>NC_000023.11:39785837-42285837 GCF_000001405.40 Homo sapiens | reverse complement strand
CCGGCAGCTGCCCTGTCTGAGAAGTGAGGAGCGCCTCCGCCCGGCAGCCACCCCGTCTGGGAGGGAGGTGGGGGTCAGCCCCCGCCAGGCCAGCCGCCCCGTCTGGGAGGGAGGTGGGGGAGTCAGCCCCCGCCCTGGCCAGCCGCCCCATCCGGGAGGGAGGTGGGGGGGTCAGCCCCCCACCCGGCCAGCCGCCCCGTCCGGGAGGTGAGGGGTGCCTCTGCCCGGCCGCCCCTACTGGGAAGTGAGGAGCCCCTCTGCCAGGCCACCACCCCATCTGGGAGGTGTACCCAACAGCTCATTGAGAACGGGCCATGATGACAATGGCGGTTTTGTGGAATAGAAAGGGGGGAAAGGTGGGGAAAAGATTGAGAAATCGGATGGTTGCCGTGTCTGTGTAGAAAGAGGTAGACATGGGAGACTTTTCATTTTGTTCGGTACTAAGAAAAATTCTTCTGCCTTGGGATCCTGTTGATCTGTGACCTTACCCCCAACCCTGTGCTCTCTGAAACATGTGCTGTGTCCACTCAGGGTTAAATGGATTAAGGGTGGTGCAAGATGTGCTTTGTTAAACAGATGCTTGAAGGCAGCATGCTCGTTAAGAGTCATCGCCACTCCCTAATCTCAAGTACCCAGGGACACAAACACTGCGGAAGGCTGCAGGGTCCTCTGCCTAGGAAAACCAGAGACCTTTGTTCACTTGTTTATCTGCTGACCTTCCCTCCACTATTGTCCTATGACCCTGCCAAATCCCCCTCTGTGAGAAACACCCAAGAATGATCAATAAAATAAATAAATAAATAAATAAAATAAATAAATAAAAGTTGCCACCTGAATTAATGCAGCCATTACCAATGTTAATAAACCCCTTTAAAGACCTGGTAAAAAAAAAAAAAAAAAAAGCAGTTGCTCATATATGTGTGGGTCCTTTTCTTTAATCTCTGTTCTACTTCATTGATCTATTTGTCTATCTTTATTTCAATACAACATTGACTTGATCATTGTACCCTCATTATAGGTTTTGAAATTAAGTGGTGTTAGTCCTGTAACTTTGATCCTTTCTCAAAATTGTCTTTGCTGTTCTAGGTCCTTTACATTTCCATATGGATTTTAGAATCAGCTTGTCAATATCTACAAAAAAAGCCTGCCAGGATTTTAATTTGGATTGTATTAAACATATAAATCAATTTCAAAAGAATACGTTGCCAATATTGGGCCTTCCAACTCATGAACATATATATCTCCATTTACTTAGTTCTTATAATTTCTCACAATGATGTTTTAAAGGTTTTTGTATACAGTTTGTAGTTGGCTGAGATTTCTACCTCCTGGTGTACATGCCCTATATAATTTTCTCTCCCTGAGTGTGAGATTTCACTCCTGTCATTAGGTTACTAATCAGTTGATTTTGAGTTAATAGAAAAAGAAAATATTTTGGGTCAGCCTGACTTACTTAGGGGAGTTCTTAAAAGAGGATGAAGTACCAGAGGCACAGTCTCCTCCTGGCTTCAAAGAAAATAAAAGCTTGCATGAGTTCTACAGCCTTAACGAACTGAATTCTGTCTATAAGCTGAATGAGCTTTAAGAGGTTCCTAAGCATCAGATGAGACTACAGCTCTGGCTGACACCTTGATGTTATCTTGTGAGATCTAAGTAGAGGATTCAACTATGCAATGCTCAGACTCCTGAACCACAAAAATGGTGTATCTTAGTCTGTTCTGGCTGCTATAACAAAATACCATAGGTTGGGTGGCTCACGAAAAACAGAAATTTATTTCTCCCAGTTCTGGTGGCTGAGATATCCAAGATCAAGGTGCCTGCAGATTTTGTGTCCAGTGAGGACTCATTCCCAGTTCAAAGACAGCCGTCTTCTCACTGTGTCCTCACATGGCAGAAGGAGCAAGGGATCTCTCCAGAGCCTCTTTTATAGGGGCACTAGTCCCATTCATGAGAGCTATGCCCTCATAACCTAATCTCCTCCCAAAGACCCCACTTTCTATTACTATGGAGGTTAGGATTTCAACACATGAATTTTGGGGGCATACAAATATTCAATCTATAGCCCAGTGAAATAATAAATGGGTTCTTTTCCAAGCCAAAAGAAAAAAGAAACCAAAAGCTGGTCCTCCGAAAAGTGAAGTGGGAATCAAGCCCATCCACTGGTTGGGGATGTGGCTTGGGAAGAAGGGATGTAGAAAGAGCATTCCTTGACTCTCTGGGTTCTATCATTAACTTGGTAAGTCTTCTGGCCTCATTGGATCAAAATTTTCTAATTTTTCAAATAATTACTTTGCCTATGTTATTAGATGAGACATCACTGTAAATGGTTTGAATACAGTGATTCTTTACAAATACAAAGCATTATTAACATCTATTATTAGTGTGCTAGCACATACGAAGAGAAATATGAAGAATAATGTTATCAAAATTAATTCAATTAATCTCTGTTTAAAGGGTGACACAGATTTATTAATTGCATAAATTATTACCTTAAATTTAAAACTATCTAACTCCCAAGTAGGCTTTGGTAATTGGATGAGTACATCCATTTAATAAAATTATAAAAAGAAGTCATATACTTACTATCTACTATAAATTTATACTCTGAATTGGACTGTGTTGAAAACAATTCAGTAACCACCCTGAAATAAGAAGAGTAGAGACCCTTGTGACAATGAAGGTAAAGGTTTCAATAAGGCCCTCCCTTCCTGTCTTTCAGAGTTTGAAAATCTTTACCTCTACAGAGTTCAAAGATAGTTTTACTTTTCTTCCTTCTCAGTAGTGACTGGTGATATCTGAAACTGTAAACAGTTCCCCAGATGACCTGCAGTCATAGCCAAAGAAAGACAAACACAAAGAATATTTCTTGAGTCTAGGGTTATCAGATGCTAGGCTATGTCAAGAGAGAACCACTTCAGAAGAAATAAGAGGAATACAATATTGGTAGATTCCATTTGAGATGACAGTAAGGCAGTCAAGGAAGGGACTGCTGATAGCGATAAAGGTCCCAGGAAGGTCAGGGATAAAAGAGAAGACTTGTGTTCCAACTGCACAGAAAAGTTTTAGCTTAGTAAAAGATGACAAATGAGTAGTGTTTGTGCTAACACCCACCAAGACTTACCAAGAAATGTAGCACACAGCCTGAAGCAACTATAGCTTATCAAAAGCCTAGGCTACTATAAGCAGTGGACTCCCGTACGAGAGATAACTCATACATAAACATTACAATGGAAAATGTCATCTTTTCTAACAAGCCCAGATATTTAGAATTGTATAATTCATCACTAAATGCTGAGTTAAAATCCAAATTTGCTATGGAAGTTCTTGTTTCTAAATGATGATTTTAAAAGAGTCAAAAATAAATAAATAAATTGTATTTTTGAAATCCTAATAGAAGTTTAGAATACTTAAATATTACTCAAGAACTTTAAAGCAGATTAGTAAACTTCAAAGAAATAAAGATATTGCTTTTTTCCTCTGTATTCTATTTCTCATATTTACTCCTTCATTTGTTTGAGAGAATTGGCCTGATTATTATGATATGGTAATACATATACTCATCACATCACCTAGTTTCAACCAGTAGCTCATGGCCAATCTTGTCTCATACATTCCCCACCTACTACCCTCCCCAGCCCGTGCTACTTTCTTATTTTGAAACAAATCCATAATTTCCTAACGTGTAATCTGCAAATATCTCAGTATTTACTGCCAAAAATAATAATACTAATATCACATGTAAAACAACAATTTTTCAGTATTGTTAAAATTTAGTCAATATTCAAATTTCCGTGTCTCATATCTGCATTTCTGTGATGTGTTGGATCAGAATCCAAATAAGATCTGTACGTAGCAATTGGTTTCCTTTTTTTAAGTCTTAGTTCACTCATATCTTTTTTTTCTTGCAATTTTTTGTTGGATAAACTAGGTTGATGGTCCCATGTTTTGTACAGTCTGGATTTTGGAAATTGTATCTTGTCTTAGTCCATTTTCTGCTGCCATAATGGAATACGACCGATTAGATACTTTAGAAAGAAAAGAGATTTACAGCTGGCCATCTGTATCCACCGTTTCTCCATCTGTAGATTCAAACAAACCACTGATCAAAAATATTGGGAAAAAATAATAAAATAACAATACAACAATAAAAATACAGATAAAAAACAATACAGTATAATATCTATTTACATAACCTTTACATTGTTTTAGGTATTATAAGTAAACTAGAGATTTAAAGTATATGAGAGCATATGTGTAGGTTATACGCAAATACTATACCATGTTATATTAAGAATTTGAGCATCCTCTGATTTTGGTATCTGTATGGGGCCCTAGACCAATCCCCCATGGATACTGAGAGACAAGTGTATTTAGCTCACAGCTCTGGAACCTGGGAAGTCCAAGATCAAAGAGCCACATCTGGTGATGGCCTTCTTGCTACATCATAACATGGCAGAAGGGTAAGCAAGCACACAAGACAGGGAGAAAATGGGAGCTGTACTTATCTATCATCAGGAGTCTACTCTCATAATACCTAACTGACTCCTACAATAAAGGCATTAATCTATTCATGAGAGCAGAGCCCTCATGACCTAATCACCTCTTAAAGGTCCCAACTCTTAGCCCTATCACAATGACAAATACATTTCAAACGTCCTGAGTTTGGGAGGGAAGGTTCAAACCATAGCATATCTCATGATATTATTTAACATGTTCCTCTGTCCCTGTATTTCCTGTAAATTGGTTATTAAAAGTAAAACCTTGATCATATTTGGTTACACTATTTTGCCAGTAATCTTTAATAGGTAGTGCTGTGAGTATCCATTAAAAGGCCAAGAAAGCTGGTTTTCTCTCTTTCTGTGATGTTAGCAGTCACCCACTATCATTGTCCAGATCAATATTTTATTAGAGGTTGCAACATAGAAGTGTTATAATTCTATCATTCCTTCATTTACCAGCTAATATACTTAAGAGGGAACTTTCATGATGAGTACTTTGAACTAAAAGTAAAAGAAGAAGAATAAGGAACTTCCACTGATCAATTAATTGATTATAATGATGTGCTTTTTATGTAGGAAACAAAGATAAAAGCTAGATTTTTTCCACTTATATTCCAGTTTTCAGGATATCCATTGGTTCTCTAATACAAAGAAGATCCGAGGTGACCAGTGACCTTTATTTTTTTAATCAGAATAAGCATAAGGAAAGATTAAGCATATACAAATGTTTCAATCCATCGCGATTGTTATTCTTATTGATAATCAAATCGTCCCCCTTCAAGTGGCTCTTGTGTCCTTTTAAGAAACCCACAGTAGTCTTTGAAAGCTTCCTTGCCTCCTAGTTTCTTAAGTTGTTCCAGGCTTATCTTATACATTTTCTGCCCCAGTTCTGATATCAGCTAATTTTCCAAGGAGCCCAGGTTCCTTTTAATGGAAAATGGTACTTAAAGACCACAACCTGGACACCAGGGATGTGCATTGCTACTGGGATGGTCACTGCTTTTAGGTCTTTTCAGCGTTCAAAGCTAGAAAATCTACTTACGAAAGATGAGCTATAATGTGAGTTTATAATGACACTTTCATTTCAAATCCAGGAATATAAGATTTTTACTTAATCTCATCTGTATTATATCTGTATCACCTGTTATTCACGCCAAAAATCCCAGCTCCCAACAACACCAGCATACTCATTTGCCTTTTCCTACACTACACACACAACATCAGAATTATAACCTAATATTACCAAGACATTTTTACAGTTCTTTCTGTCCTTAGCACATAATCACTCTAGGAATGTAAAGCCAAATTATTGTGTTTAATTGAAATCATATGGAACAGTTCCTCTCTGTACGGTTAAGTCAAAAACTTACTACATAGTTTGTTTCATCTGTTTTACATTACTTTTTTTTATTTTTAGAGATTGCTTTTTAAATTTTAATTTTGTAATATAATTATATAATATAGTTTATTGTTTCCAAATTCAAATCTACAAAACAGGGTATATTCAGAGAAGTGCCAACTCTATTCCTTTCCCTTCACCATGTTTTCTTATTTCCTGTTCCCCTTCCCTATTGGTAACCTTTTTTTTTCTTTTCATTTTTAGCTTCCAGTTTATCCTTCCTTTTTTACTATAAGCAAATAAACATATTATACTGTATGTACATTCATATACACATATGGGTATATATAGTAATATACACATATGAATATATACATTCATACCCCCCTTTCTTAGAATAAATGATAGTTTATAATATATGCTTTTCCTACCTTGCTTTTTCACATAATATACGCTGGAAACCAGTCCTCAGCAATGTATAGTGCTATTCCTCATTCCTTTTCATAATTGCATAGTATTGCTTTGTGTAGATGTGTGTTAGTTTTTTTTTGTCTCATTGATAAAATTTGACGTTTCCAATTTTTTGCTACACTGTGTTATAGTGAATAACCCTGCACATGTGTCGTTCTATATTTTTTGCCATTATATCTTTAGGGTTGATTCTTAGAAGTGGCATTCATAACTCAAAGGGTAACTGCATATGCAATCTTGTTAGAAATTACCAAATTCTCCTTCACAAGTACCATTTTGCATCCCTGCCAGCAATGTATGAGGGCAGGAGCGTGCATTTTGTGAGGTAAACCTTAGTGCTAATTTTAAAGAGTAGACAACTACCCCCTCTCAAGTTGGGTTTATGGTTGAAAAATAATCCCCCTTGTCCTCTTCTACAAATCAGTTAGCTTAATACTTTCTGTTGGCAGTGTCTGGGCATTACCCACAATGCCAATAAATTGCTCCTTTCAGTTCTGTGCACAGACAGCAGTGGGAACTAATTATTTAGAGGGGCTGGAATTGGCCCACCTCAGACCTTCCCAGTGGGACAGGATGTGATACTAGCTGCACAAGCTGCACACAACTTAGATGGCCAGACTCTGACGGGGCAGAAGCCTAGCAGGCACACTCTTAGAATGATCACACTAGATAATGAGAGCTACAGATCCACACGGGCAATAAAATCATCTACTTTGAATGCCCTCATCTTTATATCACTGCCCTGCTGAGAAACCTACTCGGGATCCTTCCCATCTGTGTTGTCAAATTCAGGCTTGTCTGCTCAGCGTCCAGGTCCTACAAACAAATCAGCCTCCAGTCTGTTCTCCCCTGCATGGCTCCTCTGCTGTTGCCAAGCCAAGTTCCTTGCCATTCTTTACACTTATAAAGACTTTCTCTGCCTCTGAGCCTGTGATTATTGCATTTCTTGTTCCAAGGATGAACCCTAGAGTTTAGCCAGTCTACTCTGTTCACTTCCCCAAGAACCAGTCAGTGCCAGACTCCATCGGAACCCATTCTCCCCTCACCAATTATTTCATGAGCTGCTGGTCACTTGAAGACTGATGTATTTCTACATCCACAAGAAACACTAAAACAATTAACATCGTGTTCTGCACATGACATGGGATTAATACATGTTTGGAAGCCTGACTACCTAGCACTTAAACTTATGGCCACATACAAATCAGTCTTAGAGTTAAATCTGAAACTGTAGAACTGGATTTATCATTCTCTCCAGAAAGAGTAGCAAATGAAAGATCCTCATTCATGCATAGGGGAGAGCACATTTCCATTTCCATGCACTATGAAGACAGAGTAAAAGAACTGGGCTACAAAATATCCCTAAGCAAAGTGTAAATCGGAAAAAGAATAAATCTTACCACAAACACAACAGACACACCAAATTGAGTACAATCTAGCACATGGGATAATAGCTTATGCTAAAAACAGGAACTCCAAAACCGTATGACCAGTATGATACCAAATTTATAAAGAAACTGTATAGGCATATATAAAATTTGCATATACATATATTTATGAAAATATACAGACATAGATACAGATTCTATCAGTATTTCTGAGTGGTAAGCTTATGGATTTTTTACAGTTTTTTGCTTATTTATACTTTTTTGGTATACAGTGCAACTTTATGATAAGCATGCATTACTTTTATGATAAGAAAAAAACCAAAACATAAAATATTTACCTGAGATACAGTACAGCATCTGTTTGTCAAATATACTTGAGATACATAAATATGATGTGGGAATTCAAATTTGATCAGCATCTAACACATCCAAAGGAGAAAAGAGGGCTTTAGAAAGATTCTAAAAACAACTCAAACGCAATCACTGTTGAGCCAATATTTGAATAGGCATTATTTATAGCCATAATTTTCAAAGATCAAAGCAGCCTTCCCTTCCCCATTGTCAAAACAAAGAGAAGATGCGAACTTGCTGAATCCACATTTTAAATGCACACAGAGAATGAGCACATGGTGTCTTACCTCATCTGTAATGGTATGTTGTTGACTAGAAGGAAGACAAAGGTAAAAAAAGTAACAGAAATAGAGGCACAAAGTTAATCTTTAACCTCCTGCCTTAAGGCTAAGGAGAGGTATTGCCATTCACCCCCATCCAAAAGCAATTGAATGACTCCAGTGTGTTTCTACAAGAAAGAAAAGGGCTTTGGGAACAAACATATTTCAGGAGTGGGCTTTTTGAATAATAAACTGACTTTCTCTCTGAAGCTGATAAAGTGGTAATGGTGGGAGGTAGTGGAAATTACAAGGGTTTCAGTACTGTACTCGGGTGCTTTTTAATGAGTTGCCCTGGGCAAATGTACCTAATCAGCCTCCACTATTCATTCTGCTACTGCCCACATCTTTGCAAATTGCTTCTCATTTTTATCCCATAATAAGCTAGGAACACTAGAAACCCTTTGCTATTTTTAATTTTTCAAAACCTACCTAACCATATGTCATTTCTAAAGACAACCTCTTCTTGTTTGGGTTGTTGGCTCCTTTGGCAAGACAGAAACAGCTTAGGGGCCTCCCTGGTTTTCCCTTCTACTTCCACTGTATTTCATTTTGTTGCCTGTTCATCCAAATGGATATCTGGAAAACTGGATAGATAAGTGACTCCAAAGTAGGTTTCATTTTCTTCCCATCTTCCCATGAAAAAAAGAAAAATACTCTCTAGCATGAAACCTTACTCCCTCCCACCACTGCCCCCTATACATTTGGGCTGCATCTATTCCTGAAGACAATGAATAAGGTGATCTGGAACTTTTTAAAGTTCTAACAGACTGCTTCTTCTCCTTCGTCTCTCACTCCCAATCCATCACTATATTACTCAGCTATTGCTACACTAATCCTGTGCAACAAGCAAGCCCAAAATGCAATATAGCCACATGCATTTATTTCTTGTTCACAGCCTGCAGGCTGACTGTGGTTCTGCTGAGATCATCTGAGATTTGCTGGACTTTGCCCATAACTGTGGGTTGGAATCACATATACTCCACAAGTCTCCTCATTCTGGAACCAGCATGTACCCAGAGCATGTTCTTCTCAT
This sequence comes from Homo sapiens, assembly GCF_000001405.40. Classification (NCBI taxonomy): domain Eukaryota; kingdom Metazoa; phylum Chordata; class Mammalia; order Primates; family Hominidae; genus Homo; species Homo sapiens. Next base: position 42,276,436 of record NC_000023.11, on the reverse strand, counting down.
GGCAAATGCCAGAAATGCAAGAGACCAAGTCAAACACACAAGCTCATTTAAATTCTCCGTACTTGTGTGTATTAGTTTGCTATGGCTGCCATAACAAGATACCATGAACCAGGTGTCTTAAAACAACAGAAATTTATTCTCTCACAGTTTTGGAGGCTAGAAATCCAAAACTAAGGTATCAGCAGGGTCATGTTCCCTCTGAAGGCTCGAGGAAAAAAATATTTCCTTACCTCTTCATAGTGTCTGGTGACTCCCAGCAATCCTTGGCATTCCCGGGCTGGTAACTGCATCACTCCAATCTCTACCTCCATCATCACATGGCCTTATACCGTGTGTGTGTGTGTGTGTGTGTGTGTGTGTGTGTGTGTGTGTGTGTGTGTAAGTCACCAGTCACTGGATTTAGGGCCCACCTAATTTAGTATGACCTCATCTTAACTTGACTACATCTGCAAAGATCCTATTTCCAAATAAGGTCACATTCACAGGTTCCAAGAAGACATGAATTTTGGGGAGATATTATTCAACCCACTACAATGCCCGTACATGCTAACATTCCATTGACCAAAACAAATCACATGGCCAAGTCCTAAAAGCAATGAGGTGGAGAAGTACACTCTGCTTATTCATATGGGGGATACCACAAAGTCATATAGCAAAGTCAGTGAACATATCATTCTATTACAGGGTGAATAAAAAGTTGGAAACAATACTCCAACCTACCAGAGTTATCAGTACATGTTGTTTCTTTACACATCTCACACAACCATATCTTCTCTTATCATTCATAACTGGATTATATGCGTGGGATAAGGAAATTGGTAATCTGTTGGGAAAGAGGTTACCATTTTTCTATGAATTTACTAAGGGACACAAAGTATAAATCAGACACTTTTCTAAGCTTATCTCATATAATCATTACAACAATCTCATGAAGTAAATGTTAGTGTTACTATTCCCATTTTACAAATGAGGAAATCGAGGCTCACAAAAGTTAGGCAGTTGCCCAGGTTTATTGCCGAGCCAAGATTTAAACTCATGCTAATCCCAAAGCTTGTGTATTAAACCTTGCAGCTGTGACCTTGAGGCTTCCTTCCATCTACACTCCCAGTAAGATTTAAAACATGATAAAAAGAAGTTTATGGAGTTTGTTGAACACTAATTTTGAATCACCAGTGCCTGGAATAGAGCCTGAGTATTATAGATGCCCAATAAATATTTGTTTTAAATGATCAACAGAATAAACAAATACTTGACAATGTGTTAGGGCCTAACTGCCTCCTTGAACCCTAAGATGTTAGTGTAAGTGGGATAGTATCAAGGACAGACATTTTGTAAGACATTAATTTAAACAAATGGCCATATTAAAATCCTAATGCATTGGAAGTTAATCTTACAAGGCACTCTGTGGGAGCTACTGACCTTTGTGTCTTCACAGAGCTACAGTCCTCAAAAATGGATCTAGCTGACCTCCATCTGCAGACTCAGCCCCATCCCAGGCTCTGGATCTGATCCTATAGCTTCACAGTGTATTTAGGAAGTCCTCATTCAAGAAGTTAAGTAATCTGGTTTGATCTAGGGAACCAGGCTAGTTCTGGACTTGTATCCCAAGTGTAGGAAACAGGCATTGTTCCTGTTTATTGATTCATCCGTTAGTTCTTTCAACTAACCATTAAACACCTGCCATTTGCCAATCCCTAAGTCAGGTACAGAACATAAAAAGACAAATATAAAAGAGACAGTGAGCCTGGGATCTCTTTCCTAGAAAAGCTTGTACTTCCCATAGCCAGTCCTCAATCTGTACCTCAGTTTGAACAGTTCAAATCCAGCACAGGTTGGATTCCCTGGGACTGAGACTCTGAAGCACAGATTTGTGTGCAGGAATTCTATTAGGGAGTGCTCTTAGGATCCACACCTGTGGAAAAACTGCCAAGGAAGCAGGAGTGGGCAGAGAGAGGAGTGGGAATGCTAGGAGTCCAGTGTGCTGTGGACTGAATTGTCTACCCGAAAATTCATCTGTTGAAGTCATAGTCTCAATGTGGCTGTATTTGGAAATAGGACCTATAAGGAAGTAATTAACGTTAAATGAGGTCATGAGGGTGGGGCCTTAATCTGACAGGATTGGTGTCCTTATAAGTTGAGGAACAGACCCCAGAGACTCTCCCTCTCTCCCCAAGAATACAGAGGAGTGGCCACACAATGACAAAGTGGCTACTCAAGCCAGGAAGACAGGCCTCACCAGAAACCAAACCTGCCATTACCTCAATCTTAGACTTCTAAACTTCAAACTGTAAGAAAACACATTTCTGTTGTTTAAGCCACCTAGTCTGTGGTATTTTGTTATGGCAGCCTGAGGAGACTAACATACAGTCCTGATGAAGGCCTCATTCAAACCCCACAGGCAGATCTGGAGCTGGGATAGGCCTTCAGAGTTGTCCCAAGTTGGGGTGAGGGGTCAGACATTTATACCTCAGCATTGCACCATCTTCGGGTAGGAGATATTATTTTGCGCAAGACAGCTCTCTTCAGTGGAAATGGCTATCTTCAGCTGAGACAATCCCCAAAAAGGGCTGACAGTTGAAGGCTTCCAGCAGCAATGGGACTAAGTTTTTTAGCCATCTCTGGGCAACACTGTAAGACCCTGCCTTTATAACCTACTTGGTGCCCTAAGACTCTAAGTCTGGGATCTTGCCTCGTTCTCAGCAATGTCTCCCCTTTCTGAACAGGATTCCTATCAGCTGGAATCCTGTTCTTAAATTCCATCTCAGTGACTAGGGTGTGCAAGCTTCCAGATCTCTGATCTCAGACCTCTGATTGCCTGCTATGTCTTCTCGTAGTGCCTTATCCCTGAGGCCATGCTCTGCTCATGAGCAATGACACTGTGCTAGACCTCCCTGAGGCTGACTACTTGCTCTTCCTCCCGTATAACACTTGCCCCAATCTTTCAATCTTCCTATACACTCTGCTTCACCTGCCTGGCGAGAACATTTTCTATAACCTAGACTTTGGTCACCTCCATTGGTATGCCTAGCACCCAGAAACTCCTTCCTTGGCAGTTCTGCTGGCCATGGAGCATCAAGCCTCCATCTACTACACTCTGGAGTGGTTTCTCATATTCTGACCTGCAGAACATACACTTATACTTGTAACAAGAGAAGAGGGTTCCCAATTGCCAATCACCCTTTCATGCTTTGGATATACTTAAAGATTATGTGTATATTAAAAGCTTCAAAATGTTCTGCAGTAAAGACATATGTTTAACTGTTTCAGTCATCTATTGCTGTATAATAAACTACCCTAAAACTTAGTGGCTTAAGACAATGCTCTATGCTTTATCATGATTTTATGGGTCAGGAATTCAGGCTGCATTTATTCACATTCAGCTAATGGCTAGGCTGGAAAGCCCAGCATGGCTTCACTCACATGGATGGCACCTCAGTGCTCCTCCATGTGACCTCGCCAAATGGCTAGGCTGAGTTTCTCAAACTATGGTGATCTCAGAGCAGTCATACTTCTTATATGGTAGCTGACTTCCAGACAAAAGAAGGCAAAGCTGCTAGTTCTCTCAAGGCCCGCGTTTGGAAACCCCAAAACATCACTTCTGTCACATTATATTGATCCATATAAGTCACAAGGCTGGCTTTGACTCAAGGGGCAGGGAGGGGCAAAGTCTTCATGTGAAGAGTAGCCTGCATATACAGGGAGGGGAAAAAAATCATTGGGAGTCTTATTTGGTGTAAGCCACATATTTCAAAAATTATCAGAAACATACAATGCTTTTGCTCCTAAGACTCATCAATTTCTTGAAAATCTTTTATTCAACATAGCCAGTTTAAGAATCTCTGATATCATATAATCATAGTCTCACTATGTTATGTGCTAGAGAGGCCTAATCAAAGACAAAAGTGTGAGAAAGTTAACATTAGACCTCTAGGTCTTAAGGATCTACCATCCCATGGATGGTAGTACATGGTAGCAAGTGTGACTGCCCCTAAGAACTTGGAAAAAAAGTACAGTTTCTCCTTATTGTCATATGCGGAGTCTCAGCCCTCCACCTTATTCTATGCTTATGAAACAACTCTCTGATTACTAAATCCATGAAGTACATGCTGTGGCTGACTCTCCAACATCCATTCTATCTCTCTTCCAATGAGCAGATTTAGAGGAAGTTGGCAAGCTAGCTTTAACTCTAGACAAGAATGATTGATTTAAGGGTAATCCCATATTTTCCTTGCCAATGACTGGTCTAGGAATTGACTTGTGACCAAATTTTGGCCAAGGAGATAAAAGGAGTATATTGGTAAAAGTTTATTGAAAACTTCATAGAAACATAAAACATAGAAAGCCTCTTCCTTTTCTGGCCACTCCTAAAAGGAAGCAACCCAATGTCTTCCCAGCTGCTATACTTAGCTGCAAGCCCATCCCTGGTTGACACTGAGTCCTCTCTATCAGATCAAGATATAGTTCCTAGTGATCAAGCAATAGATGGCTATAAATTAAATGATACATCTTGAGCATATGTAATGCACAATGGCCGATAAAGCACAGAAGCTCTAATAAAACCTTCCTTTTAGAAAATAATAATTTTAAAAATGGCCAGGCATGGTGGCTCATGCCTGGATTCCCAGCACTTTGGGAGGCTGAGGTGGGTGGATCACTTGAGGTCAGGAGTTCAAGACCAGCCTGGCCAACACGGTGAAACCCCATCTCTACTTAAAAAAAAAAAAAAAAAAAAGCCGTGGCTACTCAGGAGGCTGAGGCACAAGAATAGCTTGAATCCGGGAGGTGGAGGTTGCAGTGAGCAGAGATCGCACCACTGCACTCCAGCCTGGGCGACAGAGTGAGACTCTGTTTCAAAAAACAAAACAGAAAAAAGAATGAAAAATACCACCAATGATCATCAGTCTACGGATATATGATATATTTCTTCCTGGACATGGTAGCAGGGTTTACTATTCTAGTAGTAAAGGGAGTTCAAGAGAGACAACCAATCTGGCATCCCACAGTTCTCTCTGAAAGAAACCCCACTGTCTTCCAATGGCAACATCTGAGATGAACATCGAAGCTTATCTCATTTTTGTAAGACTTTACTGGAATATGTAAGAAGTAGTCAATAGCCTGAAATTTTTCTGCCAGATCCTTTAATGTTCCAGTTGTGGCAGGTACATTATTTAATTAGAGAACGACAAATGTTTCACTCTGGCATGACAATGATAGAAAACTCAAGCTTTGAGCTGAGTTCTCAAAAAACTCAGTTCTTTGAGCTGTATAAAATTGAAAACCGGTCTCAACCTCTCTTCAATAATAATAAAACGTATTGTTGGCCAAAACTAAAGTTAACTGATCTCAGACCTCTGCTTGCCTGCTATATCTCCTCATAGTGCTTCATCCTATAGGATAGACTTCAGGGTTAGTTGAGCAAGAAAATCATCAAGGACACAGGTTACTTCCATTTCTTCATTCTAACACCAACACTGTCAGCTTCATCCTGAGGCTGATTCCCCTCATGGCTATAGAATACCCCCTTATAGCAACTAGTGCTAATGGTTACTCATTTATACCCAGTGAGAGACTGACTTCCTGTAGCTGTGCTTATCAACAAGAAAGTTGCATTTCCAAAAACTCTCAGAGAAGTTATTTTTGTTTTTCATTAGACCAAGTTGATTTGGGCCAGACTATCTGCTTAACAGACTGGCTTACATGACTAGATTAGACTAATTGGGGCTTCAAGGTCTGGGGTCGACCAGCTTCCCCTGAGGCATGTGGGTTATGTGTGGGAGTAGATGACACCTACACAAAATCACAATTTAGTTAGGAATGGAAAAAGAGGGAATGAATGCCAGGATGACAACCAACATTTCCTATTGCATTTGGTTTTGATTCCGGGGGGTAGGTACCTTGAGTGGAGGATAGGATCATTCTGCTTACCAGGGAGGAATATTTCCCCCTGGAACGTAACACACTTGCATTTCATTTGTAAATCTGTATCTCGTGATTTGCTTACTTTAAATAAACAGCCTTGCTTTAGAACTATGTCTAACAAGGCTGAAGGCCAATCCCAATTGTTGGACCAAGTTATAATCACTCAGGTTAGGCCACTACTCACCATGGTGAGTACTTTTTAGTCTATAACAGCAAGAACTGAGCTAGTTGAAATAAGGAGAAAAAGAAAAAGAAAAAATTATGATTGTGTATATGCATTAACAAATTGCACCCACAAATATGCACCCACAAAATGAGAGAGGGAAAGAGAGATTTACCAAGCCAACACTGATAGCTATTTCTAATGTGTTTTGCTTGTTCTTTCAGCAACTACTTCTTTGTATCCAACTTAAATTCTTCCACTTAAAACTTATTTCCTCTTGCTATTTTTCCACAAGCATCGTCCAACAGGATACATATTGTCATCTGTCTCACATATGTAAAAAAAAAATCCAATTGAAGTGAAAAGGATTCATTTCTAGATCAACAAATGGGTTCTCAAAATCCCTTCCATGCTGAAGAGCCCATAAGCTAGTGTTACCTTGATTATTAATATAAGTAAACCTGAAATATACTAGAGTATAAATGCCAAACATTGAGCCTGCAGGCCAGCTCCAGTCTGCAGAAGGTCATCATTCAATGATAACACCCTCAGTGAAAACAGGTTTATTTTAGTTGGCATATTTTTTAATGAAATATTAGTTCAGCCCACCAGGATTTTCATGAAGAGAAATTGGTTTGAGTAAATTTGAGTTGACACTCTTGTCCTGAGGAAACAAAATGGCATTTTTTGAGAATGCAAGATTAATGCAGTAAATGATTATTATTTACTCCAAACTATGCCCTTGGAAATTCCAGCAAAATTGAGGTATCAAATGTCAGAAGCTGCAATATTGCATTTCAGTGCAATGTGTGAGTGTGCATATGTGTGTGTGTGCACACAGGCACGTATACACTTCCTAAAAGCATCCTCTAAACAAACCACATTTGCACATTGAGCAAGATCATATTCTGGTTCTGAATTTCTCAATCCGCTTTTTATAGTGTTACTCATAGTTTTTCCTAAGGCTTTTAACCTAAGGCAAGCTTTTTCAAGAGCTAATTCAAAATGAAGATTGACTTTTGCATGATGTCACCAAAAGATGATGTCACTTTCTTTTCTCTCCCTTGTCTCAAGAAAACTGGATACTAATGTTGGATTTACTTCACCCCTTAACACACAGACAAGTAATATCTACAGACACAGTATCAGACAACCTGAAGTTTTCAGTGGAACTCTGGATAAAGCAAAACTTTCAGGGATAGGCTCTCTAGCTCCCAAGGGAAATTATGCTTCTTTTCAACTCTCTTTTACACAATGATGTGGTGATTATTTTTAACATTAGAAGTAAAATATAGCCTTGTACTTTAGTGAAAGGGAACTAATCAAAATTTCCAACTAAAAATCCAAAGGAAAATTTATTCATGAAAAACTCAAACTCTACCCCTATATTCTGGTTACATATAGTACCTATTTTTATCAACATATATGACTAAGTGTTTCAATACAATACTGTCAATCACTCAAATCAATCACAAGTCAAGTCTCCAGTGGCCAGTGTTTCCAGAAAAATATATTACATGCCAATGCAACTAGAAAACACAAACACAAAAAGACAAATATTGTATGATTCTACTTATATGAGGTACCTAGAACAGGCAGATTCAAAGAGATAGAAAGTAGGTTAGAGGTTACCAGGGGCTGAGGGAGGAGGAAACGAGGAATTATTATTTAATTAGTACAAAGTCTCTTTTTGGGAAGAAGGAAATGTTCTGGAGATGAATGGCAGTGATGGTCGCACAATAATGTGAATGTACTTAAGCCACTGAGTTATACACATTCTGTTTCATCTTTTAGATCTCAACCACACTGTGTTACAAAGACAGCATCTTCAATACAGAAACAATGTCAGTGCTTGATGTCAGGGTTGGCTCTGTAGATACTTTTCGGCTTAAAGGGCTGCTGTTTAATTCTGAACAACCAAAATTCAGGGTAAAAATTGCAATGCCACATTTAATCATAATTTCCTACACCTCTCTATCAAAGCTGGCACAAATGAAATGGAAGGAATTCTCATGTAAAGGGGAAAAGGTAAGAAAGGAAAGGAAGATTGCTTGGATTTCCAGATGAGCTTGCACCTCGTTTAGCAATCCCATGAGATGGTTTTGCTACCAGACAGCATGGCAATCTTTCTATTATCTGTCCTTTTCATAACAGACACAGATGAAACATTGAGCTAATTCCTAAATACACTGTACTGCAGATCTGCAAATTGAATGAAAGCCTCATTATTCAGTTATACCAAGCAATATGCCAACAGATACCTGAATAACACAATAGCCAGTGGATATAATGAAGGGATTTTGATGCTATCTAATGAATGCTTGCAATACATTTTATTTAGTATAGTATATAAAAATTGCCTTTCATCACTAAAAGGGGAGGTGCTATTATTGGTTTCTTGATGCACTGTCAAATGCTTTTCACTTTCCTTACCTTCTATGTCTGTCCTGGGTTTTCTACTCAGATTGGAACATGAAACCTCAAGAGATCCAGGGGTTTTCTCTCCATAAGGACAACCAACAAATTCAAGATATTTCTATAATTGTACTGAACACTATAGTTTAACTGTAAATGTCACAGTGCTATGATAGAAGTTGGGTAGAGGAGTACAAGATCATCACAATAATATTTATTGACTGTTAATTATATCAGATACTGTTCTAAGTGCTTTAAAGCCATTAAGTCACTGAATTGTCACAATACCCTTTCAAGGTAGGCACTACTGTTATCCCCATTGTACAAACAAAGAAATTGAGGTACAGAAAAGTTAGATAATTTGCCTACAGCCTCAGAGCTACTAAGTAACACAAGTGGAATTCAAATCCAGGCGGTAAGTCTGCAAAGTCCTGTTCTAAGCTCTACACCACACTGCCTGTCTAAGAAGAGGAGCACAGTATTCTGGAACCCTCCCAGCCTGTCTGGGTTCTTATGAAGCACCACTTCTTCTAGTGGAAGGAATCATTACGCATTTGGTATTCTCAAAGCAATAATTCTTGTTATCATCACAAGTCAGCACTTCATATATACATATATAGAGAGAGAGACATATATATACACACACACACACATATGTATATATTGAGCTCTTCATCACCCATGAAATGTACAGAAAATCCAAGACTACATAAGTAATCTGTTTGTGGTCATCTACCCAAATATGGCCATCCCTTCTGGATATTAACTAAAATGGGGGGATAAAACGCTGAAAAGGAAGCTATGGTTTCTTTACTTAATGGTTTCATGAAATCTTAAATTCTCTGACTTTCAAATAACACTTACAAACCAAGCATGAATATGAAAAATATCTATTTAATTTCTTCCATAGTTGATAATTCATTTGATTCACTGAAAATTTAAAAAGCTAGAATGGTTGAATAAAGGATAAATAACTTCATAAAATAACTTTTAACCATTAAACAGAGACCGTACTTTAAAAAAAAATTAGTGGACTGTATTTGTTTAATAAAGTCTTTGAATTTATGTTATTCAAATTCAAATTTTAATCCATGTGAAACTGTTTTGGTATTATCATTCTGTTTTAAATTAAGATTTATATTTTCATATTTACATTTAAAGACAAGAAATACCTGCAGATTTTATAAAATTTTAATATAAAGATATTTTATAATCATATTAATATTTATTCTTATAACAATATCTAAAATTATTGAGCATTAATGCACCAGTAATTGAACTCTTTTCATTCATGATTTGTATATAATTTGCATAACAGTCCTTTGAAGGAGGCATTTTTGTCTCCATTTTATAGATGGTGAAACAAAGTGTCTGAAAAGTTGAGTCATTTTCTCAAAGATCATTGCAATAGAATCATGGAAAGAGCCAGGATTCAAGCCCTATTATTTCTGACTCCAAAAACCTGGATGTTAAATACTACATTGTACTGCCTCAGAAACCATAAGAAAAAGATTTGATGAATTTATCTAAAAATTTTAAAGTTGCACAAACCCCAAAGATTATTAACAAGGTTAAAAGAGAAAACAGGAACTAAAAAAATTAAAACACCTGAAACATATGTGAAAGAATTCATGTCCTTAATACATAAAGAGATTCTCACAAATCAATAAGAAATATAAGCAAAATGAAAGAATAAAAAGTTAAAATGGCAAATGTATCCATGGAAAGCTTTTTAAACCTAAACAAAAAAGTTAATTAGATTGATTTATTACTTTTACTTTATAAGATTATCAAAGATTTTTAAAATTAATATACCTAACATTGTTCAGGGAATAAAGAAACAGGCATGCATGCTCATATACGCCTAGAACCATGTATGGAACAACCATAAACATAACAGAAACACACAATTTACCAGGATCTAGTTTATATTTTAGTGTTTCATTTCAGAAAATATGTTTCATGTGAAAAAAGGAGAATATGTCACACACACACACACACACACACAGACACACAGTATGCTCCCGATTTTGAGAAAGACAAGAAAAATCATTTTGAAGCATATAAAAGTTCTGAAAGGCTCTATACCAAAATGTTAATCACAATTGCTTATTTTGGGGTTAGTGGAATTATGCACTATTTTATGTTCACTTTTTATTATATCTTTTAATATTATGTGAATTTTTATATTATCAATTAATTTTATAATTACACAAACATACAAGAGCCAATCAAAATAGCTACTGAGGCAAACATTCTTGGTGGTAGACAGTCTTGGAGCCACCAGTCCAAAACTTATTTCACAGTCCTCCTTGCCTCAGTGTTTTTTGGTGGCAATGTACCCAGGCCCAAGCATGAAAAATGAGGGGTGACTGTAAGTCAGTCATGGACATTTCATTTCCCATTGCTAGTAATTGACCCAGGGGTAAGCATGTGACCCAGTTCTGGCTAATGAGATATAGAAGTTTGTTGATGGCCTTGGGTTAAAATTTCATCCTGGCTAGGTGTGGTGGCTCACATCCATAGTCCCAGCATTTTGGGAGGCCAAGGCAGGCAGATCACTTGAGTCCATGAGTTGGAGACCAGCCTGGGCAACATGGCAAAACCCCATATCTACAAAAATTTAAAAAATTAGTCGGGCATGGTGGTACATGCCTGTAGTCCCAGCTACTCAGGAGGCTGAGGTGGGAGGATCACCCTAGCCTGGGAGGTTGAGACTGCAGTGAGCCGTGATAACACCACTGCACTCCAGCCTGAGCGACAGAGTAAGACCCTGTCTCCAAAAAAAAAAAGACTCCACCCAAATAAAAAGAGAGCAGTGGATATAGAAGGCATTTTAGTCACTCACACCTGTCCACTAGATTTTCTCTTTGGGATGCTGTTGTATAAGGATGAGATATTTAACTACATAAATACATAAAGATACATGTATAGATTCTGTTACCCTCTGTTTTCTCAGGAGTCTTAGTCTTTCTTATACCATCTCTCTTTTGTGTATAAAGCTTCTTCTCAATTGGATACTTCTCATCAGCATCAAGCCCATTCATCCCAATGCTCCCTTAGTTATACTTCCCACTTCATATTCTGTCCCCTTCAAAGCCAAGCTCTTAAAAAAGTTTCCTCTACCCGACAACTCCATTTTCTCATCTTTTGCACCCATTAGTTCACCAAAACAGTACTTGCTGATTTACTTATGAGCTATGATCTCAATGTTACTAACCAATCTAACTGCAGTTCACATTACCACTCTCTTTTTAATGAAACACTCTGTTCTCTTGGCTTCAGGTCTTCTTTCTACATTTGAGTTTTTCTTTTACCTCAATGATTGGTCTTTCTCAGCTTCCTTCACCATATCATAGGCTCGTCCTCTCCTATTAACCCACTAAATGCTGGTATTCCTCAAAGCTTATTCCTAGACCATTCACTCTTTCCATTTTATTTTCTCCCTTATTAACATATTTGGCATCAATTTCCATTTTTGTGCAGATACATACATATTATCTCAGACACATAAATCCAATATCTCTCTGTAAATATTTCAGAGGCATATCAAGCTCAACATTTGTATTTGAGGTCCTCCTGCTCAAATCTGAACCTCTTCCTCTATTCCCTGTCACAATGAATAGTACCAACATTGGTTCAGCTATGTAGTCCTAAAATCTAAAAATAGTCCTTGATACCTTCACTCATCACCATCCCCGAACCTAATTCATCACTAAATACTATCAACTTTACCTCCTAAATATTTCTCAAATTTAATCACATCTGTTTCATATCTACCACTACCATTCCAGCTAAGCTATTATCTTCTCTCAACTGAACTACACAATAAATTCTCAACTCATCCCTCTCTATCCATTCTTGCAACTCCTCAATTTGTCTCCACACTGTAGATAGTGTGACCTTCCTTTAAACTCAATTCTGATTATATCACTTTCTTTCTTAAAACTCTTTAGTGGTTTTCCATTGCACTCAGGATGAAGAATAAAAACTTTAACTTGATCTGCAAGGCCCTGAAAGGTATATTCTGGACCTTCTACAATCTTGTGTCAGGAGCCATTCTCCAGCCCCGGGGAATGAATGTTTTCTAGTGTAGGCCAATCATGTCAGTTCTATTCTCCTATCAGTGATTGGATTAGGAATGGGCATGTGAAGCAACTCTTGCTAATGAGAAGTCAAATAACAAGGAGATGGGGAATCGGCCTTCTAAGAAGGAAAGGATAGGACACAACTCTTCCCTTTTAGATAATATCATAAGATGATATGATGCCTAGTAATGTTTCAGACATTTTATGACCATGAGGAGAAAACAGTTGATAAATAGCACTTCTGGTTGTACATACTATGATTAGTTGAATTCCTTATTCCAATTCTTCATGCCTCTGTAATAGAAAGCCATACCCTTGCCACATCCTCATGGTGGTAAGAATGTTCTTCTCTGTCCCTTGGCTTTTGGCTTGGTTATGTGTCTTGTTGTGGCCAATGGTATGTTAGCAAACATAATGAGAGAAAAACCTCAACATGTACTTGCATGATTTGGTTTGCTTTCTTGTTCTCTCTAAATGAGAAGATCATGCTCTAGGTAGCTGTTTTCCCACCAGTCTCGGTACCAGAATGAACACATATAAAGAGGACCAAAATTTAACTCGCACCCTAAAACAGAGCCACCTCTGCCAATTCACAGACCTACAACCTAAAGCAGAGTTTCCCAAACTGACCTGCAGACCTATGAGCATGGGAAAAAGTGTTTATTGTTACATGCCACTGGGTGTTGGGGTAATTTACTATGGAGCATTGCTGTGTCAATAGCTGGCTGATATACCAGCAAAAGCATTGCAACTATTGCAGACATTAAATAATCATATAATTAAATGTAATTCTCCCTCGCTAAATTACAAGGGCCAAAGGGCAGAAATTGTGTCTATTTTCGCTTTTTATTATATTCCAGCACTTAGCCCATTAAATTGCATAATAAATATTTATTGGTTTAATATTATTAAGAAAGGCTGAAATAATAATATACATGCAAAATGTTAAAATCAGATGATAGAATAAGTAATATTTATATCTTCATTCTTTCCTGTATGATATTACTTGTCTGTATTGTAATAATGTTTTTGTATAATAAACATGAATTGCTTTATAATCTGGAATAAAAGCAAGAAAAAACTATTTTCACTAAGAAAAAATACATATGTATTTATCTGGAAAGAAACACTCTCATGGGTCACACAAGAAATCATTTGCATGAGTTAAACCTACATATAGCTCCAAATTCAGGAGACTGTAAGTTCACACAAAGGAGATAAATATTTAGGTGTCAGAATAGTAAATAAGGTCTTGGTTAGCAGCAAGATTTAAGACCAGGCTGAGACAGACTGGGCTTTGCTTTGTTTTGCTTTGCTTTCTAGGATCAGAGATAAATATCCAAGGTAAGCCAAGAAAAAGCAGAGAAATTTAGGGAGGCTGGATCAAATGAAAATGCTTGTAAGCTACTTGTTATGAATGAACTCACTTTTTCACACTCATTTCATAAATTTTTGGTTACTAAGGGCATCTCTCCAGTCACATCTCTTCACCTTCTATCTCATTCCACTCCCAACTACCCTGCTGTCTGCCTTCACCCCATCTTCTGAGGTGGGAACTTTGCTCTCTTCTCAGGATCCTTCAGGCCCCAGGGCCTTGGTTCACTTGGATCTTTTCATGCCTAGATCTCAGGATTCAAGGATACAGCAATCAGATGTAAGGAACCAGCTCATATACAGAGATACTGATCATTCTTAAAGATGTAGCGTTGAATAAAAACTAAAACCTATGAAAAAATTAGACTTATTATAGAAGGTAGTTTAAGTTTAAAAGGTGTACATTCACATGTATCTTTTGGGTGGGTTACATATACAAGGACATGTATTAAACATTTGAAAGGGTGCCTAACTGAAAAGAAGAATGAGTATGGGCATAGAGAATAAATGGCAGAAGGAAGGAAGGAAGAATAAAATGAGACTATGCATTTGTAAGGACAGAGAACAGGTTTCACTTTAAATGATTTCAACAAAGGGCTGTTAATGAAGGATCTACTTACAATGGTGTGGGGAGAATGAAGGTGAAAGGAAAAGAATGGGAAGGTATATTGGTTTTTTATTGTTGCTGTAACAAATTACCAAAAATTTAGTGGCTTAAAACAACATAAATGTATTATCCTACAATTCTGTAAGGGTGATGGTTAATTTTATGTGTCAACTTGACTGGGCTAAGGGATCCCCAGGTAGTTGGTGAGACATTATTTCTGGGAGTGTCTGTGAGGGTGTTTCTGGAAGAGATTGGCACTGGAATCAGAGGACTGGGTAACGAAGATTCACACTCACCCATGTGGTGGACATAAGCCAATTCACTGAGAGCTCACATAAAACAAAAAAGGCAGAAAGGTGAATTCTCTCACTCTGCCTTTGAGCTGAGACATCAATCTTCTCCTGCCCTTGGACATTGGAGCTCCTGGGTCTCAGGTCTTCAGACTCAGGGATTTATACCAGCCCTCCCTCAAATTCTCAGCCTTCTGCCTCAGACTGAATTACACCACTGGCTTTCCTGGGTCTCCAGCTTGCAGATGGCAGGTTGTGGGACTCCTCAGCCACCATAATCATATGAGCCAATTCCCATAATAAATCTCCTCTTATATATCTCTCTATATATATCCTATTTGTTCTGTTTCTTTGGAGAACCCTAATATAGTAGGTCAAAAGTCTGACATGGATCTCACTGGGCTAAAATCAAGGTGTTGGAAGGGCTGTCTTCCTTCTAGTGTCATCAGGGGAGAATGTGTTGCCTTGCCTTTTCCAGTTTCTAGAGGCTATTTACATACCCTGGCTCACAGCCTCTTTCTCCACCTCCAAAGCCAGCAACATCTGCTTTCTCTCGCTCTCTGACTCTGCTCTATTGTCACATCTCTTACTACAGCTGGGAAAGGTTCTCTGCTTCTAATGACCTTTATTAGATCAGGCCCACCCAATCCTTGGGAGACTGGGAAGGAAATGTTTGGTTTTGTGTCTTAAAGTGAACAAGGAAAGATTTGGACAGAGATAAATCAGTGTGTAGGCTACACCACATTCACTCATGTCTCCCCTCATTCTTCACCTTGTTGCACAGTGGAGCCAGGTAGAAATCACCAAAGCAAAGGAAGGTGGAGAGGTGGGGAGAAGTGCAGAAAAGAGAATGAAGACACAGCAAGAATGTAGGCAAGTCAAAATTTTCGTGGAGGGCTTTTTTAAAAAAAAAAAAAATTCTTTTCCAAAGTGGTAGAAATTCTCCTTCAACATGTCAGTGTGTGCCTTCAACATGGAGTCTTGTTTTTAATTTATAAATTAATATGACAATCCATGTAGCCAGAACACGATATTTTACTGTACAAACTGCTCATTTAACTCTGAGTTAGATTCTATTATGAATCCCTCTCAGAGGCATCACTTCTAAGACCATTGCTCCCTAGTCTCTGATTTTATTTTAAGGGGCACTTGTCCCCCTTTGATATCCATTTCATTTTATACCCAGGCTATAAATTCCATCTTAGGCACAGTTTCTGTCTGATTTTGAAGCTGTGAAAAATCCCATCATGTCTGGCCAAAAAGTAAAATTTGATGGATACCACCAATGGAAAGCAAAATCTCTTCCTGTTGCATATACACTCTAGGTCTAAGATCATCCTCAAAGCCACTCTAGCTTTACCCAGAGGCCCTGAGGATTTGGAACTTTTCCCACCTGGAGGACAGTGACTCGGGGGTGCACTTAGACTATAACAGCTGATCCTGAGACTTTTATGCATACAAGCAGTTGAGGAAATTCAAAATCAAGACCAGGTAGAGACTGGGGAGGAGGAACAGATAGGGCAGCCACTCTACATGCTGAAATCTGAAATAAAACAGAAAACTATCCAGAAGATCTTAGTTCCAGTTCAGCCTTAGACAAGCTTGAGGCAAATCTTGTAATTAATAAATGATTTATTCCTTTATACCAGGGTGTCTAGCATTCAGCCCATAGAGTAGATTGCATTTATTTTGATTGAGCATTTACTATGTGTCAGGTGCTGTAAAAAGTCCATTTTAATTCCTCACAATAAACATGAAGTCATTTCTATTTTTACCTCCTCTGTAAAGAAGAGGAAGAATTAGAAAGTTTAAGTAATTGTGCCCCAAATTTAACACAGCTAAGTGATGGAAGCAGGATCCTCATATCCCACAGTCTGAGGGTTTAACCACCACAGAGCAAATGTAATTCAGTTGACCCTGAGCAAGATTCCTCCTGAGCTATTAATGGATAAAAAATAACCAACAAAGAAAGAATGAAAAATCCATTGCCTAATTAGTTTGCTCACATAAACATCGAAGGACTAACATCCCACAAAAGTAAAGAATGTTTAAAGTTTGATCTACTGTGGAGAAACTGAGTTCACTTGCCACAGAAATGACATTGGTAATGAAAACATTGTTAGAAATGTATTTTTTATTTAAATAGGTTTGTAGGGAATAGGTGGTGTTTGGTTACATAAATAAGTTCTTTAGTGGTGATTTCTGAGATTTTGGTGCACCCATCGCCCAACCAGTGTACCCTGTACCCAACGTGTAGTCTTTTATCCCTCGCCATCTCCTTCCCTTTCCCCTGAGTCCTCAAAGTCCAATGTATCATTCTTATGCCTTTGCATCCTCATAGCTTAGCTACCACATATTGGTCAGAACATATGATATTTTGTTTTCCATTTTTGAGTTACTTCACTTAGAATAATCATCTCCAATTCCATCCATGTTGCTGCAAATGCAATTATTTCATTCCTTTTTATGGCTGAGTAGTATTCCATGGTATATATACACCACACTTTCTTTATCCACGCGTTGATTGATGGGCATTTGGACTGGTTCCATATTTTTGCAATTGCGAATTGTCCTGCTATAAACAAGTGTGGCGTAAGTATCTTTTTCATATGACTTCTTTTCCTCTGGGTAGATACCTAGTAGTGGGATTGCTGGATCAAATGGTAGATCTACTTTTTGCTCATTAAGGAATCTCCACATTGTTTTCCATAGTGGTTGTACTAGTTTACATTCCCACCCACAGTGTAAAAGTATTCCCTTTTCACCCAACATCTATTATTTTTTGATTTTTTGATTATGACCATTCTTGCAGGAGTAAAGTGGTATCACATTGTGGCTTTGATTTGCATTTCCCTGATAATTAGTGCTATTGAACATTTTTCCATATGTATATTGATCCATTTTCATACTGCTATGAAGAAATACCCGAGACTGAGTAATTAATAAAGAAAAAGTTTTAATGGACTCACAGTTCCACATGGCTGGGGAGGCCTCACAGTCATGATGGAAGGCGAAGGAAGAGCAAAGGCACATCTTACATGGCAGCAGGCAAGAGAGCGTGTGCAGGGGAACTGCCCTTTATAAATCTATCAGATCTCATGAGACTTATTCATCATCATAAGAAAAACCTGCTCCCATGATTCAATTACCTCCCACAGATCCCTCCCATGACACATGGGGATTATGGGAGCTACAATTCAAGATGAGGTTTGGGTGGGGACACAGCCAAACCATATCAATATGCTTGTTGGACATTTGTGTATCTTCTTTTGAGAATTGTCTACTCAAGTGTTTAGCCTATTTTTGATGGGATTGCTTGTTTTTTTCTTCTAATTTGTTTGAGTTCTCTGTAGATTCTGGAAATTAGTCCTTTTTCAGATGAATAGATTGTGAAGATTTTCTTCCACACTGTGGGTTGTCTGTTAACCCTGCTGATTATTTCTTTTGCTGTGCAGAAGCTTTTTAGTTTAATTAAGTCCCATCTATTTATCTTTGTTTTTGTTGCATTTGCTTTTGGGTTCTTGGTCATGAAGTCTTTGCCTAAGCCAATGTCTAGAAGGGCTTTTCTGATGTTACCTTCTAAATGTGTATGGTTTCAGGTCTCAGATTTAAGTATTTGATTCATCTTGAGTTAATTTTTGTATAAGGTGAGAAATGAGAATCCAGTTTCATTTTTCTACATGTGGCTTGCCAATTACCCCAGCATCATTTGTTGATCTGTTAAGTCCTTTCCTCACTTTATGTTTTTGTTTGTATTGTCAAAGATCAGTTGGCTACAAGTATTTGGCTTTGTTTATTTAGATTGTCTATTTGTGCTGTTTCAGACTTTTTGATGTAGGCTTTAATGCTATAAACTTTCCTCTTAGCACCGCTTTTGCTGTATCCCAGAGGTTTTGGTGTAGGTTGTGTCACTATTATCATTCAGTTCAAAGAATTTTTATTTCCATCTTGATGTCATTGTTGACCCAATGATCATTCAGGAGTGTGTTATTTGATTTCCATGAATTTGCATGGTTTTGAGGGTTCCTTTTGGAGTTGATTTCCAGTTTTATTCCACTATGGTCTGAGTGAGTACTTGATATAATTTCGAGTTTCCTAAATTTGCTGAGACTTGTTTTGTGGCCTATAACATGGTCTATCTTGGAGAATATTCCCTGTGCCAATGAATAGAATGTATATTCTGCAGTTGTTGGGTAAAATGTTCTGTAAATATCTGTTAAGTCCATTATTTTTTGTTGACTTTGTTTTGATGAACTGTTTAGTGCTGTCAGTGGAGAATTAAAGTCCCCCACTATTATTGTGTTGCTGTCTATCTCATTTCGTAGGTCTAGTAGTAACTGTTTTATAAATTTAGGAGCTCCAGTGTTAGGTGCATATATGTTTAGAATTGTGATATTTTCCTCTTGTACTAGTCCTTTTATCATTATATAATGTCCCTCTTTGTCTTTTTTAACTGCTGTAGCTTTAAAGTTTGTTTTGTCTGATATAAAGCTACTCCTGCTTGCTTTTTGTGTCCATTTGCATGGAATATATTTTTCCATTCCTTTACCTTAAGTTTATGTGAGTCCTTGTGTTAGGTGAGTCTCCTGAAGAGAGCAGAAAGTTGGTTAGTGAATTCTTTTCCATTCTGCCATTCTGTATCTTTTAAATGGAGCATTTGGGCCGTTTACAGTCTATTAGGTTGCTTCAAAAGCAATTGCAGTTTCTGCCATTTTGGCAAAAACTGCAATTACTTTTGCAGCAACCTAATAGTATTAACATGTGAGGTACTATTCTATTCATTATGCTATTTGTTGTCTAAATACCTTGTTTTTCTTTTTCATTGTGTCATTGTTATATAGGTCCTGTGAGATTTATACATTACGGAGATTCTAGTTTGGTGTATTTTGAGGATTTGTTTCAAGATTTAGAGTTCCTTTTAGCAGTTCTAGTAGTGCTAGCTTGGTAGTGGTGAATTCTCTCAGCATTTGTCTGGAAGAGACTGTATTTGTCCTTCATTATGAAGCTTAGTTTCACTGGATATGAAATTCTTGGCTGATAATTGTTTTGTTTAAGGAGGCTGAAAATAGGACCCCAATCCTCTCTAGCTTGTAGGGTTTCTGCTGAGAAACCTGCTGTTAATCTGATAGGTTTTCCTTTTTAGGTTACCTGATGCTTTTGCCTCACAGCTCTTAATATTCTTTCCTTTGTACCTTTACCAAAGTAAAGTAAAGACTTTAGATGATCTGATGACTATGTGTATAGACAATGATCTTTTTGCGATTAATTTCTCAGTTGTTCTTTGAGCTTCTTGTATTTGGATGTCTAGATCTCTAGCAAGGCCAGGAAGGTTTTCTTTGATTATTCCTTCAAATATATTTTCCAAACTTTTAGATTTCTCTTCTTCCTCAGGAACACTGATTATTCTTAGGTTCAGATGTTTAACATAGTCCCAAACTTATTGGAGGCTTTGTTCGTTTCTTAAATTTTTTTCTTTATTTTTGATGGATTAGGTTAATTCAAAAGCCTTGTCTTAAGGTCTGAAGTTCTTTCTTCTGCTTGTTCAATTCTATTATTGAGACTTTCCTGTGCATTTTGTATTTCTCTAACTATGTCCTTGATTTCCAGAAGTTGTGATTGTTTTTCATTTATGCTCTCTATTTCACTGCAGAATTTTCCTTTCATATCCTGTATCATGTTTTTCATTTTTTGAAGTTGGACTTCACCTTTCTCTGGTGCCCCCTGGATTAGCTTAATAATCGACCTTCTGAATTCTTTTTCTGGCAATTCAGAAATTTCATCTTGGTTTGGATCCACTGCTGTTGAGCTAGGATGATCTTTTGGAGGTGTTAAAGAACCGTGTTTGTCATATTACCAGAATCGTTTTTCTGGTTCCTTCTCATTTGGGTAGACTATGTCAGAGGGAAGATCTGGGATTCAAGGGCTGCTGTTCAGATTCTTTTGTCCCACAGGGTGCTCCCTTGATGTGGTGTTCACCCCCTTCCCCTTCCCCTAGGAATGGGGCTTCCTAAGAGCTGAACTGTAGTAATTATTTTTGCTCTTCTGGGTCTAGCCACCCAGTGGCGCTACTGGACTCTGGGCTGGTACTGGGGGGTGTCTGCAAAGAATCCCGTAATGTGATCCATCTTCAGATCTTGTAGCCGTGGATACCAGCACCTGCTTCAGTGGAGGCAGCAGGGAAGTGAAGTGGACTCTGTGAGGGTCCTTGGTTGTGTTTTTGTTTAGTGCGTTGGTTTTGTGTTGGTTGGCCTCCAGCCAGGAGATGGCACTTTCAAGAGCACATCAGCTGTGGTCCTATAGGGAGGATGCAAGCTTGCCCTAGGGACACCTGGTTTAGTATTTAAGATTCTCAGGTGGTAGGCAAGGCCATAGACCTCCCAAGAGATTATGACCTTTGTCTTTGGCTACCAGGGAGGGTAGAGAAAGACTACCAGGTAGGGGCAGGGATAGGCGTGTCTGAGCTCAGCCTATCCTTGAGGAGGGCTTGCTGTGGCTGCTGTGGGGGATGGGGGAGTGGTTCCCAGTCCTATGGAGTTATATTCCCAGGGGGATTATGGCTGCCTCTGCTGAGTTATATAGGTCACCAAAGAAGTGAGAAAAAAGCTGGCAGTCACCAGTCTCACCCCTCTCCCATTCCTAAAGACCAGTCTTACTCCCACCATGCCCCCGCCCCCCTCAACAGCACCAAGTCTATTTCCAGGCAGCTGGTGACCAGGGCTGAGAACTTGCCCCAGACCACGAGCCTCTCCATTGAGAAAGCAAGCAGACTCACAGTTTTTCAGCATCTCAGGGAGCCTGCAGTGGCGATCCAGTTCCTTCAGAGGGTCTGTGGATTCTCTCAGCTTTCCTTGTATGTTCCTGTGGTAGCTCTTGAAGCAAAAGTTCAAAATGAGAGTCTCCACACGCTGATCTATCTGTCCAAGTGGGGCTGCAGGCTGGTCCTGCCTCCTATCTGTCATCCTAATCCCTTCCTAGAAATTTCGTTTTTATAGCTTTACTGAGATATAATTTAAATAATAAAATTTACTTACTTCAGTGTGCAATTGAATAGTTTTTAGTAAACTTAGAGTTCTGCAGCCATCACCTCTATCTAATTCCAGAACATTTTTATCACCCCAGAAAGAAACACCTTGCCAATCAGTAGTCACTCCCCCTTCCCCACCCCACCTCACTCTACTCCCAGCCCCTGGCAACCACTAATCTATTTTCTATCTCTATGAATTTGCCTATTCTGGACATTTCATATCAATGGAATCATACAATATGTGGTTTTTTATATCCAAGTTCCTTCAATTAGCATAATATTTTTGAAGTCCAGCCACAGTGGAACAGTATTGGTACCTCATTCCTTTTCATTGCCCAATAGTATTCTATTGTATGGATAGACCACATTTTGTTTATCCATTTACCCATTGATGGACATTTGGATTGTTTCTACTTTTTGACTATTATGAATAAAGCTGCCATGAATACTGACATGCAAGCCTTTGTGTAAACATATGTTTTCACTCTCTTCCATACACAGACAGGAGTGAAATTGCTGGGTTGTATGGTAAGTTCATATTTAACTTTTTAAGGAACTGCCAAATCATGTTCCAAAGTGGCTGCACTATTTTGCCTTGCCACAACCAATGGTTCAAGGCTCTAACTTCTCCACATCCTTGCCAAAACTTCATATTGTCTGTTTTTATTGGTTACATCTACCCTGGTGGGTGTGAAGTAGTATCTCGTTGTGGTTTTGATGTGCATTTCCCTAATGGCTTATATGTTGAGCAGTTTTTCATGTGCTTATTGAGCATTTGTACAACTTCTTTGAAAAAATGTTTATTCAGGTAGGTTGCTCATTTTTAATTGGGTTTTTTTTATTATATAGTTGCAAAAGTACTTTACATATTCTAGATAAAAGTCCTTTATTACATTACAATTTGAAATGCTTGTCTTTTCATTTTCTTAATGATGTCGTTTGAAGCACAAAGGTTTAATTTTTAAGAAGTCCAGATTATCATTTTTTTCTTCTATTACTTGTAATTTTTGTGTCATATCTAAAAAAAAATTGTCTAACCTGAGGTCACAAAAATTTACTTCTATGTTTTTTTCTAATAGCTTTATAGTTTTAGCTCTTACATTTATGTCTATGATTTTTGTGTATGATATGAGGGAGAGGTCTAAATTCATTATTTTGCATGTGGATATCCAGTTGTCCCAGCACCATTCCTTTGATTTATATGTCTCTTCTTATGCCAGTACCACACTTTCTTAATTACTCTAGCTTTGTAGTAAGTTTTGAAATCACAAAGTTTAAATGCTCCAACTTTGTTCTTCTTTTTCAAGGCTACTTTGGCTATCCTGGGTCCCATGCATTTTCTTGCATTTCTACACAAATTTCAGCTTGTCAATTTCTAAAAAAAAAAAAAAAAAAAATAGCAAGATGGAATTTTGATGGTGATTGCATTGAATTTATAGGTCAGTTTGAGAAGAAATGCCATCTTAATAACATGGAGTCTCCCAATCCATCAACATGAAGTGTATCTCCATTTATTCAAATCTTAAATTTCTGTCAGCATTGTTTCATAGTTTTCAGTACAAAAGTCTTGGTCTTTCGTTAAGTTTGTTTCTAAATATTTTCTTATTTTTGATGCTATTGTGAATGGTATTGTTTCCTTAATTTCAGTTTTTGGATTGTTCATTACTAGTAAATAAAAATGCAATTAATCTTTGTATATTGATCTTGTATCCTATGACCTTGCTGAAGTTGTTAGTTAGCTCTAGTGGTAGTTTTTGTGACTATCTCAGAATTTTCTACATCCTGGATCATGCTGTCTGAAAATAAAGACAGTTCTACTTCTGCCTTTCCAACCTGAATGCTTTTTATTTGTTTCTCTTGCCTTATTGCACTAAGACTTGAAGTATGATGTTGAATGGGAGTGGTGAGAGAAGACATACTTGTCTTGTTCCCAATCTTCAGGGGAAAGCTTTAGTTTTACACCATTAAGTATGATGTTAGCTGTAGGGCATTCATACATCACCTTTATTTGGCTGAAGAACTTTCCTTCTATTTCTAGTTTGGTCAGAGTTCTTTATCATCAATGGGTGTAGAATTTTGTCAAATGATTTTTCTGCATCTATAAAAGTGATCATGTGGTTAGAAATTTATGTCTTTTTCTTTTTGAGTGAAAATAGAAGGTAGTTATGTACTGCTTCCACTGCAACATTTGTAAGGAGAATTTATGCTACTAACTTTGCAATAAGGTTCATTGCATAAGAGAAGGAGGAACTTATCAAAAATTGTTTATTTATTCATTCTAGGGTCCTCCTGAAAAGGCTTTTGACAGATACCAATTAATTCCTCAGATTGTTTTGTTGTTGCTGTTGTTGTTGTTGTTAAAAAAAAATCTGCAGGGTTTGGTGTTGGCTAATTTGGTTATTTAGTCAAAAAGTACAAGTTTTCACATTCAAACTGATTGAACAAATTAACCTTAAGACTGTACTTATTCTGTGTAGATTCCACTGAGTTCAATGTAATACATGAGACTTTAAAAATTATAGACCTATTAGGTAGAAATAAAATGACAATATCAGAAGACAGTCATATACTTTCATGCATCAAATTATACTTCAAACTTCTGAAGTTTTCTTTGAAAGGCAGGCCTCACAATGTATCCATATTAAGCATCTGTTCTATATGTGTGGCTCAGTTTCAGGAGCAACCATTTAGGGTGAACATGAACTATGCTTCTCTAAGACATACTGTCCCTGGAATCTGTAGATGTATATAATTTCTAGGATTAAACAGAAACTTCTGACCATATGGCCATATTCTGGCAATGTTTATCTCCACATGACTTTAAAAATACATATCTTATAAAAATATAATAGCAAAGATGAAAATTACCAATCATGCATTTATTCAACAGGTGCATATTGGTCACCTACCACACGCCAAGTTCTGTGATGGGCACTGAAGATACAATGTTAGGCAAAATATAAACAATCTTTGTTTTAAGCAGCTTACATACTAATGAGGGAAAGGGATACTTAATAATTACAGAAATAATTATATTCATACATGATAAATGCTGTAAAGGAAATGTACAGAGAACTATAAGAGAGAATAGTTGGGAGGATCCAACCTAGTCTGGAGAGGTTATTCACATATTCCCTGAAGAACAGGCAGTCAGGTTAAAATCTAAAATACAAGCAGGAATATGTCAGCAATAATCTTCCTTTTTCATTTGTCTACCTTCACTCTTCCATTGCCCTCTTTGTTCTTGGCTAAGAAATATGTAAGTGTGAAGGTCATGAGACAGGAGTATGGTTCTTTCGAGGAGCTGAGAGAAGGTCAATATGGCTGAAGCTTTTCAGGCTGAGTTTTGAGGAACTAGCATGTAAAGACAAGAAAGAAAAGGAGGAGCCATGAAAATAACCAAGAAGGAGTGGCCAAGGAGAATCTGGTGTTCTAGAAACCAAGCGAGTGGAATATTTTAAGAAGGATGAAGGAAAGGCTGTATTGAATACTGCTAAGAGGTCAACAGAGATAGGATTGAAAATGTTTATTGTGCTTAGCAATACACAGGACATCGGTGACCTTATCAAAAGCAATTTTGGTTGATGGCAGTCAGAAAAAATGCTAAAGCAGAGTAAATTAAAGAGTGAATTAGTCACTATAAGGTAGGTATTATTATAAAAATGAACTGCAAAATTTCAGTGGTTTAACACACAAAACCTTATTTTTTGCTACTGTAACATGTACAATGCACATCAGCAGGGGTTTTCTGCCAAAATCACTGGATTGCCTAGAGCAACAGACATTCTATCATCCTAAAGTTGGACCATCTACATTATCATCTACCTCAGTTGCTGTGGCAGGGAAAGAAAGCATAGAGACCCATGAACTCATTCTTGGCCAGACTACCCACATGGTGCCCTACTGCAAAGAAGGCAGAAAGTGAAGATTTTCATCTGTTGATGAAAAGGAGAACCAGACATTGGTGACTTCTAGTAACATCTACAAAATAAATAGGAGATAAGGAAACAGAGACAGTGAGTATAAGGCACCATTTTAGGAAGCTTAGTTAAAAAATAAATGAAGATATGGGATAGGAGCTAGACAGGGATATAATGCCTGGGAGAAGTGGTGTGTGTGTGTGTGTGTGTGTGTGTCTTTATGTGTCTGTGCGTGCTTTAATAGCAGTGCTTAAATCAAGCTTAATGTTTAGGAAAAACCCAGGAAAGAAAGTAATAGGCTAAAGACACAAAAGAGACAAAAATAACAATAATAATAATGAAATGAGGTTCCACCAAAAAGCAGGAATGATGGAATCTAGAGGAGAGTGGAGGGTTTGACCTAGGATATAAAAAGGAACACTTTTTCCATTGTAAAAGAAAGAAAGAAATGAGCAATGAATTAAGATGCAAGTAGATTCTGAAAATCAATGACCAGAGGTTGAGGGAGTTCCTTTCAATAGTGTTCAGGCCAGACACAGTGGCTCCTGCCTATAATCCCAGCACTTTGGGAGGCTGAAGCAGGAGGATTGCTTGAGGCCAGGAGTTCAAGTTCAGCCTTGAAAATATAGTGAGATCCTGTCTCTACAAAAACATTTTTTAAAAATTATCCAGGTGTAGAAATACATACCTGTATTCCCAGCCACTTGGGAGGCTGAGGTGGGAAGATTGCTTGAGCCCAGGAGTTCAAGGCTGCACTCTAGCCTAGGTGACAAAGTAAAAACCCTGTCTCCAAAAATAAATAAAATAACAGTGTTCAATTTCCATATGAAGTGTGAAGTAAAGTCATCCACTAAGAATGAGAACAGAGTGATGGTAGAGGAGATAATCAGAAGTTTGAGGAAGATAAAAGATGTAGGAGATAGTGACTCCACGAAGTAGAGAATGAGCAAGTAGGCCTGCTGGGCAGTTTTGAAGGCCTGCTTGGGCCTGATAATCATCAATTTAGCAGGATAATCTATTCTGTTGTGGAAGTTCCTCCAGAAATACTGAGTTATGCAACTGGCCCATATGAAGATGACAAATGATTGAGTTCACCCAAGTGATAGTGACTGAAGGAAAAGGAAAAGGGTGGTTAAAAATATTTACAAGGGAATGGTTGTATTGATAAGAACTATCTAATCTATACTGGATAAAGAGGGGAGTGGGATCAGGGGGAGCACGGTACACAGGAAAAAGTGGAAAGGTCAATGGATTGAGGAACTTGTTGAAATTAAATAACTGTTAAAGAGAATGCATCTCGGCGATAAGCTGGAAAGGTAGGAAGTTGTGAATAGAGTGAAATGTTCCTAATGTGGAGATGGTGTGGTTTTCAATAGTGATGATATCCAGTGTTTGACTGTGGGATTGGGTGGCTGAGGAAAAAGCGAATAAGAAAGCCATCAAAGATGAAAAGGTTAAAAAACAGCAAACACAGTGTTGGGTGGTTCCCCCATGGGGACATTTAATTTAATCCAGAATAATGGGGAAAAAACTGTGAAAACTTTGACATAGGAGCCAAATCTTTAATACATGAGGAGGAGAGTACGTTGGAAGTTAACAAGTGATTCAAAGGGACAAAGAAAAGGACGGTATACTCTCAAAAGAGATGATGAGGGAGCAACAGTCTAGAAGCGACAAATGAATCTAAAAGTACTTGAATTAAGCTCTTCTGGAGAAGCATAGATCCCATTCGATCTGTAAAATGTCAAGATTCACATCAACTTTCTCAAAAATTGATTAATGGCCAGCACTTGACCTAGAAATTTGCAAATTTGTATGAATAAATTTGATTAAACTACTTTTGGACTGCATTCGTATTTATATCAAAAACACATTTGCATGAAACTAATAATCTATGCTTCACTGTTGTTACTAAATTTTAAAATTTTGTGCAGCTGTACCCATGTGGAATTCTGATCACATGGGCATAGCACTCCTTGCCTGAGCTAGCTGTTCTTACCCTCTTTCCCACTAAAGAAAGATATTAGAATACGATGAATACCTTTGATCTTTTTTATGTTTATAAGTAAATAATTTACAAAACTTCTACACTTTAAGAGTTAGTAACACATTACTTTCTCCTAACCTTACAACAAAATATAGGACTCCAGTGTGTAAAGATCCCATGTCTTAGCTAGATCCCTCAGGCAGTTCTTACGAAACTCCTTTTCCTCTTCAAATTTGCTTTTGTTGTTCCTATTGCCCAATACGAAAATGGAGTTGGGGAAGCGTAAAAGGTGTCACACAGTTAAACTTCCACAAGGTTCTCCCTGCTGTCCAGAGCTAGCCTATGCAGGCCTACAGTTAATTGTTTATAAGTATTATTTCCTTGATCTACAGCAAGACAGAGGTTTAACTTCAAAATCTGTCCTGGAGTGATGATTCTTTTTAAGAAACTCAGAATCGTATCCACTTCAGTATGGCTTTCAAATGTGTCATTTGAAACACTGTCATTTAATTTTATTTTCACAAATAGGGATAAATCGGCCTTAAAATGAGAAGTCCTAGGGTGGTAACAGCTTCCTGCTGTTGCTATTTTCTGGGTGCTTTCTCATCCCTTATCATTCCCTTAACCTCACCCTTACCTCTACAAGCTGCCTGTTAAAATTCTCTGAGCGTACCACTTGTTTTTCTGCCAGGACCCTGGCTCTACCCTTGCTAAAAAAAAAAATTCAAAATGTTCAGCATTCTCCAAACTCTACTGATCCAGACTGTTAGAGAGCTGGGGAACTGGTAATGACAGGTCAAAATGTTCTCCTCAGAACACTTGTTCTGGGGTACACCCTGACCATCCCTGCTGTGCTAAGGTCCACTTAAACCTCATGAGGAACTAAGCATGTGTGCCCACAAACTGGTCTTTCTTATGTAGTTGCAAGGCCACTGCACAGGGGTGATGCCTGTTCATTACTATATACACGGTGGGCAAAAGAGCAAGATGAGCTAGTGGGGTAGAAAGAAATTATAGCCAGATGACAGATCACAGTGACATGGTTTGCTAAAGACAGTGTTTGCAACCACACATATAAGGTGGTACTTTAGAATGATATATTTGAGAGCACGGGGTTCACTTGATCTTGTGAACTGGCAGAATCTCTCTCAGAAGCAACAGAATATGACATCATCACCAGCCAAGCGGGTCTCCTGAAAGGAACTGGGGCAACGCGGAAGTCTGCTTACCAAACATCCCTCTCAGTCCACTGTCTCCTCGTATGCTCTGCTGGGAATGTATTCTTTGTGCTTATCACAGGAAACCATGACTTGTACAATATTTATACGTCAGAGAGTTCATTTTCACAGAACCTTCAACCTAATCCTTTGTGGGATATTGCAAGCTCTTTGGGAAGCTATTAGAGATTATTGGGGGAAAATAGGTAGTATGGTCAAATATATCTAGGAAGCACTGTGTTAAGCAAAACGAAACTGTTTTCTGCAGAAAAGCTCGAGTTGGATATGCTCCTGTGCATTGTGCCTCTCCAAGCAGGGAATATGGTATGCAGAGTTTCCCAACCTGCACATAACAAGGAACACTTTTGTCAAAGGCACGCCCACGAGACTTTGAGCAACACTCTCCTATGGTTAGAAACATTATGGGTGTTCAGTGGGGGCGGGGGGATGCTATTGAAAAGAACAGGATGGTAAAGAAATCTTCAAAGGAAGGAATTCAGTCCCCATCAATCCTCCAGTTCTTGCTGAACCAGAAACGCGAGTCACTCTAAAGCTGACTGAATTGTACAGCTTATTGAATTTACTCTGAACACTTCATTTGAAATTTGGCAACATCCCTGATTGTCAGAGGTTTTTAATCTGGTACAAAAGGTTACAGAGGAATGCTCCTGCCCAGATCTGGCAGCCTATAGCAGACTTTTTAATTAACTTTAAAAGGTCTGTGTGAGTCCTGTGCATGATAGGATATATAAAACACACACCTCCATCGCAGGAGTCAGGGAAGCAACTGGAGCCCTTCCAAAGCCATCTGACTGTCATTTTGGGAAGAGTGAATTTCTTGTTTTGAAATTCAAGTTGATAAAGGATTAGATTTTTTAAAATAAAATAAAATGCAGCCTTACCAACATAAGCTACAGGGTCAGTGGAGCCTTTATTACAATTAGGTTGTTCTTTCAGAATAAAATCCACACTGAGCCTTTTGTTCTGAAAAGGAGGCACCCTCCATGGATGAGTGACATGGGGAAGAGAAGATCCTTACAAGAGAGATTATAAATGATGACACTGGAACACAATGACCTTAAGACTTAAAGAAATCCCTTCAGGGACGAGAAAACAGCAGGAAGTCATTCTAAGCAAAGTCTGGTGGCCCTCTGACACTGCAGACATAATATGGTGACACTAGACTTAAAACCTTGCACAATGACACCTGCTGGGTCCTGCTTTTTGCCCTTTGCCACAAATGAGCACGTCCACTAGTCCTACCTTATCCCCCCCACCCCTGAATGCCAGCACATTTAACAAAGTGTATGTTGCTGAGGGTGGAAGTGGAAGGCTAGTAGATACAAAAGAGTTCATCTTGCCTTATAAGTACCATGCACTAACTAATTGCACCCTGGAGCTACAAGAGTTCATTCTGAAAAGCCACTTCATCCTAAATTCCCAATCTCTGAGCTATGAGCTTCATTTGGAGGGAATTGGGGTAGGGAAATCTATGAACTCCTCTGTTGGCCAGTTAAATAAACTAATATCCCTCACACATATATGGACTGTTAATTTTTTTCTAATTATTTGTAGAAGCTGTGGTAAGGAATAGACTCTTTAAGCTTAACTTAGTAAACTAAGTAATGTTTTTAAATGATCATATCTATTATATAATGAATACTGAAATAACAGCAGCAGCAGCTTCCCAAAATATTTGGATTTTAAAAACATTTATACCTGAAAAGGCTAAGAATTGCTGGTGTAATCTTCCCATCATTTTCTGACAAATCTGCTCTGAAACCTCCCCACATACATGTTTTCTTAAATATCCCTCAGAAGGAAAATTCTCTGTGGCCGACGGTAGGACACGTCATTCAGCACTGAATTGTTCATCGTTTATTGTATGGAACCAACACTCAGAATTCAGCAGTTGTAGACCCCACAGTAATTCAACTTCACAGGTTTCCTGCAAACGTGTTCACACAGACTACCATAGACTGAAGTGGTGCCTGGAAACATACGGGAAAAATAACCCTATTCACTATGGAGACTCGAGACTGCCTTCCAGATATTTCCCAGTGCTGACTGGAAAAGTCACCCCTATGCTTCATACACTGAATAAATCATTATCTCTGGCAAACTGATTAGGAAAGATTGTGCTGAGGACTGCTTCTTCCAAGCAGAGGTGGTTTGTGTTTAACCTGAATCAAGACATTCAGTGCTGACACAAAAAAGTCCGAAGCTGCACATCAGCGGGCTTCTCTCATAATCACTGGAAACTCTCCTGTAGTTATTACAAGCCAGCTCTCCAGCAACAACCGCCATTTGCATTGATGTAAGGAACTGCCTGATTTACTAGCCAGGGTGAAATTATCCACCCTCTGAGATCCTTACTAATTTTCTTACACAACCAGAAGAAACAGGTTGCCATTAAGACTCCACATTATAATTTTTCCAAAAGGTTATTTGTGTTATGAAATTATTTGAACCTGAAGAGAAGCAAAAGTGAGTTGAAGTCCCACACAAAGCCAAAAAAGGAAGGAAATGTTGAGGCAAACCGGGCAGGCCAGCCTCACCCACCATGTGCAATTACTCCTGTTGGGCTCAGAGCTTGTGCTTGTATCATTGAACATGACTTCAGAAGGCTCCATGACAATTTCTAAATGTTTTGCTTGTTAGCAGAAAAAATAAGT
Organism: Homo sapiens; assembly: GCF_000001405.40. NCBI lineage: Eukaryota > Metazoa > Chordata > Mammalia > Primates > Hominidae > Homo > Homo sapiens. Next base: position 42,244,757 of record NC_000023.11, on the reverse strand, counting down.
CCCATCTTCCACTCAGGGTTCCTTGTCTCCTTAAAACTGCATCTAAGTTCGATTTACATTTATGTATTGTAAATCAGTTTGACAAATATAAAAATATCTGCATCTAGGTATAGATATAAGTCTAGATAAACTGTTAAGTACATATTATAAATAAAATGTACAGCAGTTTATTTACACGTAGGCATTTGCATCTTTGTTTAAAGGGATAACAAGAGCCATCTAAACACATATTATACATAAAGTGGACTTCAACACAGATTCCAATGCTTCTACTTTCAACTTAGCCAGGGTTTTGCTGCTCACCTGCCAATAGTTAGCAGTAAAGCTCTGCGGTCACACAGCATTTTCTCCATACCTAGGTTCAGAACTGATGTTGAATGCTAGAAGCACACTCCCACTTCGAGGTACCTGTTTGACCTTGCCACTCCTCCACCTGGAACGCTCATTCTTCAAATTATCTTCACTGTTCTCTCCCTCATCTCCTTCAAAACTGGTTTCCAACCTCTCCTCAGTGAAGCCTCCCCTGACCCACCCTATTTAAAATTCCCTATTCACCTCTCCTGCCTTACTTTCCTCCAGAGCACTAAGAACTCTCTAATATGCTATATAATTTCTTTGTGTTTAATGACTAGTTTGTCATCCCTCCCACCTCCATCTCTCTCTCTCTCTCTCACACACACACACACACACACACACACACACACACACACCAAGCTCCATGAGGACCAGAATTTACATCTCTTTCATTCATTGCTATATTTCTAGCATCTATACGAATGTTTAGCACACGATAGATGATGAGTCAGCATTTGTTGGGCAAGGAGGAGAGAAATAGGCAATGGCCGACTACAGAGATGTAAAACAGTAAAAGCTATCTTCTAGATGTTTTTCAAATCTGTAAAATTTCTCTTCATATGACACCTACTCAACACAGAGACTAACAAAGGGAATACTTGCTGAATAATTTTCACTATGTATGCCACATTGCTTCGAAACCAGACCTAACTGGAGCAAAATTTGTGAATTAGATTTATGGTTTCATTGCTGAAATCTCAGGTATAAGTGAATACTCTAGAATTAGACCGTTAAAATTCTTAGACTTTAGCTCTCATCATAAATCCCTGGAAGCTTGGTTAAAGCACAGAGTGCCAGGTCCATGCTCCAGAGTCTCTGATTTACAGGTCTGGGGAAGGGCCTGAAAATTTGCATTTCTAACAAGTTCCCAGATGATACTGATACTGCTGACCTCGAGCCCATGCTCCGAGATTTGCCAGTCTAAACATTTCAAAGTGAACATAGATCAGCCACTGGTGTTTTCTCATCAGTTCTTTCCTTTGTATTTTTCTGGCAGAACCAATATTATTTTGTCTTCTTTCTACTCCTGGAGATAAACACATCTTAACACAATTGAGATACTGTTGGACTCCATCTCAGAACCTAATTTTTATATGTCTAGCTTTACACAGAGAAAAGAGGGACCAATACAATGACTGCTCAGCCAGCTCTGTACGTAAGTAAGTGAAAGACCTTTTAATTGGTCTCCTTTCGACTTTTCCTGTATCCTTGCTTTCCACTGCCAGTTCAGTGCCACAAACAGGGGCTTGGTGTGAAAAGGATCTAGTTCACCCTGGAAATTTCACCTGAATTATATGAGCTCCTCTGACTCCTGTCAAATAAAAAGGCTGGTATTCCTTCTCCTAAGTAGCAGACATTTTTGGTGCTCCACACCACAGACCCTCAGCTACCTCTGATTTTGGAACTATCCCACCTCAATACCTGCTGGGCCTCTCTTATTTTCTGCCTTAGGGTACTCTCAGAAATGCTGAGAAATTTTCCATTTGTGCACAGAACAAGCAGAAGCCTGGTGGCATTAGTGTCTCTAGAGATAATCCTTAAACAATTGGGGGCAGTAGTATACGGATAAATGCCCCAGCATCTCATTCTTTGTTAAGACATATCTGAGCCACACTCAGATTTCTCCGACATCTCCAGAGGAATTGGTCACGTTGCCCACAACAACAACCAGTTTGATTATGCACTTCATATTGGCTGTTTTCCTTTTCTGTTTCATTCCTCCTGCTCCTTCACTCCCAATACCTAGAATTATCTCTTGGGAGATAAACCTTCTGCACCGAAGTTCTCCTTGCAGGCTCTGCTTTCAGGGAATCCAATTAAATGTATTATCTTAGATTGGATTCCCTGGAAGCCAACTCTGAGACAGAGAGTTTTGTACAAAGGACTTATTAGGGAGAAACCTCAAGAGATACATTTGTAACTGGGTGAAGAAGGCGAAACTGACCCGCAAGGTGAGACTTCAGCTGAGACTGAAACTGAGACCTCAGCCAATCCTAACAGGGGCCTCTGTAGAGCCGGCATGGCTCCTAAGAGTTGTCCTAAATTGAAGCAGGGGGCTCAGTCAGTCATTGGCCGTCTGCAATCAATATTCACAGCAGCTCGGTTATGAGTGTGTTGGCTCTGAAGAGGTATCTAGGCCGAGCAGTACAGTGTCCACTAGAGAGCTCTTGCATCATTGCCTCATCCCTCCTTCTTGGCAACTTTTGACAACCCTGCAAATTCAATCATCTCTCCGTCTCCGGCAGCCAGCCTTCACTTGGAGGGAAAACTTCCCTGCAGACTCAATGTTTAGAAAAAAATAAGTTACATTTGGCATACTGAGTAAATATATTAAAGAAATCTAAAATCCCAAGTGTAAAAATTGGCTACAAGGTGCTAAACTTAAACACTCATATATAATTAAATTCCATCAATGATGTGAAGTTATATTCAAAATATGTTTTCTCAGAAGGGTTTTACTTCTAAGCAGTGGTGTTCGGGGTTGTGGATTTTTTTTTTTTTTTTTCACATGTAGACTGAAGGCAGAAGTGTCTGTCTAGGCACTTGTTATAAAAGAGCAATTAAAACATCCTAGATCCGGCGGGTAAGAGCCCTAGTGCTACTGAAAATACTTCACTAATTACAGTCTTATTTAGTGGCAGGCCCAAACAAAAGCAGGCTACCACATTTTTCAAATTTAAATAAAGAGCATTCAGTACTTAAGCACTCTCTTCAGGAGCAGGAAAGTGTGGTCGCCTGAATCACACATTCTTCCAGGGTCACTGCTCTCTCTAGGAGCCAAGAGCTGCCCAGACTCCTCCAATGCCTGTCCTTCCTAGGACAGTGATCTGTGTATACCATCTACTTCCTTCTTTTTGAAATGGCCTCCTTTTTCATTGAACTTTTTCATGAGATGATTGTAGATTCACATGCAGTTTTAAGAAATAGTACAGAGATCCTGTGTACCCTTTACCCAGTTTCCCCCAGTAGTAACAACTTGCAAGACTATAACAATCCACCTATCTTATTCAGATTTCCTCAATTTTATTTGTACTCGTTTGTGTGTGTTGGAGGGGGGTGTTTAGTTTTAGTACAATTCTATGCCATGTGTAGGTTCGTGTATCCACCACCACAATCAATATAGGAAACAGTTTCATCACGACAGAATGCATCCTGTTGCCCTTTTATAACCACAACTACCTTCTTCTAGCCCCTCCTCCACCCATTCTCTCCATCCACCCCAGTTCCTAACCCCTGAAAACCACTAATCTATTCTCCATTTCTAAAAATGTGTCATTTCAAAATTATTATATGCATGGAATCACACAGCATGTAATCTTTGGGGACTGCCTCTTTTGCTCAACATAATTCTACAGAGATTCATCCAGGTTGTTGCATATATCAAGAGTTAATTCACTTTTATTGCTGAGTAGTATTCCATGGTATGGATGTACCATAGTTTGTTTAACAATTCGCCAGTCAAAGGACATCTGGGTTGTTTTCAGTTTGGGGCTATTACAAATAAAGCTACTATAAATATTTATGAAGAAGTTTTTTTGTGAATGTACATTTTTATTTCTCTGGGATAAATGACCAAGAGTGCAATTGCTGGCTCATATGGTAGTTGCATATTTAGTTTTTTAAGAAACTGCCAAACTGCTCTCCAGAGTAGCTGTATCATTTTCCATTCCCACCAGCAATGTATGAGTGATCCGGAGCAATGTATGATGCACCAAATGCTGCATCTTCACCAGCATTTGGTGTTGTCACTATTTTTTATTTTAGCCATTCTGATAGGTACTTGGTGATATCTCATTGTGGTTTTAATTGGCACTTCCCTGATGGCTAATGGTATGAACATCTTTTCATATGCTTATTCACCATCTGTGTATCCTCTTCCATAAAATGTCTGTTCTATTTCTTTGCTGAGATTTTCTATTTTTTTCATTTGTATGTTGCCTGAGACAACAGAGGAGATTTCCTCAGGTCAGGCAGCCAAGTATATCTCAATGTGGGAAGCGAGTCTTAGGTCCACAGGGACAAAAAGGCTTCTTGGCAGGCTGGGCTACTTGCGCTGGTGCCTAGGTATCTCTTAGGAGGGGAGGGGAGTCTCAGGCTGGGCAGGGAAAGAGAACACCTCCCTTGACTACTTATTGTTTACAGCACTCCTTAACAATCCTTCTTACTGGTGATGCTGGGCTTGCCTTCATTGTCAGAGGGCCTTCTATTTGATCCAGGGGTAGAACAAGCTTACCTTGGCTGCCTTCTGTTGCCAAGTTAGGGATACAGAAACACCGGGCCTGGTAACCTTTTTCTGTTGGGTGAGGGGACATGAATGCTCTGCATCTGTGTTGTCCTTTCAATTCTGGGGTCCCAAACCAGTTCACCTTCCTGTTACCACCTTTCATTCTGACTTCTCCTCTGGTTGCTTTTTGCATTATTTCCTGGATTTACAGTAGTACTTAACTAGGAAGAGCAGGGGAAAATGTGTCTATACCATCTTGTTTGACACAGAAGTCTGATATGCCCTCTTGCATATATATTTCAGTTCAGTTACAGCTTAGTTTCACCTGCTATCATATATAAAGAGAAAAGAGAGGTGATTTTCACTCAGGCTTGCTCTTCTGTGACCTTAGATGTTGTTCCCAGAACATTACTCCTGGAAGCCTGAAAGCAGGCAAAAACTCTGGTACACTCCAAATATTTTAGAGAGTCAAAGGAATCTTAGAGACCATCTAGACCAAGAGTTTAACATTCCTAGTCATGGAACACTTTGTTCAAATGAACTCCAATGGAGAAAGACAACATTTAGATATTAGTCAAGCTGTCTGGGTAAAGTAGGAGTGGGGACTCAGCCCTTGGCTATTCACCTTCCCTCTCCCCGCATCAGACAATTCAGAATTGAGAGGATTTAAGGAGCACAGTTTCAAAAAGAATCATCTAGTCCAACCCCTTCCTTTTACAAATGAGGACTCTGGAACCCCGAAAGGGGATATAATTTGCTTAAAGTAACAACAAATTAGTTCAGAGCTAATAATAAAATCTAAGTCTCCTGAGCCAGCAATACTAATCCTAGACATTTACACCCAAAAATAAAAATATATGTCCACCCAAAGACTTGTTCATAGTGGCTTTATTCAAAATGAAAGCTGGAGGCAACATCAGCAGGTAAATGAATAAATTGTGGTACATTCATGAAATGGAATACTACTCAGCAATAACAAGGAATGTATTATTGATGCATACTACAACATGGATGAATCTCAAGACCATTATTTGGAGCTAAGGAAGCAGACATGAGCTGGGCATGGTGGTGCATGTCTATAGTCCCAGCTAATTGGTAGGCTGAGGCAGGAGGACTGCTTGAGCCCAGGACTTTAAGACCAGCTTGGGCAACATAGTGAGATACCGTCTCAAAAACAAAACAGAACAAAAGAAGCCAGACACGAAACCAATTCATATTATATGATTCCATGTTAAAGATCTCAAACTGACCTTGATAATTACATTTTTCCTCTTTGAAACTTCACCATAACACTCCCTTCCTAAAATGTTGGTTTACAGAATTATTTTACTGACATATAAGGTGACCTCAGGATCCCAACTCATGCTGTGCAATCCTGAGCTCTACTATAACTAGTTTTCATGTCTGTAAAATGGAACAGCTGATATAGATGACCTCTATGGCCCTAAAACTATATTAAAACTATGAGATTACAATAAATGAGAAGGGACTGTTAAAGTCACTAAATGACCAGGAAATATATATGAGGATAGGACTAGAGACACTGGTGCCCAACTGAAAAACACGAAGATAGACTGGTTAAGGTAGTGGGAGAGGGGGCTTTGAGAACTCATGGGTTCTTTAGACACCTAAGGAGAAAAGCTGCCCCAACTATAATTTCCCATGTCTACTTACCATATCAGGGTAGGGTGCTCTATGTCTCTGCTTTGTCTACAGGGGATTAGATCAGGGCCCAGATGTGAGCTGAAGACAACCATATGTGGGCTAAGCAAGGAATTCAACTAGGGGACCTTCCGGGCAAACAACCCACTCAAATTCTCTGTCTACCCAATTTCTGTTCTGGAACTTCAACAAGAATGAGGCAGGTTCTTCTGCTCACGGCTATGGCCCTGAGCCATTTAGGACTATTCTGCAGGTTACCAATGAAGGCCCACAGCTCCTACTTCAGCCAAGAAAACTCAGTCCTCACAGGATTATGTTGCTGAAGGGGCAAATTCTTCTTCCACCACAAATTCTCTGCACTCTCAGCCACAGATTACTTTTGGTAATGGATATTTATTCTATCCATTCCCCGGGAGCCTCAGAAATTTGATCAGCTGGCCTAGAGCAGCCTAGAATCATAGGGAAAATATGCCTTCTAGCAGGCACAGAAAAATAGAAGAGTGAAAGTATAAACTGAGGGCTGACCAATTGATACAGCTCTCTGCTTGCTTTAAAAGATAAGCAAGTCCTAATTTCCATTCCTTCATTCCTCTTGAAAAGACGAGTCAAAATCTCAAGGCATTTCACTCACTCTGCTTGGTAAAATTGCAAGACTCTAAATGGATCATGATTTCTAGAAGGCAGAGTCACTGTATAAAAAGTTCTCCTATTTCTTACCCCACTCAGAGGATAGGGCAGATTAAGACCAACTCTGCTGGAAGGATGGCAGGGGAGGGCAAGCAGGCCACCAAGTTCTATCACCTGCCTACTACAGGGCATTAGGGATAAGCAGGCTTTTCCCTGTGTCTCATTTTCTGCAACTGCCCTGTTCTCTCTTTAGGCCAAGCACATCACCTCTCATCTGAACTATAGAATACATTGCTGATAGGTTATTAGGGAAAGTATAAAGAACAAAAGAGGAAACAGGAAGAGCAGAGTGATTTTTAAAATTCATTGGATCATGTCTATCCTATGCTAGCCTTTAAAGGTCAACATTGCTGGCTTTCTAATATACTTTTATTATTACTGATGTGGGATCCTGTTCAGCACCACCTCCACCCCCACTTTTTTTTTTCTAGTCACAAGCTGCAGAAATCAACCCTGGCTAACTTCAGCCAAAAATACTGTTCAGAATTGAAGGAAAATATCAATAAGTAGTCCTTGGGAAGAGCAGGAGATCCAGTGACTCTAGGAAGCTCAGTCAGAAACTTATAGAACAGTGAAGACGTCAGAACAGCTCGGTGCTGATGGTTTTTTGTCCTTAGGTCACTCTGCTTGAGATTCAAATCCTCAAGACACACACTCTGATTAGCCTAGCTTGTGTGATGAGCCCTTTGGCCACTGGGACCATCTCAAGTGGGGGAAGAGGGTGGGTCTGCTTATCAAAAAAGGGGTCAACTCTCACACTTATCATAGTCTCAAAGGCCCTGCCCCATCGCCCAACCATCGGATGTGCCATTTGCTTCATTCTCCCCACCAGGTTCCAGGGCCTGCGATTCATCAAATCCATCCTTGACTCCAAGCCTTCCACTTACTATTCCCTCTACATGTGACACACTTTATCCCAGTCTTCACCTGGCTGGCTCCTGCTCACATCTAAGGCCCTCTCATGAACAGCCGCACCCCCATCTCCATCCCCAAGATTCTGCACTTGTTTTTCAGAATATGTATTCCAATTATCATTATCATTATGTGCTGCTCTGTTTAATGTCTGTCTCCCTACCAAGCTATAAGCTCCATAACAGAAGGCATCACATCTATCATGTCCTCAAGTCTTTCCCCATTGCCTGACAGGTAAGGTAGCACTCAGCTACCTTAAGGAACACAAGGGAAAGTGAAGTTTCCTTCTTTCCTCTGGAATACAAAGTAGGAATTAGAATACCCTTTGCTATTTGAGAGGTAAGATTCTGATTTGGAAGGAGACCCATTAGGTCTGTAGCCAGGACATTGAAGTCCAGTGTTTCTCCAGGGTTCCGTATTGGTGTTTGCAGAGAAAGCCACAGTTCACCCAAAACTACTGTTTTGCCAGTATTTGCCAGCCTTTTTCTCAGGCATATAATTTCTCTAAGCATCTCATGAGTAGGAGTAAGAGATGGAGGTAGGATTAAGACAACAAGTTCCCAATGTCACCTCATAACATCCCATATCACCACAATTTCTATCAGTTTTCTTTGAATGTTTTTTATAGCAAACATAAACATGAAGAAAGGGAAAAAAATCCATGCCCTTTGTGGTACTGGTTCTAAACACGGGATGAATAAATATACATACAGTTTCTCAACAATGCTCAGTGGGAAGTGAGGCCTTATCTAAGGATGCCATCATTTAAAGAGAGAATTATAATTTTAAAGGCAGTACTAGTGTTAAGTTGGTGGCTTCTGTTCCCTGGACTTGAGTCCTGGCTCAATTACCTAACTGTCTGACCTGAACACTTGACTTAACCTCTCTGCTCCCCAGTTTCTTTAAATATAAAAGGAGACTAAGGGGTTATTGTAATATCTACCTTGTAAATATTAAATGACTTGGCAGGTGAGCCTGGCCACTAGGGAACAACAATAAATGTTAGTTTGCCATTATCATCAACCTAAGGTGGCATGTATGGTCACACGTGTAGTAGAGTGACTTGATGAGTTTGAGGGCCTGTAAAGGTAGGCTTGAAGGTAATTTGAGGTAGGAGCTGAAGTCTTCTGCTTTAGAAATTAATAGAAATGTGGGTGTTCAGAGGCTGGATACCAGATTGGAGAGATGGGAGAACATACAAGGTAAAAAGCAGCTGTTCCTACCACTGAGAGTTTCTCACTAGCTGAAAGACTTGTAAGAATATGAATTCATAGTAGTCAATTTAATGCTGTTTGCTGCAATGGTTGAGACCCCAGAAGGCTGCTACACAACTACCTTGGGTGGACAATGCTTTGGGGAAATCAAAAAAAGGAAGACCTTTTACTTTGGGGGTTCAAAGTTGCCCTTTCATTAGAAAGGGCAACAATCACAGAGCACAGAATGATAGTCAAGAATAGTCAAGAGCCTGGGGCTGCCAAGAAACTGGAGCAGTGCCTCAGACTCAGGAAAATGTAAGCTTCTTCCCCAGAAGGGGGCTATTGGACTTCCAGCCAAGCGAGAGGTGAACAATTCATGAAATAATGAAAGTTCATCTCTACTATGATCTTACTGTCCCTATGCTGTCCCTTTAGTGTTAATTAGGTGGGGGTTACCCTCTGCCTCTGAATGAAAGTGCCTGCAGGCCCCTGAATTTTCTGCTTACTCTGAGGTAGAATAATCCTATCCTTACTTTGCATCCCCAAAGTTGCAATTCAAAAATTGGAATGTCTAGTCTAAGTTGGGAAACAAAACTGTGCCATTAATTTAACCTTGTAAGTTCTTGAGGTCACAGTATCACTTCTGCCACATTCTATTGATCAAAGTAAATCACAAGGCCAGCCAAAATTCAAGGGAGGGGGCCGGACGCGGTGGCTCACGCCTGTAATCCCAGCACTTTGGGAGGCCGAGGCAGGCGGATCACGAAGTCAGAAATCGAGACCATCCTGGCTAACACGGTGAAACCCCGTCTCTACTAAAAATACAAAAAATTAGCCGGGCGTGGTGACGGGCGCCTGTAGTCCCAGCTACTCGGGGGCTGAGGCAGGAGAATGGCGTGAACCCGGGAGGCGGAGCTTGCAGTGAGCCGAGATCGCGTCACTGCACTCCAGCCTGGGCGACAGAGTGAGACTCCGTCTCAAAAAAAAAAAAATTCAAGGGAGGGAAAATGGAGTCTACCTTTTGGTAGGAGGATAGGCAATGTCACATTGCAAAAGAGCATGTGGGATAGGAGGAATGGTTGCAGCCATTTTTGGTAACTATCTACCATTCAATGTTACAACCTTGAATAAAATGATAGGGTCTCTGCCATTCAGCTCAGCATCCTCTAGAAGTACTCTAGCTTAGGCACCACATTGTGTAAAGGGTTATTGGTAAGCAGGAACGCCACAGAAGAAGAATTGCAAAGGTCAATAAACATAGAAAAGAATGCTCAATGCCAATGGTAATGAAACCCGAAAGTAAAGGGCATTTGTCACCTGCCAAAGTAGCAAAGAGTTTAAAAACTGTAAATCCTTGAATGTAAAGGATTTCAACTATTTGGAAACAACTCAAAGGCTAGATTTGATCCGTAGTAATTTGAAATTATGTTGAGGTTCACATTTGGATACCACATGATAGGAATGCAGAATGAAGTCACCAGAACTAGAAATAGAGCCCTGGAGAGCTCCTAAAACCTAAATCTCAATTCACCTACACTATTTTCTGCTACTTCTGCATATCAGTCTACTCACAAGCTGGAAGAATATATGCCAAAATACCAAGAATACTTGAATAGTAGATGATTTATACTGTCTTTAAATTGTTTATATTTTTCAAATGCTTTCTTTCCAAATATTTTCCTTTTATACTCAGCTAAGAACAGTAAGGATGAGGCCTAGGATTGAACACAGTATTCCGATTAGGGCTTCTTTCATTTTTCTTTAATTAGATAAGCACATCCTACATCAAGATCTTTGTACTTGCAGTTCCCTCTACCTGGAGTGCTCTTCCCCCTCAAATATCCACTTATCTTTTTTACTGCCCTCAAGTTTTGCCCAAATGTTATCTTCTCAGTGAAGCCCTCTATGGTTGATCTATCTAAAATTGCAAACAGCTCCTTCTACTTATGGCACTGTCTTCCCTCCTTCTCTGTTTATTTTTTTCCATAGCTCTTATCTCTAATTGCTCTTATAACTTATATATTTGTGTATTGTCTCCCCACCCCACCCCCATAGAATTTAAGCTCCACGGGGATAAGAATGTTATATCCCCAGAGCCTAGAACAGGGCCCTGCTTGTAGTAGGTCTTTAATGTTTGTTAATGAATAAATGACCCTTAAGAAAATGAGAGTCAATCTAGAGCAGGGCCCATAGAGTCTGTGGCTACATGATACCTGCATCCCACACACACTTCTCTTCATTCAACCTCCAATCACTTCAGCTTTCTGAACAATAACACTACATAGCTACTTCTTATTAAATCTGTTTGTGAAACTCGCAGACCTTTTGCACAGGAACTACTCTCATATCCTGTCCTGGTATAAATCGTGGCTCTATACTTATTTTTATTAAATTTTAAGTTCAAATCCCTGTACTTATTTTGCAAGGGTTGACCATCCTTCCGGCTGATCAAAATCTTTTTGAATCTTGATTCTAATATCTCTTATATCAGCTCTATCTCCCAGTTTTGTATCTGCAGACCTGATGAGTGTCTGAAACATCTTCACTGGTTCCTTGTGAGGCAGAGCCCAGTGAACATGTGGAAGGTGTTGAATAAATGGTGGCTTGTACCAGATCATTTATTAATACATACATTCTATCACTTAATCCTTTCAATCATCCTATTAAATTAATGTTATCTCCAACTTACAGGTACAAAAACTGAGGCTCAGATAAGTAAGCAAGTTGCTTAAGGCCTCACATGTAGCAAGTGGTGGTACCAGGATTCCTACTTGGGTCACCAAAATCCACATACAGCTGTGACCTAAAGACCTTCTCGTCTGTATGGCCACCAGAAACCCTGAAGTACCAAAAGCGGGTTGCTGGCTTGGATCTCAACTGCAGTCTCAAGCACTCCACTTACAGCAATACTCCTGTGCCAGTAATTAAACCTCATTGTACATCAGCATCACCTGAGAAGCTTAAAAAGACACACACACACACACACACACACACACACAGAGATGCCCAGATTCTACTCCCCAGAAATTCTGATTTAAATGGTCTGTATTAACACCTAGGCAAGCTATTTTATAAAAGCTTCTCAAGTGATTCTAATGTACAGCTAAAGTTGAGAACCACTGCATATAAACAGTGAAGTAGAGGAAATGCAAAACTTCCAACCTTCAATTATTTATAAATGAGAAAAACACTACATCTGCAGGACTTCCCAGATGCTCTCAAAACCCCAGGCATGTATTATACATATATCTATCATCCAAACCAAAACTCCTTCTTTTCTTCCCTCTCTTGACACACTCCCCTTCTGGGTTCCCACCAGCACTTCCCCTGGGGTGGTCTAAACTCCTCTCATCTCCTTCCCCTCCTATATACACACATCTCTGCCCAGGTCAGCCTTATGCATCCACCTGCAAGTGTTACCATGTGGGGGTGAGTCCCAGACCAACTCTTCTGATACCCCTGCAATTCTTCCTTAGGTAGAACCCTAATGTCATTTGGTTTTCTTCCAAGATTGAACAAAATAAATTATGCTTTTGTATCTAAATTATGCATAGAAGCAAACATTTATACCAGTAGATGTTAAATGAACAGATCTATTTTATCACTGTCCTTGTGCTTTTATTTTACTTTTCTGCACAGACCTGTTTTATTCCTCATATTTTTAAGTCTACTTATTTCTGAAATACCATTTGCATTTGAACTTGCTGTATATTTGATGATCACTCTTACCATTTTATTGTTTTATACCTTAATTTTGTTTCCCGCAGCCACATCACCTTTCACTGCATTTTCAACTGTGAATCCCACAGTCAGAAATCTTAAAAAGTGATGTAGAGCTGGGCGCGGTGGCTCACGCCTGTAATCCCAGCACTTTGGGAGGCCGAGGCGGGTGGATCATGAGGTCAGGAGATCGAGACCATCCTGGCTAACAAGGTGAAACCCCGTCTCTACTAAAAATACAAAAAAAAATTAGCCGGGTGCGGTGGCGGGCGCCTGTAGTCCCAGCTACTCGGGAGGCTGAGGCAGGAGAATGGCGTGAACCCGGGAAGCGGAGCTTGCAATGAGCCGAGATTGCGCCACTGCAGTCCGCAGTCCGGCCTGGGCGACAGAGCGAGACTCCGTCTCAAAAAAAAAAAAAAAAAAAGTGATGTAGAGTAACTTCAATTTTTGCAAACATTGAACTGATCCAGCTGTGAAATAATAACACAAAGAACAATTCACAATTTCACATTACTAGAAATGTATTTCCCTAAGGTTTTTGCTTGGTTTTGTTTTTGTTTTCATTTCTTCCCCACTCTTGTGAAGCATCAAATCCCCAGCCAGGTGGCTTTTAAATGGTCAATCTACCTACTGCAAACATGTTTATGTTTAATGTTAGTGGACCCTACCTTTATGGAGTGAGCAAATAAAGGCCTTCAGAGAATGCAAAGGAACTACAGTGAACATCAATCAAAATTCTCTAAATAGTAGCATGCCTTTAATATACTTTTCCTCTTGAGAATATCAAACTCTAATACCCTGTAATGTTAAGAATTTAGCCACGCGTGTTCTGTGTTGTGGGAATTGTAGAATGTAAGTTGTGCCTCAGTTTACTCAGCTGAAGAGTTAAAAAACAATTATCCCAAGTACAGTCTGATGGAAAGGAGGAGCCAAGTATATAAATGCCTTTTTCTTAGACTTTCCTGACTCTCCACTGGGGATCAATCAAGCACAATCATTTACAGATTTTCTGTTCGAAAATGTGTCTTCTCAGGGACTCCCTTCCTTTTCACATCTTTCTCCTCATCACAGTTACCCATGCACATAACACACATTATCTCAAGGTTCTCAAACTGGTCCCTTGCCAAAGTCTGCCTGGCCCAGTTTATTCCACCTATCAAATCTTTCATTCAATTCATTCATTCAAATAGCTGCCACTGGCCATCCAGTCAGTACAGAGTAATGGGCTAGGAACAGAATATATGTAACAACAATAGCTCCCTGGCCCTTTATATAATTAGTGTGGTGTAAGGATTTAAGATGATGTAAGTATGTTATCCCCATTTTATAGATGAGGAAATGGAGGCTTAGAAAGGTTACCTCACTGGCTGGATGTCACACATGCTAATAAGTGGTAGAGTGGGAAGGAACCCAGGTCTGTCTGACGCCAAAGATTTCCTTCTGACTCTCTCACATAAACTGTTTCCCCTGCAACTACAGAGAGGTAAAGATACGGAGACGATTTTCCTGGAAATTTAAGTAGGGTCCCTAGTTCATACTGCTTTAAATTCCAGGTTAACATGTCCATTTCATTGATAAAATTAACAGGTCTTTGGGAAGTACGTCTTTGTAGACCTTTGAATAGAAAAGTATTGTGTTTAAGAGCTATCTTATTCAGCCTAATCTAGCAGTGGCCTGCAGAATGAACTAGAGAGGAAAAATAGGTCTGAACAGAGACCAATTAGCAGGCAGCTGATATAGAATGAAGGACATAGCCTTTGGAATTGATTAGATCTAGGTTTCAATCCCAGGTCACTAAATACAAGCAGTGTGATCTTGGACATATCTCTTAATCTCTCTGAATCCCAGTTTCCTCCTCATCATCTTGTAAAAGAGGGAGAGCGGTCCCTACTTCACAGAGCTATTGAGAGGATTACCTGAGAAAATGTACCTAAGCCTCCTAACACAGTGCCCAGCACAAATGGCAGATGTGATGGCACATTGAAAGAAGGTAGTGGGAAAGAGAAGAGATGGAATTGTACCAACTATGAAAGACAAATCAAACATATTTAATAATTTGATAAATGATTGATAAGAAGGTTGAAGGAGAGAAATAAAGCAAAGAGGACTCAGTTTTGGGCTTCGGTGAGCCCCACATCAGTGACACATCCTAGTAACCAATACCATAATGTTAGACAGAACAGGATTGGTCACCTGTATACCACTTTTGAGTTTCCAAGAGTCTATTCAAATCTTTTAGTTTGTTTTACTATAACATCGTGACCCATACTAGCTTAACAAGATAACCAGCTCTGGGAAGAGCCTGATAAATATTTGCATATGAATAAGAGGGCTGAAGTGATCTCAAATAGTCCCTCCATTAGTCACTGCTTTCAATCAAGGCATAAACATTGTAGGAAAGAGTAACAGTACTCTAAGTCCCCAATCCATCTCATAATAATGGGCAGCCCAATCATGTGTCCATGCACAACCCTAGTGATATTCCCACAACTATTCAAATACCTTATAGGGCTGTTTACTGTGGATTGTAATAGAGAAAAAGGGAAAATAACCCAAGTAACCATCTGAAAGAGGCAGATTTAGTAAATAATCATGTATCCATACCTGGAGTACTATGTCATTGCTACAAAAAAAAAAAAAAAAGGGTAAAGATGTGCTAATCTAGAATAATCTCCAAGATACATTATTAAGAGAAGAAAAGCAAGGTACAAAGCAATGTGATCCTATTTATGTTATTTCAAAAAAGATGAGATAAATATACCTATATATGCATCAAAAATTTGTAGAAGTATTCTGAAAATGGCTAACAGGTTTATTTGACTGATGTGATGGGGGTTAAAGAAAAAATAGTTTACATAGCGGTTTTCCTTTTATATAGTCTTATTCTGCTTGAAATATTTATTGTGCAAATGTATTAGCTTTATGCTAAAAAAGAAAGTAGTTTTTAAAAATCCCTATGATCCTGTGAAGTCCCGCAGGCTGAAAACACTCCATCAAATCCAACAGCTTAAATTAAAGAGACAGATGCGCTTCTTGCCCAAGTCGATGATTGTGTTTGTATTCTCTATGCTATTAGGTGGTTGTTTTCCTCCAGAGGAATTTTATTTGATTTTAAATTAGAGATAAGTGAGCTATAGTCATGGGGCTATTGTATTGATACAAAGTGCTGAAATTGAATGCCTATTGGCAAAGGCAGCCTCATTGATAGATACCATTAGCAAATTTCTTTCAAGAGGTCTGAATAGTAGTACTGACAACAACAGTATTAATAGTAACATCAGATAATCTTTGCATGTGCCCAATGTGCGCCCAGCAGGGTTCTAGATGTTTTGCCTGCTCAATATGTACCCAGTAAAGTTCTGGATGTCTTGCATGCATTATCTCATTTAACCCTTTCTACACCTTTGCAAGGCAGGTATTATTAATTTCATTTTAGAGATGAAGCCAACTATTACCTTCCTAGCTAATGAATCCCATCAAATAACTTTTCGAATGTTTTAATTTGCTATGGCTAAAACCACATTTAGAAGTTATGCTTAATTATCACCATAGTTTTGAAGACTTGGCACTTCCGTAAGACCCCAAGCTCTATGACATACCAACATGTTCAGAAGCTCCTCCCTCCAAAAATTTATTTGTGGGGGACTTTACTACCATCACCCACAGCACACCAACTGTCCAGGGACCCAAGAACCCACTCACCCACCCAGCCCAGTACTGCCACTAGTGGCATATGAGCAAGCCACCTGAAGGCCCAATAATTGACCCACCAGTAACCACCAATACAAGTGCCATTCTACGGCACCCTGGTGCACAAAGACATGCGTGATCAGCCCATGACTGCTACCACTGGAGCCTGAAGATTGGCCTACCTGACCTCCCAATACCCAATATGACTTCACCACAACCTTCAGTAATAACTTCACCCTAACCCTCCAAGTAAATCACAGAAAGCACTAACACTTGTTACAACCAAAGAAACCATATGAAGACTATGCTGCTGTGTACACCCGGAATCAAAGCCAAAGGATCCAACCAAACCAACACCACAGGTATATCTTCAGAAAAAAGTCCTCCCCTATGAAAGCAAATTCAAAAATAGGAAGAAGTGACTATTCTACTACATGCACAGATATCAGTGTAAGGACACAAGAAACATGAAAAGCAAGGAAATATGACACCTCCAAGGAAACATAATAATTCTCCAGCAATACGTGTTAATCAAGCAGAAATATTCCAAATTCCAAATGAAGAATTTAAAATATTGATTTTAAAGAATCTCAGTGAGATAACATAGAATTCTGAAAAACAATACAAAGAAATCAGAAAAACACAATTCAAGATATAAATGAGAAATTTACTAAAGAGATAGATTTTTTTTAAAAGAACAAATAGAATTTTTTTTTTTTGAGATAGAGTTTCACTCTTGTTGCCTAGGCTGGAGTACAACGGCACGATCTTGGCTCACCACAACCTCTGCCTCCTGGGTCCAAGCGATTCTCCTGCCTCAGCCTCCTGAGTAGCTGGGAATTCAGGCACACACCACCACACCCAGCTAATTTTGTATTTTTAGTAGAGACAGGGTTTCTCCATGATGGTCAGGCTGGTCTCGAGCTCCCGACCTCAGGTGATCTGCTGGCCTCAGCCTCCCAACTAAAGGATTCATTGAAGAAAATACAAAATACATTTGAAAGCCTCAGCAAAAGGCTAGATCAGGCAGAAAAAAGATAATCTCAGAACTTGAAGACAGATCTTTTGAAATAACACAGTCAGACAAATTTTTTTTTAAAAAAGTAACTTTTAAAAATGAGCAAAGGCTTCATGGCATTTGGGACAGCACAAAGCAACTAAATATAGGAATTCTGTATCGCTGAGGGCAAAGAGGAAATGAAAGGATTAGAAAATCTACTTAATGAAGTAAAAGATAAAAACTTCCTAGGTCTAGCAAAAGATTTAGACATTCAAATATAGGAGGCTCAATGATTCCCAGGCAGATGTAATGCAAAAAGCCCTTCCCCATGGCACATTATAATCAGATTGTCTAAAATGAAACATAAAGAGGAAATCAAAAAAATGGCAAGAGATAAATGCCTAGTTACTTATAATGGAAACCCCATCGGACAAACAGCAGATTTCTCAGCAGAAATCTTACAGGAGAAAAGAGAATAGGATGATACATACATTCAAAGTGCAGAAAGAAGTAAACTGTTAGGCAAGAATACTATATCCAACAAAATGATCCTTCATAAATGAAGGAGAAATAAAGTATTTCCCAGACAAGCAAATGCTGAGGGAACCCATTACCACTAGACTGGCCCTACAAGAAATGCTCAAGACAGTCCTAAACTTGCAAGCACAATGATGACATTTACCATCATGAAACACACAAAGTATAAAACTCACTGATAAAACAATCACACAAAGGAAGAAGAGAATGAGCTCAAATGGTATCACTACAGAAATCCACCAGACCACAACAAATGATAAAAGAAAAAGAAATAAACAAAGAATATATGAAACAACCAGAAAACAATTAATAATATGACAGAAACAAAACATCACATATCAATAATAGCCCTGAATGTAAACAGATTACATTCTCCACTTAAGAGATATAGAATGGCTGAATAGATTTTTAAAAAGCATAATCCAACTATATGCTGTTTACAAGAAACTCACCATACCAGAAAAGACACACATAGACTGAAAGTAAAGGGATGGAAAAAAAGATGTCCCATACAAACAGAAACCAAAAGCAAGCAGGAGTAGCTACATCAGATAAAACAGACTTTAAGTCAAGAACGGTTAAAAAAATAAAATAAAAAAGACAAAGAAAGTCATTATAAAGGGATCAATCCAGAAAGAGGATATAACAATTCTACATGTATATGTACCCAACACAGGAGCACCCAGATTCATAAAGCAAATATTACTAGCTCTTAAGACAGAGAGAAATGCACACAGCAACACAATAATAGTGGGGAACTTTCACACCCCACTCTCAGCATTAGAAAGATCTAGACAGAAAATCAACAAAGAAACATCACATTTAAACTGGAGTATAGATGAAATAGACCTGACAGACATTTATGGAACATTCTATCCAACAACTACAGAATATACATTATTTTCATCAGCACATGAAACATTTTCCAGGATAGACCATATGTTATGTGACAAAACAAGTCTCAACAAATTTTTAAAACTTATAGGTGGGAATTGAGCAATGAGAACACATGGACACAGGAAGGGGAACATCACACACCGGGGCCTGTTGTGGGGTGGGAGGAGGGGGGAGGGATAGCATTTGGAGATATACCTAATGTTAAATGGTGAGTTATGGGGTGCAGCACACCAACATGGCACATGTATACATATGTAACTAACCTGCACGTTGTGCACATGTACCCTAAAACTTAAAGTATAATAAAAAAAAAAACAGAAAAAAAAGAATGAATGGTAAAAAAAAAAAAAAACTTGAAATCATATCAAGTATATTCTGAGACCACAATGGAATAAAACTAGAAATTATATCAAGAGGAACTTTAGAAACTATACAAAAACATGGAAATTAACAACATGCTTCTGAATGACCACTGGGTCATAAAAGAACTTAAGACAAAAATCAAAATATTTCTTGAAACAAATGAAAATAGAAACACAACATATCAGTCTCGGGGATATAGCAAAAGCAGTGCTGAAAAGGACATTTATAGTATAAAACATCTACATCAAAAAAGAAGATTACAAATTAATAATCTAACAATGTACCTCAAGGAACTAGAAAAGCAAGAACAAACCAAATCCCAAATTAGCAGAAGAAAAGAAATAGTAAAGATCAAAGCAGAACTCAATGAACTAGAGACTAAAAAAACACAAAGGGGTCAAAGAAATGAAAAGTTTGTTCTTTGAAAAGATAAACAAAATTGATAAAACACGAGTTAGACTAAAACAAGAAAAAAAGGAGAGAAGATGCAAATAAATAAAATCAGAAATGAAAAAAGACATTACAATGGATACCACAGAAATATAAAATATTATCAGAGACAATTATGAACAACTATATACTAACAAATTGAAAAACCTAGAGAGAATGGATAAATTCCCGGACACATTCAACTTACCAAGATTGAATCAGGAAGAGATAGAAAACCTAAACAGACCAATAATGAGTAATGAGATTGAATCAGTAATAAAAAGTCTCCCAACAAAGAAATGTTTAGGACCACATGGCTTCTACCAACTTCTATTACTGAATTCTACCAAACATACAAAGAAGAACTAAAACCAACTCTTCTCAAATAATTCCAAAACATTGAAAAGGAGGGAATTCTCTCTTACTAATTCTATGAGGCCAGCATCACCCTGATACCAAAACCAGGCAAGGATATGGGAAGAAAAAAAAAAAACAACTATAGACCAATATTCCTGATGAACACGGACACAAAAATCCTCAACAGAATACTAGCGAACCGAATTCGACAGCACAACAAAAGGATAATACACCATGATCAACTGAGATTTATCCCAGGGAAGCAAGGATGGTTCAACATATGCAAATCAATAAATGTGATACATCACATCAACAAAATGAAGGACAAAAATCATATGATCATCTCAATAGATGGAGAAAAAACATTTGATAAAATTCAACATCCCTTTATGATAAAAACTCTCAACAAACTAGGCATAGAAGGAGCATATCTCAAAATAATAAAGTCCACATACAACAAAACCACAGCTAATGTTATACTGAATGGGGAAAAGCTGAAAGCCTTTCATCTAAGAACGGAACAAGACAAGGATGCCCATTTTCACCATTTATATTCAATGTAGTACTCTAGTCCTAACTAGAGCAATCAGGGAAGAGAAAGAAATAAAAACCATCCAAATTGGAAAAGAGAAAAACAAATTGTACCTTTTTGCAGATGACATAATCTTACATCTAGAAAAACCTAAAGACTCCACCAAAAAACTCTTAGATGTGATAAATGAATTTGGTAAAGTTGAAGGATACAAAAAAATAAACATACAAACATCAGTAGTGTTTCTATACACTAAAAATGATCTGAGAGAGAAATCAAGAAGGCAAGCCCATTTATAATAGCTACAGAAAAATACCTAGGAATATACTTAACCAAGGAGATTAAAGATTTCTACAAGGAAAACTACAAAACACTGATGAAAGAAATTGAAGATGACACAAAGAGATAGAAAAACGTCCCATGCTCTTGGATATAAAAAAAATTAATATCATTAAAATGACCATATTGCCAAAGCAATCTACAAATTCAGTGCAATCCCTATCAAAATGCTAATGTGATTCTTCATAGAAGGAATTAGAAAAAACAATCCTAAAATTCATATGCAACCAAAAAGAGCCCAAATAACCAAAGCAATCCTGAGCAAAACAGAACAAAGCTAGGGCATCACATCACCTGACTTCAAAATATCTTACAGGATGATAGCAACCTAAATAGCATGATGTTGTTATGAAAATACACACAAAGATTAATGACTCATAATACAGAACCCAGAAATAATGACACATATTTAGAGCCAACTGATCTTTGACAAAGCCAACAAGAACTTACGTTGGGGAAAGGCCACCCTCTTCAAAAAACGGTGCTGAAAATATTGGAAAGCCACTCGCAGAAGAATGAAACTGGACCCCTATCTCTCACCATACACAAAAATTAACTCAAAATGGATTAAACACTTAAATGTAAGACCTGAAACCATAAAAATACTAGAAGAAAATCTAGGGAAAACTCTCTTGGATATTGGTCTAGGCAAAGAATTTGTGATTAAAATCTCAAAAGCACAGGCGACAAAAACAAAAATAGACAAATGGGACTTAATTAAACTAAAAAGCTTCTGCACAGCAAAATATATAATCAACAGTGTGAAGAGACAACCTGTTAAATGGGAGAAAATATTTGCAAACTAATCACCTGACAGGGGACTAATATTCAGAATATACAAGGAACTCCAGCAACTCAACAGGAAAAAAGCAAGTAATCCCATTAAAAAGTAGGCAAATAACATGAATAGACATTTCTCAAAAGGAAACATACAAATGACCAACAGGTATATGAAAAAATTCTAAACATCACTAATCATCAGGGAAATGCAAACCAACACCACAATGAGATATTATCTTACCCTAGTCAGAATGGCTATTATTGAATGGCTATTATTAAAAATAACAGATGCAGAGAAAAGGGAACTCCTATGCACTGTTGGTGGAAATGTAAACGAGTACAGCAATTATGGAAAACAGTATGGAGATTTCTCATACAATTACAAATAGAATTACCATTCTATCTAGCAACCCCACTACTGGATATCTACTCCACCTGATAGAAAAGAAATCAATATATCAAAGGTACACCTGCACTCACATGTTTATTGCAGCACTCTTCACAATAGCAAACACATGAAATCAATCTAAATGTTAATCAATTGATGAATGGAGAAGGAAAATGTGATATATATATATATATATATATATATATATATGCACAATGGAATACTATTTGGCCATAAAGAATAATAAAATCATGTCATTTGCAGCAACATGGATGGAACTGGAGATCATTACATTAAATAAGCCAGGCATAAAAAGACAAACATCACATGTTCTCACATATGTGTGGGTGCTAATAAATTTAGTCACATGGAGGTGGAGAGTATAAAGAGAGATAACAGAGACCAGAAAGGGTGAGTAGGGGGAAGGGGACAGGAAGAAGAGAAGTAAGTTAAAGTGCATAAACATAGAGTAAGATAAAAGGAATAAATCCAATGTTTGATAGCAGAATAGGGTGACTATACTTAACAAAAATGTATTATACTCAAGTGGTAGACACTCTAAATATCCTGACTTGATCACTACACACATTATATATATGTAACAAAATTTCACATGTACACCATAAATTTGTACATTTTTTAAAAAGACATTTAGTGCAGAAAGATCCTAGAAACCATATATCCCTGACTTTAAAGATGAGATCTGTTGGGTGAAAAATGCCAAAGTAACTTATCCAACATCACACAGCAGAGTCAGCCTCAAACCCAAGTCTTTCAAGTCAAAATCAGACACTTTCAACTTTCTTGACTGTCTCCCCTTGCATTCTCGTCACTGCCATATAAATCCTTACCGTGCCATGTGCTGTTTTAGTGAACAGATCTCTGCAAGTCAGAAATTCTCCTTTGGCCCTCAGTTTTTTCATCTGTGAAATGAGTAATGAAGACTTTCATGGTCCTATTAGGATATGTCCTGTAGCTAGTCAGTAGCAAAGTTGGGACTAGAAGTCAGGTCTCCAGCCCCCAGGGCTCTTTCTGCCATCCCCAGTAGTCATTGCTCCCTGAGTAAAGTGAGTTTTGTTAATAAATTGAATAGGCAGAGAACAATCTATCTGATGATTGAAATTGCCACCTGAGGAAGAATCTCAGCACCAACACACCAAAAAAGTCTGAAATCCCACTATCGGGAATTCATTTCTTTGAGTATTCTCTGTTAATGTGCAAGTATCTTTGAAAGAGGTAGCAACAGTGACCACTTCAGGCCATTAACTCTCAAGCTCAGGAAATTGGGAAATGGATACTGGTTTGGAGTTTGACCTGAGCTCAGATCCAGTCTCTGCCACCTTCCAGCTGTGTGAGTTTGGGAAAGATATCAAACTACTCCAAGCTCAGTTTCACACCTATAAAGTGGTTATTATAATAGTACTCATCTCTGCAGGGTGGACTGAGGAAAGTTAAATGGGTTGGGTATGTATGGGGTCTGACTAATTAGCACTAAGTAAATGATACTGTCATTACTATTATTACTGATGTTATGTTTTAAGTTGTTTTCTAAAAGTATGACAGAGTACATGAAAGACACTGAGATGATAGATTTGATGGAGTGAAGAGGATCAAGAACATCAGAGTATACCAAGACACCAGGCACAGAATCAGACTCAAGATTCTGATAAAGGACAATTTTTTAAAGAAGATATAACTCTTTTATAGAATGAACACAAGTCAAATATTTTATTTAACTTGCTAATTAACGAGGGAACCAGTAAGATGTTGCAACTTGTCCAAAGGAGAATTCAAAGCACCACACATGCATACGCAAATAAGGAATGCTGAAATAAAATTGCAAATAGATGCAAAATGAGTCAAAAATCAATTGCA
Source organism: Homo sapiens (assembly GCF_000001405.40). NCBI lineage: Eukaryota > Metazoa > Chordata > Mammalia > Primates > Hominidae > Homo > Homo sapiens. The sequence goes on along the minus strand of NC_000023.11, from coordinate 42,220,814 downwards.
TTCCACCAGACACAACTAATTTGCATTTCTATGGGCAAAAATAATTTGCATTATTATGACTTTTCTACAACCCACAGGGTTGTGAAAAAGCTCAAAGACAGTGAATGGTGGAGATAACCATGAAAGGTATACTAGACAGGACACTCAGTTTTTTTTCTATTTTGAAGACTCACAGTTTTTCCTGATAAGTCCTACAAAGCTGTCAGGCCTATAATTGCCCCTGGAGGTCAGGGCACTGGGAAAAGAGGGCAGAAGAAGTGAAGGGACATAGAGACAATGAAAGAGAACAGGTTTTTCCTTCCTCTGACACGTAAGGACAACCTGTAATATAATCTAATACCATCCCTGCCAGAGGTCTGTTTGCTTTGCCCTTAATGAAAGGTAAGCAGTCTGTGACAAAGACAGTCAATTATCTCTTGAAAACCATTCTCCTCTTCTTGGTAACCGAATCCTCCATTTTCAGCTATACTTAACTATACAGGGCCACCCAGAATAAAGTCTTCTCAGCTTCAGTTGTAGCTAGATGTGATCACGTGACTAAGTCTTCTGGCCAATATGATGGAAGCTGAAGAAAGGCCCGGGCAACTTCCAGGAAGGGTCTTTATAGGGAATGGACATGTCCTTCTTTGACTCTTCCATTTTTCTGCCAGCTAAAGGGTGGAAACAGTGACCGGAGCCTGAGCAACCATCTTGATGAAAACCACCCGCTGAGCATGGCTGAGCATCAAGACGGCAGAAGCCTGTGACTATGATAACGTTGTAAAACTGCCTTCTACAGAAGACAGAATGGAGTTTACACTTCTTTTTACTCAGATTTTTTTAGGCTTTGTTATTTTGGGTGCTTTGTCATATGCAGCCGAACCTAATCCTAACTGATGGCAAAAGGAGCCCTTAGGAAAGTTTGCGTTGTTTGTTTTCCTGAGGAATTTCAATTTACAGTTGTTCTTCTGAAAAATACATTTCTATTTATAGCTAAACTTCAACTCATTATCACCCTCCAGTACTGCCTTCTGCTCACTCACATGTACATACTTTCCTGGGGACAGAGTCGTCTTTGCCTGAGATCCATAAGGGGCATTCGGAGACCTCGCCTGAAATTGACAGTAGCAACTAGCAATAACTGTGGTAGGGGAAGCCCAATGTGGTTCACGGTTGTTCCATCACAGGCATGAGCCATAGGAACACATACTTGCAACATGAATCCAAGCTCTCTATCTCTGAGCTCAGGAAGCCTGGGTGGATGCTGAGCAGAAAGGTAGCTCACTAGAAAGCAGGACTATAAGAAGATGACCAAAAGAAAGCCCCACATGCTGGAAGAGAAAAATTTCACACCACTCATGATTATCTGCATTTTTATAGCATGAATAATCCAAAACCACATCCAGTATAAAACCCAGTGGCATCTAGTTTGGGACACATTCATTCTTGCAGCAGCTGCAGATTTACCTTGGTGATTATGTTTTCCTGGAGCTAATATTAGAGTTGGTTGGCATTCCCCAAGCACATGCTAACTAATTACAGGCAAAGCAAGCTGAAGAAGCCATACTGGGATTAAAATTTTGTTGCAGATAATCAACAAGCTGAATAATCCACCCACTGATAATCAGATTGACCAAACTATATAATTTTCAGACTCTGCTAGCCTTCATATATTCATACATTCATTTCCTGTGAGATAGTAGAACACCAGCCCCGAGATTCTTTGATTATTTTCATGTTTTTTTTAACAGCACCCACAATTCCATCCGCTTCTTTAAATGTGTTCTGAAAACTTTATCCTCTTATTTTTCATCAATGTGAAAATTATAACTTTGTCTTTCAAGCTCTATTAAAAATCCATATTTTGAGGAATTGTTTAAGGATCTTTCCCAAATGGTAAGATGATATTTTACACAAAGAAGCCTAATACTCCTGCAGACACTGCAACCCTGGGAATCACATTTGTATTTGACTGATGCTGGAAGGCGCAGGTTATGGACTTCCAAACATATGATTAAAACATCAAAAAATAAAACTATACATTGTTTTACTCTTCTCATAATTCAAAATATTGCTTCCTATATACTCTTTTCTGCTTTTCCTGGGAGCAGAACAGAAAATCTGCTGTTTTTATTTGCTGTGCTGAGACTCTCATTTTTACTCTTAAAAACTCCACTGAGGGATGAATAGGCAGAACACAGAGGATTTTTAGGGCAGTGAAACAACTCTGTGATACTATAATAATGGAAACATGTCATTATTCATTTGTTCAAACCCATAGAGTATATAACACCAAGAGAGAACCCTTATGTAGACTATATGCACTCTGGGTGATAATGGTGTGTCAATGTAGGTTCATTGATTGTAATAATAACACTGTACTACTCTGGTGGAGAATGTTAATAGTGGAGGAGGCTATGCATGTGTTTTGGGGTAGGGAATATATGTGAAATCTCTAGAACCTCCCCTAAATTTTGCTCTATAACTGAAACTGCTCTAAAAAAAATAAAGTCTATTTAAAAAATGCACAAGTCAGAGGGGCACCTGATCCCAAACCACCACCATAAGAGGGCACTTGGGCCTGTGGTTTTATCTCAGACTATGGGCCTCCATAGCTGATCAGGAGATCATAGAATGTGGCCCCAAGAGTCTGTCCCCCCTTTCCAGAGGTGGCTAACCTATGTTGTGAGTGGCCACCCTTCACTAGTAAGGTGTGAAGTCTAGCTTCTCTGCAAATCACTGGAGTCAGTCTTATTAAATAAACAAAAATATTCACATTATTGAAGACAGTAATTTTTACCACTTAACCTTACCATCTATGTGCTTAAACCTACCAATTGTTTTCTTTCACTCTACTGTTAAAGCTTATTTCTTAATGTACTGGAATCTTTTTCCCTAGACTTTATCCTTTTGACTCACAAGTACAGTAAATGGTTTAGGGTTGCTGAACTCAGTTTCTAGGCTTTCCCTAGACTTTATCCTTTTGGCTCAGAAATACAGTAAGTGGTTTAAGGTTGCTGAAGTTCGAATTGAGCCTCTACTAATATAATAGGAAACCTTAAATCAGTTGTCTTCAAAGGGTGATGCCCAGACCTTTGGCATCAGCATTACCTTGTTGGAAATACCATTTTTGGGCACCATCCCTGACATATAGTATCAGGGTTTGGGAGGACGAAGGGGAGTGGTGCCAAGCCCTCCAGGTGATTCTGATGCATGCTCAAGTTTTTAAACATTGCCCTAAAGTGATGGTTATTATTGAGGTTACCAGGGTAGTATTCTAATGCCAGCTCCCTATGCCCAGCGTATGGGAATTACTAGATCTGAGGTGGGGCCAGAATGTATAGCTTTAAAAAGCTTCCAGGTGATTCTTAGACACAGTTCTAAATAAAAATTACTACATAGTCCTCCATTATAGCTTTAAAGAATGCATTTGACCAATTATCTTATTTTCACAATATTCATTTCGAAGAAAGGGTTTGTGGAGAGGTGCTCAGTGGGCAGAAAGATAAAGCAAATATCCAAGAATTTGGCTTTGCTAAACTGGTAATAGCCAATACATTTTAGAAGCCTAATTTGAAATCTGCTCAGAACCAAGAGATAACTTCATACATTAACCAAAGATCAAGGTCATTTAAGCTCAAAACTCTCTCCTCTTCTTGATGTACAGCCTTTGCTTAATGCATTTCCATCTTTAAATGTTCTTATTTTGGGTAGCAGAAAAGCTGAGAAAGGAAACTGACATTTATATGCCGGGTGCTTTATATTGAGTGTCTCATTTAATCATCACAACAACACCCTCAAGGAGCTATTAATATGCCCTCACACAGAAGAAACTGAGGCTCAGATATTAAGAAACATGCCCAATTTCCAGTAACTACTAATTGGCCAAGATGAGATTTGAACCTAAATCCGTCTGACTGCAAAGCCCACACGCAATTTCTTCTCCACACTGCAATCCACCTGCATTTTGTGGCCATTGAAATCATTTCCAAGTAGCAATGTATTTTCCATGCAAAAAAATCTGCCTTGGTTTCCAGTTTACAGCAACGTTTACTTGTTTCAAGATGATAAATGTTCGCAAAGTTAAAAACTCAGACCAAAAGAGAAAGATCACAAGTGTCTGAATTTATTCAGCCTGGAAAAGAGATTTGAGATTGAGAGCATTTTACCAAGAGTCTTTGGAGCTCTGAAGGATTACTCTCCTTCATAAAATGGAAAATAGAGTCAGTTATTCTCTATCCTCACTGGGAACTGAAAAAGAAGTACTCACCCAGCCCTGTTCTGTGTGGGTGTTTGGTTCCAAATAGGCATGTTTGCTACATGCCCTGTGAAGTCCAGCTTGAGCCACCTCATTTGGGGAAAACATGAAGCTGAAACACTTTTCAGAAAGGATTATTTTTATCTCTGTTTCAGATAGCACCTAGCACAATGCCTGAGACATGGTTGGTGCTTTCAATATATGCATAATACTAATAAATGCAGTTGAATTTGTGAGCAATTGTTAAACAGAAAATGGGTCACCAAGGATATCTTTTGAGAAGCTGAGAGGTTGACAAATTAATAAACAAATAAATAGGTATTCCTCTATCTGAGGTGGCTGAAATAGGTTTTCCACAATAATAGGAGCTGAGAAGTCTTCCCTACTCCTCTAAGTCAATGCTGACACACAACTATCCACTTCATCCCCTTCAGAGTTAGCTAATCACCAACCATGCCACTACACTCCAGCCTGGGTGACAGAGTGAGACCCTGTCTCAAAAAAAAAAAAAAAAAAAAAAACCAGTTTCACCATTCTCTCTGGAACTCTACTAAGTAATCGATAAAGATAAAATCCTCCAGTCCTAAGGGTGGATGGTACACACTACAAGGATACCAGTCACTGTTTTCAACAAAGAATTCATTATTTCCATTCTCATAAACCAACATGCTTGATCTGTATTCCTTAAAAAACCTAAGATTCCAAATGGGTCAAGAGAACTCTCAAGTTCACAAACATCCTATTAGTGTAGACCCCAGAAATTGCTTTCTCACGTAGATGATGTGCTGGTCTTTTCAAAACGGTTTCACAGGGACTCCATTTACCTCAATGAGGTAAATGGACACACCATGATGAGCTATCTCCTAAGGTCACAGGCAGAAGGAAATTTTAACCTTCTCAGGAGGAGGCACATGCTCATTTCAACTGCATGTCCTTGGTAGGTAGGTCATTTGCCAATTGAAGCAGAGAATTACTAACAGATGACCTTATTTTTGAAGCTGGGGAATCTTACCCTGAAAGCCTGGAGAGTAAATACAAAGCATATGCATGGCAGATGCTCCCATATAAAGATCCTGAAAAAGGCAGAATGCAGATTCTTCAGGAACTTGGAGGAGGGGACAGTCCGAAACACGACCCGATGGAGATGAATATCAGCATTCTCTAAGGGGCATAACTTTGGCCATATCTTGGTACTATACACAGTCTTTCTGATGATGAGGTTGTGAGCCACCAGCATGGTCATTACTTGGAAAGATGGCTATAAATGCAGGTTCACCTCCAAAATTTCCTGAAGCACAATGCTTATGGGTGGGGTCTGGGAGTGAGCATTTCTAACAAGCAACTGGATAATTCTTCCTGTGGCACACCAAGTGCTGGCAGAACTGAAGAACTTTCTTTCCAGCTGACCAGGAAAGCTCCATTGCTATGGCAACACGCTTTACAGCCATTTAGAAGCAACTTATTCTAATGTCACCACTGGAAGGGATGCACACCACTGCTTAACAGTGGCTAAGGAGTGGTCCAGTCACCATATACAGAGGGTCAAAACACTCTGGTTTGCTGAGTAGAGAAAACACAGAACTAAGTGCTTTTAGGAAATCAGAACAATACATAAACAGGATTTTTGTAGTTGAGGAATTTATATTAGATGATCAGTCTGAATCTGTTTTAAAAAACAACAACAACAACTAGGAAATTTGGAATATTAGCCCTACTAATATCCTGAGAAGATCCATAAGGGAGCAACAGCAGGATGAGATGGCTAAAATTTAAACTATTTTCAAAATGCTAAGGTTGTTGCTTTTTCCCTCCTATGCTTATAAGCTTTGCCAGAACCCAGCCTATTTTTAAAGGTTCTGGAAACCCACTTGAAGTGGTTTTCAGAGGATGTGGCCACAAATGGTGCCCATGCTACATCAGATCCTGAATAATATACGTGTGGATCTGGGCAACTATAAGGGGAAAATTTTTATCATGAAAGAGTAAATGAAACTCTGGTGTGTGTGAGCTAACAGTTTTAGCATCCACATTAGTCCCAGATGTTTTTTCAAAGGGACTGAGTTTTATAGAAAAGCCGAAGCAGACCAAGGTTTCTATTCCTTTTTACCATGCCCTTAATATAGGAAATGTGTGCCAATTAAGCAATAACACACATGGACTGATTACTATTTTAAGATTATCTGTGATAACCCAACTCTGTTTTTCAGTACTTTGGGGCCTCAATTGTTTTTAATAAGTTCATGTATTCCCAGAAAAAAAATTCAATGAGTAGATGGAAATACAGAATAAAGATGTCTTGCTAAGATATTGCCCAAAAATGAAGAGAAACAAATGAGAAATTTGTATGACAAAACAATAGCTTTTGAAATAAGTATGAGCCTTTGGGTTCTTAAACCTCCTGGAGCTAGTTAGTTTGGGTAGACAAAAGAGGAAAAGGAAACAATAATGAACCTGGAATAGACTGTCAGAAATCATAGCATCTTGCAGCATTCCCAGTTAGCCTGTGTTTAAGATTTTGCAGGATGAAAACCACAGCTCCCTTTCCAACGTTTCCTTTGCTATTTGCCTGGTACCTGACAAATTGGCCTCCTCAGTGTCCCCCAAGCTCGTGCTCTGCATTTCCACCTGTGACACTTTGCTGATGCAGTTTCCCTCTCACATCTTTCTGCACCCTTGATATCTTTTTTCTCCTCCTCTCCCCATATCATCCTTTGAGAGTGACCCAAGTCCCCCTCTTCTGTCCTCCAGCTTCCAGGCCCTCCACTTCCCTCCTGTTCTGACCCTCTTGGGCAATTAGTATCATTACCTGTTATGGGTTGACTTGCATTCTCCTCCCCTAGATTCATATGTTGAAATCCTAAACCTCAGTACCTCAGAATGTGACTTCATTTGGAAACAGGGTAGTTGCAGATGTAATTAGTTAAGATGAGGTCATTAGGGTGGGCCTCAATCTAATATGACTGATGTCCTTAAAGAGAATGCCATGTGAAAGAAGAGATATGCATAGAGGAAAGACTATGTGAAGAGACAAGAAGAAGACAGCCATCTCTAAGCCAAGAAGAGAGGCTTGCACAGATCTTTCCCTCACAGCCTTTAGGAGCAATCAATCATGCTGACATCTTGATCCTAGACTTCCAGTCACCAGAACTGTGAGACAATGCATTTCTGTTGCTTAAGGTATCCAGTTTGTGGTACTTTGTTATGGCAGCCACAGCAAACTAATAAACTAATCCTCACTTGGGATTTACCACTTGGAGCCAGGGCCACATTTCGACATCTGTGGCTCTAGACACTTGCCTTCTTGGGCCCCTTTCTCTATACAAAAATATTTAAAACTATATTTTATGTATGTATGATTCCATTGTTATAAAGATAAATATTGGAATAGTACTTATTTAAACATATTCCTTGACTTAAAAGTTCACTGTTTTTCTGATTTTAAAAGTAATTAAACCATTTTCATGGGCTCCTGAAAGTATAACGAGCCCCAGTCACAGTGTCTGTTTTGCCTAGTGAACAAGTTGGCTCTGCTTGCAGCCTTCTGAGGAGTCATTTGGTGACAACACTTTGTGCTACCAAGTAGACCATAAGTTTTGGGAGAGCAAAGACCATGTGTGACCTCCTCTGCACCCTCTGCCTGTAGCAGATGTTTGAGAAACATCTATTAATTGATCTAGTCTAACCCCTTGTTTCTAGGAAAAGCATCTAAAACACATAGAACATTTCATTGTGGTATCTTCTTCCTTTTTAAATCTCCAGGGAAGATGACTCCATTTCAATGTTTATCAGAGCTTACATCTGGAATCATCTTCCCATAGGTGGCCAAGATGCCTTCAATTCAATACAGTCTAAGAACATTCCTGATTATAAATGTCCCCAACTAAATATAACATATCATCTCACCATGTGACCTTGGGCATCACATAATTGCTTTGGGCCTCAGTTTCCACTTATGTTAAATGGGAAGGTAGCTCCACGTGATCACTTTAAGGGCCCTTCCAATTAGCTAGTGAAGCAAGGGCAAAAAACAAATCTGGTGCTCTTAAATTCAAAGATTTTCAAAGATGGAGAATTTCAAAGATAAGACAGAGAAGCCCACATAACCTCATCTCCACCGGCTCTGCCAAAACATGAAGTGGCCACCCTGTTTGCAGGTTTGCTAATCCCTACCCCATGCCTTTTGGCTTTACTAGATCCCCAAAGTAATTACAGTTGACCTTTCCCTTCCCTTCAGAACTTGAATTTGGAACTCACAGGTACCCAGTGAACAAAGGAGTCTTCCCATGGGACCCAGAGGAATAAGTTATGCAGATACCACTGTCACCCCTAGCAAATGATTCTACTATCCCCATAACCATTCCTGATCCTCAAGCACATGTGCTAAAATTTATTATTATATACTTCCAGAAGGATTTATTCAGTTTGGGGTGGTTTTGTTTTGTTTTTGTACTAGCATCATAATAGACACAATGCAAATTGAGTCTTAACAGGAGTTTGGTGCTTCATCGTTAATGAGAAGGGAAAAAAACCTAGAAAAATAAAACTAAATTTTCTTCAATTGAGAAATGGTTAATAAAATAGGATGCATCCATACTGTGAAATGCTATGGTTACACAGGATGTAGCCATACTGTGAATTACTAAAAATAATAAGATAAATCTATAGGTGCTGGCATGAGATCTTCAACACCTATTTTTATTTTTTAAATAAGTGGCAAAAACACATTTACTTAACTGTATTTACATATATATACATATATACACAAATATAGTCATATATCACTTAACGACAAGGATACATTCTGAGAAATGCATTGTTAGGTGATTTTGTTGTTATGCAAATATCACAGAGTATAACCTAGGTGTATAGTAGGCTCCAGATAGTAAAGGAGCCTGCTGTACACCTAGGCTATATGGTATGGCCTATTGCTTCTAGGCTACAAACCTGTACAGCATGTTACTGTGCTGAATACAGTAGGCAATTGTGACACAATGGTAAGCATTTATGTGTCTAAACACATCTAAACATGAAAAAAGTACAGTAAAAATATGCTATTAAAGATAAAAAATGGCACACCTATATAGGGCATTCACCATGAATGGAGCTTGTAGGACTGGAAGTTACTCTGGGGGAGTCAGACAGGTGAGTGAGTGTGAAGGCCTAGGACATTACTGTCCACTACTATAGACTTTATAGATACTATATGCTTAGGCTACACTAAATTTATAAAACATATTTTTCTTTTTTCAATAATAAATTAACCTTAGCTTACTGTAATTTTTTACTTTATAAACTTTTTTAACTTTTTGAGTCTTGTAATAATACTTCACTTCAAACATACATTGTACAGCTGTACAAAAGTATCTTCTTTATAGCTTTATTCTATAAGGTTTAATATTTAAAAAATCTTTTGAAACATTTTTATAAAAACTAAGACAAAAACACACACATTAGGCTAGCCCTATACAGGGTCATGATAATCAAGATGTCACTAAGCAATAATAATTTTTCATCTTCTTTATATCTTATGGGACCACTATTATATATGTAGTTCATTGTTGTCCAAAACATCACTATGTGGTGCATGACTGTGTGTGTGTGTGTGTGTGTGTGTGTGTGTGTATAAAATTACATATGTGTGTACACACACACACATCTCAGTGTGCAAACCCTGAGACAAGGGTTAAAGTGCAAATAGTTTATTTGGGAGGTGATCCCAGGAAACATCAACAGGGAAATAAACACATGAGACAGGCAAGGGAAGGAAGCCAATCTAAAAAAACAAAAAAAAAAGTGTTTTCAAAAAGGTTACCACTCTGAGCAACTGGAGCTGAATCACTCTGGGGACACTACTGAACACACTGTAGAGTTATCCCAAATTAGAGGTAAAGAAGCTGGGTGTGGCCGGGCGCGGTGGCTCATGCCTGTAATCCCAGCACTTTGGGAGGCCGAGGTGGGTGGATCACGAGGTCAGGAGATCGAGATCATCCTGGCTAACATGGTGAAACCCCATCTCTACTAAAAATACAAAAAAATTAGCCAGCGTGGTGGCGGGCACCTGTAGTGCCAGCTACTCCGGAGGCTGAGGCGGGAGAATGGCGTGAATCCAGGAGGCGGAGCTTGCAGTGAGCCGAGATCCTGCCACTGCACTCCAGCCTGGGCAACAGAGCGAGACTACGTCTCAAAAAAAAAAAAAAAAAAAAAAAAAAAAAAAAAAAAAAAGAAGCTGGGTGTTACATACCAAAGCTCGCCAGTTATTGGTTGAAGGCTGCTCTTGAACCATGTTAAGTACTTAGCACTGACATGCTCCATGGTTGGAGAACACCCACAAACAGAGAGTCATATTTGGTGGCAGCCGAAAGTCGGAAGAACATGTACAGAATTGATAAGTGCCAAGGCATTTGCCATAGTATACCTCCATATTATCTTCCTCTACTGCCAACAACGAAATGACACTTTGCGATTCTGGTTGGTAAGACAAAACACACTTTTGTCTCCTTGAAGGCAACACCTCATATTCTTCTCTAAATGTGGAAGAACATTACACAGTGGTGGGTATCTAGGATGGTAGCTGCTCAACAATCATGATGGATCATGTGACCAATGAAACAGACCCTTTCTTGGCCCCCTCTAGGAATCTAAATTCAACTCAGCTAACACATTTATATTTTTAACCAATAATCATTTATGTCAATCACAAAAGTTTTAAGATGCCATAGTCCTCTATTCCATTCTTCTCCAACCCTCCACCTCTACCTGTCTACCATTTCCTAGGCTGAGACTCAAAAAATTAGCCATACTGCATCTTGACCATTCTGGTAGCATTAAATCAACCACTAATATGACAGGGGTCTCTGACTGCTTAAACTCATTCTGCCTGCTACTCAGGGTTCCAGAGTAGTCGGTAACATTTCCTGGGTCTGAAGCATTGTAAGAAGCTCCTTGAACATTTCAGTTGACTCACCAAGCAGAAACCAGCACATATGTGATGGGTTAACCTAACTGACTTTTGCCTAACATGCTCAAAGAAAAATGGTTGAAACAAAGCATAATTCTCTAGACATTCTTAAGAAGTCTAGCCAAACAAAAAAGGAATAAAAATATGAGGTCTCTAACTAGAGACAGGTCTTGGGTGTCTTGTCTTTGTTTGGGTGTTGGGTCTTCATTCAAACATTTATTGAGGGTTTGCGATGTGCCAGGCACTATGGTGGGCCCTTTGCCAACTCATGATGCACACAAAGGCATGGACCTGACCAGAGGGCAACTTAAAGAGGAGAGGGCACTTTCTAGATGAAGTTCTCTGCCAATCCTCTCTATTTTATAATACCCCAGCCTTGCTCATCTCCCTTTAATTTAACCTGCTTCTGTATTTGTCTGGCAGTATACAGTTCTTGCATATGGCTATATTCTAAAACCCAAAGTCCAGAGAGCAGGGAATACTTCATGGCTGGAAGGCTCACCCCTGTACAGGCTACAGGATAACATCTAAAGTAGTAGTCAACTTGCTCCAGCCTCACTGCTCCTGTCACTGTGGCTGGTGGGGCTGAGTTCAATCTCAAGGTCTCTGTAGCTCCTAGCCCAACCCTTCTAAAATACAGCTCAAAAATCTGCTCACACATAACAGAGCAGCCCCACATAAGCCAATGGTGGAGCTGCTTCTTAAGCTGACACTATCCCTTTATGGAAAAACAAAGGCTGGGAAAGGAAACAGGAAACAAGCACAGATCGAATCTAGGGCCTCGAGCTAAAGCATCAGGCCCCCCAATGTGTGATTTATTATAGAACACAGACCAGAGGTGCTTAGTTGAGCCACCAAAGACTTTATCTCCTCTGGCTTTGTAACAGTATGATTCAAATAGCATCCCTGGATGTGAAAAGATCCATTAATCCAAACAGCCTCCATATCACATCTTGCAGTCAAACACGTATTTGGGGGTGAGGACAAAACAGAGCCTACAAATGCCTTATTTTAAAGGGACAGTTTCTTTGAATGGAATTTCTTCATAGACAGGAAATTGGGACAAAAGAGCGAAAATTGATATAATTTTCTATTCTTTGAGAAGAAACATTTGACATAATTTATCCAGTGGAAATCAGGAAACTAATCAATGCTCATTATTGGTTTTTGCTTTGATGTACCCCTCCCACAGCTACACTTTGAATTATACCTCCTCATCTCCCTGAAGCATGAGGTTGCAGGTAGATAATGAAAAAAATAATTGCCCTGGTTACAAAGGTAACATTAAAGTAGGGACTGAATTTAAGCGACTGTAGCTCTCAATCAAGCAAGCAGAAGCAGGCAATATCCTCAAAGACACTTCCCTCAATTCTTAAGACATTTGAACCACTACTTACCAGAAAAGTGGAGAAAACAACTTTAAGAAATTTTTTCCTGGGGAGGAGCCAAGATGGCCGAATAGGAACAGCTCCGGTCTACAGCTCCCAGTGTGAGCGTCGCAGAAGACAGGTGATTTCTGCATTTCCATCTGAGGTACCGGGTTCATCTCACTAGGGAGTGCCAGACAGTGGGCGCAGGTCAGTGGGTGCGCGCACCGTGCGCAAGCCGAAGCAGGGCGAGGCATTGCCTCACTAGGGAAGCGCAAGGGGTCAGGGAGTTCCCTTTCCTAGTCAAAGAAAGGGGTGACGGACGGCACCTGGAAAATCGGGTCACTCCCACCCGAATACTGCGCTTTTCCGACGGGCTTAAAAAACGGCCCACCACGAGATTACATCCCGCACCTGGCTCGGAGGGTCCTACGCCCACGGAGTCTCGCTGATTGCTAGCACAGCAGTCTGAGATCAAACTGCAAGGCGGCAGCGAGGCTGGGGGAGGGGCACCCGCCATTGCCTAGGCTTGCTGAGGTAAACAAAGCAGCCGGGAAGCTCAAACTGGGTGGAGCCCACCACAGCTCAAGGAGGCCTGCCTGCCTCTGTAGGCTCCATCTCTGGGGGCAGGGCACAGACAAACAAAAAGACAGCAGTAACCTCTGCAGACTTAAATGTCCCTGTCTGACAGCTTTGAAGAGAGCAGTGGTTCTCCCAGTACGCAGCTGGAGATCTGAGAAGGGGCAGACTGCCTCCTCAAGTGGGTGCCTGACCCCTGACCCCTGAGCAGCCTAACTGGGAGGCACCCCCTAACAGGGGCACACTGACACCTCACACGGCAGGGTACTCCAACAGCCCTACAGCTGAGGGTCCTGTCTGTTAGAAGGAAAACTAACAAACAGAAAGGACATCCACACCAAAAACCCATCTGTACATCACCATCATCAAAGACAAAAAGTAAATAAAACCACAAAGATGGGGAAAAAACAACAGAAAAACTGGAAACTAAAAAGCAGAGCGCCTCTCCTCCTCCAAAGGAATGCAGTTCCTCACCAGCAACGGAACAAAGCTGGACGGAGAATGACTTTGACGAGCTGAGAGAAGAAGGCTTCAGACGATCAAATTACTCTGAGCTACGGGAGGACATTCAAACCAAAGGCAAAGAAGTTGAAAACTTTGAAAAAAATTTAGAAGAATGTATAACTAGAATAACCAATAGAGAGAAGTGCTTAAAGGAGCTGATGGAGCTGAAAACAAAGGCTCGAGAACTATGTGAAGAATGCAGAAGCCTCAGGAGCCGATGCGATCAACTGGAAGAAAGGGTATCAGCGATGGAAGATGAAATGAATGAAATGAAGCGAGAAGGGAACTTTAGAGAAAAAAGAATAAAAAGAAATGAGCAAAGCCTCCAAGAAATATGGGACTATGTGAAAAGACCAAATCTACGTCTGATTGGTGTACCTGAAAGTGATAGGGAGAATGGAACCAAGTTGGAAAACACTCTGCAGGATATTATCCAGGAGAACTTCCCCAATCTAGCAAGGCAGGCCAACGTTCAGATTCAGGAAATACAGAGAATGCCACAAAGATACTCCTCGAGAAGAGCAACTCCAAGACACATAATTGTCAGATTCACCAAAGTTGAAATGAAGGAAAAAATGTTAAGGGCAGCTACAGAGAAAGGTCAGGTTACCCTCAAAGGGAAGCCCATCAGACTAACAGCGGATCTCTCGGCAGAAACCCTACAAGCCAGAAGAGAGTGGGGGCCAATATTCAACATTCTTACGGAAAAGAATTTTCAACCCAGAATTTCATATCCAGCCAAACTAAGCTTCATAAGTGAAGGAGAAATAAAATACTTTACAGACAAGGAAATGCTGAGAGATTTTGTCACCACCAGGCCTGCCCTAAAAGAGCTCCTGAAGGAAGTGCTAAACATGGAAAGGAACAACCAGTACCAGCCGATGCAAAATCATGCCAAAATGTAAAGACCATCGAGACTAGGAAGAAACTGCATCAACTAACGAGCAAAATAACCAGCTAATATCATAATGACAGGATCAAATTGACACATAACAATATTAACTTTAAATGTAAATGGACTAAATGCTCCAATTAAAAGACACAGACTGGCAAATTGGATAAAGAGTCAAGACCCATCAGTGTGCTGTATTCAATAAACCCATCTCACGTGCAGAGACACACATAGGCTCAAAATAAAAGGATGGAGGAAAATCTACCAAGCAAATGGAAAACAAAAAAAGGCAGGGGTTGCAATCCTAGTCTCTGATAAAACAGACTTTAAACCAACAAAGATCAAAAGAGACAAAGAAGGCCATTACATAATGGTAAAGGGATCAATTCAACAAGAAGAGCTAACTATCCTAAATATATATGCACCCAACACAGGAGCACCCAGATTTATAAAGCAAGTCCTGAGTGACCTACAAAGAGACTTAGACTCCCACACAATAATGATGGGAGACTTTAACACCCCACTGTCAACATTAGACAGATCAATGAGACAGAAAGTCAACAAGGATACTCAGGAATTGAACTCAGCTCTGCACCAAGCAGACCTAATAGACATCTACAGAACTCTCCACCCCAAATCAATAGAATATACATTTTTTTCAGCACCACACCACACCTATTCCAAAATTGACCACATACTTGGAAGTAAAGCTCTCCTCAGCAAATGTAAAAGAACACAAATTATAACAAACTATCTCTCAGACCACAGTGCAATCAAACTAGAACTCAGGATTAAGAATCTCACTCAAAACCGCTCAACTACATGGAAACTGAACAACCTGCTCCTGAATGACTACTGGGTACATAACAAAATGAAGGCAGAAATAAAGATGTTCTTTGAAACCAACGAGAACAAAGACACAACATACCAGAATCTCTGGGGCACATTCAAAGCAGTGTGTAGAGGGAAATTTATAGCACTAAATGCCCACAAGAGAAAGCAGGAAAGATCCAAAATTGACACCCTAACATCACAATTAAAAGAACTAGAAAAGCAAGAGCAAACACATTCAAAAGCTAGCAGAAGGCAAGAAATAACTAAAATCAGAGCAGAACTGAAGGAAATAGAGACACAAAAAACCCTTCAAAAAATTAATGAATCCAGGAGCTGGTTTTTTGAAAGGATCAACAAAATAGACTGCTAGCAAGACTAATAAAGAAAAAAAGAGAGAAGAATCAAATAGACGCAATAAAAAATGATAAAGGGAATATCACCACTGATCCCACAGAAATACAAACTACCATCAGAGAATACTACAAACACCTCTACACAAATAAACTAGAAAATCTAGAAGAAATGGATAAATTCCTTGACACATACACCCTCCCAAGACTAAACCAGGAAGAAGTTGAATCTCTGAATAGACCAATAACAGGATCTGAAATTGTGGCAATAATCAATAGCTTACCAACCAAAAAGAGTCCAGGACCAGATGGATTCACAGCCGAATTCTACCAGAGGTACAAGGAGGAACTGGTACCATTCCTTCTGAAACTATTCCAATCAATAGAAAAAGAGGGAATCCTCCCTAACTCATTTTATGAGGCCAGCATCATTCTGATACCAAAGCTGGGCAGAGACACAACCAAAAAAGAGAATTTTAGACCAATATCCTTGATGAACATTGATGCAAAAATCCTCAATAAAATACTGGCAAACCAAATCCAGCAGCACATCAAAAAGCTTATCCACCATGATCAAGTGGGCTTCATCCCTGGGATGCAAGGCTGGTTCAATATACGCAAATCAATAAATGTAACCCAGCATCTAAACAGAGCCAAAGACAAAAACCACATGATTATCTCAATAGATGCAGAAAAGGCCTTTGACAAAATTCAACAACCCTTCATGCTAAAAACTCTCACTAAATTAGGTATTGATGGGACATATTTCAAAATAATAAGAGCTATCTATGACAAACCCACAGCCAATATCATACTGAATGGGCAAAAACTGGAAGCATTCCCTTTGAAAACTGGCACAAGACAGGGATGCCCTCTCTCACCACTCCTATTCAACATAGTGTTGGAAGTTCTGGCCAGGGCAATTAGGCAGGAGAAGGAAATAAAGGGTATTCAATTAGGAAAAGAGGAAGTCAAATTGTCCCTGTTTGCAGACGACATGATTGTATATCTAGAAAACCCCATTGTCTCAGCCCCAGCTCTCCTTAAGCTGATAAGCAACTTCAGCAAAGTCTCAGGACACAAAATCAATGTACAAAAATCACAAGCATTCTTATACACCACCAACAAACAAACAGCCAAATCATGAGTGAACTCCCATTCACAATTGCTTCAAAGAGAATAAAATACCTAGGAATCCAACTTACAAGGGATGTGAAGGACCTCTTCAAGGAGAACTACAAACCACTGCTCAAGGAAATAAAAGAGGATACAAACAAATGGAAGAACATCCCATGCTCATGGGTAGGAAGAATCAATATCGTGAAAATGGCCATACTGCCCATGGTAATTTACAGATTCAATACCATCCCCATCAAGCTACCAATGACTTTCTTCACAGAATTGGAAAAAACTACTTTAAAGTTCATATGGAACCAAAAAAGAGCCTGCATCGCCAAGTCAATCCTAAGCCAAAAGAACAAAGCTGGAGGCATCACACTACCTGACTTCAAGCTATACTACAAGGCTACAGTAACCAAAACAGCATGGTACTGGTACCAAAACAGAGATATAGATCAATGGAACAGAACAGAGCCCTCAGAAATAATGCCGCATATCTACAACTATCTGATCTTTGACAAACCTGACAAAAACAAGCAATGGGGAAAGGATTCCCTATTTAATAAATGGTGCTGGGAAAATTGGCTAGCCATATGTAGAAAGCTGAAACTGGATCCCTTCCTTACACCTTATACAAAAATCAATTCAAGATGGATTAAAGACTTAAACATTAGACCTAAAACCATAAAAACCCTAGAAGAAAACCTAGGCATTACCATTCAGGACATAGGCATGGGCAAGTACTTCATGTCTAAAACACCAAAAGCAATGGCAACAAAAGACAAAATTGACAAATGGGATCTAATTAAACTAAAGAGCTTCTGCACAGCAAAAGAAACTACCATCAGAGTGAACAGGCAACCTACAACATGGGAGAAAATTTTCACAACCTACTCATCTGACAAAGGGCTAATATCCAGAATCTACAATGAACTCAAACAAATTTACAAGAAAAAAACAAACAACCCCATCAAAAAGTGGGTGAAGGACATGAACAGACACTTCTCAAAAGAAGACATTTATGCAGCCAAAAAACACATGAAAAAATGCTCATCATCACTGGCCATCAGAGAAATGCAAATCAAAACCACAATGAGATACCATCTCACACCAGTTAGAATGGCAATCATTAAAAAGTCAGGAAACAACAGGTGCTGGAGAGGATGTGGAGAAATAGGAACACTTTTACACTGTTGGTGGGACTGTAAACTAGTTCAACCATTGTGGAAGTCAGTGTGGCGATTCCTCAGGGATCTAGAACTAGAAATACCATTTGACCCAGCCATCCCATTACTGGGTATATACCCAAAGGACTATAAATCATGCTGCTATAAAGACACATGTACACGTATGTTTATTGTGGCATTATTCACAATAGCAAAGACTTGAAACCAACCCAAATGTCCAACAATGATAGACTGGATTAAGAAAATGTGGCACATGTACACCATGGAGTACTATGCAGCCATAAAAAATGATGAGTTCACGTCCTTTGTAGAGACATGGATGAAATTGGAAATCATCATTCTCAGTAAACTATCGCAAGAACAAAAAACCAAACACTGCATATTCTCACTCATAGGTGAGAATTGAACAACGAGATCACATGGACACAGGAAGGGGAACATCACACTCTGGGGACTGTTGTGTGGTGGGGGGAGGGGGGAGGGATAGCATTGGGAGATATACCTAATGCTAGATGACGAGTTAGTGGGTGCAGCGCACCAGCATGGCACATGTATACATATGTAACTAACCTGCACAATGTGCACATGTACCCTAAAACTTAAAGTATAATAATAAAAGAAAAAAAAGAAATTTTTTCCTATATCATCTATTTTTTATTTAAAGGATATAAGTGCAATTCTGTCATATGAATATACTGCGTAGTGGTGGAGTTTGGGCTTTTAGTGTAACCATCACCCAAATAATGTACATTGTACCTATTAAGTAATTTCTCATCCCTTCCACACTCCCCCATCCCTCCAATTATTGAAAAACAGCCCTAGATGAAGTTTCCATATACAAGTAGATTTATAACAGGTGAATTGGACTCCAAAAACCCAGGTGGGCAAATAAAAGTACATTGTTTTTCGAAAATAAAGTTGCATTTAATACCGAATTGCATTTGACATGAACTGCACTGGGCTGAAGAAAAACTCTATCAGTCATTAGAGACTTCTATCTCCCTGACTCCTGGAAAGTTTCTCAAACACCCTCAGGGATGTGATGCAGCACTCCAAGGTCAGGAAAGGCCCTCTGGTCTTCAATCCACATTCACCACCATTAGTATTGGAGCCACCATGGTCCCTGGAATGCAGATCTGCCATGTCTTTGCCCCACTTGAAAACCCCAATGCCTGGGGACTTATTTCCCTTGCACACCTCCTAGCCACACCACTCGCAGGTTTTTCCTCCTCTCAGGCGCTGTGAAAGCCAGGACTATGAGCCACCCATAAAGCCCCAAAGCACCATTCCCTTTCCTGTCTTGGAGAGTTTCCCTCTTTTCTTTCTGCTGTTATAACATCTGCTTCCAAAATATGTAGTTCTCCGAGTGGATAGAAAGATGAGCGAATGTGATAAAGCGAGTATAGTAGAAGGTTAATGGCAAAATCTAGATGATGGGTAATGAGAATTCAATCCAAAATTCTTTCACTTCTGCAGTATACTTGAGATTTTTCATAATAAATTGTGGAAGAAAATACAACTGTCTCTCCAACCTTAACATTCTATGCTGTGGCTTTTAAAAACAAAAGCCAGGCTGGACGCAGTGGCTGATGCATGTAATCCCAGCACTTTGGGAGGCTGAGGTGGGTGGATCACCTGAGGTCAGGAGTTCCAGACCAGCCTGGCCAACATGGTGAAACCCCATCTCTACCAGAAATTAACCGGACATGGTGGCACACGCCTGTAATCCCAGCTACTCGGGAAGCTGAGGCAGAATTGCTCCAGCCCAGGAGACAGAGGTTGCAATGAGCCAAGATTGCCAAGAGAGGAAGACTCTCTCTCCAAAAAAAAAAGCCAGCCAGAGAAAGAGAAGTGGAGCACAATGGGGTACTTAGCCCTGTGGCATAAATCTCCCCCAAAATAGGGGAACGATCTGGCTAGCAAACATTCTTGGAACGCAAGAGGCAAAATTATAGTGAGAAAAAAGCACAATTTAATACTTCAATGAATTTTCCTACCACACTTTCTAAATAAATGATAACCAGGTACGATTGTCTACTCCCATTTCTCACTACAACCCATATCTGAAATCTAGTTGCCCATATACCATAACCATATTTTTGTTTTTTGTTTTTGCTCAAAAATGTTCAGGAATGAAGTAATATATAACTCTCTTCACTTCTGAATCCCACAGCCAGGACACAAAGAATAGGTTCTTGGATGCAGGACACATAAATTGAAGACGCCACAAATTTTTATGGCCAAAAATCCAAAGGAACAATTACTGAGTAGCTCTTGAGCTCTGGAAATATCCTGTCAATTGGTTGTTAGGGCTGTATTGAAAAGATCTTAGCATTGCTCTGAATGCTGAAAAATGCTGATGTCCAAAGGCGCTCCTCATTATTTCTTTCCGTTGTAAACAGCTATCGGAAAGCTCTGAACACAAAAAGCATAGGGCAAAAATCAAAAGTTTCTCTTATAAATAAATAAAATCAAGTTTCTGTCTGCTGCCACATCATGTGGACATCACTGAATGGAATTTTATCAAATTTTGACGGTATGTTTTGAATTACCTGATAAAACATATGCTGAATAGTGTATGGAAAATACATATTCAGTTGCCCATTAGATGCCTTTCCTCATAAGAGAAGCAGTCAGTCTTTAAGACAGGCAAACTGAGGTACAACAGGATACCTATGAGATTCCCAATGAGAAGAGAAACACCTGAAAAAGACAGACTTCAACTTTGAGTCTTTAATTGGATTCTGTGGTCTGCAAGCATTGAATTGTAATGGGGATGTTTCTCACATAAGAACTCCAAGAAGATGCCCCATAATGAGTTGCAGCAGAGATTAATTAATTTATTTAAAGGTGGTTAGTTATTCACCTGACTAATGCTGGAAGGCTGGATGCTTAATATGACAAAGGAAGACTGTAGTTAAATTGCCAGTAATAGATAGAATTGCAGTATGCAAAAAATGTACTCAACTTGTACAGAGGTATTTTATTTCATTTACTGTTATTTTCAGCTACATTCCTGCATTATATTTGCCCATCTTAGATTATGTAACCACTTTACCAAGGTTAGAATAAAAGTTCTCTCCACCACCCCCAACACACACAGAGAGAGAGGAAAAAAAAAAAAGAGTTGTTTGACAGGTACTATAGCAGCTTCCCTCAGCTCTTCCTCAGGCATGGGTTGTTATATAAGCCTGTTGACCTCTCCTGATAGCTCCCTGAATTGCAAACATAATAATTATTATTATCTTTAAATTCTGTGATGAGATGCCCTCACTACTCCAATAACATAAATTCAGATATAACTCATCATCACAGTGCAGTCTAACTGGCTCCCTCATCCAAAAAGAGTAGGCACTTCCACTTTTACTTTAAATATCTCTTTCCTCCTCGTTCCCTAACCACCACCCATGGGTAGAAGTAAGTGCACCACACATCAGGGCTGCACTTACTTCCAGTTTTATTTATTGGATAAGCCCAACTTTCCAAGTCAAAATGGAGAAATGTGATTTAGAGAAACAGGAGGAGAACAAATAATGGGCAAACTTAGCAGTTTCCCAGTGCTTGAAATGGTGTGCTAAGATTTTCATTATCATGAAGTGAGTATCAGAAAGAAATGCATTGTTTAATTTGTTCCCCTCTGGGCCAGTAGAGGCAGAGTGAAATCACCAAACATTCCACTATTATGACAAATGAATGGCCAACAGATATATGAAAGAATGCTCATCACTAATTATCAGGGAAATACAAATTAAAACTACAATGAGATGGCACCTCACACCTGTTAGAATGGCTAAAATAAAAAAGACAAAAGAGGCCAGGCGCGGTGGCTCATGCCTGTAATCCCAACACTTTGGGAGGCTGAGGCAGGCAGATCATGAGGTCAGGAGTTCGAGACCAGCCTGGCCAACATGGTGAAACCCCGTCTCCACTAAAAATACAAAAATTAGCTGGGCGTGATGGTGGGCACCTGTAATCCCAGCTACTCAGGAGGCTGAGGCAGGAGAATCGCTTGAAACTGGAAGGCAGAGGTGGCAGTGAGCCGAGATGGTGCCACTGCACTCCAGCCTGGGCGAAAGAGTGAAATTCTGTCTCAAAAAAAAAAGACAAAAGATAACAAGTGTTGGCAAGGGTGCAGAGAAAGGAGGACCCTGTCACACTGTTGGTGGGAATGTAAATTAGTACAGCCATTTTGGAGAACAGTATAGAGGTCCCTCAATAACTAAAAATAGAATTACCACATGATCTAGCAATCCTGCTTCCAGGTATATATCCAAAGGAAATGAAGTCAGTATGTCAAAGAGATCTCTGCACTCCTATCTTCATTACAGTATTATTCACAGTAGCTAAGATTTGGAAATAACCTAAATGTCCATTAAGAAATGAATGGATAAAGAAAATTTGGCATGCATACACAATGGAATTCTATTCAGCTTTAAGAAAAAGGAAATCCTGCCATATTCAACAACATGGATGGAATTGGAAGACATGATAAGTGAAATAAACCAGACACAGAAAGACAAATACTGCATGATCTCACTTATATGTGGAATCTAAAAAAGTCAGTCTCACAAAAGTAAAGAGTAGAATGGTGGTTATCAGAGGCTGGGGGAAGACGGGTGAGTAAAGAGAAGAAGTGAGTCACAGGGTACAAAATTTCAGTTAAGAGAAATAAGTTTTAGTGATAGATTGCACCGCATGGTGATACAGTTAATGTATATTTCAAAATTGCTAAAAGAGTAGAGTTTAAATGTTCTCACCAACAAAAAATAAGTAGGTGAAGCAAGGGATATGTTAATTAGCTTTATTTGATCATTCCAGAATGTATACATGTATCAAAACATCACGCTGAATCCCTTCGATATATACAATTATTATTTGCCAATTAAGAATAAAATTTAACATGTAATCATAATAAAAATGTAAACTTACATGAATATAGGCCTTGGTTATAATTGATGCTCCTCTTTCTCAGCTTCCTCCCTTGAAACGGGCTTGCTTAGGAGCCAGATACCTCTAGGACCTAGAATTAGTACACACAAAGAAAGACTTTGGTTTAAGAGACTTAGACCAACTGAAGTCCAATTTTTTTTAACGCAAAAAGTTACTGTGATGTGGTAATTCCATGGATGAGAAGTGGGGCATTATAGGTGAGTGGTTAAAAGTGTGGAATTTGGAGTGAAGCAGTTAGGTTTGAATCCCATCTATCTTTGTGTCCTTAGGCAATACATTAAAAAAAAAAAAAAAAGACCAGCAAGTGTGAAATTAAGGTAGCTTTCAAATGCAGAAAACTGTGTTCCATATAGTGTGTCTTCTTTTGCACTACATTAAGCTTATACCCACCCAGCCTCTCGGGATGCACATTTAGATGTCCTTCCTGCTGGAAATTCATTTGAGCCCACTCCCATTGGTAGAGAGCTCCAGAAACCAGGACAGAACATGAGCCAGAAGGTGAAAATTTCTCAAACCAGGTCAGCGAGCATGTTAGATAGAATAATTTGAGATTACAAGCAAGATTTGTCATGGTAAGAGTAATGTTTTAACTAGCAGATCAAACCCTGGATATGAACGCGTGATAAAAAACCAAAAGAAACAAGAACCACCTGGCTATCAACAAGATTTTACCTTTCCAGAGATAAGGATTCCCAATTCCTCAAGGAAGCAGTAGCAACATTGCGTTCTTTAAAACGACTACCACCTGGCAATAACCAAACTGTCCCCGATTCAGCCACTACTAATGAAGTCACTAGAAGCACAGTTTCCTAATTCCTCCAATCTGGGTCAGAGTACTATTGAGAGAATTAGCCAGGACTCTTTCAGTTGCAAGCTACATTCGCAGCATCTACATAGTAGGCACTCAACGCATTGAGTGAATGAATGAATACACGAATGAACATGCACCCCAGTACCAGTTCCAATGTATACTAAGAAAGTAAACTATACTCACTGTATGTTCTACCAATAAGCAAGCCAGAGTTCTAAGGGGATAAAATGGCTCACTGAAAATAACCACAGAGAAAACGATGACAGGCAAAAACCTTGAGGCTAAACCCAAACTTAGAGACCCAGTTCAGTGTTTCAGTCCACCAGACTGAGTCTGATTCCCTTGTGCTGACGACCACACTGGTGTCTACCCTGGCACTATTCTGCTTTCTAACCAGGAGCCAGACTGACTGAGTGGCAAAGCTGGACTTCTCACTTTAAGCTTACATCTGTGATTCCTTCTGCTAATGATGAACCCCCTGAGCAGGAAGGCTTCCCAGCTGGCACCCCGGTGTGGCTCTGCCATGCCCTGGACTCTCCACGTGGTGAGCACATCCACCTGGCAGGATTACTGAAGAGAAGCATGCCAGAGGATAAGGACAAACCCTGTGCAAATACCTAATCTGCCCAGTCCGAGCATAAAGCTGAAGAGCACCTGCCTGATATCACCACTGCGATTTTACATAAATGACATTCAGGCTGGCTACAAAACCCCATGTGAGTCTCAACAGTAAAGGGCCTCTGGGTAATTCACCAGCTGGCTAGCTGATTTTAGCACAGTTAGTAAAACACTGCATTAACATTTAGCTTTTGTGTGTAGAACAAGCTGTGTGGTAAATTTTTCTAAATGTTACTGAAATATATTACCTGCAAACTATAGGCTAAGCCGAGGCAGCAACAGGAAAAATCCCTGTTCCCAGAAAGCCCAGGTTCTACAACAAGTATAAAATGCATTTGGAAAATGCACATGCCTGGCACACAAGAAATAGTTCTTAGTAATTCCTGGGATGAGGGTCCAACCTCTGCCACGGGGCACTCATTTGATCCATCTCCTGGTATGCATTGTGTGCTTACTGCCTGCAAAGCCCTTTGTTAGGAGCCAGGTAGTTTGAGAAGCTTCAGGCCCAAGCTTAAAAAACCTTGTGAAGTAGGAGAATTTGCAGCTGAATCTGCCTTGGGGACTCTGATGCTATATCAGCTGCTGTCAGTCCCACCCAACCTCCTCAGCTCACACCTCACATCTCAGATTCCCTTGCATGCCAAGAGTTTCCTACTGCAAACACCTGCAACATCTGCCTGGGGCTTTTTTCGGACTCAGCAAATGCTTCCCTGGAACACAGGCAAACTGGAAGTGGAAAGCAGTTAGTGCCCCCAGAGGCAGCTCTCAACCAGTTGCAGACTGGAACTGGGGACTAATACTCTAGCTTCCTCATACCTCAAGTGGAATGAGATGGAGACCTGTCTTCTCCAACTCAGAGACTTGTCTCTCTGAGTTCCAGTCACCTGCCATGGTAACTGGCTCAGGAGTACATACTTTGTATTGTCTGCTGTCTCATCATCCACCCCCATTCTGTGCTTCCTAGGATCTCTACCTCTCAAATAAGCTGCTTCCTCTCACATCCTTGACTTAGAGTCAGCTTCCTGAGGACCCCATCCTAAAGCAGACCCCTTCTCTCTTCTAATCTAATCCTCTCACTTTTTCAACACACATCATTTTAGAACTCCAATCATGTGCCAAGTCTTCTGATAACTTCCTTGGACTCCCCACTAAAAATTAATTGGTTAATTAGTTAATTCATTAAACCAACTTTCTTTTCAGTAAAGAACCTAAAATTCATTCATGTTGAGGTGTGACTGATGCAGAGGGCCAAAAAGTGAGCCTATCCTCCGCTAGATCAATGATGGCTCAAAGAAAGCAAGGACTACCTACAGAATCTGGGCCTCAAGCTGTGAAGACCTTGTTTCTGACACCAGGGAATTCATACTGCAGAGACATCATTCGCTCTAATTTTCACAAAAGTGACTGATATGGTTTGGCTGTGTCCCCACTCAAATCTCATCTTGAATTATAGCTCCCATAATTCCCACACCTTGTGGGAGGGACCCAGTGGGAGACCACTGAATCATGGGGGCAGGAGACAATTGAATTATGGGTACATTTTCCCTCACACTATGCTCATGGTAGTGAATAAGTCTCACGAGATCTGATGGTTTTATAAGAGGTTTCCCTTTTCACTTGGCTCTCATTCTCTCTTGTCTGCCGCCAAGTAAGACATGGCTTTCACCTTCTGCCATGATTGTGAGGCCTCCCCAGACACATGGAACTGCAAGTCCATGAAACCTCTTTTTCTTTATAAATTACCCAGTCTCAAGTATGTCTTTATCAGCAGCATGAAAATGGAATAATACAGTGACCCTGAGAAGTAGAAAGAGGGAACATGAGAGGACAGGGAGAAGGACACTGGGTAGGATCCCAGTTCTGGTGACTCCCACCCCACTTCAGGCACTGCTGCTGAAGGTTTACTGAAGGTCAGAGAACTCTTCACAGAACAGCTAATAGTGGCCATGAGAGAAGCTACTGGGAATACTGGAACAGAGAAGCTGGCCTTAGTAGCAGAGAAACTGGTGACCACAGGCAAGAATGGGCAGAGATGTTGGGAAATGTCAAGCAAAGCCCAGAAAGGGAAAGAGGGTGAATACAAGAGTTGCAAAACGGTCTTGTTTATCAAGACACCCAGCCTCCAGAAAGGACAGACCAACAAAATATCTGCACAAATAAACACCAGAAAGGAAAACTTGAAAGCATCCATCCATACTTCTTCTGCCTCAGGTGGATTATCTAGCCAGTAGACGATGAATAGCAAAATTTATACTCTAGCCTGGCTTCCCTTTCACATCCACACTGTACCTGGTGACTTCCCTGAACATGGGCTGATATATATTCAAGAAATGCAAAGCCTTTTTAAGATAAATTTGATGAGGAGATAAAAATATTCATGTGCACGCAAAAGCCCAGGAGAAATGATTTCTGATTATTCTGAGTCGTGTTAATTATTTGGGCTCACAGCTTCCTTCCATTTGCATGGTAGCTCAGGAAGTAACTGCACAAACAACTCTGCCAAGAGACATTACACCAGTGGGAGGGATTGGTCACCTTGCCGAGGCTTCCCACCAAGCCTGGCTGCAAATATGCAGCTGGATAAATTTACAGCATACATAAAAGAATAGCATATATTCTTTGTAATCCCACCAGCATGCCTGGCCTGATGGTTTGACCATTCAACAAATACTTCTTAAGGTCTATCAGGTGCCCGGCATGGAACCTCAAGACTCTAGTTTAGTAAATTTTGCCCTTCATTCCAAAAAAACAAAAAACAAAAACAAAAACTCCATTCTGCTTTTTTGGCTTATGCTTTTAAAATCAATTTTCCTACCAAAAATATGGAAAGGAAGTATAACATGTTATTTAGGAATTCCAACTTAGGAGTTGGAAACATCTTTGTTCAAAACCTGGCTTTGCCACTTACTTACTATGCGACCACAGGTGAGTTCAGTAGCCAGAATTACTCAGAGCTTTAGTTTTACCATCTTCAAAATGGACAGTAGTCATAGGACCTACTACTCAGTATTGTTTGTAAGTTTACATAAGATAATAAATGTAAGGGCTTAGTACAGTGCCTTGTACACTGAAAATGCTTTTACTAATTTCCCATTGCTGCTATAACAAATTACCATGAACTTAGTGGCTTAAAACAACACATTTATTGCCTTATGGTTCTGGAGATCAGAAGCCCAAAATGGGTTTTTACAGGGCTAACATCAAGGTTTGCCAAAGGTCCATGTTCCTTCTAGAGGCTCTAGGGGAGAATCCACTTTCCTGCTTCCAGTTTCCAGAGGCTGCCTACATTCTTTGGCTTGTGGCCTCATCACTCCAACCTCTGATTCCATCATCCCATCTCCTTCTTTGACTCCAACCGTCCTCCCTCTCTCTTATATGGTCCCTTGTTGTTACACTGGGTCCACCCACAGAATCCAGAATAATCTCCCTTTCATAACATTCTTAACTTAATCACATCTGCAAAGCCCCTTTTGCCTTGTAAGGTAACATATTCACAGGTCTTTGGGTCATTATGTAGCCTACTATAGTGCTCATTAACATATATACAACATATATATATATATATGTATGTGTGTGTATTTTGTAGACTTTGTCCCTAGAAGCCTGTTAACTGCTTCATATGTCTTCTAACACACAGGTTAACAACCTATGGCAAGTATGGCAAAAATGGTGTGCCAATCATTGGTGGCTGCTCCACTCCCCCTCACCCATCTGCTGCCAACTTTGGTACGACAGCCAGTGGTCAGCTTGAGTTCTGGGCACTTCTCACCCCATCCATAACTCACCTGCAAGGAGTCAGAAGGCCCTCCACACCTCCAGGCCTAGCACCACACATCAAGAAGTGCTTGAAATTCTTTTGGACTGTGATGATCATCCCATTAACCTCCCTGATAATACAGAAGTAAAAACATGCATAACCAGTTGGTAGAGAAGAAAAAGTCAGAAGCTGAGGAGCTATTGTCTTTGAGTATATATAAAAAAAGGAAACCTAAATTTCACATGGGTCTGTTACCCTAATAAGAAATTTCATGTAGTATCAGTGGCATCTGCTCCCCTGAACTTATGCTGATGGGGATGTGGATTTTTAACAAAGTAAAGCATCACAGGATTACAGACACCACCAAGGCCTTTACAGCACTAGAGGAGAAATATGTTCAAGAAAGTCAGCCTAAAAGATGAGTTATGGCCCAGTTTCCCTCTTAAATCAGATGATGTTACTGTAAAATGCACCAGCTTCTTTGGTTACGTCAACGATTTGCATCCACCTGCCTACTGCACAACTCCACTTAAATACCAAATAGGCATCTCAAACTCACCACGGCCCAAACTGAATTCCTAATTCCAACCCTCACTCCAAACCAACTCCTCCCCAGTCTTCTCCTTTCCGGTAAATAGTGATTCTGTACTTTCAGAGACTGGGGCCAAGACTTTGGTGACATCCTTGATTCATCTCATTCTCTCACACCCCACATTTAATCTGTCAGCAAATTCTACTGGCTCTACCTTAAAAATATATGAGGATTTGGCTACTTGTCCCCACCTCTGCTGCTACCACCCTGGTCCAAGCCACTATCATCTCTGCCTGGCATATGGAAATGGTCTGCCACATCGTCTCCCTATGTCTCATCTCCCCACACCCCAACCTAGTATGTTCTCCAAGCAAGCAGTATATTTCAAAAGCACAAGTTAGTTCCTGTCAGTGTCTCTTCAAAGTCCTCCAGTGGCGGTGGCTCATGCCTGTAATCCCAGCACTTTGGGAAGCCAAGGTGGGAGGATCACTTAAGGTTGGGAGTTTGAGACCAGCCTGACCAACATGGAGAAATCCCGTGTCTGCTAAAAATACAAAATTACCTGGGCATGGTGGTGCATGCCTGTAATCCCAGCTACTTGGGAGGCTGAGGCAGGAGAATCGTTTGAACCCGGGAGGCAGGGGTTGCGGTGAGCCAAGATTGCACCATTGCACTCCAGCCTGGGCAATAAGAATGAAACTCCGTCTCAAAAAAAAAAAAAAAAAAAGTCCTCCAGTGGCTTCTCACCTCACTCAGAGTAAAAGCCAGAGTCTTCATAATAGCTTTTGAGACCCTACATGTCCCACCCTCCCAATGTCATCTTGTACCACTCTTTTTCCTGCTTATTCTGCCTTAACCACACTGGCCTCCTTGCTATTCTTCAAACATTCCAGGCATTGTCCCACCTTAAAGCCTTTGCAAATGCTATTCCTCCTACAGAGAAAGGTCTTCTCCTGATAGCCTTGTGGCTTACTGACTCACCTCTTCCAGGGCTCTGTCCAAAATCACCTAGTCATTGAGGCCTTCCCTAATTACTCTGTTGAAAATAGCAGCCCTTCCCCCTGCCCTGTACCAATTTTCTTTTTTTCCATGATGCTCATCACCTCCTAACATAGTACATATTTCTCTTGAAAATCATCTACCTCTCCCACTTGAATGTAAGCTCCATGAAGGCAAGGGTTTTAGTCTTGTCTGTTCATTTCTGTATCCACAGCACCTAGAGAAGTATCTAGCACATAGTAGGTACTCAATAAATAACAGCTTCAGTGAATTAACAGAATGAATAGGGACTGTTCTGGGATAATGATATTCAATAAAGTGAAAAGAAAGGTGTATGTTTTAGAGCTAGGTAGCATATCAGAATTTACTTGATCCTAAAATCCAAATTAAAGCATCACATGCAAACTGAATCATAATTGGAGGTTAATTTATTTACTTGCCTAAGAACTTTAATCATAAGTTTTTAAGAAGAAAATGTAATGGTTTTAGCCAATGTCATGCTGACAGAGAATAATTTTAAATATTGGTCCCAATTTCTCTGGTAGGCTCTTTTTGTCCAGTAAAGAAGTAGGTGATAGGAGGAGTGTTGAAAATTGTCCTCTGTTGGCCCACCCAAGTGCATTCACTCATTCTTTCATTATCTGAATTAAACAAACAAGGAATCCTGAACTCATAGACTTTCGCATTCTACTGGGAGACACAAATAATAAATAAGATCTATAAAATATACAGAGTATGTTAAACTGTGTGCAATGCTAAGGATTTCTTTTTTTTCTTTTTTTTTTTTTTTTGAGATGGAGTCTTGCTCTGTCGCCCAGGCTGGAGTGCAGTGGCACGATCTCAGCTCACTGCAAGCTCTGCCTCCCGGGTTCATGCCATTCTCCTGCCTCAGCCTCCTGAGTAGCTGGGACTACAGGTGCCCGCCACCACGACCGGCTAATTTTTTGTATTTTTTTTTTTTAGTAGAGACGGGGTTTCACTGTGTTAGCCAGGATGGTTTCGATCTCCTGACCTCATGATCTGCCCGCCTCGGCCTCCCTGCTAAGGATTTCTTTTAAAGAAAGATAGGGAAAGCAAGCATAAATGGGAAAAAATTCAGGCTAAGGCAACAGGAAGTCCAAAAGCAAAGAGTCAGGAATGTGCCTGATTTTTATTTGACCATGTTAATTGCTATTTGGAGGCAAGTAAAGGACATTGACACTTAAAGCAGTGAGCACAGATTCTACCAAAGCGGTGGTTTTCAGACTTGAACTGCATCAGAATCTCCTGGAAGGCTTGTGAAAACACAGAGTGCTGAGCCTTACCTCAGAGTTTCTGGCTCAGCAGGTCTGGGACTAGGGCCAGAGAGTCTGCACTTCTAACAAGTTCCCGGTCATGCTGATGCTGCTGGTTCGGGGACCCCACTATAAGAACCCCTGGCCTAAAGATAGAAAATCTGAAACATCTAGTTGCAGTTTAAAATGCTCAGCTGTTTGGACACAGATGCTTGTTGGATGAGAACATACATAAAGCGTAATATATATGTGTAAATTTTAATATGTATGCAGAAGGATCCATTCCAAAAGAGCCAGGAATTGCCATATCTTTCTTCTTTAATCTCTTTTATGTCTTCAGATCTCCTTAACATGCCTGTCTTGCACCATACTGTATCCTCATCTCCCAGGCCTCTACACAAGGGCTTGGCACATGGTGAGTACTTTTGGCCTGAGTGGCCTAGGCCCAGAAAAAAAGAAGGCAAAGCCCTTCAAAGACTGATGTTTCCTGATCAACATTTTGTTAGGACTTTCCCAGCTGGATTCAGGAAAAGGTCTTTGTTTTCAACTCTTTTATTAAACTGATGTCTAAGCCCTTGTTGATACGATGTTGTGATCAAGGACTGAACCCGTGTCTTCTGAAGCCCCCTAATAAGCCTTAGGAAAACATCATAAAAACATGTATCTGTTGAAATAGATTTGGCATCATCCCTGGCCTCCTCCCAAACCCTCAAGGACACTTCAGAGCACACAAAAAGGGCAACCTGACAATCGTGGCTTCTCTGGAGTTTTTCCCCCCACCCCACACTGGGAAAATACCCTTGGAAATACCCTGGTGGAACACAGGATCCACTCCATTCCAGCTCTGTAGCTGCCTCCTCTTATCCCATAATACCTGAGGGCCTGGCGCATGCTCTGCTTTTATTCCCTGTTCCAGTGTGAAAGAGAAGATTTATATGCCAATCACATCATCATCACAGTGTGAGAGCTGCAAGAAAGAGCAGAAGCCCTGAATCAGATATGTGTTCCATAAGAGAGACCTTCAGCTCGCTACAATTAATCGATTATTTGAGATGTCTCAGTGTGGTCAGCTGCCAAAAACAACTGAACAGGAAAAATGCGATACTAATTTGAAGTAGAAAAATCCCCCTACTCACAGGCATTGCTGCTCTTTGTAGGGGCATTGTTATGTTTTTATGTTGTCTTAAGGGAAAGTGGAGGATGCAAATGAATTCTTTCAGGCTGAGAAATGCAGCAGCAGCACTCACTGTGGTCAGGGGAGCAGCAGTGAGCAGCAAGTATCAACAAAGAAAATAGAAGCTCAGATTTTATGTGGTTGTCTAAAACCAAAATGCTTAGATATTTGGTGCTATCAAGAGATCTCACTTGCTTTTCTCTCCCAATTGAGGTACAGAAAAAGACCTGAGCAGTGGTGTTACCAAATGTCACAGTAAGGCTTCATTTTACCTGCTTTGAAACTCTAGAAGGAAAAGCAACCAAATCAAGACAACCCTCTGATGGGGGAAGAATGGCATTCAGTATCTGACATCCCAAAGGGATTGAAGATCATAAGTGCCCAAAGATTATAAGTGCTATCTCCCCTGGAATCAGATGGGCCATGGAGGGGGTAGACGAACATGATCATTCTCATTCACAAAGAACCCTTATGGGACTATAACCCTTTACAGAGGTGAGCACTGAGAACAGAATCTCAAGGGAGGCCTGAGGAGGCTTGGGGAAAGCTGATTTCCAGAGTGAGTTCAAACCACTGGAATCAGAGTTCTTGTCTAATGGTGTTTAAAAGAGACCATGCATGGCCGGGACTACACCCTCGCAGTCAATCTGTTGATATGATTGACTGCCACAGCCTTGGCTGTGGTCATCAAATGAGCCTCAGCCCCAGGGCCTGAACCATAGCAGGGCAGTGGGCAGTGTGCATGCCCAGGGGAGAGGCTCAGGCTGCATACAAGGGGGCACATGGGAAGAACAAAAGATTTGATCCACCTTGGGAAACCTGCAGTAAAGGCGAAACCAGATCTAAAACAGGAGAGCCCTTGTCATTTCTGAGATGAGTCCTGTATCCCTGTCTGTCCCAGAATGTACAAAGGACAATGGCTTGGCCCAAGTTGTGGGGACCCTCTGTCCCTAGATGGCTTGAAACCATGTCAGGCTCACAGTGCCTGCTAAAGAGACTCATAAGATGGAGATGCAATAGGGAAGGCAAAGTCAATTTTAATATGGGAACACTGGGTTCTAGTTCTGGACCTGCCACCCAGGTATCATGTGATCCTGGACACATCACCCCTCTAATGACTGGATTCCTTCTCCTAGAATGAGGGGTGACTAATGTGACTTTTAAGGTCTCTTTCATCTTTAACATGCTATAATTTCATAATGTGAAAACATTCAGAAGAGACTGAATGGACTGGATGTGCTAGAAGGGACTGGATGATCCAGAAGGGACAGGATGAACTAGATATGCTAGAAACATCAATAAGTTTTAAAGCCATGTGATCTCTTCATCTTATCCCCTTTTGTCCCTGAAGTTTGGGGAATAGAAGAGCCACAGCTTCATTTTATACGGAGTATTAATTTCTACAATAAGAACACAAAGTAAAAATTCCATACTGTGAAAATAACCTTTGAAAAGCACTTTACATTGTCCACAATAAACAATATAGGTAGTTTTGTATATACAGTGCAACCCTGCATAGTAATATGTATTTCTATATGTACATTTAAAGTACACAGTGATGGAGAATATTTAATAAAGGGTAGATGCAAAATATAATTTCAAGTATTTTAAATTATGTGGGACAGACAGAAAGATTAAGATGGAAGAGTGTAGCAATGCATGTAGTGAAATTTGCACAAGTTAAACGCCTGTGGAACTGGTTTATTTAAAAGGCTGAACTTGACTGGGTATAAATAGGAAGTGGCTGTATTTTCCATCACTCCTTTTAACCTTGTTACGTCAACCAAGTCTCCCTGCCTCCTGAAAGCATCTTAAACAAATCTTGTGACCTTTAGGCCAATTTAAGAAGTCCCATTCTGGTATTCCAAACTCTAATCTAAGTCAATACTTCAATTTCATATCCAATTCAAAGCTTCTCCCCTTTCCCTGGCTCAGGCCTGACCCCTGGCTCAGAGAACTTATTTTAGGGATCAGAAACCTTAACAGTTCCTTCTACACTTTCTTGCATGGTTCAGCCACTTAGCTAAACTGAAACTACATTTCCCATGAGTTAGGGTGGAGCACAAGAGAAATTTGCACTAGACAAAAGTGAAGGAATCACCATTTTGTGCTCTGAAGGTAGAAGCAGAGTGCCAGGCACTGCAGCCAGCTTGCAGACATTGCTGCTGATCTGCTTATTCCCCTTGTTGGTGTGGGCAGCACCCAGGCCCACAGTTTCTCCAACTCCAATGAGATCCTCTCCTTTAGCTTCTCTAAGTCCTGGGCCAGGCATGTGTGCTGCTCTATAGCAGACAGTGCCAGCTTCTCCCACAGGTCACCCTTTTCATTAGAGTTGAGGGAGCTGAAAGTTCCAATTTGACCTCACATGTTCCAATTTGTCCTTGCTGTCTCTCACTTTCATATCCAGTTGCCTTTCCTGACCATCTGGCCTGGCTGACCTATAAAGACATCGGCCCCAACAGCAGACACAGAGCAACAGTTGCACACAGATTTCTCTACCAGTTCCCACAATGTGTAAGGTCTAATTCCTATAACAGATCACTCATTCTATGTCACTCATAGTAATTCTGCTCTTCTCATGGGACCCATGTTGATATACTACCCCTTCTTCCATATTATGCTTGCTTCTCTGAAATAGAAAAATTATTGGACGAGGCAATATCTCATTTCAATGGTGCTATTGTAACATGCCTCTGTCATAGCAACCATTCAAGCACTGGTTTTTCTAAGGGATGCAGATGCAAGGGGAATGTGCTCTTTGAATAGTCTGCATGGAGCTCTGGGTGGCAGTTTCCTGACTCTGATAACACACTCTAACTGATCAGTTCTGAGCTCCTCAGCTTTTGCACCCAAAAGAAAACCTGAAGCCTCTTATTTCCAGGATCCCCTTGCCCCAGCAGGCCACTCTCTTGGATAGGGTCCCTGAAAGATGACTCCAGCTACCTTGCCCACAGTCCTCTTGGCCCCCAGGAACTGCATCCTGCCTACTAAGTGGCAAGAATACTCACCTGTCTGGGCCCCCTACCTTTGCACTGCTCTTGTGGCTTCCTTAGCCAACCTTTCCCTTTAGACTTCCCCAGGTGAGAAGCAGGCGTCAGTCTCTTTGATCCCCAGTACTTCTAAATTCCAAGGGAGGCATATACATCTCTCTCAAGAGCAGCATGAGAGTGCTTTTGTTCCAGCCCAAGAAGACACTGGAATGGCTGGAGAAAAGCCAAGCACTTAGTGTTTCCTTAAATCCCCTTCTAGAATTTCTAGTGTCATCTCAAATATGCTGCTGGGGGTGATAGTCGCTAGATGGTTTTTGTTAAATTGTAATGAATTCTACATATGTTCTTTGGGGGGGTTTAATCACCTATTTTACTTGGCTTTCAGTCTCCAGGTGTATTCAAAATCCTTATACTATCCCCTCCTAACCTCAGAATTAGGGAAGACTGTCCTTAAAATTAATCAGATTAGTCTACTCCATGGTATTATTTTAGGAATCCTAAGAAGGTCTACCTGCCCAAATAGTTTCCCCTCTCTTTCCTTCTATGATGCCTTAGACACCTCCATTAGAAACACATTTCACCTGATTTGACAGATTAGACCCAAAAGAGTCCTTAGGAATGCCTTCAAAGCTATTATCCTGTATCAACACTTTGGCATGGATAAATTAGTCAGATTGCTTTCTAGAGAGACAACTGGTTGAGTAGCAAGCATGAAATTCAACACAAGTGTCTTGGTCAGCTCACTATAAGAACAAATCAGAGACTGGGTAGCTTATAGACAACAGAAATTTATTTCTCACAGTCTGGAGGCTGAAGTCGGAGATCAGGGTGCCTGCATGGTCAGGTTCTGTGTCTTGTGAGGGCCTGATTCCTGGTTTATAGATGGCTATCTTCTCACTGTGTCCTCAGATGGTGGAAGGGATAAACAAGCTCCCTCGGGCTTCTTTATAAGGGCACATATCTCATTCATGAGGGCTCCACCCTCATGATCTAGTCACCTCCCAAAGGCCTCCCCTCTTAATATCATCACATTGAGGGTTAGGATTCCAACATCGAAATTTTGAGGTGACAGAAACATACAGCTCATAGCAACAGGTAAGTTTTGATGAGAGAAAGCTAAGTCTGTACCAAAGGCAATTTGAGGTGTCAAGACAGACTGAGTCATCAGGGACCAGCATGAGAACCCTGGAGCCAAAACCAGGAGGGCAAAGAAAGATGCTGAAAAGGTATAAAGAAAGATAAGGTTCCCCCAGTCACACTTTTCTAAGTAGTCTTTGATGCAAAGAATACCATATGTTCTAAGTAAATGCTAATGTAATAAACAGTTGTTTAAGGCCATAAAATCTCATTTTTGAGAATAAAATGTTTGAACACCCCTTTAAACCTTACATCTATGGCTGTCTCTCTTCATTCCAACACTTGTTCCCCCAAATTAATTCATTATCTAATGGATATTTGAACCAAAGTGCTAAAAATTTTAGAAGCTAGTTTATTTGGCACTGGGATGTGAGTTCATGGAAAATTCATTTCTTGGGGGACCTCTGCTTATCTTAACTACAGAAATAAGAGGAATTAGACTTAGACCCATAATGTTATCTTTTTACTCATTATTTCTCACACTGACATGGAGGAAGAGAGAATTGAACAAAGATAACATGGACCACGGTAGTGGTTCTCAAACTTGAATGGGCATCAGAATCACATAGAAGCTTGATGAAAACACAAATTTCCAGGCCCCAAACCAAAAGATTCTGTTTCAGTAGATTGGGACTATACCATGAAAAATGCTGAGCTAGAGCTTACAAAAGTGGGCCCCTATATCTGCCCAGTGCCATCTTCTCTGCACTTCCACACACACACACACACACACACACACACACACACACACACACACACATTAATCGGTCATCTTGTTGAACTTCCTACATAACATCTTTGGGTCCTTTTTCAGTGTATATGAATACTCCCAAAAGTGTGGGTCCTGACAAGTTTTCTTGCTTTACCTCTATTTGTCCTACCCAGTGCTACTCAGTGGCACCTCCAGGAAGGGTTTGTGGACTTGTCTCTCCATGATAGACTCTCATTAACCAAATCCCTCAGTGAAATTGGTATGTAAAATTGGAATGCCAGATTACTGATTTATTTTAAAAAGAAAATCTGTCCTCAGGTGGGGCTGGACTCTTGCCTTCACTGCATTCTTTCCTGCTGTAGTTTGGATATGGATTGTTTGTCCTCGCCAAACATCATGTTGAAATTTGATCCATAACATTGGAGGTGGGGCTAATGGGAAGTGTTTAGGGCATGGGGGCAGATCCCTTATGAATAGATTAATGCCCTCCCTGGAGGGAGTGGGGAAGGAGTTCTTACTCAATTAGTTCCCACAAGAACTGATTGTTAAAAAGAGCCTGGCACCTCCCCAGTCTCTCTCTTGCTTCCTGTCTTTCCATGTGACCTGTGCACATGCCAGCTTCCCTTCATCTTCTACCATGAGTGGAAGCAGCCTGAGGCCCTCCCCAGACGCATACAAGGGCCATGCTTCTTGTAAAGCCTGAAGAACTGTGAGTCAAATAAACCTGTCTTCTTTATAAATTACTCAGCCTCAGGTATTTCTTTATAGCAATACAAATGGACTAAAACATCTCCCTAGAAGAAATCTGCATGGGAAACAGATTATAATCAACAGTTTGCTTACTTGATGTGGAATTGGGCAAGGGCTTTGGGTAAAGAAATCACTAGTGGGCACCATGAGGTTAAGAGTGTCAAGGGTCTCTGTCCACACAATTGAGATCTACTTCCCACCAGGACCCAATGGGATAGGGCAACCTCTACCCTGGACAACACTTGGAGAAGAACTGCTGTTAGTCTCAGTGATATGCCCTTGTCTATGTGCCCATAAAGGGACCAACTTGTCTTCTGGTGGGTACACACCCTCTTTAGAGTCATAAAATAAATATCTGTTGTACTATTAATTAACTCATAATAATGGAATCCCTTCAATCTGTACACGTTATGTGATGGTTTATAGACCTAGAAGTCATCCTGTTTCTTTAAGGGAAATTTTCTCTCTAAGACTTAAACGATAACATGTAAAAGATCAAAGGAAAGAGATGTAATCTGTCTTTCATTCATTCTTGGAAGCAAATTTAAGTTCTGGCTTACAACAGTTTCGAGGTTCCATCCCCAAGGACACAGAAAGAATAAGAACATTTCTGGCTGTGGGTGAAGAAGTAGGGTGAAAGCAACCACTTTCTATAGGTGGTCCCTGTAGCTGTGTAGCCAGAGACAAATAAAGGGAACTGGAAGGACATTCCTAAAGTTCTTCAGAGGGCCTCCTGAGTCATCAGAGATAGACAAAGTATATGGCCAAGTTACTGGTTTGACTTTGCATTTGGCTTTGATACTTTTCAAGTTTCTACAAAATGACATTTTGTTACATCAAAATTATAATCTTTCCATTTTATTCTCAAAATGATAGATTATAGCAATTATGCAAAGAGAGAAGATTCATTAGTAAATGCAGTAGGTGAGATATACATTTATAGGCCTAAGTACCTTTAAAGGGACAGATATTTAGTAAAGGGCAAGGGTGAATGAAAGCCCTCCTCCTCACGCTGACCCTGAGCCCCTCATTTCCTTTGTGATGGTGAGAAATCCTTAACTCTAGACTGGGGCCCTATGCATAGCTCCCTGTCACTACTCACCAGCCTGGCCTAGAGCCCACAGGCATAAGTATTTGGAAGTTTTTATTGGTGTTATTTTGTGTCATCAGAGATGACACGTCATTACCCAGAAAATACAGGGCAAAAAGTGACTCTCAGAATCACACCAGAAACACTTCGTTTCTAGTACATAATAGAAATTAGGGTCAAATACCAGCTACTGTCAACAGGATCTGAAATCAAGAGTTTTTTAAGACCATGGTTACAGACATCACCACCTCCCTCACCCCAAACACTTTCAAAATCTGCTTGCTCTTTCAGCAGTCGATGCCTAGCCAGTCACTGTGTGCTGGAAGCTGCCATGCAGGGACCAAGCCCTTATTCAGGTTTTAATCTAAAACCAGTAACATTGGTATCTACTAAGGTTTATCCCATGGCACAATTTTCATCCCCCACAACAACCCTCTTTTGTGCAGACAGATAATAAAAGATCATCTCGCCTGTGATTCTAGGACCAAAGGGATGAATTATCCTTCAAGTTTACTGTGTATTTGAATTAAGATTCTACTTGGCTTTGTCAATAACTAAGGCACATCTACAGTTGAAACATGCAAAAAAACAGTTAAAAGGGTTTTCTATTCAGCACAGAGGAAGAGCCTTGCTTCTAATTCATATTCTGGCATCAACTTTCTATGTGCAGACAATTTCCCCTCTCTGCACCTCTGTTCTCTTGCTCAAAAAATACAGAGATTAGCCTGGGTGATCTTTAAAGCCTCTTTCCAACTGTAATAATCGTGTTTCTATAAAATAAAGGCTAATACAGAAGACTCATAATATTAATGGTCGTGAAGTACTTGGAACTTAGCAACGTTTAGCCCTTTCAACATGATCTAATGATGTCTCATGTAATCCTCCCACCTACCCTGTGAGGGATACATTGTTGATTCCATTATTCCGGTTACTATTACAGCTTAAAACATTTTTAATAGTAACAAAAAGTATGAACAGTATAGCTATATAAATAAAGATAACAAAATATTAAAAGTATTTTTGTTTAAAGATAAAATGATTATAAGGTACAGTTTCTGATGGTCAATAATTTAAGTGGCTCTCCTGGGCTGTCTAGCTCGGGGTCTTTCAAGTAGTCACAGTCATACAGTGACTGAGCTGGAACTGCAGGAGTCAGTTTCAGCTCTTCTGAACTCAGAAACCAGGGGCTGACTGAGCATCTCTCTCTGTTCATGTATAGTCTATTCTCATTATTTGTGGTAGTTATGTTCTATAAAGTCACCTTGAACACTAAATGAGCAAATACCCAACCATCATTCCTAGGGGAAATACAGGATTAGGTTCCTGCAAGTCCCTGGTCACAATGTTTTCATCAAGTGATCAATACATAACCTTGTTTAGTGTATGTTTCTGTTAAAGACACTTTATTTTATAGATAGATAGATAGATACACAAAATATATATTGTTAATTCATTAACATTGGATTCACAGTCAACAGAACTATAACTCATGGCAGAGCAAAGTTTATCGAACATATGTATTTTCTCCGTAAAGCACAGCACTCTCTTCCTGAGCTCAGAAACACTAGACAGTACTCCAGCATTATGCTTGGGGGCCATTTTCAACAGCAAAATCACCAACTAAAAGTACAAAATGCAAAAAATACGACTAAATAGACTTTGAAAATGTCACCTGTTTATAGTATGAGAGCTGATATAAGAAGGCAGGGTATCATCTTGTTTGATCTCAGCTCAGAATGTGCACATCAGGTGACTCAAATCATTCACCACTCTACACATGTCTACAGATAACCTTGAAAGTACAGCATGTATTGATTTCGGATTACAAATAAATTTTAGTGACTAGGCAGATTTGCAAATACAGAAGCTGTGAATAATAAGAATCAAGTATATTTTCAGAGCTTCTCCATATGGTTTCTCACATGAGCTCATGTGGGCTTCCTCACAGTCTAGTGGGCTCTGGGCAGCCAGGCAACTTTCATGGCTGCTCAGGGCTCCAGTGTGAGTGTTCCATCCAGGAAGGCAGAAGCTGTATCACCTTTCCTGATCTGACTTCTAAAGTCATGCAGCATTATTTCCACTGCATTCAACTGGTTACAGGCAAGTCATGAACTTGTCCAGATTCAAAAGAAAGGGACATAGAACCCATCTCTTGAGTAAGAAGGTTCTAGAAGAGCATGTGAAATGGGAGAAATTGTTGTGGTCATCATTGGAAAATGTAATTTGCTATACCCATTTTACAGACAAGGAAATTGAGGTTTGGAAAGTTAAATAACTTACTTAATGTCACACAGCTGACATGTAGCAGAGCCAGAATTTGAACCTAGACCTCTCTGACTCCAAAGCCTGTGCCCTGACCACCCTAAACCCTGCTCCACATAGCATAACTTTGGTTTTTAATCTATAGTTTCAACACAGTGCAAACTAGAAAGCAGCAGCATGGCTGAGCAAAGGGCTTGATGAAACAGATGGAATTTTAGGAGGAATCTATAGAAAGGAAAAGAAGTTGCTTGGCAACTGCTGTTGAGGAGATTGCTCAAAGCATAAAGGTGAATTTGAAGAAGCCAAGAGAAATGCAATAAAGGTCAACCCCAAGCAAGGATTTAGCTTAGGCATGGTATGAAGGAGGTCTAAAAGAGAAATGACAAGTCCTGAGATCTGGCAAAGCACACAGAAAAGCAGTGGGATTTTGGACACCAGAAGCAGAACAGCCACCCACAGGTGAGCTGTTCAGCACAGAATGACCATAAGGACATTCAGAAAATTCTATCATAAGACAAGCCTCTATTTCACCAATCATTTGAGAGGCAGAGTCTGGCTCTGGGGCCCCCAGAATAAACTGGGAAACTGAGAACTATGCTGTAGAATTCAGGGTCTTGCAGAAGACCCTCTCCTAGTGCCTTTGCCTGTAAAATGGGGGAGGGGGAGGTACCTGCCCCTTGGTGAAACAAGTTATACAAGCTAGAACTGCATTTTCCAAGGACAATTCTTTCTCAGTTCAGGCAAAGCAGCCTATTGATAGGGCAAGCCAGGGACCACCACCTTCATTACACCAGTTAACAGTGATAAGTGATAAGCTCTGATGTAATTTCTCCCTTGAAGATAATTATTTTAACAATTAGATGACATTACCATTATCAACACTCAACCAAGTATCTCAGCATGAAGGAGGGAGTCCTAACACCAGTGGAAACTTAAAAATACAAAACCTCTGGCAAGGGGGTTCATGGGGGCCATCCTCCTGATGAGAATTCTCCCTGAATCTCAGAGGCCCCACTACTCTTCTTGGCTGATCAAAATTCATTTTCTCCTTCTTACTGATTATTCTAGCTTTCTATTGCTGTGCAACAACTTGTCAAACAAGTGACTTAAAAACAACCATTTGCTTTTGTTCATAACTTTGTGGTTCAGGAATTTGAGAAGGGCTTATATAAGTAGTCCTTGCTTGGGGTTTCTCATGGGGTTGCAGTCACATGCCAGCTGGAGCTGTAGTCCTCTGGTGGCTCAACTGGACTGGATATCCGAGATGGCACACACATAGGCTGGCATTGACACTGCTACTGGCCAGGAGCTCAGCTGGGGATGTTGTCTAGAGCACCTACGTGTGGCATCTCCAGGATGGCAGCCTCAAGATGTTCAGACTTCTAATATGGCAACTGGCTTCTTCCAGAGTGTCCCAAGAAAGTCAAGCAGAAGCTGCAAGGCCTTCTATGTCCTAGTTTCGGAAGTCACTTCCACCAAACACTATTAGTCGACACAATCACAAGCAATCAGATTCAAGGGAAGGGGCATAGACATCACCTCCTGATAACAGGAGTATCAAAGATTTTGAAGGCTGTGTTTTAAAACTTCCTATTATATGTTGAATTGTGCTCTCCCAAAAGATGTTGAAATCCTAACCTGCAGTATCTGTGAATGTACCTTATTTGGAAATAAAGTCTTTGCAGATGATCAAGTTAAAATGAGGTCATTGGGAGGAGCCCTAATCCAATATGATTACGTCCTTATAAAAAGGAGAAATTTGGACACAGAGACAGACATGTCCTGAGGGAGAACATCATGTGAAAGTGAAGGTGATGATCAGGTGATGCACCTACAAACCGAAGGATACCAAAGATTGCCCCGAAACTACCAGGAGCTAGGAGAGAGGCATGGAACAGGTTCTCCGCACAGCCTTCAGAAGGAACCAACCCTGCTAATACCTTGATTTCAGACTGTTAGCCTCCAGAATTGTGAGACAATGCATTTCTGCCATTTAAGTTTGGGATACTTTGTTATGGGAGCCCTGGAAAACTAATACATTCTCATACAGGCTAAAAGAATCCTGATTTTGTTTAAGAGGGCAACAAGCCCAGGTGAAAACATATATTTCCCCAAACTCCCTTGCTGCTTAGAGATAGCCGTGTGACACTAACCTGTCAGGGATTTCTGGAAAAGCCTTGCTTATACAATAAAAGGCCATCTTTTTTTCTGTCTCAATTTTTTGTTCTTACTGTCTGTAATGTGGACGTGAGGTATAAAAACAGATCAGCCATCTTGCGACTGCTTGTGAGGACGGAAGCAGATCAGGAAGACGGAAGGAACCTGAGTCTCTGACAGCAGCCCTCTCAGCTCCACAAATAAGTCTCCATTGATTGTGTGATCCAGGCACTATTCTAGGTGCTGGGGACACTGACTCCCCATCCTCCTCTAGTGATCTGTCCTTAACTTCATTGGTAGATCATTTCAACTTACCAAGATAAATGCAGGAATAAAAGTGTAGATGTGATGTTATGAACTCCCACAGGGAAGCCTCCTACCCAGCCTGCCAGAAGAACTTCCTGGAGCTCCCCACAGGGAGGAACACAAGACATGTGCAGCCTAAAAGTCTATCAGCCTCTGGGGTATGTCCTCCTCTCCCTCAACAAGAAACACACCTTCCTGGTATATCAGATGGTCAGAGCA
The DNA here is from genome assembly GCF_000001405.40 of Homo sapiens. NCBI lineage: Eukaryota > Metazoa > Chordata > Mammalia > Primates > Hominidae > Homo > Homo sapiens. Next base: position 42,177,049 of record NC_000023.11, on the reverse strand, counting down.
GGGCTCTCAGAAGCCCCGGAGTGCTGAGCACAGCGCAGCTTGGGCTGCCTGCAGTTCTCATGGCAGCCACTACCTCAGGATGCCTAGCAACCAGCCTGTCCTGGGAGACACCTCGGGCTGCCATGGAGTAGCCAAGCTGCCACTGTTCTCAAGAGGGCTAATCAACGGAAATCTGAAAGAAGCCACGCCATGGATAAAACCGAGCCAGCCCAGAACCTGGCTGCTTGCTAACTTCCCTTCTGCAGGATGCCCATTACCTGCAGGATGCCCATTACCTATCCAGGACTGCCCATCTGCAGTCATCCCATTTCTCGTCATCAATCACCAAAATCCAGAGTCAGAAGCCTCAGCTGCAGCAGCAACGTGACTTCCAGGGTTTTCTGCAGAAAACTAGGACGCTAGGTTTCTTGCTGAACTGGGTATGGCTTTCCTCATGCCATAGGTAACCCAGCCAGATTGTCAGTGTGGACCTAAGGAGCCTGAGAGAGGAGGTTACCTGAGAAAGTTCACCACTCTCCAGAACTTCTGCCAGTCCAAGGACATTGACACCCTCCATAGCACTAGCCAACATGCATACCTCCTTTCAGAAGCAACAGCTTACCAGAACCTGTGGGAAAACTCTGCTCATGACTTCACTTCCAGAATCTCACCTCCCTCTGAGAATAAGTATAAGTGAGGTCCTCTGAACAGCAGAAGGATGAATGTGGGTTTCCATAGTCCCTTGGCCAACAAATGTAAAGACAATGAAGGCCAGAGTGGGGTCAAATGTCAGCCACACAGACCTGTCTTGCAATCTCTAGTTGTATGGCCTTGCACAAGTTACTGAAACTCTCTGAGCCACAATTTGTTCAACTATAAAATGAGATAATAAAGCCATTATAGTCATTGAGGGGATTAAACAAGAACATTTTTATACAGTGTTGTCATGAGAAAAACTTGGGACTGTAACACCTGCTCCTGCCTCCCAAACTGGGAAGGTGCTAAGAGACCAAAGAATGACTCGGACAAGTCCAGCTTGGCGAGTAGATGACTTTATTAAGACTAGATGTGGGACACTCCTGGGTGGCAGCAGGACAGCTGTAGAGCCACATATCACTTTCTGTCTCTAAGCTGCTTTTAAGCTGATTTTCTGGCTCTTTGCCTACTGTGTGTGTGTGTGTAATGGGACTGTTTTTCTTGGTAGGTTCTCAGATACCCTCTGGGATGTCTGGGTTCTTGGAAACACCTGTCCCTCAGCTGGGTACCATGGCCTTAGCTCCTGGCCTAGCTTTTAGGGCTCAAGCAGCGGGCATATACCCTTAAGTAACCTGGTGGGGGACACATCACAATATGAGTGTCTAGCATGCTACCTGTCACGTAGCAGTAGGGATTCGACAACCAGTGGTCTCCTTCCCTCCTTCCCTTGTCAAAGCTGTGATTTCTGAAGTCTTCTAGGGAAAGAAGCAATGAGGAATTGATTGGAGGTGCCCTTCTGTGTCCCTTGCAGAATGAAGTTCATGTTGTCTCCTATATATGTACCCCACAGCATGTGCCATGGTACTTACCTGTGGTACACACCCAGAGATACAGTAATGAAGGAGTAAAGATGAGCAAAGGGAGAGCAAAGGTGGAGGATGAGAAAGACAGTCTCCTCCAAATGGCATTTGCTGTTCAAGAACACTTTTGAAGCTGGGATAAAACCAGTGGTGCAGTGAGCTGGCAATAAAATTCAGCTCTCCCTAGCATGCTGAATACAGCCCAATATTTTCCCCACAGGCAGAGTGAAAGAAAACCGCAGCATCCCCCAGACTTTGGAAGGATAGTGGGCAGAGGGCAGCAGCAGGCACACCCGAAAGGGAGCCTCAAGCCCTCAGGATATTCACATGCAGCCAAGCCCTCCCTCTGCTAGCCTTCTCCGCTTATCCTTATACATGGTTCCCTTTCCCTTGTCATTTTCACTACCACCATCTCAGCCCTCATTTCTCCTCCCCAACCCCAAGAGCGCCTCTGTCCAAGCTGCTCTGCCAGCCTTCCCCGTGCCTCTCAGATTCATTGTCCTCATGGCATCTGATCATGGCAAAACACTCACATTTTATAAGATTTTGAAAAATAATACTCAAAATGTTTAATCATCATAAGAAAATTTGACAACTAAAAATGAGCTCCCTCACAAATTTTAATGGAACTATATCCCCCAGAGATAAGGAAATCAAGGCAGGGAGAGACTCAGTCACTTTTGTAGGAATACTCATCTATAAAGCAGTAGATTCGGGATTCAATGCCAAGCAGCCTCTTCCAAAGATGCGCTCCTAACCACTGTGTATTCTGCCTCTGAGATAAAAACAAAATTGAAAAGGAGGTTTGGGGTCAAGTTGTAGATCATGGATCAAACGCCATCCTCAGAAATTGTTATCTTGTTCTATTGATACAAAAAGTCATTGCAGGCTCAGGAGAAGAGTGTGGTAAAGCCAGAGCTGTCTTACAGGAGATGGGGGCACCACATTTCTGGAGGGTAATATGGTAAGTGGTATGAATGCAAAGGCCTACAAGGAGCTTTTTGATGCATTAATCTCAGTTTTAAACATTTATATGTAGAAAATAATTGGAGAAATGTATAAGAATATATGTATGGGTATGTGTGCTCACGGCAATAATATTTCAAATAGCAAGAAAAAAAGAGGATCTGTGCTTGCTTCCGCAGCACATATACTAGAATTGGAAAGATACAGAGAAGATTAGCATGGCCCCTGTGCAAGGATGACATGCAAATTCGTGAAGTGTTCCATATTTTTACAAACCTGACAAAAATAAGCAATGGGGAAAGGATTCCCTATTTAATAAATGGTGTTGGGAAAACTGGCTAGCCATATGCAGAAAACTGAAACTGGACCCCTTCCTTACATCTTATACAAAAATTAACTCAAGATGGATTAAAGACTTAAATGTAAAACCTAAAACCATAAAAACCCTAGAAGAAAACCTAGGCAATACCATTCAGGACATAGGCATGGGCAAGGACTTCATGGCTAAAACACCAAAAGCAATGGCAACAAAAGCCAAAATAGACAAATGGGATCTAATTAAACTAAACAGCTTCTGCACAGCAAAAGAAACTATCATCAGAGTGAACAGGTAACCTACAGAAAGGGAGAAAATGTTTGTAATCTATCCATCTGACAAAGGGATAATATCCAGAATCTACAACGAACTTAAACAAATTTACAAGAAAAAACCGAACAGCCCCATCAAAAAGTGGGTGAAGGATATAAACAGACACTTCTCAAAAGAAGACATTTATGCAGCCAACAAACATATGAAAAAAGCTCATCATCACTGGTCATTAGAGAAATGCAAATCAAAACCACAATGAGATACCATCTCACACCAGTTAGAATGGCTATCATTAAAAAGTCAGGAAACAACAGATGCTGGAGAGGATGTAGAGAAATAGGAATGCTTTTACACTGTTGGTGGGAGTGTAAACTAGTTCAACCATTGTGGAAGACAGTGTGATAATTCTAGGATCTAGAACCAGAAGTACCATTTGACCCAGCCATCCCATTACTGGGTATATACCCAAAGGATTATAAATCATTCTACTCTAAAGACACAGGCACACATATGTTTATTGCAGCACTATTCACAATAGCAAAGACTTGTAACCAACTCAGATGCCCATCAGTGATAGACTGGATAAAGAAAATATGGCACATATACACCATGGAATACTATGCAGCCATAAAAAATGATGAGTTCATGTCCTTTGCAGGGACATGGATGAAGCGAGAAACCATCCTTCTCAGCAAACTAACACAGGAACAGAAAACCAAACACCGCATGTTCTCACTCATAGGTGGGAGTTGAACAGTGAGAACACATGGACACAGGGAGGGGAACATCACACAATGGGGCCTGTCAGGGGGTGGGGGGCTAGAGGAGGAATATCATTAGGAGAAATACCTAATATAGATGATGGGTTGATGGGTGCAGCAAACCACCATGGCACATGTATACCTATGTAACAAACCTGCACGTCTGCACATATATCGCAGAACTTAAAGTATAATAAAAATTTTTTAAAAACAAAAAAAGAGGATCTAATCTATATGTCCACAGTCGTCTGCACATTCCAGGTATTTCCACACCTTCATATTACCACCTTGCTGGTGTTCAGCCTGCGGTGCCCTTGTCCCACTTCTCTATTCAGCAAATTCCCACTCAGCCTTCGTGGCCCAAGGCAAATCCCTCCACCTCCGTATACACCTTCCTGGATCCCCTGAGTTGAAATTGATTACCCCTCCCCCTCTTGGCCCCAGATTGCTTTACCAGCACACCAAGTATATCTCTTTCATTTTCCTTTATTTTGAGTTTTATCAGTATCTGGCTTTCACCATAGGCAGTTTCTGTCCTCATATAGCCCTCTATGTCTAATCCCCCACTCCCTGCCCCATGCTGCCTGACACATAGCAGGTACTCACTGACACCGAATTGAATTGTTTATGCCTTTACTTATACAGTGCATCATAATTTAGAAGGCACATTCGGATATTAAACTTTGATTTTTACCACATTAAAAAGCAGCAGAAGTAAATATTTTGCTCCCATTTTAGAGGCAAGAAAACTGGGGCTCATAATGGAGTTTTCCAAAGTCCACACAGACAGTGGGGATAGATGCAGGTGTAACTTTGGCCTTCTGACTTGAGTGCAGTGATCTCTCCATGACACTAAGGGGGGAATGGGCCCTGGGGCACCTTATAGCAGGCTTCCCAGCCACCTTCACTGTGAGGAGACCTTATGATGTCCAAGGAAGTAGGAAGAGGTCTTCTAAGGAGTCAGACCTCTTGAAATGAAGCAATTTATCCACCTCCCATCCTAACTATCACTGCTCCTCACACAACCCTTCAAGGCTTGTTCAGAACCTAAGTTCATCCCCAGTGCATACACCCAGCCTTAATTTTTGAAATGGTTCAGAGTGGCCTAACTCATTGCTAGGGTTCTTAGAAGTCCCCATCTTCCATGTCCATCAGGCAACCCCCTTAGCACCTGTATAAGTTTGCTTTCTCCAATACCCTCACCTAACTTTGGCCCAAGCCTAAACCTGGACTTTATTCTTCAGCGGGGCCTGAGACATCAGCAAAGCAAAACAACTTTCCTCCAGGCTAGGACAGACCCCGCCCAACACCAACTCATGGTCTCTCAGATCAGGTCCTCAAAGTGCTCCTATGCCCATATGCCTTGGAAGACTACTCCAATTGTCCGCTAAAAAAAACCCCAGCACATTGTCTGAGAACCTTTCCAACCACTCAAATATATGTGAAGACTTTCCATCCAGTATGCAAAAGGATTTCAAGGGATTCAATTTTCAGAATTTCTCTCCTGACATCTGCCTGAGGACACACTTGTGATGGATAGGCAGACCCACCTTTCCTACTCCCTTTTTCACAATTTCCCTCCCCGACTCTACCGAATAAAAGGCCCACCTCTCACCCTTCTGGAATCTTCCACTGGTGCACTGCCCTGGGCACTAAAAATGTTTTAGGTATCAAACAGAGGCATAATTTCGCATTTGGGCTAGCATTGACAATGCGAATAACTCTAACCACTGTGTCCAATTCTTTATTTTCACCAAAACTGCTGAGAGACCTATGAATGTCATCAGCTGATCATTAAAATTAATTTTTGGACTGGGCATGGTGGCTCACACCTGTAATCCCAGCACATTGAGAGGCCAAAGCAGGAGGATCGCTTGAGCCCAGGAATTTGAGGCCAGCCTAGGCAAAATAGTGGACCCTGTCTCTACAAAAAATTTTTTAAAAAATTAACCAGGCATGGTGGTGCATGCCTGTAGTCTCAGCTACTTGGGGGGCTGAGATGGGAGAATTGCTTGAGCCTGAGAGGTCAAGGCTGCAGTGAGCCAAGATTGTACCACTTCTCTCTAGCCTGGGTGACAGAGCAAGACCCTGCCTCCAAAAAATTTGTAATAGTTTATTATAGTATCTTTGACATATGATGCAGAAGGAGTTTCAAGACCAAAATGATGCTACCATAATAAAATTCTTTCTACTCCAATATGCATATTTATGTGAACAAGCACTTAAACCTATAAGTATGAAAAATGGGAACATAGTGTGATGCTGAACTCTTTCTAGCAGTAAGTGACATTCATCCACAGATATAGCTTATAAAGAGATGCATTTCCAATAAAATTTTACTTTTATATTTACTAATTATTTCATTTATGAAAATTGCATATATATTTGTGTTGTTTGATATATAATAATTATAACCAATAATACAGTAAAGATAACTCAGTTGGATACTAATAATATAGTACTGGTAACTTCATCAAGAAGAGATTTTTCTTAACACTTAGAGTCCTATTGTCCCTAATTTATTTTCTGTGACATGAAAATCTCCCCTGAAATCTAGGCATGTTTATCCAGTTGCTTATGTGATACTTCTACTGGGATATCTAATAGATATCTCAAACTTGACATGTCCAGAATCATACTTCTGATACGCCTCCTCAAATCAGCTCTTCCTACTCGCTTCCCCAGCTCACTTAAGGCATTCACATTCTTTTAGCCACTCAGATTGAAAACCTTAAAGTTGTCCTTGACTCCAGAGGCTGCCATGAGAATGTGTCTCACAGGCCTCCTACACAGGAAATGTAATTGACCAAAAGCCCCAGATGCTGTGCTTGAAGTCTATCACTGCATTCATACTGAGGTCATCTCTTCCAGGGGCTGCTCCCTACCAACAGTTGACTGTGGCAGAGATGCTAAGACCTATTCCTGGGAGACGCAGGACTCCTTTGTTGGCCAACCATTCTCCAAAGGCTTTGCAAAATCTTCCTTAGACCGCATGGTGGTTTTGGACTCTTCCACCCAACCTTTTCTTCCTCTCTCCCTCATCAAGGGTAAGACTTCCATCATGGTCTGATGACTCTCCCAGATTTCCCTGGTTCCTTTCCTGTTTCCTTTACACACAGGAAATAATAATAATAAAATGCTTACATGCTTAATTGCATCTGGGCATCTGCTTCTCAGAAGACACAGATTAACACAACTCCTCCCTTTCTCTCTCATACTTCATATCCAATCAGCAAACCCCATCATCTCTCTTGAAAATACAGTTGATCCTTGAACAGCCTGGGTTTGAACTGCATGGGTCCACTTAGACACAGATTTTCTTCTGCTTCTGCCACCCCTTGAAACAGCAAGGTGCACCCCTCTTCTTCCTCCTCCTCCTCAACCTACTCAACATGAAGACAACAAGGATGAAGACCTCTAAGATAATCCACTTACACCTAATAAATAGTAAATACATTTTCTCTCCTATGATTTTCTTAATAACATTTTCTTTTTTCTAGCTTACTTTATTATAAGAATACAGTATATTATATATATAAAACATAAAAACTATATGTTAATTGACTATATTATCTGTAAGGTTTCTGCTCAACAGTAGGCTATTAGTAGTTAAATTTAGGGGGAGTCAAAAGTTGCATGAGGATTTTTGACTGTGTCGGGGGCTCAGTGCCCCTAACCTCCACATTGTTCAAGGGTCAACTGTTTAACCAGGATCCAACTGCTTCTCACTGTCATCAATCTGGTTCAAGCCATCATCATTTCTCACCTGGATTATGGCAACAGCCTTCTGTATCAGTCAGTGTAGTACATTAAAGATGCCCATAAATTCACTGTGCTCCTCTCTACTCCCTTGAATCTGGGCTTGGCCTCTCATTGCTTTCGCCAATTGCGTATAGAAGTGATACTGTGCCAGCTCAAGACCTAGGCTTTAAGAAGACTGGCAGCTTCTGCTTCCTGCCTCTTGGAACCCAGCCTTTATACTGTAAGTACTAACAGCCCACTTGGAGGAGAATCAAAGCCTCTGGCCAACAGCCCCAGCTGAGCTCCCAGATGACAGCCAACTTATCAGTCATGTGAGTGAGCCATCTTGGAAATGGACCCTCCAGTCCCAGCTACTCTAGCTGATGCCACATGAGACAAAGACGAACTATCCCCTCCAAGCCTTGCCTAAATTGCAAAATCATGAATAAATAAATGATTGCAGTTGTTTTAAGCCATTAAGTTTTGGGGTATTTCTTTTGTACAACAATAAATAATCAAGAGTCAAGGTCCCAACAGAAAACAGAAGGCATACTGAAGAGGTAAGTGAAGAGAGTTTAATTAAGGGACTATGTTTACAAAAGTATGTCCAGGATTATGGAAACTAACAAGGAATAGTGAAGCACCAGGGACTCACATCAGGGTTCTGCCATGTCTACCTCTAGGCCTAAAGAAGAAATAGAAGAGGGCAGTTACTAGAGTCCTGAAAGGGTAGCTATAGGGGGAGGACTACCTGAAACGAGTTATGGCCTTAGGTAGAGGGACACAGACAACCTGCAGTGACTCTTGCTAGAGAGGAAGTCAGAGGAATAAATGGAATAAATTTTTTCTCATTCTTCTCTCTACCTCTCATCTTCTACTGGTCCCCATTGGTTGAACCCACTGGAAGCCAGAGGCCATGCTGCCCACTGATGTAGTCCATGTAGGTCAACCTCCCATGATACAGAGTAGGGTGGGAAAAAAGTAGGGCAGGAAAATATCAGAAAAGATATTTAGCAGCTCGCATATTAGTCAGGGTTCTCCAAAGAAACAGAACCAATAGGACACACACACACACACACACACGCACACACATACACATACATGCACCCAAATTGGCCCACACAATTATGGAGGCTGAGAAGTCCCACAATCTGGCGTCTGCAAGCTGGAGACCCAGGAAAGCCAGTGGTGTAATTCAGTCTGAGTCCAAAGGCCTGAGAACCAGGAGTGCCAACGTCCAAGGGCAGGAGAAGATGAATGTCCCAGCTCAAACAGAGAGAATGAATTAATCTTTTATCTTCCTTTTTGTTCCTCTAGGCCCTCAATGGATTGGATGATGCCCACCCGCATTACTGAGTGTAGATCTTTTTCACTCAGTCTACTAATTCAAATGTTAATCTCTCCCAGAAACACTCTCACATACACACCCAGAAATAATGTATTACCGGCTATCTGGGCATCCCTTAGCCCAATCAAGTTGACACATAAAATAAATCATTACACTGACTAACAGCTCTCCCTGTCTTGGTTCACACCCGTCACAGTCAATTTTCAACACAGCATCCAAAAATCCTTTGTTAAAGCTTAAGTCAGATGACATATTTTTTTTGGCTGAAAATCCTCCATAATCACTCTGAGTAAAAGCCAAACATCCTTAAAATATCTTCCAAGGCCCTACATAATCTAGATACCCTTAACCTCTGAGCTCATCTCCAGAGCTCCCATCTTCCTTCTGACTCCAGCCACATCAGCCTTCTTGCCCTTCTTCAAACATGACAGGCATGCTCCAGCCTTGAGGTGTTTGCACTGGCTTCTCCTTTTATCTGATATGCTCTTCCCTTATATACACATAACTGGGTCCTTTAATTCCTTCATATCTGTATATAAAAGTCACCTTTTCAGAGAGGCCACCTCATCTGAAATATCAACACCACCTGATACCTGACATTATATATCTACTTTTTCTGCTTTGTCTCTCTTATTAGAACTTTTTAATATCTAAAATTATATGTATTTTGCTTATATTGTGCTTATATTGTATTTATATTGTATTTATCTTTTATATTATTGACTATCTCTCACAATATAAAGTAAGTTCAATGAGGGCAGGGAATTTTGTCTGTTTCATTTATTAGGACAATGTCTGGCACATAATAAGCATCAACAAATATTTGTTTAATAAACAAATGAAAGATCACAGAAAATGGCAATATTTAATTTCAGTGTATATAAATGTATATATGTATATGCATGTGTAGGTGTGTGGTAGGGGATAGATAGACATAGATGTATGTAGAAAATTATAACAAGATGAATAAAACTATTTCAAACATAAAGTATGTTAAGACAATTTCTTGGGGAGAATAGAAAGAACATTCAACTTCAAAGAAAAAAAGGAATGATATAAAATTTGTATCTATTAAGGATGAGCTTGTTCATGTGTTCTTTTAAATGAATGTTGGAGGTTGGTGGCAAGATGGCTGACTAGATGCAGCCAGGTGGAACACTGCCACTGAGGAAGTGGGACCACTGGCACACTCCTAACAGATCTTCAGAGGGAAAACACTGAGCGTGGATGCAGGGAAGACACAGAAGCTGGGATGAATGGGGAGGAAGCTGGGAACACTGCGTGGGGCTATTGTGCACCAGGTCTCATTCCTGTCCCCTAGTGACTCCAGGGAAAAGGGTGAGTTGAACTGGCAATGAGCAACCTGATCTTGCCACAGGCCTCTGGAATCCCAGAAGGAGGACACCCCTTGACCACCACAGACACTTGAGTTGGCAGGGAGAGCTGCCTAGAGAAGTGCTAGGAGAAGCACTCCAGCCTCTGCAGAGCCCAGAGGGTTTGGTGTGGGAGTGTCTGTAGTGCAGCACAGCCAGTGACGCCCATCCCCCTAGGCTGGACTTGCTCCCATAGAAGACTTTAGCCCTAGCAGAACTTTCGAACCCGAACCCTGCAGGGTGCTCTTTCCCATCAGATGGGATCAGTCCAAGAACGTGAGCACCCCTTGGTCTGCTGGCCTCTCCTGGGGCCCCAGCCTGGCCACACCTGCTTGCAATGCAGCCTTGGGCACCCTGGGTGCCCGTATTATAGTTCCTGTGCTGGGGACTGTGCCTGGCCAGCAGAGAGCTCCAACACAACAGCCCCTGCAGACATGCACCAGTCTGCCTGCTCCCTCCCACCACTGCAGTTTCCCCCATGCCCACAGTCATCCCCCACATTGCTTTGCCTGCATGGCTGGGCATGGAGGGATCTTGCCTTTCTTTCCCAGCCATCGCATGTATGCACATGCACCCTGCCCTGCCACTGCTGCTGGCATGAATGCACTCCACCTCAAGCCCCTGCCATACTGCCATTGCAGTTGGAGCCTTGGCAGGCACAGGGCCTGCCAGCCCCACCCCTACCAGCACATTGCCCCTGCGCCAACACTGCCGCTGAGTGAAAATAGGCATGGAGAACAGCGGACCTGCCCCCACCCTGAGCACCACTTCCACCTGCATGAAAGTGCACAGAGGGCATACACAGTCCTGTGCCCACGAGTGCCCTGCCCCCACGCTACCACCACCACCAGCATGACCACATGCACAGTCACCAGCAGGGGCCCCCTTTGTCCCCAACCCCAAGTGATGCTGTCTCTGCTGCTGATGCGAATACCCGTCCAGAGGCTGGCACCCTAGCACCCACTAGCACCCTGCTACAGCTGATAAGCATGCATCCCACCGTGCTGCTGCTGCCACTGCTGCTGACACATGCAAATGAGGATGGATCCCACTGCCCTATAAAACCTTTTGGCTGACACCACCCATTGGAGTGTTGTGACCAATGGTCCAGAAGCACCTGGGCCCCTCCAGCTCATTAGGTTCCTAACCTTGAGGAGCCAGAGAACAAAGCTGGGGTCCAATATCAGTCCCCCAGCATTAGAGCATGCAGTCAAGGAGTCCTGATCTGAGCCTTGGCCCCCTAAAATCTTCCAGAAATGAAGCCAGTCGACTGAATCCACCTTATACCACAACAAAATCCTTAAGGTCATCAGATAGGATAAAAGGGAAAAAAACCCATCTGAAGGACAGCAATTTCAAAGATTGAAGGAACATAACCCCACAAAAATGAGAAAGAACCAGCACAAGAACTCTGACAACTCAAAAAGCCAGAGTGCCTTCCTTCCTCCAAAAAACTGCACTACTTCTCCAGCAATGGTTCTTAACAGGGCTGAGATGGCTAAAATGACACGAATAGAATTCAGAATATGGATAGGAACAAAGATCATCAAGATGCAGGAATACGTTGAAACCCAATCCAAAAAAGCTATGAATCACAATAAAATGATATAGGAGCTGACAGAATAAAAGAGCCAGTAGAGAAAAGAATGTAACTAACCTGATAGAGCTGAAAAACATATTGTAAGAATTGCATAATGCAATCACAAGTATTAAGAGCAGAATAGACCAAGTGCAGGAAAGGATCTCAGAGCTTGAAGACTGGCTTTCTGAAATAAGACAGCCATACAAGAATAGAGAAAAAAGAATAAAAAGGAACAAACATAACCTCCAAGAAATATAGGATTATGTAAAGAGGACAAACCTACAACTCATTGGTGTTCCTGAAAGAGATGGGAAAAATGGAAACAACTTGAAAACATATTTCAGACTATCATTTTATAAAAATGACATCTTGGGTGGTCCCTCGATTAACCAAAGATCAGCCCATTCCTGAGGCCGTTACACTGTTCACTGATGGCTCCAGTAATGGCAATGCTGGTTATGTAGGTCCTACAGACAAGCTTATTTCTACCCCTTATACCTCTGCTCAAAAGGCAGAGTTAATTTCTGTAATTACTGCCTTACAGCATTTCCCCAAACCTTCAAATTATTGTCTCTTATTCTACTTAACGTGGGAAGGAGGATATGCTTGTGTTTCACCAGGAGATCATCAAATGAAAACCACAGGGAAAAGACGTCCACGTCACAAACCGCCCTCAGACGTGGTGAGATCTGGGCCAACTCCTCAGAAGCTGGCATCCCAAATCAAAATGGGTCTGATTCAATCCTCCCTGATGGCAATGGAGACCCATCTAACTAATCCCACATCTGTTAATTACCTTTCTTTTTCTCCTTACAAACCTAAAAATCTCACCATTTCTATTAGCCTGAAAATATCCTCTGTTCTTCTCTTCCTCCTTCAGCACTCAATCTCGCTTACACTAGGTTTTATTTAATGATTCTCCTCCTTATACTTTCTGCCTCACCAGTTTCCTGTCACACTGATTTACCTGCTACACATAATTATTCTTATTGGGCTTATGTGCCTTTTCCTCCACTTATTCGACCTCTCACCTGGATAGATGCTCCTGCAGAAATCTACACTAACGATAGTGTGTGGATGCCTAGAGCCACAGATGACCGTTGCCCTGCTCAACCAGGAGAAGAAGGCACTGCATTTAATGTTACCATGGGTTATAAATACCCCTCTCTGTGCCTCGGAGATGCACCTGGTTGTATCCATCTAGAAACTCAAGTCTGGGCTGCTTATCTTCCAGAGAGATCAGCTACAGAGGAACCAGGACATTTGGTCTCTGGCCTCTCCCTTTCTCCTTTAAAACAAATGAAAGGGGGAGTAATGGGAGATACCCCATACTTTCAATATAAACCTGCAGGAAAACCATGCCCTAAAAGTTTTGAGGACCCATCTAAAACATTAATTTGGGAAGACTGTGTTAACTCACATGCAGTAATATTAAAAAATGACTCATATGGTTTAGTAATAGACTAGGCACCAAAGGGCTATTTAAAAAAACAATTGCTCCTCTGGTGGAAAGGAATGCCTAGAGGCTGCTTATTTTATTTCTTATTGGGAGAACGAGAATCATCATTCTACTTTGCATAGGAGGTTCAGCTCGTTCTTTCCCTAAAAATAGGAAGATAAAGGCATTATCCCCCCGAGGCCTCGTATGATACTCCCCATTCTGAGCCCAGAACACCCAGAACTTTGGAAATTGGCTATTGCTATGTCTGGACTGCGAGTATGGGAAGGGAAAACTATTCTGTCTGTTGTCCCCACTACCGTCCCCCTCTCTCAGTATCAACGTAGATCCAGACATTCTGCTTTACTAACCTCCAACCTGATTGTTCCCATACGGAGTTGTGTTAAGCCTCCTTACATGCTGTTAGTGGGAAATATCAAAATCTGGACGAACAATCAAACTGTCCAATGCATTAATTTACACTTGTATTAACTCCCATTTTGACTCCAAGAAAAGTGTAATGTTGGCTCGAACTCAAGAAGGAATCTGGATTCTGGTAACTTTGCCCAGACCTTGGGAATCCTCCCCTTCGATACATGTAATTAATGAAGTGTTACAGTGAATTCTAAAGAGATCTAAAAATTCTAAAAAGGTCTAAGATCTAAGAGATTAATCACTGTGATCATGGGCCTAATTACAGTCACTGCACTGGCCACCACTGTCGGAATGGCGTTACATCAATCTATTCAAATGGCTCATTTTGTTAATGATTGGCAAGCCAATTCCACCCAAATGTGGAATTCTCAACAAGGCATTGATCAAAAATTGTCTAATCAAATTAATCATTTCAGACAGGCTGTTATTTGGCTTGGAGATCGGGTAATGAGTCTCGAACATCGCATGCAAATGCAGTGTGATTGGAACACTTCGGATTTCTGTATCACCCCATATTCCTATAACGAGACTGATCATTCATGGGAAGTGGTCAAAGGACACCTTCTGGGTAGGGAAGATAATTTATCATTGGACATAACTAAATTAAAGGAACAAATTTTTGAAGCCTCTCAATCTCACTTATCCATTGTGCCTGGAGCTGAGGCATTAGATCAGGTGGCAGAAAATCTTTATGGACTAAACCCCACGACTTGGATTAAGTCTACTGGGGGCTCCACTGTAGTAAATTTTGGAATTATGTTTCTCTGTTTAATCGGCTTGTCTTTAGTGTGCCGGACCAGTCAAAGAATCCTGCATCAAAATCGAGAGAACGAACAAGCTTTCATCGCCATGGCACATTTATACAAAAAGAAAGGGAGAGATGTTGCAGGAAGTCAGGGACCCTGAATGGAGGGACCAGCTGAAGCCATGGCAGAAGAACATAAATTGTGAAGATTTCATGGACATTTATTAGTTCCCCAAATTAATACTTTTATAATTTCTTATACCTGCCTTTACTGCAATCTCTGAACATAAATCGTGAAGATTTCATGGACATTTATCACTGCCCCAATCAATACTCTTGTGATTTCCTATGCCTGTCTTCACTTTAATCTCTTAATCCCGTCATCTTCGTAAGCTGAGGATGAATGTTGCCTCAGGACCCTGTGGTGATTGCGTTAACTGCACAAATTGTTTAAACAATATGAAATCTGGGCACCTTGAAAAAAGAACAGGATAACAGTGATGTTCAGGGAACAAGGGAGATAACCATTAGGTCTGGCTGCCTGAGAGCCAGGTGGAACAGAGCCATATTTCTCTTATTTCAAAAGCAAATGGGAGAAATATCGCTGAATTCTTTTTCTCAGCAAGGAACAGCCCTGAGAAAGAGAAAGCATGCCTAGGGGCAGGCCTCTAAACTGGCCTCTCTGGGGACATCTGTCTTTTATGATTGTAGATAAGGGATGAAATAAGCCCTGGTCTCCCGCAGCGCTCCCAGGCTTATCAGGACAGGGAAATTCCCGCTTAATAAATTTTGGTCAGACCGGTTGTCTGCTCTCAAACCCTGTCTCCTGATAAGATGTTATCAATAACAATGCATGCCCAAAACTTCATTAGCAATTTTAATTTTGCCCCGGTCCTGTGATCTCGCCCTGCCTCCATTTGCCTTGTGATATTTTATTACCTTGTGAACCATGTGATCTCTGTGACCCACACCCTCATACACTCCCTCCCCTTTTGAAAATCACTAATAAAAACTTGCTGGTTTTGCGGCTTGGGGGGCATTACAGAACCTGCCGACATGTGATGTCTTCCCCAGACACCCAGCTTTAAAATTTCTCTCTTTTGTACTCTTTCCCTTTATTTCTCAGACAGGCCAACACTCAGGGAAAATAGAAAAAGACTCACATTGAATTATCGGGGGAGGGTTTCCCCGATACCCAACCTAGCTAGAGAGGCCAACATTCAAATTAAGGAAATACAGAGAACCCCAGAAAGATACTTCATAAGAAGATCATCCCCAAGACACATAATCATCAGATTCTCCAAGGTTGAAATGAAAAAAAAAATGTTAAAGACAGCTAGAGAGAAAGGGCAGATCACCTACAAAAGGAAGCCCATCACACTAACAGCAGACCTCTCAGCAGAAACCCTACAAGCCAGAAGAAATTGGGGGGCCTATATTCAACATTCTTAAAGAAAACAATCCCAACCAAGAATTTTATATCCAGCCAAACTAAGCTTCATAAGCAAAGCAAAAATAAGATCCTTTCCAGACATGCAACTGCTGAAGCAATTCGTTACCACCAGACCTGCTTTACAAGAGCTCTTGAAAGAAGCACTAAATATGGAAAGGAAAGACCATTGTCAGCCACTACAAAAATACATTTAAGTACACAGACCAGTGACACTATAAAGCAACCACACAAGCAAGTCTGCATAATAACCAGCAAACATCATGATGACAGGATCAAATGCACATGTATCAATACTAACCTTGAATGTAAACAGGCTAAATGCCCCAATTAAAAAGCACAGAGTGGCAAGCTGGATAAAGAAGCAAAACCCAACCCAATGGTATGCTGTCTGCAAGACACCCATCTCACATGCAATGACACCCATAGGCTCAAAATAAAGGGATGGAGAAAAATCTACCAAGCAAATCAAAACATAAATAAGCAGGGGTTGCAATCCTAATTTCAGACAAAACAGACTTTAAACCAACAAAGATTAAAAAAAGACAAAGAAGGGCATTACATAATGGTAAAGTCTTCAACTCAACATGGAGACCTAATTATCATAAATGTATATGAACCCAACACAGGAGCACCCAGATTCAAAAAGCAAGTTTGTAAAGACCTTCAAAGAGACTTAGACTCCCACACAATAATAGCAAGAGTCTTCAACACCCCACTTAGAGAGAGATCACTGAAGCAGAAAATTAACAAAGATATTCAGGACCTGAACTCAGCACTGGATTAAATGGATCTGATAGACATCTACAGAACTCTCCACCCAAAAACAACAGAGTATACATTCTTCTCATCACCACATGGCACATACTTTAAAACCAACCATGCAATGAGACGTAAAATAATCCTCAGCAAATGCAGAAGAACTAAAATCATACCAACCACTCTCTCAGATCACAGCGCAATACAATTAGAAATTAAGTCTAAGAAAATTGCACAAAACCGTACAATTACATGGAAATTGAATAACCCGCTCCTGAATGACTTTAGGGTAAATAATTAAATCAAGGAAGAAATCAAGAAGTTCTTTGAAAATAATGAGAACCAAGATACAACATACCAGAAATTCTGGGACACAGCTAAGGAAGTGTTAAGAGGGAAATTTATAGCACTAAATGCCCACATCAAAATGTTAGAAAGATTTCAAGTTAACAACCTAACATCACAACTAAAAAAACTGCAGAACCAAGAGCAAACCAACCCCAAAGCTAGCAGAAGACAAATAACCAAAATCAGAGTTGAACTGAACGATATTGAGACACACACACAAAAAAAACATTCAAAAAATCAACAAACCCAGGAGAAGGTTTTTTGAAAAAAAAAAAAGAGGGAGAGAGAGAGAGAGAAAACAGATAGACTGCTAACTAGACTAATAAAGAAGAAAAGAATGAAGATCAAATCAACACCATTATAAATGACAAAGGGGATATTGCCACTGACCCCACAGACATAAAAATAATCATCAGAGAATATTATGAACACCTCTATGCACACAAACTAGAAAATCTAGAAGAAATTGATAAATTCCTGGACAGATACACCATCACAACACTGAACTGGGAAGAAATTGAATCCCTGAACAGACCAATAATGAGCTCCAAAATTGAATCAGTAATAAATAGCCTACCAACCAAAAAAAAAAAAAAAAAAAACCCAGGGTCAGACAGATTCACAGCCAAATTCTACCAGATGTACAAAGAAGAGCTGGTACTACTATTTCTACTGAAATTATTTCCCCAAAATGAGGAGGAGGGACTCCTCCCTAACTCATTCTATGATGCCAGCATCATCCTGGTACCAAAACCTGGCAGACACAACAAAAAAGAGAAAACTTCAGGCGAATATCCTTGATGAACAGTGATGCAAAAATCCTCAAGAAAATACTGGCAAACCAAATCCAGCAGCGCATCAAAAAGCTTATCCACCACAGTCAAGTAGGCTTTATCCCTGGGACGCACGTTTGGTTCAACGCATGCAAATCAATAAATATAATTCATCACATAAACAGAACTAAAGAAAAAAATTACATAGTAATCTCAAGAGATCCAGAAAAGACTGTCAATAAAATTCAACACTGCTTCTTGCTAAAAACTCTCATAAACTAGGTATTGAAGGAACATACATCAAAATGATAAGAGCCATCTATGACAAACCCACAGCCAACATCATATTGAATGGGCAAAAGTTGGAAACATTCTTCTTGAAAACTGGCACAAAACAAGAATGCCATCTCCACCATTCCTATTCAACGTAATATTGGAAGTCCTGGCCAGAGCAATCAGGCAAAAGAAAGAAATAAAACACATCTAAATAGAAAGAGAGGACGTCAAACTAACCCTGTTTGCAAACGACATGATTCTGTATCTAGAAAACCCCATAGTCCTGGCCCCAAAGTTCCCTGAGCTGATAAACAACTTTAGCAAAATTTCAGGACATGAAATCAATGTACAAAAATCACTAGCATTATATACACCACCAACAGCCAACCCAATAGCCAAATTAGTAATGCAATACCATTCACAATTACCACAAAAAGAATAAAATACTTAGGAATACAGCTAACCAGGGAGGTGAAAGATCTCTACAATGAGAATTACAAAACACGGCTGAAAGAAACCGGAAATGACACAAACAAATGGAAGAACATTCCATGCTCCTGGATAGGAAGAATCAATATTGGTCAAACGGCCATACTGCCCAAAGCAATTTATAGATTCAATGCTATTCCTATCAAACTACCAATGATATTCTTCACAGAACTAGAAAAAACTATTTTAAAATTCATATAGAATAAAAAAAGAGCCTGAATAGCCAAGATAATTCTAAGCAAAAAGAATAAAGCTGGAGGCATCACACTAGCTGACTTCAAACTATACCACAGGTTTAAGTAACCACAACAGCCTGGCACTGGTACAAAAACAGACACATAGACCAACGGAACAGAATACAAAGCTCAGAAATAAAGCCGCACACCTATAACCCTGTGATCTTCAATAAACCAGACAAAAATAAGCAATGGGGAAAGGACTCCCTATTCAATAAGTGGTGCTGGGATAACTGGCTAGCCATAAGCAGAAGATTGAAACTGGACCCCTTCCTTACATGATATACAAAAAATCAACTCAAGACGGATTAAAGACTTAAGTGTAAAACCCCAAACTATGAACACCCGGGAAGACAACCTAGGCAACACCACTCTGGACATAGGAACAGGCAAAGATTCATGATGAAGACGCCAAAAGCAATTGCAAGAAAAGCAAAATTTGACAAATGGGATTTAATTAAACTAAACAGCTTCTGCACAACAAAAGAAACTATCAATAGAGTAAACAGACAACCTACAGAATGGGAGAATATATTTACAAACTATGTATCTGATGAAGGTCTAATGTCCAGCATCTATCAGGAACTTAAACAAATTTACAAGCAAAAAAAAAAGAAACTCCATTAACATGTGGGCAAAGGACATGAACAGACACTTTTCAAAAGAAAACACACATCTGACCTATATGCACATGTAAGAAAGCTCAACATCACTGATCACCAGAGAAATGCGAATAAAAATCATGAGACACCATCTCACACCAGTCAGAATGACTATTATTAAAAAGTCAAAAAATAACAGATACTGGCGAGATTTCGGAGAAAAAGGAATGCTTATACACTGTTGGTGGGAGTGTAAATTAGTTCCACAATTGTGGAAAGCAGTATGGTGATTCCTCATAAAGCTAAAAACAGAAATACCATTCAATCCAGCAATCCCACAACTGGGTATATACCCAAAGGAATATAAATCATTCTATCATAAAGACATATGCATGTGTATGTTCACTGCAGCACTATTCACAATAGCAAAGACATGGAATCAACCTAAATGCCCTTCATTGGTAGACTGGATAAAGAAAATGTGGTACATATACACCATGGAATACTGTGCCGCCATAAAAAAGAATGAGATCACGTCCTTTGCAGGGACATGGATGGAGCTGGAGGCCTTTATCCTTAGCAAACTAATGCAGGAACAGAAAACCAAATACTGCCTTTTCTCACTTACAAGCGGCAGCTCAATGTTGAAAAAACATGGACACACAGAGAGGAACCACACACCCTGGGGCCTACCTGGGGGTAGAGAGTGGAAGGAGGGAGAGGATTAGGAAAAATAACTAATGGGTACTAGGCTTGATACCTCGGTTATGAAATACTCTGTCCAGCAAACCCCCATGAGACAAGTTTACCGATGTAACAAACCTGCACATTTACCCCTGAACTTAAAAGTTTAAAAAAAGAATGTCGATGGATAGCAACTGAGTATGGCATTTAGATTTTGCTTCCAAGAGTGACATGACAGTTTTATTTTAAAATGACAATATTTTCCATATGCTAGAAATTATATCCTTTGCAACCATTTAACTTTCTAATTAAAAATATTGTAGAAGTTAACCTCAAAATATGTGAAGAGGATTCATGGTTTAACAAAAATATTTTAGGGGTTATGCAAGCAAAAGAATTTGATGACCACTGTTCTTGTGTGTATTGAAAGAACTCTGGTCTAAGATCAGAAAATCTCACTTCTTATCTTAGCTCTGTCACTAACTAGCTGTGTGACCTTATAGAAATTACTTAACCTCTCTGGGCTTCAGCTTTCTCATCTGTGCAATTAAAGAATGAAAGAACATGGAATCTAAAATCATTTCTAATTCTAAAACCCTCTGTTCTGTGACCTCTAAAATTGCTTTTCTGTCTTTTTACAGTTTCATCTCTTCCTTGGAGTTTCTTCCTTCCTTCTGCTCCTACTCCTATGGCTACATGCCTGCCTCTATCACTTGTGGGCTGGGGAATTAATAGAAATAAAGGCCCCCAGCATACAGCAGACTCTCTTCTCTTTCCATGAGGAAACTTGCATGCATAAACATGAGCAGCTCTACCTGCATATCCAAGATCTGTGTACTCTCTCTATTCCCCCAACCCCTTACACTCCCCTTTTCCACTGCTGACCACCCTGCTTCGGGCTTGGGGGTATATCACTGTCTACCCTCAAGAGGACTAATCTAGGGGAACGGTCTGTGCAGGCCCTGGAAGCAGGCTCATGGCCACTTAAGCAGGGGATTCTCTAGTTCTGTGTACCCAGGCAAGGGTTCCAGGTGGTCACATCCCCTTGGCCTCACAGTCATTCTAACTCATAGGGAAGAACGTGTTTGCAAGAGGGCCAGAGTGAGGTCATCTGAAGCACAGGTCCCAGAGAGGGGTTCCAGTTGCCCAGGTCTAAGGTGGTACTATCTGGCTCTAACCCTTGTTGAATAATTGCTGGCCAGGATGAATGGATAAACACATGTGCATATAAACACAATTAAACACTACACAGCAATAAAAAGGAATAAACTACTCATCAGCAAAACAAGATGGATGAAGCTCAGACACTATGTTAAGTAAAAGAAAGCAGAAAAAAAGTACAAACTATATGACTACATTTCTATGAAATTCAGACAGATAGAAACTATAGGGATAACAGATTTGTGATTGCCTAGGGCCAAGGGTGGGGAACTTTACTACAAAGGGCATGAGATAACTTTCTGGTATAATGAGATGCTTCATCATTTGATTGTCATGGTGGTTTCACAGATGTACACATTTGTCAAAACTTATCAAAAATAAAATAGGTTTATTTTATTGTATATAAATTATACCTCAATGAAATTGATTCATGAAGAAAAACAAGTAACAACAAAAGGATTGCCTAGCAGAACTATCATCTGTCAATAAGTATACATTCCACATCATTGTATGATTTATCTTGCTCTATCCTAATAGAATTATCCTTAAATCCATACATGCATGTTCTTTTTTTTTTTTTTTTTTTTGAGACGGAGTTTTGCTCTTGTTGCCCATGCTAGAGTGCAATGGCATGGCCTCTGCTGACCGCAACCTCCGCCTCCTGGGTTCAAGCAATTCTCCTGCCTCAGCCTCCCGAGTAGCTGGGATTACAGGCATGCGCCACTATGCCCAGCTAATTTTGTATTTTTAGTAGAGACAGGGTTTCTCCATGTTGGCAAGGCTGGTCTGGAACTCCCAGCCTCAGGTGATCCACCCGCCTCGGCCTCCCAAAGTGCTGGGATTACAGGCGTGAGCCACCGTGCCCGGCCTACACGCATGTTCTTAAAGAATTATGTATGTGTGTATGTATGTATGGGGAAGAGGGACTGGTTGTCTCCCATCAGTTAAACGTAGGGGCTGACTCTGAGCCACAGACCTTTTCCTTGACCAGTCTATCTTCATTTTAAAATCAAAATCTCACCAAGGAAGGCAATGTGAATCCAGTGGCCCTGGGTTCAAGTCTAAGGCTTGCCTCTTATGAACTGCATGGCCTTGTGGAGTAGTCAGAGCAGGAGCCTAGCATATAGAAACTTATTTCATCCTCACTCAAACATTGTGAAATAGATGACTCTGACCATGATTTTACAGATGAGACTCTGATCACCATTTTACAGATGAGAAAACTGAGGCTAAGATCCTTCACCTAACAAGCAATAAGTCAGGATTTAAATCTACATTTATTAAGCTCTACCCTCTTATGCTTTTCCAGAGAAAGTTACTTAGCTTCTGAACCTAAAATTCTCTTCTTTCTAAAGCTGGAATAACACTGCTTACAGTTAAGATAATTGTGAAAAATAAATAAAGTGTATTGTGTGATTCATGTATTCAGTAGATTTCAGCAATATTTTATGGCTACAGACTTTCCAACCAATTACAGCTTTTGAGTTAAATACCAACATTAGTACTTCCTACTTCCTTCCTCCTGAGGAGTTCTCCAGTGTAGGAAATTGGAGATTAATGCCAGAAGGTTCAAAAGTGGCCAGCAATTCCATTATAGCCATTAAACAATGATTAGTCAACCCAAGAAGGTGCACGTTACTGTGCAATTTTCTGTTTGAAGCCTATTAAAGGAGTTATTCCATTCCAAGATGCAAGATTTTCAAATGTTAAAGCTCTCTTGGAAGAAAATCTAAGTTCAAACAAAGGAAATTTAGACCTTCCATTTGAGGTTCCACTTCTTGTGGTTCCTTCATCCTCCAAAATTGAAGATCCTCCCTTCATAGCAAATCCTCCATACATACACACCATCCCCGCTTAGAAGTATCAGAAGATTCTAGGGGAAGGTTATTTCCTAATACAGTTATGCTGCGTTACTTCAAACAAGGTATCTAATAACTCTATGACTTCGTGTTCCAAAAAACAACCATGATGATGCCATGTATAGAAAAAAAATATCTAAATAAGAAGCTGTGTGGTTGTGGTTACAAACCCATCCACCACATGGGACTTCTCTTTGCTGAGCATCACGTCGTTCCTATAAGATCAGTGGAGGAGGTTGGTGGGATTGTTCCTGGCACAGTACCTGGCACACTATAGGAACTCAATGATGGCTAGTGCCTTGCCCCCTGCCCCCTGCCCCCTGAGGTTTGAGTGGGCAGGATTTTCCCAGAAGCACTAGACTCTCTTCTTTATTGTAGCAACTGAGTCAACAGGGAATGCATCCACCTTAATTTCTGGGAAAATAAGGCAAGCAAAATTGCAGAGAAAGTGCCACCATGTCTAGGATGAAATGCCCGTTGCTCCATCACAGGAAACAAAGTAAAGGAGGGCCTTCCTGGAGGCTAATTAACAGAAAACTACAGTCATCTGAGACTTAAAAGAATTGAAACAAACCACCAGCTGTCACTGATCTTTTCCATCTCCTTTTGGAACAGTGTAGCTAGGGGAAGAATGTTTCTAGCAATAGCTGCCAATAGTCTCCACAATAAATACTGAGGACAAATTATGCCTTATGAGTAATCATATATCAGATGGAATATGCATCTTGGGGTGCCCTTCACCAAAAGCTCCCTCTAGTGCAACAGAGGTGATCACTGTCTCCTCCTCACGCACGGCTCTGCTCAGGCAACCTTCTGCCACGCAACCTGCTCCTGACTTGCCATGAAGCCCCACAAGCCTGCTCACAGCTCAGTGTAATGGGGAAGACTTGGATCCAAGCTGGGCTATGGTCTCTTGCCCAAAATTTGGAAGTGGGACTGAACTGGGTCAGTAGTTAACTACAGCTGATGGACTTGTAAGACAATGCAGACTTCAGGGCCAAGGGCACCATTTGGGGCTCCCGTGTTCGGCCCACGTGTCCAGAGAAGCAGAAAAAAGCCATTCAACCTGAAAGAGAGAATGATGCAGAGCCACAAAGAGAATGAAAGAGAAGATACATAGAAAGCTAGGGGATAAAGAGGAAGGGATTGAATGGTCCCTCATACAGCCCTGCTGCATTTACCCGCTTTTGACTCTGGCTGACTTGAGTAATACACAATCCCCTCTTGTCAATTACAGACATTCTGATTCTTAGGGTTTCATTCCTTTAATTTAACATGTTAGACTACTGATGTCCTAGGAAAATGTAACACATTAAATCTTACTATTGGTCACTAACACCTTCATGTGAATGACGTTTTCATAATCTTTCACAAAGGCAGGTTTTGAGATGGAGGTTTTCAGTAGAGTCCAAGGACAGCCCCTTGGAAGGGCAATGCACCCTCCAACCAAGAGGGTGGATGAGCCTAGAAATGATGTGAGGCAGCCAACCCAGACCAGACACTTCAATTAATTGCCAAGCCCAGTCTATTGCCCACTGCTACTTGGCTCTCCTGCCAGCCTTCTTCCATTTCACTCACCCTGTTCCCTTCTCTTCCTTGCTCACCTGCACTTTACCTCAGCCTCATAATTGACTTCCCATGCTCCAGCCTCACTCACCTCACTCCATCCTCCCCATTGCTGATGTATTCCCTTGTTTAGTAATTTATTGATTGTCTCTTCTATTACAATATCCCCTCATGAGATCCAGGATCTTAGGAATCTTGCTTACCAGTCAGATTTAACCATTCCAAATACAAAGTTTCCAGTGCTTGCTGCACATGCTGTCTTGCTACTCTTTTGTAATACATCCTGTGGTTTGAGATGGTTTGATTCACGCTGGTTCTCTCCTTCCCATATACTCCGGAAGCTCTGCAAAGCCATGAACAGTTATTGATTCATTTTTGAGGTCTCAGTGCCATGTACAGTCATACCTTTAAAAGTGCTGGCTGGATGGACAGATAGAAGAATGGAGGAAGGGTGTAAAGGACTGTAAAGGCCAGAGGGTAACAGTTTCCGTGATTCTGGCTGTGTAATAAACAACCTCCAAATTTATTGCTATAAAACAACCATTTTATTAGAGTCAGAGGGAGCTATAAGGAGAATTTGGGTCAAGAATTTTGGAAAGGTTTGTCTGGACTGTTCTCACTATGGGATCTGTCACGTGATTGTAGGCAGATGTCATCTGAAGGCTAGCTTGGGCTGGACATCCAAGATGGCCATTCACATTGTTAACAGTTGATAATGGCTGTTGGCAAAGAGCTTAGCTGAGACTCAGCTATAACTCCAACATGTGGCCCCTGAATGTGGCTTGGGCTTCATCACAGTAAGGCTACCATAGTATAGCCAACTTCTTACATGGTGGCTTAGGGCTCCAGCACAAGGGTCTCAGCAAACAAGGCAGAAGCTGCATTGCCTTATAGGACCCAGGCTCAGAAGTCACACAGTATCATTTCTGCCATTCTCTATTGGTTGAAACAGTCACAAGCCCACCTAGATTCAAAAAGAGGAAACATAGCCCCACGTCTCAATGGAAGGATGTCAAAGAGTTTCGGAGTCACTTGAAAAAACGGCATCAACTTAAAGCTCTTCTGGTTCACCCCCTTTTATTATGGTAGAGGAAATAAAGGTTTGGAGAATGCACATGACTTATTCACAGTCACACCACATGAGTGACACAGTTAGGGCTAGAACCAAAGTTCCCTTAACTCAAGTCAGTCCAGCTTCCATCTACTCTATTACTTTGTAGAGGTCTCTATTAATGTGTTCTCACTTTTAAACAACTGAAACCAACTTTTACAAAATTAATAACAACAAAAGATGGAGGGAAATTTAATAGAAAAACCCTCAACATATCTCAGAACCAAAGGAATTGTTAGCTTACCAGATGAGGTGAGCCTCAGGCAGTTCCAGGGCCCTTAGATGGCATCCACTGAATTTCTAAAGAGCCGTGGCCAAAGACTATACACTAGTCTCCCCCTTATCCACAGGGATATGTTCAAGACCCCCAGAAAGGGAAACCACAGATAAGGGGGGACTACTATACTTTCAGGGATCATTTCTATAATATATTACTCAAGTGCTTCTGATCATGTAGGGTACTAACCTGATCATGTAGGGTACTCGCCTGGGAAGAACTGGTGTGGCCAACAGAGAAAGACATTCTGGTTGTTTTAATGTGGTTCATGTGAAACATACCAATGGCAACAGCTTTGCCACCTGGCTTTCCAACATTTTTGTTATTAGCAAAGGCAACAAACCATGGATTTCTCTTCCTCAGGGAAAAGGTATCCACTTCACCATTGCTGAAGAGAAAGACGAGAGAATGATGGCCAAACCCAGCAGTGGGTGAAATGATCTTTAGATGACATGTTGGAAAGGTC
Source organism: Homo sapiens (assembly GCF_000001405.40). Taxonomy (NCBI): domain Eukaryota; kingdom Metazoa; phylum Chordata; class Mammalia; order Primates; family Hominidae; genus Homo; species Homo sapiens. The sequence goes on along the minus strand of NC_000023.11, from coordinate 42,150,479 downwards.
TTTGTACTTAACTACAGCATGAAAACTAAAAACAATTTAACAAAAAGCTATGTTCAGCAAGGACTCAGTGCCAACACCTCTCCAAGTGCTGTCTCTCTCTGTTCCAAGGTCCAAATTTTCAAGAGAGACAGCCTCACCAATCTCAATGGAGTTGGGTTTCTACTCTCTTTCACGCATCAATCAGCCATAGACAGAGGCACAAGGTCACAGGGTATAGGACATGTTGAGAGAAGGCCTCTGCTGAGTTTCAGGACATGTCCAGACAAAGGGTGCTTATGATAATCCTGAAGCCACCATGAGCCTGAACATCATCTCAGCAGAGGAAAACCACTGAGACATGTGACCCAGAGGATTTAAAAAATGCATCCTCATCCCTGTTGGATAGTTGAAATATAGGCTTGGCAGATGCTATGTGATGAACTAGAGTTCATCAGGCATTAGGGAAGCTTGCCGAGTGTCCCTGTGACCACAAGGCCGTAATTGTCGGGTGGGCAGTAAATGGTTAAGGATTACTCAATGTGTCTCAAACAACATATGTTCCAGCACTTCTTGCTGTCAGGCCAAGCGCATGGAATTTGAGATTCCACAGCACAAGGCAAGGCCAGTTACAGAGAAACAGAAACAAATTGAAGTAAGGCAGAATGGGGTTTTGTAAAACATGGGAGCTTTGCATCTCATACATTATCATTCCTGAAGGCATGTCATGTCATGCTAATATGTTGAGGTCAGCTATGGTGTAAGCTGTGAAGAAAGTTTTTTTTACTAATAATAGTTTAAGTAGCAAAGTTTAAGAATAGTTTCTTAAGTAAAAAGCAAATATATATAAGATATATATCATACAAGTAGTAATAGTGATATTATATATATATCTTATAATAATATCAAGGTCACACATTTACATACGCTTTCTGTAGTAGGAGAAAAAAGGGTTGGGTTAGAGGTCCCATATAACCACAGGCAAGCCCAGGGGAGTATATCACACATGTTACTGTCAACTGATATCATTGTTTCAGTGGGGAAATGCTTCAAAACAGCTGCCAAACATGATGTCATTACTGATATACCAAGAGTAGGGAAGTTTAAAAATGCACTGGGATCCTGATGCTGGTTCAGGTTCTGCCTAGTGTCAAATATATATATACATCCCCCAAACTGGAAACTAACGCAAGAAAATGATGCATGTCCCTTCAATGCAATTTTAAGCAGGCTCACCCAAGAATTATTTGATTGCACAGGAGAATGCACTTATGTTTGGCTTTGCTATTTCTATCTAATCGGAGCACAGACACTGAATTTAGTTGTTAATTTGTATATTTTTGTCCAGTAGAGAAGATGACCCCACTAGCTACAGTTTTATGGTCCCATAAGACATTTGCCAGTTTTGTATCTAGTGGCAAATTTATTTCATCATTCCTTTGACTGACTATATATAAATATCTGTCCTTTGAAACAACCTTACTATCTTGTTGGCTCTCTCATTAATTAATGAGATGGATAAAATCTTTGACAGCATTCATTCTATATTTGTATAAAAGTCCTGTTTTTAACATTTTGAAAATTATATTTCAATACTAGGGATGAGTCTGCAGTTTCTCCAGTCTCCTCAAATGCAGAGTGGTGGGTGAGCTGGGTTCCAAGTCCCTTCGGGTGTCAATATTGTATGATTCCTTCCGTGAATGTATGGTGTAGAATATTTAGTAGGGTAGGTTATTTGTTAGAGAAATTTTCAAAGTAAGAACCTCAGAAAGTTTTAAGGATGGTTACGTTAACAGTGAATTCTAGCTGAACAAAGAATCTAAAAATTATCACTAGGTTCTGTAGTTTGAGTGATGATGATATCCCCTCCTTATGTTTTGAAACTTAATCCCCAATGCAACAATATTAAAAGGTATAGATGTGGCCTTTGGGAGATTATTAAGTCATGAGGGTAGAGCCCTCACAAATGGGATTAGCACCTTTATAAAAGGGCTTGAGGTTGAAGAGAGCCCTCTCCTGCACTTCTGTCCCTTCTGCCATGTGAGAACACAGCATTCATCTCCTCCAGAGGATGCAGAAACAAGGCACTATGTTGAAAGCAGAGAGCAGCCCTCACCAGACACCAATCCTGCCAGTGCCTTGATCTTGGACTTCCCAGTTTCTAGAACTGTGAGAAATACATTTCTATTGTTTCTAAATTACCCAGTCTGTGGTATTTTGTTACAGTAGCACAAATGGAATAAGACCCCAAGTAACCTGATTATCCAAACATTAAGCTTCCCAGACTATCAGAGTCTGGTAAAAGCATCCCACCTTGTCTGGAGATGGATGCTAATCCTCATGGGGCCTACCTTGTGGAATAGAGCTATGTAACCCGATAAATATAAGAGGCACAAAAAATGATCCCTGACTCTAATTCTACCAGAAGAGAGCCTGCAGCATCTGATAATGAACAGCAATCTCACCAGATCACCTGCCTCCTTGCTACTCAACATGTGGTCTGAGGACCAGCAGCAAAAGACATCACCTGGGAGCATGTTAGAAGTGCTGAATCTTGGGACCATCCCACATCTAGTGAGACAGAATCTGTATTTTAACAAGATCCCCTGCTGATTGATATGGGCAGAAAGCTTGAGAAGCACGGATCTGCCTGCAGGGTCCAAAGGTGGTTCTCAGCCCTGGCTGCACACTGGAAACACCTGGGGAGTTTTAGGGCTTACAGAGTGCAGGTGTTATTAGTATCCCCCCTAGCAGGATGGGAAAGAAGGTGACAGATAAAAAACATAAGCCACTCATCTCAAGTCAGCACTGTGTAAGAAGCCCAGCAAAAGAACTTTAGCAATGCCAGGCTTTTTCAATTTGAGCTCTAGGAAAGAAGTCAGGGAGGGGAAGACTGAAGGGCTACAGGGACAAAGGAGAAGAATGGCAATCCCATGGGTTCTTCTATTGATTTTCCCCTCCGGGAATGAAGGTATTTGTAACTTGCCAGAAAGCCTGTCTCCTGTTCAGGCTAATTCTATACTGTGAGTTTATCCAGAGTTTAAGAACAATAATCAGGGACCACAAAACCCTAAAAATCCCTGAAAGCATCAGTAATGGGAAGGGCAGAGTGTACTTTGACCATACTTAAGGAAGTCCCTTTACTTGTTCTAAATCCCAGGCATGGAATTTTGCTTCATTCAAAGTTCTATAGTAAGAAGTCTCTACACTAATCAAGTTTAACCTCTCACTATCACAACCCACAGTTGCTATTTTTAGAAATGCTGGGCTGTGAGCAAAAGATGATTAGGTTAAGTATCAGTGGCCTGCAGATGTGGTCCCAAATACTTGTCATAGACATATTCTGACAACTGTACTCCACCAATCTGTTTAGTACAGTGCTTTGGTTTCTTCAATAACAAAGTACTGCTTGTGGGTCTGGTGGATTCAGAGGGATCAAAGAGTGGTGTCAGGTGCTAAGGAAAGTCACTATTTGGAAAACTTTAAACTAAAAAAGATGGAGGATCCAGTTCTGTCCTCAGGATTGAGTGATGTGGAGCTCCACTGCTCATGTCTGAGGCCTGTCCAGACCTCTCTTGCAGGCTCTGGCTCCCATGCTTGGACTTTGGATTGGCCGACAACTCCAAGGGAGTGAGTCTCTTGTGCATCCCTGACAGCATTTTCACCAAGTTCCTTGTCTCACATCTATGGTTTGCCATTCTTCAGTCTTTAAGGCAGCTTTTAAACTACCTATGGTAAAGAATTAACTGCTTTTGTTTCCAATTCACCATAGACCAATACTTTTAAAAATGTAATTTAAAAAGTCCCCATTCTTCCTCCCACTCTGTACCCTTTATAATGGTTGATCATATGTTCCAGTTTGTTGAGGACAATGTCATTTTCCATCTATTGTCCTGGAGCCATGATTAATAATCCCTTTCGCTCTGGAAATTGTTCCACTTGAATAACAAATTATATGGTCACCCTACCTTCATATGTGATTATAATCATTACTCTTGCATACTTACACAATTTCTACAAATATCAGCAAATAATGTGAATTTTTATCTCTCAAAAAATAGAAAGGATGATATGTGTAATTGTAAAAACATAGTCAGTTGATGAGTCTATTGACAGTAAATTAGTTAGGATAATATTAGCTGGTATAATAAAGAACCCCCAAATGAATAGTGATTCAAGACAATAGAAGCTTATTAGTGCCTCACGTAAAGTTCAAAATGTGTATTCTAGGCCGAGATTCAGGGGCTGGGGATAAGGCTCACTTCATCTTGAGGCACTGCCATCTTAACAAGTGGCTTCCAAGATTTCCACATGTCTTAATTGGGGCCACTATAACAAATTACCATACACTAGGTGGCTTATAAAAATATACATTTATTTCTCACAGTTCTGGAGACTGGAAGTCAGACATCAGGGTGTCAGCATGCTCAGGTTCTGGGGAGGGCCCTCTTCTAGGTTGCAGATGGCCAACGTCTCATTGTATCCTCACACAGCTAAAAGAGGGAAGAGACTTCTCTGGGGTCTCTTTTGTAAGTGCACCAATCCCATTTAAAAGGGCTCCACTCTTGTGACCTAACCACTTCCCAAAAGCCCCCACCTCTTAATACCATTACATAGTGGGTTAGGATTTCAACATATTAATTGGGGGGACACAAACGTTCTGTCTATATCCACAATGTTTGTCTGTATCAAGCCAGTGGATTGGAAAAAGGCTTGGTGGATTCCACATGGAATTATGAGTCATACCTGAAAGAGGCACAGGTCACTCCTGATCACATTTTATTAGCAAGAACTCAGTGCCTTGACCACATCGAACCATAAGGGATGCTAGAAAATGTAGTCTAGCTGTATACACAGATGAGGAAATCGGTTTGGTAAATAATTTTGCCACAGCAGTCAAGGACATCATTTTTAAATGGAATAGAATAGAATAAGCCAAAATTCATTTGACCTGGAATATAGGAAAGGTTAGTATAGTTTTGGAAAAGCCTTGTTTCAGTCATCTATATATTTGTATGCATGCTGTGTGTAAAATGTATTTCTTACACTGGGTCACAGTCAAAAAGTTAAAGCCATTCTGCCAAAGAAATTTCCATATAAACAGTATTAGAAGAGATAGCCAAAGGAAAAAATGAGGGCTCAAGCTCTGAAGAGAGCTTTAAAATCACTGAGAAACTGGGCTAGTGTGAACATACTTAAATATTCATAAATGACAATAACATCAACAAACCAGACGTAGCTGTGTAGACTGGGCTGATCCTGAGAAACACTGGCATTGGCAAGTGAGTCAGGTTGGACTTAGGTACCCACCCACTCCTCTGAGAGCAGCCCACCCCTATTCTCCAAGGATCTCACCTATGCCCATGCATGCAAAGTATGAGGGAATAATTTAGTCGTTTCTAGCAGAACTTGCATGGAAAAAATCATCATGAATCAAAAGAATGAGGCTTTCAAATTTGAATAAAGGGCTGGTTTCCTCACATTTTAGGGCAAAGAATCAGATCTGATATCAATATAACTTCCAATCACATCACACAAAGAGCCACTCTCTTGATACTGTGTGGGGCTGTTATGAGCATGAGTGTGTATGTGCATGTGTGTGTGCACGTACGTATGTTTGAGCACATGCTTACCTGTGTGCTGAGACACAGGAGAGGTAGGACAGTAGAAAGATCAAGAAGTATTGAGAATTCCTGGCATAAACAGAATGAATGGAGCTGGTTTAATCCATTTTGAGAGGACTTCGGTGGGCTTTTCTAAGGAAAGGCAGGACATAGTCTAGAAAAACACAGCAGAGATGACATTTTGAGCATGGGGATCTATGGTGAGCCATAGAACATGCTTTAGAGTTGAAATAAGCAGACCTGTATTTGAGTCCCAGAGAGATAGCTTATTCTTCCCATTACACAGATTAGAAAACTGAGAGTCATAGAGGTTACACCCAAGATTTTGCAGCTCATATGAAGAACGGGTACTCAAAGAAGTAGGCTCAGTAGTGGAAAAAGATAAGAATCTACCCAGAAGGATTGTCCAGCTCAGAGGCAGAACATACTGGGACCACAGGAAATTCAGATGGTGGCTGAGCCCCCACTGAGAGAGAGTAACCAGAGCTCTTCAGCACAGGATCAGACAGCTGGTCCTTACTAGGGTGCTTTGGGCTGCTGTTTCACCAGGGAAAAAGCAACAGTGAAATGAAAAGAAGTTGGTGGGCATTCTGGAAAATGCCATCAGTTGAACGTGTCCTATCTCTTCCTTGCTATACTACACTCCAAATAAAAAAGAAAGAGCTTAATCACCTGTAAAACGGGCACTCAATTCAATTTTCCCGTGCAGATCTATAAACCCAGCCCCTCCCTTTCCATTCCCTCTCCCACAGCCCACCGGAACAGGGCTGGAGACAGTCATTTCTTAGAAACACTAAAAATATACATTACATCATTCCTCCCCCACAGCCTTCAACCCCCCACAACAAGCCAAGTAATTTGAGCCCCTCTGCAAGGCATGCCATAGCCTCCCTTTGAGGTCTGTGTTTTCCCTATTTATTGTACCTGGGAGACTGACAGACATATGTTTTATGATACATTATATATTAGGCTTGGCTAGAGGCTCCATTTCCATTAAAGATGACTAAAGCACTAAGTTATAGCTACCTGGACCTCCCCTGCCATTTGTCTTCTGAAGCTATTCTCTGAGCTGTATTTCTGTCTTTTACTGTGACATTTGCTCACAAAATGGACAGAGCTTGGCCATTAAAATCCAAAGACTCTGCTTCTACAACATTTTTTAGAACAGAGCTCTAGAGCCCTCTTCCTGAATTCCTCCAGTTCTTGGTTCTGACAATTTCCTGAAATAGACGAGTGATCCCCAGAGCTGCAAAATCACATCTCTCTTTAAAACACCAGCTAAAACTGAGAAAGATAAAATAAAAACAGATCTACTTCTCCAAAATGGGGTTATGTGAGTTGCTGCTCCCTTCAGGCAATTGTTCTGCAATTGACATGTGGTTTCTGCATAGTAATTAGTTAAACGCTCACCCTCATGCATAAGACACTTGTGGGGATTACTTTTTTTTAAGTGTTGGTTTTTAAAATTTAGAATGATGCCTTTAGATCAATTTAGATACCATGTCATTGCACAGGTAATTAGTAAAATAAGGAAAAGACAATGATAAAAATAGAAGCAACATCAAAAAAAAAGTCAACCTTCATTAGCATTATAACCTATGAATTAAAGCTGATAACGGGGAAAATAACTTCATTTATCCTGTGCGAGAGTCAGTGATTAATTGAAAATACACATCAAAGAGCTTCATTTGCATATAGCAGCTCTGTTACTCTGAGAAGCTTTATATGGGAAGGGGTTCCCTATTGAACACACACAGACGTATAGACCTTTCACAATACTACAAGAGCCATCATTCCTTCCAACTATGAAGGATGTCCAGCTTCATCGATATATTTACAGCCTGGCCCAGAGACACCACTGAGTTGAACAATGGACAAAGAGACACAGAAGTATTTCTAGATATACAAGTATATAAAGAGGATGAGAAACATATTCCTTAGTAATTTTTTTTAAACTGGAAATGTCCCTCACAGGTGGTTTTCCATCCTCTCATTTCCCACAGTTAATGTTTCAGGAAGGAAAATGTTCCCCGCTTCTTCTTGATTTCTCATCTTAAAGACCATTCCTCAATTGGATGTGTAGAGCCCCCATTCACACCAGCCTTCACATTTACTGCCACATGGAATGGCAAACTTCTCGGGCATCGATTGCTCATCTTCTCTCTGAATACAGGATGCTCAATCTCTTTGTAAGTCTCCTTTTGAAAGTTGATGAGATATTATGGAGGCATATCACTGGAACTTGCTCCAACCTTGCCCTGCCCACAACGTGCAGACACTACTCTGGATATGAACCACTATGTTCTAAGAAGCATTCCATTTGGGTGTTGTGTATGGCAAACACAGCCTCAGAAGGCCATTACTAGGGCAGGACTTCCAGAATAGCTGAGCAAAGAGCTCACCAAATCCTCACCCCAAAAAGCAACAATAAAACTGGATAAAATTGTCAAAAACAACCATTTCAGGAATCTGGAAATTGACCAAAAACAAAACAAAAATGAGGAGCATTTAGTCAAGAAAAATGATTGAATCTCAGGAAGAATAGAGAGGGATTGGTATTTTTGTCCAAGACTGTTTCATGCTGTTCCACCCAGCTTCATGCCACTGTAGTTCTACCAGGGCAGGGCAGGCCTTGAGGACCAGCAGCTCCATGGCTGGATGGGCTAATGTGATATGGAATGGAGGATAGAAAAACCCATGCCCAGGGGCATGGTTGAAAACAATAGCAATCTTGGGGGTAAACAATCAGAAAAAAACAAAATCATAGCTAGCCTTCAATTGCCTTACTGTCTGGGCCAAACATCATACCAGCAGAAGAGCAAGAAATTTATCAGCAAGATCCAGGGATCAAGGCAGCCAGAGTGGGACTCGGTAAGCTCCCTAGATATCTGGAAGGCTGCATGTGTCCACATGGCTGTGCTTATGCTCAGGAAAGACTGAAGAGGGTCTTAGTGAGCTACTTGTCCCTGAATGAATGTGAGACCCTAAAAGCACAGAAAGTAAAGACTGACAGACTTGCGAACTGCCTAAACTTTGAATGCCATTTTCCAAACCATACACAGACCCATCAGCATATGGTAAAAGCCTTATTGGCTCAAGGAGTTTAAATCTTTGGCTGACCACTATGCTATGCTGATCCAGACGTAGCTCCAAAAAAAACAGGCTTAAAAATAAGATCAAGATTTTTTTTTTAATTGAGTGGAGGCATCAGTGACTGCACACTGCTGGAGAGACAGACAGTATATAGTTATTTCGGTAAATAAATAACAATAATAGCAAATAACAAATAAATAACAAAATAAATAAATAACAAAAATAGCAACAACCAAACCAGGGGAGAGAGGAATCAGAGTCCAGGGTTGCTACAATATATTATCAAAACTGTCCAGCTTTAAACAAAAAGTTATGAGACATGCAAAAAATAAAAACAAAAACAGGACAGTGTGACTCATACACAAGAACAAAAACAGCAGGCAATAGAAACTCTGAAAGACCCTAGGTGACGGACTTACCAGATGAAGACTTCAAAGTAGGTGTTATTAATATGTTCCAAAAACATAAAGGAAACCCTCTTTAAAGAATCAAAAGAAAATATGATTCCCAAGAAAAAATAAAAATGTTTGAAGTGAGAGATATCCCAATTACCCTGATTTGACCATTACACATTGTATGCTTGTATCAAAATATCATAGGTACCCCGTAAATATGTACAACTATTTATAGCAATAGAAATGTAAAAGACAAAACAGAAAATATAACAGTGACTCATCAAATACAGAATATCAAAAAGAAATTATTTTTAAATGACCATTTTTAAATTCTAGAGTTAAGAAGAATGATAACAGAAATAAAAAATACACAAAGGGACTCAACAAGAGATTTGAGTGGCAAAAGAAAGAATCAGCAAATTTGAAGATAAATCACTAGAAATTGTCCAATCTGAAGAACTGAAAGTAAAACTAATGAAGAAATATTAGCAGAGCCTGAGAGACCTGTGAGATACCATTAAGTATTCCAACATATGTGTACTGGGAGTTCAAAAAGAAGAAAAGAGAAAGAGGCAAAAAAAAAAAAAAATGAAGACATAATGGCCCAAACTTCCCCAAATGGATTAAAAACATTAATCTACACACCCAAGAAGCATAATTAATTCCAAGTAAGATGAACTAAAAGACATTTACAGAGACACATCATAGCCAAGATGTTGAAAGGCAAAGACAGAGAAAATCTTGAAAGTAGGAAGAGAAAAGCAATTCATCATAGACAAGTGGAAAGGAGAGCTTGATAGATTAGTAGCTGATTTCTCTTCAGAAATAATGAAGTCTCAGAATGCAGTGGGATGACATATTCAAAGTATTGAAAGAAAAAAAGCTGTCAACCAAGAATCCCATATCTAGCAAAACTATATTTCAAAACTGAAGACAAAACAAAGACATTTCCAGATAAACATTACCTCTCTTACAAAGAATACTAAAGGAAATTCCTCAGGGTGAAAGAAAATAACACTAGACAGTAATTCAAATTCACACAAAAAAAATACAGAGCATGAGTAAAAGTAACTATGTATTTAAATATAAGAAACTTTAGAAAGATAGTTTCTCTCTTCTCTTAATTTATTTAGAAGACAATTGGCCAGGAGCGGTGGCTCATGCTTGTAATCCCAGCACTTTGGGAGGCCGAGGAGGGTGGATCACCTGAGGTCAGGAGTTCGAGACCAGCCTGGCCAACATGGAGAAACCCTGTCTCTACTAAAAATACAAAATTAGCCGGGGGTGGTGGCGCATGCCTGTAATCCCAGCTACTCAGGGGGCTGAGGCAGGAGAATGGCATGAACCCGGGAGGTGGAGCTTGCAGTGAGCCAAGATCGTGCCACTACACTCTAACCTGGGCAACAGAGTGAGACTCCGTCTCAAAAAAAAAAAAAAAAATGAAGACAATTGTACAAAAGAAAAAGAATAATTATAAAAACTTTCCTGTTGGAAATATGCCATACAAAGAAGTAATATTTATAAATAATAATATCACAAAGGAGGAGGGATAGAACTATATTGAAGCAAAATTTCTGTATGTCACTGGAATTAAGTTAGTATTACCTGAAATACATTGTTTTTAGTTTAGAAACATACTGTAATTCCCCCAGAAGAACCACTAATAAAATTATTCCCAAAAATATAATTAAAAACAATTGAAAAAGGAATTTAAATAGCACACTAAGAAAAAGTATTTAGGACAAAAACAGCAGGAAAGAAGGAATAGAGGAACAAAAGGGCATGAGACAAATATAAAACAAATTGAAAATATGAGATTAAATACAAATATATCAATAACTACATTAAAAATCAAATGATTGTGCTCACTTCAGCAGCACATACACTAAAATATCAATGATACAAAAAAGATTAGCATGGCTTCGTGCAAGAATGACATGCAAATTCACGAAGTGTTCCACATACTTTTGAGTTTAAAAAATGGCTAATCCCAAAGGGTTACATAATGCATAGTCCTATTTATATAACATTTTTGAAATGACAAAATTTTAGAAGTAGAGGTCAGATTAGTGGTTTCCACGGATTAGGGATGTGGCAGGGGTGGGGGTGGCAGGGATATGGGTATAATTATGAAAGGGAAACATGAGGGATACTTGTGGTGTTGGAACTGTTCAGTACCTTGACTGTGGTGGTGGATACACTGTCCTACACAGGTGATAACATTACATAGAACTTAATAAACCCCCTCACCCACAGACACACACACACACACACACACATGATTACAAATGAAGCTGGGGAAATAGAAATAAGAGCTATGGATTATACCACCACCAATATCTAAATTGTAATATTATACTATAGTTTTGCAAAATGTTACTGTTGTTGGAGAAGACTAGGCAGAATGTACCAGGGACTGTTCTGGGTCATTTCTTAGTACTATACATGAATATACACTTATCTCAATAAAAATTTTAATTAAAAATGTAAAAGGATTAAACATTCAAATTAAAAGGCAGACACAGTTATACTGGATATAAAACAAAACCCAACTATATGCTGTCTACAAGAGACACACCTAGATTCAAAGACACAAATAGTAAAAGTTGAAAGTAAAAATACAAAAATTATATTATGCAAATAGCAACTATGAGAGAAATAAAGTCACTGTACTAGTAACAGACAGAATTAAGATAAAAAATATTGCTACAGACAAAGAAGAACATTTTATAATCATAAAGCGTTAGTTAATCAGGAAGATATAACAATTACAAAATATACACATGCCTGACAACAGAGCTCCAAAATACATGAAGCAGAAACTTACAGAATTGAAGTAAGAAATTAAAAATTTCACAGTAACAGTTGAAGACTTCTATAGTCCACTCTATAGAATGGATAAAACAACTAGACATAAAATCAGCAGAGACATGGAAGAATTGAACAACATTATTAACCAACTGGACCTAACTGATATCTATAGCACACCCCACCCAACGATAGCAAAATATACATTCTTTTGAAGTGCACAAGGAATATTCTTGAGGATAGACCATATGCCAGGTGCCATGGTTTGAATATTGTTTGTCCCCACCAAAACTCATGTTGAGGCTTGGTCCTCAGTGTGGTGATGTTGGGAGTTGGCACCTTTAAGAAATGAGTAGGTCACTAAGAGGGGTTAATGCCTTTCTCATGGGAGTGAGTTCTCACTCTCATGGGACTGTATTAGTTACCATGACAGTAGGTTATTATAAAGTAAGGCTGCCTCTCGTGTTTGGTTTCTTTGCACATGCTGCTTCCCCTTCTGCTTCTCCACCATGTTATGATGAAGCACACAGCCCTCACTGGAAGCCAACCAGATGCAGCCACCCAATCTTGAACTTCCCAGCCTCCAGAACTATGAGTCAAATAAACCTCATTTCTTTATAAATTATCCAGTCTCAGGTATTCTGTTGTCACAGCAGAGAATGGATTAAGGCACTTGGCCACAAAATAACACTTAATAAGCATAAAATGATTAAAACAATACAAAATATGTCCTCCAACCACATTGGAATCAAATTATAAATCAATAAAAGGAAATTTGTGAAGTCAATAAATACTTGGAAATTAAACAACATACTTCTAAATAACCAATGGGTTATAGAAAAAAATGCAAGGGAAATTAGAAAGGAACTGAAGGAAAACAGAATCACAATATATCAAACTTTATGACATAGAGAGAAAACAGTGTTTAGAAAAACCTTTATATCTTCAAATGCTTATATTTAAAAAAAGAAAGATCTCCAACGAATTGCCTAAACTTTTACCTTAATAAGTAAAAAAAGAAAAGAAACCTAAACACAAAGCAAGCAAAAAGAAGAAATAATAAAGATCACAGTGAAAATCAATGAAATAGACAACAGAAAAACAATAGACAGAGTCAATGATACCAAAAATTGGTTCTTTGCAACAATCAACAAAATTGACAAAAATTTAGATAAACTGATCAAGAAAAAAAGGAGAAGACATAAATCACCAAATTCAAACATGAAAGAGGAGACATCACTATTGACCTTATAGAAATTAAAAGGATTAAATGAGAATACTATGAACAACCATATAGCAGAAAATTCAACACTTTAAATGAAATGGGCATATTCCTAGAAAGATACACATCACCTGAACTAATGCAAGAAGAAATAAAAAACATGACTAGACCTATAACGAGAAATTGAATTAGTAATTTTAAATCTTCCCACAAAGAAAAGCCTAGGCTAAGATGGCTTTACTGGTGAATTCAATCAAACATTTATAGAAGTTAAATCAATCTTTCATAAATTCTTCCAGAAAATAGGGGAGGAGGAAACTCTTCCCAATTAATTTTCTGAGACCAATATTACCCTGATACCAATGCCAGATAAAAACATGACATGAAAGGAGCACAACAGACAAATATACTTCATGAATATAGATGCAAAAATTTTAATAAAATTTAAGTAAGCTAAAATACCAGAAACCTGTGAAAAATATTAAACATCATAACAAGAGATTCTTTTAATCCCAGGAATGCAAGGATAATTTAACATCTGAAAATTAATGTAATATATTACATAAATAAGATGAAGGACAAAAAACACATGATTATCTCAACAAATTCAGAAAAAGTATTTGACAATATCTAATATCCATTCATTATAAAAACTCTCAACAGACTATCATCTATGAAAAATCTGTAGATAAAATCATACTTAATGGTGAAAGACTGAATGTTTTCTTTCTAAGACTAGGAATAAGGCAAGGATGTTCACTCTAATCAGTTCCATCTAACATCGTAATGGAAGTCCTAGCTAGTGGAATCAAGCAAGAAACAAACAAAAAGAGATATCCAGGTTTGAAAGAAAGAAGTAAAACTATCTCTATTCCCAGTTTACTGAGTTGATCCTACTTGGAGTTCGTGGAGCTTCTTGGATGTGTAGATTTATGTTTTTCATTATTTCTTCAAATATTCTTTCTTCCCCTTTCTTTCTCTCCTCTCCTTTTGGACTCCCATTATGTGTATGTTAGTACACAGGTCACTGAGACTCTGTTCATTCTTATTCATTCTTTTTCTTTCTGTTCCTCAGACTGAATAATCACAACTGACCTGTCTTCAAGTTTTCTCATTTTTTCTTCTGCCAGCTCGAATCTTCTGTTGAGCCCCATTATTGAATTTTTCATTTCAGTTATTTTACTTTTCAACTCCAGAATTTTTGTTTGGTTCTTTTTTATAAAAGCATACCTCAGAGATATTGCAGGTTTAGTTCTAGATCATCATAATAAAGCAAATGTCATGATAAAGCAAGTCACATGAATTTTTGGTTTCCTGGTGCATATAAAAGTTATGTTTACACTATACTGTAGTCCATTGTGTGCAATAGCATTATGTCTAAAAAATGCACATAACTTAATTTAAAAATACTTTATTGCTCTAAAAATGCTGGCAGAGAGACACAAAGTGAGTACATGCTGTTGGAAAAATGGTGCCAATAGACTTGCTCAATGCAGGGTTGCCAAAAACCTTTCATTTGTAAAAAATGCTGTATCTGCAAAGCACAATAAAGTGAAGTGCAATAAAATGAGGTGTGCCTGTAATTTCTGTCTTTATATTCTTATTCTTTATATGGTGATACATTGTTCTCCTACTTTCACTTTTTAGACATGGTTTCCATTAGCTCTTTGGATGTATTTAAAATGTTCAAATACCTATTTTAAAGTTTTCATCTACAAAGTCCAACATCTGGTGTTCCTCGGGGACAGTTTCTGTTGATTGTCATTTTTTTCTGCTCTGTATGGGCCATATTTTCTTGTTTCTTTGCTTGCCTCATAAATTTTTGTTGAAAGCTGGGTATTTTGAACATCATAATATGGCAACTCTGGAAATCAGATATTCCCTCATCCCCAGAGCTTGTTGATGTTACTGCTTGTTGTTGTTTTTCTAACAACTTTACTGATATAATTTACTGATATAATTCTGTAAAGTCTATACTCTTTCTTATGTTTGGTCACTGAGGACTCTGTTTGGTCAGCCTGGTGATTAGCCAACAATTGAACAGAGATTTCCTTAAATGCCTGGAACCAAAAATTCTCCCACTGTTTGCAGAGGCGTTCTCTGTGCATGCTGATGCATGTCTTCAACATTCAGACAGGCAGTCTACAATACTACCTTGGTCTTTACTTCTGGTTTGTGCAGAGCCTCGAGGTTGACCAGAGAGGTGAGCTTAAGGCCTTCTCAGGTTTTTTCTGAGCATGCACACAGCCTCGAACTTGCATGCAGCCTTCTGCCTTCCCAGAAATATGTTGGAAATTTTCAAAGCCCTTATTCCCCTACACATCTCAGACTTTCTTACCAAGATTTTCGGTTAGTCTATTGTTTGTCTCAACCATTATCCATTGCCGCAGGCAGCAATAAATAAAATATTTACCTGTAAATATTTCAACAAATATGCCCCCCGGTAGTGAGTTTAGGACTGGGTGAGTTTGGAGCTAGGCAAGATAAAGATATATCTTTTGACCAGGTATTCCAGAGGGCCACCAGACAGATCAACTAAAGGCAATTCTTTGCAAATCAGGTCCTTCTGCCCCATCTCGTACTGGTGTTGGAATGCAGGATATTATTTTCAAGGCTATAACTAAGCTGGGGAGTGGTAGATAAAACCAGGGTGATTTAAAATGCTACAAAGCTCTGTTCTTGCCAATAATCAGCCATTTTTCATGAATAAGCACTCTCTGAGTTGTTGCAAGCTTTTGGTTAATTTTCAAACTTCTGAAAAAGTTGATTCTGACAGTTTTTGCCACTTTTTTCATTGCTTTTATGAAGAGGTGGACTTCTGGAGTTCCCTACTCCATTTTCAACGATTTCATTTTCTATTCACAGATGACATGATCTTGTGTATGGAAAGTCCCAAAATATCCACTGAAAAACTATTAGCACTAATAAACAAGATCAACAAAATTGTATGATATAAGAGCAATAGACAAAAAAATCAATTGTATTTCTAGGTACTTATTATAAATTATTGGAAAACGAAATTAAGAAACAGTTCTATTCATAATAGCACCTAAAAGAGTAAAATACTCAGAAATGAGTGTAATGAAAGAAGTCTATTGCTTGTGCACTGAAAACTATAAAATATTGTGCCAAGAAATTAAAGAAAATATGAATAAATACTAAGAGATTTTATTTTCACAGATTGGAAGATTCAATATTATTATGATGGCAATTTTCCCCAAATTGGTCTATAAATTCAATGCAATTCCTATCAAAGTCCTAGCTGCCATTTTTACAGAAACTGAGGGGTTATCCTAAAATTCATATGGAAATGCAAAGGCCCTAGAATAGTCAAAATAATTTTGAAAAACAAGAACAAAGTCAGAGGACTTGTACTTCCTGACTTCAAAACTTACTATAAAGCTACAGTAATGAAGACAATGCGGTACTAGCATAAGGATAGACATATAGATCAATGGAACAGAATTGAGATTCTAGAAATAAACCCTTACATTTATGGTTAATTGATTGTTTACAAAGGTGTCAATGCAATATGATACAGAAACAACAATCTTTTCAACAAACAGCAGAGACAATTTTTAACAAATGGCACATGCAAAAAGTTAAATTTAAACACTTTTCTCACATTATTCACAAAAAGAAAATAACTCAGCGCATTGTAAGTCTAAATTTAAAAGCTAAAAGTGTAAAACTTTCCTAAGAAAACCTTTGTGACCTTGAGTCAGGCAGAGTTTTTAGATACCATGTCAAAAGCAAAATCCATTTAAAAATACTTAATAAATGGAACTTTACCGAAATTTAAAAACTTTGCTCTTCAAAAAGCACCTTTAAGAAAATTTAAAGACGAGCCAAATAATGAAGACAAATATTTGCAAATCATATATCTAATAAATATATAAAGAACTCTTCCAATTCAACAGTAAAAAGAAAAACAACCCTGTTAAAATTTTGGCTAAAGATTTGAATAGATGCTTCACCAAAGAAAATACCTAAATGGATAATAAATACATGAAAAGATGTTCAAACTCATTGTTTATTAGTGAAATTCAAATCATAACCACAATGAACCACCACTTCACTCCCACTAGAATTGCTATTATCAAAAAGACAGGAAATACTAAGCATTGGCAAGGATATACAGAAACTAAAACCCTCATACTTTGATGGTGAGAATGTAAAGTGGTCGAACTACTTCAGAAAACAATTTGGTGATTTCCTCAAAATTTGAACGTAATTTTAGCAGACAATCCATCAACTCCATTCCTAGTTATCTACCCAAGAGAAATAAAACCTTATGTCCACATGAAGCCTTGTATGTGGGTGTTCATAGCATCATTATTCATAATAGCCAAAAGGTAGAAACAATCAAATATCTATGAACTAGGAATGAAGAAACAAATGTAAATCCATACAGTAGCATATTGTCAGGCAATCAAAAAGAATTAAGTACTAATATATGCTAGAATATAGATGAACTTCAAAAACATTATGCTAAGTGAAAGAAGCCAGACCCAAAAGACTGCATATTGTATGATTCCATTTGTATGAAATGTCTAGGAAAGGCAAATCTGCAAAAATAGATAGTAGATTAGTCATTGCCTGAGGCTGGGGGTAAAATAAAGAGTTGGAAATAAGCATGAGGGATTTCTCTTTTGAGGTGATGGAAGTGTTCTAAAACTGGATTGTGGTGACAGTTGCTCAACTTCAAAAACTCACTAAGAATCATTGAATTGTACACTTAAAATTGTACACTTAAAAAACTTGTATGGCATACAAATTATGCCTTAATAAAGCTGTTTAAAAAATTAAATGAAACTATGATAATAAAAAGGCTACCCCTAAATAAATTACTATTAATCATATTAAGCCACCAGAACAGCAGTGTGGATGAGTTTACCAAAAGCACAGCCCAAAGGAAAGAAATTAATCCCTGGAGACAGAAGCCTGACTTCAACAAATGAAGAGACCCCACAGAGAACAAGAGGAGCACAGTCTTGTGCCTCCCATCCCAGGAGGCTTTGAGGAGGGTGCAACCATATCCCATTGCTGCATCCGCTACTCCCAATCTTATACTTTTCCAAAAGGAGAAGAGAGAGCAAATTACAATTTACACTATTTGGAACATCCTAAGAATTATGTGCCTATTGAGGGAGTCTTGGTTTTCAAACAAGTGTTTTGAAATAAAGTATCTGATGTCCTTCCAGACATGAGACCAGTAGTAAATATTAGAGTTTAAGGAGGACTCAGTGAGACCACACCCATGTTCCACACTGGAAACAGGCCCATATGACTCATTTTAATCACAACTCTCCTGCCCTACACACCCACAACAGATGAATACACAGTTTTCACAAATAATTATAATAGTTGCCATTTACTGGACACATTGTGCATCCAGCATTGTAGTCAAGGCTTCAACACTCTCAACAAACACAACCCTATGACACAGGATTCATCCTTACCCTCACTCTACAGATGAGGAATCTGAGACCTGAAGAGGTTATGAAACTCACCCGCAATCATGTGTCTGGTAATTACTGGAGCTGAGATTCTTCCCTCTGAGCCTTCTACCTGCCGAGACTGAATTCTCAGCCCCTACTCTCTATTGCCGTGTTCCTCAAGCTTATTTTCTTTAATACATCATGACCCAGGACATACAAGTATATCTGTAAATGGAGTTTCACAAAACAATACTTAACGTTTACTATGCAAAACATTTTTATTCTATTTGTCTTATTTTACTTTTTAATATTAGGTTGGTGCAAAAGTAATTGCATTTTTGCCCTTAAAAGTAATGGTCAAATATCTTGGTCAGTATCACTAACATAATTTTAAAAACACTATTACACAGAAAAACCTGTATAGTCACATTGAGGTGACTCTGTAAAAACTTTCAAGACCTCTTTAGGTATGTGCATCAAAGTCAAGCACCTGCCAGTCTGAATATCTGCCTACACTGCAGCCCTTCACCTGCCAGAGAAAGGACGAAGAGAGAGCTAAAAGCCTGAGCAAGTCACCCAGTGGATAGCCCCTACTCAAGGGTGCACTAAGCGAGAATTTAGCCATGAGGAGGGCAAGAAAAGAGAGAAGCAATCTATTTGTCTTAAACGAAGTGTACAGCAACAGAATTCTTAGCAACACACCAAAAGACTAAGAGGTTCTAAGAAAATCTCATGTTTTCCTATGACCAGAGTATCATAGGTAGACTTTATTCTCAAATTCACTTTGCTTAATACCACCTTAAGACAACTTATAGGGGCGTATGAGAGCTCAAAGCTGGCCAACTCTGCCACTCACATCTCCTACCACATCAACAACATAAAACTCAGATCCCAGATTCAGAGACACCAGAAATGCTTTCTGTTCAATTTATAATTAAAAGGGTGTAGCTTCTATTTGAACAGCTTCACCAAGTGAAAAACTTTTAAATGATTTTCTGCCTACGTATTTCCACTTTATTAAAATGAAAACATAACCCTGGATGATTATTTTCCCTTGCATCATTCTGGCATTTTATCTTGTGCTTATTTGGGGACCGTTCTGTTCTTTTGCATTAATCTTAGTAATCCTAGCAGACTTCCTCACAATTCATTTCTCTACAGAGTTATCTCTATTCGCTAAGATTTTCTGCTGATGTAACTACTTGGGCTGATCAAAAAGGTGAAGAGGGGATTAGGAAGGTCCATATTAAAGGTTTTAAGCATATGTGTTCTCAATTATTTTCTTGATCTGGGAGATTACATTGGAAGAGTTATCTCTGTCTCCTTAAGAAGAGAGGTTGCAAGAGACACAGCATTGTTGAGATTCTGCTGTTGAGGAGTTGGAAAGGATTACTCCTTTTTCCTCTGTCTTTAACCATTGCATTGCTAAGAAGACTCCTTTATGAAGCCTCTGCTTCAAAGACCTTTGAGGTGCAGATGTCTGCAAAGTAGCTCAGATTTAATATTCCCAAATCAGAACTTCTGACTTTGGCCACCATTTCCACCCCAACTGCTCTTCCCTGTCACCCACCCCCACCTTCCCATTGTCAGAAAACAGTCACCTCCTCCCTCCCAGTCGCTTTGGCCTAAAATCCAGAGGCTCTCCCTCTGGATTTCCCTCCCTCACTAGCCCCCATACATGATTCATTAGCAAGTCCTATCCCCCTGCTTTCAAAATAGGTCTCAAATTCAACCACTTTTCCCTATCTCTCTGCTCAGACGGCCTCTTCTTCTTGCACTGGAACTACTGCAGTGATCCTCAAACTGGTATCCTTGTTTCTGCTTTTACCCCTTCCAATCCATTCTCTACCCAGCAAATGGAAGATCTTATAAAAATTTAAAGCAGATCATGTCCTCCCTCAGCTTAAAATCTGAAATACATTTCCATTGCAGTTAGAATAATGATGTCCTTGTTCTATAAGGTTCTACACAGGTCACCTCTCCTAACTAATCTCCTCCTACTGCCCCATACTTGCTCATTGAACTTGCACCACACTGGCCTTCTTATTTGTCTTCAAATGCACCATGCTTATTTCCACTTAAGGGCATTTGTACTTACTGTTCTATCTGCCTAGAACACTATTCTACCAGACTGTCACATGACTAGCTCCCTTCTGGTCTCAGCTCAAGTGTCATGAAAGTAGCCTCAGAGAAGCTTTCTATGACTGCCCTAGCTAATGCTCTCTGTCCACCCACTCACTGTCACATTACCCCATTTCATTTTCTTCATAGAACTTATTTGAAATACTTTTTGCATACTTGTTTATTGTCTGTGTCCTCCATTGCAGTGCAAGCTCCAGGGAAACAGGAACCATTGTCTCTCTTGTTCACTGGAGTATGGCACTACCTAGAAGAGTGCTTGGCAGCAAGAGGGCACTCAATTAATAGTCAATGAATGAACTGGCATGCCGCACTATTTCTGACATCCTTTTGTACATCCACTAATGTACAAATAATATAAGCTATCAATCAAATATCTTAAGCAAGGTCTTTTCCAATGCCCTCCTTAATGACATCAGGGATATTAAAACTATGAGAATCTAACTCTGAGGAATTAATTCTGCCCTAGCCTACTCTGGCTCATTTACGTCTTATCATAATTCACTGATTCAAAAAACATTTACTGAGTAATTAGCAAAAGCCAGACAATGTGCTAACCACAGGTACATCACCCGATTGGAACCCTCACTTTTTACCTGTGTTAGCAATTGGTGAAGACTGTATACACCATACAGCCAAACACTAATTGCAATTGTATATTTTAAAAGACAACTACTTTCATTTAATATTGGACAATCAATCAGAGGGCTAATAATAATTTCCTGTTACTTAGAAGGAGCTTTATGCCAAACAGCAAGGTTTTTTTCTTCTTTTATTAAGAAAAGCTAAATAAGAATTAGATGGAAGAAAGCTGTACTATTCAAATACAGAATTTAACTATGTGGGAAGAGGAGGAAATGGAGAGCTGATTTTTTTCCTCAAAGGTAAAAAAAAAAAGTGGGGAGGTAGAATTTCTTTGAAATCTGCAGCGCATAATTTACTGCATGAAAGTGCAAGCAGCCAGTTCTTGGAAACAGAACAGCACCATCAGGGCAGCTGTTTCAATTATAAACCAGTTTTGGTTTAGCCATGAACATTCAGGAAGTTATTAAAACTGCACAGAATCATTGAATATTGGCACGAGAAGGAAACTTGGCACTCATGTTGTCCTCCACTTTTCTCAATTTATACATAAAGTCACTGCAGCCAGGCCACGTCAAGTGGCTTGTCCAGCGTTTCACAGTAAGTGGCCAAGTTAGAATTCATAATCAGGTTTTCTGGCTCATTGGCTCTGCCATACACAGTTTGTTGCCTATCCAATTGCCCATCCCTCTATCCTTCCCCATCTCCTACTTCCCTGCTCATAAAATCCTGATTTGTTTTAAAAAAAAAAAAAAACCCACAGGTGGAAAACCTGTGATTTCAGAAAAGAAGAGCCCCTCTGCCAGCCCCAGGGGATAAATCATTATTGGACTAAGTGATCTTCTCATATCCTTTGGCCTGTATTGGTCTGCCATGGGCCTGTGACTTATTTCTGTCTCATGAGATCTAAAGGACAGTCTTCTGGTAATGTGTAATTTCCCCTCCTGCCCAAGAAAAATACAGAACCTCAGAAGAGAAAAAAAAAATACTTCCTTTCAACTTTCTTTTTGCCTTGAACTCAGGTGTCACCCCTAGGGATGCTGCAGTTATTTTGCAACCGTAAGACAACAAGTCAATAGACTAAGTATAGCAGAAATAGAGAAAGGGCGTAGGTTGCTGAAAAGAAAGCAGTTGCCCACTTCCAGATTTCTTGATAAGCAAAGAAAAATAACTCCCTGCTTCTTTAAGCCACTGTTGTCAGATTTTTCTCACTTGCAGCAGGACCCATTCCTAACTTGTACTGCATCCCAGAGACCTCCAAACTGTGATTTTAGGAGCTATACAAAGTATGTTGCTGTCCCTTAAGGGTCAAGAAAGGTGAGGGATGAAGAGAGAGAGAAGAATCTACAATTACAGGCCCCTAACCCCAAAGTGAAACTGAGCATCCCTTTTCTCTCTGAGTCTCATATTGAACTTTCATAAAAGCTTTCATTGAAACAACATATCCACACTCTGGAATCATTTTGAGAACCGTTGCAGCATGCCAGACAGGCCTTTGCTTTCAATAAATGAAACCACAAATAAAAGGCCCAGGGGAGCTCAATAGGCAGATTAGTCCCCTGCAGATGCCTTTTGTAAAGAGATGAACCATCCTTCTATTATATAAAAATATGGATTTCACATGTAGGCTCACTTAGAATGGGGTGAGATTATTGTCTCCCTCACCAGGAGCCTTGAAATTGGCCTCTGGGACTACACTGATCTCCTCACTCCTTTCATTTCCAGCCACTGGTATGTCCTCTGATACCAGCAAGCAGATAAAATGATAAACATCACCAGCCACTCTCGGTGTCAACTCCCCTTTAGGGACTAAAAAGTGGAGAATGGTTATTATTCTGCACTGTGAAGAATGGGTTTTCCTGTTCACTAGAGAGCTGGGGGCAGGGACATGGTTTGGGGACACCTGGACTGGTCATTGACTGTGATTTTCCTCTTCACAAACCAGGAAAGTCTGATCTTTGCAAAGCTTTTCCTAATTAGAAGTACGGTGATTATTAACGTAGGTACTTCCAGAATGCTCACATGAATCTTGGGGAGAAAAGGAGAGTTTTATAAAAAGAATTTGGCTATTTTCCCAACTCAGGTAGGACCCACATGGGGAGAGTATCTCTGGTAGCCACAAGCCCAATAGAAAATCCAGGAGAAGGGAAAAAACAGAAACAAGCTAGATTGCATCTGTTTATGTTGCATAACCTCCTTGCTTCAAAGCCTGTATCCTCGACTTAGTTGGGAAGTTCAAATGTATGTGCATGCATATCAGATACCTCTGTGACCATCTCACATACTCCCAGCCCACCTTTTACCTTATCCATTGCCATGGCTACCTGCTTTATGCACATGTAACTTGACAGCATCTCAGTTTAACTCACTGTGTGTCTGGCTCTCTGACCCAGAATCCTTCTGATGCTACAGTATGGGCTATCCTCAAGACTCATGCATGGCTGCTCTCACTTATAAGTGGGAGCTAAACATTGGGTACATGTGGACACAAAGATGAGAAAAATAAACACTGATGATTCGAAAGGGAGGAAAGAGAGAAAAGCGCAATGGTTGAAAAACCACTTATTGGGCACTACGTTCACTACTTGGGCGATGGCATCGTTAGAAGCTCTCAGCATCACACAATATACACATGTAACAAACCTGCACACATACCCCCTAAATCAAAAATAAAATAATAAAATGACTCATGCATGGTAGAGCTGGAAGTAAGAGGAAGCCAGCCTCCCATGGGGAAGCCCCTGACCAATGGGGGAGAAGAATTGGTGAGTTTATCTTTTGTTCCCCAGAAAGGCAATTCAGAGGTACAATCACATAGCTCCTCAGATGCTCTCAACTGGTATAAGCCCCAGTAGCCCACAGCAGTGACCAACTCAACAATGCATCCTTGGAGTGGCTCTCCTTCCTTCCCTGTTTCACTCTTTCCAGTTCTCCACTTATTTTCCCTGGGATCACTTCCCTAAAGAAACTACCTGCCTCCAAGTTCTGGTCTCAGGAGCTGCTCTTTCTGGGTAAGAGAACCCATCCCATCAATTTATAACCCATGTAGAATGTCACAGTCTCCATCACTCCAAGAAATGCTAGGACAGGGCTTCCTAGCAGTTGTATCATCTGAGCTGTCATCAAGGAGGCATGTCCTTCTGCCAGACGGCTTCTGTGGTGGTCATAAAACATAGCCATAAATTATTTGACACTCCTCCCATAAATAGCTATGGTTTATGACCACTCATTCCCCTTGAGTCTAGGCAGATTCATGACCACTTCGACCAATAGAATATAGCAGAAGTAACACAATGCAGCTTCAAGGCTGGGTCATACAAGCCCTTGCAACATGTACTTTGTTTTCTGGATCACTTGCTCCTAGACCTTGAGCTACTACATACAAAATCTGACTATCTTGAGGCCACCATGTTGGGAAGGCCATGTATAGGTACTCTATTCTCCAGTCTCAGGTGAGCCCAGTCTTCCAGCCATTTGATCAAGGTGCTGGACATGTGTTACGGTCTGAATATTTGTGTCCTCCCCAAAATTGATGCATGGAAACCTAATACCCAATGTGATAGTATTAGAAAGTAGGGCCTCTGGGAGGTTATTAGGCCATGAAGGATCTGCCTGCATGAGTGGGATTGGTGCCGTTATAAAGGAGACCCCAGAAAAAACAGCTAGCCCCTTCCACCATGTGAGGACACAGAGAGAAGGTGCCATCAGTAAACAATAGAGTTAGGCCTCACCAGACACCAAATCTGCCAGCACCTTGATCTTGGACTTCCCAGGCTCAAGAACTAAGAGCAATACATTTCTGTAGTTTCTAAGCCACCCAGTTAATGGTATTTTGTTATAGTAGCCTGAACAGACTAAGACAACATGTGAATGAAGCCATCTCAGACCTATCAGGCCTGTTCATCCACCAGATGAATACTAGCAAGTGACCTACGTTGACACTGCAAGGAACAGAAGAATCATGTAGACAAGCTGTACCCAAATTTCATATCCACAAAATCATGAAATATAACAACATGGTTGTTGTTTTAAGCTACTATGTTTGGGAATCTTTTGTTCAGCAGAAATAGATAACTAAAACACCTGGAAATTCAGGTCAAGCCTGCTTAAGAGAGAGCACTGCTCTCCTTGAAATTAGGGAAAAGAGCAATTCCCCATGGAAAAGACTATTCAAGGGTTCAGGTCACCTCAATTCTAACTTGATAATTTCTCTTAGGTCTACTCCACCCCTATATTCTGTTTCTCTTGTCCTATCTAAGTGATTAAACATTGATACCCTTAAACCTGCTGCCTCATTCCTCATGTAAATAAAACTCCAAGCATTGGACCCTAATATCAAAGTGGCATCTCTGTCTTTGTCTCAGCTTTCTTAGAAATGTGTCTACCAAAAGAGATTTGAGAGTATGTGTTGGGGGAAGAAAAAAAGCATTATGCCATCACATGAATGATGTTTAATGCATTATAATCTCAGGATGTACACAGAGGGAGGAAAAAAGAGTTGTTCAAAGGCCGTCTCAGGATGAAAATGCAATAATTGGGAATTAGTAGGGATTCTGAGACATAAAACGGTTGTTACTGCCTTTTATGCTTCTGTTTGTCACATTTAATAATAGGAATATTTTACATTTGTATAATGCCTCAGAGTTTAAAGAGCACTTTTCTATATATTAGCTCACATTCTACAAGCCTTCTATGTATGAGTTCACCTACACCCATGACTTCAAGACATATGATCTGCATGGAGATAACTCCCAAGTTGCCCAACAAATCTCTCTCTCTCTCTCTGTCTCTCGACTTCTAATTGCCTCCTAAACCTTTCCACATAAATATTCTGAAGACATCTCAAATTCATTACTTCAACACTCAATTCATTTTCCCCACAACCCTCCCAACGCATGTGCGTACGCACACACACACACACACACACACACACACCATCTCTTCCACCTTTGTTTCCAACTCAGATAATGGTGCCACTGTCCTCCAAGACTAGAAAGTCTGAAGTCAAGAAGTCATCTCAATCTTCTCTTTCCCCTCAAAGCCCATTAGTTGTCAGGTCCTGTGAGCTCAGTTTCCACAATGCTTCTCAGATTTGTACTCTCCTTTCTATTTCCCCAGGTGCCACCACCAATTCAGGCCCTCCTCATCTGTCTGGATCAGGGTTAGCAAACCACAGCCCTTGAACCAAATTCAGCCCTCCACCTATGTTAGTAAATAAAGTTTCATTGGAATATAGCTGTGCTTATTCATTTGCATATTGTCTATGGCTGATTTCACACCATAGCAGCAGAGTTGAGTGGTTGCAACAGAGACTATAACAGCCTGCAAAGCCTCAAATCTGGTCCTTTCCAGAAAAAGTTTGCCAGCCCCTGGTGTAGACAGCCTGAATAAATCTGCAAGAGAAGAGACACCCTTCGACTTTTACTTGCTCAGAGGTATTTTTTGCCACCAAGGAGAATATGCCGACAATTTTGCCTTCATGGTGCCCAGTGTCTGCCTTGTATGCAGAGTTTATAGTGTTGATTTATCAAAGTTTTTGTCATTTAAAACTGACTTCCTATTATGTAATGAGCTTTATCCCTGGGGGCGTTGTGAAATGAGCATATACCTGTAATTCTATACGTCATATCACAGGTTCCTCAAGACTAAGTCAAGACTCACAGCTGGGTGTCCATGGCTGGAGTGGAAAGAACTCAACACCCCATGTTACATCTTGTGTTTCCCTTGTTGCTGTTGGGTTTTGATTATTTATTCTGTACTCGTTGACACTCTGAAGACTTTTAGGACATAGTCCTAACTTAATTAAATTTAAGGCCATGGAATAAATAGAAATAGTCATTTTTAGTCCTACCCTTCCTTGCTCCAACAGGCAACATTGACAGTTTCTATATGATTACAATTGGTTGAAAAGAGAAATTTCTGTATTTGTTTTCTATTGCTATATAAATTACTACAAACTTACTGACTTAAAACAACACACATTTATTATGTCACAGTTGTGTGTTAGTCTGGGCACAGAGGGCCTGGATTCTCTGCTCAGCATTCTCACTGGGCTGACATCAAAGGGTCACAGCCAGGGCTGTGGTTCTTTTCTAAGGATTGGAGTCCTCTTCCAGGTTCACTGGTAGTTGGCAGAATTCAGTTCCTTGTGATTGTCAGACTGAGGTCCCCATTGTCCTATTGTTAACTGGGGACTACTCTCAGCTTCCAGAAGCTGCCCAAAGGCTATTCACTAGGGTGTTTGCTTTCTTCTGGGCCAGCCAAAGTGTCTCTCTAAGATTATTTTCTGTGACCAGTGGAAGAAAACTCTCTGTTTCTAAAGGGTTCACATGATTAGGCAAAGCCTATCCAGATAATCCTAAAGTCAGACAATTTGGGACTTTAATGGCATCTGCAAAATCCCTTCACAGTGTCACCTAGGTTAGTGTTTGAGGAATAACTGGGAGAAAGTACAGGTACACCAGGTAGGGCGGGAATCTTAGAATCCTGCCTACTGCGATTTCTTTCTCCATAATGCCAAAAAGCTAATTTAACTAACTGTTCAATGAGTTTAACTGTGTTTTAGAAAGCTTGTTCATTCTGTCAGAGATTTGAGGGGAGTAAAATCATGAGAAAACTTTGGAAGCTTTCAAAATTCCTTCCAAGTCTCCCTTTTTAAATGAAGACTAAGTTTAGAGGTGCTTTGTGTTTGTGTTTTTGTTTTGTCTCACAGTCACCAGATACAATGGTACCAACTTTTCAAATGTCCCTTTATGAGAACCACTTCCTACAACGCCAAAAAGGCACGAATACATCTAGCCATATTTTAGGGGAAAAAGTCTCTCAATATTTTCCATGCTATTTAATTTCGTCTTCAGATCTCTAACTGTTTTTTTTTCTTTTCGGGGCGTGTCTAATGGAATGGAGGAATGGAAAGTAGAAAGTGTCTGGAAAATTAATATAAACTTCTTTCCTGGCTCTAAATGTTTAACAATTCCTTAGCCAAGAAGCATATTTTTTTTTCAGTTTCACCAGTTTTTTGTTGTTGTTTTTTTTTCCTGTAATTCTCTTTATTACTGGCAAAATGTACTGCCAAGGCTTTTCTTGTTTTTTAACTTTGGCCTGAAATACTTAAGCCTCTCACACTTTCCCCCTTGTTTTCTCTGTTATGAAGAATTTTATTGTGACAATCATCACGTAATCACCTAAAATGTATTTTTCCAATTTGACTTATGCTTGCAGGCTCCAGTGTCGTCTCATTATTTCTGTCATAATATTACTTAAATAGTCACACACTAAAAATAAACTCCTCATGCTTATCACTCTTTATGCAACTATACAACTAATTAATAAATTAAATGCAAACAAAATTACAGAGCCAATAAATTCAGATGATCAGCATTAATTTAATATGATGGATTATGTTGCTTTGCTAAAACCAAATCACCGTTATTGAGTTTAATAGTAGAAAGATGTAGCCTTCACTTTAATTCTATATTTAATCTATTTCTGCATTTTGACTTCTATACAGAGAGTGTCTGTTTACATAAGAAGGTTGTGCACAAATAATAACTTCATGGCTTTGCTTGCTACTTCCAGATAATCAGACCATACATGTAAATAAAACTCTTCTAGTGAGCAATCTTCAAATGCCAGTTTTAATTAGGCACAATGACACATGTGTCGACCTGTTTCCCAGGAGGATGGGACGGCAAATGCACAGGTTCTAAGATGGAAGCCTGCTTAGGGAAGGAACACAAGGGACAGCAAGGAAGCTGGTGCAGCAGGACATCACTCTTTTTTCTGATACCAGAATGCAGGCTCTTCTTGTTGACAGCTAGTATCACCATAGAGTTAGGTACTTCTAATCACTCATGTGCAAGAAAACCACGTAACCAAGTGCTAAAAAAATTAAATGGGCTTGACTACATTGACACTGTGACAGCTAGCTCAACCACATGGGGATATATGTAGTATAATTCCAAGGTAAAAGTGGAAATATTTCCAAAAGGAAAATAAGTTCTCTTAAGTTAGAATTTATAAGTGTTTACCATACAAGGAATCAAGTATCATGCTTAACGTGCAGCAAAACATATCCATATGATAGATAACTAGCAATATTATCTATCACTAACAGACATCTGATACATGAATGGGAAATCATTAGATTTACTCAAAATAAATTTTCTCAATTGGGATCACCTCAAAATCTACATTTTACTTAACATTAAAGATCTTCCTAGATTTTTCTTTTTATTTTGGTAATTCCAGGAGAAAGTGCCTGAGTGAAAACTCACTCTGTTCCAATAGCCACATCTAATCTATCAGAAACTTAAGGAACCTTGAGTATCATCGATTCCAACTCTTCCATTTTAAAAATGAGGAAATTGAAGCCCAGAGTAGCGTGATGCTTTATGCAAAGTCACACAACAAAGTTTCACAGGTGGGACTGGAATCCACAGCTTCTGGATCAACTTCCACATTCTTTCCATTGTTTATGCACTTGACTTTTTATCTCCTGGACCACATGACTTAGAACACTGATTCTCAAACTTTAGCATGAATGAGAATCACCTGGAAGGTTTGTTAAACATATAGATTGCTGAGCCCCACCCCCAGAGACTCTAGTTCAGTATGTCTTGGGTGGTGCCAGAGAATGTGCGTCTCTGACAAGTTCCCAGGTGATACTGATAATGCTGGTCCAGGGACTACACTTTGAAAATGCTTTCTTAGAAGGTAATGAGCTAAGTAATGTTTTGATTTTACTCAAAAGTGTGACAACTGGAACAAGCTGAATTTTTACCCAGGCACTTTCTCCTGGAATCACCAAGTTGAAGAGAAAACTCTAAAGGCTGTTTAATGTTTGAGGTGATCCCAGTTGAGCAAAATTCTTCAATTGAGTAGATTTAATTATCTCAGTTAATATCTAATAGGCATTGTTTTTTCTTACTCAGCAGTTCAATAATTAAGCATGATTCTCATTGGAGACAAAGCAAAGAATTAAAGACAGGATAGTACTTGTTAATGCTGATAAGCCTTTTGCCCTGTGGAAAAATTGAAGTAGTATTTCTATCTTATCTAAAGTAAGAAAATGGTTTTATTATTTGGGTATTAATAATTATGCCAAAATAAAGTATTTTTTACCTGACCCAAGTAGTAGATGGAACATGTTTGGAATAGTATTATTTGAAATCCTTGGGTTAAAAAATGTTTTATGCTGAAAAATTTGACTTTGAGAAGTGAATAAACAAATCTTCCAGGAAATCCTCCTTCCACTTGAGCCTATTTTATCCCAGGCCTAGATGTGCACTTCTCCAAACTTTTGAATGTATTCAAATCACCTGGGGATTTGATAAAATACAGATTCTAATTCAGTGGGTCTGGGGTGGAACCCAAGGGTCTATATTTCTAATAAGCTTCCAGATGAGGCCTATGCTACTGGTTTACGGACTCTGCTTTGAGTACAAAGGGTCTATACAGCTCTGCTCCCAACAGGTCACCAAGGCTTGCTCTATGACCACGTTCTTCAGAACCCATTTCTTCCTCTTTGTCTTCATCTACCACATCTGAATTGCTTTAGCCCAAGCTCCCCAGCAAGATGAGAACGACTGTGCCCTACCTTGAGAATGGTGCAGGGCTTCCCAGTGCCAACCAATGAGGCTTATAATATTATAACTATATAGTTATAACGTTATAACCATGTTATAGTTATAATCTTTGAATTATATTATAATATATTATAATATAATTCAATGATTCTCCAGGTATGCTCTGCTTCGGCATCCCTTTCAGTTCCTTTTTGTTACTCCAGCTTTGGCCCTAGCCAGCTTTCTATTGAAACCTATTAAGTCATTGCCATGTGATAACTTGTTCTACTCCTGTCTGAAGATATCCCTAGTTTATTTGCTCTCAAACAATAGACCATCTGTTCAAACATTGCTTCTCTGGGTTTCCACACTCTTTCCCAAGGTGATGACTCATGGTTTTGTTTAACAAGGCAAGAATAGAGATCCCTGGGGGCTTTTCTGCTGGCCTAGCACAAGTACTAGACAGTTTTGGTGCTGGCTCCAATGTCTCTCCTGGGCTTTTCTGGGGATACCAACAACCTCACATCTCTCCCACCTCAACTCTTCAAGAATGGTTGCCATTTCTCAATTTTTACTCCTCCTCTGTGCACCCCACGCCCCAAATAGTCACATCTTTGCAGAAGTCATTATCATAACCAGAAGTAACAATGGTTAACATGATTGAACACTAAACATGTGCCAAGTACTTTGTATTGTCTCAGATTTTCACAACGAACCCACAAAATAAGAATTATTATTTCCTTTTTAGGGATAAGGAAACTGAGTCTTAGAGATGAGCAAACTTGCCCTGGGCCACACAGATGAAAATGGCAGAGCTGAGATTCAAACCCAGCTCTGTGTGATTGCAAAGACAATACACTACATTGTCTTCCTTAAGGAACTTTGAGGAATATTTTCTCCAATCTAGATCTAGGGACGTTTGTCTGGCATTGGGTAGCCTGCACTGATACAGTGGATGGTCCCATCCTGACCATTTAGTGATGTAGAATCCTTTTCATTAGCCAGTGACTACTAAGAATCTAAGTATTTATAGTTTGCAGAAAGGAATAGATCACACTCTGTAGATACCATGCTTATCCCCTCATACCCACCAAGATACAGCCCACAAAGATAAACTCGATACTGAAACAAGTTGACGTGTAGAGTATAAGCAAATAATTAGAAATTCATTAATTTAAAAAATAAAATTATATTCTTCACATCATACAGAAATATAGATTCCAAGTCAACAAAAGACCTACAAATCAATCAACAAGCATATATATAGTTAAAATTATTATAAGGAAATATAGAGTGATAATTTTGTAATCTAGAGGTAAGAAAAGTTCTCTTAAGCAAGACCTAAAAAACAGAAACAGGCAGGGTGCAGTGGCTCACGCCTGTAATCCCAGCACTTTGGGAGGCCGAGGCAGGTGGATCACCTGAGGTCAGGAGTTCGAGATCAGCCTGGCCAACATGGTGAAACCCTGTCTCTACTAAAAATACCAAAACTAGCCAGGCGGCAGGCGCCTGTAATCCCAGCTACTCGGGGGGCTGAGGCAGGAGAATCGCTTGAACACGGGAGGTGAGGTTGCAGTGAGCCAAGATTGTGCTATCGCACTCCAGCCTGGGGGACAAGAGCAAGACTTTGTCTCAAAAAAAAAACAGAAACAATAAGGGGAATAAAATCAACGTATTTGCCTACAGGTGAATTGGAAACTTGTGTATGGCAAAACACACCATAAACAACTTTAAAAGACAATAAAGAGACTGGGGAAAAGTATTTGCAATAAATATAACAGTCAAATATTGATATGCAGTATAAAGAACTCCTTCAAATTCACCAGAAGAAGAAAAACATCCCAATAGAAAAAAACTGCCAAAAGATAGAAAATGATCATTTAACAGCAGATAAAATATTTTAAAAATCAATACACATGTAAAAATATGTTCATCCTCACTGATAATTAGGGGAAAATAATTTTTATGAGATACCATTTTTTTCAACCTTAAGATTAGCAAAGTTAGACAACATCAAATGTTGACTGGGTTGTGGGGGAGACAGACACTCTCATCCTCTGCTTGTGGACAGTACTCTGCCAGGATCTATTGAAACTGAAAATGCACATCCACTCTGCAGCAGCAGTTTCACTTCCATGCATCTCTCTTAGAGAAACACCTGTACACATGGACAAGAAGATGTAGACGAGGATGCAGCATTGCTTGTACTATCAAAAAAAGGAAAAAATCTGAATGCCTATCACTGAATATACCACGTCAGTAGAAAGTGATATATACATGTGATAGAAAACAATAGAGTGGTGACATGTGTGAAACTATACATATATATCCACAGGGGGTTGGGGGAGAGAGAAAGATCTCAAAAATTCATGGCTGAGTAAAAAAGTTAGGAGAACAGTGCTTTTTAAATAGATTCACAAAAGTTAACTGAAAATAGACCATAGACCTAGATACAAAATG
Organism: Homo sapiens; assembly: GCF_000001405.40. Taxonomy (NCBI): domain Eukaryota; kingdom Metazoa; phylum Chordata; class Mammalia; order Primates; family Hominidae; genus Homo; species Homo sapiens. Next base: position 42,117,173 of record NC_000023.11, on the reverse strand, counting down.
CAAAACTATAAAACTATTAGAAGATAACATAGGAGAAGTTCTAGACAATGTTGGGTGTGTGGGTATGGCAATGACTTAGATAACAGAAACTCATTAATTTGAATTTCATTACAATTTAAATGTTAGGAGGCTAATGCAAACATCTCCAGTGAGAGAAGATGGTGACTTGGTCTGAGATGGTAGTGATGGGATGCAGAGATGTAGAAGGACTGGGAAATCTGTCTTAGAAATAAAGTCAACAGGATTCTGATGACTATGTGTACATCTATGCAAAGAAGCTTGGAAATGGTCAGAAGCATATGCCCTGAGCAGCAACATCTCTGCTTGGGACCAGGGTGAGACAAGTGAGGCACTCAGCTTGGGCACAAAAGTTAACAGGGTGCCAAAATATTCAGTTATCAACATAGATAATATGTTAATGCATTATTATTTCTACAATCAAAATTAATGAAAAAATTTATGACAAAATATCAAAATGTTAAATAAAGATATTATCACTATGGCTAATTTTTCATTTTGCCTCAAGCTCCAGTGTGACTCGACACTGCACAGTTGCTAATCCTGTATTTAACATTTTGATATTTTGTTCATTGAGGACTTTTTTGCACCAATTTTGATTTTTTAAAGTATCATATTAAATACTATGTATCTTTTTTATTTTTTATTGATGCATAGTAGATGTACATACCTTCAGGGTACATGTGATAACTTAATACATTCATATAAATTGTAAAGATCAGATCAGTGTACTTGGGATATTCATCACCTTAAAAATTCATCCTTTCCTGATGCCAGAAACATTCAAATCATTCTCTTCTAGCTATTTTGAAATGTACAATAAATTATTGTAAACTGTATATAGACACCCTACTGATCTTTTGAATACTAGGTCTTATTCCTTCTGTGAAACTGTGTATTTGCACTTATTAATCAATTTCTTTTCATCCCCCCACCCCCACCTCTGGTAACCACCCATCTACTCTCTATCTGCATGAGATCCACTTTTTTTGGTTCCCACATATGAGTGAGAACATGCAATATCTGTCTTTCTGTGCCTGCCTTATTTCAATTAACATAATGACCTCCCCAGATACCATGTATCTTGATTCTTAAATGTTTTGGTACTTTCTTAAATTTTGCACCTGAGGCAAGTGCCTCACTTGCCATATGCTAGTTTTGGTTCTGCCAGAGCTACAGGGATGGAACAAGGATAGAGGAGGTAGTCCAAGGAACTTTATTTGTAATGTTCTAATTCTTAGGAGATTACACTCATATATTACTTGAGTAATCTTTAAATATATACACAGATGAAAGACAGGACTCAAATGTGTCAAAATGTCACCAGAGTTTATTCTGGGTAAAAAGGTGTAAGGGAAATGGTTCTTGGCATTACTGTACTTTCTGGGATTGTAATGGCCTTCAGTGCACCACCCAGATCTCTCTACAGGACAAGGCACAAGTTCTCCTAGCTGCTGGGAGCATTGGCTGCTGATGGCTCACAGCTGAGTGCCTCTTTAAGTCTTGCTCTCTACTGAAAAGAACAGTCCCATCCAAAGCTACTCCCCTTTCCTGGGGACAACCCTCAAGCAATCACTAGTCAACACAGGGATCCAGCTTCCTTTAGCTTGTCCCATTTTCCTTAATGTGAGACGTCTCTGAGGGGCCAGCCTAACTGCAGAGCTGCCAGTGGCATCACTGAGGCCACTGTTACAACTACACTGTAGCCCAGCATCTCCCTCTACCTAATGCTGATTCCCTCATCACTCACACCCCCTCAAAAAACCTCCTGCATGCAAATCTCCATCGCAGTGTCTGCTTTCAGGGAAACTATCCAAGGTATTTTCCAAAATTCCCAAAATCCAAAAATATAAGTGAATTCATGCACTCCAAACATGAGTGAATAGAATTTTTTACATTGGGAGTGAAGATTTTCAGAAGGATTTTCGATGGTATTAAGACTAAGTAAGAGGCCAGTGTTGATCTATCTCATTCAGTGAGTACCATGGTGAAAACAGGGTTAAACAGAGGCAAGGACTGCTATCAGTGGCTGTTAGTTTAGAGGGCAGCTGTGGATCCCATTTGACATGACCTAGAACAAAGGGCCCGGCATGTCTCTGAGTTTAGTGTTTGCAGGAGGGAAACTGTCATTTGTCCACAAGTATGGGTAAGAAGCTGGAAAGGGGTCAGCATTGCTCTACTCAATTTGAAAGACAGATTATCTTTTTAGCAGGAACAGCTGCCAATGTTAATTTTCAGTTAAATTAGATAGCCCACCTCAGTTGTCCACCTGTCAAAGAGAACTTCACGACTATTTGGAGACTGATACAAATCAAACCATATGATACGGTTTTGCTCTGTATCCCCACCTAAATCTTATTTTGAATTATAATCCCCAGGTGTCCAAGGAGGGACCTGGTGGGAGGTGATTGGATCATGGGGGATGGTTTCCCCCATGCTGTTCTCGTGATAGTGAGTGAGTTCTCACAAGAGCCGATGGCTTTAAAGTGTGGCACTTCCTCATCTGATCTCTCTTCTCTCTCTCCTGCTACCTTGTGAAGAAGGTGCCTGCTTCCCCTTTGACTTCCACTATGATTGTAAGTTTCCTGAGGCCTCCCCAGCCAGGCAGAACTGTGAGTCAATTAAACCTCTTTTGTTTAAAAACTACCCAGTCTCAGGTAGTATCTTTATAGCAGTGTGAAAATGGACTAATATAGAGAATTGGTACCGGGGAGTTTGGGGCACTGCTATAAAGATAACCCGAAAACGTGGAAGTGACTTTGGAACTGGGTAACAGACAGAGGTTGGAAGAGCATGGAGGACTCAGAAGAAGACAGGAAGATGTGGGAAGGTTTGGAACTCCCTAGAGACTTGTTGAATGGTTTTGACCAAAATGCTGATAGTGATATGGACAACGAAGTCCAGGTTGAGGTGTTCTCAGATGAAGATAAGGAACTTATTGGGAACTGGAGCAAAGGTCATTCATGCTACTCATGCTTTAGCAAAGAGACTGGCAGCATTTTGCCGCTGCCCTAGAGATCTGTGGAACTTTGAACTTGGGAGAGAAAATTTAGGGAATCTGGCAGAAGAAATTTCTAAGCAGCAAAACATTCAAGAGGTGATCTGGCTTTTCCTGAAAGCATACAAATTGGAACTTATATTTTAAAGGGAAGCAGAGCATAAAAGTGGAAAATTTGCAGCCTGACCATGAAGTATAAAAGAAAAACACATTTTCTGAGAAGAAACACAAGCTGGCTACAGAAATTTTCATAACTAATGAGGAGCCAAATGTTAACAGCCAAGACAATGGGCAAAATGTCTCCAGGGGCATGTCAGAGATCTTCAAGGCAGCCCCTCCCATCACAAGTCCCAGAGGCCCCAGGAAGGAAAAATGGTTTCATGGCCAGGTCCAGGGCCCTGATGCTCTGTGCAACCTCAGGACTTGGTGTTCTGTGTCCCAGCCACTCCAGCTCCAGCCTTGGCTAAAAGGTGCCAAGGTACACTTGGGCTGTTGCTTCAGAGGGTGCAGTCCCTAAGCCTTGGCAGCTTCCATGTGGTGTTGGGTCTTCAGGTGCACAGAAGACAAGAGTTGAGCTTTAGTAACTTCTGCCTAGATTTCAGAGGATATATGGAAACATCTGGATGTCCAGGCAGAAGTCTGCTGCAGGGGCAGAACCCACATGGAGAACCTCTACTATGGCCATGCAGAGGGTAAATGTGGGGTTGGAGCCCCCACACAGAGTCCCCACTGGGATTACTGCCTAGTGGAGTTGTGAGAGAGGGCCACCATCCTCCAGACCCCAGAATTGTAGATCCACTGACAGCTTGCACTGAGCACCTGGAAAAGCCACAGGCACTCAACACTAGCCTGTGAAAGCAGCTATGGGAGCTGTACCCTGCAAAGGCAAAGGGGTGGAGCTGCCAAAGACCATGGGAGCCCACCCCTTGCATCAGTATGCCCTGGATGTGAGACATGGAGTCAAAGGAGATCATTTTGGAGCTTTAAGATTTAATGGCTGCCCCGCTGGGTTTTGGTCTTGTATGGAACCTTGTAGCCCCTTTGTTTTGGCCAATTTCTCCCATTTGGAATGGGAACATCTACCCAATGCCTGTACCCTCATTGTGTCTTGAAAGTAACTAACTTGTTTTTTATTTTACAGGCTCACAGGTGGAGGGACTTGCATTGTCTCAGATGAGACTTTAGACTTGGACTTTTGGGTGATGCTGGAATTAGTTAAGATTTTGGGGGATTGTTAGGAAGGCATGATTGTGTTTTGAAATGTGAGGACATGAAATTTGGGAAGGGCTGGGGCCGGAATGATATAGTTTGGCTGTGTCCCCACCCAAATCTCATTTTGAATTGTAATCCCCACGTGTCAAGGGAGAGAACTGCTGGGAGGTGATTGGATCATGGAGGCAACTTCCCCCATGCTGTTCTTGTGATAGTGAGGGTGTTCTCATGAGATCTTGATGGTTTAAAAGTGTGGTACTTCCTCATGCTCACTTGCTCTCTCACTGCTGTCACCATGTAAGATGTACCTTGCCAATGAGTTCATGTCCTTTGCAGGGACGTGGATGAAGCTGGAAACCATCATACTCAGCAAACTAACACAGGAACAGAAAAGCAAACACCGCATATTCTCACTCATAAATGGGAGTTGAACAATGAGAACACATGGACACAGGGAGGAGAACATCACACACCAGGGCCTGTCAGGGGGTGGGGATGCTAGTGGAGGGATAGCATTAGGAGAAGTACCTAATGTAGATGACAGGTTGATGGTTGCAGCAAACCACCATGGCACGTGTATACCTAAGTAACAAACCTGCATGTTCTGCACATGTATCCCAGAACTTAAAGTATTAAAAAAAAAAGAACAGAATAATTTCTACCTATAAGTTGGATTTGCATTATTCATCTTGTAATCTTATGAATGCATTATGAATCTTGAATTATGAATCTTGTAATCTTATAAGATTCATAATGCAATTCCAACTTATACATCTAAGATTAGTACTCTGCTAATTGGAACAATGCGGAAGTATGTATGGGATGTGACCACAGAGCAATGTTAGTGGTTTGGATTTGTATCAATCCACCAGTCAACAGTATGGATATAGTCCACCTACCACTTTTGAACCCATCCATTCTCTACTACTGTTTCATTGTTATCCTTCGTTCTTTCTCACATGCTTTGACCAGTGCCTTGCTAAAATCCAAACACACTATGTCTATAGAATTTTTCTATCTACCAATTTAGTCACACTAACCAACAGCAATTTGCTAAGTCTCATATGGGCTGTTTTCAGTGCTTTAGTTAAACCATGATTTTTCTCAGTTAAAAAAAAAAAGACATGCCTTGCCTCCCCTTCACCTTCTACCATGAATGTAAGTTTCCTGAGGCCTCCCCACCATGCAGAACTGTGAGTCAATTAAACCTCTTTTCTTCATAAATTACCCAGTCTCAGGTGGTATTCTTTATAGCAGTGTGAGAACAGACTCATATACCATGATACAACATGTTCTCTGCATACTAAATGGGTTTCCTAGTTCCAGCCTGTATATTTCAAATGATACTTGATACCTATTTCAATACAACCAAAAAATCTGAAGCTTATTGTCATGAGCTTCACCCATAATATTACCATTTTGTACTTTCGTAAAGTGCTTTCGATTCAAGGATCTTTAAGAACTTTACAGACCTTAATTAATTAGACCTCATACACCTCTGTGAAGTTATCATTGTCTTAATTTAAGGGTGTGTAATTATCAGGTAGAAAGGTGAAGTGGCTTATTGTATGTCTCAGCATCAAATCAAAATCAAAAGCTCAGCACAAAACTCAAGAGAGAAGATTCAGACTTACACAAGAATCACTAGGTTTGGGGAAAACAAATCATTAAACATGATTTCAGTTGTTATTCCATCTCACTGATTTTATGCCATTTCCCTTAGAAACATTTAGTATTTTACTAGAGTTCCTTAAAATAGAGGTAAAGATTCAAGGGCAAAGGAGACAGGCAGAATAGTAGAGGGAGAACCTGTTTTTTTTCCTGCCTGGAGTCCCCTCTCTTCTCAAAACAGAACTCTGTGGAATACCCATTCCACATGGTCTCATACCTATAAGACAGCATGCACCCCAGAGGACCCCTTCCATTTGACCACAGTTGAGTCAAACATGGTCACATAAAATCAATTAGGTAAAGTGGCATCCTCTCTGGAGCTCTGCTGCCAGAGCAGTGATGGGAAGGTGCTCTCTTTGCTGGAGCTGCCTAGCTGGGAGGATATGAGCTTGGGGCTGGTCATGGTCAGCCACTAATCCTCCCACATGGAGGGAGCCTGACAGAAAGATGGAAAGGAAGATAGGGTAAACCCTGATGACCTCTTTTCAGTCCCTGTGCCCTCAGGTTATTCTACCTCTGATTTTAAATAGATGTTTTAAATAGATTTTAAATAGATGTGTGTGTGTGTGTGTGTGTGTGTGTGTGTGTGTGTGAGAGAGAGAGAGAGAGAGAGAGAGAGAGAGAGAGAGAGAGAGAGAGAGAGAGAGGGGACCAACAGAGTGGCATGAAGATTACTTTAAACTGAAAACATCTGAACAAACAGCAGCCACAGAAAGAAGCCTTATCTAAACTTAGGCAGAGCTCCTGAAAATACAGCTGCCATTAACCCTAAGGGAGTTTCCTGTTCTGGAGATTACTTACCCTTAGCACCAGGAGGTATGAATTCAGCTGCCACAAATTCCTTTCCCCTGCCCCAGGGGGATGGGAGATGGGAGTTCCACCTGGAAGGAGACTGTCAATTAGCATTGGGATGAATAAGCCCAATAGAGCCTTCCATAACTTCCCATTGAAGCCCTACAACCCCTTTTTTTGTTAAGCTGGTATATAAACCCGTAGCACTGGCTGTTCAGCATGCCAACTCTTATTGAGTGTCCCCACATGCGTGTGAAATAAACTTTTCTCATATTGTATTTGTTGTCAATTAATTCACAGGCCCCACCACTTGAACATAAGTTGGTAAAGGAAAAGATTTTCTCCCACAATATATAGATAGCAAGCAGTCATTTTATATATTGTATAATGTATCTGTACATATATGTTTGATATGTATGTGTGTATGTGTATATACACACACATATATACATATACATATAGCTTGAGGTCAAGTTCTGTCTCTTGTAACTAATAATAGTAAGTAGACTGCAAGGTTTGTGGCCTATGATAGGGTCCCCTTGGATACACTGAATTTTCCTATCCTCACAAATGTATTCTTTACCCTGGCAGCCAATTCTGTTACACCACTCAAATCCCTGAGGACAATCATATCACTCATTCATTGAGACAGTTCAATATTCATTCACAATTTTTAATAGGATAAAAAGAGAAGGTTTTACCTTCGTATACATTTGCCCTCATTAAGAATCTCGAATACATGTTCAGCATAGATAGCTCATAAGATAATAAAAAGAAACCAAGTGGGTTTAAAGCACCATCAGGTAGAAGAGAAAACAGGAGGAGAAGCTGATCAAAGTGAGGAAGTGGCCCTTTCAGAAAGCCAGCACAGGAAGAAGCAGACAGAAAGTCCCACCAGAGTGTCCTAATAGTGCCACACTATGAAAGTAGGGGGTTCAGTTAGCTAAAACAAAGAAACAAAATAAAATGTAGTCAAACATCTTCAGCTTCAAAAAATAGACACATTCACAAGTCAAAAAATTTAGAAGCCAGAAGACCATTAAATCAAGTGAATGTCTTGGTCTTGGGTTACATAAGGAGCTGGGACAACATTTTGCAACCCCTATTTCATTTCTAAACATGACGGGAAATTCAGATTACTACTGTGGACCACTAGCTCACATTCCAACAGAATTCAGTGTTCTTTTTTTTATTAAAACACAGTACCGGTTAACATCCTCAAATCCTTTAGTAGGGCAGGCTTTTTTATGCCAATAAGGACCGTGGTTTAAGGTTCAACAAGTGAATACCAAGGAATGGTCTAATTTTGACTTCGTAAGAAACTGAACTTTCATTGCATAAATATTGTTTAGTGCAAGCTTTGGAAATCTAACAGTAAAGATATTTCGTTGCCACTATCTTTCATTGTCATTGAATTTAACATCTATTGATTATATGTATCAGGCAGCTTTTGCTACATTGTGTTGCAGTAACAAATAATCTCCAAATCTTAGTAGCTTACAACAACAAAGGGTATTTCTTACTTAGAAATTTTTTGTCTGCCATGGGTTGACACCAGCTCTCTGTTTTCATTTTAGGGGCTGCTCCTTCATCTTGGGTCCTATCTGGGAACTTACAATGAATAAGAGAGTAGGCAAATGCACACAAAGCTTATGCTCATATTTCATTAGCCAAAGCAAGTCACACAGTCAAGACTGACAATAGGATAGGGAAATATAGTCCTCCTCAAGGGGCCATGGCAAGTTTACCTGGAAACAGGTGAGGATACATAATTCTCTTACAGGGAAGGCAAGCTTGCATTATTGGGAACAATGCTATAATCATCCACAGTGAATAAAAATGAAGCCCATTTAGTAGGCATTTGTAATAAACTCACTCAACTAAAACATACACAATAATATGGTAAAAGGAGTCTCAACCCTCTAGGACAAATGGAAACAGTGGGATTGAAGAAGGAGGAAAAGGATAGGGAGGAAGAGGAGATAACTAAAAATCATATAATATATCAAGGTCTTTCATGTTCCAGCTACTCTGTGATAAGTTCTCTATAAATCACTTCTCTGTAAAATTGGAAGAAAAAAAAATTAAACCTCCTACCCTGACCAGGCTCCCAGAACTTTGATCACATCCTTACTCCCAGTCTTAAGTACACAGTTTATACTGTAGTTATTTTCACTTCATAAATCATAAAGTAATAAAGCCATAAGAAATTCCAAAAGGGCATCTGTTGAACCTTTCAACTTTCTTGCTTAACTTAAGAGAACAATTGATCCATTCAAGACATTTCGTTCATTGTTTTTTCATAAAGTATAGACATTATCTTCTTGAACAATTCTTGAGGTTGAATGATAAGCCCTTCCATATTTCAGTGTTTTAGCATCAATAAATTCTTTCTTATATAAACCCAAATGTCCTTTGTTCTCAAATAGGCAAATCATCAAAAATTTTCCTGGCAGCATTGGCTTAACTACTCTGATTACAGTCACCAAGTATTAGAGTCACACTTATATCTATCGAGACTAAAGCAATCTGTCTAAAACACAGATCTGACCACGTCATTTCGCTGCTTAAAACCCTTCAGTGATTCTCTGATGCCTATTCTGTTGCATAAAGACCTAGTTACTTGGGGTGAAATCTACAAGCCCCTCCCAACACCAGAATGTAAGTTCCTTGTGAACCAGGCCTTGTCTATCTTGTTCATTTCTGTAGCCAGAATGCCTAGAACACTGCCTGCCACCTTGCAGAAACTCAGCAAATATTTGTTGAATAATGAGTGAGTAAGTAAATGAATAAATTAAGGCCTTCTATGACTGGTCTCCAACCTCACCTCCCACTCTTTAGTAAAACTGAAAGACCAGGATTTCCCCGTGCGAAGGCCTTTGTGTGTTTATTCATGTTCGATTTCCTGTCCATATTGCTCTCACCCTCTTTCTGAGCGTGGCTAACTCCAGTGCATCCTTCAAGACCTAGCTTAGACTATCTCATCCTCCAGGAAGCCTTCTCTAAATCTTTAGGCTGGACCAAGTTCCCCTTTTCTGTGTTTGCATAGCACTGCATGCTTACCTCTATCACAATTCTTAGACCTGTAAACAAGCGATAATGCTTATAATTTCCAAATGACTTGCTGCCTCCCCTACTTTTTTCCATTATTCAAAAATAATTATACTAATAAAATGGTATGAGGATACACAATATGAATCCATCCCATTAAATGATACTGTGCCTCTTTCAGGTGGATAATACCTGTGTCCTACATCTTGCCCATGATCCCACTGCAATGTGTGCCATACCCTGTACACAATGTGCACCCAAGAAGCTCTTGGGGCTGTCAGGGATGCTGTGAAAACTAAAGAAATAACATGTAGAAAATCCTTACCGCACGTGAAAACTTAAACTGCCAAAACATACCAGCCGACAAATTGTCACTAGAACTTCTGATCCATTTGCCACCATTCTAAGTATATTATAACCCCCACTTCTGACACCAGGGGACTGAAAAGAGGCCTGACCAATGTGGAAGACTCCATTTTTAATTTTGGTGGCAATCACTACATATTTGGAGCATTCCTACTATGTTCCAAGCACTGACATATCTATCCCTCTTACTTTCTACTTCACCTACTTCTTACTCTCCATTTTCATGGTTTGTATAAAGCACATGTTTCTTGACAGCAGAAAGGGATTGTTTACGTATCCAGCAGCCCTTTATTTACAGTTTTGGTAGCTGTTTGGAGTCAAGAGGCTACAAGGAATGGCCAGAAGGATTTGATTACGGAAAGGGATTTATAAACAGGAGACAGCTCTGTTGAATCAAAAGAACTAAAAGAAGCCAGATTTACTTAATCATTCTTATAGATGACTATGAGGTTACTGAAAAGAAAATATAATGCTTATAAAGTTACCTATTTAAAGCCTACCAAGAGGTCTAGTATGACCACTGGAGAATTTTCTGACCAAGTACAGGATGAACCCTGGCAGGAGATTGGAAGTGGGGCACCTCTATTAATCAGACATGGATGAAACTGAGCTGAAATCAACAAAAGGACCTCATCCAGTTCAAACAGGGTATGGAGCAATTGTGAGCTTCCCTGGGGGAGCAGAGCTTCCTCTGCTGTATTTCACAGGGTGACCATTTCTGTTCTCTTGGCATGCCTTTTCAACAGAAGGGGGATTTGTAAATCCTATGGAACTTTCTGCAGAGTAGAAATACAAAAATTAAATTATTGAAAGGGTTACCCTAAATTCAGACTGTAAAGCCTGACAATATTTCAGGGTTAAAAAACTTCTCTTGACCCAGATTTTTGACAATGTTTGAGTGAGAGCCTCTTTTTTGTATGTTTAATGAGGTGTTTACCCATATCCTGAAGGCCTCAACACAAATTGAAGCCAGAAAGCCATGCAGACCATGGGGAAAGGAAGGGACGATCCTCCTCCCAAGACAACATAGGTGGCCCATTTTTAGCACCCATATCCTCAAGCCTTAAGATGACAATGGCTCCCAGAGTTCTACAAAGCTGCTCACAGACCTCCTACTACTCCTTAGTTATGACTTGGAAAAATAATTTTTTTTACTTTTTCTGGCAAACCTTACTAGAGAGTAATTTATAGAGAAGAAGTCATGGATGAACTTTGTAGTGTTTCAAGTTAATGAGAAAAACCATATCTAAATTTTCCTCTTTGGGCACAGTAGAAATGGGATTTAAATACTATTATTCAATAATAATTGGACAGAGTGTTCCCTAACTTGACAAAGAAATTTACCTTTCAGCTAGGACCAAAACCAGGCACTTTCTGTTAAGTAGAGTTTTTCCCACTTAAAAGTGGGTGGCAGAGAAAGTTCATTATATAACCTTTTTTCTATTGAAATGTTACATCAATATTCAGCTGTAACTAGCAAACTCCATATGTAATAATTAACTCTGCATGACGGTTTTCTACAGTGCATGAGGGTTTTTTCTTTTCAAAGGTTGTGGGTTGATTTCATAACTATTGTGATTAACTAGGCTCCTTTGTTTTCCTATAAACTGAGGTGGAGAGAGGCAAAATGGCTTCCCAAAGAAAAATCGGAATATTGAGCTATTATAATTAACTTGCATTCAGTAGCAAGTTGTAGGTGACTTCCAGCCAGCATCTGCTTCTGTAATGATGTGGCCTCATTCATTCCCAGGAAAGAGAATTTACAAAAATGTAGTCCAATGGCAATAGAGAGTTAATCATATATATTTCCACTGGGATGTTATAAAAGATAAATGAGATAATATATGTGAAATGCCTCAAGCTCCTCAAAAGAAAGGTGCTAGACAAATTCAAAATATTGCTATGAATAATACAGTAATTAAAAATAATACAGCTTTCTTTGACCTACTCATCTAAAATAAATTAGCTCCTTTTGAATATTATATTCAAAGATATATTTCTCAATCTACATTTCTGCCACTCAGTCATTATCAGCAATTTTATGTGGGTCTTCTAGATATGAACTTTTGTGGCTTCATTATTTTCTATGATTGATAAGTTGCTTTTCCTATAACAGTGCCATTTAGTGAAAGCAAATTTGTGTCCCCGTTTATTTCCAAATGCCTCAAGTTAACAGCTCAGATGCTTAACAAAATCCATGATTGTCAACACTCATTACAGAAAGTCTTGTTTCTCCTGTTCCCTTCCACCATGGATAGGAAGTGTTTGAACACCTGCCTCATCCTACCCCTCGAGATTATAAGCTACTAGAAGGTAGAGCTGAGACCTGCTGTCTTTGTATCTCTCATAAGACCTCGGGCTAAAATTGCAAGCACCACTGAAAGCTCACAGAACTTCAGGCACCCTAGGACTCCCCTAGACTCCAAAGAGCTCTGCCTTTTACTTGGCCAACCCAGACAGAAAACAACCCTGCCAGAGCTCCCTGCTGAGGAGAACTGATTTCCTTGTGGCTGTGCTGAGACCCCAAGTGCTCAGTCACACCTGGAGCACCAAGAAACCCTCCAGCTGTGAGTCATTCATTCAACTGGCTTTTTCTTTTTTTTTTTTATTTTAATTTTAATTTTTAGTTCTAGGGTACATGTGCAGGATGTGCAGGTTTGTTACACAGGGTAAACGGGTGCCATGGTGGTTTGCTGTGCCTTTCAACCCATCGCTTAGGTATTAAGCCTAGCGTACTTTAGCTATTTTTCCTAATGCTCTCCCTCCCCTCGCCTCACCTCCTGACAGGTGGGGTGTGTTGTTCCCCTCCCTGTGTCCATGTGTTCTCATTGTTCAGCTCCCAGTTATAAGTGAGAACATGCAGTGTTTGATTTTTCTGTTCCTGTGTTAGTTTGCTGAGGATAACGGCTTCCAGCTCCATCCATGTCCCTGCAAAGGACATAATATCGTTCCTTTTTGTGGCTGCATAGTATTCCATGGTGTACATTTACCACATTTTCTTTATCCAGTCTATCACTGATGGACATTTGGGTTGATTCCATGTCTTTGCAATTGTGAATAGTGCTTCTATGAACATACATGTGCATGTATCTTTGTAATAGAATGATTTATATTCCTTTGGGTATATACCCAGTGATGGGATTGCTGGGTCAAATGGTATTTCTGGTTCTATATATTTGAGGAATTGCCACACTGTCTTCCACAATAGTTGAAGTAATTTACATTCCCACCAGCAGTGTAAAAGCATTCTTACTTCTCCACAACCTTGCCAGCATCTGTTGTTTCTTGACTTTTCAATAATCACCATCTGACTGGCATGAGATGGTATCTCCTTGTGGTTTTGATTTGCATTTCTCTAGAGATCAGCGATGTTGAGCTTATTTTCATATGTTTGTTGGCTGCATGAATGTTTTCTTTTGAGAAGTGTCTGTTCATGTCCTTTGCCCACTTTTTAATGGGGTTGTTTGGTTTTTTTCTTGTAAATTTGTCTGAGTTCCTTGTAGATTCTGGATATTAGACCTTTGTTAGATGGATAGGTTACAATAATTTTCTTCCACTCTGTAGGTTGCCTCTTCAGTCTGATGATAGTCTCTTTTGCTGTGCAGAAGCTCTTTAGTTTAATTAGATCCCATTTGTCAATTTTTAGTTTTGTTGCAATTACTTTTGGGCTATTCATCTGCAGAAATGGCTGTCCATAGGCAGAAAATTCAAACTGGACCCCTTCCTCATACCTTATACAAAAATTAACTCAAGATGGATTAAAGACTTAAATGTAAAACCCAAAACTATAAAAACCGTAAAAGAAAATGTAGGCAATACCATTCAACTGGCTTTTTCTAAGCTGCTCAACAATAAAGAAGCACTCCCATACTGCCCCCAGCAGATGAGGTAGTGTCTGCAGCTTTCTTGTCACTTTGGAGGAAAGCCATTTTGGCTACAAAGGGTCTGTTTTATGCTAGGCTCCCACAGAAACAGGACAAGACTTCAAGTTTATTTGGGAGGTGATCCCAGAAAACACCAGTAAAGGAGGGCGGAAGTGAGTCAGGGAAGGAAAGGCAGCCAATAAATGGAGCCCAATCCTGTTAGAGAACTCCATGAGACTGGATGGACACATCTCGAAGTTTCCCCTGCCAAGGGATTAGGAAGCTGGGGAATTTCTCCACCAACTCACTTCAGTCATTGTTGAGGGCTGCTGGGGAGAAGGAGAGCATGGGGGAATTAACTCTCTGGCATTTTTGGCTTGAACCAGCAGCCAGAGAAAGCCTGTAGGCAAATTTCACAGGTGCTCATATTTAAAAGCCAGCAGGCCACTGGCTATGCCCAGGAATGCAGACAGCACAGAATGGTCACCGGGGATTCATAAACCCAAAGAACCTGAGAGACCAAGCCTTCTTACATTGCACAGAAGCTCCTTCCTGCCCTTATTCCTCAGAGGCCCAAGAGTCTAGAAGAGAACCTTCAGGGTGGATTTTCCCTCTCTCCATTGCTCCTACCACCATGACTACCTTTTCTTTCAGTGGGATGTTATTTGGGAGAAACTTCCCAGTCTAGTCAGTTGAGAGTCACCCATCAATACAAAACACAAAATGCTCAGACAAACCTCAGAGGCTGAGGTTCAGGAATGCTGCCACCTCACAGATCTCCTCACCCTCACTTCATTCATTCCTCCAGACATGAAGAAAGAAACGTAGACCTCCCACAAAACATTTACAGATCATTGTACATTAAGTACGAATTATATTTGAAAACCAGAAGTGATACTTTGTTTTTATCTCGCAATTTATTCTGAAAAAAAAGTAACGGATTTTTGTTCCAGAAGCTTTTTGATAGCCTTTGGCTACAAGCGCTGCAATCCTAACCTACCTGGGTTAAAGTGTCAGAAGCCAAAATTAAAATCTCATGTAAGTTCAAACTCTTTCCACTGAACTAACTCAGCAAATCCCTGTGGTGACAGGTCACTAAACATGTTTGAAGAAATATCCCAACAGAGCTTGGGGCAGGACAAAAAGGAAAGGAATTACAAATATGGTCCTCCGCTTTCTTCATTCCTGACCACCCTTACCCCACCCCTCCCCCATGCCCCACCAACCCTAGAAACTGTTCTGGGGAGGACCAAAGTGGAGAAAACTAACAGGCCCTGGAGAAGGGGCTTGACTGTGGAAAAATTAAATCAAAGAGATGATTGGCGGAATCCCTCTTCCTTCCTCCACATCAAGTCCTATATCCCTGGACAAGCAAAGTACAGCCCTTTAGAGTCTATCAATCAATCAACCAAAAATGATTTAATGATGGAAGCAGCCTGATATTCTGAACAGACTAAGGAAGGGGAAGCTAGGAGAGCTAGGTTCTTCCCTAGCCTCGTGCAAACTGAGGAAACATGAGTTTTGGACTCAGAAATGACAAGGGTGTTGGCATTGTCACTTACTTGCTCTGTGACCTTGGACAAGGTGCTTAGCCTCACCAAGCCTCAGTCTCCTCATCAGGAAAATGGGAACTCGTAATACCTCCATCACATATTTGTCACATAAAATATCTTCCACATGGCTGGCATACAGTGGTTGCTCAAGAGTTGCCTTCCCTTTTGTGGGAACCAGCACAATCAAGTGGAAAGAGCCCAGCTTTAGAAGCAGAGAGAGCTGGTTTCAAATCCCAATGGGGGCGCTCACTTTGAGCCACTAATGAACTTCCATGTGCATCATGCGTTAAAGAGTTATTAATCTGTTTTCCTTCTCACCCCACCCTTTTATTTCAAAACTTACAAAAATTAATTCAGTCGCCTTATATGTCCATGGACTAGCCATTCTGATAAAGTAAAGTGAAATAAATCCTTCAATCCATCCCAACTGGTTCTCCTTAGACAACTGGCTTATTTAGGGAAGCAAGTGCTTATAGTCAATTAGGGGGGCCAGCTATAAACTGATCCAGGCCATCTTCCCCCTCATTCATCCCAATGCCTGGAACTCCAGGGGCCAGAGACTGCCAACATAACAGCTGCCTCAAAGAGCTCTCTTTGGTGAGAGAGAAACTTAAAAGGATTTGTGGGAAATTTTACCTGGTGGTGTACTTTGACACCCTCTCCTTAGTAATCTCAAGAAAATTTCAGTAAAAACAAAGTTGATTTTCATGGATATTTTTGGAGTCAGATTAGTATTTTTTTCAGATGTAATATCATACTCTGATGGGTCCAGGGCCCACTTCATGAACACAAAACCTGTGCAGTCCCACCAAGCCCCACACTCAGAAAGACCCCAGGCTTGGTTTAATACTCTGCTGTCACCATCTTGAAATTCTTAATCATTTTATCTTTGAGGTTATGTTTTGTAGATGTCCAATGGGATTTCAATGGAGCATGAGCAGAGGAGATACACACTGTATGTGTGTCCACCATTTCTTGCCACCCCATTCAGATATAGCTTTTGTGATGCTCCATAAGCACAGAATTCCAATGGGCCCGCAATGCATGAGAGTTCACTGAGACCCACAGCAAGTACAAGGTAAGTGTGTTACACCCATGAGTAAATAAGTGTGATTGCTGACAGTCCTGAGAGATCATGTTTTCCATACAAACTAGAATTTGCTTTGAACACAGAAAGAAAGCAATGACATTCTCCGAAACACGAATGACCAAGGAACTCTATCATATACTTTCTTACTCATATTACTCCTCCATGTTAACCAACCACTTCCACAGAAAATGATAACATAGAAGGAAAGGAAAAGGTTGCCCTGTCTTTGCAAACCTTTTCCTTTCCTTTCAACTCTTCCTTACTCATCAGTAAGCTGAAGGTAGAGAGTGTTGGTAGAATGTGTGTACATCAAGAAGTAGAATAAAAATGGTTCTTTTCTGCAGCATTCCCACTGTTCTGATAAGAATGAAACACATACACACATACAAACTACAAAAGACAAATCGCGTATTTGATTATTCCACATATGACTTAAATACTCTTATATTTGCATTTAAAACTGTCATTGCACAGTACAAAAATGAATGGTAAAATTCATTCTAATAATTTAAGATTTTAATTTTTCTTCACTTAGAACTACATTAAATCACAGATAGAAAACACCATGAAAGTCCAAAGAGAGAGACCATGGACGAAAGGGAAAAGCTTTATATTTTAAAGCTTTTTTCACTGCTTTTTTAAACAGCATTTTTTCACTGCTTTTTGAACAAAGGACCTTGCCTTTTCATTTTGCACTGGGCCCCACAAATCATATAGCTGACACTGGATGGACCTTTTGGTGAGAGCTAGAAATGCCAGATTTATCGAGCTTATATGTACATAAAATAACCTGTGTATTCCTTATGCTTTCGCTGCCAAAGAAAAATTGATACTCAGATATACTGCTTGTGTCTGCCATTTCTAACCACGTCTGCCTCTCCTCAAGTTACATCCACCTTCTCCCTAAACTTAACATTGGTCTAACCATAACGTTACCCTTCTTGTCATTGTACCCCAATCCACCAGTGCAAAAATTGGGTCAGAATAGAGGGGTGTACTGAACCAAGACGTTCCTGAACCAGGTTCTGGGTATTTACCCACTCTGTCTTTATACTCTTAGGTTTGAAATCCAGCTAAATAGGAATAGGAAAGAAAGTGTTGCCTCTCCTACTCTTCCCCGGAGAAGAAGGAGAAAGGAGGAGGAGGAGGCTGGACACTGAGCACCTCCTTACTCTAACAAGCTCTAGACCTGTACATTTCGTGTATATGTCTTTTAACCTAGAAGAGGAACAGTTTCCAGCAGCCCTTTGCTGGCATCCTATGGTGCCAGTGTAAATATTGGAAAGAGGAAATTGCCTTTAGCTTCTTCTTTTAAAAAAATTCTGGTACTGTCTTCTCTGCAGTGGGAGCAGCTCTCCTGCTACAGCCCCTCAGCCCCGGAAAACGTTCGCCTGCTCCAAGCTCGTCTCCTCTCCCTCATTGGTCAAGAGCACCTCACAGCTGCTGAGCCGTCAGCTATCTGCAGTGGTGCTGAAATGACCGGAGATACTGACAGATGAGAGCCTCAGCAGCTTGGCAGTCTCACGTCCCCTTACCTCACTTGTCTCTAGCCGCAGCTTCCAAACCAGCACCATTTCAAGGGACATCGACACAACAGCCAAGTTCACTGGAGCTGGGGCTGCCGCAGTTGGGGTGGCTGGCTCTGCGGCTCAGATTGGGACTGTGTTTGGGAGCCTCATCATTGGTTATGCCAGGAACCCTTCTCTGAAGCAACAGCTCTTCTCCTACGCCACTCTGGGCTTTGCCCTCTGAGACGCCATGGGGTGCTTTTGCCTGATGGTGGCCTTTCTCATCCTCTCTGCCATGTGAAGGAGCCATCTCCACCTCCCATAGTTCTTTCTCCCACGTGTGGTCAGCCCTGTGTGTTCCTTTTCCTATACCTCCTCAGGCAGCCTGGGGAACGTGGTTGGCTCAGGTTTTGACAGAGAAAAGACAAACAAATACTGTATTAATAAGAAAAAAAATTCTGGTAAAATATACATAACAAAATTTATCATTTTTACCATTTTAATTGTACAGTTCTGTAGCATTAAATACATTCACATGGTTGCACAACCATCACCACTATCCATCTTTCAGCTTCTTAATTGCAGCTGGAACCTACCAGTGGCTGTTCCTCTGAAATGCCCAGCTTAGACTGCACTTTCAAATTAAGGAAGGAAAAAGAAAAATAACAAAGCCTGAAAAAATAGTTTGTAAAAGTGACTGAATCCATGTCAGAAAGACAGCCAACAAGAAGAAAATGTCACCAACACGAATTTGAGAAAGTGAGAAATAAAAGGGACTTCTGAGAGTATAGAGTCCAACCATCCTCTTTTACATATTGTCAAGTCCTCAAAAAACCTGCCAGGAGAACCTGTTACAGTACCATGCAAAGCAGTTGAGGGGTATCCTGATCAGACTCACTGCGGTAAGGAAGAACACCATCTTGACAGTCTTAGTAGTGTCTCAGAAGGGGTAAGTTGGAAGTATCTTTATAGAGTTTTAGGGCCTGAGCTGGGTGATTTTAAGGTGAGTTTTACAAGGTGCAAAACTAGGACTGGGCCGAGTTTACGACATACTAGCTTTGGATTGGTGGGCACAGGAAAGACTTGAACGAGTCTTTATGAGTAAGCTGTTAGTCTTCATAGGTGAGTTATTTTAGTTAGTTAACAGTCTTATCTTCTAGGAACTATTATTTCCTAGAGCAAGTAGCTTAAGTTATTTTTGTTTGTTCTCAGTATTTTTTAACATGGGAACAGGAACATATGCCTGGTCTCAGTATTGTTAAACACAGGAACGGAATTTATGTTGATTTCAGCTTTCAACATAAGGAAACCAAGGCAGAGAGGAGTTAAATAACTAGCTCAGAAGTGAGCAGCTGGTAACAGAGCTAAAGTTTAACCTAGAGCCCCTGACTACAAGTCCAGGGCTTGCTCACCACCCGCTACCCCATTACACACACACACACACACCAAACTGCCGGAATTACTTTCTCTTAAAATGAAAAACTTACAATATAATCACATCGCAGAAAATTTGGAATAAAGGATAGCTCAAATCCCATCACCATATCAACTGTATTTCCTTCCAGTTTTTCTTCATAAATAGTGATTTTGTTTTTGTTTTGATTCTGTAGTGTTCATTTACTTTCTCTCTACAATTTTTGTTTCTCCAAAGCTTTCTTGAGCAAAATGTGTGCTTTTTCCTGGCTCCCCTTTGTGCTTCTCCACCATCAAGGAAGAGTCTCTGCTTTTGTTGAAAAAGTTCCAGGCATTTCCAAACAGGCTGGGGACCACTAAGATTCTGCTAGAACTATCTAGTCTGAAAGAGCAGTTTTAACAGGCATAGGCCCCACAAAATTGTTCTTCCCACTGGCTCAGCTTGAGGGGCTCAAGACTCTTCAGGCAACTGACCACTGATACTGAGGCAATGTCATTTGGTTCTCAGTCATACCCACACTTCATAATATAGTTGTCCATCCCTCCATATCCACAGGGGATTGGTTCCAGCACTCCAAGAGAATACCAAAATCTGTGGATGCTCAAGTCTTCTACATAAAATGGTGCAATATTTGCATATAACTTACACACATCCTCCCATATAGTTTGAATTATCTCTAGATTACTTATAACACTTAATACATTATAAATGCTATGTAAATAATTGTTATACTATATTTTATTTGGATTTTTTTTACTGTTGTATTGTTATTGTCAACTGAAGAACCACAAGGTTTATAAATTTGGAAAGGAGAGCTGTATTTCTCATAAAGGGTTGCAGCCTGCAGGCTGGCCATGCCACAGGCTGGGATGCGTAGCTTCCAGTAAAAGCTGAGAGCAAACACTTTGAGGGAGGGAAGGATAAGAAAGGAATTTGTGCTGGATGGGTTGTGTAAGTATACATATTTAATAAGCTGTAGGAGGATTTATGAATATTTATGAAAGAAGCATGCATATATCCAATCGAATTTCATGCCTCTTCATGGGTCACATGTACAAAAAATGGTGTGTTAGCATGATCAGAGGGTGGAGTTCTCAGCCTTCTGATGTCAAAAGGTGAAGCAGAGGACGTGAAAACCCTCACTGTACGTCATTTGTAGACCGGCCGGAACCACTCCATGATCGGTGGCCTCTTATCAGGAAGGAATGCTGGTCAGTTGCTGTGTTGAAACCACAAACGGGAAGGAAAATCTGGTCACTGCCCCAGATACTTGGCTAAGGATGATAAAGGAATGAGTCGTCCATTTCTGATTTTCCACCACTGATTTCTGCTTACTCTTTAGGAAAGAATTTGGGTTAAAAATTAATAAGAAAAAGGCCTATTGAGGCATGTCTTACCTCCTATCCTTTCATGGCCAGGAACTCCACTTTTCAGGTTTCTCTGGGATTCCCCTTAGCCAAGAGGAGGTCTGTTCAGTCAGTTGGGGGTCTTAGGATTTTATTTTTATTTCTCATTATTTTTTTCAAATACTTTTGATCTGCAGTAGGTTGAATCTGCTGATATGGAACCATCAGGTACAGAGGACCTACTGTACTCTTTTTCATTTCTGTGTGCTTTTGCCTTATCTTTCTCCACTCCCTTCTCCCTGCTCTTTGCAGAGGCCTTCCAAACCCTTCCACACATTTTATCTCACTTCTTTGGTGATTCTCAGTCCAGTAATCAGCAAGCCCTTTGCTAAAATTATGATCACATTCCACAATGGGAGCATGTAAATGATAATTTATTCACAATATTCTCATTTTCAGTAAAGGGGTTCCTGAAAGGTTATAAGACAAATCACTATTAACCTAATCATATTGTGAAAGGAAAATAAATCTTGGGGCCCCAAAATCACTATGCTAAAGGGAAAAGTTAAGCTGGGAACTGGGAAAAACCTGTCTCCCATTTTATTATAAATGCATATCTAATTGCCTCCTTTGGAGAGGCTAATCAGAAGCTCAAAAGAATGCAACCATTTGTCTCTTGTCTACCTATGGCCAGGAAGCTCCCTCCCCACTTCGAGTTGTCCCCCGTTTTCTTCGAGTTGTCCCGCCCTTCCAGACCGAACCAATGTTCATCTTACATATGTTGATTGATGTCTCATGTCTCTCTAAAATGTATAAAAAAAAATTGTGCTCTGACCACCTTGGACATGTCGTCAGGACCTGCTGAGGCTGTGTCACAGGTGCACGTCCTCAACCTTGACAAAATAAACTTTCTAAATTAACTGAGACCTATCTCAGATATTCGGGTTTCACATTTTGGTAACGATGGAGGGATTCCGGGTGGAGGTACCCCTGACCTTTGACAAATCTGCTATCAGTGCTTGGTACCAGCATGAGCTAACTTTATGGCTCAAACCAATAGGACAATTTGCTGAGGTCTGGGAGCACTTACTCCAGAAAATCCCTGATCTCCCAAAATTTGATTGAAATCAAAAGTTTATTTTGCTGTATAACCCCTTTTTTTTGGATTTTTACTTGCTTCCAACAAGAAAGGCAAGCTTTTCAGCTTCCATAATGATGGAAGGCAGGTAACTCCTTTATGGAGTTTGAGCTTGCTCCCGGCAGGGAGGACGAGTTTGAGGTTTTTTTCCTGCTTCTAGGATGGTAGAAAGCAGCCTTTAGCCTGAGACCCATCCCTAGGTAAGTAGCAGAATTGGGGTTTTGTCTTGGCTAAAGTTTAACAACCAGCTGGTCTTAATTTCCCCTTACCATTACAGCGCTCAGTGATCATATTGTTGGGGGTATTTTTATTGTTTGTTCCGGTCTTTCTCCCATCAGATTTGACTAACTCTACCTGACTTGGTCAAATCCGAGTGAGAATTCCAAATTATGAGTAACAAATCCTCTCTAATTTGGCTAAAACTCCTTGCAGCTGCAAAAGAGGGAAAAAAATGCACTTGGTTTCTGTATTTGCTTCCTGTCTTAAAAAACAACAAATGTTCTTTCGTTTACTTTTCTTCCACCCTATACCGCCTTCCCCGTTTGCCATCTGCAGTACCAAAAAATTTAGAGAAGGCTTCTAATGATTCGAACCCCTTTAAATGAATCAGAACAAATGCCCCACTCACCCCTTTGGGGGAGTTCTGCTTTCTTTGGAGTTTCAAGAGTCATGGGCAGATTCTTCTTAGGTCTAAAGTTCTGTTTTCCTGTATTGCATAACCCGACCTCTTTAGGGATACCAGAGATTACCTTGTACTGTGAGAGGATTTGAGTTTGGTGTGTGTAATAGCATACGAGAGCTACAAATTTAGGGGTGGCTGAGCACAGTTTACAGGAAGTGGTCTTGGCTGTTGTTTTTTTTCTTTTCTCCTAGGAAGTTGTTTAAGGATCTTAATTCTAGTTCGAAGATACATTCTAAAGGGTCTTCCCTATTGCTTTTTCTCCCCAAATTAATTTCATTTTGGCTTGTCTGTGTGCATTTGCATGAGGAACAGAACAGTTGTTTTCATCGGTAAATGAGAGACAGTTTTCTCAGCTCGGAAGAGAAAGGGCATTTTTCTCCTCCCAGCCAAAAGGTGCCCCTGGGTGACCAGGGACCTCATGGGAGTGTCTGGGGGGTTGACCCCCCTGTGACATGCAGCAGCCCTACAGGGAAATTCCCAACAAAAATTACTGTTTTAAAAAATAGCTCATCCAGGAAACGCATATAAGGGCTAATCAGCTGGCATTCTGAGCCCTCTCAGAGGTCACAGACCTCGGGAGAGAGAAACTGAAACACGTAAAAGGGTGGAAACGACTCAGTGGTGATACACTGTGTTGTCCTGCCCACAAGCAGCAGACACAGATCCACCACACAAAAACCCTAGGTCATATCTCAGCTTCTCCTTTTAAGACAAAGTAGATAACAAATAATCTAAGAATGAGGAGAAAACAAGGAGAATGACCCCCCCTTTTGAGCACTCCATAGGTTTTATAGATGTAAAATGGAAAGAATATGGTCTATGTGCACATTTGCATTAAGGAAAAAGAATCTTAAGGTTGACCTTAAAACTACAGAGTTCTCAAGTTCTCTTTCTTTCTACTTTCTTTTCTGCATGCTTTAAATCTGCTGGTTTTTTTTAATTAAGATAAAAACCACTGTTTGGATCCAACAGGTTTTTTTGCAAAGTGGTGAATTTGTATTTATCTCATGGCTAAAGTTCTGAAGTAGAAGCTATAGGATCTTTGTATGTGTGTGTATATGTGTGTATATATATTTAAAAGGCCTTTATAATTTCTATCATTTTTATAATTTTAGTTGGCAATTAAATCAGTTTTAATTTCCCTCTAGCACATCATACTTTTTCTCTCCGTACCTTATGATGTAAATTTTGCTATTTGATTTTCACCTGAGTTGTTTCCTTTAATTTGCAAATTTAAGGCTATTTAGCTGACAACTGCCTAGGCTTGTGAAACAGGTTATCATCAATTTGAAAGTCTAAGATAGGAGAAAAAAGGGTCTTTATGACCCTATAAGATGTACTTCTATTGACATGCCTAATACATCTATGTATTTATGTGTTGTATACACAGTGTTTCACTACTGAAAATATATAAAAGAGCTCTAATTAATTGGCTTAAGAATATAAAAGTGCTTGAATCAAATACTTTATCAGGAAAAAAAGAAAAGACTAGTCAAATGCTTTTTCATGTTTACGTAACAAGTAAAATCTTTAATAAATAAGCTAGCTTTAAAATTATTGCTAAAGTAATATTAGAAATGTCTTAAGAATTGCCAGTATACATTTTTGTTTGCATTTATTAATCAAGCAATTTCACACTTATTCCTGACAAATACTATAAGGTTTCAAAATTTGGCATAGGGTTATAAAACTATAAACCCAACCAAGACAGAATGATCTTTGCTTATGTAATTTTTAATAAATAAGACATTAATATAGGTTTCATGAAAATAGCTATATCTTGAATTTAGTAAGATAACCATAACTTCTAATCTTGTGATTTTAAGTGGTCTAGTCCATAGGCAGTAAGGTTTGTTTTGGCAAAGGACTATTGCTGTCTTTGTTTCAAAGCTAAACTATAAACTGAGTTCCTCCCAAAGTTAGTTTGGCCTATGCCCAGGAATGAAAAAGGACAGCTTGGAAGTTAGAAGCAAGATGGAGTGAGTTAGATCAGAGCTTTTTCACTGTCTCAGTTATAATTTTGCAACAGTGGTTCTGTAGCTTTAAATGATGACTATCGCAGTTTTCATAAATAATCTAGGCAAACAATTAAAATAAAATAATTAGGTAAATGTAATGGAATAAGTACTGGTAGACAAATTCATCATAATTTACAATCTAAAGTGTGGTAGACAAATGCATCATAATTTACAATCTAAAGTTATATTAAATAATAGATATTTCATTATTTGGGTATTTTCCAATAAAAATCTATTGTAGGAAAACATTCTTTCAAAAAAATGTTTTTTTTAAAAGGTGAACAATTTTTGTCTAATTCAAAGCTTATTTAAAGGTCATGTATAAAACAAGGTAAAGGGAACGAGGAAATAAGAAAGATGTAAATAAAGTTATAAAAACAAAGAGGTTTTTTGGTAAGAAAGCTTAAAGAGAAATAATTTTATATGAGAAAGAATCTTGTACGGTAAATTTAGTTCTAGAATAAAGTGACTGATTGTTTAAGAAAGAGGGATGTTCAGGACAAACCAGAAAGTTCAAGTGTGTCATGAACAGTCTGTTTAAATCACAATAGGAGGATTTATTTAAAAGAAACTTTTATATGATCAACTTGTCTGTAATTAAAGGGAAATTACAGGTGTTAAAAAAAACACTTATACACTAAATAATTGGTTAGAACAATGAAATTTTCATAAGGGATTGACTTACTCTTAATAAATTACAAGAGATTTTAATTTTTTTAACCCAAAGTTCAACTGTTAGTGCCTCTCACCGTTTTCAGTTTTTTCTCCCCTTTTAAAGGGCATGAAACAGTAATTCTCTCCAACTCATATTCAGCTCATATAAGTTTTTTTCCTCAAGTTCTGTTTGTTGCGGCCCTGATGCTAAAGAAGTTTTATTAAAGGTGTAAAGAAAATGTTTTCTACCAACATAATATTCTGTGTAGTACAGAAGGTCTTTTCTTTTGCCTTTTGGTAACTGGCCTAACAGATTTTACAGTTTATTGAAACAATTCCTACGCCATTATTATTAAGTTTTGGTTTGCTTAGGAAAAAAACGGAAATTAAAAAAATTTAATTAAGGTTATTACATTTATGTACCTTTCTGTATGTGCTTTTGAAGTACTTGTGACATTGAGTTACAGGGTTTTGACTCCTGGGTCTAAAAGGGACACCAAGTCCTGCTAAATCTTAAACACTGATAGCAATTAAAGCCTCATCTTCAGGCCTGGCAGAAGATGCCAGTCAAAATAAACGGCATTCCTCAGACACAGGGCCAGAAATTAAAGCTATTCAACTCCTCAAGACCCAGGGACTATTGCAGAAGAGGTGGGGTGTGTGAGATTGTAAGGGCTGATTTTGAGAGATAAAATAAGTTCAGTTTCTCTATAAATGAATCATTAATGTCAAAAGCACACTGATGCAAGACAAGCACATGGGCCTCTGTGTCAGATTAACAAGATTTTCTTGAAGGCTTAACCAACTCCTTAATAAAGCTTATAAAGTTTATGAAAGGCTTATGGAAGTTATATCTTATGGTCAAGATGAAATTTTTTTTTCAACATGGGAGTCTCACTCTGTGGCCCAGGCTGGAGTGCATTGGCGTGATGTCAGCTATCAAACTTTAGATCTGAATTAAAATTGAAGAATTTGAAAACGTTCCTGTAAAAATTCCTCTGCCTATACTGAGCCTTTCTCTGAGAGAGCTCCCCTGGAAGCTCCCAGGAAAATGAATGGGTTCCAGGAGCCCTTTCTTTGTCATTCATTAAGATAAAGCATTTGATAGTAAATGATACAGGAGGGGGTTTCCTAACCATTCTCTAGAAAACAAAATTTCTTCTGAGCAAAGGCCACTTCTTACTCATCCTTGAAGTCAAAACATTTATGGCAGTAACCAGCACACATTAGGTACTCAATACTTGTTTGCCCACCTTGTTAACTCTCACAAAGCAAGGCTTTGTCATAGCCCCCAGAAGAGAGCAGGTAGCCCTATTATGTACTGTCATACTCCTTACACACTTTTTTCAAGGACTATTTGTAATTACACGTGTGTATTTACTTAATGTCTACATTTCCTCACTAGACTCTAATCTCCCTTTGTGCATAAGATCAGCCTTGTGGGCACTCAATACATGTTTGTTGAATGAAAGTGAAAAGCTCAACAGATGTACCTTGACTCAGAGCTAAGCTCTTCTTTTGTCGATACCTTCCTGAATAAGATCCATACTTTCTCCCATAAGATTTGATAGCTTATAATGGCTACATCACTTGGTTAGTTTGATTTCTTCTTCGTAATTTGTTTAAAGCACCTGGTACTTTCCAGATAGATGCCTACTGAAAATGAACTGCTATTTCTTGCCTGTAAATGTCTGCAATTTCAAGCCAGATACAGAGATACAGAAGAGAAATCAATAGAAATTGACACTTGGTTGACCTGCCGACTCCTTTTTTTACCTTTATTCACAGTAGACAAGCAATATTTCAGAAATGATAAATGAGTTCCTGAAATACAAACTTCATAAATCAGCATTTTAAAAAAACTTGTACATGAGTGTTCATAGCAACTTTATTTACAATAGCAAAAAGGGGGAAACAACCTAAATGTCCATCAATGGATGAATGGATAAGCAAAGTGTAGCTCATCCATACAGTAGAATATTATCCACTTATAAAATGTAATAAAGCACTGATATATGGTACAACATGGGTGAACCTTGAAAACATTATGCTAAGTGAAATAAGTCAGACTCAAAGGGTCACATATTGTTTGATTCTTAAATCCATGGAGACAGAAAGCATATTTGTGGTTGCCAGGAGCTGGGGGTAGGCAGAAACAGGGATATGAATGTGGGGTTTCCATTTTCTGAATTGTACACTTTAAAATGGCTACAGTCATACATTTTATCACTGTGTATATGCATTTTACCTCGGTTTTTTAAAAAGCTAAATATAAAACTGGAATCAAAATTCACAGGCTCAGACAGAAAACCCACAAAGAAAAAAAAATCAGCAGCCTTTCTAGAAGGAAACTATTAGCCCGGGATTATCAATTCACATTTTCACATACTGGGTTTTGTTACTACTACTACTACTACTACTATTACTACTACTACTGTAACTGCCCAATGGGTTCACCTTGCCAGCTGCCTAGACAGAGCTGATTTATCAAGACAGGGGAATTGCAACGAAGAAAGAGTAATTCACACAGAGCCAGCTGTGCGGGAGACTGGAGTTTTATTATTATTCAAATCAGTCTTCCTGAGCATTCCAGGATCAGAGTTTTTAAGGATAATTTGGTGGATAGGGGCTCGAGAAGTGGGGAGTGCTGATTGGTCAGGTTAGAGATGGAATTATAGGGGAGTCAAAGTGAGTTTTTCTTGCTGTTTTTCTTGAGTTTTTTTGTTCCTGGGTGGGATGGCAGAACGCGTTGAGCCAGATAAAAGGCCCAGGTGGTGTCAGCTGATCCGTCGACTGTGGAGTCTGCAAAATATCTCAAGCACTGATCTTAGTTTTTACAAAATGATGTTATCCCCAGGAACAATTTGGGGAGGTTCAGATTCTTGCATCCAGACGCTGCATGGCCCCTAAACTGTAATTTCTAATCTTGTAGCCAATTTGTTAGTCCTGCAAAGTCAGACTATCCCCAGGCAAGAGGGGGGTTTATTTGGGGAAGGGCTGTTATCTTCTTTTTTCAAAGCTAAACCGTAAACTAAGTTCCTCCCAAAGTTCGGCCTACACCCAGGAATGAACAAGCCCAGCTCGGAGGTTAGAAGCAAGATGGAGCCAGTTAGGTCAGGATCTCTTTCACTGTCTCAGTTATAATTTTTGCAAAGGCAGTTTCACTACTACTACTGCCACACTATCACTTCTACACAACCAACACTAAGTTTCCCAAACAATTCAAGGAAAAAATTAACGAGATTAACTTGAGACTTGAAAGATCAATTCCTGTATTTAAATTAATTCTTCTAGATTTAAGAAGATAAAAAATTAAAATGGAAAATTTATAAAGGAATACATTTCCCTAAATATTTTTTTGGTATTTCTAAGCACACCAGTCAAAAGACAAAGAAGTCGCTCTGTGAGCCTGGGCAAGTCATTACCTACTCTGGCCCTCAGCCCTTTCATCTCTAAAATGAAAGGGTTAGATAAAAGAATTCTGCATTTCTAAGAAAACCTCCTAAGAATCAAGAAAAAGAAATTGTGTTTTTTCATGGCAACAATTCAGGGGTTTTTCAGGCTACCCAATTAGCTGGGTCCAACCATTTCTAATAAAGGAGGATTAGACCAAAAATAGCAAACTTGATAAGGGATATGCCCCTACAGGCCAGGCTGGTAATTAAATGAGTGAGGGAGGCTAGTTGGTGACAATAGAGTTGAAGAGCTAATGTCTCATCATAATGGGGCAGCCTCTTTTCAACTTCATTCAATGATTGCTACAAGGAAATGTGGGCCCAGTGATGCAAGAGCTTTATTTTTCAGGAAAAAAGAGAAAACCAGATTTTTACAATGAAATCTCCACATTTTGAAATCTTTGCATACAGTTTGAATTTTTCCCAAACCATTGTGCAGGCCAAACTAAAAATTTCTACCAGGCTGTATGTGGCCCAGGATCACCAATTTTCAACCTCTGATTAGAATATTTATTAACATACTTAGCTGGCATTGTTGATGGCAGAGCCACTGTGTGCACTGAAGGCTTCTCCAATAGCCCTCCATGAGACACAGTGTAATAAAGCTTAACTCACCCCATTTGCTAATTTATTTATTCGGCATGTATTTATTGAACACTTACTGTGCTCCAGACACTACCAATCATGTCACCAAACAAGGGTGAGTAAAAACTTGACACAGTTCCTGCCCTCATAGAATTTATAGTCTGGTGGGTTAGACAAACCTTAATCAAATAATCAAAGTAATAGGTGGGTCATTATAAGCTGTGCAAAGTGCCGTCAAGGAAAGGTACCCAGGGCTAGGAACATATTATATAACAAGTGGGGAGGAGGTCTAGTATGATCTAAATTAGGGCATCAAGGAAGACTTCCCTGAGCAAGTGGTACATAATCTGAGATTCAAACCATGAGTAGAAGTTAACTGGGCAGAGGAGTGGTGAGAGGGGATAATTCTGGGCAATCTGAAGCTGCAGAAGTCCTGTTGGAAGAGTGGGTTTTGTGGCGAAGGAGGAACAGAGAGAAGGTCTGAGCGGCTGCAGCATAAAGAAGGGAATGGAGGAAAGTGGGGAGGGGTTAGGCCGAAGAGGATAGGAATGACCAGCCCTTGCAGGGCCTTTAAGGCCAGATGAACATTATGGCTTTTGTTCTGTGAGCAATGGAAAACAATTCAAATTGCTTAAGAAGACAATAACATTATCCTATTTAGGCCTATTTAAGTTCACACTGGCTCTGAGTGGAAGACGCATTGAAGTAGAGGGCAGCTTGGGCTCAGATTCAGGTTAAGTTCATGATAGTGGTCAAGATGGGAGTTGTTGGTAACCAAGACTTGGGTGAAGAAATGAATGAGTTTAAGAAATATTTTAACAAGTAAAATCAATAAGAAATTAATGGATTTGATATGAAGAATTAAGAGAGAGGTGGTGGTCAAGACTGTTTTTCCACCTTCTGGCATGCATACATGGATGGCCGGTGGTGCCGCTTACCACAGAGGAAGTGTTGGAGGGAAGAGATCATGAATTCAGTTTTGCACATGCTGAGTTTGAGCTACTTTGGGGACAGTCAAGTGAACATGTTTAACAGACAGTTGGGTTTACAGGTCTGCTGCTCAGCAGAGAGGCATCTAGACTGGAGCTAGAAATGTATACATCATTAGCATATAGATAAAAACAGAAGTTATGAGTATCTACAGGGTCACTTAAGGAAAGAGCATAGAGTAAAAACAAAAGAAGGCCTAACATCTCCAATATGTAGTGGCCTAGTAGAGGAGGATGTGCTAGAAAAGAAGAATGAGCACGAGTAGTCAATGAGGTAATGAGAAAAATACAAGGAGCAGGGTCACAGAATCCAGGAAAGGAGAGCATTCTAAAGAGGGGGAATGGCTGACAGGCTTGGACACACCTGATACTGCAGGTAAGCTGAGACTAGAAGAATAGCCATTAACTCTAGCAACATGGAAGGCCCTGGTGACATAATGAACACAGTTTTCTTGCAGTGAAGGAGTTAAGAGCCAGATCAGAGAGAGCTGAGTGGATAAGAAGTGAAAAGGTAATGGCATTGAGAATGTGCAACTTTTTCTAGAAGTTTGATGTTGAAAGGCAGGCACAAGAGAGATGGAGCAGCAGCAGGAAAAGTGTGGAGTTGAGGAACAGGGCTTTTGACTTTGGTTGGGTTTTGTTTCCTAAGGAATTCCATGTTGAGCACAGCAGAATGTTCCACTCTGGGTTCTGTCCGTTTGACCTCTTACCCACAGCTCAGCTATCAGGAATGCAATCCTGATCAACACCCACACCTACTTCACACGAAGTTTGGCTCATGTTCAAAATACAGCGTGTGAAAGAAAGGTAAAACAGTTGTTTCTGTTCTGCCATCCCTTTCCCCTCTGATCTCCATATTTTTTTTTAATTATTGCTCATGTTACCTATCGCCTCCTTTCTATCCCAACAAACCTAATACATGCCCTCATTAATTCTTCCTTGGACTATTGTAATAGCATCCTAAAACATTATTGTGTCTTCAGTCTTGCAGCTCATCACTGCCAGAGTCGTCTTTGCAAAAGGCAGCTCTGATTACATTGCTTTCACCAAAAACCTTTAGTGGTTCCCTATTGCCCATGAAATCGACAACATTTGTAACCTGGCTCCTACTCTGGCCCACAGTCCGTCCTGCCTTCCTACTTGATATACTCCTCTCTATACACCCTGTGCTCTGGCCAAATTCTATTTGTAATTCCCTCACTGTGCCTTACATTTTGCCTCTCCACACCTTTACTCAGGCTGTTTCTTATTATCATACCTTTCCCTCATCTCTGCTATTGAAATCTTATCCATCTTCAGCTTAACCTAGCTGCCACCTCAAACAAGACACCTTCCCCACTACTCACCCTCCATTTCAAACCTAGCTACTCACTCTTTTCATTGAATAGTCCTAAGCAGTAATTTGGAAGAGGGGTGGTCACAGACTCACAGACACAGGACAGTGGGGATTTACACAGCATTTCCTGGTATTGTAAGCTTTTTGTTTTTTTTTTTTCAAATCCTTTACTGAATGCACTGAACTTCTGGAAGACTGGAACATGTCAAATTAATTTTTGGATCCACTGTGTTGCCCAGCCAGGGCCTAGCACAGGGCAGGCCCTCAGCAAATGTTTATTCACTGATGGATTAATGGAAGGAGGGCAATGGAATAGGGGAGAAAAGAAGGAATCCTAACACCAGGTCCTCAAGGCAAGGAGCAAACAGAAGAGTACATTAAAAATCCTCATGTGTGGGCCAGGCGCAGTGGCTCATACCTGTAATCCCAGCACTTTGGGAGGCCAAAGCGGGTGGATCACCTGAGATCAGGAGCTCGAGATCAGCCTGGCCAACATGACAAAACATCATCTCTACTAAAAATACAAAAAATTAGCCGGATGTGGTGGTGGGTGCCCGTAATCCCAGCTACTCCGGAGGCTGAGGCAGGAGAATCGCTTGAACCCGGGAGGCAGAGGTTGCAGTGAGCCGAGATCGCGCCATTGCACTCCAGCCAGGGTGACAGAGCAAAGCTCTATCTCAAAAAAAAAAAAAAACAAAAACAAAAACAAAAAACCTCGTGGCAATTCATTAAACCCACGGCAAACCCTCTCACTTCTGAAACCCTCTCCAGGCTCTCTTAGTAAATTTCTCCAAATATTTACAGTGTCCACAATACAATAAGATATCTCTTAGGCAGATTTAATAAACGTGATCCCACTCTTCTGGCTACAGTTAACAGCAAATAACTTAAATGCAAAGATTTTTCTAGGTAGAAAGGACATCCTGAGAAATGAGCTCTGATCCTCTGCCAAGCTCTATAAAGTCACTTAGTTTAAACGCTTTCTTCCCACAGCTCCTATAGTCCCCCAGGCCAGGGTCTTGAGTCCTCTCATTGGCATTGGGACAACAGCTTTACAACTGATTTATTTGTGTCTGGTATCCCTTCCCACCAAATCCATCCTTTACTTAGTATATAATTAATTCTTTCTTTTTAAAAAGTCATTTCCACTCCCCAGCCATCAGAATGGCAAAAATTGAAAAAAATTGACAATACCAAGTATTGACAAGGCTGTGGAGCAAACACAACTCTCCCCCATCCCATTGTTGGTGGGAGTATAAATTGATGCAACCATTTTGGAGAACTATTTGGCAGTAACTACTAAATCTAAATGTGTGCCTACCCTATGAACCAATGACCTCAATCCTAATTATATTCCCAAGAGAAACGAGTACACATGTTCACCAAAAGACGTGTGCAAAAATGCTCACAGACTTTTTAATTCATAATAGTCCACAACTGGAAACAACCCACATTTTCATTAACAAGAGACTGGATAAACAAATTGTAGTATATTCCTTCAATAGAATATCACTCAGCAATAAAAAGGAACAAACTACTTATCTCAAAAAAATTAAGCTGAGTGAAAGAAGCCAGTCATAAAAGAATACATACTGTATGATTCAATTTATATGAAGTTCAAAAACAGTTCAATAATGCCTCAACAGTGGTTAAGAGGTAAGGACGGGGCAATTATTGACTGGGAAACTTCATAAGGGGCCCTTCTTGGGTGATGAAAATATTCTATATCTGGGTGATGATTACATGGGTGTACATTTGTTAAAATTCATCAAACTGTACACTTAGAATTGCCCATCTTATTTTATGTAATTATACCTCAACTAAAAATAAACAATATAGTATTTGCCAGAATTTTTTTAAATCATTTCAACCTGTCTTTTTCCTGTTTCTGAATTCAATCCAGTTTCCAGACTTCTGCCTGGCTGTCAGGGTCCTCCATCACCTGTTTTTTTTGTTGTTGTTGTTGTTTTTCAGACGGAGTCTCACTCTGTCGCCCAGGCTGGAGTGCAGTGGTGCAATCTTGGCTCACTGCAACCTCTGCCTCCAGGGTTCAAGCAATTCTCCTACCTCAGCCTCCCGAGTAGCTGGGACTATAGGCACCCACCACCACGCACGGCTAATTTTTTGTATTTTTAGTAGAGACGGGGTTTCACCGTGTTAGCCAGGGTGGTCTCGAACTCCTGGCGTGATCCACCCGCCTCAGCCTCCCAAAGTGCTGGGATTACAGACGTGAGCCACCGAGCCCAGCCCCATCACCTGTTCTTACCTTCATCACCTGCTGCCACCTGATCAGTTCCATCAGTCTCCCTCTGCAACTTAACACCTAATCCATCATCACTATGATATTGCTTATGCCATTCCACCTCTCTGCTCTTCCCTCCCTCTTCCTTTTCTGTGAGCCAGGTCCTTCGGATCAAGTACTAAATTCACTTTCTACTGCACTTACTTACTTTACAGTGCTATTTACCTTATTTATCCTTCCTTTAGTGTTACTATATATATCCTGAATGACACTGCCTTACATTGGCTTGTATAAACCTTAAATTTAATTTCCAATTCACTTCCAATAAATTATAGAATTAATCTTTGTAATTTCCAACATATGACTTTTCTCTCTGTTCTGTTATAAATTTTAGAAGGCTGGGACTAAAGTTCTCCTATCTTCCAACTTCTGAGGGTCTAGCATAATGCCACATACTTAGTGAGTGCTCAAAATTACCCCTTGACCCCCAAAGTCAAATTAAAAATAATAAATACTAGAAAGGTGGAGTAGAGAAAAGCCCCTGTTTTAATGTTAAAATTGGTATATTTTTCTATTTGACATAGGCAAATCAATAAAATTCTTAGTAATCCCTATAGACTGTTTATTTTCTTATTATACATGCACATAATTCAGGAAGTCAAATAGTTCTACAAGACTTATTTTTAAAAATCAGTTGTCCTCAAACATACTTCTTTTCTCTTTAACTTTATTTATAATAAATAATCCAGCACCCTCTCCCTCAGGTGGGAGAACTCTGAGCCATGTTCTTCACTGTCTCCCAGAGGTCCCCAGTGGGGTTGAGCCCCTGTTGCTCACACTCATAACCTGCTCACTTTTCATTTCTTGTCTCCCTTCCCCTATTCCCCTACTAGTTCTAACCAGATCACTTCTCAAATATACTCCTTGCACTCAAGTCCTTGTCTCAAAGTCCACTTCCAGGGAAATCCAACCTAAGACCATGGGAGATGGTATCTCGATAAGGTAAAGGTGAAATATCTGTAAAGACGGGGTTAAGAAATGGGGAAAGGCAGAGAAAGGAGGGAAGAGTGAATGGAAAGAACCCAAACAAGAGTAGTTATGATAGAGATGCCTCCTTCTATGCTGAATGATTTTAGGTATATCCATGTGAGACCCTACTAGACCAGATTCTTCAGGGTCCAGAATTATTTTCATTAGCACCAAGCATGGCAACTTGTGTCAACCACTCTTGATAATGTTTTTTTTCTACTTTTAAAATTGTATCTAATAGTTCATGAACTCAAAACTCTCCCCATACTCACTTGTAGTCACCAATGATCCTTTGCAAGAAGATTTCTGACTTCATTCAGTACCCATTGCAAAAGACTCTAGAGATGAAAGGGTTGTACAAAGGTTAAGTATTGTTGCTTTAAACATCTTGGGGAAATGTCTTATTTAAGACATTACAAAAGAAAGGCTGAAAAAAAAGAAAACCAGGGAAGTGATACAGGAGAAAAACCCTGTCTTTACTAAAAAACAATGTGACCTTTCCTTTGTCCAAAATGACTTCAGGAAATCAGTATAATCTGGCAGGTGAACTTTCTAACAGTAATAAAGAAATCAATTTGTGCTTTAAGATACAGCAGAAGTTGCTGGTGAAATCAGAAAGCCCTCTAGGCATGGAATAATTTTCCCAATCCTTTGTAACAGTCAAGAAAGGAGAGCCTGAAATGTGGATTTATTTTCCCCCATAAAAAATCTACCTTTGGAAATACATTAAGAAATATCCTGGAGCCCATGGTCAGTGATACACTCTCTGTCTTACCATTGGTATTGTCTTATCTTTTGTTTTTCTGACATTGTTGGGGACCAAACTCACATAATCTGATATGAGACATAATTTCATACCCATTAATATTAGCTTTGCCAGAGATGGACAGAAAACCTATTTAAAAACACTTTAAAAAGGTGGAATTTTATTTTACCCTCCTATAAAATTCTGGAGATATACAGGCCAATGCTAATAAGGTAGCTCTCCTCACGAAGTCTTTAACAATACAAAATCCTTCCAATTCACTGCTCCTCTATCCTGAGGTTCTACTCTTTGTCTTCATGGTCCAAGATGACAGCATTTGGATTATAAGAAACAGGATAGACAAAATAATAGTTAAAAAAAAAAAAAAAGTTACATAATCCTTCTGCTTACATCCCATTGGCCAGAATATAGACACATGGTCATACTTAGCAGCAAGGGAGAATGGGAAATGTATTCATTATTTCGAACCATACATGCAAAGGTGAAAATCCTAATACTATGAAAAGAGAGAAAAGCTATTCAGAAAAAACTATCAATCATTACTCCAGCTTCTTTTCTGTCTTTCCTCCAATTCCATGTTCAACATTTTGAGGGAGTAGGTCCAGACAAAAGGTCATTTCCAGGCTGATCTTTACCTATGAATGTGACCTCCTTCTCCCGGGTCACACATTCTGATGCCATCACTCACCATGAGCCTGCCTCTTAAAAATGGCTTTAAGTGTTTAGAGTAATAGAGACAGGAGAACTCCTACAAAAAACAGAAACAAGTCTGGGAACTGATGCCAGAAGCACAACTTGATGTACTGCCTGCCTATCTATATGATACGCTCTCATACACACACACACACACACACACACACACATCCACACATTCATTTAGCAAATATTTGTTGAGCCAATATAGCAGTGAATGTAACAGATAATCTCTACCCTCAAGAAGCATACATATCATGGAGGAGACAGATGACAAAGAAATAAACATGAAAATAAATATCTAATTATAAATTATGATGCATATTATAAAGGAAGAGAACAGGGCCTAGAAGACCAAAAATAAGGAGGCTAATTTAGACAAAGGATTAAGTA
The DNA here is from genome assembly GCF_000001405.40 of Homo sapiens. Taxonomy (NCBI): domain Eukaryota; kingdom Metazoa; phylum Chordata; class Mammalia; order Primates; family Hominidae; genus Homo; species Homo sapiens. Next base: position 42,080,311 of record NC_000023.11, on the reverse strand, counting down.
CAAGCCTTTGTGGATGAATGCCATCGAAGCTGCAATTCCTAGGTTAAATGGATGTTAGCCCAGCGGAAGGAAAGACAAGCTGTTTCAGACAGGAGAAAAGGCATACACAAGTTCTTGGAAAGTGGGAAAGAGCCTGGCATGTTTGAAGAACTAAAATAAGATCAGTATGCATGGAACTTTGTGCACAAGTATGATTCACCCAACATACTTTCTAGATTTATGTTTGTCACACAGCCTGAAAACCTACCAAAGAGGGATTCGCTAATATATATGTAAGAGATTTATTAAGATTAAATTTCTTTTTTTTTTTGAGATGGAGTCTCACTCTGTTGCCTAGACTGGAGTGCAGTGGCATGATCTTGGCTCACTGCCACCTCCGCCTCCTGGGTTCAAGTGATTCTCCTGCCTCAGCCTCCCGAGTAGCTGGGACTACAGGTGCATGCCACCATGCCTGACTAATTTTTGTATTTTTAGTAGAGACAGGGTTTCACTACATTGGCCAGGCTGGTCTCGAACTCCTGACTTCATGATCCACCCACCTCAGCCTCCCAAAGTGCTGGGATTACAGGCGTGAGCCACCACACCTGGCCAAGATTAAATTTCTTAAAAATACATCACACTTTTCCAGGAGATCAGGAGCCTATTCAGGGCAGGATCCTTCAAGGAAGCAACAAGAACATCCAAAGGATAATGATACACTCAGAGGGTCAAGATCCCTGGGCCTTAGAGGCCAATAATAAGGGAAAGCACTCCTTACCAATGAGTCCCAACCATGGACAGGCCAGACAAGGAAAGTTGGAAGAGCTAGAACAACACTAGCTCCTTAGGTAAATGGTGTATTCAGACTTAGTGCTGGGACTGAAGAAATGAAAGAATTATAACATTTAAAGTGTGGTGGATTAACCATGGCTACAAATTCTTTGACACAACTTCCATTGAGAGGTTGGGTCTCTTTCTCCAGTCATCTTTCCAGTCATCCTCACCAGAGTACCATACATGTGATTGAAGACATCTTGAATCTTCCAGACCAAATGAGCCATTAACTGAATACCACTGAGTGACCTCAGTCAACACCACATGGAACAGAATAATTGATTAGGAGAAACCTGAACCAAATTTGTGACCCATGAATTCATAAGATGTAACAAATTTGTTGTTGTTTTAGAGCACTAAGTTTTGGGGTTGTTTGTTATGCAGCAATAGATAGTGAGACACTGACCAAAGATCCTTTTTGGCCTATGGACTTTCCAGGCTTTTAAATCTATGGAGTGTTGAGGATTTCCAGGCCACTGTGGGCTTTCTTTCTGTTTTTCTAGTTCAGACTACTGAAGCAGTATCCTCTATGTAGAAAGCTAGAAGTTTCCAGAAGAAAAAAGGTAAGAAATGGGAACATGGTAGGAAAATTGGTACCAAGGAGTGGAGTGTTGCTATAAAGATACCTGAAAAGGTGGAAATGACTTTGTAACTGGGTAATTGGCAGAGTTGGGACAAGTTTCTAAGGCTGAGAAGAAGACAGGAAGATGAAGGAAAGTTTGGAACTTCTTAGAGACTTGTTCATTGGTTGCAACCAAAATACTGATAGAAATATGGACAGTAGGCTGGGCACAGTGGTTCACACCTGTAATCTCAGCATTTTGGGAGGCCAAGGTGGGCAGACCACTTGAGGTCAGGGGTTCAAGACCAGCCTGGCCAACATGGTGGAACCGTGTCTCTACTAAAAATACAAAAATTAGCCAGGCATGGTGGTGCACACCTGTAATTCCAGCCACTCGGGAGGCTGGGGCAGGAGAATCACTTAAACCCAGGAGGTGGAGGTTGCACTGAGCTGAGATCATGCCACTGCCCTCCACCCTGGGTGACAAAGAAAGACTCCATCTCAAAAAAAAAAAGAAAGGAAAAAAGAAAGAAAGAATGAAAAGAAAAATAAATATGGACAGTGAAGGTCAGGCTGACAAGGTCTCAGATGGAAATGAGGAATTTATTGGGAACTGCAGTTAAAGATCACCTGTGTTATACCTTAACAAACAGCTTGGGCATATTATGTTCATGCTCTGGAAATCTGTGGAAGTTTGAACTTAAGAGTGATGACATAGGGTATCTAATGGAAGAAATTTCTAAGCGGCAAAGCATTTAAGAAGTGGCCTATTTCTAACAACCTACAATCAGATGTGGGAGCAAAGAAATGATTTAAAGTTTGAACTTATATTTAAAAGGGAAACAGAGCACATAAAAGTTTGGAAAATTTGCAGCATGGCCCTATGACAGAGAAAGAATCCAAGCAAGCTACAGAGCAACCACTTGATAGAGAGCTTTGCAAAACTAAAACAGAGCCAAGTGCTAATATCCCAGACAACGGGAAAAAGGCCCTAAAGGCTTTTTCATAAATCTCCAAGGCAGCCTCTCCTATTGTAAGCCTAGAGGCCTGGGAGGAAAGAATGGTTTCAGCAGCCAGGCCCAGGGCATCACTGCCCTGAGCCACTTCAGGACACTGCTTCCCAAATCCCAGCTGCTCCAGTTCCAGACTCAGCTCAAAGGGTCCCTGGTACAGCTCAGGCTGCAACTTTGGAGATTGTAACCTGCCATAAGCCTTGGTGGTTAACAGGTGGTATTAAGCCTGTAAGTGCACAGAATGCAGGAGTAAATGAGGCTTGACAACCTCTGCCTGGACTTCTGAAGATGTATGAGAAAGTCTGGGTGACCAGACAGAAGCCAGCTGCAGGAGCAGAGCCCCCACAGCGAAACTCTACTAGGGCAATGCTGAGGAGAAATCTGGGGTTGGAGCCCCCACACAGAGTCCCCACCAGGGCACTGCCTAGTGGAGCTGTGAGAAAGGAGCCACTGCCCTCTGGACCTCAGAAAGGTAGATTCACCGGCAGCTTGCACCCTCTGCCTGGAAAAACCACAAGCACTCAACTCCAACCCATGAGAGCAGCCACATGGGCTGCATTCAGCAAAGCCACAGGAGCAGGGCTGCCTAAGGCCTTGGGGGCTCACCCCTCACACCAGGATATGGGACATGGAGTCAAGGATTGTGTTGGAGCTTGAAGATTTAATGCCTTCCCTGCTGGGTTTCAGATTTGCCTGGGACCTCCTCACCCTCTCTCTCTTGCTTACTCGCTTGTCGTGTTACATGTCTGCTCCTATTTCACCTTCCAACGTGAGTAAAAGATCCCTGAGATCTCACCAGAAGCCAAACAGATGCCAGTACTATACTTGCTGTACAGCCTGCAGAACATAAGCCAATTAAACCTCTTTTCTTTATAAATTACCCAGCTTCAGGTATTTCTTTATAGCAGTGCAAGAACAAACTGACACAGTAGGTGAACAATCAAAACTGGCTGGGTATTTGTTTGCTGAATGGAGACCAAATTACCTTCTGGATAAGTGTTCAGCCCAGTTAACCAGGAAGGAAAGACTGCCCTCAAATAACAGCTATTCATTGGGCTGGATTTTTCTCTTGAGCTGAATCTTCTTTGAGATATAGAACATATCAAATAGGGTTCAAAAATGATCAGTCCCAATATTCACCATCATTTATAAGATGGCTTTAGAACCAAATCCACTTATAAAATGGTGACTGCCCGGTTTTGGAAGCAAAAGTTGAAATATAATAATAGACTTCTTCCTAATCAGGCCAGTCTTTCATGACCTCTGTATCTGCTTACATTTTCTCTATATGAACATTTGAAATTTGCCCAAATTATTATTTATTCTTAGTAATTGGGTCAGGAGTGGCAAGAATAATCACAAGTAAGTCCAAGTTTCAAGTGAGCATATAGTTTCAAACCAAATATCAGAAGTGCTTAAAGGAAGTTACACTGCCTCACTCTGCCTTCTTGGATGGAATACTTAAAAAAAATGGAATGGAAGGGGGATAAACAGAATACAAAGGCATATAAATATACAATAGAAGAAAGAAAGAACTAATAAAAGGGGGTCAGAAAAAATTAGGAGACTTAAGGACTCTATGTTTTTGGGGTTTTTTTTAGAGATGGGGTCATCTTGCTTTGCTGCCTAGGTTGGTCTTGAACTCCTGGCTTCAAGGAATCCTCCTGTCTCGGCCTCTCAAAGTGCTAGGATTACAGTTGTGACCCACCACACTCAGCCTTAAGGTCTCTAATTTTGCCAACAATTTGTAATCTTAGACAAACTTTCTAATCTTCCTGGATCTCAGTCTCCTCATTTGGCCACTGGAGAGAAAACTTTAAGAGTTCACAAGACTGTTATGAAAATCTATGTGATCATTAATATGAAAGCACCCCCCCACACACACATACACACACAGTAATTGTTCTGCAAATATAAAAGTGTTAATATAGAAAATCTAAGATTGATTTGCTCCTTAAGAATAGAGAGCTGTATGCAGTTCATGTGTGGAGCTCATCTAATACAACCCATTTGTTTTGCAGATGGCAAAATTCAGATCTAGAAAAGTTCAATGGTTTGTGAAGACTGCAAAGAAAAGTCTTCTCTTCACACCCAGCCTAATGTTCTCTTGGGCCCCCTGATCACCTTGAACATCTCTGAGGTTGCAGGTGATTTTTACAATGGTCATCAGCATGTGCATGGTTCTCAGAGCTTTACTGATTAAAGACCAAGATTACAAGCCAGGCCCCATCCTCATAGTCAATCCATCACCTAAAGCTATTTAGTTTACTTCTTAAATCTCTCTGGATTCCACTCCTTTCTCCCCAGTCATATAGCCAAGTCCCCAAATGAAGCTTCCATCGACTCTCACCTGATCTACCCAAACTGTTCTCCTAGCTTCCATTCTTAGGCCCTCCATTTCCATAGCATGGCCAAAAAAAAACTTTCTCAAAATGCAAGTCTCATCACATCAGTCCTTTTAAAATCCTTCAAAAGTCTCCCACAAAAACCAATGCCTTCCCATGGCACACCAGGCTCTACAAAATCTGATCGTCACCAACCTCTTTAGCCTTATTTCTTGGTCTCTTTCGTGTTCCAAGGTCAAACCACGTCCCTGCAAGCTTCAGGAGGCACTCATAAGTCATCCCCTTCTCCCGGTATGCGTAGACCCACCCCAACTCCTTTTGCCTCATTAGCACCTTTCACCCACAAATCTGAATCAATTCAAATGCCCCCCCTCCTCCAGAAAGTTTTATGAGTCACCATATAGACCGGTACAAGGCTTAGAGATTCCTAGAATTTCCTTTTCATCTAGATTAGTACAGTGCTCAGAGTTTCCTAGAATTTCCGTTTCATTTCTTTTCAGAGTTTAGCATTATATATTTATCCACGTAATTATTTAATCACTGCCAGCCCCCATTGCCACAAGTTATAAGGTCTCTGGGGGCAGTGCCCTTGTCTGTTTTGCTCACTACTTGCTCATTAATCAGCGCCTGGTATTCAGTAGGTATTCAATAACTGTTTATTGGAAGAAAAGATAAAGAAAAAAGCTGACCCCAGGGCACCAAAACCAGCATCTTTTCATTGAATCCTCTAAAAATAAATGGAAATGATCTAAAAATAGAAAAACCATAAGGACTATTTAAGCTCTAATGATTCACAAATTCAAGTGGAAAGGAGATCTAATTTCTAAAAGCAATTCCTACTTTTAGAACATTACCCTATCTAAAGGTCTTTCTTTAGATGCCCCAAAGGAAGGCCAACTTCTCCCTCTTTCCACCACTGAGCCCAATAGTACCTGAAATCTATGCTTGAAATTGGCATGGAGATTCAAAAGCAATGAAAAAGAAATGTAAGTTCAAAGCTTTCCACTTAGGTAGAGAAAAGTGAAGAGATCAAACCTCTCTCCACCCAGATTGTTCTAGTATAGACAGAAAATCAAAAATTCCCTTTATTTTTTAAAAGCAGAGATGGTAGGGTGAAGCCCATTAGTTACCAAGCATCTAATAAGTTCCAAACATTTGCTAGGCCCTATGAAAGTGTTATCTCATTTAATTTTACAACTATGCTATTAGTTGGGTATTATCTGTTTTATACATAAAGAAATAAGCAGGTAACTCACAGTCACATAACTATAAATTGGCACAGTTAGAATTCAAACTCAGAGCAATCTGATTCTGAAGCTTATTGCCCTTTTCTAAACCATTCTGTCACCCCAAGAGAGATACACAGAAGTGCTTCCCGCCATAATCTAATTACAATATTCCCTGCTTATTCACTGTTTCACTTTCCAAGGTTTCAGTTACCTGCAGTCAATCATGGTCCAAAAATATTACATACAATAAGATATTTTGAGAGACAGAGAGAAAGACTACTTACACATAGCTTTTATTACAGTATATTGTTATAATTGTTCCATTTTTTCATTAGTTATTATTGCTAATCTCTTGCTGCGTCTAGTTTATAAATTAAACTTTATCATAGGTATGTAGATATAGGAAAAAACCTAGTGTATATAGGGTTCAGTACTACCCCCGGGTTCAAACATCCACTGGGGGTCTTAGAACATATTCTGAAAAATAAGGGAAGACTACTGTATGTTCATTTTCTCCCCTAAAAACTATCTTCCCAAACTAATTTCTGAGCATTTGCAGGAAATAAGATGAGAATAAACGTTCTCCCTGTACCTTCATTCATTCTCTGCGCTCATGATCTTTGCCCATTCTCTAATATTTGAGGCACCGAGATGGATACACACACTTATTTACACTAGTCACTCCCTTATGCCTGGCCTGTGAGCTCCCTTGAGAGCAAGGGTCATGTCTCATTTATCTTTGGAGCTCCAATTTTGAATGCAGTCTCTGACACTCAATGAATCTTTGTTAAATTAGCTGGATGAATATGGAATGATATAGAGATGAATAAAACATGGTCCTTACCCCCAAGACATTTAAAATCTAATAGAATAGAGAACACACATACCAGAAACAATAGAAGACAGCAGTAAAAGTGTCACAGAGAGTTAAAGGGCAAAGAAAAGAGTTCATTAAAGAGAAATCTAGGTGGGGCTTTAAAGACTTGGTAGGATTTCAACAAACCAAATAAAGTAAGAACAAGTTTCATGCAGGGTATTCCAGGTGGAAGGAACAACATAAGTTGAAGCCTAGAAGAGAGAAGCCCTAAAGCTGACCCAGGATAATCTCATTTGGATGGAGCATAGAGTGCAGATAGGAGACATGCCTGGCAAGTAGGCTAGAATCAAATAGAGAAAGTAACTTTAGAAGCCAGGTTAGGGAGATGAGCAGCAAAGAAAAGCAGCATTTTCAGAAGGGCTTGTTTGGGAACCATGTGTCAGATGGACTGAGAAGTAGGGAGAAGTTAGAGCAATCCCTATGAAAAAGATAGTTACAGCTCAGGTCAGAGGCAACTGGGCTCTCAGGCTCTCCTACTAGCCAGGAGGACTTGGGTATTGTAACAATGCTTCACCACTTTCTTCCCCAAAAGACAGAATGAGAAGAAGTCGCCAAGAATCAAAATGGGCATAGGTTCTCCTAAATGTGTCAGTGTTTTCATTTTTCATCTGAACCAGCAAGTCTCTCTCTTCCTTGGTATTTATCATGAAGTTCAGTGAAGCAAATGCTTTAGGGAGCTAATTCCCTTGTGAGCAGCCCTAAGAGGATGATTTGGGAGAGTTGGGGGATTAATACTCAGCTTTCTTGCTCAGGTAACTCTGAGGCATTGTCCACACTGTCTCCCAGAGATCTCCAGTGGAACTGACCTCAGTTGCCCACAGATGTAACCTGCTTGATACTGCACCTTTAATTGGCTTCCTTCCCTTCCCCTTGTCTCTTCCCCACTCCCCTACTACTGTTTCCTAGAATAACTTCACAAATTAATTATGTGCCCTCAAATCCTTGTGTCAGGGTCAGGTTCTGGGGGAACCCAATCTGCCTTAGTCAGTTCAGGCTGCTATAACAGAATGTTATGGACTGGATGGCTTAAACAACAGACATTTATTTCACACAGTTCTGGAGGCTGGGAAGTCCAAGATCAAGGTGCCAGCAGATCCAGTGCCTGGCGAGGGTCTGCTTCCAGGTTTGCAGATGGCCATCTTTTTATTGTATCCTCACATGGCCAAGAAAAAATTATCTTTCTCATATCTTCTGACAAGGGCACTAATTCCATTCATGGGGTGCTCCACCATCATGAGCTGCTCACTTTCGAAAGGCCCTACTTCCTAATACCATCACTTTAGGTGTGAGGATTTCAACATAGGAATCTGGGGTGGGGGGACACAAACATTCAGTTCATAATACAAGCTAAAACATAGGGATTCTTGGCTTCTTCAAAACATTAATACTTAAGCTTCTACCACAAGAGGAGGGAGACCAGATGGTACTGGGGTCAGGGAAGAAGGGGTAAAGTTTGGCATGGAGAGACTCCCTCCCTAAAGCTTGGGACACCAGAGGAGAGACAGGTATATCTCAGAGGCCTATTAGTCAGTGAGCCATAATGAATCAACTGATCAAATCTTTCACGTATGGTCATGTCTGCCACATTCAAACAGACAAGAACCAAAGAAGGATATTGAAACTAGCATTTGGGTCCCAGTGTTATTTTCCGATCTGAGTTGCCACACTCACATATCTGGAACTTCTCCAAGGCCTTTTATAGAAGCTTCCCAAAGGCCTGGGCTACTGTGAGCTGAAAAAGAGAAAGAGAAGCAAGGAAAGCCTGTGTGTGAAACATCAGATGACTCTGCTCTGAAAACAGAAGCTTGGCACCAGAAGGAAAAGCCCCTCAGAAAGGGAATTCAGCAGCTAAGTGGATCAGGAGGAGTTGCAAGTCAAGCCTTTGCTCTGGCCCAGAATCACAATCAAGTTCTCTGCGGGCATGAGCTAAACAGGTAGGGGGAACTCCTCATTATAGCTCAGGAGGTAACTTTCCTAAATTGCATTAAGCTAGATAGTGCTCATAACATCCATCCCATCCCTCTTTTGGCAGCCAGTTAAGAAGCCGCAAAATTGGATGTCCTTCTAAATGACCAAAACCATGGATGCACATATGGGGGCTCCCCTGCCTTCTGGTTTAAAGGTTACAGGCCTGCCACAGGACCCTGAGCCTTATTTTCCATCAGGGTGTTTAATTAGGTTTTACTGCCCAAACACAACATTTAGTACATTTTAATTATCCAAGAAAAGAATGCAGTATATTGTCCTGTTGAGAAGGCAGTATTCAAATACACTAAATATTGAAGCCATTGTTGCTCACCACCTTTAAGACATTTTGCCAAACCAGAGTAACATCTTTGTTTAATAAAATAGTGAGGGGCAAATTCCACATCTGGAATTTTGAACATACCAGTCATGAGACAAATGGATCCAATAGAAAGTGTTGAATCCAAATATTTAGATGATTAGCCCAAGAATTTGGCAAAGAGATCTCCAGGAAAGAAGCATGCAATTTTAGATCATTTTCCATCTACTTAGGGCATGTAAATGGTTTACTTGTTTAATTTTCTCTAAAGATAACCATAATGCCAGTGACTGAAATAGACAATAACTTTGAAATTCAGTGCAGTGAAAAAAAGACCATGACCAAAAATCATTTAAGGCATAGCACGCAAGTCAGGGTACACAGCGTACAGTATAACAGTCAATGCAAAGAACAGCTGTAAAAACTCCAAAACTGGATTATGTCACCTTATTTTAAAACAAGAACACACTAAAGATTAGAGTTTGGGGTAGAGTTCTAGACTGATGCATCAAATCTTTCAAAGATATTTGTTCTCCAATTAAATTAAGTCCACACTATAAAATAGGAATTTGACTTTCTACAGGACCAGAATGGCCACTGCCTGTGACTGGCTGACTCCCACAAATAAGAAAAGCCTAGTCACGGGTTTGGCCTCACTGATAGGCCACTTAACCCTCCTGCTCCCCTCTGCCCCACAGGTTACTCTCCTGTTTCCCTTACTTCCCTGCCCTCCTCTCAACCTCTTTTCTTCACTCCTTCTTGACCTGCCTCCACCATTGCCTTTGCTAAGACCTGGACCTTGGCCTTCTTCTCTTTCATCTTCCCATTCTTCCTCCCCTCATATATCTCCAATCTCCACCTAATAACAGATGTCTCCCAGGATTTCTCTGGGCTCACGTTGCCAGTTATTTTAGTGCATTTGCCCAGTGACTCCAATAGTGTTTGTAAAATTAAGTTCATTGTTCTCTCACTTCAATGTCTCTCTTTTTAGGCTTTCCATCATCAGGATTAAGATTTTCCAGTTATGCATGTCCCTTCCCTACTCTTTCCAAATTCCCACCCCAGACAAAGCCCACAAAAACTCAAATGGAAATCACTGAAAAAACCTTCTAATCCATTTCCCTGACTCTATATTCTTCCCATTTATCCATTGGAAACTGAACTGTACATCTCTCATCCAAAATAACTTCCCTATTCTTGCATGCCGAATCAAACCCAAACACTTCTTGGTTGTCAGAGCTGACATCTCTTGTGCACCCAACACAGGGCTTGCCCTTATTGCATGCAAGAAAAGCTGGTTATCAACCTTCACATGCATATTTTCTCCTACTGATGATCATAGGCTTTGCAGGAGGACCCCCTAGCATAACTCTGGCTTCTACACAAGTTATTGAATTTCTGAGTCTTAATTTCTTGACTTGTATAAGAAAAGGGGAAAACTTCATTATACCTACCTCACAGCATTGTTCTGATATGAGAATGAGTTAAAGTGTCTACTAGAGCATCTAGAAAATAGTGGAAGTTTAATTAATTGGCATTTTTTATTTCCTTCATCACCTTTTCCTCCATATTCCAAATCTCTTTTATTTTTGCATGTGTTTCCTTTTTTTAACTTTTATCTTGAGTTCAGGGGTACATGTACAGGTTTGTTACATAGGCAAACTTGTGACATGGGTGTTTGTTGTACAGATTATTTCATCACCCATGTATTAAGCCTAGTACCCATTAGTTATTTTTCCTGATCCTCTCCCTCCTCTTACCCTCCTCTCTCCAACAGGCCCTAGTGTGTACTGTTCCCCACCATGTCTCCATGTGTTCTCATCATTTAGCTCCCACTTATAAGTAAGAACATGTAGTATTTGGTTTTCTGTTCCTGGGTTATTTGCTAAGGATAATGACCTGCAGCTGCATCCATGTCCCTGCAAAGGGCATGATCTCATTCCTTTTTATGGTGGCATACTATTCCATGGTGTATATGTATCACATTTTCTTTAACCAGTCTACCATTGATGGACATTTAGGTTGATTCCATGTCTTTGCTATTGTGAATAATGATGCAATGAGCATACAAGTACATGTATCCTTGTAATAGAACATTACTGGATGTATACTCAAAGAAATATAGATTATATAACTATTATATAATTATATAATATTCATACTTTTATATTATATTATTTATATTCATTAGGGTATATACCCAGTAATGGGATTGCTGGGTCAAATGGTATTTCTGTCTTTAGGTCTTTGAGGAATTGCCACAGTGTCTTCCACAATGGTTGAACTACTTTACACTCCCACCAACAGTATATAAGCATTCCTTTCTCTCCACAACATCATCAGCATCTGTTATTGCTTGACTTTTTCATAATAGCCATTCTGACTGGCGTGAGATGGTATCTCATGTGGTTTTGATTTGCATTTCTCTAACGATCAGTGATAAGCTTTTTTTCATATGATTGTTGGCCACATATATGTCTTCTTTTGAAAAGTGTCTGTTTATGTCTTTTGCCTACTTTTTAATGGGGTTGTTTGGGTTTTTTTCTTGTAAATTTGTTTAAGTTCTTATAGATACTGGATATTACACCTTTGTCAAATGCATAGCTTGCAAAAAATTTCTCCCATTCTGTAGGTTGTCTGTTTACTCTGTTGATAGTTTCTTTTGCTGGGCAGAAGCTCTTTAGTTTAATTAGATCTCATTTGTCAATTTTTGCTTTTGTTGCAATTGTTTTTGGCATCTTTGTCATAAAATATTTGCCAGAGACTATGTCCTGATTGGTATTGCCTAAGTTATTTTCCCGGGTGTTCATAGTTTTGGGTTTTACATTTACGCCTTTAATCCATCTTGAGTTAATTTTTGTATAACCTGTAAGGATGGGGTCCAGTTTCCATTTTCTGCATATGGCTAGCCAATTCTCCCAGCACCATTTATTAAATAGGGAATCCTTTCCCCATTGCTTGTTTTCGTCAGGTTTGTAGAAGATCAGATGGCTGTAGGTGTGCAGTCTTATGTCTGCATTCTCTATTATGTTCCATTGCTCTATGTGTCTGTTTTTGTACCAGTACCATGCTGTTTTGGTTACTGTAGCCCCGTAGTACAGTTCAAAGCTGGGTAGCATGATGCCTCCGGCTTTGTTCTTTTTGCTTAGGATTGCATTGGCTATCTGGGCTCTTTTTTGGCTTAAATAGTTTTTTTCTAGTTATGTGAAGAATCTCAATGGTAGTTTGATAGGAATAGTATAGAATCTATAAATTGCTTTGGGCAATATGGCTATTTTACTGATATTTGATTCTTCCTATCCATGAGCATAAAATGTTTTTTCATTTGTTTGTGTCATCTGTGATTTCTTTGAGCAGTGGTTTATAGTTCTCCTTCTAGAGATTTTTCATCTCCCTAGTTAGCTGTATTCCTAGGTATTTTATTCTTTTTGTGGCAATTGTGAATGGGAGTTTGTTCCTGATTTGGCTCTTGGCTTGACTGCCAAATCTCCTTTAAAGCTGAGCTCAAATTCACTAGTCCTAGAAATTTTCTTTTGGTAATTCCAGGCTCTTCTACTCAAGTTCTCTATCCCCTTTCAGGTAGAGTCATCAGATAAAATAAGTGTTCACTTATGCTAAAAAATTTAATCATAAATTTCTAAATTATGTAATAACTCATAAAAACTATAAAACATATATTAGGGAAATGCACTTAAAAATTATGCATTATCTGAAACTCAAATTTAACGGGGCATCCTGTTATTTGCTAAATCTGGCAAGCCTCCTTTCAAGTAAATATTGGCCTTTTCTACTTTGATGTTTTCTGTAGTTCCTTTATGATCAAATCTACTTTATGACTGGATGCACATCTTTTACTTCACTCATATTTTTCACAGCAGTGAGTCTATCCATGTGCCCAGCCCACTCTCCAAGCCTAAGGCAAGGCCACCTCCTCTGTGAAGCCTCTCAGATTATTGAAGCAACTTGCTGAGTCCATTACCTTTTCAATAATAGCATATTTCTCACATGGTTCATTTTTCACTGAATCTGCCACTTTTGTGACATTTTCTGTACTGGGATTTTCAATTGTCATATCACTTTTCATGTATTTATTTCTTATTATCCCCAATAAGTCAATATATTTAGTGGTCAGCAACAGAAACTAATTCTGACTAATTTATACCGAAAAGGAATTCATCAAAAGGATATTTGGTGGCTCACAGAAATGCCAAAAGATCTGGAGAACTCAGCTGAAAACAATATCCAATACCTCCCCTCTACAAACCAGAGAGGATTTCACTGCTACCACCCAAAAACGCCAGATACTGCCACTGTACCACTGACACTGCTCCTTGGGAATCCAAAGGTTCCCCACAGTGCCTGCTTCTTTGAGCCACTGCTCCCAGGTCCAATGCGGAAGGAATATATCTGAGTTGTCAAACCTCAGTCAAGTGCCCATGCTTTAGCTGCAAAGAAGTTGTAAACATGAGGATCTGGCATTTTAAGTTTTCCTAATGGGAGGTGGATCCTTCTCACCACTAAGTCTCATAAAGTGAGACTTCACACATGAGAAGGGGATTTGGAGGCTGAATGACAGAGAAGGATAACTGATGTGGCTTCTTTAGAGAGGAGGGACCATATCCCCTCTAAATTACCCAGAACAGCATTCTGCAAAGGAAATAGCCAAAAAATATTTGCTGATTAGATGAATGACTCTGGCCACCCAAAATACATTACTGACTTCTTTTTAAAACTCATTGCAGCTTCAATCTGAGGGATATTGTAAAGTGTTACATTATGCATCGAATTGTCTAGATACTATCGTTACTAAGACGAATAAAGCGAACTCCCTGTACTCTAGGGATGTCAAGTGAGGAAGGCTTACTAGACCACATTTACTACGTAACCAGGTAAATGTTCAGATTTAGGAAAAGGAGCAGGTATTATGGGAAGTCATGTGAGAGAACATCCAGCTCAGGGCAAGGGGTGGAGCAGTTTCTCAGAGAAGGCTATACTGGAGCTCAGTTTGAGAGGAGGGGGTAGATTTGCCCATCAATATGTTGAATCTGGAGATAACGATGAACTGATCACACAAGCTTAAGGTCAGGAAAACAGTAGCCACAGAGGTAAAGTGTCCACAATCTCAAACAGGGCCCCAGAGCAGATGTAAGTAACTCCATGGGAGCTGGGAAGATTAATGCTTTTGAACACACACACACACACATACACACACACAGTGTCCTTTAGGGTAAATAACACCCAATTTATGCAAGTTTGACTGACTTCAGTGAGATATGCTAACTCTGTGATGTTAGGTGACTTGGGGACAAACCCCGAGAAGGTGCCAATGATCCTAGAAGGTATTTAGAGTAAATAATAATCAGAAACAAGAAAAACTACCAGAAGTGACCAGTTCTTGCTTTACCTAACAAGATGCCATAATGGCACCAGGGTGTAGACAGCAGTGCTTCTCAAACTACTTGTAAACAGCACCCAGAGTGGTCTATACCCACACTGTTAAAATGAAATATAAGTTGAACCGCATACATAATTTTTAATTTTCTCATAGCCACATTAAAAAAGTAAAAAGATGACCACTCAATATTGTCAAGATGTCAGTTATTCCTAACTTAATCTATAGATTCAACCCAATCCCCATCAAAATCTATTATTTTGTGGATACAAAGAAAACTGACTCTAAAGTATACATGGAGAGCCAAAAGACCCAGAAAAGTCAACAAAATATTGAAGGAGTAGAACAAAGTTGGCAGACTCACACTACCTGACTTCAAGACTTACTATAAAGCTAGAATAATCAAGACAGTGTGCTATAGGCAAAAGAATAGATAAATAGATCAATGGAACAAAATAGAGAACCCAGAAAGAGACCCACATAAATATAGTCAACTAATCTTTGACAAAGGAATAAAGGCAATAAAATAAAGCAAAGGCATTCTTTTTAACAAATGGTGCTAGAACTGGAAATCACATACAAAAACATAAATCTGGACATAGACTTTACACACTTCATCAAAATTAATCCAAACTAGATCATAAATAAAAATATAAAATAAAACTTCTAGAAAATAATATAAGAGAAAATCTAGATAACCTAGTGCATAGTGATGACTTTTTAGATATAACACCAAAGGTATGATCCATGAAAGAAATACTTGATAGGCCAGACTTCATTAAAATTAAATTTTTCTGCTCTGCAAAAGACACTGTCAAGAGAATAATAGAAAAGCCACAGATTTGGAGAAAATATTTGCAAAAGATAGATCTGATAAAGAACTTATTAACATCAAAAATATACAAAGAACTCTTAAAACTCAACAATGAGAAAACAGACACACTGATTTTAAAATGGGCAAAAGCAAGCTAAGCTTCATAAGGGAAGGAGAAGTAAATGTTTTCCAGATAAGTAAGTGCTAAGGAAATTCATTAATGTTAGACCAACCTTACAGGAGATCCTTAAGAAAGTTCTAAACATGAAAACGAAACAATATCTGCTACCATAAAAACACACTTGAGCACATAGCCCACAGATCCTATAAAACAACCACACAATGCAATCTACAAAGCAACCAGATAACAACTTCATGACAGGATTAAAACTTCACATATCAATATTAACCTTGAATGTAAATGTTCTAAATGCCCCATGTAAAAGGCACAGAATGGTAAGTTGGATTACAAAAATAAGACCCATTCATCTGCTGTCCTCAAGAGATTCATCTCACATGTAAGACATCCATAGGCTCAAAGTAAAGGATGAGAGAAAGATCTATCACACAAATGGAGCACAAAAAAATAGCAGGAGTCACTCTTCTTACATCAGATGAAACAGACTTTAAACTAACAAGTAAAAAAGGACAAAGAAGGACATCACATGATGATAAAGGGTTCAATTCGACAAGAAGACTTAACTGTCCTAAATACATACATACCCAGCATTGGAGCACCCAGATTCATAAAACCAGTACTTCCAAACCTACAAAAAGACTTAGACAGCAACACAAAAATAGTGAGGGACTTCCAACACCTCACTGACAGCATTAGACAGATCACTGAGGCAGAAAACTAACAAAGAAATTCTGGACATAACTTTGACACTTGACCAATTGAACCTAATAGACATCTACAGAATACTCCAGCCATCAACCATAAAATATACATTCTTCTCATCTGCATATGGAACATACTCCAAGAATGACCACATGCTTGGCCATAGAGCAAGTTTCAATAAATTAAAAAAAAAAACTCAAAATCATACCAACCATACTCTTGGACCACAGTGGAATAAAAATAGAAATCAACACCAAGAAGATCTCTCAAACCCACACAATAACATGGAAATTAAACAATTGCTTATGAACGACTGTTGGGTAAACAATAAAATTAAGGCAGAAATCAAGAAATTATTTGAAATAAATGAAAAGAGACACAACATACCAAAATCTTTGGGATGTAGCAAAAGCAGCGTTCAGAGGAAAGTATATAGGGCTAAATGCCTACTTCAAAAAGTTAGAAAGATTTCAAATTAATGATCTAATGTCACACCTAAAGGAACTAGAACAACAAGAGCAAACTAACCCCAAAGCTAGAAGAAGAAAAAAAAATAACTAAAATCAGAGCAGAACTGAACAAAACTAAGACCCAAACATCCAATGAAAGACCCAAAGAATCAATGAAGCCAAAAGTTGGTCATTTGAAAGAGTAAACAAGATTGATAGATGACTAGCTAGATTAACAAAGAAAACAAGAGGGAAGATCCAAATAAGCACAATCAGAAATGACAAAGGTGACATTACAACTGATCCCACAAAAATACAAAAGACCTTCAGAGACTATTATGAACACCTCTATGCACACACACTAAAAAATCAAGAGGAAATGGGCAAATTCCTGGAAACACACAATCTCCCAAGATTAAATTAGGAAGAAATTGAAACCCTGAACAGACCAATATAAAGTTCCAAAATTCAATCAGTAATAAAAAACCTACCAACCAAAAAAAAACCCTGACCAGATGGATTCACAGCCGAATTCTACCAGACATACAAAGAATAGCTGGTACCAATTCTACTGAAACTATGCCAAAAAATAGAGGGGGAAGGACTCCTTCCTACACTTTCTACAAAGCCAGCAACACCCTGATACCAAAACCTGGCAAAGACACACTGAAAAAAGAAAACTACAGGCCAATATCCCTGATGAACATAGACACAAAAATCCTAAACAAAATACTAGCAAACCAAATCCAGCAGCACATTAAAAACTTAATTCACTATGATCAAGCATTCTTTATTCCTGGGATGCAAGGTTGGTTCAACATATGCAAATCAATAAATATGATTTACCATATAAACAGAATTATAAACAAAAATCATATGATCATCTCAATATTTGCAGAAAAAGCTTTTGATAAAATCCAACAACCCTTCATGAAAAAAACCCTTAAGAAACTAGGCACTAAAAGAAAATACCTCAAAATAATAAGAGCCATCTATGGCAAACCCATAGCCAACATTGTACTGAATGGGCAAAAAACAGAAGCATTCCCCTTATGAACTGAAATAACAGAAGGATGCCCACTCTCACCACTCTCACCACCTCTATTTAACATAGTACAAGTTCTTGTCAGAGCAATCAGGCAAGAGAAAGAAAGAAAAGTCATCCAAATAGGAAAATAGGTCAAATTATCTTCATGGATGATATGATTCTATACCTAGAATACCCTAGACTCTACCAAAAGGCTCCTGGAACTGATAAATGACTTTGGTAAAGGTTCAACGTACAAAATCAATGTACAAAAATCAGTAGCATTTCCATACACCAATAGTGTTCAAGCTGAGAGCCAAATCAAGAATGCAATCCCATTTACAATAGCCCCCCACCAAAATACCTAGGAATACATCTAACCAAGGAGGTGAAAGATCTCTGCAAGAAGAACTACAAAACACTGCTCAAAAAAGCATATATGAGGCGACAGAGCGAGACTCCGTCTCAAAAAAAAAAAAAAAAAAAAAAAAAAAAAAAAAAAAAAAAAAAGGCATATATGATACATACAAACAAATGAAAAAAAATCCCATGCTCATGGATTAGAAAAATCAATATCATTAAACTGCCCATACTGTCTAAAGCAATCTATAGATTCAACACTTCCTATCAAGGTACAAGCATCATTTTTCACAGAACTAGAAAAAACTATTCTAAAATTCGCATGGAACAAAAAAAGAGCCTGAATAGCCAAAGTAATCCTAGGCAAAAAGAATAAAGCCAGAGGCATCACATTACCCACCTTCAAACTATACTACAAGGCTACAGTAACAAGAACAAAATGGTACTGGGACAAAAGCAGACACTTTTCAGTTCCATATACCAATGGAACAGAATAGGGATCCCAGAAATAAGGCCCGTACACATCTAATTAAACTAAAGAAGCTTCTGTACAGCAAAAGAAACTGCCAACAGAGTAAACAGACAAACTACAGAATGGGAAAAAATATTTGCAAACTATGCATCTGGCAAAGGTTTTATCTGTCTGAAGATTCTACTCCAGAATCTGTAAGGAATTTAAACAATTCAACAAGAAAAATGCAAAGAACCCCATTAAAAAATGGGCATAAGACAGAAACAGACACTTCTCAAAAGAAGACACAAGCAGCCAACAAACATATGAAAAAATGCTCAACACCACTAACCATCAGAGAAACAGAAATCAAAACCACAATGAGATACCATCTTGCACCAGTCAATATGCCTATTATTAAAAAGTCAAAAAATAACAGATACTGGTGAGGCTATGGAAAAAGTGAACACTTATACACTGTTGGTGGGAATGTAAATTAATTCAGCCACTGTGGAAAGCAGTCTGTAGATTTTTCAAAAAATTTAAAACAGTACTGCCATTTGACCATTTAACAGAATCCCATTACTGGGCATATATCCAAAAGGAAATAAATTGTTCTACCAAAAAGACACATGCACTCATATGTTCATCATAGCACTATTCAAAATAGCAAAGACATGGAATCAACCTATGTGCCCATCAACAGTGGATTGGATCAAGAAAATGTGGTGCCTATACACCATGGAATACTACACAGCCATATAAAAGAATGAAATCACGTCCTTTGCAGCAACATGGTTGCTGCTGAAGACCAGTATCCTAAGAAAATTAACGCAAGAACAGAAAACCAAATATCGCATGTTATCACTTATTAGTGGGAGCTAAACAATAGGTACTCATGGACATAAAGATGGTGACAATTGACACTGGGGACTACTAGAGGGAGGAGAGAGGGAGGGGGCTAGGGCTGGAAAACTAATTATTGAGTACTTTGCTCAGTACCTGGGTGACAGGATCAATCATGCTTAAATCCTCAGCATCATGCAATATATCCAGGTAACAAACCTGCACATATACCTCTTGAATCTAGAATAGAAGTTGAAATTATTTTGAAAAAAAGAAGAACGAAAATTATTAATGTAGCATGACATGCATAAACATCTAGTTCATTTTTAAATAAAATATACTGGGATGCCTACAAAGTTTTTACTACTTTTTACTGTCTTTGCCATAATGCAAAGGCAATTTTCTTCTTACATCACTAAGAAAATTTTAATGAAGAACAAAATTTTGGAGAAAATGCTATGAAAATTAATCAGTTGCAGCCTAGGTGTTGCCATGAAAATCCTCAGGAAAATTCTGTTCTGGCAGATGTCTTTGGCATCACCATGCAACAGTCATTATATCCTCATGACAAGAAAAGAGGGCTTCCACACATGAATTGTGGCTAAGCTGCATGGATCTATTCCCTCACAAGAAAATAAGCTATACTTATAGAAGTAAGAAATAAAAACTTGTTTTTTGGTTATTCGAATAAATAAGTAAATAAAATGGGCAAAAGACATGGACAGATACCTCACCAAAGAAGATATACAGATGGTAAATAAGTATATGAAAAGATACCAAGATGCTCACATCATGTCACTGGGGAACTGCAAATTAAAATAGAATAAGATATCAACACATGCCTATTAGAATGGCCAGAATCCAACACATTGACAACATCAAATTCTGACAAGGATGTGGAGCAAAAGGAACTGTCATTCATTGCTGGTGAGAATGTAAAAGAAGGCAGCCACTTTAGAAGAGAGTTTGGCAGCTTCTTACAAAACTAAACATCCTCTTTCCATACAGTCCAGTAACCACATTACTTGGTATTTACCCAAATGAGTTGAAAACTTAATGTCCATGCAAAAACCTGCACACAGATGTTTATAACAGCTTTATTCATAATTGTCAAAACTTGGAAGCAACCAATATGTCCTTCAATAGGTGAATGAATAAATAAACTGTGATACATCCAGACAATGAAATATTTTTCAGTGCTAAAAAAATGAGCTATACAGCCATAAAAAGACATGGAGGAAGCATAAATGCATATTACTATGTGAAAGAAACGAATCTGAAAAGACTAACTAATATATAATTCCAACTACATGACATTCTGGAAAAGGCAAAACTATGGTGACAGTAAAATGATTAGTGGTTGCCAGGAGGTGAGGGGAGGAAGGAATGAATTGGTGGAGTCCAGAGAAGTTTTAGGGCAGTATCTGTATGATACTACAATGGTGAATACATGTCACTATATATTTGTCCAAACCCACAGAATGTACAAAACCAAGAGTGAACCCTAATGTAAACTATAGACTTTGCATGTGATATGGTTTGGATCTGTGTCCCCACCCAAATCTCATATTCAATTGTAATCCCCAATGTTGGAAGTGGGGCCTGGTGGAAGGTGATTGGGTTATGGGGATGGATTTCTCATGAATGGCTTAGCACCATCCTTTTCATCCTGTTCTCATGATGGTGAGTGAGTTGTCACAAGATCTGGTTGTTTAAAAGTGTGCAGCACCTGTCCCCCCACCATTGCTCCCCCTTCGCCTTCCACCATGATCGTAAGTTTCCTGAGGCCTCCCCAGAGACCGAGCAGGTGACAGCATCATGCTTCATGCAAAGCCTGTGGAACCATGAACCAATTAAACCTATTTTCTTTATAAATTACCCAGTCTCAGATATTTCTTTATAGCAATACAAGAACGGCCTAATACAGGATGATAATGATGTGTCAGTATAAGTTCATCAGTTGTAACAAATGTACCATTGTAGCAGCAGATATTGATAGTAAGAGAGGTTGTGCATGTATGGGGGCAGCAGGTTTATGGGAACACTTTGTACTTTCTGCTCATTTTTATGGTGAACCTAATACTGCACTAAAACATACAGTCTATTTCAAGGGGAAAAAAAGTGAAAAGAAACAAGTGACCTCGATTTTGATATTACATTTTATTTATCCCAGTATATGAAAAATATTATCATCACAACATGTAAGAATATTATCAATGAGATATTTTATATTTCTTTTATCACACTAAATCTTTAAAATCCAATGTTCAATTTACATTTACAGGTATCTCAATTCAGAGTAGCTACATTTCAAATGCTAATTAGCCACATGCAGCTAATGACTACTATACTGAACAGTGCAGGTGTATGGCCTATTCGAGATGAGTTCAGTGAATATGTACTTGGATATATTTGTAATGTCGGCTTTTAGATGCTTACTCTCGATTTTTAACTTATCTCCTCATGAACCAGTAGTGACTACTTTACCAATCACATAGAACGGTCCTCACTACGAGCAGCTCTTGTTTAAAAAGCCTCATTCTCCTCCAGAGAGGAGGCAATCAGTAATGCAACTGAAGGCATTATGGGCATGGATGCCTTCTCAAGAATATTTTGTTTAGAGTGGAACCAAGCTAAGACATGAGAGGCTCTTATGTTGGGAAACAGTCAGAGACCCAGTGTATAAACATCTTTTCTTCTTGCAAACAAAAGTGGAAAACACCAAATAAAGCTCAGAGCAGGTAGTCTCTTACAGCTCTGGGTACCTACTGTCAAATTTTCCAAGGTGCTTGGAAATGAGTAAATACAGCTTAAAGTGAGATTTGAATAGATAAAATAAAATAAAAATCTATTATTTTCAAATACAGTATAGGTTTGAGTGGAGACAAATAAAAAATTCTCTCAAGTGACAATGGCAGTTCTGGGGAAATGGCCTTGTTTATAGATGTATTAAAACCATCACAAACCTGCAGGGAATCATTTTTCTGAAAAATAGTTCCCTTGAAATAAATAAACAAAACTTATTTGCTCTAAAAGAGGGGGCAAAATTCACATAAAACAGCTTCAAACAGCAACTTTTCAACCTAAATGAAACAGAAGAGCTTCATCTCTGAAAACTAGTCATAACATAGCAAATCGGTGCTCAGGAAAAAAAAGTTTAAAATACAAAGAAAATTTGAATAGAAAACAGGAATTAAAAGTTAAAAACTTAAACCACCCCCAAGTGACCATCCAACTGGGAATAGCCAAATTTAACAAGTCCTCATTCTACAAACCTTATAAGAGGTCTGAAAATGTTTTCTTCCTTTTGACAATGTGGAGCCTGTGAACACTTAATATTCTTGAATAATTATTTAGGAGAAAGTCAACGTCACTTTGTGCGTATTCGCTTATGTATAGCTAACTCTTCCATATGAACAGCTAATGAATTACAGCAGTGAGTGATTTGCTTAACTGATTGTCTAGTAACTAGATAATTACACAAGTGCCAATACCAAATTTAGATTGTTATGGACTGTATTGTGTCCCCGACTCCAATTCATATATTGATGGCCTAACCACCAGTGTCACCATATTTGGAGCTAGGGCCTTTAGGGAAGTAATTATGGTGAAATCAGGTCATAAAAGAAAGGTCCTAATCTGATAGGTCTGGTGTCCTTATTAGAAGAGGAAGTGAGGGCTGGGCGTGGTGGCTCACGCCTGTGATCCCAGCACTTTGGGAGGCCGAGGTGGGCGGATCATGAGGTCAGGAGATCGAGAGCATCCTGGCTAGCATGGTGAAACCCCGTCTCTACTAAAAATACAAAACTTAGCCAGGCGTGGTGGCGGGTGCCTGTAGTCCCATCTACTTGGGAGGCTGAGGCAGGAGAATGGTGTGAACCCGGGAGGTGGAGCTTGCAGTGAGCTGAGATCTCGCCACTGCACTTCAGCCTGGGTGACAGAGCAAGACTCCGTCTCCAAAAAAAAAAAAGAGGAAGAGAGGGATCTCACTCTCTCCCTACATGCATACAGAGGAAGAGCAATGTGAGGACACAGCAAGAAGGCAGCCATCTGCAAGCCAGGAAGAGAGGCCTCACTAGCCTCCAGAACTGTAAGAAAATTAAATTTCTGTTGTTTGAGCCACCCAATCTATGGTATTTTGTTATGGCAGCCCAAGCAGACTAATAAGAGATATTTTGGAAGTACAGAGCATACAAAGTGATTCCCAAATCATCTGTAAGATCTATCAGTACACACAGCAGCCAACTGACTGAGCTGCTATAACGTCAATTAACCAAAGTTTGTGTCTGTGCCTGTGTCTGTGTGTGTATCTGTGTGATTCTAATGGTGATGGTTGGTCACAGGGGTTTTAGAGTTAATCAATCAATAAGAAAATGGTCCTGCAAGAAATAGGAGAGACCATTCACCCCAACAAAAAGCTCGCAGTCTAGTTAGGGAGAGAAAGCTAATGTATAATATATAAAATACTTAAATATTCTCATTTAATGTCCTTCATGTAGTAGGAATTCTTCCTTTAAAGATAGAGGATCAGTGCTTCCCTCACAAGAAACTGACAACAAAGAAATATCATTTTGTGCCATTGGTCCTGAAACTGTCCCAAAAGACTCTCTTCATGTAATTCTTCTAATTACCAGAAAGATCTGAATACACAGAGCACTGGGATAGCCAATGTAGCTCATTAAAACCAAGGTGATAATAGTGAGAATACTAATGAGATAAGAATTAATCATGCAGTGTGCTCTAATGCATTGAATCGCCAAATGTTAGAACTTTAAAATGTTGGAACTAAACTGACATGGTTTGGATATTTGTCCCTGCCCAAATCTCATGTTGAAATGTAATAATCCCCAATGTTAGAGGTAGGGCCTGGTGGGAGGTGTTTGGGTCATGGGGGCGGATCCTTCATGGCTTCATGCTGTCCTTGCTATAGTAAGCTCTTGCAAGATCTGGTTGTTTAAAAGCGTGTGGCACCTCTCACTCCCTTCTCTTGCTCCTGCTCTTGCCATGTGACCTGCTTGCTCCCACTTTTCCTTCCTCCATGAGTAAAAGCTCCCTGAGCCTCCCCAGAAGCCAAGCAGATGCCACCACCATACTTATACAGCCCAAAGGACCATGAGTCAATTAGACCTCTTTTCTTTATAAATTACCCAGTCTCAGGTATTCCTTTGTAATAATGCAACAACAGCCAAATACATAAACTTAAAGATCACGTGATCCAAGCTCCTAATTTTAAAACCCAGGCCTCTACTTAAGAAGAACTATGCAAGAATATTGCGTACACAAGCTCGACATTGTCAAAAGGAAGAAAACTTGAGAGAAATGCTAGAGAGGATGAGGAAGGAGCAAGAAAAAAGGAAACTCACATGAATTGGGCATCTTCAAAGTGCCAGGAAGCACAGTGCTAAATATCTAATATTAGTCATCTTATTGAAATTCTTGTATCTTACCCCTTAAAGGGAAAGAAATTGTTTACAACATTTTACAGATGAAAAAAAGGCTCAGAGAGTATAAGTGACTTGCATAAGACCATACAGATAAAACAGCCAGAACTAGTGTTCTGACCCAATCTCCATCCAACTCTGAAGCCCTCACTCTACTTTTCCACCTCAAACACACCTCCAGCTTTAATCCTTAAGCATACCTTAGAGTAAGAAAGGTTTGCACTGTAAGTATATCTCAAAAACAATAAAGTCCCTGAGAAAATCACCCAGATCCCCCTCCAGAGCCAAGACACATTCTCTTCTTGTTGAGAGTGTTGGTTGCTGAAGGTTGGAAGCTGAGTCCCTTCCAAGAATTTGCCCTTGGTAAACAGGAACTTGCCAAAGTTACACTCACTCGCTCAAGGACAGTCAAATTCAAGGTTTGGTCCATGGGTGTGGGATATGAAAGTCTGGCCCCCCGTCTCAATTTGGGGTAATTCTGAAGGACCACGCCAGTTTCAGAGCTCCCCACAGGGTCAGCTGAGGCCTCAGTTGTCACTGCATCTCAACTTAACTCCTCCCTCTACCCAGTCATGCTTCTCTTATCTCTGAAAAATTCTGATCCTAAGGACACACTCCCATATACAGAAAAAACTGAGAATCTGGCCTAAGAAATACATTGTTTTTAAATTCATTGATAATTTTACATAATGTTTCTGAAACAATGTGCAAAAATATTGTTCTTTTAACAGCTGCTACATCAGAATCACTCCTCACAATGGGAAAATATTAAAAATCCCTTGGAATGTGAATCCCTTGGAGGTGGGGATGACAGCCTCAAATGGCATGGCTGATTCACAAATTATGGTCACTAATTGGCTGAGATAGTAAAGGACATTTGAAGACTGAGAAGAACTTGGTGAGACTGAGTGCCATATGTAGGAAGAACTGAAAGAAGACCTTGGACTATGGGGCAACAGAGAAAGGAGAGGGAGGAACTTGGAGGTAAGTAAAACATCCAAAGATTTCAAGTCATTTGCAGTGAGGTGTGCAATACCAGCTCTCTCTCTTCTGTCTCCTCTGAAAAATCTTCAGTGAATTGGACACTGTTTGCTTTGTGTGAGTAAATTCCTCTTGGGGAGTTCAGAGAGGTTGCTATGGAGCTATCTGTGCCTGGCCTTCACTTTCAATGAAAAAGAGTCAAGTTCTAGCTCAGAAAATGGGAATGTGAACTCTCAGAATCCAAGGAGACAGACATACTGTGCCTCTCTGATTGTAAGGATCCGAAGATGAAGCCCACAGTTTATTTAAAAAGAACCTATATCAATACAGCAAAAAAGGGCATATTAAAACCAACAGCATTTTCACTATCAGTTTATCAAAGTGATTTTTAATGAAATTACCAATATAGGAGAATAAACTGCACAGAAATGGACTCTCTACACTATATGAAAAATTGTACATTGTTACAACCTTCCTTTTCTTCCTAAACTGGAATTATATTAGAGAAAAATGAAAGTTCTCAAGTTCTTTATTTTCCATGAAATTGTGTTACAACCTTTCTAAAGGGCAATGTGGAGATATAGAGCAAGAAGCTTATACACGATCATGCTCTTTGACCCAATAATTTGCCATTAAGAAACATATCCCAAGGAAATGGCGATAAACACAAAAATTTATGTACATGGAAATATTTTGAAACGTTATTTACAGTAGCTAAAAACTACTCAACAGTGGGAAAATGTTTAAATAAATTGTGCTGCATTACTGGAAATTCTTTCCTCAAAGAACATTTAATTAGATGGGAAAGAGCTCATGATAATATTAAGAGAAAATATATGTACATCAGCTTTTACACACTAGAATCCCAGTTCTGCTAAAAAGAAAAAAAAAAGACTATAAATCTTTAAACTATTTCATCTAGGTTATAATGCGTGTGGATGTGTGAATAAGCTTACAGATATATTTGTATGTAGATATATTTGTGAATTAAGCAAAATGGGTCACAATTTTTTTTTTTTTTTTTTGAGACAGAGTCTCACTGTCACCCAGGCTGGAGTGCAGTGGCGTGATCTCGGCTCACTGCAACCTCCGCCTCCCAAGTTCATGCCATTCTCCTGCCTCAGCCTCCAGAGTAGCTGGGACTATAGGTGCCCGCCACCACGCCTGACTAATTTTTTCGTACTTTTAGTAGAGACAGGGTTTCACCATGTTGGCCAGGATGGTCTGCGTCTCCTGACCTTGTGATATGCCCGCCTCGGCCTCCCAAAGTGCTGGGATTACAGGCGTGAGCCACTGGGCCCGGCCACAAACTTTTTTATAGATGGAAAAAACTAACTTGAAAATGAGAAGTCAAACTAAAAGGCAAACGCAAAACGAAATCATTTAACCATGCAAACAAAGTACCTGCCCAGTTGTATAAACTATGGAACTAATAAAAACATCCTTCCATATTTTCCCAGGATATGAAAGAAACAATCCCTATGAAGTCCAATTGTTGGATCATCTTATTTAACAACATTTCACTGCAGGAAATGTGATTATGACATCCAAAGAATAAAGAGCCTTGATCACTGTTCTCCTGTGGAGAAACCCGCTTAGTCTTCCCCGAAGGTTTCACTCGGGGGTTTTCATTTCCTTCCTAACACGGCAAGCACTAATAGAGAAGTCCTTCAGGAAGCATGTTCAGGTTTGCACTTTTGTTTTGCCCTTAACTTCTCTATGAACTGTGTGTGCTCAGGCTTTCCATAGACAAAAAGTTCATCAGAGTGTTTTCCCCTTAAGCAAAACAGCAGTGTAGGATCTTCCACAGACTAATCAGCTACCCCTTCAGGAACAATAGGAAACAAACAAAATAATTATTGTTAGCTTTAAAAAATACTTTGTTACTCCTACCAAAATGAGAGGAGACATCATTTCTCCCCTACAGGACCTCACAGACTACTAAAAGCATAAAACGTGTAAACAATTACAACATAATGAGACACATATTATAAAGAAGTATGGACAAAAGGTGGTGGGACAATAAGGAGTTTGCTTCTGGGTTTTCACTGCTCAGTACCTGGCTTATAGAAGATGCTAGATGTATTTTCTAAGTAAATGGAAGAACGGATGGCTGAGACAAATAATGCCTGTTCTCACTCATGTGTGAGAGCTAAAAGTGGATGTCATGAAGATAGAGAGTAGACTGGTGATTACCAGAGGCCAAGAAGGGTAGGGGGAGGAGAGGTTGAAGAAAGGTTGATTAATGGATACAAATACATACTTAGATAGAAGAAATAAGACCTGTTGTTCGATAGATCAGTAAGGTGGCTATAATTAACATTAATCAATTCTAGTTAACATGAACCAATTTCAGAATAGCTAGAAGAGAATAATTACAATGTTCCTAGCATAAAGAAAAAAATAAATGTTGAAGCTAATGGATATCCTAATCACCCTGATTTGATTGTCTGAATGTATCAAATTATTACATGTGCCCCCAAAATAGATACAGCTATTATGTATCAATAAAATAAATAAGTAAATAAGAGAAAAAAATCTTCAAATTCAAGTGAAATAACAGAATGGATGGCTGAATTTAAAAATAATTAATGAATAGGGAATGCTTGCAGATGAACTTGACCTTAAAGTATATATGGGGCTGTGATCAATGTGGCCACAAGATTTTGCAGCTCCTCCCATTAAGATGTAGAGTATATTTCCCTACCTCTTCAATCTGGATTGGCAGCCTGGATATGTGAGTGAGGCCACCTTAGACCTTCCAATGCCAGCTGCGCTGGCAGCTGACTGCAGCTGCATGAGTGAGTCAAGATGCGAACACCCAGTTAACCCACAAGTTTATGAGAAATAATAAATTACTGTTATTTTCAGCCAGTAAGTTTTGCAGTGGTTTGTTACACAACAATAGAAAACTAAGAATTAGGCATTATTTGAGAAAGGAAGGAAGGAAAGAGGGAGAGAGGGAGGAGGTGGAAGGGAAGGAGAGAGAGGGGGAGGGAGAGAGGGAAGAAAGACGAAAAAGAAAAAAGAGAAAAGAAAAAGTTGGGGGAAAGGTCATTCTAAACAGCAAGCGCAACATTGCAGAGTGTGAAAGAACACAATGTGTTTTTAGGGAATGGTAGGAAGTTTGGGTGGCAGGAGTATAGAATTCCAGTAAGAAAGTGGCAGGCAGATGAGGCCGCAGAGTTTTGTTGAAACTAGATTGTGAAGAACCTTGTTTGCCGAGTTAGAGACGGTGGAGAATGGGAAGGCTATATCTAGCACTTTGAAATTGATATGACTGGGCTTGTTTTCTAGAAAAATGACCCTGGCAGGGGTGTGACACTGAATTGGAGGGTGAAAGACTGGTAACAAGAAGAGTGGGTGTGACATGCGTGGATGGTGGATGAAAAGGAACAGAACATGCTATGCTCACAGGGTGGGCACATGCGAACTTGAAGGCCTCAAATGAGAGCAGGTGAAGTGGCATAAAAGAACCACCAATTTATTATGCACATGGACTCTGTGGGCTAGGTATCTGGACTGAGTACAGTGGAGACATCTCTCCTCCACAATGTCTAGAATGACTTGAACAGCTAAGACCAACTCAAATAGCTGGGGTGGGAGGATCCTCTCCCAGATGACTTCCTCACTCATATGGAGGTGAAAGACTGGCAGTAAGAAGAGTGGGTGTGAGATGGTGGTGCAGATTCAGGCATAAGACAATGAAGACCCAAATGAAGGCAGAGTCACGTGGATGGAGGACGAAAAGGAACAGGACATGCTATGCTCACAGGGTGGGCCCATGAGAACTCGAAGGCCTCAGATGAGAGCAGGTGGGTCTGGTCTGTGATGGCAGAAGGACAGGCTGAGCTGAGACTTTGACTGGAGTACCCACACGTGGCCTTTCCATATGGCTTACATTTCTCATGACACGGGGACTGGGCTCTGGGAGGAAGTGCCCTGAGGAGGAGCGCCCCGAGAGCTAGGATTCCAAGACACCCAGGTGGAAGCTACATGGCCCTTTCTGACCTAGCCCACAAGTAGTCATTTCTACCACATTCTATTAATAACTAACCTTCATAAATATAAAAACTACAAGTAAATTTCCCCAGTAGAATGTGGTGGAAGTGATGCTCTGTGAGTTTCAGAGCCTAGACCTCAGGAGCCTTGCCACTTCCACTCTTGCTCTCTTGGAATGCTCCTGCAGCCATGTAAAAAAGCATGGGCTAGACTCCTGAGTGATGAGAGAGCCAGCCAAACAATCATCAATAGCATTAATTAATAAGAATCTTAATGTTAATTATTGAAAGAGTCACTAAGGCCAGCCCACGTTCAAGAAGAGTGAAATTAGACTTCATCTTCTGATGGGGGAGTGATAAGTCCCATCGTAGAAGAGCCTGTGGGATGGGAGCTTTGGTTTGGCTATCTTTGGAAAACACCATCTCAGCAACGTTGAAGGGGAGGAGAGGAGGAAGGTGGGGACAGGCAGAAGAGGGTCTGAGGAAAAATGGACCTTCGATGGACAAGGCCCAGCTAGCAGCACTATGGCTGTGTCAGAGGTAGGGGAGACTGTCATTAACGTCTCAAGAGGGCAGGGCGCAGTGGCTCACACCTGTAGTCCCAGCACTTGGGGAGGCCGAGGCAGCAGTGCTTGAGCCCAGGCATTTGAGACCAGCCTGGTCAGCCCCGTCTCTACAAAAAATACAAAAATTAGCTGGGCATCATGGCACACACCTGTAGTCCCAGCTACCCAGAAGACTGAGGTGGGAGGATCGCTTGAGCCTAGCAGGTCAAGGCTGCAGTGAGCTGAGATCATGCAAGACCCTGTCTCAAGAAAAAAAAAATTCAGGGGCACAGGTCCTGTGTGCAGGGCATGGTGGGTGATTCTCAGAGTCGGGTGGAAGGTGGCACCAGGTCAAAGCAGTTCATCCACTCTCTACTGACCATCCACCCACCTAGCAACATGACAGGAGTTTTAAAAGTAGAAGAATCAGGCCAGGTGTGTTGGCGCACGCCTATAATCCCAACACTTTGGGAGCCCGAGGCGGGAGGATCACTTGAGCCCAGGAGTTTGAGACCAGCCTGAGCAACATAGTAAGACCCCATCTCTACAAAAAATATAAAAAATTACCTGGGTTTTGTGGGCACATCTGTAGTCCCAGCTACTCGAGAGGCTGAGGTGGGAGGATCACCAGAGCCCGGGAAGTCAAGGCCACTGTGAGTTCTGATCACACCACTGCACTCCAGCCTGGGCGACAGAGTGAGACCATATCTCAAAAAATAAATAAATAAGATAGAAGAATCAGAGCCTATTAATTCACCATCGCAAGCAGTGAAAGGTGGCGGGATAAGCTACAGATTCATGGTCACAAAGACACCCAGAGTGAATGCCTAACCCAACCAACAGAAGGTTTTGGGCAGCAATGTTTTATTCTAGGCCTTACCACACATGGCAGCTAAGGCTGATAATGAGCATTCTACTGTAATAATAGTAATGATAACTACTAACATTTATTAAGCACTTACTATACATCAAGGCACTGGGCTAAGCACTTCACATACATTAAATCCCAGAGAGCTGGGTACTATCATTATAAGCATTTTTCAGAAAAGAAACTATAATGCGGAAATGTCATAAGGCTAGTAATCGTAGTGCCACACTCATACATGGGGCTCAGCCTGTCCTACTTTCTAGGAGCCAAGCTTTCCCAGACCATCCTGGGACAAGTCATGGAGCTAAAAGCAAGGGGCAGAGCTAGGATTGGAGCCCAGGCTGCCTGATTAGATGCAGGCATTTTTCCACTAAGAATTTCTACCTTCTGTGACCAGCCTAGCAGCAAGGTAGGCCTAGCCTCCAAGGAACACATTTCACAAATGCAATGAATGGCTGATTGCTGTTCAAGGCATGGTTAGGAGATGCAGGAAGGAGCTGACAGGGAGGATGACTTGGAAGTTTCTAGATCAGGAAACTGGGTGGATGTGGTGCTGTTACCCAAGGCGGGGAATGCTAGAGAAGAGGGGATTTGTGGAGAAAAACATAATGAGTTCAGTATTGGACATTTTAAGTATGGGGGAATGCTATTTATTCACTTTTTGAACACAGAGTGCAAAAGAATACCATCCCTCTCTTGAATTCCCTACTTAAAGAGAAGGAAAAGAGCTATTAAAGACAATTTCAGTCAAGCAATTTAAGGCATCAAATATAGAACATGGAATTTCATACATGGACGGGATCTTAAAATTCATGCGGCACCAATCTCCTCATTTTACAGATAAATAAATTGAGGCTCAGAAAAGCTAAATGTTTTGCCCAAAGTCAGCCTCCACTGTAATGAAGTAAGGGTCATTTGCCAAATCCTAAATTGCCAAGAGTTTTCTTTTTTTCATTCCTTCTTTGGCTTGGAAATACATGAACATTTTAAATCCCCAAACAAGAACTGCAGCTATTTGGGGAAGAACCAAAAAAAGACCCACCATGGTTTGTGCTCTGCTTGCAGCTCTGAAGGAACCGTTATCCAATCATTGCAGTTGCCATAGCTCAGCTCACATCCTACATAAATCCCCTGACAGCAGCAAAAACTCAGTGCAAAGAGCCGGCTTATTTTGAACAACGCTCAGAACCAGACGGAGAAAGGAGGAGACAGAAATCATCATTTATCATTCGGGACAAAAGGCACAGTCAGTGGGAAAATCTGATTTTCAATCATTTAAAGGGTATTAAAGTGAAAAAGAGATAGACCTGGCAAGATGTGTCTGAGGAGGATTTTTTTTTAAATGAAAACAGCACATGGTGGGCTTAGTTACTGTATGGATTTAAATCTGATGCGATGTTAAATCTATATGCCGAAGAAGAGCATGAAAGTCCTGTGGCTCACTGATTCCCCTCATTCAACCCCAGCTCGATATTATTTTATTAGCTCGTTATTGATATTTTGATTTATGGTGCAGTGTTAAAATGCAGTACATAAGCGTGAACACAGTGGAAGTGATTACTTGATCACTAACCAAAAAACGCTCTAACATAAGGATAATCTAGGTGGCGTCATCAAAGCTCTCAGGCCATCATAGTGCTTTTTTTCCTTAAGCTCTCAGGAAATAAAATAGAGAAATGGAAGCAGTCGGGGGCACTGTGCAAACAGTGAGTTGATATGGGGAGCCAAATAAAAATACATATTTCTTTGGACTCTTTTCTCAGTAGCCAGCATATTTGTCCCCAAATTGATTGTCTCCAAAATTAATTGCTTGAAATTAAAGTAGCTGAGGAGCTCAAGACCACGTGAACAGCAACAAAAGCTTTCATATACAGGCCTCACCGGAATTTGGCTGAGCTCTTGCAATAGAGAGATGGGAGGATGGATTGGTCCTCCTCTTTGTACCCACCCTTGTTAATATGGCCAAGCAAGATTTATCCATGCTTCTCTTTCCCGACTCCATTATCCCCCGCCATTTTGGCCTTTATTCATGAATGTGGAAGGAGAAGGGAAAAGAAGACAAGAAGCAGCAGCAAGAAGGGACGGATTGAGGGAAAGCAAAAATTAAGCTACTGAAACACCTGTTCCCAGCAAGCAACTCCACTCTAAAAATGGTTGTTCCACAGTCTAGAGAGTAGGCTTTCATATGTATATTCTCTCCTATGTCAGGGTAGGGCCATATTCCATTCAGATTCTCAAACATCTGTAGATATGGCTATGTCCCTGCGGCAAAAATAATTACTTGTCCACTAAAGTTCTTGCCCCTTCAATAAAATAGACGTTGCTAAGACACACAGAGCTACATTTCCCAGCATCCCCTATTATTTAGGTGTGGCCATATAACTAGTCATTACCAATGGAATGAGAACAAAAAATGAAGTACATCATTCCAAGCCAAGACTTTTAAGAAACAGGTGTACCTTCACCATACTCGTTCCCTTTACATGGCTATATGCAGATAATGAATATAAGGTCCTAGGGTATAGTTGAACTATAAGGTGGAAGGATCCTGGGTCCCTGAATCGTCATGCAGAGGAAAACCAACCATTAATGAAATTAATGAGAAATATCCAATTGGAATATTAATGAGCAAGAAATAAACTTCTATTATACTGGGGCCATTGTACATGTCGTAGTTATTTGGCAGAAACAGAATGGACCACCACTCAAAATTTGGTTTGGATATTGAGATTGATGATGCCACACATACACCAAGAACATACAAAAGGGTTTATTACTTCACATAATGAGGCTTTCTGGGCAGGCTCCCAACAAGGTCAAAAAATGACTTTGAGTGAAGATGAAAGAAAAAGTGAGTGCCTTGGTCCCTCTCCATAATGTCTGGAACTCTGAAAGGGATAATGAGTGTGTCCATGAAGTCTTGTATTGTGACTTTAGGATGTGTAGACACATGTGATATTCATTTATACTTTGAGGCTCTACGAGGCAGGAGCTTCCCAGAGCTCCTTACCTTGAAGAGGGCAAGCTTGGACAAGGAATTGTTGCTGCTGCCATTGCCCAAGCCAGACAGCCAGATCATTGGCAATGGCCCATGAGTGTATAAATGTGCAAATGGGGCTAACTATTGGCCAGGGAATTCATTATTAAAATGACTGCCTGAAGTTCAGCCAATTGTGCTGAGGTATCATCCTTGATCAGGTAAGATCTGGCTAAGGGATGAAAACAGCAGCTCTCCCACAAGATTCATTGTATGTAATGGTGGTGATACCATACATAAAATGTATAAAGTCCCATTGTCGCTCACTCAGTTGATCCCAAGGGGTTTCCCAGATAAACAATGGGGACTTGGAAAGGGGTGACCTCCAGCTCCATGGCATCTAGCAAGAAACCAAGGACAGAGGAAGCTATCTACCACCTTCTGCAAGTGGGATACACCAGAAGACCCAGGTTTGACTCCATTGGATAGCAAGGAGTCCTCAGTGTCCATGACAAGCTTGCAGGGTGCTGCTCTCATGACATAATAGGCAGCTGGGTGTGGAAGGTCATAGGCTCAAGGTCTATGTGAGCCTTCATCTTCAGAAGCACCCAGTATGTGGCCAGCACTTTTCCCTCTAATGGTGTATACATGATGGGGGAAAGGAGGGCAGTTTCTTGCACCAGAAGGCGTTGGCAATTTATGACCATCATGGGTGGTCCAGAGACTCCAGGAGGCCCAAGAGGAGATTGCTAAGGCCTCTACAGTAAAGGAGTCTCAGGGTAGGGTAGGGCACGAACAGGAGTGCCTGTTTTATTGAAATTTGGACAGATTCTGGAGGCTTTTGTTGTTGGTGACTCTACTCAAGGTAAGCCAATTTGTAAGTAACAAAAATGGGCTTAATAAAATTTGTACATGAGGAATGCATTACCTCCAGAACCCAAAAATGACTAAAAGATGTTGGGCTTTCTTTAACGTTGTGGGCACTAAGAGAGTCAATGTTTGTTTCCCGACAACGACAGGAATTTAACTGAGATAGCAGGGCCTAGTACTATGTGTGAGGCAATGGTCCATCCCCTTTTCGAGAGTTCCTTTGTGTTTGTACGGCCTAAATAAGTATGTCAAGTGAATCCCGTCAGAGGAGGATGTCATCAGTTTGATGTCATACCTGTGTTCCTTGAGAAAGATAGATGTGGCTAAGATTTTACCTGTGAAATTGTGTGGGACAGCAGGACTGCTGAGATGCCCCATGAGTAGCCTGGTAAAGGTGAATTGTGTCCCCTCAGAGGTGAAGGCAAATCGTGGCTGAGAGCCTATTGAAATGGTCACTGAACAAAACATATTAGCCAAGTCTATGACTGCAAACTATTTACCAGTTGCTGATTGGATGAAAAAATAATTTCAATAGTGCTTGCTATGGGGCCTCAATGGATGGGACCACAGGATTAAGATTTCAATAATCCATCCCGAGGTGCTATGCATTCTTTCCATGCTTAAGAACAAGTCAATTTGGTTTGTTAAACGGATAAGTGGGAGGGATAATCAACCCTTCCCTAAAGTATAATGGATTTCAATCCTTGAAGGCCCTGTTCTGATTAACATTAGGCTGTCAGACAAAATTCACCTTTATTTTACAGTTTTTTCCCAGCTGCAAAAATGGAAACTATGAAAAGGCTTATTTAGTTTCCACAGCTGGTTGTTTATATGATTACTTCATCCTACGAAGCATTCTGAAATCCAGACTCTAAGAAAGGGTGGCCTCCGAATCTACCGACCAGCTGCGTGGCAGCTTGTTTTCTGTTTCATGCTGTCCTTGTCTGTGGTGGTCACTTCCAATTCCATTGGGAACTTGCCATCTAAGTTACTTGTTGCTTCCAACTGAGCTTGCAGTTGCCTTGGAAACTCAAGGGAAGCAGGACTTATACAAAGGTGAAGAGAAAGGGGTGAAATTGCCCTTCATTATGACGAACTCAGCTTTCCTAAGGAGGAGACAGGAAGCTGATGATATGCCTTCTGCATTTGTTTCCTGTTAGAGCATTGATTTATTGACATATGGCTGAGAGATGTTGCCATTAATGAAGCTTCAGCCTGCTGAATGATGCCAGCCTAAACTTTTCAGCAAGGTGAAGCTTCCAGCTTTTGAATCTGGGATCGAGACCAACAGCTTCCACATGAAGAATGCCACTAACACAGGAAGAAAAAAAAAGCACTCTGTGCAGAAGTCAACCTTGAAGACTCAAGTTAAGTGCAAATATTGCCGACAAGAGTTTTTTACATTTTTGTTTAGCTTTCTGCCTGTTACGCTGTTTGCATAATTTCAAGTATGGTAGTTAATTTCTAATTATGCAGGCTGCTCATTGCTTTCTTTAGCAAATAAATACTGCCCTTGGACTCATACAATTAGGACATATCCTTGGTGTATCTACCGTGCTATTTAATGTCCCAACAAGGCCCAACAACTTGGGCCACATGGTCTGCCTGTTTTGACATTGGTTTTCCTGTGATTGGCTCTGGTTGCTGAGCCCCATTTCTCAGGAAAATCATTTTCCTGCCCCAGGTTTGCTGCTGGAAAATATGAGATCTCATAAAGTAGGATTGCAGACGTTCCTACTTGTTAAGTAATTAATGTAGAGTTAATTCCTTCAAAGTTCATAACATCAATTAGGAAACTGCTTTCTTTCTACCTTCTGAGGATGCACAGAGGGGCTATAGGCATAGAAGCAGACACAACTGAGTTTGAATCCTGCCTCTCTCTAACACCTCATCACTTAAGTAATTGTTTCACCTTGGGCAACTTAACCCCTCTAAGTCTCAGTTTCCTATTCTGAAAAATGAGGATGGTGGCAGTGTCTACCTCAAAAGGTTGTTGTGAAG
The DNA here is from genome assembly GCF_000001405.40 of Homo sapiens. Lineage (NCBI taxonomy): Eukaryota > Metazoa > Chordata > Mammalia > Primates > Hominidae > Homo > Homo sapiens. Next base: position 42,043,324 of record NC_000023.11, on the reverse strand, counting down.
TGTCTGGGAGACAATGTTTGTGTTCTTTGTTTTCCAGGGTTGGTCAGCCTCCCTTCCCATTCAAGCCTAGAGTCAGCTTTAAGTTCCTTGCCTGGAGGAAGGGTGGGGAGAGGAACTGGGCTGAAAGCTGAAATAGTCTACACATTTCCCAGCTTCAGTTTACAAAAGCCTAATCCCCTAGGACCTAGGAGAAGAGAGAGCCTCTGAACTGCAGAACAAAAGTTTGAGGAAAAAAATGAAGGAAGAAAGATTTCAGAACACAGATTGGAGCAAGATTCCTCTAAGGAGAGATGAGGGGAAAAGACAAGAAGAGCAGGGACAGTTCTCAACTCTGGGCTCTGAAATCTAGTAGGTTGGGCTCTAAACTCTGCTTCCCAGGAAGAAAAGACCCTAGAGATGGGCCAGGCCCTCTCCAGGGGACTTAAGGGTTGATTGTTATAAGCAATCACACTTGCTTGTCCTAAACTATCCTGTCTAAAATGTGTTACATTCATTCCTCCTTCCTGAACAAGGCACCTTTTCTTCTTGTCGTAGTCATTATGCACATTCATTACTGGGCAGCTCCAATGAGTGATACCTTACGGTTCTTTCAAAATCCATAGGGCCATTTACCTCTGCAATCCGTGGCCCTAGACTACAGTGCTAAACTAATGTTTGAATCTTCTTTTCCTTTTTTTTTTTTGTCTCCTGATGGCTGGCAACCTCTTGTCCAATGTCCCTTCCTGCCTGGGGTCAATCGGTATGTCTCCCCACAGCAGTTCCTCTCCTTTTTCACTTTCATTTGCTATTACAAACTTTATGTTGCCTTAGAAATGGAATAAAAAAATTTTAGGCTGGGTGGAGTGACTCATGCCTGTAATCCCAGTACTTTGGGAGGCCGAGGCAGGAGAATCGCTTGGACCCGGGAGGCAGAGGTTGCAGAGAGCCAAGTTCGTGCCACTGCACTCCATCCTGGGTGACAGAACGAGCCTCCGTCTCAAAACACACACACAAAAATTTAGAATTGAAAGGTAAGCAGATTCTGGGTGAGAGAGCAAGGAATGTTATAATTTTGAAATATCTGTCTTGACTGTGTTATGGGCCAAGTTGTGTCTTCCTAAATTTCTGTTGAAGTCCTAACCCCCAATGTGACTGTATCTGGAGACAGGGCCTATAAAGAAAGAATAAAGGGTAAGTGAGGTCATAAGGGTGGGACCCTAATCTGGTAAAACCAGTGTTCTCATAAGAGGAAGAGACACTGGAGAGCTCTCCCTCTCTCCATGTGTGTATAGAGGAATGGCCATGTGAGGACACAGGGAAAAGGTATGGCCATCTACAAGCCAGGAGGGGAGACCTCATCAGAAACTGGCCCTGAGGGCATCTTGATCTTGAACTTCCAGCCTCTAGAACTGTGAAAAAATTAATTTCTATTGTTTAAACCACCCTGTCCTTGGAATTCAGTTACTGCAGCATGAACAGACACAGACCACATAGGGAAGTGTTTTTGTGTTTTTGCCTCTGTTTTTTGAAAGGGGGTGGGTGTATTAGTCCTTTTTTATGCTGCTGATAAAGGCATACCTGAGACTGGGTAATTTACAAAGGAAAAGAGGTTCAATGGGCTCACAGTTCCACATGGCTGGGGAGGCCTCACAATCATGGCGGAAGGCAAAAGGCACATCTTATATGGTGGCAGACAAGAGAGAATGAGAACCAAGTGTAAAGGGAAACCCCTTATAAAACCATCAGATCTCATGAGACTTATTCACTACCACGAGACCACAAGAATAGTATGGGGGAATTAATTATCATTTGATTATCTCCCACTGGGTCCCACCCACAGCACATGGGAATTATGGGAGCTACAATTCAAGATGAGATTTGGGTGGGGACATAGCCAAACCGTATCAGTGGGGTTGCCAACTTTCATATTCTGCTTGTGTTATGTCAGAGTGGAGTTACTTAATAAGTAAGAAATTACTTTAAAAAATTCAAATATAGTATTAGAAAAGAAAAATTAATGGAGATACTTCATTATGTGGCCTACGGAGAAATATTTTCTAAGGTAAAAGTCCAGTAATCTTCATCCACATACTTGTGCAGTATGTCCTCTTGGTCAATGTAAAGCACAAGTAGCTAGCACACTGATGATACAAATCTAAGCAGAAAAACAATACATTATTATGAAGCCTCTGCAGTGACTGTGTTTTAATTAAACTCTAAATACATTTTTACAATCACCACTAGTTTTCCCAATGCGCCATCAGAAAATATAATTTTTTTGGTTCTCATTGCAAGACCTTCTTGCAGTGGTGGAGAAAATAAACCCAAGCTTCAAGTACTGTCTGGCAGCTTTGTTTTCTTTTCTTTCCTTTTTGTAAGAGAATATCACCAACTACTCAAAAATAGCTGTGTCGAGATGAATATTAGCCATTCAAATGGGGCCCATCCTCACTGCCATGAATATGCTTTTTGCTATTGTTTAAAAAGAAAAAATAAACAACCAGCTAACTAATGCTAGTCATGCATTACTTAACTCACAAAGAAAACATTTAAATTTTAATTTTTTTTTCTGAATTCTTCTAGATCAGCAATGGCCAACTACAGGTCATGTGCCAAATCCAAATCCAACCACAGCCTGATTTTTTGTAAGGCCTAGACCTAAGAATGGTTTTTACATTTTTAAAGGGTTGAAAAAGAAGAAGAAGGAGGAGGAGGAGAAAGAAGAAGAGGCAGAAGCAGTGAAAGCAACAGAGACCTTATGTAGCTGACAGAGCCTAAAATATTGACTACCTGGCCCTTTACAGAAAAAGTTTGCTGGGTGGTAAAATTTTATATTGACTTTGGGGTAGCGTTATGAATGAAAGTATAATTTATATGAAATCACAAAATAGGGACTGAATGTACAAGGCTCTGCACACATTCATTCCATTTACAGTATAAATACCAAATAATCAATCTCTACTAAAACAGAGTCTGTGAAAAAGTGAAAATATCTGGGAAAAGTGTTTGTGATGAATCTCTGATATATCCCTTCCAATGCAGAAAGTAGGTTGGTGGTTCCAACATCAGGGTAGGGAAGGGGTGCTAGGGGCACAAAGGGTGATGAGTATCCAAAGAGATTAATTGGCTACAATTGGTGGCAAATCAAAACAATTCAATGTCCACTGCAGCACTGTTCAATGGACAATTCAGTGGACAATTCGATGTCCACTGCAGCACTATTCACAATAGCAAAGACATGGAATCAGCCTAAATGCCAATCAGTGACAGATTGGATAAAGAAAATGTGGTACATGTACATCATGTAATACAATGCAGCCATAAAAAAGAAGGAGATCACGTCTTTTGCAGGGATATGGATATAGCTGGAGGTCATTATCCTTAGCAGACTAACAGAGGAACAGAAAACTAAATACCACACGTTCTCAGTTATAAGTGGGAGCTAAATGATAAGAACTTAGGAACACAAAGAAGGAAACAATAGACACTGGGGTCTACTTGACAAGGGAGGGTGGGAGGAGGGAGAGAAGCAGGAAAGATAACTACTGGGTACTGGGCTTAATATCTGATTGTTGAAATAATCTATACAACGAACCCCCATGACATGAGTTTACCTATGTAACAAACCTTCACATGTCCCTGCAAACCTAAAATCAAAGTTTAAAAAAAATTCAGGAGGAACACCTTTGTATAGCACATGGCTAGAAGGCACACAACGTGACTAAATAGATCATAGACATTAAAATATACCATTTAATTTGGTTGAGAAAAAATCAGAAGCTAAAGACATTTGCATTATTCTTGAGAGGCTCTTTTGCTAGCAGAAATCTGTTTTTTCATCAAGGACAAGAACTCTTATTTATATTGCAGGGGCTGAACTTCAAGAGGAAATTTTTAAAAATAAAGACTGCTTTTGCTGTGAGCAGCCACCCCATGCAGAAGGTGAAAAACAAAAGAGCATTATTTTACATTAAGCCTTCATTGGGATAGGTGGAAGGGTGTGCAGTGTGTTATTTTGGTTCAAAATCAAATACATCAAATGAGCAAAAGACATAAAGAACTAATTAACATTAGAAAATAAAGATATGAGGAAATGTTTATCCTTCCAAGTAAAGAAGTACATTTTAAAGTAACCTTGAGCTGTTATTTTATGCTTACATCAAATTAGCAACATTTTTTAATGGCAAGAACATTGTGTGCTGGCAACACAGGGATAAAACTGGTATACTTCTACTGCTCTAGGGTGAGAGTGAGGGAAATACCCCTGGAAATGGGAAAGAAATTTGGCCCCTCATATTAAGAGTCAGCAAGAGTTCCTTCACTTTGACATAGAATACTCACTTTGGGGGAATTGATCTTAAGAAAATAATTTAAGAGAAAAAATAAATTCTTGAATCAGCAAAGATGTTCACTGCTATCCTACACACACACACACGCACGCATATTACACAGAGGTCATTGGACTCACCAAATGTTCAAAAATAGGAAACATGAATAAATAGTTGATGCCATATTGACTTGAAAGAATACTATTTAGTCATTAAATCCTAATAATAAAGACCATGTAATAACATTGAAAAATATTTTAGGATTATTTTCAAGTCATAAAGCAAGTTGGAAATACAAAACAGTACACGTGGTGTGTTTATAACTATTAAATATGTGTTTACTGGCCGGGCGCGGTGGCTCATGCCTGTAATCTCAGCACTTTGGGAGGCCAAGGCAGGCAGATCACTTGAGGTCAGGAGTTCAAGGCCAGCCTAGCCAACATGGTGAAAACCTGTCTCTCTCTACTAAAAATATAAAATAATTAGCCAGGCTTGGTGGTGCATGCCTGTAATCCCAGCTACTCAGGAGACTGAGGCAGGAGAATCGCTTGAACCCGGGAGGTAGAAGTTGCATTGAGCCGAGATCTCACCATTATACTCCAGTCTGGGTGACAGAGCAAAAGTCCATCTCAAAAAAAAAAATAAATAAATAAATAAAATAAAAATAAAAAATAAATGTGTGTATTGAACACAAAAGCAATATCCCAAAATAAAACATTGTATAGTGAGTAAGGTTGTAAGAGGGTGGATGCTTTCTTGCCTGTAATTTTTTTTTAATATTGCTATATTGTTTTCCCTGTTGAAGAAAAAGCTTGCCAGAGCTGCTTGCATGTGCATATGAGCATTCTGCTGAATTAACCTAGGCACTGGAATTTAACACATCCCATCTTGAACTTGTTTGAAACTCAGCTTCCGGGCATTCAGTGATGAAACACTTGAAACTAGCCACTGGCATAGAAGAATTTACAATCTGTTTTATGAGCCAGCCGGAGACCTGAATTCAGAATGTCTCATCATTTGATGTACTTTCTCCCTTTTCACTCCATACCTAGACCTTTATGTCTGCTAAGAGAGTCTGCTGATCCAGTATTTGTGTTGTCAGGCAAGCAAATAAATTTAGCTTTGTTACAAACTGCCATTTGGTAGTCTTCTTTTTTTTTTTTTTTTTTTTGAGACAGAGTCTTGCTCTGTCGCCCAGGCTGGAGTGCAGTGGTGCGATCTCGGCTCACTGCGAGCTCCGCATCCCGGGTTCACACCATTCTTCTGCCTCAGCCTCCCGAGTAGCTGGGTCTACAGGCGCCCACCACCATGCCAGGCTAATTTTTTTGTATTTTTAATAGAGACAGGTTTTCACCGTGTTAGCCAGGACGGTCTCGATCTCCTGACCTCGTGATCCCCCCCGCCTCGGCCTTCCAAAGTGCTGGGATTACAGGCTTGAGCCACCATGCCCGGCCTGTAGTCTTCTTTTTTATCCTTTCCATCCCATTACAATGAGATGTATTAGCTATAGCTCTCACTGCTTCTGGGAAATTGTCTGCCATGGTAGCTTCCCCCTCCCCGGTAAAGACCACAGTGACAATTTGACTTCAAAAAAAAAAAGCACACCATGAGCCCCTCTCCTTCCAGGATATGGCCAGCCATAGAAAACCCTTCATCCTGGCCAGGCACGGTGGCTCATGCCTGTAATCCCAGCACTTTGGGAGGCGAGGCGGGCAGATAATGAGGTCAGGAGATCGAGACCATCCTGGCTAACACGGTGAAACCCCGTCTCTACTAAAAATACAAAAAATTAGCCAGGCGTGGTGGCGGGCGCCTGTGGTCCCAGCTACATGGGAGGCTGAGGCAGGAGAATGGCGTGAACCTGGGAGGCGGAGCTTGCAGTGAGCCGAGATCGCACCACTGCACTCCAGCCTGGGCGACAGAGCGAGCTCCGTCTCAAAAAAAAAAAAAAAGAAAAGAAAAGAAAACCCTTCATCCCAACACTAAGCAATCCTTCCTCTTATGAAATATTCCCAAACAGCTCACTTGCCCTTGCAGCCAACCTATGACTGCTAAATGTACCTAGGGGCCATTAGAAAGTCTCCCTCCCTTCCAAAAAGTCTCACCTTGATAGAATGCTTGCCAATCAGACTGTCTCAGCATTTCTTCACTAGCTATAAAACTGACTCTCCTCTCTAACACCTTTGAACCTGTGCGGAAATGGAAATGACCTGAACAAGGGTTCCCTTGCTGCAAGCTGATGAATAAACAGCCTTGGTTAATTTTGCCACAGACTTAGTTTTGTCTTTGACACTTTGTTTTGATAGTTTCTCTAAACGTTAAATAATTAAGATGATACAATCAAGAAGGAATAAAGACTCTATAGTTCTTTAGAATTATAACTCATATCCTATTAAAGGAAACAAAAAGCTAAACTTTTAGGAGCTCAACTATGAAACAACCAATGATGAAGCAAAATTTAAAAACTTACGAATGTGAAATTTCAATCACTTCCCAAATCTATTTAAATTAGAGAGATGTGTTTTATTCAAATCATGGATCATTGTACCAAGATTTCTTTCCTTCTGGACTCATCTGAAATATCACCAAAGTCCTTTAATTCCTATTTTTCTGTCCAGCTGTAGCTACTGTGTCTTCTCAGCCTCCTCTTTTTTCTTATGGTCAAATTGGCAGAGAGTCACAGGGCCACAGCAGACCCACCCTCAACATTAATGTGCAGTTAACAGCTCATTTCTACTCTTTTCTATCTGCCCCATCCTCCACTATCCTGTCTCTGATTCTGAATTCCTTCTCAAATAAAGTCTGCTAAAACTGCTCCCACTAAACTGCAAGTAACTGACAATAATTAGTGTTAACGTTTATTGTAGGTTCCACTGCATCCCCCAAAAGATATGTCTAAATCCTAATCCCTGGTACATGTGAATGTGATGTTATTTGGATATAAGGTCACTGAAGATGTAATCAAGTTAAGACGAGGTCATATAGGATTAGGGTAGGCCCTCAATTCAACGATAGCTGTCCTTATAAGAAGAAAGAGATTTGGAGAGACGGAGAGGCAGGCAGGGAAGAAGGCCATGTGACCACAGATACAAAGATTGAAGTGATGCAGCTATAAGCCAAGGGATACCAAGAATCGCAGGCAACCACCAGAAGCTAGAAGAAAGATGTGGGACAGTCTCTTCCAGAGCCTTCAGAGCTGGAGCGTGGTGCTGCAGACAAGATGATTTCAGACTTCTAGCCTCCAGGACTATGAGAGAATACATTTGTTTTCTAAAGACACCAAATTTGTGGTCTTTGTTACAGCAGCCACAGGAAACTAATATAACCCTCTCATTTGCACTTTTAAGAAAGGTGTAGCTCTGATGATGGAATTGCAGGAATCAGTCTGCTGGTGGGGATGATTTTTGAAGAGTTATAGGGCCTATGGGTAATCACCCTTAAAGCATACCAGGTATTTTAAGGCAAAAACCAAACCCTTGAGAGAGCATAGGGGTCAGTGTGGCCACCACAGGTATAAGGAGAGGGAAGAAAGAGTATTTGAAGTGTTACCAAATACTGTTCACGCCTAGCGTTGCTACACATGTAGTTTAATATCAATTAATAACATAGGAGCCTACTCATCGAGCATGCTAAATTAATTTAGTCCCCTAAACTTCTTCTTTACTTTTTTCTCTCTTTCTTTAACCATCTTGCTAAGACACTCCACTAAAGAGTAGATAAGGAATAAGGAGAAAGTGGTCCCTACAGGCTATTAGTAACCATGAAAAAATTATTTATTGATGAGCTGATTTGTCTTTGCTTTTGCTGTATTTTTCCTTTCCCCAAAGAGAGGACAAATGCCTTTGTATTCCTTTGTGTGGGGTATGGAAAGATTGTGCAAGCAAGAGGGGAAGACGTTGTTACACAGCAGAAAGCAGGAGGCACACACACTTTTTGGATTTGGTTTTCAAATCCTTGAGCTTATTGGGGTGATTAAATTAGATCCTAGAAAGGAGGGGAAAGGGATTATCCCCTTTGGCATTGGGGAATTCAAGAGTAGAAGCAGCTAAATCAGAGGAGAGGGCATCTCTGAGTCTGGTATGGAACCCTGACCCCTCACTTGGAGAGGACCTCAGTAGGGAAAGACTGGAGAACCACCTAGAGACCTGCACCATGGCATTAGAAGCCCCAAGAAAAATTTCCAGTGGCTGCTTGAGCTGGAAGCAGCCTAGACTTCAAAAAAAAAAAAGGCAGTAGTAATCATGTGATCTAAAAACCAGTCTCCAACACAGCCCAGGGAAGGAAGAGATAAGGACCTGTCTGTATCTGAGGTAGTATTTCTCACAGCCCAGGCAGGATGGAGACTAGAGTCAGATTTGATTTGATTTTAGAAAAATAAAGAGTGCAATGTACTGTCTCTTATCCACTCAAGTTTGTGGACTAAAATAAAATTTAGTTGAGGAGCCAGGGGGTCTATTAACTAAATTTAGTTTAGGGGTTCATATGTGGATTGCAGTTTTGCAACCGTTTCCCCTGAACTAAATTAACACAGAGAATTAAAAGCTGGCATGAACACACTTGTCCTTCATTTGCGAAGAGGTTTATTGCTGCCAAATGACAGGTATTCTGCCTATGTGGGAGCATCCACATATGCCAAAACCTTGTTCTATGACAACTAAAGCAATTACCCACAAAATAGTTCCTGGGAAACTGAACTCTTGATGGCCATGTTAGAAACTCTGAAATCACCAAGACTTAGTCCTCAGGCAGTAAAAGCAGGCTTCCTGCTCACCTGCTGCACTGTGACTGGCAAATGCCCAGAACAAAATTCAACTCAGTTTGGTTCAGTTAACTCAGGGCAATATGTGACCATAGGTTGCACTGACCTGTGGATGAGACAGCAAATTTTCCATTAAAAATTTTAGAATTGTTCATAGCTTTGAAATATGCTTTAAAACACAGTTTAACCTTTCTTTTTTATTTTTTTTAAACTTGTAGATAGTCCTAATCAATGTATAGAAGACTTTGATTTAGTGTTTTTTCACTCCTGCTGATTAGAGGACAACATTAAGATAGACGACTATGGAAATCAATACAGCCAGAATCTGGTTATGGAAAAAACAATAATCTATGCTTGGAAATGAAATCACTGGAGGAGTTCAACTTCTGACATGACAACACAAAAAGCTCCATGGACCCGCTCCTCAGCTATTAAGAAATTGGTGAAAACTGTTTTAAAATAACCATTTAATCCTCTGGAAATGGCCATATGAGCATATGGCAAATGAAGAAATGTTTACTCAAGAAAACCTACTAAAACTTGGTAAGAACTGTAAGAGTCTGTAGTATATGAACCAAAACCTATGCCCTTCCACTTCCAAACTAAGTGAGCTGGAAACTCCACTTCAGATTGGTACAACCAGGAATACAGTACTCCCCTTTACCATGCTCCCAGTCAGAGGGCTATCATCCAAGGAAGGGAGCAGGAAAATAGCATTTCACATCCTGCCCCCAGCTAGCTGCTGCTAAATTTAAATTCCAGGTGAGTGAGACAGAGAGGTATGTGCTCCCTTCTTCTGCCTAGCCACTACTCACAAAATAGAAGTTCCACCTTTGGTTCAGTGCCTCTAAGAATAATGGAGCCCCAGTTGTCTTTGCCTTAGTTCCTTGGACAGGGTTTTCATGCCAAAATAGGCAAGTCTAGGAGATCAGGATTGTTGCTCCCACTCTATCCACCAAGCATTCAGCTCCTAATACAAGGATGTCATTCAGAGACCAGCCATTGACTCTACCATCAGCACCAGAGCCATGACTAAGAGATGTTGCCTGAAGGGAGAAGCAATCCATAGAACAGAGAGTTCCAAATCCCACTACAAAGGAATTGGCTTCATTTGGAACAGAGAGTGAAGAAGTTCAAGCCTAAGGGCACTCTCAAAAACAGTGGAAGTTGTGCTGAAAAGCAATGGGGAAATGATTAGTAGATTCATTGGAAATATAGGCTAAATTGTAGGCCAACTAATGTGCTGGAGAGAAACAAGGAAAGAAACAGCTGAAAAGACCTCTCTTGGGGTCAGAACATATCTAAAACACTGACCTCAGGAACTATTCCTTTAAAGGAGTCTAAGTGTGATTGGATTAGATTCAGAAGTAATCTATGCACCAGGGCTTTGTTGGAAAAAAAATAGAAAATTCAACTGACAATTAGAGAAGCATCTTAACAGTTGAGTGTAGTCAGGGAAAAAGACAGTCAGAGTACTGCCAAAACCACTATCATCACAAGGTGACTATGGGCATACTCAAGACTGACACTTCTGAGGAGCAACATCAGAGCCTCATGCTGTGAGTGTAGGAATAAGTATACTTCACTAAAATAATCCAGTTGGTTACTAAATAAGTAAGGAAGCAAGTAATAATAACAAGCCCTGAAGACAGTGATGGGGAAGTGCCCATGTGCTGTAATATATTATTGAAAATGTCTATTTTCAAAAATATGAGATATTCAAAGAAACGAGAAAGTATGACCCATATGCTAAAGGGGAAAAATCAAGCAACAGGAGGTGCCTGTGAGGGTGACCAGATGTCAGATTTAACAAAGATTTCAACATACCATTATAAATACATTCAAAGAACTAAAGGAAATAATAATTATAGAAGTATGGAAACAATGTTGCACCAAATATAAAATACCAGTAAAGCAAAATGTGTATAGCAAGAGTACCAAAAGGAAAAATGAGAGAGAAAGGAGTAGAAAAAATATTTGATGAAATAATGGCTAAAAACTGCCAAAGTTTATTGAAAAATATTAATCTATACATATAAGAAGCTCAATAAGTTCTAGGTAGGATAAGTACAAAGAGATCTACAAAGTGACGCATCATAGTAAAAATGCTAAAAGCCATAGACAAGGAGAAAATCTTGAAAACAAAGAAAAACAATCACTTACATGAGAACCACAATAAAAATAACTAACATCTCATCAGAAACAATGGAGGTCAGAAGACAATGGAATAACATATAAAGTGCACAAAGGAAAAAAACCTGTCAGTGGAGAATCCTGTATCCAGCAAACCTAACTTTCAAAAATGAAGACAAAATTTTAAAAATTCCCAGATAAACAAAAACAGATAATTTGTTGCTAGCACAGCAATCTTGCAAGACATAGTAAAAGTTCTTTAGGCTGCAAACAAGTGACTCCAGGTAGTAATTTTAATCCACACACAAAGCACAAAGGACATCAATAAAGCTAATTATGTAATTATAAATGACAGTACAGATGCATATTTATTCTCCTTTCTCTGCTTAACTGCTTTTAAAAATCAATATTATTAAACAATGTGTATATAATGTATCATTAAGCCTATAACATATAGGAATGTAATATATTTGCCAATAAAAGCACAAAAAGTAGGTGGAAGTAAGCTGTATTGGGCTAAAGAAAAGAATTCCAAATGGTAACTGGAATCCACAAGAAAAAATATAGAGAACCAGAAATGATGAATAAGAAGATTAATATACTGAAAGCTACAAATATATACTTATTCTCCTTTTTCTCTTAGACTCTATAAAAGACATAGAATTTTATAAAGTAATAATTATAACAGTGTGTTTTTGGATTTTTAACATTTATAGATGTAATATGTATAATAATGCTGCAAAAAGTAGGAAAAGAAGAGAACTATAGAGAAGTAACATTTCTGTATCTTACTAGAATTAAATTAGTATAAATCTAAAGCTATTTCTGATAAATAACTAATAAATATACAGTGAGAAAATCATTAAAGAAATGAAAATGCTACATTAGAAAATATTCATTTAATGCCAAAGAAAGCACACATGCAGGAACAGAGGAACAAGAAAAATATAAAGACTGAAGACACATAGAAAACAAAAAGTAAAATGGCAGATATAAATGCAGCTATATTGATAATAACATTAAATGTGAATGGATTAAACAATCTAATAAAAAACAGATTGTCAGACTGGGTTTAAAAAATAATATCTAACTATATGCTAACTAGAGAAGAAACAATTTAGATTCAAATGTGCAAATAGATTCAAAGCAAAAGGATGCAAAAAGATATATCATGCAAATAACAACCACAAGAAAGCTGAAGTGAAGTGACTCTAGTAACATAAGACAAAATAGGCTTTAATGCAAAAAAGTTCTAGCGATTAAGATGGACACATTATAATGACAAAAAGTTCAATCCATCAGGAAGATAAATGAACCTAACAACAGAGCACCAAAATACATGAAGCAAAAACTGACGGAAATAATGAGAGAAGTAGACAATTCAACAATGACAGACAGAGATTGCCATACTTTCTTCTCAATAATGAGCAGAACAACTAGTTTGAAGATCAATGCGAATAGAAGCCTTCAGCAACACCACAAACCAATTAGAACTAACAAACATCTACAGAACACTCTACCTAATAAGGACAGAATACACATTTTTCTCAAACAACTCAAACAAATCAGCAAGAAAAAAAACAAACAATCCCATCAAAAGGTGGGCTAAGGAGATGAATAGACAATCCTCAAAAGAAGATATACAAATAGCCAACAAACATGAAAAAAGGCTCAACATCACTAATGATCAGGGAAATGCAAAGCAAAACCACAATACGATACCACCTTACTCCTGCAAGAATGGCCATAATCAAAAGAATTAAAAAACAGTAGATTTTTGGCGTGGATGCAATGAGCAGGGAACACTTCTACATTGCTGGTGGGAATGTAAACTAGTACAGCCACTATGGAAAACAGTGTGGAGATTCCTTAAAGAACTAAAAGCAGAACTACCATTTGATCCAGCAATCCCACTACTGGGTATCTACCCAGAGGAAAAGAAGTCATTATTCAAAAAAGATACTTGCACATGCTTTTTTACAGAAGCACAATTCACAATTGCAAAATCGTGGATCCAACCCAAATACCCATCAATCAATAAGTGGATAAAGAAACTGTAGTATATATATACATTATATACATATATATATTATATACATATAGATAGATAGATATATAATGGAATACTATACAGCCATAAAAAGCAATGAATTAACAGCATTTGCAGTGACCTGGATGAGACTGGGGACTACTATTCTAATGGAAGTAACTCAGGAATGGAAAACCAAACATCATATGTTCTCACTGATATGTGGGAGCTAAGCTATGAGGACACAAAGGCATAAGAATGATACCATGGACTTTGGGGACTTGTGGGGAAGAGTGAGAGGAGGATGAGGGATAAAAGATTATAAATATGGGGCAGTGTATACTGCTCGGGTGATGGGTACACTAAAATCTCAAAAATCACCACTGAAGAACTTACTCATTTAACTAAATACCACCTGTACCCTAATAACTTCTGGAAAAATTAAAAAATAAAAAAATGTTTTAAAAGAGAGAGCTATGGCCCTATGGACATTTATCATGAGGGAGAGGGGCAGCTCTAGGATTCGTTTATTCATTCATTCATTCAATATGTGTTTACTGAGTGTCTACCAGTTCCAGGCACACTGCAAACTTTTCTAGAATGACTGCCAGGCTTAAGCTGGGTTTCCCAGAAGCAGATCCCTGAGTTGAAGATTCATGTGCAAGAGATTTAATAAGAACTTGCCCTCCAGGGAAGCCAGGAAGGGAGTGGGGGAAGCAAGACAGAGATTGGGAGGAAGCCAAGCAAGAGGGTGATTGCAGGCGAAGTCCCTTGGAGAGGAGTGCATTCTGGCCCCAGGAGGAGAATTCTGGAGTGTAAGTTACACTGCAGAGTTGTCCAGACTTAAGGCAAGGGAGCTGGGCTTTGATACTCCTAGGTGGAACCACCACAGGGTAAGCTTTCTAAATCAGCCTTAACTCTTAACCTATTTACCTTGCTTGATTTAATCTAGTGAGAGACAATTCTACCTCATTGAGTGATTTCCTCTCACCTGCATCCCAAATGCCTCCTTGTTAATCGTCACTATCACTCTTTAAAGTTTTCTTCCCTCCCCTCTCCACTCAATTCAGGCATACCAACTCACTCATTCAACAAGCATTGATGGAGAGCTTGATATGTGCCAGTCATCGAATTAGGAGCTGGAAGTAGGAGAAACAGCAAATATAAATAAGGCTCAAACCCTTACCCAGACAGCTTCTGATGGCACCATGATATATAAAGACCTCTAACTTTGTAATTAGATAGAAAGAGCCCTTTATTTACTGACAGTCTTGGACCAAACCACATAACCTCTCTAAACCTCAGTTTTCTTAATCTGTAACATGAGGATTCTAATTCCTCCCAATAATCTTTGTCTCCAAAGGTTTTTATAGAGATTAAACAATGTATGTAAAGCACCTAACAGTGTCTGGTACATTAAAAGTACACAAAAAGAAGTTTTGTTAATTGTGGAGAGTTTTGGAAAAGTGAGGGAAATGAATTCTCTGTCCTCTTTCAAATAGTTGCAGTAAAACAGCTATAGTATAATGGAAAGATCAGTCAGACTTCGAAGGCCTCGGTTTTGTTCAGCTCCAGTGCTTACCGTTGTCCTTGGACATATAAACTCTGCTTTCCTCATTGGAGTAGATATCTACTAATGGGGTTAGGAGGCTTCCCAGCATCTGATCTCCTTTCCCATAGGGGAGAAGATCCTGTTGTGTGAACCTTGGAGGAAGCAACTACAAAATCCACAAAGCTGCAGACAGGACACAGGCACGTGACCCAGGCTTAGCCAATCAGAGGTCTGAGCCAGCATTTGAGGACTCTGATACAATGGAATCTACCACTTGGTGGGAGCAGTGGGCACAACAACCAGTGGCCCTTGGCAACGGTATTAGCAGAGATAGTTCAAGGTTCACTATTTTTTAAATGTCAGGATACATTCTCTTCTGAAAATGAAGAGAATATCTACTTCACAGGGTTTGGGGAAAATTATGCCAAAATAAAAAACTGATCACAGGACCTGGAGCAAAATAGATGCTTAATAGATGTTTCTTGAGTCTGTTTAGGAGGCTTTCCCAAGTTTTACCAAAAAAGGCTGGTAGTTTCTGGGTTGGCTTCTACCAAAACATAGAATTCCCAAGGACTATTTTATCCAGCTCCCATCCCAGTTATGTATTTCTCTTTGATTGCCACTCCAAGTTCAAAGTACATTTAATTCTGATATGCAGAAGAATTCAGTTCATTATCTCTGGTTAAAAAGTAACTACTTTATCTGGTGCCTTCTGAAAGGCAAGATCAGAGGGTTTTGTAAATACCTTCCTTCCCTCAGTGTAAGGTCTAGGTGAAGGAGAGAAAACTCACAACCAGAGAAATCATCTCAACAGCTACAGTGAAACAGATGGCTAAGTGCTAGATGTAATTTATGTCAGCAAATCTTGTCACAAAAAAGGAATCTCCCGTGGCAATGCTCTGTGCATCCAGGCATTCACTAGGGTCTACTTCATAACCCTCTTCCTTGGCTCTACAAGGTTTTCTTTTGTGAAATCTCTTTCACTGTTTCGGTTTCAACCATCGCCTCCAAGCTGGTGGCCCTCCAAGGCTGCAATGCCACATTGCCAGCCACCTGCTGTACCTCTCCACCTGGTTCCACCTACACTTCTAACTCAATACCTAAAACACTAAATTCATTATCTCCTACCTACCCTGCCCCTTTGCCCAAACAACTCCACTCTGAGTTTCTTATTTTTGCTCAGGATGCCACCATTCTCCCAGTTACCTAGGCTCCAATCCTTGATGTTATTTCTATTCGTTTCCCCTTCTCCTAGAATCTATTCTCTGTGTAGACATTCATATCCATTCACCCCTTTGTTTCCATTCCCACCCTGATTGGGGCCCAAATGTTTTTTATGTCTTGATTACAACAAAGGCTTCCTAGTTGTCCTTTATCATCTCTTTCTTCTAGTCTGGATATGTGCTCTCTCTCCTCCTCACAGACCTTAAATGACTGAACATTGCCTATTGGAGCCGAAAAACATTTATTGCAAACCTAATTGTGCATAACACTATTCTAGGTGTTCTCTGAGATTCGATAATTGAAAGACATAGTCCTTAATTGGAGGGAAAAAACAATTGCCCTTAAATTAAAGATATTTGTGTATTTGTGTTATTTGTGTAAGTGCCTTGAGAGAAGTATACACAAAAAGGTGCACACACATCACATCACATCACATCACATAACGTAACATACTAAACCCTATCAGTGTTCACAGAGAGGGATCAATGGATTTGGTGTAAATTTGAAAACCAAACTTTAAGACTCCATCATTTGCACAACACCTTTGAGGACGATTAGGATTTTGACAGGAGAGTTCAGTAAAAGGGCATCAAGGGAAAAAAGATCATATTAGGAAAAATCTTGGGGTGGGGGCATGCAGGAGAGAATTTCAAGGAACTACAAGGAGTTCAGTCAGGATGAAACAAAGGGGACTGACCAAAAGATGAGCTGGGGAAACAAGGTAAAGCCCCAATGATAGTGGGCTTTGAGTGCCAAGTTGTGAGATTTATACTTCACTTCCTCTACATTATGTGGTAGGTTTGGAGCATTTTGCTTGTTTTTAAAGAATTGAATATTTTTAGGCTGGGTGTGGTGGCTCATGCCTGTAATCCCAGCACTTTGGGAGGCCAAGGTGGGTGGATCACCTGAGGTCAGGAGTAGGAGACCAGCCTGGCCAACGTAGTGAAACCCCGTCTCTACTAAAAATACAAGAAATTAGCTGGGCGTGGTGGCAGGCGCCTGTAATCCCAGCTACTTGGGAGGCTGAGGCACAAGAATCGTTTGAACCTGGGAGGCAGAGGTTGCAATGAGCCAAGATCAGGCAACTGCACTCCAGCCCGGGTGATGGAGTCAGACTCCATCTCAAAAAAAAAAAAAAAAGAATTGAATTTTTTTTTTGTCATGGAAGTAACACAGTCAGTGCTATTAGTCTAGTGATGATCAAACCTAAAAATAAAACAGCTCAAACAATATCAGGAAGTTTGCCAAAGGAAAATAGAGTAGGTACAGAGTGAGAAACTTCCTGTCTTATTGCGGGAGCACCTAGTACAATGGTTACACAGAATAAGCACACAGTAAATAGATGAACAAATGGATGGAGAAATGGGTAGTTAAAAGAAGTGATGGGAAAAGGACACTGTCAAAGCATTTTTTCTACTTAATAATTTAGTTTAGAGAACCTGGATATCAGTTCTGGTACTTCGTATCTTGAAGACTACGAATGTAACTTTTTTTATATCATCATTTTTAACATTCATCTCAGCCTAACAAATGAATATTAAGCAAACTTCTGGGGAGCTTACCTATTACAAAAATGAGTAGGTACTCTGAGCCTGCCAAGTCCAAATGAATTCAGGGTGCAGTAAAGTAAATGTTGAAAAGACAGCTAATAGACATAATGTCTACATCTTCAGAAGAAGACTGAGAAACTCAGAGAGAAGTAGAGAGGTAATTCCAGTGGAAGGAAATGGTGACTACAGCAAAAATTGGTCTGCATAGATGGATGGGTTTGATTGGATGCCTGGAGGCAATATTCTACAGAATTTTCAAAAACCAGAAACATCAGGAAAACCTGGTAAACTGAGTTACTAAACAGGAAGGTAACGAAGTGTCAGCAGCTAGATTAGCTTTTTGGTACTGGGAACCTTAGGTTAATAAGTTTAAAGAGCTCTTTTTAGAAGCTCTCATATAATTTTCTCCTTCTTTGTTGCACCACTCTCCTCATTGTCTTTTGTATTCTGTATAAGGCCTCTTGCTTTAAGTTTGTTTTCTCTTATACGCTGATGAGTCCTTGTACTCCTCAGGAAATGTCCTAGATTTTGCTTTATAAAGAAGGTAAAATTTTGAGGTCTAGATGGTAGGCAGTGTACCCTAGGAAATGACTTCACGGTGACATTTTCAACTAGTAGTTATGCACAGTAGATTGTATGTAAGGGACTGTCTCCATGGGTGTTAATTGTAACATGTCAGTGAAAGGACCCAGCTCCCTGGGCTGGTGGGCCGAGCCTCCCGCTGCTGCCAAGTGTTGTAATGTTAAACAGGGACACAATTTTTGACCCTGACAGTTTAGAATTTGGTGGCTTCCCTCAATCAAGCACTCACAAAGGCATAAAATAAGTAATATTCTGAATTTATTTAAAATGCATACCACCCATGAGAGGAAGAATGGTGAGGTAAAGAGGTACCAGATGGGAACAGAGGATGAATCAAAGATCTTGTGTTTGAAAAACAGCAAGTGGTCCATTTTAGCTGAGACATTTTTAAAAGTTAGAGAAATATTGGAGGATGAAGCCAAGTTATTAGCTTGGGACTATGTTCTTTGGGGGTTGAATACCAGAGTGAGGAGCTGGTACTTAATTTGGCAGACGGTGGAATGTCACAGAATCTTTGAGCAATTTAACTGTTATAATTAGAGCTACTTAATTCATTATCAATGTGTAGGCTAGATTTAATCAAGGAGATAGAGCAGACCAGAAAACAAGTTAGGAGAGTGTAATAGAGACAGCTAACTGACCAATAAAAATACACCCTTCTCTGGTATGGAGTTGGGGCTTGAGCGTGGCTATCCAGACAGACTACACTCACCAGCTCCTCCTGCCCCTATCCTGCAACTATTTGAGATTATGTGATTAATTCTTGCCAATGGAATTCAGTGGAACTGATGCTCATTACTTCCAAATTAAGGTGGTGCTGTAGTTTGGTTTGTTTGTCCCCTCCAAATCTCATGTTGAAATTTGATCCCAAATGTTGGAGGTGGGGCCTAATTAATGGAAGGTGTTTGGGTGATGGAGGTGGATCCCTCATGAAGGGCTTGGTGCTGTCCTCAACGTACTCAGTGAGTTCTCATTTTATTAGTTCCCCCAGAGAGTTGGTTGTTATAAAGAGGTTGGCACCTCCCCACCTCTTCCCTCCTCTCTTGCCATGTGATCTCCGCACATGTTGGTTCTGCCTCCCCTTCTGCCATGATCGAAAGCAGACTGAAGCCCTCACCAGATACAGATATCAGAACCATGCTTCTTGTACAGCCTGCAGAACAATGAGCCAAATAAACCTCTTTTTTTTTTAAATAAATTATCCAGTCTCAAGTATTCCTTTGTAACAACACAAATGGACTAAGTCTGGTGGTTACATGGTTGATCCTCCATGCTTTCTCTTGACACTGTCTTCCAGCCCCTTGACACCAGGACATCCTTGGAGCCATAATACAGTAGAGCCATAAGATGGAAGCACAGACCTTTTTCACACTCTGGGAAATTTTAAAGGTGTAGGAATATGTTCAGTGAGAGACACTTGGTTTAGTTACAATACAAGGCTCACAAACTATAAATCATAGATTTCACTTTCAGGAAAGCTAGTTTCTTTGCACAGAGAGAAGCTAGAAGCTACTCTACTGACATTCCTATCTTTATCTGTCTGACCCAGGTCTTTCTTCCCATCTCCCACCTTAACATCTTGTCCCAAGGAGGATCTGATGAAGTAGTGTGGCTCTGTCATTAAAACCTGATTTTTTACTGATTTTTTACTCATTTATGGTATAGGGAGCCAATTGGTGATTCAATGGCCTAAGGGCAAGTCTTTCCCAAATATCTTCTTTATATTACTTGAACTTCAAACACCTGGAGGCTCATTTACTACTTAAAGAAACATATACACTTTTATAGGCTAAATGTGCTTGCCTTAACTTCTGAGGAAACCACATGGCCTATGGCTTCACAGAAGAGGTGAGTCAAGGTAGCCATGTACTATGTCATTTATTGGTAGCATGAGTTGGGCAGAACTAGGCAGAGGGCCCAAGATTAGTCAGTACCCTCAAGACCCCTAGCCTTCAAGTTAACATTTCCCAAGAAAATCAGAGCACCTCACTCCATAAAGTAACTTGGAGTTACTTATAATCCTGAGTGCCTCACAGGATTATAAGAAGCAGACAGTAAGGCGGGTGCGGTGGCTCACGCCTATAATCCCAGCACTTTGGGAGGCCAAGACGGGCAGATCACAAGGTCAAGAG
The DNA here is from genome assembly GCF_000001405.40 of Homo sapiens. Lineage (NCBI taxonomy): Eukaryota > Metazoa > Chordata > Mammalia > Primates > Hominidae > Homo > Homo sapiens. The sequence continues at coordinate 42,023,056 of NC_000023.11, read as the reverse complement.
ATCGAGACCATCCTGGCTAACACGGTGAAACCTCGTCTCTACTAAAAATACAAAAAAATTAGCTGGGCGTGGTGGCGGGTGCCTGTAGTCCCAGCAACTCGGGAGGCTGAGGCAGGAGAATGGCATGAACCCAGGAGGCGGAGCTTGCAGTGAGCAGAGATCGTGCCACTGCACTCCAGCCTGGGCAACAGAGTGAGACTCTATCTCAAAAAAAAAAAAAAAAAAAAAAAAAGAAGAAGAAGCAGACGGTAGAGAAAAAGAAAAGAACAGACCAAAGCCAAGTCAGGGCAGATCCTTGTGTGAAGCAAAGATGATGCACAGAACTGAGGGAGAAAGACTGGTTTCTAGAACCACATCAATTGCTGATGTCTTCCTACTCTTTATTTCTAGTATGTAGACATCCAAACAATAAGTCCTCCTTTCTCCAGAGGTAAATTGAAGGAGTGAGCTTAAAAGGTAAATTGGCACAACACTTAAACAGGATTACAAAAAAAGGCTTTCATATGCTTAAATAACCAATATTGATGTTACTCTAAATCCTCTCTCAATTTTTATCAATATACAGCAATATATTTTTTCTTAGTTGGCCAGTGTATACTTCCTATACCTTGTCCTTTTTTCACTTAACATTATTTTGTATACATATTTCCAAGTAGCAGCATACTCACATCATTTCTTCCATCTATGTGTCATGCTTATGAGTGTATGTGTCTATTTTGAGGTATTTGAGTCATTTTCTATAAAGTAAATTACCAACATAGTAGAATTCTGGACACAAAATGATACAAACCAATACTGAAGTTAAAGTAGGTAAACAGGCTATTGGTCAGTCAAATGTGTGTGACCTTTCCTTCTGACTTGAAAGCAAGTGCATGTTGAAGCTGCAATAGGGGTGAGAAACTAAGATCCAGGATGAAGAAGAAAATGTTAGAGCTTGGGAGGAAAGGTCTCATGGGCAAGCCTCAGTCCAGAGACTCTTTGGTCAATAAGCTCAAACAACAAATGTTTGTGGGGTCTGCACTAACTCCCAAGTAGTTAATGACACAATTGAATTAAATTGCAGGACAACCAGTTGGTGTCAGATAATTGCTGTCAGAACAAAACCATCATCTACATATACAAACGGCAAAACAGTACTCAAGAATGTTTAGAGCTGGGAGCAGTGGGTCACACCTGTAATCCCAGCACTGTGGGAGGCCGAGGCAGGCAGATCGCTTGAGCTCAGGTGTTTGAGACCAGCCTGGGCAACATGGCGAAACTCCATCTCTACTAAAAATAAAAGGTTGATCTTTGTCATTTACCATCGTGATATAATAAAGAATATATCTGGTCTTTGTCCACTGTTCCTGGCACAGAGTTTCAAAACTCTTGGAATTCCCCATAAGAGTGTCTTTATTTATAACAAGTCCCTTTCCTTCACATCTGAGTTTATGCTAATGAAGTGACTTATGGTGGCTTCCCTAGATAGCTTCAGGACAAGAGCTGGTCATCAGAAAGACAGCCCCAAGAAAGGGGAAGGGAACTGGAGATTGGGTTCAATCATGTGGCCAGTGATTTAATCATTCATTCTATGTAATGAAAGCTCAGTAAAATCACTGGACCTTGAGTCTCAGTAGAGCTTCTAGTTGGTTAACACACTGATGTTCTTGGAAGGTGGTGTGCCCTGATTTCATGAGGACAGTTCATAAAAGCTCTGTGCCTCCCACCACACACATTTCCCACCCAGACCTTGCCCTATTCATCTCTTCCATTTGACTGTCCCTGTGTTGTATCTTTTATAATAAAACTATAATCATAAGTATAGCACTTTCAGTGAGTTCTGAGTCATTCCAATGAATTAGTGAACCTGAAAGGATGAGTGGTCATCAGAACCCCCAAATATGTAGCCAGCTGGGCAGAAGTGCAGGTGGCTTGGGAACACCCAGAACTTGTGACTGGCATCTGAAGCAGGGGACACCTTGTGAGACAGAAACCCTTAACCTGTGGGGTCTGCACTAACTCCTGAGTAGTTAATGTCACAATTGAATTGAATAGCAGGACAACCAGTTGGTGTCAGATAATTGCTGTCAGAACAAAACCATCATCTGCATATACAAATGGCAAAACAGTACTCAAGAATGTTTAGAGCTGGGAGCAGTGGCTCACACCTGTAATCCCAGCACTGTGTGAGGCCAAGGCAGGCAGATCGCTTAGCTCAGGTGTTTGAGACCAGCCTGAGCAACGTGGCGAAACCCCATCTCTACTAAAAATACAAAAGAATTAGCTGGGTTTAGTGGTGCACGCCTGTAGTCCCAGCTACTCGGGAGGCTAAGATGGGAGAATTGCTTGAGCCTGGGAGGCAGAAGTTGCAGTGAGGCAAGATCATGCCACTGTACAGCCTGGGTGACAGAGTGGGACCCACAATCTCATGGTTGGATGCAATAAAATTTTTTACTCATACGAAATCCAAAAGTGGTGTTCTTCATTGGGTGGTCTTCCGTCTTGGGTATCCACCTTCTACTGGGCCTCAGAGTACTCCACACACTCAACAAATGGGGAAAGAGCATAGGAAGGTATATACAGAAAATGTTCTACTCACATTCCATTGCCTAGAATTTAGTCTGCCTCTTACTACAAAGCATCTCAGGAAATGCACTCTAGCTGTGAACCCAAGAACAGGAAATGGGTTTGATGAGCAAGCAGGCACTCTCTGTCACAAGGATATAAAATAATTTCCTTATTCCTGAAAATACTATAACATAACTGAGATTTTTAACCTGTTTAATCTCAATAGTCAAGAAAGTTATAATGAGGTAGTTTCCTCATTGCCAGTTGTCATGCTAACATATTTCAAAATGGAGCAGAACTACTATAGTATTTCAGTTCATTGCAAGAAAGGTTTCTTCAGCACTTACCATCCAGGACCTATGATAAGCAAAGGTTATACGAAAAAGAATAAGACTTAGTCCCATTCTGGAGAATCTTACAGTCCAGTAGAGAAGCTTATAGACCATTGGAACTTTCCATTTGACTTTCATACATTAAAACTGTACACAATTAATGCAAAGAGAAAAGTTATTTGCAAGTAGGAGGACAGTTCAAAAGTAGAGATGCTTTAAAAGTTCTATATCAATACCACATCAAAAATGAGCATATTATCCAAAGGAGCAATTGGACATATTGATGGATGGATGAACAGATGTTCTAGTATAATATCAAAGAAAACTATTTTAATTGATGTAGTAAAACACACAAAGCAAGATTCAGAAAAGTATGGCTGACTTAAGGAAAGAAGAGGAAAAGTCACTTTTTAAAAACAACTACATCTCTAGCTTCCAAAACAAGCAGTTCCCAACTCAGGCACTGACTGTGTTTTTAAAATCATGTTTTAAGTCCATTATTTGGAACACTGTGTGCATATTTCTTTAGAAGCAGTGTCATAAAAGGTTATTTAGATTCCCAAGCCAACCCGAGCTGTTGGTCTATTTAACCCATAATGTACCTGAAAAATTGTACTAAGCGTCCTATTTCCTACAAGAAAATGCATCTGGTTTCTAACTCACAAAAGGGCCACCCCCACCTCCACTATTCCAACAAAGATTACAGCAGGTGAGGTGGGGGGATATATTGTAGTCCAATTGTGGCCCAAGTAGCAATAGATTCTTTTAAGAAACCAGAATACAGCATGGAGAAAGAGACGAAGTTTTCATCATATGGGGAAGTCACAAGGAATAGATGTTTCTGGGCTTCAATACCTGGTTAACATCCATAGATCCAGATTCTCTTGAAAACTCGGAAGACCTCAATTCACATTCTCACACAGCAAAAATCAGCTCTTCAGTTTAGCCAGTCCCCACCCTCCCTAGTATCTTACCCTTGTTCACTGCTCTTATTTAAGTTACCTGCCCAGCATGGTCAGTGCTACAGACAGCTAAAGTAAAATAAGAACTGAAAAGTCAGGGCCGGGCGCAATGGCTCAACCCTGTAATCCCAGCACTTTGGGAGGCCGAGGCGGGCGGATCACGAGGTCAGGGGTTTGAGACCAGCCTGGCCAATATGGTGAAACCCCGTCTCTACTAAAAATACAAAAATTAGCCAGGCGTGGTGACACTCATCTGTAGTCCCAGCTACTGGGGAGGCTGAGGCGGAAAAATCGCTGGAACCCAGGAGGTGGAGGTTGCAGTGAGCCAAGATCCATTCCAGCCAGGGCGACAGAGCGAGACTCCGTCTCAAAAAAAAAAAAAAAAAGAACTGAAAAGTCCTAAATTTACAGAGATGGAGTGTAAAACTGTGGGTCTTCATGTCTAACATCTATCTATCTTCTCCTTGAAATTGTCAATTCATTTCACCTGTTGAAAGTAAAAGGGCAGAGGTGGGGTAGGCGGATTGATATGAGCATTGTAAGTCAGCTAAAGTTAGAGGCCATTATTATTTGTGATGTTATCCCCGAGGTTGCTTCATTTTCTTTAGCAGAGATCAGCAGATTAAGTGTTTAAGTGGAAAACCCAGAAACATCTCAAAATTTTCATAACAGAAGGTATTTCTTGAAAAGTTATTTCCCAGAATGTCCGAATTGGAGAGAAAAAGAGCAGCTATATCTGAAAGAGGAAGGAGGATAATATAATGGTTTTTCTTCACAAGCCATCACTTGATCTGTGTAGGTCATCCTTTAGTTCAGAGTTTCCTTTATCTGGTTCTTAATCTTCCCAGGCCCCATGAACCAATACTTCACAGAACATGACAGACCAATAGAAAGTAAATGAAGTCATATTTTTAAATGAACTACTATTATATGACAGTGACATACTCCAATACGGTTTACTTGGATGAAAATTTTTCAGTTTGGGGCTGTTTAAATCTTGTGGCAGTTTCAGGTGACTAACACTTTTTGAGGAGAAACTGCTAAGCAGCTATGATCAAATATTTACTCTGGAACTTTTTCCAAAGAAAAAGAATGTGACACATGAGTTACTATGAATAAAGAGCTTGAGGAAAGGATGGGTTACTCAAGGAATCTAGATAAAAATTGTCATCAAATGGCTCACTTGGAAAAAAATTACTTCCAACTTGTAAATTATTAATTTCAAATATTGTGCTTTTCTTTTTATTTTATATAATATTTTATCCATGTGAAAAGATAAATGAAATGCTTAAGTTTAAAAAAGGAAGGAATGTAATAAAAGTCAATGAAACCCTTACCTAAGCACTATAACATTGTAAATAACTTGTACCTACTTACGTGTTCTTCCCTATCCAAGTCTCCCACCTCCCTACAGAAGTACTTACTATCTTGATTTTGTGTTCATCATTCTATTCCTTTTTACAGTTTTATCAAATATGTATGTGTGCTTGAACCCTATATTATTAAGCTTCCTTATTTTGAGTATAAAAGTGTGTATTACTAAAAAAGTAATACGGGCTAAATACTGTATGAGTCCATTTATATTAAATTCAAGAAAAATCAAAACTCTAGTGATAAGAAAAGTTTATTACTAAAAAAAGTACAAACGTTTATAGCTAGATTTTTCACTAACATTATGTTCCCCAAAATAATTCATATTGTCACTTGGAGATATAGTTCATTCATTTGTGTATAATATTCTATTTTAATGAATATTATTTTCATTTGTGTATAATATTCAATTTTATACATACAGCACATTTTGATACATTCTTCTGTGGAACATTCAGTGATTTTGTTTTATGTTTTTTCCATGTGTGTATATTCCCTGGAACACACAGGAAAAATTTTACTTTGGGTATTTAAAAAAGAAGAATTGCTAGCTCATAGGGTAAGCAAATGCTTAACTCTACAGCATAAATGCCAAAATTTTTTCAAGAATGGTTGCAACAACTTACAATCTATCAACAACATATGAGTTCCCATTAATCGAATCCTCTCCAGCACTTGGTATTGTCAGACTGCATCATTATTACAAATATAGTGAGTATAAAATCTTATTTCATATTGATACACAAAACAACATGGGTGATCTCAGATATTAACACATGCTAAGTGAAAAAAGTCAAACATAAAAGGATATATACTGTATGAGTCCATTTATATTAAATTGAAGAAAAATCAAAACTCTAGTGATAGGAAATAGGTCAGTGTTTGCTGGGGCCAGAAGAGGGGATCATTAAGATGATGGAACTGTTTTATATCTTGATTGTGGTGGATGTTACGTGAATGTATGCAATTACCAAAATTCATCACACTGCACTTAAAATGAGTGACTTCTATTGCATGTAAATTGCATCTTAACAAGCTAAGAATTTTTTTGTTTTTGCTGTTGTTATTGTTTTTGTTTTTGTTTTTTGAGACAGAGTTTTGCTCTGTCGCCAGGCTGGAGTTCAGTGGCAGGATCTCGGCTCACTGCAACCTCCGCCTCCCGGGTTCAAGCGATTCTTCTGCCTCATCCTCCCGAGTAGCTGGGACTACAGGTGCGCACCACCATGCCCAGCTAATGTCTGTATTTTTAGTAGAGACAGGGTTTCCCCATGTTGGTAAGGATGGTCTCAATCTGTTGACCTGAGGTCAAGATCCCCCCTCCTCAGCCTCCCAAAGTGCTGGGATTACAGGCGTGAGCCACCGGGCCTGGCCAAAATGTTTTTAATCTTTTATTTTGGTCACAATTTCCATTTCCCTGACTACTAACAAGAGTGAGTGTAGCAGACACTATTGGTGCCCTGAGCAGATCTCCTTTATTGGGCCAGTGCATTTTTCCTTCAGATGCGGCCAGATTGGCTGCTAGTGGCTCATAGCTTCTCTCTTCTCTGGAGAAATGCTCTTGGCCAATGTGAGTCATCTCACCTGAAGAAGCCTGGGGCAGCTCACTGCCAACGACTGGCCATATAGGAATAAAAAGGCCCAGTCCCTTCTCTTCTAGTGGGACAAATTTATCAACAATTTTTTTGTAGTTTGAAACTTATCTTGTTTAAGATAAATCTGTAGTGCCATACCATGGGATCAGACTGAGAACATATCTCTTGTTTGGCTTCTTCTCCTGCTCTGTCCTACTTCTCTCACTTCCTTACAGGTTTCTCCTTACAGCACTCCCCTCTCACTCAAGAATCCCTGTCTCAGGCTTCTAGAGAATCTAGCCTGAGATAGTCTCTCTCTCTTTGTCTCTCTCTCTCTCTCTTTTTAATAAAATGCTAACTAATGTCTTTTGCCCATTTTCCTAATGGGTTGCTCTCCTTTTCTTATTAATTTTAGGAGTTCTTCACATACTGTCAGTTTTATGTGTTATAAATATCTTTTCACAATATGTAGCTTATTTTTCATTTGCTTTTCAGATGTCATTTGATAAACAGATGTTCTTAATTTTAATGTAGACAAATTTATCTATAATTTTTTTGTAGTTTGAAACTTTTTATCTTGTTTAAGAAATCCTTCCATGCCCCTAGGTCTGAAATATATTCTTCTAGATCTCCTGTTAGAGGTTTTTAGCTTTTGCTTTTTACATTTTTCTCATTTATCCACCTGGATTTGAATTCTGTGTATGGTGTAGGGTGGGGATCCAATTTCACTTTTTAATGTATTCATATACATTAATATCCATTTATTTAAGAATTCCTCTTTTTCCCCACTCATCTGCAAGGACATCCACAGCATAAATTATAGTTCCATATATGTATGGGTCTCTTTCTGAGCTACCCATTGCATTCCTGGGATAAATCCTATTTTTACCTTTCTTATACGTGACTGGATTGGGTTTCCTAATGTCTGTTAAAGATGTCTGCATAGATTCAGTAATAAGATTGGTCTGTAATTTCTTGCTATAATGTCCTTGTCTGGTTTTGGTAACAAGCTTATAGAATAAGTTGGGAAGTATATCAATTGCTAACTTTTCTAGAAGACTTTGAATAAGACTTTGTGGAAAATTAGGATGATCTGTTGCTTACAATTTCAATAAAACTTACCCATAAATCCAAGTAGATCCGATGATGTAACTTACTAATTAAATGAAACAAAATCACCAAATCAATAAAAGTCAAACTACAATAATTTAATGTAACAGATAATAACTGGCTTACACTAAATTATCCTCTTAAACTTAAGTATGGAACTGAATGTTATGGCCCAAGTTTGGTGGTGATGGTGGCTATTGCTGTTATTTTTGGCACACCTATATTGCAATGCACCTGTGATGACTAAATCCTCCCACTTCTTTATTCAAAGCCCTGGAACATCTTCACTGTACACTGGTGATGTCATTTGGCTTCAACTAGGGCAAAGACATCAGGATCATTTACTTTTTCCGACTGTCTCTAATTGCCTAGGGAGTCCTAATAAAACAACTCAGTTGGTATTATTTTGTGCCATCTAATCACTGAAGCCAGTGCAGCCTCTGAAATCTTGTGGCTGTCCTCAGTTTAAAGGGTCATCCAGAACACATTGAATTTATTTTTTTTAGACTGTCATTTAGATAAAAACAAAAAATTCTTCAATTCTCATAGACATTATTTGGCCAATGAAATGCATCACTTCTGAATAAAAGCTTCAAAGGACATTGTATGGCTTCCCATAGTTGTCTTTGCTTCTGCCCTGCCAACCAGGAATGTTCCAGATAGATGCCATTGTAAAAGCTTGGGCCCTGGGGTAAAGCAGAGCCACAACTGGCCCAAAATGTAGATGTAATGTGAGCTGGAAATAACCCTTTGTTGCTGTAAAAATAATCTAAAAGAAAAGACATGGATCTTGTAGACTAGATCTGTAGATCCCATTTTAAGAAATACTGGTCAAAAAAGTAAGCATCTTACACTGGCATGTTTTAAAAGCCTTAGATAATCTGTTAAAATCAACATTTCCCAAATATTTGCTTATCACTGCACTGAGCAATCCCTATACTTTCTTATCATTGAGATTTTACTCATGGAATTCTCTCTCCCTAGACATTTATCTCTCTCCCCATCTCTGCTCCCTACAGATAATCAAAGACTCAATTTTTCTTCAATCATTCCAGTGGAATGACTATTGAACTTTACATCTCTTTAGTGACACATATTACATCTTTCCTTCTATTTTACTTTTTCTCTATGTGTCTTATATTCCTTACCAGATTCTCTCCCTGAAAGCTGGAATGGGTCTTCTACATCTTTGTATACCTCCCAGTGCCTAAAACAATGTGTTGTTTATACTAAGGGCTCAATAAACAGTTGTTGAATTACTGAGTTTATTTAATCTTTATTAATGTGAGTTTAACAGCAATAACATTAAGATTGGTAAACATGACAAATCTAGACCATGCAACTTTCTTTGTAATGCAGCTGCAAAAACTGCTGTCCTACAATGACTGATTATGTTTTTGAACAGTTGTAAAACATTAGTTATGGAAAACGCCACAGAGGCAGAACTAATTTATCTGGTATTTAGTTAAAATTCCACAGGGCATGAGGCAAGAGAGGAATTATTGTAAATGCTCATTCTTATGAATGATTTAATTAGCCTTCTCTACCTATAGAACAAAATTAATTTAGAGACAAATATTGCTGGAAAATTTTTCAAATGTAAACTTTTTCAAAACCTAGAAGTTCTTGTTAAATTTCATAAGGTGTCTTTAAAATAATGCAAAACAGTCTCCTTAAGCATCAAGATAATTTTTCATCAGCCACCTTTAGGAGGTGGGGGTGGTGAAGACTAGCTAGACAAGACAAAAACCAAGGGACAGATGAGGGATTAGAGTCTAGGACCTTCAACTCTTTGCCCTACCAGTCTTGTTTCAAAACCCCACACTGCTCTAGAGTCTGTGTTCCTCTAGACCCTGACTTCTGGCTGCTTTGGTCAGCCTGTTCAATGCCCTGGCTTCACTCACTATTAGCTTCATGAGAGTTGGGGCAGGAGCAAGAATAGGGGGCTCAGCTCTGCACCACATTTCCTTAAACACCACACCCAAGCCAGCTGACATTCTACTACCCAGTGCTCACCCCCATAGTCACAGTAGGAGACTAATGCAAAATTCCCTGGAGTCCTTGTGGGTTGAGAATTGAGGAGTGGGGGAGTCACACTCTGGGGAAGAATTAAAGCATAATCTGAGGACAGAGGGAAGGGGCCACAATTGTTACAGGCAAAGAACCATCATGTGTAAAGGAAGAGAGCATTGTTGTTTTTAGGAAGCTATTACATGTTCAGATGTGTGGGACACAGATAGAGATTGAGGAGTGATGAAAGACAAGGCTTGAGAATATCATCATGATTCAGTTTTTGTCTTGAAAACGTCATTCTGGAATAGGAAGAAGTCAGATGGGAGCCAGGGAGACCAATTCAGAGGGGATTGCAGTCATATGGGTGAGAAATAATGAAGGGGAAACCAGGACAGCTGCAGTGGGGGCAAAGAAAAGTGAACGGATCTGAGAAATTTATGAAGATACAATTAAAGAATTAATCACTGCATTCAGGGGGATGCCCAGTGAAAATCAAGCTGAATGGTTTGGTGCAACAGAGCCAGTGTGTTAAAAAGGCAGTGAGTTCTAGACACATCATGGGAATAATTTCCCTCTGTTAGTCAAATCAGCTTTGCTGACCTAAGCTATGGATCCTGGACATTTGTTATTCAACCCAAGTCCCTAACACTCTTACAGCTCCATTGCCCAATCACTTCAACTTCTCGCTCTCCATCCTCCTTCAGTCCAGGTCTCTGATTCAGAGACCTCACGTAAATTTCTGACCCAGTAATTACCCTGGCTTTTCTTCTAACTCAGCCCAGGGAACAAAAGATGCAAATCTGTTTAAGTCAACTGAGGCCATCCCGGGAGCCTGGAATGGGGTCAGCTCTCTCCAACATACATGGGCTGTAAGGGTAGGGTACAATTAGGAAGGGGACTGGGTAATATGTCTCTTGTGAATGTCCTCCTGCATGCCTATTGAAATAATTCTACAAATCTGTCAGGATAAGATTCAAATGCTACCTCTTTACTTTTTTTTCAACCTTTATTTTAGTTTCAGGAGGTACATGTGCAGGTTTGTCACATGAGTAAATTGCATGTCACTGAGGTTTGGTGTACAAATGATCCCGTCACCCAGGTAGTGAGCATAGTACCCAATAGATAGTTTTTAAACCCTTGCTCCTCTCCCACTCTCTCCCCCATAGTACCCAGTGTCTATTGTTCACATATTTATGTTCATGTTTACTCAATATTTAGCTCCTACTTATAAGTGAGAATATGTGATATTCAGTTTTCTGTTCCTGCATTAACTCACTTGGGATACCTGCCTCCACCTTCATCCACGTTGCTGCAAAGGACATGATTTCATTCTTTTTATGGCTGCATAGTATTCCATAGTGTATATGTACCACATTTTCTTTATTCAGTTCATCACTGATGGGAAGCTAGGTTGATAGCATGTCTTTGCTATTGTGAATGGATGCTGCAATGAACATATGAGTGCATGTGTCTTTTTGGTAGAACCATTTATTTTCCTCTGGGTATATATCCAGTAATGGGATTGCAGGGTCAAATGGTGGTAGTTTTGCTTTAAGTTTTTGAGAAATCTCCAGACTGCTTTCTACAGTGGTTTAATTAATTTACATTCCCACCAACAGTGTATAAACATTTCTTTTTCTCTGCAACCTCACTAACATCTGTTGTTGTTGTTTTTTACTTTTTAATAATAGCCATTCTGACTGGTGTGAGATATATCTCCTTGTGGTGTTTATTTGCATTGCTCTGATGATTAGTGATGTTGAGATTTTTTCATGTTTGTTGGCTACTTATATATCTTCTTTTAAGAAGTGTCTGTTCCACTTCTCAAAAGAAGACATTTATGCAGCCAAAAGACACATGAAAAAATGCTCACCGTCACTGGCCATCAGAGAAATGCAAATCAAAACTACAATGAGATACCATCTCACACCAGTTAGAATGGCAATCTTTAAAAAGTCAGGAAACAACAGGTGCTGGAGAGGATGTGGAGAAATAGGAACACTTTTACACTGTTGGTGGGACTATAAACTAGTTCAACCATTGTGGAAGACAGTGTGGCGATTCCTCAAGGATCTAGACCTAGAAATACCATTTGACCCAGCCATCCTATTACTGGGTATATACCCAAAGGATTATAAATCATGCTGCTATAAAGACACATGCACACGTATGTTTATTGCAGCACTATTCACAATAGCAAAGACTTGGAACCAACCCAAATGTCCATCAATGATAGACTGGATTAAGAAAATGTGGCACATATACACCATGGAATACTATGCAGCCATAAAAAAGGGATGAGTTCATGTCCTTTGTAGGGACACGGATGAAGTTGGAAACCATCATTCTCAGCAAACTATCTCAAGGACAAAAAACCAAACACTGCATGTTCTCACTCATAGGTGGGAATTGAACAATGAGAACACTTGGACACAGGAAGGGGAACATCACACACCAGGGCCTGTCGTGGGGTGAGGGGAGGGGGGAGGGATAGCATTAGGAGATATACCTAATGTAAATGACGAGTTAATGGGTGCAGCACACCAACATGGCACATGTATACAGATGTAACAAACCTGCACATTGTGCACATGTACCCTAGAACTTAAAGTATAATAAAAAAAAGACAAAAAAAAGTGTCTGTTCATGCCCTTTGCCCATTTTTTAATAGGTTATTTCCTTTTTGCTTGCTGAATTTTTTAAGTTCCTTATAGATTCTGAATATTAGACCTTTGTTGGATGCACAGTTTGTGAATATTTGCTCCCATTCTGTAGGTTGTCTGTTTACTCTGTTGTTAGTTTCTTTTTTTATTTTATTTTATTTTTATTTTATTATTATACTTTAAGATTTAGGGTACATGTGCACAATGTGCAGGTTAGTTACATATGTATATATGTGCCATGCTGGTGCGCTGCACCCACTAACTCGTCATCTAGCATTAGGTATATCTCCCAATGCTATCCCTTCCCCCTCCCCCCACCCCACAACAGTCCCCAGAGTGTGATGTTCCCCTTCCTGTGTCCATGTGTTCTCATTGTTCAATTCCCACCAATGAATGAGAATATGCGGTGTTTGGTTTTTTGTTCTTGCAATAGTTTACTGAGAATGATGATTTCCAATTTCATCCATGTCCCTACAAAGGACATGAACTCATCATTTTTTATGGCTGCATAGCATTCCATGGTGTATATGTGCCACATTTTCTTAATCCAGTCTATCACGGATGGACATTTGGGTTGGTTCCAAGTCTTTGCTATTGTGAATAATGCCGCAATAAACATATGTGTGCATGTGTCTTTATAGCAGCATGATTTATAGTTCTTTGGGTATATACCCAGTAATGGGATGGCTGGGTCAAATGGTATTTCTAGTTCTAGATCCCTGAGGAATCGCCACACTGACTTCCACAATGGTTGAACTAGTTTACAGTCCCACCAACAGTGTAAAAGTGTCCCTATTTCTCCACATCCTCTCCAGCACCTGTTGTTTCCTGACTTTTTAAAGATTGCCATTCTAACTGGTGTGAGATGGTATCTCATTGTGGTTCTGATTTGCATTTCTCTGATGACCAGTGATGGTGAGCATTTTTTCATGTGTTTTTTGGCTGCATAAATGTCTTCTTTTGAGAAGTGTCTGTTCATGTCCTTTGCCCACTTTTTGATGGGGTTGTTTGTTTTTTTTCTTGTAAATTTGTTTGAGTTCATTGTAGATTCTGGATATTAGCCCTTTGTCAGATGAGTAGGTTGTGAAAATTTTCTCCCATTTGGTAGGTTGCCTGTTCACTCTGATGGTAGTTTCTTTTGCTGTGCAGAAGCTCTTTAGTTTAATTAGATCCCATTTGTCAATTTTGGCTTTGGTTGCCATTGCTTTTGGTGTTTTAGACATGAAGTACTTGCCCATGCCTATGTCCTGAATGGTATTGCCTAGGTTTTCTTCTAGGATTTTTATGGTTTTAGGTCTAACGTTTAAGTCTTTAATCCATCTTGAATTGATTTTTGTATAAGGTGTAAGGAAGGGATCCAGTTTCAGCTTTCTACATATGGCTAGCCAGTTTTCCCAGCACCATTTATTAAATAGGGAATCCTTTCCCCATTGCTTGTTTTTCTCAGGTTTATCAAAGATCAGATAGTTGTAGATATGCGGTGTTATTTCTGAGGGCTCTGTTCTGTTCCATTGATCTATATCTCTGTTTTGGTAACAGTACCATGCTGTTTTCGTTACTGTAGCCTTGTAGTATAGTTTGAAGTCAGGTAGAGCGATGCCTCCAGCTTTGTTCTTTTGACTTAGGATTGACTTGGTGATGCGGGCTCTTTTTTGGTTCCATATGAACTTTAAAGTAGTTTTTTCCAATTCTGTGAAGAAAGTCATTGGTAGTTTGATGGGGATGGCATTGAATCTGTAAATTACCTTGGGCAGTATGGCCATTTTCACGATATTGATTCTTCTTACCCACGAGCATGGAATGTTCTTCTATTTGTTTGTATCCTCTTTTATTTCATTGAGCAGTGATTTGTAGTTCTCCTTGAAGAGGTCCTTCACATCCCTTGTAAGTTGGATTCCTAGGTATTTTATTCTCTTTGAAGCAATTGTGAATGGGAGTTCACTCATGATTTGGCTCTCTGTTTGTCTGTTGTTGGTATATAAGAATGCTTGTGATTTTTGTACATTGATTTTGTATCCTGAGAATTTGCTGAAGTTGCTTATCAGCTTAAGGAGATTTTGGGCTAAGACAATGGGGTTTTCTAGGTATACAATCATGTCGTCTGCAAACAGGGACAATTTGACTTCCTCTTTTCCTAATTGAATACCCTTTATTTCCTTCTCCTGCCTAATTGCCCTGGCCAGAACTTCCAACACTATGTTGAATAGGAGTGGTGAGAGAGGGCATCCCTGTCTTGTGCCAGTTTTCAAAGGGAATGCTTCCAGTTTTTTCCCATTCAGTATGATATTGGCTGTGGGTTTGTCACAGATAGCTCTTATTATTTTGAGATACGTCCCATCAATACCTAATTTATTGAGAGTTTTTAGCATGAAGTGTTGTTGAATTTTGTCAAAGGCCTTTTCTGCATCTATTGAGATAATCATGTGGTTTTTGTCTTTGGTTCTGTTTATATGCTCAATTACATTTATTGATTTGCATATATTGAACCAGCCTTGCATACCAGGGATGAATCCCACTTGATCTTGGTGGATAAGCTTTTTGATGTGCTGCTGGATTCGGTTTGCCAGTATTTTATTGAGGATTTTTGCATCAACGTTCATCAAGGATATTGGTCTAAAATTCTCTTTTTTTGTTGTGTCTCTTCCAGGCTTTGGTATCAGGATGATGCTGGCCTCATAAAATGAGTTAGGGAGGATTCCCTCTTTTTCTATTGATTGGAATAGTTTCAGAAGGAATGGTACCAGTTCCTCCTTGTACCTCTGGTAGAATTCGGCTGTGAATCCATCTGGTCCTGGACTCTTTTTGGTTGGTAAGCTATTGATTATTGCCACAATTTCAGATCCTGTTATTGGTCTGTTCAGAGATTCAACTTCTTCCTGGTTTAGTCTTGGGTGAGTGTATGTGTCGAGGAATTTATCCATTTCTTCTAGATTTTCTAGTTTATTTGCGTAGAGGTGTTTGTAGTATTCTCTGATGATAGTTTGTATTTCTGTGGGATCAGTGGTGATATCCCCTTTATCATTTTTTATTGCATCTATGTGATTCTTCTCTCTTTTTTTCTTTATTAGTCTTCCTAGCAGTCTATCAATTTTGTTGATCCTTTCAAAAAACGAGCTCCTGGATTCGTTAATTTGTTGAAGGGTTTTTTATGTCTCTATTTCCTTCAGTTCTGCTCTGATTTTAGTTATTTCTTGCCTTCTGCTAGCTTTTGAATGTGTTTGCTCTTGCTTTTCTAGCTATTTTAATTGGGATGTTAGGGTGTCAATTTTGGATCTTTCCTGCTTTCTCTTGTGGGCATTTAGTGCTATAAATTTCCCTCTACACACTGCTTTGAATGTGTCCCAGAGATTCTGGTATGTTGTGTCTTTGTTCTTGTTGGTTTCAAAGAACATCTTTATTTCTGCCTTCATTTCGTTATGTACCCAGTAGTCATTCAGGAGCAGGTTGTTCAGTTTCCATGTAGTTGAGCGGTTTTGAGTGAGATTCTTAATCCTGAGTTCTAGTTTGATTGCACTGTGGTCTGAGAGATAGTTTGTTATAATTTCTGTTCTTTTACATTTGCTAAGGAGAGCTTTACTTCCAAGTATGTGGTCAATTCTGGAATAGGTGTGGTGTGGTGCTGAAAAAAATGTATATTCTGTTGACTTGGAGTGGAGAGTTCTGTAGATGTCTATTATGTCTGCTTGGTGCAGAGCTGCGTTCAATTCCTGAGTATCCTTGTTGACTTACTGTTTCATTGATCTGTCTAATGTTGACAGTGGGGTGTTAAAGTCTCCCATTATTAATGTGTGGGAGTCTAAGTCTCTTTGTAGGTCACTCAGGACTTGCTTTATGAATCTGGGTGCTCCTGTATTGGGTGCATATATATTTAGGATAGTTAGCTCTTCTTGTTGAATTGATCCCTTTACCATTATGTAATGGCCTTCTTTGTCTCTTTTGATCTTTGTTGGTTTAAAGTCTGTTTTATCAGAGACTGGGATTGCAACCCCTGCCTTTTTTTGTTTTCCATTTGCTTGGTAGATCTTCCTCCATCCTTTTATTTTGAGCCTATGTGTGTCTCTGCACGTGAGATGGGTTTACTGAATACAGCACACTGATGGGTCTTGACTCTTTATCCAATTTGCCAGTCTGTGTCTTTTAATTGGAGCATTTAGTCCATTTACATTTAAAGTTAATATTGTTACGTGTGAATTTGATCCTGTCATTATGATGTTAGCTGGTTATTTTGCTCGTTAGTTGATGCAGTTTCTTCCTAGTCTCGATGGTCTTTACATTTTGGCATGATTTTGCAGCACCTGGTACCGGTTGTTCCTTTCCATGTTTAGCGCTTCCTTCAGGAGCTCTTTTAGGGCAGGCCTGGTGGCAACAAAATCTCTCAGCATTTGCTTGTCTGTAAAGGATTTTATTTCTCCTTCACTTATGAAGCTTAGTTTGGCTGGATATGAAATTCTGGGTTGAAAATTCTTTCCTTTAAGAATGTTGAATATTGGCCCCCACTCTCTTCTGGCTTGTAGAGTTTCTGCCGAGAGATCTGCTGCTAGTCTGATGGGCTTCCCTTTGAGGGTAACCCTACCTTTCTCTCTGGCTGCCCTTAACATTTTTTCCTTCATTTCAACTTTGGTGAATCTGACAATTATGTGTCTTGGAGTTGCTCTTCTCGAGGAGTATCTTTGTGGCGTTCTCTGTATTTCCTGAATCTGAATGTTGGCCTGCCTTGCTAGATTGGGGAAGTTCTCCTGGATAATATCCTGCAGAGTGTTTTTCAACTTGGTTCCATTCTCCCTATCACTTTCAGGTACACCAATCAGACATAGATTTGGTCTTTTCACATAGTCCCATATTTCTTGGAGGCTTTGCTCGTTTCTTTTTATTCTTTTTTCTCTAAACTTCCCTTCTCACTTCATTTCATTCATTTCATCTTCCATCGCTGATACCCTTTCTTCCAGTTGATCGCATCGACTCCTGAAGCTTCTGCATTCTTCGTGTAGTTCTCGAGCCTTGGCTTTCAGCTCCATCAGCTCCTTTAAGCACTTCTCTGTATTGGTTATTCTAGTTATACATTCTTCTAAATTTTTTTCAAAGTTTTCAACTTCTTTGCCTTTGGTTTGCATGTCCTCCCGTAGCTCGGAGTAATTTGATCATCTGAAGCCTTCTTCTCTCAGCTCGTCAAAATCATTCTCCGTCCAGCTTTGTTCCATTGCTGATGAGGAACTGCGTTCCTTTGTAGGAGGAGAGGTGCTCTGCTTTTTAGAGTTTCCAGTTTTTCTGCTGTTTTTTCCCCATCTTTGTGGTTTTATCTACTTTTGGTCTTTGATGATGGTGATGTACATATGGGTTTTTGGTGTGGATGTCCTTTCTGTTTGTTAGTTTTCCTTCTAACAGACAGGACCCTCAGCTGCAGGTCTGTTGGAGTACCCAGCCGTGTGAGGTGTCAGTCTGCCCCTGCTGGGAGGTGCCTCCCAGTTAGGCTGCTCACGGGTCAGGGGTCAGGGACCCACATGAGGAGGCAGTCTGCCCTTTCTCAGATCTCCAGCTGTGTACTGGGAGAACCACTGCTCTCTTCAAAGCTGTCAGACAGGGACATTTAAGTCTGCAGAGGTTACTGCTGTCTTTTTGTTCGTCTGTGCCCTGCCCCCAAAGGTGGAGCCTACAGAGGCAGGCAGGCCTCCTTGAGCTGTGGTGGGCTCCACCTAGTTCGAGCTTCCCGGCTGCTTTGTTTACCTAAGCAAGCCTGGGCAATGGCAGGCATCCCTCCCCCAGCCTTGCTGCCGCTTTGCAGTTTGATCTCAGACTGCTGTGCTAGCAATCAGCGAGACTCCATGGGCGTAGGACCCTCCGAGCCAGGTGCGGGATATAATCTCGTGGTGTGCCGTTTTTTAAGCCTGTCGGAAAAGCACAGTATTGGGGTGGGAGTGACCCGATTTTCCAGGTGCCATCCGTCACCCCTTTCTTTGACTAGGAAAGGGAACTCCCTGACCCCTTGCACTTCCCGAGTGAGGCAATGCCTCGCCCTGCTTCAGCTCGCACACGGTGCGTGCACCCACTGACCTGCGCCCACTGTCTGGCTCCCTAGTGAGATGAACCCGGTATCTCAGATGGAAATGCAGAAATCACCCGTCTTCTGCGTCACTCACACAGGGAGCTGTAGACCGGAGCTGTTCCTATTCGGCCATCTTGGCTCCTTCCCCGACCGTTAGTTTCTTTTACTGTGCAAAAGCCCTTCCGTTTAATTAGATCCCACTTGTCAATTTTTGTTGTTTTTGCAATTGCTTTTGGGGACTTAGCCATAAATTCTTTGCCAAGGCTGATGTCCAGAATAGTATTTCCTAGGTTTTCTTCTAGGATTTTTATAGTTTGAGGTCTTACATTAAAGTCTTTAATCCATCTTGAGTTAATTTTTACATATGGTGAAAGGAAGGGGTCCAGTTTCAACCTTCTGCTTATGGCTAGCCAGTTATCCCAGCACCATTTATTGAATAGGGAGTCCATTCCTCATTGCTTGTTATTGTCACCTTTGACAAAGATCAGATGGTTATAGGTGTGTGGCTTTATTTCTGTATTCTCTATTCTGTTCCATTGGTCTGTGTGTCTGTTTTTGTACCAGTACCATTCTGTTTTTGTTACTGTAGCCTTGTGGAATAGTTTGAAGTTGGGTAATGTGATACCTCTGGCTTTGTTCTTTTTGCTTAGGATTGCTCCAGCTATTCGGGCTCTTTTTTGGTTCCATATGAATTTTAGAACTGTTTTTTGCTAATTCTGTGAAAAATGACATTGCTAGTTTGACAGAAATAGTGTTGAATCTGCAAATTGTTTTGGGCAGCATTGCCATTTTAATAACATTGATTCATCCAATCCATGAGCATGGAATGTTTTTTCCATTTGTTTATGTCATCTATGATTTCTTTCACCAGTGTTTTGTAGTTCTCCTTGTAGAGATCTTTCACCTCCTTGGTTAGATGTATTCCTAAGTACTTTGTGTCTGTCTGTGGCTAGTGTGAGATTGCATTCTTGATTTGGCTCTCAACCTGAACAGTATTGGTGTAAAGAAATGATGCTGATTTTTGTACATTGATTTTGCATTCTGAAACTTTACTGAAGTTGTTTATCAGCTCTAGGAGCCTTTCAGTCAAGACTTTCGGGTTTTCTACAAATGCTACCTCTTTAAAGAAGTCTTCCCAGACTCCACCACCATTAACCCAAACTGTAAGTATATACTTAGCTAAAAGTCTCCCTCTTTTATATTTTTTTAACATTTTTTTTTGAGATGGAGTCTCACTCAGCAGTCCAGGCTGGAGTGCAGTGGCACGATCTCAGCTCGCTGCAACCTCCACCACCGGGGTTCAAACGATTCTCCTACCTCAGCTTCCCGAGTAGCTGGTATTACAGGCTCATGCCACCATGCCCAGCTAATTTTTGTATTTTCAGTAGAGACAGGGTTTTGCCATATTGGCCAGGATGGTCTTGATCTCTTGACCTCGTGATCTGCCTGCCTCGACCTCCCAAAGTGCTGGGATTACAGGTGGGAGGCACCGTGCCCAGCCTTTTTTTTTTCTTTTTTTCTTTTTTTTTTTTAACATTTTTAACCTTTCTTTGAGTACTTACACAGTCTATAATTTATAATATTTATAAATTTATAATTTGACTACATATGTTTTGTCTCATACTAGATAATAAATACCTTAAAGTTGAAAACTGCCTTCTTAATCTTTCATTTGTTCTTTCAACAAATATTTGAATGATTGAATGAACTAAGAGATGAATTTCTCTCTACTCCCCAGTGCCTTATATATAACATCATCCTTCCTCAGAAAATCTTCCCAGAGCTATTAAAAAGAGAATACTTTATCAACCTTAAAAAGAAGGAAATCTTGCTATTTGTGACAACATGGATGAACCTGGAGGACATTCTGCTAAGTGAGATAAGCCAGGCACAGAAAGGCAAACAGTGCATGATCTCACTTATACACACAAATTTTAAAAGTTGAACTTATAGAAAGAGAGTAGGAGAGTCATTACCAGGGGTCAGAGAGTGGGGGAAAAGGAGAGATGTTGGTCAAAGGGTACAAACTTTCACTTATAAAACGAATAAGTTTTGGATATCTAATGTACAGCATGGTGACAATAGTTAATAATCCTGTATTGTTTGCTTGAAATTTGTGGTTAAGTATTCTCATCACAAAAAAAGGTAACTGTGTGAAGTGATTAATATGTTAATTAGCTTGACTGTGATAATCATTTCACAATGTATACATATATCAAAATATCACTTTGTGCACCTGAATGTATACAATTTTTATTTGTCAATTATATCTTAATAAAGCTGGAAAAAAATAAAATAGGCTACTTTTGGTAGTCATGACTGATACCTTCTTCCTCTAGGCTAGGAGTGAAACTACAAATAGATAAAATGAAGAATAGAGTAAAAAGAGGAGCTTAGAAGAAGAGGGCTAGATCCAATTGATCTTCCTCTTTCTTTCACATTACTTTTTCCATTTTTTTAAAGAAATTGCTTTGAATGGCTGATAAAATCCCAAAGGCTTCAGTATTTTTATAGCCCAATTTGAGGTAAACTATTTTTCTTTATCCTGTCAAATCTCTTCTCTATAAATATATCAAATAGATTCACCTTATTTTCCTTCCATCAATATAAGTGTAAGTAAAATGATTTACGGGCTGGGGGCAGTGTCTCACTCCTGTAATCCCAGCACTTTGGAAGGCCAAGGCAAGAGGATTGCTTGAGGCTAGGAGTTTGAGACCAGCCTGTGCAACATGGAAAGACCTTGTCTCTACAAAAAAATTAAAAGAAAGCTGGATGTGGTGGCGCATGCCTATGGTCTCAGCTACTTGGGAGGCTGAGGTGGGAGGATCACTTAAGCCCAGGAGGTCAAGGATGCAGTGACCTGTGATCTCACCACTGCACTCCAGTTTGGATTTACAAAATGATGATCTGTAATAGGATGCCAATATGTGGCACATATTTGAAGCACTGTCATAATGGAATTTTTAAGTAATTAAAATTATTTCACAACTAATTAACAACAGTTTATAACCCCATAAAGCATTCCAACTTAAGCATTTCTATTCATACTCCATCTGCTAAATATTAAGTAGAACAGTACAAAAATAGGAAAGGGGAGGCCATTTCCAATTATGTTCCCATTTTTTACTTACTTAGGGCAATAGCTTAACTCATTTACTTCTCTTGATTAATAGCATTTAATATATATAAATGACTATAAACATTCATTATGAATGCAGAAGAAACACTGTTTATTCTATTTTAAAAAAGCAAAATGGAACTATCCTGACTTTTAGATTTGTCTAAACAAAGGCCAATACTAGTTAGAAAAAACATCTGTCTGAATAAAGTCAGAAAATTCCCAAGGATATACTTAACTACTTCTAAGCATGCTTTCAGAACAGACGTACCCATATACGTGTCTTGCAGTCCAGATGGAATGATGAAACTTCCAAGACCCTCCTGGCATTTATTTAAATGTTTGGCTGTCCAGATACAAACTTTATCCAACAAATAAGAATTACCATTCCAAAAATAAGTGGTTCAACCCATCCACTTGCTTGTAGAAGTCGCAAGTGAATTCTTCATGCTTTAATTCATACTGTGCTAACACTGTTTCTATTCTAGAATTTGAAGACCTTCAGTCAACACACATTAATTGGGCTCCTGTCCGGCACAGGCCACTGTGCTACAAGTCTAGAAAAATGAATGAAATACATCTATCTCTCTACAAGTGTCTTGGTAGGAGAGAGAGAATTTACTTATGAATACCTATAATGCAATAGCAGGAAATTACACAAGAGAAGACATAGTATTTGACATAGAATGTAAAGTTGGTTAGGATTTCAAGAAGCAGCAGTACCAGGAATAAAGGGAAAAAGGCAGAAAATATACAATGTAAATGCATGAGCTTTTGCGATATTATTTACGATATGTGGCAGACACTATTGACACTCAACCCATATCCCCTTGTAACTCTCTGTTCTCTACACACAACCCTCAGACGCAGAAGCATGAAAGCTGGTTAATCAATTCCTCTGCTTCTTCACCTCTCAAGTAGGATGTACTGTACCCTCTCCTAGAGGTCCCCAGCAGGATAGAACCCAATTACCCACATTAATAGACTATGTATTGGCTAATTTTCCTTCCTTGTCTAACTTCCCTATGTCCCTAGCAGTGCTTCCCAACATTACCTCCCATGTTCTTCACTCAGACTACTCATAAGATCAGCTTTTTGGGGAATCCAAACTAAAACACAATAACTCAGCCAAGTGGGAATGTTACTGATGACTGACAGAATGATCTGTTATTTCACAAGTCACTGGAATAGAGCAGCATTTCCCCAAACAGCTATACACAGGATATCTGTGACCACTGATTTGTTCTTCTTGGAGATTTACAATACACATTAGGATAAGGACAACATTAAAAAGTCCATTAGCATGCCAGGCACGATGAGTCATGCCTGTAATCCCAGCACTTTGGGAGGCCAAGGCAGGTGAATCACCTAAGGTTGGGAGTTCGAGACCAGCCTGACCAACATGGTGAAACTCCATCTCTACTAAAAATACAAAAAATTAGCTGGGCTTGGTGGTGCACACCCATAGTTCCAGCTACTTGGGAGGCTAAGCCAGGAGAATCGCTTGAACCCAGGAGGCGGAGGTTATGGTGAGCCAAGATCACGCCATTGCACTCCAGCCTGGGTGACAAGAGCGAAACACCATCTCAAAAAAAAAAAAAAAAAGTCAAGTGGCAAAACCAAAACCTATTTAACATTGTTTAAGAGTTAACCAAACTTATTTGGCACCCTTATTAGCCTCCCAGTTAAAGCCAGTTTGGAAAGTGCTGGAATTGATATTGATGCATTTCTAATTTTAATGAAATGTACTCTTCTTTCATAGAGACCCAGAGCCAAATTAAAACATGTTCGCTAGTGTCCAAATATTCAGTTTTAAGCCAAATTTTCATTTTTTAAGTATATTTTCAGTTGTTTGCTAATGATGAGATTGATTTTTGAATGCCTTAACCTAAGCAATGTTCAATACTGTTCAGACTCTCAGCTCACATGGCTTTCTATGCACCAATGGCCTTGACCTAATTTTCTGTGGGAACCCCCTACACTCAGAGGTGGAAAGAGGGTTAAAAAGGATTCTAGAAAGATGTCAACAGAAACATTCATCCCTGCTGCCCAATGCCTCACATCGCCAATCCAATGTGCACAGGGGCAGCCACAGGGCCCAGAGAGCAGGTGAGGGCTGAAAAGTGTGAGGAAGGCCTGGTCAGACATCTCGGAGTTCTGAGGAAGGAACTTTCACACAATTTTGCTTCCCTCCAGACTGAACTAGAGTCTAGGAAATTCCTGTGGCAAGAAACTCTAGGATTGAGAACCAGAGCTTCTCAATTCCTAGAGATACGTTTGCTCCCTAAAAATCTCAGAACTCACCCCACCCAGAGGTAGGGTAGTGAAAGCCACTGGGAGTGGTCCAGAGAGGAGCTGTCAGGGAGCTAAATCTGGAGGTGAGTCCTCGATGCCAGAGAGATTGCGAGGATCTGGTCTTTCATTCTGAAAGTGTAGCAAACAACTTGCCCAGGAGGAGCTGCAGTACTAAAACAGATTTCCTAAAGGACATCATAAAGGAAAAAAAAACCACCGAATGAGGGTCAAACCGTTCAAAATAAGAGTTTCTGAGGCCAATAAACATGATTTTTTTTCACTTTTAAGAAAATCAGTGGATGAAATGAAAGAGAAAATGAACACTTTTGAGACTCATATGGATGGTATGAAAGATCAAAAGGGAAAAATATTACAAAACACAATGCAAAGAACTTCAACTTCCAGCCACAAAGGAACAATATTTCTGGGAATAATCTTCCTGCCAACAACCATTATAAAAGTTGTTGGATACATCAAGTATCTGTTTAACATTATTGGACAATAAGGCAGGCAAAACTTCAAGGGTCAAAATGTTAGAATCGGGAGGTACATTGAGGTGAGCCCCACATTCACCTGTGACTTTTCCTTTAGGACATTTGCAAGTTCACTGCACTGAAAGTTGGAGCCTAGCAGAAATCAGTGGTCAGGGGCTTGTGGAAATCTCTTTGGGCTGCAGAGAAAAGAGTTAGTTTTGTGTTGCCCAGGGGACCAGTGTCTCAAATAAGAGGAGGGAAGTAAACTAAAAAAATTCTAGAATCAACCTCACCTTGAGATGTTTTCTAATTCCTAAGTTGTGTGCATGCTTAAGTGAGAGTCCCGGAAACCAAGACGAAAGCCACATCTGGGAGGCTAAAGAGTTATTAAAGGACTTCAGCAGTCTAATAGCTCTAGAGAATCAGCGAATGAAGTTCAAGCTCAGCAAAGTGTAATGGTCCTTTTAAGCATACAAGGGTTTAAGTTGGGACTCCAGAAGGGAAAATCCCTAAGTGTAAAGGTAATATTCTGCCAGTAACAACAAACTGGAAATAGACCAGCCATGACAAAGGCTAACACCTGCCATCATTTGAATCAAGGCGCTCTTCCAATGCTGTGTGCCTGTGAGCTAACATCAGTTGAAGCAGCCGCAATTTTT
The DNA here is from genome assembly GCF_000001405.40 of Homo sapiens. Lineage (NCBI taxonomy): Eukaryota > Metazoa > Chordata > Mammalia > Primates > Hominidae > Homo > Homo sapiens. The sequence continues at coordinate 41,997,902 of NC_000023.11, read as the reverse complement.
CATGCACAGTGTCCTGCATCCAATTAATAAGAATTTCTTGACACATCAAGAAACATGAATAGATGCCTGAAAATCGAGAGATAAACCAGACAATAAAAATTGGTGATTTAAGTGTTGGTGTTATCAGACATGGAACTTAAAATAATTATGAACAATACGTTTAAGAAAGCAAAGGATGAAAAATCTCACCAGAAAACTGAAATTATATACATATAATTCAAGAACTTCATTATATATAATTCAAGAAATTATATATATATATAGATAGACATAACTCAAGAACTGAAAAACACATTTATTGAAACGAAGAATTCAATAGATGAATTTGGTAGTAGAAGAGAGAACTGGCAAACTGAAAAATAGATCAATAGAAAATATCCATAATTGAGAGAAAATAAAGAGATGTAAAATGCAGAAAATAAACATATGGGACAAAATTGAAGGATCTAAGATGTGTAATTGAGTCCCAGGAAGAGAGAGGAAACAAAAACAATGATTAAAGAAACACTGGCCAAGATTTCCCAAAACTAAAAAAAAAATTAATAATAAAAATATCAATTCAAGAATCTCTATAGACTCCTAACAGGATACTTTATAATAAGCTTCCTAAAAACTCAACACAAATAGAAGACATTTAAAGATTCCAGAGGGGAAAAATGACATATAACCATCAAAACAGTAATAACACCAACAACTGTCTTTTGCAAAGAAACTGTAGAATCCGGAAGACAATGGAATGACATCTTTAAATGATTTAAGAGAAAAGTGCCGACACAGAATTCTACACTCAGTGAAACTATTTCAAAAACTAAATGTTCTAACAAATAAAAATAAGACAATTCCAGCAAAACTCCACCAAAAGAAATACTAAACAGAGTTTTTCAGATGGAAGGAGAATAATCTCAGATAGAATAATTCAAGAAGAAATTAAAAGCACTGGGAAGAATATGTGACTAAATCTAAATGTATACTTTCCTTAGGGTTTAAAATGATAACTTTAATATATCCTCATAAAATTTTAAATATATGAAGAAGTAAATATTGATGTCAGTAACACAAAAATGTGAAGAAGAACAAATGGAGTTGAGTTATAAAGAACCGGGTGCAATGGCTCACACCTGTAATCCCAGCACTTTGAGAGGCTGAGGCAGATGGATTGCTTGAGTCCAGGAGTTTGAGACCAGCCTGGGCAATATAGCGAGACTCTATCTACCAAAATTAGCCAGGCATGGTGGTGTACACTTGTAGTCCTAACTACTCAGGAGGCTGAGGTGGGAGGACCACTTAAGCCCAGGAGGTCAAAAGTGCAGTGAGCTGTGATCACACCACTGCAATACAGCCTGGGCGACAGAGTGAGACCCTGTCTCAAAAAAAGGTTATGAAGTTATTAGGTTGCTCAAGAAATGATAAAAGCATTCATTTAAACTAAACAGTAATATGTTGATTATGCATGTTATAATCTGTAGAACGGGCACTAAATTAAAAATTTTATACCAGCTTCATTAAGATATAGTTCACATACCATGCAATTCATGCACGTAAAGTGCACAGTTCAATGGCTTTTTGTATATTCAGAGATATGGGCAGCCATCACTACATTCAATTTTGAGCATTTTTGTCACCTCAAAAAAAGAACCAAAACCCTGTACTCTTTAGCTATTGCCCAATCTCCCCATCCCAGTCAGCTCTAAGCAGATTTGTCTATCCGTGATGTTTCATATAAATGGAATCATACATCTTTAGTGACTGGTCTGTTTCACTTAGCATAATATTTTCAAGGTTTATCCATATTGCAGCATATACCAGTACTTCATTCTCTTTTATGGCTAAATAATATTCCAGTCTAAGAATATATCACATTTTTTAATCCTGTGTTTGGTTGAAAAAAATGAGTAGTTTCCACCCTTTGGCTATTATAAATAATGTTGCTCATGAATATGTTTTTGCGTTGACATATGTTTCCATTTCCTGTGTGTATATACCTAGGAGTAGAATTCCTGAATCATAGGTTAACTCTATGTTTAACCATTTGGGAAACTGTCAGACTGTTGTCCAAAGTGGTGGCACCATTTTACATTCCCACAAGCAGCGTATGAGAATTCCAAATTCTCTGCACCCTCACTAACACATGTTATTATCTTACTTTTTAATTATAGTCATATAGTGGGTATGAAGAGGTATCTCACCATGTGGTTTTGATTTGCATTTCCCTGACAAGCAATGAGGTTGAGCATTTCTTCATGTGCTTATTAGCCATTTATATATCTTCTTTGGAGAAATATCTATTTAGATTCTTTGCCCATTTTTAATCATGCGATTTGTTTTCTTATTATTGAATTATAATTGTTCTTTATACACTAGTTCCCCCCTTTATTTGCAGTTTCACTTTCCACAGTTTCAGTTACCCATGGTTAACTGCAGTTCAAAAATATTAAATGGAAAATTCCAGACATAATCTACATTTTAAGTTGCGCTCCATTCTGAGTTGCATGAAATCGTCCTCCATCCCACCCAGAATGTGAAGCATCCCTTTATCCAGCATATCAATGCTGTATATACTAGCCAACATCACTTAGTAGCCACCTCAGTTACCAGATTTTAAAAATAACATAGTACCTATAGAATTCAGTACTATCTGTGGTTTCAGGCATCCACTGAGGGTCTTGAAATATATCCCCTGCAGGTAAGAGGGGGAGATTACTATACTTCCTAGAAACAAATCCTTTATCAGATATATAATTTGTGGATATTTTCTTCCATTCTATGAGATATTTATGCTTTCTCTTGATAGTGACCTTTGAGGCATAGCAGTTTTTTATTCTGATAAAATCCAACTTACCTACTTTTTTTTTGTACTTTTGCAGATTTACTCCTATGTTTTCTTCTAAGAATTTTATAGCTTAAGCTGTCACATTAAGGTCTTTGATCCATTTTGAGGTAATTATTTTACATGGTGTGAAGACAAAGGTCCAACTATATTGTTTTTCAACCAGTTGTTCCAGCATCATTTGTTGAAAACAGTCTTCTTTCCCATTAAATGGTCTTTGTACCCTTGTAAAAAATCATTTTCTCTGTTATGTAGTCTCTATATCATTTTAGTCTCTGTATCATTAATTTCCTTTCTAATGTTTATTATTTCCTGCCTTCTGCTACCTTTAGCTTTACTTTGCTCTGCTTTTTCGAGTTTCTTGAGGTGGAAGGTTAGGTTATTGATTTGACATTTTCTTCTTTTTTAATATAGGCATTTACAGGTATAAATTTCCCACTAGCACTGCTTTAGCTGCATCCTATACATTTTAGCATCTTGTGTCTTCATTTTTATTCATCTCAAAGTATTTCTAATTTCATTTTTTATTTCTTCTTTGATCTATTGGTTATTTAGGAGTATATACTAATTTCCACATTTGTGAGTTTCCAAAATTTCTTTCTGTTACTGATTTCTAATTTTGTTCCATTATGGTTGGAAAACATACTTTGTATTTTTCTGTCACTTTAAATGTATTCAGTTAATGTATGTAACATATGGTCTATCCTGGAGAATGCTCCATCTACTCTTGAGAAGAACGTTTATTCTCTTGTGTTAGATGCAGAGATGTTTGTTAGGTCTAGATGGTTTGTGGTGTTTTTCAATTCTTCTATTTGCTTGCTCATTTTCTTCCTGGTTGTTCTTTCCATTCTTCAAAGTGGAGTATTGAAGTCATTATTACTGTAGAATTGCCAGTTTGTTTGTTTTTTTCCTTTATTTCTGTCAGTTCCTACTTTATGTATTCTGGTGTTCTGCCATTAGATATACATATGTTTATCATTCTTACATCTTCCTGATGGTTGACCCTTTCACTATTACAAAATGTCCCTATTTATCTCTAGTAATATTCTTTCTCTTAGGGTCTATTTTTTCTCATATTAGTACAGTCACTCCAGCTTTCTTGTGGTTGTTGTTTGCATAATATATCTTTTTCCATACCTTTACTTTTGATTTCTTTGTATATTTGCATCCAAAGTGTTTCTCCTATAGACAGCATATGGTTGGATATTGTTTTCCTACCCAGTCTGAAAATCACTGCCTTTTTTATTGGATTATTTAATTCATTCACTGGCAGCATGCTTAACAGTGCCCCACATTTCTCTAAGACTCTGTTTATCGTCATTCTTTTTTCTCGGTTGCTTAGATTGCATAATCTTTTTCAATCTGTCTTTCAGTTTGCTGATTCTTTCTCCTGCCAATACTAATACATTAAGAGCACCTCTAGTAAATTTTTCATTTAAATTACTGTACTTTTCAATTCCAGAGTTTCCATTTTTTAAAATTTCTCTTTATCATTTTCTCTACTTGATGTGACATTGTCATTATACATTATTTTACTTGTCTAATAATGGTTTCCCTTAGTTTTTTAAACATATTTGTAATGGCTATTTTGAAATCTTTGTTAATTCTGACATCTGGTCACTTTACACAAACACTTCAGCTGCCTGCTTTTTTTTTCTGGTGTAGGGACTATACTTTCTTGTTTCTCTGCATATCTCATAATTTTTGTTGAAAATCAAACATTTTAAATAATATATTGTAGCAATTCTGGGTACTTATCCTCCCTGTCTGGGCCTGGTCATTGTTATTTGCTTGTTTACTAGTTTAGTGAATGGCTTGTTTTAAGGAACTCTATTCCCTTCTCCCCTGTAGTGTGAAGTCTCTGATGTTGCTCCTCAGGGATACAGCCTTGGATATGCCCAGAGTCACTCTAGGATGACAGTGGTTTTCCACAGCTCTCTTTGACTATCTCATTCTCTGACCACACCCCATTTTTAAGCTCCATTAATTGCAATTCTAGCTCCTTTGAAGAGATAGTTCCTGAGGTCAGGGTTTGAAATTTGTTCTGACCCCAGGAGGTCTCCCCAGCTGTCTCTCCTGTTTCTCTCTAGCAATATGGCCTATATGTCTAATAAATCAATCAATCTTTTTGCAGTTGCCTTTCACTACCATTTCCACTGTTTCTGTGAGCTTCTTAGGCTTGAATTGCTCCAGGTGTGTTGCAAATAAAATTAGTTTTTGGGAGTAGAGATTTGTAGCTCTATGTTCTACAGTCTGCTTTCTCTTCCCAGCTCAAACCTTTGAGCCAAGGTTCTAGCACTGAGTACAGAGAGAACATGCTTCTTTCCCAGTGACACCACTGCTTTAGAAGCTGAGCACTCAATGGATGGGGGAGGAGAGAGCATCAGCTTACACCTTTCAGCATTGAGCCCCTGCCCTATGGGCTGGGTGCAAGGGCAATCTGGACCCCAATATTCTAAGCAGCACCATGCCCAAGGTAGAGCCTTCATCTCACAAGTAGTGCTGGGCAGAAGGGGGCCCCATCTCTCAGCCCCACTCATGTGAAACTTAGTCTCAGCAACAGGTAGCTAGGAGCAGGATGAGAAATGTTAACATTCTGCCTCTCCTTGGAAGCTAGCCTTTTTTCTGGGAGCTGGGGAGAGGGAACCTTGTGTTCTTGGTTTACCAGTCTGGAGTGGAGCTTCCAGCTCACCAAAGTGGGAAGGGGAAGGATAGCACAGATATTGGTTCAAATACCAAAGACTCTTGCAATTCTTACCAAGTTTTAGAAGATTTTCTTAAATATATGTTTAGTCATTTGTTGTGTGTCCATAGGGCCACTGGACCAGCACAGTGTGACAGAGCTTGTCACACTATCATACTGGAAGTGGAAGTACTAAAATAAAGTTGTAAACTATATAACTAATAAGCTAACAGAAGATGAAATAATAAGAAATACTTCAATAGTGTATGAGAAGTCAATAAAGGAAGAAAAAGGAAACAAGAACAGATTAGACAAATATATAAGTAAAATAGACAAAATCAACTCTATCATTAATTACATTAAATCTGAATGAACTAAATTCTCAAAACACAGTTATCAATCGATTATCTTCTTTTGAGAATGTCTTTTCAAATCATTTGCTCACTTTTAAATCAGATTGTTTTGTTTTGTTTTTATTGATGCATAACAGTTGTACATATTTGGGGGTACATGTGATATTTTGATAATGCATACAATATGTAATGATCAAATCAATGTAATTAGGATATACATCACCTCAAACATTTATCTTTGTGTTGGGAACATTCTAATTCTTCTAGCTATTTTGAAATATACAATAAATGATTGTTAGCTATAGTTGCCCTACGGAACTATCAAACTCTAGATTTTATTCCTTTATCTAACTGTATTTTTATACCTGCTAATCAACCTCTCTTCATCCTCCCCTTTCCCTACCCTTCCCAGCCTCTGGTAACCACCAATCTACTCCCTATCTCAATGAGATCCACTTATTTAGCTCCCACATATGAGTGAGAACATGTGATATTTGCCTTTCTGTGCCTGGATTATTTCGCTAATGTATTCCCGGTTCATTTATGTCTCCACAAAGGATAGAATTTCATTCTTTTTTATGGCTGAATAATATTCCATTGTGTCTCTATACCACATTTTCTTTATTCATTCATCTGTTTATGAACACCAAGGTTGATTCCACATCTTGACTATTATGAATAGTGCTGCAATAAACATAGGAATGCAGATATTTCTTTGATATATTAATTCCTTTTTTTTTTTAGATATACACCTAGCAGTGAGATTGCTGGATCATATAGTAGTTCTATTTTTAGGTTTTTGATTAACCTCATTGCTGTTTTCCATAGTGGCTGCACTAATTTACATTCCTACCAACAGTGTACAAGGGTTCTGCACGTTAATCTGCATTCTTACCAGCATCCATTATTTTTTGTCTTTTTGATAAAAGTTCTTTTAACTGGGGTGAGATGATATCTTATTGTAGTTTTGATTTGCATTTCCCTGATGATTAGTAGCAATGAGCATTTTTTCATGTACCTGTTGGCCATTTGTATGTCTTCTTTTGAAAAATGTTTATTCACATCTTTTACTCAGTTTTAAATCAGATTTTTTTTTTTTGCAATTGAGTTGTTTCAGTTCCTTATACACTTTAGTTATAAACCCCTTGTCAGATGGATAGTTTGAAAATAGTCCCTCCCATTATGTAGGTTGTCTCTTCAATCTGTTGATTGTTTCTTTTGCTATGCAGAAGCTTTTCAATTTGATATATTCTATTTGTCTATTTTTGCTTTTGTTGCCTGTGCTTTTGAGGTCTTATCCATAAAATCTTTTCCCACCAATGTTCTGAAGCATTTCCCCTAGGTTTTCTTCTAGTAGCTTCAGAGTTTCAGGTCTTCCATTTAAGTCTTTAAACCATCTGGGGTTGATTTTTGTATATGGTGAGGGAAAGAGTTCTAATTTTATTCCTTTGCATGTGTTTATCCAGTTTTCCCAGCACCATATATTGAAAACTGTTCTTTACCCAGTGTATGTTCTCGGTGCCTAAATGGCCAGAATAAATGTAAAAAAAAAGAAAAATGGTCAGCATCACTAATCATTAGGGAAATGCAAATAAAAACCATAATGAGATATCATCTCACTCCAGTTAAAATGGTTATTATAAAAAAGACAAAAAAAAATGCTGGTGAGGATGTGGAAAAAGGGAACTCTTGTACACTGTTGGTAGGAATGTAAACTAGTACAACCATTATGGAAAACAATATAAAAATTCTTCAGAAAACTAACTATAGAACTACCATATGATCCAGCAATCCCACTGCTGGGTATATATCATAAGGAAAGGAAGTCCCTATGTCCAATAGATATATGCACTCCCATGTTTATTGCAGCACTATTCACAATTCAACATATGTAATCAACTGAAGTATCCATCAATAGATGAGTGAATAAAGAAAATGTGGTATATATACACAATGGAACATTATTCAGTTATAGAAAAGAATGAAATTCTGTTATTCATGTCAATATGGATGAGTCTGGAGAACATTGTGTTAGGTGAGATAAGCTAGGCACAGAAAGACAGATACTGCATCTTCTCATTCATATGTGAAAGCTAAAAAAGTGGATCTCATGAAGCTACAGAGTAGATTAGTGGTTACCAGAGACTGGGAAAGGTAGGGGAGAGGGAGGATGAAAAGAGGTTGATTAATAGGTACAAAAAATGCAATTAGAAGAAACATGAGCTAGTTTTTGATAGTTTGGTAGGGTGACTATAGTTAATAATTTATTGCATATTTCCAAATAGCTGGAAGAGAGGTTTTTGAATGTTCCCAACATAAAGAAAAGATAAATGTTTGAGGTAATGGCTATCCTAATTACCCTGATTTGCTCATCACATATTATATACTTGTATTGAAATATCACACTGTATCTCCAAAATGTATACAATCATTATGTATCAATTAAAAATAATAACCAAAAAAAGTAAAATAGAAAATAAAAGACAAATTTATCAGACTGGAATTTTTAAATCAACTATACACTGCTTACAAGAGACCACTTTATATATAATGACACAGAAAGTAAGAAACTAAAAGGAAGGAAAAATACTAACCAAAGGAAAACTGGTACAACTATAATATTAGATAGAATATTATTTAAAGCAAGAAATATTATTTGAGATAAAGAATGATATTTTATAACAATAAAGCGTTCAATTCAACAGGAAGCTATAACAATCCTAGATTTGTATGTGACTAATAAAAAAGCTTAAAATATGTATAGCAAAATTGGCAAAACTTAGAAGAAAATTATAGGGAAATCAGAAATAATATTTAGAAATTTTAATACACCTCTTTTTAGTAACTAATGGTATCATTAAGAATGTAGAAGAATTGAACAACAGGACTAAAAACTTTCCCTAATAGACATATATAGAACATTGCAATAAACTGCAGAATAAACATTCTTTTCAAGTGAATATGGAACTTTTGCCAAAATAGAACATAAGGTAGAGCCATTAGTCAAGTCTCAACAAATTTCAAATGGTTAAAATCAGACACAAATTGAATTACCTAAACAGGTGAATTAAACTGGAAATAAAATCCCCAAATGTGTTAGAATTAATCAGCATGCTTCTGAATAATCCATGGGACAAAGAAGAAATTGCAAGGGATATTAGAAAATATATGAACCATATGGTAATGAAGATACAACATATCAAAAGCTTATAGAATTCAGTGCTTAGAGAGAAACATGTAACCATAAATGCATAAATTAGAAAATGAACAAGGCTGAATAATAAATAAGTCATCTAAATATCCACTACAGAAAGCTAAGAAAAAAGCAGCAAATCAAACCCAAAGAAAGAAGAAGGAAATAAATAATAAAGATGAGAATAGAGCACCATAATATAAAAAACAATTGTGCAAAAAAGAAAATTACCACAGCCAAAAAATATTTCCTAAAAAGATGAATATAACCAATAAACTCCTAGCAAAACTGATCAAGAAATAAAGAGAACAAAATTATCAATTACCAATATGGGGAATGAAAAAGAGGACATCATTACAGATCCAAAAGACACTAAAAATATAAGAAGAAGATATCATGAATAATTTTTTAGAAAGTAATTTGGCAATATTTATTAAAACTGTAATTACATATACTTTTCAACTCAGAAATCCTACTCCTTGAACTCTAATGCATAGAAATAAAAACACCAATTGAAAAACAAATCTCCCATGTATATGGAATATATCCAAAGATGTTTATTGCAGCAATGTTAGTAGTCCCAAAAAAAACCCATGAAAATAAAGTAATGTAAACTAATTGGAGAATGGAATATTAGGCAGATATAGAAAAGAATGAGGCAAAAAAAAAAAGCAATGTACAATGAGAAAAGGAAGATACATCACAAAGATTCTGGGATTTGGGTTTTTCCATTTTAATTAATTGATTTTTAAATTGATGAGTAAAAATCATATATTTATGATATACGATGTGATATTTTGATATATGTATACATTGTGGGATGAGTAAATCAAGCTAATTAACATATTCATCACCTCACATACCATTTTTGTGGTAAGAACATTTAAAATTTACTATTAGCAATTTTCAAATATGTAATACATTATTATTAACTATAATAGTCATCATGCTGCACAATAGATCACAGTAGATCTCCAGAACTTATTCATTCTAACTGAAACTTTGTACCCTTTGACCAACATTTCCCTACTCCACTCCCCCAGCCTCTTGTAACTACTGTTTTACTCTTTGTTTCTATGGGTTCCACCTTTGTTGTTTCCACATGTAAGTGAGATCGTGCAGTATTTGCCCTTCTGTGTCTAGCTTATTTCACTTAGCATAATTTCCTCCAGGTTCATCCATGTTGTTATGAATTACAGATTTTTTAGAGCCGAATAGTATTTCATTGTATAGAATACTGCATTTTCTTTATTCATTCATTTGTTGATGGAACTTAGGTTGTTTCCATAGCTAAGCTATTGTGAATAAGGCTGCAATGAATACAGGAGGGCAGATATGTTTTTGATATACTGATTTCATTTCCTTTGGATATATACCCAGTGGTGGGATTACTGGATCATATTGTAGTTCTATTTTTAATTTTTTGAAGAGCCTCCGTATATTGGTTTCATAATTGCTGTACTAATTTAAATTCCACCAACGGTGTACAAGAGTTCTCTTTTCTCCACATCCTCACCAACACTTGTTATCTTTCATCTTTTTGATAATAGCCATTCTAATAGGTATGCACTAATACCTCACTGTGGCTTTAATTTGTGTTTCCCTGATGATTAGTGATATTGAGCGTATTTTTATGTATCTGTTGGCCACTTGTATGTCTTCTCTTCAGAAATGTCTATTCAGGCCCTTTGTTCATTTTTTTAATCAGGCTATATATTTTCTTATATTGAGTTGAGCTCATTACATATTTTGCATATTAACCCCTTATCAGATGTATGGCTTGCAAAGATTTTCTCCCATTCCATAGGTTGTCTCTTTACTCTGTTGACTGTTTCCTTTGCTGTGCAGCTTTTTAGTTTGAAACAGTCTCACTTGTTTATTCATGCTTTTGTTGCCTGCGCTCTTTTTGTTTGTTTGTTTGTTTGTTTTAGAGACGGAGTCTTACTCTGTCACCCAAGCTGGAGTGCAGTGGTGCGATCTCGGCTCACTGTAACCTCCACCTCCCGGGTTCAAGCGATTCTTCTGCCTCAGCCTCCTGAGTAGCTGGGATTACAGGCTCACGCCACTACACCCGGCTAATTTTTGTATTTTTAGTAGAGACGGGGTTTCACCATGTTGGTCAGGCTGGTCTCGAACCCCTGACCTCGTGATCCGCCCGCCTCAGCCTCCCAAAGTGCTGAGATTACAGGTGTGAGCCACTGTGCTCGGCCGCCTCCAGCTTTGTTCTTTTAGCTCAAGATTGCTATGGCTATTCATGGTCTTTTGTGGTTCCATACAAATTTTAGGATTGTTTTTTCTATTTCTGTGAAAAATGTCATTGGAATTTTGATAGGAATTGCATGGGATCTGTAGACCACTTTGGGTAGTATGGACATTTTAACAATATTAATTCTTCTAATCCATGAACATGAGGTATCTTTCCATTTTTTTGTGTCTCCTTCAATTTCTTTCTACATTTTATAGTTTTCAGTGTACAGATCTTTCACCTCCATGGTTAAATGTATTCCTAAGTATTTTTTGATACTACTGTAAATGGATTGTTTTCTTGATTCCTTTCTCAATTTGTTGTTAGTGTATAGAAATGCTGCTGATTTTTGTATGTTGATTTTATACCCTGCAACTTTACTGAATTCATTTGTCAGTTCTAACAATTTGTAGTGGAGTCTTTAGGGTTTTCTATATAACATCATGTTGTCTGCAGAGAGAGACAATTTAACTTCTTACTTTTCAATTTGGATGCCTTTTATTTATTTTCCTTGCCTAATTGTTCTGGCTAGGACTTCAAATACTATGTTGAATAGAAGTGGCAAAAGTGAGCATCCTTGTCTTGTTCTTGCTTTTAGTGGAAAGGCTTTCAACGTTTTACCATGGAGTATGATGTTAGCTGTGGGCTTGTGATATATGGCTTTCATTGTATTGAAGTATAGTGCTTACATACCTAGATCCTGTTTCTGTTAAATGATTCTTAACTCTGTGTGTGTGTGTGTGTGTGTGTGTGTGTGTGTGTGTGTGTGAAATTCTATGATCTTGAGAAAAGGTCTGGGAAAATAAATACCAAGTCATTTATACAGGTTAGTGGAGGTGTCAGTGGGAGGTTGAAGTATCAATAAAAAATTAAACAAAATTCATTTTTTCAATGCATGTCTGTATCAAAACATCTCATGTACCCCCATAAATATATACACCTACTATGTACCCACAAAAATTAAGAATAAAAAAATTTAAATTTTTTAAAAAGAAAAATCCTGTTCAAAAAAAATTGTCCACAATTTAAAAGATAGTGTGTATCATATTTTCTCTTTTAAGTAAAAGTACCCATGTAAATATGCATGCATCAACATGAAAGGATAGTCTCCCAAAACATTAATGGTGAGGATCCTGGGGTGGTGAGATTTCAGAAAACTTTTGTTTTCTTCCATACATGTTTTTCTAAATAGTTTGGATTTTTTGAAAAGCAAAAATGTTTTAAAAGCTATTTTCATTGGTAAAACAATAAGTAAAAATAAAGGTGGAAAGCTGAATGGAGGGAAAAGCCAAAGTAGAATTAGAAATTGGGCAACGAAGCATCCCAGAAACATGGTGAGAAAATCTCTCTGTGTCTTCTTTTAGTGGAACCTGTCACCATGGCACCAGAGTCAGAAGATTCCAGATAATCTCTCTTTTATTGTTTCTTAAATGACCATCACCAATATCTGAACCAGAGATGACTGACAATCCAACCATGAATAATTAGCCTGGGTCCCTCTGAGAAGCCAGAAAGAAACCAGGGCATAATATTTCTGCCAGGCCTCCTTGCTTTGTCAGTTTTCCTGTGATTCTGCTTGGTATGGGCCAGTGTAACCGTTTCCTTAGATTTGCTTATTCAAGATGACGCCATGGTCCATTATACTTAGGTACCAGGTTCCATTATCCAATCGGTCACCTTCTGCCTACTCTGTGTCAGTTAAAACAACTGTGCCCCAGCCACCACCCACGCAGGCTATAAAACCGGTTTCAGGTTTTCATAGTGAATCACATCCCTGCGATGTTAACAGGAGCCTGCTTTTCCCAGACTGACATGTCTTTCCTTGAGGGTAACACCTTTCATTTTCCACCCACACACCACCCATAAAAGTTCTTTAATCATCTTCAGTTCTATTTGCTCTGAATAAATCTTATTCACAGTTCCTGATGGGCATGTGGGATAGAAGTATGCTATCACTTTTCCTTTGCCCAATAACAACACCCATTTTCTCTTTCCTAATGACTATTTCCGAGTTTTTCCAGAACCACTGAGATCATGTCACATTTAACCCTGTTTCTAAATTCTATCCACCTCTTTCACTATTATTTCGCTCAGGCCAAAGTCCTTGAAATCATCCTTAACTCCTCACTGTCTTTCGCATTCCACATCCATCACATCAGTAAATCTGGCTCTACTTTGCTCAACATCATTAGTTGTTAGGAAAATACAAATTAAAATCACAATGAGATACCACTTCATACCTAAGAGAATGACTAAAGTAAAAAGTACCAACAATATTAAATACTGACAAGGTTACAGAGCAACTGGAACTCTCTTGCATTGCTGGCAGGAATGCAAAATGATACAGCTGCTATGGAAAGCAGTTTGGCAGTTTCTATAAAGTTGAACATGCACTTACCACATATACCAATCATATTCCCAGACATTTGCCAAAAAAGAAAACTTATGTTCATACAAAAGCCTGTGCACAAATATTTATAGACACTTTATTCATAATCACCAAAAACTGGAAGCAACCCAAATGTCCTTCAGTTGGTGAATAGAAAAACAAACTGAGGTACATCTATATAGTGGAATTCTACCCAGCAGTTATTAATAAAATAAATAAACTTTGATTCATACATCATAGATGAATGTCAAATGCATTTTGCTTAGAGAAAGAAGCCAGACACAAAAGTCTACAAACCATATGATTCCATTTATGTAAAATTCTGGAAAAGACAAAACCATAGGGGCAGAAAACACATCAGTGGTTACCAGCTATTGGGCTTGAGGGACTAGTGTGACTACAAAGAGGCAGTATGAGGCAATGTTTAGAATATGAAACTGTTTTATGCCGTGACTTTAGTGGTGGATGTGTGGATATATGAATTTGTCAAAAACCCCCTTGTCCAAGCCACCATCAACTCTTCCCTAGACTCCTACGGTGGTCTCCTAACTGCTCTCTTGCCTCCAGTATTGCCCTTTTACAGTGCATATGGTAGCCAGAATGATACTTTCAGATCTAAGTCATATCATATCATATCATACCCATGCTCAAAAGGCTTAAAATAAAATCCAGTGTTCTTGCCATGATCCCTATGGCCCTACATGATCTGGCCCCTTGATAACTTCTCTAACCTCATCACCTAGTATTGCCTTCCTTACTCGTTGTATTCCACCTACACTGGCCTCCTTGCTTGTCCATGAACAGGCCAAGGATACTTCAACTTCAAGGTCTTAACCCTTGTTGTTTCCTCTCATGGGAATATTTTTCACTAAATACCTGCTGGCTTATTCCCTTGCTTAAAACTATCACTGGCTCTCCATTGTGCACAGGATAAAATTTCAACTCCTCAGCATGGCACTTAAGACCCATGATGTAATCCACACCTATCTCTACATTCTTATCTGTCACACATTGTGCCCTGAACATAGCAAATTGTGTTTCTGAATTCTCTCCACTTCCCCTTTTTTGCCTGATGAATATCTACATATTTTATTTTTTGAGACTCCCTTCAAGCACTGCCTTCAGATAAAACAGATGGCTGCCTCTTCATGTACCTACCATGTCCTGCATGTGCTTCCATCTGGACATGTGTTTCCTCAAGCTCTCCAGGTGATTCTTATGCATATTAACATTTAAGAAGCACTGACCCAACATTTATCACGTGATGTATGTGATTATATGTCTGTTTCCTCTGGCTGGACTGAAAAGGGTTTTGATCTATCCCCACAGCCTAACACAATGTCTGACTCCCAGTAGGAGCTCAATAAATGTTAGATGAAAGGACAATTGCATGAATACATGTCCACGTTTTCTACTTCCATGTTCCTGACAAAACAGAGTTCTCTCCCTGTAATGATCACATGTCCAACCAGAAATTAGAACAGCACAGAAGTGCAGTTGGATCTGGCACATACCTGCCTTGTGTTGTTGGAACCAGACTCTGAGTTTTCTTTCTTTTTAGGCTGGCTCACTAGGTCGTCACAGACTTACTCAGGTTGTTGTTAATTTAGCTAGATATTTAGTCACAAGACAGTCCCTGAAATCTAAGTTTGAGGGCTACATTCATTAAGTACACAGCCTGAGTGCAAAGGTCTAGGGGTCATTGTAGATTTTTAAACCTAAACCATTTATTTCACTGACTAGATCTCCATCTTTCTTTGAAGGAAACCATCCCTTAGATGTAGAAAATTTGATATATTCATACTAAGTTCTTTTTTTAAGTTGACTCATTTCATAGTTACTGCTTCTGATTAAAATTCACTAATCTAGGAAATAATACGTTGAACAAAATCTTTATCAATGTTAGTTTTTTACTGAACTTAACTCATACAAAGAATTTTAATCTGTAAAGTCCTTGACCTTCTCAGGCATTTACTGAAAGACAACATAGGTTCTCTCCACCCAGCTGCCTTTTAGTAGTATCACAATTGTTCCTTTCCGAGTAGGGATGATGAATTGCTAAACAAGGCCGCTGGCAATTAAGAGTAGGGTACATGATATTTGTTACTATTAATGCCATCAATCCTGAGAACTGTCATGAGGCTTTATTTCTACCATCTAACAACTTATCTTCACTGTTTCAACAACCTACTCCAATGCTAATGCTTTCCAATAAAGCAGTGGTAGGTTGGAAAGAAAGAAAAGAGTAAAGGGAAGTAAGTGTCTTTCTAATTGTTATAAGGAAGCTGGGGAATCGGGGATAGAAGGAGGTGGCTGCCCAGACATTTCGCTTGGAGTGATATGCTCATGCCTACATCAGCCTGAATATTAGGTAGGTGTGGCCAGGAAAAAAGAAAATGTTTTTAACTGATCGTGACTCATTTCCACATAGTGTATACTAATTAAGCTCCCACCGACTTATTTTTCCAGCCCAAAAACAAAAAAAAAAAAAAAGATTTATGACAAGATAGTCTGGGTTGCTTGCACTGTGACTCAGCAGTTTCTGTCTATGAAACCCAAACTGCTATAAAATCTTAAAGAAATTAGGATCAAGCATCTCTAAAGTTGGAACATTATATATTAATGGATCTTCTATCCCCAGATGTGTTTGATCTAATTTTTCCAAGTAGACTACTCTAGTGAGCTTTAGGCATACACACAGCCCTATGGCTAGAAAACAGAACATGTCAGAAGCCTACCAATGCCATCTGACACTTTCCCTCTTGCATCCCTTCTATATGGGTTTGTATAGGAGGGTGTGAGGCTCAGTTGAAAACTGACACTGGTTTTTGCATGATTAAAATTATCGCTGTGTAAATTTTCTGAGAATTTATTTCTGAGAATTTAAACAAGAGGCTGTGGCTGAGACTGCTTGTTGTCCTCCTAAGTCCATTCTCCTTGACTTTCATAGTGATGGCAATGGTACATGACCACCCAGAATACATTACCCAACCACCTTTGCAGCTAGGTATAATAAATTATCCAGTTCTGGCCAATGGAATGTGAATGGAAGTAGTATGTTCAACTTTCAGGTTGTGCCCTTATAGAGCAGAGGCCTGCCCTCACCTTGCACTTGGCTCATTCCTATTTATTAGAACGCTGGCATGACGGTGGGAACTGAAGCAAACATCTTGGACATAAGTTGGAAGCAATGAATTAAATGTAGAGGAGAAACAAACAAGATAGAAGGTGCTTGAGTCCAAGATGATTATGGAGCCAATATACCATCCTTGAATGGTCTACCTAGATTTTTATATTAAAAGGAAATTAAAAACTTCCATCTTGTTTAAGCCACTATTAGTTTGGGTTTCTCTGTTACAACAGCTGTAGCAATATCCTAACTAGTATAGATACTTTCTTTTTTTTTTTTTTTT
This sequence comes from Homo sapiens, assembly GCF_000001405.40. Lineage (NCBI taxonomy): Eukaryota > Metazoa > Chordata > Mammalia > Primates > Hominidae > Homo > Homo sapiens. Next base: position 41,980,799 of record NC_000023.11, on the reverse strand, counting down.
TTGGAAGCAAAATCAACCCTGTAGCAGGCAGAAAAACAGAATTTGAGATTAGACCACACCATGCTCAGTCATAGCAGCAAATAAGGATAAGACAAGGTATTATCTTAGATGGATGGGCCAAGACTAGGCCTAGAGGCAGGACCAAATTACCTTGGAGGAAAGTAGTTGCCAGCAGTCTCTGTAAGCAGGAATATTAAAACCCTTCCTTAGAGAAGCTGAGAAGTATGGAAGCAAGTCTTTGTTGTTTTCAGAGAAGGAAAGAAAGAGATGTTCCTAAGCCCTGTGGCATAATGAGATTGGAATGTATCCTAATATTCCAGCATTTCATCTTTGATCATCCCCTTCTTTACTGTATGAGTAACTGTATTCCCTTGACTTCTACCTGTATTCCTTCTCAAACAAAAATGGCCAGAGTGGACAACTTTGGGTCAATTTGAACATCAAAGTAAATAATAATGGTAATACATTATAACACGTTGACTTTTACAATAAATATTCAAAAGTCTACAGTGATACTCTAGAAAAGAGGAGGGAGGCAAAGTATTTTTTCTCAGAAGAATGCCAGCTAACAACCATAAGAAAATGATAAAAATTAGAACACTATCTGATATGGTTTGGATCTGTGTCTCCGCCCAAATGTCATGTCAAATTATACTCCCCAGTGTTGGAGGTGGGGCCTGGTGGAAGGGGATTGGATCATGGGGTCTGATTTCCCTCTTGATGCTGTTCTCTTGATAGTAGGTGAATTCTGAGTTCTCATGAGATTTAGTTATTTAAAAGTACCTACTACCTCCTTCCTTTTTCTGTTCCTTCTGCTCCTGCCATGTAAGACCCCTGCTCCTTCTTCACCTTACACCATGAGTAAAAGCTCCCTGAAGCTCCCCTAGAAGGAGATGCCACCATGCTTCCTGTACAGTCTGCAGAACCATGAGCCAATTAAACCTCTTTTCTTTATAAGTTACCCAGTCTCAGGTATTTCTTCATAGCAGCGCCAGAACAGACTAATACGTTATCATTTTGCAACCACCACTGTAATAATTTATTCAAACTTTGGTGAAAAGCTTGTTGAAGAACAAGATATTTACACACAGTCTTGCTTTCTTCACCATAGACCACTTTTTTTTTTTTTTTACTTTAAGTTCCGGGATACACGTGCAGAATGTGCAGGTTTGTTACATAGGTATACATGTGCCATGGTGGTTTGCTGCACCTGTCAACACGTCATCTAGGTTTTAAGCCCCGCATGCATTAGGTATTTGTCCTAATACTCTCCCTCTCCATACCAACCTGAACGTGCCCAATCTCCTCTGACCATAGAACACTTTTTAGGCGCAAAGGAGAAAAGGTCCAATGGAGAAATCCATTCAACACTTACCTTAGCCAAGTGTTCAAATTCAGTGCAATGATGAGAAAGCCTGAGACAATATGCATCCCGATGTGATGCACTGAACACTACACACTAGCGATTCTTGCAAAAAATGTGTAACTGAATCTAACCATAAGCAAATATTTGGACAAATTTGAACTGTGAGACAACAAAACAACTTGTCTGGACTCCTCAAAAATGTCATTGTCGTAAAAGTTCCCTCCTCGACCTTCCCAGAAAATAACTTCAAAAATTGTTCTAGATTAAAGAAAATAAAAGGCACCATGGTTAAGTGCAATATGCGGTCCTCAAAAGCATCCTGGATTTTTAAAAAATAGCTATAAAAGCTGTTACTAGGGACAATGGGGATATTTTAAATACAGATTTCAAAATAGATATTATTATAACAATATTAATTTCTTTGGTGTAAAAATGATATCTCATTATGTATTCTCATTATGGCCATGTTCTTAAGAAATACGTGCTGAAGTATTTAGGGGTGAAGAGTCATAATGGCTACAATTTACTTTCAAATGGTTTGGGGGAAATTTTTATGTATACAGAGAAAGAGGGAGAGAGAAAGAGAACCAATTTGAGAAAGTGTAAATAATTGATGATTCTAGGTACATGGTACATGGGTGTCCATTGTTCTGTTTTTCCAACTTTCTTTATTTGAATTTTCATTAAAAACAAAGGAAAATGGCCAATTTGCCTAATGATCCAGATTTATCTTTATTCCACATATTTCTCTCAGTAAACAAATTAGTTAAGAAAAGCGGGGCTATGCTTTTCTATAGTCACTCACAATTCCTTCTCAACCTCCAAAGGCTATTATTTTTCAATGAAAGCCCAAAGATTATGAAATATTTATACATTCTAATCAAAAATCTTACTGCTTATTTGACAATTAATAAATGCAAAGGGGATCTTCTTCAAAATTGTGTTTTGATTCTGGCAACTTTAGTCTGGTAGGCTCTGATGAATTGAACAAAATCTTGGCTTTCCTTCTGAAGAATATATGTACCTGTTCCTTTCTAGACCAACAACCTTGAGCATCTATTGACACATGAGAAATAGCTATTTGAAGTCCTTGAAGCTTGTCAGTATTTGAGTTTCTGTCCCAAATATTTCCAGTGGAGGATTCAGCATTCTTCTATGAGTAGGGGAAATTAGAATAATGGCGAGATGGGTACATATTTGAGTTTTGCTGGGGTTAAAAGAATATTGTTTCATATGGTTTTACAATACACTGACATAGTTCAGTAATTTTACAGAAAGACTGTTCCACTGTCCTTGCGATGGTTCCTAAAATCATCTTGGACCATGCAGTGAACCAAAAAGTGGAAAAGTGGACTTCATCTTGAAAAACAAGAATTAAAACTCAAAGAAATTGGTGGTTTTCAAGATGAAGCCTACTGTCGATTACATGGAATAGACTTTCTTCACTGAAGGAAATAGGGATATGGCTGTCTCTAGGGATGGAATGGTTTGGCTCACTTGTCCAGAAAAAAAGCCTTACAATTTAGAGCATTAGTGTAGTTAGCAAATAAGTGTCCACTCTCTATATGAAAATTACTATTTCCTTCAATCTGCTCATTTGGATAGGTAAACTGTGGCACCTCAGCAGCTATTATGATGTAACCAAGTAGCAACTTCTATTTTCACTCTTTATGTATTTCCAGGGCACTCTCATGGATGTCCATAGCTCTGATTACCATCTCTACGTGCTGACAGTTTCCAAATCTGTATCTGTAGCCCAGAGTTTTCTTCTAAGCTTCACACCCATATATCCAATTGTCTAGATGGTATTCTACTTGGAAACCCCACAATTCTCTCAACCTGCATGTATCCAGAACAGAATTGGTGATGTGCTCCTTAAATCCTGCCCCTCCTGAATCCCCTCTTCAGTGAAAGGCATTACCATCCACTCAGTTGTACAAACCAGAAAGCTTGGCATCATCTGTGACTCTTCTCTCTCCCTCACTCCCCACGTCTAATCAGTTACAAAGTCCTGTAACGTCTGCCTCTTATATATCTCCCAAATCCACCCACCTTTTCCATCCCCCTGGATTCAGAAGATATACTTCCAAATAGATTATTAAAATTGTCTACAAACTATACCTCAATTTTCTCCTCTTCAAACCACTCTCTATATTGCAACCACAGTAATTTTCCCAAAGTGAAAATCTGGTTCTAAATCTCTTCTGCTTGAAATCTTTTAATGGATCCCCATTGCATTTAAGATGAATTTCAGATTCCTTGGGCTTAAAAGGTCCTGTAAAGGTCCTGTATGGTAGGGGCCCCTGCTAACCTCTTCCTAATTTATCTCTCACCAGTCAGCCCTTCAAACCCTGTGCTCCAGGAATACTGAGCTTCTTTCAGTTTCTCAAAAATGACTTGTTCATAACATAGGGTATTATACTGTATTGTGGGATAACTGTGTGGATTGAGTGTTTGCTTATCTATGTTCTTTCACCACACTGTAAGCTCCATGAGGACAAGAATTGTGTCTATCTTGTTCACCATTTTATCCCCAGCTCATGGTGCAGTGCCTGCATGATTTCGCTTTTTGAAGTTTTCTTTAAGACATAGTAAAATCAATTTTGTAATTATGGTGTGGCTAATTAGAAAGAAAATATATTCTCTGCAGGGTATTAAGTTCAATATTTTTATTAAATTAACTTTATTAATTATGTTATTCAAATTCTACACATCCTTTTGTTTTTATAAATAATAGGGTTGTATCAAAGTCTCTCAAAGCTATTAGATTTATGTGAATTTGTCAATGAGTTTCTAACAGCTTCTGCTTTATAATAGTGACACTAAGTAATTTAGCATATACAGTTTATTATATCTTTGCTCTGTATAATGCTTTTTGTCTTGAATTCCACTTCACCTGAAATTAATATTGCCACCTCTGCTTTCCTTTTGCTTGCATTTGCGAAAAAGATAAATTTTTGTCCGTCTTTTTCTTTTTAAGATTTAGTGTCTTTTTGTATGCTATTTTGCAATATATAGGTATATTTTATATTACAATCTAATCACAGAGTATTTGTATTTTAATAAGAAGTTTTAGCAATTTATATTTGTTATAACTGATGTTTTGTTGCTTTTATGACATTTTTCATGTTCTCATTGTTCCTTTAAAGCCACATATATTCTACACATTGTACTTACCTCATTTGGTCATTTAGAAAATATAAACTTTGTTTATATTAAAGAGAATATTTTTTTAAAGAATAGTCTTTAACCTAGTACCTAAGTCTTCCAAGTTAAAAATGGTAGTATGATATCCTCTGGCTCTTCCACTTAACTTGCCCTCACTTGTTATGCCATTTTCTAATTTTTATTATTTGTTGGTAGTTATATAATCTTAATAATTTATCTTCACTTTCAGGAAGTGTGTGTGTATATATATGAGTAATCCGTATAGTAAATGTTTACACAGAAGGAATATATCTTCAACTTATTTTTCAAGAAGTAACATGGATGGAATATTTTCCGAGTCCCTGATATTCATGTCTTTCTATTGCCTTCATTCCTAAAAGAAAATTGACTACTTGAACCAAATATTTTTCTATCCAAACATTTTAGTCATTGCTTTGTAATCTTTTAGCACTTGCTTTAGTGGAAAATACAGACGTTAGCCTTATTTTTTCTTCTTTTATATGCAAATTAATTAAATATCTAGACACTTATAGAATATGTTTAAATCTTTAGGATACAAGATATGTCTACGTGGGAAATTCTTTTTATTTTCCATGCCTGGAAGATTCTAGACTCTTTCAATCTTCACAATCAGATCTTTTTCTACTCATGAGCATTTTTTGCAATTATATCTGATTATTGCTTGTATTCTAATCATTTTGATCTCTTTCTCTAGTATATCTATAATTTTTAGGTTTGATAATTGTTCTTACTCATGCTGTTTCACTTTTTTCTACTTGTTCCATACATTCTAGGGCAAAAAAAGTGTTTGTTTTCTACATTACCACTTCAATTTTTAGTGTCAATTCTGCTCTTCTCCATCACCAGAAAGGATTTTTGATTCTGCTATTGAAGTTTTAGCTCTCTCATGGTTTCTTTTTTAAATTTTTTTCTTTACCTCAATTGTTTTTCTGTTATTCTCTTACAATTTTCTTCATTTCTGTTAGTTTCCCTAAGCTTTCAGATCCTCCTTTATAGAAGTCACATCTTCTAGCCTTAAAGATATGATTTTCTTTTTTTAACTTTTATTTTAAGTTCAAAGGTACAAATGCAGGTTTGTTATATAGGTAAACCTGTGTCATGGGGGATTGTTATACAGATTATTTTGCCACCCAGGTACTAAGCCTAGTACACATTGGTTGTTTTTCCTGATCCTCTCCCTCCTCCTATCCTCTACCCTCTGATAGGTCCCAGCGTGTGTTGTTCCCCTCTATGTGTCCATGTGTTCTCTTCACTTAGTTTCCATTTATAAGTGAGAACATGCAGTATTTGCTTTTCTGTTCCTGTGTTAGTTTGCTAAGGATAATGGCCTCCAGCTCCATCCATGTCCATGCAAAGGACATGATCTTGTTCTTTTTCATGGTTGCATAGTATTCCATGGTGTCTATGTACCACATTTTCTTTATCCAGTCTATCATTGATGGGCATTTAGGCTGATTCCATATCTTTGCTATTGTGAATAGTGCTGCAATGAATGTATGCATACATGTGTATTTACAATAGAATTATTTATATGCCTTTGGGTATATACCCAGTAATGGGATTGCTGGGTTGAATGGTATTTCTGTCTTTAGGTCTTTGAGGAATTGCCACACTGTCTTCCACAATGGCTGAACTAATTTAAGACTGCACACCTACAAGATATACTTTTCTACTGGTTTCAATAGTAAATCATTTCCACAGTCCTATTTTTCTCCTGAGTCTTCACTGTGGTGTTTCTCTTGCTTTGCAGAGTTTTTTTCATAGGTTCCTATGTACCTCTTTTCTATTTGCACATTCCAAAAATAAAGAGAGACCTAGCCTGGCCCAGTTCTTGACAAAAGACAGACTTTGGTTATTCTCATTTTCCTTTGGGTATTGCTCAGTTCACCTTCTGAGAGTTCAATCATGTTGATATTCACTGTTCTCAATCCAATTTTCACTGCCCAGAAGATATTAATTTTGGGCAACTCTGATATACTAAGTTGGAACTTTCTCCCACCCCTATAGCTTAGTTTTGTAATGCTCTAAGTCAATAAAGAACATGGAAAACTATAATGACATTAAGTTGTTTCCAAAAAATTAGTTCACCCCCAAAAGACAAATGACAACATAGATTGAATCAAAAGTGCAACCCTTATATACATGTAAGGGTTCTTTTGGTCTTTTCAACTGCAATGAGGTATTATTAACTGTTTTCTGAAAGATTTTTGGTCTCTACTAAATATAAGAAGAGATATACTAATATAAAAGTAGATATGCAAGAAAGAATGCTCTGGCTGTCTCATAAAATCTCCCCACTAGCAAATGGATGGCTGCCATGTTTTCTGGTAGGTCATGCCTGATGATTCTGAGCCACAGAACAGAAAGTGAAGGAAGCATGAAATAACCTCCTTTATAACATTGGCAGATTTTGTTTTCTGTAACTGATGGCAAAGTACCAGATCACAAATTATACTTTTCAAACAAGTATATCACCCTTGTAATTAAGTGAAATTCTACAGAGTTGGCAAACGACAAAATGTCAGTCTTGATTTTCTTTGTTATTATGAGCCTTCATCTTTTTCTGTGTTCATGATTATTTTACTGACAAGAATTATAGCAGCAGAAACCACCAGCCAGATACCATCTTAAGACAAAAATTACACCTTGATTTTAACACATCACCTCCAAAATCCCTCTTCCCAACCTGTCCAAAAAAAGTAGAATCAAACCTAATTATATAACTTGTATTTACGATGTTTAGCTTGGAAATGACATTAAGTTATTTCCAAAAAGTTGATTCACCCTCAAAAGACAAACAAGTGACAACAGAGACTGATTCAAAAGTTCAGGCCACAGGCTCTCAAAGTAGGAGTTTCAAAGGTTCTTTGAACCATGGCCATATTGAAAGAATGAGTTGAAAAAATTCCCATGAAACTACTTTGAAGAGAATGGTTCTCATTTGTATGCTGAAGTTTTAGCGTGTTGTTAAAAATTCAATCACATTACTTTATAGCCACACCTCTACATAAGGTGTTTCTTTCTCACTCACATACTGCCTCATTAACTGCCATTAATCAAACACTCCTGTTAATGTTCTTAGGCCTGATCTTCACTTTCCTTGGGATAGAAATCTTAACTTTTCTGAGTTGCCTTATTGTCAAAAGTTGTTGTGCCAGTTCTTAAGCTATTCTCTCTCAGCTCCAAATCCAGCCTTCTATACTTTGTTTTATGATGCAAATAAATACAAACCACATTTCTGCTTTGCTAACTGCTCCCTGTTAGGCACTGCCTGTAGGGAATGCTAGAGAGAGATACAAGATTAGAAGAGGAAGAAGAGACATGCTCCTTCCGGTTTACTTCCTCTATTTGGGATTTTCTATCTGCTTCTTGCTTCTGTGAGAGTCACCCCAACCTCACTTCCTAATTCCAGCAGTGACAGTCCCTACCTGTAGCAGCAGCTGAATCCAGTTTGCAGCTTTTCCCACACATATAGAACCAGTCTCATCGTGCCCCCATCCCAGAGACACCCAGCCAGCCAGCACCCCCTCCTCAGGAGGCTGGGTCCAGGCCCCATGAAACCTCTTCTCTCAGCGCAAAGACACCAACACCAGCCAACTGGCTGGTGTCCCTTCCTCAAGCATCTGCAGCTCAGCCTCATGTAGTCCCTCCTCCTGGCCTTTAAGTTTTAATGATTTCAACTTCCTCCCTTTGTTTCCTCGGCCATAGGGACGGTAGCTGTTTCCTAAAGTTGCTACCTACATGATATGTTAGAATTTTCTTTTTGCCTCTTTAAGTATTTTTTGGGTTGAACTGTGTCCCCTAAAAAGATGTTGAGGTCCTAGACCTCAGTACCTGTGAATGTGACCTTACTTGGAATTAGGGTCTTTGTAGATGATCAAGTTAAGATTAGGCCATTAGGATAGGCTCTAATTCAATTTGACTGGTGTCCTTACAAAAAGGGGAAATTGAGGCACAGGGACAAACATATACAGAGAGAAGGCAATGTGAAGACACAGGGAGAAGACCATCTACAAGCCAAGGAAAGCCTGAAGCTACCAGAAACTAAGAGAGAGAGACCTGGAACAGATTCTCCCTCATAGCCCTCAGAAAGAACCAATCCTGCCAACACCTTGATCTTAGATTTCTGACCTCCAAGGATGTGAGGCAATAAATTTCTCACTATTTAAGCCACCCAGTTTGTGGTACTTTGTTATGGCAGCCCCCCAAAAAAATAATATAAATACTAAGTTGACTACTTTACACTTAACAATTTTTACAGTAAATTCTCTGTTAAAATAAGTGGTGGGGGGCCAGGTGCAGGGGCTTATGCCTGTAATCCTAGCACTTTGGGAGGCTGAGGCAGGCAAATCACTTGAGGTCAGGAGTTTGAGACCAGCCTGGCCAATATGGTGAAATCCCATCTCTACTACAAATACAAAAATTAGCTGGAAATCACTTGAACCCAGGAGGTGGAAGTTGCAATAAGCCGAGATCATGCCACTGCACTCCCGCCTGGGTGACAGAGCAAGACTCTGTCTCAAATAATAATAATAAGTGGTGGGATTTCTGTCTCCTGACTAGACCCAGACTGATACTTGGGATTCCCTCCAGGAGCAGACCCTGAAAAAAGGATGTGAACGCAAGTAGTTTATTTGGTTTCCAGGCAGTGGGCGAGCAGGTCTGAGAACTTGCCCCAGGCTACCAGCCTCCCAGCTGAGAAAGCAAGCAGGGCTTTTGTGCCTCCCTGCCTGTCAAGTCTGCACACTGGATTCAAGCCCTCCCCCAAGTTCTGGCCAGGAGACTTTGCGATCAGTTGGAATTGTTACAAAGTTCAGCTGGAGGTTTCCTTCTCCCTGTGGTCTTTTCCCAGTACCTCTGGCAGCCCTTCCCAAGGACCCCTGTGAGACAAGTCAGAAATAGGTTCCCTGGGGACCCAGAAAGCCCACAGGGCTTTTCCTGCTGCTTCCTCTACCCCTGTATTTCACTCAGCTTTCTAAATTGACACAGCTTAAGTTAAGGTTGAATCCTTCTCCTGTGATCTAGACCTTCAGGATCCCCAGTGAGGGTGTGTGTTCGGAGGCGGACAATCCCCCTTTCCCACTTTCACAGCTTTAGCACTCACAGTATTTGAGCTGTCTCCCAGATCCTGCAGGAACAATCCACTTCCTTCAGAGGATCTGTGGATTCTCTCAGCTTTCCTTGTATATTTCTGCAGTAGGTCTGGAGCAAAAGTTCACAATGCGAGTCTCCACATGCTGCTCTGACTGTCTGAGTGGGAGCTGCAATCTAGTCCTGCCTCCTATCTGCCATTTTCCCTTTCTTTTCCAAGCAGCTTATTTGGGATGTAGCTTATTGGGGAGTAGTTTATTTTGGAGGTGATACCAAGAATAACCAGTAGGAGAGACAAGGAAAGGAAGGAAGGCAATACAGAGTGGGTTATGAAGTTACTGCTATGGGCAATTAGGGTTTAACCCTGCTGGGGGCCTCTGAGTGACTCTGTAGAACATGCCTCAGGATGATGAAGCTAGGGTATTTATCCACCAGCTCCTGTCCTTCATTACTGGAGAAGTAGTCCTGGAGACATTAACTCCCTAGCACCTCCAGTCTTCTTTGTGCAGTGACTAAGCATGCTCCTATGGTCAGAGAAAGCCCTCAGGCAGAGTCACAGGTGTTTATGGCAAGAACCAGTCTCATTATGTTCCCTTCCCAGAGACACCCAGGCAGCCAGTACCCCTTCCTCATGGGTCTGGGTCCAGACCCAGTGAGCCTTTTAGAGAAAAAGACACTCAGCACAAAGACACCAGCACCAGACATATATATATATGGTCATATGCAGGAATGGTGAGGACAAAAAGATAGGTGAGTACCAGCAGCATCTGCTACATTGATTGTTAAGTCTTTGAGGTCTAGCTATTCAAAGCCCAAAGTTACCTTAAGTGGCACAGGAGATTATGAAATGTGAGCACCTTTTATTTTGCCTAAAGAATTGTACTGAAGTGGCCAGGTGCAGTGGCTCACGCCTGTAATCCCAACACTTTGAGAGGTCGAGGCAGGCAGATCAAGAGGTCAGGAGTTCGAGACCAGCCTGGCCAACATGTTGAAACCCCGTCTCTACTAAAAATAGAAAAAAATTAGCCAGGCATGGTGGCGCGTGCCTGTAATCCCAGCTACTCGGGAGGCTGAGGCAGGAGAATCACTTGAACCCAGGAGGCAGAGGTTACAGTGAGCTGAGATCACGCCATTGCACTCCAGCCTGGGCAACAGGGCGAGACTCCGTCTCAAGAAAAAAAAAAAAGAATTGTAGTGAAGCCTTTGCAAATCAAGAGCCTCAGCAGAGTTGCACAATACAATACAATAACGTTCCCTTTGCACTTGCTGTCTGAACTTGTCGAATGCATGAAGGTATATTATGAAGATTTATTTAAACTATTTTGTTTATAGTCCTGATCCTATATCCTCTTTCCAGTGACTTGACAGAATCACAGAAAGTAAGAGAACGTCTAAGAGATCAACTTGTTTGCAAGTTTAAAAAAAAAAAAAATCAGACTCAAATCTTTCTGCAAACAAAATCTTACAATAGCAAAAACAGCTGAAAGTGGAGTTGTTCGAGTTGACACTTGTGACGGGGCAAAAGTTGAGGGGTTTTCTCTTTTTTTGTGTGCCCTCTCCCTCACATTCCACTGGCACCCTCGAAGGGAGGTCAGAAAACCCCTAGTGCTCATTTGGCCCAGTTTAACAAGCAGTGATCTACTCCAACCTTCTCTTGCTAATGGGGAGAGAGAATTCCCATTTTTCTCCCCCAAAGTCTACAAAACAATACCATGTTATCTAACATTGACTTTATCTTTGTTTTTAAAAACCTCATAATTTGGATCAGAATAATTCAGAATGGCTGACTGGGTTTTTACTTGAATGCTTACTACTGCAAACAGGATTCGCAAAGCGAATTAATTAGATTAAAATAAAATGGTTTGATGACCATTTCCACTTAAAAATCCTTCCAGCCACTTTATATAATGTGTTTTCATTTTTTAAACTGGGAAAAACAGCTCAGTGGAGGGACAGAAGTGAAAAGTGGGATAGGAGAAAGAACTGGCAGCTACCGATGTAAGAATCAGTAAGTAGTTCTTGAAGGAGTACTGACATCGTATGCGTGGATAAGCTTCCTGAAGGTACGAAGCCCAAAATGAAAAGAACAGAAACCACAGGATGGGGCTTAGAAGCCAACTATCATTAACGGAGGAGAAAAATTAGCAAAGACACAGGAGAGTCAAACAGATAAGAAAAAACACAACTAATGTCAGAATGTAACAGAGAAGAGAGGTTTAAAGAGATTCAAGTAGTTAATGTAGCACAGCTGAGTAGTTAAGAATGAAAGTTAAATTTGTGCCACTGGCTTTGGCCAAATGATTTTAATGGTGCTCTTAAATGACACAGTTCTAAGGAATGGTAATGCAGATTCCAGAGGATTCTAAAGAACATAGGTGTGGCCACCTATTGGGATCTTTACTAATTAAAAAAGAAAAAAGTCTGCTTTTCATGAGGTTCTTTTCAATGAATCTTTTGTTAAACCTCAATTACCTGTAGTCTACTTTTTCCTTAATTTGTCCTCTAGCCAAGGTTATGGGTACCAATTTGATGAATCTGTAGTTCAGCTAAAGGCTCTCCTATTTTAATCTGCATCACAGCTTGATTTCTTAGTATAGTTATGTTTGTGGAATGCTAAGAGGCTATTAAAGCATTTTTGTTGTATCTTCTGAAGATGGCTCGATTCTGGACATAATTCTTCAATCTCATAATTTTTTCAGTTTTATATTTATTGAACAGTCATAATTTATTTGAAAAGGCCTGCAACAAGCATCAGTGGTAGTTTTCATTATTTAACAGTTTTCATAAGAATTCAATATGTTAGAATGCATTCCTTACTGGCACTTCAATATGCAGGTCTATACTCTATCCAACTGACAATAATTCTTGTGCGCTGGTCAATCCTTACTCAGGGTCATCCTTACTGCAATGAATTGAAACTTTAATACTTTTGAGAATTTCTGTGGTGTTCCTCACGGTACTGAGAATGGCAGCAGGGAGATTTTTATCAAAACAGAAGGGATCCCTCATTTTGATGCTGCTTCTGAGGGATAAGTGATGATCACGTTTCTGTCCTTCCCTGATTCTTCACTATCGCTGGCAATCTGCATGTCATGAGTAATGAGGACCACCATTCCCTTAGCCCTCAAGCAAGAGACTCAGGAATGATCTTTGCCTCTTCACTCTCATGCCTCCCTGTGGGTGTTACTAAATTCTGTTTTTTCTTCTTTCACACGTATTCTAGTTATCTATTATCGTGTAACAAAACACCCTGCAATAGTTTGTTTCATGTTTCAACTTGACTGGACCACAGGATGCCCAGGTAGCTGGTGAAATGTTATTTCTGGGTGTTTCTGTGAGAGCGTTCCTGGATGAGATGAGCATTTGAATTGGTGGACCGAGTCAAGCAGATGGCCCTCCCCAGTGTGGGTAGGCATCATCCAACCTGTTGAGGACTTGAACAGAACAAAAATGTGGAGGGAGATTGGATTCAAGCTACTCTGCCTGACTGCTTGAACTAAGACATCAGTCTTCTTCTGCCCTCCTGGTTCACAGACCTTCAGACTCAAACCGGAATCTACCCCATCAGCTCTCCAGCTCTCAGGCCTTTAAACTACACCACCAGCTTTCCTGCATCCCCAACTTGCAGACAGAAGATTACGGGACTTCTCAGCCTCCTTAATTATGAAGCAAAACCACACACATACACACACACACACATATCCTATTCTGTTTCTTTGGAGCATCCCGACTAATACACTAATACACACCTCAAACTCAATAGCATAAAACAACAACCATTTAATGCTCACAGATTCTGTGGACTAGAAATTTAGACAGGGCCCAGAAAGGATGGCTTGTCTATGTGCTATAATTTGGGGGACACACAGATTCAGATTTAGCTGGAGGTGGCTCAAATGACTGGGAGCTGGAATTATCTGAAGGCTTCTTCATTCACCCATCTGGCACCTGGACTGGGATGACTTCAAGGCTGGGCTCGGTTGGGACTGTTGACCAGGGTACCTACATGTTGTCTCTCTGTGTGGCTTGGAGTTCCTTACAGCATAGAGCCTCACTTCCAAGAGGCAGTGTCCTGAGAAGTGGCATGTACAGAATTAGTATTTCAAGGGAAGCAGGTAGAAACTGCCTGGTCTTTTCTGACATAGCCTCAGATATCATGCAGCATCACTTTCATTACATTCCATTGGTTACAAGCAAGTCACTATGGCCACCCCATATTCAAGGGGAGGGGCCCCTTGATGGAGAAGTGGCAAGTTCTCACTGCAGAAGAGCATGTGGGATGGGAGATATTGTTGTAGCCATCTTTGGAAAATACAATCTGCTACAACACTTTTGATGGTCATTTTTGCTCTCTGTTTTGTAACAACTCAGCAAAACCCCTCGTCTGAGCCCTGGCTATCTTCCAGTCACACAGTAAAAGCCTTCTCTGCAATAGCTTCTATATTTCTTTTCTTTTCTAAAACACAAATTTATTATTTTACAGTTCTGTAAGACCAACACAGGTCTCACCAGATAAAATCAAGGTGTCGGCAGTGCTGCATTCCTTTCCACAAGGCTCTAAAGGAGAATCTGTTTCTTTGTTCATTCAGGTTGTTGGCAGAATTAAGTTCCTTATACTTGTGGGACTAAGGTCCCATTTCCTTGCTGGCTGTCAGCTGAGGGCTGTTCTCACCTTCTAGAGGTCTCTGAATTCCTTGGCTCATGGCCCCTTTTCTCTAGCTTCAAAGCCAACAACAGTGGGTGAGGCACGTCCCTCTCACACTGCCTGTCTCTCCTGACTCTTCTTCCATGACATCTCTCTGACCTACTCTTGTGCCTTCCTCTTCTACCTTTAAGGCCCCTTGTGACTACATTGGGTCCACCTAGGTAATCCAGGATAATCCCCTTATCTTAGGATCCCTAACCTTAATTCCATCTGCAAAGTCCCTTTTGCCAGATAATATAACACATACAGGCATAACAGCAGGGATTAGGATATAGACATCTTTGGGGGAGGAGGGCCTTATTCAGCCTGCTGCAGTGACTCCACATGAGAGCATTGCTTCTGTTTCTCGTTTTATTATTATTGTTGTAAAATATACGTAACATAAAATTTGCCATTTTAACCATTTTAAGTGTACAATTCAGTGGCATTAAGTACATTCACAATGTTGTGCAATCATCCCCACTAACCATTTCCAAAATCCTTTCACCATCCCAAACCAAAGCTCTATAACTGTTCATCAATAACTCTCCATTCCTCTCTCTACCCGGTAACCAATAATCTCCTTTTTGTCTCTACAAATTTGCCTACTCTGGATATTTCATATAAGTGGAATCATATACAATTTACCCTCTTGCATCTGGCTTATTTCACTTTATTCCTTTGTATGGCTGAATAATATTCTGACATATGTATATACCACATTTTATTTATCCATTCATCTGTTGTTGGATACTTGGGTTGTTTTCACCTTTTAGTTTATGAATGATGCTGCTATGGATATTAGTATACAAGTACCTGCATGAGTCCTTGATTTCAGTTCTTTTGGGTAAATACCAAGGAGTAGAATTACAGGGACATATAATTCTAAGCAGGAACCAATAGTTCTATGTTTAACTTTTTGGAAAAAATGCCAAATTGTTTTCCACAGCAACTTCACCATTTTATATTCACATCAGCAATGTATGAGGGTTCCTATTTCTCAACATCCTTGCCAACACTTGTTATTTTCTGTTTTTTTTTTAATTATCCTAACAGGTGCAAAGTGATATCTCACTGTGGTTTTGGTTTGCATTTCTCTAATGACTAATGATGTTGAGCATGTTTTTATGCACTTATTGGCCATTTGTATACCTTCTTTGGAGAAATGTCTATTAGAGTCCTTTGCCCATTTTTAAATTTAAGTTGTTTGTCTTTTGTTTGTGGAGTTGTACGAGTTTTTCATGTATTCTGGATATTAAATGCTTATCAGATATATGAGGTTTTAGTCTGCTCAGGCTGCCATAACAAAATACCATAAACTGGGTGGCTTTAACAACAGAAATTTGGCCGGATGTGGTGACTCACGCCTGTAATCCCAGTCCTTTGGGAGGCTGAGGCGGGGAAATCACCTGAGCTCAGGAGTTCAAGACCAGTCTGGGCAACATAGCAAAACCCCGTCCCTACAAAAAATACAAAAATTAGCCCGGCATGGTGGTGCACTCCTGTAGTCCCAGCTACTCAGGAGGCTGAGGCAGAATGAGCCCAGGAGGTGGAGGTTGCAGTGCGCCAAGATTGTACCATTGCAGTCCAGCCTGGGAGGCAGAGCAAGGCTCTGTCTTTCAAAAAAATAAAATTATTTTCTCACATTTCTGAAGGCTTGTAAGTCCAAAATCAAGGCACTGGCAAGATAGGTTTCATTCTGAGGCCTCTTTGCTTGGCTTGCAGGTAGCTACCATCCCACTTCTTTTCTTTGTGCAGCACAGAGAGCAAACATGCTCTGGTCTCTCTTCCTCTTCTTACGTGGACACCAATCCCATTATGAGTTTCCACCCTCACGACTTCACCTAAACCCAATTACCTCCCAAAGGCCTCACCTCCAGATGTATCACATTGGGGATAGGGCTTCGCCATACAAACTTTAGGTAGGCATGAATATTTTGTCCACAGCATATGCAAATATCTTCTCCCATTCTGTGGGTTGCCTTTATACTCTCTGAACAGTGTCCTTTGATAGACAGAAGTTTTTAATTTTGATGAAGTTCAATGTATCTCTTTTTTCTTTTGTCACCTGTGCTTTTGGTGCCATATTTTAGAAACCACTGCCAAATCTGGGTTATGCAGAACTTCCCATTATGTTTTCTTCTAAGAGTTTTAAGTTTTAGCTCTTATCCTTAGGCCTTTAATCCACGTTGAGTTAATTTTTGTATATGATGTCAGGTAAGGGTTTGACCTCATTATTTTACATGTGGATATTCCAATGCCATTTGTTGAAGAGATTGCTCTTCTCCCATTGAATTGCATTGACACCCTTGTTGAAAATGAATTGAACACTTCTCTATTTCTTGAGCAACTTTTATAGGGTAATCGCTATTTGTTGCTTCTTTAATTTTTCCCTCTATTCTCATTAGTTTTGTTGATCCTGTCCTCAGAATATCACAGTAATTTCTGTGAACTAAGGTCAAGGCTGTTTCTTTCAGTGAGCAGTGCTCAGTCCACCTGGTCTGTCCCCAAGTCCCTCTATACTGTCATATAATTCTCCCCTAGCAGAGAATGTCCTATGGACAGGCAGTTTGTAAATTGTCCTCCTACTCCTCTTTCAATAGTTTTTATAAGCACCCCCACCCCATCCTTTGTTGCAGATTGTCAGAACTAGATCAAAGAACATTTCCAGACCCTGCCTCTCATTCTTCTCCCAGTCACGCATTCCATCTTGTGGCCTCAAGTTAAAGACTCATCGCTTCATTCACTCATTCATTCATTTAACAAATACTTGTCAAATCCTTCTATATGCCAGGCACTGAATTTGATGCTGGAATTTTCTATTCTCTGCCAAGTTGCTTTGGAGTAGTATTTCCCTAGGGCTAGCTCTTTAATTGTCTGCTTCAGCTTTGGCCCTGGTTGTAGCTTTTTTTAACGCCTTTGGCTCCATGCCTATCTTTCCTCAACTTCCTGAAATTCTACCCTGTGTTTGAACCCTGTACCTCCCGCTTGGCTAGAAACAGAGGTTATACAGTCTTCCCAAAAACATTATTTGTCTCCTCATGATAATAAAAGAGGCTACCTTGAATTGACACCTACTCTGTGCTGGATATTGTGCTGGACACTTGACAGTTTATCTCTAATGTTTACTCTGCCAATCATTGTTTTGGCCCTAAGTATACAACAGGGGACAAAACAAAGTTCCTACCTGAAAGGAGCTATGTTCTCTTGTAATCCTTGACATGATTCCGCAAGGCACAAAGAAGCAAAGGGGCCCAGAGAGCTTAAGTAACCTGCCCCAAACCACACAGCTATTAAGTGTCAGAGCTGGAATTTGAACCTAATTCTCTGACCTCAACGATTATATTCTCTATACTGAATCAAGCTACCTCTCATGGTCTCACTGTAGTCAGTAGCTCACATTTTCCAGCAGAAAATTTCTCAACACCAAAACTGTCACATTTTATAAATGGATTAAAACCTTGATGAACGATAACAACTGCATGTATTAAAGTACATGTAATTTGTAGATCAACTAGAAATTTTTATTTGTTTCAACCTTAATTTTTGGCATCCTTTAAAAAATATATTGGTTAGCTTTTCTGCTTTTATAAGAATAGTGCCGGCTGGGGGCGCTGGCTCACGCCTGTAATCCCAGCACTTTGGGAGGCCGAGGCGGGCGGATCACGAGGTCAGGAGATCGAGACCATCCTGGCTAACACGGTGAAACCCCGTCTCTACTAAAAATACAAAAAATTAGCCTGGCAAGGTGGCGGGCGCCTGTAGTCCCAGCTACTCGGGAGGCTGAGGCAGGAGAATGGCGTGAACCCAGGAGGCGGAGCCTGCAGTGAGCCGAGATCGCGCCACTGCACTCCGGCCTGGGCGATAGCGAGACTCCGTCTCAAAAAAAAAAAAAAAAGAATAGTGCCTTGGGTTGCTCTTTATGTGCAGCAGTAGTATCCCCTTTCTATACTAGACATGTTTTCGAGGTGCAATAGTTTGAGCGCAGGCAGGCTACCTCCAGGTCAAATAGCTAATTTTTGTATTTTTAGTACATCTGAGTTAGTAGTCTATATTCTAGCCTTGGCTCTGCTACAAGTTAGATGACTTCGTACAACTTGGGTCTTTTCTTGAGCCTCAATTCTGCCTTCTTTCATATAAAAGAGATTGGGTTAAAAGCAATACTGTTAGGCCGGGCACAGTGGCTCAGTCCTGTAATCACAGCACTTTGGGAGGCCAAGGCAGGCAAATCACCTGAGGTCAGGAGTTCGAGTGCAGCCTGGCCAATGTGGCAAAACCTTGTCTCTACTAAAATTACAAAAATAAAGTGGGTGTGGTGGCACGTGCCTGTAATCCCAGCTACGCGGGAGGCTGAGGCAGGAGAATCGCTTGAACCCAGGAGGTGGAGGTTGCGGTGAGCGGAGATCATGCCACTGCACTCCAGCCTGGGCGACAGAGTGAGACTCTGTCTCAAAAAAAAAAAAAAAAAAAGGGTAATACTTTTCGTGTAGTGTTTTACATTTTTCAGTCAATATTTGCATATCAGCTGATTGATCATAATAATGACCTCATTATCCCAATTTTATAGATGTTTCAGATTATGTTTAAGGACATGCTCAAGTAATAAAGACTTAATCTTAACCTTTATCTGTAGACCCCAATCCCATGTTATTTCAGAAGAAAGGATCTTCAATGTCTCCTGCAGTTTCTACAATCTAAAATTTTACAGCCATGCTACTTGAGTTCTGATTAATCAAGGTTGTACTTATTCCAGCTCTATTTTATCATTTTTCTGAATATGTGCTACTATGTTCACCAGTATGAACAAAATAGTTATGAAAAAACTTGTTGGAATTCAGGTTACTAGAAATCAAGAACTTTTGACTTTTCTTGCTTAGAAAATAGCTTAAGTATGAAAAGTTGACATTTATTGAGTTTTTACTATGGGCAAGGGACTGTTGCAACTACTATATACATATTAACTCATATAAGTTTCCAACCAGCCCTCTAAAGTAAATAACATTATGATGCCCATTTTGCAGATGATGGCTACTGAGGTATAAAGAGATTTGCCATATTAACCAAAGTCCCATGGTGTGTTAGATTGCATTATTTGCTCGCAATTTTTGCTTCTTGCCATGTCCCCCCTCCATAGGAGAAGTATACTTCCCTGCTCCATTGACATAGGCTTTGGCCAATCAAATGTTAGTTGGCGTAACACAAGTAACGGTTTTAAAAGTGCCTGTGTAGTTTGGCTTTCTTTCTTAAACTTCTGCCCATCTGCCATGGGGCAACATGCCCTGAGTAACTTCTCCAGAATACGGAGACACATGGAACAGACCTGAATCCAATCTGCACCCTGGAATTAAGCCCAGCTGATTCCAGCTGAGCTCAAGAGAACCACAGTCAACCCAATGGCTTACTAGTGAGAAAAATAAGGGAGATTTGATAGTTATTTGTTACACAGTATTAGTTTAGCAAAATCATGAATAACACACAGAGCTGAGACAAGGTACAATCAGAATTCAAACTCCATAGCCCACATTTGACTTGAACTACTTCTAATCAATTTAAGGCACTGTTCTATAAGTACTCAGTTCACAGCTATTTGACCTGGAGGCAGCCTGCCTGTGCTCAAAGTATTGCACGTTGAAAACATGACCAATATATAAAGGGGATACTATTGCTGCACAAAAACAGCAACGCAAGGCAGACAGGCTTGTACTTACTTAGACAGGCTCTCACTCCACTAAAAATAATTCATAGATTTTGCTCTTGGGGGCCACATAGCCCAATTCAGTATGTTCTGCAAACCAGCTTGGACAAAGTGATGTGTACTCAATCACTTTTCTTAGATTTACTAATTGCTTTATTTTTCTTTTGTACTAGAATCATAAACTTGGATGAGATATCCTGTTTTAATGGTGCTGCACAAAGGGCATGGGAAGTCTTGTAATGGTTCTTTCAAGATTTTTTTTTCCTCTGGTAGCACCTGAGGCAACATTATTAATTGTGTCTAACTCCATGTGGCACCCATAAATGTCAGTACTTGTTTCTGCCCACTAGTCTCTCACTTGGCTTATCTGTGTGGGGCCAAATTGAATGGTGCCTTCATTCCCAGATGGCGTCCCTGCCACTCCCGGATGCCTGGCTCAAGATTCCCTGGGTCTTAGATAATCAGGAATGTAAATCTCTTCATCCACTCAGTAAATATTTGTTGAGCATTTGCAAGATGAGGTATCATGCTAGGCAGGCACTGACATGTCCTTTGTTGTTTTCTCTACACCATAAACAGGTGACAAAAGAAGATGTGGGTAGACTGAGGCTAGAAAGCTCTTCCTGCCTCTTTTCTTCACTTTTCTTCTGGTGAGTCTTGGTATTGTCACCTCCCAGGTATCCTTCCAGTCTTTCTCAATTCTCTCTAGCCTCTGGCTACCCTCTTTCCCTTCCACTCCACACATTTAAGCTCCTTCCTAAGGCAGATCTTTTCCGTACCCCTTAAGTAATATCATTTGCCCCTTTACATGTCAATCGAATCTACCTTGACTACAGTTTAGGAATTATACACTCAGGGGCAGCTAATATTTCTGGCATATGTAGATAAGGCATCATCACTGGTGGGGATGAAACTGCTATTGACAATATTTCCAAGTGTAGAGGCACAGAAAGTGGTGTTACTTTTGGTATGATCAGGCTTCTCTACCTCTTTGAGCCTCAATCCCCTCATTTGTTAAAAAAAATGCATGCAAAACAACTTGAATACACCCCAACAAAAGGGTGGTTAAAGAAGATATGGAATATACATAATTTGGGATTCTATGTAGCCATTTTTTAAAATGAGGTAAATTTATAGGAACTCACATGGAGAGAGAAGTTATTATTGCAAGTAAAAAGCAAGTCAGTAATGCATGATCACATTTGTAATACAAAACACATATTATTAGGACTTATTTTAGTCAGAACCTGTGCTAGGCACTCCTCGTGTGTTGTCATATTTAATCTTCATAATAACACTACAAACTGGTCATTATTATTTTCCCCCACATTAAAGGTGAGGAACTAAGAGATGATAAGTCACTTCCAAGGCTAGTAAGTGTTGCAGAAAAGATTTGAATGCCAGACCCCCCAGCTTGAGATATTCCTTGAGTTATAATTCTCCTGTATAGAAAATGGAGTAAAAAAAAAATAAAGCACTGTTCTGATTCTTCTCCCTGATTCTAGGCTTTTAGTCTCTTCAGAACAGTGGTTTCCCATTGTGTGGAATTTGTACTACTGATGGTGGTAGGAGAGATAATTTCAGAGATGGCTTTTGGCAGGCCTCACACCTACCATTAAATAACATTAAGTCACATAGTGACAGCATTATTCCTTGTTCAATTCTTTTTAATCCTCTGATTACATCACTACCAAAGTTTCAATTCAGTGTGCTAGTCTGTAATACTCTGTAACACTTTCTCTTTCTCTCTCTCTCTCTCTCAACAGAAAGCTGATCTCAGGCCCTGAGCAAGCAAGTGTATCTAGTTAGAATTCAGTAACACTGTGCTGTTTTCATTATATTTTTCTCTATGGTAATCTTCTATTTAAGGCAAGTGATACAGGGTATTCATTTCTGGTGATAATGAAGTGTTTCCTCCTTTAAGGTAACATAGTTAACATTTTTCTTCATTTAAGCTTATTATTTTAAAGACAAATATTAAGTAGTAGGATAAGTGGTAAAATAAAACAAAAGTCAGTACTTACACGACTTAAATGTGAAATACTGTACTGTGAAATAAAGCAAATGCCTCCAAATAGTCATAAAACTGAACTTACCTGTCTACACACACCAACTATTTGTCAATCAGTTGATATCAATAAGATAACATGAATAACATATATTTTATATAAACAAAATTTGAACAGTAAAGTGTAAATAAAGTTTTGACTGCTAAGTAAGGAACCTAAGTTCAGTAAGGAACATAAGAAATATAAAGTCACAATAACTGATGCTTATTTAACACTTAATATGAGCCAGGCACCATAAGCCTATGACCTATTATCCAGTCAATGACACCCAGTCATCCAATGAAGTCTGTGTTGGAGACTCCAAATTAACTAATTAATTACATGTATTATGTTTTACATATATTAACTGACAACAATGCTATAAGATAGATATCATTATCTCCATTTTATAGATGAAAAAACTGAGGTACAGTGAAGTTAAATAACATGTCCAAGGTCACATAGATTGTTAAGTCTGACTCCAGAGTCCATGTTCTTAATTACTATGCTATACTGCCTCTTGATGTTTAGATAACAAAATTATTCTAAACATTTATTCAAATTCTTCTTCTTCCTAATTACTTTCTGAGAATCAAGAAACTGAATCTCAGCCTTCAGTTGTCATGCCAGTCATTACTTTGCCATCTATATTCTCTTCTTTGAAAACTTGCTTTATCTTCCACCATAGAAATGGCAAGCTTACTACATCCTATGTTATGTCATCCCCATCCTTAGTCACAGTTGATTGCACCAGGGGATTACACCTGACCCAATCTGTGACAATCAGTTACTTTCTCCTGGAAATTTGGAATTGGAACATGGTGAAACTGAATTCAGAAATCAGGGTGCTGAGAGACTGAATCTTGGATAGAAAATCGAGTAGAGACAGGGTAGGAGCCAGTGCCATGGCAAGCTAAATCCACACATGAGCTGAAGTTAGGATGTATAAAAAAAAAGCCATGCAAGACAGCACCAAGCAACCTTGCCAAGAGAAGAAATTGTGCTGTGGCTCCACAAGAGTTGGCAGGACCCCCTTCGGTGCCTGACGTCCCAGTTCCCATTCCTCTGTGGTGTGGCCACAGTCCAGTTCTTATCCTTGAGTGCTTATGAGATTGTAGCATTTTATGTGACAATAAATCCCGCTTTACTTCTAGGTAGCTTGAGTCGATTTTTATCTCTTGCTATCAAACATGTCTAAATAGGAATGAAGTTGCATACAATAGAGAGATAATCTGAAACTACCCATAGAGTGATGGTAGAATCAGTGGTCATAAGGTGTCCCCAGCCCCGGGCTGGGAAAATGGCAATACGTGTATAGGTGGCAAAGCAACTGCTTAAGTTATAGCCAGCAGTCTCAAGTGCCTGTGAAGGGACACCCATCGAGAAGGAGGGTTTAGGGGACTTGGTAGCCAAATGTAAGGATGTCTGAGTGACTGAGCTACATCATGGTAGCCAAATGTAAGGATATCTGAGTGACTGAGCTACATTAAGTAAAGAACATCAAGAAAAAGACAAATTCTTTCCAAAGTGCCCAGCTGGAGGAAGATAAAGAAAAGCAAGACACTTAGGTCATTTTCATAGGCTGTTCTTCCTGTCTGTAACAGTTTGTCCCAGGGAAATACTGGAAAATCTCTGAAGTCTGAAATGTCTTCGGCAGGAAAGTTTATAATACTTTACTGAGTGATGATTTGGAAAGTTGTTAGTAGGCCTGATAGTCATAAATAAGTCATCTTGCAGAGATAATTTAAATTACACATCATTGGTAATGATTATTCAGGTGTAATGAGTTTAATTGATTACAAGAGAGTGGCTTTTTTTTTTAAGATGATGTAATAACTACCAGTGCTAGTTCACTGTTTGAAGTGCACACTGGTGGGAATGACTGAAAATTTTAAGGTATCTGATTTGCATTCGTTGTGAGAGATATTTTAAAATATGTAAACAGGATTGACGCTCTCCCATAGCCCTGGATTGCCCTATCTGTCACTAAAAGATAAGGCTTTGGTTAATGCTCAAAAGCTCCTATTTTAAGGCAGTTATCTCAAGCAAATTCACAAAATCCAGTATTATTGGTTCCTGTCTCCCCCAGCCAAAGAGGGAAAAAAGAAGAAAGAAAAGAAAAGAGATCTTGCCACCAACCCCTCCTCAGCAAATTGAGGGCAGGCCTACAACCCCCAGACACAGTGAATTATTATGTAAGCCTGCCTTCCCTGTTCTTTCTTCCCCAATCCACCATGGGCCAATTTGGAGATCCAGGAGTAGTCAAAATAATAACAATAAAGTGAGTATATGTGGCAGTCATAGAGATGTGCTGCTCAGATTGTCCTTCAAGAAAAAACTTGTCATCCAGCTGCAAGAAGCTCAGGCAGCTGACCGCACCCAGATGTAATGTCTTCAGCATCTGCCTCAGCTCAACCAACCCCAGCCAATGACTCATCATGGCAGAAGAACCAGGGACTGGCCATTTCTGCCTAATGCAGGACTCCTCTAATGGCAATCAGATCATGTAGGGCCTTGTAGGCCACAATGAGGCCTTTGACTTTGACAAGAGTGAGGAGTCTGGAGGGTTTTGATAAGAGGAGTAACATGATCCGGCTTATCAGGATCACTCTGATTGCTCTGTGGATGGGGAGCTTGAGTGGAAGAAAGGAGGCCAGTGGCAGTTTGTTGCAACAGTCCAGGAGAGAAAGGTTAAAATGATATTGGTTTGAAGCAAATGGGGTAGCAGTGGAAGTGAGAAGAAGTAGCTGGATTCTGGATATATTTTGAAGGTACAAATGATAGGATTTGCTGATTGATCGCATGTGTATGGTGTAGACGAGAGGCATCAAGGATGACTCCAGGGGATTTGGCCAGAGCAACTGGAAAGGCAGCTATTTCCTGAGATAAGGGACACTGCCGGAGGAGCAGTTTTAGAAGGAAGACTGGAAACTCCGTTTGGGACATGTTTTGTGTACGATGCCAATTACACAACCAAGTGGACCTGCTAAGGAGGCTGTTGTATCATCAGAAAATTCTCAGGATCTGAAACAACACAGCAATCTAGCCAAATAATTGCTAGGCTTCAATTCAAAGGATGCCGACCCTTGCCAGAAAGATACGTTTTGATGATGTATCTCCCTACAAGAGACTCCTTGCCAGTTTTCTTCCTCCAAAGCTGAACTTGCTCCAATGTTCCGTATCTCAGTAAGTGGCAACACCATCTATCCTGAAACCCAGAAGCCACTATCTTTTCCCTAAATATTCCTCTCAAACATACATCCAATCAACCACCAAGCTCTATTTATTCACCCTCCTCTATATGTCTTAAATTCATCTACGTTTTTCATCATCACTCCTATCTCTCTGATTCAAATACTGCCATTGTTCACCTGGACCACTGCAGATGGTCTCCTGTGTTCTTTCACATCCCTTATATCCATTCTGGATTCTACAGAGAAAGGGAAAATTAACACACAAGTTTGCCCAGGAGTACCCAGGATCCCACCCCACCTTGGGCTCAAAACCTGGGATGGACAGTGCAAACTCAGATAGTTGTGTGAGAATCCAGGAATATCAGGAGTGGTGTTGGATGGTGGCAAATAAGGATAATTGACATCCTTTTGAATTGGTAGTGAC
Source organism: Homo sapiens (assembly GCF_000001405.40). Taxonomy (NCBI): domain Eukaryota; kingdom Metazoa; phylum Chordata; class Mammalia; order Primates; family Hominidae; genus Homo; species Homo sapiens. The sequence goes on along the minus strand of NC_000023.11, from coordinate 41,955,108 downwards.
AAATAATGGTTATTGAATTTGGGGAAATATTTAATAAATATAGTGGAAAATGATAAAATAAGTTATCTGCTTTAGCTAAAGTTTCCTTGATTTAGCTTGATATGGTTTGGCTCTGTGTCCCCACCCAAATCTCATCTTGTAGCTCCCATAATTCCCACTGTTGTGGGAGGGACCCTGTGGGAGATTATTGAATCATGGGGGCGGGTCTTTCCCGTGCTGTTCTTGTGATAGTGAATGGGTCTTTTGAGATCTGATAGTTTTAAAAACTGGAGTTTCTCTGCACAAGCTCTCTCTTTTTGCCTGCTGCCATCCATGCAAGACGAGACTTGCTCCTCCTTGCCTTCCACCATGATCGTGAGGCCTCCCCAGTCATGTGGAACTGTGAGTCCAATTAAACCTCTTTCTTTTGTAAATTGCCCAGTCTTGGGTATGTCTTTATGAACAGTGTGAAAACAGACTAATACATAGCTAAAGTTGAGTTTGATAACAAAAAATGATGTTATATTTATTTGCACATTTGGGCCATGATATGTGATGTCAACCTGGCTCAATGAACCATTATTACCTTTTCGTCTGTAAGAAACACACCATTCCTTCTACCCAAATGCTCTTTCCCCACCCCAAATGGATTGCTATTTATCCTTCAAAGCTCAGCTTCAATGGCCCTTCCTCAAAGAAATATCCACCCCCAGATTCAGTGGGTTCCCTTTCTACCCATTCTTAACACCTTCAGCATGTCCTTTCCAGCATTTACTACAAGTGTAACTGTATACTCATTTAAATCACTCTTTCATGTCTGTCTCCTCTAGAATGCAAGCACCTAAATGGAGACTGTACTTAACTTGTTTACAAATTGTATATTATAAGGGCATAGCACAGTACCTAGTATATAGTAGATGCTCAATAACCATGTGTTAAATGAATAAATGAATATGGATATTTTGCAATTTCATAATTCCAAATTCACAATCTGGAATTTTTCCTTTTTTTTTTCATTCACACCTTCAATCAGATAGCCAGGTCTGAACCTCAGGGAAGGTATGTGACAAGACAGAGAGTGGAAAAAGCCTGCAAATCTTCCTGACTTTTGTTTTCTAAAAGCCTAAGTCTTTTGGAAAAGATTTGTAGGTTTATATAGAGTTTCTTGAAGAAACATGTAAAGAAAAGGATTTCCCTCAGACTAGAAAGAGATTTCCTCAAACTGGCAGAAGTAAGGGCTCATGGGACCTTAGAGCAAAGGGATTGGTGCCCTGCTTCTCAGCAATGCCCTTGGGGAGGGAGCAACACCTAAGGGACCAAAGGGCACCACATGGTCAAGGTTAGAGTATGTCTCAGTGTGGACCAATCACAGAGCACCAGATGGACACTTCCACATACACAGTATATTGACTCGAGGTAAGATCCCAGCCATGGGAATTAAATAGGCTTTAGGGAAGGCAAACCAAAAAATGATGAAAGTGGCATTTTAGAAAAATTTACAAAAGGTCATTTTTTGCACGCATGGGTTTGTGGACTGACATTCATTAATGCTACACGCTTGCTTTACCAAAGAGATATTTACATACAGTTTAGCTTTCATGCCATACACAGTTTATTCTAGCCCAATCATTTAAAACTGACCCCCTGCGGATGGTGTTGAAAAAACCTTGTATTTACAATCACTTTTGTTCCTTACAATAATCCTGTGAGATAGAAAAAGTATGCATTATTCCCACCACTATCCCATTTTACAGATGAAAAAAAAACTAATTTGGTGAGGTCAAATGAATGGACAAATGTCACCCAGCTATCTCAGAAGCAGAGTTGATCTTCTGAAACATAATTGCATAAAATTCTTTATGTAATGCCATGCTACCTTTATTAATCAAAATGTTGATTTACAAGAACATTCCATCTCCTGACTCTATTAGACAACTATGAGTTTTCTGTATTTTGGATCAATTTTTCCCAACAAAGTTAATTTGCATTTTCCCACGTTCAGTTACAATTTTCAAATATTCTTTATAGAACTGATGTCACATTATTTGTTAATTGTTGCTAAATTATTGAATATACTTGTCTGTTGGTCCAACTAAACTTTTTTTCCCTTTTGGATGAGATACATTCTGCTAAAATTACCTGCTGTTGTTTGTGATTCTGGTGGTGATGCTGCCAGCTGGAAAGAGGAACGACAGCTTGAGTGAAATTTTCATGTTTGATATCTTCAAAGTGAGGCCTGCAATTACTTCTCTCCATTTTAAAATTTAAAACACGGTCGGGCTACTCAAATTGCACAATGCGGTCCTGAGGTGTTCTGATGTTTCCTCAAATTCTAAGACTTGTTTTATAATCATGACTGTATAAACTCTCTCAGTGTCTCCAGCAGCAAACATGGCTACAAAGGAAGCTCACTTCATGAAATACTGATGGAATAAAAAATATTTTCTTTGGTATTCGGCTATGTTAATGTTACCAGGAGGATAATCCCACATCAGCCCTTCACCTTAAAATTGTATATTGTAATAATAGCATTCCAGAGGCATTTGTCAAAAATAAAAATATGATAGACCACTTCATTTCTTTCTAACATCTTCACATAGAGGAACAAAAGAGGGGACAAAGTCTTAAGAAAAATGGTTTTATAAACACAAACATTGACCAGTGACTATTTTAACGATATGGTAAAAACAGTATTATAAAAGGTCTGCTTTGTCTGGTTTTCTATTTTCATCCCCAAAGCAAGCATGTGGTTAATGATGAAAACTAGTTTCACTGAAAGTATGACTGCAGAGATAGAAGTGTGATGGTGTGGAGCAGAGAATGCTGGGCTGGGAGAGCTGCCATGAGGACCGGTTTTGTTGCTGGCTTGTCAGCAAATCATTAACCTCTTTACGTGTATGAGTCTTATTTGTGAAATGAAGATACTACCACCTGTTCTTAATCAAGTGTAAATGGATGTTAGGAGGATTAATTGTACAATCCCTTGAGCTCCAAAGGGAACAGTGAGGTACGTAGACAACAGTCGAAGTCTATTAACTAGATGCTAATAGACCACTATAAAAGCAGATTGCCTGTGTGTTGACATTTTCATTCTCTTATTTAGGAAAGATAAACCATCAAAAACTAGTTTTTAAAGAATCAATAGCTTTAAGAATAAAGAATAATAAACATAAGCACCATCTATCATTGCTAGATACAGACATCTATGTTAGAAACTCCTAATCAGTTAATCTATCAAGTTAACAACCAGGAGTAGATGTGCCATCTAGAAATTTGCTCCCCCTCCCCCCCTTTTTTTTTTTTGAACCCTCTAGAAGAGATAGAGATTATCCAAGGACACACGCACACCAAATCCTTTTTTAAGTCGTCCAAATAGCTCAGGGCATAAGGTTCCAAGTTACCCTGTGGACTCAGAATGCTAAATTGTAAATATAAAATTTCATACATTGTGCCCTAAAATGTAATCAATTTTGAAAATTAGACAAAACATATCTGATTATTATATTGTTCTTATTAAATATATATTTAATGAATAATAATTGTTTTAATTTTCCAGGGTTTAAAAAAACCAGACTAAGGCAATAATTTGAAAAGTTAAGAAGCCTTAGCCAGCACTCTTAAAACATTTATAGGATCCATCAGTTTTATCTCTCAGATAATTGTTTCTATATAATAGCTGGTCTTATACCCCTCATAAACTTTCAAATTAAGCTTCTACATGCTCTCCTGATTCATAATTTTGTTCTTATGGATACTACTGATATCAGTTGAAGTCAAGTCACCTAATGCCTTTCTCTTAAGAAAACGCACAGCTAGCTGCTCATCTTACTTAGAATGAACAATTATGTTTGTAAGAGATAGAAAATACACTAAATAAATGCAATGTGTATAGATAATAAAGAACAATAACAAAATCAGAACATGGAATCCTCAGCCTACTCTTTGACTGAGAGAGGGTTAGTTCTACCGTCCCTGAATAATAGAATGAAACTTACCAAAAATCACATCAGTGTATTTCAAGTCAGATTTTTGTCATTTGAAACATAGTACAGTTAAGTTACAAATTAATTAAAAATTATGTTAAGAAAAAGAAAAGTAAAAAGAGTTTTCTTAGAAGCAAGCAATGAGCATTTAGTGAATGCAAGGCCCTAAAAATATAAAAGGACTATTATGGTGCCATGCACATTCTTCTGCTTGGGGAAATTGGCTCCTAGAAAGAAGATAATAAGCATTGAATCAACTGAAACACAAACTAAATGATGCTAATGTCATGTTAAAATATAGCAAATACTAGTTTTTGTTTTCCATGGCCTCTATTCAATCTCGTCACTGGTTTATCTCACAGACACAGGATTCATATCGTGTATTCGTGTTCTAGTGCTGCACTGCAAATTACCACAGATTTAGTGGTTTCAAACAACACAAATATATTATCTCACAGTTCTGTAGGTTAAAGCCTGGGCACAGTGTACCTGGATTTTTCTGCTTAGTGTCTCACCAGGCTGACATCAAGGAATTGGCCAGGGCTGTGGCTCTCATCTGGAGCTTGGAGTCCTCTTCCAGGATCACTGGTTGTTGGCAGGATTTATTTCCTTGAAGTTATATAATTTAGATCCCTATTTTCTTGCTAACTGTTGGCTGGGGACGGTGCTCAGTTTCTGGAGGTTGCTTGTAGTTCCTTACCATATAGACCCTAGGTGCTTCACGTGGATGTTTGCTTTCTTCTGGGCCAGCCAGTATCACTCTGCCTTCCTCTTCTGTGACCATCTGGAGAAAACTCTTGGCTCTAAAAGGCTCACTGCATTAGGTCAGCCCCACTAAGGATAATCTCCCTTTCTTACAGTCAACTGTGTCTTATAACATAAAGTAATCATGGGAGTGATATCCCATCACATATATAGCTCCCTCCCACTCTCAAGGGGAGGAGATTATATAAAGGTATGAGCCATTGTGGGTCATCTTAGAGTTCTGCCTATCATACATAGTTTACAAAACATTTCAATATAGTTATCATTTCACAATCTCAGAAACCTAATGCCTGTTTTTAAAAATAAGAAAATCAAGATAGGAATAGGACAAAGAGGGGGAGGAACCACCAATTATGGGATTCCTATTGAATTCCAGGACAATACTGAGTGCTTCTTATTTAGTGCCTCTTAATTTTCACAAAGCTTTTGAGATGAGGGCCTTATCCAGCTTTACACGTGAGAAAAACTAGGTTTAGAGTAGATGAGTAATTTGCCCAATGTTACAAGGCATGTAAGAAATATAGCTAAGGCTTGCATCCAAGTCTTTTGATCCCAATTTCCTTTTTTTTATTTTCTTTTTAAATCGTTATTCAAAATGAGAACAAAATATTTTGTGTGATGTGTGCTTGACAAAAAGAAGAAAAGAGTTACTGATGTAAGAGCGTCCTGGGTGTGGCAGTTGAAAAGAATATGGGCAAATGTGCAAGTGTGATTCAGATACAGTGATGTTGCTCAGAAGGAAATATAACACCAGCAAATGGGAATAACTCTGTGAAGGACGACTGGACCACATCTACCCAAATTACAAAAGTATATGACCTTTTTTTTTTTTTTGAGTTGGAGTTTCGCTCTTGTTTCCCAGGCTGGAGTGCAATGGTGCAATCTCAGCTCACTGCAACCTCTGCCTCCCAGGTCCACGCGATTCTCCTGCCTCAGCCTGCCGAGTAGCTGGGATTACATGCATGCATCACCATGCCCAGCTAATTTTGTTTTGTTTTTTTTTTTTTTAATAGAGACAGGGTTTCTCCATGTTAGCCAGGCTGGTCTCGAACTCCCAACCTCAGGTGATCCACCCACCTCGGCCTCCCAAAGTGCTGGGATTACAGGTGTGAGCCACCACGCCCAGCCCAACAAAAGTATATGACCTTTAACCTAGCAATTCTACTTCTAAGAATGATTTCCTACTTCTTAAAATAAAGTCTGTGGTAATTTGCAGTGCAGCACTAGAAAACTCATACACGATATGAATCCTGTGTCTGTGAGATAAACCAGTGATGAGATTCAACAGAGGCCATGGAAAACAAAAACTAGTATTTGCTGTCTTTTAACCTGACACTAGCATCATTTAATTTGTGTTTCTACAGATAGATTTCCTCATGGGAAAAATGAAGCACATACCAAGTTACGCTTTTCAGTACTGTTTGTTAAAAAACAAAAAAAAGAATGGGGGCCGAGCATGGTGGCTTACACCTGTAATCCCAGCACTTTGGGAGGCTGAAGAGAGTGGATCACCTGAGGTCAGGAGTTCAAGACCAGACTGGCCAACGTGGTGAAACCCCAACTCTACTAAAAATATAAAAAAATTAGCGGGACATGGTGGTGCATGCCTGTAATCCCAGCTATTTGGAAGGCTAAGGCAGGAGAATCTCTTGAACCCAGGAGGCGGAGGTTGCAGTGAGCTGAGATCGCGCCATTGCACTCCAGCCTGGGCAGCAAAGGGAAACTCCGTCTCAGGAAAAAAAAAAAAAAAAAAGAATGGAAACATTTTAATTTTTCATCAGTAAGGGACTGGTTAAATAAACCATGAAACATCCATGCAATAAAGTGCTATAAATCCATAAAAAAGAATGAGGTGGCTCTTTATGCATTAAAATGGGATTATTTCACATTTTGTTAAGTGGAAAAAAGCAAGATGCAGAACAGTATGCATGGCATGTTACCATTTTTGTAAAAATGGGGGAAGAAACATAGATACATGTTTGTGTGTGTATGTATAAAGTATATATGTGTATGCATGTGACTTGTGTATGCATAGTATATCTGGAAATACGCACACACACACACACACACACACACACACAAACTGCTAACATGATCACCTCCAGGCAGGAGAACCGGGTGGGTGAGAATAAGAATTAAAAAGAAACATTTTGCTATGTAGACTGTGTATCTATTTGACTTCTGATCCATGTGGATATGAAAATATATATATACAAGTAGGTGGTCTACTTGCATGGTGGAAGAATACAAGGGAAAGGGAAGAAGAGGCTCGAGCCATGGAAGATATTTGTGTATAGAAATTTGTTTATTTGGCAAGGGACATGGAGTTATTTCTGAAATTTTTGTTTGAGGAGCCAGTGTTGAAATTTATGTCACTGCCTATTAAGTCCAAAAAGCTAATAGCAAAGAAAAATAAAGGTGAATAGAAGCCACTAAGAGAAGTTTGAGGCACAGAACATTTAGAAATTAAATAAATGAAGAATGAAGCAATGTAAGAAGTCTAATGGAACCAGGACTGGAAATATGAGAAAATCACTTTAATGAAAGAAGTTACCGCTTTCTGTCCATGCCAAGCAGGTAGAGTAGATTCAGTTTATTCTCCTGAAACTTGTCATTTCCTACATAACTTATATCTTTATACTTTTAACTATAACGTAGTAAATAACCATCCTCTGTTTTCTTAAAACAACTACAATTTTGGGAGCTGAATCAGGTGTGTATCCTGTCACAGACTTGGTGGCAGAATATGGGACAGAGAAAGAATTTAGATATCAGTCACGATGCTCCACATGGGGTCTGTTTAGTGCCAAGGAAACCAAGTTTATCCTCAAACCTTCAACATAAAATTTTCAAAACTTGGGGTTTCCAGACAGCATCTGCATTAAATGCTTCCAGGACTTACACACAGAAACTTCTGCAGATCACAGTCCCTTTGATCCCCTCTCCTCAGAGGCAGCCTGGTGGTATTTAACGCTACGGGGGAAGGGCCAGATGGGGGAGAAACTGTAAGCATAGAGAAAGGAGCAAGCCCAGAAGGTCAGATAAGACACTTCTCTTTCTCCTGTTTGCTCTGTCCTTAAAGGAATTGTTGCTTCCTTTCACAGCGAAAAAACTGGGAGATTCAGCTGCAATTGGATTATGCCCTCTGTACCTAGGCTGACACCAGAGAGTATCTAGCAAGCAACATTTCTTGTTCTGTTATGCCTATGCTGTCGTCATAACCCTGCATTTCCATTTTGCACCAGAACCAAGCCAACCAGTAGACCTTCATGAATCATCAGTGGTTAAGTACCCTCCTCCAGCATTTCCTTTAGAAGCTCTCCCTTTTAAATTTATTTTTTGTTTGCAAATAAAAAATTTTCCTGTAGGTGCTATGACAACAGTGTTTCAGGTCTATTTGCTCCTGAAATTGTATACATCCTTTTCACCTACTCTGTGTCTAAAGACCTCAATTTCTGAAACATTCTCTTTATTTTTGGCCTTTCTCCCTCACAACCCTCAGGGGGTGGAAATTTAGTAATTAAAATCTGAAAGAAAAAGTCTAATTTGCATTATAGCTTTAAAATGAAATTATTTTGCTGCAGAAAGTGCCACTGCACTATATCTAAAAATCGTGACATATAATGGAGCCTGTAACGTTTTGTTGGAACAAATTAACTCAACATATTGCCAACTCACAGTTCACAGGATAGTAGTAGCTTTATGGAATTCCATGTTTAATCAATCCACTAGGGACAAAGAAATCTTTTCAGTTTGGTCACTGACTGCTTATAAGATGAGTTTAAGTTTGGAGAATCCAAATGAACCCTAAATATTTGCACTCACATTGCTTGGGCAGAATTAGCAAAAGAAAAGACCATAGCAAAAAAACATAGCAGTCAGGTAAGGCCATAAAGGGTTGTAAAGATTTAAAACGGGAGGCCACGTGTGCCAATTGTTGCATATTTTAAAATCTCAGAGGACAAAGGGCACAGGCATCTGTCACAGCCAGGAAGCTAGAGGGAGAAAACACCACATTCAAATGAGAACAACAACCTCTACACTTCAGGGAAAGATTATTTTTGAGCTATGGAAGAATCAACAGCATTGTGATTGTTCTCAAAAGTTTCCTTTAATCATTTGAAACTAAAAGCGCCAATGCCTATTATGAACTCTCTGAGTTTGAGAGATATTTTGAAAGTAAGCTCTTAGGAATCAACTCTACTATTGTTTCGTGGATTGTAAACGGTAGAGATTATAAAAACAACATCTAGGAGTAAGGATTAGTTACAGGACAGTTCATCAGGGTAAAATGTAGGTTAGGCATAGGCCTTAATTTGGGGTCCCTCCAAAGTAGTTCCTGAGAAAAGAACTGGAGTACAAGTCGTTTATTTGGAAGGCAAATGAAATACCCAAAAGCAGAGTGAAGAAGCAAAACAGGAAACAGAAAGGAGCCAGTAAAACTGCCTGTTTTCACGTTGGCGACTTGAATTCAGGTTCACGGAGGAATCCTGGTAGGCAATGGAGCACATACACCTGAGAGTTGTTACACACAACGGTCCAGACAGCTGGGGTATTTATACACCAATTCCTGTTCTTTATTGAATAAGCAATACTCCCAGGGGAGCATTAATTTTCCTGTACTTCCGGCCTGCTACATGAATGGCAAAGTAGGCCCTGGAGGTCAGAGAAAACTTTCAGGCCAATGTGCTTTAAGGTTGTAAGAGTGAGGGGATTCAGGCAAGGTGCCATTAGCAACCATTACCCTCTCTCATTGTACACTCCAATTTGCCACTGAAGTAGTGACTATAACTGAATTTATAAATCCTTAACAACATGATTGCTGGCCTCCAAGCCCCAACCTTTTGCACCATGCTGTTACGTGTAGTTCCTAAAACATATTGGTTGAATGAATCAACAAATGATTTATCCCATCCGTTATTATTATTATTGGTGCAATATTTAAACAGCAAAAGCTCATCACACAATTTGAAGATTCTTTCCAAATGTGCTCTCCTCCAAAAATAGCATCTAAAACCCTAAGCAGCACGGCCAAATGTGTGAGGAAATAGCAATTTGCACACTGTTAGTGAGCGTGCAAACAGGAGCAAGCTTCTTGGAGGCCAATTTGTCAATATTTGTCAAAATGTTAAATGTACATATTTTTGGACCCAACAAATACACTAGTAGGAATTTATCTTACAGACATACCTGCATAAGGGTACAACAATATATATATGTAAGATTTCTATTGCAACATTCTTTGTAATAGTGACAAACTAGAATATAAGTTAACTATCAACAGTGTAAAGATTAAATACATTATAGTAAAACCATAGAATGAAATGCTGCGCATAGCATGTAGGCATTAAAAGGAATGAGATATAGCCATATGGGCTGACAGAGAAAAAGTCCAAGATATATTTTTTAAAAAAAAACACCAAATTGCAAAACAGTATGTTCAGTATGATCCCATATGTGTAAAACAAAGGGGAGGCTGGATATTCATAACATAGGTATGCTTATTTGTGCAGATAAAATACCTAGAAATCAAACCACTGAGTTTCCAAATCCGTGAGACATCATAGAATCTTTTTATTTAATCTGGCCCTTACCCTCCAACTAAATTGATTGGCTATTTTGACAACTATATATTATATATACTTCGCCCTTACCAAAAATTCCACAAACTGGACAATAGCATCCTCTAGAGTAGTTACTGTCAGTGCCCTGTTCATATCCCATGACCCACCTCAGAGGTGACCTACAGAAAATTCCAGTACAGGCTCTGCTTCCTGCATCTCTTTGCCTGGGGACATTCCCTGGGTACAGGAACCTTCCAGACTTGCAGGAGGTGTGGGCTGGAAGTGCCCCTCAGCCAGTGAGTGACAAGGGATGGTGGATAAATACCCCAGCTTCCTTGGCTTTCATTGGCAATGTTTTCAAGGTGCGTGCTACACAGTCCCTCAGAATGTCCCCAGTAAGATTGAACCCCAGTTGACCATAGCAGTCACCTGCTCATCAACATATCCTCTGCTGGCTTTCTCCTTTCCTTATCTCACTTTCCCCACTCCTTCACTGGGTTTCCTGCAAAATTCTCCAAAACAAAATAATTATACGTAAATCTTTGTCTCGGAGCCTACTGACCAAATGTTTATCTCAGGGTTCTTCTTAGGCTACAACATCACCATGTAATAGGTTAAGAAACTGAGACTCTAAGTGGATAGGTAACGCACACCACACCACATAGCTGCTAGGTTGAACTAAATGAAACTGTTGTTTCTGCAGGTCAAAATGGTCAAATATCAACAATTTTATCCGACTGAAACTAATAGTAAATATTAGAGTGGAGCTTTGAATCCAGATTGAGAACAAAGCTTGTGGGTTCAAAGTGATTCTAATAGGTATGGCCCAGGTTGAATAAACTTTGCTTCAGTAGACAATAAAGGTTTGTTGTACACATTTTGCATGCTGGTTATGAGTATCGGCTTTGGATTGAGTCAGACTGGGGTTCAAATCCTGCCTCTTATTAGTATGCAATGTTTAGCACATTCCCTAATCCCGCAGAGCTCCCATTTCATCACATATACAATTGAGCTCCCTCATAAATTTCCTGTGAAAACCATAAGAACTATCATGCAGCAAGTGCCTGGCACATAGTAAGTGTCCAATAAATAAATGGCTACTTGCTCAACATGAAAGAAACAAAAATTTTGTTTTTCTTTTTTCTTTTTTTAAATTGTTATTTTTATTTTAAGTTCCAGGGTACATGTGCAGGATGTGCAGGTTTGTTACGTAGGTAAACATGTGCCATAGTGGTTTGTTGCACTTATCAACCCATCACCTAGGCATTAAACCCATCATGCATTAGTTAGTTTTCTTTTGCTTGCAACGGACAGAAACCCAATTCAAACAAGCTTAAGCAGAAAGGGGTTTATATTGGGCTATGGAACCAAACAAAGAACGTGGGTAAGCTGGCCTCAGGTGACTGGATGCTGGGACTTTGGACACTGTCTTTCTGCCCATTGCTTCACTCTGCTTTGTTTTTTGAAACATTCATCAGGTTTTGGGGCATGGAATTGCAGGCAGGCAGCTGGTAGAAAGAGGACTTACTCCTTTCTCCCAGCTCGTTTGAAAAATCCCAAGGAAGGTCTCTGAGAGGTCTGCCTTTGACTCATATGATCTGGACCAATTCTTGTGACCAAAGAAAAGTGTCCAGGTCTGGGTCACTTACCCACTTACTGAGATGGGTAAAGGGGTCTGGCTACCAGCAGAAGTATGGAAGAAGGAGCTCTTGGCAAACAAAAAAAAAACTGTTCCTATCCATTTTAGCAGTCATTAACATAGACAGAAACAGGGTTTGTTTATTTTTAAATTAATTGGTTTTTATTTTTAGAACAGTTAAAGGAAAATTGAGCAGAAAGTACAGAGAGATACTATATACTCCCTCTCTTCCCCTTCCATTTCCCCTATCTTGCATTAGTGTGGTACATTTGTTGCAACTGATGAATCAATATTGGTACATTATTATTTACTAAAGTCCATGGTTTACATTAGGGTTCACTCGTGGTTTTGTATATTCTATGGGTTTTGCCAAATGTATAATGGCTGTGTCCACCATTACAGGATCATACAGAATAGTTTCACTGCCCTAAAAATCCTCTGTGCCCACCAATCATCTTTTCCTTCGCTCCTCCCATCCCTGAAACCATTGATCTTTTTACTGTCTCTACAGTGTTGACCGAAACATTGTTTTGAACAAACACTTGTAAAGGATTTGAAAATGATAATATTTTGCTTTATCAAAATTTCTATTGTTTTCAAAGGAAGAAATGGAGATTATTTTACAAACTGATAAACTTGCTTTTTTGAATAGACAACCTATGTATCAGATCCTGTTGTGTTCTCACAAATTTAGTCTTACCCCAATTTGCCTCTTCTTACTCTTGTGCACTTTAATACCCCTCTCCCTCTACTTCTGGCATCTTTTAAGCTGCAAACACATGGCATTTGGATTAATTTACTGTCTATTAATTGGAAATCAAACCTGCTGTACTTGGTATGATGTTAAATTATTGGGTAGGTAAATTTTTGTGGCTTTAAGAGAAGTGTCTTCAGGAGGGTGGTTGTAGGGATGTTGTTTGGCACTTGCTTTCTTTTCTTTTGATTTTCCCTTCAATTTTATTCCCTAACCTAAATGCCGTGGGAACTGATATAGCAGCTGTAACGTCACTCACAGTCTCTTGACGTTGCTCACAACTTGTTTATTTCTTTTCTCCATTGCTTCCTTCAGATCCTCCAAACTGATTTCTAAAGCATCTTTTTCAAAAACAAACAAACAAACAAAAATGTATTACAAAGAAAACCCACAGCTAAGAATTCATGCTGCATTCTTCATATTAAAAAGGCACTTTGGGGATCGCCTTCATTTCTACCAACAAATAAACATTTTCCCAAGGCTTAAACAAAGGCACTGCTTTAACAGTCTATAAAGAGACTGACAAAGTCTGATACTATATTAAAATGCTGATGTTATCATGTCAAAAATTATACAGATAACACATAAAGATTATATTGGCTGAATAATTTGTTTAAAGATATTTCAGTACCACTTTATTACATTTTTCTTTATTGGTTGTATGTTTAACAATGTTAAAAATCTTCACAATGATTTTTGTCATATGATGCTCTGTGACAGGGGGAGAGAAAATCAAGAATAATACTGTCTTAAGTCCATAGTAAACCGTTCAGTTCAACTAGCATTTATTGGGTGTGTACTGTGGCCGTAACAAGGTTTGGTTGTTAGTGATCAACACCTGTGAAAGGAACATGGGGAGAGTGGGATTGAGCCGAGAGAGAAGTTGAAGTGCAATCCAAGTCTGACAGTCTCTCTCAACCCAGCAGGGAGCTCTGAAGCAAGAATTGTTCATCGAAGTTGTTCCGAATCTGAACTGGGTGAGGCTGAACGCCAGCAGCTTGATCAGTCATTGATTGTGGGCTGCCTCGGAAGGGACCTAGGGCAAGGGAATGCCACAGCAGAAACAGACCCTGAAGGAGCTAGCCACCCTCCCTGCAACTGGACAGCAAGTCCTCCCTCAAAGGAGGATCTGGGCAGTGCATCACTGTGTCTGCCATAGTCTGGTGGGAAGGACATAACGCAAATGTAATTCTAATCACAATATGGGGAAAGCTATGACAGAGTGTGTGTAGGTTGCTATAGAAATACAGAGCAGAGTCTGGGCCAGAGAGGGGATCAAAAAATGGCTTCTAGGCTGGGTGCAGTGGCTCATGCCTGTAATCCCAGCACTTTGGGAGGCCGAGGCAGGCAGATCACGAGGTCAGGAGATCGAGACCATCCTGGCTAACACGGTGAAACCCCGTCTCCACTAAAAATACAAAAAATTAGCAGGACGTGGTGGCGGGCGCCTGTAATCCCAGCTACTCAGGAGGCTGAGGCAAGAGAATGGCGTGAACCCGGGAGGCGGAGCTTTCAGTGAGCAGAGATTGCGCCGTTGCACTCCAGCCTGGGCGACAGAGCGAGACTCATCTCAAAAAAAAAAAAAAAAAAAGGCTTCTAGAGAGAAGTGACCCCTCAGCTAAAAAGTAGCCAGGGCTGAAGAAGTGGAGGAAGATTTGTATTTTCACAGCATATTTGATCTGAGACTCTCTAAGCATTGGCTTCATTTGGTTCCTCTCTGGATTGGGACTTTGAAGAATTTAATTATTTCCCTTTCACAGCAGGATGAAATAAGCTATTCAAAGTCATTTAAACACAGAGCCAGAAAGAAACTTCAGCAGTCTTAGGGGCTCATATTTTAACCACTAACTTGATGGCCAAGGTGCTTGTTAGTTGAAGAAAACATTCCAATCTTCTAATGGCAGGCTTGGTAGGAGGCAGTACCCTGAGGTTGAGTCTAGTTATTGAAGGTTGAGCACCCATTTGTTTGTTGCATAATATGAAATATCTAGCTCTGGGGAAAGATCCAGGTAACTAATTGAATGTTTCACTTTTTTATAGTTGTTTTTTGTTTTGTTGTGTTGTTGTTGTTTTTCAAGATAGAGTCTCACTCTGTCGCCCAGGCTGGAGTGCACTGGTGCGATCTCGGCTCACTGCAACCTCCGCCTCCTGAGTTCAAGCAATTCTCCTGCCTCAGCCTCCCAAGTAGCTGGGACTACAGGTGCGTGCCACCACACCCGACTAATTTTTTGTATTTTTAGTGGAGACGGGGTTTCACCGTGTTAGCCAGGATGGTCTCAATCTCCTGACCTCGTGATCCACCCACCTGGGCCTCCCAAAGTGTTGGGATTACAGGCGTGAGCCACAGCGCCCGGCCCCGAATGTTTCACATTTTTTATGAATTTTGGTGTCAGGTAGACACAGCCAAACTAGTAATTATTATCAAAACAGTACAAAGAAGAGGAAAATACCAAAAATTAGCAAAGGTAATTATCACCACAGGTAGTTTGTTTCTCATCACTGAAATTTGCAAAACTTAGTTCCAGCTCTCAGATTTTGCCTAACATAATGAATAAAACATTGTATCTATGTGTGACAATAAATATAACCAGGGCTGGTTTCTGAGGCAGACCACCTATGCAGTCGAACAAGACTCTACAATTAGAAGGGGCCCGCACTTCATTTAATGCTCTGCTGTTGCTGACTTGAAATTCTTAATAATTTTTTAGCAAGGTTTCATTTTACAATGGACCCCACAAATTATGTGGTCTGTCCGGATTATAAACAATTGCTTAAACTATGGAGCAGGTCTGTTTTCTGGGTCTATGAAAAATCTGGTGTTAATCGTTTTTAGGAAATTTGAATTTTAAGATCTGGAAACTGAAAATATTTTGTGTTTTTATTTTGTATTTTTTAAATTAGATAACTATGTTTATTGTAGAATATTTGGCAAGTACATAAAGCATAAAAAAATCACCCAGAAATATACCTTCCTCACGCCCCCTCTGTGACTGCAAAGATATTATTAATCATATCATTGATTAATCTTTCTTTGATTGTTTCCTGAAACATTTAAAAACATTACTAGAGAAGTATGTCTTGTACCAGGTTCCAAAACTAAAGGGGATGAGGAAAGGAAGACCCATACGAATTCTAATTAGTCAGGGTGCAGTGGCAGATGCCTGAAGTCCTCAGCAGACTCAGGTGGGAAGATCATTTGAGCCCAGCAGTTCGAGGTTACAGTGAGCTATGATCATCCCACTGCACTACAGCCTGGGCAATGGAGGTAGACCTTGTCTCTTTCTCTCTCTGTAAAATTAAAAAAAAAATGCTGAGATGATTAGGGTGGTGAGAACTTGAAGATGAGATGTGTATTAAAACCCAGAGCTCACTCCCATCCTTAGCGCTCCCCGCCAAGAATAAGCACAATGGGGAGGTTTCAGAGGGAATGAACATATTAGCAGTGTCTTGTTCACCACTGCACCTCCAAATCTAGCACTATACTCGGAAAATATTTGTTCAATTGCCATTGAATTGAAGGAAGATTTTGATACATGGAGAGGTAGTAGCAGAACACTTATGCAATAGGAGCAAATGAGGTGAATTTGGGAAAATGATGTATGTTTAGAATAGACAAATAGGAATGATGCTGGGGTAAGTCAAATAATGCCTTCTCCCCACCAAGATGTCCATGTCCTTATCCCAGGAACCTGTGAAGATGTTACCTTATGTGGCAAAAGGGACTTTGCAGATGTGATTAAGGTAAAGATCTTGAAATGGGGAGACTATCCTGGATTATCTGGGTGGGCCCCATGTAATCACAAGAGGTTTATAAGGGGGAGGCAGGAGGGTCACAGACACAGAAGACAATAGGCAATATGGTAATGGAAGGAGAGACAGAGAAACAGAGAGAGAGAGAGGGAAAGAAGATGCTACACTGTTGGCTTTCAAGATAGAGGACAGGGCCATGAGCAAACAATGCAGAAGTCAAGGAAACAGATTGTTCCCTAGAACCTCCAAAAGAAGCACCTCCTTGCCAACTCATTTGAGGACCTCTGACCTCTAGAACTGGGAGAGAAAAAAAAAGTATGTTGTTTTAAGACACTAAATTTGTGGTAATTTGTTACCACAGCAATAGGAAACCATTACAGAAGCTAAAGGTTAACTCAAGGAAATGGAGCAGATAATTCTGGAAAGATCAAGTTTTCAAGCAAATGAACATTTTTTATTCATCGTATAATGGCAAGCTAGTCTTAATCTCCACAGAAATCAGGAAGAGGCATAGATTTGTAACATCATTAGGCATTTTAATTCACCAAAGAAAATTGCGATGTCTTCTTCAGAAGGAACTTAAACACTGGGGGAGTTTAATTTACCACTCTGGTATGGTTTAGGTGCAATCCAGCTGAAAGCAAAATCAACACCAAACATTTAAGAGTTGCGCAGATCACAAGCGACCTTGCAATAGATTTGCTTATATTTCTCTGTGATTAGAAAGAGTTTAGGAGCAAAGCCCAGGGGATGCTACCAGGGAATATGTGTTAGAAAAACAGGTAGAATAATTGGAGAAAGTGTTTGCCTAGAATTTGGATCTAAAGTTATATGACTCACTTTCCTGTTAAGATATTCAACAACAGATTTATGGAAGGAGAAGACAAGCAAACTAAAAAGGAAAAAAAGGAGGGTTGAAGTGGAATTCCCAAATACAACTTTTCCATCACTGTCATCTCCCTTTTGCTATTAGAATCTTGCTGCTTTTGAAAATCATGATTCCTGTAAATGACAATGAACACAAATATTATTATTCTCAGCTAATTGTCCATGGCATCTATTTTGTTAGTAATAAAAACAAAAGTACTATTACTTTAATATTTTTATGCCTATAAATAATGTTTTTAATGATCAGCAAATCTGCTAACTTAACCTCCTAACTACATCTCTAATCTGTTCATTTCCCTTCATACCCTGCCACCACCTATACCACTGAAGGTACCAAGAGGAAACATGTGACACACTCAAATTAGGAGAATTGTAAAAATGTTTATTTACAAAAGTGTGAGTGCAGAGAAACCACACCAAATAGAACATATAGAAACCCTTGGCAACAAGAGCAAAGCTTTTACCACCCCCAGTCCTGACGGGACCAGAGGAGGGAGCAGTTACTAGAGCCTGGGAAGAGAGCCGTGTGCAGAAGGTAAATTTGAGAGGAATACATCTCTTGTTGAAGGACACAGCCAGCCAGAGGCAGCCCAGGAGGAAAGGAACTGGGGAAATAAATACCCTGATCTCATTCTCTCCTACAGGGGCTTCCCGTTGGCCAAACTCAGCCAGAAGCCAGAGGGCATAGAATGCTGTTTCTGTAGTTCATACAGTTCAGCTTCCCAGGGCATAAAGCAGGATGAAGAAGGTGGAGAGCAAAACTGGGGAAGGGGGGATGGAGAACGTCCAGCATAGCCCCCTCATACCATCGATCACCATCCCTCCACCACACGAAAGCCTAAATGGTTACTCACCATCCACTCTGGCTCCCCTCCAGTATGTGCTCCAAACTGCAGCTGAAGTGATCTTTCCAATATGCAAATCTGATTATGGTAAATCCCTGTTTAAAACCCATCAATGGCTTCTCCAAAAGGATCAAAATCCTCACTATACCCCCAATCTCATCTTGGGTTAATTTTCTCCTCACTCCCGTTGTTCCTGCCACCACAGGCCTTCTTTCAGTTCCTACCATATGCCTTGCATCTTCCAACCCCAGGGCCTTTGTATGTGCTATTTTTTTCGTTTGGACTTCCTCACTCCCCACCCAACCCTTGGCCTAGTCCACACCTCCTCTGGAGAAGGCTTACCTGACCTCCCACTGTCACACCCCCAGTTCTAGGTTAAGTTTCCATTTTATACACAATGGTGTCTTTCCTGAGTGTACTTCTCTTAGGTTGTAATTCTTTATCTATTTGGTGTGATCCTTTGATGAAGTTATCTTCCTCTGTTTTGTTATCCAATGTGTATCCTGTGCTGAGCACTGTGCTAGGAACTCAGTAGGCACTAAAGAAAAAAAAAAAGAATGAAAGACATATTAAATAAATTATGTAAATGTAAAAAAGTCTAATATTAGTAAATTACCTTGAAATTGAGTTAATTTTTTTGAATTCAAGCAGAAGCTAAAGTGGATATGGGAAAGAAAATTAGCTTTAAAATCCAGTTATAGAGGAACCTGCTAAAGAAAGCAGTTTTTTCCTTGCCAAAATGTGTTCCATCCCTTCATTTCTGAGAGCTATGACGCCTTCCATCATTCTCCTGCAACCATTTTCTCCAGCACAGCCTCAGCGCCTGGTCTCTCAGAGGAGTCAATGCTTCCCACAAGTGCCTGGTAAGGTACAATAAAACTGCCTCCGTGTTCTAGACATAAATGATGACTTAACCAGGAGCCTCTCCCTGCCTCCCTCCTCTGCATTTGTCCTACCTCTCAGGTCATGAAGGAGAAGAATTCATGACTCAGGAAATTTCAACTTACAGACCAGCTGCAGTATTTATTCCTCTCAATCTAAAGGCTGATATAAAAAGAGATCATAGTACTTGGTGGTATAATTCTTTGTATGTATGTTGATATGTAATGAATTTTAATGGTGGGTTTTATGACTTCCAATAACCCCAGGCCTAAAAAAATGACTCCCTATGTCTTAGAAGTATATAAATTCTAAACATTCCAGTTTAGTAGATTTTTCCACAAGCCTAGTACTAACTTAGTTTCTTAGTTTCATGGGTTTCTTTGTTGTTGTTTTTTGTTTTTGTTTTTTGTTTTTTGTTTTTTTTTAGACAGTCTCATGCTGTCAACCAGGCTGGAGTGCAGTGGCATGATCTTGGCTCACTGCAGCCTCTGCCTTCTGGGTTCAAGCGATTCTCCTGCCTCAGCCTGGGCAGGAGGGATTACAGGTGCCCACCACCATACCCAGCTAATTTTTGTATTTTTGGTAGAGCTGGGGTTTCGCTATGTTGGCCAGGCTGGTCTCAAACTCCTGACCTCAGGTGATCCGCCCACCTCGGCTTCCCAAAGTGCTGGGATTACAGGTGTGAGCCACCGTGCCTAGGCCAATTTAGTTTCCTTAACTGAAGTATTTATAAGGCAATGGGCACATGTACTTTGGCTGGAGAGCCTCAACTTACTATTCCAAGTACTCTATATGATTTTTCATGTGATAAATCTGCTCAAATGATGCCTTATCTCCTGAAAACATTTATTCCAAACCACTGTGGATTCTAGCATTCTTTTTAACATTTCTTACATTGCTTTCAGAAAAAGCAATTGTAAGGAAAATAGCTCACAGGCTAAGGGGAGGACAGTCTGCCCAGGTTTTTCTTCCTATTGAAAAGCATCACATTTGACAGAGAAGCTGTTTTATCAACACACTCAGATTCTTCTTCCAGCCATTTTTATATCCTCAAGTTCACGGCCCTAAAGAATTTCTAGAGACTTAGGCCTTCTGGGAATGAAGCTCTAACCTGCGTGTGCAATTGTGAACTCCACCTACCACCTCCATGTTACCCCAGTATTGGTGAGCTTATAGAGGAATGGCAGAACTATGTTCCTTCACTTGACCCAAGTTCTGTCCCTGTTTGGTCCCACTTAAGCCAGTAGCAGGTCCATCTCTCCCCAACTCCATTCTTGACACCCACTGCCTGATCCCAGGCTGCCTGACAGTATTTCTCCTTTGGCCTAAAGCACAGCATCCATCAACCTTGCTCTGCTCAACAATTTTGTGTGAATGGCTTTTTCTTTTCTTTTTTTTTTTTTTTTTTTTTGAGACAGAGTTTTGCTCTTGTTGCCCAAGCTGGAGTGCAATGGCACGATCTCGGCTCACTGCAACCTCCGCCTCCCGGTTCAAGTGATTCTCCCGCCTCAGCCTCCTGGGATTACAGGCGCACACCACCAAGCCCGGCTAATTTTTTGTATTTTTAGTAGAGATGAGATTTCACCATGTTGGCCAGGCTGCTCTCGAACTCCTGACCTCAGGTGATTCGCCCACCTCAACCTCCCAAAGTGCTGGGATTACAGGTGTAAGCCACGGTGCCCGGGTGTGAATGGCTTTCTTTAATGTCACAGTAGCTTCAGTCTGAAGTGCTTCAGTAGCTCCAACAGGTCATAACCCCCACACAGTCCCCATGATTATCCAGCCAGGGCATCTGCCATTTTTTTCTCCTTTCCCTGGGAGAACCGCTGTCCAGCTCACACCCACCAACTACCTTATTTAAGTGAAAGCAATCTGTGATTTAACCTGAACTTTGTGATTTAACCTGAACTCAAGGTCTTTGTCTTAGGAAGTCATGCCCTCAGTTGCCACTCTGCCCTGCCAACAACAGGCTTTTAAGGCAGCTACTCTACTTTAAAAAAAAATCTAGGCTCTACCTCCACCAGGGTTTAAAAGTGTTATATCTTTGGTGCAAAAGGAAATAAAGTTATTGGAATAAAAACAAAGAAAACCCAAAACTTTTATCCTGATTCCGCACATAGATGCATTTCTCATTGGCGGGGTGGGTAGAGGGACTGTCGTCATTATTAGAGATAAGCCCTTTATGAGCACCCTTGATATACACTGGTACCCATACTCTAAACTTGTTGCTCCGTGATCTCTTTAACGGCAGTGATTCAACCCAGCAAGAGGTGGTTTTGTTCATTCATTTGAAGACCTGGTTATCTAAGCTGGGTAACAGTTTAGAGCATGAACGTTAAGCACAGGAAATGGGCTCAAATTTTATCTCCACCCATGACTAATCGTGTCACCTTGAGCAAGTGACTTGGCCTTTCTAAAACTGAGTTTGTTCTATAAAATGAACACAATAAAAAGCTCTCTCACAGAGTTGTTTAAAACATCAAAGGAGATAAATGTTTTAATTTTACATTTTAAATTTTTAAAAAACTTTTAATTGCAATAAAACACATTTAAAATTTACCATCTTTTTTTTTTTTGTTTTTGTTTTTGTTTTTGTTTTTTTTTTTGAGACAGGGTGTTGCTCTGTCACTCTGGCTGGAGTGCAGAGGCAAAAATCATGGTTCACCACAGCCTTGAACTCCTGGGCTCAAGTGATCCACCCACTTCAGCCTCCCGAGTAGCTAGGATTACAGGTGCACACCATTGCACTGGGCTAATTTTTGTATTTTTTGTAAAGACAAGGTCTTACTGTGTCACCCAGGCTTATCTCCAACTCCTGGCCTCAAACGATTCTCCCACCTCAGCCTCTCAAAGTGCTAGGATTACAGGCATGAGCCAGTGCACTCGGTCATCTTAACTATTTTGAATGTACAGTTCAGTAATGTTAATTATATTCACATTTTGCAACCACCATCCTACTTTCTGTTTCTATGAGTTTGATTTCTCTTGATGCGTCATATAAAGGAAACCATACAGTGTTTGCCTTTTTGTGACTAGCCTCTTTCATTTACCATAATATCCTCAAGATTCATCCATGTCGTAGCATGTGTCAGAATGTCCTTCTTTTTTAAGGCTGAATAATATTTCATTGTATGTGTATACCACATTTTGTTTAACCATCCATCCGTCAATGGCCATTTGGGTTGCTTACACTTTTTGACTATAGTGAATAATGCTGCTGTGAACATCTGTGTACAAACATCTCTTTGAGATCCTGATTTCAATTCTTTTAGATGTATACCCAGATGTGGTACTGCTGGATCATATGGTAATTCTATTTTTAACTTTTTGAGGCACCCACCATACTGTTTTCCGTAGCAATTGCACCATTTTACATCCCCACCAACAGTGCACAAGGGTTCCAATTTCTCCACATCCTCACCACACGTTATTTCCTGTTTTTTTGTTTGTTTTTTTTTTTTTTTTTTTTTTGGAGAGCAGCCATCCGATGAGCATAAGGTGATATCTTATTGTGGTTTTTATTTGCATTATACTCATTTTGGCCATTTGTGTATCTTCTTTGGAGAAATGAATATTCAAATCCATTTTTAATTGGATTATTTGGCATTTTGTGGTTGAGTTGTAGTTCCTTGTATATTCTGGATATTAACCACTTATCGGATATGTGATTTGCAAATATTTTCTCCCACTCTTTAGGTTGCCTTTTCACTGTGTTGATTGCACAGAAAAATTTCACTCTTTTGAGGCACAGAAGGTTTACTTTTGATGCAGTCCAATTTATCTGTTTTTGCTTTTGTTGCCTGTGCTTTTGGTGTCCTATTCAAGAGATCATTGAGAAATCTAATATCATGAAACTTTCCTCTATGTTTCCTTCTAAGAGTTTTATAGTTTTAGGTCTTAGATTTAGTTCTTTGATCCATTTTGAATTAATTTTTGAGTATGGTATAAGGTAAGGCTGGCTCCAACTTCATTATTTTGCATGTGGATCCAGTTTTCCCAATACCATTTGTTGGAAAGACTATCTTTCCACCCTGTGAATGGTCTTGGTACTCTTGCCAAAATAATTATACATTTATTTTTGTGATTATTTGATTCATGTCTGCCTCCCTCACTGAGCTATAAGCTCCAAGAGGGCAAGAATCTTGTTGATTTTACTCACTTTTGTACCTTTAATCTCTAGTACATAATAAAGGCTCAATAAAGTTTTATTGAATAAGCCAATAAATGCTTGAAAAACACTTAGCACAGTGCCTGCCACTAAATAAAACTTCAATGGACAGGAATGATTATTGTCATTGCTGTTGTTATTCAACCTATTGTACCTTTTGCCTGGGGCATACATTGCTTAATATGAAGAAAGTGAAGATAAGACTTACTGCCTCAGAGAAATACACAAAAGCCAAAGGCAGAGTATACAATGATTCAGCTTTTGAGATATGGCAGATTTGGTTCAAGCATTGGTCCTGTCTCTTTCTTGTTGTGTGATCCTTGACATATTAATCAACCTCTCTCCAAGTCTCAGTTTCCTCATCTGTAAAATGAAGGTGATAATATTTATCTTATAAGTTTGTTATATGGGTTGAATGAAACATGTGTAATGTCTTTGCATAGTGTCCGGCATTTATAATAAGCCTCCAATAAATGGTCCTTCTGTTATTTCTTTATGGATCATTAGAATCTCTATCTTTTCCCCTTAGTTTGGTTTTGCTACCATCTCTAAAAATGCTACTGTCTTAGCTATTGTCTCCATTTATAAGACAATTTATAAGCGATGACAAAGGTAAATAAGCCTGAATGGAAAATATTCGATTAGGACACTTAAGGTAAAATATTACTAAAGAGTTCCTAACAGACCTGGAAATTAGCACAAACAGCCTACGTATTTTTTCTCTTGACCAAAATGGAAAACATTTCATTAGTGCAGATCCTGACATAGGTTACCTCTGTGAGAATAAAGATTTTTCAGGAAGAGCGCCTCCATTTTTAAGAAGATATCATTTTACGAGAAAGTGTGCTAAGAAGGAAATATCTCCTTAAGAGTTTTATAGACTCAAACTGCCAGAAAAGATCCCCAGAAAGGATCTGCTTCACCGAAGCCCCAAGGAGAGTAAATGATTAAACCTTCCAGTGTTGATAGGCTTGTATCTAATATTGGCGACTTATTAATTACTTGACCTTTTCCATAGTGCACTTAGCATAGTAAATTATACTCATTTCTATTGGAACTTGGGTGACTTACATGACTCTTTGCAACTTAACCAGGGCTGGGCTCAATATAAGTCACCCAGTGAACATATTGTAGCTGATTGTGTGTTTTTGCCATGTTGTGTGACAGTTTCATGGCAGCTTGGAAAGAAAGCACCAAGAAATACAGATAAAATAATTTAAGGGAGAGATTTAATTTCTCACGTTTACCTTTGAAATCTTTCATAGCTAAAAACAGAAGGAAAAATTCCAGTGATGTGTGAAATTTTGTTTTTCTACATAAAAGATAGCTAGTAGAACTATTTTCAATTAGTAGAAATAAGTCCTGTGCCCCCTTTTCTGTCCCTGTTCTCTGATACATTTTCAGCTCTAATATTGTTGACTCTCCCCTCCTCTGAGAAAATCTTGTTTCTTCTGTTAGGCGTTTTCTCCCCAAGAATTGAACCACTTTGTTTCTATTGACTTCTCATTCTTTTTCCTAACTATGCATAATTCTCTAATTCAATAAATACATAGTAATTTATTTCTTTACCGAATATATATGGAGTACCCACTATGCTTCAGACACTTTCTAGGAGTTGGTGGTGAAGAGAAAAAAAAAGGATATAAACAAAATGAATAAAAGGGAATTCCAAGAAGTGATAAGGGATATGAAGCCATTCATTCATTCCGCATTCAACAAATGCCTTTAGAATGCTTACTACACATCAGGCATTGTTCTAGATGCTGAGAATCCTCTCTCATGGACGTGAATTGAGCCTCCCCAGGGTGAGTAGGATAGGACAAGCAATTGGAGGGAGGGGCCCAGTTAGTAAAGTGGAGTGACATTTTAGTATGGGTTGATGGGGAAGTGAATTGGGGTGGGGACTGAAGAAAGTGGAAAGAAAGGAGGATCTAAATGAAATTTTGAAATAAAAAATTGACAGGGTGTGGTGACTAGCTGAAATGTGGAAAAAAATAGAGTGCTAAGAAAAAGCCAATACCAGTGTTTGGAGGACTAGGAGAATAGGGAGCCTTCCCACCATTCATTCTGCCCTTCTTCTGCTGAAAGTGTCTTGATTTTCCTTTGTGGATTTTTCCTATCCCCATTCCCACCCCCAGCTTAATAACTTAACCCTGATTGGTTAAGTTATTTAGTGATTCTCATTCCCCAGCTACATTGATTGGTTCAGGGATAATTATGTGCCCCACTATCAAGCCGATGAAAGAGAGTGAATCATAGAACATGGGCAGGATCTATTGGAGAAGCCTCCTTTTTTCTTGTCCTAGATGTATAAGGAGATGAAGTCTGAAACAGTGGCAGCTGGTTTGCTACATCAAAGGGAGAGCCTGGAGCTCTGGGTGCTACGTTGTTGCACCTAAGTAAGGATAAAGCCAATACCACAGAATGCATAATGTTGAGACTGGGAGAAAGTGGATCTTCAGTGATATTATTTAAGCCCTTGATCAAGCCTCACCTGAAGCTAGCATACATCTCAATTTTCAATTATGTAAGCCAATAGATTATTTGTATTTTTAAGCTTGTTTAAGTTTTCTGTCACTTGCAACTCAAAGAATCTGACACTGTGCTGTTTCCAAAGGCAATATTATTTCCACTGTCAAAGTTTCCAGTGACTTGTTCATTGATATTAAAGAAAGAAGGGCAAAATGAATCATTTTTATTTGTATGGTACTAGTACAATTTGTAACATGGATACATCGCGTAGTGGCAGTGGGGAAGTCTGGGCTTTTAGCACAACCATCACCCGAGTAATGTACATTGTACTCATTAAGTAATTTCTCATCCCTGACCCCCTCCCACCCTTCTGAGTCTCTAATGTCTATTATTCTATACACCATGTCCATGTGCACACATTATTTAGCTCTGACTTATAAGTGAGAACACGCAGTATTTGACTTTGTTTCTGAGTTGTTTCATGTAAGACAATGCTTTCCAGTTTCATCCATGTTGCTGCAAAAGACATGATTTCATTCTTTTTATGGCTGAAGAATATTCCATTGTGTGTGTATGCATATGTATGTATATATACCACACAAAATGAATCTTTAGACACAGGTTTGCGGGACTGGCACCAGAAGAAATTGGGAAGGAAACACATTTGTAATCAGGTCCTCTTCTGCTCCCTGGAGTGTTCTTTTGCATTTCTTATGCCTTCTCCACCCTATTGATGAGGTCAACCCTGGATCCTTTTTTCCAGAGAGCTTATTCAACAGCCAGTGTTAGGACGGTGGTTCTTAATTTTTAGGTGTACTAGACTTACTTGTGGAGCTCATAAAAATACAGATCCCTTAGGAGGCTGAGGCAGGAGAATTGCTTGAACCCGGGAGGTGGAGGTAGCAGTGAGCCGAGATTGCGCCATTGCACTCCAGCCTGGGCAACAAGAGCGAAACTCCGTCTCAAAAAATAAAAATAAATACAGATCCCTGCAACATGTTCCAGGAGATTCAGGTTCAGTATGTCTTGGGTGGGGCCCAGGAATCAACATTTTTAACACTTTTCATAAGCTTCCAGGTGATTCTGAGGCAGTTATCACTTGGAGAAACGCCATTGTCTTAGGATGGATTCCTCAAAAGCTGATCCTGATAGGGTATTCATGAGCAAGTGATTTAGTAAGGAAGTGCGCCCAGGAGAAACTTGGTAGGTAATGAGAGAAGTAGGAAAGGGAACCAAACAAGGGTCGGATTTCAGGCAAAGTCCTGGGAAGGGTACCTTCAGCCTGATCCCACAGAGGACCTCTGGACTGTAAGTAACCCCTCAGAGTTGTCCCCTCTTCCCCAGTCAAGGCTTTCATATTCTTGCACTATGGGTCATTGGCTAACAGCTAATCAACCTAAACTCCCAGGCACTTCCGCGTGGGCAAAATGATTCCAGTAGCTTGTGGGAAGTCCTTTGGAGTCACAGGTATGAACTTTGGAAGCAAAAATACACTGAAGCTGGAGTGAGGCACACAGAAATGGGAAAGGGGATCCGAGGGAATTTGAATGGAGCACCTACAGTGTCTGCTGAAACCATTTAAAGGATTTCATATTTACTACAGGAGTATCTGGATTTTTAAAAGCAAGGGAGAGAACAACATGCACCCAGTGCAAAGGGAATAATTACTTAAAAGTAGAATTCTGTTCATGCTTGGGGTTTCAGGGTAACTCAGTCTACACATAAGACTCTAGTACCACTGAAATCTGTAATCTTTCAGTGAGTGAACTCTTTAAAATGGTAATTGATGCCTTTCAGTGTCTGGCCCCTGCCTATTTCTCTAACTCCCTCTGGCCTCTTTCTTCCTATAGGCTATGATCTAGCCGTGACCTACTTCTCCAAAACAGCATATTCTTCTTCTAAAAGAGCATATGCTTGCTCACCTCCAAGACTTCAGAAATGTTGTTTTCTCTACCGATAATCAACTGGCCCCTACTCCCTTCACCTGATTAATTTCTATAATTTCTATAGTCTTGTTCTAAACATTTTTTCAACTGGGCCTTCCCCAACCCATAAGTCCTCTCAATATGTGTTCCCCATACTTCCTAAATCCTAACAAACATCACTCTTCAATGTAATTACTTGCCGACAACTTGTTTTCTTTTAGAATGAAGTTCAGAGAGGGCGGGAACCATTTGCAGCTATAGCCCCCATGGCTAACACAGACATTCATTGAATAAATATAAAATAAATAACTTGCAAAATGATATCAGAGTATAAGTCTAATATATGTAGCTTTTTCTGGAGAGAGGAAGGGTGTCTTTCATTTTAGCTTAGAACATCCTGTTTATACCGTGAGGCAATAACTATTCCAGTTGAGAACAGTGTCATTCTTAATTTTATTCATTAATTCAGTAATAATTTATATCCTTAAACAATCATACTATGGAGTGAGGCTGAACTCTAAATTGCCTAAATTAGCCCCGTGCCACACTGACCTCTGTGTGTGGCCCTCATGCTAATATTTCTCTGGAGTGTGTTTTTCCCTTGTATGTCTGTGTCATGCTGAAATGATGTGGGAGCCCGACAACCTGAGAATGTCTAGTGCAGTTGTGAGGAAAGTCCAAGACCTCGAAGTCACTGAAAATTTGCACTGACATCTGAGAATCAAATTTGTTTAGCACCAACTCCATCCTTGTGGGGTTTTAGATGTTTCTGAATTTTTTAAGGCCTATCAATTATATACTAGAGGTATAGCTACATTATGATGAAGACGTAGAACTGTTTTATTGGTAATTTTCCTAGCATTAGAAATCGGCCGGGTACAGTGGCTCAAGCCTGTAATCCCAGCAGTTTGGGAGGCCGAGAAGGGCGGATCACTTGAGGTCAGGAGTTCAAGACCAGCCTGGCCAACATGGTGAAACCCCGCCTATACTAAAAATACAAAAATTAGCTGGGCATGGTGTCAGGTGCCTGTAATCCCAGCTACTTGGGAGGCTGAGGTGGAAGAATCGCTTGAACCCAGGAGGTGGAGGTTACAGTGAGCCAAGATCGTGCCACTGCACTCCAGCCTGCTACCAAAGCCCATTTTCCCCCTACTTCTCCCTTGTCTACCTCCCAAGAGGAGGCAGGAGAAGACAAATATCCGTGTCCCCAGCTTCCCTTGCAGGTAAGTGTTGCTGCCTGTGACTCTGTCCTGGCCCGTGAGATGAGAAAAAGATATTTTCTTTCCCTAATAGATGAGAGACGGAGCAGAAAGGCCTCTCCTGTCCTTACTGCCCTCCTGCTTCCTCCCTTTAATGTCTGAAATTGCAGCAGCCATCTCATAATGATGAGGCAACAAGCCTGAGGATGAGATGCTAACATTACAAGAATGGCAGAGTGGAACGAATAAACCTAGGTCACTGATGACGCACTTGAATAGCTGATCAATGTTAATAACCACACATCTCCTTGCTACATGGAAAAGAGCACCCCGCCCCCTTGCATTTGTTTAAACCACTGTTAGTTGAATATTCAGTTGCTAACATCTGAACACAATCTAATAGATGCACTTACTTTAACATTTTCTTTGTGGAAACGAAAACAGAACCAAATTATTGACACCTGACTCACTAATACATGGGCTTATTTGTTGGAACAGTATTGGATTTTTGGAAGACACCCAGAGAAAAATTAATTTAAAAGGTTTGCTTATTTTAGTCCCCGAAGCAGAGAGGATCTACTTCTAACCATCATACATGGTACAACTTCTGAGGGATGTGTATTGCAGAGAATTTCTATATGACTAAATATTACACTGGGAACTGGGAGATCTAAGTACAGATCAGGAGAAAAAGTCCTCAGCTTTGTGCTGATTGGCAGACCTCAAACCACTCAAAGCTTGTGACCAGGGAGTGCCAAGAGCTGATTAAATTAGGCTTATCGCTGTGGCAAGGGGGCTGCATGTGTTAGTTTAATTAATCAGAGCCCACCTCTCCAGTAAAGATGGTTACAATCTCACCTCAAGTCCAGAGCTGCTACCCCATGGTGGGGGAGAGGGGTGGGATGGCTTTTGGGAGAGCAACCACCACATTCTTCCATCTGTAAGTGAGGGAGTCTCTTTCCAGATCCAAACCAACTGTGATCCTATGAGCAGAGCACTTACTTATTTTTGCAATCGTCTGTCTCTCTTTTTTTCACCTGCACTTTCTTTTCTGTTTTACTTTATGATTGTCCTTTTCTACCTCTGAGCATAGGTCCCTGTAGAAGACAACAAACCCCAAAATGAAGTCGACAAGGCTTGGTATAGCTCAGTCTTGGGCTGGGGAAAAGAAGTGAAGCTGACAAGGTGACTTGAGAGGGTCCCTGTGCACTTCAGGGCAGAATGGAGTGACGCCTTATTCATTAGACATGAGCTGGACATGCCAACTTGTGGTGAGTAACTCTTGGACCCTTAAAGGAGGCAATGTTTCTCAAGTTCTGAAGCCCCCGTCTCTAGAGAATGCACAAGCTCTTTGAGAAAGGAGGAAAACCGTGTGCAATTACACTTGTCCTCTGATCTGCATTTAAAAAAAAAAAAAAGGTTTAGTACCCAAATCCTTAGCAGGCAAATCTCTCAGCCTTTTGAGGGAGTGGTCAAGGGTTTGCACGAAACGTTTCTGAAGAGAAAATAGGCTGTGAGTCTCCACATCACCCCCTCCACTTTGGTATTAATAAATACTTTTTTTAAAAAAAATACTGCACTGAGAAATTTACCAGACGATTTCTGGAAACTGACTTATGAACTAATTGGGCACTTTTGCTGTGCGGAGGAACAAAGACACTATTGGTCTTCAACTGAGGCATATACCTGTCTGATGGCGCTGGCTCATTCCGCACATGCTCAGTTGAACAGAAATCTTCATATTGAATGCAACCTAGCACAGCGGCAACACCCAGAACCTCACTCCCTGGCTGCTCCTGTGCCTGCACTCCCTCTAGTTGCATTCTGTTCCTGACAAGTCTAACATTTATAGGGAGTATAGAGAGCAGAGTAGGTCCTGGGAGTTTGAGGACAATATACAAATGAGCTTAAAGTCACGGTTTGTCCCTGCCTTCCTAGCTTCTCTCTAGGTTGGTCTCTAGTGAGGGTAGGCGCTGGATAGATATTTGTTGAGTTTGGGGCAGAACGTGGGAGAAGCTGTCTCTATAGATGACCGTTTGCTGTCGCACACCTTCCTAGG
This sequence comes from Homo sapiens, assembly GCF_000001405.40. Classification (NCBI taxonomy): domain Eukaryota; kingdom Metazoa; phylum Chordata; class Mammalia; order Primates; family Hominidae; genus Homo; species Homo sapiens. The sequence continues at coordinate 41,924,236 of NC_000023.11, read as the reverse complement.
CAGTTTTTGTTTAGTCCTTTTCTTGGACGACCTCCCCTTACCCCCAGCCCTCATCTTCATTAAGGAATGACAGGGTAGCACTAAAAGCATCCGCTGCCAAGCACGGATTCAGTGACAACCTCTCTCCACCTCTCTTTTAGCTTTCTCATTCATTAGCACCCTTTCCCTGCCTCTTTTCCCAGCAAAAAACTGGGAAAGGCTCCCTGCGATTACAAAAGAAGGAAAGGGGAGCGGCCAGAGTTTCGTGCCTCTTGCCGGACAACGAGCGTGCAGCCGTGGACCTTTTGTCTCCAGCCCCTTTCGCGGCTTGGTCGCGGCTAGGCGCGGAGGCGACGACCCCAACCAGCCCCGCCTCGGCAGCTGCAGCCGGCGCGCCCCACTCAACCCCCCGCGCCCTCTAGAATCCCGGTGCCCGCCCGTTCGCCGTGACGCGGCCGGCGCCCCGCGCATGCGCCGCTCGGCCCGCTCCCCTTTCCCTGGGCCACCGCCTCCCGACCGGTTGGAGTGGGCGGAGCCTGTGGTTCTGGAAGCCGCGCCGCCGACGGGGGAGGAGGGCGTGTCTGCGCGAGGCGGGTGAGCGGGGCTGGCGAGCCGGTCGGCTGCTGAGGCGTAGGGGCGGAGCAGAAGGCGGCGGCCGCGGCTCCCGCCCGCACAGAGCGCCGGTCCCGCGAAGCCCCCTCCCACTCCCGGGCGGGCGGTGGCGGCTGCGGGAGGAGGAGAAAGAGGAGGGAGCGTCTCTGCCGCCGCCTCCTGGTCCCCAGCGCCGATCCGCCGCCGCCGCCACCTCCCTCCGCGGCGATCCTCGCTCCATGGTCCTGCCGCGGCCCCCTCTGTAGCCCGAGCTGCTCCGCGACGCGACGGAGCCGGCCTCGGACAGAGGGAGCGGTCGCGGCCTCGCGGCCCGCGCGGGCTGACGAGCGGAGAGCGCGACGCCGCGCGGTCCCCGAGGATCCGCACGCCGGGCAGCGCGGCCCGAGCAGCGCGAGAAGCAGCGGGCGGGCGGGCGGCGCCGGGCCCGGGCCGCCCTCGCTCCCGCGCCCCGGCCCCGCCGCCCGCGCCGGGGCGGTCGCCTGCAGAGGAAGGCGCCGCAGTCTCTGGGCCTCGCGGCCCCACTCGAGCGTCCTCGGCACCGAGGGCTCGCGGGTCCTGAGGGGAGGAGGCGATCCCGGGGCTGGGCACTGAGCTCTTGGGCGCCCCCACCCCCGTTTTCGAAGCCCTCCACGCTGCGGCCGCTATCCCCTCCGGACCATGGCCGACGACGACGTGCTGTTCGAGGATGTGTACGAGCTGTGCGAGGTGATCGGAAAGTGAGTCTCCACGCGAGGGAGCGGGAGTGTGGAAAAATGCATTTCAGTGATGCCCCGGTCTTCCCGCACCCGCTCGGGGCCTGCCCCCTGCCCTCCCTCCTTCCCCTCTTCCCCTCTCGTCCTTCTCATCCTGGAGTATTTATAGACGTGTACCTGGAGCTCCTGCCAGGCGGGGGCCTGGGGGTTCTCAGCGGTCCATTGAGGCCACCGAGCCGAGGTTGGCCACCCCGTAAGGCGTGGGGCCGGCTGCCTGCATTTTATCTGACGGTTGCACAGGGACGTGGCACAGCCGATTTTATAGTTGCTTCAGTTGGGGTTATTGTTACCTTGCATGTACCATAGACCATTTTTGAAACAGAGCAGCTTGCATTTCCTTTGCTTGTGTGGTGAGAGAGTCCAGGGTTTTAATTGTGGGGTGTGTGTCTATTGTGCGGGATATTAGACAGATGCCTTTGTGTACACCCCATGCTCGGATTGGAGGGGGTCATTTAAGACGGGGTGCTTTCAGTTTCAGCAAATTCCCTCCTGGTGTACACGAACGTGGAAAGAGTTGGGGGCATTCGAATTTTTAATGCCTTGTTATGCAATGACTGTTCAATCAGTGCTCGAGACTCCCCTCGACTGTTGTTGGGATGGTGGTTAGCGTGGTAGAGCCGTCTGCTTTGAGTCACCGGGCTGGTCTAGAATATAGAACTGACAGTCCAAATGCTCATCCTTTCATCTGTGTTGTATAATTACGCTGGGGAAAAGCAGGGAATCAGATTAATCACAGTGCTGATTGAGAATTAAATCTGCAGTTCCTCATCTAATTGTCCATTCCTTAAATCTATTTTGAATAGTTTCCTTTTCATTCTTGTCAAACAGTACTCCAAGTGCACAATCCTGCTAATTTGCTTGTGAAGGAAATGCTGGCAATCTGAAGTTGATTTCCTAACACAGCGTGTATTCTGCGGCTTTAGAAGTTGAGGAGATAAGATTTAAGAGCAAATTTTTGCTTAATAAGGATCGCTAGAGCTAACATTGAAATATCTTACCTCTTTTTTTTTTTTTTTTTTTTTTTGGAAGCGGTGCTTTATTGTCTATTTTAAGGTCCACAGTTGGGAAATGAAACCAAGACCTTAAAGCAGTTGGCCCTATCTCTTTTAAGTTGTCTGCAGTACTCAATTTCAATTTGAGTGCTAATTTGTTTCCTTTTCTTTCCATATTGAGGTATTACAGTGTTGCCTCACATGGTGAAATTGTGGGTAGAGCTTGCTACACACTTTACTCAGACCCAATTGATGTGAGGACATGTTACTCCTTGCCCTATTGTTACATGACCAGCCAGACTTAAAAGGAAAGTATCCAAATGTGTCCTGTTAAAGTGCTTGTGGAAGTGTTCTAGAACAGCACTGTCCAAAAGATATATTATGAGCCACATTTGTAATTTAAAATTTTCTAGTAGCCACATTTAATAAAAACATACAGGTGCAATTAATTTTAATAAAATATTTTATTTAACCCTGTAGATCCAAACTTAACATTTCAACATGTAATCAATATGAAAAAATATTAATGAAATATTTTACATCTTTTATGCTAAGTCTTTGAAATCCCAATGTGTATTTTACACTAATAGCACATCTCAATTCTGACACTAAGCTACATTTCTGATGAAAATCAGAAATACTTAATCTGTATTTAGGTTTCATAAAATTTGCGTTTGCAAAAGTATATTCACATACCCAAGTTGTTCCCAATATACATAAAAGTTTTCCAATAACCGAATCAAGTACCTTTTTCTAAATTTAAATTTTAATTAATTAAAATTAAATACAATTCAAAATTCAGTTTCCCAGTCGGACCAGCCACGTTTCAGGTGCCCAGTAGCCACATGTGAATAGCACAGTTCTAGAGAGAAAAATGCATCAAAAATCTCCTTGGTTTCCTCATTCTTAGGAGCACCCAGTGAAGATAAATTAGGTGTTTCCCAAAAGCCTCCAAATGACTGTATGTGTGGGTGAATGATGTTTGTTGCATCTTAGTTATAGCTGATGTAAATGAACTAACAAAGTCATAATTGGAAAATGTGAGATTAAAATGTTAATTATATTGTGAAGATGTAAAATAGCCATCTCTGAATCAGTTTTGGTAACTAGTTCTGATTCCTTAAAGTCTGGAAGGGTGATGATGTGATCTCTTTGGATATCAAAAAGAAATGGTCAGAATCACATTAACACAGTCCATATTCTGCTGATTTGTAATTGATAGAATATTTTTCAGGAAACACCCCTGGGAGAAAAAAATTCATCTTTTCTGACTGTTTCAGAGCTGCATAAAGAGGGGCAGCAAGCTAATTTTGAGGTGATAGGTACTCTATGGCTACCTTAACTACTATGAACTGTGAAATCTCATTCATATCCTACAAAATCTGACTTGGTCAGTGCCAATTATAAAATGCCATTATGTGAAATAATGAATTCAAGCTAGCCTTATTGTTAAAGAATGTAATAATAGTGTTCCTCAATCTGAGTAAAGGTTGAAGGTTTCTCTAGTAAATTGTCTTAGTATATATTGATCTGGAAATTGAAATTAGCTTGAGATTTTCTTGCAGGGACCTTGACAGCATACATTTTTAACTTATAATTTGTTCACCTCTGAATTTGAACAGAAAGCCCTTGAAGATATTCACATGTACTGAAAACCTTTTTATTGATTTCTATCCAAGTTCTATGGAATTTTGATTTTCTTTTTTACCAAATTAGTATCACAAGTTGTTTTTCACCACTAGATCTTAATAGGTTTTAATTTTTACTAAGGTACTTTAAAATAGATTTCACTTTTCAAGACTAATTGACTACCCACTCACTCCTCTACCTACGCAACCACCTACTCACTCACCCACTGTGTACTTGGCCTTACTTGATGGCATAAATGAAAGTTCTCGTTTAATTTAGACCCTTCAGTGTGTTTTTTTCCCCCTTGGTTGAGAAAGATAACTTACAGAGTTAATGAGGTTTTGAAATATAAGATCATTATTTGGAATATGTTTTCTTTCCAGTGGTTGCAGCCTTTACCCTTGTTAAAGCTGTCTTTGAGGGAACATGTGCCCAATTTGTTACAAATATTGGAAGGATGCCGTTTCCCTTTTTAAAAATTAAAACTCTTTTCCCTGTGTTTCTCATTTTTGAAAATCTTGCAGAAACTCCTTTGAGTGACTGTTGGTTCTATAACATTTTCTATGTAACTATCTTTTAAATGACTGAAACAAATCTCCAATAATAAGACCTTATCATAGTCCCAAAACTTCTTGTCTTAGCAAATGTAGCGATTACTGGAAAGGAAGGGCGTTATGCAAATGAGGTTAATGACTAATTTTTATGTCATGATCATTTACTGTATCTTTTACAATTATAAGTAAGTGTACAACCGGTAATACTACATGAAGGAAATTTAAGACAATTCATCGAAATTAAAACATAGAAAAATGCCTACTTTCTTGGTACAGCAGTGTGTATGAAAGGGAATAACAAAATACATACCATTTTTACCTTGTGTTAGGTGAATACTTGCCCTGTTTAGTAGCCTGTAGCTTCAGACTTTCCTGCTCTGGTAGGACATACACTAAAATTGGAATGATGCAGCATGACCCTTGCTTAAGGATGACGTGCAACTTTGTGAGGCATGCTGTATTTGCTTACTCCTCGAGAGCACTTTTATTTAATTACAGTTACTTATTTATGGATCTCTCTAGTTCACTAATAAGGAGCTTCCTGAGGGCAGGGAATGTTTCTTACACATCTTTCTCCATTAACACAGTGCGTGCAATGTAACTGCCTTTCATTAGCTGTGGAATGAATTGAGTAGTTTTAATAAAATCTCATTAAAAGGCAAAAAAGCATGTTTGTCAACCTCAGAGCAATTATTGTCCGAAGAGCCTGCATTAGTTTAAAGTAGTGGTTCTCCACCTGGCTGCATATTAGAATCATCCGGGGAGCTTTTAAAAAAGATCAACGCCAGAGCCCTGTGTCAAAGCAGTGAAGTCCGAGTTTCTGGGACTGGGTCCTGGTCACTGACATTTTTTTAAAGCTCTCTGTGTGATTCTAATATGCAGCTATAATGAGGAATCATTGGCTTAAAACTTAGATTATGTATGTAATATTTTGGGACTGGCTTTTCAGAGGCTTACAATTCTTACAAAGTAGAATAAATTCTTTTTGGAAGGTATTGAAGCTAAATGGCTAAAACATGGATTTTATCTTCTATGCACTTGTGTTTCTCAGCCTTATTGTGTAAAAATTTAGTTTTAGCTTGTGTTTGGCTTTGATTTCTTGGGCCTTTTAAGATCCACATTGATTTATGACACTCATCTAATGCTAACATGGCGATTGTCTGACGTTTGGAACAACACAGAACAAGGATTGCTTCAATAACAGTTGATGATGGTTTTCCACTATAATGGCTTGATTTAATATGAAGAAATTTATCAGTTTAGTATGGATTGTGTTTGTACATACACTCTATTAAAAGAGTATGGTTAAGTTGCTTGTATGCTTTAAATTACATACTTGTGATTCCAGTAATGCTGTTAGCTGGAGAATTGAGTTAATGCAGCCTTTATGTAAATACTGGATTAATAATACGTAAAGTATATAATTCAGCATACAGAAAAATTCAGCTTTACTAATTTGTACTAATTACTATGACTTTCACATGTATTGATTCATGCAGTGATTTGGGTTTCTAGTACCATAGGGAGAATTTCGCATTGTGTTGAAAAAATGTTTCCCGGAAATTTTAACTAGACTTTGTAGGTAAACTAGTTTTTAATGTTAGGAAAAGATCAAGTGTTTGCCTGAAGGAACCGAGAATTTTCCAGAAATGAGTAGATATTCCAGAAATACCAGTGATCGTGAAAGCAGTGCATGATCACAGTGACAGCCAAGTAACAAGGTAAAAGAAGTGATCAGCAGCTAAATTGTTGGTGGCCCAGAAAGAATGCAAGCCATGGGAGTTAAGCTGTACTTCTACAGAGGAAAATCCTTTTGAACTCAGGGTGTGGATGCTACAGATAGCAGGCCTCAATGGGAGTGGGGAAGCAATATTGATTCCTGATGATCCTAGGATCATTTGGAGGGAGAACAGAGCTACTCCGTTGCTTTTCTGCATGTATACAACCTTCTCTAGTCTCTTCCTGTCTGCTTTTTACAGATTGCTTTAGGGTGTGTTGTTTGAAGTTGTCTTCATAAATACTTCCTGTGGACTCCCTTAATTTTTATGTCCGTAACACGCTTCTATGTACTTGACATACGCAGTTCAGCTCTCTCCATTTTTTCCTTGTATCTGCAACAGTTTCACCTGATGAACTACGTCTCAAGTGTCCCTAAATTGTGTACCTGGATATTTCCTTTAAACTGAAAATTCTGTCTCCAGCTGTAGTTCTACTCAATAAATTGAAGGAGCAGATATACCTTGCTTCTTGAGATTATTCTTGAATTATTACATTTTCTTAAACGTTTTCACATTTTAAATGTGGTAGGAGCACTGCATTTAAAGGAACTTTGACATAAGGTTGTTTAAAAAACTTCTATAACTTAAAGCTTACTTTATAAAGGGATTGACATTTATCCCTCTAATGTTAGGCATTTTGGATGTATTATTTAATCATACCCATTTTACAGAGAACACTGAGATTCAGAGGGGGTGATCAGTAATTCGCCTAAGATCACACAGATTCCAACGCGGTTCCATGGTTTTAAAGTCTGTTCATTTCATGCTGCATTCTGCTGCTAATTCAAGTTGTGAAAATACTGTGTTGGATTTTCTTAAAGACACGTCTTCATTTTCAGAGTTTCTATACTGCAAATTTTAGTTGTTTGACTTTCTGGTTAAATTTCTTATTTCTTCAGTAGAGGTTCCATATACTATTCATTCTTTCATCTGTTTCTTTTTTATTTTTGTCTTTCTCTTTAATGAAACATCAGCATTTGTTACCAAACTAACTGGTAAATCTAGCAATGGAAATATAGACTCTTGGCCATCTGTCCAAAATATAATTTGTTTTGGAACTTTCTCTACTTCTTTTACTCTCCAAATTTTTTCTTCCATTTCCCTTGCCCCAACAGACAGGATAGTTGATTAATTACCCCTAACTTGCCAAACCAGAAGTAATAAGGTTTCAGAGGTAGATGTTTGTTGGAAGTGGGGTGGAGTGGTTTCCAAAGGATAGTTATTCCTTTATCCTGTGATAAAAATACGGAGATTGTTCTCTCTGATTCTGAAAACCGTGTAGTGAGCTGCAGCCGCTGAGTCTGTGAGCTTCTAGCTGTTTGCCAGCACTGTACACCTTAAATAATCAAGAGACTGAGTTAACTATTGCAGAGCAGGTACCGGACCCCAGCCAACAAGCTGATGGGATGTGCTGTTCTCACATTTTTTGGTTTTATTTTTTAGTTGCAACTGACAGTGAAGATTCTAGAAGCACCAAATATGGCTCTGGATTTATGCTGTGGGATTTAAGATGCTACAGAACTTGCTCTCCTTCCTTTCTGTCCTGGAGCCACTATGGTATTGGTTGTAGAGCCCAAGTCAGTATAGAGTCTCTGACTTCTACCCTGGGAAAATTTCATTTCCGAAGCTAGTTTGTTTTGAAGTTAATGTTTATTTCCAACATTGAGATTTAATAATTTTGTGTTACTTTTCTTTATTAATTAGTTTTTATACAGTAAATTATAAAAGTAATGATGCACGTAGTAAATTTTATTTTCTTTTTTTGAGATGGAGTCTCGCTCTGTCTCCCAGGCTGGAGTGCAGTGGCACGATCTTGGCTCACTACAACCTCCGCCTCCTGGGTTCAAGTGATTCTCTTGCCTCAGCCTCCCAACAAGCTGGGATTACAAGCATGCACCACCGCGCCTGGCTAATTTGTGTGTGCGTGTGTGTGTGTGTGTGTGTGTGTGTTTTGAGACGGAGTCTCACTCTGTCGCCCAGGCTGGAGTGCAATGGCGCGATCTCGGCTTACTGCAAGCTCCGCCTCCCAGGTTCACGCCATTCTCCTGCCTCAGCCTCCCGAGTAGCTGGGACTACAGACGCCCGGCTAATTTTTTTTTTTTTTTTTGTATTTCTAGTAGAGATGGGGTTTCACCATGTAAGCCAGGATGGTCTTGATCTCCTGACCTCGTGATCCACCCGCCTTGGCCTCCCAAAGTGCTGGGATTACAGGCGTGAGCCACCGCGTCCAGCCTAGTTTTTTATTTTTAGTAGAGACGGGGTTTCACCAGGCTGGTCTCGAACTCCTGACGTCAGGTGATCCACCTGCCTTGGTCTCCCAAAGTGCTGGGATTACAGGCGTGAGCCACTGTGCCCAGCCATACAATTTAAAATATAGGTGATACAAAGATAAGTAGTGAGTCTGTCTCAATTCTCCTACCATCCATATCCCCATTCTCTAGAGGTAACCATTGTTCAGTTTCTTCTCCATCTTTCTGGAAGCTTTTTGTTTAAAAGTGAGATATTTGTATACTATGCTGAAATATTGATTTTTCATGAATAATAGTATATACTTGATGATCTTGTCATATCCATCAATGTATCTGTCTGTCTCTATCTCCTCTTTAGCTGCTGCCCAGTATTCTGTCATATGGATTGTTACTTTGGCTTTGGATTGAGTGCAAGCCAATTGTAATTTTACATTGCTTGAAATGCTGAGCTGGAATTTGGGTGAGAGGTATGGAATGGCAGTGAAGATTTGGGAGTCATCTGTGTGGAAGTAAAACTGAGTGAACAAGTTCTTGGGGGTTGACTGCTCTAGGGCTCGTGGTTTGGAGTATAACTCATAGAGTTAGAAGAATCAGGATAATGGGCTGCACAGAAGTTTAAAAGAGGGGGGAGGATCAATAATGTAAAATGCCAATATACTCTGAGGACTAAGAACACATGTGGCTATAACAGAGAAACAATTTAAAGCACTTATCAAAATGAATATTATGTTTAATAGTCAATTCATGATGTGTCTGAAAAGCTAGGTCTGGCTTCTTTTCTGTGGATACTAGTAATTTTATACTATCTCTCTGTAAATCTATCTCAGAACCAACATATTTAGGGTAAAAACAAAGTAGATTTCTTTTTCACTCTAATTGTGTTTTGCAGATTTCTGATGACTGGCTTTTAGGTAAAATCATTTGGTTTTCCTAAGATTATGTCCTTTTCATTCCCGAGCTTGTGCATGACTGTCAATTAAATGGAAGCCTTTCATGAAGTGACAAAGTAAGTTTTAGATACTTTACATTTACTTTAAGTTCTTGGTATGTGTCAAACCACTGTTATTGTCTTATATCTTTCTACTATAGGAAACTGAATTCTTTCTAGCCTCAAGGATTTTTGTCCACGTTGGATGAATGTAGTACTGTCCTCCTCTTTCACATTTCTTCTCCCATCACCTCCTAACTAAATTTGTTCATTGGCTATTTTTGGTTGTCCACATCCATTCACAATAAGAAACGATTGCTTCGTTGTACATAAGCCAGTTTTTTGGTATCTAAGTGCGTGCTATTTCACTTCAGCTTCTTGTATTCTATTTATTACTGGGCTGTTGTACATTGTTTTTTCTCCCAATCTTTGTGATTTCTTTTAATATACTTTCTTTCCTTTTTGCTTTGTAATCATTGTTTTGAGTATTTGAATCATTTGCAGGTAAGAATGTGGATTGTTCTGTCTCTCATGTAGTTTAATAATATCCAAAATATACTATGTTCAGTCTGTATTTCAGGCTTTTAACACTTAAGTTAGAGTATTTTGGTATATTTAAATCTAGGATAGAAGTACACTGTATTACCATTCAACTACATGCAGATTTTAATGTTTTCTTAAATTAAAGGATGATGATATTCATTCAGTTACAGAGGTCTCTCTCTCTAGTCCTTCCATGGTGTGCAGATTACCATTATACTACTGCTATTTCATAGATTCTAATTTGTGTTTTTAGAAAACATCATCAATTCTTGGCCTTCTTTCTTACCCTTGGTATGTGATTTCCCCTAAAGGTATGGAATGCGGTTGCTCTGTGGCTTGTTAGGCAGCCCCCTTCTGATCTGGTAACCTTTGGGCACAGTGTGGCTATTTTCTCCTTATTTATAAAAGGAATGATAGCTGCTTCACAAACCATTTGTGTGGATTAGTGAATTGTAAAGTGCAGCATAAGTATTTTTTATTTCTAGAATGTCTCTGAGATACTCAAATTACTTTTGGCAGTTATGTACGTAAGTTTCAACAATTTCCAAATGTGCACATTCTCAGTGCTAAACACAGGCTCTATTACATAAATAATATGGTGAAATGAACATTCTTTTCTACCATGTGTGTAAAATTGTTAGTGGTGCTAACTTTTATTCATTGTTCATTTATGTATTCATTTCTAGCTATGAGGTCCTGGGCAAGTTAGTTAGCCTCTCTGACCCTCAGTTTCTTTATCTGTAAAATGTGGTTAATGGTATATACTTTGTAAGGTTGTTGTGAGGATTGAATAGCATGATCTATGTGAAATGTCTAAAGGTTGTTATTTTAATTGCCATTGTCATTATTATTATTTTTTAAATTTTATTATTATTATACTTTAAGTTTTAGGGTACATGTGCACAACGTGCAGGTTTGTTACAAATGTATACATGTGCCATGTTGGTGTGCTGCACCCATTAACTCGTCATTTAGCATTAGGTATTGCTATTCACCAAACACTTGAGTTCTCTGGCCTCAGGGAGCTCAAATGAGTTATTCACACACTCATGCACATATCCTCTGCGTAACTTGGTAACCAACAGACACACATAGTAAAATATTTGGTCAGCAGTTGTTGAATGAGTGAGTACATTAACTGAGAAATCCAGAGACTGTGTGACCACCTAGTAGGAGAAGGAAGTTGGGGAAATCATTACAGAGGAGGTGAGGCTTGAATGATTTGTCGGTCTTCTCCTTGGGTAACTCATGTTATCTTTGTAGGCCTGCTTCCTCATTTATAAAAAGGAGTAGAGGAATACAGGTAGGGAAAATTGAAGAAATTTTAATAAAGTCACATATATTACTTTAAAAAAGTATAACTTTCATAAATTATGTATATTATAACATTATATATATTTTTATATATATTTTATATATATATATATATAAATTACTTGCAAGAGGGAAGGAGAGAGGGTCTCACTATGTTGCCTAGGCTGGTCTCAAACTCCTGGCCTCAAGCAGTCCTCCTGCCCCAACCTCCCAAAGCGCTGCGATTACAGGCATGAACCACTGCACCCAGCCTAAGAAATATATTGAAGAGTCCTTTCTGTCTTTTTAAAAACTGTCCAGGCCGGGTGCAGTGGCTTATGCCCGTAATCCCAGCACGTTGGAAGGCTGAGGTGGGTGGCTCACTTGAGGTCAGGAGTTTGAGACCAGCCTGACTAACGTGGTGAAGCCCCGTCTCTACTAAAAATACAAATATTAGCTGGGCATGGTGGTGCGTGCCTGTAATCCCAGCTACTTGGGAGGCTGAGGCAGGAGAATTGCTTGAACCCAGGAGGCGGAGGTTGCAGCGAGCCAAGATTGCACCACTGTAGTCCAGCTGGGGCAACAAGAGCAAAACTCTGTCTCAAAAAAAAAAAAAAAAAAAAAAAACAGAAAACAAACAAAAAAACTGTCCAGTGAGCTGTAATCACTGCACTCCAACCCAGGCAACAGAGCAAGACACTGTCTTAAAAAAATTCTTTTAAAAATGTCATTGCTCTCATTGTTCAACTCCCACTTATGAGTAAGAACATGCAGTGTTTGGTTTTCTGTTCCTGTGTTAGTTTGCTGAGAATGATGGTTTCCAGCTTCATCCATGAGAACATATAGGCACAGGGAGGGGAACATCACACACCGGGGCCTGTTGGGGGTTGGGGGGCAAGGGGAGGGATAACATTAGGAGAAATACCTAATGTAGATGATGGGTTGATGGGTGCAGCAAACCACCATGGCACATGTATACCTATGTAACAAACCTGTACGTTCTGCACATGTATCCCAGAACTTAAAGTATAATAAAAAAAGTTAAAAAAAAACTGTCATTGCCTCTTATGTACATAGAAAATACAGTATTGAGTTACAGATTTTCATAATTTGTTTCCAAGTCTGTTCTAGATTATAATTCCGTAGTGTTGTGAAAAACTCCCAAGATTGTTAAAAGAAGGAATTTTGTATCACACTTCTTATGTTTGCATTTAGACAATTGACAGATTAATTAATTGTTCATAATGTGAAATTTCAAGACTGAAAAAAGGAAAATCCCAGAATATATATTTCAGAAACACCCATATATAGGATTTATGAATATTGTAGTGTTCCTTTATGTAACTTCCCAAAATTTTATTACAACAGCAATTTCTACATCTTAACAGTGAGCAAAATGAGGTGGAAAGATTCTGAAGTTGTAGTCTCTGACACTACTGGGCACTGAATCTAAATAACCTAAAACCACAGAACAGTATTTCATCTTCTAGTTCTTATTACATTGTCAGGTGTAAGAATGATCATGTTGAAATTGAGTGGTTGGTCTGTTTAGATCACTTCTATGGAAATACTGCTTAGATTGGTTTCAGAAATCCTTGGACAGTATTATTTATATTGCATTATTTAGGTTAGAAATTTTTGCTGACTTCCATCTGAGTTATTAGTTCAAAAGCAGAATCATCAGCCTTTATATGGAATCTCTGCTGGTGCTCATCTTAGGCTTAGTATCTTCTTAACTGGGTTTTTGTTAGCAGTATAGTGTGGCATTAAATTTGAGACTATCTTTTTAATAAATTTTTTAAAAATTTTGTCAGTTGTAGAATAATTAGATACTTGTAAAACAAGCAAGAAGCTGTTTTCACTGAGGACTTTCTTTAATTACATTTCATATAAATTTAAGAGAACTGTTACTAGAATATTAAAATCACAGGTTAAAGTGAGAATGTATTTCACATAATCAACATACATAACATTTTTAACAGCATGCTAAAGATGGAAAAAACCTTTACCAACCATACATATTATAGGCAAAGCTTTAAAAAAAACAAAACATTTTGCTCTTATGGATGTGAAAGTAATCTGTGTAAATATGTATTTAAATGAAAATATCTATTCATTATCATTGCAGAAGGAGTGTGGGTATCTGGAGAGGGAGCATTCTAAACTTGCTGCTCTACTTTTTGGATTATCTACATTAATATTTCTCCCATTGCTGAGTATTTCTGTTATACTGCTGGATCATCATACTTCCATAATCTGTGACCCACTTGCTCTAATGGTAGAGTGGGCTTTAAACTGCCATCTGATTAAAGTTCAGGTTTCTTAGTTAGACTTGCCTGGGTGGCTTCAGAATTAGGCCCACAAATATGAATATGGACTTGAAGATCTTACTAGAACAATATTTTCCCCGATAAAGACACATCCATAAACATGGTCCTAAAAAGATATGTGTAAGTTGGATTTGAAAAATGCAATTTAAGAGTTACTAGGAAAAAGGGATTTTAAGGAAACATTTTAAGTAATTTGTGTGATATCACCAGTTGGTTTTTCTTCAGTTTCTTCATCTTGTAAAAGAAGGATAGTAATGGCTATATTATCTACCTCATGAGATTCTCATGCACATAAAATTACATAATTCTTAAGTCTTAAACTACCTTACGTATATTATTATTTCAATTTTATTGAAATAAAACACTTTTTTTTTTTGTGATGGAGTCTCACTCTGTCACCCAGGCTGGAGTGCAATGGTGTGATCTCTGCTCACTGCAACCTCCGCCTCCTGGGTTCAAGCAATTCTCCTGCCTCAGCCTCCCGAGTAGCTGGGACTACACATGTGCACCACCACGCCCGGCTTAGTCTTGTATTTTTAGTAGAGACAGGGTTTTGCCATGTTGGCCAGGCTGATCTCAAACTCCTGAGCTCAGGTGATCTGCCTGCCTCGGCCTCCCAAAGTGCTGGGATTACAGGCATGAGCCACTGTGCCTGGCCCAAACTAAAACACTTCTAATGGACTTGTACTTTGGCTGGGCACGGTGGCTCACACCTGTAATCCCTGCACTTTGGGAGGCCAAGGTGGGTGGATCATTTGAGGCCAGGAGTTCAAGACCAGCCCAGGCAACATGGTGAAACCTCGTCTCTACTAAAAATGTCATAAAATTAGCCGGCCATGGTGGCGTGTGCCTGTAATACCAGCTACTTGGGAGGCTGAGGCGGGAGAATAGTTTGAACCCGGGAGGCATAGTTTGCAGTGAGCCGAGATCATGCCATTGCACTCCAGCCTGGGCGATAGAGCGAGACTAAGAAAAAAAAAAACAAAACAAGAACATGGGCTTTGTTGACTTTTCTTTGATTTTGTAAGAATCATTTACCTTTGTCTTTAAAAGTGATTTTATTTTCTTGTTTGATTTATAGACATTAATACTTCTCAACTCCTTATAGGGCTCAGAACATGTTAGGTGAAAATATTGCATAAAGAGATTTGAGAATGAATGGGGCAATGATAAATTTACACTGAAGTCAAAGTAAAGAAAGACTTCTGAGTATTTTGTTTTCCCCAGCTTCTTTTTAAATTGCTTAATTTTGTTGGAGCTTTGATGTGTGGAACTTACTACAAGTGACAAATGTTTGTGGCCAATCAGATGGCACATCCTGTTCCATCTGATATTGAACATCCTGTTTAGTCAGTGAGGTTTAGATCAGTGGTTTTCAAAGTGTGGATCTTCTGACCAGTAGCAGCATCTGGAAACTCATTAGAAATGCAGATTCTTAGGCCCTGCTCTGGCCCTACAGAATTAGAAGCCCTGGGGTTGGAGCACAGCTATTTCTGTTGTAACAAACCCTCCAAGGGAATTCTGAGGCACGCTAAAGATTGAGAACCACTGTCTTGGAACTCTAGATCAGGGGTCAGTAAACTATGGTCCATGGGCCAAATCATCCTACTGCCTGTTTTTGTAAATAGTTATTTGGAACACAGCCACCGTCATTTATTTAAGCATCATCTATGGTTGCTTTTATGCTATGGGGCAGAGTTGATTAGTTATGACAGAGACCAAATGGTCCATACAGCCTTAACCATTTCTCCAGCTTTTTACACAAAAAGCTTGCCAATCCCTACTCAAGATAAAGCATTCGTGCTGTTTTCTTTCCTTTAATTCTGAACTGTGAACAGCTAAAATCATTAGGTAAACGCTTGTGTTTGCCTTTACACCTGACCCTCCTATTTCTACAGATCCATTCTTCTCTCTCATATCAAATTATTAATTCAATGAGTAGAGACTTGTAAATGAAAATAACATACTACTCTACCCTTTCCTTTTCTGTTAGGTAGTGGTGGTAGCCTGTTTAACAATTCCATGACCTTTTCTCACTGATTGTGTGCTGGTGTGTCCTTGGTTTTTCTGTACTCTAGTGTAATCTAACTTAATCATGTATTGTAATCTTCATTTTTCCCAATTCTTACTGCCTTTTTACTTCCTCAAGAGAAAACCCACCTTGTGACTGCCAAGTTTAGGGATTCATGTGAGCTGTTTGGAATGTTTGTTTGTTTGTTTGTTTGACAGAGTCTTGTTCTGTCGCCCAGGCTGGAGTGCAGTGGCACAATCTCAGCTCACTGCAACCTCTGCCTCTCAGGTTCAAGCAATTCTCCCTGCTTCAGCATCCTGAGTAGCTGGGATTACAGGCCACCACGCCTGGCTAATTTTTCTAATTTTTGTATTTTTTAGCAGAGACGGGGTTTCACCATGTTGGCCAGGCTGATCTTGAACTCCTGACCTCAGGTGATCTGCCTCCTTCAGCCTCCCAAAGTGCTGGGACTGTTTAGTGTGTTCTAAGCCAGGGGTCCCCAACCCTTGGGCCGCTGACCAGTACCGGTTCATGACCTGTTAGAAACCAGGCCGCACAACAGGAGGTGAGCAGCAGGCCAGCCAGCATTACTGCCTGAGCTCTGCCTCCTGTAAGATCAGTGGCAGCATTAGATTCTCATAGAAGCACAAACCCTATTGTGAACTGCACATGCGCGGGAACTAGGTTGCATGTTCCTTATGAGAATCTAATGCCTGATGATCTGAGATGGAACAGTCTCATCCCGAACCCCCTACCCCCACCCCGGTCCCCATCGTCCATGGAAAAATTGTCTTCCACAAAACCGGTCCCTGATGCCAAAAAGGTTAGGTACCACTGTTCTAAGCCATTGAAATAGTGCCATCCCTTCTGGAAAATTGTTACCCTTGTCCTGGAGTGCTGTAGTCACTGGTATTTCACCAGGATGTTAGGGTATTTCACCAGGATGTTAGTGAGCACATAGATATTGAATATTTCGGGCAATCTTAGAATGTTTACTGGGAGAGTTTTAAAAGTTAGCCTTCCCACATCCCTCCAAGAATAGCTGTTTCTCTTTGTAGCTGGAATGTCATGTTGTACTCTTGATTCTCCTTTGTACCTGTTCTTAGCCATTAAGGTGATTGGTGGTCAACTTCGTATAAAATACAACTCAATTTTACCATTGTTCTTATTGATGCACATGAATGTTTCTCTTTATGCATATCACTGAGGGAAGTATAGTAGCCTTTGAAAGAAAGGCCTTCTTGTAGTCTCCCCTGGCTCTGGTAGCAAGGTCAGGCAAAAGTGTTGTTTTTGCAGTTGTGACTCCATGGTTGTGTTTTTCTTTACATAACTGATGTTTTAAGTCAGGAAATATGACTTTGCCAAATGATACTGAGCTATATTACTGGTGAGTTTGTTTGGTTCCTGATTTATTTCAGTAAATCTGGGTTGAATAGTTTAGTAGTAGATGCTGGGGAAGATACAGGAAATAGTGAGTTTGAGACTAGAAATGATTGAGTTAGACATTTAATTTAGGCTTTCCCAATCAACTTACTTCATACCTTTTGCCCTGCTTACTCATCCCAGAGGTGAGGAACAATGAGAAGAGGGGTCAGGCAAAGGCCATCCCTCAGAATGTGGTTACTTAGGTCTGTCGCCAAAGGCAACCTATCTACTGGAAAATTTGAGCTTTACTGTCTTCTGCAGTATAGTGTTGGAAATGCAGTATTTTAAAAACTAAATTGTTATTTATAGCAGTGAATAAAATGTGAACTCTTTAAAAAAAGAGCAGTGTTACTGTCCCAGCTAGCACAATAGCCACCCACATGAATCATCTGAACAACCTCCTCATTTCTGTTTTATCTACCTGAAATAGGGGTCAGCGGTAGGTGATGATGAAAGCTTGGGAAATCATGCCATGCATTAGGCAGGAGAAATGCTGTGGTGACTCTTTCTGTGTTGTCCTGCCCTCATGTGCATAGGAGGCTGGGGCAGCCCCAAGAGCTAGAGGTAAGCTTTAATAATTTCCCTGGGTTCCTTGGCAGCTGGCTGTGCTTAGGAGCCGGGTGCTACTTCCAGAGTAGCAACTGCTGTAGAAAAGTTCTGCCAAATGTGTAGATTTTGAACCATTTTAAAGGCTATAGTGTTCAGACTCAAATTTTTTAGTAGGCAGAGAGTATTATTTAAGGGTACTTATGCTGCAGTATTGGATAAGGTTCGTTGTGAAATAGATACTACAACAAGGCCTCCATGTGACATAAACTTATTGGAACTTGTGTACTTTTAAAACCATATGTTTAATACATATTTTGAGCTTCATTAGGTCAGGATTCTTGGCTATCATAGTCATTGTTGTATCTCTACAACCTAGAGTAGTGTCTGGTACATAGTAGATGTTCAGTATATAGTTGAATCAGTTCAAACAAGGGGAAGAAGTGACTGAACACATTAGAAAAGGTAAAATTTATGGCCTATAATGCACAAAGTCAGAAGTTCATATTTTCTTTTAGTGCTAATATCTTGCTGCTTCAAAACCATTTAGTTCTCATAATGTTCTTTTGAAATAGGTTAGTAGACATAGAATTGTATAGTATATGCCGAACATAGTAGTGGAATCCTGAATAATACCTGGTTTCCCTAGTTGAGATCTGTAAGACCAATGCTCTAATTAGATGAAGAAAAGAAGTTTCTAAGGTTGAAATGGAATGGAGAATTTTATAGTGAGTGGAATTACTAATGACTGGCTTACTTGATCTATCTAAAACGATTTCATTGCTTGTAAAATGGAGACAGTAGACTTTAACTGATAGTATTGTTTGAAGATTAAATAAGATAGTGAGTATGAAGTCCTTGGAGACTTGCAGGTGTGCAGTGAGCATGAATTGTTTTCAACATCAACAGTAATTTTTGAGAGCTTCCTAATCAGTCACCTAGCTAGTCCCACCCAGCCTTAGGCAAAGCGAAGGGGCCATAGGCCAAATCCTGCCGTCTGCTTTATATTGTAGCCACTAGCCAGATGTGGCTATTTCAAGTTAATTAAAATTAAAATTTAAAATTCACTGAACAGACATTTCTCCAAAAAAGATTTATAAATGACCAATAAATACACGGAAAGGTGCTCAACATCAAGTCATTATGGAAGTGCAAATCAAGACCAAATGAAATACCACTTCATGTGCACTAGGATGGTTAGAATCAAAAAGACAATAACAAGGGTTGGCAGGGATGTGGAGAAATTGGATCTCTCGTACGTTGGTGGGAATGTAGAATGTTGCAGCCACCTTGAAAAACACACTGGCAGTTCCTCAAAAAGTTAAATATAGAGTTTCCATACAGCCCAACAATTCCATTCCTAGGTATGTGCCCAAGAGAATTAAAAATGTATATTTACACAGAAACTTATACATGAACATTCATAGCAGCATTTCATAATAGCCAAAAGGTGAAAACAACCCCAGTGTCCATTAATGGATGAATGGATAAACAAAATGTGGTAGTTGCACACAATGGAATATCATTCAACTATAAAATAAATTAAGATAAAGACGCATGTGTATGTTCATCACAGCACTATTCATAATAGCAAAGGCATGTAATTGACCTAGATGCCTGTCAACAGTGGACTGGTTAAAGAAAATGTGGTACATATATACTGTGGGATACTATGCAGCCATAAAAAAGAATAAGATTATATCCTTTGCAGTAACATAGATGGAGCTGGAGGCCATTATTCTGAGTGAAGTAACACAGGAAGAGAAAACCAAATACCACATGTTCTTACTTATAAGTAAGAGATAAACATTGAGCCCACACAGACACAAAGAAGGGAACAGTAGACACTGGGGCCTACTTGAGGGTGGAGCATTAGGATCGAAAAATTGTAGGATACTATGCTGATTACCTGGGTGACAAAATTATCTGTACACCAAACCCCTGTGATATGCAATTTACCCATGTAATATGTATCCCCTGAACCTAAAATAAAAGTTGGAAAGAGGAAAAAAAAAGATCACTTTGGGAAGAATTGATAGCTTAAATTATTGTGTCATCCAATGTATGAACAAGGTATATCTCTATTATTTGGGTATTGTTTAATTTCTCTCAGCAGTGTTTTGTAGTTTTAAAAGTACAAGTCTTGTACATCTTTTGTCACATTCTTAAATATTTCATATATTATGCTGTGGTAAATCTGTTTTTCATTTGAATTTCTGATTGATTGTTGTTAGTATATAGAAATGTAATTGATTTTTTGTATGTTACTCTTATGTCCTGCAACTTTGCTAGATTCACTTATTCTAGTAGAATGATGTATATTGCATTGGATAGTCTACATAGATGATCATATCATCTGTGTATAAAGACTTCCTTTCCCCAAAAAAAGAAATAAAGTACAGATACATGGTGCAACATGCATTAACTTCAAAAACATTATGCTGAGTAAAAGATGCCAAACACAAAAGACCACATATTGTATGATTTCATTTTTAAGAAATGGCCTCAGTAGGTAAATCTGTTGATATAGACACTAGATTAGTATTTACTAGGGACTGGGAGGAGGAGAGTGTGGGCAGTGACTACTAATAGGTATGGGGTTTCATTCTGAGGTTATGAAAATTTTAATGGAATTTAGGTAGTTCTTAGTGATCAAGGCACAACTTTGTGAATATACTAAAAACCACCAGATTGTATACTTAAAAAGGGTGAATTTTATGGTATGAATTATATCTCAATAAATGTTATTTTTAAAAATTCAGTTCCTTAGTTACTTTAGCCACATTTCAGTTGCTCAGTAGCTACATGTGGCTAGTGACTGCATGGTAGACAGTGCAGATTTAGAACGTTTCCATCATCACAGAAAGTTCTGTTAGACAGCACTGATCTAAGAGTCTCAATCTGAGACCAAAAAATAAAGGAAGAAAAACCAGTCTAAAAAACACAGGGAGTGGAGAACAGATTATGTTCTGAAGAAATGTTACTTTGGGGTAATTTTACCCTTTGTTGCCCTTTGACTGTTCTACTAGGAGTCCTCAACATGATTTTCATTTTATTCTCAAAACAAATGCCTGTGGTAGGTACTGTTATACTCATGTTTTATAATTGAATTATATGAGTTTTAAGATATTTGTGTAGTAAGGGTAGAGCAAAATTTCTAACCTAGGTACATAATCTCTGTTACATTGTTTACCTCTGTTTATGGTATTTGATTTTCTTACCAACCATCCTTCACTCCCACTTTGTTGCTAGCCCACTAGAGCTATTTTCAGTACCCTAAATGCACAGTTCTTTTTGTGCCATAGCAGATGCTAGCCCTCCTTCCTCCTTCTGCCGTCTCCCAACACTAGTATGTGCATGTGCACACATTTACTGGCCCCACTTACCTGAAAGTGTGGTGCACATCTCTCTTCCTTTGTGAAGCTATCTGATACCACAGTTTTAGGGGCTACTCTCTCACCTGGTTAAGGTTACATAATGTCGCAAGATATAAGCAAGAATGCTGACAGGATTCTTGTTGTGACACTATGACACATTGAGCCCAATTCATAGCTGCTGTGTTGGTGACTCTAACAGGGAAGTGGTCTTCTAGTCCAGGCCCTTGGCTCCCATTTATACATTATCTCCTTTCCATTCACAGCCTTCTTTAATCCCCACCCACACTGCTACAGTACCTGACTGAACTTTGCCTTTCTTTGCCTCTTCATATGTTTTTCTGCTTAAGCTTTTTGAACCTGATGAGATACTGCCATGTTTTTATATTTTTCTGCTCATAAAACCCTTAATGGTAAAAAGATACCTGATTGAATTCTGAAGTGCTTTCATGGCTTTGCCTGATTCTGAGGTCATATTTTCTAACTTTATGCTAACATCAGTTTACTCTCTGGTTTTATATGGAGCATGTACTCCTGTAGCTTCTGAAGAAAGGTTTAATGGGAAGCAAATTTTGAGACTACATGTAGTAGGCTAAATCATGGCCCACCAAAGATGTACACATCCTAATTACTAGAACCTGTGAGTATGTTACTTTACATGGTAAAAGGATCTTTGCAGATCTTATTAAATTTAGGATTTTGAGATGGGGGATTATCCCAGAATATTTGGATGGACCCAGTTTAATCACAAGGGTCCTTATAAGAGGAAGGCAGGAGGGTCAAAGTAAGTAAAAGGAGACACGACAATGGAATCAACCAGAGTTTGGAGTGATGCACTTTGAAGATGGAGGAAGAGGGCCACAAACCGGGGAATGCAGGCAGCTTCAAGAACATGGAAAAGCTTCTCCCCTGAAGCCAACATCTTGATTTGAGATTTCTGACCTCTGATCAGAACTGTAAGAGAATAAATTTGTGTTGTTTAAAGCCACTAAGTTTGTGGTAGTTTATTACAACAGTAGTAGGAAATTATGAATACACCATGTATAAAAATGTCATTATGCCCTTTAACTTGATTGATAGTTTATGTAGACCTAATATATATGTACACATACTAGTCTCCATGGCTCCATGCTGCAGTGGACCCAGGACCCAGGCCCACCATCCATGGACTCAGGTTCCAAACCCACCCCAGCAGACTTGGCCTCCAGACTCACCCTGGCGGATCCGGGCTCCAGGATCATCCCTGGTTGTCTCAGACTCCAGGCCTGCCCCTGCAGACCCAGTCTTCAGGCCTACCTTCGTGATCCCAGGCACCAAGCCTGCGTCCTTGAATCCAGGTGCCAGGCTCATTCTAGCACCAGGCTAGTCCCTTAAGACTCAGGCTCAAGGCCCAGTGCAGCACCAGATTGAGCTTTATGGACCCAGGATTCACACTGGCCCCTGTGAATACAGGCTTTAGGCCTGCCCTGCATGCCCAGCTGACAGGCTTGACAGGCTTACCTGAGTGGACCCTGGCACTAGGCTGTTCCCCATGCACACCAGGATTGAGATCCACCCTAGCAAACTCAAGCCGTAGGCCTGTCCTAATGGACCCAAGTTTCAGGATAGCCCACCTGAAAACTCCAGCAGCAAGCCCCCCTGCCAGACAGCCCTCCGGAATTTCTGGACAGGCTGACTGGTAAAAGGCTTTTCCTGCCAAAGCCAGTCTGTGAAGACTGCAAGTGCCTACTTCTTCTTCTTTTTTTTTTTTTTTCTGAGACAGGGTCTCACTCTGTTGCCCAGGCTGGAGTATAGTGGAGTGATCACAGCTCACTGCAGCCTTGACCTCTCAGGCTCAAGCAATACCACTGCCTCAGCCAATCCTACTGCCTCAGCCTCCTGAGTAGCTGGGACCACAGGCAAGTGCCAACAGGCCTGGCTAATATTTGTATTTTTTGTAGAGACAAGGTTTCTTCAAGTTGCCCAAGCTGGTCCTCAAGCAACCCACCCGCCTTGGCCTCTGAAGTGCTGGGATTACAGGCGTGAACCACCATGCCCAGCCAAGTGCCTGCTTTGTAAAATGTGCAGACACTAATGCAAAACTGCAAGGATCACCGATAATCAGGGAAACATGACATCACCAGAGGAACAAAATGAAGCACCGGTAACCAGTCATAAAGAAATGGACATCTATGAATTGACTGATAAAGAATTCAAGGCCAGGTGCAGTGTCTCGCATCTCTAATCCCACCACTTTGGGAGGCCAAGGTGGGTGGATCACTTGAGGTCAGGAGTTTGAGACCAGCCTGGCCAACATGGTGAAACCTCATCTCTACTAAAAATACAAAAATTAGCCAGGTGTCATGGCATGCGCCTGTAATCCCAGCTACTCGGGAGGCTGAGGCAGGAGAATTGCTTGAACCTGGGAGGCAGAGGTCACAGTGAGCCGAGGTCATGCCACTGCACTCCAGCCTGGCTGACAGAGCAAGACTCCATCTCAAAAAAAAAAAAAAAAAAAAAAAAGATTTCAAAATAATCAAATAATCATCTTAAAAGAAGTTCAGTGAGTTAAAAGAGAATATAGATGGACAACAAAATCAGGAAAATAATACACAAACAATATGAGAAGTTCAACAAGGAAACCTCAAAAAAAAAAAAAAAAAGAACCAAACAGAAATTCTAGAGCTGAAGAACACAGTGTCTGAACTGAAAAATTCCACAGAAAGCTTCAATAGTAGACTTGAAGTAGAAGAAAAAATTAGTGAGCTCAAAGATGGTCATTTGAAACTACCCAGTTAGAGGAAGAAAAAGACAACTAAATGAAAAAGAGTGAAGACAGCCTATGGGAGTTATGAGGTACCATCAAACAAAGCAATAAATGCATATGAGATTTCCAGATGAAGCAGAGAAAGAAAAAGGGGAAGACAGCTTAAAGAAATAATGACAGAAAATGTCCCAAATCTGGAGACATGAATGAACATCCAGATCCATGAAGTCCAAAGAACCTCCAACTAGATTAAAGAGATCTTCACTGAGACACTTTATAATCAAATTCTCAAAAGTCAAAGATAATTTCAAAAGCATCAAGAGAAAAGCAAACCATCACCTACAAGGAAACCTCTATAAGACTATCAGTGGATTTCTCAGCAGAAACTTTCCAGGCCAGGAGAGAATGGGATGATATATTCAAAGCGCTGAAAGAAAAAAAAAAAAAACAAAACAAAAAACCTGCCAACCATGTATTATATACCTGGAAAGGCTGTTTTTCAGAAATGAAGTAGAGATAAAGACTTCCCTGTGGGAGTTCATGTCCCACTAGACCTACTTTACAAGAAATGCTAAAGGGAGTTCTTCAAGTTGAAACAAAAGGACTCTAACAACACGAAAACATATGAAAGTGTAAAACTCACTATAAAAGTAAGAATATAGTTAAATTCAAAATACTCTAATGCTGTAATGATGGTGCATAAATCTCTCTTAATTCTATTATAAAAGTTAAAGACAAATATTAAAAATGACTATAGTTGCAATAATTTGTTGATATGCAATATATACAAGCTGTAAATTGTGACATCAATAATAGTGGGGCAGAGGAGAAAAAGTGTCGTACTTTTATATGTGGTTGAAGTTATCAATGTAAGATATTTTATAATTATAAGATGGTTTATGTACACCTCATGGCACAAAGAAAAAATCTGTAGTAGATTCACAAAAGATAAAGGAATCAAAGCATTCTCTTACAGAGAAATCATCAAATCAGAAAGGAAGGGACAAGAGAGGAAGAGTGGAACAAAGGAACTACAAAACAGAAAACAAGGTATCAGTAGTGAGTTTTTACCCATCAATAATTACTTTAAATGGCTTAAATTCTTCAATCAGAAGACACAGAATGAATGACTGGATAAAAAGAAATAAGACTCAACCATATGCTACCTACAAGAAACTCACTTTAGTTTTAAGGACACACATAGGCTGGAAGTGAAGTGGAAAAAGATATTCTGTGCAAATGGTAACCAAAAGAAATAGAGGTGGCTATATTTATATAAAACAAGATAGACTATTAAGTCAAAAACTGTCACAAGAGACAAAAAGGATAATTTTATAATGATAAGGGGTCAATTCATCCAGACGATACAACAATTATAAAATATATATGCACCCAACATCAGAACATTTACATATATAAAGCAAATATTAATAGAAGTGAAGAGAGAAGTAGATAGCAATACAATAATACTAGCAGATTTTAATACCCCACTTTCAACAATGCACAGAAAATCAATAAGGAAATAGCAGATTTGTACTACACTGTAGGCCAAATGGATCTAAGAGTCATCTGCAGAATATCTTATCCAACAGTAGCAGAATACGATGTTCTTTTCAAGTGTGCATGGACCAGTCTCTAGGATAGATGATATGTTAGGCTACAAAACAAGTCTTAACAAATTTAAGAAGATTGAAATCATACCAAGTGTTTTTTTCTGACCACAGTGGTATGAAACTAGAAATCAAAAGAAAACGGAAAATTCCTAAATATGTGGAAAGTAGACAACACACTCCTGAACAACCAGTGGATCAAAGAAGAAATTGTAAGGAAAATAAAATCTTGAGGCAAATGAAAATGGAAACACAACATACCAAAACTTATGGGATGCCATGAAAGCAGTTCGAAGAGAGAAGCTTATAATGATAAATAGCAATACATGAAGAAAAAAGAAAGATCTCAAATAGACAACCTAACTTTACACCTTGAGGAACTAGAAAAAGAACAAACTAAGCTCGAGGCCAAAAAAGGAAGGAAATAATAAAGATCAATGCAGAAATAAATGAAATAGAGACTAGAAAAACAATAGAAGTTATCAACAGAACTGAGTTGGTTTTTTGAAAAGTAAAATCAACAAATCTTTAGCTAGACTGAGAAAAAGAGAAGACTCAAAATTATAAATAAAAGAGACATTGCAACTTAAAGAGATACAAAGGTTTATAAGAGACTACTATAAACAATTATATACCAACAAATTTGATAGCCTAGAAGAAATTGACAAATTACTAAAAATACAGCCTATCAAGACTGGATCATGAAGAAATAGAAAATCTGAACAGACCTATAATGAGAAAGGAGATTGACTTAGTAATCAAAAACCTCCCCCAAAAGAAACTCCCAGAACCTATGGCATCAGTGGCAAATTCTGTCAAACCTGTAAAGAGGAATTAATGCCAGTCCATTTTAAACTCTTCCAAAAAATTGAAGAGGGAATACTTCCAAACTCATTTTATGAAGCCAGCATTACCCTGATGCTAAAGCTAGACAAGGACAGTACAAGAAAAGAAAATTACAGAAAATACAAGAAAAAAATTCCTGATGGATATAGATGCCAAAGTCCTCAACAAAATACTAGCAAGCCGAATTCAACTGCATATTAAAATCATGCATGCTTGGTACAACAGATATATCTGAAGAGACTCTTTTCTCTATGGTTGGTTTCTTCTTGATCATCACTACCTCTTAGTGTACAGGAAGCTCAAAATATTACTGTGTGACCTTAACAAAATAAATTTACTTCTCTGGTCTTTAGGTTTTTTTCAATGGGAAAATGGGAAGGTTGGCTCCATTAGTTTCTAAAGTCCCTTTGAGCTCTGAAATGAGTAATTTTATAATTTCTAAGTGTTTAATTCATCAACTACATGACTTTACCTTTTTTCTTCATTACCTGTCAAATTCACTTAAAAACTATTATCACACTTCATTTGCTTTTTAATAAATTTCTGACAGCATGAATGGGAGAAAAAAAGGGACTATACAGCATGATCAAAGAAGATTTATCCCTGGAATGCAAGGATGGTTCAACATATACAAATTGATAAATCACATTAACAGAATAAAGTACAAAAACCATATGATCATCTCAATAGATGCAGAAAATATGTTTGACAAAATTCAAAATCTTTTCATGATAAAACTCTCAAGAAATTAGGTGTAGAAAGAACATACCTTAACACAATAAAGGCTGTATATGACAGGCCCACAGCTAACATCAACACTCAATACTGAAAAGCTGAAAGCCTTTTTTCTAAGATTAGGAAGACAAGGATATCCACTCTCACCACTTATAGTCGGGATAATATGGGAAGTCTGTCCTAGCCAGAGTACACAAGAAAAATGCATCCAAATCAGAAAGGAAGAAATAAAATTTTCGGTTTGCAGATGACTTAAAATTATATATCAAAAACTCTTAAAACTCCACCAAAAAAACCTGTTAAAACTAATAAGCAAATTCACTAAAGTGGCAGATACAGAGTCAACCTACAAAAATTAATAGTGGGGGAGGAGGGAGTAGGGATGGTTAATGGTCACCAAAATATAGTTAGATAGAATGAATAAAATCTAGTGTTTGATAGCACAACAGGGTGATTACAGTCAACAATAATTTATTGTACATTTGAAAATAACTAGAAGAGTATAATTGGAATATTTGTAACACACAGAAATGATAAGTGCTTGAGGTAATGGATATCCCATTTACCCTGATGTGATTATTGTGCCTCTATCAAAATATCTCACATACCCTATAAATCTCTACACCTACGTACCCATAAAAATTAAAAATTAAAAACAATAGCATTTGTATGCACTAGCAATGAACTGAGAAAGAAATCAAGAAAGTCTGATCTACAATAGAATCAAAAATATATAATTCATTTCTAAGAGGTTTTTTTGTTCTCTCTTCTTGTATATAGCTTCAAGATTTTGTTTCTTATATGCTATGTCTAATGTCCTCCAAGAGAAAGAGAGGGAAATGGAATTATAATTAACATTGTCTTTTCCCTATATTATCTGTTTTCTCTTATTTTCTTTTTTCCTGTTTTTTAGCTTTGGTACTTGTCTGTCTTTCATGTTAGAGGTGTTTCTCAAGCATCTTCAGCTGTTTGTTGCTATTAAGGAAAAGTTTATTGGAAACTGTGTTCATGACTGTGGCTTGTTCAGTGATGGACCTCATGTGGTGTGATTGAGGGAAACCTGGCTATTTATGGGGAGCCTATCAGTTCTTTTTTCTTAAGCCAGTCAGCTTTTCTAAATAGGATTTCTAAATTGAATCTTTTGTGGGAGGGAGTTTGGGAGTAATAAGCTCATGTCTAGGGCTGGATCCTTAATCATTGGCTGCAAAGACTTATTTAACCCTTGTTTTCAGTAAGGCATCCCATTTTTGTTCTCAGTTATGGCTGGTGTTCCTGAGTTCAGGGGCTCTGATTCAACCTCTCCAGAGAGTAACTTAAGCCCTCTGCTATGTGGAGAAAAGGCAGTTGCCAGATGCTCTGGTTGGAGTGAGAGTATGTGAAAATCTTACTTCTCTTTTTTAAACAATTTTTCAGCATCCCCCCACCACTTGCTTTAAAAAAAAGGATTATTTTCTTCAAATGTGCCCATAAGCTGCAATTCCTGAGCTTTTACCTTCTGTTCTTCCAGGGCACTCAGGAGTGAACTGGCTTACTTGCCTCAATTTAGATTCCCCCACTGCAGGTACTTGGCACAAAGAAGAAAGATACAATCAAGTCAGTTACCTCTTTTCCAAATGCTTTTCATTTTAAATTTTGTGGGCCTATCTCCTTTGCTGTCATCATCTCCCCACGCTCTTCATCTTGTTGGTTTATATCTTTTCTAATTCTTCAGTCTTTTGATTTGTAGAGGGAGTTAGATAAATGCTTGTATCTGATCAGTTATGTTTAAACAAAAGCGCCTCCCTCCCTTGACACCTTCTCTTTTTCTTGGACTTCTGTTTCTTAGACTGTTTCCACCATTAGAATAAGAGCTTGTCAAGGGCAGGAACCAGGGTATTTAATAGCTCCAGCATTTGTATAATGCCTGGAGTATAGTAGGATTATTAAATAAATGAACATACCTTTATTTTCAATTATAGATTTCTCTGACTTGAGAAATAATTTCAAATAAAACAGTGAAGTCTCTCTTACAGATAAGTTCGGAAGCTCTCCTCTTTCCTCGATTCTTGCTTATTTTTATCCACAGTGCGTCTCGTGAAGGAAAAGAATGGATCATTCTTTCTTGATTTCCTCGTTGGTAAAGTATTTGGCTTTAAGAGCTATTCAAATGAATGTGCAAAGTAAGAGTAAGTTGGGTGTATTTCTAGCACTAAGTTGTTGAGGTTCTAGAAAGGTAGTTTTGTGCCTTCTAGATACCATGTCTGCCTTTCCTAATGAGCCTGGTATGTATACTATTCTGCCTAGCATAACTAGGAGCAATAGGATAGAGAAGTGGGATATACCATTTCAAAGATTCACTGATGCTGCTTAGAAACAAAAATCTAAATGAAAACCAATGTACATAAATTAGATAATTCACATATACCATTAGAAATTCCACTTAAAGTCAGTACTGCTAGAAACCTTGTCATTACCTTGCTTTAAATGCTAAGCGCTTTCTGATTAATTCTTTTTCAGTTTATTTACCTGGGAGGTATTCGATCTAAGCACCAGCATCCCTGCCCCCACTTTTATCTATTAATATTTACAGGTTTTTCCCTCTTTGAAGCTCCCTATTGAATTCTGAATGACTTTGAACTTGGAATTGCTCTGGGTCTGCTTTTCACCTCCTTTCTCTACCTCCCACCCCAACCTTCACTAATTTGCTTTTTTTTTTTTTTTTTTTTTTAATATTTGGGTGGTTTCTTCTTGCATTCTCTTTTTTCTATATGCTCCATGACAGCCTGGACTACATTTCTGTTACTCACTGCTGCATCCAGTGCTTAGCACATGCTGGGCCTTAAGTCACTGTTTATTGAAAAGAATAAATGGATTACTCGTTGAAATTTTTTTAATTATGAATAACAAAAATTAGTAATCTAACTATATATTATCAATCTTTTGCTGTCTTATCTTACAGGTTTTCTTTCTGGTTTTCATACTGGATAGTC
Organism: Homo sapiens; assembly: GCF_000001405.40. Lineage (NCBI taxonomy): Eukaryota > Metazoa > Chordata > Mammalia > Primates > Hominidae > Homo > Homo sapiens. The sequence goes on along the minus strand of NC_000023.11, from coordinate 41,894,335 downwards.
TCTATTGACCTAGCTTCAAGTTTGCTGATTTTTTTCTACTGTCAACTTAAACTTGCTGTTGAGTCCTTCTAGTGAATTTTTTGTCAATTATAGTACTTTTCAACTCCTCAGTTTCTATTTTTTTTAAGAATTCTTTTTCTTTATTGATGTTCTCTATTTGGTAAGTCATTATCCTCATACTTTAAAAAACTTCTTTAAGTATAGTTTCCTTTAATTCTTTGAATATATTTATAATAGCTAATTTAAAGTCTTTACTAAGTCTAACAGCTGAGCCCCCTCAGGAAGTTTCTATTGGCTGCTTTTTTTCTTCTGTATGGGCCATCTTTTCCTGTTTCTTTGAATGTCTCATAATTTTTCTGTTGTTGATAACTGAACATTTTAGATAATATATTGTAGCAACTCTGGATTCTGATCCACTCAGGTAGTGGTTATTGTTTTTACTTTTGTTTTTCCATTGCTTAATGACTTGCCTGGACTAATTCTACAGAGGCTGTCTTTGCTGAAATGTGTGGCCACTGAAGTTTGTGCTAGGATTTTTTGTTTTGTTTTAAATTCTTGTTTTTATTTTTAAGCCTGGCTTCCTAGGGTTTTCCCCTTGGTCATCCAATGGTTGGCCACAAGTTTTCCTTAAACACTTTGAGCCAATAAGCCTTCCATCTTTTGCTGAAGGAATCTCTGTGTGGGTTGGGGCATACGTTGAAAGTTCAGGCAGTTTAAAAGTCTGCCTTGGCTTTCACTTTCTGCTTGTGTAGGGCCTCACAGTCAGCCAGGAGCAGTAGATAATTGGGAATCTTTCTGGTCTCTCTTGAACATGCATACATGCACAGAGCCCTCCAAATGGATACAACCTTCCAGAACCCCCAAGTATGTCAGAGCTTTAAGCTTTCTATGGCTGTCTCATTCCCCACATCTACCTTTTACATGTTGGCTAGTGTCTTGCTTACCTCAACCAGTATTGCAGACTTAAGCAGCTGTGATTGTTTCTAATGATTGCTATTGTTTTTGACAGTGCCCCTGGCCATGGGGCTTTCTCTTGGAGCTCCATATCAAGTCAGCTTCCTTCAGTGGAACTGTCCACAAAGCTACAAGGCCAGCGAATTGTGGTAGAAGCGGACCCAAATTAAAATGTCACAGACCCTGCTGGTCTTACCTAGGATCATTAGTAGCTGAGGTCCTCACTCCGCCATTCCAGAAGTCCTGCCCCCCACCTCTGCCTTAGGTTTTCAATGTGTTTTTATAGCTGTTTATAGTTTTGTGGCTTTTCATTTAGTATAAATATTTTCTCATGTTCTTGATAACTCATTATAACTAATTTCTACTGGCTCTCATCATTTGAATGTCTCATAATTGATTTGGTAATTTCCCCTGTTGTTGGACTTCAGATAATCACTGGTGTAATTTGCCTTTCCCAACAGGCTCTAACCTGAATGAGGCCTGGGACTGCTTTGTTTACTACTTCATCCTCAGTGCCTGACACAGTAATTCTTGTTAAATAAAGGTCACCCCACAATTTTTTAAATGTTATAAATAACACTTTGAGGTGGATCGTACTGCCAAAACTGTATTCAGATTTCAGATTTTTTTTAAGAATGGAGTTTCAGAAATGGAATTGCTTGGTCAAAGGATATAGGCATTTCTAAACCTCTTGACATAGGTTGCCAGATTGATTTCTTAAAAAGTCCTATCAAAATAGAACCTTTTGGCCGGGTATGGTGGCTCACACCTGTAATCTCAGCACTTCGGGAGGCTGAGGCAGGTGGATCACTTGAGATCAAGAGTTCGAGACCATCCTGGCCAACATGGCAAAACCCTGTCTCTACTAAAAATACAAAAAATTTAGCTGGGTGTGGTGACGCGTGCCTGTAGTCCCAGCTATGCGGGAGGCTGAGGCAGGAGAACCACTTGAACCCCAGAGGCAGAGGTTGCAGAGAGCCAAGACCACGCCACTGCACTCCAGCCTAGGTGACAGCCAGACTCTGTCTCGAAAAGAAAAAAAAGAGAACCTGTTTTTTCAGCAGCATCCTTATCTGTTGCATTGTATATTTGGCGACATCAGATGTGCTAGTTGCTCAAGTTTTATTGACCTTATTGGCCAAAAAAAAAAAAAAAAAAATTCTCGTTGAACTATTTTGTGTCTTTTTTTGAGACAGGGTCTCAGTCTGTCACCCAGGCTGGAGTGCAGTGGTGCAATCACAGCTCACTGCAGCCTCAACCTCCTGGGCTCAAATGATCCTCCCATCTCAGCTTCTCAAGTAACTGGGACTACAGGTATGTGCCAGCAGACCCAGCTAATTTTTTGTTTGTTTGTTTTAGAGATGGGGTCTCACCATGTTGCCCAGCCTGGTCTTGAACTCCTGGGCTCAAGCAGTCCTCCCACCTTGGCCTCCCAAAGTGCTGGGATTACAGGCATGAGCCACCATGCCCAGCTATTTTGTGTCTCTTCGATAACCAATGAAAGTATTAGTTTTCCTCATACTTTTTAAAAAAAATTCTTTCTATAAATTGGCCATTTGTTTTTCCCCCATTTTGCTCTTAGTTGCCTAATGTTTTTCTTGCTAATTTATGTAAACTTTATATATCAAAGATATTTATCTATTATTGTCTTTTATATATTTTTAAAATTTTTCATTTTGTTCCTGATGAGTTTGGATGTGCAGAAACTAAAAATCATACAGAAGAAGCCTCTTTGTTCGATATGATTGGATATTACAACTGGTCTGCTAAAGAGGGAGGAGTATAAAAAAAGTCTACAGATATCTCTTCAATATTTTAACTTGAAGACAAAATATACATTAAGTAGCTAATCCTTTGATATTGTGTGACCCTTTTCTTTGAATAAGTCTAATTGATTCGAAACCTGCTCTATATTTCTTTTATATATCTCATCCAAAATGCATCATCAACGATGTCCAGTTTTGATTTATTTAAAATGGGGTAATGACTTAATGAGCTGTAATCTGAGTGCAAAATCCTTTTGGATATTTTATAGATCCTTGCTCCCCCCGCCCCCCCACCCAGTCTTTTGCAGTTTTGTCACCCACATTTAATTCAGTATCTCCTTTATCTGGTCTTTGAAGCCAGTTCTTCTCTTTTGTAGTCACATTCAATTGCTGTAACATATATGTAACATATAATTAAGAATTATAGGCCGGATGCAGTGCCTAACACTTGTAATCCCAGTACTTTGGGAGGCCGAGGTGGGCAGATCGCTTGAGGTCAGGAGTTCGAGACCAGCTTGACCAACATGGCAAAATTCCATCTCTACTAAAAATTAAAAAAAAATAGCTGGGTGTGGTGGCACGCACCTGTAATACCAGCTACTTGGGAGGCTGAGGCATGAGAGTCACTTGAACCTGGGAGGCAGAGGTTGCAGTGAGCCAAGGTTGCATCACTGCACTCCAGCCTGAGTGACAGACTGAGACTGTCTCAAAAAAAAAAAAAAAGAAATTATAGTAACACCTACACAACCAACATAAAGAGGTACACATTTAGGAACAAATACAAATAGCTCTTGGTATGTAGACAACTTAATTTGTGGGGTTCATGGGCTCATATGTACTACACAGTACCCTGTCAGCATTGAGCAGTCAGCATGCAGCAGGCATTCATTAGGTTTCTACAGAGGGAATGGAGAATGGATCAGTCTGTGAAATTTGTTAAGTGGGGTCAATTAAGAGTGCTTCTACCATGGTCAAAATCTAATCAGTCTTTTTCTTTGTTGTGATTGTTTCCATGCTTAGAAAGTCCTTCCCTTCTTGAGAGTTATGTGAAAATTCACCTACATTTTTCTGTCTTTCTTTTGATTCATACATTTAACTCTTTAGTTCATCTGAAATTTATTTTGTTTTTTAGTAAGAAGTAAGGATGTAAGCATCTAAATAGATTTTCCACCTTCAAATAATGTGCTGTTTTTTTTTTCCCCAGCATAGCCAGTGCATTCTTCAAAGGCAAAGATCAAAAATGTAATTTCTAGTTTTCAACAATTAGAATAGGGGTTGAATGGGTCTGGGTCTTGGGAGTGGAAGGTCAGTATGGTCCTTGGGGTTGGGGAAGGGCAGGCAGAGCATAGAGTGGAATTTAAAACACACACACACATACACACACACACACACACACACGCATGCACATTCACATGATAAGGAGAAAAAGATAACTGAGAAATTGGATAATAACAGAGCTAGTAGGAAGAGGATATAGTACAATGAACCCTCTTTAGAATGCAGGCCCTTTCCAAAATGAAAATTTGAAGGGTACTTGGGCTCTATTTGATGAATTATAGTGAGGTAAAGTAGTTTATTAAGCATTTGAATAAACCTAAATAGTTAATAAGCTATTGTTTATTAATAAAAGGTATGCCAACAAGGAAGTAATTATGCAAAGTTCTACAGAGCTGTCAAACTTGAAAGCATGTTTTTCCCCACCGATTTTGCCAGTCTCTACTGGGAAATTATTTATGATCATTCCCTCAGTCTTTTGAATAAGTCAACTTCTCTCAGTGCAATCATTGCTTTTTCCTGGGCCATAGCATTAGGTCAATTAGTGAAATATTAGGCATAATACTCTTTAAGGCTATGAATGGCCTTGAAGTACTGTATGAAAAATATGAGATTAATATTAAGAAGCTGCTATGAAGCAAATGTTACCAGTGGAAAATTTTATTATACAGTGGTGTTTATGCTGGTTTTAAGTTTTAAAACATTTTATCTTTAAATGACCACTGTATAAATGTTACTTTCAAAATATTGTTTGGTGTTGATAGGTTCTATTTACTCTTCCCAACATTTATTTGTATTATGAGTCACTTCATACTGACTCACCAGCATTGCATTAAAATAACCAGTCACCATCAAAAAGTGGACTAAGGACATGAATAGACAATTCTCCAAAGAAGAAATACAAATGGCCAGCAAGCATATGAAAAAATGCTCAACATCACTAATGATCAGGGAAATGCAAATCAAAACCACAATGCAATACCACCTCACTCCTGCAAGAATGGCCATAAATCAAAAAATAAAAAAAAAAAGATGTTGGCATGGATTTGGTGAAAAGGGAACACTCTTACACTGTTGGTGGGAATGTAAATTAGTACAACCACTATGGAAAACAGTATGGTGATTCCTTAACATCTAAATAGATTTTCCACCCTCAGATAACGTGCCTTTTTTTTTTTTTCCAGGATAGCAACTGCATTCTTCAAAGGGACAGATGAAAAATGTCATTTCTAGTTCTCAACAATTGGAATAGAGGTTGAATGGGTCTGGGTCTTGGGAGAGGAAGGTCAGAACTAAAAGTAGATCTACCGTTTGATCCAGCAGTCCCACTACTAGGTATCTACCCAAAGGAAAAGAAGTCATTATACGAAAAAGATACTTGCACACACGTTTATAGCAGCACAATTTGCAATTGCAAAAATATGGAACTAGCCCAAATGCCCATCAATCAATGAGTGGATAAAGAAAATGTGGGGTGTGTTTGCGTATATATACACACACACATATATATACATACATATATACATATACATGTATATATACATATATATACACATACATGTATATATACATATATACACATACATATACATATATATGTATATATATACATATATTCACATACATATACATATATACGTATATATATACATATATTCACATACATATACATATATACACACACATATATACACATATATATACATACATATATATATAATGGAATACTACTCAGCCATAAAAAGGAATGAAATAATGGCATTTGCAGCAACCTTGATGGAATTGGAGACTGCTATTCTAAGTGAAGTAACTCAGGAATGGAAAACCAAACATTGTATGTTCTCATAAGTGGGAGCTAAGGTATGAGAATGCAAAGGCATAAGAATGATATATTGGACTTTGGGGACTCAAGGGAAAGTGTGGGAGGGGGTGAGGAATAAAACACATTGGGTACAGTGTACACTGCTTGGGTGATGGGTGCATCAAAATCTCAGAAATAAAAAAAAAATAAATGAATCACCAACCACCAACCAACCAATATGGGAGATTTGTTTCAGCTGGAGGGCCTTAGTTTCTTAAAGTAGTTTTCTTCTCTTGCTCTGGAAAGTACTAATTCCAAGGCCTCTTTTCTCCTCCCAGTTGTAGGATATTGGGGATTCTTACTAGAAAGCGTAGGCAGAGCACATGCAGCCAGTGTCCCCAAGTTTTTTAGACCATCTGGAGCTACCTGTGGCTGCTATGTAGCCTAAAACTTCAGAAGGCCTTATGATCTATTGGCAGATGGCTAAACTGGGATCCTTGTGTCAGGGTTTTCTTTTATGTTATTTTTAAATTCCAGAATAGAAGAGAAAATGAAATGGAGAAAGAAGACATTGAAGGTTGTGGTGTTTTCTGTGAAGTTCAAGAAGTATTGACATTTCTCAGAAGAGTATGACTATAGATGATATTGTTACTGTTTGGGGTTTTTTGTTGGTCATGGTGGTAGTGATGGATTTTTTTTTTTAAGAGTCACGTTTCTTCACCTAGAATTAGCTGAGGAAAAGTGGCATCTGTATTGATGGTTTTAATAGATATGATTTTATTGGTGGTGCCTTCAGAGTAGTGGCTTAGAGTAATTAGAAAGACATCATTGCTTTGTATAGGTCTTAAAAAGATTGTTAAACTTTTAATTCAATGTTGGCTGAGCCTGCTGTGCCTGATACATTAAAAGAAAAAAGTCTTATGATTTACTGAAAAGAGTAAAATGGTCCTGATTTCAGTTACTCCCTTCTACTCATGCACACTGTGTTGCTTACTGCCCTTTTTAAATCCAAGGTGATTCTTCAACCTCATACATTGTTTTAACATTTCACTCTATGTCTAGGACATGTCTAGAATATTTAAGTGCCTTTTTCTTGGAAATAATAGAGATGTATCATACCCAGTTTTATTTGCTTAGGTAGCAGATAAAGACTTCAGAAATACTCAATATTTGAGTATTTGGGTTGGAATTTGACACTGTGTGTGTGTGTGTGTGTGTGTGTGTGTGTGTGTGTGTGTGTGTGGACTCAACTAGCCTAAAAGAAAGATAAATGCCTCTTAGAAGCTAGAGGGGAAAAACCTATGAAAACTTAGTTTGGGATGTACCTATGATGAAGAATTTGCCCTCTGATTTCTCTTCCATGTGGCTGATTTTGAAGGTTGTATAGTATTTTGTTTTTATGTTTTGATACAGCTGTTAATTCTTGACCATTTTCCTCAGAAATTGGCATTTCCAGATTGGCAAAATCTAGTATCATTGTAGGTAGCTCTTTACAGATAAATTTGTACGGGAGAGTATGCAATATATTTTGAAACTTCTGTTTTTGTGTGTACAAATCTCTAAATCAGCCCAGATGGTGGCCATTATGGATTAGTAATAGCAAGAAAGAAAGCTGTTAATATCACAGCTTCTAACATATGTCTCCTGATTGTGGGTATATATGCCTGGTGTCAAAGATAACGCTACAGCATACCTATTACGGCTTTTAAAAAGTTACTAAGGCATTTCTATCTGTATCAGCCAACTAGAAGGATGGATTAGACAACATGATATATGTAGTGCTTTTATCTCTGGCAGGTAGCTAAGTCTTTGAAAGAAGATATATCTTCTCATCTGGCCAGAATGTTTTGATTTTAACTTGAAATTTCCTAACAAGAGTTCTTATGTGTTTATTATTGCATGTTCTTATGTGTTTATTTTTAAAACTATCCTTTAGCATTTAGGCACATTAATTTATAGCACCTGTAGAGCAATCAGTTGCAATATCTGCATATATGCCTTTTATTTTCTGTAATTGAGATCTGTATTATATTTATATAATCAGTGTGTAAGTTACTCTAAAAGTTATCTAGTCAAGCTTGACTTTAAAGATGTCTTTGTAACTTGTTCTACATTGTTACTGTTTCCTTCAGAAAGTTAAGTTTCCAAGCTTCTTTAAGTTACATTCTAGACGTTCCGAGGGGTTCCAAAGTGTTGAAAAGGAAATTGAAGTAAGCTTTGGAATATGTTAATAAGCTTCAACTGGAAACATGTATGGTAGCAGCTGTTTTAAAGGCCGCTGATAGTGAGATGTTAATTGAGTACTTTTTAAAATATATTACCCAACCTTCTCTAAGCTCTGAAGCTTCAATTACATTTATCCTAGGCACTAAGACTTGAATCCAAAGGGGTTACTTCACTGCTCTTCTTGAGGTTGGGGGTCCTATGTTATTCACTATTGTAACAGCAACAGATTATAATGATTGGTAGGCAACCAAATGCTTGCTGATTTAATTAAACTTGCCTAGTTATTTTTACCTTATTGTAAATTTTGGTCTATAGAGCTGAAGAGATTTCTCCCCTTTTCTTTGAATTAAGAAAAAGCCACATATGTGTGGTAAACTCCCCTTCACCATAATGAAACTACTTTTTCTTCATTCTTTGTAAAATATTAACCCAGTAGAGTAAAAACTGAATTCTTCCATGAATGGTGGTATTTCTTCTATCTGGCAAATTAAAGCAATGGAGACCATTAGGGTATAACCCTGAACTTTTTGTGCTCCCTCCACCCTGGTCCGTTATTTCTTTGGTATAAAATCAGAAGAATGAAATCTTAGTAGAGTTCTCGTACCACTACACAAGACAAGGTAACCATGCTCTTGAAATAGATTTAATTTTAGATGTTGAGTGTTCCTAATGGGTGGCAAATTATTTATGCTAATTGTGAGGAATAAATTACTTATAGATTTATTAATAATTTACACATAGTAACTTAAGGTTCAAAGTTTGTTAACACTTATTTTATATATGACATTCACATCAACTGTATGAGGTAACTAGATTTTTCTTTTTCCATCTCATAAATGAAAAAAACAGGTTTTTTGTGAAAATGCAACTTGCCCAAAGTTGTAGAATTAGATTTTTATAAACAGATCTGAGTTACTTAATATGTGTAGAAATCTTTACTTGACAAATTTTCGACATTGTAAGGTTTGTAATTTTATCTCAGAATCCTAGAATTCTAGAGCTGAGAGAAACTTAAGTTGATACAAATGGAAAATAGGTTCTTTATTGAGTGCCAGGTTAATATCAATTGTAGCTGTTGAGACTTGGAGTTGAGACATTTTTATTGACTTATTTCCAGTTTATTGGCAGAGAGTGCCCTAATTGATTAACCATGCCTGAAGTAGACATGGGGCAACATATAGATGACAAATATGTGGCAGTCAGACTCAGTAACTTGATATAGCATTTTGAAAGTACCTAATATAGCTTTTTACAGATTCTGTCTAACGTGAGTTTCTATTAAATTTGGCAAATTCCTCAGTAAGTTACAGGATTCTGTATGTATCAAGAATTGAATTTGGCAATGTGGAACAGAAAACCCAAATAATAGTGGCTTAAGTAAATTTGGATTCATTTTTCTGTAATGAAATGAGAGAATTAAACATTCCAGGGTTGATAGGGTGCCTCCATGATGTCATTAGGGCCCTAAGCACCTTCTCACCTTCTTCCCAGCCATCCTTGTTGTGTGCTCCTAGTTATAAGATGGCTCCTGAGGCTCCAGTCATCCCATTTGCGTTCCAGGCAGGCTGGAAGACAGGGAGGAGCAAAATGGTGCCTGTCAGCTGAGTAAGACCTCTTAAAAGAGCTTTGCTGTAAACCACATCTATTGAAGTTTGCTTTTATCTCATTGGCCAAGCTGTATCACATGACTGTCTCATCTACTGCAAAGCTAGGAAATGTATTTTTACTTAAGCACATTGGAACCCAGCAACAATGGCCTTCTGACAGCAAAAAAAGAAGCAGATGGATGATTAATAATCTTTGCTACAGTACACCTCTTTAGCTATCCAGTCCTTACTCAGTTATCTTCCCACACAAAGAACATGCTTACCCCTTCCTTAATGGGAACACCTCCAAAGTCTTATCTAGTTACTATATCCAACTTTTAAGTCTTTGATTTCTTGGTGATGTACAGTCCTCTCAATTAGGTCTAGGTGTGGCTTCTTGTGGTCTGGTGTCCCACAAACTGCCCCCTCCTTCATTGTTACATAGATAGAAAAAGAATAGGATAACTTTAGTAAAAGTTCCCACCCAACCAAAAAGGAGAGAGTAGGAAACGTAGCATTTAACAGATCCTATTGGGCAGGAAAAGCAAAGACTCTCTGTCCTGCCTTCTTGGATGGCCCATTTGGCAGGCCCTGGCTCTGCTCTAGGGGAATTTCCTTTGCCTGGGAAAGAAATTTGTAAGGGAAGCCCCAGCATCCTTGAAGAACTCTGTGATCAGTGAGAAATTAACAGCGGGAACTGCGGCCACTGATTGGGAAGCCTAAATACAATGAGGGTAATTGGATCCCAGGATGGCAAGGACCAGTAGCACTTAATTGCCAAAGGAAGGGCAGGTATGGTTACTGAAATGGACAGCAGAGTCAAAGCAACAATTAGAATGAACTGACTAGTACAGGGTGATTTCTTTTGCTCCAAGCAGGCCCCTGGCTGTTCTCTGGAGATTCTTTATTGTCCATTCTTCTCCATGGCCCTATCTGAAATGCTCTTTGGGGAGCACATTTTTCTTGGGGACTACACAGCTTTCATAGCTAACATATTACTGTTGAGGGTTTGGAGCCATGAATTATTTTAGAGATTTAATAGCTATTGGCTGCTGCAGGGCAGTTTTGGGGTTTCCATGACAATATCGTTTCGTCAAAAAATGTCGATATTTTTCTTCTTGTTTTTAGTAAGCTCCACGGGGGAGAAGCCACATCTAGACATAGTTTCTTAGCCTGAAAATTCTTCTACTTACTGGCCTCTGTGCTCTGCCCTTTTCTTTCAGCTTTTGAGTTAATAGCCAGCTGCCTCGAGGTAGGCAACACCCTTAATCTGATTTTTGCTGGCTAGTTTTCTTTCCTGTCCTGAAGGGAACTCTTAAAACAGCTTGGGGTTGTGGTTTCATCTCCTGCTAAGACAGCCACTTCTCTGAGTTACTGCTTATAATCACCTCAGTTTGAGAGTACAGGAGCTGTTGATGTTTATAGTCCTCCAAAGCTTCAAATTATGTGACTTTCAGTCGATTTAAATTGAAGGCTGCAGGCACAGAATGGCTGGCTCAAGTTCTATTTGGTCTCTCCTAGGACTGGGCTCAAAAGCTGCAAGAGGAAACCATCATACATCCATATCCCGAAAATGTCCTACATTTCCATAAACTGTAGCCTCATTTGGCATATGGTATTACCAAATGTTTTGCCACTACCTAACAAGAGTAACCAGCTTTAAGAGTCACTGTGAATTGGTTAGAGACTGATGGGATTAGTTAAGACTAATTTTCCTTAAAGTCTTTTCTTTTCCTTGATATAGGTATATTCCAAGTGTTGATGGGCAGCTTGGGGTTTATTTACTTTTTAGACTTATAAATTGGGAGAAATTAGGACTAAGGGAAATGATTTTTTCTAAGGACATGAACATTTATAAAAGACAAGGAAAAAGTATGACGGAAGAAATATGTGGATGTAATTGCCAAGAAAGGAGTTCATCAGTGATGGGTAAATGGTCAAGAAAAAATGGACAGTGTGATCTCTGTGTGATCCTGTTAATATATATTGTGCCAGCCATTTTCCTATTTCAGCCACCAAGTGATGCAGTTTACCCAGGGTCTGGGTTCCAGTCCTCATTGAGAGGAACCATGGTTAAGAAGAAAGTGAACTTACAACCAGGAGTTTATATGTTCTCCCACATTTACCCTTCGGATGGTATCTAATCATTTTCTCCTCTAAATGAAATGTATTACATTCTCTTGTGGCTGATTTCTCTAGTACTTATCTTATATATTCTTAAACTTACCTTTATGTAAATGTGCTCAATCAATTTTAGTAAGACTTAAACTTCCTGAGCTCTACCTTTTAACAGCATCCTAGACTGAGAGTTAGTCTCAAAAGTCAAGTTCTACAAAAGAATCCTTTATGCTGTTTAACTTAATATGTTGTAGTGTTGTGACTTCTCTACCTTTCAGTGTTTCTTGATTAGGATTCTTCAAGGTATTTCTTTTGTTTTTAATCTTAAAAAAATTAACATGTCAAATAAGAGAATAAATAGTACCTGGCCTTTATTAGAATCTTATTTTCCATAATGTTTTAAATATTTTCATATCCTATGAGATATGAAGGGAAGAGTTATCAAACAATAAACTTTTGAACACCAACTATCAGCCTTTTACTACACCATGAGGCTTAATAATAGTAAATAGTAGTTGGTTTTTATTGAGTGCTTATTAAATACCAGGCACAGTGGTAAACATTTTATCTTATATATATTCATTTTATCCTGACAACAATCCCAAGAGATAGGTGGTGTTATCTTCGCTTTATGGATATATGTAAACCAAGGCTCAGAGAGTTGTAAGCCACTTGCCCAGGGTTACCAGGCTATTGAGTGGTAAAGCTAGGAGTCTAAGGAAGTTCAACTCCAAAGTCCGAACTGTGTAGCTACCTTGCTATAATTGTAGATGGTCCCTGCCATTTGGGAACTTGGTTTAACAGAGGAAGTAAACACGGAAATAATAAATTGAATGATTTCCCTTTCTTAGTTTGGCCATAGTTGTTATGATCATTTCATAATAATCATTTCTATAAATGTAAGTTGGCACATATGAAGCACCTTTGGTATGATGTCAGAATATCATTTTTGAAGTAGTGAACTAAAATGGCATATCAAGTGACCCAAAATGTCATGAAGCTTTTTGGAAACATTCACTCTACGAAATTTATTGAACAATTATTATGGTCCAGGGTCTTCTGGGCCCAGAGGGTACAGTTGTGAATAATATAGAAGCTGTCCTTTCTGTCATGGAACTTGCAAGTTAGAGAGGGAGAGACAGGTTAAATAATTCTACAAACAATTGTTTAAAATTCAATGGTGGTGAGTGCTGTGAAGGAAGCCATGGAAGTGCTGCAACAGTATAAAAAGGGAACTGAACCTACTTCAAGAGTAAGAATCAAGGGAGTGATTCACCTTGAGTAGAGCTGTCTTTCAAACTCCATAACATACTTTAATATTTTATCAGTGAGTCTTGTAATTCTTGATCGTTATTCTTTCTACTAGTATACTGCAGTCTTGTGCTTTGTGAGCACCAAGGGGAAGAGAGCTTAACTTGGTCTGAGGGGAAATGAAAACAATTCTTAGATACTTAAGCTAAATCTTGAAGGGACAGTAGAGAGGAATTAGACCAGGGGAAGTATATTCTAGGCAGAGGAAACAGTTTGTACAAAGTTTACACAAAGGCATTGGGGGCAGATGAGAACATAATCCTTTAAAGATAATTATGGTTAGTATAGCTGGATGCGGTGTGTGTCTAGATGGTATTGAGAGATGAGGCTGGAAAGATAGATAGAAAATGTGAAATATTTATGTAACCAAATCTGGTTTCTGTAGAGTTGGTCTATTAACTTTTCCCCATATTTCAGAGGATCTAAGAGATATGAGATTTTCTTTTCTCCCCCATATTTTAATTGTTAGCATTGTTAAATAAAGTGTAAGGATTGGCCTAAATAGATGTATAGTGAGATATCTTATAGTTTTAAAATGTATGTAATGCAGTAATTTTAAGGGTTGCAGTCAGATACCCAAAGCAAGGCAATTAATTAGTGAAATACATTTGGATCTCCTGGCTAGACTGAGGCTTGAGTGTTGTAGAAATACATATTACTGCATGTGTATAAGATTGGGTCTGCCTGAAGAGAAGGTTTAAGTGTGGTGTTCCAGGTATATTCCAATGGTGAGGCAGAATATTTTGTTAATGATCAAAGGAGAAATAAGAGATCAAGTGGGAGGAAATTATTAACAGTGAAAGCAACATGGGCAGTTTGATGTAGAGCACTGAGAACTATGTAGGAGACACATGGCTTGCATCTGAGCTGGCCTCTACCACTGACCATAGGCAAGTCTCTGGGTATTTTGGAATCTGAATCCAAACTTCCTATTGAAGTATAACATGGCATACAGAAGAGTATATAAATTATAAGTATGTAGCTTGATGAGCTTTTACAAACTGAACACATTCCTGTAACAGCACCCAAGTCAAGAAACTAGAATGTTACCAGAAGCCCTCTTTGTGCTACCTGTACTTCCATTTGTTTAATCTTTAAAATAGGGGTAATAATGTCTTCTTCACTTTTAGAAGTGCTGAGAAAATGACAACTTGAGAAGTGCCTTGATCTCTCTCAGTGTTGTTATACAAGTGAAATGAGATGCTAGGAAGTAGGACCAGCTTCCAAAATTGTAGAAGTACATAGAGCTTACTTATAGTATTATTAGTAAACCTATTAAATTGGGGATGCATAAGGAGATAACTCTGAAAACCACAAAGCAAAGGACAAAACAGTTGTCTAAAATGAATCATAAGGATGCATGGGCATAGTATATGTGATGTCTTTTGTTCTTATAAGGTGTCATTCTTGGGATTCAGGAGAGCAACTTGTGTATTTTTACCTGTTCAAAAAATGTGAAACTATTCTCATTATTTGAGGATGCTGGAGAAATGGTAGCTTCCTGAAATAAAAGTAAGTTCTGTTTTAAAAATAGCCATAAGTCTTGAATTCACCAAATATTTCTGTTTGGGTTTCAGGAGGTCTGATGCTGAGTCTCTTTTTGTTAATCTGAATGCTTACGAATACTTTTAGAATGGGAAGTCCTCCTTCATGTTCTTAATGCCATTAGCTAAATTGATTTTTTTCAAAGTAACAAAGTCATCATAAATGAAATTACATACATTAGTCCCCACTTATCCAAGGTTTTGCTTTCCATGGTTTGTTACGTGTGGTCAACAGTAGTTCATAAATATTACAGTAGTTCAAAAATAAAGTATTTTGAGAGGGGGGAGCCACATTTTTGTAACTTATTATAGTATATTGTTGTAATTATTCTATTTTATTATTAGTTGTTAGTCTCTTACTGCACCTAATTTATAAAATAAACTTTGTCATAGGTATGTATGTATGTATCAGAAAAATCATAGTATATATGGGATTTGGTGCTATCCACAGTTTCAGGCATCCACTGGGGGTCTTGGCATGTATCCCACGTGGATAAGGGTAGGGGACTGCTGTACTCTTGTAGTACTTTTTGAAAAAGTTTCAATTTTGTTTAGTGTAATAACAGATTGATGCATACCATTTCTTACACGACACTAGCTGTAGTCACCACAATAATCTGCATTTTTCTATCAGGCCTATTTGCTTTCCAATTCTCCATCATCTCCCTGTACAGGTATCTTATTAGATCCCCTTAAGATCTATTCTGTCCTTTACCTGTATACAGTGAACTAAGACTTTTAATTTCTATAAGGTAAGATCATTTTATTAGCATATTTTTGTCTTTGATATATAAAATTATCTCTGCTGAGCTCAAAAGTTTAGTAAATTTTTTGATTGATAATTTAAGAAAGTCTTTAACATAGGCAGTACAGTTATAAGGGATAGACAAATAGAGCAGCTTTATTTATAATAAACATTTGGCTCTTTTGCAGGATTTCCAGATTTTAAGATACACTGAACCCAGTTTATAGCCTTTTATCCCTCACGCCCCCGACCTTTCCCTCCCACCAGTCCCCAAAGTCCATTGTATCATTCTTAGAAACATTCTAAGAACTTCATGTTACAGTTCTGAAAACTGTTACATTTACACTTGTTGTATTTCTGAAGACTTTGTTACATGTGAGTTACAGGTGAATGAATTTGAGGGAAAAACTGACAAAACTCAGCTTGAAAAGGAACCCACAGTGATTTCTCTACAAGGGTATTTTTTGAATTTGTGAATAATTTATTGGCAGCTTGCTTTGCAAAAAATACACAAAAACCTATGGAAATAAAATTTTAAAAAAAAAGTCAGGAAAGACTGCAAAAACCATGACCTTGCACAAAGGCCATTGCAACCGTATACAAAAAAAAGAACACTTCTGTTGAGGACATCTGCCCAGCCTTGGACTGGCATCACCCTTATTATTGATCCTTGAAGCCAAGGACAATGACCTAAAAACAATTATGTAATCTTCCTCATTTTATCTTTGAAAACCTTTGTCTTCCTTTACTTCCCTAAATACACACATAGTTTACTGTGGCACACATATTTTCATTGCAATGCCCTATTCCCAAATAAATACCATTTTCTGTTTTTTTTTTTTTAAGAATATTTTGTGCTATTATGTGATTGATGTTGGTTAGTGCTATTAGTGAAGAAGTTGGTGCTTTAAAATTGAAGCACCAGAGTCTACTTATTTCGCTTAAAACACGTGCTAATTTTTAAAACATATCTTCACACCTCATGAAAATAAGAGGCATTGTGTTTAAAATGTATTTTTTTTTGTTTCTTTCCCATTAAAAATTTAATTGTGGTAAAATTATATAACATAAAATTTGCCATTTTCACCATTTATAGGTGTACAATTTAGCGGCATTCATTGCATTTACAATGTTGTGTAGCCATCACCACTATGTCTATACCTTTGTGCTATATTACCCTACGTAGATATTATGGGAAGAAGGAAAAATTCTTCCCATAATATCTACAATGGTATAGAATTGTTAAATGATTTCTTAAGATAGTTTTATTATTTTAGATCTGGATTAAGAAAATCCTTTGGTAAATGTTATAGTTGGATCTGATTGGCCAGAATTCAAACCAGCAAGTACCTTATTCAATAGCTGCTTTTGTAGGCACAGGTATTCCAGTACCACAGGGTAATGAGTATTTCAAACAAAAGAGGGTTAGAGATATGTCTAATGTTTATTGCCATACCCTCACCCTCTGGGCTTTGATCTTTCTGGTGGTCTTAAGTTACTACTATAGATTTCTTCCTTGCTCATAATATCTATTTGGCAATGGGACTGAAATCTGGTAACTTCTATTGGGAACAAACCATTCCTCTCCACTGTGGAAATGGCTGTTGTCTCATAAGTATTCTCCCTCCTGCTCCCGACTGTTAATACTAAATCTTTGGGTAAATAAAGTTACTCATCTGTACAAAGAGATTGGAGACCAGTCTAATTCCCCTATTTGAAGGAAGCCCCAGAGAGTTGGAACTAATAGTTAAGTGATGCATTTAGAATTAGAACACACCTGTTCCAATCTCCAATCAGGGAAGTTGATTGTCTTGTGGTGGTTGAAGAAACAGAGAGGGACGGGGTCAGCAGAAAAACCTATGAATAAACCTCCAGTGCCTTATGGTTTTTCCTGAAGTCAGAATTTAGAGCTTGACAAAATGAAAGTATTTATCTAGTTCTAACCCACTCTATTAAAAATGAGGAAACTGGCGCAGAGTGACTGTAACTTAAAAATATATAACCAGTTAGTTGCAAAGCTAGAACTGGACACCCGTATGTCTTGACTTTTGCCCTAGTGCCAAATATATGAGAGTGTGACTCTGGCCCTGCCTCTAATAGTTTATTTGCCTACAAGATATTTAGTGGAATTGTCAGTGCCACATTACTGTAGAATTATTTCAAAAGAAATATTTTTGATATTCTGGTTTTGTATCCCCTTCTAACCAATTAGGAACAAGATATTTTTAGTGCCAGTTAATAGTGCAGTCTTTCAGCAGAAAGGAATCTAAATCAATATGCAGTGTTAAATTCACTTTAATAAATGTGAAAATTGTTTTTAAAGTAACCATTGATTATAAAGAGAGATGCTTTCTATACATTTTGGTGGGTACATATACAGTATTTTTCTCATATAAGTGAATACTTACTATATACTATTTTTTAAAAGCCTAAAGTCCTACAGAACATAAACATATAAGGCAACTGAAATCTGTACACCTTCTCAATATATAAAATAAGTGAATATTTGCTTCTAATGAAAGAGATAAAGATTAGATAACTTCAACAGGGGACCTTGGCATATGTCTGATAATAGATATGAGACAGGGATAGCATATTGATTAAAAAAGTCATGGACTTTGGATCTGGAATTTTTAGGACCCGGATTCTCACTGAACCAGTTACTTGATCTGGGGCTATAGCCAAGTTATTTAACTTCTCTGAAACTCGATTTCCTTATCTGTAAAATGGGGATAAATATGCTACCTTAGAGAGTTATGAGAATTAAGTGAGTTAATACCAGTACCTCTTAGAAAAATGACTGGCATATAGTAAGTACTCAATAGCTGTAATAATAATAATAATATACCAATACATACTAATACTAATAAAGTATCTGTTACTAATAATTTTATCATTGCTACTGTTGCTCTTGTTGGAAGATTATGGTAAAGGTGACATGTGAACAGATAATCCTTTTATGCTTCTATGGTAAGTATAGGACTTTTTACCTGTGGATGCTTTTGACTACTTGGATTTAAATACAAATATTTTAATCATAATTAAACAACTATTAATGAAATTTTTTGTTAAGAAAATATTTCCCAGTCCAGATGGTTCCACTAAGCCAGCTCCTTGATCAGTTTTCTGTACCATGCAGTTAAACTATTTTTTCCATTTTCATGTTTATGTTCCTGAAAGTATATTCATTGGGATTACTTTTTTCTGTTTAAATACTAAAACCAGGCTTTTTAAAGTATCAAATTGTATTAATCATGGTTTCCACTATTTTAAGTCTTCTTTTGTACTGGTATTGAAGTACATTTTTTTTTTCTTCATCATTATACACTAATGTACTAACCAATATAGCTTTTTTAAAGAAGCATTGTTACACCTCCCTGATTATGCTTCATTTAAAATGCAGTCCCCTACAGTCCTCTCCACCAATCCCCACCCCCAACCTTTATATTGTTCTTAACATCACTTTCTTCAATAACTCTGGAGTGAGGGAGCATAAACAGTAGGTTATGGGTGAAAGTGAAATGGCCCCATAGTGCTGTTTCTGATGACTAGAAGAGTAGCATGGCTGAGTCTTGCAGTACACCAAGATGTTCTGCATGAGAGGATAAAGGTGGGAAAAGGAAGAAAGCTAAAATGATTTCGCAAATGCTCTACAGCATCTGAGTTATGAAGAGAGGCATTTCAACAGGAAAAGGAGGCCACAATGTTTAGTTAAGTGGTAAAGAAGACTCACTGAAACTTAAGGAAAAACCAAAGAGTATTTCCATGGTTATTTTCAAATATTTGTTCTCTCATCAGTTCTACTCTGGGCAAATATATAATGCAGAATTTCACTTTTTAAAGATCACATTATTGAAACTATTCTGCTAAGCAATGACTTCTTGATTTACGGTAGGACTCACCAAGATTTTAAATAAAGCAATAAAAACAGATTTGCTCTAATGGCTTTAGTGTTATACACTGTGGTTGATAGTGTAATGTTTTATTAAGATTGATAAACATTAAGCATTGTGTATTTGAATCAACCACTAATCCAAACCAGTAAGCATCTGTTACCATTCGTGATTGTCTGTTATGTGAAAAGCAACATTATTGCAGAGCTAAGAGTATCTTGAGCAGTAATTGAAATAGTAGCCTTTGCTAACTGGACTGATCACTACAACTGTCTTTATTTTCTGATGATTATAATGCATTTTATCTACTAGAGTTGAGGTTTTAGCTGAGTGATCACTTTCAAAAAGAATGATTAGTCTTGATCAATAGTGTATTACCTATAGATGAGACTTTTAGCATAATGCAATTTCCTTAGCTGGTGTTGAGATCCATTTCATCTGTTCAGGAAATGAAAGCAGGAGATATATAGTACTTTGGATTGTTTGTATTGCAGATTAGCTAAATATTTGTGGGAAATCAGAGGTCTAAAACATGCTTAAAATTCTAGTCTGATATCTGGATAAAGAAAATGCAGTACATATACACCATAGAATACTATGCAGCCATAAAAAGGAACAAGATCATGTCATTTGCAGGGTCATGGGTGGAAGCCATTATCCTCAGCAAACTAATACACGAACAGAAGACCAAACACTGCATGTTCTTACATATAAGTGGGAGCTAAACAATGAGAACATATGCACATGGAGGGGAACAACACACACTCGGGCCTGTAGCAGGGGAGGGAGAGCATTAGGAAAAGTAGCTAATGCATGCTGGACTTAATACCTAGGTGATGGGTTGATAGGTGCAACAAACCACCATGGCACACGTTTACCTATGTAGCTAACCTGCACGTCCTACACATGTACCCCAGAACTTAAAATTTTTAAAAAAAAATCTAGTCTGTTATATGGTAGTAACAGACTATTAGATTGGTGCAAAAGCAATTGTGGTTTTTGCCATTAAAAGTAATAGCAAAAACTGGCTGGGCATGGTGGCTCACGCCTGTAATCCCAGCAATTTTGGAGGCCAAGGTGGGCAGATTGTCTGAGCTCAGGAGTTCGAAACCAGCCTGGGCAACATGCTGAAACCCCGTCTCTACTAAAATACAAAAAATTAGCTGGGCGTGGTGGTGTGCGCCTATAGACCCAGCCACTCAGGAGGCTGAGGCAGGAAGAATTGCTTGAACCCAGGAGGCGGAGGTTGCAGTGAGCCGAGATCGTGCCACTGCACTCCAGCCTTGGCAACAGAGCGAGACTCTGTCTCCAAAAAAAAAAAAAAAAAAAAAGGAACAACAAAAACTGCAATTACTTTTGCACTAACCTAATACAATCTCATTAAGCACAGTAACTCTGCATTGTGTATTGTAGAAGCACCAGAATTTTCTTACAAATGAAATGATAATGGCTTTTTGATGTGTTCCCTAGAAAGAATTGTGGTCCATCATCTTTTCAGTAGATATACTTTTTGTTATTTAGTGCTTTAGGTGTTATTTGCTAATATTACAGCCAAAATAAAATAGGAATGTGCAGTGGAACTCATTTCTTCTCTGTTATAGCTGGCTCTTTGAAAGTTGTTTGAGGAAACTCTAATTACCTACAGCCCTGCAATGAATTGCACAACAGATGTACTGTTTTAAAGTCTTGATTCTTGCATGCATTTTTCACCTTTTACTTCAGTTTTAGTCTTTGATTTGGAACACTTAATGTTAAGCAGTATAAATGTGTCTTTCTAGGTGACATAATTGGATTCTCTCTCTCTCTCTCTTTTTTTTTTTTTTTTTTTTTTTTGTGAGGAAGAAAGCAAGGTCAGCATTAGCTTTGCATTTTCTTCCCAGGTTGTTGTTCCTTGAATGGAGTCAGAGTTGGGTCAGGGTCAAAAATACTGACTACTACTGCTACTACTACTTCTTCTTCTTTAGCTAAAATATTGTAGTAGAATCTACATATTTTTGATAAAAACCCCTTCTGAAATTTTGCATTTTAGGTAATATTCAAATGACATCATTTCAGTCCTTTTGTTTGTTATTACTTCTGACAAAAGCACTTTTCTGTAAGCTTTTCATTTATTTTACTCTTCAGCTATGAAGTATTTGATTATATGAGGACACAGGAAGAAATAAGGAGTAGCCCATGGCCCCAGCTAATGTGTTAGACATCTTATACAGGATTAGTGCTAGATTAGTTCCATGAGGTGATTTGAACTGTCAAGGTCATCAAAAACAAGGTAAGTCTGAGAAACTGTCACAGCCAAGAGGAGCTGAAGGAGAATGATGACTAAATGTAATCTGGTATGCTGGATGGGATCCTGGAGCAGAAAAAGGGCATTTAGGTAAAAACTAAGGAAATCCAAATAAAGAATGGACTTGAGTTAATGCTGATGTATCAATATTGGTCCATTAATTATTACAAGTGTACCATTCTAATGGAAGATGTTAGTAATAGGGGAACTGGATTCAGGGTATATGGAAGTCTCTGTACTATCTTTGTAATTTTTTTGATAATCCAAAACTATTCTGAAAAATAAAGTTTATTCTTTTAAAAGAACAGCATCATAAGAGGTGATCTTTCTGTTTAGATGACCTCTTGGTAGTAAGGTATAAGATAACTGTTTAATAAAAGCACAAGGAGCATAGGTAGGGGTATGCCATGAGATCTAGAATGTGATAATCCTGGTAGTGCAGTATCAATTCTTGGACAAGGGCAATTCTAAGTCAAATAGACATGCTGAATTCACTTGAAGCAGAATTGAAGAGGTAGGAAACATAGTCATTTAGCATAACCTGAAACCTTTACTCCAAATGCATTATGTAATTGAGATTAAAACTTGTTGGGAACATCTAAGTGAGGGGTGGACAACCTTGTTTCTGTAAAGTGCCAGACGGTAAATATTTTAATCTTTGCAGGCCATACCGTTTTTGTCACAACCACTCAACTCTGCTGTAGCAAAAAAGCAGTCATACACAACGCGTAAGCGAATGATGAGTGTGGCTCTACTCCAATAAAACT
The DNA here is from genome assembly GCF_000001405.40 of Homo sapiens. Classification (NCBI taxonomy): domain Eukaryota; kingdom Metazoa; phylum Chordata; class Mammalia; order Primates; family Hominidae; genus Homo; species Homo sapiens. Next base: position 41,872,065 of record NC_000023.11, on the reverse strand, counting down.
GTATTTACAGAAACAGGTGGCAGTCTGGATTTGTCCTGTGGTCTGTAGTTTGCTGACCCCTGATCTAAGTGATCATACTGCCCAGCTCCATTAGGTGTACTATAATATCTATTTCAAAAAGGAATGCAATCTGAGCAAGATAGAATAATATTGCCTTCCCTCTGTTTTCAAGGAGAGTAGAAATGGCAGCAATGGAGGGACAGAAGTACATGGTTTACTTGTACATATGGTCATTGTGCCTCTGGAAACCCCAAGGTCTATGTATCTGAACTCAGAGCAATTTATTAACCACACTCTTTTTAGATTTAGTCTGATTATGGTCTTTTTGTTTATTTGTTTATTCTTAACTGATTTTACTATGACACAGTATACAAAATCCTTTAGGGAAACCGTATACCACTTCTCTTTGCAATGAAATTTCTAATCAGGGCTTAAAGTAGTATTTTCCCAAGTGCATGACAGGTATTGTGGTAGGCTGTGTTTTTAGGTGGTACCCCAATAAGTCATTAAATAAACAGTAATAAACAGAATTATATACAGTCTTCTTTCAGTCTTTCTTATTAATACATTTGAGAAAATTTAGTTTTAATGTAGCATAAACAACCAACATAGACTCTGTTTTTGGTTTTTGTTTAAGTGAGAATAGCCCTCAAGTTCACAGCATTTGGAAAGGAACAATACTTTCCTGGACTTTTGTAGTGCTATTGTTTTAGTTTGTTCTATTTCTTTTTAAGGTTACCTTCTGTTTATGGCAAGTGATACTGTTTCCTGTTAATGAAAGTGGTATAATAAAAAAAAATTACCTAAGTAAAGAGAGTCAACTTAAAGGAGATTTCCTGAAGAAAGAGATTCAGATTATGAGAAGAAATTGGTATGAGAGAGATTCTCCATTGCTGGCTTGAAGATGGAAAGGGTTGTGGCACAAACTGAGTGGCCCCTGGCTGATAGCCAACAAGGAAATGGACCTTCAGTCCTACAGCTGCCAACAACTTGAATGAGGTTGGAAGTGGATTCTTCCCTACAACCTGTAGATAAGAGCCCAGCCCAAGTAACTTCTTGATTTCAGCATTGTGAGACCCTACGCAAACAACCTAGCTGAGACACCTGGACTCCTGACCTACAGAAACTGTTAGATAATAAATGTGTGTTTTAAGCCGGTAAATTTGTAGTGATTTGTTGTGCAACAGTAAAAAACTAATACAGCCTATAGGCTTTGTTCTTACTGCTCTTCAAACAGAGACCATGCCCTCCTCCACCACCACCACCAGTTCCCCTAACACTGTGTCTCAGTTCTTTTAGTGGTTACCCTTAAAATAGCAACATGTATTATATACTTACCAAGTATAATATTAGTCAGTCTCATTAGCCTTATCTCAGCCAATGCAAGGATCTTAGGACATTTTAACTTTATTCCTTCCTGATTTACATGTTAATGTCTATCATATATTTTAATTCTTTCTGTACTTGAAAACTCAGCAAGACATTATTATTACTTACATAGTCAGTTTACTTAGGTTCATTCACATATTTATGTTTTATTTTACTCTTCATTCTTTGCTGTATCTTTGACTTTCTATCCGGGGTAGTTTTCCTTCTGCCTGAAGTATCCTTTAGAAATTTGTGTAGTGTGGATCTGCTATGACAAACTCTCTGTATTGTCTTAAGTTTACTTTCATCATTGAAGATTATTTTCCCTGGTTATAAAATTATTTGGATGGCACTTTATTTTAGCTCATCAGGTACATCATCATTCTGTTGTCTTCTGATTTCTATTGTCCACTGTCAAACTGTCACTTCTTTGGAGATACTCTGTCCTTTTATTACCTCTGGTTATTTTCAGGTTTTTGCTTTGTCTTTATTTTTCTGTAGTGTGTCTAGGTATAAATTTCTTTTGTTTATCCTGCCATGATTCAGTGGAATCTTGAATTTGTAGATAGACACATCTGATGAAAATTCTATAAAAAGATCCTATGAAAAATTCTCAGCCATTTCCTCATAGATTTTCTCTAACTCATTCTCTCTTTCCTCTCCTGCTGGGACCCCAGTTGACATACATTAAATCTTCTCATTATTTTATCTAAGTTTCTTACCCTAATTCTGTGTTTTTCACCTTTTTGTTTTTCTCCATGGTGTATTCTGGATCATTTATTTTGACCTATATTTCTCTTCATTAATTTTATTCAGCTTTCAGTTCCTCTGAAACCCATCCATTGAGTTTTAAATTTTGGCTTTTTTTTTTTTTTTTTTTTTTTTGAGACAGAGTCTTACTTCATCACCCAGGCTGGAATGCAGTGGCGTGATCTCGGCTCACTGCAACCTCTGCCTCCCGGGTTCAAGCAATTCCTGTACCTCAGCCTCCTGAGTAACTGGGAGTACAGGCGCGCGCCACTGCACCCAGCTAATTTTTATATTTTCAGTAGAGGCATGGATTCACCATGTTGGCCAGGCTGGTCTCGAACTCCTGACTTCAAGTTATCAACCTACCTTGGCCTCCCAGATCGCTGGGATTGCAGGCGTGAGTCACTGCTCCCAGCCTGTATTTTTTGTTTGTTTCAATACCTCATGTATTTTGTCTTTTATTTTTGCTAATTCTAAGATACGGTATCTTTTCTTGAGAGCATCTGCCTACCAGGTTTAGGGGATAGGACAGCTCATGGCCAGGACTGCTTTAATCCAACTTTAAGATTTAAAATTCCATGGACCACCAGATAAAAGAGAGCCAGGCTCCAAGTCCATGCGAGGCCAGGTTTGTTTTGGGTTCACCTCCACCCTAGGCGTAGCCTTTCAGAACAAAACAGAATAAGGTGGAGGTTGGTTTATCAAATGGACTGTAGGTATTCACTCACTCATTCATTCCTATGAGGCCCTATGAGTCCTATGGGGCAGTTGCTTCCCAGGGGTGGAGAATTACCCTCCAGGCAAAAGTAGTTTTATGTGATTGAACTCACTACTGTGAGTTCCCTTTTTCTCCTAGATCATCAACTGGCAAAATTTAAGTACCTTATAAGATATTTGATACTTTCAAAAAATGATGGAGAGGGGAAGGTTTTATTTTGTTTTTCAGTAGGAAGGCTAGTGTAGGTTATCTATTTCATGATCATTGGAAGCAGAACTTTCTCTGGCTTCTTCCTTGTTTCTTTGTTTTGGTAGTGAAAGGGTACCCTTTTGGTATGGCAGACATGATACTTTTTAGGGGAGAAGTAATGAAGAAGTACTTGTACAATAGCAGATGAGCCCCAGAAGAAGTCTCCTGTTGTTCGTATGCGCCAGACACAACCCTTTATGCCTTGTTATTTCCTGTACTGCTGAGAACCCTCTAAAGTAGCTATTATCTCCATTTCACAGTATAAATAAAGTAGCCCCAGAGAGATTGAATAACTGGCCTCTCATTATAGTTAGTAATGAGTAATGGGCACATCCAGGATGCAGCCCCAGGTCTTTTGAGCTATCAAGCCCTTGCTCTGTTTATGTTGTGGTGGCTTTGATTCAAAGAGGAAAAAGTTAAAGTCTATCAGGGGCTAAAGTGCATTCTCTCAAGGGGACTTTCCCATAATTATGGGGTGTTTGCAGCTGGAGTGTCTGTACGTCCAGGTTGCCTGGGCTTGCCAAAAGGAAGTTGTAAGTTCATTGTAAAATATTAATGTGCAGGGATTCTTGGTTAATAGAATAAATTATTTTTTCTTTAAAAAGTTCAATGGTCTCTCAGTGGAGCTGCCTAAAAAAATTCATGTTAAAACATCTTGTTCTTTTACATGATCTCAAGCCATCTGTTTGCATCTATGATAGATATTCTTCATGCTTCATTCCCTATTTCTTCCCTACTGGTTGATATAAAGTAAAGGATTCCATTAAAGGACAGGGCATAGTAATTGCATATGTCTTGATTTTTAATGAATTGATAAACAGTCATTGGCCAAAATGTTTCTAATTTTATGATCTCATCCTGTGTCTATTTACTGGTTTAAATTTGTGCTCAAAATTGTCAGTCTTCAGTCCAGCATTAATTAGGAACCATGAAGTTTTCTTTGTCATCTGAGTCTTAATTGAGTTTATATACCTCTAACTTCACAAAAAGGTGATCATGTGGATAATATAAGTAGTTTATTTCCATTTAATGATATTTTCTGGTGGTAAGCTATTATAGTGATTGAGTGTCATATTTCATCTTGCCAGATCATACAAACTGAAATTTTTAAGCAAACTATTAAAACATCCAAACCAACAAAAAGCTTGAATGAATTCTGAGCTAATCATTGTCACAGCTGATTTTGTAAACCTTTAGGTTGAAAAGCTTTCTGAATTTTAGGAGCTATGTTTGGTTCAGTTCTCTGCTATTACAAAATACTATTTTGTAAAATGCCTCAAGTTTATAAGGCCTATTTTAAATCATTAAAGTATTTAAGAACAGATGTTATTACATGGTAAAAGTTAAAAAGTCTGCTTTCTGAGTCTTAGTTATGGTATCACTGGAAGGATTTTGAATTAGCAATCAATGTCTCTAGTAAAACAATTATTTTTGAAGATGTGTTTAAAAAATAGTTAACATGTTATATGATTTTACAGCTTTTGTTTACCTTTCAGTAATTGGCATTGACAAATTAACATTTTTATTTGTATTAGATAAGTGAAAATCTCCCCCAAGGTATCAGAGAGCTATAGCTTCAAATTAACTTAAATGTAACTATGCTAATGTAAGTGTCTGGAAGATGGCACCCATGTTTGTGCATCCTAAAATGGATTTATCTATTTGTCCATCCAGTAGCATTTACTGGGTCTTCATTAGCACAGTGTCAGGCACAGTTCTATATGTTAGAGACTCAGGATGGATAAGAGAAAATTCCTGCCTTCAGAGAACTAGTTTAGTCAACTGGTAGGTCCTTTATTAAGAGCTGACCTTCAGTTATGCATAACCGTGTTTGTGTAGAATACTGTAACCCCTAACTTTCCTATTTGTGTAATATGGAAGGCCAAGTGATGAAATTGTTATTAAAAACACCAATTCCCAAACAGTGTGCCATGATTTTAATATGCTAAATAGACTGTGGCAATGTTAGATTTCCTTTTTGACTCAGGAAGACTGTGAGGGTGAGTGAGTGAGTGAGTGAGGATGTATATGTGTGTGCATGAGGAGACAACAGAGCAGAACCCCTAGTCTAGTATGCTTTGGTTAGTTGGTATTCATCAAACCCCAAAAGATTGAGAAACATCGTTGTTTGAGACCCTAAAATTCTAAGGTAGAGTGAGGAATCATGGAAGACTACATTATGGACCTGATGAGTTTAATGCCTGCCATTTTTAACTGAGTATGTTGATCATAAAAGAACTGTAGCTTGTACTCTCATTTTAAATAGACTGGACTCCTTCTGTAATAGGGATTGTCAACAACAACAATAAAAAGAATGGACTCCTAATGCTAGCCAGAATAAAATAGGTTGAAAATGCACAGATTTCCATTTCCAGAACAAAAAGGCGTAGACTTACTTTTCACTGCCCCTTCCTTCCTCTATAAATATAACTAAATGTCCTGGAAATTATTCAACTGACAGCAATAAAGGGATTCTGAAAGTTGGGAAGAAAGCAGAGTAGCTTGGAACCTCAGGACTAGAAGTTTGAGGACAATGAGTATAAGTTCACTGGGTTTTCTTTTAATCTCCCATTTTCTCCTAGACTGGGTGCTGGAGAGACCTACAACCCAGAATCACCAGTGGGCAAAGAAAGCAGAACAAAAAGCCTGCTTTCTCTGGCTAGAAGACCAGGAAAGGGAAAGCCCAACAAAGACCTAAGTGGGAGTGCTCATCCCCACTGTTTCACAGTGGGTCCCGGTGGGCACTCTGATCTGTCCCCATTATGGCCCCAGTTGCTGCGGGAGCAGCAAAGCCCCTGGCCCTCCCACCCACTGCTCTACAACTGGGGCCATGACGGGTGGTTTGTTCTGCCAACTACGGTGAAGACCAGACCATTTCAGCCCCTGTGGTCTGCTCTGTAGACAGCAGCAGCAACAGCAAAGCCCAGGCTATACTGCCTCTGCTCCCAACTGGCCCCAGCAGGTGGTCTCTTCTGTAGGGAGCAGTAAGCAGCTGCAGCCGCAGCGAAGCCATGTGTCTTCCTGCCCTCCACCTCATGGCTTAAGGAGACCCAGGCCCCAGTAGGTGACCCCCTCCCCCTCAAGGTTTCCCAGCAATAGCAAGTGGCCCTGGGAAGTACCTTTTATCCCTGCAGATGGCATCAGCAGGGATTGAGTGGGAGTCCCAACATCACCAGAAGAATGAAGCACACCAAAATAGCATTGTGAGGGCTCAGAAAACTAAACTGTCATTGGAACTGAAGCCCACAAAAGTAGTCTAGAACCTACACACTAAACCTAAGCAGGGTGACCACCCTGCTAAAATAGAAGATCCTGTCATCAAGTCTTCTAACAATAAGCAAAACATCCAGGGTACAATTGAAAACCACTTGTCATAGCAAGCACCACAAAATATCTAGGATACAATATGAATGAAAAAAGACATCAACTGATGCCAATACCCAGTTGAATCAGATATGGGAATTTGATAAGGTTTTTAATTCAGCTGTCATGCAATTTATCCAACAGTCAGTTGCAAATTTTCTTGAAACAAATGAAAAGATAGAAGATCTCAGGAAAGTAGAGCCAAGAGCATTTCCTAATGAACTGGAATGTCAGAGAAAAAAAAAGGGTCAAGAATGGTGCCATAATTTTTGGCTAAGCTATCAGAAGGAAATACGGAGTTGCCTTCAACTGAGATAGCAAGAGGAGAGATTAGAAAGCTCAGTTCACTCAGATGTTTTGGGGGATCTGATTGCCCTTTCTCTTGTCTTCCATGCTCTCTTGTGTGCCTTATTGATTAGCAGGAGTCATTACGGAGACTGAGAGGTTGGTCCATCCATGGGAAACTCGTTAAAAGTGAGCATTACTAACTTGCATACTCACATGCAGGGAGTTTGGTTTCTTACCTAACTTGAAAAATTCCCCAAGTGTTTAGATGTTTGATTTTACTATGTCGCCTAAACAGTTACATCCACTATACTCTTATTTTCAAATTTTTTCCCCTAAAGCAATTATTTTCCAGATCATCTACTTTATGTCTTTAGACCTAGAAACTGATTACTACAATTATGATTCAAAACCTATTTTCTGCTGCCCTGCACTGAGCTGAGTAATTGGGTGTAAATGGTTATTTCGTTTGCATGCTTTGCCTTTGTGTTAAGTGTTTTTTGGTTAAAAGACCAGAGGTTGCATTATTGCCTGCTGAATATGCTTATATTAACAATTGTAAAAAAGTAAATTACTTTTGGGAGTATTAATGAATAGGCACTTAAATTGCATAGTTAAATCTTTTCCATCCTTTACTAAGCAAACAATTGGATTACCCCCCATAAGAATTTAATTGACAATTTCCATGCCACATTTGGGTAGGGAATATTTCTTACAGACAAAAGTTGTTTGAAATCAGAAGGTTCTTAGCCATTTCAATTTCATAATTTGTATTTGTGTTGTTATTATAAATACTAAAATTTAGATTATCATGTCCAAAGTCCACTGATAATAAATGCTACATGGGCAACGGGGTGGAGTGTGACAGAAGAGAGAGGTTTCTTAACCACAAGACTGGACTGCTAATGTGTAATATGAGTACGGGGGCAGGAGGTAGGTATTTTATATGGTGTTTCCCAAACTTACTTGAATGCGAAACTTTCATTCTTTAAGGACTCCACAAGATGCCAATTTGGGAAACCCTGACTTAGAGTGTTAGGTAATTACATTTTTGTTTCTGTTTTACAGTATAATTTTGTATAATCCTGATGCAACTGAAATGAATAGAGAGAGGCGTATTGGTGACTGAGATATCTTTCACTAGCTTATTTAAATTAGATAATTTAATTTTATTTAATTTAGAAGTAGGTTTACCTGGTTATGGAGATCTTTAAAACATGGTTTTAAATGAGAAGAGATTAACGGTATTCCACAGAAGTATCACTGAAATAAAAATCTCTTAAGGAGGATAACAACTTCAGAGTGCAGATATTAACCTCCGCCCCCTAGCTGCAGAGTTGTGATTAATGGCTTGCAACAATACTATTATAGGATAATGTAGCATTTGGAAAACAACCTATGTTAGTGGCATATTAACAGAACACACCCCTTAGAAATATGATTTACAATGTAATTTCAGACTTCCAGACTTCCATAATTATTAGTTTCCATTTACAAAGAGTGGATTATGCACAGAGAATTTGACAATTGTGATAATGCTAGGTACTAGTTAAAAGTAATTAGGTTTATGAACACTAGTAGAGAAGGAGGAGTGAAGAGGAGGAGAAAAAGGTCAATAGTGAATTTCAAAAAAGTTGTTTCTCTACTAAATATTTTCATTGGGCCAATTTCTGATGTATAGGCCCACATTTAGAAAATAACAAAATGTGAATATATAGCTCTTAACATAAAAATGAAAGTTATGGTTTTCTTGCACCAGCCTTAAGAGGAGTGTTCCTGTTTAGGGCAGACCCTGCTAGGCCTTCCTGTTTGTTATCTCCACAAGATATTGTACCTTAAGAGCTTGCCTTTAGCACTTTTTCTTTTTCCTTTCTGGGCTTCTTACAGTCTTTCTATGGGGATGTTTCCAGCAGCCCCTTGGGGAGGGGTTTGGGGATATATTCATGTTTTCTGGGGCTCTGTCCTCTGTATCCTGAAGTGCTGTCATTAGCAGCAATGGCTTCAATTACCTCTCATTCACTCATGCTACCTAGGGAGTATAGAGGTTAAGAATTTAGATTTCAAAGTTCCATATGTTTAGGCTCCAGTCCTAGCTCTAACATCCACTAACTGTTTGACCACAGACAACCTCTTAGCCTCAGTTTCCTAATCTATAAAATGAGGCTGATATTATATTAGCTATGATGACAAATAAATTATGATAAATAACAAGAATCTATGTAAACTTCTTAGCAGCATGCTTGCTGCTGACATGTTATATTATAAATGACAGTTGTTGATGTCTTCATTATCATGACCCGTTCCTTGAACTTTATACTCCTATCTATATGCCCTCTATAAATCTCTGCCTGGATATTCCATGGAAACCAATATTTTCCAAACATAGCCATGTGCTTCGTTTCTTTCTCAGCCTTCTATCAGTTCTTTCTCTTGTAATTCCTTTCTCATTTGGTGGTATCATTCACCCAGTAACTGTTGCCAGAAATTTGTAAGTTTTCTTACAACTCAACCCCAACCACCATCTAGCTAATCATTCACTGTGTTATCTTGTGAATTTATTTTCTTAAGTATCTCTCTGTCGCCTTTACTTTATCACCTCTTGCTTGGGCTAATGCAATAACTTCCTGAGTGGCTCCCACCCACTCCACAACGTCTCTCACTCTCTGTCATAGTGATCTTTGGTCCCCTTTTCCTTTTCCAGCCACTTCTCACCCTCCAGTTTTTCATGCTAGCAGTACCAAATAGCTTGAAGTGCCCAGCACACACTTTTTTTTTTTTTTTTTTTTTTTTCTGAGACAGAGCCTTGCTCTGTTGCCCAGGCTGGAGTGCAGTGGCATGATCTCTGCTCACTGCAACCTCCGCCTTCTGGGTTCAAGCAGTTCCCCTGCCTTAGCCTCCCAAGTAGCCGGGATTACAGGCATGCACCACCATGCCTGGCTAATTTTTGTATTTTTAGTAGAGACAGGGTTTCACCATGTTGGCCAGGCTGGTCTCGAACTCCTGGCCTCAAGTAATCTGCCCGCCTTGGCCTCTCAAAGTGCTGGAGTTACAGGCATGAGCCACTGCACCCTGCCAGGGCCCAAAACACCATGCCCTGTGTTTTGACTTGGCTGTAGGCCATTGCACAGGCTATTACTTACCTCTGGAATCCTCTCCTTTCCCTGCTTAGCCCAACAAACTCCTATTCATTGTTTCAAGCCCTCCAGGATGTCCGTGTGTCATAGAGGCCTTCTCTCAGTACCATGCTATCCACAGATTTTTAAAACTCATAGTGTTATACTATTTCTATACTTTATAACTTTACACTAACATTATATATAACGTATGTATACATACATAATGTATATATGTATGTGTATAATGTATATATACATATGTATACATACATATATAGTATATATAGTATATATACATATAATGTATATATACTATATATTATATATTATACTATATATACTGTATGTATATTATACTATATATTATATGTATATATTGTATGTATATATACATATATACAATATATACATTATATATACATATATACATGTAATATATATACATTATATATGTGTATATATACATGTAATATATATACATTATATATGTGTATATATACACGCACACACATATGTCAACAGCAGCCTACTAGATTGGAAGTTCCCTGAGGACAAGAATTGCTTTATTAATCTTTTTCTTGTTTATTCTTTATATTCTTTGTCTTATTTTCATTGGGGAAATGAGGTAAATAAGATAAAATGTGCAAATGTCAATAGAATTTTTAAAATCTTAGTGCTTTAATATTTATTTTTGATTTAGCTAAGATTGCCTAAAGTGTGTAACCAAGTCAGAATTCTCACTTTTGTAAGGTTTATCTTCATATGTTTTCTTGCTTGTTTCTTTCCATGCATGTCTAATCTCCTTCTTCACATTTCTTATGTTATAAAAATCTTTTTTCTTCTCTATTAATAGTTCTTGATATATCCTCCATCAAGTGTGAGCTAACAAAGACCTAGAATCGATGTCCCTCTACATTGGCTCTAACCCCAGCCCTTCTCACACACGCATGCACACGCACACACGCACACAAACACACACACACACCAATCAAATTTTCCAGAACCTTTGCTTTGAGCAGAAATTGCCTTATGTGACTGGCAGTCCTCTCATAAAAGTAGTAAATGATGAGTGTATTATAGTTAGACTCAGACCAGAAGATGGTGTGCTACATGAAATCTAAAGTGAAGTCTACTAAACTTCACTGAAGTATCAAGGTGTGACAGAGGTACTAATTATGTCAATATAAGTACTGAGTTAGTAAATGCTAGTCTTAACTCTGAATTGTTCAGCTTTGACAGGTGAGCTAGATTTGTTCCATTAGCTTATTGGAGATTCATTGCTAGCTGTTTCAAATAAACCTCCCCCTTCTATTTTCAAGGAATGATCTGAATCATACTCCTTTGTCAAGTCTTTAATTGTTAACATTTAGGCAACAGTTCCTGAGACTTTTATTTTAATAATTTTCCACTCCGTGTGTGTTTTTTGCGGTAGCAATGAGTAGGAAAACTTTTTTTTCTTTGGTTTAATCACTGTACCTAAAGCAACTCAGCTTGGTGAATGTATGTAAGCATATGTGTTGGAGCTGGGGATGGGTACCAGAAGTGTTAAAAAGTGTCAGGACAGCATCTCTGTTCCCTTACTGCTATCACATTGATTACCGCGATAATCATTGTCACAGCTGATTTTGTAAACCTTTAGGTTGAAAAGCTTTCACAAAGCTATCACAAAGCACAGGAAGACAAGGAAAGGATTTATTGATGAAATTATATGCATAAGCTCTTCTTTAGTGGCAATGACTACACTAAATAGTGTTGAAATAGGGAACAGACCATCGTTATCTTTAATCGGTAGAGTTTTTATATAAATTTATATATGTCTATAATTTTCAAGATTTTATTCTTACTGCTAATGTTGTCATTTATAGTTATTTTATTTTAGCTTTGTTTCCTTTTTGCCTACCCACCATCTATGTCCCTCAATTCTTAACGTCAGAACTGTATAAAAAGTAGTAGGAAGACACAGATTTAGAAAATGGGTAGAGAAATATCTAGAAGCACCATGATTTCTCAAAATTTTATGTACTTACATAAAATTGCGTTACTTAATAAATGTATCAATGGCTTATTCATTTCTAGTTTGTCATTTTTCTTATATCATTCACCAGATATTTTTTGAGGGCCTAATGTGTACTGGGTACTCATTAAGTTTATATTTTAATATGAATACACACACATAAATATAACATTACATATTATAAGTATATATGAAATAATATAAATACATGTATGTGTGTATATATGTGAATACACACAGTTTATTCTCATTATTCATGGTAGTTGTGTTCTATAAAGTTACCATGAATGCTGAATGAACCAATACTGAACCATTGCTCCTAGGGGAAGTACAAGGTTGGGTTCCTTCAAACCTCTGGTCACAACATTTTCATCAACCGATCAATACATAACCTTGTTTTATGTGTGCTTCTGTTTAAAGATACTGCATGTAATATATACTGTTGATTCATTAACATTGAACTCACAGCCAACATTGTTATAACTCATGCCTGAAGGAAGCTTCCCTAACTCACGTATTTTCCCCATAAGGCACATCACAGCCTTCTTGTGCTTAGGAACACTAGACAGTCCCTTCAGCACTATGCTTGGTGACCATATTAAACAGCAAAATCACCAAGAAAAAGCGCAAAATGCAAAAAAATGCTCTAAATAGACTTTGAAAAGATGACTTGTTGATGGCATGAGAGCTGAAACAAGAAGGCAGAGCATCATCTTGTTTGCCCTCAGCTGGCATCATGCACATTGGGTGATTCAAATTTTTCACCATTACATGCGTGCCTGTAAACGACTGAAAGTGCCATGACTGTTGATTTGGGGGTTATAAGTGAATTTTACCAAGTAGGCGAATTTACAGACATGCACTCTGCAATGTAATGAGGATCAGCTGTATATCAACTTTGTGTGTGTGTGTTGTGTATATATGTGTGTAAAAATTTGTTCTTGGCCTTCACTTTCCCCATCTTTGTCTTTTCTTTTTTAAATCATTCACGGTTTTCCTACGTATCTTGTGGTACATTGCACAATTCATTATAAATGTAATGGGGCTTCTAGGCCTGTTGTTATGGACAGAAATTTCATTGCGTTTATTAAAGGTTTCCTGAGACATGATGTGTTTTTGTTTATAGACCTCTCATAGGGTGAAAATTTAACATGTAACTCCAAAGTTTATATGTAGCAACTCAAAGTATTATTTTAAATTTATTACAATTAGATATAAAATTACAACTGACAATTCATATTGACTTTATTATGTTTGAGATGCAGTGTTTTTTTGAAGTGCCTTCAAAAGCCCTTTGTGCTCCTCCCCAATCACAACCCCCTCCCCCTCAAACCACTATCCTGCCTTTTATATTAATCTTTTTAAATTCTCTTTATAGCTTTACCCCCTATGTTTGTATCTCTAAGGAGTATATTGTTTAATCTTTTAGAACTGAGTAGCAAACACAAACTTAGCTGGGTAAAGAAAGGACAATATTACTACTATTGTATGAAGACTTAGGAGAAGAGAAGCTGAACAAGCTCTTGTTCATAGTCTGGCTTCAGATGTTCTGAGAGTGGTTAGGAGCCCATTCTGGGAAGTCGGTTGGCAAGGTCATGCACAAATAAATCCCGAGACAAGGGGCTCTTCACAGGCAGGACATTTCCGCTGTAGTGCAGGATAGGGGGAGGTACTGAGCACCCAGCAGGAATTTGGTGGGGGGCACTGGCTGCCCTGCATTTCCTGCTCTTCAGCTCCCTGATGCCTGCCTCCCATTCTCAGGAATAGGTCAAAGCAGGCACTGCTGTAGGGTGAAATTAAGAGTCCTCTGCTAGTCTAGGCAGCAGAGAAGGACAGAAATCTCCTCAGCCAATTGTCAGGAAAAGAAAAACAGAAGAATCTGGATGCAGCTCACCTACCTATTCTGTTTTCAGGTTAAAAAGGTGGCCCGTGGCAGTGGAAAACTGATGGCTCTCAGTCTGGATTGGTTGTCCTCTGTGCCTGAGGCACAGCTGTCAGCCTGAGATTTCCCTTCCTTGCATTCCTGGGGATTCCCTTCATCTCTCTTCTGTGTTGGATCTCCTATTTGCTGTCTCCAGGCATGCTTTTTATTGGTCTATTCTTGTTTTAGCAAACACGTCCTACAATAATTTCTTCAGAAAGTGTGCATGGCAAGTAATTTATTGACCTTTTTTGTCTGAAAATGTCCTTATGGTTAATGATGGTCTGGCTGGATGTTGAATTCAAGATTAGAAATCATTTTCCTTCATGATTATGATGGTGTTGCTCTATTGTCTTCTAGCGTTGGCATTGAGAGATCCAAAGCTATTCTGGGTGAATTGTGTCATCCTTCCTCGCTGCACATCTTTACCCCCACTTCTGGAAACCTGACAATCTCCTTGTCCACAGTGATTTTAAATTTCACAGCAGTGTGTGTATGGACATGGGTCATTTATTTTGCTGAGTACTTGGTGGGTCCTTTTAATTTGAGCTCCTTATGATTTAAATTCTGGGAAGTTTTCTTGGATTATTCCCTTAATTTCTTCCCCTTCATTTTCTTTGTTATTTATGCTCTGCTTTTCCCAAATTATCGGCCAACGCTTCTATTGATAAATTTCTCTGTGTGTTTTTCAAGGGCTCTTTTGTTTTCTGAAAGTTCTGGTTTTTGTTTCACAATTGTGATATCTTTCTGAGGATATTAATGGTAATTTGAAGTCTTATTGTGTAGTGTGTTTCCTCTAAGTTGCTCTTTTTGTTTGTTTTTGGTTCTATCTTCCAAATTAGAGACTCTTCAGATGTCTTAGGAGCCTTGGTTGTTGTATACTTATGATTAGAAATAGAGCAATGATTCTCAACTGGGGGCAATTTGAACCTTCCGTACCCCAGGAGGATATTTGGCAATATCTGGAGGACTTTTTGGTGGTTAAAGCTGCAGGGGGTGCTATGCTACTAGTATCTAGTAAGTAGAGGCTAGGGATGTTGCTGAACATCCTACAATGCATAGGACATCCCTGCACAACAAAAAATTATCTAGCTCAAAATGTTAATAGTGCTGATATTGGAAACCCTATAATAGAGGGCCTCAAAGCTGATTAAGAGAGCTCCGAAGGTGCAGGTGGAACGTGTTGACTTTGGGTTTTGCTGGAGGATGATCTAGTTGAGTAGTTTGGAGAACCTCTTCATTATCTTTAGGTCTTTTCTTCTGAGCTAGTCAGATATTCAATAGAAAAGTCTTTCATCTCCTGCCTTAAGGGTAAAGATCTGGCTTCCAATATTCCCCCTGTTAGTCAAAAAGGGACTCGGGCTGTCTGCGTTCAGTGTATATGTGACCACATAATACCCTTGCTTTTCATATAATACCCACTTCCTCAACAGCCTTGTGTTTCCAGTTGTGAGACCCTACAGTTTGGTTTTTTTTTTTTTTTTTTGAGACGGAGTCTTGCTCTGTCACCCAGGCTGGAGTGCAGTGGTGCGATCTTGGCTCACTGCAAGTTCCGCCTCCCGGGTTCATACCATTCTCCTGCCTCAGCCTCCTGAGTAGCTGGGACTACAGGCGCCCGCCACCAAGCCCAGCTACTTTTTTTCAGAGACCCTATGTTTTATTTACTCTTTCCAGATAATTAACCTGTTGGGATGAGGGAGCGGCAGTTATCCATGGTATGGAGTACAGGAGACCACCTAGGGCTCTAACTGCTTCTCTAACACATTTCATTCAAACCTTGTTACTTTAACTCTACCCTCTCTTCACTTCCAGTTCCAGAGTTATCTGGAACCCATTCATGAGTTTCTTGGGGATTCTACAGTATAGATGGGTTTGGTTCTGAACTTTCCTTATTATCTCTTTGCAGTTCAGCTTTTCCAGGTCTGCCAAGTCAATTACCACTCTCCATCTGCTTTCTTGGATTCCAAATTTAATTATTACTATTATCTCCTCTCTTGTACTCCCAATCCTTTTTAAAAACCCCTTTGGTATCATTGTAGTGGAGTTTGGATAGGGAAATAAATTAGATACATTGTGCTCAATCTATCCCATGATCCTGGAAACCAACATGCTGTATTCTAGCATAATTTCATTTAATTCTAGTCTTATTTTGGTATATTTACCTTTGTTATCAGAATTATTTCCTAGACTTAGGTTTTCTTCACATAAATGAAAACTAGAGGATATTAGTCTGTGTCTGCATAGGGACATAATTGAATTCTTTTCAAAACCTTAGGGGATATTGTAGTGATATATTCACTTCTAACATATTCTGGTTTAATTTACCTTTTTGCTTAAAAACATAGACTGCTGTAAGCAGCCATCTGCCTCAAGTAGAACCTTGTTTTACCATCCCAATCAATATTCAGAATTTGTAAAGAGTTGAATAAAGAATATATATTTCATTAAATCTGAAATGCTGTCAATTATCTTTTTCCATTTTTAATACGGTCATAATTAGTGGAAATATGAGAAAGATAGTTGTTTATGATGACGGCTTATAACTATCTCTACCAGTATTTTCCCCCACATAAATATTCAAGAATTGACTGTACCTTAGATTTAAAATTTTAAGGGTGATTTCAAACATCAATAAAATGTACAGGCCAGACTGAAACCTATACCTCCTGAATTTTTGCTGTTCCCTAAACTGTCATCCAAGCATAAGTAATAAGTGTAATATAGTAGGTGTGTTACACTACTTTATCACTCCTCCCTTTTTAAGATGGGAAACCAAGCCAAATTTTAAATTTTTTATCAGTTTCTGCTGAGTTTCCAGTTAATGGGTTAAATCGCAAAAACCTCAAAACGTATTTTAGTATCTTTTTAGGGTGTTAAATTTGGTTTACCATTGTTAACCCCCTGGATGTCATTGACGGACAGACCCTTAAAATGCTTTACTTGTAACCTGTCTTCAGGTCTTCAGTAGTTCATAGATATAATTATTTTCTTTGCCTCGTACTATAAAATTAAAGAATTGGGGATTTGATTTGATTTTTATTCACAGATTTTTAAAAGTTTGTGTTTTGTTGTCTAAGTATTCTCTTTTCTCCCTAGCTCTATTAATTTTATTGTTACTAAAAGAAAAGGGGGGAGAAGATATGCTTTCTTCCTCACCTTTGTTCAAGCAGGAAAAAGTAAAGAATTGACTCGATTGACCATGAACAATCAACCCCACATACAGATGTTGGGAAGTTTCCAAAAAGATACAGTGAATTGAAGCAGACTATTCAAATGTATCATAAATAGAGTCCCAAGGGTTTATGTGTGGACAAAAACCAATTACATGAAGCATTTCCTGAAATTGCTTGCTATTGTCAGGATAAGTAATCAGAAGTAAGACATCCAGGTTGAGAATGAAAACGTTTGTCCCTCAGTTTGTAATATTGTCTTCTCACAGAGGAAAATCTTTGAACAGTTTTGAGGGATTATCAAAAGGATCCTCTTTCTGTAGAGTTTTGAAAGATATATTATTACCATTTCTTTTCCTCCCAGGTTAGCTTTTTTAGGTTGCTTGAAAAGAGAGATTTGAAGCTGTGGTATAGTTGATGTCCTCATGATGTCATCTTGGATAAATGTTTAAGTCTAAGATTAAATTTAGTAGTTCGTCCTGTAGTTGAAAGAAGAAAAACTTTAAGGCCAGCAGTATCACAAGTGTAGTACTGTAAATGAAGAACTTTTCTCTATCTGCTAATTGAGCACATGCATCTAGGTGTACTGTTTGTACCTGTAATAAGCGAATGAAGGTGGTTTTTTTGTTTGTTTGCCTTCTCCCCAGGAGGGGGAAAATACACGCATGTATACATGTACACATGTATTTAATGACCACCATATTAACCTTCAAATAAACCAATCACATTGCTATTGCATTCTGTATTTTATAGTCAATTCACACACACACAAATCTATATTTGGATTATCTTAACTGAGTTCAGATATTTCTTTTATAACTGGTAACCACAGGGAACCGTGTGTGTGTGTGTGTGTGTGTGTGTGTGTGTGTGTGTGTGTGTGTGTGCGCGCGCCCGCGCGCGCGCGCATGTTCCCTGGACCAGGGTATGGGCATCTTTAAATCATCTCAGCTGATTCAACTGTGAGGTCTGGGTCAGCAAATAGCTAGACCAGTGGCTGTGCTCATAGAAATTACTTCCTTTCCTCTAGTAATTTCAAACAATTCTAATTTGAAGTTTGAGGAAAATTAAGGATTTCTCTGTGATTTCAGGTGAAACTGGAGAGGGTTGGAGACCAAACCACGCAGGCCTTTCTCTTTGTAAAGTGTTTGTTCAAGTCTTTTGCCCAGATTTTATTGGAGTGTGTTTTTTTTCTTATTGTATTTACAAGTTACTTATATATTTTGGTTCTTGACTTGGACTGTATATTGCAAATACTTTCTCTCTCTCTGGTGTTTTAAACAGGGATATCATATCAGATTTTCATTTTTTAAATATCATTACAAGAATGAATGGGAGAAACAAGTTTTTCAGTGGTTCTAGTAGAAGATGGTAGGATGTGGGACATGGAGAGAAGAGGACAGGTTCAAGAGATATTTGAGATAAACTCAGTAGGATTTGTTAGTGATGATTAGGTAAATGGTGGGTAAGATGAGAGGGAAGTGTCAAGAATGGCTTGGGTTTCTGGTTCATAAGAATACCACCATTACTATGGACTTCACTTATTTTGTTTAAGATGTTGATAATCTATATAGAATTGTACAGTCATTATTTGCCTTGAGCATAAGACTACTATTTAGAATTTTTAAAAAATTACTGCAAATTGCAAATTTATTGGTCATTTTTATGGTTTTGGTAATCTTTTAAAATTATCTCATGAATTATAGAAAAATATGTTGGAAGTTATATTACTTAAATTTTATTTTGAAAACTGTGTTCAATTTGGAGTCTAAAGTAGAATGGCAAACATTATCTATATTATATAGATAATGAAACAGTAAGACATTAATGGGAAATAGGAACTTAAGAGAATCAATGAATTAAAATTGACTTTTTGTTTTATAGGGGTCCCTTCAGTGTTGTACGACGATGTATCAACAGAGAAACTGGGCAACAATTTGCTGTAAAAATTGTTGATGTAGCCAAGTTCACATCAAGTCCAGGGTTAAGTACAGAAGGTAAGAGATGGATTTCAAGTAAGTTATTTGATGTCTGGCTTTATTCCATCTCCAAAATCCATTTACCAACCTAACCTTCATCTGGGGGTGGGGAAGCAGAGGGTATGATGTAGAGGGAAGTGGGTGGAGACAGTTTAAACTCTATTCTAGTTTGTCAGAATTCTAGGACATAGTATTTGAAAGACAGGGTAATTTACAGAGTTATAAAATCATCTAGGATTTCTATGGGCCTATGTTTTTTGACTAGGAAGAAAGCAAAAATCTGGGCTTTTTTTTTAGGGTCTAATTTTGAATTATATTGTGTGGGTCATGGGATGGGAAAGGAAGGAGGTGAAATAATGGCAAGAATGATAATTGAAGATTCAGAAGAAACTTAGTTACCTCAAAATGCATCACTTACTACCTTTAGGATTATGATTTAGTGGAATCAAAAGATTCATATCTCACATTTGGCTTAAGTCACATATGATATATGTGTAAAAATTTGAAAGGTCAGTACTGTTAGGACTTTCAGGACTTAAAATTTTGTTTCAATACATTATTATAGATAATCATATTTATATGTATATTTATAAACAGTACGTAAACATTTTAAAGTTTTATTTTGTTTGTTTTTTAAGCCATAGTTTCATGTAACTGTGACATACATGCTCATACTTCAGATGGCACAATTGATCATGATACTAACTTTTCTAATTAGCCCATTACTAACTTTTCACTTTTCCACAGTTCAGTAAAATATGAATCCTTCTTTAGTCCTTCCCTTTTTAATCCCAAGAGCAATACAGTTGATAATTTAGATTGGAAAATCTAGGGCAGTGTAGCCTATTTATATTTTATCCAGTTATTTTACTTTGGGAAGTAGAAGCCCACATATTGTGAGCTTCAAGTTTGTCTGTTCCTGGAGATCTTTTTTTCTTTTAAATACTTTTGTGACCCTTTGAATTATTATTATTCATATAATGATTATGGAAGATTCTTAGAAGTTGCTACTCACAAAGAATAACTGATTTGTTTTTAGTGCTTTAATATTTAAAATATTATGGTAAGATTTAGAGATTTTATATTTTATGGTTTTATGCTCTAGAATTGGCTATTATTGCTTTTGAATATAAATTATTTTATAAATCTAGCAACATTTAAAATTGACTTTTAAGTGGGGTTTAGAACAAAATTATATTTCCTTACACCTTTAACTGCCTTTAAGCTTAATATTCTATATTTGATTTTTCTCTACCTCTGTTGTCTGACCAAATACTGAGGTAATTTTGTATAAACCTAATTCATTAAACATATGTTCTGATCCTGTTTATAAACTTAGTAAGATTCCAATTTTAAATCACAAGTCTAAGTCAGTTACTCAGTTACCAATATTAAATTGGAATAATATAAGCCAAATTCTCTTAAGCATTGTTATAAATAATTAAAATAAATATTAATAGCTTCTTTTTCAACCCAAAATTATCAATACCAGAGTTTTGACTTATCTCATTGTTGTACCAAATTCTAAATCTCCCCAGGCTAAAGACATTCTTTCGGGAAACAATTACTTACCTTCTCATTGGCTGAGGTTGTTTATTGACAGATTTCTTCAGCCAGATCTCTTGAGCTACAGACTCAGAATGCCAAGCTGAACCTGTCTCTTGTCACTTGGTCAGGGAGTCAAATTCCAAATTTACAAAAGGGGAAAGTACTTAGTATATAGTTCATATACCTGGTATTAAGTCCTGTCTTCATTTAATATAATATATGGGAGTCTGTTGCTGAAGTTATAGCTCACTCCTTCATTACTTTGCCATTGCTTTGGCTATATAAATGTCTTCAAGTCCTATTCTGAAGACAAAGCCACCCATTCTATTGATCCCTCATACTCTTAAGCCTCCTTGAACTTAATAGAATCATGTACTCTTTTCATATCCTTCCTATATGGTAGGACCACAGCGTATAGATATTAAATGACATCCAGTTGGATTTGGGATATTACTCATGACTTTATCTGATTTTGGTCGGAGTTTAGTGGTATTCAAGTGAAAATATGCAATTGGCCCTTTATGTTTATGGCACCAGAATTAAGTTTTTCCATCTTCTTTAGCACAGCGACTCAGTATAAAGTTAGGAAACAATCAAAATTCCATCTCCACCACCTCTACCTTTTTTTCTTGCGATGGGATTCCCATGCCCTCTGTTGCTCATGTTCACACAAGCTTTCTTGATTCTGACTTGGACACATTTTATTATAAGATGTATAATATATGTAATAAATAGTAAATTATTTCATTATATAAAGTCTCTGTGAACAGTGCTTCCCCTCCCTCAACTTCTTTCAACCCTTTTCCAGTCACTATGGGCAACACATCTTAACTCCTCTGCTCTTCTGGTCCATTTACAAATTGTTAGGGTCCAAAAATGACCTCATTCATGGCTTAGCATAGAAGGAGATGCTACATAAGAAGACACATATTTTGAAGTAAAATTTAACACAGTAAAAAGGAATCCATAAGTTCAAATAATATCTAGAAATATCTATATTTACCGTTACATTCTTTCCCAAATAAACTTATCTCTTAAGCAACAGATAATTTAAAATCTATTTTATTCTTTATTCTTTCCTTTTTGTTTCATTTTATTATTTTATTTTTGGCTTAGTGGTTTGTTTGCTCTTTGTTAATTACCTCAATATTTTTTCTTGTTTTCCTAGTGTACTTGTATTCAAATACATTATTGAGTGAAATAGGTCTTTAAAGGGTTATCTAAGAACCTACCATATGCTATTTATTTGGATAGGTCATTATAATACAAATGATAAATAAAAAGAGCCCCTAGCCTTATGGGACCTATGTTTTAATAGTCTCCAACCATTGTTTATAACATGGTTTTTATTAGGAAAACAATGTGTAATAAATTCGAAGTAAATCATTTACAAATTAATTTTTTTTGAGATGGGGTCTCTCTCTTGCCCAGGCCAGAGTGCAGTGGTGCAATCATGGCTCATTGCAGCCTCGACCTCCTTGGGCTCAGGTTATCCTCCCACCTCAGCCGCCTGAATAGCTGGGACTACAGGCATGCGCCACCACACACAGCTAATTTTTTGTATTTTTTGTAGAGATGAGGTTTTGCCATATTGTTCAGGCTGATCTCAAACTCCTGAGCTCAAGTGATCTACCCACCTCGGCCTCCCAAAGTGTTGGGATTACAGGCATGAGCCTCCACTCCCAGCCCACAAATTTACTTTTGAAATGAAATGTGTTGATTTGTTGCAGACCACCTGTACGTTTTAATATTTTAAATTCTCATTGCTCTAATGAAGATGAGATATTATAATTGGTGAGGCTAAAGATGAGACATTTCATAACAGATGAGATATTTTTGAATATCTGTTCTCTACTTTTGCCATCAAAATCATAATTTTTATTTTATAGGGCTTCTTAACTTGCAGGTTGCCGACTATTCAATAATCCCTTGAAATAGTAAGCAGAATTATGTTTATTTTTTTAGAGAGTCCATAGCTCTTATTAGATTCCTAAAAAGGCATATTATTCCTAAATGATTTAGAATTTCTCCTTTCACATGTATGAAAAAATGAAATTCATGCTTATGAACATGAGATGAATAAGAAGTTTCTACTAAATCAAAACTGGATGAATTTATATTAGGATATGACTTCTGATTGGGGGATTTTTTATACTTACATATACAGCTTCCATTAATGAATTTCCTAGATTATTATCTTGAACTTTTAATTAATATAC
Organism: Homo sapiens; assembly: GCF_000001405.40. Taxonomy (NCBI): domain Eukaryota; kingdom Metazoa; phylum Chordata; class Mammalia; order Primates; family Hominidae; genus Homo; species Homo sapiens. Next base: position 41,849,365 of record NC_000023.11, on the reverse strand, counting down.
TTTTTGTCTCTTACTCTACTGAGCCACTAATTTAGAGTTTTTGTCTTAAAAATAGATATCAAAATTAATTCAGACAAATTATAATAAGGAAACTAAAGGAAAGTAAGATGTATAGAATTGGAAACTAAATTATCAAAGTTCTGAGTTCTTGATAGGACTCAATTCTTTATGGTTTATTATAAAAGTCCAAAATTAACTGTTTTTATTTGGGAGTATTATAAATTGTGTTCTAGAAAGAGTATATTTTGGGCTCCAGTTTGCTTAGTCTTCAAGAATGTCTCATTCTAAAGTCCCAGATAGTAGGTGATATCAGTGAAATTGAAGAAGTAAGGACCTTGACAGTTCTCACTTTTCATTTAAAAAAAAGAGAAAACTGACAGAAATGTCAGAATCAACTTTTTCAGGGCTCTGGAAATTGACCAAAGGCTTACAGCTATCCAGGAATAATTTATTCAAGAAAACTGACTGATTCTTAGTAACAACAGTGAACTTCATAGCATTGTATAATAATTTGTCCCATTCACATCCCCCTTTCTTCCAGTTCTGTAGTAACCTTGAAAACAAACAGTTCACAATCACGATGAAAACCAGCAACTTGACAGCCATCAAAGGAGGCTGAATGGGGATGGAGCTCCTCTAAGGCCGCATTCCCATAATATTGTCATTTTTTTACTTGTCTGGTAGTTCCCTGGAAGACTTGTCTTAGTACATTTGTGTTTCTATAAAGGAATACCTGAGAGTGGGTAATTTATGAAGAAAAGAGGTTTATTTGGCTCATGGTTCTACAGGCTGTACAAGAAGCATGACACCAGCATCTGCTTCTGGTGAGGGCTTCAGGAAACTTCCAGTCCTGGTGGAAGGGGAAGGGGAACCAGTGTGTACAGAGATCACCTGGCAAGAGAGGAAGCAAGAGAGAGATGGGAGGTACTAGGTTGTTTTTAACAACCAGTTCTCATGATAACTAACAGAGTGAGAACTCACTTGTTACTGCCAGGATGGCACCAAGGCATTCATGAGGGATCCACCCCCCTGACTCAGACAGCTCCATTGGGCCCCTACCTTCAACATTGGGGATCAATCTTCAACATGAGGTTTCAGGGGACAAACATCCCAACTATAGCAACCCCTCTTGCAATACCATCTTTAATTGGCCTGACTCAGAGATCACCCAGTGCAAAAAAAGTTTCCTCTGGGGGCATTTGCCAAAAACCTTTAGAGGTAGTTGTTTAATTTCATTGCTGCCTGAGGCATAGATAACAGCTGGGCAAACAAAAAGCTAACCTAAAAGCTTAAAACAAAAAGCTAGCTAATGAGATGCCCATAGAGGCTTTGAAAAAGCTACAACGTATTCTCTAGAAAATACTATGTTAAGAAGGCCATGCACATATATAAGGCTATGAACAAGCTCAGGAAAAATCTAAGAAGGCCTTAATTTCTCACCTCTAGCTGACTTTCAGGCTACATAAACAGGAATTGAATGATAAGGTAGAAATGTGAACTCCCTGACTGAGTGTTGAAGGTATGCCCTACACATCCACAAAACCCTTGAGCAAAGACTAAACTAAATAAGCAGAGACTTAAGTGGCCACACATAAAAAAGAATACAGACTGCAGAATGTGTTCCCCCAAAAAATCACTAAGCAAAGAGCAGGAGTAACAATAAACAGCAACAATAAATCCTGCAGAAAAGGAGATTCTGATTTTTAGAGTTGACACATAATATTATTTAAGACACTCAGTTTTCAACAAAAAATTATGAGGCATGCAAAGAAACAAGAAAATATAGCTCACACTTTGGGGGGAAAAGCAATCCATAGAAACTGTTCCTGAGCAAACCCAGATGTTGGACTTACTAGAAAAAGAGTTACCAAATGGAAAGTATCAATAATGAGATAGAAACTATAAAAAACAAAAAGAGAAAATCAAATCAAAATTCTGGAATTGAAAAATACAGTAACTAAAGAGGCTCAGCAGCAGATATGAGCAGGCAGAATAAAGAATCGGAACCAGAAGACATGAAGATAGGTTCATTATAATTATCTGGTCTTCAGAACTGAAAGATAAAAGAATGAGCAAAATGAGCAGAGCCTCAGAGACCTCTGGGGATACCATCAAGCATACCAACATATGCATAATGAGAATTTCAAAAGGAATGGAGAGAAAGGAGTAGAAAGAATATTTGAAGAAATAATAGTCCAAAACTTCTTAAATTTGATGAAAACATAAATCTACACAACCAATAAGTTCAGCAAACTCCAAGTAGGATAAATGCAAAAACAAACCATAATCAAGTTGTCAAAAGCTACAGACAAGGGGAGTATCTTGAAAATAGCAAGGGAGAACTGAATCATCACATACAAGGGATCTATAAAAATATTAACAGCAGATTTCTTTCAAAAACCAAGGATACTGAAAGGCAACAGGATAACATTCAAAGTGCTGAAAGAAAAATAATATCTACCAAGAATTCTTTATCCAGCAAAACCATACTTCAAACATGTAGGATAAATGAAGATATTGTCAGATAAAGAAAAACGGATAGAATTTGTCACTAGCTTCCTTGTCCTACAAGGAATACTAAACGTAGTTATTTATGCTAAAAGGAAAACTTATTTTTTTAATTTTTAATGTTTATGGGTACATAGTAGGTATATATATTTATAGGTCACATGAAATATTTTGATACAGGCATGCAATCACATCAGGATAAATGAGGTATTCATCACTTCAAACATTTAACCTTTGTGTTACAAACAATCCAGTTATATTCTTTCAGTTATTTTAAAATGTACAATTAAATTATTAAATTATTTTTGACTGTAGTCATCCTGTTGTGCTAGCAAATACTAGGTCTTATTCATTCTTTCTATTTTTTGTACCCATTAACCATCCCTACTTTCCCCAACCCCTACTAGCCCCCCGCCCCCCCAACTACCCTTTCCAGCCTCTGGTAACCACTCTTCTACCTGTATCCTCCTGACTTCAATTATTTTAATATTTAGCTCCTACAAATAAGTTAAAACATGCAATGTTTGTCTTCTTGTGCCTGGCTCATCTCATTTAACATAATGACCTCCAGTCCTATCCATGTTGTTGCAAATGACAGGATCTCATTCTTCCTTATGACTGAATAGTACCCCATTGTGTATATGTACCACATTTTCTTTATCTATTCATCTGTTGATGGACACTTAGGTTGATTCCAAGTCTTGGCTATTGTGAATAGTGCTGCAGTAAACATGGGAGTGCAGATACCTCTTCAATATTCTGATTTCCTTTCTTTTGGGTATATACCTAGGAGTGGGATTGCTGGATTGTATGATGGCTCTATTTTTAGTTTTTTGAGGAACCTCCAAACTGTTCTCCATAGTAGTTGTACTAATTTACATTCTCACCAACAGCGTACGAGGGTTACCTTTTCTCTACATCCTTGCCAGCATTTGTCACTGCCTAACTTTTAGATAAAAGCCATTCTAAGCATAGTAAAAGGAAGTGTAGTAAAAGGAATGACAAGAAATCAAAGTAGAACACCATAAAATATCTATTTAACACAAAAGGAGGCAGTATTGGAGGAATACAGGAAAAAAAAGACAGATAGAAAACCAGTAGTAAAATTAGAAACATAAATTGTACCTTGTCAGTAATAATATTAAATATAAATGAATTAAACACTCCAATTACAAGGCAGAGATTGGCAACATGGATGAAAAACAGGTGAGATGGTATCTCATGTCGTTTTTTGCTGTCTGGAAGAGACATACTTCAGATTTAAAAAATACATATAAGTTGAAAGTAAATGAGTAGAAAATGATATACTATGCAAATAGTAACCAAAAGAGCTCTGAAGTGGCTATTACTAATATCAGATGAAATAGACTTTAATAATTAAATCAGAAATTTAATAGTCAAACAAATTGTTACTAAAGAAGGACATTTTATAACAATAGCAGCATTAATCCATCAAGAAGATTTAGCAATTATAAACACATATGCACCTAAGAACAAAGCTCCAAAATACATGAAACAGAAAAAGGCAGAATTGGAGGGAGAAATAGAGAATTCAGCAATAATAATTGGAGACTTCAATACCTGACTTAATAATGGATTCAACAACTAAACAGAAGATCATTAAAGAAAGAGAAGGTAGATTTGGGCAACACTAGAAACCAACTAGACCTAACAGACATCTGTAGAACACTCCACTCAACAACAGGAGACTATACATTCTTTTCAAGTACACATAGAACATTATCTAGGATAGACTGTGCATTAGCCCATCAAATATGTCTCCATCAATTTTAAAATATCTGAAATCATACAAAGTATCTTCTCTGGCCACAATGGAATGGAATCAGAAATCAATAACGGAAGCAAATTTGGGAAATTCACAAAGATGTGGAAATTAACATAGTAGCCAGTGGGTCAAAGAAGAAATTACAAGAATACTTTAAAAATACTCTGAGATGAATGAAAACAAAAATATAACTTACCAATATTTATGAGATGCAGCAAAAGCAGTGATTAGGGGGAAGTTTATTATTGTAAATGCCTATATTGAAAAGTAAGAAAGAGCTCAAATCAATAATTTAACCTTTCACTTTAAGAAACTGGAAAAGAAAACTAAACTTGACAGGCAGAAATAAGGAAGTAATAAGGATTATAGGAGACATAGAGACTAGAAAAACAATGGAAGAAGTCAATAAAACCAAAAGTTGTTTCTTTGAAAAGGTAAAAATAAAATTGAGTAGGCTTTAAACTGACCAATAAAAAGAGACAACTCAAAGTAATAAAATCCATAATAAAGGAAGGGACATTACTACTGACCTTATAAAAATGAAAAGGATTATAAGAGAATATGCTGAAAAATTGTATGCCACTTAATTAGATAGCCTAGATTAAATGAGCTAATTCCTAGAAAGAGGCAAACTACCAAAACTGACTCAAGAAGAAATAGAAGATCTAAGTAAACCTGTAATAAGAAATAGACTGATATGTACTCAAAATTTTCCCATAAAGAAAAGCCCAGGCCCAGATAGCTTAATGGTGAATTCTACTACATGTTTATAGAATTCATATAATTCCTTCACACATATTTCTGAAAAATAAGAGAGGGAACACTTCTCAACTTTTTGTATAAGGCCTGCAATACCCTGATACCAAAACCAGACAAAGATATTGTAAGAAAGGACCAATATCCCTTATGAATGTAAACACACACATTCTCAAGAAAATACTATCAAACTGAGTTTAGCAATTTAAAAAATGTTCTGTAGTTCTTCAGAAAGTTAAATCTAAGGTTATATGACCCAGCCATTTTACTCCTAGACATATGCCTAAGAGAAATGAAACATATATCCAGATAAAATCTTGTATATGAATGTTCATAGCAGCATTATTCATAATAGCTGGAAGATAGAACCCAAATGTCTACCAACTGATGAATTTATAAACTAAATATGGTATATCCATACAATGGAATGATTTTTTCAACCATAAAAAGGAATGACATACTGATATAAGCTACAACATGAATGAATCTTGAATATATTGTGCTAAGTGAAAGAAGCAAGTCACACGAGATTACATATGTTCTATTCATGTGAAATTTCCAGAATAGGCAAATCTATCAGAAGGAAGTAAATTAGTGGTTGCCCAGGGTATGGAGAAAGATGAGATGGGGAGTGTCTGGTAATGGGTATGGGATTTCTTTTCGAAGTGATTAAATGTTCAAAATTTGAACACAGTAATGGTTGCATGACTGTGAATATACTAAAATCCATTAAATTGTATACTTTGTGGACAAATTGTATGATAAGTTAATTGTACCTGAATAAGGATTTTTTAAGTACCACGAGTAAGTAGAATTATAACAGAAATTCAAGCTTGTTTAAACATTTAAAAATCAACGTCATACACCTTATTAATAGAAAAATGAACAACAGTCCACATGATCATCTCAGCAGACAAAAAGCATTTAACAAAATTCAACCCCCTTTCATGATAAAAACACTCAACAACCTACAAATAGAAGGGAATTTCTTTAACCTTTTAAAAGACATCTAGGAAAAACCAAAGTCTAACTTTATATTTAATGTTGTAAGATAATGCTTTCCTCCGAAGATCAGGAATAAGATAAGAGTATCTGTTCTCAACATGTTTATTCAACATTGTACTGGAAATTTTAGCCAAGGCAGTTATGCAAGAAATAGAAATAAAAGCATCCAGATTGAAAAGGAAGACTTAAAATGCCCTCTATTGGCATATAACATTATCATGTATATATGAAAATCCAAAGAAATTCACAAAAAGACTTAGATGTAATAAGTGAGCTTAGCAAGGTTGCAGGATACAAGATAAATATACAAAAACCAATTGTATTTGTATACACAAGCAGTGAAAAATCTAAAAATGAAGTTAAGAAAGCAATTCCATTTACCACAGCATCAAAAAGAATAAAATACTTAGGAAGATATTTAACCAAGGAAGTGCAAGGCTAATAAATGGAAAACTATATTGTTGAGAAAAATTAAGGAAGTCCTAAGTAAATGGTAAGATCTCTCGTGTTTGCCTACTAGAAGACTTAATATTAAAGTGAAAATATTTCCCAAATTGATCTATAGATTCAGTGCTATCTCTATCAAAATCCCTACTGGCGCTTTTTGCAAAAATTGACAAACTAATCTAAAAATTTACATGGAAAAGCAAGGTACCCCGAGTAGCCTTAACAATCCTGAAAAACAATGGACAAAGTTGGAGTACTCACATTTTTCAACTTCAGAATTTTTTTTTTTTTTTTCCTGGAGACAGAGTTTCACTCTTGTCACCCAGGCTGGAGTGCAATCTCGGCTCACTGCAACCTTCGCCTCCTGGGTTCAAGTGATTCTTGTGCCTCAGCCTCCCAAGTATCTGGGATTACAGGTGTGTGCCACCACACCTGGCTATTTTTTTTGTATTATTAGTAGAGATGGGGTTTCACCATGTTGGCCAGGCTGGTCTTAAACTCCTGACCTCAGATGATCTGCCCACCTCGCCTCCCAGGGTGCTGAGATTATAGCCATGAGCCACTGCGCCTGGCCCAGAATTTTCTATAAAGCTACATTAATACACATAGTGTAACCCTGGCATAAGGATAGACATATAGATTGATGAAATTGAATTAACAATCCAGTAGTAAATCCATATATTTACAGTCAAATAATTTTCAACTGTGGTGCCAAGACAGTTCAATGGAGAAAGAATAGTTTCTTCAAAACAGTGGTATTGGGACAACTGGAGGCTGACATGCAAAAGTTTGAAGGTGGACCTCTACCCTACACCATATACAAAAATTAACTCAAAGTAGATCAAAGATCTAAATGTATGAGTTAACACCATGCAATTTTAAAAGAAAACATAGGCATAAATCTTTGTGACCTTGGATTAAGTAGTGGTTTCTTCATTATTACACCTAAAGCACAAGCAACCAAAGAAAAAAATAGATAATGGGATTCATCATAATTTAAAATTTTTATGCTTCAGTAGACACTATCAAGAAAGTAAAAAGAGGCTAGGCGTGGTGGCTCATGCCCATAAGCTCAGTACTTTGGAAGGCCAAGGCATGCAGATCACTTGAGGTCGAGTTCAAGACCAGCCTGGCCAACATGGCAAAACCCTGTCTCTACTAAAAATACAAAAATTAGCCAGGGGTGGTGGTGCATGCCTGTAATCCAAGCTTCCCAGCTACTCAGGAGGCTGAGACATGAGAATTTCCTGAACTCAAGAGGCAGAGGTTGCAGTGAGCCAAGATCATGCCACTGCAGTCCAGCCTGGGTGACAGAGCGAGACTGTCCCCCCCACCCAAAAAAAAAAAAAAAACAAAAAGGAAAAAGATAATACACAGCATTGGGGGAACTATTTGCAAATCATATATTTGATAATCTAGTATCTCAGATATACAAAGAACTCTTGAAAATCAACAATAAACAAAAACAGATAACCTGATTAAAATGATAATGGATTTGAATAGACATTTCTTCAAATAATATTTACAAATGGTCAATAAACACATGAAAAGATATTCAGTGTCATTGGCTTTTAGGAAAATGGAAATCCAAACCATAATGAGATACCACTTCACACCTACTAAAATGGCTGTAGTAAAAAAACAAAACAAAAAACAACAGCATGTGTTGGCAAGGATTTGGAGAATTTGGAACCATCATAAATTGCTATTGGGAATACAAAATGATGTAACCGCTGTTGAAAAGCTTGGCAGTTCCTCAAAAGTTGAACTTAGAGCACCCTATGACCTAGCAATTCTCATCCTAGGTATATACCCAAAAGCATTGAAAACATATGTACACACGAAAACTGGTACATGAATAGTCATTGCAGCATTATTTGTAGCAGGCAAATGTGGAAACAAACCAAATGGTCATCAACTGATGAATGGGTAAACAAAACGAATATTACATACAATAGAAGATTTATTGTTCAACCTTAAAAAGGAATTAAAGGTATGCAAAACTGGTTCAACATTTGAAAATCAATTAATGTAATCCATCACGTCAACAAGCTAAAGAAGAAAAATTATTTGATCATATTAGTAGATGGAGAAAAGGCAGTTGACAAAATCTAACACCCTCAACTTGATAAAGAAGTCTACAAAAAAAACCCTACAGCTAACATCTTACTTAATGGTGAGAAACTGATGTTTTTCCCCTAAAATTGGGAATGAGGCCAGGATGTTCCTGTTCCCTACTCCTGTTCAACATCCTACCAGAAACCCTTGCTAATGCAATAAGACATGATAAGGAAATGAAAGCTATACAGATTGGGGGGAAAGAAGTAAACCTGTCTTTGTTCTGAGATGACATGATTGTCTATGTAGAAAGTCCCAAAGAATCAACAACAACAACAAACTCCTGGAACAAATAAGGGATTATAGCAGGTTGCAGGTTACAAGGTTAACATATAAAAGTCTATCGCTTTCTTACATGCCAGCAATGTGCAAGTGGAATTTGAAATTTAAAATATAACACATTATATTAACACCAAAAAATTGAACTGCTTATGTATAAGCATAACAAAATATATACAAGATACATACAAAGGAAATTTCTAAACTTTGATGAAAGAAATCAAAAAAGATCTAAATAAATAGATACTCCACGTTTGTGGATAAGAAGACTCAATGTTGTTAAGAATCAGTTCTTACCAACTTGATCTGTAGATTCAGTGCAATCCCAAGCATAATTTCAGGAAGTTACTTTGTGGATATTGACAAATTGATCTAAAGTTTATATGGAAAGGCAAAAGATTCAGAATAGACACCATATTATTGAAGAATAAGAATAAAGTTGGAGAACTGACACTACCTGACTTCAGTACTTGACTTCAATACTTTAAGGCTACAGTAATCATGACAGTGTAGTATTGGTGAAGGAATAAGTAAATAGATCCATAGAATAGAATAGAGACCCTAGAAGTAGATCCACACAAATATTGTCAATAGATCTTTGACAAAGTAGCAAAGGCAAACCAATGGAAAAAGTCTTCTCAACAAGTGGTGCCAGAACAACTGGACATCCACTTGAATAAAAATGAATTTAGACATAGACCTTACATTTTTCCAATAAGTTTTTTCATAATACTTTTCCCCTAAGACCAGGAATAAGGCAAAGTTGATCACTTTCACCATTCTTCTTCAGTATATTTCTGGAAGCTACCACAGTAAGGGAAGAAAGGTAAATATAAGCATATAGATTGGAAAGAAAGAAATGAAACTGTCCCTGTTTGCTGATGACATGACAGTCTACGCAGAAAAATTAAAAGGAATCTACAAAAAAAAAAAAAAGACTCCTAGAACTAGTGAGTGCGTTTGTCAAGGATATGAGATAAACATACGAAAAATCAGTTATTTCTCTATACTCGCAAAGAACACCTGGAAACCACAGTTAAAAACATAGTACCATTTGCAGTTGCTTAAAATAAAATGAAATGCTTAGGTATAAATCCCACAAAACATATACAAACCTTGTATGGTGAAAACTACAGAACTCTGATGAAAGAAGTTAAAGATCTAAATAAATGAAGAGATGTACTCTGTTCAGGGATTGGAAGACTCAACATAGTAAATATATAATTTCTCCCCAAATCTATCTCTAGATTTGACCCAATTTCAATTAAAATCCTAGGAAGATTTTTTATGGATATAGAAGGCTTATCCTAAAATATTTCTGGAAAGGAAAAAGAATAAGAATAGCTAAAACAATTTTGAAAAACTATGATAAAGTGGGAGGAATCATTCTACCCACTATATAGATTTATATAGCTATAGGAATTAATATAGAGTAGTACTGGCAGAGAGATAGACACGTAGCTTGATGGAACAGATTAGATTACCCATAAGTACCCCCACACAAGTACAGCCAAATAGTTTTTGAGAAAGATTCAAACTCAATTCAATGAAGAAAGAGTAATTTTTTTCTACAAATGGTGGTGGAGCAATTGGACATCCATAGGCCAAAAATGAACCTCAATTTAAACCTCATGCCCTATAAAAAATTAACTCAAAATAGATCATAGATTTAAATATAAAACATAAAGCTACATAGCTTTTTTTTTTGAGACAGAGTCTCGCTCTGTCGCCCAGGCTGGAGTTCAGTGGCGCGATCTTGGCTCACTGGAACCTCCCATCCCGGGTTCAAGTGATTCTTGTGCCTCAGCCTCCTGAGTAGCTAGCTGGGACTACAGGCACACACCACCATGCCCGGCTAATTATTTGCATTTTTAGTAGAGACGGGGTTTCACCATGTTGGCCAGGCTGGTCTCAAACTCCTGACCTCAGGTGATCCACCTGCCTTGGCCTCCCAAAGTGCTGGGATTACTGGCATGAGCCACCATGCCCAGCCAAGATACATACTTTTGAAAGAAAATGTACCCTAATATCATTAGGACATGGAGGGAGATGAAGAATTCTTAGACATGACACTAAATGCACAATTCGTAGATGAAAAAAGAAAAACAAAAAACCTCAACAGTAAAAAATAAAACAAATAGTCCAATTGGATAGTGGTTAAAAGACATGAACATTTTTCCCAAAAAGGGTTATACAGGTTCTAAACAATTACATGAAAATATGTTCAACATCATTATCCATTAGGGAAATGCAAATTAAAGCCACAATAAGATATCGCTCCACACTTAATAGAACAGCTACAATAAAAAGGTGAGGCCAGGGGCAGTGGTTCAAACCTGTAATTCCACCACTTTCACAGGCTGAAGCGGGAGGATTGCTTGAGCCCAGGAGTTCAAGACCAGTCTGTGCAACATAGGGAGACCCTGTCTCTTAAAAAAAATAAGTAACAATATGACAATACCATATTCTGGCAAGGATGCAGAGAACTGGATCTTTCATATATCTGGTGTGAATATAAAGTGGTACAGTCACTCCAGAAAAGAGTTAGGCAGCTTCTTTAAAATACTAAAACATACATTTGCCATACAACCCAGCAAGTGTACTCCTGGGAAATGTACATCCTAAGGAAATGAAAACTTATGTTCACAGTAAGACCTGTAATCAAGTTTTTATAGCAGCTATACTCGTCATAGCTAAAATTTGGAAAGTACCAAAATATCCTACAATGGGTTAATGGTTAAACGAATTGTGATACATCTATACCATGGAATCCTACTGAGCAATAAAAATGAAAAATCTACTGATGCATGCAACTACTTGGATAGATCTCAAGAAATTCTACTTCGTTAAAAAAATCTCTTAATTGTCGTGTACTGTATGATTTCCTTTATATAAGTTTCAAAGTGATAAAATTATAGAACTGGAGAACAGATTAGTGATTGTCAGGTGTGGGACACTGCAAAGTTTAGGTGAGGATTGTGAGATGGGTGAGTGGGTGTGACTAGAAAGGGTTAGCACTTGGGGTTTTTGTGGGGGATTATTATGTAGCAGTTCTGTATCTCTGTTTTGGTGGTGACTACTTGAATTTACACATGGCGATAAAATTGAATAGCTGTGCACATAGACACATGAGTGCATGTAAAACTATTGAAATCGAAATAAAGTCTGTTGGTTGTATCAATAGTCAGTTTCCTGGTTTTGATATTGTACTACTGTTATATGCTACTATGGGGGAAAATGGGTTAAAGGTACACAAAATCTCTGTACTACTTTTGCAACTTTCTGTTAATGTACAATTATTTTAAAATTTTAAAAAATTGTAAGGTTTCCCTTATGAACTGTATGCTCTTCCATGAAAGAGATAATTAGCCCACAAATATTTAGGAGTATAGGTAAAAGCATTTTAACTACAGGTTTTGGTTTCCAAACATTCCAAATTGTTCTGTACAGGCAAACCCTGACTGATATAACTGATAGCATCATCAAAAACTGTCACTCGTTTTCCTCAAGAAACATGAATATTTAATAGATTTAATTTACATAGGAAATTTGTATTCATTTTGTGGAATAATTACTGGTTTAGTTAATGAATCTCTATACCTTCCTTTTGCATGCAGAAATCATTTGCCAAAACCTTTTATTTGCAGTTGCATTTTCTTAGTGTCATCATTTGCTTGACTATGGCTTGCAATTGATATTGTTAGAAGTAATCCAGCAAATTTCAAGATATTAAGGCTTATACTTTTGTTTAATTTTGTCATGCAAAATACTATAGAATATGCTTCCAGAACAGTTTGATCATGTATTTTTAAATTCCCATCCCATATTTATCAAATTATAGTTTATAAATTTAATATTTAAAATGAAAACTCATTCTTTGAAACATTAATGAATTATGTTCATTATGTGACATAATACGTCACATAATATAAATGTGCAATATTTTTTGAGTTGTCAGATAATCATTTTGAGCATTGGTATTATTAATTATAGATTCTTAAGGATGATGAAATCCTTAAACTTGGCTAGTATTTAAAAAACGTATTTGTTAATTGTGGTTCTATGGGGAAAAGGTTTTGTGTTTCTTGGAATAGTTTGAGCAAAACTGCTAGAGACCAGCTTCTAGCTGCTGTAATAATTTTCAATGAAACACCTCCTTTTCACAGTTCCTGATCATAATAGTCATTTAATTATTGTTTTGCTCATTGGCTAGTATTTTCCTAAATGGGATTTCCCTTAGATTTTTTTTTGTTTTTCTTCACTTTTAAAGCAAATATTCTTTGTATAGAATTTCATATATTTCTGTAGACCTTATATCTTTTTTTCCCCACAGGGCAAGTTCTATCTGTAGACCTTAGACAATAAATTATGAGTACTGTTTTAGCAAACTGTACATCTTTGGCTGTTTTTCCTAATGGTTTTGTGTATGTGTGTCTGTTTTGAATTTTTTCAGGCTAATGAGAGTCAATTTTAAATACGTCTGTTTCTTAATGATTAATTTTGCTGTATTATGACAAGCATTTCTGGATAACTATTTACAATGAGATACAAATATTACAAATGTAAAGTTTATACTTGTCTTGCTAATCAGATCCTGCTATTCTGTGAAAAACTGCTGATGAATCTCTAAACCTAAGACAATTTATAGTGATTATGCTTGAGATCAACTGCATGGGAAAAGAAAACTTACTTCTTTCATCTTGTTTTTTGCCTTTTAAAAAATAGTGTAGATTACCTACTTCTGAAAGTATGTGGCTATTTGTTAACTAAAATGACTCATACTTGTTCAATATAATTCTAGGTGTAAACATGGCTTGATATTACATGTAACATGTTGGCCATAATCCCCAATATCAACGTTTTATTTGTAAATGTCTCTTAACCTGAATTTCTCATCTTATATGACTTCAGTATGTAGATGAGGAGGCTCATGTTTATATAATAGAGCTCTCAAAGTTCATTGGCTCATATATTCAATTTTTCTTAGTATCATCTTAATGTTACATTCGGGAAATATAGCAATATGAAAAAAATGTGAGATGAGTTTCTCTACTCATTTTTTATTCTGAAATAAAGCAGCTTTTAAAAAATGTTTTTCCAGGCCAGGTACAGTGGCCAGGCATGGTGGCTCATGCCTGTAATCCCAGCACTTTGGGAGGCCAAGGTGAGTGGATCACCTGAGGTCAGGTGTTCAAGACCAGCCTGGCCAACATGGTGAAACCCTGTCTTTACTAAAAATATTTATTTTTAATGTTTTTCCTCTACTATAAGTGGAATTTGTGTTTCACAAGTTAAAAATGATTTTTATCATTGTTTTCTCTTTTTCTATACAAATAGCTACCTATTTTCTTTCAAATCTGCATTTTGCTAGCTTTTACATTATGTGACGTAGAGAATTCCTTAGGAAGCTGTGGGAATAGAAAATAGATAAAGACAGGAATTTGGTGGGTTGACATAACCCTTGATATATGGGCTACAGTAGCTGGAAAATTCAGTCTGTACACTAGGTACAAGATGAATTTTGGAGTATACTTGCTAATTAAAATTTGAGTCTGAAGAATTAGATGGGGGTGTTCTTAGATGTATTGAATAAGTTACTGTTATCCCATCTATATGAATAACCTTTGGAAATAACCTAAGAAGTGTCTTTTGTTAAGTTTGCTCTGTAAGAAATTTGTATTACACAATTAAATAATACATGTCAGATAGAAAATATAATAAATTCTAACTTAGCAGACAGTTTATTCAAAAGAATTATCGCAAGGGGGAGAAACTATTGCAATAGGGAGTGGGGTCTATTTTAATAGAACACTCTCACCATAAGATCTATGAGTATCTCAAGGGTTAGGCAAAAAATATTTTTCTTTTATGGGAGGAATAAACAAGACTAGAAAGAACTTGGTGGGAGGAAGTGGGAAGGCCTGGGGGAAGGAGAGAAGCGTAACCAGTTTGATTAACAGGCAACTTCAAATTGGGTACAAGAGCTCCTAATTGTTCACAAAAACTTCTATACAATATCAATCACGAATAGTTTTAAGGGAACCACTTTTCAAATTCTTACTTCTATATATACTCTTCGTAAAGTTGATATGCTTAAGAAAATGTCTGTAATGGACATAGAAGTTCTCCTTTCTTATATCCCCTTTCACAAATTTTTCTTCTCTCATTTTACTATTGTCCTTCCTCCTACCCATCCAGAATCTTAATTGTGGTGCGTTACAAGATCTGTTGTAATATGTATCAAAATCTCCAGGGCGCCAAACAAAAGGACAGTTTGAAAATTGGCATCAGTGTTGAGAAAGTGAATGACTCTGAAAGACCAATAACATACTTTTTCAAGTTAGATCTATTCTTGCTTTGCTTTCAACAAAATTGATGGATGACCTTATCAATTTGTAAGTTGATGGATTATTAAGAGTAATTTTTGTGGCTCACTCCTGTAATCCCAACACTTGGGGAGGCAGAGGTGGGCAGATCACCTGAGCCTAAGAGTTCAAGACCACCCTGGGCACAACATGGCAAAACCCCATCTCTACAAAAAATACAAAAAATTAGCTGGGCATGGTGGCATGTGCCTGTAGTCCCAACTACCTGGGAGGCTGAGGTGGGAGGATCGCCTGAGCCCAGGAAGTCGAGGCTGCAGTGAGCTGTGATTGTGCCACTGCACTCCAGCCTGGGCGACAGAGTAAGATCCTGCCTCAAAAAAAAGCATAATTTTTATTAAGTCATTATAATTCATGGTGTATAACTCAAAAAGAGATTGCTTTAACAGAACTCCATCTATTCCCGTATACTTGGTTTTTTTCAAATAGGTTTATTGAGATATAATTCACACACCATAAAACACTCCTTTAAGTTGTATAATTCAGTGGATTTTAGTATATTCAGAGTTGTGCAACTGTCATTGCTACCTATTTTCAGAACATTTTCATCTCCCCCAAAAGAAACCCTATACCTTTTCATAGACACCCACTATTTTCCCCCCTCCCAGCCTCTGGCAATTACCAGTCTACTTTCTATTTCTATGGATTTGCCTTTTTTGGACATTTTGTATAAATGGAACCATAGAATATGTGTTGCATCTGGCTTCTTTCGCCTTACATATTTTCAAGGTTCATCCATGTAGTAGCAGGTATCAGTACTTTATTCCTTCTTATGACTGAATAGTATTCCATTGTGTAGATATATATCGATTCATTAGTTGATGTACATTTGGGTTGTATCAGTTTTTTAGCTGTTATATATAATCTTGATATGAATATTCATGTGTAGTTAAGCCTCGTTATTCAAGGATTCTTTATTTAAAAATTCACCTACTTGATAATATTTATAACCCCCAAACTCATACTCTTGGCGTCACGCACAGACAGGTGCAAAGTGACAACAAGTTTGAATCATTCAACATGCACATTCCCAGCTAAGGTCGGACAACGCAACACTCTTCTATCTTGTTGTTTGGGCTCTCATACCATAAATGAGTTCCCTTTTCTATGTCTACTTAATTCCATATTTTTTCACATTTTTGTGTTTTTTGCTGGTGATTTTGCTTCTTAAAGTGGCCCCAAAGCATAGTGTTGAGTGCTGTCTAGTATTCCTAAGTGTGAGAAGGCTGTGATGTGCCTTACAGAGAAAATAAATGTATTAGACAAGTGTCATTCAGGCATGAGTTATAGGGCTGTTGGCCATGGGTTCAGTGTTAATAAATCAACAATATATATGAAATAACATGTCTTTAAACTGAAATACACATGTGATAAGGTTATATATTGATCTGTGGACAAATATGGTGCAACCAGAGATTCACAGTAACCTGTATTTTCCCTAAGGAACAGTGTTTCTGTGTTTCCTCAGTCAGTGTTTGTGTTGACTTTATAGAATATAAGTACTGCAAATAATGAAGATCGACTGTATATGGTTTCATGTAAACATACGTTTTCAGTTCTCTTGGGTGTATACCCAGGAATAGAATTGCTAGGTCATATGATAACATTGCTTGTTTTGTGAACAAGGTTTCTCAGCGTTCACATCTATAAAAGTGAAAATAGGAATAGAATTTGTGTTGAGCCCTGTCTTATTCTACCACATGCAAGAAAATGAGATCCTTGTTGGACTGGTGTGGAACTGGCCCCATGACACACAGGAATGTCACCTTTTGTGACACTTCCATAGACATAACTTCCAAGGACCCCTGAAGAGACATGCCCAAGTGGAAGAAATCACCACATTCAGGAAAGTCCAAAGCTGTTCAATTGTAATTTTCCTAGAGTAGATTGTTTTCTTTGTTATTATACCAGCTTTCCACCATCTGTCTCACTTTCCTCTTTCCCAGTTCCTAGATGGCCGCTTTATGGGATTGAATCTAGAGAGTTTAAGCCTTACATAGAAAGTTGATGAGCCTACAAGTGGGTTAAAGCTTAGTGTTTTTTTTTTTAGGTTTCGTGTTTTTTAAAAAAGCATTTTCATATGAACTGTTGCTTTTTTATTTATTTATTTATTTATTTATTTTGAGACGGAGTCTTACTCTGTCACCCAAGCTGGAGTGCAGTGGCACGATCTCAGCTCGCTGCAACCTATGTCTCCTGGGTTCAAGCGATTCTCCTGCCTCAGCCTCCCAAGTAGCTGGGATTACAGGCGTGCACCACAATGCCCAGCTAATTTTTTTGTATTTTTAGTAGAGACAGGGTTTCACCATCTTGGCCAAGCTGGTCTTGAACTCCTGACCTCAGGTGATCAGCCCGCCTCGGCCTCCCAAAGTGCTGGGATTACAGGCATGAGCCACCACGCCCAGCTGAACTGTTGCTTTATAATATCTCAATTGTTTACTTCTTCAATAGCATGAATAATTTACTATATAATTAAAAGATTTTAGTGATAGTACATCAAAAAGAGTAGTATCTGCAAACAGAAGCAGTTTTGTGCTTGTTTGTAGTAAAGACTCTATCTATAACTGAGTCAGTAAGCATATTCTCCTTTTTAATTACTGCCATGTACTAATCAAACACTATTTAAAATGCCAGGCATGTTGCTAGGTGCTGTTCATATCTGTTGTCTTATCTTCAGAGAAACCCTGCAAAAAAATACTTTATCTACATTTTGCAACTGAAGATTAAAGAAGTTAAATAACTTTTGGATTGATGCACAGGAAGTGGTAGAGCCAGGTGAATCCAAGTTGGTCTGTCTTTTGGACTGCAAAAGCTGTATTTTTCCCACATCTGAAGCTGTTAGCCCTCACCCTTTATATCCTAGTGCCCAGCTACTTTATGTGTCCTGCACCCCTAAACCCAAAAGCGGTATGTGTGTGAAGTGAAGGTAGAGAGTTTTGTTTTTCTGGATTTGTTTTTTCACAGCTTTACTCTGACCACCTAGAACCATGCCTGGCACAATATAGGTAATACTTATTGAGTGAATGAAGGAATGCCACGTAAGTTTTGTGAATTTACTGAGGAGTCTCGGGATGGTGCAATAAGAGAACAGTGTGACAGTTGATAAACAAAGGAAGGTTTCTGCTTTTTGGCAAAGATTACATCTGTAAAAGGTAAATAGGCTGAGTAACACTTTCATGGTCAGGACTACAAAGCTGGGCTATAAAAACACATTATTCTAATCCATGTTTATCTATCACTTCTTTTGTTTTTTTTTTTTTTTTTTTGGCAGAGTCTCGCTCTGTCGCCCAGGCTGGAGTGCAGTGGCGCGATCTCGGCTCACTGCAAGCTCCGCCTCCTGGGTTCACGCCATACTCCTGCCTCAGCCTCCTGAGTAGCTGGGACTACAGGCACCCGCCACCACGCCCGGCTAATTTTTTGTATTTTTAGTAGAGACGGGGTTTCACCGAGTTAGCCAGGATGGTCTCGATCTACTGACTTCATGATCCGCCCACCTTGGCCTCCCAAAGTGCTGGGATTACAGGCGTGAGCCACCGCACCCGGCCATCTATCACTTCTTACCTGGCTGGCACGCTAGTTTATCCAAACTACTTTATTGTACACGCTTGTTGTACAGCTTGCTATTAATATAATGAGGTCATATAATTAGTTATGGTAGTAGATGGTGACCCTTCTCAAACTATGAGGAAGATGTTTAGGTATCCTCAAAGTAAATTCTGCAGTGATCCCAGAGACAGATTAGGAAGTCTCAGAGATGGACAAAAGACTTGAAAGGTATTTCAGAGGCTGGGCACAGTGGCTCATATCTTTAATTCCAACACTTTGGGAGGCCGAGGCAGGAGGATCATTTGCGTCCAGGAGTTCAAGACCAGCCTGGGCAACATAGTGAGACCCGATCTCTACAAAAAATAAAAAAATTAGCCAGGCATGGTGATGTGTGCCTGTAGTCCTAGCTGCTTGGGAGGGTAAGGTGGGAGGATTGCTTGAGCCTGGGAGGCTGAGGCTGCAGTGAGCCGTGATTGCACCACTGCACTCAGCCTGGGCAACAGAGTGAGACCCTGTCTCAAAACAAAACAAAAAAAAAGATATTTCAGAAAAAAAATGTATCCACATGAGCAGTAAACAAGGCACAACTCCATTAGTCATCAGAGAAATGCAAATTAAAACCAGATACCACTGCATTCCTAACAGGATGGCTAAAAAATGAAAATGACAGTTGTAAAGTGGCAGTGAGAATGAAGAGCCACCAGAACTCTTACTGCTAATAGGGATGCAAATTAGTTTAACCACTTTGATAAACTGTTTGGGAATATCTACCAAAGCTGACATATATATATATATATATATATATATATATATATATATATATATATATATATATATATATCTTGTGACCTAGCATTTGCATCCCTGGGTATATACCCAACAGCAATGTCTTAACATATGTTCACCCCCACCCCCCCAAAAAAAAAAAAAACAAAAACATGTACAAGAATTCTTTTAGCAGAATTCTTCATAATAGCCCTAAATTAGAAACAACCCAAATGTCCAACAGTGGCGGAATGACATAAATAAATACCACTGTATTCATACAGTGGAGCACAACAAAGCAATGAGAATGGATGGAACTTTGTTACACAAAAAACACAGATGAATCTCACAAGCATAATGATAAGTGAAAGAAGCCGGGCTTAAAAAACTACCAACTCTATGATTCCATTTATATAAAGTACAAAAACAGTGTAACTAATATATGAAGTTTGAGGTCAAAGTAGTGGTTACCGGTGGGGGAAGGTAGTGAATGGGAGGGGACATGATGGGAGCTACGGAGGTGCTGGTCATGTTCTGTTTCTTGATCTGGATGCTGGTTGAGTTCACTGAAAATTCATCAAGCTGTACATTTATGATATTTGTAGGAAGGATAGGTATACATTGTCCGAAGGGAAAGAGTGGAGCAGTTTTATTTTGTCAGCTCATGTGGTCTGGCATAAAGATCTGTCTGGGCTATTTAAATATTTATATTTTGCATAATGGGGATCTGACTTGTTCACAAAAGTATTCATTCAGTCTTGGGGAGAAAAGGGTGATGACATACCTGTTCTGTGCCAAATGCTAAGTACTGGGATATGTAAAAATAGAAAGAAAACATAGATATCTTTAAATCTAATAATCCAGACATAAGATTCTCTTCCTCAGTAGTAAATGCTAAAGAGACAGAGTGACTCCATGTACAGGTGAATCTGCTTTGTTATCCTTATTGGTTACTTTAAAAATAATGACAGAAGGCATTGGTGCAAAATGTATCTAAAGTTACAACGTAAGTGCCATTTCTAAAGCGTTTGGGAGAAAATTCCACTAGTCTATTTGAACTGGCCTTGTGTTGTCTGTGGTGTTTGGCTTTCTCTTGGGTAGCTTAAATTTCCTCCCCATCAGTATAGTAGATTTTATCTATTTTGTTTACTCTTCAGAAATAACTGCCAGGGGATTTTTAAGACTACTGATTGAGGAATGATTGCCAAATTACCCATTTTTAAGTGTAAAGTCAGTAAGCAATGCCAGGTTTCTGAGGAGCTTCACCAATTTGTCTCTATAATGTGTAGTATTTTTTTAACAGTTTTAATATATGAATGAAAATACTACCAAGTTTCTCCTGGATCCCCACTTTTGTTCATTCAGTGATTTTTTTTACTGAGCTTTGGAAATGAACCTTTTGTCTTTTTAGTATGATCCTCTCCCCTCATGTCGTTTGAAAATACCCATCTCTTGCACGAGACTAAGAACAATGCTGTCCTGTTGAGTTCTTATAAAATCCAAAGAAAATTTAAGTACTAAGTGGATGATAGTTAAAGGGTTTACAGCTTTTCTTACAGATCCATCAAAGTGGGAAAATCATGAGAAGAGTTGGAGTCAGACATGCCAGACATTCCAAATCTGTCCTGTACAATGTGACCTTAAGTAGTTCCATAAACCTCAGCTTTCCTAGTTGTCAAATGAGGAGAATGATACTGTCCTCATGGGGCTGGTGCAGGGATTAAGGGTGATGATATCTGTGAAGCATCTCAGCTTAGTGCTTAGCACACTGTAGGTGGTCAGTAATTTTCCTGTTCTCTGTTGTGATATATCCTCTACTAATTCTGGAGTTATCTTTATCTTGCCTACCTCAATCCATTCTCTACAATTTCCATTTGTTTATCTTAATTATTTTGTCTTCCTCTTACTTTTTTCCTAAATAAAGCTACAGGAGAGTAGATTTTCTGTACTCTGACAAGACATACATTTTTCTTCTTTTAATAGTGTTAAAACAAATGTCCAAAAAAACCTTTAAATAAAAAACCAAACATGTTCAAGGAAGTTACCATCTTTTCTAAACTCTGTCAGCAGGGTGGCTGATAAAATAAATTTTCTACTCATTAGTCTGAGATGCTTATTGAAGACTGCTAATTTAGGAAGTATGGGCCTGCTATGGTCTGAATGTTTATGTCCCCCACCCCAAATTTATATGTTGAATCCTAATTGTCGAGGTGATGGTATTAGAAGATGGCGCCTTTGGAAGGGCTCTGCCCTCGTGAATGGGATTAGTGCTCTTATAAAAGATGCCTTAGAGAGATCACTTGCCCCCACTACCATGTAAGGACACAGTGAGAAGATGCCGCTTATGAACCAGAGAGCAGCCTGCATTAGATACCAGATCTGCTGGTACCTTGATCTTGGACTTCCCAGTTTCTAGACCCATGAGAAATAAATTCCTGTTGTTTATAGACCACCTAGTCTATGGTATTTTGTTATAGCCAGCCCAAACAGACTAAGACAGGGCCCTTTTATGTTCTGGCTTACCGTATTTAACTATGGCTATTTTACTAGTCAGAACCCCTCTTTTCTCTAGTGTATGTTTCTGTGACTTAGATTTAGTTTGAGGGCATTTTCATGTTTACTTTTTTCTTAAAAATTTTCCCAAGATTATTAACAGATACTAAATGAACTTCCCTCTTCCATTTCAATTTTATATGGTATCTCTTTTAGATCTTTCTCTTAAAGTAAATGCATTACATTGTATTTTTAAAACATTTTTTGCCTTAATAAACTGCTAGCATTTCAGTTAAGAGGAGTTAATAACAGTTTCACCAATGCACATTGAAAACGATGGGTTCCATTAAATAGTCAATAATTATTAAAATTAAGCCAAGAATAATGAAAGGGATACAATTACACTAAAGTGATATTTATGTCTTATAAAGATTTCTCTTAAATGAAAATTGACAATTATTAGACTAGCCATACACAAAATCTGGTATTTTAAAACTAATCTTGGCTGGGCGTGGTGGCTCACACCTGTAATCCCAGCACTTTGGGAAGTCGAGGTGGGCAGATCACTTGAGGTCAGGAGTTCGAGACCAGCCCGGCCAACCAACATGGTGAAGCCCTGTCTTTACCAACAAATACAAAACTTAGCCAGGCATGGTGGCATGGACCTGTAGTCCCAGCTACTCAGGAGGCTAAGGTGTGAGAATTGCTTGAACCCAGGAGGCAGAATTGCAGTGAGCCAAGATGGCACCACTGCACTCCAGCCTGGGCAGCAGAGTGAGACCCTGTCTCAAAAACAAAACAAAACAAAACAAAAAACTAAACCAAGGGCCAAAGCAGTATGGTGACAGGGAAATATTTTATATTTTCCCTTAGAGACTTCAGAGTGCTGACTCACCCCTTCCACCTACCATGTGAGGACGCAGTGATAACACACCATTGATTAATGTCTAAGAATATATTGAGGAAAATACTCTATCAGGCTAACAGGGAAACTGGCACAGTTTTGTTTCCACTATATTTTATTGGTTAGAGAAGTCACAGAGCCACCTGGTTGGAAGGAGAAAGGATGTAGATCCCACCTCTGGATGGGAGAGATGACAAAAAAATTTCTGGCCATCTTTAATCTGCCACATCAATTAATTTTAAACTTAAACTTTGTTGCCTTAATGTTTGAGTGAGATTGTAGTAGTTGATGCTACTCCATTCCGAGGCAGTACTAAAATCCTACCAGAGGATCCAATGTCCTCATTAAGTCCCAATTCAGGATACATATGACAGCAGTGAATAATTTGTCACTGTGAATAGGAGACTAAAATAAGGACATACCATGTTGCACAATTACAGACTATTTGAAATCCAGTCTGGCACTGTTTGTTAAAACAGAATTTTAATATTTTTGTAATCAAAAGATAGGGAAATTATTTCAGGCAGGCTGTTTTTATAATTTCGTTTTGGCATTCTTCTCTTAAGAATGAATAATAATATAAGGAAACAGGTAGTGATTGCCTTTTGAACTATAAAGTGCTTTTCATTTTTAGTAAGAGGTTTTATGTCTATAAAATTATCTGAAAAGACAGGTCATCTGCTAACCAGTGGTAGAGTATCCACTGCAAGGCTCAGGACTCCTGAAACACATCATAAAATTGTCATGTAAGGAAATTCTTGGAGCTGAGTGCAGAGCTAGTTTGATTTCATCATAATAGGCAGATATTGATGGATTAACTTTGAGTATTTCATGAAATAAAACATACTTTGCTGTTTTTGGTTTATAATACATTTTAAAACGTTTGAGTCTGAAACAAAAATTGTGAAGCTGATATTTGTCTTTCCTTTCATTCTATATGTGACCAGTTTAATTTTTGTGATTCGGGGCAATCAAAGTATTTGCTGGGTATCTAGAGTGAATATTTTATCACTTTAGATAATCTAATCTAAAAGCCCAGTAATAACAGTTTTGGTTATTTTTTTCACAGGTGGGGTAGTATATCAAACAGGGTCCAGTTAGGAGACAGAAACCAAACAGTAATTTAATGTGTTTCTTTTGACTTTTTAAAAATTTTTGTTGGTACAGAGTAGGAGTATATATTTATGGGGTACGTGAGATGTTTTGATATAGGCATGCAATGTGTATTAATCACATCCTGTAAAATGGGGTATCTGTTCCCTCAAGCATTTATCCTTTATGTTACAAAAAACCCAAAAATACTCTTGCAGTTATTTTTAAGTGTACCATTAAATTATTATCTGCTGTAGTCACCCTGTTGTAATATCGAATACTAGGTCTTTTTCAATAGTAATTTAATTTGAACATGCAAAGTTTAGTATAAGGAATTATTGCCAAGGGGTTGGGGTAATTGGCTAGTAAAAGTTAGAGAACTGTGAAAAATACAGGCATAAGGAACAGCTGCTATTCCAACGGCTGAGATAGAATGCTCAAGGAAGAGGTTTGGCCTTCCTCCTGGCAGCACTAAGATCTGAACCTTGTTGAAGAAAATATGGCCATGACTCACCGGATCACAGTGAGGTTCACTGAGACACCATGCTAGTGGGACTCATTGGAAATCTGCCCTCTGGAGTCCAGGGGAAGCCATCCTTAGGGACAGAACTCTGAACATGCAGCAAGCTCACTGAGGGGCTGCTGGAGGAAGCCAGTAACAAGGAGAGTACCTTGCCAGCAGCGCTCTGCTGTAAAGGCACCTGAAGGGGGTTCCAAGAGAAGCTGCACATGGAAAGATGCATGCTGCTGGCCACTGTGCACTGCAGATAAACTGCACACACTGCAGGAGCCTGATGAGAAAAACACTGGAACTGGGACAACAGAACCCTTTCTCCTCCAGTGCCCCTCCAGTGCCCTTAGTGGACAAAGCTTAATGTTGTGCCAGTTGGAAAAATATTCACAGTCAATCTCCAGTAGTGCAGAGCAGGCAATGAAGTGTGGATTTGGAGCTGACAGACAATAGATTGATAAGTGGCATGAGGAGTGGAGAGATTGTGTATATGACAGTGAGTATAGTTTTGATGACATGTATCAAGCAACCTCATTCATTATACTTGGCAATGATTTTATTTCATTTTGCTTTTTTTTCCCCCTCCTTTAAGGAGATTCATTCAATACAACTTAGTGGTATAGGGCTTAAGGAAGGAAATGCCCACGTTTTTGCTTCATATGACTAGTTGGATAGTGGTGCTACTTATTTTATTCAAATGGATACTATCAAAGGGTCAGGGAGAATAAATGAGTTTTTGACATCTTGCATCTCAGTAACTTTTGAAATATAAATGTTGATCAGTTAAATATTTTAGTCTAAAATTTAGGACCACAATCTGAACAAAAGAGAAAAGATTTGAAAATCTTCATCGTTTTGGTAATAGACGAAACTTCGGAAATACCTGTGATTGCTTAAAGAAAGTATATTAAGAGGCCACAATGAAAAAAAATGATCATGAGGAACCATTTTTGGTCATGAAAAATGGTCATGAGGAATGATCCTGACGAACACCTAAATTTAAAGAAAGGATGGAAAGAGACAGAGGAAACCAGGAGGGGGAAAGAGAAGTACAAGAATTATTATCAGAGAATGCTGTCATAGACGCTGAGATCAAAAAGATTTTCTGTGTTGTCAAATGCTATAAAGAAGCCAAATGAGGGAACAACTGTAATGTCTATGGAATTTGGCAACATGGAAACCAGTGTGAACTTTGGCCAGAGCAATTTCGGTATTGCACTGGGGACAAAAACAAGATTGTAGTAGGCAGAGGAAGGAATGGGGAGTGAGGAAGCAGGGAAAATAAATATAGGATAATTTTCAAATGGCTAGACTGAGAAGAGGAGAGAGAAACAGTCATAGATGCAGGGGCATGTGGAGGCAGGGGTAGCGATTAAAATGGGAAGGATTCCAGTATCTTTTTTTTTTTTTCCTTTTTTGCCAGAAGAGAGAGCTAAGAGGAAAGAAAAGGGTGCACTGATGGACTGAGATCTTCGATAGGCAGCAGGTGGAGGGTGGGCCCCTCTTCCATCAAGACCAAAAGAAAGTCAAGGTACTGATAGAGCTAGGCCTGCAGGCAGGAGAAGGAACCAGAGGATGTCCCTCAGCTGATGGCCTGATTTTCAGCAGGTGGGAGGCAGAGCCACCTGCTGAGAGTAGGCATGGTGGTAGAGAGTAGAGAGATAAGAGAGTTAGTAATAGCAGGTTAAGAGAGATAAGAGACATTGCTAGGCTGCCTCAAGGCCCCTCCCCCCACCCCCGCTGAGGCTAAATGCAAGGAATTTGTAGCAGCGCTTATCAACATGCAGATATGATTTCTCTCAGCAACACTAAGTAGCCTACAATTGAGGAAAGGAAAATTGTATGGGTAGATTGTGCTAGAGTGAGAAGTATTACACACAGCAGACATGATGGACAAAGGAATCAAGAGAGATGAAAGTAATAGTAATAGCAAGAGAAAAGACCATGGAGCTGGATGGGGAGGAAGATTTTAGAGGTGCATCAAACATATTCTAGTTGGTCAGTCTCCTCACCAGTCACAATAGTTTTCACGACATCACCGTAAGAGGGACAATAGTATGGTAAGTAAGAAAAGGAAGTTAATTTCAGGAGACTTGGGTTCAAATAATGATCCTGCCATTTATTTATTTTGACCTTGTGAAAGTTACCTAACTTCTAAGCAAGCCTGCATTTTTCTTTCTTTCTTTTTTCTTTTTTTTTTTTTTTTTTTTTTTTTGAGACGGAGTCTCACTCTGTCGCCCAGGCTGGAGTGCAGTGGCGCCATCTCCACTCACTGCAACCTCCGCCTCCCAGGTTCAAGCGATTCTCCTGCCTCAGCCTCCCAAGTAGCTGGGACTACAGGTGCACACCACCACGCCCAGCTAATCTTTTGTGTTTTAGTAGAGACGGGGTTTCACCATGTTGCCCAGTCTGGTCTTGAACTCTTGAGCTCAGGCAGTCCGCCCGCCTCGGCCTCCCAAAGTGCTAGGATTATAGATGTGAGCCACCACGCCTGGCCACCTGAATTTTTACACATAGTAAATGCTCAACAAATATTTAATATGAAGTGATATTTCAAGAAATAAGAAGGTGCAATACAACACATTAGAGATGCCATTCTGGCACAAAGAAACAAGTCAGTGCCTGCTCTAATTTTAATTTAATGTTACAATAGCCAGTTTTGATTAGAATATTTTGCTTCACCACATGGTGCTCAAGGTACTGTGGCTGCATAACAAATTACCCCAAAACTTAGTGTCATAAAGCAACTATTTAATATACTCACAGCTTCTGGGGCTCTGCAGTTTAGACAGGGCAAATCTGGGGTGTGAGTCAGAAGACTCGAGGGCTAGGGCAGGAATCTTCTAAAGGCTCACTAACTCACATCTGGCCATTGATGCTGGCTGTTGACTGAGAGACTTTACCTGGGAACTTTGGCTTACACTTCATGTGACTTCTCTCTGTGAAAAGGCTTCCTCATAGCATGGCAGCTGAGTTCCAAGGGCAAATATTGAGAGAGACATCCTTTTGCTCAGAATAATGGTATTGAGATTCATCCCCATGTCTGTTGTATTAGTACTTTTTAAATTGGTTAGTAATGTTCCATTTCATGCATATAGCAAAGTTTTTAAATCCATTTTCTTGTTCTTAGAAATATATGTTGTTTCCACTTTGGGGCTGAGTAAAGCCGCTTTGAATGTTTGAATGTAAATCTTTTGAGTTGGACATATTGTCACTTCTCTCACATAAATGCAAGAGTGCAGTTGCTAGGTCATTAAGAAACTGCCAAACTATTTTCCATAGTGGTTGCACTATTTTATGTTATTACCAGTAATGTATGAGAGTTACAGCTTTTCCACATCCTTGCCAATACTTGGTATTGCCATCCTTTTTAATTTTAGCCATTCTGGTGGGTATGTCATGATATTTCTTGTGGTTTTCATTTGCATTTACCTTATGACTAAAAATGTTGCACTTATTGGCCATTCATATATCTTTGTTGAAGTATATCTTCAGATCTTACACCGATGTCTATTTTTCATTGAGGTGTGTGTCTTTTGTATTAAGTTGTAGGAGTTCTTTGTATATTCTGGATACACTTCCTTGGTCAAATATACATATTGCAAATATGTTTTCCCAGTTTGTAACTTTCCCTTTTATATTCTTAATGGAATCTTTAAAAGAGTAGAAGTTTTTCATTTTGATGAAGTCCAGTTTACAGTTTTTTTCCTTCATGGTTCCTGATTTTTGTGACCTAAGAAAATTTCACCTACGTCAAATTTGTGAAAATTTTCTTTATATTTTCTTGTATAATTGTAGTTTTGGCTACGTTTATGATGCACTTTAGCATAAGAGTTGTATATCGTATGAAGTGTAAGGGTTGAGATTCATGGGTAGCCATTCGCTCCAGCACTATTTGTTGAAATAACCCTATTGAGTTATTTTAGCACCTTTATCAAAAATAATGTGTTGGTCTATTTTCTGCACTTTCTATTCTGATCTGTATGTCTATCCTTATATCAGATTCACACTGTCTAGATTATTCTATATTAAGTCTTAAAATCCAGTAGCCAAAATCCTACAATTAGGATTTTGTGTTTAGGCTATTCTAGCTACTTAAATTTTCATAAACAATTTAGAGTAAATTTGTGAATTTCTGCAATGAAGCATGAGATTTTGATTGGTGTTACTTTTAATCTATATATTAATTTGGGGAGAATGGAAATCTTAACCATATTGAGTCCTCCAATCCATGAACACTACTCCATTTATGTAGATTTTTTTACATTCTCCCAGAAAATATCTTTGTAGTTTTAAGAGTAGATATTTTATTCATATTTCATTACATTTATTGTTAGGGCCTCATGTTTTTGATGCTATGGTGAATAGTATTATGTTAAAATTTTTAATTTAATGATTATTGATAGTATATAGAAATACAGTTGATTCTTGTATATTGATCTCATATTTGGCAACCTTGCTAAATTTACTTATTCTAGTGGCTTAAAAAAATCCTTAAGATTTTCTATTTGAACAATTGTGTTATTTTATTTCTGTCCATTCTGTATCCCTTTTATTTCTTTTTCTTACCTTTATGCCCTAGCTAGGACATTCAATTCAGTGATCTTATATTGATCTCATATTTGGCAACCTTGCTAATTTCACTTATTCTAGTGGCTTTAAAAAAAATCCTTAAGATTTTCTATTTGAACAATTGTGTTATTTTATTTCTTTCCATTCTGTATGACTTTTGTTTCTTCTTACCTTGATGCCCTAGCTAGGACATACAATTCAATAATCTTAGGGAGCAAACCAGTCTCTTACCATTAGGTATTGTCTGCAGGTTTTTCTTAAATGCCCTTTATTAGATTCAAGAATTTGTTTTATCGTCCTAATTTGTTGAATTTTTATTATGGATAAGTGTTGAATTTCTTAGAATGCTTTTTTTCTGAGTTGAGTTTTTGTATAGTTCTCCTTTATTCTGTTACTTACATTGATTGAATTTTGAATGCTAAAGTAACCTTGCATTCCTGGGATAAACCCTACTTGGTCATGGTTTATTAAATTTTTTATATACCCATGTGGTAAAAATACTAATATTTTACAAGATTTTTGCATCAGTGGTTATGATGGTTATTGCTTTCTAGTTTTCTTTTTAAAGTTTCTACTGGCTTAGGTATCAGTAGAGTCAGGTTTACTGGTCTCATATAATTAGCTCATTATTTTCTCAAAATGTTTGTATTGGATTGCTATTACTTTTTCTTAGTGTATTGTGGAATTCACCAGTGTCACTATCTCCTGGGCTTGGGATTTTCTTTGTGGGGTTATTTTAAATTATACATGTAATTTCTGTAATAAATTTAGGGCTATTCAGATTTTCTATTTTTTCTTGTGATAGTACTTGTAATTTGAGTATTTCAAGGAATTTGTCAGTTTCATTTTATTTGTTGGATATATTGGTATATCTTTATTATATTTCTTATAATTTTCTTGTCTGACATATCTGTACTGATGTCTCCCCTTTCATTGCTGATATTGATAACTTTTGTCTTCTCTCATTTTCCTTGATCATTAAAATCTTTCCAATGGAATCTTTCAAAGAGCAGAAGTTCTTAATATTGACAAACTCCAGTTTATCATTTTTAGCTAGAGGTTTATTATTTTCATTGATCATACATTGAACAAGCTTTTGGTATCATTAACTTTATTGTTTGTTCATTTTCTGGGTAATTTCTATCACTGTTTTAATAAAGTCCAATTTGTCGACGTATTGTTTTATGAATTGTACTTTTGGTGCTCCTTCTAAGAAATCTTTGCCTAATCCAAGGTTGGAAAGCTTTTCTCCTTTTTTTTAATAGAAATTTAATAGTTTTAGGTTTTACATTTAGGTCTTTGGTCCATTTTGAGTTAATTTTTAGATATTTTCTGAAGTCTGGATACAAGTTGTCTTTTTTTTTGGTCTTGTCTTTTTTTTCCATATATATAGTTGTTCCAGCATCATTTGTTGAAAAGATTATCTTTTCTCCATTGAATTTCCCCTTGCAATTTTGTTAAAATTTGATTGTACATACCTGTGTGGGTATGTTTCAAAACTCTATATTGTTTCATAGACTTATTGATCTGTCTTTAGGGTAATACCACACTATCTTGATTACTGTAATTTTATGTGTCTTTGGATTTTTTAAAAAATAGAGACAGGGTATCTCTCTGTTGCCCAGGCTGGAGTGCAGTGGGGTGATCTCAGCTCACTGTAACCTTGACCCCTCGGGTTCAATCAATCCTCCCACCTCAGCCTCCCGAGTAGCTGGAACTACAGGCGTGCACCATCACACCTGGCCAATTTTTGTATGTTTTGTAGAGATGGGATTTCACCATGTTGCCCAGGCTGGTCTTGAACTCCTGGGCTCAAACAATCCACCCACCTCAGCCTCCCAAAGTGCTGGGATTACAAGTGTGAGCCACTGCACCCAGCCCTGTAGTTTTATACGTCTTGAAATCAGGTGTCAGTGTCCCAACTTTGTTCTACTTTATCAAAATTGTTTGCACTTTTCTAGGTCCTTTTCGTATGAATTTTAGAATTAGTTTGTCCATTTCAGCAAACACACACACACACACACACACACACACACACACACACACACACACACAGAAGGCCTCCTGGGATTTTTATTGGGATTATGTTGAATACAGGTAGTCCTCACCTTGCATGGCACTATGTTAAATGAAACGTGCATATTGAAACCAAGGCCTCACCATGCACAGTTCCAATATTCATGTTTCAGTTAACACAGTACTAGCACTGTGCAAAGTAAGTATGGCCTATATGTAGAATAATTTGGGGGAGAACTGACATATTAATGATACTGAGTCTTCCAACCCATCAACCCAATATCATTCTTTTATTTGTATCTCTCATATATCTCTCAGCAGCATTTTATAGTTTTTAGTATAAATGTTTTTTCAACGTTTTGTAAGAATTTTTCTCTGTATTTCATATATTTGATGCTATTACAAAATTTTTCTAGTTTCAATATCCTTTTTTTAACTTCTGGAATATATAAATACAACTGATATACAATTGTATATCAGTCTTGTATTCTACAGTCTTACAAAACTCAGAACACATTGAGCTCTCTAGTCCAAAAATTCAGAATGCTCCAAAACCTGAAACTTTTTGAGTGCCTATATGACATCACAACTGGAATATTCCATAGCTAATACCTAAATCCAAAACACTTCTGGTCCCAAGGACTTTGGATAAGAGATATTCAACCTGTAGTTCTAATAGCTTTTTTGTAGACTCTCTCTGATTTTCTCCATGGATGATTATATGTCAGTTATGTCATCTTGAATACAATCAGCATTAATTACATCTTCCTTTCCAATCTGGATTCCTCTTGTTTGGTTTTCTGGCCTTATTGCACTGACTGGCTAGATGTCTCCTCCAGTATAATGTTGAATAGAAGTCATGACAGCAAATGTTTTCTTATTCCTTAGAGAAAAAACATTAGATTGTTTACCATTAAGTATTAATATTAGCTGTAGGTTTTTGTGGATGACCTTTTTGAGGTTGAAGAAGTTTCTTTCTATTCCAAGTTTGCTGAGAATTTTCAGTAGGAATGGATGTTGGATTTTGTCAAATGCTTTTTCTGCATTTATTGAGATGACCTTTTTAGTTTATTGACATCATGAATTATATTGATTAATTTTGTAGTGATCAACCAACCTGTATTCTAAAAACTGCATATTGGCCTCTAGTTTTCTTTTGTTATAATAGTCTTTAACTGGTTTTGATATCAAGGTAATGCTGAGCTCATAGAGTGAATTAGAAAGTGTTCCTTTTCAATTTTGGGGGAAAGGTTTGTGTAGATGTGGTATTATTTCTTCATGTTTGGTAGAGTTCATCTTGGCCTGAAGTTTTCTTTGAAGGACGATTTTTAACTAAAAATTCTATTTTTTATAGTTATAGGAATATTCAGTTTATTTCGTCTTAAGTGAGGTTTGGTTGTTTCTTTCATGAAATTTGTCTGTTTTACCTAAGTGGGTAAATTTATTGGCATGGAGTTGTTTGTAACATTCATTATTCTTAGTATATCTGTAAAACCTTTAGTGATGTTACCTTTCTTTATCCTTAACATTATTAGTTCATGTGTTTTCTCTCTTTTTTTTTTTCTGAGCAGCCTGGCTAGAGGTTTATCAATTCATTGATCTATTTCAAGAACCCATTTTTTGTTTCATTTATGTTTTCTGTTGATTTACTTTTTCCTATTCTATTTATTTCAACTTTGGTCTTTATGTTTTCCTTTCATGGGCTTATTTTGCTTTAATTTTCTCATCTTCTAGTTTATTAAGTTGGAGACTAAGATCAAGTTAGTTAATAGTATTGTTCAACTTTTCTATATCCTCATTCATTTTCTGCCTACTTGTTTTATCAATTATAATTTTGGATTTGTCTGTTCATATACTTTTATCACTTTTGTCTTTTATGTATTTTGAAGTTCTGTTATTAGATACTTATACATTTAGGATTATTATGTCCTCTTGATGAGTTGACTGTGTTATTATCATGAACTGATCTTTTTTCTTTGTTCTTCCTTTATGCAGTGTATCCTTTTTTCTGAATTAAAAAATTTTGTTTTTTTAGCTGGGCACAGTGGCTCATGCCTTTAATCCCAGCAGTTTGGGAGGACGAGGTGGGTGGATCACTTGAGCTCAAGACTAGCCTGGGCAACATGGCAAAACCCTGTCTCTACAAAAATACAAAAATAAGCCAGGCATGGTGGTGTGTACCTGTAATCCCAGCTACCTGGGAAGTTGAGGTGGGAGGATCATTTGAGTGTGGGAGGCGGAGGTTGCAGTGAGCCGAGATTACACCACTGCACTCCATACTGGGCAACAGTGCCAGATCCTGTCTCAAAAAAAAACTTTGTTTTTATCACTGGTTTTATGCAATTTGTTGATAATCTGCCTTAGTGCCTTTTTTTATTTGTATTTTAATTTGCTTGAGATTCTTTGAGCTTCTTATATCTATGGGCTTATAGTTTACATAACATTTGAAAATTTTTTGGGCTTTATTTCTTTAGGGTATTTTTCTTCTCCATTTGTCTCTTCTCTCCTTTGAAGGGCTCCAGTTACATGTATGTTAGACCCCTTTATATTGTCCCACATGTCATTAAGCTTCTGTATTTTAATTTTATACTTTTCATGCATTGTCTAATCTGTTTAGTTCATCCAGTGACTTTTTCATTTGAGATAATATATTTTTTTAATTCTAGAAGCTCCATTTTGTTCCTATTTATTTTTTTGTATTTCTTTTCTCATTATGTCCATGCTTTCTTTTAAATCTTTGAGCATATTCATAAGCTATTTTGAAATTCCTGCCTTGTAATGCCTACATAGCTATCATTTATAGGTCTATTTGTATTGACTAGTTTTTCTTTTGGTTATATTTTACAATTTGCTGCTTTCTTCATTAGACTATATCTAGAATAGCCATTATTTTAGTGCCAAATTTAGCTCCACTACTTAGGTGTGAATTATCCTTAGCATTTCAGTGAGGTCTCTCTACTGTGTCTGGTTAGAACTGCAGTATCTCCCTGCTCTTTTTGACCAGCCTCATGGAGTTTCAAGTTATGCAAGGACAAATTATTATTAAAGTATTGTTGGGACTTTTTTTATACCTCAGTCCCTTCTTTTCAGTACCCTCTCCTGAACATTCCATCTCCCTCATCCTCCCCAAACCATAATCTCTGTTTTCTCTACTCAGTGACACTGCATGCACTGCTTTGCTTCCCCTCCCTGTGCTGCATACTGGAAATTGCTTCCAGGAAGAAGCCAGGCTCTCATTTGGTACTCATTCCATTCATTTCCCTTTCCATAGGAATCACAATCTTTTACTGCCTATTGTCTCAGTGCCTGATAATATTTGTTTCATACATCTTATTCAATTTTCTAGTTCAGTGGGTAAAGAAAGTCCTATTCCAATTAAATTTGCATGATTAGAAGCTCTTTTTTTCCCTTCAAAATCTTTATTTGCATTTCTTTTTTTTTATTATTATACTTTAAGTTCTAGGGTACATGTGCACAACGTGCAGGTTTGTAACATATGTATACATGTGCCATGTTGGTGTGCTGCACCCATTAACTCGTCATTTACATTAGGTATATCTCCTAATGCTATCCCTCCCCCCTCCCTCCACCCAACGACAGGCCCCGGTGTGTGATGTTCCCCACCCTGTGTCCAAGTGTTTTCATTGTTGAATTCCCACCTATGAGAGAACATGCAGTGTTTGGTTTTTTGTCCTTGCGATAGTTTGCTGAGAATGATGGTTTCCAGCTTCATCCATGTCCCTACAAAGGACATGAACTCATCATTTTTTATGGCTGCATAGTATTCCATGGTGTATATGTGTCACATTTTCTTAATCCAGTCTATCATGGATGGACATTTGGGTTGGTTCCAAGTCTTTGCTATTGTGAATAGTGCCGCAATAAACATACTTGTGCATGTGTCTTTATAGCAGCATGATGTTTAATCCTTTAGGTATATACCCAGTAATGGGATGGTTGGGTCAAATGGTATTTCTAGTTCTAGATCCTTGAGGAATCGCCACACTGACTTCCACAATGGTTGAACTAGTTTACACTCCCACCAACAGTGTAAAAGTGTTCCTATTTCTCCACATCCTCTCCAGCACCTGTTGTTTGCTGACATTTTAATGATTGCCATTCTAACTGGTGTGAGATGGTATCTCATTGTGGTTTTGATTTGCATTTCTCTGATGGCCAGTGATGATGAGCATTTTTTCATGTGTCTTTTGGCTGCATAAATGTCTTCTTTTGAGGAGTGTCTGTTCATATCCTTCACCCACTTTTTGATGGGGTTGTTTGTTTTTTTCTTGTAAATTTGTTTGAGTTATTTGTAGATTCTGGATATTAGCCCTTTGTCAGATGAGTAGATTGCAAAAATTTTCTCCCATTCTGTAGGTTGCCTGTTCACTCTGATGGTAGTTTCTTTTGCTGTGCAGAAGCTCTTTAGTTTAATTAGATCCCATTTGTCAATTTTGGCATTTGTTGCCATGGCTTTTGGTGTTTTGGACATGAAGTCCTTGCCCATGCCTATGTCCTGAATGGTATTGCCTAGGTTTTCTTCTAGGGTTTTTATGGTTTTAGGTCTAATATTTAAGTCTTTAATCCACCTTGAATTAATTTTTATATAAGGTGTAAGGAAGGGATCCAGTTTCAGCTTTCTACATATGGCTAGCCAGTTTTCCCAGCACCATTTATTAAATAGGGAATACTTTCCCTATTTCTTGTTTTTGTCAGGTTTGTCAAAGATCAGATGGTTGTAGATGTGTGGTATTATTTCTGAGGGCTCTGTTCTGTTCCATTGGTCTATATCTCTGTTTTGGTGCCAGTACCTTGCTGTTTTGGTTACTGTAGCCTTGTATTATAGCTTGAAGTCAGGTAGTGTGATGCCTCCAGCTTTGTTCTTTTTGCTTAGGTTTGACTTGGCAATACGGGCTCTTTTTTGGTTCCATATGAACTTTAAAGTAGTTTTTTCCAATTTCGTGAAGAAAGTCATTGGTAGCTTGATGGGGATGCCATTGAATCTATAAATTACCTTGGGCAGTATGGCCATTTTCACGATATTGATTCTTCCTATCCATGAGCATGGAATGTTCTTCCATTTGTTTGTGTCCTCTTTTATTTCCTTGAGCAGTGGTTTGTAGTTCTCCTTGAAGAGGTCCTTCACATCCTTTGTAAGTTGGATTCCTAGGTATTTTATTCTCTTTGAAGTAATTGTGAATGGGAGTTCACTCATGATTTGGCTCTCTGTTTGTCTGTTATTGGTGTATAAGAATGCTTGTGATTTTTGCACATTGATTTTGTATCCTGAGACTTTGCTGAAGTTGCTTATCAGCTTAAGGAGATTTTGGGCTGAGACAGTGGGGTTTTCTAAACATACAATCATGTCATCTGCAAACAGGGACAATTTGACTTCCTCTTTTCCTAATTGGTTACCCTTTATTTCTTTCTCCTGCCTGATTACCCTGGCCAGAACTTCCAACACTATGTTGAATAGGTGTGGTGAGAGAGGGCATCCCTGTCTTGTGCCAGTTTTCACAGGGAATGCTTCCAGTTTTTGCCCATTCAGTATGATATTGGCTGTGGGTTTGTCATAGATAGCTCTTATTATTTTGAGATACGTCCCATCAATACCTAATTTATTGAGAGTTTTTAGCATGAAGGGCTGTTGAATTTTGTCAAAGGCCTTTTCTGCATCTATTGAGATAATCATGTGGTTTTTGTCTTTGGTTCTGTTTATATGATGGATTACATTTATTGATTTGGATATGTTGAACCAGCCTTGCATCCCAGGGATGAAGCCCACTTGATCATGGTGGATAAGCTTTTTGATGTGCTGCTGGATTCGGTTTGCCAGCATTTTATTGAGGATTTTTGCATCGATGTTCATCAGGGATATTGGTCTAGAATTCCCTTTTTTTTGTTGTGCCTCTGCCAGCCTTTGGTATCAGGATGATGCTGGCCTCATAAAATGAGTTAGGAAGGATTTCCTCTTTTTCTATTGATTGGAATAGTTTCAGAAGAAATGGTACCAGTTCCTCCTTGTACCTCTGGTAGAATTCGGCTGTGAATCTGTCGGGTCCTGGACTTTTTTTGGTTGGTAGGCTATTAATTATTGCCTCAATTTCAGAGCCTGTTATTGGTCTATTCAGGGATTCAACTTCTTCCTGGTTTAGTCTTGGGAGGGTGTATGTGTCCAGGAATTTATCCATTTCTTCTAGATTCTCTAGTTTATTTGCATAGAGGTGTTTATAGTATTCTCTGATGGTAGTTTGTATTTCTGTGGGATTGGTGGTGATATCCCCTTTATCATTTTTTATTGCGTCTATTTGATTCTTCTCTCTTTTCTTCTTTATTAGTCTTGCTAGCAGTGTATCAATTTTGTTGATCTTTTCAAAAAACCAGCTCCTGGATTCATTGATTTTTTGAAGGGTTTTTTATGTCTCTATTTCCTTTAGTTCTGCTCTGATCTTAGTTATTTTTTGCCTTCTGCTAGCTTTTGAATGTGTTTGCTCTTACTTCTCTAGTTCTTTTAATTGTGATATTAGGGTGTCAATTTTAGATCTCTCCTGCTTTCTCTTGTGGGCATTTAGTGCTATAAATTTCCCTCTACACACTACTTTAAATGTGTCCCAGAGATTCTGGTATGTTGTGTCTTTGTTCTCATTGGTTTCAAAGAACATCTTTATTTCTGCCTTCATTTCGTTATGTACCCAGTAGTCATTCAGGAGCAGGTTGTTCAGTTTCCGTGTAGTTGAGCGGTTTTGAGTGAGTTTCTTAATCCTGAATTCTAGTTTGATTGCACTGTGGTCTGAGAGACAGTTTGTTATAATTTCTGTTCTTTTACATTTGCTGAGAAGTGGTTTACTTCCCCTTCCAACTATGTGGTCAGTTTTGGAATAAATGCAATGTGGTGCTGAGAAGAATGTATATTCTGTTGATTTGGGGTGGAGAGTTCTGTAGATGTCTACTAGGTCCGCTTGGTGCAGAGCTGAGTTCAATTCCTGGATATCCTTGTTAACTTTCTGTCTCGTTTATCTGTCTAATGTTGACAGTGGGGTGTTAAAGTCTCCCATTATTATTGTGTGGGAGTCTAAGTCTCTTTGTAGGTCTCTAAGGACTTGCTTTATGAATCTGGGTGCTCCTGTATTGGGTGCATATATATTTAGGGTAGTTAGCTCTTCTTGTTGAATTGATCCCTTTACCATTATGTAATGGCCTTCTTTGTCTCTTTTGATCTTTGTTGGTTTAAAGTCTGTTTTATCAGAGACTAGGATTGCAACCCCTGCCTTTTTTTGTTTTCCATTTGCTTGGTAGATCTTCCTCCATCCTTTATTTTGAGCCTATGTGTGTCTCTGCACGTGAGATGTGTCTCCTGAATACAGCACACTGATGGGTCTTGACTCTTTATCCAATTTGCCAGTCTGTGTCTTTTAATTGGAGCGTTTAGCCCATTTACATTTAAGGTTAATATTGTTATGAATGAATGATCCTGTCATTATGATGTTAGCTGGTTATTTTGCTTGTTAGTTGCTGCAATTTCTTCCTAGCATCGATGGTCTTTACAATTTGGCATGTTTTTGCAGTGGCTGGTATCAGTTTTTCCTTTCTATATTTAGTGCTTCCTTCAGGAGCTCTTGTAGGGCAGGCCTGGTGGTGACAAAATCTCTCAGCATTTGCTTGTCTGCAAAGGATTTTATTTCTCTTTCACTTATGAAGCTTAGTTTGGCTGGATATGAAATTCCGGGTTGAAAATTCTTTTCTTTAAGAATGTTGAATATTGGCCCCCACTCTCTTCTGGCTTGTAGAGTTTCTGCTGAGAGATCTGCTGCTAGTCTGATGGGCTTCCCTTTGTGGGTAACCTGACCTTTCTCTCTGGCTGCCCTTAGCATTTTTTCCTTCAACTTTGGTGAATCTGACAGTTATGTATCTTGGAGTTGCTCTTCGCGAGGAGTATCTTTGTGGTGGTCTCTGTATTTCCTGAATTTGAATGTTGGCCTGCCTTGCTAGGTTGGGGAAGTTCTCCTGGATAATATCCTGCAGAGTGTTTTCCAACTTGGTTCCACTCTCCCCATCACTTTCAGGTACACCAATCAGACGTAGATTTGGTCTTTTCACATAGTCCCATATTTCTTGAAGGCTTTGTTCGTTTCTTTTTACTCTTTTTTCTCTAAACTTCTCTTCTCGCTTCATTTCATTCATTTGATCTTCAGTCACTGATACCCTTTCTTCCAGTTGATCAAATCGGCTACTGAAGCTTGTGCATTTGTCACGTAGTTCTCGTGCCATGATTTTCAGCTCCATCAGGTCATTTAAGGACTTTTCTACATTAGTTATTCTAGTTAGCCATTCGTCTCATCTTTTTTCAAGGTTTTTAGCTTCTTTGCGATGGGTTCAAACTTCCTCCTTTAGCTCAGAGAAGTTTAATCATCCGAAGCCTTCTTCTCTCAACTCGTCAAAGTCATTCTCTGTCCAGCTTTGTTCCGTTGCTGGCAAGGAGCTGCGTTCCTTTGGAGGGGGAGAGGCACTCTGATTTTTAGAATTTTCAGCTTTTCTGCTCTGTTTTTTCCCTATCTTTGTGGTTTTATCTACCTTTGGTCTTTGATCATGGTGACGTACAGATGGGGTTTTGGTGTGGATGTCCTTTCTGTTTGTTAGTTTTCCTTCTAACAGTCAGGACCCTCAGCTGCAGGTCTGTTGGAGTTTGCTGGAGGTCCACTCCAGATCCTGTTTGCCTGAGTATCAGCTGCGGAGGCTGCAGAACAGCGAATATTGCTGAACAGCAAATGTTGCTGCCTGATCGTTCCTCTGGAAGCTTCGTCTCAGAGGGGTACCCAGCCATGTGAGATGTCAGTCTGCCCTTGCCGGGGGGTGCCTCCCAGTTAGGCTACTTGGGGGTCAGGGACCCACTTGAGGAGGCAGTCTGTCCGTTCTCAGATCTAAAACTCCATGCTGGGAGAACCACTACTGTCTTCCAGGCTGTCAGTCAGGGACATTTAAGTCTGCAGAGGTTTCTGCTGCCTTTCGTTTGTCTATACCCTGCCCCCAGAGGTGGAGTCTACAGAGGCAGGAAGGCCTCCTTGAGCTGCGGTGGGCTCCACCCAGTTTGAGCTTCCTGGCCGCTTTGTTTACCTACTTAAGCCTCAGCAATGGCGGGCACCCCTCCCCCAGCCTTGCTGCCGCCTTGCAGTTCGATCTCAGACTGCTGTGCTAGCAAGGAGTGAGGCTCCGTGGGTGTGGGACCCTCTGAGCCAGGCACAGGATATAATCTCCTGGTGTGCTGTTTGCTAAGACCATTGGAAAAGCACAGTATCAGGGTGGAGCGCAGTATCAGGGTGAGAGTGACGCGATTTTCCAGATGCCATCTGTCACAGCTTCCCTTGGCTAGGAAAGGGAATTCCCTGAACCCTTGCACTTCCCGGGTGAGGCGATGTCTCGCCCTGCTTTGGCTCACACTCGGTGGGCTGCACCCACTGTCCTGCACCCACTGTCCGACAAGCCCCAGTGAGATGAACCCGGTACCTCAGTTGGAAATGCAGAAATCACCCGTCTTCTGCGTCGCTCACGCTGGGAGCTGTGGACTGGAGCTGTTCCTATTCAGCCATCTTGGAACTGCCCCCCTAGAAGCTCTTATCGTGAGTTTTAATGTGATTTTAAAGAATCTTAATTCTAATGATATTACTTTCAAATAGAGACAGACTATTACAGAGTTTTATCTAACAAAGCTAACATTTATTTAGCATTTCAGTGATGTGAGACGCCTTGCTAAGAGGTGTCTCAGTTCCCATTATAATCCTATTATAAAGGTGCCATGTTATGCCTATTTTACAGAAAGGAGGACTGCAGCTTGAAAACAGTTAAGTGACTTGTTCAAGCTCACATATCAGTCGAGTAAATGGCAAAACCTAGATTCAAACTCAATCTTGTCAAACTGCCAAGGCCTTGCTTATCATCACCATGTGCTATGGTTTGGATGTCCCTGCCAAAACTCATGTTGAAATTTAATTGCCGTTGTAACAGTATTGGGTGCTGGATCCTTTAAGAGGTGATTGGCCTGGCACGATGGCTCACACCTGTAATCCTGGCACTTTGGGAAGCCGAGGCAGATGGATCACCTGAGGTCAGGAGTTCGAGACCAGCCTGGACAACATGGTGAAACCCATCTCTACCAAAAATACAAAAATTAACTGGGCATGGTGGCAGACACCTGTAATCCCAGCTACTTGGGAGGCTGAGGCAGGAGAATCGCTTGAACCTGGGAGATGGAGGTTGCAGTGAGCTGAGATCATGCCACTGCACTCCAGCCTGGGTGATAAGAGTGAAACTCCGTCTCAAATAAATAAATAAATACATACATACATAAAGAAGTGATTAGGTCATGAGGAATCCTCCGTCATGAATGGATTTATGTTGTTATCGCGAGAGTGGGCTAGTTATTGCTGGAGTGGGCTCCTGATAAAAGAATGAGCTTGGGCCCATTTTCTCTCTATGTCTTGTGCTTGGTTGCCCTTCTGCAATGGGACGAACCTTACCAGATGCTCATGCCATGCTCTTGAACTCCTCAGCCTCCACAACAGTGAGCCAGATAAACCTGTTGTTTATAAATTTCCCAGTCTGTGGGTTTCTGTTATAACAGCAGAAAACAGACTATGATACCATAGTATGCTGCTTTGAAGTGGGTGAGCAGCTGGGACAATTAAGGAATCAGCTTCAGTACTAAGTGTCTGGGATGCAATGCTTTGGGGGCCATTTTCAGGTTTTGTACAGCAGTCTTTCTTGGGTCACATTTTCACTGCTCTTTACTTCAAATGGTCAAGTCAGACATCTTTTAAGCAACATTTATGGGTAGGTTCTGATGGCATCTTCCTTATATCTGCATATGATTGGAAATCTAAGAGCATTTGGGAACCTTGTCACTGACCATCTTTTTTTATTGTAACTCTACATTAAAGTGGGGTGTTTTTTGTTGTTGTTGTTGTTGTTGTTTGAGAATGATAAGGTACCATGGGAGCAGAATTACATTACTGGAAAAGTGGTGGCTAGGTTTATAAAAGCAAAACAGTCAATGATGTTCTCAGTCTCAAATTATTTCAAAATAAAAAGATTTTTAAGAAAAATTTACCTAAAATAATTAGTCTCTTTTCAGTTTAGCCACCAGCTTCCTATATTCTTAGATTGTTTTATTTTGATTTTTGGGGGTTTTTTATTGTGATTTAATTTTTTATAATCATGTAAAACATTTACGTGGTTCCAAAGGCAAACTATAAAAGAAAATATTTTCAAAGAAGTATGTTTTCTATCCCTGTTCCCACCCTCCTTCATAAGTAATCATTTTCATTAGCTTTCAGTTTATACTCATTGTCTTTGCTTTAAAATTGTAAATATTGTAGCTGTGTGTGTTTTTACATACACATACATACACACACATTTCCCTCTTCCTTGGATAAAAGGTGGCATATTCTACACACTATTCTACATCTTCTTGTTTTATTAAGTCGTAGATACTCTGGAGTTCACTCAATAGCATGGTATTAAGATTGTCCTTTTTTCTTTTTAAAGCTCCAGGATATTCCACTGGATTTAAATTTTTCAAAATCTCATTTGATAAACATTTATTGTCTACTGTGTGTGTCATCTGTCACGGGTAGTGCATAGCATTGTAGGGCAAACAGAAATGAACAACATATAGTCTTCACCCTCAAGAAACTTACAGAATTTTAAAATACTTTTACAAATGTGTACCTCTCACAGTAGCTGATCCAGTAACAATTATTTTTATTTTTACCCATCTCCTTTTTAGAGAACAGAGTAAAAATTTTTTTGCCATCTATTGTTTCTGTTATATTTAATGTCATTTCAGTAGTATTTATAAGCAGTCTAGGAACACGTCCCAACATTTAAAATACTTAGATATATGATTGTAAAGTGTGAGGCAGAGAAGTACATCATATGAATGTATGCTATTTCTAAATACTTGCTATTAATTTTAGTCACTCTAAAGTCAGAATATACCAGACAGTCCAAATTACTGTAATTATACCATCCTTTTAAAAACTTGGCACCTCTTTATTCCCAATATTACTCCAACCATTATCATTATAACAGGTTCCTGTTCTGTACCTCACTCACATCTGTACTCTTCTCCAATATTTCTTATTTCTTTAATGTCTGTACCTCATAAGATGCTGAACTTTTCTTTGAAGACTTAGGCATTGGGGCTGTGGGGGTACTAGCCTAGACTTATTGAAAGCAGCTCACCTATGGTACTTTGTCACGGGAGTGGGTATATCTGTGCTAGGTATTGTCCTTCCTATCTCTTTGTTGGCTCTTAGGGGCACTCCGTCTCTCAGGGTCCTGAGTCTGACTTTGCATCTTTGAATATGGTGTCTCTCCTTAA
Source organism: Homo sapiens (assembly GCF_000001405.40). Classification (NCBI taxonomy): domain Eukaryota; kingdom Metazoa; phylum Chordata; class Mammalia; order Primates; family Hominidae; genus Homo; species Homo sapiens. Next base: position 41,805,808 of record NC_000023.11, on the reverse strand, counting down.
AGTCATCTTGGTTACACCTTGGGTTTACCTTTTCTTTGCCTGTCCTCCAGTAGTGGCCCTGAAGCCTATCCATGTTATCATTTGGCTACTCCTGGCTCTTCCATCCTGGAGCTGTTAACCTAGTTGCTCTTGAACTCTGCATATAAGGCCCCCTTCCCTTTCTCTTTCCCCTTTCCCCAGTTGCTCTCTAGGTTTTCTAATTTCTTTCCTGACACTATGTATGGCTTTAGTCAAGCGTAACCCTTGTCCCTAAATCCACAAATATAAAGCTAAGACATGTTACTTGTCTAGTTTTCTTAGAGAAGGAAACTTCTCAGGTCTTTGTATGCTTCCTCATACAATTGTAGGTTGCAGTAAGGTTAAATGGCTGAAAAGCGGTGAAGGAACATGTTCAAGAAGTTTCATATGATTTCACTACATGAATGTAGATGTGGTAATCTAGCACCTACTGTACTACTTAAAGCATTTCCTACAGTGAAGGCTTCTGAGAAAATAAATACTATTCCTGAAGTAGTCTCACAAAAAAACCTTTTTTAATTCAGAAAATTGATTCCAGGTTCACTAAGTCAGCATTTTCTCTCATCAGGCATTGCAACTAATGACATTAATGAGAGCCATGCCATATTTTTTAAAACAAAGGATAAAAAGGGCAAAACTGAGAATTTTAAAAGGGAGTTGTTTCCAGTAGTCTGTTTGAACATTGTAATTAACCAAGAAATAAAACAAGAAAAGGCCATTTTAATTGTGTTTTTTAGTACTCCATTAACAGTGCATCAAGCTCCTTATGAATTGAGACAGTATAAAATGAGTGCTTACGTTAAAGTAGGAAAGCCATCAGTCTGCGGTACAGAGCATTGTATTTATTAGAGTATCCCAGACCTGAATGAGTATTACCACCATTAGGTAATGCTTAAGTGTCTATTTTAACAAAAGGCATTTTTTTTTGTTATTATAGAGAACAAACACTAAATTGACTAAATAAATGAAGTTTAAACAAGAAATAAAACAGCTAGAATTTGCTTGCTTTTGTTGGTGGTGATATGCTCTTGTAGCCCCAGCAAATTACATCAGCATTGTTACCCTCGACAGGGAGCTTTATAATTTGTAGCATGTAAAATAACCCTTCCCAAAAAAGAAGAGAGCCAGGACCTGTGTTGAACTACTTACAAAGCAAGCATGTCCCTGGTGTCACCTTAGTAGTTTTAGTGAGAAAGATGGGATTTCTAAGGACAGTAGTTCACAGTTGTGCTCTCTCTGTTTTCTGTCTTTCATGCTTTAAGGTTTTTTTGCTCTCTTATTTTAATGTGTGTGTCTCTATGTATGGGCATGTAAATAAATATGCAGATGGTGGCACCTATGTAAGAAAATGTTTGAACACAGCCCCAATTTCAGAGCTCAATATGGCATGGGGAATTCTTGGGAGAATGTGACCTATTGAGGGTTGGTTGGTTGTTTGTTTTTAAGATGGAATCTCCCTCTGTCACCCAGGCTGGAGTGCAGTGGTGTGATCTTGGCTCACTGCAGCCTCCGCCTCCCGGGTTCAAGCAGTTATCATGCCTCAGCTTCCCGAGCAGCTGGGACCACAGGCGCCCGCCACCACACCTGGCTAATTTTTGTATCTTTAGTAGAGACAGGGTTTCACCATGTTGGCCAGGCTGGTCTCGTACTCCTGACCTCAAATGATCCACCCACCTCAGCCTCCCAAAGTGCTAGGATTGTGGGCATGAGTCACCGCGCCTGGCCAATTATCATAAATATATGCTTTTTAGTGGACCATATAGAAAGTTCTATTCTGGTTCTTTATATGGTTGGGTTTTACTTTTATCTAAGTAATGTAAGCACATGGTTTTAAAAGTCAAATCATGCTACTTCTAACAACAAAAAAGCAGTGTCTCTCCTAATTTGTTCCAACTCCACCACTTTAAGCATTTTTGCTGTTTCTTCTGTAACCAGCAACATATATTACTATTTCTTGATTTCATAGTTTCAGATATCATCAGTTATTGCCTTTTTGCTATGAAAGATGTAGCTGTTTTATGTTGCTACCCTCCCACCCCACTTCCTGGTCCCTACTTACTTTCCCTTCCCCATTTTTATAATATTCATATTTCAGTTATTCATATAATATGATTGTATTTCTTGTGTAATTTATTGTTATATCTGGGGTGAATCATTGACTCATTTCTTTGATTGCTTAGTTTTTTGTTGTTGTTGTTTTTGAGACAGTCTCGCTCTGTCACCCAGGCTGGAGTGCAATGGCGTGATCTTGGCTCACTGCAGCCTCCACCTCCTGGGTTCAAGCAATTCTCCTGCCTCGGCTTCCCAAGTAGCTGGGATTGCAAGAGCGTGCCACCACACCTGGCTAATTTTTTTTAATATTTTTAGTAGAGATGGCGTTTCACTATGTTGGCCACGCTGGTCTCAAACTCCTGACCTCATGATGTGCCCACCTCGGCCTCCCAAGGTGCTGGGATTACAAGCGTGAGCCACCGTGCCCAGCCCGATTGCTTGTTATTTTATGTATTATTGCTAATTTATCCCTAGGCTGTCCCACTAAACTGTGTAACTTTCCTCGGTACATTCAACCCCATTGGATAATTTATCACATTCATTGTTTTTCTTGGTGACAGAGGGCCCCCTGCCTGTGAGCCTTTCATCTGTTTCATTGTAAGTTGGTTGCTGTCCTGGCCTGCTGGGCTCGTCATGAGAATTCCTTTTGCCTTTCATCTGTGCTAGAGTCTTTGTTCCCTAGGTTTCTTGTTTTTTTGCTTTTTTGGTTTTTTTGGCTTCCTTCTTCATTTTGATAAAGTATGCCCTCTAGTAACTTTCTGAGAAGAGGTGCTTTTTTGAGATACCTGAAAATGTCTTTATATTACTCTACAATTTGATAGTTTGGCTGGGTGTAGAATTCTAGGTGACAATTTTGAAAATATATAGCATATGGGTGAAAGTTTATATGATGCAACGAGACTACTTAGGTTCATATCACACTTAACCAGCTGTGTGTGACATGGGCACATCACATAACCCTTCTGTGCTTAAGTTTTCTCATCTAAAAATCAGGCATAATATCTTACCTGCCCTTACAGTTATTGAGAGGATTGATTGAATAATGTATGTAAAGCACTTAGGGCAGTGCCTGGCCGTTTTTCTCCCAAAGCTTTAATGATATTCTCTTTACCCCAGTGCCCTAAAATTTTACAATGATGTGCTTTACTGTGGGCCTTTTTAAAAGTCGTTATACTGATTGCTTAGAAATATTTTTAAATCTGGAAACTCATTGTTCTTTAGTTTAGAAATTCTTTAAAATATTTCTTAGATAACATCCTTTTCTCCAGTTTCTTTGTTCTTCTTTTCAGGAGTTGCTGTGATTCAAATAACATAAGGGCTTATAAGGTAGGGCTTCATCTCTAACCTTTTCTTTCCTGTTCCTCTTTCTTTATCTTTTTGCTCTACTTTGAGAGATTTCTTCAACTTGATCTTCTAACCCTTCTGTTTGAGTCTCGTGGTTTAGCTCTCATTTTTTATTTTCAAGGACTTTTTTCTGAATGTTTTTCTTTTAAACTATTATATAGTTTCATACTCTTGTCTTCATAGGTTTCATATTCTTATCTATCTCAAAGTAGTATATTTTTGAAATTTTCTTTGCCTTATACAGGGAACAGTTTCCTCAGAAAAATATTAAGAGGGAAGTGTTAAATAGGTGCCTGGGAACACTCTGTATATGGGTAAATTCATTATCAGTGATCAGACAAAGACTAGGCCATTTTTTGAGCGCCTTATGGATATCCGTTATCTGTAGATCTTTTGTTCTTAAGCAGGTCAGTTTGACAGAAGAATCTTCTGATCTTCTGCCTTGGGCTAAGGGTATGTGTATTAGGGGGAGAAAGGGTACGTAGGGGCATTTAAGTCTGACTGCAGTGGTTCTGAGAGATAAAGGCTGAGGGTCTTTATTTTAACATGTTTAATACATGGAACTTTCCAGTTAATCCTCTTGTTTGAGTACAGCACTTCAGTTTGACGTGAGCTAGGGGTCTGGTGTCCAAAGTCTCCAAAAAGTGGGGTAAGGATAATTTGCTTGGCCAAAGATATCCAAGGTCATACTGCATACCTATAAAGGTTCAGCCAGTCCTCCTGTTATCTGCTCCACCATGCAACCCTGCCCTCAAAGATACCTGGTGCTTCCTATTGCTAAACCTTTCTTAGGGACATTTTGACAGGCATATCAGCGTGCTTCTTACTGGCTCGCCTTATTGAAAGCTTGTGTTCAGGTTCTACAGAAAGCTTGTGTTCAGGTTCTACAAAAAGATGTCAAGAAGGGATTTGATGTGCAAGAAATTTATTGAGAGTGAAAATGAATGGTAGGGAGCTGGAGGAGGCTGGGACAGCCATCACAGGTCATGCAGGTCTGACCCCGTTGGAGGAAAAAGGGAAGAAAAAGAGGAGGATTGGGTGGGGAAATTATTTGACCAAGGTGCAGTTTCAAGGATGTTTTGGCAAGGCGTATTGGGAGTCCTTGAGCCAAAGTTGACCATCAGAGACCCATATCTCACAGGAATTAGCCTGCTTAAGTATTCCTGCTGCTCTTAGTCACCAGCTGAGAGTATTTATAATAGCTGCTTTGAAGTCTTTTCTGCTAATTCCAACATCTGGGCTCCCTCAAAGGCAGTTTCTATTTTCTGCTTTTTTTTCCCCTCCTTTGTAAAGGTCACACTTTTCTGCATTTTGCATGTCTCCTAACACTTTGTTATAGCAACTGTGGATACTGACACCTTCCTCCACTCCAGGGTTATTCTTTTTTAGTTACTTGCTGGACTAGTTCAGTGCAACCTCTGATGTCCCTCTTCAGGACAGGTGTGGTCCTTATCCATGCATTTCTCTGCTACCTCTATTGGTGTTAAACTTAACCAATCGATAGCTGATTGCTCCCTTCTTTTTGACAATGCCTTGTGGTATAAATTGCTCCATAGTCTGATCCAATTAAAATTGGGTCCCTTCATGGATGAAATTGGAAATCATCATTCTCAGTAAACTATCGCAAGGACAAAAAACCAAACACCGCATGTTCTCACTCATAGGTGGGAATTGAACAGTGAGAACACATGGACACAGGAAGGGGAACATCACACTCTGGGGACTGTTGTGGGGTGGGGGAAGGGGGGAGGGATAGCATTAGGAGATATACCTAATGCTAAATGACGAGTTAATGGGTGCAGCACACCAGCATGGCACATGTATACATATGTAACTAACCTGCACATTGTGCACATGTACCCTAAAACTTAAAGTATAATAATAATAAAAGAAAAGAAAAGAAAAAATAAAAATAAATAAAAATAAAATAACATTGAGTCCCTTGTCAGGGACAAGTTTTTCTAGTCTTTGAGACTTGCTATACCCTTCCCTGAGCAGAATCTCTGCACTATAGAGTAGGAGCTGGGGAAAATGGGGAACTCACTCCTCATTGGCTGTTCCACCCAGATCCTCCCTCTGAAGCAGGGTTTTTGTGTTGCCGGGAAGGAGGAGGTATGAACTGTGCCTCCTTTTGCCTCTGCTGCTACTCAGTGTGGATCTTCCACAGCTCAAAACCAGGGAGTATGATATCTGTCAGTGTTCACCAGGTGCTGAAAGTACTCAGAATAGTTCTTTCACCCTAGGAAGTTGAAGGAGATGGGAGCTGCCACTCAGCTGCCAAACACATCTCTGTAGCTCTCTTGACAACACAGAGCTGTGTGGGCAGGGGGGACTACACTGTTTACCAGCTTCCTCACCTGATTCCTCTGTTTTTAGCTGGAGTTCAGGGGAGAGAAATGGCTGCTGCCATCAGCTTCTGCCGCTTGCTCTATATAGGCCTTCCACAGCATGGAGCCGTGGAAAATGGGATCTGCCAATGTTTACTAGCTGCCAAATCCACCCCGAGTAGCTCTTCCATCTCAAGGGGCGGATCTGCCCTTAGCTGCTGAACTCCTTAAAACAGTTCTTTGGCAAAACAGAGCTGTGGGGGGACAGGTGCAGTCCCTGTGTGGTCCCTATCTCGAATGCTACAGCCTCTTATTGTTCTTATCGAATTTCTGTAGATTCTATTGAATAAATGCTTCTCTATTTGTTGTAAGCCCTTTGATCAGTCTCCAGGGACTTTGAATGATTGTGATTTTTGACCAGCTAAATATATGTCTCTCCAGGGGAGAGATATCCCTGAGCTCCTTTATACAGCCATTCCAGAAGTCCCACCTAGTCATTGTGGGGGTTTTCTGGGTTTTTTCTGAGACAGAGTCTTGCTCTGTCTCCCAGGCTGGAGTGCAGTGGTGTGATCTCAGCTCACTGCAACCGGCTCACTGCCTCCCGGGTTCAAGCGAGTCCCCTGCCTCAGCCTCCTGAGTAGCTGGGATTACAGGCGCACGCCACCACACCCAGCTAATTTTTATACTTTTAGTAGAGACAGGGTTTTACCATGTTGGCCAGGGTGGTTTTGAACTCCTGGCCTCAAGTGATCTGCCCACCTCAGCCTCCCAAAGTGCTGGGATTACAGGCGTGAGCCACTGCACCTGGCTGTCATTGTGTTTTTAATGATTCTGTCTTAATAGAAAACTAGTTTTACACAAATATAATCAAGTGACTTAAATTGAAAGGACTAAGATTGAAAACTGAATTGAAATTGAAAATTGAATTGAAATTGAAACCTAAGATTTTTTTGAAAGGTATGATTTTATTACGGAAATTTGCTTGATTGAGCTTTATTTTAATCAAGACTTTGTATTTCCATTTTTAGAATTAATTCAGAGAAATAGCTAACCTATAAAGTTCATCTTCAGAATTGAGTCATTGTAGACCTAAGAAGCAATATAGCAGAGTTATTAAGAGCATAGGTTCTGGGGCCAGACTACCTAGGTTCCAGTCTTTGCTTTGCAGCTTATTGGTTCTACCTGGGTTCCAATCTTTGCTTTGCAGCTTGTTAGTTCTTTTTATTTTTATTTTTGAGACAGTCTTGCTCTGTCACCTAGGCTGGAGTGCAGTGGCATGATCTCAGCTCACTGCACCCTCTGCCTCCCAGGTTCAAGCAATTCTTCTGCCTCAGCCTCCCAAGTAGCTGGGATTACAGGCATGTGCTACCACACCCAGCTGATTTTTATATTATTAGTGGAGACGGGGTTTCACCATGTTGTCCAGGCTAGTCTCAGATTCCTGACCTCAGGTGATCCACCTGCCTTGGCCTCCCAAAGTGCTGGGATTACAGGCGTGAGCCACCGCCCCTGGCCGCAGCTTATTAGTTCTGTGAATGAGTTACTTAACTGCTCTCTGTCTATTCATATATAACATGAGCATCATCTGCCCCTTAGAATTATTGCGAGGTTAAATGGGTCAACACATCTAAAATAGAGCCTGACTCATAGTAAGTACTCAGTAAATGTTAGCTGATGGTTATTGTTGTTAGACACATTAAAGGCAAATAATCATCTCATCTTTGTATTTTATTATTGAGACCAATAATATTGTCTAAAGCCAGAGACCTTGGTGAAACGCTGGGTGCCCAGCTAGCTATAATATGATCTTTAGTTCCCTCTAGTGGAAGAAAATTAGATAGGCTCTTTGCATAAACATGCTGCTTTTGGAATTGTGATCATTTAACCTAATAAAATTACCCCTGAATAATTAACCAAAGACAATATCCACATACATAAATGGATTTAAGAAATTGTTAAAACTTACAATCTTAAATATTCTTTCCAAGTGAAACTTTTTTGGGGACGTGTAATTTATAATATTAAATAATATAGTATATAAACCATCCAGTGACATAAAAAGTTAGGCATATATTACTTTTGTTTAAAACAAGTGCATTCAGTAGTAGTAGTACCTTGAAGTTTTCCATTTTAACATTCATACCCAGTTATCTGCAAGTAGATGGCATTTCTTGGTCATTCTCTGAGAAGTCTTTAATCATTGTGATATGCCACCTGGAGTAGATTTCCTTGAAGTTTTGGCATTTTTAGTATCCTCTTCCACACAGCCTATGGGGTAACAGAAAGATTGCTAGATTGGGAATCTGAGACCTGGGTTCATCTTCCAGTTCTGCTATGAAATATCTGTGTGACTTCGGGCATGTCTTACTAGGGCCTCATTTTCCTTCTGAGTAAAATTTGAGGATAGAGAGGAGCATGTGATGATGACTGTCTTGCTGTCACTTCTGTTTCTAACATTCTCTGATTCAGTGATACATACACTTTGATGTGAGACAGGAGATGTATAATAGATGTTGAGTCTAAGTTGGGTAAATGGGTCCTGTATGCTTGATGTTGCCTTCTAGCAGGATTGGCAGGAATGGAAATCACCAGCAGTGGAATGATTTGGTAAATGCCAAGATCTTGAGGCATCTATGGAGGCGGTTGCTAGATTGCAGCAGGGTATGCCTCCCTCAGCTTGGGAGATTGTTAAAGAGAACTTTGAGGCAACGTCTAAGTGGGATCTTGATGAACAAGTAGGGGTTTACCAGGCAGAGAAGGAAGCACGTGGAGTATCATACAGAGGGAACAACATTTGTCAGGGGACAGAGAGCAGGGGGCCGGTGCACAAGCTGCGGGTGGTTCAGGATTGGGGTCAGGGAGGCTGAAGGAAGAAGCTACTGGAAAGGAATGTATAAATGTGTGACTTCAAAAAAAAAAAACAAGAGCTAAATTGTTTGACTAAGAAGCCGGAGAGCTAGCTTCTATTTCCAGTTATACTGTTAAATAGGTCTGTGAACCCTAGTTAAGTTGTTGGACTTAAAAGATTTTTTGGAAGGCTTTCAAAGCCATGCTTAGGGATTATAATGTCTTGCTGTATGGAATGGAGCTCAGTGAAGGTTTTGGAATAATATAATATCTGTTTTAGAGTAAAACTATGATGACACTTTAATGAGTCTAAAGAGAAGAAACTAGAGGCAAAGAAACCCATTTAAAGATCTTTGCTGTGATCCAGTCAAGAATTGTTGAGGGCTGAAACTAGGGTAACCGCAGTAAGGGAAAGATAGTTTTGACAGGTGTTGCAGAAATAGAATGGACAGGTTTTGGCAGCTGCATATAGGAAGTAGAGGAGAAGTGGTAGATGGTGTGAAGATGACTCCAAGGGCTGTCTGGAAGATTAATAATTTTGGTAATCAGTAGGCCACACACATACAGCTACATGGGTTCTGTTTTACTTTTCTTAACTAGTGTCCTTATTATTAAACATTTTGAGTGTGTCTAGTTTTTTTCCCAAATAACCCTATGGTCATCTTGAGGTTTTTTACGAAATATGTGATTTCCCAAAAAACTGTAGATGAAAAACTGCAAAGTTAAAGTAGGCATAGAACTACACTATATATAGCAGTGTGGTTTACTAATAGATGTTCACATTGCTGCCTTCTTGGTGTCAAACTCGGTTTGATTGACATTTGTTAAACATAGAATGATTTCCACCAAAAATGATGAAAGGAAAAGAAAACAAAACTTATTGTGCATGTGCACTCTCACATACTTTATTAATCATCCAGGCCTAACTACAACCCTGTATAGGAGTTGTTATCTTACTCTTTCTATTTTACAAATGAGGAAACAGATGTTCTAAGGTTATGCAGCTACTAAGTGATGAAGACAGGAAAGACAGGTCTTTTGACTACAAGTCTATTGCCCTATCTATTATATCATAACTGCCTGCCAGCAGAATGTGTTAGTGCTTAAAAGGATAGATGCCAGATCTGTGGAAGTAGGGTGACCAGTCATCTTGGTTTGCCTGGGAATGAGGGTGGGTTCTCAGAACCCAGGACTTTCAACCTGGAAAGATCCTCGGTGCCACAACTGAGAAAGTTCCAGGCAAACCAGGACAGGTTGGTACCCTGTCCAGAAAAGTCACTTATATGAAATAAACCATTATCTAGAATGACTTAAATAAGGTATTTACTGTATTTCTTTCCCATAATATTGTGTCATCAATGCTAAATGACAAATGATTCCTAAGTGAAGAGGAGTTAAGGCCCCGCCTTCCTTCCATCTGTTTGTTTTCACTGGCTCTGAGCATCCTGCCTTGCTGCAGTTACACTCAACTGTGTGTGAATCAGATACTAGATGCCTTTGCTTCTAAGTCAGTTTTATTTTATTTTTTATTTTTATTTATTTATTTGTTTATTTTTAGACAGGATCTCACTCTGTCTCCCAGGCTGGAGTGCAGTGGCATGATCTTGGCTGACTGCAACCTCCACCTCTCGGGCTCAGGTGATCCTCCCACCCCAGCCTCCTGAGTAGCTGGGACTACAGGCACACGTCACCGCACCCAGCTAATTTTTGTATTTTTTGTAGGAACAGGGTTTCACCATGTTGCCCAATCTGGTCCCAAACTCCTGGGCTGAAGCGATCCACCTGCCTCAGCCTCCCAAAGTGCTAGTAGAATTACAGGCACGAGCTACCGTGCCTCGTCTCTAAGTCAGTTTTTAAGGAAACTTATGCTTTGCCCATTCCAAATTTGATGAAATGGCAAAAGAGCTATTCAGGGAAAAATCAAGGAGGGCTGTCAGTATCTGTGATTTCAAAGTATTTATCAAAACAATTAACTCATTTTTCTTGGTCCTTTTTCAAATAAGTATCACATATTGGTAGTTATTTCTTTACGATAAATTTGTTTTATACTATTTTTATGAGACTTTGTTGACAAAAGGATTCTGTAGCTGGATGGGGAAACCCATATTATTAAAAGAAAAAAAAACCTCAGATAATCATTTCACTATGCCGTACAGAATTTTTACCTCATTCATTTTTTACATATTGAAACAGACCACAAATTGCTTTCTGGGAAAAGTTTTGGCCCTGCTGTCAGTATTTCCTGGGCTGGCCCCATCCTGGAAGAAGATTTGGGGGAGAAATGGGTGGTAAGGAAATCTATCCTGTCAACGTGTCCTTGTTGAGCTCCTCAGCTATCAGTTAATAAATATAGAAAGTAAATTATAGATAACACAATTATGAAAGTATAAAGCACAGGTATGTGAAGAACATTTTTTTTCTTTGACATATTAGTTGAATTCCCATTTTATTTCAGTAACTTCTCGTTTGCTTTTTAAATTTTATTGAAGAACGTGTATGCACAATAAAATGTACCCATCTAATTGTACACTTCAGTGAGTTTTGACAAATGTATGCATTCTGTCATCCCACAAAGTTCCTTCGGGCTCTAACATGTATGATTTTTAAGACTTTAATATTGAAAAGTAATTGAGTTATAAACTGATATTTCTCTAATTTTCTTGTATAAAGTAAGGAATACCATGTTGAAATAGGTGTCTGGTTTTTCTAATAGTCAAATGCCCTGATCTTCCCCCCTTTGGTTTACATTTCCCAAAATGAAAAGCAACAGAGCAATTGCACCTTTTAGACAAACTTAGAGCATTGTATTTCTATTTTTGTCATATACAAATTTGTTACACTTATCAGAACTGAAAACTCTTTGGGAAATATATTAACAAAACCCCATTAATTTGTAAATGCTTAATGCAGCTAAGATTGATTTCTAATTAATACACATTTGCCTATTTAAGAAAATTTTCACATCAGTCAAACACTGAATTAATGGTATGCTGCTTCCTTTCTTTATTCACCTGATGATGATATTTGGGGCCATAGGAATTTTTTTTCAATGGGCAAGAATTCAAAGAAATTAGAAGGTGCTTGGATTTCTGTTTGTGTGTGTGAAAAAAGACAACAAAATGTATAGAGCTAGTAGTGAAACATGTAAAAAAGAATCAAAGAAATTATGAGTTTGCAGTTGACCCAGATTTCTATGGTGGCCTGTCTAGGCCTCTACTCTTCACTAGCTGAGGTCAACTTTCCTGAAGGTCAATGAGGAAGATAGCCTCATTAAAGCCAACCTGACCTGTGTTGTTGCCAAAGGCAGCTGGGATCTTTATTCTTCAACTTGATTATGAGATAAAGGTAGAACCCAGCAGCAGAAATTGACTTTGCTACTATAATCCTTCCAAGGTTCTGCTTGGATTCCTTTCTTAAAGTATCATTTGGTCATTCATTTCAGTACACTAAGGAAAAATATGTTGAGTCAATAATGACTTTCATTTACTTATTTTGTTATTAATATTTATTGAAATGAACACATTAGTACTTGTCCTAGTTCTTTCTATGACTAGATTAGAATATTCTTTATTTTGATTTTGAGTCCAGGTCAGCTCTTAGCGAATTTTGTTTAACTGTTGAATTTCTAACACAACCTAGACATTGTTTGGAAATGAATGAGAATACTTGTATATTTGTTAGGAAAAGCGCAGTATCTAGTTTCTGACTATCACTAGTTACAATGCAGCTGAAATAAGCCGGTTCTGTAACAGTCTTGATAGCCTGTCATTCAAGTCAGTATTACCATATTAGCACTATTGTGTGATTGGATCTTAGGATATATAAAAACTATGCAGACCCAGGAGGCACTGTGGTGTGATGTAAAGAGCAAAGGGCTTTGGTTATTAGTCCTGCTTCCTCCACTTACTAGCTGTGTGATTTATATCATTGAGCCCTGGACCTCAGTTTCTACCTCTGTAAAATGGGGAGATATATGTGCATATATATGTATGTGTATATGTACATGTATGTCATGCAGGGTTATTACAGTAACAAATGAGGACTTATAGAGGGGCACTTTAAAGTCTCAGAGTTTGCATTAGATTAACAATAGTGAAGAAATTCCAGATTTAGTTATTAAATGATGGATTTGGGTTATTAAAAGAAGCTATAGGATTTCCTTCTGTGAAAGTATTTTTTAAAAACACATCTGTTTGAATTTAGATTCTTTTTGGAATGACTGACATTATAAATATCTGTAAGAATTACAGAACTCACAATCAGGAGAGGATAAGAATTAAAGCAAGTCAACTTATCTAGAGTGGCACCATTCCAATTTGGTAGACACTAGCCACATGCAGTTATTGAGCACTTAAAATGTGGCCAGACCAAATTGAGATTTGCTATAAGTGTAAAAATACATGCTAGATCTCAGAGATAATAGTACAAAAAAAGTAACTTATTTTATTAATTTTAGTATGATTATATGTTGAAATAATACTTTGTATACATTGAATTGGATAAAATATGTTATCAAAATGAATTTTACCTGTTTCTTTTTACTTTTTTAATGTGGCTACTGGAAAATTTAAAATTATATGCATGGCTTACATTATACTTAAATTGGATGGTGTTGATCAAAATCTTTATTGAGCTAGGTGCAGTGGCTCACACCTGTAATCCTAACACTTTGGAAGTCCAAGGCAGGAAGATTGATTGAGGCCAGGAATTCGAGATCAACCCGGGCAACATAGCGAGACTCTGTCTCTATAAACTATTTAAAAATTAGCTGGGCATGGTGGCACGTGCCTGTAGCCCAGCTGCTCAGGAGGCTGAGGTGGGAGCATCCCTTGAGCCCAGGAGTTCAAGGTTACAGTGAGCTATGATCACACCACTGCACTCCAGCCTGAGCAACAGAATGAGACCCTAGCTCAAAAAAAAAAAAAAAAAAATCCTTATTGAATGCTCTCGAGCAAACGAAATCTTAAATTTAGATCTTTTAAGTTCAGATACAGATAGAATGAAAAGTTCTCCTAGTTCTTCAAGAAAAATAGTAGTAAAATAATACTTTACAGGAAAATCATTTTTAAAACAGACCACTTGAACCAGCTTCCCTAACTTTCCCTTACTTGACCAGTCTGATAGGCAGACCCTGGTGGGATACTTGCTTTACTATTGTTGGAGAGCCCAAACTTTTTAGGAAAATAATAGTCATTCTAATGCCATATGGCAGGTTGATTTCATTTAAGTTTCTAATTTGGGTTAGAAAATTAAATATTGCTACCTGTATTACTAGTTCCCCTTTTAAAGGGAAATAAATTGATAAAATAAATATAGGCATATAGTTAAATGTAAGGACACTAAACACAGAAATAGATTAGTTTAAAATATTTTTAAAATTTCCTGAGAAATTACAAAAAAGAAAGTACAACTTAGCCATAAAAAGGAACAAAATAATGCCATTCACAGCAAGCTGGATGGAGTTGGAGACCATTATTCTTTTTTTTTTTTTTTAATCTGAGATGGAGTCTCCCTTTGTTGCCCTGGCTGGAATGCAGTGGCGTGATCTCGGCTCACTGCAACCTCCGCCTCCCAGGTTCAAGCAATTCTCCTGTCTCAGCCTCCCGAGTAGCTGGGACTACAGGTGCACGTCACTACACCCGGCTAATTTTTGTATTTTTAGTAGAGACGGGGTTTCACCATATTGGTCAGGCTGGTCTTGAACTCCTAACCTCAGGTGATCCACCTGCCTCAGCCTCCCAAAGTGCTGGGATTACAGGTGTGAGCCACTGCACCCAGCTGGAGACCATTATTCTAAGTGAAGTAACTCAGGAATGGAAAACCAAACATTGTATATTCTCACTAGTATGTCAGAGCTGAGCTATGGGGACGCAAAGGCATAAGAATGACACGATGGACTTTGGGGGAAGGGTGGGAGGGGAGGTGAGGGATAAAGACTACACATTGGGTACAGTGTACACTGCTTGGGTGACGGGTGCACCAGAATCTCAGAAATCACCACTAAAGAACTTTTCCATGTAACTAAACACCACCCGTTCCACAAAAGCTATTGAAATTAAAATAAAAAATGTACTCATTAAAAAAAAAGAAAGTACAAAGGAGAGTGAAGAGAGGTACCAGTTACTAGTCTGTAAACAAAACAATACTTCAAAATAGAGATGGTAACCCTGGGTCATGTCATTCCCAGGTACATTTTGTGCTAACATCTGTAAGCAGTCAGATAATCACCACTTTAAATCATATTTTCATCACCTGCTTTCAAATTCCTTCCTACTTTGCCTCTAGAGTTGATTTGTAGGCAAATAGTGTTTTTAGTTTGCTATATCAGCGTGGACTTAATAGCACTTAATACATATATCTTTAATTCACATTCATATTTAGAAACAAACATTTTGAGTTTAATATTCGTGGAATCTATAGTTGGAATGGATATATTTGTGTTTTTAATTGTGCTATTTGAGCTATTTAATTTATACTTGAATTCAGGAAAACATGACCACAATTTTTCTAGATCATTGCCCTTATCATTTGAAATATATTTTTATGTTGCTAGTTTCATACTAGCAAATCAAGTCAAATCAGTGTTCTGACTTTAGTTCTGAAATGTCAGATCCGGTGACATTTAAATTGCTTTGAAGGCTGGCCCCCCAGCAATTCTGCCTTTATTTTGAGAGTGGGTAGGTGATAAGAGACTAGACCAAGGACTTGTTCAGCCATTTACCAAATCAAAATGTGAGGCTCAAATGGAGCCAAATGTGTGGCAGAAATGGAGCATCCATTTCTGCTTACAAACTTTCAGTATAACCAATGTATCACATAGCAAATGGTGAATGTGGAGATAAAAATACAATTTAGACTGGGCACAGTGGCTCATGCCTATAATCCCAGCACTTTGAGAGGCCGAGGAGGGTGGATCACTTGAGGTCAGGAGTTCAAGACCAGCCTGGCCAACACGGTAAAACCCCATCTCCAGGTGCTAAAGTTGAACGAGCTGATGGATATGAACCACCAGTCCAAGAATCTGTTTAAAGTTCAGACTTAAAATAGTGGCAAATAAAAAGTCCTCATTTGTGATGGTTTGCTTCTGAAAGAAAAAAAAAAGTCTCTACTAAAAATGCAAAAAATTAGCCAGGCATAGTGGTGCACACCTGTAATCCCAGCTATTCAGGAGGCTGACGCAGGAGAATCTCTTGAACCTGGGAGGTGGAGGCTACAGTGAGCCATGATCACGCCACTGCACTCCAACCTGGGCAACAGAGCAAGACTCTGTCTCAAAAAAGGAAAAATACAATTTAGTTACATGAAAGAGGCAAAATAGAAAATAAGCTGAAAATAAAGAGAAAATATCAGTTTTAATTGTGGCAAACACCAAATCTGTTTACTTCATGACTCCTGTGTCACAGGATAGAGTTAAAATCAGGCTTTTGATTAGAATAGAGAGGAATGGAAAGAGAAAAACTTAAGTCGAAAACAGAAGATATGAAAGGGTGAGTTCTAATAAAAATGGGAAGCTAGAGATAAACATAAAAATGAGTAATAAAAATTTTAAGCTTTTCCTAGAATTAGAAGGCAGAACACTCCTGGAGAGGAAAAATCTGTGCAGGCATGTGATTGATGTTGTCTGGCTCAGCCTGGCCCTCCAGCACACTTGTTAAAAGCTTTCCTCATGGTTATGACTTCCCAGCACAAACCCCACAGCTGCTTCACATCCTCCCCTCCTGCGGGGCCTTCCTAACTACTTTTGGAGATGGAGGCATCTTTCCTGTGCCTCTGATCTCTTCCTTTGCAGTAAACACTGAGCCCCCAGCCCTGCCATGCTGGGCTCCAAACATCCAGCTTCTCATTAGAATCTTAACACTGCCCTCTCCAACTGATTTGGTAGACTCTGCAGGTACCACATCACTTGTCACTGCCCCATTTCATTGACTCTAAGAAAGTCATTTGTAGAAGTTAGCAGTCAGCTTGCAGATGGTAGGACAAAGGCAGGACCAGCACCATATTTTCTGACTCCAGATCCTGTAGGCTTTTCCTCACTGCCACTTACAAACACACAGAGTGCTTCCTTTAAAAAAACAAACAAGTAAAACCTTCTCTTGACCCCGCTATTTCTTTCCTACTGCCAGATTCTTCTAATATGATCGTGTTCAAACCCAGCATGGCATTATTGGAAGGACTGCTGACTTTGGAATTGGGCAGGCCAGGGTTCAAAACCTACCCTCATGATAGCTGTGTGATCTTGAACACGTTTCTAAGCCTCAGTTTCTCCATCTGTAAAATACCTACCTCACAGTGTGGTTGGGACATCAAGTGACAGTGACTATATTAAGTACTTAGCCCAATGAGAGGTGTGATAATTTTAACTGATTATTACATAATTGTCTCTGGCATACTGACCTCAACCCTGACTCCTCCCCAAAAGTTGATCTTGCTCAGGATTCTCATTACCTTTTCTGGCTGAATCTTGTGGTCTTTTCTCAGCTTTCAGCCTTCTCCAGCTATTTACAACTTAATTTCCTCTACTCTCTTGATTTTCTTAATATTATTGATTCTTCCTTTCCTTGTGGCTTCTCTTTTGTCAAATTTTCTGACTTCTTTTTCTCATTCTACCCTTATGTAAGTCAATCTTCTAAGGTTCCATCTACGATCATTGCTCTGTTGACAAGACTAAGTTGAATTAATAAATCAGAAAGGAGATAATATTATCTATTTTACTTTCTGCAGTACATCCTTAGCCTTGGTTCTTCCTTACCTGTCTCCCTTCGACTTTCTAATATAAAAATGTCACATTGGATTTTAAGTCATCAGCAAACGGGTAAAGCCCCAGTGCTATTAGCACTGGATGGCTTTCATTATTCTATTCCATGTAGACATGGCAAGCGATTTCCATGCCCAAACTGTTTTGTATGATGATGATGATGATATTAACAACTTTGTTTTCCAAATAGTATTATAGAGTTTACACAGTAGTCCTACATACATTATTTGGATTTGTTCTTCAAAGTAACATTGTGAGGTAGGTAGAGTTTGGAATTATCCAACACTTTTTTTTTTTTTTTTTTTTTGAGACAGAGTTTCACTCTTTGTTGCCCAGGCTGGAGTGCAATGACGCGATCCCGGCTCACTGCAACTTCTGCCTCCCGAGTTCAAGTGATTCTCCTGCCTCAGCCTCCCGAGTAGCAGGGATTACAGGTGCCCGCCACCATGCCCGGCTAATTTTTTACATTTTTAGTAGAGATGTGATTTCGCCATGTTGGCCAGGCTTGTCTCAAACTCCTGACCTGAAGTGATCCACCTGTCTCGGCCTCCCAAAGTGCTGAGATTACAGGTGCGAGCCACCACGCCTGGCCCCAGCACATTTTATAAATGATATTTTAAAAATTCTGACTTTGACTCTAGGAATAGTGCCTTTTCTGTTTAAACCATACTATTTTTTGTTCCCTATTCCGTATAACTTCCCTGATAGGTCTATAAATGCTAGATTTTAGGCTAAAGAATAGACAACATATTTTTATTTTATTTAGGGAAAACTAAGAAAAAGAGGTAAAAATCAAAACAGTAAATTGAGTTATTAGTTTATTAGCAGATCAAGGAAGAGTTACAAATTTGGAGGCTAAGATTTTATTAGAAGAGTTGGGGAAAGTATTTGTGGTTTGTTTTTTTTTTTTTTTTTGCTTTTGGGGAAAGTATTAAGAAATGTGTACTTTTTTTATTAAAAGCTCACTCTATACTGTATATAGATTTAAGCTTGCAAAAAATATGAAAAGCTATAGTCAAAGATTTTAAAGGGTAAAAAGTTAAGCTAAGTTTAAATGGGGGATTTCATCTCTCTAGTTAGAGAAGTATCCATGTTACCATAGATCACATCCATTCATTCATCATTCACTCTAATTGTCTTTTGTTCCTACCTAATGAAGTATGCTGTATGTTTGTTTTACAGATCTAAAGCGGGAAGCCAGTATCTGTCATATGCTGAAACATCCACACATTGTAGAGTTATTGGAGACATATAGCTCAGATGGAATGCTTTACATGGTTTTCGAATTGTGAGTGTGTATTTTAATTCTTAAAGGGTAAAACTTGAAGCAATGTTGGTGTTGGATAATGCTAACACTTTTCTCTTGAAATTTAGCAGTAGTTGTGAACTTATCTGTTCAGAAAGACCTAAAGTCACAAGAAAAAAGGATTATGTCATCATAAGGTTTACAGTGGCAAAGGAAGCAAAAGCTGGGCATATTCAGTTACTCTTCATGCTTTCAGCATGCTTCAGAGAAGAGACTCCAAAAGGAAATTGAGTTCAGAGGAATAGGAGGACCCCAAACTATAAACTTCTGACCAGTAGAAGTCTTAGTGAAGAAGAGTAGGATGAAAGTGGAGGCATCCATGTAGCAAGACTCTTGGCAACTAAAAACAAGTAACGACAGACTTAGTTCCTCTTTTGATATAATCACCATATGGCATATAAGGGCAATTTTATAGATCACAGTGTATCTTGATTTCAATAAGTCACTTGATATGTCTGTCGCAGACTTTTTGTTGGTAAGATGGAGAATTGTGAGCTAAGGATAGTACAACTGGGTCATCCAGCTCTGGTCGGATGATTGTGTCCAAAGAGATTATATAAAGCTTTATAGGACAGCATCCTACAGGGTTTTATCTTTGATCCTATTCTGTTCAAAATTGTAATCAGGCCGGGAGTGGTGACTCATGCCTGTAATCTCAGTGCTTTGAGAGTCTGAAGCAGGGAGGATTGATTGAGGCCAGGAGTTCGAGACCAGCCTGGGAAACATACCAAAACCTATCTCTATTTTTTTCTAAAAAAAAAAAAAAAAGGTTGTAATCAGTGACTTTGATTAGGAAAAAAAACAGAAGATATACTTGCTAAATATTCAAAAGATACCAAGGTCAGAGGTTATATTCATTACCTATTGCTTCATAACAAAATGCCCCAAAATGTAATGGCTTAAAACAACATACATTTATTATCTTAGTCTCTGTGCATCAGGAATGTGTGTTCCAACTTAGCAGGGTCCTCTGGCTCTGGGTCTCTCACAAGGTGATAATAAAGCTGTTGGCCAGAGCTGAAGTCATTTTGAGGCTCCACTACAATGTGGATCTGCTTCCAAGCTCACTCACATGATTGTTGGCAGTCTTACCTTCCTCACAGGCTACTGGACTGAGAGCCACAATTCCTTAAGAGCTGTTGGCCCAAGCCTCCCTTGGTTCCTTGTCCGTTGGGCCTCTCCATAGAGCAGCTTCCAGCATGGCAGCTGGCTTCATCAGAGCAAGCAAGAGGACAAGTGAGAGTATGAGCAAGACAGAAGTCACAGTCTCGTAACCTAATCTCCAAAATTACACACCATCACTTCTGCAGTTAGAAATGAGTCACTAGATCCAGCCTATACACAAGGGGGATGGGATTATACCAGGGCCTGAATATCAGGAGGTGAGGATCACTGGGAGGCATTTCACAAGTTGCCCCCTACAAAGGGCTAGCTAACATATTGGCTGTCTACATCAAAATTCAAAAATATTTTTACAAGTTTGTAGCAAAGGAGCTGAAACAAAGAAGGTGAAATTTAAGACCAGTTAATGTTAACTCCTTCATTCAAATATGAGTAAGTGCAAGATCAGTGTGAATTTAGTTGTGATTATGTGAAAAAAGATGTAAACATTTTAGTTGTTGTTTGCAACAGCTTAAAAAGCGCTGAATGGAAGGTTATGCTACATTAATTAGGAGTATATAGTATTCAGAACAAAGTCATACTCCTCCCGTTCACCCTGGACCATTCATAGTAAGCAGGACACTGGAATGTCTGCAGAATAGGATAACCAGAATGGAAAGGAGCCTGAAAATTGTGTCATAGAGACACAGCCTTCAAAATCTTTTCTGGCAAACCTGCTAAAAGAATTTTGAGGCCAGGCGTGGTGGCTCATGCCAATAATCCCAGCACCTTGGGAGGCCAAGGCAGGCGGATTGCTTGAGCTCAGGAGTTCAAGACCAGCGTGGGCAACATGGCGAAACCCTGTCTCTACAAAAAATACAAAAACTAGGTGGGCATGGTGGCACACGCCTGTAGTCCCAGTTACTTGGGAGGCTGAGGTTGGAGAATCACCTGAGCCTGGGAAGTCAAGGCTTTAGTGAGCCATGATTGCACCACTGTACTCTAGCCTGGGCAACAGAACAAGACCCTGCCTCAAAAAAAAAAAAAAAAAAAAAAGAATTTTGAAAAACGTATGTACCCCTTCACATATTTTTTAGGTTGATATATAAAAACTTTTATTGTGAGAATATAATTCTCAGTATCTTGAATATTCTTTTAAATATGTTTTGTTTGTTTGTTTTTTTGAACAGAGTCTCACTCTGTCACCCAGGCTGGAGTGCAGTGGCGCAATCTCGGCTCACTGCAACCTCCGCCCCCTGGGTTCAAGCAATTCTCCTGCCTCAGCCTCCCGAATAGCTGGGACTACAGGCACGTGCCACCATGCCCGGCTAATTTTTGTATTATTTAGTAGAGATAGGTTTCACCAAGTTGGCCAGGCTGGTCTCGAACTCCTGACCTTGTGATCTGCCCGCCTCGGCCTCCCAAAGTGCTGGGATTACAGGCATGAGCCACCACGCCCAGCCTTAAATATATTTTCTACACAACTGTAGAATTGCCTGTTTATCTCATTCACTGTATGGAAAATGTCTGCTATGTGACCTACATGGCAATGCTAGTCCTTATTGTCAAATCACTCAGCCAAATCAGACTCATTTTCTGTCAGGGAAAAAAAAAATCTGACTTCATTTTTCAAACAAAATTAAAGTGTTAAATGGACATCCCTGTGACACTCATCTTAGTATTGATTTTGAATTCTTAAACAGCTTACCATGAATATATTGCCTGGATAAAGTAAGGTGGAACCTCCCTTTTTTTCTCAAACTCTCTTTGTTTTGCTTTCAAAGGTCTCTCCCTCCCTCAGGGGCTGTGCATTTCCCAGCCATCTCTTTGAAGTTAGGCTTTTTGGGTTGGAGGAGTAGTTTGCCTTTTGGATGGGTAACTGGAGATGTGGAGATGGGTGATTGTAGTTGTGGAGATGTAAAAGAAAAACCGCAGACCACAGACTTGTTTACAAACAGACAAAATTATGGAAAATGAAGATATGGAAATTGATTGCCTTAAAAATATCCTAGTTCATGTGTCTCCTGGAAGGACTTTGGGTATTCCCAGAGATACCCAAATCCTAGGTTGAAGACCACTGGCCTAGAAGAGCTGTTGAAAAGACTGGGAGGCTTTGGTTATCCACGAATGTATTCGTTTCATTATTCTGCTGGAAGAGTCCCCAAAGCAGAAGCCCATAGATAGAACATAATCAATGTCCACAGTTATTTGAAAGATTGTCATATATAAGACTATATGCTTATTCAGTGTGGCATCAGAGGCTGTAACTAGAATCAACAAGTGGCAGACGTCACCTCTAACTAAAGAAGACCTTTTTGATGATTAAACTTACTCCATGAATGAAGCAGCCTGTCTCACAGACTATGTAGTTTCTCACTAGAAGCACTCAAGTTGAAGCTGGATCCTTCCAAGGGGCCTGAAGATAAGGTTTTAATTTTGGACTAGAGATGGCCTCTAACATCCCTTCTAATTTTAAGATATTGTAATTCTTTTGTTTTTTTTTTTTTTTTGAGACAGAGTCTTGCTCTGTTGTCCAGGCTGGCGTGCAGCGGCGCGATCTTGGCTCACTGCAACCTCCGTCTCCCAGGTTCAAGCGATTCTCCTCCCTCAGCCTCCCAGGCACAGGTCACCACGCCTGGCTAATTTTTGTATTTTTAGTAGAGACAGGGTTTCACCATGTTGGCCAGGCTGGTCTCGAACTCCTGACCTCAGGTGATCTGCTTGCCTCGGCCTCCCAAAGTGCTGGGATTACAGGCATGAGCCACTGTGCCCGGCCAAGATATTATAATTCTTTTAAAATTACTTATCTGGTTTAATTTTATTCTTTATTCAAGAAATATATTTCTGTCTGTATGTTTATTTTCTGAGAAAACTAAGAACAAGTTGGGTTTGTTTTTTGTTGTTGTTGTTTTTGTTTTTAACAGTCTCACTCTGTCGCCCAGGCTGGAGTGCAGTGGCGCCATCTTGGCTCACTTCAGCCTCCACCTCCTGGGTTCAAGCGATTCTTTGCCTCAGCTTCCCATGTAGCTGGGACTACAGGCGCATGCCACCACGCCTGGCTAATTTTTGTATTTTTTGAAGAGACGGTGTTTCATCATGTTGGCCAGGCTGGTCTCACACCCCTGGCCTCAAGTGATCAACCCTCCTCAGCCTCCCAAAGTTCTGGAATTACAGGTGTGAGCCACCACGCCCAGCCTCCTAAAAAGCAAGTTTTACATACTATATAAAGTAATGATCACAGAAAGCAAATTTTAAAAATTCACCTAAATTTCACCATGTATGCTAATTGTATCAAAGGGGACTTAGTGACAGTGTAGTAGAGAAAAAAGGATCTTTGGTTTCATAAAACCTGGGTTAACATCCCAGCTCTGTCACTTTTACTAATTATGTGAGGTTGGCCAAGTTTTATAAGTTCCCTGAGCCTCAGTTTGCTTACCTTCAGAATCTTCCTAAGATTATGAGAACTAGATGAGAAACTGTATGTGACTTCCCTTTGTAAGTGGTGAAGTGCTTTTTAACTATAAAGTATTATTTCCAGTGGCTTTAACAGGATAGTTTTAGTCCCTCATTGTTGAAGTAGTCTGTGTGGGATTTTATGTAACTAATTTTGTATGTTGTGATGGAAATAATTCATGGTTGGCTGTATATCGAGATGAGACCTGGTTAAATTGGATATTTTCCAGTGACCTGATCCCAGTGTTAACCCAAATCACTAGAACATGGCCTTATGTTTTCTTTTGTTTTGTTTTCTTTTTTAACAGTGTAATTGTGGAAAATTTCAAATGAAAAGAGAGAATAGTATAATAAACCCCAGCATACTGGTCACCAAGCTTCAATAGTTATCAAAACATTTTGCCATTCCTATTCTGTTCCTCCTGATGTCTTTTTCTCCCCTGGAGATTTCTAAAGCACTATAATTTCACCTATAAATACTCTTGTTTGTATTTCTAACAGATAAGGATTTTTTAAATGATCATATTATTATTATACCTAACAAAATCAACAATAATTCCTTAATATCATGTCATGATCAGTTGATACTCAGTTTTCCCTGATTGAACATGAATTTTAACTGACAGATTTCTGAATTTAGAATTGTTTTATTAGCTCTAGGGACCTGAAAGTAGATTATAAATTCAGTTAAAATAACTTAGTTATTTCTCAAAAGGGCCAGAAGCAAACTAGAAATAGAAAATTGTTCTTTTGTATCATTGTTTTGTAAATTCACCTCAACAATTGGCCTTGCACAGTTTTTTGCATCCTCCTTATCTCCTGGGTTTCAAACAAACCAAAAATATCGATTACTCTAAGATTTAAAGTCATGTGGAGCAAAAAACAAAGCCAATGCACTTGTGTATAGTTCCACCTACTGGCTAGGTGAGAGATTGCTTCTATAGCTGCTACGTAGACTAAGCTACTCCAGAATTGCCCTCATGTTTCTGGCAACAGATGTAATTACCCCTGGTATTTAGGGGCTCATTGCTCAGGTTATGGGTTATCTGGATCCTTTTTACAGTTTTTGTAACATGACACCCATACAGTGTAGACAATGAAAGGCAAAAAAATAAAATAAAATTAGGTCAGTTAGTTTTGTTGTTTGTTGGCTACTTAGAAGCAGCATTTATCATTTTGGTGGAGAAAAGGCTAGACAAAACAGCATATTTGGATCATGAGTGAGTTTCTTAATATGGTGTCCATATCTGTCTTTGCCACAGACTATGTATAACCAACACTCCTTTTTTTCTTCCTAAACTGAAGTCATGAAATTATATGGCCCGAGAATGTTGTTTATCATGTTAGAAAATCCTTAGAACTAGTTGATGGCTGGGCTCAGTGGCTTACGCCTATAATCCCAGCAGTTTGGGAGGCCAAGGCAGGAGGATCACCTAGGGGTTTGAGACCAGCCTGGGCAATAGAGTGAGACCTCATCTCTACGAAAAAATTTTAAAAATTAGCCAAGCATGGTGGCACACACCTGTAGTCCCAGCTACTTGGGAGGCTGAGGTGGGAGAATTACTTGAGCCACAGAGGCAGAAATTGCAGTGAACCAAGATCATGCCACTGTACTCCAGTGTGGGCAACAAAGTGAGACCCTGTCTCAAAAATAATAAGCCGGACTTGGTGGCTTACACCTGTAATCCCAGCAGTTTGGGAGGCTAAGGTAGGTGGATCACTTGAGGTCAGGAGTTTGAGACCAGCCTGGCCAACATGGCAAAACCCCGTCTCTACTAAAAATACAAAAATTAGCCGGGTGTGGTGGCACACACCTGTAATCCCAGCTACTCGGGAGGCTGAGGCAGGAGAATCACTTGAACCCAGAAAGCAGAGGTTGCAGTGAGCCAAGATAGCACCACTGCACTCCAGCCTGGGTTACAGAGCAAGACTCTGTCTCTAAAAATAAAATAATAATAATAATAATAGTTGATATCTACTTAATCACAAATGGTTTATAAGTTTAAAGCATGCTTAAAAACAGAGACTCACAAAACCAGAATTTTAGATATGGAAAAGATTAGATTAGTAAATTTCAAATTTTAGGTTAGAAAATCCGGTATAAAACTTGTTAAACAAGCAGGTACCCAGGTCCCACCTCTAGACATTCACTTTTGCAGATGTGAGTTCTGACCGGGCAGGTCAAGAGATGATTGACCTTTAAAATGGGGGTAATACAACATAAAGGCTATATCATCATTGTCCCAACACACACAGTAGTTTTGTAGACATCTGCATATATTTGCACATCCATTACTTTGGGATTACACTTAAATTTGAACCTGTCTGTAGCAATTTGCTGAAACATATTTTAAATACAGGTTCAGTTTTGAAGACAGGCTGAGTTGGGTTATCCCCACAAGTTAAATATTTATTTCTAAGTGACACATTTGGGCTTGTCTTTAGTAGTATCTGGTACTTGAGTTAAGCTGTAAATCCTAAATTGGCTGGCCAAGGAATTTTAATTACCTTATTACAGAGCGATTACATATACCACGGGGAGACTTTTACAATAATTAAATATTGATTTAAAACACATCCGACATGATGTGTATCTTTTAAAATAATTTTTTTGTATCTTTTAAATTTTTTATCTTTAATATTTTTACCTTTTATATCTTTAATTTTTTTGTATATTTTAAAATAATATTAGCAGTTTGTGTTTTTGTAGCTCACAAAGGCGATAAACTGAAAGCTCTTTTTTTATTATTATTTTTTTTTGGTCTAGTATTTATGCCTGGGGAAGGGAGTGTTTGTGAAATTTATTTATACTGATAGAGTGGAACTGATTACTACTTACCAGCAAACTTGCTGCTTAAGGGAAAATATGTTTGTCTCATACCAAGCAATAAATATCTGTACTGTAGCATTTTAATCTATTTGAAGATTTGCTCATATTTTCATAGCTAGTCTTATATAATCTATTTTGATTTTTTCTTTTTATGTGTGATGATATAAATTGCTATTTGTTCTTTCAGCAAAGTAAACATCTCTTTTGACTCACAGTATCAAAATGTTTAGTTGATTTTAGTTTTGCAAACTGTGTGTCAGGGATCCCCAAGACCACCCCCAGGCTTGATGATTCACTAAGAAAACTCAAAGGACTCAGCATATAGTCATATTCACAGCTATGATTTATTATAGCTAAAGGATATAAAGAGAAATCAGCAAAAGGAAAAGATACATTAGCTGAAGTCCAGGGGAAACCAGGCACAAGCTTTCAAGGGTCTCCCCAGCAATGAGTTGTGACAACACATGTGAAATGGTGCCAACCAGGGAAGCTTATTAGAGACTCTGCCCTGGGTTTTTATTGGGGGCTGGTCACATAGGCATCTTCCACTTGGCACTTAACCAAATTCCAGACTCCCAGAAAGAAAGCAGGTGTTCAGCCTAAATCACATTGTTAGCACAAACAGTTTAGACACAGTGAGTCAGTCTTTTCAGTCAGGAATGTAGAGGACCGTCCTGAAATCCAAGTTCCCAGATAAACCTCTCAAGGGCCAACCTTAGTAGGCCTTTCAAGCCTTTTATGAGATAGTAGTTTAGGCCTGCTATATTAACTCTTCTGCACAAACTAAAATAGAGATAAATAGAAGAAGGGTTTTAAAAGAGTTGATATAAACTCCTGGATCTGCAAACAAAATATAATTGACTGTAAAGATAATGACAGGGTTTGGAGTTTGGGGTTTTTTTTTTTTTCTTTTTAACTGTAAATACAGTATCATTTTTATATCTGTTAAAAAACATTTAGGTGGTCAGATTTTTGTATAAAACAAATCCTGGATTGGGATGTTACAGTATAGAACAGATTTTAAACTTTGAATGCTATATGAGAAAATAAACTATTCAGATGCTACTGTCTTAGAAATACATTTGAAATTGTCACTCCGATAACTTTTCGTCTATGACAACTAATCTTCAAGCCACTAAAATAATTTTGAATAAATTTGTGTACATATAAAATCTGAAGAAAATTCAGTTAATTTTCTGTTATTTAAAAGAAGTATAGTTTGTTCATTTAAAAATAAAAGTTATTGGCCAGGCACGGTGGCTCACACCTGTAATCCCAGCACTTTGGGAGGCCAAGGCGGGCGGATCACTTGAGGTCAGAAGTTTGAGACTAACCTGGCCAACATGGTGAAACCCTATCACTACTAAAAATACAAAAATTAGCCAGGCGTGGTGGCGGGCGCCTGTAATCCTAGCTACTCGGGAGGCTGAGGCAGGAGAATCACTTGAACCTGGGAGGCAGAGGTTGCAGTGAGCCGAGATCACACCACTGCACTCCAGCCTGGGCAACAAGAGCGAGACTCAGTCTTGAAAAAAAAAAAAATTCTTAGTGTACAACCTTTGCCATATACATAACTTGTAAAAATTTAGAAATTACAGAAAATTTTGACAAAAAATAATGTCTTAATTTTGTTATAAAAATTGTAACAGAAATAAATGTCATTCACAAACATTTTGGACCATTTCCTTCTATTGGAAGCATTTTGCTATACCATTAAATATTTTTTGGATACAATATTTTAATGACTTCATTAAGACATCTAAATGTGTGCATGTGCCATGTTTAATAAATTCCCTATAGTTCAACATTAACATTGTTTTTCCCTATTAGAAATAATTTATAATTAATATCTTGTACATAATTACTTGTTCACGCCCCTTGATTGCTTTGTTTCCTCAGAATACATTTCTGAAAGTAGAATAACTGGGTAAAAGAGTATATGAATACATACAAATACATACATCATACTTAGATTTAACCTTTTTCTCAGTACAATGCCTCACATTTTGAAAAATACATTCACATAAATATACAACTTAAAGAATTATTGTAGAAGTGAACAACCATGTAACTATAACCCAAGTCAAGAAATTTTAAAACTGCCAGTACCTCAACAGCCCCTGAATTCCCCTTTCTCATGATAATCCCCTTCTTCTCTCAGAAATAACTAATCTGGACTTCACTTCTGTGCTTTTTATATCCCTAGCATCAAAATAGGAATTCTCAGAATTCTCAAATAATAAAGTTCACTGTCGTCTGCTAAAATCTATTTTTTTTTTTTTTTTTTGAGACGATGTCTCGCTCTGTCGCCCAGGCTGGAGTGCAATGCTGTATCAGCTCACTGCAACCTCCGCCCCCTGGATTCAAGCAATTCTCGTGCCTCAGCCTCCCGAGTAGCTGGGACTACAGGCATGCACCACCACGCCCGGCTGATTTTTGTATTTTTAGTAGAGACAGGGTTTCACCATGTTGGCTAGGCTGGTCTCAAACTCCTGACCTCAAGTGATCCGCCTGCCTCTGCCTCCTAAAGTGCTGGGATTACGGGCATGAGCCACCACGCCTGGCCTAAAATCTTTATTTGAATGGAATCCTACAGTATATACTCTATTTTTGGTCTCTGAGATTCATCTGGTTGCTTTGTGCAGCTGTTCCTTTATTTTATTGCTATGTAGTATTGCAGTGAACAAACTCGCACTATTTATTCATTTTAATGCTAATGAGTATTTGGGTGATTCCCAGATTTCACTATTTTGTAGAGCAGATCCTTCCACGTTGTTCTTCAGCCATGTTTTAAGGGATGTACTTGTCTGCATTTCTCATATACATTTTAGAATGAGGTTGTCAATTTCCACCAAAACAAAAAAACTATTGAGATTTTTGTCTTGAATTACTATATCAAATCTTGATAGCAATTTGAGAATAATTGACATGTTTACAGTGTTGAATCATCCAATTCGTGAACATAGTGTCTATCTTCCCATTTATTTAGCTCTTTGATTTCTTGCAATAAAGTTTTATATGTTCCTCTGTAGAGGTTGTGTACATCTGTATTAGATTTATGTATTGTCAGATTTATTCTTAGGTATTTTGTTTTTAGGGTAAGTCAGTTTCTCTCATTCTCCCTTCTCTTTCCCTTTCCTTGTACTAACTTTGTGTTCCTATTCATCAGGCTTCATTAATTCCAACAATTAATCTGTAGAATCATTTGGATTTTCTCCATACATAATCATATCATCTGTGTATAAGGAGGATTTGATTTGCCCTTTCCAACTTTTTTACATCTTTTCTTGCCTTTATTACAATGGATAAAACATTCAGGGCAGTGGTGATGGCAGTTATCTCTGCTTATTTCTGATCTTAGAGTTTGCTAAGCATGAATGGATCATGAATTTTATCAAATGTCTTTTTTCTGCATATGCAGTCATGCATCCTATAATGATATTTCAGTCAACAACAGACTGCATATACATGGGTGCTCTCATAAGAGTATAATGGAGCTGAAAAATTCCTATCGACTAGTGGTATCATAGCTGTCATAACATAATAGCTCAACACATCACTCACGTTTGTGGTGATGCTGCTATAAACAAGCCTGTGCTAGCAGTCATATAAAAGTATAACACATACAATTATATACAGCACACAATACTTGATAATGATAATAAATAACTCTGTTACTGGTTTATGTATATACTATACTTTTTTGTTGTTTTGTTTTTATTTTAATTTTATTTATTATTATTATACCTTAAGTTTTAGGGTACATGTGCACAATGTGCAGGTTAGTTACATATGTATACGTGTGCCATGCTGGTGCGCTGCACCCACTAACTTGTCATCTAGCATTAGGTGTATCTCCCAGTGCTATCCCTCCCCCCTCCCCCCACCCCACAACAGTCCCCAGAGTGTGATGTTCCCCTTCCTGTGTCCATGTGTTCTCATTGCTCAATTCCCACCTGTGAGTGAGAACATGCGGTGTTTGGTTTTTTATCCTTGCGATAGTTTACTGAGAATGATGATTTCCAGTTTCATCCATATCCCTACAAAGGACATGAACTCATCATTTTTTATGGCTGCATAGTATTCCATGGTGTATATGTGCCACATTTTCTTAATCCAGTCTATCATTGTTGGACATTTGGGTTGGTTCCGAGTCTTTGCTATTGGGAATAGTGCCGCAGTAAACATACGTGTGCATGTGTCTTTATAGCAGCATGATTTATAGTCCTTTGGGTATATACCCAGTAATGGGATGGCTGGGTCAAATGGTATTTCTAGTTCTAGATCCCTGAGGAATCACCACACTGACTTCCACAATGGTTGAACTAGTTTACAGTCCTACCAACAGTGTAAAAGTGTTCCTATTTCTCCACATCCTCTCCAGCACCTGTTGTTTCCTGACTTTTTAATGATTGCCATTCTAACTGGTGTGGGATGGTATCTCATTGTGGTTTTGATTTGCATTTCTCGGATGGCCAGTGATGGTGAGCAGTTTTTAATGTGTCTTTTGGCTGCATAAATGTCTTCTTTTGAGAAGTGTCTGTTCATGTCCTTTGCCCACTTTTTGATGGGGTTGTTTGTTTTTTTCTTGTAAATTTGTTTGAGTTCATTGTAGATTCTGGATATTAGCCCTTTGTCAGATGAGTAGGTTGCGAAAATTTTCTCCCATGTTGTAGGTTGCCTGTTCACTCTGATGGTAGTTTCTTTTGCTGTGCAGAAGCTCTTTAGTTTAATTAGATCCCATTTGTCAATTTTGGCTTTGGTTGCCATTGCTTTTGGTGTTTTAGACATGAAGTCCTTGCCCATGCCTTGTCCTGAATGGTAATGCCTAGGTTTTCTTCTAGGGTTTTTATGGTTTTAAGTCTAATGTTTAAGTCTTTAACCCATCTTGAATTAATTTTTGTGTAAGGTGTAAGGAAGGGATCCAGTTTCAGCTTTCTATATATGGCTAGCCAGTTTTCCCAGCACCATTTATTAAATAGGGAATCCTTTCCCCATTGCTTGTTTTTCTCAGGTTTGTCAAAGATCAGATAGTTGTAGATATGCGGCATTATTTCTGAGGGCTCTGTTCTGTTCCATTGATCTATATCTCTGTTTTGGTACCAGTACCATGCTGTTTTGGTTACTGTAGCCTTGTAGTATAGTTTGAAGTTGGGTAGCGTGATGCCTCCAG
This sequence comes from Homo sapiens, assembly GCF_000001405.40. Taxonomy (NCBI): domain Eukaryota; kingdom Metazoa; phylum Chordata; class Mammalia; order Primates; family Hominidae; genus Homo; species Homo sapiens. The sequence continues at coordinate 41,774,602 of NC_000023.11, read as the reverse complement.
CTTTGTTCTTTTGGCTTAGGATTGACTTGGCAATGCGGGCTCTTTTTTGGTTCCATATGAACTTTAAAGTAGTTTTTTCTAATTCTGTGAAGAAAGTCATTGGTAGCTTGATGGGGATGGCATTGAATCTATAAATTACCTTGGGCAGTATGGCCATTTTCACGATATTGGATTCTTCCTACCCATGAGCATGGAATGTTCTTCCATTTGTCCTTCACGTCCCTTGTAAGTTGGATTCCTAAGTATTTTATTCTCTTTGAAGCAATTGTGAATGGGAGTTCACTCATGATTTGGCTGTTTGTCTGTTATTGGTGTATAAGAATGCTTGTGATTTTTGTACATTGATTTTGTATCCTGAGACTTTGCTGAAGTTGCTTATCAGCTTAAGGAGATTTTGGGCTGAGACAATGGGGTTTTCTAGATATACAATCATGTCATCTGCAAACAGGGACAATTTGACTTCTTCTTTTCCTAATTGAATACCCTTTATTTCCTTCTCCTGCCTAATTGCCCTGGCCTACAGTATGTTTTAAGCTAAGTGTTATTACAGGAGTCAAAAAGGTTTTAAAATTTTTTAAGTTTATTATATAAAAAATTATAGTAAGCTAAGATTTATTATTGAAGAAAGAAAAATACTTTTATATAAATTTAGTGTAGCCTAAGTGTACAGTGTCTAGAAAGTCTACAATAGTAGAAAGTAATGTCCTAGGTCTTCTCATTCACTCATCACTTACTGACTCACCCAGAGCAAGTTCCATGAATGCAAGTTCCATTCATGGTAAGTGCCCTATACCAGTGTACCATTTTTTATCTTTTATGCTATATTTTGATTGTACCCTTTCTATGTTTAGATACCCAAATATGTATTACAGTTGCCTGCAGCATTCAGTAGTCACATGCTATGTAGGTTTGTAGCCTAGGTGTGTAGTAGGATATCCCATCTAGGTTTGTGTAAGTACACTCTATGATGGTTGTACAGGAACGAAATCCCCTAACTATGCATTTATCAGACTATATCCCCATCGTTAGCAACACATGACTATATTGAAATAATTATATAATACCATCCTTCAATCTATTGCTGTAGTGAATTGCATTGATTCTTGGGTTAACCAAACCTGGTCATGATTTATGATCTTCATAATCCTTTTTACATATTGTTGGGTTTGGTTTAGGCTTTCTGTGTCTCTCTTTTTTAATTTATTTTTACTTTTTTTTTTTTTTTTTTGAGACAGGGTCTCATTCTGTCATCCAGGCCATAGGGCAGTGGCACCATCACAGCTCACTGCAGCCTCGACCTCCTGGGTTCAGTTATTCCTCCTACCTCAGCCCCTTTCTGAGTAGCTGGAACCACAGGCGTGCCACCATGCCTGGCTAATTTTGTAGAGATGAGGTTTTGCCATGTTGCCCAGGCTGGTCTCAGACTCCTGGGCTCAGGTGATCTGTCCGCCCAGCCTCCCAGAGTGTTGGGATTATAGGTATGAACCACTGTGGCTTCCTGGTTTTCATACCTAGATTACACTTGCCTCATAAAATGAATTGGGGAATGTTCTCTCGGTTTTTTTGTTGTTACTATTGTTCTATTGATTGATTGATTGACTGAGATGGAGCTTTGCTCCTGTCGCCCAGGCTGGAGCGCAGTGGCGCAATATCAGCTCACTGCAACTTCCGCCTCCTGGGTTCAAGCAATTCTCCTGCCTCAGCCTCCCACATAGCTGGAACTACAGGTGTGCACCACCACGCCTGGCTAATTTTTTGTATTTTTAGTAGAGACAGGGTTTCACCATGTTAACCAGGCTGGTCTCAAACTCGTTACCTCAGGTGATCCGCCCGCCTCGGCCTCCTAAAGTGCTGGGACTACAGGTGTGAGCCACCACACCTGGCCTCTATTGTTCTCTTTATGTGATTTGTAGAACTCACCTCTAAATCCATCCAGGCCAGAGTTTTCAATCTTAGTTCAATTCCTTAAATATTTATAGGAATATTCAGGGTTTTTATTCATTACTGTGTCACTTTTAGTAAACTGTATTTTGCTAAGAATGAGTGCATTTTATCTAAATTTTAAACAGTTTTGGCATAAAGTTCATAATACCACTGCAGGTTCTGTAGTCATGTCTTCTTTTTCATTCTTGATACTGGTAATTTGTGCCTTCTCTTTTTCTTTCTCAGCCTTGCCAGACATTTACCAGTTTTATTATTCTTTTCAGTGACAACTTGTAGCTTTGTAATTCTTTTTTTTTTTTTTTTTTTTTTTTTTGAGACAGAGTCTCACTCTGTTGCCCAGGCTGGAGTGGCGTGATCTCGGCTCACTGCAACCTCCACCTCCCAGGTTCAAGTGATTCTCCCACCTTAGCCTCCCAGGTAGCTGGGATTACAGGTGCCTGCCACCATGCCAGGCTAATTTTTGCATTTTTAGTAGAGACGGGGTTTCACCATGTTGGCCAGACTGGTCTCAAACTCCTGACTTCAAGTGATCCGCCTGCCTCGGCCTCTCAAAGTGCTGGGATTACAGGCATGAGCTACCGCGCCTGGCCTGTAATTTCTTTTTATTGTGTGTTGTTTTCTATTTTAGTAATTTCTACTTGCTGTTATTTCCATCCTTTTATTTTGGGTTTAATTTTCTGGGAGCTTTTTCCCTTTTAGTTTCAACCTTTTTGTATCCTTGGGTTTTATTTGTACCTCTTGTTAAAGGCATATAGTTGTGTTTTATTCCAGTCTCTCAATCTTTGTCTTTTACTTGGATCATTTAGTCCATTTACATTTAATTATATTTTAGTATATTTTGAGTTTTATCTATGGTCTTATGTGTTCTCTATTTGCACCACCTATTCCATGTTTTTTTCTCTCTTGATTTATTTGAATCAAATGAATATTTTTATCATTCTATTTTCCCTCTGTTAATTTTGAAGTTTAAGCACTCTTTTCTGTTATCTTAGTGTATATCCCAGAAATTACAGTATGCTTCGTAACACATCAAATTCTGATATTGATACCATTATTGTCCTCCTGAACAGTGCAAGTACTGTAGAACATGTTAATTTTATATAATTCCTTCCTTGACTTTTAGGCTATGTTTTTCATGTATTTAAATTATATTCGTGTGTATAAAAACATAAATCCCATGTATTTATATCATCTCCTATTTCTTATATTATTTGTATCGATTTGGATTTACCCACACACTTATCCTTTGTTTGTTCTTTATTCTTTCAGCATCTCTAAGGTTTTATCTGGGTTCATTTTCCTTGTGTCAGTCTGCTGGATGCAAACTTTCCATTTTTCTTAGTTTCAGAGTTATTTCTTATATCCCCTTCAGTCATGAAGGATATTCACTGGGTAGAGAATTCTAGATTGGCATTTTCTTTCCATTAGATATCATTCCACTATGTTCTGGCATCCATTGATGTGGAGAATTCAGCTAGCAGGGGCTGTAACTTCTCTGAAGGTAATGTCATTATTTCTCAGGTTATTAAAAATTATTTCATCTTTTGTTTTCTGTAGTTTGTGATGTGTCTTAAGAGTGTGCGTATGTGTGTTTGAACCTTGCCTTAGGTTCTTTGTTTTTTCAATCAGTGTATTGATATTATTCATGGTTTTAGAAAATTCTCAGCCATTATTTCTTCAAATGTTGCTTCTGCCCCTTTATCTCTTTCGTCAGCTTTGTGACCAAATTAAATATTGGTAGAGGTATACCTTGTGGTATTTTCTATGTCTTCTACCTTCTTTTCTGTATTTTGCATGTTTTTTTTTCTCCATGCTTTGGTCTTTTTGTTTCTTCTGTCCTCTCTTACTGGTCTCTTTCTCTTCAGTACTGTTTAATCTGATGTTAATCTATTCACTAATTTTTAAATGTTAATTATATTTTTCAGTTTTATGTTTCTATTTCCTTTTTAAAATCTACTGTATTATTTTTTGGCCGGGCATGGTGGCTCACACCTGTAATCCCAGCACTTTGGGAGGCTGAGGCAGGCAGATCACCTGAGGTCAGGAGTTCAAGACCAGCCTGGCCAACATGGTGAAATCTCGTCTCTACTAAAAATACAAAAAAATTAGCTGGACGTGGTGGCGAGCACCTGTAATCCCAGCTACTTGGGAGGCTGAGGGCAGGAGAATCGCTTGAACCCGGGAGGTGGAGTGAGCCAATCAGCCTGGGCAACAAGAGCAAAACTCCATCTCAAAAAATAGATAGATAGCCAGCCAGCCAGCCTGGGTAACAAGAGCAAAACTCTGTCTCAAAAAACGGATGGATGGATGGATGGATGGATGGATGGATGGATGGATGGATGGATAGGTAGGTAGGTAGGTAGATAGATAGATAGATAGATAGATAGATAGATAGATAGATGATAGATAGATAGATTGTATTATTTTTGGCTTTTATTCTCTTGCAAAAAAAAAAAACAAGCTCAGCTTTTATGTTCTAGGGCATAGTAAGCTTCATTGTTTGATAATCTGTGCTGGATAATCTCAGTATATGAAGTCCCTGTGGGTTTGCTTTTATTGTCTGTTATTTTTGCTGGTTATTGGTCGAGATCTCTTATCCCTTCATGTACCTTATTCATTTTTGTCTTGTGCTAGAAATTATGTTGAAAATTATTGGCCTAAGATGATGCTTTCTTTCTCCAAAGAGGAATTTTGTTGTTGTTGTTGTTGTTGTTGAGACAGGGTCTTACTCTGTTGCCCAGACTGAAATGCTGTGGCTCAATCACAGCTCACTGCAGCTTCTACCTCCTGGGCTCAAGTGATCTTCCTGCCTCAGCCTCCTGAGTAGCTGGGATGACAGGCACACACCACCACAGCCACTTAATTTTTTTTATTTTTAGTACAGACATAGTCTCACTGTGTTTCCCAGGCTGGTCTTGAACTCCTGGGCTCAAGGAATCATCCTGCCTCCTCAGAGTGCTGAGATTACAGGCATGAGCCACTGTGCCTGGCCCAAAGAGGATTTTTATTTGCTGCTTCTACTGCGAACCTTCAGGCACCTAGCTGTTTAAGACTTTCTTACTCAAGATTTAAGGCTTAGATTTTCAGTGCCACCTAGATGTAAAGCCGGGTTGCAAGTCTGTGAAGGGGCTGATTGCTTCCAGTTCACCCCTAGCTCTTTAGGGCATCAGCTCAGTGCTGGAGAGTAGAGTTTATCAGATTCTCTTGAATTCTCACTCATTTTCCCTTTTGAGCCCAGGAATTAGAGACCAGCCTGGGAAATATAGTGAGACCTCATCTCTAAAAAAGTTTAAAAATTAGCCAAGCATGGGGGTATGCACCTATAGTCCCAGCTACTCAGGAGACTGAGGCGGGAGGATCACTTGGGCACAGGAGATGGAGGCTACAATGAGCCAAGATCATACTACTGTACTCCAGCCTAGGCGACAGAGTGAGACTCTGTCTCAAAAAAAAAAAAAAAGAAAAAGAAAAAGAAAAGAAAAAAGTACTTTTTTTTTTTACTTATTTAGTTGTCTTCAATGGGAGACATCATCTAGTCTACCATTACAAGAAGCAGAACTCTAGCAATGTATTTAAAACTCTTTTAACGTAGTTTTCATATTACTCTCCATAAAGATTTACCAATTTATATTCACACATGGTAAATAAATGTATCTATGTTTACATTTTGATAGGTCAAAAGGATGTTTTGGTTTAATTTGCATTTATTTTGTCATTAGTGTGGTCAAATATTTTAAAAGTAAATTTACCCATTTCTTTTGCATCTAGTCACTTTCATTAGTTGTTTAGTTTTCCTTAGTTGTTTTAGTTGTAAGAATTCTTTTTTGTTTGTTTGTTTTTGTTTTTTGTTTTTAATAGAGATGGGCTCTCCCTTGCTTGCCTAGGCTGGTTCTGAACTCCTGGGCTCAAGCAGTCCTCCCACCTTGGCCTCCCAAAGTGCAGGGATTACAGGCATGAGCCACCACACCTGGCGAAGAATTCTTTATTTGCTAAAGATATTTACCTTTTTCATGTATTTGTAAATATTTTCCCCAAATCTGCCTGTTTTATTTTGCTTGTTGATTTTTTTTTAACATGCAGAACATTAAAATTCTGTCAGAAAATTACAGATAAGCAATAGGGAAGGCTAGAATGAACTCTTAGCTACTAGATTAGAGTTGAAGACAGCAGTATAATCTCATATTGAATTTATTATATGTACACACACGCACACATACACATATACATGTACAGATATATACAGAAATCATAAATTATATGTGCATACATGAGTTAGTACACATACATTCCTAGCTCTGTCCACTTAGAGAGCCTAAAGCATACCCACACCTAGATTTTTGTTTCTGAATGTCCTCCTCTAATTTAAGCAGCCAGGGATCCTCGGAAAAATGATTATAAATTCTAGGGCTGGAAAAGAGAAAATATAAGATAAACATGAAGCATCTTAGAGTGCCTGAAGGTAAGGAAGTATTCAAAAAGATGGGGGCATATCAGAGAGACATAGGAACCAACCTGAAAGCATGTCCAGTGGCCAAAACTGGAACAATTTGAGCAAAAAATAACACAGTATAGATTACAATCCAAAGTATAAAATAAATACTTATGAGTGCATAGTGATATAAAGAAATAATTAGATAAACAATTGAGAGAGAAAAAAAGAAGAATTCCAAGTGTTAGGTATAGATAATTTCCCTCCACCCTTGAGTGTAGGTTGGACTTAGTAACTCACTTTCAAAGAACAAAGTATGGAGAGGGAAATAGTAATTTTACAGTAGAGAGAACTAACAGATTATCTTCACCAAGTGATCACATTAGCATTACCAGTGATCATTCCTGCGTATATCATCCGCTCCTTGATATGATGTGATGAGAAGGGCATTTCACCTCTGATATTCTTCCCAAGAAACCCATAACCCTGACCTAGGCAAGAGGGAGACATCAGACAAACCCAAATTGAGGAACATTCTATAAAATACTTGGCCAGCATGCTTTAAAACTATCAAGGTCATGAAAAACAAGTAAAGACTAAGAAACTGTCACCAACCAGAGGAGACTAAGGAATCTTGACGACTAAATGCAACGTGGAATCCTAAATGGCAAGGGAAAAAGTATATAGTTGACAAACTGATGAAGTCCAGGTAAAGTCTGGAGTTTAGTTAATAGTAATGTACCAGAGTTACTCTTAGCTTTTACAAGTGTACTATAGTTACCTAAGATGATAACACTAGAAGAAGTTCATTTAGTGGTATACAGGAACTCTCTGTACAATCATTCCTCAGTATATATGCAGGGGATTGGTTCCTGGAACCTCACGTGTACTAAAATCCACGCATCTCAAGCTCTGCAGTCAGCCCTGTGGAACCCATATATAGGAAGTTAGCCTTCCATATAGGCAGGTTTCGCATTTAGCAAATACTGTATTTTTTATCTGCATTTGGTTGAAAACATTCTGCATATAAGTGGACCCATACAGTTCAGAACTGTGTTGTTAAAGGATCAACTGTACTATCTTTGCAACTTTTACGTCAATCTAAAATTATTCTAAAATAAAAAGTTTTCTTTACTCTAAACAAACAAAAAAGAAACCATGAGTTTACACCATTTCCAGTTTAAAGTAGCAATTACAGATTTTTATTTACAAGACAGTTATTAAATTATAAGGAATTATTATAAGTAATTTTGGTATTATAGTTATATAACAAAAAAGAGTTCTTACCTTTTGGAGATAAGTACTGAAATATTTATGCATAATGCTCTTGTTTTTGTTTTTTTGAAACAGGGTCTCACTCTGTTGCCCCAGCTGGAATGCAGTAGCCCAATCTCGGCTCACTGCAACCTCCACCTCCCAGGTTCAAGCCATCCTCCTGCCTCAGCCCCCCAGGTAGCTGGGACTACAGGTGCGCGTCACCATGCCCGGCTAATTTCTGTATTTTTTATAGAGACAGCGTTTCACCATTTTGGCCAGGCTGGTCTCAAACTCCTGAGCTCAAGTGATCCACCTGCCTCTGCCTCCCAAAGTGCTAGGATTACAGGCGTGAGCCAGTGCGCCTAGCCATTTATGCATAATGTTTTATTGATGTCCGGGATTTGCCTCAAAATCAAGCAGTGGGTAGGCAGTGGGTACTATGTTGGAATACAGGTGAAACAAGATTGGCCAATGTGTTGTTAATTGTTAGAGCAGTGTAATGAATGTATGAAACTCTGTATTTTCTACTTTTGAAATTTTCCATAATATAAAGTTTTTTTAAGTGAGAAAGAAATTACATAGTTTTTAACTTTTTAAGTTTTATATTTGTATATCTTATCTCTGAAAATCTGGGTTCCTTGCCACATTAATATACTTATTTGCTTCATCCTACTAGTTTAAATATGCAATAAAAATAAGACTATTGAATGCAGATTAGGATTTCTTTGCACTTCTTTTCATCCGAAGGGTATATCCCACAGGAATGCACAATCAAAACCCTGGGTTTTAAAGAAATTTTAAATAACTCTTCTCATTGTGGTTTTGCCACAAGCTTGATATAGATAGATTTAAGTTTGTTTGTTTGTTTCAGTTTGTTTTTTTATTTACATAGTTTTTATTACAATTTTAGATTCACATACAGCTATAAGAAATATAGATCCTTGTAGACTTTGCCCAATTCTTCCCAAAATTAACATTCTGCAAAACTACTGTGTCACAGCCAGGATATTGACATTGATACAATCCACTGATCTTATTCAGATATCTGCATCAGTTTGTTTTTAATTTTTAAAATTGTCTTTTTTTTCTCCTTGCTTTAATTTTGGTTTTAGATTATGAAAAACATGTATATGATTACACAAAGTCAAACCTGTGAATAGGGTTCATTCAGAAAGGTCTAGTTTGCATCCCTGTCCCCATTCACTTTCTTGCCCTAAAGAAAACAATTTTTAAAAATTAGTTATTTTATTTTTCCATTATTTTTATTTGAAAATATGAGAAGATATGTATATGATTTTGTGCCACCCCCCTTCTTACACACTTCCATATATTCTCATCTAAACCTTGATTTTTAAAAAATTTTAATATGAAAACACTGGGGATCACTCCATGGCAGTAAGTAGACATCTTCTTCATTCCTGTTTATGCCTGCTGAATACTCCATTATGGCAAAGAATTGTTTATTAAACCATTCCCCTAATGATGGACTTTGGGATTATTTTCAGCCTTCTTTTACTACATGAATAACCTTGTGCATACGTTATTTCATACTGTTGCTAATGTCAAATTCCTTCCTCAAATGTTGTGTCATTTTGCATCGCCACCAGCACTGTCTGAGGGTTGTAGGCTTCAATTTTAAATTGTGATTTAAAGGACTAATCTCTGTCATATAAATTAGTATATGTCTTACTTCATTAAAAAACTGTACTCATATGTATAAGGCTAGACAAAGAGAGTCATAGATAAATTCTGATTTATTTTATGGCCCTCATTTATATCTGTGGACTTGACCAGAATGCTTTTAACTAGAGTGGGTTTCTTATCATTGTAAGGTCACTAGGTCTAAGAAAATTTGTAATACTCAGAAATAGAGAGAAGGTCATTTGTCCCTCTGCCATTTGTTTACTTTAGATAGTAGGCAGAGTCATTGAATCTTATTAGGAAATATAAAAAACATACTTGCTCTTTTTGCCAGACTCGAAAAAGTACTAAAGCTATTCATATTTCTTATACACACCATTGAGAGCTCAAGAGGTTCACAGGAAATAAAGGCAAGATTTTGATGGGACTTTTAAGACAAGGCAAGGATTTGGGGTTTATCTTGAAGATGTGGATGCCATCCTAAGGCATGTGATCAGATCACCATTTTTAAAGGTTGTTTTTTTTTGGCTACAGTATGGCTATAGTATAGGAAGGAACACATTTGGATATGGGGAGAATTGGGAGGCCATTGCCATTGTTCAGTATGGATATTGATGGCTAGGATAGATCAGTGTCAGCAGAGAGCAACAGAAGTGAATTAGGAATTAGAAAGGATAGGGTTTGATGATTAGATAAAGGAAGTAAAGGAGGAAGAGGAGTCAAAGCTGACTTGCCGTCTCTGGCTTGGGCACCTGATATATGATGGTGCCACTGACTAACTTGGGCAACCCTGGAAGCAGATGATGCAGTATACTTTGGACATGCTGAGTTTGAAGTCTCTGTAAGATATCTGAATGAAAGGACTAAATAGGAAGTTAGATATGTGGATTAGGAGCACAGAGAGAGATCTTGGGTAGATACAGAGATTTGGGAATGGTTGCTACTTAGATGATTTAGAAGAGTATATAGAGGGAGAAGAAAAAAGGACTTGAGGACTGAGGTTCTTCCAAATTTTGGAGGTTGTAGAAAAGGAGGAATAGCTAGCAAATGAGATAGAGAAGGAATAGCTGAAGAGATAGAAAATCACGACAGCAAGGAGTTGCAGAAGCCAGAAAAAAAAAAGTGTATCAGGAACAATATTATAGGAAAATGAAGGGTTTGGGTAATTCTTAGTTCCATCCTTTACTAGATTCCTGTATTCTTCAACTATTGTCGAGTGTTCATGCTCTGCACAGCTCCCATTCGGCCTCATTTCTGAGATGTGCTGCCTTTTGGTATCTATTGGTATCTCTTTGCTGCCATTTGGTATTCCTATCTGATATCTCATTTCCTTAGTGAGGGACATAGTGAGTGAAAGAACATTAGAGGACAAATGGAAAGGCCTATACTGTTGTCCTAGCTCTGTCACCAACTTTATTTAGTAATTTTGTTTCTTTATGCCTATTATCTGTGAGATATAGCTAGAATTTCAGGACAGAGATGGCTACACATGGAAACAATTACAATGAGAAGTAAGGAGAGAGAGGAAGAGAAAGAGCCGTCATAGAGGAGGTGATACTGAGAATTGAAGGATGACCAGGAGTTTGCCAAGTGGTAATGGCAAGGATGAAACTAGAAAGAAGTAGTAAATATATTATAAAGATACAGAAATATCATAAAGCTTTCTTTTTGAGACAGGGTCCCACTCTGTCTCCCAGGCTGGAGTGCAGTAGCACAATCATGGCTCACTGCAGCCTCGACCACCTGGGCCCAAGCTGTCCTCACACCTCAGCCTCCAAGTAGCTGGGACTACAGGTGCACGCTACCACACGCGGATAATTTTTGTATTTTTTTGTAGAGACAGGGTTTCACCATGTTGCCTGGGTTGGTCTCAATTTCCTGGGCTCAAGCGATCCACCCACCTCCGCCTCCCAAAGTGCTGGGATTACAGACATGAGTCACTGCACCTGGCAAAATAATAAAATTTAAAGAAAGAAAATAGAATGAAGCCAGGCCTCATAGGAACTAGGAAAAAAGATCTCAGGAATCCAAGTTACTGTTCTCTTCATTCCTTAGGGTTTTGTGTCTACTTTGCTCTGGAAGAACCAGCTTTCTCCAGTTACTCAAGCGCTTGCACATGACCCCAAAACGGGCACCCCAGTTTCCAAAATTTGTATGACCTTGAAGCCCAAGTAATTTCTTTCTGCTTTTCTTACTTCACATTCCAGATAGAAAAAAAATAAACATGAATGAGTGAATGTATCTATCTGATTATCTCAGTTTCCCCCCCTTTTTTCTAGAACTGAGTATCCTAAGTTGTTGACCTGACCCCCCTATAGATAACCTTCTTTTGAATCAGGGATCTGTTTCATCCAGTGGCAAACAGAAGCCCACTGCTGTTTCCATGATTGGGCTGGGGCTTTAGATGGGAGAGTTTAATAGAATATAGATGGCAAATCGACTATATGAGTGGGAAAAGAGAGAGGCATTACAGGCAGGCAAAGAGCATGTGGAATGAATGGCCAGAAATATGAGCCAGCTTGTGTGGTTGGGACACTGCTAATAGTGGTGGGCTATGACTTTGGAACAAGGTGCAAGATGAGAGAATGGAGATTAGCTTGGATGTGTACAAATAAAACCATCGGTAAGTATGAAAGAGAAGCTGAGAGTCATAGAGGCCAGTTGAGAATATCCAACACACATAAACAGGAATTCTAGAAGTAGAACATAGAGGGAATGATGAAGAAAAGAGACCTTATTCAAAAAGATAATAGCCCAGAACTTTCCCAAATTGAAGAAACATTGTAACCTCAGATAGATGTAAGGTTTGGAGAAGAAAATTGCTAATTTTCTTGGATTATTTGAGTTTATGGTGGTTGTAGGATACCCACCTGTAGGTGTCTACTCCAAACTGCCTGAGTCTGGCCCCCAGGAGAAGAACCTAGGCTAGCAATAAGAGTTTAGGAGGCATTACCATTAGCACAGGGTCCATTTCACTTCTTGGCACCTCAGTTTCTACCCTAGCAACTTTTGAGAATGAAATGAAGTGTAAAAGTACTCTGATAATCACAACACTACATAGTTTTACCATTGTCTTCATTGTCATTGTCATAAATTCTATTGAGTATAGAGCCTCAGTATTAGAGGAGAAGAGCTAAGGAACCTGGAGCCAGATTTCCTATATTCAAATCCTGGCTCTGCTACTTTGTAACCATGTGACCTTGGACAAGTTATATAACATTTGTCTTAAGCCTCAATTTCCTCATCTGTGAAATAGTACCTGTCTCCTAGTGTTTTTATGAGGATTAAATAAGTTACTACTTGTAAAGCACTTTAAATGGCACTTGGCATGTAGATAAATGCCCAGTAAATCTTTGCTATTAGCTATTAAAGTACCTGCATTTCACAGGAACCTTCAGTATCTTATTTCAGAGGAGTGACTAATGTAAAAATCATAGTCTATGAGGATAATAAATTTAGGTATCTGTGTCTTCCTGTAATACTCAAAGGATCAGTTTAGTTAACTGCTGGCTTTTGTCTATGTAAAGAGTTTTGTGGTTGTTTGCAAATTGCTCATGATGTTATTTGAACATTCAAGGACTTCTATTTTTTTCTTGGTAATGTCTGAAACTTGGAAATAATTCATGGGCATATGGGATATTCTCCTGAGGACACAATAATGGTTCCATTTTTCTTGCTAAGTTGGAACAATTTAATCTTGAGCAAATACCTATGCTTGTGCTTCTGTTTTTGTTTATATCTGTATACATCTATAGTTTTACAAATACCAATATTGACATTTTCATTTTAGCCAGAAACTTGCCTAAAAGTAAGATTACACGAGCTAGTTTGATTTCAGAGTGCAAATGGCAGTAAAATGAAAGCAGAAAATAAAAAATTAACCATATGATTATTTTGTAATCCCCAGTGTGTTTGTTCAAGGTGAGATCATTTTCCAGATTCATCCTTCACCTGTACCACCTTCCTGATCTGCAAGGCCATATCAGGGCTGGCATGGTTATTTACAGTTATTTAGATGTTCTGTGAGGCAGATAAACAGAAGACAGGACACAAGTAGAACTGTCAAAAAAAAACCCCAAAATCCATGAATTCCACAAGCGACTAGAAGGAACTTGTTGTGGTTTTCATATCTACATCGTTTGAAAGGGCACTCCCTCTCCTAGAGATCAGGAGCTGTACTGTTAGTGATGGCAGGGGCTGCACTGATACACCTGCCTCTGAATGAAGAGAAGGTTTTGAGGAGCAAGAAGGAGAACTTATTTCTAGAGAGAAGAATGGAAATAAGGGCTAGAGAGACTTAGAAACAATCGCAGATACACATCCATACCAGAGTTACAAGAACTTACACAGGATAGCAAGCAAACTGATGCAATGGTTATGACTGATTTGGTTTGGGGTGGCAGAGGATCCATCCCAGCTTCTACCTGCAAAAGTAAGTAGGACTAGGTCAAAGGTCTAAGAAACTTAAAAAAAAGTGTGTTTAAACTAGCTGAACTAATACATCCAGTAGATAAAGAATTGCACATAAGGTATTTGTATAATAATTTTTTTTGAATTAATGAAGTTAAAAAATTTGGGGAGAGAGGGCTGGGTAGAAGAGAGAGAAACTCGAGAACTTGGGCCTTTAAACCCTGCAAGCATAACTGGGGCCATTTAACTAACCAACGTCCTAGTTGAACAGAGCTCATTTTGAGTACAGAAACAATAGTAGCTTGGAAACTTAGTTCTACCTAACCCCATGAAACCCTGTCTGTCTCCTGGTCAGTTGGGAAAGAACTTGTGAGGATTTCAGTAATTAAAAAAATAATCCCCTTGAAGAATTAGAATGTCACTGTTCTCTCGATAACCCCCGTAAGTCCAAGTTAAGGCAATAGCAGCCTCCTCCTTCAAAAAGGTGAACAGGAAGCATGGAGTTATACAGCGGGCTGAGAATCAAGAGACTGAGGTTCTAGTCCTATCTGCTATTAATTAGTTACTAACCTAAAGCAAGTCTCTTAAACTTCCAGTTCTAAGATTCTGTGATGTAACTCATCGTGATTTATATCTGGAGGTCCCTCCCCCTCACTTTAGTGTTAGAGATTAGGGAGGTGGGTGTTTAGCTGTGAGGATTAGTGAGTACACTGAGGACTAACAGTGAAGTTCCTACATGGTAGAAGCTAGAACAGAATAGGGGCTATTGCTCTTATCTGCCTTGCTTTTTTTCTGGAAATTATTAGAAAGCCATACAGATATGTATGTTAACGTAAACAACAAATCCAGAGGTCGTCTTAGAATTATTTGCTATCCCTTGTAGCTGGAGCTTCCTTATCCACTAGGAGGCACCATTGTCAAACAACATTGATTAGGGGTCAAGAGCTCTTGATCATTTAAGCAATTGGAGAGGAAAAATGTCTAGAAAGAAGAAAAAAGAGGTAAATATAGGACCCTGGAAATTGTGAAAAATCAATCTTTGTTATCTAGATGGACATTAGAACAGTTCTCAGTTTCTAAAATTCGATAAACAGTATTTCAGACTACATATCAATTTTAGAAGTGGCAAAATCTTTCAAGGCAGTCTTTTTTTCGAAGAAACAAATAAGATATGAAAAAAGACCTTAGAAATTACTGAGCCAAATCCCATCTTTATTGAGGAGTCATGATCAACCCAGAAAGGTTAAGTGTCATGACCAAGATCTGCCAGGCTTGAGCCTAAAACCGATGTGTAGGGGGGGCATTTCTCATTGATTTTGGCCATCCCAACACCTGAACTCTCTTCAAGTATTTGGAGAATCCCTCATTTTAAGAGCCTTGATAGGGGAAAAAATCCCATATTCTACTATAAAAGCTAAAAATGGCAGATATTTGCACTACTAAACATTTAGACCCACAGAACTACCACAGGACACACTTGGCATCAGATTCACTTAGAAGGATACAGGACAGGGGGAAAGAAAAAACAGCTTTTTAGTCAGGCAGCACCAGGCATTCCTCTGCAGTACGAGTCCTTTCAGTAGTATATACAATAAAGTTCAGTAAATATAACAGGGAAAAGAAAGATTTTTAAATAGTGTTGAGAAAACAAGTTAACAGTTCAGAAATCAATTTAGATTCACCCTTCCCCACACACATGCACATACAACAAAAATACTACAAACAAAATAGAGTTGATAGAAGCTAATCAAATCATAGGAAAGCTAGCAAAAGATAAAATTATTTAACAGATCTTTAGAGAGCTTTTAAAACTTCAAAGAACTGGGATCCACAAAGAAAAAAGGTATCAATAGATTTAACAAAAATTGAAAAAACTAGAAAATTAATTTGCTTCAATCTTGACATAAAAGGTTTACATTCTATCGAACATAAAGAGTTCACCCCAACGAAAGGGAAGATATTAAGCTTCATACACAAACAGGCAAGGACAGGAATAGACAGCTTCCACCAAAAGAACTACAATTGGTAAAGAGGCATTTGAGGATATGCTCAGTCATTTTAATGTCTTTGACAGTATATCAGAATTGCTTTATTAAACAGTGAATATTCCCTTTCTCCATTGAAAAGGTGAAGGTTTCTATCTACTTGCATATCTTAATTAACAATCCTGAATAAGCACCATTCATATTGAAAAAATATGATTATATCCTATTTACAGTATCAGTGCAAGAGGAGGCCTTAGCTCCATTTATAGCACCTCAGACATTCCCAACCCCAAACCCACCTACTATGTTGACACATTTCCTGGTGCTCCAGGCCTTATTGTTCTTTGTCGGAACAAATGCCTTGAAATGCTGCTGTCCTCTTAACTACCATGTAGTCACCACCACTCCCCCATGCTCTCACCCTTGCTTCTTGAGGACCTGTCTCAGAGGCTGACTACTCCATGAAGACTTTCTTTTTTTTTCCTTTTTTTTTTTTTTTTTGAGATGAAGTCTCGCTCTTGTCACCCAGGCTGGAGTGCAATGGCATGATCTTGGCTCATTGCAACCTCTGCCTCCCAGGTTCAAGCAATTCTACTGCCTCAGCCTCCCGAATAGCTGGGATTACAGATGCCTGCCACCACACCTGGCTAACTTTTGTATTTTTAGTAGAGACGGGGTTTCACCACGTTGGCCAGGCTGGTCTCGAACTCCTGACCTCAGGCTATCCGCCCGCCTGGGCCTCCCAAAGTGCTGGGATTACAGGTGTGAGCCACTGCGCCCAGCCCATGAAGACTTTCTTAATCTCTCCTTCTGTAATGTAGGCTCTTAGAAGATGGGATCTTCATGTAACTGGTCCTTCTATCCTCTACAAATAGTAGATGTTTAATGATTGAATACTGAATGAAACATAATCCCCCCACAAATACGGAGTAGTTTAGATGGGGAAAGGGTGAAAAAGATTATGCGTACATGACTCCTTTCTTTCAGAAATGAATTCGCCACCAACAAATATTTGTATATATTCATCAATATGTGGGATAGTATGCTGAAGACAAAATACCTGTTTATGCTCTCTATTTGTCTATAGACAATTGTACAGACCAGAAGGCACCTACCCATGAAATAAATAATAGTAACTGCCAGGTGCAGTGGCTCACGCCTGTAATCCCAACACTTCGGGAGGTTGAGGTGGGAGGATCACTTGAGACCAGCCTGGGCAATATAACAAGATTCCATCTCTACAAAAAAATTTAAAACTTAGCCAGACATGGTAGCACTACTTGTGAGGCTGAGGCAGGAGAATCACTTGAGCCTGGGACTTCAAGGTTACAGTGAGCTATGATTGTACCACTGCACTTCAGCCTGGGTGACAGAGCAAGACTGCCATTCATTGACTTATAAATAAATACATACGTACACACAAACAAACAACTTGTAGTGTAGGTCTAAATGACCGTAGAGAGGTACAGATTGTTAGGGCCTCATAAGTTCATTGGAAGAAACAGTTAGGAGCTAGAATAGGCAGACAGGCTTATAGGAAGTTGATAAAGGGCATCAGCACCAGTGTAGGAGTCAGATGGGTGGAAAGGTGAAGAAAGGACATCCCAGGCAGGAGCATAAAGAATGCAAAAGTGTTGGGAAAAGATGGTAGTTATGGGACATTTGTGAAGACATCAAAACAGTACCACAAACAAAGCCCTGAATTAGAAAAAAAACAGAATTAAAGATTTTTTTAAAAAAGACTGATTTGTGTATGCAAGGATTACAGCATTTATCAACAAACTTACTAAATATAGACAATTCATTTAAATTATATCAATAATATAGTATTCATATGTATCATCTGGAAAGATGGGGACATAGGCTCTGTATTTTAAAAATCCCCCTATATGGTTCTGGAACATGGGGCCCCCATAATAGGCATGAAAATGGATTTCACATATGGAGCCTTTCTTTACATTATGATTTTACCTACTTAGTTGTAATCTCTTGTCTTCCATTAAGTAACTGAAAGCCTGGAGCAGAAGTGAGGAAGTTTCCCTCTTTGTAACCTGAGCATTTTGTGGAGGATAATGCATGGACTGTAAGTCAGCTTGCCTGAGTTAGAATCCAGGCTCTACCCCTTACAAGCTGTGTGATCTCTTGGTCAAGTTACTTAACTTTTGCTGTTTCTCAGTTTTCTCGTAAGTAAAATAGGGGAGGTAGTCATAATACCTATGTCGTAGACTTCTCGTGTAAACATTGAATGAGTTAATGCATATAAGGGACTTAGAAAATACCTTTCACGTAGTAAGCACTCAATAAATGCTAGCTTTAATTATTTATTACAGCAAAATAAGGTTACTTCTGTCTTTGAACTGTATATAAAATAAACCAAGCAGTTTAGGTTTGGCTACATCTGCTTCACTCAGTATTTTGTCTTCAGGATTCAGCCATATTCCTTTGTGTAGCTGTAATTAATTTCCTTTCATTGCTATATAGTATTCTATACCCATTTTATCTATTCTACTATTGATGGACATTGGGTTGTTCACAGTTTGTGACCATTGTGAACAATGCTGCTATAAACATTCAGGTACACATATCCTGGTCCACATAAGCACACATTTCTTTGAAGAGACTGTGTTTGCCCAGTATCCTCCTTTGTCATAAATCAAGCCTCTATGTATGTATGGTTATGTTTCTAGGCTCTCTGTTATGTTCTACTGTGCTGTTGTCTGTCCTAGTGTCAATATCATACACTTAATTACTGAGCTTTGTAGGACATTCCATACATAGTACCTGTGGACATGGAGGTGGGGGCTAAATTTTGAAATCAAGTACAGCAAAAACTCCAAGAGGTGTTATTCTTCCAGAATATCTTGAGTCTTCTTGGCCTTCTGCAATTCCATATACATTTTAGATTCTGCTTTAGAGTTTCCACAAAACCTGTTGGGATTTTCATTCAAATTCTGTTGAATCTATGCTTCAACTTGGAAGACATCGGCTGTTTACAATATTGAGTCTTCTTGTCAGTGAACAGGATAATTTTCTCTCCATTTATTTCATTTGTTTAATTTCTCTTAAAAAAATCATACTTTTCTCCACAGAGATCTTATATACCTTTCTTTTAGATTTATTTCTACATTCTTAAAGAAACACTCTTTTAAAATTTCATATAACTTACAATGATTTTGCTGAACTCTGCTTAGTTCTAATTTTAACTTAGATTATTTTGGATATTCTATATATACCATCTGTAATTAGTGACTGTTTCTTCCTTTTCTATTCTCATACATTTTATTTCTTTATCTTGCCTTACTGCCCTGGCTAGGACCTCCAGAATAATATTGAGTTTAAATTGTTAGAGTGGACTTTCTTGGCTTGTTCCTGATCTAAGAGTTTTTTAAGTTTTTTAATCACAAATACATAGTTTTAAGTGTTTTGACATTTATTGACCTGACCACATAATCTTTCATCTTTAATCTATCAGTGTACACAATTATATTAATTCCAAATGTTAAAAGTTTTGCATTCCTCGGGTAAACTCAATTTGGACCTGGTGTAATTCTTATATATTGCCTGTTTGGGGTTGTTAAACTTTTGTTTAGGTTACTTGCATCTATGTTCTTTAGTGAGGTTGTCTTTTAATTGTCTCATACTGTCCACAGTAGGTTTTAGTATATGGATTAAACTATTTTCATAAAGTGAGTTGGAAACTATTCCTGCTTTTTATTCTTTTATTTCTCCTTAGAATGTTCAATAGAACTTGTCAGAAATGGGCTGGGTGCAGTGGCTAACACCTGTAATCCCAGCACTTTGGGAGGCCGAGGCAGGCAGATCACGAGGTCAAGAAATCAAGACCATCCTGGCCAACATGGTGAAACCCCATCTCTACTAAAAATACAAAAATTAGCTGGGTGTGGTGGTGCACTCCTGTAGTCCCAGCTATTCAGGAGGCTGAGGCAGGAGAATCTCTTGAACGCGGGAGGTGGAGGTTGCAGTGAGCCGAGATGGCACCACTGCACTCCTGCCTGGTGACAGAGCGAGACTCCATCTCAAAAAAAAAAAAAAAAAAACTTGTCAGAAATGGCATCTAGGCCTAGAGTTTTCTGTCTCAGAAGATTAAATTACTGATTCAGTTTCTTGAATCAGTAAAGGATTATTCAAGTTTTCTAATTCTTTTTGTTAATTTTGGTGAGTTTTATTTTTCTGAGAATTTGTCGGTTTCATATACATTTTTAAATTTGTGACATAAAGTTTCAGTATCATCTTTTATTTCTGCAGCATATGAAATGATATCTCCTTCATTGTTAATACTGGGTGCTATATGTGTCTTTTCTCTTTTCTTTTTGTTATCAGTCTTGCCAGAGATTCATCATTTCACAGGGAACAACTTTTAGCTTTGTTAATTTCTTGAATATGTTTGTCTTCCATTTCATTAATTTCTGCTTCTATTTCCTTTCATCTAATTTCTTTGAATTTAATTTGATGATCTTTATGTAACTTATACAGGTAGATGTTTAGTTCTTAAATGTTTAGCCCTTCTCTTTTTTTGAGTCAGGGTCTCACTGTGTTGTCCAGGCTGGAGTGTAGTGGTGCAGTCATGGCTCACTGCAGCCTTGACCTTCCAGGCTCAAGCAATTTGGCCGTCTCAGCCTCCTGAGTAGCTGAGACAACAGGCCCCTCCATGCCCAGCTAATATTTTTATTATTATTATTTGAAGAGATGGGGGTCTCACTATATTGCCCAGGCTGGTCTCGAACTCCTGGGCTCAAGTGATCCTCCCACCTCAGCCTCCCAGAGTGCTGGGATTACAGGTGTGAGGCACTGCACTTGGCCAGCCTTTCTTTTCTAATATGTACATTTATAGCAGTAAATTTCCCTCTAAGTACTGCTTTACCTACATTTTACAAGTTTTGATGTGTTTACTGTTATTATTATTCAGTTTAAAATATTTTCTAATGATTTATTCTGAGATACATGTAATAAAAGTATATTGTCTAGTTTCCAAATGTTAGGAATTTTCTAGATTTATTAATTGCTTTAAAATTTATTTATTTACTTTTTTAGAGATGAGGTCTTGCTCCATAGCCCAGGTTGGAGTGCAGTGGTGCCATTATAGCTCACTGCAGCCTCAAACTCCTGGATTCAATCAAGCCTTCCACCTCTGCCTCTGGAGTATCTGGGACTACAGGCATGTGCTGCCATGCCCAGCTAATTTTTAAATTTTTAGTAGAGAAGGAGTCTCACTGTGTTGCCCAGGCTGATATCGAACTCCTGGCCTCAAATGATCCTCTCACCTTGGCCTCCCAAAGTGCTGGGATTATAGGCATGAGCCATTGCACCTGGCCTTTATTAATCATTTCAGAGAATCTATTTGTTGCTTTGCTTTTTCTCTATTTTGTCTCTTTACTTCATTAATTTCTGCTTATTATTTCCTTCTACCTTCATTGGGTTTAATTTGCTGTTTTTTAAAACATGTCTCATGATGAGATGTCACTGACTTGGTAACTTTTCATATTTTCTAATATTTTAAGTCAGCATTCACAATATTTCTATTAAATTTCTAATTAAAGTTTTAAAACAAGTTTATGGATACAAACTACTTTGTAAGTACCATTTCATCTGCATTCTGCTTTTTTTTTTTAACAGAACTGATTTCCTATGACAAAAGTATAGTGCCTATTCATTTTTTTAAAAGTAAAGGTAAAAAGAAGAAAACAAAAAATTTCAAATAGAATTCTACCCAGTCTTTAACACCCCATTTTAATAGCAAAGGCTTCACACTGCATCTACTTATACATAAATATGCATATATATGTTTATACATGTTAATGTATTATGAACATCTATGTCAATAAATATATGTCTATAACATCATTTAATGGCAATATAATATTCTACTCTAGTTACCACAATTTATGTAACCATTCTGTTGGGAATTTAGGTTGCTTCTAATTTCTCCCTATTATAAATAGCTGTGATAAACCCTTGTCATTAAAACTTGACCAGTATTCCTAATTATTTCCCTTGGAAGGAAATAATTGAGCCGAAGGACATATACATGTTTAAGGTTTTTGTCACACATTATAAAATTGCCCTTCAGAAAGTTGTATTGGTGTATTGTTCTATCAATAGTAGATTACCTACTTTAAGCAAGGTTTCTCCAGTGCCAAGTTGTGTATGTAACATGGATCACCAGCTTCTTAACCTGTAAGATTGGACCTATGCCCCTCCTCCTTTCAGCCATTTTTCTATATTTGTGGGTCTATTAATGGCAAAACCCTGATCTTGAAATGTAACGTACCAATCCTGTACAAGTTTTGATAGTACTCTTTTCATTATCATTGTTAGGAATATGTTCTGCTGGGCATGGTGGCTCATGCCTGTAATCCCAGCATTTTGGGAGGCCGAGGCAGAGGGGATCACTTGAGGCCAGGAACTCAAGACCAGTCTGGCCAACACAGAAAAACCCTATCTCTACTAAAAATACAGAAATTAGCTGGACGTGAGGTGTGCGCCTGTAATCCCAGCTACTCGGGAGGCTGACGCAGAAGAATAACTTGACCCTGGGAGGTGGATGCTGCAGTGAGCCAAGATCATGCCATTGCACTCCAGCCTGGGCAACAGAGCAAGACCCTGTCTTGGAAAAAAAAAAAAAGTTCTAATTTTCATTATGATGATTTCTTATTTGATTAATTGGCTATTTAGCATGATTTCTCAATTTCCAAGCATTTAGGGTTTTCTAGTTATTTTGTTAATTTATTTCTAACATAACTACTTTGTGGTTAGGAAACATACTCTGAGTACTCGTTTCTTGCAGAAGTTTTTAGACTGAGCTTTTATCTCCATAGTAAGCATTGAGGTTTTTGGGGTGTTTTTTTTTTGTGTTTTTTTTTTTGGTGGGTGGGGATGGGGTCTTGCTCTGTTGCCCAGGCTGGAGTGCACTGACAGAGTCATGGCTCACTGCAACCTCAATCTCCTGGGCTCAAGCGATCCTCCCACCTCAGCCTCTTGAGTAGCTGGGACCACAGGTGTGTACCACCACACCCAGCTAATTTTTTTTTATTTTTTGTAGAGACAGCATCTCACTCTTTTGCCCAGGCTGGTCTTGAACTTTTGTGCTCAAGCAATCTGCCTGCCTCAGCCTCCCAAAGTGCTGGGATTACAGGCCTGAGCCACCACCATGCCCAACCAGCATTGAGGTTTTTCTGTGCTACCAACATGACATACCAGAATTTATTCTGTACCCCATTTTTCATAGTGCAGCTCTATGGTCCCAGCCAGGAGCAAAGGGTGTTTCATCAGAGCCTTAACCTCTTAGATCACCCTGGTGCAAAAGCAACTGGACCCTGTCATTCTCCATCTGACCACCCCACCCCCTCCTACCTCTCTAGAGTTCCTAAAAGTACCCCTCCTTTCCAAAACCCACATTCTTCCCCTAGGGCAGAAGCAGCTCTTGTTCACCTCTTTGAGTTGTAATCCTTTCTCTGTTCTCAGGACTAGTTTTTCACTCACTATACTGTTAATTCTCACAAGCTTTAACAAAAACTTTTTGTTTGACTGGGCACAATGGCTCATACCTGTAATCCCAGCACTTTAAGATGAGAGGCCCAAGCAAAAGGATCGTTTGAGCCCGGGAATTCCAGACCAGCCTGGGCAACATAGCCAGATCCTGTCCCTACAAAAATTAAAAATAAAAAAATTAGCCAGGTGTGGTGGTGCATGCCTGTAGTCACAGCTACTTCAGAGGCTGAGGCGGGAGGATCACCTGAGCCCAGGCATTCCAGGCTGCAGTGAGCCATGATTGTGCCCCTGCAGTCCAGCTCTAGGTGACAAAACGAGACCCTGTCTCCATTTAAAAAATAAATAAATAATTTTAAACATTTCATACAGTTTTTGTAGTTGGCGTTTTTGTCATCCTCAGAAAAAATGCTGGTTGGAAAAATCCAGATTTGCTCTGTACAACAGTGTTCTTCAAGGATATTTGCAGATAAGTACCAATCTGTCACCAGTCTGCCATGAGATACATACAGAAATTGACAGTAAACATTTAGAAACTGTTACAGCAATTTGACATTGCTGTGAAATCATAGCACGTGATTTTGTGCCTTCAACTCCAGATAATCCTGTTGCCAAAGCAGCATATTTTGGAGTGGCATATTCTGATCTCCCTCAATGTGCAGCCAGTAATACCTTGTGCCTCAAGACCTGTGATCTGTTTTGTTTATTTGATGAGTTTGGTTTTGGATAATTTCTTAATTATATAAATAATGCATGTTTATTATAAATTTTAAAAATTCAGATGGATGAAAAGGAGAGACAGCTAAGCTCATTCATAATCCCATTACTTTTCACAATTCAGACTAAACTGCCCTTAATTTCTCTCTGCATACAGTATAGAAGTCCACCTCCCCCATACTCTTCCATAGGAGGGTTTCTTCTCCCTCTCCTTTCATTCCCTCAGAATGGAGCCAACTAGGAAAATTCACAATGTGTTCTTTGGGGGTTCTTGACAGCCCCAGAAGCACCCCAAGATGGGAAGCCAAAGAGAAGAGCAATAAAAGATGCCTTGTCAGTTTGTAGAATCATTATATTATCAAATAAAGTTTATCAAAGAATTGAGTCATCAACTTTGTTCAAAAGGTTCAAGGTTAGGATATCAGGATGGTATGTATTATGAATATGTGTATTTTAAATTTCGTTGAATAAAATTTGCATAAATAACAGTATTTTTAGTTTTTATTTCTATATCTCATGAAATTTAAAATTAGTAGATTGCTTCTTTTACTTTAATATCAATTAATATTATAAATAATCAAATAGCTTTAATAATAGAAAAATATTTTCACAGTGATGCCTCTCTTTCAGAGTAACCCTTCAAAGAATGTGCCTGTATATTTACTAAGTTGCACAGGTGGTTTTGTTTGATATCTGTGGTTATGAAGCATTGAATTAAAAAAAAACATATAATGGCTGAAAGATCCCATTTACAATAGCAACTAAAATATAACATGTACAGGGAAAAAGCCTAATAATAAATACTTTAAACCAATATAAAGAAAATCGTAAAACTATAACTTAGAGACATGAAAGGAAGTGGAGAGACATATCATGTTCATTGATGAGAATATTAGAAAATGTTAATTTCTAGAAGTTAACCTATACATTTACCATCTGAATCAAAATACAAAGATTTTTTATAGTTTGACAAAATGATTTTAAAAGTCAACTGGGAAGAAAAAAATCATAAGAAAATGTTGGTGAAGGCCAGTTGTGGTGGCTTGTGCCTGTAATCCCAGCACTTTGGGAGGCCGAGGTGAGCAGATCACTTGAGGTCAGGAGTTCGAGACCAGCCTGGCCAAGACGGTGAAATCCTGTCTCTACAAAAAAATACAAAAATTAGCTGGGCATGGTGGCAAGCACGTGTAGTCCCAGCTACTTGAGAGGCTGAGGCAGGAGACTCACTTGAACCTGGGAAGCAGAGGTTGCAGTGAGCTGAGATGGCGCCACTGCACTCCAGCCTGGGTGACAGAGCAAGACTCTGTCTAAAAAAAAAAAAAAAAAAAAAAAAAAAATTGGTGAAGAATAATGAGATTTTTTTTTGCCAAATATTAAAAGCTGCTACTACAGTATTTTATTTTGTCTGTCCATGTTTTTGTTTTTGTTTTGAGATGGAGTCTCGCTCTGTCAACTGGAGTGCAGTGGTGCAATCTCAGCTCACTGCAACCTCTGCTTCCCGGGTTCAGGTGATTCTCCTGCCTCAGCCTTCAGAGTAGCTAGGACTACAGGCGCAGGCCACCATGCCTGGCTAATTTTTTTGTATTTTTTTAGTAGAGACAGGGTTTCACCATGTTGGCCAGGCTGGTCGCGAACTCCTGGCCTCAAGCTATCCGCCCGCCTCGGCCTCCCAAAGCGCTGAGATTACAGGTGTGAGCCACTGTGTCCGGCCCTACAGTATTTTAAATGGTAACTTGATGCAAGAATAGGCAAGTCAGTGGAAGAAAGTAGAAACCTAAAAATACCCCCATGTGTGTATGCACATGTGTAGAGATTGTCATTTCAAGTACCAGTATTTCAGATATGACCAGACAAAATGGATTGATCCTTGCTGATAATTATAGCACAGGGCAGTAAATAATTTCCAAGTATTTCTCACGGACTGGTTCCCTCCTTAGTCTTTATACTTCTCACCACTTTGCTGCCTCCTCCCCAGGCTCCGTCTTTTCCCTCATCCCTTCTGGGTCCCTCCAGAAAGTCCTCTAGCTCTCAGAACATCTCCCAAATTCTTTTTGGAAACACCAGAGTCCATTGAGGCATTTTATTTGTAAGTATATATTACATCCCTAGAAAAAGAATTCCAGGATTTTCCCTCCTATATGTTTTCATCTTGCTTCTTCATGGTCCATAATGCCAGCTGAGGTCGTTAGTACAGTGAATCCAAACTGGTGGGATAGGAACAGGTTATTCTGCCATTTTACTAGATCTTTGGGTTGCACATCAAATCTGGGATCTGGGGCTGATCACTCCACACTTGTTTAACCTACCTCAGGTTCACAACAATTTTCCCAGCTCTATGATCATCAGTGATTTCAAATTCACCAATGTAACCATGCTTCATCATCACAGTTAGAAACTGGACAGTAACTTTGGAGCACAACCTAATAAGAACCTGGTGTTTGCCTCTTTTTGGTATTGTTGATGCTCTGGATAGCATCAGCCAGGACATTCATGCACACCATTATGGCAGCATGGAGAGATGGCAGAAAGAGCCTAAATTCTTATTGCTTCATTATGCAATCAGTTTAGCTCTCTCCTTTTCCTAACCCCTCTCTCATCTAAGTTGAATCGTGCTTACCCTCATATATCACAATTACAAAGGAAAACGCCTAAGCAAAACTGATTCCTTCGCTATGAGATGTTTTTTAGTCCTCATAGATCAACTAACCAGCTTAAACTACAGCCAGTTTTTAAAATAGCGTTTCTTTTCTCCCCACAGGACAAAGAAATGAAAAATATTTACTCTCTGTAGTAATCAAGGAAATGCAAATTAAAGCAATCATGAATGACTTTTTTCCTCTTATCTAATTGGCAAAGATGGAAAAAAAATAATCATTATCCTAGTAGAGCAAGGGACACATTCACACATGGTAGTGGGAGTATAAATTGTTAAACTGTTTCTGGTCTTGTGTATGTATCAAAAGTGTTATTGTAGGCCGGGCGCAGTGGCTCATGCCTGTAATCCCAGCACTTTGGGAGGCCAAGGCGGGCGGATCACGAGGTCAGGAGATCGAGACTATCCTGGCTAACACGGTGAAACCCCGTCTCTACTAAAACAAATACAAAAAATTAGCCGGGCGTGGTGGCGGGCGCCTGTAGTGCCAGCTACTTGGGAGGCTGGGGCAGGAGAATGGCATGAACCCAGGAGGCGGAGCTCGCAGTGAGCCGAGATGCACCACTGCACTCCAGCCTGGGCGACAGAGCAAGACTCCGTCTCAAAAAAAAAATGCTATTGTATATACCCCTTGTCCTAGCAACTCAGCTTGTAGGAATTTTACCATACAGATAATCAGAGTTGCTCACCAAGATGCATGATCACGTTCATCCAGGCTTTATTTCTGATGGTGGAAAATGAGTGCTGCCATACTAGGGAGTAGACTAGACCATTATAATAATGTTTATAGTAGACTAGGCAACTATAAACATTATTTTGGAGAAGAATCCTATTTGACATTGGAAAATGTTCCTTAGGTGTGAAATGGAAACTTGGTAAAGTTTTTAGAGCCTGTATAAATGTGAAAGTATTTTCATTCATTTATATAAAACCACACCGAGAATCAAATAATAGAATCAACTGTTCATTAGGTGTCTACAGTGTGTCTTCTGCTGAGTATTAGGTAGGGGTACATTGAAAGTATAAATATATTTTTTCTTGTTCTTTAGGACTTTACACTATCATGGAACTGTTGTAGGGCTTAAAGATGTGCATTTGTTCCTTGCACACCCAGTAGGTATAGCTATAATCAATGGGAAGAGCACAGGACATAGCTAGACAGAGATTTCGATCTTGTCCCTATCACATACTTGTCCACTCACTTAGACAAATTATTTGAAAATGATGCTGACCTCATGGGGTGGTTATAAGTATGAAGGGAGGCATAACAAGGACTGCTTCCTATGATGCCTCATGAATAGGAAGTATGTTAGTTCCTTTACTTTCCCTTCCAGAAGTTTCTATTTCCTCAGTATAATATCTGCAGCAGGTATATTGGGAAACTGAACTACTGAATGAATGAATGAATGAATGAGATACTGGATTTAAAAATATGTTATAAGCCTTAAAGCATTATGAAAATGTTAGCTGTTAATATTTGCATAGTTTCATTAATATGTATAATATGGCAAAATTCATGTATACATATATAGGTGTATGTGGGGGGAGGGGGAGGTGTTTGTATGTGCTAAATGTTATGGACCATATAGAGTTGTTATAGAATGAAAAGCAAAGGAAGGCATTAATATGGCTGGTAATCATTGAGGGGGCTTCCAGGGAAGGTAGGATTGGAATGAAACCTTGAATTAAGGTAGGTTTTGAAAATGAAAAGCAATATATACAAAAGTAAAAAAGAAAATGGTGTACTCAGGGAGTGATAATAAGACCATTCTGCCTAGAGAGGAAGATTTTCTTGAAACATCAGTGGACAAGGTAGGTAGAAGAGGCAAGGTGTGGCCAAGACAACAAGAGGCCTTACTTATCTAGTAAGAAATAGAAAACTACTGTAAGTTCTAAGACAATATCGTGACATTGCGTTACCAACACATCTATGTGTTACAATATGTTTGTAGCGATGAACTTTGGGAATGGCAGTGTAAACAAAAATAAATTTTATTTTATATATGTCATTGTTTTTTCCTTCCACAGTATATAGCCTGAATTTTCCATTTAGTGGTAATAACAATAGCAAGATTGTTTTTTAAATCCTTGTATTCTACATAACTGAATATTTTTGGAATTTGACTTAAAAATATGCACACAACCCTAGCATTGCTGTTTTCTGATGCTTCTTTTTGTGAAAACCTAAAGAAAAATTATAGTCAATTTTATATACTCAATGTTATTTGATATTACTGTTAGCCTACTCTTCCTGTTTCTTTCCCTGCAGATTTTCAATGTGAAGATGACTGTCATGCCCTTTATAATTTATGTCTATATTTCATTGAAAGAAAGGAGATTTAAATAACATAACCCTTAGCAGTAAATCAACTAATAACTTAGTTACAATGTATTCACTTTCAGTGTTGTCTTCCTGGAATTTCCTCTTTTCTTATGTTCTTTTTCACATTTTTTTACAGTATGGATGGAGCAGATCTGTGTTTTGAAATCGTAAAGCGAGCTGACGCTGGTTTTGTGTACAGTGAAGCTGTAGCCAGGTATGTATTGTATATCTAATCACCAGAGGTCAAGTTGAAAATAAAAAAAGAAAATGACAAAGACATCACATGACAAACTGATAAAGAGCATGCTGCTGCTCTTTGCTACAGGGAACATCTCTGTTTTAGTATGTGTTAGTAGAACCGATAGTCACTGGAAATGCAAAATACCGAACAATGAGTTTATCTATTAACATGGGTTTATAGGGGCCAGGCACGGTGGCTCACGCCTGTAATCCCAGCACTGTGGGAGGCCAAGGTAGACAGATCACAAGGTCAGGAGATCGAGATCATCCTGGCCAACATGGTGAAACTCCTTCTCTACTAAAAATACAAAAATTAGCTGGGCGTGGTGGCATGCACCTGTAGTCCCAGCTACTCGGAAGGCTGACGCAGGAGAATCGTTTGAACCCAGGAGGTGGAGGTTGCAGTGAGCCGAGATTGCGCTATTGCACTCCAGCTTGGGCAACAAGAGCGAAACTCAGTCTCAAAATAAATAAATAAATAAAATGAAAACGTGGGTTTATAATACAGGCTTACATTTTCAGTACTGCTGTCTTTCCCATTTCTGATGATTTTTGTACAGGAAGCGGGGATCTAATAGCTCAGGAACCATGTAGAATTCTACTTGGGTTTTTTTATTTTTGTTTTGGCAAATCTGCCTCATTAGTTCTTCATTTTGCCTTTTAGTGATATCAAATTATCTCACAATAATTAAGGAAAAGTAAAGAACAGTAAAAGGAAGAGAAATAAAAGCACCATTTTTAAAAATATATTTGCTTCAGGCCAGTGTGAGACCTACCAATCAAATGGCAGCTGTTGTTCTAAGTGGAGAAGTTGTTTGTAAAGACCTAATGACTCAAAATAAGAAGGAAATATGGGCCGGGCGCGGTGGCTCATGCCTGTAATCCCAGCACTTTGGGAGGCCGAGGCGGGTAGATCACGAGGTCAGGAGATGGAGACCATCCTGGCTAACACAGTGAAACCCCGTCTCTACTAAAAATACAAAAATTAGCCGGGCGTGGTGGCGGGAGCCTGTAGTCCCAGCTACTCGGGAGGCTGAGGCAGGAGAATGGCATGAACCCGGGAGGCGGAGCTTGCATTGAGCAGAGATCGTGCCATTGCACTCCAGCCTGGGCGACAGAGCGAGACTCCGTCTCAAAAAAAAAAAAAAAAGAAGTAAATATGAAAAATCACAGGAGCCATGCACGTGCTGGGCCACTTGCTTATACATTTAGAGCAACACAGCTTTCTGTTTTGGTTACATTCAATCATAATTACCCACTCCTGTAGGTTGCCTTTTTAATACATGGAATACAGCATCCCTCCTTAGTCACCAGCCATAGTATGTTGAAGGGTTCAAACTCACAAACATATTAAGTTTTTTTTTTTTTGCGGGGGGTGCGGGCGGCGGGGGACGGAGTCTCACTGTGTCATCCAGGCTGGAGTGCAGTGGCACTATCTCAGCTTTCTGCAACCTCTGCCTCCCAGGTTCAAGTGATTCTCCTGCCTCAGCCTCCCAAGTAGCTGGGATTACAGGATGCGCCACCATGCCCGGCTAATTTTTGTATTTCTTTTAATAGAGATGGGGTTTCACCATGTTGGCCAGGCTGATCTTGAACTCCTGACCTCAAGTGATCCGCACGCCTCAACCTCCCAAAGTGCTTGGATTGTAGGCATGAACTACCTACTGTTCCTAGCCTAGGATTTATGAAAACTTTTTATCATTTGAAAAACAGTTATATTAAATGATTTCCTCTGTCTTACCATTTCTTTTACAATTATAGCATCTTAGACAAACATAGCTGGAAACAACTTGGAGACCACCTTAATACAGCTTTGAGCTCAGCATGACTTGAATGTCTTCAAATTCATTGCCCTGACTCCTTCTGGCTGAAGAGCAAGGGACCTAGTCTCAGGGATGGAGCAGCCATGGCTATGGCACAAAATAAAGAATATGCTCAATGTGTGGTCGCTGTGTTTTTGTACTGCTGGGGCTAGGGCGAAGGAGCAAATGAAAGTTTATGTGTGTTCTTTAGGCTTCTGATCTATACGCGGTAGAACTAAAGCTAAATATTCTCTTTTCTTTTGTGCAATGTTCTCTAAAGCACATTCCAGGGTTTTTTTAAATCCCATCTTCTATTATTTTGAGTTTTTATTACAATTTTAAATTTTTATTCTTTCTTGTCCCTCAAAATTTTAAAGCATTCTTTCATACCAAAAATAGTCAATACTAGTGAAACTCAATGGAAGAAGGGGATTTTTCCCTTCTTGAACCACAATAACACGGGGATACCTGGCAGGTATGCTGACAGGATTGATGTGAAACCAGTACCACTTTTACTCTGGTCCCCAGTCATCTTTATTGCTTTTCCTTAACTTCAAGCCTATCTCTGCCACTGGGCTACATGTCAGGATAAGCAGGATGGTAGTGTGAAGAGATGATGTCATACAATGACATGACTTGTGGTCTCTCCTAATCTTGAGATTTATAGAAAAGGTAGATGTTTATACACATCAAAATGAAAGCCTATTGATTTTTAAAGCCACCTGTATAAGCTGTTAAAATGGTGAAAGGAACTTTCCAGAGTGGACCAGAAAAGAGTAGCATTGGGACCAGTAGATGACATTGCAAAGAGAGAGGTTTGGAGGCAGTTTATTAAAGGTTCTTCCTCTGAACAATAAAAAAAAGTAGGCGGGGACTCAGAAAGTATTATTATGTGTGTTTGCTATTGCAGAGGATCAATGACCATGCAACAAGGGCGCGTAGATTCTTCCATTGGTTTAATGACAGATGACTTCTAATCTTTCTTCGTCCTCTCTGATTCTGTGATTTATTGTTAGGAAATTCAGCTTGTATCAGTATTCTAGTGAGACCGACTGCAAGAAGACTCTGAGACACCAAGTAATCAAATTGATAATGTTGTTTTTCTCCAACTGGCTGAGCTTCAAGAGGAGCAGCAAAGCATGGCATAAAATAAAACTGTGTTCAGTCCTTAGTGCAACCCAATTAGTTATTACCTCCATCCTTTCAGGGGTGATGAGTTGTGGAGTGAGCTAACACACAAGATCAGATTATCAAATCAAACTCTCAGAGATCTTCTTAAC
Source organism: Homo sapiens (assembly GCF_000001405.40). Classification (NCBI taxonomy): domain Eukaryota; kingdom Metazoa; phylum Chordata; class Mammalia; order Primates; family Hominidae; genus Homo; species Homo sapiens. The sequence goes on along the minus strand of NC_000023.11, from coordinate 41,742,415 downwards.
TAGTACCAAGCTTTACTAAATAATCTCAAGGATACAGGCAGTCAGAAGGCTCAAGTGAAGCAGAGAAGGGAAGGGCAGCCCCCCACGTCACTTCTTACTGCCTCAGAAATGCACCTCTGGCCCAGAATAGATGAGGTTTATACTGGGGTTTGTGGGTTTCCACACACAAAGGGGAGCATTGCAAATATCTTCATTTTACACCCCAGAGATTTGGATAGCTCCATTGACATTCTCCAGGAAGCCATCTGTGCCTCAGAGATCCCGTGTTCTACTTACCATAGTAATCCTTAGCCAGAGATATCCTATTAAGGGCATTTCAGAGATAAGGTCTCTTCTGCCTAGCAAATAGCATTAGGCTTTTCACCTGCATTGACAAGAATAGCAGACTGAATCACCTCTCTTCTACCATGCTGCACCCCTGAAATGCCTCCTTCCAAAGGCAGTAAATGCATTGCTGGCCAGCTTTTTCCTTCCATGGAGTTATTATCTTGCTGATCCTTAGGAAAGATAAAGATAAACAAATATATTGCTGAGTTTCTCTGAAAGCACAGGTCTCTATGATGCTTCATGAAGTGAAGTTTTTTGATTAAAAGTTTAGTCAGCAACTTCCTAGAACATGTGGGCAGATTTTAGTTCTTGTTTTATTCTGCTTGCACACTTTGACATGCATTGCCTCGCAGGATCATGACTGGGAGGGTGGAGAAAGATAGTTCAGTTCTGTTATAACTTGGGAAGAAAAACAGTTCCACTGTCTCCACACACGCCGCAAAGATTCTGCTGTGTACATACGTTTGGGTCAAGTAATTGAGTGTTCTCATATGCAAATGAAAAAAGCCTCATTCATTGAGTTTGGTTTTGTGTTATGAGACTTTGAGATAGGAATTTTCTTTAGGTTAAAGATAATTTAGGTGGCTGTCTCAGTGCTTTGTATCCAAAATAGTTCATTCTGTGGGTACAAGCTATGTCCACTTTAACTAATTTAAATTTACCCAGTATTTCCATGTTGACATCTAGATGGACAAATAAGCTGTTCCTAAATCTTTGATTGAACTTAACAATAATAATATTGTACTAATAATGTCTTAACCTTTGTAGCATGGTTTAGAGTTTACAAAGCACTTTGACAGGTGTAGTCTCTTAGCCATTTCAAGGGGTTACAGATCTTCCAAAGCCTGATTTGAACCAGTAATGGGCCACAACACCAAGTTAACCCCTCATTTGAACAAAACTTATGGCCAGGCGTGGTGGCTCATGCCTGTAATCCCAGCACTTTGGGAGGCTGAGGCAGGCTGATCACTTGAGGTCAGGAGTTTGAGACCATCCTGGCCAACATGGTGAAACCCTGTCTCTACTCAAAATACAAAAACTAGCCAGGCGTGGTGGCGCATATCTGTAATCCCAGCTACTTGGGAGGCTGAGGCGGGAAAATCGCTTGAACCCAGGAGGCAGAGGTTGCAGTGAGCCGAGATCCCACCATTGCACTCCAGCCTGGGAGACAAGAGGGAAACTCCATCTCAAAAAATAAAAATAAAAAATAAACAAAACTTAATTACAGGCTACAATGGCCCAAGCAAAGAGTATATGAGCACAACCCCTTATATGTGCATTTGCAAAGTAAGATAAATTAAAACATCAGAGCTAATGATTACATGAGCCTAGCTCTCTGGCTTAAAGCCCCGTTGTAAGGAGCCTGTGATTAGTACAGGAACAAGGCTTGTGATTAGTACAGGAACAAGGCTTGGGTTTGTTTTTGTTTTTGTTTTTTCTCCTACCTTTCATTTTTAAAATGGAACCTTTCCAATTAATTGTAATACATGAAATAATGCATATGCTAACTAGAGAAATATTCCTGTGAGCTTGATTAAATGGTATCATGCCAAAGAGGGAACTTGATGGAAATGTCTTTTAATTGTAAAGCCAGGATAGGGATTTTTTTTTTTTTTTTAGTCCTGAGTCACATACACATGTTCAAGGTCACTTGTATCAGAAATATAAGATCTGGAAACAAAACAAAATTCTATAAATATTATACAGTGAACAGTGTTAAGTCTATTGCATTTCTGTCATGCTGGTTGGGAAGGAAAAGGGAAAAAATGAGAAAAGAAGGGGAATAGGAAGAAAAGAGACAAATATGGAGGGAATAAAATACAGAAAATGAAACAGATACTCAGAGAAAGAGTAATAGGGCAATTATAGAAGAACTTTAGAAATAGGAGAAGGAGGTTCTAAAGTGGTACTGAATCAACTGCTCTTGTCACACATGGTTGCTAGTTAACCCCATTACCATTTTTTAATTCCTGTTCTTTAAAATGCTGATTTCTTCTTTGTTCTTCACCTGTGCTCCATGAGGGCTCCTCAGCTGGCCATGTAAGGAGTCAGGCTTTCTAGGACATGTGCCTAGAATTAACTCCACTTTGTTCAAGGGAGCCCCAACTAAAACTTGATTATGTTACAAAAAGAAATTGTCCGATAAGGGTGGCTCTTCCCTCATTTGTCCTCACAGCTAAATAGAAGTAAGATGAAGAGCATCTTATTATTTGCTGGCAGATCAAAGGCTCCCACTGCTTGAGTCTGAATCCTTGGGGCAGCCCTGAGCACTGTTTACATAACGCAGTCCAGTTTAAGTAGAATTACCTGAGTATTGGGGAAAAAAATTGTCATGTTTTAAGCTTGAATTTTTAGTTTGCAAAGCAAATTTACTTATGAACTATGTGTAATTCTTTTGACTTAGATAGCTTAGAAAATATAGAGCATACTATTTCTTCATGAAGCCCATAAACTTTTGAGTCTGCCAACATTTTCATTATTAAGCCTCACTTTACACCAATCCTGTCTGCTCAAATCAAATGTGTCCATGGACAGCTAATATGAGAGTGGGAGTTATAAACTAGGAGCACTGTATATTAAGTTTTAAAATAAAAATTGTTTACAGTTTTTAGATTTCTTTTGTTTTTTACAGCCATTATATGAGACAGATACTGGAAGCTCTACGCTACTGCCATGATAATAACATAATTCACAGGGATGTGAAGGTAAGTCATTTGTTATCACTAACTTTAATGTTTGTGAAGAAATACTGATATAACAATGATAATCAAGAATTCTTCTTTAATATTGTCATAAAGAACATCTTAATTTTACTTCTAAGTAAAAATGTATTTAACTGCTTTGTATTTGGGAAGTCATTGTACTAATTCTTACTAGGAACACTATAATTTCAATTTATTTATTTTTACTGAAGTGTTCATGCAATCTAAAATTGTATTATTTCTCTTTTGCCATTGTGTGTGAGAGAGAAATGAAAAATCCAATAAATAGGAAAAACCAAACAATATCCTATACTGAGTTAATTGGGGGGGAAATTAGAATTTGGTTTATATAGTAAAAGTTAATCATAACATATTTTCATAATATTGCAATGCAGAATAGTCAGCATTGTATTTTTTTGCAGATAGTTTTTAAATATAGTATGAAATCATAATTATACATGTAATACGATTTTATGCTTGGAATACCGGTATTATCATTATTCAGTCTTTCTGCCTATTTCATCCCAGTATCGGGTTAATGAGAACTCTCAGTTCCTGGTTCTTTAACGGTGTCAAGCCAAACATAGAGGGAGGCAAGAAATGAGACCAGTAGGCCTTCCTCCTGATCCCTAGCTTCTCCCAAGGCCCAGAATCACTAGGGAGCCCCTGAGGTCCCTTTGACCCTGGGCTACACTTTTAAGCTCTGATATTTTGTCACTGGCCTTTCTCTAACCTCCAGCATGCACATACATAGTGTTCCTTCCCTCAAGATATATTATTAAAGGCCTGGCTTCTTCGATGTATTTAATACTTTAAATGATTAAGAAAATTAAGTAGAGTTTAATTAAAGTGTCTATAATGTTTGGGAAATTTTCACAGAAATCCTTGTAGTTAAAAGCTGAGGGAAAACATGAGCAATTCCAAAACCATCTAGTAAAATATTTTAATAGCAAATGAAAATCACTGGAGAAATATACAAAATACACATTAGTGTAAATTAGTTGTAAAATATCTCACTCATCCTTTTCAGATGTGTTAAGAAAATGATATTGTTATTATCAGAACTCAACACCGAGCATCTCAATGGGTCCCCCTTTATGAAAAAGTATTCTGGCCAAGCCCGGTGGCTCATGCCTATAATCCCAGCACTTTGGGAGGCCAAGGCGGGTGGATCACCTGAGGTCAGGAGTTCAAGACCAGCCTGGCCAACATGGTGAAACCCCATCTCTACTAAAAATACAAAAATTAGCTGGGCATGGTGGCACATGCCTGTAGTCCCAGCTACTTGGGAGGCTGAGGCAGGAGAATCGCTTGAACCCAGGAGGCACAGGTTGCAGTGAGCCGAGATTGTGCCACTGCACTCCAGCCTGGGCGACAGAGCGAGACTCCGTCTCAAAAAAGTATTCTTCAGTTATCCAAAAAGAAATAAAAGTGTGGAAAGGTAAAAGGCGGGAAATTGTCAACTGTAGTAGTTTGCTGTGCAGTTATTTTGCATTAATTAATGTAAGAAAGTTCATATGTAGAGAGTAAAATATATCTCTTTGTATATATTCTAAACTATATACAAGAAAAAAATGATAATTTAAAAACCTAAAATGTGTTCATGTAATAGCATTATGTTAAGAACTGTTTTGCTCAAGAGGCAATTTTATTTTGAATGAATTATTCTCGAAAGATAATTATATCAACATCATATAATAAACAATGATTGACAATATATTCTACTGTAATACTTTCAATAATGTAGTCAGCTTTTGATTAACTGGTATTTGATATGACAACCTAAACCTAATTAATATCCAAAAGTAGATAATTTGACCTCACCTTTTAATTTACCTTCTGATTTATTTATTTAACAAATATTTGAGTGCCTACTTTATACAGATTACTGTGCTTGGAGCCCTAAAAGTATTATGGTCTCAGTAGGGAGATAAGGCTCGGTATCTCTTATCTACTGTAGCAGATCAACACATGCCAAAACATAGTGACTTCAATCAATAACTGCTGCTTACTTGCTCACAATTCTGCAGTTTGGGCAGAGCTTGATAGGACTGCTCAATTCTGTTTCACAGGATGTTGGTGACGTAGCGTGGCTAGTTTCCACATAGGCTTCACTCATTTTTCTGACATCTCAACTGAAGTGACTAGAACAGCTGGGAGCTGGCTGGGCGCTCTTTGCGGTCTCTCATTCAAAACGTCTCTCTCTCTCCACGTGGCCCTATCTCCAGCAAGACAGTGTCTTAGGGCTCCAAAAGAGCAAAAATGGAAGGTGCTAGGCCTCCTGAAGCAAACTGACACTGTGTCACATCTTATGCATTTCATTAGTTGAAACATACTTCACAAAAAGGTCACAAGGCTAGTCTGAGTTCAAGGGGAAGAAACATAGATTCATATTTTGATTGATGGAGTGCCAGATATATACAAGGATGGGAGAACTTGTTCGTGGCCACCTTTAGAAAGACAAATAATTATTGTGCAAGGTAGAAGGTGATAAGTATCATTAAAAGATGAGGTCAGAGAAGTTTCCTGGGGGAGGTCACATTGGAGCTTGTTCTTGAATCATGGGGTAGTTATATGGAGACAAAAAGACATTTCAGGCAGAAGGAACAGTTTGTGCAAAGGCCCAAAAGTAGTCTTACGTTGGAGTATGTTAGATTAGTTTATTATTTCTAAAGTACATGCTAAATAGTTTAGAGGAAGCACGTAGAAACATGCCAAGGAATGAAAAAGAAGTAATTCTCAAACTGCAAATAAGTAAGAAGAAACCACCCCAAAAATTGCCATTGTTCAGTTGGGAGACACACTCAACACAGAGCACACGTTAATGTTGATATTCTTTTTTTGTTTGTTTTTTGTTTGTTTGTTTGTTTTGTTTTGTTTGTTTTTTGATACAGGGTCTCGCCCTGTCACCCAGGCTGGAGTGCAGTGGCGCAATCTCGGCTCACTGCAACCTCTGCCTCCTGGGCTCAAGCAATCCTCATGCCTCAGCCTCCAGAGTAGCTGGGACTATAGGCGTGCGCCACCACACCTGGCTAAATTTTTTTTGTAGTTTTTTGTAGAGACGAGGTTTCACCCTGTTGCCCAGGCTGCTCTTGAACTCCTGGGCTTAAGCAATCTTCTTACCTCAGCCTCCCAAAGTGCTGGGATTACAGGCGTGAGCCACCGCGCCCGGTGTTGATATTCTTTATATTTCAGAAGCCGAAATCCACACATTTTTACATGGGTGAATAGAATACTCACATTTAGTTAATTGAAAATTTTTAATGTTGGTGTATTTTTCTTAAGACATTCATCCAAAAGATATTTATTGAGTGCCTACTGTGTGGCAGGCACTGTCCTAGGAACCGGAGCTACGTCAGTGAAGAAAACAGACAAAAATCACTGCCCTCATGGAGCTGACATTCTAGTTCAGGGAGGCAATACTCAGTAAACAAATGAACTACATAGTAGGCTAGAATGTGAAAAGTATCACAGAAAAAACTAGAGTGGTCAGAAGGTTAGGGAGTGTCCAGAGAAGGGCTTGCTTTTGTAAATATGGTGGTCAAAGTAGGCCACATTGAGATGATGATATCTGAGCAAGGACTTGGAAGAGAGGAAGCGGGCTAATCTGACAGCTGAGGGAAGAGCACTTCAGTTAAAAGGAACAGCCAGTGCAAAGACCGAAAGACAGGAACACAAGTAGCCTGCTCGAGGAACAGCAAGGAGGCCGGTGTGGCTGAGGCAAAATGTGCAAAGAGGAGAGTAAAAAGGAGACAGGAGATGATCCTGCCTGGCTCAGACCAGAGTAGTAGCAGTGGAGGTAGTAAAAAAAAAAAAAAAATTAGTTAGATTCCTGATATATTTTGGAGATTATGCCAATAGGATTTCCTAATATATCTTTGGTAACGTAGGCAAAACTTAGTTTTATTCAAGACCCTGTTACAGGGGTATTCCAACATAGTGGTCATTGTAAAACTTCAAGAACAATACATTTCACATGCTAATAATGTAAATTTTCACTTGGTTTGATTTGTTAATATTTTTGCCAATAAAGCAACCTATGAGCTTTTCTTTCCATTCAGATATATATTCAGTGACTTATCTGTATGTAGATTTGGTTTGTATGTAGATTTTTGTTTCTGCAGTTAAAGTTTTTGTCTAAGTTTTCTTTCCTTATATTTAATAACGAAAACAGAAGAGCATTGCAATATTTTATTTCTCTAAGAAAAATTTATTTTATCATCTGTTTCATCTAGCCAAGAATATTCTCATTCTCTCTCTCTCTCTCATAATTCTTGGCATATGATCCAAAAGCATTACATTTCCCAAGGATCCTGTTATTATATTTATTAATACTTTTTTCTTTACTTTTTTACAAAAGGTATTTCCTTTTGTAATCATTGTAACTGAGTCTTAAAAGGATTATTTGGTTAGATTTGAATATATGGTACCATGTAATCTATTTTTGGGAACTGCTTGCTCTGAAGAAGCAGTTTCACATAAAACTGCATAAAAAGCAATCATATAATCCTTTGAAATTCGAGAGATGTGTGAACATAGTGCTGGGCCTCCCCACAGCCACACTTAGTGACATATCAGGCTATATTCTTTGCTGTGGGAGGCTGTCCTGGGAATTGTAGGATGCTGCTAAGCATCCTTCACCCACTAGATGCCAGTAGCATCTCCCCCTAGTTGTGACAACCAAAAATGTCTCCAAACATTGCTAAATGTCCCCTGGGGCACAAAAATTGTCCCTGGTTAAGGCCCACTGTCATAATAGACTGTTATAATTCTCAAGATTTGCCTCCCTACAGGTATTAATTAAGGCATGCATATAAATTTCTATTTTTTTCTGTCATCTTCTTCCCTTTAATTCTACTTTTTCTTGTGAAAGAATGTGAAAACTTTCATTATGTTTCTGGTATTTTTTTTTCTTCCTCTCACCCCTAAATTAAAAGTACTTTAGAAAGAAATAGCACAGTTGTCAAGGTAAATGCAACTCCTGGCTCTTTGCCTTCTTTCATGGGCTCTACTAAGCACTGAGAGTTTGTGGAATTTTCTCCTCTCTCCTAACTCTTGCAGGCAGCCTTAGATCATGAGGTTGTGGGGAGACTTAGTTTTAGACCTTTCTGTCACTCTGACCTACTCATGTATAATTCTAATAACTGAAGTTGAAGTGAAACAGTTTCTCTGAGAATGCAAATTGCTACCCACAATCACTTTCTATTCTGAATGGTGCCTGTGCCCAGAAGGTCTGGGTGCTGTTTTTAGTTCTTAGAACTGTGCAAACCCCAGTCACACACACACTCAGCCAGAGGCCAGAGTGTTTCTGAGTGTGCTTCCTTTAAATGGTTTTCCTTGCTAACCTGTGTGAACACGCCTGGCTGCTTTTTGGTTCCCTTCTGGTCTCAGTTCTCCTTTTACCTATTTAAGGCCAGACTTTATGATAAATTTGTGTTTATCATATAACACTGGTTGGCATGACATTGTGGATTTCTTAAAGCATTCCGTAGTCTCTTGTTCTCCGTTACTGATGTTTCTTTTACACCTGATACCACAACTCCCCAAAGTTTATCATGTTGTATAGAGAAATTTAAATTCTCATAAAACAAAAACGTATTTATTCTTTATTTATTTTATTTATTTATTTATTTTTTTTGAGACAGAGTCTCACTCTGTCGCCCAGGCTGGAGTGCAGTGGCGCCATCTCAGCTCACTGCAAGCTCAACCTCCCAGGTCCACGCCATTCTCCTGCCTCAGCCTCCCGAGTAGCTGGGACTACAGGTGCCCGCCACCATGCCCGGCTAATTTTTTTGTATTTTTAGTAGAGACGGGGTTTCACTGTGTTAGCCAGGATGGTTTCGATCTCCTGACCTCATGATCTGCCCGCCTCAGCCTCCCAAAGTGCTGGGATTACAGGCGTGAGCCACCGTGCCCAGCCACTATTCTTTATTATTATATTAACATTGGTTAATCTTCTGCATTTCTTTTATAAGATTTTTTAACATAATGTGCACGTTCAGTTTTAATGTGGCATTTTAATAATTGTACTTAGGAAGATCTCATGGATTACATGATTATTATAAATTTATCTTGTGTTTCTAACTGCTATACTTCTCTTTGCCCAGCCTACTCCTACAAAAAAAGAAATCAACTCCTTGGTTTTAAGTTTCTCAGCCTGAGCAACATAGTAAGACCCTATCTCTCTCTCTCCTTTTTTTTTTTTTTTTTTGAGATGGAATCTCGCTCTGTTGCCCAGGTTGGAGTGCAGTGGCACGGTCTCAGCTCACTGCAACCTCCACCTCCCACGTTCAAGCAATTCTCCTGCCTCAGCCTCCTGAGTAGCTGAGATTACAGGCGCCTGCCACTACGCTCAGCTAATTTTTTTTATATATATATTTTTTAGTAGAGACAGGGTTTCACCATGTTGGCCAGGCTGATCTCGAACTCCTGACCTTGTGAGCCACCACGCCTGGCCAGTAAGACCCTATCTCTATCAAAAAATAAAAATTAGCCAGGTGTGTTGGCACACACCTGTGGTCCTAGCTACTGGAGAGGCTGAGGCAGGAGGATTGCTTGAGCCCAGGAGGTTGAAGCTGTAATGAGCTGTGATTGTATCACTGCACTCCAGCGTGGGCAACAGAGTGAGACTCCATCTCAAAAAAAAAAAAAATTCTTTTGCTTATTAGAAGTGAATCCTTTTACTGTTCCTCTCCTTCTGAGCCAGGAGTAGCGTGTGTGATATAGCCAGAGGTTTTTCTGTCAGGTGCAACTATAGCTGTAGTAACTCTTCCCAGTGTTATCAATTCCATTTGAGTGTAGGGGCCATCAGAGGAAGGTTTGTGGCATTAGGCTGCTGGATTGAAATGCTTATGCTTAGCAGATTACCAGTGTTCCCTCTGTTCTCCCTTTGTGGTTTGCCGGCAGGATTTCCTTTCACCTTGTCTTCCCAGATTTGCCCGTAACTCCCACCCTGACAGAGCACAAGGCCAGTGATAGGCCTAGAGTCCTCAGCAAATTGAACAGAATGGGCCATCTTCCTCTTCTATCCAGGGAGTAGAAACTTACTTCCCTGTTAAGTTGTTTATCCTAAATTTTGTCTAGTCTTAATGGTTTGTGTTCCTGATTATAGTTTGAAAGCTGCCTTAATGAGAGTATGTGTATGCCTGTTTTCTACAGTTTAAGATAAAATCTTGTTGGCCTTTGAGTCAAAATTTGAGATTCCTGAAACCCCAAATTTGTGTTTGACTGTAACTCACACAGACACATTAAAAACACTGTTTTTTTGAAATCCAAACTTTAAAATAGGGTAAGTTTTGAAGGTGATTTTAAAACCAGGCACAGTGGCTTGCACCTATAATCTCAAAACTTTGGGAGGCTGAAGCGGGAGGATCGCTTGAGCCCAGGAGTTCAAGACCAGCCTGGGCAACATAGCAAGAGCACATCTCTACAAAAAAAAAAAAAAAAATACAAAAATTAGCCAGGCATGATGGCACACACCTGTAGTCCTAGCTACTCAGGAGGCTGAGGTGGTGAGATCACCTGAGCCCAAGAGTTTGAAGCTGCAGTGAGCTATGATCACCACTGTACTCCAGCCTGGACGACAGAGACAGACCCTGTCTCCAAAAACAGAAGTGATATTTTAAGTAAAATATTTACTATGCCATTAAATAGCCAGTTCTTCAATTACATAAAAAAATTCAACATGATTTAAAATCAACTGTTTAGGAAAGCATCTATGGTGTAAAGATATCCATGATGATAATGAGCTGAGTATATAGTTCATTCTTCAGTATAGGAAATTAAAATGTGAGTTTATCAGAATGAGTAACTTAAAGAGAAATTGCATATCTCTTTTCCTGCCTTTTTAAATGTAAGAATCTCTAGAAATATTTTTTGTTTAAAGTAGTGGTAGAGCTGTAAAGTGATTGTTTTTTAAATAATTATTTTTAGAAGTTGTATTTTTTGGGTTTTTTGTTTTTGTTTTTGAGACAGGGTCTCGCTTTGTCACCCAGGCAGGAATGCAGTGGTGCAATCATGGCTCACTTCAGCCTCAACCTCCTGGGCTCAACAGATCCTCCCACCTCAGCCTCCCAAGTAGCTAGGACTAGAGACATGTGCCACCATGTCCAGCTAATTTTTCTATTTTTTGTAGAGACGTGGTCTCACTATGTTGATCAGGCTGGTCTCAAACTCCTGGGCTCAAGTGATCCCCCCACTTCAGCCCCCTGAAGTGCTGGGATTACAGGCATGAGCCACTGTACCTGACTGGAAGTTGTATTTTTTTAAAACTCCTAAGTCCAGTGAGATTATTACATGCAGTATAGCTTATGTTAAACAAACATTACTGTCTTAGTCGGATGAGTTTTGGTCTCAAAACTCATGTAAGAATAAAACTACTTAGTCTGGGCACAATGGCTTGCCCCTGTAATCCCAACACTTTGGGAGGCCAAGATGGGCAGATTATTTGAGCTCAGGAATTCGAGACCAACCTGGGTAACATGGCGAAACCCCGTCTCTACAAAAAAATAACAAAAATTAGCCGGGCATGATGGTGGGCACCTGTGGTCCCAGCTATTCAGAAGGCTGAGGTAGGAGAATCACTTGACCCCGGGGGGGTGGAGGTTGCAGTGAGCCAGATCACGCCACTGCACTCCAGCTTGGGTGACAGAGTGAGACCCCATCTCATAAAAAGAATAAAACTACTTTTGTAACTGTGGAGAAATCTGTGCATCTCAGGAACTCTCCCTGATGGACTTTGAGTTACTCTATGATTTACATGTCTAGAAATCACTAGATTGGACACTTCCATTTACAGCTAGCATTCAGGGCGGTCACCTCAAGTTCCCAAATCTCCTTTGTCTCTGCACATTAATGAGCCAAAAATCCAATTACTACTATAAACGAATTGATACTCACTGTAAATATTTGAAGCCAGAATGTGTTCAGACTTTTCTCAGAACATTTTCATGTCTCAGTTAAGCATCAAAGTAGAAAAGGAAAAAAAAATTTACTGGGTTTTTGTGTGTGTGTGTGTGTGGTTTTTTGTTTGTTTGTTTTGCCCCCGGAATAACCTCTGGTGATTTTTGAACACATGGCTCTTGGGCAATGTACTGTGAATTGCTTTTACAGCTCTAACTCAGGAACAAAACATGCTATGAGATTAAAGCCTTGGAAGGATTACGTGAACTTACTTTAAACTTCATTTTGGACACTGAAGTAATTACTATGTGAAGAAAAAAAGGAGTCTTTAAGCAGTCTCTAACAAAGTGGCAAGTTACTATTAATGGTTGATTTTATTCAGCTGTTTTTGTTTGGTTATCTGAGAAGAGAATATCAGTACCATGGAAGTAGAAATAGACAAGAAGTTTATAGCTCCAAAGTGCTTATGATCTCTTTGGGCAGATAGTACACGCTTTTTTTTTTAATCATAATATATGTACTTATTACAGAATATAGTCACCATCATTTGTCTACTGACAAGATTACATGAAAGAAAAGAAATTAACATTAAGAAATGCTTATCTTTAAATGTTCACTTAAATATTAGAAAAAATTGGGGTGATTTACTTAACTATGCACATATACATACATACATACATATATATATATATATATATATATATTTTTTTTTTTTTTTTTTTTTTTTTTTTTTTTTGAGACAGAGTCTCACTCTGTCGCCCAGGCTGGAGTGCAATGGCATGATCTTGGCTCACTGCAACCTCCGCCTCCTGAGTTCAAGTGATTCTCCTGCCTCAGCCTCCCGAGTTCAAGTGATTCTTCTGCCTCAGCCTCCCAAGTAGCTGGGACTACAGGCACACACCACCACGCCCAGCTAATTTTTGTATTTTTAGTAGAGGTGGGTTTCGCCATGTTGGCCAGGCTAGTCTCGAACTCCTGACCTCAGGTGATCTGCCCACCTCGGCCTCCCAGAGTGCTGGGATTACAGGCATGAGCCACCGCACCCAGCCCACTTCAATATTTTCATCAGTAAATTAGTATACTTTAGAGTTGTGGTGATTAAAATAATATATGTAAAGCATATAAGTAGAATGCTTGGCAAACAGCAAGTGCTTACTAAGCGTTAGCTACTCATAATAGTAACAGCTGATTTAATAATAGGATCTGTAAATAAGATAGTATTTTCTGCTCTACAAATGAAGAAATTAACACGTACAGAGGATAAGTTAATTTGCCTAAGATTGTCCAGCTAAATAAAAAGTAGAGCCAGATTGAACCCAAGAAGTATAACTTCAGAGATCAATCTCTTAACTGCAATACTATTACACTCCCTTATTATTCATTCATTTATTTCACAAAAAATTAACTGCCAGGTACTGTTTGTCACTAATAACATTATTTATATTGAATACAGAAGAAAATATGCACAATGTGATGAAGATGGGCATATAATGACATAGCTTTTTACTTTGACAAAGCCTAATCCAAATATTTAAGCATTTTTATAAGTATCATCTGCTTTAAAAATATAGTCAATGAATATTGCTTCTCCCCAATAACATGAGCCAGATAATTTCAAATAAATAATATGTTTATAAAACCTTGGATTTTTTTCACTGTATTATTCATGCATTTAGGTAAGATGTGAATGAGGATATTTCTTATTTATTTTTTTACTTATTTTTATTTTTTTGTTTTGTTTTATGAGACAGAGTCTCGCTCTGCCTCCCAGGCTGTAGTGCAGTGGCACGATCTCCGCTCACTGCAACCTCCGTCCCGGGCTCAAGCGATTCTCCTGCCTCAGCCTCCCGAGTAGCTGGGATTACAGGCGCCCACCACCATGTCCAGCTGATTTTTGTATTTTTAGTAGAGACAGGGTTTCACCATGTTGCCCAGGCTGGTCTTGAACTCCTGACCTCAAAATGATCCACCCACCTCAGCCTCCCAAAGTGCTGGGATTACAGGCGTAAGCCACTGTGCCCAGCTACTTATTTTTAAAGATTTTAAAATTACCAATAAACACTAGCCATAGATTGACCCTTGTATTCTAACTACCAGAAAGCAGACAAGTCATAAACCATTTGCTTCTTTATCCTAGTCATGAAATAACGTGTTCTGAACAGAAGCACTGACAGTTGAGTTTAAACAGAAAACAGCCTGTTAGTTTCATATGAGTGGGATCCTTTCAATATGCTTAATTTTTGCTTCTGAAAGTTTCTGCCATCTCAACGTTCAGTATAACTGTTTTTTGAGTTTTATGAATATATGTTTATTTATTTTTAAAAACCAAAGAGATTTTCTTGGTGATTATTGTCAACCAAGCTGTGACATGTTAATGATGTAGTTTAGTGTCCCTAATAAAGTCACATGAATGCTTTTCTTAATATTGTGGGGTTTTCCATTCAAAAGTCAACCATATGATTGCATATGTGCTGAATTAGACTTTGTAAAGAGATTATATAGTGTCTTCTTGAATGTTTTATCTAATAAAAGAAATATAATGGGGTCTGTGCTACTTCTGGCCGAAGCAAGACAGGTGAGAATGTTTTTTGTTTCTATTAAATAATTCAATTGCTGACAGTTATCTCTTTGGTGTAGAACATAAAAAATGGGTTTAAAAATACTATAAGGAAGGAAGCAAACTATTAGTAGAATCTGGATGACCAAAAGATGTCTTTTCACAGAACTGTAAGTCAAATCTTTCTCCATAATGGACGTACAGGTTCTTATTTTTCTCAGATGGCTTACAAAAGAGTAGTATGATGTTAGTACTACTAAAAAGGAAAATCCAATAAATGTGGTTCCAATGAGACCTGCAATCTGAGAGATCATGGCTCCTAGTTCCATCTGCCGATTGTAGCATAGGCTCTCTTCTCCTTCTGTAGCCTCTATGACTGAGTAGTATACGGTAACTGGAATGATTATGCCCAGTACAACTCCCCATATGTAAATGCATAGTTTTCTAGCAAAGTTGGGCTGGCGAAATTTTTTCAGTAAATGGCCATAAAATATTTTCTCATAGCATGAAGTAGTCTCTTGCGAGGAATCCTTTTGCATTAAGGTAGCATAGCGGCTTATGGCAATCCAACTTAAAATTAAGAGACTGACAAACATACTTGCATGCATGGATAGAGTTCCCAGAAAATTGACCACTCTGCATTGAGCAGATTGATATTCCCATTGGAAACCTTTCAGGAAATAGATACTCATGAAAGGCATGGCACTGCACACAAGTAAGTTTGCAGTCACAAGGTGTGACAGGTAGATGTGCGTTGATGTTTTTTTACCTATTTTTGTTAAAAATATCCATTGAGAGAGAGTGTTTCCAAAAACACCAACAATACAAAGGAGGATGTAAATGATTGGTAAAGCCATGGAAGAGATCATAGATGGTTGAATACATGTTGTATTGTTGTTCATTTATGTCAGGTTTTCTTGAATTTTGTCACAGGAGCTAGAATAGAATTGCAGATATTTAATATTAAAATTATTTTTGGTACAGTATTTAAGCTGAATAGTTTTTAAAAAAGAAAAACATTGAATTAAATAAAATAGTAACAAAAATGTATTGGATGGAACGGGAAAGTATAGATGGCTTCTTACCTTTTCTAATCACGATTGTCCGGTTGAAATAAAGACAAAAAGTTACTTATTGTGATGGATAATGCCTTTGTCTGAAAAACAAAATTTGATGTGAATAGTTACATGCCTGGGATTTATAATTTTACTTAGAGAAATGTATAGTTCTTAGATTGTAAAACAATTTGTAAGTGATGATTGATTTTTCCTAGAAATATAATTTAAAAAATTTTAAGGCACATGTAACCAATTCATGTTGGCCAAAGTATTACAGAAGTATTTTGCGGCCACAATAATAGAGAGTTGACTGGTTTTTAATTACCACATTACTTATATATAGTTTTCAAAATGGTGTCTTTTTGTGGCTAGGCTAAAACACTCCTTTATAACCTAATACTATTAGAAGAGTCTCTTTTCATATTTCAGAAGTTAACTCAGTTCTACATGAACAAAAATTCAGGCAAGATCCTGAATTGAACAGAAGTATAGCAACCAAGGACAGACTCCAAAATCCCAGGGTCATTACCAAAGAATATTTAAAATGTCCTTTCAAATATTTAATGTTAAACTGTCATACTTCAATAAAAGTTTACACATGTATGTCAAAACTGTAGTTACAGCCAGATGTGGTGGCTCTGCACCTGTAGTCTCAGCACTTTGGGAGGCTAAGGTGGGAGGAATGCTTGAGACCAGGATTTCAAGAACACCCTGGACAACATAGCGAGACCCTGTCTCTATAAAAAATACAAAAACTAGACCGGGTATGTTGGCTCATGCCTGTTATCCCAGCACTTTGGGAGGCCAAGGCCAGCCTGGGCAACATGGTGAAACCATGTCTCTACAGAAAAATTAGCCAGGCATCCTGGCATGTGCCTGGAGTCCCAGCTACTTGGGAGGCTGAGGTTTGAGGATCAGTTGAGCCTAGGAGTTCAAGGCTGCAGTGAGCTATGATCATTCTACTGCACTCCAGGCTGGGTAACAGAAAGAGACCCTGTCTCAAAAACAAACAAAAAAAAACTGTAGCTGCTATGCTTGTTGGTTAGAGTGTCCTTGTGTGTAATTTGCTATCTGAGTTTTTCAGAGGATTTTTTTTAAAGGATATGATGTTTTAATCACAACATAAATGCTGGTTTTTACTTTTTTCTGTCTTATATTTAAATCTTTCTCGCTTCAAAGGGTACACATGAAGTGCTGAAGAATCATATACAAACTGCTTTTATTCTTATTTTTCTCCTTATTTCCTCACTTCTTTCAGGTGAGAATAACAAAAGTTACTGGATTCTGGTCAAATAAGAACCATGATCTCTATTCAGAATGTGCCATATTCTCTGTGTTCTTCACCATAGCCTTCTGAGCACCACATTCTCCACTCTTTCATGATCTAGAGCAAGGTTTCTCAATCTTCTTTTTAATCATGTTCTCTTTTGATAAACATAAAAACTGTACCATACACAACCCTTTGAAATTCTTATATCCCCCCAGCCCCTCAGGGCAATTTTACTCTCTACCCCCTTCAGAATTATGGTTTGATTTATTTTCTGCATCTTGGATTACAGAAATTGGGGTTTTTTTTCAAATATGATATTATAATTTTATAATAACTTTTTAAACCAATCCACACCCAAAGTCTTGAAAACTTGAGGACTGTGCAGTGTCTGTGGGTTTAAATAACAAGATTCTTAATTAATGTTTACCACTGTCTTTATAATTTTATTTCTTTGCTATTTTTATTTAGAAAACAGTCCATATGCTTCATTGTAAGTTTGTATCTGAATCTAGTGCAACCTGATGAATTATAATCTGGTTTCAGTTAGTGTAGACCCTGGTATAAATATATAAAACCTAATCTGTAACTTCACCAGTTCAAAAATCAGTCAGACAGTGAAATGAGCCAGTTTATTTAAGAAAAAATTATCTGCTCACAGTAGGTTTTGATTTTACATAAGGATTGGAGCTTCCTTTTATGATGCTGTTAAAGAAAAGCAGTAGCTCCTACCTTGTGCAGATAATGCATAGTATACTAAAAACTGCAAAGGTAATGGTGCTTCTGTATGAATATTAAATGCTTCCAAACAAAAGGGACATAGACTTCTGCAGAGGCTAGCTTTATCAGACAGAAGTTGAGTCTCTGTAGGACTCTCAGTGTAGCAGTCAACAACTAGGTCACCATCTTTACCTTCCCAAACTTGTATCTACTATGTACATCTCCTTCAAAAATAAACTTGGATCATAAAACTACTAGATAACTATTTTCCAGAATTTGGAAAGTACTATTAAGAAATCAAATAAAAATTACATGTTACAGATGCAAAACTGGTCTCCAGAAAATGTCTCTAAGTCTATATTCCCCTCAGGAGAATGTCTATCTCAAGTCACTCATGCATACATTTTGTCTCTGCTAATTTGACAAATGAAAAAAGTTCTACAACTCTTAACTTCAGTTACTAATGACTGTCTACATAGTTAATATGCTGACTGCCTTTCTTAATGATCAGCTTTCAAAATTTAAACCATTAGGTCCTGTTTATTTTTATAGAGTTTAATTTTTAAGCTAAAAATGAATAATAATCACTCTTACCTGTATGAGTAGTTTATGCCAACTAAGGTTATATTGTTCAGGGCAGTGATGCCAAATTTCAGACTTAAAATTCTCTGATCTTCACTCTTCCAATATCTTTAGTCAGTGTGAATAGATTCTTGCATGACACCAACTACAGTGGGAGGAAAAGGGGAAATTAAACAGAATATTGAAGAAATTCAATAGTTATGGTCAATGTGGCAACTGCCTCCTCAAAAAACCCTCATTTCTCTATTTCTGTAGTGGGAGGAAGTGGTGAACAATATACATATTATACTTCCTTATGATTATTTCATGAACTAGTTACACTCCAGTAACCTTTGTTTGCACGATTGACTGAAGTTAAGTTCACAGGTTTAATCCCCCATGGCCAGTTTTATATGACACAGTGATAGAAGGAGCCACTCTGTAGTAACCCAATACAAATATTGGTGCAAACTCGTTTGTAAAATTGTTTGTGGATGGCTTATTTGCAATCCATCTTTATCAAAAATAGAAACAAAACTCAAAGTTTTCTTATAACTTACTAGAATCAAATATTATAGAGCTAAAATAGAACTTCATGATCATCTGTGGACTGAGACCCTTTGTTTTAAAGTTGAAGAAGCTGAGGCCCAGAGGAACTCACTGTAAGCACAGACTGCACCCAGGGTTGGGTCCCAGTTTGGTTACTAATGAGTTAACCCACTCTGTTTCTAATTGCCCTGCACTATCTCCATTTGTCAACATAATACACTGTTTGGGGCATTTCATAATGGATTTGGCAAATCCTGGGAAGTGCCAAGTATGCCTCAGATCAAATGAATAGTTATAAAGAATTGTGAAACCATGACTAGTCTAAAACAATAAAAATTTTAAAAATAAAAAATAGAATTGTGAAACCAATTTTTTTGTTCAGGATTGTCGAATCAGTCTGTGACCTACTAACTAAATGAAAGCTAAGTGTGTACATCTGGGGAGGAAGACTTGCATCAAGCACTCCCTCTCATCCTTGAGTAGTTAAACCAGTGGGAGTCTGAAAAAGAGAACAGAAATCTAATTTCATCAAACCTGAGCATTTTAGTTATCAGTAAATCTTCACTTAAAATTTACAGAAGTACCTTGCCATTTCTCATAAACCCGCAATGCTTACCTTATTTCATGTTTATTTCATAAATTCTCTATGATGTTTGCTAATATTTCTCTCCAAAACAAAAGTGAGAACTGCCTAAAGTGTCCAGATTGTGTTCTGCTGCTGTTCATCTTTGCCTTGCCACCATTTACTTAAGAACAGTGACTCATCCAGGGTTACATGGCCGTTCATTACAGAGTAGTTTGGCTTTTAGAATTCCCATCACTTTTACTTCAGTAATGTATCATGTTCCAGGAAGGAATTACATAGAACAAAAAACAGTTTTAATTAATTTAGAGAAGAACAGAAATGGAATGCTATTTCTAAGTGATTGAAAGATAGTTGTAATATTATCTGTTCAGGCATAAGCGTCTTTGGTCCGAAAAAAGAACGCTCTTGTTTTCCTCCATTGTCTCCAAACTCAGTAAATGATACCATCACTCCTTCAGTTATTCAAGCCAAAAACTTACGAATCATCCTTAATTCCTCTTTCTTTCACATCTCACATCTAATCAATTGCTGGTACTACAGCTTCTACTATCACTACCATCATTCATTAGCCACATTTCATGAGAGCTTACTATGTGCCAGATATCTCGCTATGTGCCTTACATCCAAGTCTTATTTGGTTTTCACAACACCCTGTGAAATGTCTCATTTTAAAGGTGAGGAAAACTGAAACTCAGAAAGATCTCATAAGTTGCCCAAGGTCACACAGCCATCTGTCCTCACAGGATGGTGATTGGCTCACCTCAAAGCAACTAATTCAAGAACAAGTCCATAGCTGCAATGCCTTTTTGTGATCTAGCCTCTGAAGTCAACAGTGTCACTTCTGCAGTATTCTATTGGTCACACAGAGCCAGCCCTGCATCAGTGTGGGACGGGTAAATATCAGGAGGTGATGATCACTGGGAGCCATCTTGGAAACTGGCTATCACAGATGTCAATCAACCGTTGAAACAAAGGAAGAGTCAGAAGTACTGCTTAAAAACCGTTGTCAGTCCACTGGTTGTTTATTGGACAAGCATACCTGGATAGGTGTAAGTTTTGCCAGTTCTTACACTATTTTGGTTTTTAGGTCTATTTTTGTTAAACAGTGTAATTCATTCAACAAATACTTATTGGAGTTTCTACTATGTTCCTAGCAGCATGTGGAGGTCACAGAAGTAGGATGTTTAGTCACAAGCTAATTGAGGGTCTCTGGAAATTGAGCAGATTCCACAAGCAAGCCAAGAATTTAGATTAATATGTGATACAGATTTCAAATGCTCTGTGAATTAGAGAAGGGCAGAAACAGTGACTCAAAGTGGTTCTGAAAGGCTTTGTGAAAGCAAATGGAAGGAAAGAGAGGAGAACATAACCTAGTAAGTGACAGTTTTGTGCCAGGTATGGGACAGAGCATTTTATGACTAAGAACCCTAGAGATGTGTGGTGGGAGTCCCATTTTACACGGGAGGAAATTGAGGCTCAAAGAGGTTAAATAGCTTGCCTAGAGGAATACAATTAGTAAATTAGCTTTAAAATGACCTCATTCTCTGCCTTAGAAAGAAATTATTGGTTGTTCTAGCAGGTCAATAAGGGTACCTTATGGTACTCACAATAGGGTCATGTTTTAAGTATTTTTAACTTTGTTCAGATAGGGTTTCCTGTTCTGATTTATGTATTTGTGTATCCTGTTCTAGACTTGAGGTAGCAGAAACTGACCATGGAAGAAATCAAGTCCAGTTTTTTTCTGTCTTTGAAAACTCTGGACTTTGTTAAGCAAACTATTATTCCAACAATGGCAGTATAAATTCTTTAGGATTCAGTGATTTTGAGTTCCCCAATTGAAATATATGTAAATTTTATTTTCATTCTTCTAAGAAATTAGGAAATATTGTTACAATTGGTAAAAAGAGTAAATGTCAGGGAATACTAGATTAATAAAGTATGTTACAAGTATTCTGTAAAAGTGGCCCCTTTGGACTTTTCTCATTCAAATCACCAATAGTTTTCTTTGGTTCTCATTCATCTTGCCCATCCGTCTCTTCAAGGTTCCCCTTCTATTGTCCAAGTCCAAATGCTCTTGGCCTAACAGTTCTAGTTGATTCCTGTATCATCTGCCAAATATTGATCTCCTAAGTGTTCTGCTGTCACCCTTAGGATTTACTTCCTTGAGGTGTTAGAGTTATGTCCTACAATTGAAGTTCTGTCTTGTATTAATTTTCCTGCTTTTGAGATGGATTTGTGTATCAAGTGTGTTTTTTAATCTGGCCCCAAAATTCATCTGGAGTGGTTCAGTGAGAGTGTTTCAAAGGGCAGGCATATACTTACCTGGCAGAGGAGATACCATCATCAAAGGGCAGGCATGTGGACATTTATTTTGGCAATCCATGGTGGGCTATACATAGCAAGGGGACATGAGAGCTTTCCTGACTCACATGGATTGTTGGGGTTAGAATTAGGGTCCCTTATCAATTTCCCTCAGAGCCAGAACCCAGAGGACACAGGACAGCTTAGTCATTCCTGAAGCCATGTGCTTCATCTAGAAATTATTTTAGGCTATCCAAACTAGTGTTTAAACTGGCTGCAACTGGCCTCTTAAGTACTCTCACTAACCAATCAGGAGCTCAGGGCATTGGGAGGCTGGTATGCAGAAAGAGAAGACATGACTAATTTAGTACACATTAGAATATCATATTCAAAAGATAATTATTTCTTTAAATCAGGGGCAGTGGTAAGTAAGCCTTGTCCAGTTCAACATACACCCAAGCCAGTGGTTATCTTTAGGAGGAGTGAGACACAGTGCAGTTACTCAAAGCTATGGTTTGTTCAAGGCTCACTGAGCCCCCTGCCCTCTCCAGGAAGTGGTGTCTGGCCACAGCCTTGTTTCCAGTCACACTGTTCTCAGGCCCTCACCGCCTGCCACAAGCAGCTCTGATCGTGGGTGTCCCACCCTTAATCAGAGTGTGAAGAAAAACCTCTCCTTGTTCTGAAGAGCTGGTTTCTCAGCAAGCAATGGGAGCGTTTCTCTCAAGAATTACTTTTAAAAACAGCAGAAAATACAGTCTGAAGTTTGTAAATTTATAATAACACAGAAAAGTTATCAGCTTTTGTAAAAAGTAAAGCAGAGGTTCCTCTTCGAAGACTTTCCTCCCCATTTAATTAGGAATAAATAGTAACTTCTCTTAGAAGTGAAATTTATTCAAAGACCTGTGCTAACATTCTTAAATATCTGCTAGCCGTGATAAAGAAATCAATGTACTTTATGTTCTTAGCTCCCACAATTTAGCCTAAATATTTGCCCTGGCATGCTTATACTGGTGCAAGCAAGCATTGGGTCATAGCCTGTTCCTCTTCCTTATTTGCAGGTTTTTACTTTTCTCAGCATTCCACAAGTTACTTCCTCCTTCTTTTGTTCTCCTCTGCCTTTGCCTTTTTTAAGAAGTTCTAAGTTGCTAGCCAATCGGGACAGATACAGAATGCGAGGTCCCGTTCCAGCCAATGGAAACCGGACACAGCAGTAGGGTGGACACGTCAGCTTATAAATGACCCTGTCTCCTTTGTTCAGTGTACTCTTGTGGCAAAACTGCTGGCGAGTGTACCCTTTCTGCAGGAAGTAAAAATGGCCTTGCTGAGTAAATTAAATTTATGTTCAAGTGGTATTTCTTTATGGTACCGGGGAACAAGCATTTCAAACGCTTTTAAGAAAAGACTAATGACAAAACAGAAATGGACTTGGTGAGTTGAAAAACACATACACAAACTCAAAGGGCATTTTCTTATTAGTTTGCATTTCCTTGTGCATCCAGTGAACCAACTCCCCAGGAGTTGGATCCATCTCTAAATTCCGCTAGTAACTTCACCTTCAGTAACCGATTGCAGCACAGCTGCTGCTCCAAACTGTGGGTGACCACCCAGGAATTAAAGGTTCCTCATCTCCCAACCCTTTCATCCTTTGTCTTACCAAACCACATGTTTCCATGAACCTGAACCAGGGCCATTCCAGCAAACCCCACTTCATTGACACTGAGAAAGAGTAGAGACAGGCTTGGCTTCAGCTCACCTCCACTAGAGCACTCCCACTGATCACAAAACCCACACCACTACCTCAAATGCTAATAGTTCTTAAAGAATTCCAGGAATTGGCCTTATGAGATAACTAAGATTGCCTCAGGAAGGAATGCTGAACAATTGATTTACAGCCTTGTTGCCACAGGCCACGCCACCAGGTGGCCCATTACTCAAGATAACCATAGCAACCAGATCTGCTGACCTGCTTTGCTCAGCCCAGCCTGCATACCCTTCCCCTGTTACCAGTTCCTGCACTTTGCCTAATAAGAAAGCCCTATGACTCTTTTCAGAAGGAAGCCCGGGAATTCTCTCTCTCTTGTGCTGCCTCCCTTTTGTTTGGGCATAAGCTCCAGTGAAGCTTTGTCTATGAAAGCGCTTTTGGCCTCATATCAATTTCTATTGCATTGAGAGTCCAAGAACCCATGATCGGTAACAATGCCAATTGAGGGTAGAAAAAAGAAAAAAAATCACACACAAACCCAAAGTGCTTTTTCTATTCTCTCATTCAACAAGAGTCTAAACAGATGACCTCTGTGACCAAATGTGTGGGGATTTCTCCCAATGAACAAGCAAGCAAGCAATTCAGTGGACACCAGCTGTGTGTCCTCTAATTCAGTTCTATTCTGACACTATCTACCTGGAGATAGCGTCAGATCCCACAGGTTGAAGGCTGAGTCCCCAAGACTTCTTCCTACCTTCAGATGCCAGTGGCAAGCCCCAGGTTGTTTCACCTGTGCTTCTGACCGACAGGCTATAAATCAAAGATCCCACAGCCCCTCTTTGGGTCCAATTAATTTGCTAGAGCAGCTCACAGAATTCAGGGAAATACGTTTACCGATTTATTATAAAGTATATTACAAAGGATACAGTTGAAGAGATGCATACAGTGAGGTGTGGGAGAAGAGAGGGACGTGGAGCTTCCATGCCCTCCTGGGCGTGTCACCCTCCAGGAACCTCCACATGTACAGCTATCCAGAAGCTCCTTGAACCCTGTCATTTTGGGGTTTTATGGGGACTTCCTTACACAGCCATGATTGATTAAAGCACTGGCTACTGTTGATTACCTTAACCTTCAGCCCCTCTCCCCTCTCTGGAGGGTTGGGAGTAGGGCTAAATGTTCCAACCTTGTCATCCTGCCTTGGTCTTTCCTATGACCAGCCCCATCCTGAAGCTACCTAGGAGCTGCCAGACCGCAGTCACCTCATTAGCATACAAAAAGACATCACTTTGGAGTTTTTGAGGATTTTAGGGGTTGTATGCCAGACAACAGACGAAAGACCAAATATATATTTCATAGTATCCAGTCCACCCTCTGTCTTGGATCCCTCACATCAAAAGGATGTACAACTCAAAAGATACCGCCAAATTACTAGAATCTCATTCAATCAGTAATAATCAGTCCAGCCCATCATATTGTATGAATGTCTCCCAAGGCGAGGCCACTCAGGTTTGCAGGCTTCCATTCAGTCTTGTCAGAGTGCTCTCGGCAAACATATAGCTTCACCCTTTACAGCAGCTGGTATAATTAAGCTAGGAGACAGATATCATTTCTTGCTCTAAGCCTCTTTCAAGGTATTAATATAATACTGGGTTTCTTTCATTTCATAACCCATTTATTCTTTACTCTCACTACTATTTTTCCTTATCTCTATAAACTCCCAAACTTTTCCACCTTTGGATGGGACAATAGAATCAGCCACTGTGCTTATCTAGATTGCAGGCAACAATGCTAGTCTAGCAAGTGCTGCCCCCTCAGTCCACTCCCATTCATGTTAGAAATAAATTTTCGGTGCCACAAAGAAGAATCAAATCAGCACTCCCGCAAAAAGTTTTCTCAGCAAGGCAAATTAACTTCCATAGAAGCGTGCGTCTCGCGGGTGGAGCAATGGCGAGAGCACACAGAACAAAGGAAAGCAGGGGTTTTTATTCCTAATGCAATGAGTTTCTACTACTGTGTCCTGTCTCCATTGGATGGAGCTGGACCACACAATCGAAACTGGTCTTGGTTGGCTAATTTGAAGTGTGCAGGGAGGGGGTTACACTGGCGGGAAGGGCAGTTTTGGGGGTAAGAGCTGTTATGGCAGGAGGGGTAATTTGCAGAGTGAGTGACTAAGGGCAACGAGCAAGAAACAGCTGTGGACTATAGACTGGCGGGAAGGTTGTTTACTTCAGTCAGGGGCAAGGAGACATGAAGAACAAGGAAGTTGAGATTGAGAACAAAGAACAAGGGAGTTAACATGCCAAACTTTTGAAGAGAAACTGATTGTATCTGACATTCAGATAGAGTAAGGTTCCATAGGCACAGCAGAACGAGTGGGCTGTTTTTACCACCAGGGAGTATAGCTGCATTTATTGTTAGCCCCAATTTTGCCAGATGGGATAAGGCACAAGCCACCCCTTAGGAGTCCACCCCACAATCAGACCCTTAGGAATTCTGACTCAAAGTTTAAAAACATAGTTACAGTTTCTTACTTAGGAATTGCCCCTGCTTCCAGCACTTGTAGTTGCAGCCCTGGTCCTAGGACCAATGCATCAGGTAGGGGAAATGTAAAAAAAAAGTTGAGGTGATGTGGGAAAGAAAAATAAAGAGTGATCATTATACCAGTGTACTCCTCCCTTAGCAAGAAATGCATAGTCATACCAGCATCCTTCCACACCTCCTCTTCCCGGATACCTCAGAAAAGCGGAGAAATCTATTGAGTGGGGAAATTCCCTTAGCCCCACTCATGTTGAATGTGAGCACACACTTGCGAAGGCAAATAAGGCAGCTCTTCGTGCTTTCATCTCCCTCTGTTTTAGACAACCAGTGTTTTCATTGCCTGTTCCACTCTCTATCAAACCGTTACTCTGAGGAAGATATCTCTCTGCCCATTGCTGAACATTATAGGCTATATAATGTGTTCCTGGGTCTGAAGAAGTGACAGCCATCCAAATCTGTGCAATATCTTCTGCTCTAGCTTTTATGGCACTCTGAGCAAACTATTATTCTGAGAAGAATATCTCTGCCCACTGCTGGAACATTATGGGCTGTACCGTGTGTTCTTTGGCCTGAAGAAATGGTGTTCAGCTCTCCAAATATGTGCAATATCTTCTGTTCTGGCTTTTTTATGGTATTCTCATCATTCACATCTTCCACCGGGCAAGCAAAGCCCAGTCCAGAATCAGTGTCTACTCCTGTCAAAACCCATTTGTGGCCTCCCAGGGCTACCAGCATCAGCCTCACTTGCCAGCTTGTTCAGGGCTTTCCCACCAGGGAAATCTGCCCCACAGCCATGGGCAATGTCTGTCTCTTTTGCTGGCAGACAGAACAGTTTTTATTGGCATTTTGTGCCTAAGATGGTGCAAAAGAAACATGTCTAAATGCAGCCTATCTCTGCACTGTTGCAGTACCCGTTTATCCACTCATTTCACAGACCCAGGTGGCCACTTCAAGGGAGCACCCAGGGTTGTCTGCTTGTGATATCAATCACTTTCTGAACCAGGATCTTTTTTTTTTTTTTTTCAAGTCAGAGTTTTGCTCTTGTCTCCTGGGCTGGAGTGCAATGGCGCAATCTCGGCTCGCTGCAACCTCCGCCTCCTGAGTTCAAGTGATTCTCTTGCCTCAGCCTCCCAAGTAGCTGGGATTACAGGTGCGCACCACCATGCCCAGCTAATTATTTTGTATTTTTAGTAGAGACGGGGTTTCGCCATGTCGGCCAGGGTGGTCTCAAACTCCTGACCTCAGGTGATCCACCCACCTTGGCCTCCCAAAGCGCTGGGATTACAGGCATGAGCCACCACGTCCAGCCAAGAAAGGAGCTCTTCTGATGGGCATTGACATGTTCTACTTTAATGCACTCCTCAAATTTCCATAGGGCCATTCTCCATATGGGCATCCCTTTAATAAATAGGCCAGGTTTCCACTGCCCTTCTGCCTGACCATGTGGCCAGGCCACTGAGTCAGTAAAAAAATCAAACACAGGGGTTTTTGCTATTGTTCATTTCTGCAGAATGCAATTCAGCCACCAAGCTAATTTGGTCTTACCTTCTTTGATCAAGAGTGGCATCCTTCCAAACAAGATTGTTCACCTTGGAACTGTCATTTACACACCAAGCAACTCTTTGTTGGTCAGTTGAGAGCTGTTTACGGGGCCCTGTCCAAGTCTCAGTAGAATCCCGCAGTTCCTCACACAGTTCCAGAGTCAGTCCTAGGGGAAAAGAGGCTCCCTGCATGAGAGTATTTCCTCTTTGCACTTCCCAGGGAGGATGCTCCTGTATAAACCATTTCCATTTTATTATGGAAGTGTTCTGGGCACTGCCATCCCCATTTGAATGTTTCTCTGACATCATGTGAGAAAGCATGGGTATTTCAGGTGTCAAGATCATTTTATGTCCTTCAGTCATAGGGGTTAACTTCAGTTAATGTCCCATAGCAAGGTAGTAAATACCCCCAAGTGGAAATTCTCTACTGCAAAGTCCCAGTAGTTGTCACTGGGAGATGCTCACAGACTTCTGAGTAAGCCCCAGTAAACGCTGACAAAGGGGTAGCAAATGGAGAATTTGTCCCTATGATATTCCAGCTTCTATTCTACAGATTGTGGGCTTGGGTAATCTTACTGGTTTGCCATTTAGCATGTTCAATTAATATTGCTACAAGGGTGTTTTACAATACAAGGTAAGAGAAACATTCCCCAGTCAGACACAATATCCCCATAATACAGTCAAGTGAAAGAGATACAACCACTTCATGTAAAGTGTGTTCAAATGTACCAACTTACCTTAATTTTCTCAATGCTTACTTTCCTAACTGTAGCCTCTATTACGACTTTACCAACAGGTTTTGAGTTTACAGTACTAGGTAGGGGAAGTGTTCCCCACCCAGACATAATATCCAGTTCCATCAAACATTCAGGTAAAGGAGACATAACTTCTTTACATAAAGCCTGTTTATAAACATTCTAAATCTCGTATTCCTACCAACCCTTACTTTCTGTCCCAGTCCCAGAATTTCTCTTCTTCACTCCCAGACCATTTTACCATTTTCTCCTTAGAAAAAAGCTTTGAATCCCCAGCAGAGGGTTGAGCCAAGGGACCTTAGCCCTTTTGTCAATCTTTGTCTTGATTAACCTGCCTCAACACTGCTCCAAGTAATTGTTGGTCAGCTTTCTCATTGTAATCTCTTCCTCTCATTTTTTCAATTTCTCCTAACTGGGATAAATACACCAAACCTGTTTGGATCCTCTTACCGTTAGGAGAACAGCAGAATCTCCCTACCAACCTTCTATAGTGATGACCTTTGTTTTAACCCCATCGATTTCCACTTTATTCATCCCATTTTTTAATAGCCCTCTAAAGACTCTACCCTGCTTAGATGAGTCCCATGACTCTCCTTTCTTTTTCCTCTTAGTTTCACCCCATCAATGTTTTCTTCATTCACCTTATTTCTCAATAACCATTTAGACTTTCCACCTTCCTGGGATGAGTCCTGTGACTCTCCCCTCTGCCTTTCCCCAGTCTCTTGTTAATTACGCTCATGTTTTCATTGGTGCCCATACAAAAGAGGCTCCCTTAGCCATAGCATTTACTACAGCCAGAGTAATGGATGTATTCAGTGAGTGAATATCTCAGTCATCATAAAGCCAGTCCCACATGGTCTACATAGGAAGCAAATGAGCTGCTGCTTCAGGGTACACCACTTGGCATTTATAGGTGAAATTGGACAGTCCCCTTCTCAGGGTAAACAGGTCCAGTCCACCACGCTGGCCATTCCCTTGGAAATAACCTCCTGTGTGTCTGGAAATCTACCTTTCCATCTGTGATTGTTCAATAATGAACTGCAGGTCCTACCTCAACCAAACATGCTCTTCCACTCTTGAGCATTTAAAACCAAAGAAACTGCTCTGACAGTTCCTTCACAGTATACCCTCCAGTTTCAATAGTTTATCAGTTTTACCCTTTCCCCACATTGACTACCCTTCTTGATAACCACAGGTTGTGTAACTGTCCAGTGGGTTCATCTTGCCCGCTGTCTAGACAGAGCTGATTTATCAATACAGGGAAATTGCAATAGAAAAAAAGTAATTCACGCAGAACCAGCCGTGCAGGAGAGCGGAGTTTTATTATTACTCACATCAGTCTCCCAGAAGACTCGGGGATCAGAGATTTTAAGGATAATTTGGTGGGTAGTGGGCTGTGAATCAGGAGTGCTGATTGGTTGGCTCTGGAATGAAATCATAGGGAGTCAAAGCTGTCCTCTCATGCTGATTCAGTTCCTGGGTAGGGGGCCACAGAACTGGTTGGCAGGTCCAGGTGGGGCCATCCAGTTGTTAGAAATGCAAATACCTGAAAAGATATCTCAAAAGGCCAATCTTAGGTTCACGATAGTGATGTAAGTTGCAAATCTTATGACCTCCAGAATAATGGCTGGTAACATTTAGAATTCCAGCCCCTCTCATCCGTACTTGGTGGCTGGTGGCCTTTCATTCGTTTTACAAGAACAGTTTAGCTTTTGGGAAGGGCTATTATTTAAACTATAAATTAAATTCCTTCCCAAGGCTAGTTTGGCCTATGCCCAGTAATGGACAAGGACAGTTTAGAGGTTAGAAGCAAGATGGAGTTGGTTAGGTCTGATATTTTTCACTGTCATAATTTCCTTAGTTACAGTTTTGCAAAGGCAGTTTCAATCGTAAAGGTACTTCAGTGTCCTTGCATAATTTTTCCTTGGGGGTCAGCTTTGAGGCTAGTGGCCTGGGCTCAGACAGACAAAGTCTAACCTAGCATTCTCCTTTAATTTCATTTAGCTATTAGAGATAAACACCAAAGAATTTAGTATTTCACTTTTTCATATTAGTCTGCATACCCTCATGCAACCAGTGAACCAACTCCCCGGGAGTTGCATCCATCTCTGAATTCCACCAGTAACTTTTACCTTTAGTAGCTGATTGCAGCACAGCTGCAGCTCAAAACAGTGGGAAACCACATGGCCACCCAGGAATCAAAGATTCCTCATCTCCCACCTTTTTGACGCAGGATTTTTCTTGGCCACTTTGCCAATCAGGGACCTCCATGGCCAGCAACGCCCCCCTACCTGGCCTTTGCTTGGCCATGGGCCTGCTGAGGCGTCAGGCCCACTCACCCCACCTGTGCTATGGCTTGTACCTGCGTTCAGCAGTTCCCAAGCTCCTGTCCTTATCCACGAAGAATGAGGATACGCTGACAATTTGAAGGGTGAGGATGGGTAGGGAAGAATTTTATTGAGCAGCAGAACAGCTTTCAGCAGAGAGGGGACACGGGTGGCCCCCCCACCCCTGCAGTCGGGTGGTTTGTCTCTCTCAGTGTGGCTGGGTCCATGGTATTTTATGGATTCAGAATGGGGCATGTGTGCTGATTGGTTTGTGAGTATGCAGAAAAGGTTAAAGCGAAGACACCACTCAAAGGTGGGCACAACAGTGTAGAAAACCAATTAGGGAAGGGTAGGTATATGTAAAATAGGTGAGGGGCGGGGATCAATCAGAGGAAAGCACACCAAACAGGAAGACAGGTTCTCAATCCAGTCCATGGATTTACCCGGGACATGTAGGTAGGCTTTAAACTGTCTTCAGCTTGAAGGTCAATTTCACTGAGGACTCGCCCCTATCTGTCTAGGCATTTTGTCTGCCTCCTGCTGCTGTCACTTTCATTCTTTCTCTTCCCAAACCACATGTTTCTGTGAGCCAAGTCCATTCTAGCAAACCCTACCTCACTGAAACCAATTCATAGTTTGGAAGGAAAACAAAACTCACAAAGTACTTTTCTACTCTTTCAACAACAATTAACACAGATGATTTCTGTGACCAAATGTGTGGGGATTTCTCCCCAACCAACAAGCAAGCAAGCAATTCTGCAGTTGACACCAGCTAGGTGTCCTCTAATTCAGTTATGTTCTGACACTATGTACCTAGAGATAGCATCAGATTCCACAGGTTGAGGGCTTAGTCCCCAAGACTGGCCCCCACCTTTAGATGCCAATGGCTAGCCCCAGGCTGTGTCACCTATGCTTCTGACTGACTAGCTATAAATCAGGGATCCCACGGCTCCCTCTTTGGGCCCAATTAATTTGCTAGAGCGCCTCACAGAACTCAGGGAACCAGTTACATATACCCGTTTATTATAAAGGATACAGATGAAAAGATGCATAATCCTGGGGCACGGAGCTTTCCTGTCCTCTCTGGACAGAGGCACCACCATCTGGGAAACTCCACAAGTTCAGCTATCCAGAAACTCTCCGAACACTGTCCTTTTGCGGTTTTATGGAGGCTTCATTATGTAGGCATGATTGGTTAAACGATTGGCCATTGGAGATTAATTTAACCTTCAGCCCCTCTCCCCTCCTTGGAGGTTGGGGATGGGGCTTAATGTCCCAACCCTCTAATCCTGCCTAGTCTTTCAAGGCTACCAGCCTCATCCTGAAACTACCTAAGGGTTCCAGCCATCAGTCAACCATTAGCATACAAAAAGACATCATTCTGGAGTTTCTAAGGATTTTAGCAGTTGTATGCCTGGAAAGAGGGTTGAAGACCAAATATATATTTTATAGTATCACAGACCTGATCATCAAAGTTTCACTATCCTTCAGCTTTGGCTTTTGGCTTTTCATATAAGCTTGAGTGTGCTGGCTAAACATTGTCTTTTAGGAATGCACAGCATAGAAACTCTAGCGACTTCAGTGGCAGTCATAAGAACTGGAATCATTTCAGGGGTGGTAGTTGAAAAGCAGACAGGAAATTAGCAGGTTTAGAATAGGGGAGAAACTTTAGCATTGAATTACGTGAGGCAAAAATATATTTGAGGGACAAATTTTGAATTTTGACATCTTCAAATCAGTCAAACTTGGTTCATATTATGCTTCAGAACTAACCATTCTTTTCTGTAGATTCTTTAAAAAGCCAAAAGTAGATAAAGATTTCTATGAATAAAGCAGTTGAGGATAGAATTCCAAAAATAATGCTGTTCCATTGTATCACCCCAGGTACAAAACACACACACACACACACACACACACACACACACACACACACACACACACAAAATCTATACCCTGGGAAACAGTGACTTGGATTGCAGTGAGATTTAGCGAATTTAAAAGGCATCATATATCAGTGCCCAGAATTCTCCACTTCACTGTCTCTTTCTAGGGCCAAGGTTTCCTGGCCATTTTATTACCAATCACTTCTTTTGAATTTCTAGATACAATTGTCTTAAGGTGAAGTCCCCTGCTCCATGTAACTTCCTGTCCTTAATCAAGGGGAAAAAAAGAGATAGATGTCAAGGGAAGAGAAAGAAGAATTGAATATCTCATGTCTTCCCTCCTATACCCATTAGTGTCTGTATTCATTTTCTCTTAAGCGCCCCAAGCATGAAAGTCACAGGTTTCTCTGAGAACCACATTTAGAAAATTAATAATAATAAGTGACAGCCACTGATCTGCTTTTATATATATATTCATATAATTTTAGAAATATCTCTGAGATAGATTCTATTATTACTGTCACTTTCTAGATGATGGATGTGGGTCCACAGAGGATAACTTGCCTACAGTGATAAAACTGCTCTATTATAAGGTCTAGATTTGAACCCAGATAGTCTGACTTTAGAGCCCACATTCTTTACTGTTTTATATGGACTCTCATAATATATGATAATACTCAATAGAATCTAGTTTATTGCTTTAAATAAGGAGACCAGCTATCCCCAATGACCAAAAATATATCTCATTTATGTACTTGTTTCCAATTTTCAATCTCGAGATTTATTAACTCCTGCCAACTCTCCACTGTAAAGGTACCCTGTTTTCATTGTAATTGATAAGTAATCTGAAGGTGATATTTTAAGACTCTATGAGTATACTGTGTTTCCCTTTCACCCACTGGATTTTGACATTCTTCGATGATTCTCTTCTTGCCTAAATCAGCTGTTTCCTTGGTGGTGGCATCTTGGTAATCTTTTGGTGAATGGATATATTAGATTTGAAGTAGTCCTTTTAAGACATCTTTTGGTGAGTGGATGTATTACATTTGAAGTAGTCCTTTTAAGACATCACTCTAAACAAGTCTTGTTGTTTTATATTATTTCTCAAACAGCACTGTATGTGGCATAGTTTCTAATATTTTCATGTTGCCTCTTCTTCCCTTTCCTCTATCAAAAGCCAGCCTAAAAATGTATGGTTTTAATAAACCTACAAATAAAGTATTGAACTTGGAAGTATAAGTTCTCTAGAGTTCCAGAAATATCTGGAGAAAAAAAAAACTGGAAAGAAGAAACCTGCGTTAAATTTTATAATAACACTGAAAAAAGTCTTTAAGAGGGTCACTTTTTTAATAGTGCCTTGGCCAGCAGAGGGTAATATATTACCAGCCCTAGTTAAACCACTTTTGCTGACGCATAAACTGCCCACATTGCACTATTTTCCAGCTAGAAACATAAAGCAATAGAAAAGTTTGGGGATTTTTTGAAGCTCTAATACAACAATAAATTTCTTTTAGTAGCTGAAAACCACTTTACACATGATAGAAAAAAAGTAATTGTATAGACAATGGATTTCTGTCCTTAAGATGAAAGCCCGGTGCCACTCATCTGCCCTTAATAGGGTATGTCCTTTAGGGATAGTTTTTGTTTTGTTTTGTACTAGTGATTATCACAAGAGTTACTTTTGTAAAGTATTCACAACTACAGTTATCCTAGTGGTAGAAAGAAAGTCTTACATTTCAGTATGTGAAAGTTTTTATTACTGTATCTTTTAGTTTTTCTTTAACTTTTTTTAATCATAGAAATTGATGGACATAGTTTTAAAAGTCAAATAACACTGAAAAGCTTGTAATAAAAACATGTTATGTCTATTAATAAATGTAATTTAAAGTATTTTCACCTAATGAAGACAGTATAGGAGAAATCACCTCTATCCTCGACTATAGTCACTTCCTCCTGTCAGTGTAACAACTTACGCTACATATCCCTTCCACTTAAGTGGTAATTTTTTTTTTTTTTTTTTTTTTGAGATGGAGTCTCGCTCTGTCGCCAGGCTGGACTGCAGTGGCGCGATCTCGGCTCACTGCAACCTCCAACTCCCTGGTTCAAGAGATTATCCTGCCTTAGCCTCCCGAGTAGCTGGGATTACAGGCACGCGCCACCACGCCCAGCTAATTTTTGTATTTTTAGTAGAGACAGGATTTCACCATATTGGCCAGGATGGTCTCGATCTCCTGACTTCGTGATCCACCAACCTCAGCCTCCCAAAGTGAAGAGATAGCTTATAATAACCATTCCCTCTTTATTCAGCTCTCTTCATCAGGGGGAGCATGTACTTGTTTTTATCTCCTAGAACAAGTGGTTTGTTACTAAATCTTCAGCAGCTCCACTACTCCCTGCCCTTCATTGGTTTGGAAGGTACATTCTGTCTCTCTCTCTTTCTCTCTCTCGCTCTCTCATGCACACACACAAAGCTTTCAAGTAAAATAACTCAAGGCATTGTCTTTTTTGTTAAATTACTATATTTATTGTCATCTTTTTAGAAATCAGTGCTACACATATTCTTCATTTATATTTTTTATGCATCATTTATCTATTGCTGCATACTTAACTACCCCTAGACTTGGTGGCTTAACACAAGAACCATTTATTCACTCTCAATTCTGCAATTTGTTCTAGACTCAGCTGGGTAGTTCTGTTTGTCTCACCTGGTGGTCATTCATGCAGCTTAGTCATCTGTCAGCTCAGCTGAGGCTAGCTGGTTCAACATGGCCTCACTCACGTGTCTGGAGCATCACCTGGAAGAGTTGAGCAGGCTGTGCCCCTCTCTCCATGTGATCTTTCATCCTGGGCTTCTTTACAATGTGATGGTCTCAGGTTCCAAGAGGGCAAAACTGGAAGCTGCAAGGTCTCTTAAGGCCTTATTCAAATGTCATACAATGTCTACCACATTTTATTGGTCAAAGCAAGTCTTAATACCTGCCCAGATTCAACTGGGAAAGTAGACTCCACCTCTGGATGAGAAGAGTGGCCAGGAATTGGGGGCAATTTTTAATCTAACACATTTCCTTGGATGTGCTTTCAACTTTAATGTTCTAACTAGACTTGTTATATTTTCTCCTTGAAATGCAGTGAATTGGCTCTTTCTTTAGGGATTACTATAGTATGTGTATCTCAGAGTTCGTAGTTTCCTGGGTAATATTCCTAAAAGAAAAGGAAATTTTGCTTTGTGAGAGATACCCACCCTGTCCCACTTTGGTCTTGGAGCTGTCATGTTGTTTTGGTTGTTTCTTGTATTAAAAGGTATATTCAGTGTGCCATGAATCCAGCTGGGTACAGTGGCACTTGCCTGTGGTCCCTACTACGTGGGAGACTGAGGCAGGAAAATCGCTTGAGCCCAGGAGTTTGAGGCTACAGTGAACTATGATCGTGCCACTGCACTCCAGCCTAGGTGACAGAGTGGGACTGTGTCTCTAAAAAAAAGTATATGTGTATATGTATATATAATATGCCATGAATCCATGATGTTTCCTTTGTGCTTTTTATCTTCTATAAATCCTCTCCCTTTACCTTCTCTTTCCAGAATATTAATCTAACTTTTCAATAAAACCAGAAGAAAAGTCTGTTGCTCTTGCTTCCCAATAGCTAGTTTGATCCTGAGAGCTGGATAAGTTCATTGACATCTTCAATACCAGAGCTTAAAAGGATGTAGAAAGATGATTAGTCTAGCATGGTGGGGTAGCTTTCCCTCCTACCATGCTTATTCCCTCCTACCATTATTCAAGGTTTCATTATTTTCAGGATCATAAATGTCAAACTACTGGGCCATGAGACTTGCATTCACTTACTTAGCTGCATCCTCTCCCTACTTGCCACATCTTTTTGGAACCCTGTAATCAGTCCCCACAAGAGCTGACCCTGTGTGTTCCTGTGTTTTTCAAGTTTCACTAGCCACAAAGGGGAACTGAATATGAACATGCATGCAAACCTCACCAGTTCCCTTTGCAGCCAGCTGAAAGTTATTTTTCATGTAGAGGAAACAGTGTTTTTCTTTTGAGAACAAACTGAATTTCCACACAAATATGAAGTGTTTCATCTTCTGACAGTTCAGAGGACCCAAGAGAAGAGGGCACCAAATTGTGAGAAAGGCCATTAAAAGAGAAACTAGGAAAACAAAGAGACAAACTGAATTGGGGAAGAGAGAGGTGCTGCTGAGTACAGGAAAGGAAAAAAGCAGACCACGGGGAGGGGTGCCGGGGTGCTAGAAAGTCTCAATAAGTAATGGCACACAGGACAAGGCAGGAAATGTAGGAAGGAACTGTCTGCAAAGGGCCTATAATAGCTATGCCAGCAGTATTAATGGAAGGCATTAAGAACTTTTGGTTTAGAAATTTGCTGTTGGACAAAATTTCAAAATATACCACATTTACGTGATTACTGGGCCTGCCTGAGTTCATGCTATGGAGCCAGGTTTAGATGAAGGTGCCTTGTCCTCACTTCAGAATGCAATATGGTGACCTGTTTGGTGTCTCTGATTAGACGGAGAAAAACCAAGAATCAGATATGTATTAACATCTCTTCTAATTTTTTTTTTTTAGAAGATCTCTGTCACCCAGGCTTGAGTGCAGTAACATGATCGTAGTTCACTGTAGCCTCAAACTCCTGGGCTCAAGTGATCCTCCCACCTCAGTCTCCTGAGTAGCTGGGACTACAGGCACATGCCACCATGCCCAGTTAATTTTTTAATATTTTGTAGAGACTGCTTCGCTATGTTGCCCAGGCTGGTCTGGAACTCCTGAGCTCAAGCAATCCTCCCACCTCAGCCTCCCAGAATGCTGGGATTACAGGCATGAGCCACTGTGCCTGGCCCAACATTTCTTCTAATGGCATCCTGCCAGGTGCCCTCACACTCTCCTCCTTACTTGCTCAAGTTTCAGAGTATGGTTCTGATTAGCATAAAATACAATGGATCTGTTACCTCTCCTGTCCTGGACATTGCTATTATTAGTGAAAGCTGAGGCTGAATAAAATAACTCTTTCTGAGTTACTTCCCCCACCTCCCTTGATCCAGATCAACTTCCACTATGTATCTTCCTAGTTCTGATGTTTACCCTCAGCTTCTAGCCATTCCATTTTATGTATTTTCTCTGCCTTTCCCTTGGCATTTGGGTATTTAGATACCATATATTGCATGTTTCTACTTGGCCAGGTACATTTATTTACTCATTGAGTCCTCCTAACAACCCTATGAGTTAGGTACTACTATAATTCCTGTTTTCTTAGTAGAGGAAATAGAGCTTACCCAATGTTACATTGTAAGTGATGGCAGCAGAAATAACTCAGGCAGTCTGACTGCATCATTCACCCTTTTAACCAGTCTTTTATGCTGCCTCTCAGTTTGTTATTTAATAATGCTTAATATTATTGGGATAAGAAAACCTATTGGATTCAGCCTTACCATAATTCTTGCCATGGCCTTAATGATGGGACCATAATAATCCGTATACATTGGCCAAGATCAATCCCCTGGACTGTGTTGGATGGGCAATACCAACATTTTTCTAGCACTTTTTTTCTTCTAATTTTCCCTCATCTCCTAGTGAACAGCCAATTCTTTCTGTAGATATGCTAATGCATTTAATCAGGTCATCTCCTGGTCTAAGAGACTTTCTGTCTCTGAAGTTGTTTTACATATTTGTACTCAGGTATTTGGATTTTGTAGTTGAACTCTTAGAAAACATTTCTATTTTCATGTTCTCAAGGAACACCTGATTTCGACTCCTCTATACTATTTATAACTGAAATACCAAGCTATCTAATTATAAGATAATTTCATCTGCAAGTTCTTTAGCTTGGTCCTTGAGGAATGCATAAGTGCCAGTGTTTATTTCAATTTATTGATTAGAAAAATTTTTAGCTTTGCTTCTAGTGTCTGACAAAAGAAACCATAAGCAAAGTAAAAGACAAGTGCATAGTGTTAGAAGTTATTTGCAAACTATATAAATAACAAAGGATTTAGAACCCAGAATATATAAAGAACTACTTCAACAATTTTTTAAAAAGAAAAAGGAAAAAAAAAGATAAGCAACTCATTAGGGGAAAAGGGAGGGGGAGGGGTATAGATATGAATAGGCCATTCACCCAAGAAGAAAACTGAATGAGCAAAAAGTATATGAAATGATGCTTCATTTCACTAGTAATCAGGGAAGTGCAAATTAAAACCACAATGAGATACCATTTCATACCTACCAGATTGGCAAAAATTAGTAAATCTGATAAAACCAAGTGTTGGTAAGGTTGTGGGTAAACAGGAACTCATTTCTGCCTTGTAGTGAGATGGGCATATAAATTGGTAAAATCACTTTGGAAAGCAATTTGTCAAAACTGAGATAAGCTGAAAATGTACATACCCTTACAACCAAGCATTTCTGCTTTTAGGTGTTAGCCATAAACTTCACACATGGGCATTGGGTATACAAAAGAATTCACTTGAGCATGGTTTCAATTAGTGGAAAAAGTGGAAACCACCAAATTGCCCATTGTTAGGGGAAATGGAGAAATGAACCATTGTTTATTCATGCAGTAAAACACTACATCAGTGAAAATGAATGAACAAGACCTACATGAGTCTACATAGATAAACAAAATTTGAGTGAAAAGAGTTACAAAGAATGTAATAGTAAGATACCATTTGTGTAAATTTTTAAAAGAAAAAGTGCATATTGTTATGCATATGTATGTTGTAAAAGCACAAAAATATACGTCAGAGTGATATACACCAACTTCAGGAAAGAGGTTTCCTCAGGGAAGGATGTGAAGTGAGCTTTAATATATCTAACATTTTGGATGATGTATACGGGTATGAAAAAACTTTTAAGTAAAACGAAAATGTTAACATCTTTTCAATTGGGGTGATGGGTACTTAGCTGCCTGTTATGTTGTGTTTTTCCATTTTTGTATGTTTGAAACGTTTTATAACTAAAAACTATTTATATGTGAAATTACCAAAAAAGAATATAAGTGTAACAGTTAACTGTTGCTCCCAAAAAACTTGCATGACTTATTAAAGCAAAAAGAGATTCCATGTATCATCAACACCTGTATCCAAACCATAATTAGAAGGCCTTTCCATCTTCTGATGGTTCTTTATGCATTTCATGGGCCAGAAGCAAAACTAATAAGGGTAGGATGCTCTAATTTGATTCCATTTTTTTTCTTCTATTCAACCTGTATGAGTTTGTTCTGGATTATCGTACATGTTTCAGAGAGAGCTTCCAGAGTATATAAATGTGTGATGGTTAGAAGACTAGTTTTAAAGATTGTTTTTTGTTTTTGTTTTTGTTTTTGTTTTGAGACAGAGTCTCACTCTTTCATCAGGCTGGAGTGCAGTGGTGCAATCTCAGCTCACTGCAACCTCCACCTGCCAGGTTCAAGCGATTCTCCTGCCTCAGCCTCCCGAGTAGCTGGGACTACAGGTGCGTGCCACCACACCCAGCTAATTTTTGTATTTTTAGTAGAGACGGGGTTTCACCATGTTGGCCAGGATGGTGTCGATCTCTTGACCTCGTGATCTGCCCGCCTTGGCCTCCCAAAGTGCTGGAATTACAGGCGTGAGCCACCACGCCTGGCAAAGATTTTGTTTCTTTGGCATCACACAATTATGATGAGTGGTAAGCAGAAATTTTTGCCCCCAATACATATTAATGGCAATTTATGTTTTTTTATTTTATTGTAATTTATTTATTTATTTATGTTTTTGAGACGAAGTTTTGCTCTTGTTGCCCAGGCTGGAGTACAATGACACAATCTCAGCTCACCACAACCTCCGCCTCCCGGGTTCAAGCGATTCTCCTGCCTCAGCCTCCCGAGTAGCTGGGATTACAGGCATGCGCCACCACGCCTGGCTAATTTTGTATTTTTAGTAGAGACGGGGTTTCTCCATGTTGGTCAGGCTCGTCTTGAACTCCTGACCTCAGGTGATCCACCCACCTTGGCCTCCCAAAGTGCTGGGATTACAGGCGTGAGCCACCGTGCCCGGCAAAGATTTTGTTTTTTTTGACATCATACAATTTTGATGAGTGGTAAGCAGAAATTTTTACCCCCAATACATATTAATGGCAATTTATGTTTTTTAAAATAAAAGACATCTCAGCAATCACCATTGTGCTTGGACAGAACTAAACAAAAGTGAAAAGCATTAGCAGAGACAATGTCAGTAGAATGGAAGTCTACCAACTTGCATCCCTACATATGTAAAATACAGTTGCTGCTTACATCACAATGCCATGAAGATTAACTGATGATAATGCATGGGAAGCACCTAGAACAGTGAAGGGCACATAAATAAACAAATGTTACTTTGCTTCCCATTCCCTTGCATGTGAACTTGAAGTGGGGAAATAAAAGGAAAAATAGAAGTTTCGAACAAACTTACTACCTCCTTTCCAGTTCTGTGCTCACTGTTACCATCCCCAACCAGCTCTCCAAGTCTTCATCTGAAAACATGGACTGACTGAGGCACTATGGCAGCCACTCAGCTGGGCCATGTAGCTATGACAGAGGACACTACATCATCCAACATGGGAATGCCGCATAGTTTATCTCTCGTCTGAGTTGACATAATTCAGATTATATTCCGAGTTTCAAATCTTTTCTTCCGATTAAAAATACCCCTACAAGCCTCTTTACAAGTGAAGTTTGTTTGTTGGTGGCTGAAATAAAAGGCTCTCCAGTAAATGTCATATCTGTTGTGAATATTTTTCCTGCTTTGTACTTTTGCTTCAGTTTTTATGGTTTGGGACAAAGAATCTAAATTTTTAAGTCAAATCTATGAATTTTTCCCTATAGTTATTTCTATTATTTTGTTTGAAAGTTCTTTCCCATCTACAGATGAACTAGTCATTTTTTAATCTTTTATGGTCTCATTATTTACACTTAATTCTTGAGTGTCCTTATAAATTTTGGGGTATGATAAAAGGTAAGGCTGTAAATTGGCCTTTTATTTTAAATAGGCACAGCACTATTATTTATTAATCCATCCCTTCCTTCCTGATGCTTTTTGTGATGTTTCCTATATATGCAGTGATTTTCTCTGAGGGAGGAGAATGTATGGGGGTCACCTGAGCTTTGCAAAAACACACTTAACCCCACCTTTGCAAGATTCCAGCACATCTTGACTAACAGGAACCTTTTTTTTTTTTTTTTTTTTTTTTGAGACGGAGTCTCACTCTGTCGCCCAGGTTGGAGTGCAGTGGTGCAATCTCAGTGGGGCATGGTGGCTCAATGCCTGTAATCCCAGCACTTTGGAAGGCAAAGGCGGGCGGATCACCTGAGGTCAGGAGTTCCAGACCAGCCTGGCCAACATGGCAAAACCCTGTCTCCACTAAAAATACAAAAATTAGCCAGGCATGGTGGCACGCACCTGTAATCCCAGCTACTCCAAAGGCTGAGGCAGAAGAATTGCTTGAACCCAGGAGGCAGAGGTTGCAGTGAGCCAAGATTGCACCACTGCACTCCAGCCTGGGTGACAGAGTGAGACCCTGTCTCAAAAAAAAAAAAAAAAAAGTCATATACGTATTTTGTACTTTTCTCATATATCATCTAGGATCTGCTTAGACATGTGTATTCAGTTCCACAGATAAGTTTATCCTTGTGTCTGCTCCCCAGTGTTATCCTTACTGAAGGATAAGAATATATTTTAATATCTGATAAAGTATTATATTTTGAAAACCTAAAAAATAATTAGCCCATTAACATGTTGCTGCAGCATCCAGGTTGCTTGTTGGGAGAACTCTCTTCATATTGCTTTTCTTTTGTGGGATAACTTTCAGTAAGTCTTTCGTTCAAATAGTTATATTACCTCTACTTTTATGTCAGCAGGAATAAAGAATCCATTTTTTAAAGTTGAAAATAAAACTGTACTGGAAGAGGATTGTCTTTTTCTACTGACCTAATCTTAGAAATTCAACCACCATCAAACCTGGCTCTATACAGCATACTTTTCTAAAACTAACAGCAATATTCAACACTGAGGTCTCACTCTGACAGCCAGACAATTCATTTTGCCCATATTTGGTTTTGCATGTATGAGATGTTATTTAGAAAGCTGTTCTGAAGGTCTTTGCAAGGTAAAGATACGTATATACTTCTGAATTTCCTTTTCCTGTATGCTTCTAGAACTAAACCTTGGGTTAGGAGAGGTAGGAACTGTTTCCTGCTTGCAAATACTAATGCTTAGTAAGAAATGAAAGATTATATGTCATAAGTAGCCTTAACTTTGGTAAGACAGTAGCATATTTTTTCTAAAAATTTAGAAACCTTCTCAGGATTCAAGTTACTCTAAGGCATGTTATCAGATTTCTCTCAGTAAGCAATCTGTTATAAATAGACAGATTGATTTATATCAAAATGTATTTTATTCCAAATAATATAGCAATAATTAATTGAGTATACTTTAAAATTTTCTTAAGAATGCCATTGTGCAGAGCTTTATAGTAATCATCTAGTATAATGAGACAGCTTCTAGAACTATGAGTGTATTTATATTCATTTTAATGTCCCTTAAAAGTGATAATAATTGATAATATAATTTCACCAA
Organism: Homo sapiens; assembly: GCF_000001405.40. Classification (NCBI taxonomy): domain Eukaryota; kingdom Metazoa; phylum Chordata; class Mammalia; order Primates; family Hominidae; genus Homo; species Homo sapiens. The sequence continues at coordinate 41,699,546 of NC_000023.11, read as the reverse complement.
ACTGTATACAATGAGATATGTAAGATGTTTACCAGTAATGTAAAATAAATTTTTAAGTTTGAGGACATGAAGGAAAATAGAAGTTTTCATAACTTAAAACCATACAAACAGAAATGCTAAATTTCATTTAGATGGTATGTGTTAACATTGTCAGGGCAAAGTAATTAATATAATTTTGTCACCTTTTTCTGACCCTCTAATTTTTCTGCAAATTTCAGTATTTATCCTCAAATATTACTTATTTTTAAAATATACTTTTGCTTTGACTTATTCTTTATTCAGTTAATTATATTTGCGGGCACTTATTGAAATATAGTTAACTGGCCGGGCGCGGTGGCTCATGCCTGTAATCCCAGCACTTTGGGAGGCCAAGGTGGGTGGATCACTTGAGGTCAGGAGTTCGAGACCAGCCTGGCCAACATGGTGAAATCCCGTCTCTACTAAAAATACAAAACAGCCGGTCATGGTGGCGGGCGCCTGTAATCCTAGCTACCCGGGAGGCTGAAGCAGGAGAATCACTTGAACCCGGGAGACAGAGGTTGCAGTGAGCTAAGATCACGCCACTGTACTCCAACCTGGGCAACAGAGTGAGACTCCATCTCAAAAAATATATCTATATATAGTTAACTGAGCACTGTATACAAGCCAAATCTCATTAAAATAAACTCAGTTCTGATCAAAATCTTCATGGTCATTCACATTGATTTCTCAGCCAATGGCCTACCTTAAGTTTTAAGAAGTATTCTGACTCTAAAAAAATTTTATACACCATGATAGAAACTTTCAGATGAGTCCTTGGAGTTTGTCCTAAGATGCTTTTACATAAATTCAGTCAATAACATTCAGGTTCTGTGTATGACCAAAGAACTGGACAAATGCTGGCCAAACTTTCAAGAATGTTTGCCTAATGACACCCCCTAGATTGCAACTGTATGGTGTTCTATACAGCTATATTCAAATGGACTAGGAAAAAAGCTAATTACTCCCAACTTTTTTTCTTGTAAGCACCCCTTCCTTCCCTTTCTCCCTATCTTATTCATCCGTCCATTCTTCTTAATTATTCAATAAATGTGTATTGATCTCCTATAGCCAAGAAACATACTAAGCTCCAGGGAGGCAATGACGAACAAGACTAAGACCGCTTTCTTTTAGAGCTTGCTGTCCTGTTATTTTTTAATGTACATGAAAATTGCAGAGTTTGCTCCTTTTAATTCTAATTTGCAGGTTTTTATTGTTGTAAAGTATTTCAAATACCCAGGAGTTTACCAAAAATAATATAATCACGTGCCTACTACCTAGATTTAAGACATTAACATTTTGCCATATTTGCTTCAAATTTCTCCAGATATAACCATTAAGTTGGTATGTATCTTGTATATATTATCATACATGTTTTGTATCTTTATTTTATATGTATTGATCCATAAGAATGTGGTATTGTTTTCTACCAGGCGCGGTGGCTCATGCCTGTAATCCCAGCACTTTGGGAGGCTGAGGCAGGTGGATCACCCTGAGGTCAGGAGTTCGAGACCAGCCTGGCCAACATATGAAACCCCGTCTCTACTAAAAATCCAAAAAGTAGCCGGGCGTGGTGGCATGCGCCTGTAATCCCAGCTACTCGGGAGGCTGAGACAGGAGAATCACTTGAACGTGGGAGGTGGAGGTTGCAGTGAGCCAAGATCAGGCCACTGCACTCCAGCCTGGGCAATAAGAGTGAAACTCTGTCTCAAAAAAAAAAAAGAATGTGGTATTGTTTTATGTTTTTATATTTTACATAAATGATTTCATGCAGTACATACCCTTTTGCAATTTTGTGGGGTTTTTTTTACTCAACATTATATTTGAGATATACCCATGTTGATGCATGTGAGTGTAGTTCATTTCATTGCATCGCTACATGATATTCCATTTCGTGAGTAAACCAGTTCACTTCTCCATGCCTTTGCTGTTATGTCCTTATTTCCAGTTGTTTCGTATTATGAATGTTAGTTCACTGAGCATCATTACATGTTTCTTGTGTACGTATTTGAATGATTCTGTAAGATGTATACCTTGTAGATGACTTGCTGGATCACAGAATATGCATGTTCAATGTTACTTTATCAAACTGTGGCTGAAATGACCCTATTGTTTATAAACCTGTTTTAAGTAAGGTGTGGTTTTAAGACCTATTGCTAGGCTATTGAATCGTTAGCTTATCTGTTAATTTTTACTATACAGTATTTAAATTCTTTCCCTTTTTATCTAAGCAGTGATAGATAGTGGGTGATCTCATTTTTTAATTAGGATTTTATTAATTATCTTTTCATCTGTTATAGAGATTTAGGCATAAATGAATACAGTGGCAAATTATACAAGATTTTAAAATGATAAATGAACATATATTTTCTGACACATTGTCAGTTCCCAAATCATTTACTTTTAAACACACTTCAAATTAGTATCAAGTGCTTGATTTTAATAACTACTTTAGTCACTTGAGAAACTATGGCACTTTAATTATTTTGCTGTTAGAGCCATAAATTTCACTTAACTTCATAATCTATGTTAAGAGTATTAGCTTAAAAATGTATTTTGAAAAGATTTTACATACAGATTTAAAAGTTAGTACCTTGAAATGGTTTACAGTTAAGCAAATGAAATATCACAAATACAAGCAGAGCTTTGAGATCTGAGTTTTGTAAATGCTAGAACTTTGTTTCCTAATTTTTTAGTTCTTCAAAGAATTAAGAGGCTGCATTATATAATTCATTTTAGTATGTTTACCTCAAGTACTTTTAGAACTAGACTGTATTTTCACTGCCACAGATGTATCATGCAGGGAGTATCCTGGTTTAAATTCTGAAGTGCTTTCACTCCTACTTGGTTCACCTTGAAATCGTCTAAAAAGAAGTTGGCACATTATTTTGCGAATGTTACTGGACATCAGGAAATACATGACTGGATCTAAGCAACTATTGAAAGATGAGAGAACCAGCATGATCTCATTGGTTTTGTGAACAATTTCTTTCCAGTAGCAAGATGATACATTTAGCTGTGAAGAAATGTAGATGAATCGAAAGGCATGATAGGGAACAAAACATATAGTAAAAATGATAAGTACAATAAAGGAGTTACGAGCTGTAGTGGCATATTTACCAGAATTAGGAAATTTTGACCTCCTTTTAGAAATCCTCAATAGATTCTTCCCAATCTTAATATATGAAAGGATTATTAGTAAGAAAATTAGCCAGAACATTACCACAAGAATGAAGTTAAAAATGGCTTCTCCTTTTGCGTTATGCTTATCTCTGTAATGGAAACACATTGTGGAATTATGCCCTCCTTTCTTAAGTGTTAAAATAATCATAGTTAGGAATCCACCAAGAGCAAGCATCCATACTATACAACAGACATAAATACTTTGTTTGGTTGTTATTGCCTTCCGTTGCTGTATAGACCGATTAATTTTTATATAGCGATCCAAACTGATGAATCCAAGCAAAATAATGCTAATGTACATGTTCATATAAAACAGTGTTCCCACAACCTTGCACAGAATCACACCTAGTGTCCACTTGTTTTGGTTAATATGATACATTATTCGGAAAGGGAGGCAGAAGATGAGTAGGAGGTCTGCAATGGCTACGTTAAGTAGATAAATTTGAATGGAATTTCTTTTACGGTGAATACCCAGAAATACATAGAGGGCGATTATGTTCCCAACCAGTCCCACGATGAAAATAACAGAGTAGGATGTGGTTAACACAGTAGATAGCAATTTTTCATCCATGGGACAGGTAGTAACATTTGGTGTTGCTGAGAAGTTTTGTGGCGGTTGGTCGCTATGATTGGTTATAAAGCGCATTCTGTGGGAGGAGTAAGGCCAGCTGCTGACTGAAGTTGTCGTCATTGTTATGGTATGACTTCTCATTGTCTTCTGTGGAGATCAAAAAGTGAAAGTGCTAAATGACATATTCCTCATGTGTAGTTCTTATGTCTTCAGATTTTTCCTACAACGGAATGCCAAACATTGAGTCATTTGCTATTTTAATAACAGTTACTTTAACTAAAAGTGTAAATAATAGGCTGGGCTTCCCAGCACACGCCTATGGTCCTAGCTACTCGGGAGGCTACAGCAGAAGGATTGCTTGAACCCAGGAGTTCAAGGCTGTAGTGAGCTATAATTGAGCCACTGCACTCCAGCCTGGGCAACAGAACAAGACCCCATCTCTTTAAAAAAAAAAAAAAAAAAAAGACAGTGTAAATAATAAATGATTTATTTTCAGACATTGCGAGAAACTTTACTTTTATCCTACTGTATGTAGTAACATTATTGTATCATTAAACAAGCAGCACATAGTGTGGTATCTCATGGAGTTTCATGCTCTAACCTTTCCTGTGGCCATGGCCTACATTGAAGTTCTGTTTCATGTATTATATTAAAATAACTCAATTTATGAGATCATCTTCTCTTAGGGAAGTTCTTATGGGAATACAGATGGTGGTGAAGAGAAATGACAGCTCATATTTCTCAAAGATGAGCATCAGTTTCTCTAAAGGTATGTACAGCCATAAGAGAGCTGGGCCCACTGCTGGCCCTGCCCAGCTTCAGAACCACTTCCTGCCTTGACTTTTTCCCTCATATGTGGCATTCATTCATTTTGACATGTATTGCTACATGGCGTGTGACTTGTGGTGGTCTCATTCTATAAGTGGGAATAAAGAAGAGGATCCTAAATTTCTTTTCAGCCTAAGACCAAGGTAGGGGTCTTAGGGCATGCAATTAACATAATAGACTAAGAGAATACAGCACCTGCAAGGTTACACAGACTCTTGTATCACTGGACAGGAGAAAAAAGTAACCAAACAAAACCAAGTTAGCTGGCAGCTGCCAGTTAGCCACTCCTAACCTAGAAGCATAGAGTAATAACGTAGATGGGAAACAGCATGTGCAATCCAAGATTTTGAAAGTAACCTGACCAAAGCTTAAATGTGCCCTGGGTTCAATAATTTGAGACTTGCTAGAACCTTCGAAGAGATAGTGTTTGAATTCTACTTGTTTGTGGCAGCAGAGAATATTTGCAAAGCTACTTATTATTGGCCCATTGACTGCTGTAAAGAGCTTAGTCTGAGAGCTGGTCATAACAAGTAAAGAAAGCATTTCTGGAGGTCTCATCACATTCCTCTCATAGAGTGACTGCCCTATTTCTCTACAGCAGCCACTTAGCAGGGTTAACATAAAGATGCCCAGAGCAAGGTTCTCAAAATCAGACCCAACTAACTTGTGACCAAGGGCAAATAACTTAATCTTTTCTATGCCTTAGTTTTCTCATTTGTGAAAATGAAAAATGCATAAGAAGAACTTAATCCTGGCACATAGTGACTGCTTAATAAAAGTTAGCTTTAATAAACACCTTTTGATTAATCTCATTTTAGTAAATATCTCACACTTGGCTAAGTACTGTGTGGGAAAGGAAGGTGAATAAGACAGAGACCCTATTAGTAAACATTTTGGAGGAGTGGACATTCAAACCCTGACTGCTACCATGCAAAGTGGATTTGAATTACATAAATTAAGTCCCTGATTTGATCTTATACACAGAGAAAAATAGCCTTTCTTAAAGCTCTACACATAATTTGATTAAAAACAAAGCATTTTGGTAGAGGGTAACATTAAGATTTAAAATGTTGTAAAGTTGGGGAGCATTGATTCCACAGAAGAGGAACTGGCTGGTGAAGAGGAAGTTATGTAATCCCTGGTAAGAGCCTGTTTCCAGAATTCAGGAAAGTGGAGGGAGAAAGGAAGGGAGCGGGGAAGGACTGAGTCTAGTCTGTCATGTGTCTCAACTGCAGGAAGACAAATTTCAGAAAGTTTATAGAAAGGTATAGGCATGTTTCTTGTGATCTAAGATTCTGGTTTTTGTTTGTTTGTTTGTTTTGTTTTGTTTTTGAGACAGAGTTTTGCTCTTGTCACCCAGGCTAGAGTGCAATGGCGTGATCTCGGCTCACTGCAACCTCCGCCCCCTGGCTTCAAGCGATTCTCCTGCCTCAGCCTCCCGAGTAGCTGGGATTACAGGCGCCCGCCACCATGCCCGGCTAATTTTTGTATTTTTAGTAGAGATGGGGTTTCACCACGTTGGCCAGGCTGGTCTCGAACTCCTGACCTCAGGTGATCTGCCCACTTCGGCCTCCCAAAGTGCTGGAATTACAGGTGTGAGCCACTATGCCCAACCTGTGATCTAAGATTCTAAAAGGAAAGGGCAATCTAGAAAGAATGTCAGGCTACCAAAAATGAAACTGATAATGCAACCTGCATTACCAGGAAAAGGAAAAGGGTGTCTGTAGAGGAACCACCTATATTGTGTGGTTATGTAGGGAGCTCTCATAGGTTCAGGGAATTGAGGCACAAGAAGTAATGTGATTTTGAGAGCTCAAGTAGCTGAAATGACGTGAAAAACTCACCTGTGAGTAGTTATTTTGGATTTTTTTTCTTCTCTCATGTTAGAATTTAAGTTCCATTAGGATTAAGAACCAAGTCAATTTTGTTCGGCTCTCTGTACCTAATGCTTAGCATAATAAATATTATTAAATCAAAGAGGGAATTTAGTAGAAATGTATATGAAGTTCTACATGTGGATATTAAAAGCAGCTGTACAAGTACAGGAAGAGCTTTAGCTGCATTAACAAACACAATTGCAATTGCTCTATCACTAGCGTAGTGTGGTGGCAACGAAAAACCCATCTTTAGTTGAATTCCTAGATACGTGATGTCTGAAATGAAAATTGTTACTACTATGCTGCTTCTGTCCCAGGCTGGTAGGGTCTCACCTGGAATGCAGTGTTTGATCCACAGCAGCACACTTAGAAAAGGCCATGGACCAAATGGAGAGAAGAACTCAAATCATGTCAAAGAAGCAAGTTGAAGGAAATAGGCACGTTACCCTGGAGATGAGAATGCTTTACAAAGCCATAGAGAAAAGGGTTTCACTTTGTTATATGTGTCTTCACAAAGCAAAACAAGAACCAATGATAGAAATTGCAGAGACAGATGTTGCCTCCTTTTAAGGAAATCATTTTTTTCTAATGAAATGATCTCTCTTGGGAGGCAATATAAGGATCTTACCACTGGAGATTTTTGAGACTACCACCAATTGGGTTCTTTGTAGAAGGGATTATCAGTGGTTCTCAATCCTGGCTGCATATTAGAATCCTCTTGAGGGTTTTTTAAAGATACCAGTGCTTGGCTCCTTCCCCAGATATTCTGATTTAATTGGTCTGGAATGGGTTTCAGGCACTGGTTTCCTTTAAAAGCTCCTTAGGGGATTTTAATGTGCAGTCAGAATTGAACTCTTAAGCTAGATGGCCAAACCATTAACTAATATTTATTTAGTACTTTCTGTGTACCAGACACTGTGTTAAACACATTTATATTACTTCCTTTACATAATTCTTGCAATACTCTGTGAGGTAGGTATCACAAAAGAGGTAATGAAAGATCAAAAGGTTGGCCAGGTACAGTGGCTCACGCCTGTAATCCCAACACTTTGGGAGACTGAGGCTGGAGAATCACTTGAGACCAGGAGTTCAAGACCAGCCTGCCAGCCAAGGCAACATAGCATGAACCTGTCTCTAAAATAAAAAAAGGAAGAAAGAAAGAAAGTTCAAGAGGTTATGATCTTTACTCTTGGCCACACAACTCTTTTTTTTTTTTTTTTTTTTTTTTTGAGACAGAGTCTCACTCTGTCACCCAGGCTGGAGTGCAATGGCATGGTCTCAGCTCACTGCAACCTCCGCCTCCCGAGTTCAAGCAGTTCTCCTGCCTCAGCCTCCCAAGTAGCTGGGACCACATCCAGCTAATTTTTGTATTTTTAGTAGAGACGGAGTTTCACTATGTTGGCCAGGCTGGTCTTGAACTCCTGACCTCATTTTCCGCCCGCCTCTGCCTCCTAAAGTGCTGGGGTTACAGGCGTGAGCCACCGCACCCGGCAGGCCACACAACTCTTAAATGACAGTGCCCAAGTTAGGACTCAGATCTGACTTTTAGAGCCCATGATGCTTTTCACCAAATCTCACTCCTTATCACATAGGGTCAGCATTTTCTTTATTAATATTGAGTTCTATCAGCAGTATTTTGACATGATTCCTTTAACATACACTTTAACAATTTTAAGAACAGGTTATGCCATCTAGCTTTACTTCTTTGGAAAGGGTATTAATCTTATTTGCTATGTCCATTATTATAAGGAAGTAAATCCAGAGTTTACAGAATCACAAATCATTCATCAGAATGATTGCCACTACCCACAGAGCATATCTTTTTAAACTTCTAGACCCGATAGCCATAATCAAGATGTCTCCAGAAAGCTGTTAGCACAAAGCACATATCCTGAAACCATTTGCCTCAGCTCTAATCTGCAAATAAAATAAGTAATAGTTGGACAAATCTGTCAGTAAGCATTTCTGGTTTTGCTTTAGTCTTCAGTTTAAAGAGCATAAAGCAAAGCCAGTGCATTTGTTTATGTTATAATAGTGGCCATCATTTAGAACTATGTATTAGACAGCTAGCATACAATTATTGATTCACAAATTGACAGCTGAGCGCCATGGTTCATGCCTGTGATCCCAGCACTTTGGGAGGCTGAAGTGGGAGGATCACTTGAGTTCAGGAGTTCTAGACCAGCCTGGGCAAGATGGTGAAACCCTGTCTCTACAAAAAGTATAAAAATTAGCGGGTATGGTGACGTGCGCCTATAGTCCCAGCTACTCGAGAGGCTAAGGTGGGAGGATCGCTTGAGCCTGGGAAGCAGAGGTTGCAGTGATCCTAGATCACTCCACTGTACTCCAGCCTGGGTGACGGAGTAAGACCTTGTCTCAAAAAAAAAGAACATAAAAAAAAAAAAAATTGGCCGGGAGCAGTGGTTCATGCCTGTAATCCCAGCACTTTGGGAGGCCGAGGCAGGCAAATCACTGGAGTCCAGGAATTCGAGACCAGCCTGGCCAACATAGCGAAACCCTGCCTCTACTAAAAAATACCAAAAAAAAAAAAAAAAATTAGCAGGGCGTGGTGGCACGCACCTGTAGTCCCAGCTACTCCGGAGGCTGAGGCTGGAGAATTGCTTGAACCCGGGAGACAGAGGCTGCAGTGAGCTGTGTTCATGCCACTGTACTCTAGCCTGGGCAACAGAGCGAGAGTCTGTCTCAAAAAAAAATTTTTTTTTTAATTAAAAATCACAATTACATTCTGTTTTAAACTTGGTGACTGTTTTTTTTTCTCCTTTGAAGTTGGTTAGTACATTACAATGTCATTCACTATATAAGGCTATTTACTGATATTTTTTAAACTACCTGTTTGATATGTTAAGAATTGCTTGTGAAGACAAGAAACAAACCACTGTGTTTACATAGGGGATTAATTTCCCAGTGGGCATTACTTGTGACCCATGTGCTATATTGAAGTGGTCACAATAGTTTTGTAATAGTAGATAGTGTTTTTTAAATGTTGTTACTTGGCAAATCCTATTCACAAGTTCAAAAACCTAGTATTAGTGCATTGTACCCCCGCACCACCACCTACTCCTGCAGTTTTTTTTCAACTGGCTCATGTAGGAGTACTGGACCCAGAGGGCAGGACCCAACAGATTCCACTGTGACTCCAGATGAGCAGAAGCTTTTAAAATGCAGTTTGGGTATGTTTGTGAAAATATCACATTGCTATGTTGAAATACATACCTATTTGGTAATAGTCGCAACCTTTCACCGTTTTTAGTTTGACTTGATAATGACTGAATCTATTCAGGGCATGCTTCAAAATTGCATTAACTGCTGTATAAAAAATGAAAATTGAAAACATATTACTTTGGAAATAATACTATTAATAGTGTGTTAGGTTTTGTTACAAATTTAACTGTGTCCCTAGAAACACATTTTAAAAAATTATTATTTGAACTAAAGCATATTTTGCTTTCTCTCTTATCTAATATTCACCTTATTTACTTCTGAAACACCAAACTTAAATGTTATATGGTCTGGTAATACTATAAAATAGTAATAATATAATAAAGAAAAGACAGTAATTTAAAATAGGGAGACAGCATAACTTAAAGTCAATAAGTTATAATTTATAATACATTAGAAATAAAATGTATTGCATATGAAAATAACTTTTAATTCATGCAAGTAGATCTGCAAAATCTTGATGGCAGTATCCAAATGCAGTATCAACAATGTGACTATATTGACAGTAGGAGCTTAAATACCTTGAATGTCTTAAAGTACTTAAAGTAACTAAAAAGACAGTCTCATTTGAAATCAAGGCAGAGGTGTCATTCAAGCAATTTACTCAGTAGTTCTAAAAGCGAATAACTGCTGACATTAGAGTAGCCTTATCACCATGAATCACGTTTCACTTTGAATGTTCAGATAATCAAATTTTAGCTGAAATAAAGGTTCATTTATGTAGCCGAAATCAAGAAATACTCACAGTTCAGGTTCGCCTGAAGTAAAAGGAGCAGAACCCCAAGCTTCCCTAGACACTGAGACTCGTCTTGGTTGTGTCAGCTGGGCTCTTCCATCCGGTCGTGGTGCAATTGGTTGGGGTTCTCTTCTTTTTTATGTTCATATGTGGTGGTAGGGTTTTTTTTTTCCCCCTCTTTTTTTTTTTCTTTTTTCGGTATGACAACTCTCAGATTCCTTTTGAAAATATTAAAAAGCCCTACTACCATGGAACAACTTTAAGCTCAACCAACACTGAACTTTAGGAAATTATTTATATCTTCTTTATGAATACCTTCCAACTTGACAATTGTGGAATGTTTTCCTCCCCCCGCTCAAAATTTAAAAGTTTTATAAATTCTAAGCAGAAATATGTATTTTCTGTGTTTTGTAAGAAATGATACATAATATGCTATATGGACTTTCAAAGCACAAGCACTGAATTTCTGTTTCTTAAGTTTTCATCTGTACATTATTTTAGCATATTTTCATGTATTCCTTTAAGACCTTTGCTAAAACAAACTTGTATTATTAGGACTAGATGAGATTTCTGATGGTGTTCTCCCCTTTTGATCACTATGATAAACTCTCCCGAGCAAATTAAAACATCACCTGTATTTTAAGCGAAATAATGATGGGATTCTGCAGTCTTGGTTTTGATCCTAGTCCAAAATTTAACCACTATCTGTCCATCTATGTAACTGCTGGCCCTGCAGTTTAGTGTTATTTCCCTTTTTTTGTTGTCATTTGAAATGAAGAAGTTAGTTTTTATTCTCCCCATAATTGTTATCCTGCAGCTTGTTTGCACTAAATATTTGACTCATTGGGCTGTATCTAACATTCTAATTATTTCTGGGTACACTCTTCTGAACATTATATTCTCCAGAGCTTTTTGTTTGTTATAAATATGATTTATGGGACAGGATATTTTTAAATTAATAGAATAAAAATGTTTTGTAGCTCTTACTTCCCCTTAGAACCTCTGAGAAGGAAGGTGGTTGCTGTATTAGTCCTGCAATATTGTTGTATTGGCAGGATTTTATTTTATTGTGGTACAATATGTAACATTAAATTTACCATCTTAACTTTTTTTTTTTTTTTTTTTTTTGAGACGGAGTTTCGCTCTTGTTGCCCAGGCGACAAGAGATTGTACAATGGCACAATCTCGGCTCACTGCAGCCTCCACCTCCCAGGTTCAAGCGATTCTCCTGCCTCAGCCTCCCAAGTAGCTGGGATTACAGACATGCACCACCATGCCCGGCTAATTTTGTATTTTTAATAGAGACAGGGTTTTGCCATGTTGGCCAGGCTAGTTTCAAACTCCTGACCTCAGGTGGTCCACCCACCTCAGCCTCCCAAAGTGCTGGGATTACAGGTGTGAGCCATTGCGCCCAGCCCCATCTTAACCATTTTTAAGTATACAATTCAATAGTGTTAAGTATATTCACATTGTTGTGCAACAGTTTCTAGAAGTTTTTCATCGTGCAAAACTAAAACTCTTCACCACTAAACGATTTCTCTCCTCTCCCCCTGCCCTTGACAATCATGATTCTTTATGTTTCATTGATTTGGACTACTTTGGACACTTCATATGAGTGGAATCACACAGTATTTGTCCTTTTGTGACATGTTTATTTCACTTGGTGTCATATCCTCGAGGTTCATCTGCGTTGCAGCATGTTACAGGATTTCCTTCTTTTATCAAACTGCATTATATTCCACTGTATATGCACCACATTTTCCCTATGCATTCATCTGTTGATGGATTTTTGGGTTGCTTCCACCTCTTGACTAATGTGAATAATGCTGCAGTGAACATGAGTATGCATATATCTCTTCAAGATCCTAGCAGGAATTTTTTAATGACTAAATAGGCATTTAACTACGTGCATTCTATTTCATATAATCTAGCATGAATATATTTTTTTCTATATTATTTTCCTACACCTAAGACAACCCTTTTCAAAACACTAATTGTTTTAATCTTCAGTTTCCTCATATTGTGACCACATTTTCTCCTCAATGTGAGTCAGCACAGCTACCACCAGATTTGAGTATAATCTTTTTCTAGTTCTTTCTTTATATAAGCTTTTTCCTGTTCATTCTGAACATTCTGGTTTGTCTCTGCGTTCTTAGCTCATTTTCGATATGTCCTCTTCCCTTCACGCTTCCTCTTTCTCTTGTTGGGATTATAAGGTATTTATATTAAGATAGAAGTAGAAAAGAACAAATGTATACGCTTGTTTGGTGCCATCTATTACTGATATCACTGTTCTCTTTAAATCCCAACCCTGGTTAAATTCAGCTCACCACCTACTCCAGGCCTGAACCTTGCCATGTAAAATGAGGACTGCTGGATACAAACACTCAATGATGCTGATTGGTCTCACTTCAAATTCATGACTACAAACCTCAAGTGGGCCCCTGGGCTGCCAACAGTCCTAGTATATTTCCTTAGTCCAGTGGTTCTCAAAACAGGGGTCCCAAACGAGTTGCGTCAACACCACTCAGAAGCTTGTTAGAAATGTATGTTCTTAGCTGGGCATGGTGGCGTACGCCTGTAGTTCCAGCTACTTGGGAGGCTGAGATGGGAGGAGCACTTGAGCCTGAGAGTTTGAGTCTAGCCTGGGCAACATAGCAAAACCTTGTCCCTAAAAAAAAAAAAAAAAAGAAAGAAAGAAAAGGCCAGGTGTGGTGGCTCACGCCTGTAATCCCAGCATGTTGGGAGACCGAGGCGGGCAGATCACCTGAGGGTCAGGAGTTCGAGACCAGCCTGACCAACATGGTGAAACCCCATCTCTACTAAAAACACAAAAATTAGCTGGGTATGGTGGCACGCACCTGTAATCCCAGCTACTCAGGAGGCTGAGGCAGGAGAATCGCTTGAACCCGGGAGGCAGAGGTTGCAGTGAGCCAAGATTGCACCATTGCACTCCAGCCTGGGTGACAGAGCGAGACTCCGTTTCAAATAAAAAAAGAAAAAAAATGCATGTTCCTGACTTCATCCCAGACCTGTGAGCCAGAAATTCTGGGGATGGGGCTCAGCAGCCTGTGTGATTCTGATGCTAAGGTTTGAGGACCACTGCTTAATCAGTTCATTCTTCTATTCCTTGAAAATACTTTTTCACACCTGTACTCTTCTCAGACTGCCAGGAACCCCTCTCCTTCCTCACTCCCACCTGGTGATCACTTTTTATTTCACTGAGAAAATAGAATCACTCAGAAGAGAATTTTATTGTCTTCCAGTGTCCACCTCTGCTAGTATATACAAATGTCTCTCTAAGAAACAAAAGCCGGGCGCAGTTCTTCATGCTTGTAATCCCAGCACTTTGGCCAGCTGAGGTGGGCAGATCCCTTGAGCTCAGGAATTCGAGAGTAGCCTGGGCAACATGGCGAAAACCTGTCTTTACCAAAAACTACAAAAATTAGCCGGGTGTGGTGGCACATACCTGTAGTCCCAGCTACTCAGGAAGCTGAGGCAAGAGGGTGGCTTAAGCCCCAGGAGGTGGAGGCTGCAGTAAGCCATGATTGTGCCACTGCACTCTAGCCTGGGTGACAGTGAGACCCTGTCTCAAAATAAATAAAATAAAAAATTTAAAAACCTCCACAAAAAAGCTCTAGGTACTACTATGGAATTACCTGTAGAATATATTGTTATGTGGAAATTTTGAATATTTGTACATATTTTCTTATTTTTAAAAAACTGAAGGATAAACTGAAAACTGATAAAAATAGTTACCAATGGGGAAGAAAAGATTGGGAGTGGGGGAAGAGTGCAAAAGCTAGACCTCTCTGAATAGTATCTGTTTTACAGTTTGTACTTTAGAACCTATGTACATGTTTTATACAATTAAAACACCAAATTAAGGCAAAATCTAGTTGAAACAAATGAACCTCACTCTATTGCAAAGTGAAAGCATAACCACAAGGAGAATTATTTTTGGTAACTTTTAAAATAGGGTAGGGGTTTTTGTTTTGTTTTTACGTAATTTTAGACTTATAGAAAAGTTATGAGAACAAGTACGAGGATTCTAGATACCTTTTACTCAGATTCTCTATGTTAACATTTTTTCCTTCATTTGTTTAATCCTTCTCAATCTCTCACTCTTATCCATTTATGTATTTCCTAAAAATAGGGAATTCCTTTACATAGCTGCAGTACAGTTATCAAAATCAGTTAATTTATGTTGACCTAATATCATTATGTATTCTACAGACCTTGTTAAAATTTCATCAGTTGTCCTAGTAAATATCCTTTATAACAAAAATAAAAACAAACCGGGCACAGTGGCTCACACCTGTAATCCCAGCACTTTGGGAGGATGAGGCGGGCGGATCACTTGAGGCCAGGAGTTCGAGACCAGCCTGGCCAACATGCCAAAACACTGTCTCTACCAAAAATGCAAAAAATTAGTCAGGCATGGTGGCACGCTCCTGTAATCCTAGCTACTTGGGAGGCTGAGGCACGAGAATCGCTTGAACTCGGGAGGTGGAGGTTGCAGTGAGCAGAGATCATGCCACTGCACTCCAGCCTGGGTGACAAAGTGAGACCCTGTCTCGAAAATATATATATATTAAAAACAAGATCTATCTTTTTAGTCTCCTTTAATCACTTTAACCTGGAACTGTATTTGAAGAATATAGGCCAGTTACTTTCTAGAATGTCCCTCTTTGGGTTTGCCCAGGGTTCCTTCATGATTAGATCTCGTTATGTACTTTGGCAGGAATACCACAGCAGTGTTGCCAAGTTCTCAATGCATCATATCAGGAAGCACATGCTATCAATCAGTCCCATTAGAAGCAGTGTTAACTTCGCTAGTTTCTGCTGGGTTTCTCCCTTGTAAAATTACTAGTTTCCTGTTTGTAATTAATAAGTATGCTGTAGGGAGATATTTAGAGATCACATAAATATCTTACCACTCTTCAAACTTCCACTCACAAGTTAGCATCCTTGATGATTCTTACCTGAATCAGTTACGATAATGAAAACTGACAGATTCCAGCATTTCTTCTACATTTAATTGATTTTCTACTTAAAGCTTTTCCTCCTTCCCCATTCATGTATTTGTTTATTTATTTACATCAGCATAGACTCATGGATTCTTTACCCAGTAGTAAAATGCTATTTTGACCGGGCATACCTAGTGGGATATATCTTAAGGACAAAAAGAACCACAAAATCTTAAACAGCATTCAGTGGTGTTGTTATTGATAATGTAGGTATTACTATTATTTTAAAACTTTCACACACACATACACACACATTCTGAAGCACAAAGCAAATGAGTAATTATGTTAGTATCATTAGGTACCAAGATTACAGTTGACCCTTGAACAACATGGGGATTGGGGTACTAATCCCCGCACAGTTGAAAATCCATGCATAACTTTTGACTCCCCCAAAACTTAACTACTCCTGGAAGCCTTACCAATAACATAGTTGATTAACACATATTTTGTGTTATATGCATCAAGGGAGCCTCAAGTGATCCTCAAGTGATCCTCCCACCTCGACCTTCCAAAGCACTGGGATCATAGGCATGAGCCACCACTCCCAGCCGGTTTGATAATTATAGAAAGAGGTTTGGCTTTAAAAATGTCAAAATAGCAGGATGCAGTGGCACATGCCTATAGTCCCAGCTACTCAGGAATCTGAGGCAGGAGGTTTGCTTGAACCCAGGAGTTCTGGGATGTGGTGCATTATGCCAATCAGGTGTCCACATGAAGTTTGGCATCAATATGATCTCCCGGGAGGGGGGTACCACCAACTTGCTTAAGGAGGGGTGTGAACTGGCCCAGGTTGTCAGCGGAGCAGGTCAAAACTCCCGTGCTGATCAGTAGTGGGATTGTGCCTGTGAATAGCCACTGCGCTCCAGCCTGGGCAACAGGGCGAGACTCCCACCTCTGAAAATAAATTAAAATTAAATAATGTCAACATAACAGGAGGATCAGTTTTTGTCAGCAAAGAGGCAGCAGATGAGTTCTCAGATGCCATTCAGAAAAGTATTGAAGAGGAGCAATATCTGCCTGAACAGGCTGTTAATATGGATGAAAAGTGCCCTATTCTGGAAAGAAAATGCCACAGAGAACATCTATTAATAAGGAACAGAAGCAAGCACCAAGATTTAGGGCAGGAAGGGATACACTAACTCTAATAAGCATAGTCCTGATATAATTCCAACTGCATTTGCACAAAACAGTAGAGTCAGCCTATCTGCCTCACTTGAGGTCAGGAGTTTGAGATGAGCCTGGGCAACATAACGAGACACTCTAACCCCCCAAAAAATGTTTTTAATTAGCCAGGCATGGTGGCACACACTTGTAGTGCCAGCTTCTCTGGAGACTGAGGCAGGAGGATCGCTTGAGCCCAGGAGTTCAAGGCTACAGTAAGCTATGATTGCACCAACTGCACTCCAGCCTGGGTGACAGAGTGAGACCCTGTCTCTTAAAAAAAAAAAAAAAATTTATCAAACTGTCTTTTGCCACCATTGCATTCTCCAGCTTTTAGATCCTTCATTTTTTTTTTTTTTTTTTTTTTTTTTTTCCTGAGACAGTCTCATTCTGTCACCCAGGCTGGAGTGCAGTGTCAGCCTCCTGGGTTTAAGCAATTTTACCGCCTCAGCCTCCTGAGTAGCTGGAACTACAGGCACGCGCTACCATGCTGGGCTAATTTTTGTATTTTTAGTAGAGATAAGGTTTCGCCATGCTGCCCATGCTGGTCTCAAAGTCCTCCACTCAAGTAATCTGCCCACCGCAGCCTCCCAGAGTACTGGGATTATAGGCATGAGCCACCACACCTGACCCCTTCACCTTCTTTTTGCTTTAAGTTGCTATTTCGCTTTTTCTCAAATTATGTTAGAATCTATAGGTATGTCTTTTTTATACCCACATAAAAGCTGCATTTTCAATACTACTTAAAAAGGTATTTCACAAAAAGTGCAAGATTTTAGCACCTACTGGTGTTAGCTGCAGGAGTAGCTTCATGAATTTCCTTTCCTTTTTTTTTTTTTTTTTTTTTACAATGGTCCTTATGTTGGATTCATTTATCTTGAGATGGCAGCCAATTGCAGTTGCAGACCTCAATCTACAATACATATCAAGCAATTCAGCTTTTTCTTTTTTTTTTTAAGATGGAGTCTCGCTCTTATCACCCAGGCTGGAGTGCAGTGGTGCAATCTCGGCTCACTACAACCTCCGCCTCCCAGGTTCAAGCAGTTCTCCCACCTCAGCCTACTCAGTAGCTGGGATTTACAGGCGCCTGCCACCATGCCCGGCTAATTTTTGTGTTTTTAGTAAAGATGGGGTTTCACCATGTTGGCCAGGCTGGTCTCGAACTCCTGACCTCAGGTGATCCACCTGCCTCAGCCTACCTTTTTCTTGTAATGTCATGACTTTCCTCTGTTTCTTAGGAGCACTTCTAGCATCACCAATGGCACTTTTTATGGATCCTATGGTTTAAGGTATTGCACTAAACACAGTGAAAATAATATGAGAACTGTGAGATTACTTTTACTGTGATATGCAATTTATTGGAGAGATGAACTGCTCAAGCAAAGATAAGTAGCATCACACAACATATTAGGTGAATACTCGCAAGACTTGAGCTCACTGCAACAGCAACAGGAGGGAGCTGTGAAATTATTACAGTAGTATAATATGTACTACAGTTAATTTTATGGTTATGATTTAATATTGCATTCTTTGTATTTGTTCACATTTCTCTTGACTGAATGGCACCGTTTACAGTCTGTGTAGGTGTAAGTTTTGATAAATTTTAACTCTTTATAATAGATTTGTGTACATTTTTATAGTACTAAATAATAAAATAGTATCTAAATATGTTTTATGCATTTATGATATAGCTTTTTCTTAATTTTTTATTCCAGAAGTCATCCTTCACCTTTTTCTTAATTTTTAAAATAGTTCTAGGCAACATGGTTGGTCCACGAGTTTTTTCAAATTGTTACGAATCTCCAAAAAAAACTTTCAATATATTTTGTTGAAAACAATCCATGTATAAGTGGACCCACACAGTTCAAACCCATGTTCAAAAGTGAACTATACTTGCCAAATCAAAGAATTAAAGTAAAAATGCTATAATTGAATAGGAAGAAATATTAGCTTGAACTTGTGGTTTATTTATTTATTTTTTTTTTTTGAGACCGAGTTTCGCTCTTGTTGCCCAGGCTGGAGTGCAATGGCATGATCTCGGCTTACCGCAACCTCCACCTCCCAGGTTCAAGCGATTCTCCTGCCTCAGCCTCCCAAGTAGCTGGGATTACAGGCTTCTGCCACCACACCCAGCTAATTTTGTATTTTTAGTAGAGACGGGGTTTCTCCATGTTGGTCAGGCTGGTCTTGAACTCCCGACAGGTGATCCTCCCGCCTCGGCCTTCCAAATTGCTGAGATTACAGACGTGAGCCACCACGCCCAGCATGGTTTATTTTTCTCCTAAAAATGCATTCTTTTTTCAGCACTGTCCACTGAAAAGCCAAAGTAATAATAACCCAGTAAAAATAATATGCCTAGTACCCACATCATGGATTTATTTATATATTTTATTTTATTTTTATTTTTATTATTATTATTTTTGAGACAGAGTCTCGCTTTGTCGCCAGGCTGGAGTGCAATGGCGCGATCTTGGCTCACTGCAACCTCCGCCTCCTGGGTTCAAGCGATTCTCCTGCCTCAGCCTCCTGAGTAGCTGGGACTATAGGCGCATGCCACCACGCCCAGCAAATTTTTGTATTTTTAGTAGAGTTAGGGCTTCACCATGTTGGCCAGGATGGTCTCAATCTCTTGACCTCTTGATCCGCCCACCTCGGCTTCCCAAAGTGCTGAGATTACAGGCATGAGTCGCTGCGTCCAGCCAATTTTTTTTTTTTTTTTGAGACAAGGTCTTACTCTGTCACCCAGGCTGGAGTGCAGTGGTGCAATCTCAGCTCACTGGGTTCAAGTGAAGCTACTGCCTCAGCCTCTCGAGTAGCTGGAATTACAGGCATGTGCCGCCACGCCCAGCTAATTTTTGTATTTTTAGTAGGGACAAGGTTGGCCGGGCTGGTCTTGAACTCCTGACCTCAAGTTATCCACCCACCTTGGCCTCCCAAAGTGCTGGGATTACAGGCATGAGCCACCGCACCTGGCCCACATCATGGATTTAAATCGTTTTTTGCACTAAAAAGAAACAGGGCTACTTAGAGAAATGGCTGATTCCAGATCTGGGGCAAGAAATGGACATGACAAGCCTGGAACATCATCTTGTGACTGAAAGCAAGGAAGTTATCAGACTTCTGGAGTCTTACAAAAATACAGAAGAACTGACTTAAAGGGGCTCCCACTGGCCCAAAATGGGACAATTTGAGCACAAAAATTTGTAAAGGCAGCAACTGATTAAAACACATTAAATATATAAAAATCTGTAAGTTCATAATAATTAAAAAAAAAACACCTCATCAGTCACCTTTGGAGGTTGCCTAGAAACTAACTTGGTATTCTGGAAATAAATTATAACAGCTTTATTCATAATATCCAAAAACTAGAAATAGCCTAAATGTCTGTCAACAGGAGAATGGACAAACTGATATATTCATACAATGCAATACTTACGGCAGTAGTAAAAAGAAATGAACTACTGATCACAACAAAATGAATGAATCTCAGAACATGCTGAATGACAGAAGCCTTACATAAAAGAATACATACTTACGGTTTTGTGTCTATCAAGTTCTAATATAGGCAAAACAAACCTATGGTGAAAAAAATATCAGAGTAGTGGTTTGCACTGGGGGAGATGGCAGCAGAGATTGAATGGGAAGGGGATGAGGGAGGGAGGTTTGTGGGATAATGAATTTTTTTAGGGATTTGGGTTACACAAATGTATGCAGTTCATCAAAACTCTAATGGTACGCTTTTGTGCATTTCACAGTATATACATTTTTTACCTTAAGCATAACTTTATTTTTTTTTTACTTTTTATAGAAGTTTTAAGAGACAGGGTCTTGCTGTCACCCACGCAGGGGTGCAGTGGCACAACTGCAGTTCACTGCAATCTTAAGCTCCCAGGCTCCAGTGATCCTCCTACCTCAAGTTACTGGTCCCAAGTTACTGGGACCACAGGTGCACGCCACCAAAACTGGCTTTTTTTTTTTTTTAAGTAGAGGCATAATTTTAAACAAATATTAAATTTCAATGATATGTGTGCTAAGGTGTATTAAAAAGTAAGATGGATAGAAGGATAAAGAGATAGATATTTGATAAAGCAAATGTAACAATATTTAATTGTAGAATCTAGGTGGCTCTTTACAATATAATTCTTTCAATTTTCTATATGTTTGATAGTTTTCATAACAAAATGTTGAAGAAAACCTCCATTTTGGCACCTCTAATTATGGGTCTAGGCATCAACATCTGCTAACATCATTGAGTGAAAAGTTGATGGTGAATCTTATAATGATGGGTCAGGCAGACAACACCTGAACCCACTGCTCAATCCTGTCACTAAAAGTAGGATAGCCAGGTGCTATGTTCTTCCTGTTGCAATACAATAGATATATCACCTATGAAGTATTAGTGCATAAAACTAAAATTGAATCTGAATCTAATCAAGATTCTAGATCTAACTACAAATTTACAGGAAATACAGGAGAGTAAAAAACATTAAATAATACCATGTAGGTACCATTAGTCAAGTACAGATTGTGGGGGATTTCACAGGAAAAATTACCTAGTATCTTAACAAATCAATGGCATGAACATTGGAAAAAAAAAAGCATAAGGAAGGGGATCTGTTACAGAGTAAGAGACACTCACAAGACATAGTCATCAAATGCAATGTACAGACCTTGGATCCTGTCTAGAACCAACCAACCGTAATAAGACCTTTCTTCTTTTTTTAGTCTGTTCTACTCCTTCAAGTTATTGGTAGAGAAAAGACATTTTTGAGACAATCAAGGAAAACTGAATGTGGACTGAGTATTAGATGATACTAAAGAAGTATTGCTCATTTTGTTGGACTTAATAATGATATTATGGTTATTTTTAAGTCCTGTGTTAGAAATACTGAACTATTAACAGGTTAAATTACATTTATGTTAAAATACTTCTGGGGAAAAAAAGTAAACAGTTGGGGATAGATGAAGCAAAAATGAAAGAATGTCCTTGTTTTTGGGTTTTTCGTTTGTTTGTTTTTGTTTTATTTTTGCCTGGAGACGGGCAAGTTGCCCATACATCCCAGCAGGCCAGGGGAGGAGCTGAAAGAATGTCAGTAATTGCCAAAGCTGGGTGATAGATACATGGAAGTTTATTAATCTATTTTCTCCACTTGTAAATGTTAAAAAGAGGCATCCTCAGCTTCACACTTTCTTCTACATCCCATTTCTCCATTTTTACTACAGTAAGACTGTGAAAGATATCTGTATTTACTGTCACTACATCATCTCCTCCCATTCTCTCCTGAACCTGGTCCAATGGGGATTTTTGCCTCCATCGTGCCACCAAAACCACTCTTATCAAGGTCACCAGTAACTTCCAAATTGCCAAATCTAATGGTCAGTTCTCAGTTCTCATTTTAAATGACCTTTGTAACATTGATGACTACTAATCATTCCTACTTGAAAAAGTTTCTTCACTTGACTTCCGGATACCAAACTGATTTTCCTCCTGCTTCACTGTCTAGACCTTGTTTTCTTTGCTAGATTTTTTCTTCTGACTTCAGATATTGGCGTGCACCAGGACTCAATCCTCTGACTCTTCTCTATGATTTCCTAAGCAATTTCATTCCTTACCATGGCTGTAAATATCATCTGTGTACTGTTGATTCCCAAATTTACACCTCTAATCCCAGCTTCCCCTTAATGTCATCTTATAAAATCTCAAACTCAATACGTATGAGACCAAATTCTTTTTTTTTTTTTTTTCATTTTTCTATAAAATAGAGATGGGGTTTTGCCATGTTGCCCAGGCTGGTCTGAAACTCCTGGGCTCAAGCAATCTTCCCGCCTTGGCTCCCCAAAGTGCTAGGATTACAGGTGTGAGCCACCGCACCCAGCCTGAAACCAAATTCTTGATCCACCTTACAAACTCCTCCCTCAGTGTTCCCTGTTTCAGTAAATGGCATCTTCATTTTCACTCAGTTGCTCAGACCAGAAAACTAATTGTTATAATTGACTTGTGTCTTTCTCTCACGCTCATATCCAGTAGCAATTCCTGTCAGCTTTACCTTTAGAACATAAACTGAATTTGACTACTTCTCATCATCTCTGCTTCTGTCACTCTAGTCTAGTCCAAGTCACCATCTTCTCTTGCCTGTGCAACTGCAGTAGCCTCTTAATTGGTCTCCTTTTTCCCTGTTTCTTCACAATCTCCTCACACAGCAGCCAGAGTGATCCTTTTAAAACCTAAAACTGATGATAGTACTCCCCTGTTCAAAACCTTATGGTGATTTCCCATCTCGCTCAACATAAAACCCAGAGTTCGGAGAGCAGGCCAGAGCCCAGGCCCGGCCCAGCGGCGCCCGCCAGGTAGACCCAGGCGAGGCCGCGTGCCGGCGCGAGGGGAGCCCACTGCGGGAACATCCAGTCATGGATAAAAATGAGCTGGTTCAGAAGGCCAAACTGGCCGAGCAGGCTGAGCGATATGATGACATGGCAGCCTGCATGAAGTCTGTAACTGAGCAAGGAGCTGAATTATCCAATGAGGAGAGGAATCTTCTCTCAGTTGCTTATAAAAATGTTTTAGGAGCCCGTAGGTCATCTTGGAGGGTCGTCTCAAGTATTGAACAAAAGACGGAAGGTGCTGAGAAAAAACAGCAGATGGCTCGAGAATACAGAGAGAAAGTTGATACGGAGCTAAGAGATATCTGCAATGATGTACTGTTTCTTTTGGAAAAGTTCTTGATCCCCAGTGCTTCACAAGCAGAGAGCAAAGTCTTCTCTTTGAAAATGAAAGGAGATTACTACCATTACTTGGCAGAGGTTGCCACTGGTGATGACAAGAAAGGGATTGTGGATCAGTCACAACAAGCATACCAAGAAGCTTTTGAAATCAGCAAAAAGGAAATGCAACCAACACATCCTATCAGACCAGGTCTGGCCCTTAACTTCTCTGTGTTCTATTATGAGATTCTGAACTCCCCAGAGAAAGCCTGCTCTCTTGCAAAGACAGCTTTTGATGAAGCCATTGCTGAACTTGATACATTAATTGAAGAGTCATACAAAGACAGCATGCTAATAATGCAATTACTGAGAGACAACTTGACATTGTGGACATCAGATACCCAAGGAGACGAAGCTGAAGCAGGAGAAGGAGGGGAAAATTAACCGGCCTTCCAACTTTTGTGTGCCTCATTCTAAAATTTACACAGTAGACCATTTGTCATCCATGCTGTCCCACAAAGTTTTTTATTTACGATTTATGACAGGTTTATGTTACTTCTATTTGAATTTCTATGTTTCCCATGTGGTTTTCATGTTTAATATTAGGGGAGTAGAGCCAGTTAACATTTAGGGAGTTACCTGTTTTCATCTTGAGGTGGCCAATATGGGGATGTGGAATTTTTATACAAGTTATAAATGTTTGGCATAGTACTTTTGGTACATTGTGGCTTCACAAGGGCCAGGGTAAAACTGCTTCCCTGTCCAAGCAAAGAAAACTGCCTACATATTGGTTTGTCCTGGTGGGGAATAAAAGGGATCATTGGTTCCAGTCACAGGTGTAGTAATTGTGGGTACTTTAAGGTTTGGAGCACTTACAAGGCTGTGGTAGAAACATACCCCATGGATACCACATATTAAACCATGTATATCTGTGGAATACTCAATCTCAATGTGCACACCTTTGACTACAACTGCAGAAGTGTTCCTTTAGACAAAGTTGTGACCCATTTTACTCTGGATAAGGGCAGAAACGGTTCACATTCCATTATTTGTAAAGTTACCTGCTGTTAGCTTTCATTATTTTTGCTACACTCATTTTATTTGTATCTAAATGTTTTAGGCAACCTAAGAACAAATGTAAAAGTAAAGATGCAGGAAAAATGAATTGCTTGGTATTCATTACTTCATCTGTATCAAGCACAGCAGTAAAACAAAAACCCATGTATTTAACTTTTTTTTTTTAGGTTTTTTGCTTTTGTGATTTTTTTTTTGATACTTGCCTAACATGCATGTGCTGTATAACAATCCAAGCATAATTGTTAAGAACACATGTATTAAATTCATGTAAGTGGAATAAAAGTTTTATGAATGGACTTTTCAACTACTTTCTCTACAGCTTTTCATGTAAATTAGTCTTTTGGTTCTGAAACTTCTCTAAAGGAAATTGTACATTTTTTGAAATTTATTCCTTATTCCCTCTTGGCAGCTAATGGGCTTTTACCAAGTTTAAACACAAAATTTATCATAACAACAAAAATACTACTAATATAACTACTGTTTCCATGTCCCGTGATCCCCTCTCTTCCTCCCCACCCTGAAAAAAATGAGTTCCAATTTTTTTGGGAGAGGGGAGATTGATTAGAAAAAAATGTAATATGTTCCATTTAAAATTTTGGCGTATGGCATTTTCTAACTTAGGAAGCCACAATGTTCTTGGCCCGTCATGACATTGGGTAGCATTAACTATAAGTTTTGTGCTTCCAAATCACTTTTTGGTTTTTAAGAATTTCTTGATACTCTTATAGTCTGCCTTCAATTTTGATCCTTTATTCTATTTGTCAGGTGCACAAGATTACCTTCCTTTTTTAGCCTTCTGTCTTGTCACCAACCATTCCTACTTGGTGGCCATGTACTTGGAAAAAGGCCGCATGACCTTTCTGGCTCCACTCAGTGTCTAAGGCACCCTGCTTCCTTTGCTTGCATCCCACAGACTATTTCCCTCATCCTATTTACTGCAGCAAATCTCTCCTTAGTTGATGAGATTGTGTTTATCTCCCTTTAAAACCCTGCCTATCCTGAATGGTTTGTCATTGTCTGCCTTTAAAATCCTTCCTCTTTCTTCCTCCTCTGTTCTCTAAATAATGATGGGGCTAAGTTATACCCAAAGCTCACTTTACAAAATATTTCCTCAGTACTTTGCAGAAAACACCAAACAAAAATGCCATTTTAAAAGAGGTATATTTTTTCTTTTAGAATGTAAGCTCCTCAAGAGCAGGGACAATGTTTTCTGTATGTTCTGTTGTGCCTAGTACACTGTAAATGCTCAATAAATATTGATGATGGGAGGCAAAAAAAAAAAAAAAAAAAAAAACACCCAGAGTTCTCACCACAGTTTCAAGGCCCTACACCTTTGATCATCCCTCAGATCACATTTCCCACCGCTCTGCCCCTTGCTCTCATGCCTTTCCAGACACACTGGGCTTCCTTCTTCTTCTCCAAACAACCCTCCTTATTCCTGTGGGCCTTTGTATTGGCTGTTCTTCTCATCTGGAACTTGCTTCCATGTGGCTTGCTTTTTCACTTCGTTCTGGTCTCTGTTCAGATATTACCCATTAGAGAGGCCTTCTCTGACCCCAACTAAAATAGCAATTCCCTAGTCCCCATCCCTATAACACCTCCTTACCAGCTTAATTTTACTTCCTAACAAGTAATACTACCTGGCTTTACATTCTGTTAATTTGCATTTATGGCTCTATTTGCTTTCTTAAATTCAACTCTTTAGGCCAGGCACAGTGGCTCATGCCTGTAATCTGGGCACTTTGGGAGGCCAAGGTGAGAGGATCACTTGAGACCAGGAGTTCAAGACCAGCCTGGGCAACATATCAAGACCCCTCATCTCTTTTTAAACATAAATTAATTTAACTTAATTAAGTTCACATTTTATAACTTGTCTTAAGGATTCAAGAATGACTGAATCTACACAGAGGAGAATTATATAAATTCCCTTGTAACATTAACTTAAGCCTAAACATCATCAACATACTATTAAGGGCATACAGAACTTTGGAGTTCTGATTTCAGCTTCTACTCCTTCCTAAGGTGATAACAGTTACACAGCCATGGCCAGAAGACCCTGTTGGAGTCTAGTTTGCACTTTTTTCTTCTGTATCATGTTCATTCTTTTCTAGGCTTGCTCACTTGCTGTGTCCCATACTGGAATCATGCTAGGGGTATTGCCATCTTAGTCTGTTGTCATTGTTCTCTCTTTGAACCAACAGAAAGTTCTAACTAACAGCAGTCTATCAGTTGATTTCGGTAGAGGTTTGCCTGCTCTCCCATAGACTCTTCTTGCTACTTTGTGTCATGCTGTGGTTTGCTCACTATTCATTTCTACACTTGCCTTCCTTCTTTCTCTGGCTCTCACATACACACTTGTATTTCCTGGCTCATCTCTGTTTGTGCTAGACTATTGGAAAAGTCTTTAAACTTCTTTGGACAGAAAGAATAACTTCCAAAGTAGAATCCTGATGCTCCCATTGGGCAGAGTAAGGATTCCTCCCACCTGTGTGTCATCATCAAACACAGGTGTACCAGCTCAGTATGATTGCACCCTTTTTTTATACCTATTATGTTGGCTAAAACTGAACAAAAACTGTGTCCTTTTATGAATGAGAAAATATAGGAGAGAATTTTTAAAAACCTTTTGTCTTCTATGACTAAAGAGACTTGCTTTTTTTACTAGCCCCTGTTTTGAGAGCCGGTCAGATGTAGTTTTAGTCATATTGGGGAGGACAGTGTTTAAGCAGATACCAGAGCTCCCCATTATGAAATTCTTTCCTGACACCAGCCCCAACTAGGTCCCAGTAAGAAATAGATGCAGAGGACAACATCCTACAAAGGAAACCCTCATTGTTATCACAAAGCATATGATATAAAGGAGCCCTGGTCAAGCAGGATACCCCTTGGGGAGAGGATGTCTTTGCCCTGGACTAGGAATCAGGCAAGTGGTTTTCTTTCCCCTTCTCCTTTTTCACCTCCCACCCCCACAGAGAGGAAAAGCAGATCCAGAGAAGACATGCCCAGGAAGAGCGTTGAAGTCCCTGGGAACAAGGCTTAATTAAAATCATTAAATCTGACCCATCCATGTAGTACTCCTTGGCTTAAGGGTGGAATGAATAAAGCAAAGAAAAGAGGACTGGGCAGGGTGGAGAAAGAAAGGGCCATGGCTATCCCCTAACAACCAGGATACAATGGCTCTGTAGGTAAAATCAGAGGTTTCAAGAAACATTTTGGAAGTGTAAAATATATTTTTTCCTAAAGAAATCTAGACTGTCACTCAAAGGAAGACAATATTGCATAGTAAGGCAAAAAAAATGTATCTGTGTTTCTTGAACATCCATGCTTCCTTAGTAATTCTTAGCACTGTACTCTAACCTTACAAGCAAATAATACCTAAAGAACATTGGATGGAACAGGTATGTATTTGGAGAAATCAGCCAGACGTGAGAATATGACAAATAATTCAAGCATCCAGAATAATTTAGAAGTTTTTAATGTGTTTCTCTATTATCATGTTATCTAATTTTATGTAAACTGCATTGTTCATCTTCAATGAATCCTTATCTTCGGGTTTGTTTTTTGTTTGTTTGTTCGTCTGTTTTTCTTTTCAGCCCCACTGTGTTCTCCTTGCCTCAAAAGAAAACTCGGCACCTGTTAAACTTGGAGGCTTTGGGGTAGCTATTCAATTAGGGGAGTCTGGACTTGTAGCTGGAGGTAAGACTGCTTTAAAAAAAAAAAATTCTTCAAAACCTGGTCACTTGCGACTGGTATAAAACTTTCAAGCTACATATTAGCCCAACCTCAGTGTTTCATACCTCATTCCACCCCACCCCAACTCCCAAAAAGCATCATCAGATAGTTTTTAATTTAATAACTCTGTAGTCATAACTAGAATCTTAGTCCCTTAAGAATAGACTCTTTTTTCTCTTTGTACCTCCAGTACTTAAGAGACTGTACAAGATTAAAACAGTGTTCAGAGAAAATAAGTTTGAGGCATAGTGCCTTTTAAAGTTGAACTGGCCAAATGAAGTCAAATCTAAAATGTGTAGATTAGCCACTTCCTGGTTTACACTGATGGCTAATTTTTAATTTCATACTGTTTGCCTTTTTCCATTTATCAAAGAATCCTGCTCAAGCCATCAGCCTGTATATTAGCAAAGAATAAGCAGATGTGAATGCAGGCTGATTTTATTATTAGCCAAAGCAAAACATAATTTTTAAATTCCCATGTCAGAATAAAAAGAAAAAAGTTACAAATTATATAATCTTGCACAGCACATTTCATATAACTCAATTCCTTATAGCTAGAACATCAAGCAGTAACAACATAGACCATCTTCAGAAAAATGAGCCATAGGTCATAGTTGTAATTTTTTTTTTTTTCTTTCAGACAATGTCTTGCTCTGTCACCCAGGCTGGAGCGCACAGTGGCACGATCATGGCACACTGCACTGCACCCTTGACCTTCCAGGCTCAAGTGATCCTCCCACCTCAACCTCCCAAGTAGCTAGGATCATAGGCGTGTGCCACCATACCTAGCAAACTTTTTTTATTTTTAGTAGAGGCAAGGTCTCACTACATTGCCCAGGCTGGTCTCAAACTCCTGGGCCTAAGCAGTCCTCCTGCCTCAGCCTCCCAAAGTGCTGGGATTACAGGTGTAAGCCACTGCACCCAGCCAATAGTTGTATTCTTTAAATAATTTTTTCACCACAGTGCCCTCTAAAATTAAATTACATTCAAATTTTCTTTTAGTTTCACATTCTTTTCCAGTTAATCATTTCCAATAATATGCAAAACTGCAAGCTGAGTATAGTTTCAAAGAATGCTAATTTTTTCCCCTAATTTAAAACTTTCTGTTAGTGATTGGAAGACTGACCAAAGGGTCAGGTAGTAAAGCACAGTTTAATCATAGAATCTCAGGACTCCAAAGGGCCTTAACTTCTCCAGTCTTGTAACTAATGATTGAATTCTTCCATAATATTCCCAAGAAAAGATTGAGTTCTGGTATTAAACCTCAGAGAGCAAAGTAGTCACTACATCCCAAGACAGTTCATTTCATTTTTGGATAACTCCTTAAGTATTAAAAAGCTCATCTTTGCATCTTTCTGTAACTTCTACCCAGTCATCCTAATCCTGACTTTTGAAACCACTCTGAACAATTTTCATCCTTCCGTATGATAACCGTTCATCTGTTTGTAGACAACTACCATGTCCCCCTAGGTCTTATCCAAGTTAACTTCCCTAGGGTGATTTGGCCATTCTTCATATAAACTGGTTCAAAATCTCTTCAGTATCCACAAAGTACAGGGCCTGAACTGAACACTCTAACTACAGGTAGTACAGTACAGCCGATCCAGTGCACAGTAGCATTGGGCTATCACTTTTTTGTGTTCTGGGCCTTAAATTTCCCTCGAGTTCCCCAAATTGCATTAGCTTTTTGGACAACTACATAGCACTGATGGTTCATACTGATCTTGTAATCAAGTGAAAATCCTAAATTATTTTTTAAACAAATGTCACTGTTAAGCTAACTCTCTCAATTCTGGTACTTATACAGATCATTTCTATGTTAAGACTACGTAATTATAACAAATAATTTCTGATGATTATATTACCAAGGTTAATGGGATGAAATGAAATGAATTTATTTTATATGTTATATACTGGCCATATATAATGACTTTGTTTCTGTTGCTCTGGATCTATATCCTGTTGGTATTTAGAATGTCATGTTCTTCGTATTTTATTGTACATCTTGACTGGGGGGGAAAATAGATGCATTATGTTTACCTGGACATTTTCTCCATATTAATCTTTTTCTAAAGTCCATGAACCTTTCACCTAAATTGTTTATTTTTAAAGCTAATTTTGAACTCCCCCCCACCGCCCACCGCTGGTATGTCAGTATTCAAAATGTATTTTTCTCCATGCTTCTAGAATTAAAATACTTCCTGATGGTCAAAATATTGTCATTTCTTAGCACACCTTTTTTTGTATTCTTGAAATAACTGAATGTTACGTTTTAAAAAATAGAATATGAATAAATTAGAGATAAATTATTTCTCTTAGAAAAAGCTTTTCTGCTGTTTAAGGTACTTTTGAAATTTTGGTAATTAAGGTTGGGCACGGTGGCTCATGCCTCTAATTCCAGCACTTTGGGAGGCTGAGGCGGGCAGATTGAGCCCAGGAGTTCAAGACCAGCCTGGGCAACATGGCGAAACCCCATTTCTCCAAAAAGATGCAAAAATTAGCCAGGCATGGTGACAAGAGCCTGTATTCCCAGCTACATGGGAGGATCGCTTGAACCCGGGAGGCAGAGGCTGCAGTGAGCTGAGATCGCACCACTGCCCTCCAGCCTGAGCAACAGAGCAAGACCCTATCTCAAAAAAAAAAAGAAAGAAATTCCGTCAATCATTTAATTATTTATCAACTTTAAAGCAGAAAGCCATTTTCCTGTCAGTTTGAAATCCCAGTCCCTAGTCCTCCAAATAGAAAGGAATTCATTTCTTTATATGTTGCATATAGTAAAAATCATTTAAACATATTTACACTCCCCCTACCTGAAACTCAGCTATTTAGGAAACTTACTTATCCAGAATACAACTAGAAACCTAGAAAATAACTACAATAGCAGCAAAATTATTCCTACCCTTAAAAATCCACTCATGCTCCTCACAATTGAGCATCTAAAGACACTCTCTAAGGCTGACTTGCTCCCATGTTTTAAAAAGTTGTATAGATTCGTGTTCCTTCATACCTTGCACATGCTATTCCTTCTAGTTGGAGTGCCTTTTGTTATTTTATCTATCTGGTTAACTCCTACTGTTCTGGAAGGCTGAGCTAACAATTATCTCCTCTTTAAAGCAGGCTTACCTTCACCATCCCGAGTTGGATAGCCCTATTCCTTCTCTCTATATTCCCATAACTATCTGGGCTACATACCTCCATGTAGCATTGGATGCAGGGACTTACATCAAAGACTGTGATTTGTAAGAGTAAGGGGGACCATGGCTGAGGGTATCTAGGACCTAGCAAGCACTTAGGAAATTGCTATTAAATGAAATAAACTGGTTGCTAGTCAGGTTCTAGTTAATAGCAGATTATAAAAGCAACAAATTAGGAGAACGCAGAACTAAAGCATAGTGAGAGAAAAGAAATAAAAGCCTGACAAAAATATATATGATATATACTGAGCAGACACCAAAACTTGGAAAGCGCAACAGCCTTTCAATATGAAAGAAATCAACTCTTGCATACCTCTGAAGTTCCTGAGGGTGCTTTCTGTTCTACAGCCTAGGTCTTTAATCAGTATCTACAATGACAACTCTGAGTCATCAAGAAAAGGTTAAATTATGAGCAGCATTCTGTGTAAAAGAAGTCAGGAAATTGTAGAAAGCCATACAAAATTATTTAACTAAGGTGGGCACTGTGACTCACACCTGTAATCCCAGCTACTTGAGAGGCCAAGGCAGAAGGATCGCTTGAGCCCAGGAGTTTGAGACTAGCCTGGGGAAAATAGTGAGACTCTGCAAAAAAATTATTAAAACAAAAAGGATTGTGCGCATAAAGATTCAAATCACAATGTATTTAAAAATGTAGCTATTCAGAACAATTCTCCCCCTGAGATTCTGGTAGGAAGGTTTTATTGTATTATCAAAATATATAATATTTAAATATTTGTCCAAAATATCTCAAACTGCCATTTAATTTAGTTTGCTAATTTGTTTCCTTTTCTTAAAATTTTGTGGTCAAAGTCCTAAAAGTCAAGAAGAAGTATCAGCAAAAACAAGGATTTTTAGGAAGTTGGTGTATATTAAAGATTAACTCCAGTCCTTTTTACCTTCTACTGATTTACATGAAATAAAAGAGCCTTCCTCTACATTCTTTCTACCATGGTTTTTCCCCTATCATCTGTGAGCAAATTATTGAACCAAACAACAGGCATCTTCCCGAAGATTGAACACTAATTCTCCAGAATTGGGTAGTCTTCGTCTAGCTAAATGGAGAGAACCTTCTCAGGATGGCTGGGACTGGCCATGGTCGCTCTGATTATTCCCAAGTTAAGGCCCCCATTTTGAGTGGCTTGGCCCAGGAAGTGGTAGGAGTCAAGTTGAGTTTCAAAGCATCATCCAAACTGTCAGCAGGTACCTAACTGGTACCCTGGTACCAATTGAATGATACTGGTTTCCCCTACTCCTGCTAGCTCCTGTCCATCAGAACAAGGCTAATTCTCCAGTGGCCCCTCCCTGTCCAGGCTATTAATGAAGTATGGAAGGCTTAGTTCCCATCCCTGCAGCTTCTTCGTGTTACTTGAGGAAGCAAAATGGGGCAATACAGAAATAAAAGTATTTCTCTAGCCAGGTCCTTCTAGTCAATAGTTTTCACTGATCTATCGTACATTTTAAATGAAAATATTTTCACTACTGGAACCCTGAACTTAAGCTTTTCTATTATGGGGGGAGGAAGGGAAACCATATGATCTGCAGCAAAGGTACATCCTGATACACAAGCTAAGAGCTCTTTTATCTTTCTGCATCCCAACTGAGTTTCATAATCATGAACAGAACTTGATATATTCTCTCTAGCTGAACCAGAAGATCTCTAAGGTCTTTTAAAACCACAGTTCTGAGTTCTAGATAAAGTATTGCACAATCTTCAAACTAAAAATTATCTTGAACTCAGTATGATGAAAGAGAGAGACAGAGGGAGGAAGGGAGGTGGCTGGGCTTGCATATATCTAGAAGAGCTGCCAAGTCTAGTGGGCAGTGCCCCATCCCACAGTGATCTTCCTGCCGGGTACAAGCCTTTCATTCCACAATAGAAGACTTCTTTTGGGATACTGAGTTAAAGATAGTTATGAATGTGCAAACAGCTAGTATCAGATTCCTTACAGAAAGCTAATTTTTGATAGAGAAACAAAAGAAAACTCTTTAAAGAAGATGAAAGTCAAAGAGGATTGAATGGGAGGAGCTTCATAATTTTGCTTTTGTTTATGCCATATATTTGCTCTCATTCTCTTCATATGTTAATGTTAGGAGGAAGCTAAAAACTCCTACTATAACAAAATATTACTAACTATTGTTAATTGCTATAATTAACCCATAAAATCAACTGAACAGGATTTCAGAGTCAAATTCATATTTCAAATAACAGTTCTCAGCATTTGGTTTCATTGGGGAATTTCCATTTGGCAGTCAAGTCATCTTTTTTCCACCGATTTTTTTCTCATGACTTCCTGCCCCCTCCTCTCCTTTCCCCTGCCTCTGCCTCTGCCCAGGGTAGGCCTCCCAACTCTTTCCTGGACAGCTACAGGCTCTGCCTGTTGACTCTTTCACCTGCCTCTGCTCTATATATTTGGTGACTTTCAACCATGTGAAAATTAGAAAATTTAAACTTCTTCATGAGGTAAGAACCACATAAATACCTACTACGTAGCATGCAGAATTCAATAGGGAGTGCCAGTGTACAAGACAGAATACCTATTCTGGGCTCAATGTTTTCAGGAAGCAATTAGATAAGTAATTTTTTTCACCTATGTGAACTTGATTTTATGGAGAGGTGGAGGAGTGGTGAGAGTATATGTATTGGTAAACTTTTTATTTGGATTGTTATTGTTCTATTATTTTTAGTTTTCAAGTGAAAATCCCATTTTATGTAAACATTTTTCCTTAATGTTGTTTTAAATGTAGGACGTGTTGGAACACCTCATTTTATGGCACCAGAAGTGGTCAAAAGAGAGCCTTACGGAAAGCCTGTAGACGTCTGGGGGTGCGGTGTGATCCTTTTTATCCTGCTCAGTGGTTGTTTGCCTTTTTACGGAACCAAGGAAAGATTGTTTGAAGGCATTATTAAAGGAAAATATAAGGTAATGCATCATGAACATTTTCTTTTTCCATTGAGATTAATTTATCCTGAAAAATGTTTTTTTGAAGTTACTGTCTGTCTTTGCCCACTAATTGACTGCCAGGTAGTTACCCCATCAGAGAAAAGGTCTTTGCTTACATCATTGATCCAGTGGCCTTGGTAGGCAACATAGGCCTCAAGTAAATTTCTGAGTCATTGTCAGCTGAGCTATCACCCTGGTGAAGAAAACATTTATGAACCTTCTTTGTGTAATTTGAGAAAGGGGCTTCATTTTTAAAGCCTTCTGCTTAATTTGTAAAGTTAAAATGGAATTTCATCCAGGTATAATTTTAGTCATTCTTTATCTTAATTTTAAATTTAGGCCAGCACAGCTGAAAACATTTGCCATTTACATTCCAGGATAAACTGAAATGCCAGGATGACAACTGCATTTCATGATACAATATAGAGGCATTTCAGTGTGGCTTAAACATTCCTATTCTTCTTTGGCTATTAGGTGTTGGCAGCCTCATGTACTATCACAGACTTGTGATTAGTAAATCATTACTTTAACTAGTAAAAAATTGAAAATTCATTACTGACTTTATGAATAGCGATATCACAAACACCTAAGGACTTCTTGGAAATAAGTAAGCTTAAAGTTGATTTCACTACCCCAGCTTTTAGACTCCTTTGCCCTGTCCCACAAGGTACGACTGACAGTGACT
The DNA here is from genome assembly GCF_000001405.40 of Homo sapiens. NCBI lineage: Eukaryota > Metazoa > Chordata > Mammalia > Primates > Hominidae > Homo > Homo sapiens. The sequence goes on along the minus strand of NC_000023.11, from coordinate 41,664,570 downwards.
AGGAGGCTGGGCATGGGAAGCATGGGGATGTGTGTGTCTGGGTATCAGGTTAAGGCTGTTTAAGTTGGGGAAATTCTTTTTCCTCTCATTATTACTGAAACTCATACTTTCTATTCAACCTCATCACTGTTTCATTTTCAGCCATGACTGACAACATAAAACCAAAAACATGTGTATGTAACACTGGACTCTAAAACTATGAGGCCCCTAAAGTTTTCTCTTCAATTCCTCGGTAATGTTAGAATTTTATATGGGACTTGGAAAAATAAAATTTAAAAAGAAGAAAAGTAAAGTGGTTCCAGAGTTACAGTCTTATCCTTTTAAGCCATAACTGAAGTTTATGGAGATGAGAATGGTATATACTTTTGTTGGTTTATTTACCTCACTCACCATCAGTTTATGAGTGCATATAAGTTTGTCTTTTGTTTTAGTTAGTTTAAGATATATACCAAAACTCTGTTAACAGAGAAAGATGTTTTCAGTGTAGCATATTCTGCTCCTCCCAGAGTCAGCTGGCCACTGGGGAATAAAATCAATACTTACCAGGTAACTAAATGTCTCAGGAAACTGCTTGTAAGTAGTCATCCCTCTTCAATCCAGGGAAGTTGTAAGTTGCTCTCAGGAATGCACAGCCAAATTCTGGTTGAATTTAGCCAAGTGAAATCACAGATACTAACGTTTTAAAAGAAACATGATTAGTGATACATCAGCATAATAATAATACTAGCAATAATGATAGCTAACTCAGGCATAGCACATAGCATAGCATACTTTACATAAGTAAAGTGCTTAGAATAGTTTAATTCATTTAACCCTCACAGCAACTTGTGAGGTAGGTACCATATAATAATAATCCCCCACCTGCGTTTTTGAGTTATAGGCATTTGCTAATAATAGAATTCTTCCTTTGTGTTTGTTCAGTTGTTAACTTCCTAGTTTCCAAGGCAATGTGCTTCATTCCAACAGACTCTGGTATTTTATTTCGTCTATTTTTAAAACATTGAATAGTTATTTTTGTTTCTTGGTAAAAAGACTTAGACTATTCACATATGTGCAAAAATTAAGTCATTTAAAAATTCCCTCTTCCTAGTATTATAGTAAGTCAGATGGATGGTGGCAGCTACATCATAATTTTTTTTTGTACCTGGGGTTTGAAGCTTTGAGGTTAATAATTTATTTACTTTTTTACTTGGCTAACCTCACCTCTCATTTATCTTCAGGACTTTCCTTACAAAAAGCCTAGGTTTTCACCACCTTAGTTTGAAGTATAGATCCATCTCTACCATCTATGATGAATCTCGGCCTTTTTCTTTTAGTATACTGTCATATGATTCTGTCAGCATTTATTTTTCTATCTTTTATTATCAAAAATTTCGAACAAAAATAGTAGAGAGAATAGTATAATGAGCTCCCAGCTTCAGTAACACAGACAATCTTGTTTTATCTGTATTCAACATATTATTACATTATTTTAAAGCAGATCTCAGCTGGGCTCACTTGAGCTCAGGAGCTCAAGACCAGCCTGGGCAACATAGGGAGACCTGGTCTCTACAAAGAGTACAAAAATTAGCCAAGTGTGGTGGCACACACTTGTAATTTCAGCTACTTGGAAGGCTGAGGTGGCAGGATTACCTAAGCCTGGGAGGTCAAGGCTGCAATGAGCCATGATCACACCACTGCACTTCAGCCTGGGCAGCAGAGCAAGACCCTGTCTTCCCAAAAAAAAAAAAAAAATAGATTTCAAAAAAATTATTTCATCACCTTGGTGGTTCTTTTTTGAGACAGAGTCTTGCTCTGTCACCCAGGCTGGAGTGCAGTGGCACGATCTTGGCTCACTGCAACCTCCCCCTCCCAAGTTCAGGTGATTCTCGTGACTCAGCCTCCCGAGTAGCTGGGATTACAGGCGCATGCACCACGACACCCAGCCAATTTTTGTATTTTTAGTAGAGACGGGGGTTTCACCATGTTGGCCAAGCTGGTCTCAAACTCCTGGCCTCAAGTGATCCACCTGCCTCGGCCTCCCAAAGTGCTGGAATTACAGCTGTGAGCCACCGCACCCGGCCACATTTCATCACCCTAATGGTTCTGAGCAAAAGAACTATTAACAAAATTCTTGATCTCTATGGATATTTTAAAGAAAAGTTTGATGACACCTTTTAAATGCAGTACTTTTTTTTTCTTTTTTTACCTCCAGCAGTTGCAAATGTGAGACCACATTAGAAAATACTGTTTCACTGGAGTATATGCTAACACTTAACCTCAATTAACTTCTTTGTAAAGGGCAAAAATATATTTCCCAAACCATATATAAGAAGTGTAATGTCATATCATTATTACAGATAACCAGTTAGTATATACACAGCAAGATTCTAAGCTGCTATGGGTTTGGTATTCAAATAAGTAAGATTGTTTTATAGCCTTATTTTGTTCCCCCGTATAGATTCAATCTCCCCAATTTGTTTTAGCTACTCTTCTCAGCTGAAGGAATAGAAAATCCTGTGTTGGACTGTCTTGTAAAAAGGACAAGGGAGTATCCTTCTAAACCTCTACTCATTTCAGAAATCTTACCACCCCTTTCAGATGATTTCTCAACCACTTTGTCAAGGAAAAATTATTCAGACTTTAAAGAGCACATTCGCTCCAGGATAGGGAGAGGAAACAAGTCTACCCAAGCCCTGTCTAATCACTTACCTCATTTCAAACTGGTCAGTTGACCACAATTTCACTAGGATGAAAAGTGTGGGATTTCATCCCTCCCAAAGTGTGGGATTACAGGCATGAGCCACTGTGCCCGGCTGGATAATGATAATTAAACAGCCTTATGGCATTAGTCTTAATGGGATTTGACAAGCAGAAGTGGCTACTATTTGAAATTCTGCCTGTTGGGGGGAAAAATGAAGCACACTTCAATTTTAAGGGCTATCCCCAACATAAAGACACTTTTCACTCCCCATCTTCAAGTACAAAGTCTCACATTAGTCAGAGCTAATGCTAGCCCTTGCTCAAATTGTGATGATTCATTTATACTGCAGTGCAAGTACTGCAGTTTCATTTGGCTTTAAAATGTTGTGGAGTTTATTCTTCATCTTTCTTCCTTAGAAGGTGATGTAGGTCTCTGCCTGTTAAAGCCATGGCTTTGCTTGAAGGTCCTGGCACTGGGTAGCTCACATAAACTCACCCCATCAGTAAACCTGTTGATATTGAACAAGGAATGAGACCCTACTCTGTCTCTGTCTCCTTTCCCCACTTGCCTTCCCAACCCCATGCCCTAACCACTCTGATTTTTTTTTAAATGATTCTGGGTCTCAGACATATCCCTTTTCCCAGGAGCCTTCTAGCACTTGGCTCACAGATCCACAGCCTTTCTCATAAGTCCTGTGTCTTTTGAACAATTCATAATTATTTTTGTTTGATTTTAATCAATATACCATGTGGCTTAGTTGTCTCATCTCTAAAAGAGACAAAAGTAACTTCACTGAGGACAGTATTCAAGCAAATCTGTTATTCTGTGGGACCTACGGTAGTAGAATACTTTTTCCTAAACACCGAAGTTGATATGCAGTGACCAAAATATCCTATTAAAAACTTTGCACAGTTCACAATTATTGCTAACCTCGATTTTTTAAAACATATCTTAAAAATATTTCTTTAAAAATTTTAAGTTTTATTTTAGTTCTTTCTGGATCGATGTATTCTAGTCTCCCTAGCTAAGGATCTAAAGATAGAAACTGGAATAATGAACATTCTAGTCTTCAATTATTGAAAATATTATCACTTACATAACAAGAATATGGGTATGGAATATTTACTAACACAAATTCTTATGTAGTAAAGAACAACAGAAGAATTGCATTTGTCCTTTTCTTAGAATGCAAGCCTTTAGAATCAAATTTCTGTTCTTTGCTCTCAGAATTTTATTCACATTGAAGCAATATAGGAATATTAAATAATAGTGAATGTTAATGTCTCATTTAAGGTAACTATGTAGTTTTCCTTTCCTCCTCCTCAGATGAATCCAAGGCAGTGGAGCCATATCTCTGAAAGTGCCAAAGACCTAGTACGTCGCATGCTGATGCTGGATCCAGCTGAAAGGATCACTGTTTATGAAGCACTGAATCACCCATGGCTTAAGGTACATGAGCATTCACAGGTCACCTTCTACACTTTGTCTGAACACTTCCAGTGACAGGAATGCGTTGCTCTATGAGATGGTCCTTTTTACCTTTTCTTTTTTCTGAGCAGTTTTCATTAGTTTTTTTCATCTTGTTTGCTGTTCCTGCACATCATCTGTGAACATCTGAATAGAAGACATACCATTTGAGTGTCATGCAGCTATCAGAGGGTAAAAAACAGGATTAAGACAGAATATATCAGGGGAAGGCCTCTTTTTTCTCTGCCAACATGTGTTCCAAAGATATGCAACATCAACAACTGAAGTAATACCATGTTATAATAAATTAACTATCTTTATTTTGGGTGTGACTGTGTGCTTTATAGCATTAACTATTTTTCAGTAGATACTAGGTATAAATTTTCTGTCTTAGGAAAACGGCAGGTTTTTTTTTTTTTTTTTAGACAAGGTCTGACAACATTGCCCAGGCTGGAGTACAGTGGCACCATCTCTACTCACTGCAACCTCTGCTCCTGGGCTCAATCGATCCTCCCACTTTAACCTCCCCAGTAGCTGGGAGCACAGGCATGCAGTACCACACCTGGCTAATTTTTGTATTTTTTGTAGAGATGGGGGTTTCACCATGTCGCCCAGGCTTGTCTCAAACTCCTGGACTCGAGCGATCTGCCCGCCTCAGCTTCCCAAAGTGCTGGGATTACAGGCATGAGCCACTGCGCCCAGCCAAAAGGCAGATTTTAAAAGTTCATTTTATATCCCATCTTGCCAGTGAGTATTAAGGAAAATTATAACTTGGGACAGCAGTGAAACAGTACTTTTTGATTAAAACATTATACAGCCCAATAATTCCAGGCAATTTTCATTTTAGATGTTAGAAAGACTAACGCTTGGAGAGGTTAAGAATTTGCGCCAAGTTGGCCGGGTGCGGTGGCTCATGCCTGTAATCTCAGCACTTTGGGAGGCCAAGGTGGGTGGATCACAAGGTCAGGAGTTTGAGACCAGCCTGGCCAATATGATGAAACCCCATCTCTACTAAAAGTACAAAAATTAGCCTAGCGTGGTGGCGGGCGCCTGTAGCCCCAGCTACTGAGGAGGCTGAAGCAGGAGAATAGCTTGAACCCGGGAGGCAGAGGTTGCAGTGAGCCAAGATCGTGTCACTATACTCCAGCCTGGGTGACAGAGCGAGTCTCCGTCTCCCAAAAAAAAAAAAAGAATTTGCACCAAGTCACAGAAGTTGTCAGTGGTGAAACCAGGATTCTAATTCAGCCTACCACTACCCTTTGATTTTGCACTAGATCCTATCCCTTTTTATTTGACCACATTGACCCAACAACTTCCTCCCTTCCTGCATCATCAGAGTTCTCTCTCTGTTGGATCTAACATGCTATAGGTTATTTGTATTATGCACACTCTTATATAGACATAATACCTTCTCCTGACCCTACAACCCCCTCCAGGTTTTGCCCCTATTCTTTGCTTCCCTTGACAGCAACTCCTGAAAAGAGTTGTATAGACTACTCACATTGTCCAGTTTCCCATTCCTTTCCCATGAACCCAGTCTAGTCAATATCACAATCTTATTTATTCCACTAAAACAGCTCTGGTCAAGTCACTACTGACCTTCATGTTGCTAAGTCCAGTGTTCAAATCCCAGGGCTTCTTCTTGGCCTGTCAGCAACATTTGACATCCATCCTTCTGAAACACTGTCTTCTCTGGGCTTCTGGAACACCTGCTCTCTTGGTTGTCCTTCTACCTCCTGGCTGCTCCTTCTCAGATCCTACTGATTCTTCCTCATCTCCCCTCTCCCACCTCTTCACACTGGAATGCCATAGGCCTCCATCCTTGCTCCTCCTCTTTTTCTCTGTTGAAGCTGAAAAAACTCAAACTGCTCTCACACCACACAGCAACAATCAATACAGAAGACTTCTGTGACCAGAAGTGTGGAGATTTCTTCCCACCAACAAGCAAGCAATCAACTCTGCAGCAGACTGCAGCTGGGTGTCCTCCCAACTAAATTCAAACACTATCTACCTGGAGATAGCATCAGATCCCACAGATTGAGGGCTCAGTCCCACAACCCTCACCTCTTCAGACACCAGTCATAAGTCCAGGCCGCTGAAACTTCTGCCAACCAACTACAAATTGGGGACACCACAGCCTCTTCCTCTTTGGGGTTGGTTAATTTGCTACAGCAGCTCACAGAATTCAGGGAAACATTTACTTATGTTTACCGGTTTGTTACAAGAGATATTACAAAGAATATAGATAAAGAGATGCACAGGACAAGTTACAGGAGAGGAGGGGAGCAGAGCTTCCATACCCTCCCCAGGCACAACACCTTCCAGGAACCTCCATGTGTACAGCTATTCAAAAGCTCCCCAAATCCTGTCCTTTTGGGGTTTTATGGAGGCCTTATTACTATAGGCATGATTGATTAAACCATCGGCCATTGGTGATCAACTTAACCTTTGGTACCTCTCCCCTACCCAGAGATTGAGGGGTGGGGCTGAAAGTCCCAACCCTCTAATCCTGCCTGGGTCTTTGTGACCCCATCCTGAAGCTGCCTAGAGGCTGCCAGCCATCAGACATCTTTGGCGTTTCTAAGGATTTTAGGAGTTGTATGCCAGGAAATGAGCTAGAGGACCAAATATATATTTCACAGTATACCTCTGGTCTTCAAACCTGGATTCCTTACATTAAAAAAATATAGGCCAATGTGGTGAAACCCCATCTCTACTAAAAATATAAAAATTAGCTGGGTGTGGTGGCAGGTGCCTGTAATCCCAGCTACTTGGGAGGCTGAGGCAGGAGAATCGCTTGAACCCAGGAGGCAGAGGTTGCAGTGAGCCAAGATCACGCCATAGCACTCCAGCCTGGGCTACAAGAGCGAAACTCTGTCTCAAACAAACAAAAAAAAAAGAAATATAAAAGAATATATAATTCAAAAGACACTGCCACATTACTAGAATCTCATTCAGGCATTGATAATTAGTTCAGTCCATCATCATAATGTATGAATAGGTCTCCCAGCATGAGGCCACTCAGGTTTGCAGGCTTTCCATTGATCTTGCCAGGTTCTAAAAGCAGGAATGGTCTTGGTTTCACCGTTTCAGACACCTGATATAATTGAGCTAAGAAACAGTATCCTTTCTTGCTCTGAGTCTCTTTCAAGGTGTTAATGTAATGTGATAATGGATTTCCCTGAATTCATAACACATTTATTTATTCCTTTACTCTCAGCTGTTAATTTTTTCCTCACTTTATTAATAACCTTTGGAAGAAACATTAGAATCAACATCGTGCTGGTCTAGATGGCAGACAGCAATATTAGTCTAGTAATTACCTCCTCCTCAGTCCACTCCCATGCAGGGAGACTAAGGTTACATAGGTGCCAATTTAGTGGACCGTTTTTACCACCAGGCAATATAGCTGCATTCACAATTAACCCGTTTTGCACAACCCACCCCCATCAGGTCCTTAGGAATTCTGACACAAGGTTTAAAAACATAGTTACAATTTCTTGTTTAGGAATCATCCCTGGTTCTAACACTGGTAGTTATGGCTCTGGTCCTAGAACCACTGCATAGGGAGGGGCAGGGGGAGTTTAGATGATATGGGAAAGAAGGAAAGAAAAAAGTATAGTCATTATATCAGCATACTCCCCTCTTGTCAAGAATTGCATAGTCATAACAGCATCCTCTACCACCCCCCTTCCCCAGATCAATCAGAAAAACGAAAGAATATCTAGTGGGGACACTCCTTTAGCCCCACTCATGTTGAGTGTGAGTACACACTGGTAAAGGCAAGTAAGCCAGCCCTTCCTGCTTTCATCTCCCCCTGTTTTAGACAACCAATGTTTTCATTGCCCATTTTAGTCTCTATCAAACTATTACTCTGAGAAGAATATCTCTGCCCACTGCTGGAACATTATGGGCTGTACCGTGTGTTCTTTGGCCTAAAGAAATGGTGTTCAGCTCTCCAAATATGTGCAATATCTTCTGTTCTGGCTTTTTTATGGTATTCTCATCATTCACATCTTCCACCGGGCAAGCAAAGCCCAGTCCAGAATCAGTGTCTACTCCTGTCAAAACCCATCTGTGGCCTCCCAGGGTTACCAGCATCAGCCTCACTTGCCAGCTTGTTCAGGGCTTTCCCACCAGGGAAATCTGCCCCACAGCCATGGGCAGTGTCTGTCTCTTTTGCTGGCAGACAGAACAGTTCTTATTGGCATTTTGTGCCTGAAATGATACAAAAGAAACCTGTCTAGATGCAGCCCATCTCTGCACTGTTGCAGTACCCGTTTATCCACTCATTTGATGGACCCAGGTGGCCACCTCGAGGGAGCACACAGGGTTCTCTGCTTGTCAATGTCAATCATTTTCCAAACCCAGAAAGAGGCTCTTATGATGGGCATCAACATATTCTACTTATTGCACCCCTCAAATTTCCATAGGGCCATTCTCCATATGGGCATCCCTTTAATAAATAGGCCAGGTTTCCACTGCCCTTCTGCCTGACCATGTGACCAGGCCACTGGTGACTGTCCATGAGTCAGTAAAAAACCAAACACGGGAGCTTTTGTTATTGTTCATTTCTTCAGAATGCAATTCAACTGCCAAGCTAATGTGATCTTACCTTCTTTGATCAAGAGTGGCATCCTTCCAAACAGGATGCTGTCGATTCACCTTGGAACTGTCATCCACACACCAAGCAGCTCTTCGTTGGTCAGTTGAGAGCTGTTCACGGGGCCCTGTCCAAGTGTCAGTAGAATCCCACAGTTCCTCACACAGTTCCAGAGTCAGTCCTAGGGGAAAAGAGGCTCCCTGCTTGAGGATGTTTCCTCCTTGCACTTCCCGGAGAGGATGTTCCTGCATAAACCATTTCCATTTTATTATGGAACTATTCTGGGCGCTGCCATCCCCATTTGAATGTTTCTCTGACATCATGTGAGAAAGCATGGGTATTTCAGGTGTCAAGATCATTTTATGTCCTTCAGTCATTAGGGATAGTTTCAGTTAATGTCCCATAGCAAGGTAGTAAATGCACCGAGATGGAAATTCTCTAGTGCAAAGTCCTAGTGGTTGTCACTGGGAGATGCTCACAGACTTTGGCCATAAGCCCCAGTAAACATCCTGCAAAGGGCGAGCAGATGGAGAATTTGTCCCTACCAGCACTCCAGCTTCTCAACTCCACACTGTGTGAGCTCAAGCAATCTTACTGGTGCCTAGTTAGCGTGTCCAATTAATATTTCTCGAAGTGCAGATTTACATTTCTTCTGTTTTACAATACTGGGTAGGGGAAGTGTTCTCCACCCAGTCATAATTATCCAGTTCCATAAAACATTTAGGTAAAGGAGACATAACTTATTTATGTATATCCTGTTTAAACATTCCAAATCTCATACTCCTATCAACCCTCACTTTTACCCTTTCTTGTTTAAAAAAAAAAAAAAAAAATGTTGAGTCCCCAACAGCAGGTTGAGCCAAGGGACCTTGCCCCTTTTGTCAGTCTTTGTATTGATTAACCTGCCTCAACATTACCCCAAGTAACTGTTGGTCAGCTTTCTCACTGTAATCTCTGCCTTCTGACTTTTTCAATTTCTCCAAACTGGGGTGAATACAGCAAACCTGTTTGGAATCCCTTAACATTGGGAGAACAGCAGAAGCTCCCTACCAACCTTTGATAGTATTATATTGAGATCTTTGTTTTAACCCCATCGATTTCCACTTTATTCATCTCATTTCTTTTTATTTCTTTTTTATTTTTTTGAGACAGAGTCTTGCCCTGTCACCCAGGCTGGAGTGCAGTGGCGCAATCTCAGCTCACTGCAACCTCCGCCTCCCAGGTTCAAGCCATTCTCCTGCCTCAGCTTCCCGAGTAGCTGCGATTACAGGTGCCCGCCACCATGCCTGGCTAATTTTTTTGTATTTTTATTAGAGAGGGGGTTTCACCATGTTTGCCAGGATGCTCTCAAACTCCTGAGCTCAGGTGATCCACCCGCCTCGGCCTCCCAAAGTGCTGGGATTACAGATGTGAGCCACAGCATCCGGCCCTATTCTTCCCATTTCTTATTAGCCCTCTAAAGATTCCACCCTGCTGGGATGAGTCCCATGATTCTCCTCTTTCTTTTTTCTCTTAGTTTCACCCCATCACTGTTTTCTTCATTCACCTTATTTATTAATAACCATTTAAACTTTCCACCTTCCTGGGATGAGTCCTGTGACTCTCCTCTCTGCCTTTCCCCAGTCTTTTGTTAATTACGCTCATGTTTTCATTGGTGCCCATACAAAAGAGGCTCCCTCAGCCATAGCATTTACTACAGCCAGAGTAATGGATGTATTCAGTGAGTGAATATCTCAGTCATCATAAAGCCAGTCCCACATGGCCTGCATAGGAACCAAATGAGCCGCTTCACCTGGGGTACTCCACTTGGCATTGATAGGTAGAGTTGGACAGTCTCTACCTTCTCAGGGTGTACAGACCTTACAGTGGCTTTTATTCCATTCACTAGGCTGACTGTTCCCTCAGGAATAACTCCCTGTGTGTCTGGATCACATTATACCCATTGTTGATTGTTCAGTAGTGAGCTGTGGGTCCTGCATCAACCCAAACATGCCTGTCCACTCTGCAGCATTTAAAACCAAAGAAAGTGCCCTAAATTAGTTATTCTCACAATCCATTTTAGTAAAGGATTTTCAGTAAACTGATGATACCAATCTATGAAATGAGACAATTTCTTCACACTGTACCCTCTGGTTTCAGTAGTTTCTTGGTTTTGCCCTTCCCTCACATCAACTACCTTCGTGGTAACCACAGGTCGTAGAGGTACTGTCATCCCTGTATAATTTTTCCTTTGGGGGTCAGCTTGAAGGCTAGTGGCCTGGGCTCAGATAGACTGAAATCTGAGCTTGGTCTAGCATCAAGGCCTCATCCAGCATTTGTTTCATTTCTGTTCAGCTATTACAGACAACCACCACCAAGGGAGTGAATATTTCATCTTTTTCTTACTAGTTTGCATATCCTTATGCATCCAGTGAACCAACTCCCTGAGTTGGATCCATCTCTAAATTCCACTGGTAACTTTTACCTTTAGCAATTGATTGCGACACAGTTGCAGCTCCAAACCATGGAAGACCACGATAATGAACCAGGAATCAAAGGTTCCTCATCTCCCACCCTTTCATTCTTTCTCTTCCCAAACCACATATTTCTGTGAGCCAGGGCCGTTCTAGCAAACCCTACTTCACTGACACTAACTGAAGGTGGAAAAACTCAGAACTGTTTTCCTCTGCTCTCGCACCACACAACAACAACAATCAACACACAAGACTTCTTTCACCAAATGTGTGGGGATTTCTCCCCATTAAGAAGCAAGTAATCAGCCCTGCTGCTGGGTATTCTCTAATTCAATTCTGACACTATAGTATCACATCCCACAGTTTGAGGGCTTGGTCCCCAAGGCCTCCCCTTCCCACCCTTTCAGACACCAGTCACAAGTCCAGGCCTCCAGAATGTCAGACTGACTGGCTACAAATCAGAGATCCTACACCTGCTCTTTGGGTTCCATTAATTTGTTAGATCAGCTCACAGAAGTCAGGGAAACACTTTTACCATTGTGTTATAAAGAAAATTACAAAGGATACAGATGAAGAGATGCATTGATGGAGGTATAGGGGTGAAGTGGGAAGCTTCCATGCCCTCTGTGGATGCACCACCCTCCAGGAACCTCCATGTGTGCAGCTATCCGGAAACTCCCTGAACCCTGTCCTTTTGGGTTTCTATGGAGGCTTCATTACCATTGACCATTGGAGGTCAACTCAACCTTCAGCCCCTCTCCCCTCCCTGGAGGTTGGGGGTGGGGCCAAAAGTCCCAACCCTCTCATCCCTCCTTGGTCTTTCCTGTGACCACCCCTCATCCTGCAACTGCCTAGGGGCTGCCAGCCATCAGTCAGTCATTGGCATACAAAGATAGCCCTTACGCCATTCTAAGGATTTTAGGAATTGTATTCCAGGAAACGGAGCTGTAGACCAAATATATATTTCAAAATATCACGTCCATCTACACTCCGGCCCTTGGAGAGCTCATCTAGTTTTGATGGCTTTAAATGCTATCTGTACAACAATGACTCCTGAATCCAGGCCTCTCCCCCTAGGTATTCTTTCTTAATTCTGTATACAGTTTGGCTCCCTGACACTTGACTCATGTCACCCCTTCCTACTCTCCCTGCTTACTCCATTCCCATCATATCAGCCTCCTTGCTGTTCTTCAGACTGCAGGCACATTTCACCTCAGCACCTTTATATGACCCTTCCCTAGAATACTCTTCCCTCAGATATCATGGCTTGTTCCCTCACCATCTTCAGGTCTTTGCTTAGGTATCAGCTTCTTAGTAAGACCTTCCCTGACCACCCTATTTAAAATGTGGGGGAAGGAATGCCACCAGTATTCCCTATCCCCCTTCCCCTCCCTTATCTTTCTCCATAGCATCTGTCACCCTAAGACATACCTATATGTTACTTATATGTTTATTGTCTGTCTAGGTCATAAAATATAAGCTGCATAAGTCTAGGGATTTTTGGCTCTTGGTTCACTTCTGTCTAGCACCTAGAATGTATCTGGCATGCAGTAGGTGCTCAATGAATATTAATGATTTAATCAATGAATGAATGTTCGTTGTATTATACCATGCTACTTCCTCAGATTATGCAAAACAATAAAATATTTTAAAAGTAGATTAATAATGTATCTTAAGGTGATGACATGGAATAGTATTACAGGACAATTTTGAGATTTCAGTGGATCTTGATTCTCCTTAAGAATATTACTTCTCAGCCTGGGCAACATAGGGAAATCCCGTCTCTACAAAAATAAAAATTAAAAAATTAGCCAAGCGTGGTGGTGCGCACCTGCAGTCCCAGTGACTCAGGAGCCTGAGGTGGGAGGACTGCTACTTCAAAAATATGCATTCACCTCTCTGATACTCAGTGCTAGTTATTCCTGATTTCCCCTAGAAAAGAGTAGTGAACAATTTTTAGATACTTTCTTTGTTTTGTTTTGTTTTTTATTTGTTTGTTTTGCCCTCCCAGATATATAATGAACACTTTAGAGGTAATTCCTATTTCTCCTTTACTTTTCTCACTTTCTCCATAACGGGGATCTTTTGTTCATTCAAAGCTGGTTTAAATGCCAAATAACAATGAAAATGGCAGGCATTTTAGTCATTTTTCAAATCTCTTAGAAGGTGGTTTAACATTATACCATACCTACTTACAGTGCTTTCAAAGCTTATCTTGGCTAATAGCATATTTATTTTTGGAAACCTTTGTTCCTGCCAATGATTATAGTTCTCGTTCTAAGTAATTTGAGCTTAATACATAATAAATTTCTAGCACAAGAAAGACAAAAAATGTCAGTAACTTAAATGAAAAAGTTTAAGACGGCTCTTTGAGCTGAGTATCGCATGCCATGTCTAAACAACAGTTTAACTTCACTACTTATGTCATCTGAAGATGGAAAAACTCAATTAGAATGTTATCCAGCTGGTAAGAGCAGGCTTATGTTATATTTCAGTATTTGTCCATGTGTATTTATAAATCATTACTGTGGATGTAAGAGGTATTTTTTTAGAATGGTTGAAATTTAAATATGAAAAACACCTGGATACCTTGCAAATTGAAGAAATAAAATGATACTGGTTGCAGTGGCTTGAGCCTATAGTTGTCTCAGCTACTTGAGAGGCTGAGTAAGTAATTACTGAGTAATTACTCTAAGTAATTAGAGTAAGGTGGGAGGATTACTTGAGCCCAGGAGTGAAAGGCTGCAGTGAGCTACGACCATGCCACTGTACTCCAACCTGGGAGACAGAGCAAAACCCTGTCTCCACAAAAAGAAAAAAAAAAACAAATAAGATGAAGAAAAACTTTGTAATGAAGGCTACCCAAAGTCATAATACCATTGCTTTGTGTCAAAAACAAAAAAAAACAAAAAAAAACCACAAAAACCAGGCATGATGCCATGCACCTATAGTCCCAGCTATATAATTTTTTAAAGTTCACAGCCACTGCAAAACATGCCAAATTGTAAAGACCATCGATGCTAGGAAGAAACTGCATCAACTAACGAGCAAAATAACCAGCTAACATCATAATGACAGGATCAAATTCACACATAACAATATTAACCTTAAATGTAAATGGGCTAAATGCTCCAATTAAAAAACACAGACTGGCAAATTGGATAAAGAGTCAAGACCCATCAGTGTGCTGTATTCAGGAGACACATCTCACATGCAGAGACACACATAGGCTCAAAATAAAGGGATGGAGGAAGATCTACCAAGCAAATGGAAAACAAAAAAAAAGCAGGGGTTGCAATCCTAGTCTCTGATAAAACAGACTTTAAACCAACAAAGATCAAAAGAGACAAAGAAGGCCATTACATAATGGTAAAGGGATCAATTCAACAAGAAGAGCTAACTATCCTAAATATATATGCACCCAATACAGGAGCACCTAGATTCAAAAAGCAGGTCCTTAGAGACCTAAAAAGAGACTTAGACTCCCACACAATAATAATGGGAGACTTTAACACCCCACTGTCAATATCAGACAGATCAACGAGAGAAAAAGTTAACAAGGATATCCAGGAATTGAACTCAGCTCTGCACCAAGCAGACCTAATAGACATCTACAGAACTCTCCACCCCAAATCAACAGAATACACATTCTTCTCAGCACCACATTGCACATTCCAAAATTGACCACACAGTTGGAAGTAAAGCACTCCTCAGCAAATGTAAAAGAACAGAAATTATAACAAACTGTCTCTCAGACCAGTGCAATCAAACTAGAACTCAGGATGAAGAAACTCACTCAAAACTGCTCAACTACATGGAAACTGAACATCCTGCTCCTGAATGACTACTGGGTACATAACAAAATGAAGGCAGAAATAAAGATGTTCTTTGAAGCCAATGAGAACAAAGACACAACATACTAGAATCTCTGGGACACATTTAAAGCAGGGTGTAGTGGGAAATTTATAGCACTAAATGCCCACAAGAGAAAGCAAGAAAGATCTAAAATTGACACCCTAACATCACAATTGAAAGAGAACTAGAGAAACAAGAGCAAACACAATTCAAAAGCTAGCAGAAGGCAAGAAATAACTAAGATCAGAGCAGAACTGAAGGAAATAGAGACACAAAAAACCCTTCAAAAAAATAAATGAATCCAGGAGCTGGTTTTTTGAAAAGATCAACAAAATTGATACACCGCTAGCAAGACTAATAAGAAAAGAGAGAAGAATCAAATAGACGCAATAAAAAATGATAAAGGGGATATCACCACCAATCCCACAGAAATACAAACTACCATCAGAGAATACTATAAACACCTCTACTCAAATAAACTAGAAAATCTAGAAGAAATGGATAAATTCCTGGACACATACACCCTCCCAAGACTAAACCAGGAAGAAGTTGAATCCCTGAATAGACCAATAACAGGCTCTGAAATTGAGGCAATAATTAATAGCCTACCAAGCAAAAAAGTCCAGGACCAGATGGATTCACAGCCCAATTCTACCAGAGGTACAAGGAGGAGCTGGTACCATTCCTTCTGAAACTATTCCAATCAATAGAAAAAGAGGGAATCCTCCCTAACTCATTTTATGAGGTCAGCATCATCCTGATACCAAAGCCTGGCAGAGACACAACAAAAAAAAGGAGAATTTTAGACCAATATCTATCGGGGGACTTGCCCCGATAATCACGTAGGTTCTTTTCTATTTTTCTTAAGCGTCGGCCGGCATGATAAATAAAGGGACAGAGTACAAAAGAGAGAAATTTTAAAGCTGGGCATCCAGGGGAGACGTCACACGTTGGTAGGATCTGTGATGCCTTTCGAGCCACAAAAACTAGCAAGTTTTTATTAGGGATTTTCAAAAGGGGAGGGAGTATGCGAATAGGTGTGGGTGACAGACATCAAGTACTTAACAGGGTAATAGAATATTACAAGGCAAGTGGAGGCAGGGCGAGATCACAGGACCACAGGACTGAGGCGAAATTAAAATTGCTAATGAAGTTTCAGGCACTATTGTCATTGATAACATCTTATCAGGAGACAGGGTTTTGAGATCAACTGGTCTGACTAAAATCTATTAGGCGGGAATTTCCTCTTCCTAATAAGCCTGGGAGTGCTATGGGAGACTGGAGTCTATCTTACCTCTGCAATCTTGACCATAAGAGACAGGTACGCCTCGGGGTGGGCGGGGGCCAGTTCAAAGACTTACTCCTAGGTGCGCATTCTCTTTCTCAGGGACGTTCCATGCTGAGAAAAAGAATTCAGCGATATTTCTCCCATTTGCTTTTGAAAGAAGAGAAATATGGCTCTGTTCTGCCTGGCTCTCCAGCAGTCAGAGTTTAAGGTTATCTCTCGTATTCCTTGAACAATTGCTGTTATCCTGTTCTTTTTTCAAGGTGCCTACATTTCATGTTGCTCAAACACACATGCTGTACAATTTGTGCAGTTAATGCAATTATTACAGGGTCCTAAGGTGACATAGCCTTAGGCTGACAGGATTAAGAGATTAAAGACAGGCATAGGAAATCACAAGGGTATTGATTGGGGAAGTGATAAGTGTCTATGAAATCTTTACAATTTATGTTTAGAGATTGCAGTAAAGACAGGCATAAGAAATTACAAAAGTATTAATTTGGGGAACTAATAAATGTCTATAAACTCTTCACAATCCACGTTTTTCTGCCATGGTTTCAGCCGGTCCTTCTGTTTGGGGTCTCTGACTTCCTGCAACATCTCTCCCTTTCTTTTTATATAAATGTGCCATGGCGATGAAGGCTTGTTCGTTCTCTCGATTTTGACGCAGGATTCTTTGACTGGTCCAGCACACTAAAAACAAACCGATTAAACAGAGAAACTTAATTCTAAAATTTACTACAGTGGAGCCCCCAATAGGCTTAATCTAAGTCGTGGGGTTTAATCTATAAAGATTTTCTGCCACCTGATCTAACGCCTCAGCTCCAGGCAGAATGGATAAGTGAGCTTGAGAGGCTTCAAAAATTTGTTTCTTTAATTATGTCTAATGATAAATTATCTTCTTTACCTAGAAGGTGTCCTTTGACTTTTTCCTATGAATTATCAGTCTCATTATAGGAATACGGGGTGATGCAGAAATCCGAAGTATTCCAATCGCACTGCATTTGCAATGCGATGTTCGAGACTCACTACTTGATCTCTAAGCCAAATAACAGACTGTCTTAAATCATTAATTTGATTTGCCAATTTTTGATCGATGCCTTGTTGAGAATTCCACATTTGGGTGGAATTGGCTTGCCAATCATTAACAAAATGAGCCCTTTGAATAGATTGGTGTAATGCCATTCTAGCAGTGGTGGCCATTGCAGTGACAGTAATTAGGCCTATGATAACAGCAATTAAAGTGAAAACAAATCTCTTAGATCTTTTTTTAGAATTCGCTGTAGCACTTCATTAATTAAATGTATTGAGGGGGAGGATACCTAAGGTCTAGGTAAAGTTACCGGAACCTAGATTCCTTCTTGAGCTCGAACCAACATTACACTTTTCCTGGAGTCAAAATGGGAGTTAATACAAGTGTATAGATGACAATTGATGCATCGGACGGTTTGATTATTCGTCTAAATTTTGATATTTCCTACTAACAGTGTGTAAGGAGGCTTAACACAACTCTGTATGGGAATAGTCAGGTTGGAGGTAAGTAAAGCAGAATGTCTGGGTCTACGTTGATACTGAGAGAGTGGGATGGTAATGGGAACAACAGTCGAAATAGTTTTCTTTTCCTATACTGGCAGTCCAGACATGGCAATAGCCAATTTTTAAAGTTCTGGGTGTTCTGGGCTCAGAATGGGGAGTATCATACGAGGCCTGGGGGTGGGTAATGCCTTTATCTTCCTATTTTAAGAGAAAGAATGAGCTGATCCTCGTATGCACAGTAGAATGATGATTCTCATTCTCCTGATAAGAAGTAAAATAAGTAGCCTCCAGGCATTCCTTTCCACCAGAGGAGCAATTGTTTTTTAAATAGCCTTTTGGTGCCTAGTCTATTACTAGACCATATGAGTCATTTTTTAGTATTACTGCATGTGAGTTAACACAGTCTTCCTAAATTAAAGTTTTAGATGGGCCCTCAAAATTTTTAGGGCATGGTTTTCCTGCAGGTTTATATTGAAAGTATGGGGTATCTCCTATTACTCCTCCTTTCATTTGTTTTAAAGGAGAAAGGGAGAGACCAGAGACTAAATGTCCTGTTTTATCTGTAGCTGATGTTTCCGGAAGATAAGCAGCCTAGACTTGAGTTCGTAGATGGATGCAACTAGGTGCATGTCCGAGGCACAGAGGGGGGTATTTATAACCTATGGTAACATTAAATGCAGTGCCTTCTTCTCCTGGTTGAGCAGGGCAACGGTCATCTGTGGCTCTAGGCATCCACACACTATCGTTAGTGTAGATTTCTGCAGGAGCATCTATCTAGGTGAGAGGTCGAATAAGTGGAGGAAAAGGCACATAAGCCTAATAAGAATAATTATGTGTAGCAGGTAAATCAGTGTGAGAGGAAACTGGTGAGACAGAAAGTATAAGGAGGAGAATCATTAAATAAAACCTAGTGTAAGCGAGATTGAGTGCTGAAGGAGGAAGAGAAGAACAGAGGGATGTTATTTTCAGGCTAATAGAAATGGTGAGATTTTTAGGTTTGTAAGGAGAAAAAGAAAAGTAATCAGGAGAAGTGGGATTAGTTAGATGGGTCTCCATTGCCTTCAGGGAGGATTGATTTACACCTATTGTGATTTGATGTGCCTGTTTCTGAGGAATCAGCACAGATCTCATCATATCTGAAGGCAGTCTCTGACACAGACGTCTTTTCTCTGTGGTTTTGATTGTCAGTATTCACCTGAAGCTTGAGTCTTCTGGTGGGTACTTAGACAGGGGATTGATGATCTCCTGGTGAAACACAAGCATATCCTCTTCCTCATGTTATAATTGTGCCAGGTTCCTAGGTATTGGTTTGGGAGTTTTTCCATAACACTGGCTTGCCTTCGTTTAAGGAAAATTTTTTGCCTGTATAATGGCATTCGGCTGCAGTTAGAGTATTATCTTTAGGAACATTTAAAAAATTTAAAGTAAACAATGCCAAATGTAATTGGGAGTGGGGAGTTGTTAAATCATGTTTTGGTTGTTCAGACTGTTGGGACAATTGGGTTTTTAAAGTGCGATTGTAAGGGATTCTAGTAGTAGGATCTGTGATGCCTTTCAAGCCACAAAAACTAGCAAGTTTTTATTAAGGATTTTCAAAAGAGGAAGGAGTGTGCGAATAGGTGTAGGTGACAGACATCAAGTACTTAACAGGGTAATAGAATATTACAAGGCAAGTGGAGGCAAGGCGAGATCACAGGACCACAGGACTGAGGCGAATTTAAAATTGCTAATGAAGTTTCAGGCACTATTGTCATTGATAACATCTTATCAGGAGACAAGGTTTTGAGATCAACTGGTCTGACTAAAATTTATTAGGCAAGAATTTCCTCTTCCTAATGAGCCTAAGAGCCTATAGGAGACTAGAGTCTATCTTACCTCTGCAATCTTGACCATAAGAGACAAGTACGCCTCAAGGGGGCCAGTTCAAAGACTTACTCCTAGGTGCGCATTCTCTTTCTCAAGGACGTTCCATGCTGAGAAAAAGAATTCAGCGATATTTCTCCCATTTGCTTTTGAAAGAAGAGAAATATGGCTCTGTTCTGCCTGGCTCACCAGCAGTCAGAGTTTAAGGTTATCTCTCGTATTCCTTGAACAATTGCTGTTATCCTGTTCTTTTTTTGAGGTGCCTACATTTCATATTGCTCAAACACACATGCTGTACAATTTGTGCAGTTAATGCAATTATTACAAGGTCCTAAGGTGACATACATCTTTCTCGGCTGACAGGATTAAGAGATTAAAGTAAAGACAGGCATAGGAAATCACAAAGGTATTGATTAAAGAAGTGATAAGTGTCTATGAAATCTTTACAATTTATGTTTAAAGATTGCAGTAAAGACAGGCATAAGAAATTACAAAAGTATTAATTTGAGGAACTAATAAATGTCTATAAAATCTTCATAATCCACGTTCTTCTGCCATAGTTTCAGCCAGTCCTTCTGTTTAAGGTCTCTGACTTCCTGCAACAAATATCCCTGATGAACATCAATGCAAAAATCCTCAATAAAATACTGGTAAACCGAATACAGCAGCACATCAAAAAGCTTATCCACCACGATCAAGTCAGCTTCATCCCTGGGATGCAAGGCTGGTTCAACATATGCAAATCAATAAACATAATCCATCATATAAACAGAACCAACAACAAAAACCACATGATTACCTCAATAGATGCAGAAAAGGCCTTTGACAAAATTCAACAGCGCTTCATGCTAAAAACTCTCAATAAACTAGGTATTGATGGAACTTATCTCAAAATAGTAAGAGCTATTTATGACAAACCCACAGCCAATATCATACTGAATGGGCAAAAACTGGAAGCATTCCCTTTGAAAACTGGCACAAGACAGGAATGCCCTCTCTCACCACTCCTATTCAACATAGTGTTGGAAGTTCTGGCCAGGGCAATCAGGCAAGAGAAAGAAATAAAAGGTATTCGATTAGGAAAAGAGGAAGTCAAATTGTCCCTGTTTGCAGATGACATGATTGTATATTTAGAAAACCCCATCATCTCAGCCCAAAATCTCCTTAAGCTGATAAGCAACTTCAGCAAAGTCTCAGGATACAAAATCAATGTGCAAAAATCACAAGCATTCCTATACACCAATAACAGACAAATAGAGAGCCAAATCATGAGTGAACTCCCATTCACAATTGCTTCAAAGAGAATAAAATACCTAGGAATCCAACTTACAAAGGATGTGAAGGACCTCTTCAAGGAGAGCTACAAACCACTGCTCAATGAAATAAATGAGGACACAAACAAATGGAAGAATATTCCATGCTTATGGATAGGAAGAATCAATATCATGAAAATGGCCATACTGCCCAAAGTAATTTATAGATTCAATGCCATCCCCATCAAGCTACCAATGACTTTCTTCACAGAATTGGAAAAACTACTTTAAAGTTCACATGGACCCAAAAAAGAGCCCGCATTGCCAAGACAATCAATCCTAAGCAAAAAGAACAAAGCTGGAGGCATCACACTACCTGACTTCAAACTATACTACAAGGCTACAGTAACCAAAACAGCATGGTACTGGTACCAAAACAGCATGGTACTCGTACCAAAACAGAGATATAGACCAATGGAACAGAACAGAGCCCTCAGAAATAATACCACACAACTACAACCATCTGATCTTTGACAAACCTGAGAAAAACAAGCAATGGGGAAAGGATTCCCTATTTAATAAATGGTGCTGGGAAAACTGGGTAGCCATATGTAGAAAGCTGAAACTGGATCCCTTCCTTACACCTTATACAAAAATTAATTCAAGATGGATTAAAGACTTAAATGTTAGACCTAAAACCATAAAAACCCTAGAAGAAAGCCTAGACAGTACCATTCAGGACATAGGCATGGGCAAGGACTTCATGACTAAAACACCAAAAGTAATGGCAACAAAATCCAAAATTGACAAATGGGATCTAATTAAGCTAAAGAGCTTCTGCACAGCAAAATAAACTACTGTCAGAGTGAACAGGCAACCTACAGAATGGGAGAAAATTTTTACAATCTACCCATCTGACAAAGGGCTAATATCCAGAATCTACAAAGAACTTAAACAAATTTACAAGAAAAAAATCAAACAACCCCATCAAAAAGTGGGTGAAGGATATGAACAGACACTTCTCAAAAGAAGACATTTATGCAGCCAACAGACACCTGAAAAAATGCTCATCATCACTGGCCATCAGAGAAATGCAAATCAAAACCATAATGAGATACCATCTCACACCAGTTAGAATGGCAATCATTAAAAAGTCAGGAAACAACAGGTGCTGGAGAGGATGTGGAGAAATAGGAAAACTTTTACACTGTTGGTGGGACTGTAAACTAGTTCAACCATTGTGGAAGACAGTATGGCAATTCCTCAAGGATCTAGAACCAGAAATACCATTTGACCCAGCCGTCCCATTACTGGGTATATAACCAAAGGATTATAAATCATGCTGCTATAAAGACACATGCACACGTCTGTTTATTACAGCACTATTCACAATAGCAAAGACTTGGAACCAACCCAAATGTCCATCATTGATAGACTGGATTAAGAAAATGTGGCGCATATACACCATGGAATACTATGCAACCTTAAAAAAGGGTGAGTTCATGTCCTTTGCAGGGACATGGATGAAGCTGGAAACCATCATTCTCAGCAAACTATCAGAAGGACAGAAAACCAAACACCACATGTTCTCACTCATAGGTGGGATTTGAACAATGAGAACACTTGGACACAGGGTGGGGAACATCACACACTGGGGCCTGTCGTCGGGTCGGGGGAGGGGAGAGGGATAGCATTAGGAGATATACCTAATGTAAATGACGAGTTAATGGGTGCAGCACACCAACATGGCACATGTATACTATAAGTAACAAACCTGCACGTTGTGCACATGTACCCTAGAACTTAAAGTATAATAAAAAAAACTATAACATGAAAAAAATAAATAAAAGTAAAGTTTTTTAATTAAAAAAAAGATAGGAATTATTTCTTTGATAAAACCACCAAAAAAAAGTTCTATTCACTTATTTCACATCAAAAAAGAATTTGAGTGTTAGACCAAGTAATATGTTAATGTCTTATGACTGTTAAATGATACCTATTTAACACCTTTATCTCTCTGAATTAATGATACTTGGTGTGAATATTTATTCCAACAAAAGTAGGCCATCTAAGATTATATTTTCCTCACAGATGGTTGAGCTCTTCTCACACCCTCTATAGCCTTAATATATAGACTGTAAAGTATACTGTCATTTTAAAAAAAGTGAAAAGGATATTTATATCAGGCTAATCAATTTGAATTTTGGGTAATGAACACACCAATTACCCGTGTTTTCCAAATCTCATGTGCACAAGGGACTATGAATCATGTACTTCATTAAAGTGCAAGGCACATTACTATTGAATTTTTTCTGAATTCATATTACATTATTATTATTAGTGTCAGGAGATACTATTTAATTCAGAAAAAACAGCCTGGACAACATGGTGAAACTCCGTCTCTACTAAAAATACAAAAATTAGCCGGGCGTGATAGCGCATGCCTGTAATCCCAGCTACTTGGGAGGCTGAGGCACGAGAATAGCTTGAACTGAGAATGTGGAGGTTGCAGTGAGCCAAGATCATGCTACTGCACTCCAGCCTGGGCAACAAGAGTGAGTCTCTGTCTCAAAAAAAAAAAAAAAAAAAAAAAAAGACGAGATACCTTAACAGACTTTTTTTTAAATCTTGTGATTTTACTAGCTTAGAAAATAATTGATATCATAATTGAAGCATAATTTTATTTAAAAAAATACATTTTGACTCTGTCCTCACCTCTCTTTCCACATCACCTTAGTGAATGGTGAGCAGAAAAGGTGTTTGCTAAAAATAGAGTTCACAGTCAGATATGTAGTAAACTTAAACATATTTGCAATATGTAAAGAATTCTCAAAACTCAATAATAAGAAAACATACAAACAACCCAATTCAAAATGAGAAAAGATTTGAACAGATACTTCAACAAAGAAGATAATACAGATGGCAGATAAGCACAGGAAAAGATGTTCATCATTAGTCATTAGGGGAATGCAAATTAATGCCACAATGAGATACCTGTAAACATGTTTTACAGTGGCTAAAATCAAAAAGACTGACCATACCAATTGTTGACAAAGATATAGAACAATGGAGGCCAGGTGCGGTGGCTCACACCTGTAATCCCAGCACTTTGAGAGGCCAAGACAGGCAGATCACAAGGTCAGGAGATCGAGACCAGCCTGGCCAATATGGTGAAACCCCATCTCTACTAAATATGTAAAAATTAGCCAGGCGTGGTGGCAGGCGCCTGTAGTCCCAGCTACTCAGGAGGCTGAGGCAGAAGAATCGCTTGAACCCAGGAGGCAGAAGTTGCAGTGAGCCGAGATCATGCCACTGCCCTCCAGCCTAGGCGACAGAGCAAGACTCCATTTCAAAAAAAAAAAGAACAATGGAAACTCATAACACTGTTAGTAGGAACGTAAAATGGTATAACCACTTTGGAAAACAGTTTGGCAGTTTCTTAAAAGTTAAACATACTCCTATCATATAGCCCAGGCATTCTACTCCTTAGTATTTACCTAAGAAAAATGAAACACATCTTCATACAAAGACATTAATATTCATAGCAACTTTATGTGTAATAGCCAAAAAATGGAAACAACTCAGGGTCCATCAGCAGGTGAAAGGATAAATTATGATACATGCATACAATGGAATACCACTCAGTGTTAAAAAGGAATGAACTATTGATACATGCAACAACATGGATAGATTCAAAATCATTATGCTATATGAAAGAAGCTGGACAATAATGAGCACATACTATATGATTCAATTTATATAAAAGTCTAGAAAATGCAAACTAAGTGACAGAAAGTAGATCAGTGGCTGACTGGGGATGGGGATGGGGGCTACAAAAGGGCATGAAGATACTTTTGAGCATGATGGATGTGTTCATTATCTTGATCATGGTAATGGTTTTATGGTTGTAAATATATGTCAAAACTTATCAAATTGTACATTTTAAATGTGCAGCTTATTGTATGTAATTATACCTCAGAAAAGCTTTTTGGAGAAAACAAAAAAATATATATTCAGAGTCTATCTCTCTTTCACCCTTTTTATTATTTCCAGCTGGTTTCATCCACCATCATCTTTCACCTGGATTACTGTAAAAGCCTCCTAACTAGTCTTCCCGCTTTTTTTTTTTTTTTAAACCCTCATCTCCTTCCAATCTATTCTCGGCAAAACTACTAATGTTTATTTACAGTTCAGGGTTGAAGGCTGGGCGTGGTGGCTCGCGCCTGTAATCCGAGCACTTTGGGAGGCCAAGGCAGGCAGATCACGAGGCCAAGAGATCAAGACCATCCTGCCCAACATGGTGAAACCCCGTCTCTACTAAAAATACAAAAATTAGCTGGGCGTGGTGGTGCACACCTGTAGTCCCAGCTACTCGGGAGGCTGAGGCAGGAGATTTGCTTGAACCTGAGAGGCAGAGGTTGCAGTGAGCCGAGATTGCGCCACTGCATTCCAGCCTGGCGACAGAGTGAGACTCCATCTCAAAAAAAAAAAAAAAAAGTTGAGGGTTGAAAATTTACCTATTAGTTCTGTAATTGCTCTGGCTTGGATATCTTGTACTGTGTTGAATAAAAGTGAGGGAAAACAAGAAAAATTACCTATTGAATACAGTGTTCACTATTTGAATGATGGGCACACTAGAAGCCAAACCTCACTGTTATGCAATATAACCATATAGCAAACCTGCATATGTAACCCCAGAATCTATAAAAATAAAGTCAGATCATGTCACTCTAGCTCAAGACCCTCCACTGGCTTCCTCTCCTACTCAGAATAAAAGCCAAAGGCCCGCATGGCCTACCCCAGCCTTGTCATCTCTCTGATCTGACCCGCTATTCTCCTTGACCCCTTCACATCACTTCACACACATTGGTCTCCTGGCTACTTCTTGAAAATTCCAAACATACTCCCTCCATTGGGCCTTTGCATTGGTTATTTTCTCTGCCTAGACCACTCCCTCACCTCTTCTAAATGTCACTTTCTCCATTGGGCCTACTCTGACCACCCAATTTGTTTTTGTTTTTGTTTTTTAGAAATGGGGTCATGCTCTGTTGCCCAGGCTGGAGTGCAGTTGCAGTCATGGCTCACTGCAGCCCTGACCTCATGGGTTGAAGCAATCCTCAGCCTCCCAAGTAGCTGGGATTACAGGTGCATGCCACCACGCCTGGCTAATTTTTTAATTTTTTCATAGAGACAGGTTCTTGCTAGATCTTGAACTCCTAGCCTCAAGTGATCCTCCCATCTCAGCCTCCCAAAGTGCTGGGATTACAGGTATGAGCCACCACACCCAGCCAACCACCCTATTTTAAATATCAAGGTACCCAATCCCTCTTACCTGCTTTACTTTTTTGCCTTATTCCATAGTACTTTTGACATACTCTACAATTTACCTTTTTTGTGTTTTCTCATCTTCTTGCACTAGAATATGATCTACATGAGGGCTGGAATCTTTGTTGGTTTTCCTCATGTATGCCAAATGCATAGGACAATGCCTGGCATATAATCAGCTCTTGAAATATTTATGAAATTAATGAGTGCTTATAGCATATGAATCCTCAAGATACATTGGCAAATTAGAGTAGGACCAAAGTGGGGAGAAGAGTAAGAAGAGGTTTAAAATACACATGAGGGACCAGGCACAGTGGCTCACACCTGTAATCCCAGCACTTTGGGAGGCCAAGGTGGGAGGACCCCGTGTGAGTCCAGGAGTTCAAGACCAGCCTGGGCAACATGGCAAAACCCCATCTCTACAAAAAATACAAAACTTAGCCAGGCATGGTGGCACTTGCCTGTAGTCCCAGCTACTCAGGAGGCTGAGGTGGGAGGATTGCCTGAGCCAGGGAGGTCGAGGCTGTGGTGAGCCAGGATCTCACCACTGCACTCCAGCCTGGGCGACAGAATGAGACCCTGTCTCTAAAAATATATAAATAAATAATGGGGGATTCATTTATTTTTGAGACAGGGTCTTAACGCTGTCACCTAAGCTGCAGTACAATGGTGAGATCCTAGCTCACCACAGCCTCAACCTCCCAGGCTCCAACAATCTTCCTGCCTCAGCCTCCCAAAGTGCTGGGATTACAGGTGTGAGCCACCACACCTGGCTTGCAGTGAGCTATGATCAGCCCACTACACTCTAGCCTGGGCAACAGAGGAAGACCCTGTCTCAAAAAAAAAAAAAAAAAAAAAAAAAAAAAAAAGCGTGTCCTAATTAGAAGAGTCTGTAATTGTTATAGTCCATGACAACGTAGAATGCTGAATCAGTTGTGGAATTGATTTTTCAAATGCTTGTTTTACCTGGCAAATCATGTCAAAGGTAACCTGAGGCCAGGCAGAGTGGCTTACACCTGTAAATCCCAGCACTCTGGGAGGCCGAGGCGGAAGGATCGCTTGAGCTCAGGAGTTTGAGACCAACCTGGGCAACATAGCAATACTCCTTCTCTATTAAAAAAAATAAAATTAGCCAGGCTGGTGCACTTATATCCCAGCTACTCAGGAGGCTGAGGTGGGAGGATCACTTTGAGCCCAGGGGTTTGAGGCTGCAGTGAGGTATGATTGTGCCACTGCACGCCAACCTGGGCGACAGAGTGAAACCCTGTCTCAAAAAAAAAAAAGTAACAATGCCTTTATAATAATTACGATTTGTTATTTTAGCCACATAGCCATATATATGAAATTTACGTGACCTATTATTTCAGCCCTTTATTGCTGAAAATGAAATATTATTTTATTACTATCAGTTTAACCTTAATATCCCTCATTTCAGATTGCTTACCAGTATCATGGAATAAAATCTCCAATCTAAAATTCAATCTGAGTTTTATATTTAAGAATTTTAGCTTTATTATTTGTTTTAGATTAAGCTTCTGCACTTTTTTAAACGGTTATATATGTTCATTATCTTTCATCTTACATAGGAGCGGGATCGTTACGCCTACAAGATTCATCTTCCAGAAACAGTAGAGCAGCTGAGGAAATTCAATGCAAGGAGGAAACTAAAGGTAAATTAAACAAATCAGCAAAAAAGCCAAACAGATATAGTTAATGATCATGTTTTTATTCTATTTTGGTGCCCATAAATATGTACTAATGCTGGCCATTGTTTTTGTTGTAGCTAAATTCTCATTTCCAAAAATTACCACCACTTCAATAAGATTTTGGCTTTTTAAATTATTTAAGGTAGTATATCAGTATGAGTCTGAACAATAAATTATAATAGAAGATTAGTTGTATTTTAGATTTGTCTTAAATTTATAGCAGAGATATATTATTATCCATTATTATTGAATATGAATCTAGACCATGTTTTTTCAAACTTAAATATTTTGACAAATGTATGTTTAGTTCAATGGAAATAACTTTGAATTAGAATTGGAATTAGGGGCCGGGTGTGGTGGCTTATGCCTGTAATCCCAGCACTTTGGGAGGCCGAGGCGGGCGGATTGCCTGAGGTCAGGAGTTCAAGACCAGCCTGGCTAACATGGTGAAACCCCGTCTCTACTAAAAATACAAAAATTAGCTGGGCCTGGTGGCAGGCGCCTATAATCCCAGCTACTCGGGAGGCTGAGGCAGGAGAATTGCTTGAACTTGGGAGGTGGAGGTTGCAGTGAGCTGAGATCACACCATTGCACTCCAGCTTAGGCAACAAGAGCAAGACTTCATCTCAAAAAAAAAAAAAAAAAAAAAAAAGAATTGGAACTAGGATTGAACAACTATCAGAAAGCAGTAAATAAAATCTTACACTACCTTGATCTACTAGAAAATATTTTCAGCTCAGATCACTTTTCTCACCTTCTTTATTCTTCCTAGGTGTCTTTCTCCCTCTTACTACTCTCCCTATCCTCCACCTCACCAAAAAAAAAAAAAAAAAAGAAGAAGAAGAAAAGAAAACTGGTAATCACCCCATATGGGGAGTCCATTTGACTTTAAAAGGTTCTGAAAAAGACCAGACATAAAGTAATGGAATCTTTTCAGCACTGAGAGAAAATGCTGAGAGACCATCCCCCACCCAACCCTCCAGAGTAACAAAGGGAAATTGATTATCTTAACTTCTTAGAATTAATTTATGTTTGACTTACTTTTGATACTGAAAAATGTTAACTGTTCTCTAAGTGGTTGATTAGATAGTAGTCTTCCTTAGTCACATGACTCCTGCCAACTATAAAACTTTTCTTCTTAAGTATTTTCAGATATGCCATAAATTCTAATAATACCATTTTATTTTTCAACCCCTGAAATTAGTGAATTATTATGTATAACTCTAGACTTATAAAAACATTTATATGAATTTTGAGGAAACTATTAGGCTACAATATTATCCTATAGACCTGAAACTTTTAACATGGTACCCACTGGCCACATGCAGCTATTTAAATTTAAATTAATTAAAATTAAATAAAATTAAAAGGTCAGTTTCCCAGTCACACTAGCACATTTCAAGTGCTCAGTAACCACAGTTGGCTAGTGGCTACTATATTAGACAGCACAGATGTAGCTTGGGACATTTCCATCATTACAGAAGGATCTATTCAACCATGCTACTATAGAACAAGGGAAATATTAACATATCATTGTTGGTGTTGATTATTCCCATTTTAGCCTTTCTTCTCACTGATTTTGCAGTCAAGGGTTCAAAGTGACTCTTCTCTATTTGCTTTAAAAATCCTTGGCCAAAATAATTATTAATGATAAGCCATTATTGAGATGGTAGCCAAAGAAGTTTCCCAAAACTTTTATTCTTTTTGCCTTGATATCCACCTAAACCTGTGTAGCCTACAAATAAAAAACTCTTTTATTATTCAAAGTGAAATTTGGTCAACTGTTTTTGAAGTTAGTTTCCTCCCCAAAGAAACTATTATTACACTTTTTTGTCAACTTTTCTATAAGTCATTCTAAACCTAATTGCTTTGGCCTCATGTGACATTACGCTGTATGGGGTTGAACCTTTCATTGCCCAAATACAAACATTTCACCAGAGAGCTTGGGCTTGCCCCATCACAAGAAACACATGCTGTACTTCTCCCGGGGCCACAGAATCAGACTTGGGCCTAAAATAGCCAAAGTGGTGACTAAGATTCATTTGGACAGGGCCAAGCTGTCAAAACAGAGAGGGGTCATGTGGATTTACCACATCCCCTTGCAGGGCTATTTAAAGTTTTAAGACCCACCAAACAACCTAGAACTAGGAACATCAGCAGGGTCATTAGTGAATGTGTTTGGCTTCTGATAAGGCTGTATTCTTTTGAGTAGTTCAGCCACCTTGTTAAAACATGTTACACCTACCATCCTCAAGGAACTAATTCCCATTCTGCCTCTTCAGTGGACTTCTAGAACAGAGATTGCAACTTCCTTGGCTTTCAGAGTCCACCACACACTTTATTTTCACACAACTAGGTGCTCATCCTACCCAGACACTATTCTTAACCTCCTCAGTGGTGGGTGACAGTTTAATTTGTAATGACTCCCTTGGAAGTGATTAAAAGGGAGTTCACAGAAAGCGGTAGAAAATTACTTTTGTGGCCAGGCACAGTGTTTCACACCTGTAATCCTAGTACATTTGGAGGCCAAGGCGGGCAAATCGCTTGAGCTCAGGAGTTCAAGACCAGCCTGGGCAACATGGTGAAACCCCGTCTCTACAAAATATACAAAAATTAACCAAGTGTGGTGGCTGTGCATGCCTGTAATCCCAGCTATTGGGGGCCTGAGGCAAGAGGATCACTTGAGCCTGGGAGGCGGAGGTTGCAGTGAGCCAAGATCACGCCACTGCACTCCAGCCTGGGTGACAAAGTGAGACCTTGTCTCAAAAAAAAAAAGAGAAAAAAGAAAGAAAGAAAATTACTTTGGTAACTTAGTCATGATGGAATGATGGAAAATGTATTTTCCCCATTTTGGTTACCACATGTTTCATGTGTCGAGTTTTTTCCTCCTAATTCATACTAAGCTCTGGAATTGTAATACTTCATTAAAAAAAAATAAAAAAAAAGAATCCTCTAGATAACAATACTTTCTTTAATAAACTACATCGTTCTGAGCACAGAACTGAATATGAGGACATTTTCTCAAACTGAATATTAGGATACATGAGACAGACTGCATGATCTCCAGGCTGTGTGGAAAATCTGTGCTCTGTGGTCTGGGGCTTTTGAGGGGGCACACCTGTACTCTAACCCTGGCTGTCATCTACTGAAGGAGGTACTGAGGAAAGTGGTAACTGTTGTTATCTGAGGATGTCTATCCAGAGAAGAGACTCAGGAGGGAATGTATTCTGAAGTCATCCCTATTGCTTCTTCAATTATTTCTACCCCTAGAAAGCAAATTCCCCACAGTGAAGTGTGTTGAAGAAATTCTATACAAATAGAAGCAATATTCTATGTTTGGGTAAGTTTATTGCAGTCCATTTAAGAAATGGTGAGTCGAGTCCACGTGATTCAGTTAAGAGGATAAAATCATTTATTTCCTATATATACAGAAAGCAAGGATTTCTAATAACTTTCTACAGTTTTTCTTTATTATTATTATTATTTTTTTTTTTTTTTTTGAGAGAGTCTTACTCCATCACCCAGGCTTAGAGTGCAGTGGCGCAATCTCGGCTCACTGCAGCCTCCGCCTCCCAGGTTCAAGTGATTATCCTGCCTCAGCCTCCCAAGTAGCTGGGACTACAGGCACCACCACATCCAGCTAATTTTTGTATTTTTAGTAGAGACGGGATTTCACCATGTTGGCCAGGCTGGCTTTGTACTCCTGACCTCAAGTGATCCGCCCGCCTCGGCCTCCCAAAGTGCTGGGATTACAGGCATAAGCCACCGCGCCCAGCCTTTATTAATTTTGCAAATTGCAAAAGTATTCTCTGACTTACTGATTGGTCACTTGTGTTCCTGAACTGTGCATAACTACGAAAGGTTTGTTTAGGAGTGCCATTTTCTAATACTGTATAAAGCTGTACTATCCAGTACAGTAGTAAATAGCCATATGTAACTGTTTACATTTCAATTTTAATAAATTAATATTAAATAAAAAGTAAAATTTGGTTGCTCTGTTGCGCTAGCACCTTTCAAATGCTCAATACCACGTGTGACTGATGGCTACTGTATTAGACAGCACAGGTTTAGAAAATTTCCTTCATCACAGATAGTTCTATTGTATGGTATTGCTATAGAGTCTTGGTAACTGCAGAGTAATGCTTATACATAAGCAGCACTTTTTGATAGGTCAACCAGGAAGCTATAATAGATATTTTTTGGCAATTTTCTTTCTGTTAGTTCAACAAAAACTAACTTAAAGATTTATCAAAGACCTTTGTACCGTAATGAAACCCAGCATTTACATACAGTCCTCTCTGTAGTAAGGGTTTGTACAAAGGCAGTAAATTGAGATAGCAGTCGTTGTGGGCTTCAGCTAATCAGAGCATTAAATCTGGTATCCAAAAGGTAACCTTTGAGCCTGAGCAACATAAGGAGACCCCGGCTCTACAAAAATAAAAAATTTGCCGGGTGTGGTTGCACACGCCTGTGGTCCCAGCTACTTGGAAGGCTGAGGTGGGAGGATCACTTGAGCCTGGGAGGTCAAGGCTGCAGTGAGCTGTGATCACACCACTGCACTCCAGCCTGAGTGACAGAGTAAGACTCTGTCTCAAAAATAAGCGGGGTGGGGACCTTAATTCTAAAAACTGAAAACTTATTCTGGTATGAGCAGTTCCGCAAATATTCTGGTATGAACAGTTCCACAAATAATAAGTGAAGTGATTTTGATCTTACATATTGATTTTACAAATCAATTAATTTGTGATTTTTTTTAAGAAATACATATATAGGCCAGGCACGGTGGCTCACGCCTATAATCCCAGCACTTTGAGAGGCTGAGGCGGGCGGATCACCTGAGGTCAGGAGTTCGAGACCAGCCTGACCAACATGGAGAAACGCCATCTCTACTAAAAAAAATACAAAATTAGCTGGGCATGGTGGCACATGTTTGTAATCCCAGCTACTCGGGAGGCTGAGGCAGGAGAATTGCTTGAACCTGGGAGGCGGAGGTTGCAGTGAGCCAAGGTTGCACCATTGCACTCCAGCCTGGGCAACAAGAGCGAAATTCTATCTCAAAACAAAAAAAGAAAAGAAATACATATATAGATATATGTTGTTTTTTCTTTTTTAATTGAGACAGGGTCTCACTCTGTTGCCCAGGCTGGTCTCAAACTCCTGGACTGAAGCAATCCTCCCACCTTGGCCTCCCAAAGTGCTGGGATTACAAGTGTGAGCCACCATGTCCCACCAGTTTATGATTCTGAAATGTAGAATATATTACTTCCTGTTGGGCAATAGATTTTGAAAATTATGTACATTTAAGACCATCTCTATAAAATACTTTTACATAGACCCAAAAGAATTTCTAAGATATCTATTCTGTGCAATTACTCTTAAATATAACTATATCTAGTACACTTACAAGTCTCATTTTTCATTTTCTCTAGAGAAAATACTGCAGCCTCTTTTAGTCATATATCCTGACTGAAAATTATGAAATTAAAGGTTTTAGACCTATGTTTAGGTTATGTTTGAGTATTATATATGTATAGGCTATGCTGACTAAACTGAATGATAACTCTGGTTTTGGCTATATGGAGACATATCAAAAGTTCTGATTTAATTAATCATCTCACCTAATTATCATCTAGGACCTAATTATTAAGTATAATCAACCCAAATTCTTTAACATCTCTACCTTGAAATGATTTTCTTGACTTTTGGTCATCTCTGTTCAGCCTCAACCTCTCCAAATTCTCCACCCTTTTTAGGGCTTTTGAGTTCAGTCGTCTGAATTCTAATAGGATGATTATCTTTCAAATTTCTTTGTCACACTCCTATTGGTATGTTCTGGTGATACACTTTCTCCCCTCAGTATATTTCCCTGTTCACTCAGGAATATGACTATATATTACCTTGTTATTTAGGTACAAAGCCAATTATTCTATATCTGATACTTGTATATTTTGTATTTAGATGTTTTAAAATGTACCCTCCTGCCATGACTGTGTATTGCCTTGTTATTTAGGTACAAAACCAATTATTTTATATCCAATACTTGTGTATTTTGTATTTAAGGTTTAAAAATGTACCCTTCTGCCATTGTGCCTATCAAACTTCATGATGCGTGTTTCTGAGCTCAGGAAATACCAAAAAGGGAGTATTCGGTTTTTGGTTTTTGTCTTCAAGTCAGCAATACATCTTTGTTCAGCTCTTGTGTTCCTCAATAACTTTGTTCCCTCCTTAAGTGCATTCAGTAGTTAAACTTAGCAGAAATCTGACCTAACCATTTTCTTGTTTTCCACTTCCTTAAATGCCACACAGAATCATCTAGCCAGAAGCATACCATTTTGATGTTTGACATATTGACATTTCAAGAAAACTATAATTATGATTAAGAATTATTTCTAGTTCTTAACTACAAATTAAAAACTTGTGGTGCTCTTTTTCTCTGAATTTATAATCTGCCTTCTCCTTTCTAGGTTAATTTGCTTGATAGAAAATTACAACTTTAATATTATTTATCTTAACAGATTGTGAATAGTCTAATTAACTCAAAAGTATTATGTTTCGCCCTTAAAAGATACTAAATTATACCTTCTAAATTAAAGCAGGTAGAAAACTTCTTTGTCAAGGGTTTAATAAACCAGAAAGTTTGAAGAACTACTTGTATAAAATCTGATTTTTTAATTGTTGTATTACATTATTGCTATCGATGAGCAATATTACATTATTAGCAATCAGTAGCAATAATGTAATACAGGGGTTGGCAAACTATGACCTGGGGGTCAAATCCAACCCACTGCCTATTCTTGTATATAAAGTTTTATTAGAACATAGCAAAGTACATTAATTTGCATATTGTCCATGGCTGCTTTCACACTACAGTGGTAGAACTGAGTAGTTGCAAAAGAGATCATATGACCTTTAGAGCCTAAAATACTTACTGTCTGATTATTTACAGAAAAAAAATTGCTGACCCCTAGTATAGTAGAAATCCTTGAACTGGGGAGAGTAGTCATTGAATGTCAATTATGTCTACTCTTCATTATGTCTCTAAGTTGACAGAGACCTTAACAGGTTGCTAAGCCTCTCTGGACCTCAGTTTTCTCGTCTGCAAAATGAGTCCCTTAGAATGAATAATCTCTAAGGTTGATTCTCAAACTAATAAAATTATATGAATCCGTGACCTATTTCAGAATGATGTTGCTGTTTTACATAATGGCTTGCATTGAATATTTAAACCATCTATAGTCACTGGGTTCAGACAACTAAATATTAGGTGGGGCACCATGGCTTACACCTGTAATCCCAGCACTTTGGGAGGCTGAGGCCGTAAGAGTGCTTGAGCCCCAGAGTTTGAGACTAGCCTGAGCAATATAGTGAGACTCAGTTTCTATTATTTAAAAAAAAAACAAACTACGTAAACAAAACTGCTAGTCATAAGACAGATAAATTTAAAGCATACTACTATTGTTTCAAAAGCATTTGCATCTCAGGGCTCTTTTAGATACTGTTTTCCTAGTAGTATAGGTATTTATTACAGATCTTTGACAATAGTAGCAAGAACAGGCCTTGAAGCGTATAACTAACATCTTAAGAAATACAGTTGTACTTCATTTGGAAATAAAAATAAAGCATCTCTAAAAGCCTAGTTTCCGTGTGTGGGAAACGTGATTTGATATATAAAAATTCCATTCCCACCCAGCTTTTAGGAAACATGTATAATACGTAAAGTAAAATAAGTTTTTATAAAAAGAAGAACTCAACATTCACTACTGTTTTTTCAACATGGTAACTATAATTCTGCATAAGAACCTTTCATGCGTAACTTTAGACTTTCAGAAATCTCAAAAGTTACCTGGAATGTTAACATCAATATCACTTCTCTCTTTTTGCCCTTCCCTTTCTACAGTAAGTAAACTTTGTGGAAATATATTTTATTAATGTTTTCTGGCCAGGCGCAGTGGCTCACACCAGTAATCCCAGCACTTTGGGAGGCCGAGGTGGGTGGATCACTTGAGCGCAGGAGTTCAGGACCAGCCTGGGCAACATGGTGAAACCCCATCTCTACAAAAAAATACAAAAGTTAGCCAGGCATGGTGGCACACGCCTGTAGTCCCAGCTACTTGGGAGACTGAGATGGGAGGATCACTTGAGCCTGAGAGGTTGAGACTGCAAAGAGCCGAGATTGTGCCATTGCACTCCAGCCTGGGCAACAGAGCGAGACCCTGTCTCAAAAAAATAATAATAATGTTCTCATATTAGCAGATACCTAAACACAAACAAGTTTTATCTTTCCAGAAAAATTCAAGAGTTAATATTTAAAATTTAGACTTAGACTACTTAGGTGATTTGATAAACTAACTAAATGAGTGATTCTACATAGACCAGCAAAAGGCTGTGCTCATGTTCTAGATCTTTATTAGTAGAGTTAGTAATGATATGCACTTACAGAATGCTTTACAATTTGCAAAGCACTTTCATTAATACATTATGACTTTTGCCAATCCTGTAAGATAAGTCCATTTTAATATTCTTTTTTTTTCTTTTTTGAGACGGAGTTTCACTTTTGTTGCCCAGGCTGGAGTGCAATGGCACGATCTCGGCTCACCGCAACCTCTGCCTCCCGGGTTCAAGCAATTCTCCTGCCTCAGCCTCCCAAGTAGCTGAAATTACAGGCATGCGCCACCATGCCGGGCTAATTTTCTGTATTTTTAGTAGAGACGGGGTTTCTCCGTGTTGGTCAGGCTGATCTCAAACTCCCGACCTCAGGTGTTCCACCCGCCTCGGCCTCCCAAAGTGCTGGGATTGCAGGCGTGAGCCACCGCGTCCAGCCCGTTTTCATATTCTTACTTTACAGATAAGAAAGCCTAGAGAGGTTAAATGATTTACTCCCAAATACCACATGTTCTCCCTTATAAGTGGGAACTAAGCTATGGGTACACAGAGGCATGCAGAGTAGTATAATGGACACTAGAGACTCAGAATAGGGGAGGGTGGAGGGGCAAGGGATAGAAAATCACCTGTTGGGTACACTGTACACTACTCAGAAGACAGATTCACTAAAAGCCCACACTTCACTACTGTACCATTTATCCATGTAACCAAAAACCACTTGTACCCCTAAAGCTGTTTAAATAAAAAATAAAATAAATATGATTTACTGAAGCAGTAACTCCCAACATTTTTCCACTCTACAGTCCTAAGGGATGTCATGCACTCAAATGGCAGTGATTTCCAACTAGGAATAAGGGGAGGCTATGCATATAGCTTAAAAGAGTCATATGTAGTTGATTCTGTTGTGTGGCCTGATGGAGAATTACTATACAAAAGTAAGACATTGTCATTGTTAAAACAAAAAGAGGGAAAAAAGATTTTAAAAAGAAAAATGACACATAATCCTACCACCCAGAGATAATTAATAACATTCTGGTGTATATGCAGTCTTTTATATCCATATTAACTTTTTTACCCAAAAATGAGATTATAATATACATTGATTTTAAACCTTTTTCATGTAATTAATCACAGACATCTTTTCATTCCACTAAACACCCTTCTACAACATCATTTTATAATAACTGCAGAATATTCCATCCTGTGTTACATGTTTGAATTCAAGATGTAAGTGGTTTCATATACTTCTACAATTCCCGATTAGTGTTATTCTGGTATATGCATATGTAATTTATTTCAAGGAATCTGAAATAATTTAAAAACTACCTCTCTTCTAGCCATCATCTCCTATATATTTGACTTAATGGATAATCCTTAAGATAAATAATTTGTTAAATAACTTATTTATATTTGTGTATTTGTTTTAATAATCTATTTTTTCATCTCTTTGTTTTAGGGTGCAGTACTAGCCGCTGTGTCAAGTCACAAATTCAACTCATTCTATGGGGATCCCCCTGAAGAGTTACCAGATTTCTCCGAAGACCCTACCTCCTCAGGTAATTGGATAATTCACTTATTCACCTGTGTGGGTCATTTGGCATTTACATCCATTCTCTCCCATTGTGAATAAACTTTTCCTGTGCATTTAGTTAAATCCTCCAACGGATTCTAAGGAAGTTTGTCAGCAACCAAATCCTGTCTACATGTGTCTTGTTCCTTTTCATTTTAATACCAAAGTTGCTTTCTCCTGTGGCTCCAAAACCAACACTTCATTTTTTTTTCTTTTCACCTCAGTAATACTTCTTCCCCTTTCCACACTCTAGACCCAGCATTGCACTCCATCCAATCCAACATCCTAGTCAGTCTTTTGGGATCTTTCTGATTACCTTCTCTCTCAACAAAAACTTCTAATATAAGCTTTTCCCCAGGTCAGTCGTATTAGATCAGACTGTGGGCAGCACTGCTTTGAATGGAATCTTTCAGTGTAGAGCTGTCTTGTGAGTTATCTCCTGAAACAGTTACCAAGTTCTTCTTTCTGTATAAAAATCTATAACACGGCCAGGCATGGTGGCTCATGCCTGTAATCCCAGCACTTTGGGAGGCCAAGGCAGGCAGATCACCTCAGGTCAGGAGTTCGAGACCAGCCTGGCCAACATGGCAAAACCCCATCTCTGCAAAAACACAAAAATACAAAAAAAAAAAAAAAAAAAAAAAAAAGCCAGGCGTGCTGGCCTGCGCCTGTAGTCCCAGCTACTTGGGAGGCTGAGGCAGGAGAATCACTTGACCCGGGAGGCGGAGGTTGCAGTGATCCGAGATCATGCCACTGCACTCCAGCCTGGGCGATAATGCGAGACTCCATCTCAAAAAAAGAAAAAAAAAATCTGTAACACATGCATACAAGTATCCAAAGGGGAAGAACACAGAAGAGTTATTTGTTTTGATGAACTGTATATAAGTACCCCTGAAACAACCTGCCAGTGTTCACAAAATCATTTTATAAGCCAGTGCAGTGGTGTGCATGTGTAGTCATAGCTACTCAGGAGGCTGAGGCACCCGGCTCAGGGGGATCACCTGAGCTCAGGAGTTTGAGGATGCAGTGAGCTGTGATCACACCACTGCTCTCCAACCTGGACAACAAAATGAGACCTCGCCTCTTAAAAATTAAGAGATAAAAGGCCAGGCACAGTGGCTCACGCCTGTAATCCCAGCACTTTGGGAGGCCGAGGCGGGCAGATGATGAGGTCAGGAGATCAAGACCATCCTGGCTAACACGGTGAAAACCTGTCTCTACTAGAAATACACAAAAATTAGCCGGGCGTGGTGGTGGGCACCTGTAGTCCCAGCTACTCGGGTGGCTGAGGCAGGAGACTGGCGTGAACCCGGCAGGCAGAGCTTGCAGTGAGCCGAGATCACGCCACTGCACTCCAGCCTGGGCGACAGAGTGAGACTCCGTCTCAAAAAAAAAAAAAAAAAAAAATTAAGAGATAAAAAAATAAAAAACCAAAACCATTTTATAAAATGCTCAGATTTCCATCTTACCAGTGTAATATTCTCAAGAATCATTTACTAAAAACCCATAGGGTCCATTTATATGTATATGTAAATGCGTGTGTGTGTGTGTTCTAAATTTTTATTTATGCATTTTTTATTTACTTAACTCCTGAATCATGTGTCCTCTGGCCTCAGCTTTTTTTCTTTCTTTCATTAGAGCCACTCCATATTTGTCATCTTTGATTTTTGTACTCTTGGACTAGCTTCATCAATATTCATATATTACCACTGGGACTGAGGCCCTGGGCCCTTCCTAAAGCCTGAGGTTTCTGTCCCACAGTTAGTAATATAGGAAGAATTAATGTGCTAATGCTTCTTTCCTGTTGGTACCATGAGCATCTGTCAGTATTTATGCTTCTCCTCTCCTCTGTTTATACATGTGTGTGCACCTACACATTCACATACACACACACACAATTTCTTACCAATTAGTATGTGCTTGTACCTTGTGCAAAATGACAAGATCTTGAGGTGATGGATACCCCATTTACCATGATGTGATCATTATGCCCATATCAAAATGTCTCCTGTACCCCATAAATGTATACTATGTACCCACAAAAATTTAGAACTTTTTTAAAATGACAAGATCAACTTTCCCATTCCAGCAGTTATACAGTTCCTCATTTTGACCTTTACCAATTAGGATGTGAATCTTCCTCTTTTGAGTGAAGGTGATTTCCAAAAACATTCAGAAATGGGAATCTTAGAGAAGAGACTGAGGAGAAAGCCTTGCCATTTTTCTCTTGTGCTGACTTGGTCATTATCCAGAGCCCTTCCCACATGAAAGGCAGGGATCTAGTTGTGTTTATAGGTGTGGTCCCCAGTGCTTCTTATTGTTTCACGTCTGTCTTTTCTTCCACTCCATTTTGTTCCCTCCACCTGTAACTTCTTTTGTTAGCTGAAACCTCTGTCTTCTCTCCTCACACTCAGATTACAGTGGACCCTATTTAAGGGGAGTGGATCCAGTAATGGTTTGTATTGTCATACTGTGGCTGTATGATATAATCACATGCTTATAATATATTTAGGATAAATCTCTTTGAGATTTTAGGTCAAGATCTCTACTACCATTTTCATCTTTAGAAATGGAGCTAAAGGCTGGGCATGGTGGCTCATGCCTGTAATCCCAACAGTTTCAGAAGCCAAGGCAGGAGGATTGCTTGAGCCTAAGAGTTTGTGACCAGCCTGGGCAACATAGGGAGACCCTCTACTTTGTAAGAAGTCAAAATATTAGCCAAGCGTGGTAGCACACACCTGTGGTCCCAGCTACTAGGGAGGCTGAGGCAGGAGGATCACTTGAGCCCAAGAGGTCAAGGCTGCAGTAAGCCGTGAGTGCATCACTGTACTCAAAACTGGATGACAGAACAAAACTCTGTCTCAAAAAAAAGAAAAGGGGCCAGGCACAGTGGCTCATGCCTGTAATCCCAGCACTTTGGGAGGCCGAGGTGGGTGGATCACTTGAGGTCAGGAGTTTGAGACCAGCCTGGCCAACATGGTGAAACCCCCATCTCTACTAAAAATACAAAAATTAGCCAGGCATGATGGCCACGCGCCTGTAATCCACCTGAGGCAAGAGAATTGCTTGAACCCAGGACACGGAGGTTGCAATGAGCCGAGATCGTGCCACTGCACTCCAGCCTGGGTGACAGAGCAAGACTCCATCTCAAAAACAAAAGGAAAGGAAAATAAAAAGAGTAATACTCTATGCATTTAGGAAAATATGAATATTTAAAATAACAGTTTAAAAACTTGTCATCTAATAAGAAGTCAAACATGTTTAGGTATATTGTTTACGATGTAAAACAATTTTTCTATAAATGATAATTTTCTATTTTGATTATTGAAATTCATACATTATGCATTTACTAGAATTCATTTAATCTTATGATGAACTGTGTATTGCTTGAAGTGGGGCTGGGCACGGTGGATCACTCCTGTAATCCCAGTACTTTGGGAGGTGGAAGTGGGTGGATCACTTGAGGTCAGGAGTTCGAGACCAGCCTGGCCAAAATGGCGAAACCCCGTCTCTACTAAAAATACAAAAATTAGCTGGGCGTGATGGCATGTGCCTGTAGTCCTAGCTACCAGGAGGGTAGGGAGCCAGGGCTGAGGTAGGAGGATCACTTGAGCCCAGGAGGCAGAGTTTGCAATGAGCTGAGATTGCACCACTGTACTCCAGCCTGGGTGGTAGAGTGAGACCCCATCTCAAAAAAAAAAAAAAAAAATCAATGTTGAAATATTCTTTTCTCATATTTCAAATCAAGTAATTCAGAATCAGAACCCAACGTTTGATGTCTGAAATCCCAAACAGTTCCAGTGATTGTACTCATGGAACATGAGGGCTCACTTTGGGGTCAGCTGGGGGACCATGCTTCTGGTGGCTCATGTAGTGGGCCGAACTGTGGCTTGATAACCTGCTTGTTCTAAAATCATACTGTTTGTTGTTTGTCCATATGCTGCCTTCCTCCTAGGACTTCTAGCAGCAGAAAGTAGGTATCCCTTTGTTTTCCTTTAAGGTGTATCTTTTATGCAAAAGTGTTTGGCTTTGCATGGTTCGTAATCAGCTTGACTTTTTCCTTGGCTGTTTGTGTGTAGTTGTTTAAGTATTAATTTTAACACTGCCTGGTCATAAAATTAAAACTTGGATATATTGATTTTTGAGGCATTGTTGCACAAACAATATTAAGTTCTCACTTCTTTCATAAGAGGAAAAAAGACAGTGTTAAAATTTCAACGGCATTTAATACTTCACATCTGAATTTCACATACGAATACATTAATTCTGGGGAAAGAGTAACATTTATTTTAGAGTTTGCTTTCAAGAAAACTTTCAGGGTAAGTGAATTTTTCTTTGACAATTACATCACCTGTAAGTGGTCTTTATTGCTTCCTGTTACTGAGTCCATTTTCAGTTTATTTGGACCTGTGAAATAAATTCTGAAATCATATCTCTTAACAACTTTTACCATCAGATAGAACATTTATAAGGAATAATGTAATAGCTAGATTTTAATTACAAAGGGGCATAATTTGAGTTTGGGAGAAAATTAAAATGTAAGAAATGTACACACAGTTGAGTACATGTAAAACTGAGGCAATCTGAATAAGATGGGTGGATTGTATCAATGTCAGTATTCTGGTTATGATAATATACTATCGTTTTGTAAAATGTTACCAATGGGGGAACTGAGCAAAGAATACAAGGGATCTCTCTGTATTATTTCTTACAAGTGCATGTGAATCTACAATTATCTCAATAAAAATTCTAATTAAAAAAATAAACCTTTACCTCAAAGATAAATGAGAAAGCCTGGGTACTAATGATTGAATTCATTTTCACAT
The DNA here is from genome assembly GCF_000001405.40 of Homo sapiens. Taxonomy (NCBI): domain Eukaryota; kingdom Metazoa; phylum Chordata; class Mammalia; order Primates; family Hominidae; genus Homo; species Homo sapiens. Next base: position 41,621,763 of record NC_000023.11, on the reverse strand, counting down.
TTTCTTACATTAGTTATCTGTAGCTCAAATTGCAGCTGATTTAATATAAATCTTATAGTATATTAGTTACCTATTGTTGGGTAATGAATTACCTTAAAACAGCAGTTGTCATCTCACAGTTCCTGTGGGTCAGGAATCTGGGCGTGGCTTAGCTGTGTGCCTCTGGCTCAAGATCTCTCATGAGATTGTGGTCCAGTGCTGCTATCTCACCGGAAGGCACAACTGCAGGAGGAATCCTCTTCCAAGCTCACTCACATGGTTGTTGCCAGGCTTCGGTTCCTTACTGGCTGTGGTCCTCTTCACAGGGCTGGCTGTTCACAGCATGGCAGCTCACTTCCCAGCACGAAAGATAAAAGAGGGGGGCAAAAGTGAGAGACAGTGCCCAAGACTGAAGACACAGTCTTTACAGCCTAATCTCATAGTGACGTCTTATCACTTCTGCACTATTCTGTTCATTAGAAATGAGTCAGTAAGTCCAGCCTGCACTCCAGGGGAGGGGACTGATTACACAAGGCTGGAAATACCAGGAGACCAGGTTACTGGGGCCCATCTTAGAGGCTGCCCACCACGTACAAATTAATAACTATTAAAATGTAAGATTCTTCCCGTCTAGATTTAGCGCTCCTCTTTTTTTTTTTTTTAAATCAGCCAACCTGTCATGTTATTTGAGAATGGGCATCTTGGATGTATCAGTAGTGATTTTCCTTAGTTGTAAAGCTTTACACGAGTGGGTACTTAATAGCAGAATGTTATTAAAGTACTTTGAAAAATCTGTGCTCGAAGATGTTTCTATATGGAAGCATAAACTATTTTAATAATCATAATGGCATTAGAGATTATAACATCTATACGCTGACAGAATACATATGCAGAGTTTACTTCCTTTAATAAATTTCAAGGTATCTGTACCATAATCCACATATGGAGAATCTAAAGCATGTATCACCATATGTAAGTTCTCATAACTTGAGTTGGATATGGCACAGATGCTTATGTCCAAAATACAGTTTCCATTACAGGATTCATTATTGCTTATAACTTGATTGATAACAAAGAATTTGCTTTGTGCAGTGGGAATAAAAAGTGTTGAACAGGGTGTGGTGATAGAGGGAAGAGATTGGCTGCAAAGGGACAAGAGAGAACTTTTTTGAAGTGATGACAGTGTACACTTAAATGGCGACTTTTAACTTAAAACAGTATACCTTAGTAAGCAGATTTTTTTTAAAAAGTATTGTGCTTGCAAGGAGGGGCTTTGATTGAGTAGGTGATAATGTGTGTGTGTAGTAATACAATGTATTAATTGATCGCTAATATAATAGAAAAGGTATTGATTACTCTTAGAAGAAGCTAGGCTAGGTTCAGATTCTAGATTTGCTCAGTGATGCTGAGTTTCATAGCTATACATTGTAAATTAAGAAATACACACACATTGAGAATTTAATGTGTTATTTTGTGAAAATCTGAGAAGCAGGAATGGGATTTAATGATCTCAACTGTCATCCATCTGAAAAACCTAACTTGTGATTTTAAATAAGATGGCATACTGCCTTCCACTATTCCCTTTTAAAAACAGGAAATGTCCCTGCTTTTATCTTTATGAAGTTTTATTTATGAATAAAGTTTGTACTATTTAAAAAAAAAAGAAATACACAAATCTTTATTGAAACAATTACAGTGAAAACTTGGGTATATCAAAACTCATTGAATGGTACACTTAAGATTTGTGTATTTCATTCTATGTAAATTTTACCTCAGAGAGAAAAATAAGCATTGCAATCTTTGCTGAAGTCTTTAAGGGTGAAGTGTACTAATGCTGGCCACTGCCATTTAATTTGAAATGAATGAAAAATACGTGAACTGATGGATAGATGGGTAGACATGTGATAAAGCAAATACAGCAAACTGTCAACATATGTAGGATCTAGGTGGTGGGCACGATTCTTTCAAACTTTCTGTATGTTTGAAGCTTTTCGTAGTAAAATGTAAGGGGAAAAACTTTTAAGACATACTCAGCCTACTTTAACACTGAGAACTTTTTAGTCTAAACATTTGACTGTTTATTTTTCTGTCCTCCTTTTGGTTTATTTTTACTTGGTCAACCTTTTTATGAGACTTCCACTCTCGTAATGAGATTATTCTAGACTCAAAGCTTTTATTGACCTTAAAAGCATATTTCTCTTTAAAGAAATAGAAACATTTTTTAAACAGTTGACATATTTATGCTTTTTTTGACTATTATTTCATAATAGTAGCAGAAAACTTTTGAAAAACTTGTTTGTACTGGTGAGATTATTTGAAAAAGTAGAAGTATTCAAAGTTAAAATGTGCAGGCCAGTCATGGTGGCTCATGCCTTGCCAGCACTTTGAGAGGCTGGGGTGGGAGGATTGCTTGAGGCCAGGAGATTGAGATCAGCCTGCACAACATAGTGAGATCCCATCTCTATTTAAAAAAAAAAAAAGTATGATTATAAACCTGATTTTTAGATACAAACTTTATTGCCAAATGAATTATGAAAACAAAATACTATTCTGAAGGCAGGGCATTATAGTATCTAATAAGTTCATGAATGTGGAAGTTTGGACCAAGGGCTAGGAAAAAACCTTATATGGTAAATCAAATTGAGATTAAAGAGAGAACAGAAATTAGGCATCACGCCTGTAATCCCAGCACTTTGGGAGGCCAAGGCGGGTGGATCACGAGGTCAGGAGTTTGAGACCATCCTGGCTAACACGGTGAAACCCCCTCTCTACTAAAAATACAAAAAAAAAATTAGCCAGGTGTGGTGGCGGGTGCCCGTAGTCCCAGCTACTCGGGAGGCTGAGGCAGGAGAATGGCATGAACCCAGGAGGCGGAGCTTGCAGTGAGCCGAGATCACACCACCGCCCTCCAGCCTGGGCGACAGAGTGAGACTCTGTCTCAAAAAAAAAAAAAAAAAAAGAAATTGGACATCACCTCATTACCAAATGCAAATCATTCTGATGCATTGCTGAGGATAAAACATGATTTTGTGGGTGGGGGACAGTCTATTATGGAAGGAACACTGAATTAGGAGTGAGACCTGGGTTCTAGGATTTGATCTTCTGCTTATTGCCTGTGGCCCTTGGAAAGGTTATTTAACCCTACTGAGCCTCTGGTTTTTCAAATATAAAAACACTTGCTGACCAAGCATGGTGGCTCAATGCCTATAATCCCAGCACTTTGGGAGGCTGAGGCGGGAGGATTGCTTGAGCCCAGGAATTTGAGAATAGCCTGGGCAACAGAGAGAGACCCCCAACTCTACAAAAAACTTTTTAAAAAATTAGCCAGGCATGGTAGCGTGCCTGTAGTCCCACCTGTTTGGAAGGCTGAGGTGGAAGGATTGCTCAAGCCCAGAAGGTCGAGGCTGCAGTGAGCCAGGATCACGCCACTACACTCCAGCCTAGGCAACAGAGCAAGATCCTGTCTCAAAACAAAAAAAACACTTGCCTGCAGAGACAGGGTTATTGTGGAATCACATAAGGTAGTAAGTATAAAAGCACTTTGGAAATTATAAGCTGTTAATACAAATATAAGTATTAAAATAATTTCAAATGTGGCTTTAAGGAAACAGTACTATAAAAGAAATTGTTTTCTGTGGTTAAGTCTTTCTCATACTTTGTTTTCAATTCTTCAGAATTTACTCAGAAAAAAATCATTTTAATCAGGCCATTTTATGAAGTGTCTTGGTACAAAGGACTCTGCAAAGTACACCCCAGAATACAGAGGTAAATAGGATACCTACAGTCCTGCCGTTAAATCAACTGCCCTCTGAGGTGAACTTGTGTACTTTTTATTGATTGATTTTGTTTTCAAGATAGTTACAAGTTTATTCAGAGGTTTTATAGGAAAAACAGCCTTTTTAGTCTTTGAGAAAAATAGTTATTTTATATGTGACAGTATTGATCTTCAAAATGAAAACTAGTAACATCTTAATTAGCATGTGCTGCATGTGTTATATTAATAATCACTACTGCCTCGGGGTTTAAAATCTAAAACAAATAGCAATGGAGAAGCCCGAGAAGTGTCTTTGTGTCTATTTATATCTTATAATGAATTGAAACACCATGGGATTTTTAGATGGTTGGTACTGAACTACAGATATCAATTATACACACATCTATCCAACCAAGAATGTGTTCTGTGGTTCTGTTTGTCATACCCAAAGAAAGAAATAACGGAACTAGAACAGGTGTTAATGGAAGGTGTTAAAATAATCAAGGGTGAAGACAGATTTTGAGGTTAAGCCAAAAATATGTATTTATTCCATTTGAAAAGATGAAGGAGAAATGGAATAAAAACTCTAATTTTTCTACCTAATTACAGAAACTTAAAAATAGGGGCACTTTTCAGAGCTTGAAATAGACAACTTGAGTACAACTAGGGAAGTGCTTCTTTTCATGATTGAGAACCCATCAAGTTAATCATATTTGGGTACAAGATAAGACTATAAATCAGTTCAGAAGAGGTGACAGATCCAAGGAGGTTTAATAGACCTGTTGGAATTGTGGCTCTTGCCTACTTTAAATGCCTGCTAACAGATGCCTTTGTGCTTTCCAGCAAAGTATCTGCTGGTCCTGTCAACACAGCTTTGATCCTGTGTGGGGGTGGTGAATTCCTGCTCATCCACCTCTCTGCGGCTCCCCAACTCCTCCCTAGGCAGCCTGTGTGTCAGTTTGTTTTTACCTCTTCTATACCGTTTACTTCAGGGTATAATATGCCTACTTCACACACCAGTCTGAGAGCCCCTTCCTCAGGGCCGGTGATCATATCTCTGATTTCTCTGAAGCCCTTGCCTAGTACCTAGCAAAAAGCAGGAATATTCAATAAAGATTTTGGGGCCAGGCGCTGTGGCTCACGCCAGTAATCCCAACACTTTGGGAGGCCTAGGCAGGCGGATCACTCGAGGTCAGGAGTTCAAGACCAGCCTGGCCAACATGGTGAAACCCCGTCTCTACTAAAAACACAAAAAATTAGCTGGGTGTGGTGGTGTGTGCCTGTAATCCCAGCTACTTGGAAGGCTGAAGCAGGAGAATTGCTTGAACCCAGGAGGCGGAGGTTGCAGTGAGCTGAAATCATGCCACTGTATGCCAGCCTGGGCAACTGAGTGAAACTCTGTCTCAGGAAAAAAAAAAAAAAAAGATTTTGGTTATTGTCTGACCCAATAGGGCATTGTTCAAGTTCTTTTCCAACCTCCATATTCATGCATAAACCACACAACTTCTTGTTGAAGGTTTCCTGTATGTTTCCTAGCATAGCCTATTAGTGTAGTAAGTTAGGCAAAACATAGACTTTGAAGCCAAACAAACCCAGGATTGAGTCCTGGCTCCACCATTTACTAGTTATGCCCTTCCATGAACCTTCTGAAGCTCAGTTCCCTATCTAGAAGGTGGGATAATATATCTGCCTTACTGTGTTGTCCTGAGGATGTTCCTGGAACATAATAAACACTCAAGAATTGGGAGCTGCTGTTAGTGTTTCCTTAAGTACTTAATTCAGTGCATACTTTGTAGATATTATAAAATGAATAAAATAAAGAGCTGCCTTAAGGACCTTACAGCTAAGGGAAAAAAAGAGTGAACAAGCACGCACATAAGTAACTCATGGAGTGCGCTGGTGGTACAGGAATGGCATGGAGCACTTGGGAAGTTCACAGACCAACAAATGATACATCCCTGGTCTGGTACAGCCAAAATTGCTTCCTGGTCTTGAGACTGACCATCTTAGTATTCACTTGATAAAAGGTTGTTTTTGCTTTAATCTTATATTATTAATAAACTGCTACATAAACTGTATATCAGCATGAGCAATGCTGGTAAAAGGCCGAGCACAGTGGCTCAGGCCTGTAGTCCCGGCACTTTGGGAGGCTGAGGCAGGCGGATCACTTGAGCCCAGGAGTTCGAGACCAGCCTGGCCGACATGGTGAAACCCCGTCTCTACTAAAAATACAAAAATTAGCTGGGCGTGGTAACCTGTAGTCCCAGCTGCTTGGGTGGCTGAGGCACGAGAATCGCTTGAACCCAGGAGGCAGAGGTTGCAGTGAGCTGAGATCATGCCGTTGTACTCCAGTCTGGGTGACAGAGTGAGACTCTGTCTCAAAAAAAAAGAAAAAAAAAACTCAGTAAGATTTCAGTAAGATAACTGAGTGAAGATGATAATTAGGTTTCTGTGGTATCAGCTGAATTTTTTAATATACAAAAAAGGCACTTGATTAGTATTTTTGTTATTGTGGTTTCATAAGTCCAGAAGTTTAGAACTGGCTTTAGTAACTTGATAAACCTAGCATCATTTAATTCTGTTGTTGATGACATGCTGGGGTCAGGGGTTCAGTGGGACATTTGGGACTAATTTCTTCACATCATCTCTTGCTTTCCAAGGCTTTCAGTAAAGGATGAAGAGAAAATTGGCTTTTAACTAATTTCCAGATTTTTTGATGGAGGGGGGGGCACTCTGAACAAAGTAAATCCTGAGAAGATCAGGTAGAAGGAAGTGGATTGGGTTAATACCTCTTTAGGAATAACAGAGGAGATGAGGACTGATTTCTGCCATTTATCTCTTTTATCCCACTTAATATCCACTTAATGTTTTCAGTGAAAGGATACCAATAGCCTGGCAGGCATAATTCAAAATTTAATATTATCCAGCCGGGCATGGTGGCTCACACCTGTAATCCCAGCACTTTGGGAGCTCAAGGCAGAAGGATCGCTTTAGCTCAGGAGTCCAAGACCAGCCTGGGCAACATGACAAAACCCCATCTCTATAAAAAATACAAAACTTAGATGGGTGTAGTGGTCCCAGCTACTCTGGGGGCTGAGGTGGGAGGATCACTTGAGCACAGGAGGTCGAGGTTGCAGTGAGCCGAGATTGTGCCACTGCACTCCAACCTGGGCAACAGAGCAAGACCCTGCCTCAGAAAAAAAAATTATCCAGGCCAGGCGCAGTGGCTCACGCCTGTAATCCCAGCACTTTGGGAGGCCAAGGCGGGCAGATCACGAGGTTAGGAGTTTGAGACCAACCTGACCAACATGGTGAAACCCCGTCTCTACTAAAAATACAAAATTAGCTGGGCGTGTTGGCACGCACCTGTAATCCCCGCTACTCAGGATGCTGAGGCAGGAGAATCGCTTGAACCTGGGAGGCAGAGGTTACAGTGAGCCAAGATCATGCCACTACACTCCAGCCTGGGCAACAGAACGAGACTCTATCTCAAAAAAAAAAAAAAAAATTATCCATAGTTCCTTCAACAGACGAATGGTCAAACAAACTGGTACATCCACACAACAACCTGGATGAAGCCCCAGATAATTATGCTAAGTGAAAAAATGCAGTCCCAAAAGGTTACATACTGTATGATTTCATTTATTCTTTTTATTTTATTTTATTTTATTTTTTAATTTTTAGAGGGACTCCTCCTTGCAGACCAGGGCTACCCCATAGGCAGTATGCCCAGAATAGGAGCCTCATTTATTATCAAAATGACAAAATTGTAGAAATGGAGAACAGATGAGTAGTTGCCACAGGTTAGGAGGGGATAGGGTAGGAGGGGAATGAGCATGGCTATAAAAAGGCAGTATGAGGGATCCTTGTGGTAATGGAATGTTTTATAGCTCGACTGTATCAATGTCAATATCCAGGTTGTGATATTGTACTACAGTTTTGCAAGATGTTACTATTGGAGGAAACTGGGTAAAGGGCACATGAGACCTTTATGTTATTTTCTTTTACAACTGCATGTGAATCTACAATTATCTCAAAATAAAAAGTCAAATTTTAAAAAATAGCTACAGTAATTTCCACGTGGACAGCCACACAGTATGTGGCTTAAGACCCAAATCTTTAACATAATTAAATAGAGCTACAAAAATCAGTAGCTTATATAGCATTTTGTTTTGTTTTGCTATTGTAGAAAAACTTGGAAAGTATGGATAAGAACAGAATGAAATAGAAATAGGACAGTAAAGATAACAACTGTAACACTTTTGCTGTGTTTCATTCTGTTTTTTGTTTTTCCGGAGTTTGCATATATGTTTTGTTTGGTTTTTTATCGTAACTGGGAATATACAGTTTATTTAGTTTTGCATTCTGCTTTCTTGAATTCTTTTTTTTTTTTTTTTTTTTAATTGATCATTCTTGGGTGTTTCTCGCAGAGGGGGATTTGGCAGGGTCACAGGACAATAGTGGAGGGAAGGTCAGCAGATAAACAAGTGAACAAAGGTCTCTGGTTTTCCTAGGCAGAGGACCCTGCGGCCTTCCGCAGTGTTTGTGTCCCTGGGTACTTGAGATTAGGGAGTGGTGATGACTCTTAACGAGCATGCTGCCTTCAAGCATCTGTTTAACAAAGCACATCTTGCACCGCCCTTAATCCATTTAACCCTGAGTGGACACAGCACATGTTTCAGAGAGCACAGGGTTGGGGGTAAGGTCACAGATCAAGAGGATCCCAAGGCAGAAGAATTTTTCTTAGTACAGAACAAAATGAAAAGTCTCCCATGTCTACTTCTTTCTACACAGACACGGCAACCATCCGATTTCTCAATCTTTTCCCCACCTTTCCCCCCTTTCCATTCCACAAAACCGCCATTGTCATCATGGCCTGTTCTCAATGAGCTGTTGGGTACACCTCCCAGACGGGGTGGTGGCCGGGCAGAGGGGCTCCTCACTTCCCAGTAGGGGCGGCCGGGCAGAGGCGCCCCTCACCTCCCAGACGGGGCAGCTGGCCAGGCGGGGGGCTGACCCCCCCACCTCCCTCCCGGACGGGGCGGCTGGCCAGGCAGAGGGGCTCCTCACTTCCCAGTAGGGGCGGCCAGGCAGAGGCGCCCCTCACCTCCCGGATGGGGCGGCTGGCCGGGCGGGGGGCTGACCCCCCCACCTCCCTCCCGGACGGGGCGGCTGGCCAGGCAGAGGGGCTCCTCACTTCCCAGTAGGGGCGGCCAGGCAGAGGCGCCCCTCAGCTTCCAGACGGGGCGGCTGGCCGGGCGGGGGGTTGACCCCCCCCCACCTCCCTCCCGGACGGGGTGGCTGGCCGGGCGGGGAGCTGACCCCCCCACCTCCCTCCCGGACGGGGCGGCTGGCCGGGCGGGGGTCTGACCCCCCCACCTCCCTCCCGGACGGGGCGGCTGGCCGGGCAGAGGGGCTCCTCACTTCCCAGTAGGGGCGGCTGGGCAGAGGCGCCCCTCACCTCCCGGACGGGGCGGCTGGCCGGGCGGGGGGCTGACCCCCACCTCCTTCCCGGACGGGGTGGCTGCCGGGCGGAGACGCTCCTCACTTCCCAGATGGGGTGGCTGCCGGGCGGAGGGGCTCCTCACTTCTCAGACGGGGCGGCTGCCGGGCGGAGGGGCTCCTCACTTCTCAGACGGGGCGGTTGCCGGGCGGAGGGTCTCCTCACTTCTCAGACGGGGCGGCTGGGCAGAGACGCTCCTCACCTCCCAGACGGGGCGGCGGGGCAGAGGCGCTCCCCACATCTCAGACGATGGGCGGCCAGGCAGAGACGCTCCTCACTTCCTAGATGGGATGGCGGCGGGGCAGAGATGCTCCTCACTTTCCAGACTGGGCAAGCCAGGCAGAGGGGCTCCTCACGTCCCAGACGATGGGCAGCCAGGCAGAGACGCTCCTCACTTCCCAGACGGGGTGGCGGCCGGGCAGAGGCTGCACTCTCGGCACTTTGGGAGGCCAAGGCAGGCGGCTGGGAGGTGGAGGTTGTAGCGAGCCGAGATCACGCCACTGCACTCCAGCCTGGGCACCATTGAGCACTGAGTGAACCAGACTCCATCTGCAATCCCGGCACCTCGGGAGGCCGAGGCTGGCGGATCACTCGCGGTTAGGAGCTGGAGACCAGCCCGGCCAACACAGCGAAACCCCGTCTCCACCAAAAAAATACGAAAACCAGTCAGGCGTGGCGGCGCGCGCCTGCAATCGCAGGCACTCGGCAGGCTAAGGCAGGAGAATCAGGCAGGGAGGTTGCAGTGAGCCGAGTTGGCAGCAGTACAGTCCAGCTTCGGCTCGGCATCAGAGGGAGACCGTGGAAAGAGAGGGAGAGGGAGACCGTGGGGAGAGGGAGAGGGAGAGAGAGAGGGAGAGGGAGAGAGAGAGGGAGAGGGAGAGAGAGAGGGAGAGGGAGAGAGAGAGGGAGAGGGAGAGGGAGAGGGAGAGCTGCTTTCTTGAATTCTATATCATGAAGATTTCTCTGTGTCTTTGAAATTCTTCAAAAACAATTTTCATTTGGCTACATATTCCATTATATGGATATTCTATAACCTACGTAATCATCCTCTATTAGATTTATTTTCCATTTTGTATGATAATATCATTATATATAAATCTTCCATTTTTTTCCTTAAGGTGGGTTTTTGTAAATGGAATTACTAAATCGAAGTGCATGAACATTTTTAAGGCTTTTTGATATATGTTACCAGATTGCTTTCTGGAAAAGTGGTACTGATATATATTCTCACCAATAATTGCATGAGAATGGATAAGGTCTAAGTCAGGAAGAATTAGAAACAGAGTTCTGGAGCATAAAGATTTTTATCTTTATCAAAAATATAATTTCTCAACCACAGCACTACTGACATTTTGGGCCAGATAATTCTTTGTTGTGGGGGCTGTCCTGGGTATTGTAGGATGTTTAGCAGCATCCCTGACCTCTACCCACTAGATAGCAATAGCTGCCCTCCCGCTGTAGTTGTAACAACCAAAAATATCTCTAAACATTGGGAAATGTCCACCTGGGTAACAAAATTGCCCCTGGTTGAGAACCACTGATCCAAAGACTTAAATGTGCAATGAGACACTTATTCTTAGAGTTTCTCTACTGTGTACTAATGTTCTGAAGCTTAGCTCCTTGGAGCTCTTTTTTTGTGGAGTATATATGTGTATTCTGCATATTGCCTGCAATGTAAAAGAGGCTGATCTTTTTTTTAAGGCTGTGTAAATGGCTTTGTTACTCCTCATTGTGTATCTTTCCCTACTGACATCTGCCTGGTTTCCTGGTTATGAGAAGAAACTTAAAGTGATGGCACTTCCATTTGCTTTGCCCTACAAAAATGATTTGCCTTGAAATTTAATATGGTATTTGGAAGTGTCAGTCAGCGTCCCTATACTTTGTCTTTATCTTCTGAGTAAGAAGGGTAAGAGTAAAACAGAATGAGAATGACTTTGGATCTCTTGAGTCTGTATGTAAAGGAAAAAAAAAGGAGTGGACTGGGATTTTTGTTAACTAAAGTTCAAGTCTTAAAAACTAAGAAGCCTATTTTAAGCAGCAGGAGTTCCCAGTTGAAGGTCTGTTCCCTGTATCTACAGCTGGCTTTACCTTCAGTTCTTGATGGAATGCACCTGGGTAAAAGGCCAACCTCGTTTCTATAATATTTCAGAACATCTTGGAGTCCTGAAACCCATACTCTCTTCCTGACATAAAACTTGCTGTGTCCAGATCTTCTAGTGCTTAGGTTATACTTGATAAATTTCATTAATTCAAAGAAGATAAGCTGCAGTTTCCTCTGAAAAATGAAGAGCACACAAATACATTAATAAGAACATGAACTCTCTGAAAATACTGTGTCCTTAAATTATATGAAACTCATTTAAGTCTATCCTTCAGTAAAGACACTAGCCTTTGAAGTTCTGATATGAATTCATTGTTCTTAAGTGTAAGATTTAGGTTTAAAAAGTTAGTTTGACATTGACTTTCTATACTGGCTGTTTCTTTTCTGTTTGTCCCCCTTAGGAGCAGTCTCACAGGTGCTGGACAGCCTGGAAGAGATTCATGCGCTTACAGACTGCAGTGAAAAGGACCTAGATTTTCTACACAGTGTTTTCCAGGATCAGCATCTTCACACACTACTAGATGTAAGTCTGTCTTTTTATTATTCTTCTTTTTTGGTGAATTGAATATTGGCCGGGCACGGTGGCTCATGCCTGTAGTCCAAGCACTTTGGGAGGCAGAGGCGGGCGTATCAGGAGGTCAGGAGACTGAGACCATCCTGGCCAACATGGTGAAACGTGGTCTCTACTAAAAATACAAAAATTAGCCAGGTGTGGTGGCGCATGCCTGTAGTCCCAGTTAGGACTGAGCTGAGGAGGCGGAGGCACAAGAATCACTTGAACCCGGGAGGCGGAGGCTGCACTGAGCCAAGATCACACCACTGCACTCCAGCCTGGGTGACAAAGCAAGACTCTGTCTCAAAAAAAAAAAAAAAGAAATTGAATATTTAGCATACCTTTTTACTTTACATGAATTCTCAGATGTCTATCATAACAATTCTTTTCAGTTGCCTTAAGCCTATGAGAAATGTGGGAAATCATCCATCAAAAATTCATGATTGAAATACAGTATATGGCCGGGCACCGTGGCTCATGCCTGTAATCCCAGCACTTTGGGAGGCCAAGGCGGGTGGATCACCTGAGGTCAGGAGTTCGAGACCAGCCTGACCAACATGGGGAAACCCCATCTCTACTAAAAATACAAAATTAGCCAGTTGTGGTGGTGCATGCCTGTAATCCTGGCTACTCGGGAGGCTGAGGCAGGAGAATCGCTTGAACCCAGGAGGCAGAGGTTGCAGTGAGCCGAGATCGCTCCATTGCACTCCAGCCTGGGCAACAAGAGCGAAACTCCATCTCAAAAACAAAGAAAAAAGAAATACAGTATATGTACAGTACAAATGCAACAGAGCCTAGCAGGCTACAATGGGAAAAAATTTATATATCTTTATATTTATAAATTATATGTACATAATGCATGCAAGTGGTATGTGAGTTTTAAAAAAGAGTAGAGTACAATCCTACTTTACTGAATTATCTTGTATTTCTGTTAAAAGAATCCATTGAGGTTAGCTGTGATTACTTTTTATTGCTTTGCACATTACTTTAAAACATTATACCTCCAGCATGAGTATAGGAGAGAGAAAAGCAAATGAGATACTTTGCAATAGGCTGTATTCCCACACACATTTCATATTTAACATTGTTTTGTTCCATAGATTCAATGTCTTCTCCTTAAAACATAAGCATATACTCCATCTTTAAATATTACAGGCTCCACTGACAGCAGACTGGGATACAAAGGAAAAAACAGAAGCTGACCATTTTCATTTCAGTCACATTTTAAGTAAAATACCTTTCTTAGAGAACTTGGTTCACTTCAGCAATGAAAACTCTTGGGTGGTTTCGATGGTATTTGAACATGTTAGTCTTTTTACAAGAAAAATCTTCCCTTAATGAGAGAATCATACTTGCTTTGGGGTGCCTAGAACTGTTTGGTGCTGAATAATTCACCATATGATGTAAATGAAGCTAAAGCAAAATTTCCCAGAATGTGTTCTACAGAGCATGGCTCTGGGAGGTTGCTATGGGTGTTGCCATGGTGGGAGGGGGAAGTAGATCTTAAATTTATTGGTTAAATTATTTATTGACTAAATAAGTTTGGGAAATGCTACATTCTTTAGTCTTTTTATACAGATCCACAATGGGTGTTGGTATATTGATAGCTCTGAGATGATCTAAAGCAAAGAAACCTTTTTAACTTTCTTTATCAGCATTTCTCAAACTAATTTGGGCACAGAACTTTTATTCACAATCCTGTTGAGTTCTGTTTTGATGAGGACCAGTTTGGGAAAAGCTCAGCTAAGAGTGTTTGTTGCATTATGCTTCAGCTTTACACTAAATGCAGCCGTAGGTATCTAACAGTTGCTTCTTTCCCCAAATGTGGTCAGTTCAAATTAATTATCAGATTTTCATGGCTAGTTTGGCCTTTGTATATAGTGTACATATTAATTAGGGCTGACTAACTGTTATAACATGTGATTCTAAAATTTGAGTGGCTTAACAGAATAGAAGTTTACTTCTTGCTCACTTCACAGTCCAATGCAGGTAGATGAGGGAGGTCTTTTCCACACCGTCATTCAGAGACCCAGGCCTCTTCCACTAGGTCACACTGCTATTTCCCAGGGTCTTGGAATCTTCTACTGTATCCTTTGTACCTAGCCAGCAAATGAGAGAAGAGAGAACATGGAGAATCTTGCAGGGTCAAGCTTGGAAATGGGTTTATCTCACATTCTTTGGCAACTGCTAGTCACGTGCTCACCTGGATGTGAGAGCTGAGGAACGTAGTTTAGAAATGTGCTCAGGAAGATAAGGAATTGGGTCTTCTCTTTAGTGTAATTTATCTTAAGTAGTATCTATTCACTGTCATTGCTGCAGAAAGTTTTCACAATTGTGTATTTCCCACTGAAGTTTATACCCTTTACTAGAACTAGTTAGTGCAATATTTAGAAAAGGCTACAGCAGTGTGTGGAGATTTTGTTTATTTTATTGTGGTCAGTGCTTAGGTCATTGCCAGGTAGATTTACTGACCTTCTTTTGAATCAAGGACTTTTTGTAACAAAGACTTTTTGTAATTTAAACACTGAGAGAAGCCCAAATTGGTTTCAAAGTTGTATTTTTTCTTACTGATATAGCAAGGTATCTGAGCACATCAAGCTTGAGATTGCAGGGGAGAAGCAGGAACATTACTGGCTTACACAAGGAAAGGGGCAGCTATTCAGACACGAATAACTGCTGCACTGTTTGGTATAAATTGTCACAATTTCAGAAGAGATTCTTAGATGTTAGTGAGAAAAACATACTTAACTTTCCTTTGCATTTGTTTACATTATAAAGAAGTATCTGCCTTATTGGCATCTGCCCTGTCAGTGCAGGTCAATTTGAAAGAGGAGCTGTTGGACTGAAAATGAACCATGCCTATTAAAAAGGTGCAGTATAAGACCAGGAGTAGTGGCTCACACCTGTAATCCCAGCACTTTGGGAGGTCATTGTGGGAGGATCACTTGAGCCCAGGAGCTCAAGACCAGCCTGGGCAACAAAGCAAGACCCCATCTCTACAAAAAATTTAAAAAGCAGCTGGGCATGGTGGTGTATGCCTGTGGTCCCAGCTACTCCAGAGGCTGAGGCTGAAGGATCACCTGAGCCCAGGAATTCAAGGGTGCAGTGAGCCATGATCACACTACTGCACTCCAACCTGGGCAACAAAGTGAGACTCTATCTCTAAAAAAAAAAAAAAGGTGCAGTATCTTCTGAATTTTGTAAACAGGTGCCATACATGAGCTCCAGTCAAATTAATGACTATGAGGCCGAGCCCTGGACAATATTTGCATGCATGTGGTTCTGAATCTCCAAACTGAGCTATTTCTAAATGAAAGTTTAGGCCAGGTACGGTGACTCACGCCTGTAATCCCAGCACTTTGGGAGGCCAAGGCGGGCGGATTACCTGAGGTCAGGAGTTCGAGACCAGCCTGACCAACATGGTGAAACCCATCTCTACTAAAAATACAAAAATGTGGTGGGCACCCATAATCCCAGGTACTTAGGAGGCTGAGGCAGGAGAATCACTTGAACCCAGGAGGTGGAGATTGCAGTGAGCCGAGATCGTGCCACTGCACTCTAGCCTGGTCAACAGAGCGAGACTCCGTCTCAAAAATGAATGAATGAATGAATGAATGAATGAATGAATGAAAGCTTAATCATCATGAATGAAATAAACCATCATTAGAATGTGCCCTCATACCCTACATCCCATAAATAAGGCTTATTAAGCTCATTTCACAGCTAACAGGCTACATTTTAATAATATAATCAATGAAGAATTCAAGTGACTGCCATATAGAGAAATCTAATCATTTAAAAAATTTTAATATTTAAATGTTTGTGGTATACATTAAGGAAGAAAAATGGCTATGACGAACTCTTGAGGAGCAGCTGTTAAAATGTTGGATTTTCAGTCTGGGTGCAGTGGCTCACTTCTATAATCTCAGCACTTTGGGAGGCCGAGGCGGGAGGATCACTTGAGGTCAGGTGTTTGAGACCAGCCTGGCCAACATGGTAAAACCCTGTCTTTACTAAAAATACAAAAATTAGCTAGGCATGGTGGCGCATGCCTGTAGTCCCAGCTACTTGGGAGGCTGAGGCAGGAGGATCACTTGAACGCAGGAGGTGGACGTAGCAGTGAGCTAAGATCACACCACTGCACGGTAGCCTGGGAGACAGAGCAAAACTCTGTCAAAAAAAATTGGGCCTTTCATTTTTCTTTCTTCCCATGTTCCACATACCATGGTTGATTTGGAATTGTTTTATTTTGCAGAATCAAAACGAATTCTTCTGCCTTTTTTTGTTTGTTGTTTGTTTTTTGTTTAAGACAGGGCTCTCCCAGGCTGGCTCACTGTAGCCTTGACCTTCTGAGCTCAAGCACCCTCCTACCTCAACCACCCAAGTATCTGGACCACAGGTGCACCACCACACTCAGCCCTTTTTTTTTTTTGAAGAGACAGGTCTCACCATGTTTGCCCAGGCTACCAGGCTAGTCTCAAACTCTTGGGCTCAAGCAGTTCTCCTGCCTCGGCCTCCCAAAGTGCTGAGATTACAGGCATGAGTCATTGCCCCAGCATGAATTCCTTTTTAAGGATTCCAAGTAGGGACACCCAGGGGGCATAGTTTTATGGACCATGAATTAATTAAGGCTAATTAATCCCACTGAGCCATTTTAGGAAATATCTTTACCATTTTTATGTTATTTCTGTTAACTCAATAACATTCTAAATAGCTAGGTATGAAGCCATAATTTTAAGGCTGACAAAAAGAAACAGGATTAAGTTCCTAAGAAAAACTAAAGATTATCTATGACTTCTTTATTTTTTCTAGTCATGTTCTTAAAATAATAACAAGCTCAAAATTTGAAGAAGCATTATTAGAATTTGTTTACAGGAAACAAAACTGCCAAACTGAAACATTTACATTAAAATGGAGAAGTACTGTGATTCTACTGAAAGGGAAATGCTTTCTGAAAACCTTTGAATTTGAGTAAAACACATTTAGTTTAATCTGTAGTTAGAAACTGATACAGAAAACTCTAAATATTTGCTATCCAAGTGGTTCCAGCCTGGCACACATATGCAGCTTCTCATTTTGTGGGAAGAAATACAGAGGCATGAGGAACTGCTTGGTCCAGCTTGTTGCAGTATGCCTGTATTTAAAAATTAAAAGCACTGGTGCTAAGATGATCTTCGTATGAAATGTATAGATCAATTAGTAAAGTACAATTTGACATTAGTTTGCTAGGACTGCCATAACAAAGTACCACAAGTTGTGTGGCTTAAAACAACAGAAATTGATTGTCTCATAGTTCTGGAGGCTGGAAAGTCCTAAATCAAGGCATTGGCAGGGGCATGCTCCCTCCAAAGGATCCAGGGAAGAATCCTTCCTTGTCTTTTCCAGTTTCTGGTGGTTGCCTGCAATCCTTGTCATTCCTTGACTTGTAGATGCATCATTCCAGTCTCTTTTTCCGTCATCACATGTCATTCTCTGTGCGTGTGTGTCTGTGTATTTACATGGCCTTCTTAGAAGGACACCAGTCATTGGACACCCTAATCTAGTATGACATCATCTTAATTAATTACATCTATAAAGACACTTATTTCCAAATAAGGTCACATTCTGAGGTTCTGGGTAAACATAAATTTTGAGTGAGGGACAATATTCACCCCAGTACAGCATGGAAAACTGATTTAACCCTGAATTAATTCTTCACGTGTGAGTGCAAATTACACAAATCTAATATAAAATAATGAAATGTTACCCTGTCATCCATTAATTATGCTTTATTGGGAATTGGTGTTAAAGTGTTATTTATGTCTTGTAATGATATTTTGAATCAGTTATGGATTGGAATTTGTATGTGATACATTGGAAGGTCAGTGGGTGGGTGAGTTTTTGATGGACTGAAAAGCCATGTTTTTTGGATTAAAAACATTTTACAAATATTATTTGGTAGTAGTTTTCAGTCTTCTCAGTTTCTAGTATAAATTTTCCTATTAAAATAATAAATGTTTAGTTTGTAAATCACCAGTGTTACAAAACATTGTTAAATGACACATCTCTCTGCCAAACTTTGACAACTAAGTTTTAAACATTAACTGGCCATCTGTCATACCTCTGAACAGCTGTTAGCATTTGTTACGCACTGCTGTTTCCATAGTAAATGCCCCCACCTAATTAAGATTATTTTTGTAAGAAGTCTTAAAATTGTGGTTTCTGAAAATATAATGGGTGATTAGATTAATATAGCAATTTATTGATGAATTTTTAAAATTGCAGTAGCAATTAATTTAGGAGTCTTTATAATATTAATTTATAAGTAGACTTTTATAATAGACTTAGTAACTTTTAAATATTGCATTAGCAATTAACTGATACTTGGAATCTTTCATATTTTGTATGGCCAACATCTTTATTATAATTTTTTACCGTTTAGGGAGAGTTAGCATTTTTCCATCTGGCCTGGAGTTAGCCATGGAAAACTACAATTCTTGATTTACTATTTCGCTTTTTTGAGATGACATTAAATTAGTAGCCATATTTAGAAGAGCTTATTTTTAGAACTCAGAAGTTTCCTAAAGGAAAAAGATGGAACTTCTACAATAATCTGGAGATAATGTTTTTGAGCAATTTGGGGTCTGAGAAGTAAGTTAAATACAATGTTAGGTTTGGATATTTAAAGAGATTGCCAATCAGGAAATGCCAAAGCTAAGTTTCCCAAGAATTTGTAGTCCAGCCAATTTGCATTTAAATGTCTAGAATAATAAAGCCTATCTGAGGACCTTCAGAGGATGAGCTACTAGTAATTTCTCAGGGCCCCATCCAGTCTTAAGAGTCAGCTTTGGCAATTATGAAACCAGCTGCACAGTGGGCCCCTGCCCAGTGGTGGTGGTCTTTGTGCTTCTTGCCTCCTGGGGCTGTAGACTGAAGCGCATTGCTGTTCCCTTTGAATTTGAGTGTCTCTCCACTGTTTTCTAACTGGAGGGGCAAAACCTCCCATATCTGTTTCTCTCCATGTATTGAAGTAGTATTGTCAGTGTAAAAGTACGGCATGAAACAAAATACCTGAAAGCTAGAAATACCATATGTCGTGAATATTCTCAAAGTATTTTTCCTTCTTTCTTAATGTAAATAAATGTCAATAAACTTAGCAAAAAAAAAAAAAAAAAGCCGCTAAGCATATGGTTCTTTGTTAAGCAGCAATAGAAAACTGATAGAACCAGGAACAAGATGAGGATTGTCCACTCCCCACTTCTATTCACCATTGTCCCAGAGACTCTGGCCAGTGCAGCTAAGACAAGAAAAAGAAATTCAGGGCATGAAGATTGGAAAGGAAGAAGTAATATCATCCTTTCCCAGAGTTGTTATCTTGCATGTAGAAAATACTAAGGAATCCACAAAAAATCTAATAGCATTATAGGCAAGCTTAGCAAGGTCACAAGATACCAGATTAATATACACACATTATCTAAATTTCTATATGTGAGCAAAAAATAACCCAAAAATAAAATTAAAGAAATATTCACAATATTATAAAAAGAATAAAATAGGAATAAATTGAACAAAAAAAATGTAGGATTTGTATACTGAAAACTAAAAAATGCTATGAAAGAAAGATCTAAATAAATGAGCAGAGATATACTGTTGGATTGGAGGACTTAATATTGTTAAGATGGCGCTTTTCTCCACATTGATCTATAGATTCAGTGCAGTCCCTATCAACATCCCAGTAGGATTTCTTTGTAGAAGTCAACAAGGTGATCCTAAAATTTATATAAAAATGCCAAAACAATTTTGAAAAAGAAAAAAATTGGATAACTGATTTCAAAACTTACTATAAGGCTACAATAATCAAAATAGTATGGTGTTGGCATAAGGATAGATATACAGATCACTGAAACAAAAAAGAGTCCAGAAATAAACCCTCACCTTTATGGTCAATTTATTTTCAACAAGATTGCCAATGCAATTACATGGAAAGGGGGATAGTCTTTTTTTTTCAAATGGTCCTGGAGCAGTTGGAGATCCATATGCAAGAAATGAACTTAGACCCTGTCTCATACCATACACAAAAGAAAATTGCCTCAAAATGGATCATAGATTCACTTTAAGAGCTTAAAACTATAAAACTTTTAAAAGAATATAGGAATAAATCTTCATTACCTTGGGTTAGGCAAAGAGTTCTTAGATGTGACACAAGGGAATTTGGGGGGATTACGGAAATGTTCTTAAGCTGGATTGAGATGGTGGTTGTACAACTATATAAATTTACTATCATCCCACTAGATTTCACAGGGCCATTACACTAAATTAAAATTTAGCTTTGTGGCTAAGAATTTACCACTGATTCAAAAATACTAAATATGGTTTTTTCTCCCAAGAACTGTTTTATTAACCAGCGTGTAGTTGTGCCTTATGGAAGAAGTCCAAATTGTGTTTTTTGTTTGAAAATGTTATGAATTACATAACTTTATAGATTTTCAATATGGAAGACACCTTAGAGCAACTTATTTTAGTTCATTCCTTCTACATTCAAGTACATATTTGCCATTTCCAAAAATTCACAGCTTTTTGATACTTTTTTAACATCAATTTTTTGGTCTTTTTTGTTGTGGCAAGATATATATAACATAAAATTTGCCACTTGCACCATGTTTAAGTGTACAGTTCAATGACATTAAGTATATTCACATTGTTATACAACCATCATCACTATCCATCTCCAGAACTCTTTCATCTTTCCCAACTAAATGTCTGTACCCATTAAATACTGACTCCCATTCACCCCTCTCCTTAGCCCCTGGCAACCACCCTTCTACTTTCTGTCCCTATGAATTTGACTACTCTAGGTACCACGTATATAAGTGAAATTATCCAGTATTTGCCCTTTTGTGTCTGGCTTATTTCATTTAGCATGATATCTTCAAGGTTCATCCATGTTGTAGCATGTGTTAGAATTTTCTTCCTTTTTAAGGCTGAATAATATTCCATCGTGTGTGTATAGTACATTTTGTTTGTCTACTCATCCAATATTGATGTTTTGTGGTTGATAATTATGTACTAGGAAAAACCAAATTCTCAGAATAAGGCTGTCTAATCGTAGGGAATTCTGCCTCGTTCCATCTCCACACAATTACTCTTTCTAGGATGCAAGTTAAATCTTATGCTATACATCTTCGTGAAGGAATGTGTGATTTCCACTGAAAGTATTAATGACTACGGAAGTCCCTCCAATTCCCTTATTTGTTCAGATAAATTACTTCTTAAAGCAGGGTTTAGAATTTACTCTAGAATACCAAGAATAATGAATCAGCTTGTCACCAGTATCAGTGTTACCCACTGAGTGCCATTCTCTTTTTATGACACCATGATCAACTTTACCAAAAGGCAAAGGAATTTGCAGAAAGCCTTCTAAGTACAATAAGCACTGATTCTTCTTTATGCTATGCTCAAGGAAAGGAGGGGTTTCCCCCTAGAAAGGAATGTGATATGCTCAGTTAAAGAATGTTCGATGGAGTGGCTTGCAGCATTCATAATCCAAGAACATAGCTGTTTTCTTCTCTTTGTGGCCCTTCAAACATGATCTCATAAAACTCTTCTGCCAGACTGCCTTTGTGCTATTCTCTTTAAATTTTTCATGACAGAAATTCATTTTTGCTACAGCTACACCAAGTACAAATGCTTGGTGTTTACCTATGCAAAATAAAAAAGGTAGCAAAAGCCAAAAATAATTAAATAAAATATTATCTGACACACCTAATGTAACATAAATGTTACCTTTTAAAGCAGCACATTAATAATTGTATGTTCATTTAATGTAAATATCATTTAACTCTTGTAGTTGCTTAAGAAGAGCCAAGCTAGGAAATGTGATTTTAACACTTTAAAAAAATAGAAAGGAAATTAATATCATAGTGAAAATTTCTCATAGTTGGGCAAGCTCTTGTATCTGATACTAAAAAGTACCGTATTTCAGAAGATTTTATTAAAACAAGATAAAATCTGCCTATATTATATCATGTAACTGGTTTTTTTCCTCATGCTTTCTTTTGCTCAAGAATAGGCATTATGATTTGTGTTTTACAGGGCTTAATTTTAGAGTTATTTGACCACTTGAAAAAGGCATAGAGAACAGTCAAGCTAGGTCATCTGAGGCCAGTGTTTGAGTTTCTCAGAAATAGCTGCCAACTGACCAGAAATCTGCCACACTGGCCTATGTTGTTAGGCCACCAAAGGCACAGTCTTCTTGGATTGAACTAGGAGGTCAAGCAAGTCTTAATTTCTTGAATTCAAAAATAAATCCCTGTAAGTGCGATGTTCTAATAGGATTAGAACAAAAGCAGCCCTGTATACAGACAAATAAAACCTAAACAAAACAAGGGCCTCCTTAGAGGTTCTTTTGCTGTCAGGATCCAAAGGATTTTTGCAGCTTTTTCAGGAAATCTTGTACTGGCCCAGATGTACTGATTTTTTAATTGCCTTTTTTGCTGACAGAAGAAAACTTTAATAATGGATTTAGAGCAGCGTATTACTAGGCCAGCTGCACTCCTTCTTGCACCTTCAAGTAAGGATATATTCCCCATCATGATTTTACTAAAACTTGATTTAAGTTAGCATTTCACTGCTAAGCTATTAAACTAAAGCTTTCCCGGAACACCTAACTCAAGAGCATCCAGGAACATTCTTCTTGGCCATTAAATACAGTAAGCAGTTGTCCATTACATGTCCATCTTCAACTTGAGTTATGTAGTACAAACTGGGCCATGGTATTGGGAGCAGCCCTGAACCTTAGTCCAGGGAAAATCTAAATTCCAGGGTGGAACTCTTGCTCCTTGATTTCAGTCACTAGATTTAGGAATTTACACACTTTTTAAGATGAGAAACAAATTTAGTGTAAGATTTGTAAAATTTTCAAAATGAATGAAATGAAATCTTCAAATGAATTCCCTTCAAATGAATGGAGTTTGCTATCTCCATGCAGATAGTCATCTGTATGACTATTATTTGAGTGCTTTCAACTATTTAAAATAAATTGATTTTTAGCAATTTTGTAGAATATAAAATTTCAAGAAAAACAATTTTTGGTGCAGGTAGGATAGGCATTCTTTGCACGTCAAAAAAGAAAAATGGCCTGAGTGATTTTGATTTCTTTTTGTAACTTGTAATATCCCAATGATACAGAATTGTGTTTAGATTTGTAAGAAGGACAGGTTATAGAAGTTCTTCCAGCCGGGTGCCATGGCTCACGCCTGTAATCCTAACACGTTGGGAGGCCGAGGTGGGTGGATCACCTGAGGTCAGGAGTTCAAGACCAGCCTGTCCAACATGGTGAATCCCCGTCTCTACTAAAAATAAAATAAAATACAAAAATTAGCCGGGAGTGGTGGTGCGTGCCTGTAATCCCATCTACTCAGGAGGCTAAGGCAGGAGAATTGCTTGAACCCAGGAGGCGGAGGTTGCAGTAAGCCAAGATCGTGCCATTGCACTCCATCCTAGGCAACACAGCAAGACCCCGTCTCAAAAAAAAGAAAAAAGAAAAAAACTTCTTCCTAGTGTTTAATTGTAGCTCCTTAAGTTTTTGAAAATGCCATTTTAAATTTTGCAATGTTTCTTTCACACTTACGTTGCCCATCATGCAATCTTTAGGCCACTGCTAAATACACTGCTCTTCTCCAAGCTTGAACTACATGATGTTTAATGATGCCAAGGATCTTTGAAAGGACTCTGTGTGTGTGTGTGTGTGTGTGTGTGTGTCAGGGCCTCAGTCTGTCACTCCGGCTGGAGTGCGGTCATGCAATCATAGCACATTGCAACTTCGACCTTCCAGGCTCAGGCAATCCTCCCACCTCAGCCCTTCAAGTAGCTGGGATTACAGGAGTGCGCCACCACACCTGGCTAATTTTTGTATTTTTTGTAGAGACGAGGTTTCCACATGTGGCCCAGGCTGGTCTCAAACACCTAGCCTCAAGCAGTCTGCCCACCTTGGCCTCCCAAGGTGCTGGGATGACAGATGCAAGCCACTGCACCTGGCCTCAACAAGTTTATATGTAAACTTGAGCAAGAAAAATAGATTTTTAGATCTTACAAAGTTTTCTGTGATCTCCAACTTCAGAAAATCAGTTCCAGTACAGTAATTGAATATCAGTTCTCTGTGTTTCAGTATTAAATCAGCTTTCCCTAATATTTTGCTCAATTTCAAATGTATATGAGAAAATACCTGTTATGTATTGATGGCTGATCTGCTCAGTTCACTGAAAAGATGTGACATTGAAACTTTGTTCCTATTTACCCACGTAATTCACAGAAACTGAAGAAAGTTCTTAATAAGATAGTCAGTGTTTCCAGAACAAGTTATTTCAATGGTCATTATTGCTACACAGTGTAATTCCGTGCACACTGTTATTATCTGTTTTATTAGGATCATCACAGACACATTCATTAAATATTTTGCAGCTAAATATTTGATTCTTGCAAACTTTCATTCTTTTCCAGCAGGAAACTTCTTCAGTATCTATAAAGTAAGTGATAAGATGATGGTTGCTAATGAACATCAATGTTCTTTGCAACCCTACAAGCCTATGCCTACAGTATAGTTGCAAAAGTTATCAACTTGTCTGAAACAGTATACATTCTGGTCCTTAGATTTGGTTTTCTCTGTGCAAAAAAAGTTAGTGGGACATACAACTCAGTGATAATTATTTTATAGCTTCTTACCATGCATTCCATTTTAAATGTTGATCTTGATAAATACTGCACATAAACTATGAGCAAAACACAGGTTTCTATTTGATAACTAAGAAATCAGAAGATAATGTGATATAATGAGTATGATAAAAAATGAAACTTGATTTAGTGCTTTGAATGTAAATAAAAGGTGACATATTAACTGATTTTATCATCTTTATGTTTGAAAGTACAATCTCAGGAGATTTGAATTTAATATCACTACCAAGTTTATTCTGCTTCATTTGAAAACCCATGTCAAATGTAGAATGTGTTCTCTTTATGGAACTGTGGCGACACTTCCTAAGACAGAAAGATGAATGAAGCGTGTCGGTGTAGGTATGTGTGGTCATATCTGACTCAGTACCAGAGATTTGCAGAGAGCAGGCCTATCTGTGAGACAATATGAGACAGTCTGTTTCCCTTGCAGCTGTTCACATTTCCTTGTTTTGCCCTGGTGTTGTGTGTACATGTTTTTTGTTTTTTGTTTTTTTTAATAAAAAGTGCTGAATTTGGGTAATGATAATTTCATTAGAAAAAGAGAGTAAACAGTAACAGATTCATTCTTGTTTTCCCTCTAGGGATAATTTATTAACATTCTTCCTTCTCTCTTCCTCCCCCTTCACACCTCAGCTTTACAAATACACCTGATACCTTCAAATTTCAGGAAAGCAAATAGCAAAAGGAAATACATTTTGTCATTCCAATATAACTTGAATTTAAGCTTCTAGAGCAGGGATTCACAAACTATGGCCCTCAGGCCAAATCCAGCTGGCCACCTGTTTTTGTAAATAAAGTTTTATTGGAACACAGCCATGCTCATTCATTTATGGATTATTAACAGCCGCCCTCATACAACACAACAGGGTTTAGTGGCTGTGACAGAGATCATATGGCCTGCAAAGCCTAAAATATTTCCTATCTTGCCAGGATAGGATTAGGATCCTGATATTCTTTTTTTTTTTTTTTTTGAGACAGAGTCTCACTCTGTTGCCCAGGCTGGAGTGCAGTGGTGTGATCTCGGCTCACCTTAACCTCCACCTCTCGGGTTCAAGCGATCCTCCTGCCTCAGCTACCTTAGTAGCTGGGACTACAGGCATGCACCACCACACCCAGCTCATTTTTGTATTTTTAGTAGAGATGGGGTTTCATCATGTTGGCCAGGCTAGTCTCGAACTCCTCACCTCAGGTGAGAATCCTGACATTCTTTAACATGGCAAGGCTTGTAATTGAGTAGCTAATAGTTTTCAAATCATATTGAGTGTATTTTTCCCTGCAGCCTATAAATAGAATTTTTTACAGCTTTTTTCCCAAGTATTTGCCAAAGATATCTCCCTGGCACAAGGCATTGTGTATTACTGAATTCTAGTAACAAGCTGAGGAGATCTGGATGAGAGAAAGGACAGCATATCAGCAGGGCAGGGTCAGGTCCCTGCTACTCTGGCTGTATGACCCTGACCATGACAGTTCACCTGACTGGAACTCAGCTTTTGACTTTTTAAAATGGAGGAGTTGAATCATGTTGACATCTAAGATCTCCTCTTTTTTTTATTTTTATTTTTTTGGTACCCCAAACAGAGTCTCATTCTGTCACCCAGGCTGGAGTGCAGTGGCACAATCACAGCTCACTCATCCTGGGCTCAGGGAACCCTCCTACCTCCCCATCTTGAGTAGCTGGGACTACAGGCAATCACCACCACACCCAGCAAATTTTTTTATTTTTTTGTAGAGACAGAGTCTCACTATCTTGCCGAGGTTGGTCTTGAATTCCTGGGCTTAAGTGATCTTCCTACCTCGTATGGCCTCCCCAAGTGCTGGGATTACAGGCATGAACCACCACACCCAGCCCTAAGGTCTCTTTTACCTTGAAAGTTGTATAAAGTAAGTCAGACTTAAAAGATACAAAAGAAAGAATTAAATATAGTCAAAACACATTTCTTAATTTTGAGGGAAAGTTTTTAACTGCACATGCAGGATCGAAGAGAAATAATATCTGGTTCCTAAAGAAACAAGCTGAAATAAATATTCCTGGTGTGTTTATTTTATGTTACTCTGAATTTTTTTTAAATCTATTTACAATTTCTATGTACTAGTCCAAATATAATACTTATTTTTTCTAGAGGAAGCATTTCTTAAACACTACTATGTACTCAGCCTCACGCTAGGGGCTATTACCTAATGTCAGAGAACCCGAGTCTGGTCGTGGGAAAGAAAAAGAACCACTTAAACAGCATGTTCTATAATGTACCTCAGACATTCAGTTCCCTCTTGGCTGTTGATGCCCTTGGTGTGGCAGACACCCCAGTGTTGGCTCTGTCCTGAGTTGCAGACGTGTGGTTTCTGCATCGTCAGTATACTCAGCACCTGGTCTCAGAAACGTTCTCGTCCCCTGCCCCCAGGGGTTACCACATAGCTTTTTACTTCTGAGTCCTCTTGTCCTCCTGGGCAGGGCTGTATCCAGATGGCTCCAGCCAGGCTACCTTCTGCAGTGTCTCCTTGACTCATGGGAAACACACACATGCTTAACTCAACATACACTACAAGCATGGCCTGCCCCAGGCGGCCTCCAGTCATGAAAGAGGCAGGCACCAGTCTCTTTTTGCTTAGGACCCCAAATGCTACATGTCAAGCTGCCCCAAGGACTCTCTCTCACACAGAGATCCTTTCTAGTGTACCAAGGTGGGCCTATAAGTTGCTACAATTCAGCAAGCATCCCTCCAGAGAATGAGATAGTGAGCTCTTCTGGCTGGCACCTCCAGTGTCTAATGCGTGGTTCTTTTGGGGCATCTACCATCCTTCACTTTGTATGAGGGAGGGTGCAATCCCCTCTCCTTTCCTCCCGAACAAGAAGGAGAAGGGAATAATCAAATACTTGCTCTTCTTAGTCCTGTGACTCCTACAAATCCCAGACTTCTGCCTCTATAGGCAGAATGAGGGGTCCTGGGGTGAATATGGAAGGGCCATTTTGACTGCCTTTCAGCAAGCCCAGGAGAAGTGGTCTAGCAGCTTTATAGCAGGTTCAGTGCCATTTACTTCCTCTTGGCCTTAGCTTTGGGCTTTAGCTGAAAGTCCAAGACTACTGGTAAGGTCCCAAGTAACATTTTATATATTCTTTATATATGATAGAATGGGGGGTGGGTAAAGGGTAAGAAAGACAAGCTGCAGTCTTCCTTTGTTCTCAAAACCCAGCTACCTTTCATTTGCCCCAGACCTTGACAAAACTCTACCTAGATTTGAAATTTGAGTCCTGCATATCTTTGCAGGCAGCATATAATATGCAGATGACCCATGAGAATGAGAAATCCAAAAGCACTATGTTTCTAACTACTGTTTTTAAACACTTCAATGTTACATCGCATTCGAACTTTTTTCCATTGATGACTTTTTATTTACCTGCTTTGCCATATTTCTCAAATGCTTTGTATATGCTATGGATATCACTAAAGTATTTTGAGTCTCTAAGACAAAAATGTAGAAATTGGTGGGGGAAATGAAGGTTGACATATTATGCATATACATCAAGATACTTTCCAACTTCGGGTTGCCCACTGAGATCATTGCCAGTTGTTATTGCTGGGGACCAAACTACTTACTCTCTGGTCTCCAAAGGGTTGAATCCTTCATACATTTCTGGGCCTTTGGTTATACAGATTTTTGGAATTTGTGAGCTCTTTGAAGACAGAAACTCATCTTTTTCATCTCTGTATCCCTAGTACATAGAACCCCACATTTTAGTACCTAGTAAGACTTCAATAAATATTGAGTGGATGGGTATGTGGATGAACCAACAAAGGGTCACTTCTCTCTGACAGTGACAAAATGAGCCCATTCCTCACTCCCTCCTGCTTCAGTTCTTACTTGCCCTTTTGGTTGATGAGCCAGCAGCCGAGATTCACAGTGTATTCTTTGCCACATGGACACCATCCTCTCTATCCTGTGGCTGCCTTGAGAGGTGCAGTTTCTAGGACTTGAGAGCTGCAGTTTTTAGAAGAAGCAGAGCCCAATGCCCCCACCTCAGGTAGAAGCCCCACCTTTTAATTCCTTCCCATTGTATCTGCCTTTCATATTAAGCATCCCACCTCCCCCTCATCCTGCCACTACTTCCACTGAACTTTAGGTGAGTTGAATTTAATTTAAGTGATTGAACTGGATCAGACCAGACCAAAGGCGTGGAAAAAAATTTGGTCTGAGTATTTTCCTTGGAGCAGTGCCTCAAAAGAGATTCCAGGCACTTGTGTGCCACCTATGAAGTTGTATGGATAGAACAGCGGTTCTCACTTGACCACTCTGTGCCTCATTTTTCTCATCTTAAAGTGAGAATAGTAGGGGTAACCAACTGCGTAGGATTGTTTGAGGTTAAGTGAATGAGTATATGTTAAGAGCTTAGACTAGTAACTATCATCTAGTAAGTGCTCAATAAAAGTAATATTGTTGCTATTAGTAGTAGTACTATTAGTACTCTCAAAAGTTAGCACTGGACATAAGATTTTCAAATACCTAAGGAGTTTATTAAAGCACAGATTTCT
Organism: Homo sapiens; assembly: GCF_000001405.40. Taxonomy (NCBI): domain Eukaryota; kingdom Metazoa; phylum Chordata; class Mammalia; order Primates; family Hominidae; genus Homo; species Homo sapiens. The sequence goes on along the minus strand of NC_000023.11, from coordinate 41,592,639 downwards.
GGACCTCCTTCTTAAATTCTGATGTTGTAGGTCTGGAGGGGGGTCCAGGAATCTATGTTCCATAAGTACTACATCTGATTCGGCCACACGTTCTTAAGAAATTACAGATATAAGACCTAAGGAACTGTATATGACATAGTAAGACCAGGTCAAAAATTATCTCCAATTTGGGGAGTTGTGGGATTATTTTTTCTTTGTGAGAAAAATTGATGTGCATTTATTAAATGTTTAAATAGAAACGAACCATAATCATAGTTGAAAATGTTGGAAATAATAGTCCTTGATCAAGAAAAAGGCAAAACTTACAGTTTATCATGGAATTAGACATTATAAAGTGATGGTGCTATCAACTTGTAAAGCCTCAAATTAAATTTGCTTTTTTTCTCAAACAGGTTTGAGATTTTTTTTTTTTTTTTTTCGAGACAAAGTCTTGCTCTGTCACCCAGGCTAGAGTGCAGTGATGCGATCATAGCTCACTGCAGCCTTGACCTTCTGAGTAGCTGGGAATACAGGCATATGCCACCATGCCTGGCTAATTTTTGTATTTCTTTTGCAGAGACAGGGTTTTGCCATGCTGCCCAGGCTGTTCTCCAACTCCTGGGCTCAAGCAATCTGCCTGCCTCAGCGTCCCAAAGTGCTGGAATTACAGGTGTGAGCCACTGCACCCAGCCGGGTTTGAGATTTTATAAAAATATTTTTATGTATTCACTTAGATTATTTAAACTTTGCTTGATAATATTATGACACGTCAGGGGGTGACTAAATGTGTTTTTAAAGTGTTATGTATTTTTTTAATTGTGATAGGAACACTTAACATGAGCTCTACCCTCTCAACAAATCTTAAAGTGCACAATACAGTATTGTTGGCTGGGCACGGTGGCTCACGCCTGTAATTCCAGCGCTTTGGGAGGCCGAGGCGGGCGGATCACAAGGTTAGGAATTAGAGACCAGCCTGGCCAACATGGTGAAACCCCGTCTCTACTTAAAATACAAAAAAATTAGCTGGGCGTGGTGGCACGCGCCTGTGATCCCAGCTACTCAGGAGGCTGAGGCAGGAGAATCGCTCGAACCGAGGAGGCAGAGGCTGCAGTGAGCCGAGATTGAGCCACTGGACTCCAGCCTGGGAGACAAAGCGAGACTCCGCCTCAAAAAAAAAACAAAGTGCACAATACAGTATTGTTAATGATAGACACAATGTTGTACAGCAGATCACTAGAACTTATTCATCTTGCAAATGTAATGTAGTGTGTGTGTATATGTGTGTTTTATGGTTTCTTAGTTTTTTTGGTTTTGCATTTTGTTTGGGTTTGGGTGGTGGTTTTTTGTTGTTTTACTATTTTTTATTGCATGCATGCAGTGCAATTCATTTCTATAGGCTAGTCTGGAAACCTAATCACTATTTATAACATTATTTTTCTGGGAAAATATGATCCCAGTTACAACATTGACATTTCTTTAGAGATAGAAAGCATTCAGAAGATGGAGACTGCCCACATATATTTTACAGGGATTTGGGCAAACTTTTGTGGACGAGCCACAAATCACCATTTCCCTAAAATGTTAATATAATGTTTTAAATAGAGCAGCATTTTACTAGTCTACTTATACTATTTATTTAATCTCTGATTTAGTAGTGCTTTCTTAATTAATACATCATTTAAAAAATTGTCCCTGCTCTATCTTCACATTGCTTTTGTTAGGCATTTTTATGTATGATGTGGCCCAAATATTTATAAGTCATAAAAATTTATCTTGCATTAGTATAAGCAAATCTGACTATAATCTGAAGAATGTTTATAGTCAGTATTTGACTTCTCAACTAGCATTGGTGTACAGAGTAGGTGAAGAAAAAAAAAAGAATAAAACCGACCACGAAAATCCCCACCTGTTTTAGAGAAGTTAGGAAATAAAAGTGTTCACAACAGCCGAGGTCATCTTTAACTTTTCACTTTTCAAAGCAGACTGTTGACTATGAAACACTTTATTTGAGGTAGAAATTAATATTTTAATTGTATTTCTAAAATAATTAAATGTATGTTCTTCAGAAAGCTGAACTTTGGATCATTTAGGTTTGTGGAATTTTAGAAATATATTTAGTTTCTTTCTTTTTTTTTTTTTTTTTTTTTTTTGGAGACGGAATCTCGCTCTGTCGCCCAGGCTGGAGTGCAATGGTGTGATCTCGGCCCACTGCAACCTTCACCTCTCAGGTTCAAGCAATTCTCCTGCCTCAGCCTCCCGAGTAGTTGGGGTTACAGGCGCCCACCACTATGCCCGGCAAATTTTTTTTGTATTTTTAGTAGAGACGGGGTTTTGCCATGTTGGTCAGGCTGTTCTTGAACTCCTGACCTCAGGTGATCCGCCCACCTTGGCCTCCCAAAGTTCTGGCATTATAGGCATGAGCCATCGCTCCCAGCGTATATTTGCTTTCTTTTCAGTGTCTTCTCCACTCTGAATTGGCAGAGTCAAAAGAAAAAAAGTTTATGTCCTTGACTTCCTGCTGAAGGATACCAGCACTGATTCTGTTAATGAACAGCCCTAGTAAAACAACCATAAGCCTTTGTGAGAACATTCCTTCCTAGAAGGAGTTGGGTTTGCCCTTTCCCAAGATTTAGGTTTCTGTGAAAATTCTTCCAGACGTGCCTTGGCCAGAAAGCATTCTTTCATTTTACTCCGTGTAGACGTGCCTTGGCCAGAAAGCATTCTTTCATTTTACTCTGTATTCATGCTATTGAAAGTTGCTTCTGTCAGAGGAAACAAACACTGTGATTGAGGAAATATTGATGAATTTTAAATGACAAGGAAATTGCCACATTGACAGAATTTTGGTCCATCTATTTAAAGATGATTTTTTGAAAAGATATGCATAAGACTCATATTCTGACAAGTTTCACAGAACAATTCAGAGGTTATTACCAAGAGGATCCCACTGAAATCATCAGCCTGCCTTTTTAAAAGAAAAATATTGTTTAGTGAAATAATAAATATGAAGCTCTGATTTTTAGCAAAGAATTGTGAGTGTTTACTGGATTTTCTTCTTTGCTTTTTAGCTGTATGACAAAATTAACACAAAGTCTTCACCACAAATCAGGAATCCTCCAAGCGATGCAGTACAGAGAGCCAAAGAGGTAAGTGATATATTTTATAGAAGTATTTGGCATCATCATATTTGCCACCTTTATTGAAGACATTTCTGTTGCACATTAAGAGGCAGTTTCCCTGGAGTCACAATTTGACTCATTATATTCAGATTTAGTATTTCTAAGTTTATTACTGAACATACAGAAAAGAAAAAAGATCTCTGCAGCAATATTGCCTAGATTTCTAGTTCTGGTTCTGCGATGTAAACTTGAATACATTACCATCAATTTTACTTCTCTTTTTCTGTTTTTTAAAAAAGCAAGTTATTTTACAACACTTGGTGGAAATAGACATGCTATAAAAATTTGAGTTGCTTTTTGAAGGTGGTAATGTTTGAAAGTTAATTAAATTTCTGTAGCAATTAAATATACTGAGTTCAAAGAAGTCATTTTTGTAAATTGTCAAGGTATGTGGCTATATCTGTCACAAACTTTTAAAAACCTATTTATGATAGAAATACAACATTGCAGAAAGTTTGGAAAATAAAAATAGATCCATAATCTCATCACCCTAACACAGTAGTTTCCATTTTTATATATCGTTTTCTAGTCACTCTCCATTTGCATATAAATTTTTTTATAGTTGTAATCAAAATGTGTCTTTTTTAACCTACCGTTATATAATAAGCATATTTCCATGTTTCTACTTGATCTTTACAAATATAACTTCTAATGACTGCAATATTTTTCTTTGCTGTTATTAAAGTATAACATATTAGCAATTCTCCCATTGTTAGACACATGGGTTTTTTTTTTTTTCATTTTTTGATCATGTCAGTCTTTGTGCAAATAAACATTTTTCTTTTAGAAAAATTATTTCTTATAAAGTGAAATTACTATGTGAAAGACTATGAAGGACATAATCCCTTCCCTACCAGATTTTAGACAGAAAGTCTGTACTGGAAGATGGTGTACGTTCACTGAGAAATGAGACCCATGCAGTGGAGGCTGCCCGGCCTGCCCACTTGGTCAGGACTAGCTTGGAGGGGTTGTCTCTGACTTCACCACCAAGGGCTCATAGAAGGGAATTAAGATATCGCTGATAGAGGCATGAATCACCACCCTGTCTTCACAATACGCAGATAGAAGCAGAGAGACTCTGGGGACAATTCTTTGGCTCAACTGGACAGTGAAAACCTGCTGGTTTCCCCCTAACCCTGCTTAGGTGGAAATACCACACCTCTGTATTTAAAAATAAACTAGGAGAGGAGCAAGGACCCAGAGAGAGTATGTGGTTTTGTCCTCTCATTTCACTAATAGAGAAACTCGGAGCATAAAATACACCAAGGATAATTGGTTTATCATCTTGAAACAATATGAATTAACAGCATAACCAGCACTCTAATGAACAGGGTATTCGGATAAGAAAGCTCTGTCATTTTTGCTTGTTTGTTTGTTCTTCCCTGAGGCAGTAGTTGAGTAGCACAGAACATTCTAGTTATGATGCTAAAATCTAAGGCTCGGGCCATGTGACCTCACAACATCCCCCTCCTGCCCCAGTAGGAAGCTTTTGTATGGTTTTCACAGGTTGAGGTGAGAGTCCTCCTGGATGGATGGTGGTATGATCCTGCCATCCAGTTGTGCCAAAGCAATCCTTTATTGGCTTAATGGTTGGAATTCAGTTGAGTGTAATGCAAACCTCTGAATCCAGCCATATGCAGTTAGAATAGCAGCAGGTGTTTACTCAGAAAAAGAACAGAGGCTTTTTCATGGGTTCATGTCCCATAAATAACTTACACAGGTAAACTCCATCCTGGTGGTAAAGGAGAACTTTTTAAAACAATTTTATTTGAAAACAATCAATTTTACCTGTGCAGAAAAATGTTAATGACTAATTAGTGAAGAAAATTTGAGTGGAAAGAGAAAATAAGGCTTTAAAAAATTGTTCTCTTAGGCTCCCTGGCATTTAACCCTAAGAGCCATTAGCAGAGGCATGACTTTCTCTGTGTGGGCAGATGACTATGGGGAAAAACATTGATCCGGCAGGCATTTTTGCATTTTCTACATTACTTAAAGAAAAATTACTTGTGTATTCTTAATTAAGTAGTCTAATTAATTAGTTCTGTTCTTGAAATCGTTTCTATTTGTGCCTGTGTCATTTTGACATTTCTAAAGGGAATTGGCAGTGCTGTTAATATAAAAGAAAACTTCTTATTAACTTTTTGTCCATATTGATTTTTATGGTGAGTTTGGAAAAGGATATTCAGAGATACTCTTCCGTTAAGTTTCATAAATCTGTAATAAATATATGTTGCAGCCTTGTCATTTTGCTTTATATTTTTCAATAACCTTTTAGGTTATAGTTGACAGACTTTTAGAACAATTTGCTTCATTTTTATTACCATCAATACTGTTCTTCTATGTATTAATAACATTTGAATAAAATGAAAAGTTTTTCAAAATAATTGTTTTGCCTGCCATAAAAATCCACTCATAATTTTTAACTTAAAAGAATTTAACATTTTGTAAATCTTGTGTCATGTTTGTATTATTGTATATCTTGTTTATTTTTTAGGTATTGGAAGAAATTTCATGTTACCCTGAGAATAACGACGCAAAGGAACTAAAGCGTATTTTAACACAACCTCATTTCATGGTAAGTAATAATTAAACTTCCATAGAACTGAAACCTCACTTTCAAAAGAAGTTTTTAAACTACCCTCATAAAATGTAGCCAGCTTCATCTCATGCATTTTTATCCATATCATATGAGACTATTAAGATTACAATACCAGGTAATACCAAATATTTTAAGACTGTTTTGTTTACTTTGTGTCACAACTGTAAAGATACTCTTGGTGAAGTGGCTTTTCAGGGACTGTACTCATCAGACAAGGGATTTTCTTTCTTATGGGGTAGTCCTTTAGTCACTGGAACTGTTTATGTTACTTAAACCACAAAGAACTAAAATTAGAGACAGTTTTCAATAATAAGGAATCGTCTGAATCTAGGTGATATATTGGAAGAATTACATCTCTTTTGACAATGCAAAACTGCTGCACTTTCTTGGTTCATTTCTACTATATGGAAAATGGGGATAACACCTGTATTTAGCCAAATATAAAGCTAAATAGCTAAACAAAGCTCAAAGCTCAAAATAGATAAGATACTTTGCTGTGGAAAAAGGTCCATGCTTATCTACCTAACTGCAATACAAAAACACAATTACAGATGGAAATTCATGTTGAATATACCATTTTAAAAGCATTAGCCACATCAGTTTATGTGAAAAATATGTGAAAAGTGGAAAATTTACCTCACTGCCCTTTGGGAGAAAATCTGACTTAAAAGCCTTGTTCTTATAACTACTATTACAGATGATACTTTGAATTTTTATTTATTTATTTACTTTTGAGATGGAGTCTCACCCTGTCACCCAGGGTGGAGTGCAGTGGCGCGATCTCAGCTCACTGCAATCTCCGCCTTCCAGGTTCAAGCAATTCTCCTGCCTAAGCCTCCCGAGTAGCTGGGATTGCAGGCGTGCACCACGACACCTGGATAATTTTTGTATTTTTAGTAGAGACGAGGTTTCACTATGTTGGCCAGGCTGGTCTAGAACTCCTGACCTTACCTCCTGCCTCAGCCTCTCAAAGTGCTGGGATTACAGGCATGAGCCACCATGCCTGGCCACAGGTGACACTTTTAAAATAATAGTAACAGTATAATATGTGTATCAAAGCAATTACCTGTGAGTTATTATATATATGCTGTTTTATGATAGTGTTTCTTTTTTTCTTTTTCTTTTTTTTTTTTTTTTGAGACGGAGTTTCGCACTGTCGCCCAGGCTGGAGTGCAGTGGCGCAATCTCGGCTCACTGCAAGCTCAGCCTCCCGGGCTCACGCCATTCTCCTGCCTCAGCCTCCTGAGCAGCTAGGACTACAGGTGCCCGCCACCACGCCTGGCTAATTTTTTTGTATTTTTAGTAGAGACGGGGTTTCACTGTGTTAACCAGGATAGTCTTGATCTCCTGACCTCGTGATCTGCCCGCCTCAGCCTCCCAAAGTGCTGGGATTACAGGCGTAAGCCACCGTGCCTGGCCCTTTATGATAGTGTTTCTAAACTTTTAACCAAGTTATTGAAATAAAGTTTTTTTCCTAAAAGTAACTACCTGGAAAGAAGCAATTACCATATTCATCCTTCCTAACTCTCCCACCCAAGCATTAAAGGCTGAATTCAAGTATAATCCTTGAGAGTATTTGACTTTATTCTATGGTAACAGCACTGTCCAGTGAAATACAATTAGGATACAGGTTCTAATGCCTGTAGATGAGTGCATTTTTACAACCTAGGTGTATAAACACAGAACTTCGTTCAAATCTCACCTCTTTTATCAAGGTATCTTGTAACCTCTCTACCCTTCTCTTGAACTTTCTCTTCTCTAACTCTTTTCCACTTGTTTGTATTCACCTGCATAACATTCTAATGCTTGCTGGCCTGCCAGAGCAGGTCTCTTCCCAGTGAATGAGCCAGGGCAATTTTTCTTTGTCCTTCCATATCCCAGCCCAGTTTTGTTGTTCTCATTGAGCTTATCTCATTTAGTCATTGTGATTATCTCTATTTCACAGAGCAGGAGAATAAAGAAACTATATGCTTTATTAATAATCCTCAAATGTGATGAATCACAAATATCTGCAGTTAAATTACCGTTAATATTACCTTGTTCACTGTTTCATGCATATGTGCTGTGTTTCCCCAGATTATAATTCATTCCCTTTTAGACAGCATGTCTTCTATAGCAGGGGTCTCCAACCCCTGGGCCACTGACCAGTACCCATCCGTGGCCTGTTAGGAACCAGGCCACACAACAGGAGGTGAGCAGCAGGCCAGCCAGCATTACCACCTGTGTCCCCCTCCTGTCAGATCAGCCTAGGCATTAGGTCCTCATAGGAGTGGGAACCCTATTGTGAACTGCGCATGCGAGGGATCTAGGTTGCATACTCCTTATGAGAATCTAATGCCTGATAATCTGAGGTGGAACGGTTTCATCCCAAAACTATTCCCCGACCTCTATCCCCCACCCCCACCCACCCTGCCATCCGTGGAAAAATTGTCTTCCACAAAATGGGTCCCTGGTGCCAAAAAGGTTGGGGACCACTGTTCTATATTATAAAAGTGGTTAAAGATGTGAATTCAGATGACCTGGGGTTGAACTCCATCCTTGCCACCGTAACTTTATGAACTCTGACTCTGAGTCAACCTCGTGGAGTCAGAATAAGAATTAAGTAGCTGATATATCTACTGTGCGTAGCACAATGCTTGACATATGCTTAGTGCCTAATAGATGTTATCTGATACCTATTATTAGTTGCTCCATAGTATCTATCATGTATAGGGCACATAGTAAGTTATCAGTAAAACATTGAATAGATTAGGAACCTGCCCGTTTGCAGATAGGTTAGGCTCTCCTTGGCTGACTGCTCTGTGCAGTGTTCCATAGCTAGAAACAGATATATAATAAATTTTGGACCAGGCACAGTGGCTCACGCCTGTAATCCCAGCATTTTGGAAGGCCAAGGCAGGAGGATTGCTTGAACCCAGGAGTCAAAGACCAGCAACATTGGGAGACCCCATCTCTACAAAAAATTAAAAATAAACTAGCCAGACATGGTGGCACATGCCTGTAGTCCCAGCTACTTAGGAGGCTGAGGTGGGAGGATCACATGAGCCTGGGAGGTCAAGGCTGAAGTGAGCCATGATGGCACCACTGCACTTCAGCCTGGGCAACAGAGCGAGACCCTGTCTCAAAAAGTAAAAAATGCCAGGAACTGTGGCTCACGCTTATAATCCCAGCACTTTGGGAGGCTGAGGAATGAGAGTCATTTGAGGTCAGGAGTTCAAGACCAGCCTGGCCAACATGGTGAAACCCCATCTCTACTAAAAATACAAAAAAAAAAAAAAAATAGCCTGGCGTGGTAGCACACACCTGTAGTCCCAGCTACTTGAGAGGCTGAGGCACAAGAATCACCTGAACCCAGGAGACAGAGGTTTCAGTGAGGCGAGATCACGCCTCTGCACTCCAGCCTGGGTGAGAGTGAGACTCTGTCTCAAAAAAAAAATAAAAAATGAATTTGGACAGACATGTCTTTCTATAAATTGCTAAGTAAACTCAGCTCAATTCAGAGAATGATATAGGGCCGTATGAGACCAATAGATCTTTCAGATTTGAAGTAAGCTAAATAAATTAACATATACCCAAATAGGAGCCTTTTTTTTCATCAAAATCATTACGGCTCATATAGCCCATTGTATGACAGCTTATCTGTCTTCTAAGTCTCGATATGTTTTGCTTTTCTGAAGTCAGAGAGAAGTTAATATGTGCATTGCTATTAGTAAACATTTTCAGAAATAATAAGTAATTTTTATAATTTATTGAATACCTAGCTAGGTGCTTAAAAGACATTTTCATTCATTTATCAAATAAGTAAATGCCTACTGTATGCCAGGCACACTATGCCAGGCACTAAGGACCTAGTAATGAATAAGACAAACAAGATCCCTGCCCTCATGGAACTTCCACTCTAGTGGAGGTGGGGTGGGAGGACAGGTAGGAGAGGTAGAGGTAGACAATGAGCAAGTAAGCTAACAAGATAATTTCATATGGCAATAATAACTATGAAGAAATGAAAGGATAATGGTGCAGAGATTATAGTAAAGTGGGAGCTGCTTTAGATAGGGGAAAGCCCCTCTGAGGAGTAGACATTTGGGCTGAGACTCCTTTGAGGAAGAGCAAATGCAAAGGCCCAGAGACAGGAAAGAGCTTTGTAGATTCAAGGAGCAGAAGTCCTTTGTGGCTGAGATACAGTTAACAAGGGAGAGAGTGGTACTTCCTGTACCAAGAGAGGTCAGCAGAGGCCAGACCAATTTATTTATTTTTTTAATATATAAAATAAGGCCAGGCATGGTGGCTCACGCCTGTAATCCCAGCATTCTGGGAGGCCAAGGTGGACGGATCACGAGGTCAGGAGTTCGAGACCAGCCTGGCCAACATGGTGAAACCTGTCTCTACTAAAAACACAAAAATTAGCCAGGCATGGTGGTGGGCGCCTGTAGTCCCAGCTACTCAGGAGGCTGAGGCAGGAGAATCTCTTGAACGCAGGAGGCAGAGGTTGCAGTGAGTTGGGATCGCACCACTGCACTCCAGCCTGGGAGACAGAGCGAGACTCCATCTAAAAATAAAATAAAAAATATAAATAAATAAAAGCCTTCCAGGCCATTGTAAGGAGTCTGCAGTTTTCTCCTGATTGCAGTAGGATGACACTAAGTGATGGCACGCAGGAAAATATCTAATCTGTGCCTTGCTGGAGCTGATGTGTAGAGAACGGACTGTAGGGGGGATAAGAGTTTAGGGAGACCAATTGGAAGGCTGTTGTGAGAGGTTGTAGAGGCTTGGAGAAAGGTGAGGATGGTAGAACATGGGCAGATGGGGTTTCTGTGTTGGAGATGGTTACATACAAGAGGACTTGCTGATGGTTGGGATGTAAGCTGGTGTAATTAAACCCATTTCACAATTCCGAGAGGAAATTGTGCCCTAACAAGGTAAAGAGACTTGCTTAAGGTCACTCACCAATCAGTGGCCTCAATGAGGTTCAAGCCAGATCCTGCTAGCGCCAAAGCCTATGCTCCTAAAAGTCAGTTGATTTATAATGCTAATCAGATTTCTAATAAATTTAAGTTGAGCTCATTGGTCATTCCTAAATAAGCTTTTGTGTAGATAATATCTTATGTGGGAAATATAATTCTGAGATATATATATATATATATACTATATTAAATAAGCTTTTAAATGCTGGGGCTTTCTATCTTATAAGCGTTTTTAAAATCATGGCTTCAAAATCTTGGTATTTTTAAAGAAATATTAATAGCTAAGGGGAAATATGTTAATACTTACAATTTTTTTATTATGCCAAGGTTTGGGAGTTATTCTTGGCATATTTATAATTTCACACTTATTTGCTCAGTCATCCGAATTTTTCTTTGCTTTCTGATTATTATAACATGAGGATTTAACATTGAATTACCCAACACTGAAAATCCAGATACTTGTAGATATTTACAGTAACTAAAGGAAGAGGAAATAAGGGTAAATTTAAACGACTTTAAAATTCTGTGTTTTTTTTTTTTAAGAGACGGGGTCTTGCTCTATTGCCTAGATAGGAGTGCAGTGACACCTTCTTAGCTCACTGTAGCCTTCAACTCCTGGGCAAAGCAATCCTTCTGCCTCAGCCTCCCAAGTAGCTGGGACTACAGGCATGCACCACCATGCCTGTCTACTTTTTTTTATTTTTTGTAGAGACGGGGGTCTCACTTTGTTGCCCAGACTGGTCTTGAACTCCTGAGCTCAAACAGTCCTCTTTCCTTGGCATCCCAAAGTGCTGGGATTACAAGCATGAGCTACCACACCTGGCCTAAAATCTGTATCTTTAGAGGTCATCATAAAAGAATATTATCTCACTGATTACTTTTTTAGTTATTCCATTTGAAAGGCTGACTTTTTAAAAAGAATATTTCCTTTGCTTATTGCAGCTGTAAAATATGAAACATTAAATAGTCAGATTTTTTCCACTCTAGTCTGATGTTGTTAGTTGTCTTATACATATCCTTACTATAGTACAAAAAGTGAAAGTGTTTTTTTCCTATTACACGATTGTTACGTAGTTAAAACTGACAGCTATTTCAGCTTAGTGACAACTGCTCACTCATACGTCTTAACATATTTGAAGAAAAATGTTCAAATTTTGGTTTCCCTATTTTTTATTTTATATACTCTTTTAAGCTTTTAAAAAGATAGTCTGTAAGTGGCCCCCTTTTTCTGTTTGGATATGAATTAGAGCTTTAGGTTAAGTTTCGTTTTGTGGTAGCAATCATTTACAGTGCCAAATTGTGGTTAATATCGAGTATGACCTTATTTGGTGACATCATTTAAGCATTTTTCTTTTAGAGTCCAGTTTGAGTATTATTTTATGATTGTGGGCTTAATCCTTCCTTGTAAATAATGCATTAAATACAAATGTTTGCTTATATAATTTAAAAGAATGAGTAGAGGCCTGTAATCCCAGCACTTTGGGAGGCCGGGGTGAGTGAATTGCATGAGCTCAGGAGTTCAAGATCAGCCTGGGCAACATGATGAAACCCCGTGTCTACAAAAAATACAAGAATGATCTGGGTGTGGTGGCACATGCCTGTGGTCCCAGCTACTTGGGAGGCTGAGGTAGAAGGTTCACTTGAGCCCAAGAGGTCAAGGCTGCAGTGATATGACGAACATAATTTTAGCAAATGAAATGTTCCAGTTTTTATGTTACTGATTTTTGCTTTTTGCCCTAAATCTTGGTTTCTTATGTGACCACAATTAAATCAGAAAAAGAGGGATTTGCCCACATAGGACAGCCTCTATACTTGGGCTCAGGAGTACCAGTACAAGGTGCAGTTAGGGCACTGGTGAGGAAGCCAAGGTCCCCAGGGCCATCATGGAGCACTACTTTCAAGCTATATATTGCTTAGTGCCCCTTGGTGCTCCTCACCCAAATCCCAGTTTAGACCAGCCTTCTGAGATTGTGAAAATATCTGCCATTTCCATTAGAAACTCAACTGTGTATAATGCTCAAAGCATATTCTTTACTGGTAACAAATCAGCATTATCTTCTTTATGATTTTACCAGATTGTTACCTTTTTTTTTTGCCTCGTATGCATGCCTTTAAAATTAAATAGCCAAGTCATGACTTTTTTAAGCCTTTTAATAAAATAACTTAATTTCAGATGCTATGAGTTATTATTTTTAAAGCAATTTTAACTGCATTTCATTATCTGCAGATATTACCGCACAGATCCCAAATTAAAATAGAACCAAATTTATAGTTAGCACATAAGAAAATATAATCTTTGTATAAAGCTCCAGACATTTTGATAGCTGTAGATTCTCTTTGAAATAGAAATGTTCAAATATTTATGCTTAATAGAAAGGGTTTATTATGATGGCACAAAAAGTGTGGTGAGTAGAAGGACATTCTTTTTTAGGGAAACAAGGGACATTTTATTGTTGAAGTTCACCAAGCTGACAAATAGAGATGTCAGTTCAAAGAAATCACTTTCTCTTTGTTAATAGGCTTTGCAAAAAGAAGTCATAATAATAATTCTCAACTTATTTTTTATTTAAACAAGTGCTCCAAAAAATATAATGAACAAAAAAATTTAACATATTTAGAGTTTGAGTTCCATATCATACGTGATATTTTGGAAGATTACGTTTTTAAGGTACATCTGTGTGTATTTTTTTCTTTTTCTAAATCATATGCTATAAATTATTTTCATCCTTTGGGTTATATAAAAGCGTCATTGTAAATGCCATTGATGAAAGATACTTGCTCAATACTCCAATTATTGCACTATTTCTTTTTAAATTTGTTTCAATTCTAAGCCCCAGCACAAATTTGCCAACTCTATTTATAGATGATTCTTTTAGCTAAATTACTTGAAATTGTACCGTCTACCTTCATTTGAACAAGTTAGTTGATAACACCTCTGACCCAGATAATCATCAAACACATCTCTTCATTGATTCACTCATTTATTCACTTACGTTTTAAAAAATCTATTTATCATGATTGTCACAAAAAAATTGAGATAGTTGGATGTCGATATTACACACTTTATGTTCTCTTTAGATGAATGATACCTTTGAGAGGAAAAGAATGAGATATGTTTATAGAATAAATTTGTCAGCCCCATGTCTACAAAGAAAACATTTAAAAATTAGCCAGGTGTGGTGGCATGCACCTGTGGTCCCAGCTACACAGAAGGCTGCAAAGGAAGGATCGCTTGAGCCCAGGAGATGAAGCCTGCAGTGAGCTGAGATCTCACCACTGCACTGCACCCTGGGTGACAGAGTGAGACCCTGTCTCAAAATAAATAAATAAATAAAATAAATTTCTGCTGAAATAGTAATGTTATTAATAATTTTTTTCTTCATAAAACACTAGGCCTTACTTCAGACTCACGACGTAGTGGCACATGAAGTTTACAGTGATGAAGCATTGAGGGTCACACCTCCTCCCACCTCTCCCTATTTAAACGGCGATTCTCCAGAAAGTGCTAACGGAGACATGGATATGGAGAATGTGACCAGAGTTCGGCTGGTACAGTTTCAAAAGAACACAGATGAACCAATGGTAAGTAGGAAGAGAAAGTTTTCAATACTCTCATAAGATCCCAGCATGAGTTATATCAACTAACTTCAACCTATGCTACTAGGAGTTGGGGAGGGAAGGAAGACATGGATAGTTTTAAAGAAATCAGTTTCCAGATCTTCAGTTCCCCCCTGCCCTTCTTTTCTAGAATTGTTCTGCCTGAAACTGTCTTAGGCATTCCGGTTCTCTTTCTCACCTCTCCTTTCACAATTGCCCTTCAACCAAAAAAAGGGGAACATACTGTAACATTCCTCCAGGGTGTAAAAACCTCTGGGGCAGCAAAGAAAGGGACAATTTGAAATATTGGTATTGGTATTGAGAAAGTGAATGTCTAGTAACATTGTAAAAATCATCCTTTTATAAATCTTATAGTTTTCAGATCTTTTGCCTTCAACAAAATTAGAGGAAGATTAATTCAGGGGGCATTCAAAGAATTGAGTAACACTGCTGAAATAAATTTCTTCCACTCCCAGCTACCTACTTAATATGAATCAATTTACTCAGTGCTTGGGAGTAGAGCTGGAAGAGAATTGATGCTGAACCTTGCCTCCATTCTCATAGAATTCTCGTAGACTGAGAAGATCAAGGAAAGGCTCCTTGATGTTAACTGAACAGAGCAAGGGGAGTGAGGGGAAGCAGGGGAATACTATTCAGCAAACCAAATAGCACATGTGTAAACCTGGTAGTAAAAAGGCTCTTATCATAGTTTCCCAATGGAAAGAAGGCACCATGGCTGAACTGCAGACAGCAAGGTGAGTGGCTGGAACAGAATCATACAAGTGTTGGAAGACATGTTAAGGATTATGTTCATTATCTTAAAAACAATGGGAGGCTATTGAAGACTTTCAAGCAGGGGGATAATATTAGATTTTTGTTTTAGAAATATCACTCTAGAGAATGTATGAGAGGGGTCAAGAGTGGATGTACAGAAACCAGTTAAGAGGCTGTTATTGCAGCAGTGCAGGGCAGATATGATGGAACTCTGAACTTGAGGGATGGATGTCAAGATGGAAAGAAGTGAACACATTTAAGAAATAATGAAAGAGTAGGTAATATCAGTAAGCCTTAACAATGGATTGACAGTAGAACTGAGGGAGAAGCAAAGATCAAGCACAGCCCTTAAGCTTTAGTCTTCTAAAACTGAATGGACGTTGAGACAGGGAACATTGGATAAGTTCCAAGTTGGAGGAGAAACCATATCTTTAGAAGAGGAAAAAAATTCAAATTTATGCATTCATATCTTTTTCCTCAGAACATAGAAAAGGGATATTAGGATATAGAAAAACAAATTACCTACTTCTGAAAGTTGCCTTTTAGATTAAGGGAAAAGTTATAGCAGTGACTCTATGACCATGATTTTTGGAGAGCCCTCAGCTTAGACATTTCTGGTCCTAATCCTCATTTAGTAATCTTTGCCAGTTATACAATATTATCTTGCAGCACATGGGGGGCATGCAGATCACCTCACCCCTTCTGGTACTATCCAGGCAACTCTTTGGCTTAAGAGCATAGGCTACAGCAGGTTTTGGGTGTCTTGGGCAAATCACTTCATGTCAGTGGACCTCAGTTGGCTCATCTCTAAAAGCATAGTTGACTAAATGAATGATCCCCAAGATCCCACCTAGCTCTGAAAGTCTAATATTCCATTCATTCATTTTATATATTCATTCATTTATTCACCAAATATTTTTGAAGTCCCTACTAAGTGCAAATCACTCTTATTAGATGCCAGTGATCTATTGTCAGATAAGACACTGCCCCTTACTAGAGCTCACGTTCCACAGGGCTGGCTACATTAAACAAGTAAATTTGTAGCTTAGCACGGTTTACTTAACAAGCCCAGTTATGACAGAGCTGGAGAGGAGAGAAAGCTGTGTTGGAGAGGCAGGAAGGTGTGATGTTCAGCCAGGCAAAGCAGGCAAGAAGGTAGAAGGGACCACAAGAAGGAGGCCTCAGAGTGTCTTGGGATCATTAAGTTCTCAAGCAGTCCAGTGACAGCTGCTTGATTGTTTGTGTGAAGACTCACTACATAGAAACATAGACTGAATTGGCCCGGTGCAGTGGCTCACACCTGTAATCCCAGCACTTTGGGAGGACGAGGCGGGTGGATCACGAGGTCAGGAGTTCGAGACCAGCGTGGCCAATATGGTGAAACCCCATCTCTACTAAAAATACAAAAATTAGCCAGGTGTGGTGGTGGGTGCCTGTAATCCTAGCTACTCAGGAGGCTGAGGCAGAAGAATCGCTTGAACCCGGGAGGCGGAGGTTGCAGTGAGCCGAGATCGCGCCACTGCACTCCAGCCTGGGCAGCAGAGTGAGACTCCGTTTCAAAAAAAAAAGAAAAGAAAAGAAAAGAAAAAAGAAACATAGACTGAATAAAAGCATAAAACTACATCCCTGAGTTACTTTTTCAGAAAGCGTAAAATGGTCTTGAGTCTCCCCTAAAAGTCTCCTTCCAAAAGCTTTTCTGTCTTCGATGATCCTAGTGAAGATGTATATTTCTTCTCCTTTTGATGGGTTTCCATGAAAACAGGAATTATTTTATGTGAAATATAAAATATATATTTTCAATAATAGAGTGTCAATCTCTAATGCATTTAATACAACTTTATTTGCTTTCTTAGTTGTCTTATTCAAAGCATTATGTTACTGTGCAGGATATTCCTATATGATCTGTTTTGTTTTTCAGACCCTCTGCAATGTGTCCATTCCTCAAGGGTGACATACTCCTGTTACACACCTCTGTTTTCCCATTTGTAGCATCATACTCATAATTTTTTTTTTTATTGATTGGAATTCCCATAGTTGCAAGTGACAAAAATCAAGCTTGAACTAGCTTACAAAATAGAGGAAAGGCTTATATAAACAGGGAAAGGCCAGGAGTATAACTTTCCTAATATCTCCCCTCAAGCTGGTAGGTTCAGGAGTAGGCACCTAACCCAAGCTATGCCAATGCCTTCCCTAGAATTTGTGAACTTGGGAACAGAGAGAAAGTGAATCAGTTCCTCTCTACAGAGAAATGTTTGGGACCTACAGAATAATAAATGTTAACTACAGTTGGTTTGAGGTGAACTTCTCCTGGCCATGGGAGACCCTTTTTGTCTCATTTGCTACTGTACCTAGCAGAGTGCCTGCCTCATAGTAAATTCACGTTAATGTTAGTTGAATGAATACATACATCTATTAGTTTCAAGGGTGGAAGCTGTATTGTACTATCATTTCCCTTATGAAATTAGATTTGACTTACACACTAATTTACAGCATTTTTCCAGGAACACTTTTCTTAGTAACCATACAAGCTGATTGAATGTACAAGTTGGAAATGAAACTTGAATATTACAATTGAATCTTAGGACTGGAAACATTTTGATAAACCAGTTTTTCACATTGCTCACCTACCACTTCTGAAAACTGCAAAATAGGAACAATGCAAAGTTATAGTTTGTGGAGTGGTACAAATTAAGTTTAGAGTATAAAGTCTCAGATATTTTTATCAAGCTTTCTGACAGTGTTATTCTCTAGTGAAAAATAAAAGACACAGTCCCTACCCTTAACTGTCTCAAATTCAAGGCCACTTTCCAGCAAGGGAGCCTGTTAAAAAGTACAGATTTCCGGGCTCCATTCGAGGCCTCCTGAGCTTAAATCTAAAGAGTGGGTTTAAGAGTCAGCATTATTTAAAATTTCCCTGTGTGATTCTTAGGATTAACCAGATCTAGTGCAAAAAATATGTTTATGAATGCTTGTTTTTTTTAATAGTGGATAATCAGAAAACAAAAAGTAATCCACTCTGTAGAATAGTATTCTGGCATTAAATGTGACTATAGAACTTTCATTTCTGTCCAAGATAGAGTAACTGGGACCAGATTTATCCTCTCATTTGAAACAACCCAACATATAAAAAACAAAATATCATGAAAGAACAGTTTTCAAGACATTAGACATCAGGCAACTAAGGACAGTGATCTCTTGTGAGACAGGAAACAAGGTGACCCATATGAATGCCCCACCATGCTGCCTTGAGAGAGTTTCCAGGCCACAGCACAGGGAGGGGAACTAAGGCAGAGTAGGCAGACTCCCTAAATTGAGGGGACAGAGCTGAGAGTCTGGGGTGACCAAAGCAACTAGAGTTCATAGGACAGAGTACTGAAGAGGAGAGAGCTGCACACAGACAGAACCTCAGATCTGCAGAGGATCTCCCTCAAGTATTCAGCAGAGTATCGATCAGTGCATGTCTAATAGGAAATTCCCCAACACTGAGAAACTCCCCAACACTCTCCACTTTGGATGGAAAAAAAAACCATCCAAAAGGATTGGAAGGAACAGCGCCTGCACTACCTGTTCCCACCAGTCAGACTAGAAAAATTTCTAATTCATGGCTCATTGTGTAGAGCGCTCAGGGAAGTCTTATCTCTGTAATGAGAAGTAATTAGCCCCAAACTGACAACTGCTCCAGACCTGCCTAATGGATCATGAACGCAAGACCCAAAGGATCAAACTATGTCCGAGTAACTGATCTAAGTCTCAGAACAAAACATAAGAATATTTTTAGGAATACAAAAACATCAACTATGCAACAAATTCACAATGTCTGACATCTAATCAAAGATTACTAGGCATGTAAAAAGACCAGAAAGTGTGACCTATAATATGGAGAATAATCAATCAAAAATGACATAGAACTGACAGATAATAGAATTAGCAGGAAAATACACTATGGGATTAATGGCAGATTAGACATTTCAGAAGAGATTAGTGAACTTGAAGACAGAGCAATAAAAACTATCAAAAATGAAACACAGCAAGAAAAAGAATTTTTAAAGATGAAAAGAGCATCACTGAGCCGTGGGACAACTTCAGTCAGCCTAATACATGGTTAATTGGAGTTCATGAAGAAGAGAGGAAAAGAAAGAAGAAATGTTTGAAGAAATAACGCCTGAAAACATTCCAAACTTGATGAAAACTATAAACCCACAGATCCAAACACCATGGCAAACCCCAAGCACAAGAAACATGAAGAAAACAATACCAAGCTACATCATAATCAAACTGCTTAGAACCTATGACAAAGAGAAAATCTGAGAAACAGACCAAAAAAAAACAAAAAAAAAAAGAAAGAAATTGGGAGACAGAGGTAGGAGAATTGCTTGACCCTGGTAGGTGGAGGTTGGAGTGAGCCAAGACATCATGCCACCGCACTCCAGCCTGGGTGACAGAGCGAGACTCCATCTCAAAAAAAAAAAAAAAAAGAAAAAAGAAATTTTACACACAGAGGAACAAACATAAGGATGACATCAATGTCTTATCGGAAGCAGTACAAACAAGAACAGTGTCATAAAGTACTAAAAACAAACATTTCTCAACTTAGAATTCTAAACCAAGCAGAAGTATCTTTCAAGAACAAGAAGGCAAAATAAAAATGTCTTCAGACATACCAAAACTGAAAGAATTCAGCAGACCCACACTATAAGACCCACAGTATATTTAGGACATTCTTCAGGCAGAAGGAAAACGATAACAGATTGAAATCTGAATCTACAAAAAGGGAATAAAGAGCACTGGAAATGATAGCTATATGGGTAAATCTATAAGTTCTTTTTCTTATTACTTCAATCTCTTATAATTGGCAATTTAAACAAAAATAACAATGTGTTTTAGAGTTTATAGTATATGGAAAAATAAAATGTATGACAACAGTAGCACAAAGGTCAGGAAGAAAGACATAGAAGTACTATATACTATTGTAAGGCTCTTATATGATGTAGGGGGGATAAGGGTTATATGTGAAGTGGTATAATATCACTTGAAGGTACACTGACAAGTTAAAGATAGATGCTATAAACCCTAATGCAACCACTAAAACAACAAAATGAAGAGTTGTGAGAGAAAACACAGGAGAGAAAACAGAATAAAAAATAATACAAAGAAAGGCAGAAAAAGATAACAGAACAGGTGGAACAAATAGAAGTCAAATAGCAAGAATATATATTTATACCAGACTGTATCAATCATCATGTTCTGCTTGTAAAACATGCACTTCATACACAAAGAATAGTTTCAAAGTAAAAAGGTAGAAGCCAGGTTTGGTGGTGCATGCCTGTAGTTCCAGCTACTTGGGAGGCTGAGGCAGGAGGATCACTTGAGCCCAGGAGTTCGAGGATGCAGTGGGCTATGATTGCACCACTGTGCTCCGCCTGGGTGACAGTGTGAGACTTCATCTCTTAAAAAAAAAAAAAAAAGTAAGAAGATAGAAAAAGATATACTGTGATAACATTAATCAAAAGGTAGCTGGAGTAGCTTTATTGATATCAAAATATATTCTCAGACCACACTGGGATTAAATTAGACATGAATAACAGAGAGAGATAAATCGCCAAGTACTTGAAAATTAAATAACACAATTCTAAGTAACCCATGAATTAAAGAGGAAATCAAAAGGGAAATTAAGAAGTATTTTGTAATGAATTAAAATGAACCACAGTATGTCAGAATTTGCAGGATGCCACTAAAGCAGTACTTAGGGAGAAATATGTACCATTAAACACCTATATTAGAAAAGAAGAAACATCTCAAATCAATGACTTCAGCTTATACCTTAAAAGTAACTAGGACAAAATGGAGTAAATTAAACCCAAAATGAGTAGAAGAGAAGAAATAATAAAGATCAAAGTAGAAATTAATGAAATAGAAAGCAGAAAGCAATAGAGTATCAATAAAACAGAAAATACTTTTTCTTTGGAAAGATCAGACTGATCAGGAAAAATGGCTATACAATCACGGGGAAAAAAAACATGAATTACCAACATCAGGCATGAGAGAAGGGGCATCACTACAGAGTCTACAGATATAAAAAGGATGATAAAGAAATAAACAGATTTATGCCAATAAATTCAACAACTTAGATAAAATGGAAAAATTCCCTGGGAGACAGAAACTACTAAAGCTTATTTAAGAAGGAATAAACTGAATTGCCCTATACTATCTGAAAATTGAATTTGTAGTTAAAAACTATTCCTCAAAGAAAACTCCAGGTCAAGATGGCTTCACTGGTAAATTCTGTCAAACATACAATGGAGAAATAATACCAATTCTATACAAACTCTTTTCAAAACATTGAAAAAAAAGGAATTTTTCCCAGCTCATCCTAGAAAGCCAGCATTGCCCTGATACCAAAACCAGTTAAGACATTACAAAGAAAGAAAACTATAGACTAGTATTCCTCATGAATGTAGATGTAAAAATTCTAAACAAAGTCTTAGCAAAGCAAATCCAACAATATATGAAAAGGTTAATATGTTCTCACTTCAGCAGCACATATACTAAAATATAAACAGTACAGAAAATATTATCATGGCCTCTGTATAAGGATGACATACAAATGCATGAAGTGTTCCAGATCTTTAAAATATATATATGTTATGATCAAATGGTGATTAACCCAGGAATACAGCTTTACTTATAATAGCCCAAACCAGGAAACAATTCAGTGGGTGAGTGGATAAACTGATATGTCCATACAATGGAATACCACTCAGCAAGAACAAAGAACAAACTACTGATACATGCAACATCATGGTGGAATCTCAAAATAATTATGCTGAGTGAAAAAAACAACAAAAAAGAGTTCATACTGTATGATTTCATTTATGTACAGTGCAAACAAATCTGTAGTCAGCAAAAGTTGACTGTATCAGCCTTTGGTCGACAACTATATTATCAGCTTTTTGATTGTCACATTAGTAGTTGCTTAGGGATGTGGTGGGGAGGGTATGGAGGGATGGGAGAATATTACCAACGAGCATGAGGAAACTTTTGGGAATGATAGATATATCACTATCCTGATTGTGGCCATAGTTTCATACATATGTCAAACTTATCAAATTGTACACTTTAAATATGTGTATGTCAATTATATATCAATGAAAACTGTTTTTAAAAATAATAGGCAACATTAAAAATGGAGCAACAGGGAAAATAATCATAATTAGAAGATTTAAAAGCACTATCGGCCAGGCATGGTGACTCACACCTGTAATGCCAGCACTTTGGGAGGCCAAAGCAGGTGGATCACTTGAGGTCGGCAGTTTGAAAACAGCCTGGCCAACATAGTGAACCATCTCTTTCCTTACCCTCGTCTCTACTAAAAATACAAAAATTAGCTTGGCATGGTGGCAGGCACCTTTAATCCCAGCTACTCAGGAGGCTGAAGCAGGAGAATCACTTGAACCCTGGAGGTGGAGGTAGCAGTAAGCTGTGATTGTGCCACTGCACTCCAGCCTGGGTGACAGAGTCTCAAAAAAAAAAAAAAAAAAAAGAAAAAAGAAAAGAAAAGAAAATAGTGTGTTAAAAGCATTATATAAAATATATGTATATAGCAATCAAAAAATCAAAAATAGTATTTTTGTCATGGAGCAATTTTGTGTGCGTGGCATACTGGATGGTCTTCTCCATTTTCCATATTTTCTTTAATTTTTTTTAACTGGTAATTAAAATTATCTACCGCAAAATCACAAATATTAAGAGAAGCACTGTCATAGTAATTCTACTTTTGCTGAACTTTTTATTTTTTTTTTAACAGGGAATCACTTTAAAAATGAATGAACTAAATCATTGTATTGTTGCAAGAATTATGCATGGGGGCATGATTCACAGGCAAGGTAAGTTTCATATATATTTCTTTCTTTGCCTTCCTTAATTTTTTTTCCCTGTAGCCTAGTGAAGAAAATGTTTTTGTTTGTTTTGTTTTTGAGATGGGGTCTCTCACTATGTTGCCCAGACTGGTCTTGAGCTCCTAAGTGCAAGCAATCCTCCCGTCTCAGCTTTCCACAGGTGCATGCCATCACACCCAGCTAAGAAAGTATAAAGGATACATATAAAGAATCTTTTAAAATCATCTTTGATTTTAATCATTATTGGCCTCCATTGTTTCTTATTCATCTGCACAGGCTCCAGCATGTAGATAATGAAGGGAGAATATATTAGAGTTCTGTTAGCCAGAGCATCTCTGTATTAGATTACTACTTACGGGGACCACGGGAGATAAAGCAAATAATTACACTGGGCCTCACGATGTAGGAGAGACATCTGTTCTAGAGTAAAAGATATATGTAAATAAATAACCATTTAAGAAGTGTTCTCTCATTCATTTAGGAATTAGATATGCTATTTATAAATTAGGACATCATAGAGTTAAATAATACAAAAATTAAATGGTAAGAGATGTCAAATCGATGATTAAATTATTAATACCTGCCATGGTGAGTGCAGTCATTCTGTGGAGAGAATTCACTAAGAACTGGAATAGACAAAGAATGATGTGGGGGTTTTTTTTGAGACAAGGTCTGGCTCAGTCACCCAGGCTGTGCAATGGCACAATCTTGGCTCACTGCAACCTCTCCTCCCGGGCTCAAGCAATCCTCCCACCTCAGCCTCCTGAGTAGCTGGGACCACAGGTGCACACCACCATGCCTGGCTAACTTTTGATATTTTTGTAGAGATGGGCTTTTACCATGTTGCCCAGGCTGGTCTCCAATTCTTGAACCCAAGCAATCTGCCTGCCTCCTCCCAAAGTGCTGGGATTATAGGCATGAGCTACCTTGCCCAGCTCGAAGAATGATTTTTTAAGAAGGTGCATCTTCAGTTAACTCTCAAGGATGGGCAGGGTTTGGATATGTGGATTTAGGCTTTTTCTTTGAAAGGATTGAGTTATATGCACTAGTATTTAGAGGATGTTCCAAAAATGATTCTTCTGGCAGACTCTCTGTCTTTGAGATAGGGTTATTTTTGTACTTAACACCTCTTTCCTTACCCCCAGAGAGCGAGAAGTAACACTCTAAGCATTTTAGTGCCTTATTCTCCTCTTGAGAATAAGAGGAGATCACTGTGTACACAACATGATGTCTGGCATCATTGCTGCTTTCAGAGGAATCCTTGTAGGCGTAGAGGGTGTACAGCACTCCCACAGGAGGATATTTGGTTTTAGATTCCAGTATGTGTTTTTTGTTTGCTATTTTTAATAATTTTTATATGTTCAGTAAAGCCACAACATCATTCTTTCTTTTTTTTTTCTTTTCTTTTTTGTTTTTTATTATACTTTAACTTCTAGGGTACATGTGCACAATGTGCAGGTTTGATACATAGGTATACATGTGCCATGTTGGTTTGCTGCACCCATCAACTCATCATTTACATTAGGTATTTCTCCTAATGCTATCCCTCCCCCAGCCCCCCACCCCCTGACAGGCCCCAGTGTGTGATGTTCCCCGCCCTGTGTCCAAGTGATCTCATTGTTCAGTTCCCACCTATGAGTGAGAACATACGGTGTTTGGTTTTCTGTCCTTGTGATAGTTTGCTGAGAATGATGGTTTCCAGCTTCATCCATGTCCCTGCAAAGGACATGAACTCATCCTTTTTTATGGCTGCATAGTATTCCCTGGTGTATATGTGCCACATTTTCTTAATCCAGTCTATCAATGATGGACATTTGGGTTGGTCCCAAGTCTTTGCTATTGTAAATAGTGCTGCAATAAACATACGTGTGCATGTGTCTTTATAGTAGCATGATTTATAATCCTTTAGGTATATACTCAGTAATGACATGGCTGGGTCAAATGGTAATTCTAGTTCTAGATCCTTGAGGAATCGCCACACTGTCTTCCACAGTGGTTGAACTAGTTTACAGTCCCACCAACAGTGTAAAAGTGTTCCTATTTCTCCACATCCTCTCCAGCACCTGTTGTTTCCTGACATTTTAATGATTGCCATTCTAACTGGTGTGAGATGGTATCTCATTGTGGTTTTGATTTGCATTTCTCTGATGACCAGTGATGATGAGCATTTTTTCAGGTGTCTGTTGGCTGCATGGATATCTTCTTTTGAGAAATATCTGTTCAAATCCTTTGCTCACTTTTTGATGGGGTTCTTTGTTTTTTTCTTGTAAATTTGTTTGAGTTCTTTGTAGATTCTGGATATTAGCCCTTTGTCAGATGGGTAGATTGCAAAAATTCTCTCCCATTCTGTAGGTTGCCTGTTCACTCTGATGGTAGTTTCTTTTGCCATGCAGAAGCTCTTTAGTTTAATTAGATCCCATTAGTCTATTTTGGCTTTTGTTGCCATTGCTTTTGGTGTTTTAGTCATGAAGTCCTTGCCCATGCCTATGTCCTGAATGGTATTGCCTAGGTTTTCTTCCAGGGTTTTTATGGTTTTAGGTCTAACATTTAAGTCTTTAATCCATCTTGAATTAGTTTTTGTATAAGGTGTAAGGAAGGGATCCAGTTTCAGCTTTCTACATATGGCTACCCAGTTTTCCCAGCACCATTTATTAAATAGAGAATCCTTTCCCCATTTCATGTTTTTGTCAGGTTTGTCAAAGATCAGATGGTTGTAGATGTGTGGCATTATTTCTGAGGCCTCTGTTCTGTTCCATTTGTCTATATCTCTGTTTTGGTACGAGTACCATGCTGTTTTGGTTACTGTAGCCTCATAGTATAGTTTGAAGTCAGGTAGTGTGATGCCTCCAGCTTTGTTCTTTTTGCTTAGGATTGTCTTGGCAATGCGGGCTCTTTTTTGGGTCCATGTGAACTTTAAAGTAGTTTTTTTTCCAATTCTGTGAAGAAAGTCATTGGTAGTTTTATGGGGATGGCATTGAATCTATAAATTACTTTGGGCAGTATAGCCATTTTCATGATATTGATTCTTCCTATCCATGAGCATGGAATATTCTTCCATTTGTTTGTGTCCTCATTTATTTCGTTGAGCAATGGTTTGTAGTTCTCCTTGAAGAGGTCCTTCACATCCCTTGTAAGTTGGATTCTTAGGTATTTTATTCTCTTTGTAGCAATTGTGAATGGGAGTTCACTCATGATTTGGCTCTCTATTTGTCTGTTATTGGTGTATAGGAATGCTTGTGATTTTTGCACATTGATTTTGTATCCTGAGACTTTGCTGAAGTTGCTTATCAGCTTAAGGAGATTTTGGGCTGAGACAATGGGGTTTTCTAAATATATAGTCATGTCATCTGCAAACAGGGACAGTTTGACTTCCTCATTTCCTAATCAAATACCTTTTATTTCTTTCTCTTGCCTGATTGCCCTGGCCAGAACTTCCAACACTATGTTGAATAGGAGTGGTGAGAGACGGCATCCTTGTCTTGTGCCAGTTTTCAAAGGGAATGCTTCCAGTTTTTGCCCATTCAGTATGATATTGGCTGTGGGTTTGTCATAAATAGCTCTTATTATTTTGAGATACGTTCCATCAATACCTAGCTTATTCTGAGTTTTTAGCATGAAGGGCCATTGAATTTTGTTGAAGGCCTTTTCTGCATCTGTTGAGATAATCATGTGGTTTTTGTCGTTGGTTCTGTTTATATGATGGATTACGTTTATTGATTTGCGTATGTTAACCAGCCTTGCATCCCAGGGATGAAGCTGACTTGATCGTGTTGGATAAGTTTTTTGATGAGCTGCTGGATTCGACGTTCCAGTATTTTATGGAGGATTTTCGTATCAATGTTCATCAGGGGTATTGGTCTAAAATTCTGTTTTTTTGTTGTGTCTCTGCCAGGCTTTGGTATCAGGATGATGTTGGCCTCATAAAATGAGTTAGAAAGGATTCCCTCTTTTCTGTTGATTGGAATAGTTTCAGAAGGAATGGTACCAGCTCCTCTTTGTACCTCCGGTAGAATTCGGCTGTGAATCCGTCTGGTCCTGGACTTTTTTTGGTTGGTAGGCTATTAATTATTGCCTCAATTTCACGGCCTGTTATTGGTCTATTCAGAGATTCAACTTCTTCCTGGTTTAGTCTTGGGAGAATGTAGGTGTCCAGGAATTCATCCATTTTTTCTAGATTTTCTAGTTTATTTGCATAGAGGTGTTTATAGTATTCTCTGATGGTAGTTTGTATTTCTGTGGGATCGGTGGTGATATCCCGTTTATCATTTTTAATTGCATCTATTTGATTCTTCTCTCTTTTCTTCTTTATTAGTCTTGCTAGCGGTCTATCAATTTTTTTGGTCTTTTCAGAAAAACCGGCTCCTGGATTCATTGATATTTTGAAGGGTTTTTTGTGTCTCTATCTCCTTCAGTTCTGCTCTGATCTTAGTTATTTCATGCCTTCCGCTAGCTTTTGAATTTGTTTGCTCTTGCTTCTCTAGTTCTTTTAATCGTGATGCTAGGGTGTCGATTTTAGATCTTTCTTGCTTTCTCTTGTGGGCATTTAGTGCTATAAATTTCCCTCTACACACTGCTTTAAATGTGTCCCAGAGATTCTGGTACGTTGTGTCTTTGTTCTCATTGGTTTCAAAGAACATCTTTATTTCAGCCTTCATTTCGTTATTTACCCAGTAGTCAATCAGGAGCAAGTTGTTCAGTTTCCATGTAGTTGAGCGGTTTTGAATGAGTTTCTTAATCCTGAGTTCTAATTTGATTGCTCTGTGGTCTGAGAGACAGTTTGTTGTGATTTTTGTTCTTTTACATTTGCTGAGGAGTGCTTTACTTCCAATTATGTGGTCAATTTTAGAATAAGTGCAGTGTGGTGCTGAGAAGAATATATATTCTGTTGATTTTGGGTGGAGGGTTCTGTAGATGTCTATTAGGTCCACTTGTTGCAGAGCTGAGTTCAGGTCCTGGATGTCCTTGTTAACCTTCTGTCTCATTGATCTGTCTAATATTGACAGCAGGAAACATCATTATTTCTTTAACTTCTCTTTGTTATATTACTGCACTGGCTAGGACCGGCAGTCTTTCAAGGAGTGGTATAGTAGACATCCCGTCCTATTCTTGTTTTTAAACGGAATCTAAAGTTAGCCGGGCATGGTGGCGCTCACCTATAGTCCCAGCTACTCAGGAAGCTGAGGTGGGAGGATTGCTTGAGCCCAGGAGTTCGAGGCTGTAGTGAGCTATGATCACGCCACTGTACTCACCTGGGTGTCGGAGAGAGACCTTGTCTCTAGAAAAAAATGTTTTTTTAAAAAGGAACCTTTCCAATATTTCTTCATTAAGAATAATGTAGATTTTTAGTACATGCCTTTTATTAGGGCTAAAGAAGTTCCTTTATATTCTTAGTTGCTGAGCATTTTAATTGTGAATGGGTTTTGAATTTAATCAAATGCTCTTTCAGAATCTGCTGAGATGATCATTTGTTTTTTTCCTTTTATCTGTTAATGTGGTGAATGTCTTTTAAAGATTTCCTAATGATAAACTACCCTTGCATTTCTCAGATAAACTCAGCTTAGTCATTACATATTATCTTTTTTATGTACTGCCCGACTGTCTGCTAATGTTTTGTTTATAAGATCTCAGTATGTGCATTTATGAGTGAGACTGGCCCGTAGTTAATTTTCCTCTCTTGTATTTCTCTGATTTTAGTTTCAAAGTTATATCTACTTCACACAATGACTTGGAGAGTATTCCCTCTTCAGTTCTCCGAGAGATTTTATATAATATTGGAATGATTTGTGTCTTGAAAGTTTGGCAGGACTTGCCTGTAAAGTATCACAGCCTAGTGTTTTGGTTTTTAGTTTTAAGAAAGTTTTGTTTTTGTTTTTTAACAACTGCTTCAATTTCTTTAACATTAAAAGGCCATCCAGGCTTTCTATTTCTTGAGTGAGTTTTGGTAAATTACATTTTCCTAAAAAAAAATAAGTTTTAAAATATTGCAGAGAGCTTCTTCATAGTATTCTCTCATCTTTTTATTCTCTGCCATCTTTGTCATTATGCCCCTGTTCATTTCTAATATTGTTTATTTGTGCCTACTCTTTTTTTCTTGATCAACCTTGCCAGAGGTTTGTTCAGAAACCCACTCTGGGTTTGGTTCATTCTCTTCATTATATGTTTATTTTCTGTTTCATTGTTTTATGACCTAATTTTTATTATCTCCTTTTTTTTTAACTTTCTATTGGTTTTGGCTAACTTTACAAATTTGACACATAGTTCATTTATTTCCAGTCTTTTTTTTTTTTTTTTTTTTTTTTGAGACAGGGTCTTGCTCCATCGGCCAGGCTGGAATGCAGTAGCATAATCATAGCTCACTGCAACCTCGAACTCCTGGGCTCAAGTAATCCTCCTGTCTCAGACTCCTGAGTTAGGACTACAGGCAACCACACTCAGCTAATTTTTTTAATACTTTGTAGAGATAGAGTCTTGCTTTATTGCCCAGGTTGGTCTCAAACTCCTGGCCTCTAGTGATCTTCTCGCCTCACTCAGCCTCCGAAAACACTGAGGTTATAGACATGAGCCACCATGCCCAGCCTTCTTTTCTTTTCTTTTTTTTTTTTTTTTTTTTTTTTTGAGATGGAGTCTCGCTCTGTCGCCCAGGCTGGAGTGCAATGGTGCAACCTCTGCTTCCGGGTTCAAGCGATTCTCCTGCCTCAGCCTCCCAAGTAGCGGGGATTACAGGTGCCCACCACCACGCACAGCTAATTTTTATATTTTAGTAGAGACGGGGTTTCACCATATTGGCCAGGCTGGTCTCAAACTCCTGACCTCATGAGCTGCCCACCTCAGCCTCCCAAAGTGCTGGGATTACAAGTGGAAGCCACCATGCCTGGCCCAGCCTTCTTTTCTAATATGTGCCTTTAAGACTAAACTCTCCCTCTAAGTACTGTCTTAATGTATCCCACCAGTTTTGACATGACGCATTTTTATAACTCAGTTCTAAGTATTTTTATATTTCTATTATGATATTTTTCATTGACCTATATTATTTATAATTGTCTGTTACTTTTCACACTTAACAGGATTTTCTGTATATCTTTTTGTAATTTACTTCTAACTTAATTACATTGTGGTCAGAGAATGTAGTCTGTATGACACCATTTCTTTGAGGTTTGTTGAGACTTGCTTTATGGCATAGCACTTTAATCGTTTTTATAAATGGCCCACGTGTACTTAAGATGAATGTTTATTCTTTAATTGTTGCATGCAGAGGTATCTTTTTGTAATGAAGCCAGGTCAGTGTGTACATTTCTGCACAATTTATAAATAAGGAAGCAACATTGTAAATAACACTCTAAGCATTGGTTCTTGGTCATTTCTTTCTAGCTGAAGTATTACAAGATGCTGAAATGCCAACCAAAAGATTAAATTATCTTTAACAGAATTTGCTGTTGTGTAGATATTATCATGTCACAACTCTTGGAAAATTGACAACCTTCGTATCATATCTGGTAGATAACGATAGCAGCCAACACTGTCATGGTGCTTGGTATGTGCCAAGAACAGTTCTAAGCCTTCTGCATTTATTAAATTTGTTTAGTTCTTAAAACAATCCTATGAGATGGGTACTATTTTCATCTCCATTTTACAAATGTGAAAACTGAGGTATGGAGAGTTTCAGTAATTTACCCAAGATCTTAAAGCTAGTAAGCAAGGAAGCTGGAATTTGAACCCAGGCAGTCTGGATCCAGAAGCCATACTTTTAAACCACTATACATACCACCTCTCTCAGAAAAATAGATTTCTGCAGCCATCCATCAAAACTGTGCCTTCCACAAGTAGATATATCTGTTTTGATGAGGTTACTACATGAGTTAAATAATTCTGCTGCAACCAAACTTGTACCTGCCTCTGAAATATTGGCCCTCAATATTCAACTTAGTTTTTAAAAATTACATTGATGCCTCTGGATTTTGTTACTATGAAAGCATATATCATTTCATGTTTATAATGTTATATAATTTCTTAGGTACACTTCATGTTGGTGATGAAATTCGAGAAATCAATGGCATCAGTGTGGCTAACCAAACAGTGGAACAACTGCAAAAAATGCTTGTAAGTAAATGAAAGTTTTTCCTTTCCTAAAATTGACTTTTACTTTGTTAGCTTGTTTTTAAATATACAAATAAGGAGTATTCTTCTGTAATCAGAGAATTTCTGGTACCATATTTATGTGGACTTGAACTTATATAACATTCATAAAACTGACAACTAGAAAAATGTTGAAATACAATAGAGTTTACAAACATTTTGCCTGTCTTTAGCAGTGTGGGCTTTAACACTCTCCTTTTATCCTTTATCTCCTGTTTCTTACCAAGCAGATGATTAAAGAAAACCTTTTCAGTGTTTGTACATGTGAACTAGTTTCTCACTGACCTCAACTCTCCTGACATCAGCAGTGTCAGAAACCTCTTTCCTGTTGAGCTGAGTCATAGCCAGCTGTCGTGGATTTCTCTACAGCATAGAAGGGAGGAAAGCCACGGTAGACCAGGCCATTTTTGACCATACATATCCAAAATCTGTATTCAAATTAGGCTTTGGATTTTTTAAAAAGGCAAAATGACAGCCTTTGCCTATGTTCATTGTCATAGCAAGCAGACAGAGGTGTTTGGGGCCTCTGATCCCTTTTCCCACTGCAGTGTAGTAGCACCCAGGTTATGAATACCTATTAAGTATGAAATAAGCTTCACAGACTCACCAAACATTTTTTTTTCTTTTTTTTGAGACGGAGTTTTGCTCTTGTTGCCCAGGCTGGAGTGCAATGGCGTGATCTCAGCTCACTGCAACCTCTGCCCCCCGAGTTCAAGGGATTCTCCTGCCTCAGCCTCCCAAGTAGCTGGGATTACAGGCATGCGCTACCACACCCTGCTAATGTTTGCATTTTTAGTAGAGACGGGGTTTCTCCATGTTGGCCAGGCTGGTCTCGAACTCCCGACCTCAGGTGATCCACCAGCCTTGGCCTCCCAAAGTACCGGGATGACAGGTGTGAGCCACCACTCCCAGCCCAAAATTTTTTTTTAAAAAAAAGCCAAAATTAATAAGCAAAAAGTGGCTGGGTGCGGTGGCTCATGCCTGTAATCCCAGCACTTTGGGAGGCCAAGGTGGGTGAATCACCTGAAGTCGGGAGTTTGAGACCAGCCTGGCCAACATGGTGAAACCCCGTCTCTACTAAAAATACAAACATTAGCAAGGCATGGTGGCGCGTGCCTATAATCCCAGCTACCCGGGAGGCTGAGGCAGGAGAATCACTGGAACCTGGAAGGCAGAGTTTGCAGTGAGCCGAGATGGTGCCACTGCACTGCAGCCTGGATGACAGAGCGAGACTCTGTCTCAAAAAAATAAATAAATAAAAAATTTTTAAAAGTAAAAAGCATATTCTATGGGGTACACCATTATAATGTGGCATACTCAATGTAATTTTTATGTAATTACCTAGTCTATTGTCTAATTCAATGTATATTCACTTTTGAAAGGCATGTCACTTAGAAAGTTTTGTATTCACATCTATAAAAAGGTGACCATTGAAGATCTGTGAGACCATTGCTGTATGAGCAAAAGGCAATTGGCTGCTGGGCTTTTCCCAGGAACTTACTCTACTGTTAACTCGAGCAGTCCCTGCTTCATGACTACATTTCATTTTCCGGCTATGTGCTCTCAGATGGCTTGTGCTAATTGCCCCCATGTGTTTTGAGTGGCTTCTTACATGGTTTTGTGAACAATTGTTTGTAAGAAAACTTTTCTTTCTTTCCCACCACCCCCCCTCCAGAGGGAAATGCGGGGGAGTATTACCTTCAAGATTGTGCCAAGTTACCGCACTCAGTCTTCGTCCTGTGAGGTAATGACTCTAACAAACCACCCCCATCTGCTCTGAGTTCTTAACTAACTGTCTGCTGATGGCTGTATGTTTTTGCTTTCTGGGAAATTGTTTCTGCCTGTGCTGTTAGATCACTGCACACCAATTTTACAACAAAGATAACGGAACAGAGTAGGTCCCATCCACCTACTCAGCCCTGCTTCCATGTGGATCTCCTCAGCACTTTGAACTTTTTGCAGGCTGAAATCTGAGCAAAATGTAGAGAAGTTACAAATGATGACATAAGGCTTAATAAGGAAAAAACGGAGTGTCTGAGGGAAAAAAACTAAAGGCCATAATTGCAGTAATATTTCCAGGAAGTTCATTCACTTCCCTTGTTAAGAAATCACATAGATAGTTCTTCTTTCTAAGGATCTGAGAAGTGATCTATTTCTGTTGAGATACAGTTGTTCATACAATTGTGACAGGTCTCTAGATGGAAGTTAAGTCTGCAATGAATTGATAATTGACTTCACTAGAGGGAAATAGGCTTTTGCAACCTTTTGTAAAACTGTTTAAATTTAGAATGGTATGTGATCTGTAAACAAGTAAGTTTTCTAGAGTAATACAGCCCCAAAGTTTCTTTCTTAAAATAGGCTTATCCTGTAGAAATTATAGTTCTTCCAACCTATATTATTCAGTTTTGTGTTGGTTGTTAAATGAGATTCAAAAATCTATTCTTTTTGTATTGGAAATATAAATGGGCATAAATGATATCATCCTTTGGTCATTGCACGTTCAGCTCGAGTGTTATTTATTGAAGCTTGTTCTTTCATGTGCATCTTCCGAGAGTATGTGCATCAATATGAAGTACACACTTCCTAAAGTTTATTTTTAAGACTGACAGGTAACTTATTGGATTTGTACTTAGGAGAACCTGAGAGAGAATTGTAATACTTCTAGTCTCTAGTGATGGTGTAAATTTCATAAGAAAAATCAGAGGCTTCATATTTTTTAAAAGCCTATTGAAGATACATATTAAAATGTATAGTTTTGTCAAGTATATTTTTGGTGAGCCATGGCAATTGAGGTGTCCGTTGTAACGGGTCTTGAGCTCCTCTTGGTGGCTTTTTATGGAACTTCAATTAATAGTATATTTCAAAAGAAAATGCAGAATTGCTTCTGTTCCAGGATTCAGAGTATTGAAATTTGTTACCTAGAACACAAACTTTGCTGGGAAACAAAGAATGTCACACTTAACATTCTATGTAAATAATTTTAATATTCCAGAGTTACAGATGTCCTTATATCATTTCTCATCTGTTGAAGAAATTTAGTAAATACAATTGACTTTTGTCTTTTTGGCTAACTAACCAGAAGGTACTGTTAGTTATTAATACAACATAAGTTTCTCTTTTTTTTTTTAAATGGTCGAACTAGTTTGGGGTGGAACCAGTATCATAGATGTAAATTCTATGTTCTTGAGTAAGAAGAACCCCTCTTACCTTCTTTGCCTTTGAATAGTAGAAAAAATAATGATACTTCTCTCCTAGCTCCACCTCCAGCCTTTTTGGCCCTCCTGTTCCCTGGCAGAATTCAAGCTTGTGGTTGGACTCTTCCCAGCTAGGGCAATACTTCAAAAAAAAAAAAAGAAGGCTCTCTGGCCACCTGCATCTGCATCCCCCAGGTCCTTGGTTAAAGAGTAGACCCCTGCCCCTCACCCTGGCTCTACTGACTTGAGTCTCTGCGGGTGGCACCTGGAGATCAGTCTTGCTCACTAACATATGAGAATGCTCTTCTAAGGGATCTCATTACCTTTAAGGCTGACAGGTTCTAGAAATGCTCTTAAGTCATCTGGGGAAAAAAAATGTCTTTTAAAAAGACATGCACATTTCTAAGGCTTAAAAGAACTCTACAGAAGCAAAAATTAAAAAGTACTTATTTCCTTCCTCTCCTTGTTCTTATCGTTAAAGTTGATTTGGACACTAAGGGAATGGAGCCTGGAAAATATTTTGAGTGTATAGAATAGTAGAGAGAAAGCAAGCGATAGAGGAGCCTGGATATAGGAAGAGTGGCTGTGGCTCCTAGGATCTTTGCTGGAAGTGTAATATTGTTATAGGCTTGAGATTATTGTTTTAATCAATCTGCTAAAATAGTCTTAAAAAAAGAGTTCTTCTCTGATGTATATCTCTTTTACCCTTACTAGTAATAATATTTATTCTATAATAGAAAGATTCTGAGGTGATTGTAACATGTGAAATCTTAGGTTTGTTTCTCTTCAGATTGGGTCAGTTAGTAACTCTTGACACAGGTACTAAAAATTATTAAATACTTTTCAAACCTAATCTTTAATAAAAATTAGGCAGTTGGGATCTTCAGCACGATAATTTATGGTAATGTTTGTCATCTTATACTTGATAGGGTTTTAATATCAAGTCACTCTTCTGGGTCTCATTAAAAGAAAGAAAAGGTATAGAATGTTAGAGATAGGAAAGAATTGATTAATGAATGACACAGTCATCACTTAAAATATGTGAGCCTTCGAACTGCAAAATTTTTTTCATACTTCTGTGAAATCATGCAAGCAAGTCAGTATGGCACCTATACAGCTCAAACCTCAAAGGAAATGGTTGTCAGACTGTGGTTGTTACTGTTGATGTAAATATCTCTGTGTTTCTGTGCTGGTGTTCTGTGTTAATGAACCTTGTGTCTTATTTCAGAGAGATTCCCCTTCCACTTCCAGACAGTCCCCAGCTAATGGTCATAGCAGCACTAACAATTCTGTTTCGGTAAGAACTTTAGCTCCACACAGCAAAGTGTGACAATTTTGTTGGTGCTCACCTGCCATGAGTGTTCTAGTTACATGTGTTCAGTGGAAATAGTGTCTTCTGCTGATATACAAGGCTACTACAGCTACAATGCACTTTACTCCTGGAAAATCTTTTTCAACATTTCCTTCTCATTAAAAATCCCCTTCAATAGTTAAATTTGAAGAAATATAGTTCAAGACTGCTTTGGTCATTCTAAAAATATTTCTATGCCACCCCATTTGTATGTATGACTTTGCTCAAACCTATGCAAAGGATGTAAACGGAAATTTGTTTAAACTTCTAAATATTTTTTAATTTGAAAAAGATAAATGTAAGAATTTTGCAGAGTAGGCATTTGGGTATTCTTGGGCTTTGTAGTTTTCTATTCTGAGTGATATCAGCAACATGTTTTAGTTTCCGCTATCTAAGTTTACGAATTGGTGTGCCCTCTGTTATTGTGGTACGTGCACATATTTTTGTGAATTATAAGCCTTGCCTGGATATGAAAAGCAAAAAGAACTGGCTTCAAACTGCACTTAAGCCACGCTGTTATCACATCTTTAACACAAAGTACTTTATATTTGACTTGAACTTGGAGTTTTAAATTTTTTCAGAACTATCCATTTTGGAATATAGAAAGAATTGTTTTTAACTTATTTAAACAAATGGAAGCACTTAACAGGTGCAGACTGGCAATATTTTGGTTGCTAATACTGCTGTTTATGACCCAGTTAAAATTATTGAGAGTTCTAATAATGCAGCAGTATTCTTCTTTCCTGACTTTTAATTTGCCCTTTGAGAATATATCAACTTTTTTATCAGGTAAAATTGTAAATAATTTAGAAATTATCTCAAATGGAATGATATTCTAAGTATATCGTAAGAGAAATTATGAAAGAAAATTGTCTATGACTTTATTTTCAACTTTAAAATAGGCTACCAAAGGAATTCATTCATAACAGTTAACATTTAATACTTTTAAGATGATGAAAAGCCATATAGCCATTGAATTTTTCAAAATCTAAATGGTTGCAGTGACTAAGTTGAAAAGGGCAACAGCTCCTTTTATTTATTTTTTTTTTTTAATAGGCTGTTTCACTTGCAGTGGCTTTTGTGTTGAAGATGCTGAGTTGTTTCTTAAGAACACATTTTCTCTCTGCTTAAACTTACCTGCTTTCTTCAGCTTGCTGCTAAATGGCCTGGGTTTGACTTTTTGATAACTCAACATTTCTGATAAATGGAATAATGTATATTATCTCTTTACAACTTAAATCTAGCTCATTTTTTTAACCATATTGTAACAGAACACACAAATTACTTTGTACTCTTGAAAAATAAATGAAAATTTTTCTCCTGGGTTGGCTTTATTCTACAGGACTTGCCATCAACTACCCAACCAAAAGGACGACAGGTGAATAGATATCCTCTATAGAAACTTCTCTAAACTGAGCAGCTAATAGCCAATCCTTTATTAACCCTTTCCATCCCATAATGTTTGCATTTTGGACCATAACATTTGAGCATTGAGAGCTTGTACCATTTCATTTTAACACATTACACATGACTAATTCTCTATAAAGAATTTTTCCTCACATCTTTGTAGCTGTAATGGTTATTGTAATTTCAACCTGATAATTTTATATTAATGGTTAAGAATTCAGCCTTTGGGGGTGGCTGTGGGCCTGCCTCTGGCATGCAAAAGAATTTTAAAGGTTATAAAATTCTTAGAATTCTAAGACTAACTAAAAAGTTATTCTTAAAATGCTGATGAACATTTTTAAGCAAAAATTTTCTGAAGTTGAAAGCTTTTTCTTAAATTTGTATTTGCATGTGTATTTCTAAAAGCCATTTGCAATGAAAAATAAGAAAAGAATATAAATTATCTTAGCTTCACATCCTGATATACCTGTGTTAGTTCAAACATGAAAAGTTAAGTGCTGCCTAACACTGGCAAGTAACTTTCAAATTGCCAGCACTTTAGAGGTATAGATTTTAAATGCAAATGCAGAGACTTGTAATTTTATAGGCTGGATTGCTGAAAATAAACAGAAAAATCACACAGTGGTTCCAAAGTCTTCAGGTTGGTTTTACAGTGACTTAAACATTAATATTCAATTTTAATTTCAAGAGATAGAATTTTTATGGGATTTTTATCTTGAAATATGGTATTAAAAATAATCAGATTTAGTGTTAAGATATGTATAAATTAGTACCTGATAGAATTCACCCATAATTTTGTCTTAAGACTGTATAATTGATGGAACATTGGGTATGAATTACCTTATCTTAAAGCATTTAAAAAATAAAATAATTCATAAAATGCTGCCATATAATAAACCCTTGAATGCTAATCTATTTCCTAAGTAAACTCACATATCATAAAACTCAGAGCCTTGAACTATGCATGTCTTGAAGCTCTGTGCTGATTTCAAGTGTTACATTGGGGGAAGCTAGGGTTCAAATTCATTTTTATTCTCTCAGAAGAGTAAAATACAAACCTAAAACCTAAATTAGAAAAAAATGAAGCTTTTTTTAACTTTTAAAAAATTGTTTGAGTTACACTTAACTTTATCAGCAATGTGTAGACACACTGCCAGTTGTCATATAAGCATTCTACAGCAAGATACCAACCCAGAGTTCTTGCTAATTTTATATCGTGTGCTGCTTTAGGGTTAAAACCTATCCTGACTGCTAGTATTTATGGCTTAAAGGCTGCCACGCAGTCATGACAACGTATCCATAATGCCAGCATCACCAATGCAGGTTTAAAAAAGAGCGAGCATACTTTTCTATAATTAGAGGCCTATTCTGTTACAGTAAAAGCATAAATTAAGTCTTTATTTTTATTAAACAAGTATTTCAAGTGTTCCTTCCAAATAAAAACAGCAAAGTTTTGAAGCTATACTCATCAAAGATTACTAGTACATTGTTTCTAGCGGTAGAAGTTTTTTGTGTCGTATTTCCATGCATCGTTTTTGCTTTCACCATCTGATGTCCTGTTTGTATTGTAACTGTTGGTGTGTGGTTATGACATTAGAGCTAACTTCTCTTTCACATCACTATGGCATCCTTTCTTACGAACTCCTGTTTTATAGATCTATGTAAGAGCACAATTTGAATATGATCCAGCCAAGGATGACCTCATCCCCTGTAAAGAAGCTGGCATTCGATTCAGAGTTGGTGACATCATCCAGATTATTAGTAAGGATGATCATAATTGGTGGCAGGGTAAACTGGAAAACTCCAAAAATGGAACTGCAGGTCTCATTCCTTCTCCTGAACTTCAGGAATGGTATGTTTTT
Source organism: Homo sapiens (assembly GCF_000001405.40). Classification (NCBI taxonomy): domain Eukaryota; kingdom Metazoa; phylum Chordata; class Mammalia; order Primates; family Hominidae; genus Homo; species Homo sapiens. Next base: position 41,553,708 of record NC_000023.11, on the reverse strand, counting down.
ATGCGTGTTTTGCTTTGCTTGGTTATAAAAACAAAGCCCTGACCATCCATTTTCCAATTTTATATTATTTTAGAGTGTAAAACCTGTTTGATATATTCCTTCCTTTACGAGCCAAACAAAATTTAAATTAGTCATCCAAGAATTCTATATCTTCAGTATCTAGTGAGATCCTAGTTGCAGAGTCAGGGCTTCATTTTACACAAAAAGAAAGGAAGGTCTGGAAAGAGATTGGATGAGCAGCCCTGAGCCAAGTCATGGTCTCACAGCAGAGCCCTCCACTCCTATATGCTGTTATAATTGTTTTAGAATGGCATTAAAAAAATGTACGTTCTCCTTGCCCTTCTACATGCTTTCATGCCCATCCCATTCCCACCACCAGCAAAAAATGTAGGTGCAGTGCTTCAGTGTCACTCAGAGTATTTGAAGATAAAATGTATTTCACTGTTAGAAGGAGGTAGTCAGAAGCTTTGTTCTTTACCTTGCCAGTCCTTTAAAAATACCTTTTCTGCTAGAAAGTTTAAGCCCTAAAAGCAGGCTAAAGTTAGGGGTTTTAGGCACTGTTTTTAACTGAGAGAAAAGGAGTCACAGATCACTGTATATTTTGATAAAATCTATTTCTGCTATTATTGTTACCGTTTCCTTAGTTGAACTGTCTTTTGGAAAATATTGATGGTTTTACCTTTGTTGGTACTTGGGCAATATACCAGATTATTTCTAGCACAAAAGAGATAATGTCTGAGTTTTGTTTCATGTGGCAAAAAATAACAGCCATTAAGCATCCTGCCAGTTCCTCCTAAAATACTTGAACCCAGCTAAAAGAGACCAAAGACATTGAGTCCATAGAAATTTCTACCTGCTTTTATCTATTTTTCTCACTAGTTAAGAGATTTCTCAGTTAATCTCTTTTGCTTGATCGCCTCTTTCAGCTATCCCATGTTTCCCCAAAAAATAGTATTAAATTTAGAATGTTGGAGCTGATGAGGACTTCAGATGCCATCATTTTATACATAAGGAAACGTGGGCCCAAATGGAGAAGCAGCAGCCTTCCATCTGGCATTGTCTTTCAGTCTGATCTTCGAGAAACAGTTCAAGCATAAGCAGGAGGAAAGCAATCTTTAAGTCGTTGCCGTGATGATGCCATTATATTCTTACTGATATTTACATTTTACAGAATGTCTTCTTTAATGTTACCATATATTATGGGCATTTATTGAAAATAATTGTGTAGATTCCAGACCTCTTCTGCCTAGTCAGATCATCTATATAAATGTTTCACCAATTTCTAGAACTCTGAGTCCTCTGGAGGAATCCTGAGTGATGGCAGTGCAAAAAGCAGATTTGCTTCCTATTTCCTGTAATGGTGGATGAGATTATTTGGATAAATCCTCCTGATGAAAAAAAATGAAAAGTGCCGCAGAAAATATGTTTTTCAAATGACCTTGAAAGCACTGAATAGCTGAAAAGGTATCAGGGGCCAGGCATGGTGGCTCACACCTGTAATCCTAGCACTCTGGGACGCCGAGGTGGGCAGATCACTTGAGGTCAGGAGTTCGAAGCTAGCCTGACCAACATGGTAAAACCCTGTCTCTACTTGAAATAAAAAAAAAAAAAAAAATTAGCCAGGTGTGATGGCAGGCACCTATAATCCCAGCTACTTGGGAGGCTGAGGCAGGAGAATTGCTTGAGCCCGAGAAGTGGAAGTTGCAGTGAGCCGTGATCGCGCCACTGCACTCTAGCCTGGACGACAGAGTGAGACTCTGTGTCCGGGAAATAAAAAAAGGTACTGGGGAGCTCAGTGACCAATTTTTTTTTTTTTTTTTTTTTTTTTTGAGACGGAGTCTCGCCCTGTGGCCCAGGCTGCAGTGCAATGGCATGATCTCAGGTCACTGCAACCTCTACCTCCTGGGTTCAAACAATTCTCCTGCCTCAGCCTCCTGAGTAGCTGGGATTACAGGCACCCGCCACCACATATTTTTAGTAGAGACAGGGTTTCACCATGTTGGCCAGGCTGGTCGTGAACTCCTGACCTCGTGATCCACCCACTTTGGCCTCCCAAAGTGCTGGGATTACAGGTGTGAGCCACCACACCAGGCCTCAGTGACCAATTTTTATGTGAAAGCCTTTAATAAGAATGATAAGTGGAATATCAGAGTTACCAAGTGGCCCATTTTGCAAACAGGGCATTTGTCATTACTGAACACTTCTGTGCCAGAGAACCAAGGTTAAGATCTAAGGCCAGTACAAGTTGGGGAATCTGTTAGAAGACCCTCCTCATTGTTAGGAGTGCAAGAGGCAGTCCCCCCAGGCTAAAAGGAAACAGATAAGCATACCCTTATTTCCCTTCAACACCGGAGGACTATAGAGAAAGCTGCCTTGTCACTGAGCAAAGCAAAAGATGAGGAAATTGGGAACAAACTTCCAAATTGTGGCCACCAGTCCACCTTGAATGGATTTGCACCCAGGTACACACAGCCTGGGGCAGCCAGGGGAGCTGAAGCCATGTACTTGATTTGAAGTTTCCCCTTTCTTTACTAATAGTTTCAGATGTATGGTATAAACAGAAAGTCTCTGAAGGCAAACACTTTTATCCTAACCCCCACTAACTTCATCCTATCCGCCCGACATAAACTTTTTCCAGGGCAGTAGCCAGCAAGTCAAAATTATCAGGCACACAAGGAAACAAGTAAGACCCAACAGAAATGACAGATAGTAGAAACAAACCCAAACCTACTGCATATATTGGAATTAAGAGACAAAGATTTTAAAAATAAGCTTACGAAGTTGGTTCGTTTGTTTTTGAGACAAGGTATTGTGCTCTCGCCCAGGCTGGAGTGCAATGGCATGATCATGGCTCACTGCAGCCTCGACCTCCTGGACCCAAGCAATCCACCCACCTCAGCCTTCCCAGTAGCTGGGACAACAGGCGTGCACCACCACACCCAGCTAATTTTTTTCTTTTTCTTTTTTTTTTTTTTGTAGAGATGAGGTCTCACTATGTTGCCCAGGCTGATCTCCAACTCCTAGGCTCAAGTGATCCTTCCACCTTAGCCTCCCAAAGTGCTGGGATTACAAGTGTGAGCTACCACGCCTAGCCCAGGTTTTTAAAAATCAATAATAAGCTTGTAAAATATCTTCAGAGAGCAGAAAAAAAATGTTAATGACATAGCAGATTTTAAAAAGAACCAGAGGAACATCCAGGGGGAAACATGCAGTAACAAAATTAGAATCTCAGTGGTCACACCTATTAGAATGGCTAACATTTTTTTGAAGTTTCATCAGTGGGTAAATAGATCAATAAATTGTGATATAGCCATACAATGGAATGCCACTCAGCAATAAAAAGGATCAAACTATTGATATATGCAGCAGTATGGATGAAACACAAGATCATTATGCTGAGTGAAAGAAGCCAGGCAAAAAAGAGAACACGCTATATGATTCCATTTACATAAACTTCTGGAAAATGCAAGATGGGGGTGGAGGGAGGGAGGAATTACAGAGGGGCATGAGGAAATTCTGGAGGTAATGAATATGTTTTTCTTTTTTTGGAGACGGAGTCTCGCCCTGTCACCCAGGCTGGAGTGCAGTGGCGCAATCTCAGCTCACTGCAACCTCTGCCTCCCCGGTTCAAGTGATCCTCCTGCCTCAGCCTCCCGAGTAGCTGGGATTACAGGCGCCTGCCACCACGCCTGGCTAATTTTTTGTGTTTTTAGTAGAGACAGGGTTTCACCAGGTTGGCCAGGCTGGTCTCAAGCTCCTGACCTCAAGTGATCTGCCTGCCTCAGCCTCCCAAAGTGCTAGGATTACAGGTGTGAGCCACCGCAGCACCCAGCCATTTTTATTTTTTATTTTTTATTTTTATTCTTCTAAAGTCAAGGTCCCTCTCTGTCTCCCAGGCTGGAGTGCCGTGGTGCAATCTTGGCTCCTTGCAGCCTGGAACTCCTGGATTCAAGCAATCCCCCTATCTCAGCCTCCCAAGTAGCTGGGATTACAGGCGCCCGCCACCACGCCCAACTAATTTTTAAATTTTCGATAGAGATGAGATCTCACTATGTTGGCCAGGCTGGTCTCGAACTCCTGACCTCAGGTGATCTGCCCGCCTCAACCTCCTAAAGTGTTGGGATTACCTGTGTGAGCTACCACACCTGGCTAAGAATATGTTTTTCTTGATTGTAGTGATAGTTTCATGGGATGTTTACAGATATCAAAACTGATAAATTTGTATACTTTAAATATGTTCAATATATTGCCAAAAAACTGAACTGTTAAAGTTGCAAAATATATAGAGGGAGAAAAGGATTCTAACTGAGATGATAAGAAAGAGGCCCACTGGGCAGTGTGTACCCCAAGACCTGAATAGGACTTTGGGGGTATAGGAAGCTATTCCTGGCAGAAGAGAAAGATCAATTTTCCTTTGCTTGGAAACTGAATTGGCCTCTGGGATGTCAGTGGGCATCCAATACTAACAAGAAAGATTTGAAACAATTGTATCAGCCAGACCCCCAAAACTTTGATCAAATATATTGCTACCAAGTCACATTCTTCACATTTTCTAGATGAGAAATCAGTTTTTTCGGACCCAAATGCCTTACTCTAGGCACATCAATTTAGCCCTTCAATATATTTTAGCTCCCGGACTCTGTCATCCCTCCCCTTGCCTTGCCTACAAGATCCTGATCTAAGCCATCAATAAATTGGTAGGCATGTGTTTGAAATTTCCTTCCAGGTTGACCTTAACCCTAACACGGTTTCTGTGCACTTACTGAGCTAAAAGAGCTAATGTTTATTTCTGCAGTGTCTGGTAAAAATCAATTTCATTCCTCTGTCATCACACCACATGAGACTATGCCACAATTTTTTCCTGGGAACCTGTATTTTTGTTTTAAGCTTAAGAACATTTATTATAAGATACTCTCTACATTGTAACATAAGCTTCACAAGGTCACACGATTTTGTCTCTTAACCTGTCAAAAAATTCCTCAATTCTGTTTGTTTCCAAAGATTCTATGCCTTTTAGTTCTGACTAATAGCACATATTGACTTGCACCAAAAGAATCCCCAAAGCAAGCCTTTATCAGCCTCCTCTGTATGCCACGTGGGTAATATATGGAGATGGACTTTGATACTATTACTGAGAGTTCGCAGTATTTTCCAATAAATGTCTTTCCCCCAACCAAAAATAAATACATAAAAACTTCAGTGAACAAGAGCGAGTAAGAGATATGGAAGACAGCCTCTTTAAGAAAATAGAAAATAATACTTCCCAAATCATTTTATGATGTCAACATTACCCTGATACCAAAATTCAGTAAAGGCAGTTCAAGAAAAGAAAACTACATACCAGTATCTGTCATGAACACAGAAGTAAAAATCCTCAGCAAAATATTAGCAAATTGAATCCAGTAATATATTAAAAAGATAATATATTATGAGCCAGTGGAATTTGTACTGGGAATGCATAGCTGGTTCAGCATTTGAAAACCAATCAGCCGATCCACTAGATTAACAGACTGAAGAAGAAAATCCACATAGTCATATCAATAGATGCAGAAAAAGCATTTGGTAAAATTCAAAACCCAATCAGATTAAAAGTCTCATAAACTATGAATTGAGGGGAACTTAACCTGATAAAGGACATGTATAGTAAACCTACAACTAACATTACTAGAAAGGGAAAAAATTTGCAGATGATATGATTCTGTGTGTAGAATTCAAAGGAATCTGTAGACAATTAGAATTAGTAGCAAGGTTTAGAAAGGTTGCTGATATAAAATCAATATACAAGGGACTGGGCGTGGTGGCTCACGCCTGTAATCCCAGCACTTTGGGAGGCCGAGGCAGGCGGATCATGAGGTCAGGAGATCGAGACCATCCTGACTAACACGGTGAAACCCCGTCTCTACTAAAAATACAAAAAAATTAGCCGGGCCTGGTGGTGGGCGCCTGTAGTCCCAGCTACTTGGGAGGCTGAGGCAGGAGAATGGCTTGGACCCGGGAGGTGGAGCTTGCAGTGAGCCAAGATCGCGCCACTGCCCTCCAGCCTGGGCGACAGAGCAAGACTCCATCTCAAAAAAAAAAAAAATCAATATACGAAAATCAATTCTATTTACAAGCCACAAGCAGAAAATAAAACTTTTAAAGGGTACCATACATAACACCACTTGCAACACCATAATATTATAAAGTGTTCTTGCACACACACAAAACAAAACTGGATCTGATTAGGCCTCTAGGTTTTATTACCTATTTGCAGGAAATACAAAGGACAGAGAGACATACTAAAGATACCACAGGGACACAGTCAGAAAAATCCAGACTCTACAGAAACTAAAGGACAAACTAGTTTCTACAACAAACAAATTGTAAGAAAAGAAAAAGGAGGGAGAGGGAACCTATAGATTTTAAAGGGATTTCAGAAGAAAACTGTACTCTTGGATTTGTTCCAAAATAATCTATGATAAGGTGGTATAAATAAAGCCAGGCGCAGTGGCTCACACTTGTAATCCCAGCACTTTGGGAGGACGAGACGGGCGGATCACCTGAGGTCAGGAGTTCGAGACCAGCCTGGCCAACGTGGCAAAACCCCATCTCTACTAAAAATACAAAAAAAATTAGCTGAGCGTGGTGGCGGGTGCCTGTAATCACAGCTACTTGGAAGGCCAAGACAGGAGAATCGCTGGAACCCGGGAGGCGGAGGTTGCAGTGAGCCGAGATCGTGCCACTGCACTCCAGCCTGGGCAACAGAGTGAGACTCTGTCTCAAAAATAAATAAATAAATAATAAAAAAATAAAATAAGCTATGACTAATAATTGTCAAAGCAGGGTTGTAGATAGCTGGGTTTCATTACACTATATCCTTGTATGTGTTTGAAAGTTTTAGTGTTACAAAGTGTTTCTTAAAATACCATTTACAAAGCCTTTATTAAAAAATGACCAGGCGTGGTGACTCATGCCTGTAATCCCTGCACTTTGGGAGGCCGAGGTGGGCGGATCACTTGAGGCCAGGAGTTCAAGACCAGCCTGGCCAACATGGCAAAACCCCGTCTCTACTAAAAGGAAAAAAAAATACAAAAATTAGCTGGGTGTAGTGGCGCACACCTGTAGTCCCAGCTACTCAAGAGGCTGAGGCATGAGAATATGTCAATCCTGAAAGGTGGAGGTTGCAGTGAGCCAAGATTGTGCCACTGCACTACAGCCTGGGCAACAGAGAGAGACTCTGTCTTAAAAAATAAAATAACCTAGGAATAAATCTAACAAAGATGTCAAGACATTTACAGAATAAATTATAAAATTTATTGAGACCGGGTACAGTGGCTCATGCCTGTAATCCCAGTACTTTTGGAGGCCAAGGCAGGCGGATCACTTGAGCCCAGAAGTTTGAGACTGTCCTGGGTAACATAGCAAGGTCCAGTCTCTACAAAAATACAAAAATTAGGCCAGGCTCCGTGGCTCACACCTGTAATCTCAGCACTTTGGGAGGCTAAGGCAGGCGGATCACCTGAGGTCAGGAGTTTGAGACCAGCCTGGCCAACATGGCAAATCCCCATCTCTACTAAAAATATAAAAAATTAGCTGGGCGTGGTGGCAGGCACCCGTAATCCCAGCTACTTGGGAGGCTGAGGCAGGGAGAATCACTTGAACCTGGGAGGACGGAGGTTTCAGTGAGCTGAGATCGCACCATTACACTCCAGCCTGGGCAACAGAGCGACACTCTGTCTCAAGAAAAAAAAAATGGGTGACATGCACCTGTAGTCCGCTACTTAGGAAGCTGAGGCGGAAGGATCACTTGCACCCAGGAGGTCAAGATGACAGTGAGCCAAGATTGCACCACCGCATTCCAGCCTGGGTGACAGAGTAAGACTTCGTCTCGGCGGGGGTGGGGGGGGAATTATATCTCGAGACATTTAAAAAGATATAAGTAAATGGAGAGACATACTGTGTTTAAGGACTGGAAGACTCAATATTGCAGGGATGTCTATTCTTCCTAGATAGATTTCATAGATAAGATGCAATCCCAACAGTTTTGAAATTGACAAGCTAAGTTTAAAGTCTACATGGAAATGCACAAGGTCGGGAATAGCCAAAATGCTCTTGAAGAACAAGGAAGGAGGTCTTGCTCTACCAGATACCAAGACTTATTATAAAGCTATAGTAAACAAGATAATAAGGTATGGGTTTAGAGATGCTCAAATAGACCAGAAAGGAATAGAGAACCTGAAAACACTCTCATACGTAAATGGACACTTGATGTGTGACAGAAATAGCACTGCACAGCAATGAGGAATGGACAGGCTTTTAAATAATGTAGGACAATTGGGTATCCATTAGGAAGAAAAAAGGAATTGGACCCCTCCTTTACACCATAAGCAAAAATCAGTTCTAGGCCGGGCGCAGTGGCTCACGCCTGTAATCCCAGCATTTTGGGAGACCAAGGCAGGTGGATCACACGAAGCAGGAGTTCAAGACCAGCCTGGCCGACATGGTGAAACCCCATTTCTACTAAAAAAATACAAAAATTAGCCAGGCATGGTGGCACACACCTGTAATCCCAGCTACTCAGGAGGCTGAGGCATGAGAATTGCTTGAACCTGGGAAGCAGAGGTTACAGTGAGCCGAGATTGCACCACTGCACTCCAGCCTGGGCATCACAAGGAGAATCTGTCTCAAAAACAAAAAAAAAACAGCAGTACTAGTACATTAATACCCAAAATGTAAAAGACAAAACTATAAACTTTGAGAAGGTAATATTGGAGAATATCTTCTGGGACAAGGAAGGATTTCTTTTTATTTTTATTTATTTTTTATTTCTCTAAAGTCAGGGTCTCTGTCTCCCAGGCTGGAGTGCAGTGGTGTAGTCTTGGCTCACTGCAGCCTGGAACTGCTGGACTCAAGTCATCCTCCTGCTTCAGCCTTCCTAGTAGCTGGGACTACAGGCACGTAACATCACACCCAATCACACCCAGCTAATTTTTTTTTGTTTGTTTTTTGTTTTTTGTTTTTTTTTGTAGAGATAGGGTCTTGTTATGTTGCTCAGGCTGGTCTCAAACTCCTGGCCTCAAGTGAGCCTCCCTCCTTGGCCTCCCAAAGTGTTGGGAAATCCCCTGCTAAGGATTTCATTTTTGTTTTTTTTTTTTTTTTTTTTTTAGACAAGGTCTCGCTCGGTTGCCCAGGCTAGAGTGCACTGGCATAATCTCAAATCACTGCAACCTCCACCTCTCAGGCTCAAGTAATTATCCTGTCTCAGCATCCGGAGTAGCTGGGACTACAGGCACATGCCACCACACCCAGCTACTTTTTGTATTTTCAGTAGAGATGGGATTTCGCCCTGTTGCCCAGGCTCGTGTGAACTCCTGAGCTCAAGTCATCCACCCGCCTCAGCCTCCCAGAGTGCTGGGATTACAGGCGTGAGCCATCGCACCTGGCTGAGGATTTCTTAAGATATCAAAAATACTTCCCATTAAAGAAAAGACTGATAAATTTGACTAAATTAAAACTAATAAGTTGTGTTCATCAATTGATACCATAAAGAGAGCAAAAAGGCAAACCACAGAGTAGAAGAAGATATCTGCAACACGTATATTAATAACTAACAAAAGCATAATATCTAGACTATATAAAGAATTTCTACAAATCTATGAGAAAAAGACAACTGAACAGAGGAACGGTCAAAAGACTTGAACAGACACTTAACGAAAGAGGAAATTCAGTAGCCATTAAACATATGAAAAAATGATCAGTCTTACTAATGAGTGAAACGTAAACTAAAATGTAAATTAAAAACACAGTGGTATTCCATTATTCATCCACCATGATGGCTAAAGTTAAAGACAGATAATACCAAGTGTTGCCAAGGAAATGGAACAATAGGAATGTTCATACACTGCTGGTAGGAGTGTAAATCAGTACAATGTCATTGTAAAGCAACCTGCCATTTACAATAGCACCATATGGCATTCTGATCGTGATTTTGGACTCTTATATGTGACTCACTTGGGGACCCTTGGTTGGCCCCCATGAGCAAAATCATTAGGAGAGCAAAGTCTTCTGTGGCAATATTCTGAAAGGCAAGTATTTGTTTAGACTGAACCTGAAAGAGCAACTTTTTAATATCATCTTTATGTTACCAATGCTGGATATTATAGATCAAAATTATAATTTCCTGATTGTGGTTATAACTGTGAATTTAATCAGAGCACACTTTTTATATCTTATCTTAGAATCTCCATGTAGCAGTAGTGCCATTTGTTAAGCATATACTGTGTGCCTGGTACTGTACTAGGGACATTATTTACATTTTTTGTTCTAAACCTTTACAATAGCCATCCAAAAGGCTCCAAAAGTTTAAAGACACTGCGGATAGAATATTCTGGCTAAGATCATGAGCTCTGGTGCCAGACCTTCCCCACTCTTTCACTTATTAGCTGTGTGATTTGGGGCAAATTGCTTAACCTTTCATTCTTTCAATCCCCTCATCTGTAAAATGGTGATGCAATTCCCTGTGTTGTTAGAAAGATTAAAGGAGTTAATACATGTAAAGTTCCTAGGAAAGTGTCTAACATTAAGTGCTCAGTACCAGCTAACAAGTGACAAAGCCAGAATTCAAACCAGGCCTGTGTTGAAACATTCTACTGTATCTCATGGCCACATGTTTAGGCATCTAATCTGAGTTGTCAGTATATGTTCAAGGAATACCATGCCATTTTAATATAAGCCTATATTTTAAAAACATTTCTAGGAAATTGTCATGAAAACCAAAGAATAGCCTTTGTCCAAATTTTTTAAAAGATTAGGATGAGTATGGTTATGCTGTTTTATATAAATTCTTCAAATGGATGACTCTTCTATTTTATCAACCAGAATTATAAATTCATTTTATTTTATTTTTCTTTTTGTATGTGCTAGGCGAGTAGCTTGCATTGCCATGGAGAAGACCAAACAGGAGCAGCAGGCCAGCTGTACTTGGTTTGGCAAGAAAAAGAAGCAGTACAAAGATAAATATTTGGCAAAGCACAATGCAGGTAGGGAAAAGCACAACTGTTACTGAGGCTGGGTTAAGCATCTCCAAGACCTAAAAAGATGTAATATTTTAATTCAGTCTTCAGTGTTCTCTATCCAAAAAATTCTACCATATGAGATCTTCATCAACTTTCAAAACCTTTAAGAAACCCCTACCTCCAATTAATATGTTGATTATTTGCTAGATATTTTACAGAGCTATACTTTATAGGACAAAAATGTTATTTTGAAATAGTATCCTCTGGAATGAAAAGAATCCAACACGTTAAGTCCTCCCCTGAGAAATGAAAGCTTGAGAGTTTGCTGAGTAGCCAGGATTCTTATCTATCCTTGGCTGGGATTGGTCTTGAACAGATCTCCTCCCGCCTGGCTCCTGCCTGGCCCTTGGGCGTGGCCCTGAGATAAACATCTGAGGGTAGAGGTGTGCTCTTATCAGAGAACTGTGCCACAAATGGTTCTGTGGTTGGTTTGAGAGAGTACAAATGACATGGACACTAACTTGGTTTTGTCCATTTCTGTGAGTCGTCTTCTTCCCTCATGGTATTTCCAAGCTACCACAAGAGCAAGAATCTTATCTTGGCCTTCCCTTTATAGTATGTATGTTTGCCCATATGGAAGTTTGTATTCAACTTAAGTCAAAATGTTCACTTGTCTTGTTGAAAACTGGAATTAATACCAAAAAGGCATGATCTGTTGTTGCAATAGAATCCCCAGAAGATTCACAGGGTGCAACTTAAGCTAAAGAAAATGCATGGTGATACACAGGAGTGCTAATACAAGAAGTTATTTTCAATAACTTCTTAATACAACTCCTTTTATAAGGAACTTTTTCTGAGGAATTGAAAGTCCTGACTGGCATTAGGTTAGTTCCCAAGGTTTCAGAAATAACTCCAAAAATTAGAAATGTGGCCCAAAAAATCAAGTGAATCTAGTCATGCATACCCAGATTGATGGCATAATGTTTCTGACAAGTATGAAATGCATTTTTCTCTGTAAATGTTATAACGTACTCTGAATTGTTCATTTCTCAATCAGAGATTAAAAGTAAACATTTCAAACTGCTGTATAATGTGGAATGAATGTGAGTGGCCACATGGGTTAAGTTTAAATGGCTCAGTTAAATAAGGAATCATTCCCTTCGCATTAGTTACATTGTACCACATTTTTATTTCCAAAAACAGTGTAATTTCTGGTTATGTACTACTACAGAGCAGTAGTTTCATAATGGCTTTTTTGGTTTTATGAAGGGAAGAAATAAAGCAGACTAGTTACACAAAATGTAGCAACTGTTAAGCAAATGCTCAAGTATACTATTTGAAGAAATGCACTGCAGAGCCAGGCACGGTGGTGGTGCCTGTAATCCCAGCTACTTAGGAGGCTGAGGCAGGAAGATTGCTTGAGCCCAGGAGTTCGAGGCCAGCCTGGGCAACAGCAATACCCTGTCTATACAAAATAAAAATAAACTAAATAGAAATGCACAGCAGTATCAGCAGAATGTTGCTTCACACAAAACGTCAGTGGTTATTACCAAGTCTCCTTAGTTGCCCTTACTTCTGTCAGCTTCTAACAGTCTAACACAATCTAATAGGCTCACAAGGAGATGTGTTGACATATAAATTGAGAAATGTATGCATCTCACCTTGTAATTTGTACAGCAGTGTTAAATGATACATAGATATAGATGGGATTGAAATTAACTTACACCTAGAAAAGCAAAGAAATGGCTGGTTCAGGCTGTCAGTTTATCATTAGATTTATGCTGTACTAATAGAGGTCATGTAAACATGAGTATTCAGTTTGCCAGTATTCTTTAATTCAGCTCTGAGGAAAGTAAGAAATTCATTGAAAAACTAGAATTCTCTAAATGCTGTCAAAGAGTCAATTTAATCATTAATTTAAGAATTTTGCCAGAGAATCAGCATCCGATCTGGCAGCCAGTGTTTTCACTTTTTCCACTCTTTCACCACCAGGGTATCACTGATCTTCTTCCATTGCTCCCATTCTCTGATTCCCGTTAGATGGTGCACAGTGGTCCTGCAAACACACCTGTAAGCTTAATAGGCAGCTGGAGATAGGACCAGGAATTAGCACACCTGAGTAACCGTGCAATTTGGGCAAATCACTTCGCTCCTACGGGCCTTGAAATGAGGGAATTAGGTTAGTCAATCAAGGAGATCTTTTCTAATTCTAAAGATCAGTGGGTCTCAGGTTCTTTCATCACTGGGCCTGACAAATGGCGATCATTCAATGAAGCCAAGTATTCTTGTACTGTCTATCTCAGGCTCTTGCTCTCTGGTAGACATTGCCTATCCAGGTTGAAAGCTATCACCCTTGACATAGAAGGCAGGAGCCTAATAGGGGTAGAACAGAATTGCTTTTTCCTCTGTCTTTTGACATTTACCTCCTATCCCAAACCATTGACCTCTCTTAAGTTCTTGTCAACTTAGAATGAAGAAAGGAGGGGTTGAGAGGACAGGGGAGCCTACTGCCACCACCTGTTTGGTATCATCAGTATTTTCCTAACCAGCGGCCGTCTGGGCATCAGAACCTTCCTTGCCATGCTTAAGGGGTTGTTCTACATGTCAGTGTGTGTCACTGTGTATAAGGCCCTCCTTTGAAAGAAAGTCTGAGCTTCTTAGATGGTCCTTGCAGAGCCCCTTAAGTGTCTTTGTAGAACTTTGTGTTTAGGCCTATTTGTGATTCTCTAGTCAGGATATCATTGTTAGGCTTCCCTCACCTGCAAAATAATCACTGTGAGCTCTCTTTTTAGTTTCTCTTTTTGGGAGAAGATTCCCAGCTTTTTTCCTTGACTTTCTGAAATACACTGCCTGCAAAGCCTAGCATTCCTTTCTGTCACCATCTCTTCAGGTTTCTTCTGTGTCATCAACCAACTCTTCCATTTTGTTCATTAGAAAGTCCAGAAGAACCATTTGCTTAGTATTACCTTTGCTTTACAAGAGATCATAGGGTCAAGTATTTAATCAGCTGTTCTGCTTTTAGCTACGATGAAAGGTCATCCCAATATACAGAAGTGTCCTTATAAAGAATTGCTCTAAAAGAGTGAGAAACAAATACTCTTGACTTCCATTGGTGAGGCAGTTGCTTTGAGAACTTAGAAATATCATAGCCTTTCATACCAAACCAGATGGGCTCATGGGCCACAGATCAAACAATATCTCAAAAGGATTTTTCTGGCTTTTTTAGAAGTTGATGGTAAAATACAGTACTCTGTTCTTCTGTTACTACTCAGTAAATTAAAATAAGGGCTGTATGTTTTGTTTCCTGCTTCAAATCTTTGAGAATTCATCATATATTGATGGCAAGATCCAAACCTTATCAAGTTCTGACATTATTTGTATTTGTGGTACAAATGAAGGTTGGGAATTTTGTCATTATCTAGAACTGGTGGGAATGATAATACTAGAATTATTTCCATTTTTGTCGTTAGGAAATTCTACATAGCTTGTTAAAGTGGAATTCTGTTCAAACTGTGTTACCTACAACTCCCATCATAAAGTGACAGCCTATTCGCTGAATTTGACCCATAAGTAAATTTTGTCCCTCTAACTCCCACACACACAGTGTTTAAGTTTTAATAAGTCATCACGTGTGAAAGTCAGGATATTTAACATAAAAATTTGGGTTTCAGAGTTCCCTTAGAAGAACAAGGAATGCAGCAATACCAGGTCCACTTTCTCTTTTAGTAACTCTGGGTGGTTAATATGGCCTTTGAATGGACGCTCATTCTCCAGCACACACTGTCCGCACCACTCCCTGTTTTTGCACCTGGCCCACTTCATTCAACCACATTAGCTACCTGACCCCTGCGGGCATTCAAGTATGTACTCCTTAACCCAATGCTACCAGTGTGCAATGCTCTTTTGAATTGGAGGTCTTTATAGTATTTGAAGATCTTGATAGTGTTTCCAGCTGAGACAAGGATTCAATGTTAATGGCTTTTTTATGGAAAAAATTCAACCTGGAAAGTAGTTACATAAATACTTAAAAGAAGTGTCTGGAATGTTGAGTAGTTTAGCAGAAAATCAGGGTAATATGAGCAAACTATGCTAGACAGTATTTCTGAATCCTTGGGAATAGATTTGATTATGGTGTGTGTAGCTTTTACAGCAAATACATTTTCTGTAACATACAGAAGGTTTCTAGCCATGTATACTTGGTACAAAAAGCATTGTGGTGTGGCTGGAACAACTGAACTCTAGAGGCATTGAGATTCCTCAGCCCCCAGGACTTCCAAAAGTCATTTTAGATCAAGTTACTAGTGTAAACTTTTTAAAAATGTAGGAAGTCTTCATTAATTTGGTTTCTTAAATGTTAGAGCCCCGAAATACTCTATTTACATACACATATTTGAACATAGGGGATTTCTACAGTACCATTCATAGGTGTGCTTAAATTATGCTTAATACCACAAATTAGTACTATTGACTTTAAAAGCTATTCTTTTTTTTCTGGAATACAAGCAACTCTAAAGGAAACAAAAAGTAGCCCATAAACTCACTGCCCTGTTGGCATTAAAAATAATAATAGGCTGTGCGCAGCGGCTCATGCCTGTAATCCCAGCACCTTGGGAGGCCGAGGTGGGCAGATCACTTGAGGCCAGGAGTTCGAGACCAGCCTGGCCAACATGGCAAAACCCCATCTCTACTAAAAATACAAAAATTAGCTGGGTGTGGTGGCACACGCCTGTAATCCCAGCTACTTGGGAGGCTGAGGCAGGAGAATCACTTGAACCCGGGAGGTCCGCGGAGGCTGCAGTGAGCCAAGATCCCACCACTGCACTCCAGCCTGGGTGAAGGAGCGAGACCCTGTCTCAATAATAATAATAATAATAATAATAATAATAATAATAATAAAAGTAATAGGCACACATGGTTAGAAATTACACATGGTACAGGAAGGTACAAAGTGAAAAGCAAAAGGCTTCCACGTCTACACTCTCTGAAGAGGTTTTCTTGTAACTATTCTCGATAAAATGTCTATGCATATGCTAGTATATAAAATCCGCTGGCTTTTATATAAGGATATTGTCGAATTTCTATTAAAATGAGTTTGTTTCTTAATGTGATTTATTTGCCTTGTGTTTAGAATATTGCATGATAAAGTTTATTTTATACATATTATACTTTTATTTTACTAATATATGAAAAGCCATATTTCAATGACCCCTGTACATTTTTCATGCTGTCTCACTCCCAATGGCCTCTGTGCATGTAAGTAACCTGTTGAATGACTATGCCTCTGTGTTTTTGGTGGTTTTCTTTTATTAAGTCCTTTTTTTAATCAGCAAGCAACTTAAAACCTTTAAAAGCTCATTCTTTAAGTGCTTTCCTAATATTATTTGTATCTCTTATTTTAAAATACCCTTTTTTTATTGTTTCTCAACCCTATGACCGTGTGGCAATTTCATTTAGACCAGAGTAACCTCTTCATGCTGCTCATTTATGGTTAAGATATTGATGTTTAACATATCTGTTTCATTTCATTTTCATAACATGTCTGTTTGTGGTTTTGATGGTTGACATCTAACTCATTCTTATGTGTTTTTTAAAAAAATGACAAGTCTTAATTTGGTAGGATCACAGTTAGGGCTCTATAGAGGGATAGGTGTGTGTATATACCATTCGGAAAGCTTGTGTCATCATCATCATCTTGCTCTTTTGTGAGATGCTTGCTTATTTTTATTAAAATATATTAAAACATATCTGCTTGTCAATGCACTTCTTCTGTAAGCATACTTTTTCTTGATGGAAATATCACTCAGAGGGCAATAGGTCTAAAAAATAATGCCATCAGCACTCCTGCTTTTATTTTTGCAACTCTCATCACTCCATTACTACTGCAGTATAACTAACTAGCCCTACCACAGAGAGCCTCATGTTCATTTTAATTTTGTGAGTCTGCCATTCTGAACACAGAAAACATTTCTTGGTTTTTAGCTATTGCTAGAGGATATGCTTTAAAGACTTTCAATCAACCTTTATAAATCAAGTTATCAAAAGAAAACAAATGTGCAAAAACCCATTAATATACACTAACCTCTATTTTAATATATCGTGTTTCTTTTTTTATATATTGTGATAATGGTGCTTTTTGTTTGTTTGTTTCTGTTCTATTCTATTCCCAAGTATCTTATTTTGCATTTTAAGTGATTGGGCAAATCACTAATGTTAAGAACTAAGGTGATATTCACAGTCATTTGGCCATAGTGTTTCTAGGAGTAGAAGGTTCTCTTAATAAATGATTGGCTAAAGTAATGCAGATTTCGGCCGGGCACGATGGCTCACACCTGTAATCCCAACACTTCGGGAGGCCAAGGCCAGTGAATCACCTGAGGTCAGGAGTTCAAGACCAGCCTGGCCAACATGGTGAAACCCCATCTCAACAAAAATACAAAAATTGTCTGGGCGTAATGGCAGGTGCCTGTAACTCAGGAAGCTGAGGCAGGAGAATCGCTTGAACCTGGGAGGCAGAGGTTGCAGTGAGCCGAGATCGCGCCACTGCACTCCAGCCTGGGTGGCACAGCGAGAGTCCATCTCATAAATAAATAAATAAATAAATAATAAAGCAGCCCAGATTCCTTTATTACATCATCAAATCAATTTTACTGAATTTATTTTAACCCCTCTAAAATCCAGGGTTTATTCAATATTCTTTAAAAAAAGAAATGTCAGTATGTAACTGACAGCATTTGGGTATGACCATACAAAAAATATTACAGGAAACACAGACATACAATTTTAGCCCTTTGTGAGAATTTCCAAATGTGTGTGAGAATTGGACCATGTTGAATTTCAACAGGAATGGGCATCTGCTCAGGAAAGTTTTGTACATTGCTTGAAATTGCTTTTATCATAGTGTTAAGAGGCAGGTTTCAGAAAAATATTTGTTAAAGTATTTCTCCTCAGTCTGTAGTGATTAGAGAACTCCACTTTTGCAAAGGTTTCTGAGCTCAGACTCTGCTTCATGATTCTTTCCATCCTGATCCACCATACACAGGCTGCCCATGTAATGGGCGACAAGTTTTCAGGCCCAGGAAAGCATGTAACTCTCCTTACATATTCAAGACTTTCCATTGAGTGGATATCTGGGTTACAGTAAAGCTTGTGAGATGCTCATTGATAAGCTTGTGCAATAGTTACAGAACTTGCCTTAGAATCTAGCATGCCACCTTCATCAACTCTGTTGAAAGAAAGAACCATGAAGTTAAAGACCAGCTGTCCATGCATTTCTCATCCATCTCTAGAAATGATCTAGCTGGCCCCTCTCCTGGTTAACTTTAGTTGCATTCATGCTATATTCATGTTGGTCACTGTCTGTAGACTTTTTCTTTTTAGTATTGCTGACTTCTTAGAATTGGAAAAATATGAACAGCATGTGGTTTCAAATTAATTCATATGATTTGTTGGATACTACATGAAAAGATATGTAGTATCTTTTAGATTTGGACATTTTAATGCATGTGTTCAGCATCTTTGGATGCCCCTGGTTCTAAAGAGCATTTTCATGGGCTTAAAAATGAAAATTTCTCCCTAGATGCTATATGACTTAAATTACATGTAAGCCATATATCATAAGTTGGATTCATATTTTTAAGACATGGTTTTAATATAACTGTAGTTTTGCCAGTAAAATTATAATTTATGTACATGAAATAGTCATTCTACAAATTTACCTTTCTTCTAAATCTTTGCGTTTTAGTGTTTGATCAATTAGATCTTGTCACATATGAAGAAGTAGTAAAACTGCCAGCATTCAAGAGGAAAACACTAGTCTTATTAGGTAAGTTTGATTGTGTAAGTGAGTTGCTTATTCTCACTTTCAAAACATTTTGTGAACATTATTAAGAGTTGTCAGTTTTAACATTCTTTTTTTCTAAATGACATAGGCGCACATGGTGTTGGGAGAAGACACATAAAAAACACTCTCATCACAAAGCACCCAGACCGGTTTGCGTACCCTATTCCACGTAAGCAATGTCTCAATCTCTTTTCATTATATTTTTCCTATCACTTTTTTAACTCTATAATTTATGTATTTTTTTCTGATTACATAAGGTATAACTGTTCATTGTAGGAAATTTGTAAAATCAAAAAAAGAACAAGGAGGAAAATGAGTTAACAGTAATCCCAACCCCTCTTTCCCTATAATAAGTGCTATAAATATTTTGTTGTATACCCTTCTAGGCTTCTCTGTTGTATACCCTTCTAGGCTTGTCTTAGTACAGATATGTGTATAAAGTGTGTGTGTGTGTGTGTGTGTGTGTGTGTGTGTGTGTGTGTTTTAAATAAAATTAGTTTTATCCATTCTGTTTGTAACAATTTTTCTAACAATATGTCATACACATTACCTAGATGAATTATTCTTCAGAAAAATAAGTTTTCATAGTTGTACAGTTTCTGATATGACAATTTTTTTCCCTTAGTTAATATTTAAATTGTTGATTTCTTACCACTTTTTAAACCCAATCAATATGCTAACAGTTGTTTCTGTAAAGATTTTCAAATCTGTAAGATTTTTAATTCTCCTTATTTTCCGTATCTTATTCTTAACCTCTTGCCCTCTTCATTTTCTCAATTGTAAAATGAAGTAATTCAGGATTGCAGAGAGGATTTGAGATCATGTGTATGAAGCACTTAGCAGATGGTGGATAAGTAGAAGCTATCTACCACTATCATTTCATTATTATCATCATTATTCTAAAGTTTAAAATTTTAGGCCAGGCGCGGTGGCTCATGCCTGTAATTCCAGCACTTTGGGAGGCTGAGGTGGGCGAATCACCTGAGGTCGGGAGTTTGAGACCAGCCTGACCAACATGGAGAAACCCCGTCTCTACTAAAAATACAAAATTAGCTAGGCATAGTGGTGCATGCCTGTAATCCCAGCTACTCAGCAGGCTGAAGCAGGAGAATCAGTTGAATCCGGAGGTGGAGGTTGTGGTGAGCCGAGATCGTGCCATTGCACTCCAGCCTGGGCAACAAGAGTGAAACTCCGTCTCAAAAAAAAATAAATAAAATTTTAACCCCAGAAGCTTTCTAGCAGCTCAGGGTTGGAAGAGCTAAAGGAAAATTATTTTTTAAGAGCAACAGGAGAAAATGTGAAGATTGGCTCCATTCTATAGGGCCTTCACATGCCTTCCTGAAGCAATGTCAATACCACTTACAGTTATCTGTACACCTCAGAGAGCCAGGAGGCTTCATGAGAAAACCTTCATCCCAAAACCTTGTCTGATTTACACAAGAAAAGAAATGTATCCAATAGTGTCTCATTTGGCACTACTGGGGTTTTCTAGTAAAACACTTTGAAGTGTTCTTTTAATTCTCCTTATGTCTAGATCATGAGTACAGCAAGCTTAGCTAACATTTAGCTTCTTCTTAACCACGTAACAACTGAACTTCCATGTTATTAAATGGCCAGTTAACTAGTTTGGTTTTAAAACTTACCTTTGATGATGTCAATCATGACTAGTCTTTGAAATATTTGACCCTGTATGTGTATATAACATATATCTAACTACTGAGATGACTGAAGATAGTACAACATCAATATGTTATGTAAGTTCTTGGCTGGGCGCGGTGGCTCACACCTATAATCCCAGCACTTTGGGAGGCCGAGATGGGTGGATCACATGAGACCAGGAGTTTGAGACCAGCCTGGCCAATGTGGTGAAACCCCATCTCTACTAAAAATACAAAAGTTAGCCGGGCATGGTGGCACACACCTGTAGTCCCAGCTATTAGGGTGGCTGAGGCATGAAAATCGCTTGGAACCCGGGAGCTGGAAGTTGCAGTGAGCTGAGATCTTGCTACTGCACTCCAGCCTGGGCAACAGAGTGAGACCCTGTCTCAATAAATAAATAAATAGTAACGCCGGTTCTTCAGCTTTTGATGTGCCTAGAGAAAGGGCTTCTCTTAAAATGTCCACATTTTGATGACCACGAGCACTTTATGTTCTAACAAACAGGCTAGCAGGAAAGGGGGATTCCCCATTAGTTTAGGCTCATGTATACAGAAGAGAGTAGCATAAATTTGTTCTTTCTCAAAGAAAGAAGGAAGCAAAGAAATTGAGAGAGAGAGGGAAAAAAAGGGAAGGAAGGGAGAAAAGAAAGGGGGGTAGGGAGAGAGAATATTAAAACCAGTGTTCCTGGCTCATCTAGAAAAACATTTCCTAAAGTGTGTTTTGCAGGATACTGGTCCTATTAGTATCCACAGAACTAGAGCTTATTGGCATATACTTCAGTTACACTCACTTAGGTGAGGGGTGGGCAAGCCTTTTCTGTAAAGGACCAGATAGTACACATTTGAGGCTTTAAGGCCATACAGTCTATCACAAGCACTTAGCTCTGCTGTTGTCTCATGAAAACAACCATAGGCAATATGTAAACAAAAGCACATGGCTGTGTTCCAGTAAAACTTTGTTTACAAAAACAGACAGTAGGTGGCCAGGTGCAGTGGCTCACACCTGTAATCCCAGCACTTTGGGAGACTGAGGCGGGCAGATCACCTGAGGTCAGGAGTTTGAGACCAGTCTGGCCAACATGGTGAAACCCCGTCTCTGTTGGAAATACAAAAAATAGCTGGGCATGGTGGTACACGCCTATAATCCCAGCTGCTCAGGAGGCTGAGGGCACAAGAATCTCTTGAACCCAGGAGGTGGAAGTTGCAGTGAGCTGAGATCGCACCACTGCACTCCAGCCTGGGCTACAGAGTGGGACTCTGTCTCCAAAATAAAAAAATAAAAATAAAAAAAGACAGTAGACCATGTTTGGCCCATAAGCCAGTTTGTCACCTCCTGATTTAGGTCTTCCATAATAATTATGGGTATGTCTGGCCACAGTCATTGTGTTTTCAGTGTAACGTGTCTTTTGCTGTATCCTAACATTCTCCTTTTGCAAGATGTTATAGAACATCACTTTTCAATAGAACTTTCTGTGACAATGACAGTACTTGATGTCTGTGCAGTCCAGTACAGTGGCCACTAACCATACGTGGTTATTGAATCCTTGAAATGCCACTAGTGAGACTGAGAAACTAAAATTTGAATTTTATTTAATTTTGGCTTATTTAAATTTAACCATATGCAGTTTTCCATTTTTTTATTCTCCTTTTTTCCTTCTACACAAGACCCAACTGCATTAAGGCATACAGTGAGTTATATTAATCTTGGGTCATTTCACGTCTTCCTCCTGTGGTGGTTCATGAAGGGATAAAATACATCTCACCTGAACACTGAAAGTTTCACCAAACCAGACAATTCACTGGCTACTATGGTGTGATGCACACAGATAAATATGGTTTCTAGAATTTAGTTCTGCAAAGCCACTGGGGGTGAGAACAGGGGATATGAGATATACGCTAAAGAATCCACAGCTTTTAGGAAGAGACTGGGTTTGAGTAAATCTGTTGGGAGTGTAGTAAGCTCATCAGCTCAGCCTTTTAAACCTCTTGTGCCATGCGACTTTGCAGATACAACCAGACCTCCAAAGAAAGACGAAGAAAATGGAAAGAATTATTACTTTGTATCTCATGACCAAATGATGCAAGACATCTCTAATAACGAGTACTTGGAGTACGGCAGCCACGAGGATGCGATGTATGGGACAAAACTGGAGACCATCCGGAAGATCCACGAGCAGGGGCTGATTGCAATACTGGACGTGGAGCCTCAGGTAATGCCCAGCCTCCCCGAATGTCTGACATCCTGCCTGCATGCCAATAAGCACAGATTCTGAAATCAAAAATGCCATCAGAAAGTCACAGGTCACATAATAATTTCATAAACCACAGAAAAGTATCAGTAATGGAGGCGTTGGGGGTTCACAGTCTAGAATGCCAGCTGACTAATCGTTGGACTCAGTGCACACACCATGTATTTAAGAAGCAGAGATTATTCTCTTAAGAGGTTTATTATATGCAGAAGCTCAGTAAGGTTCCTGATTGTGTCTACGCCTGCCAGAAATCCTACGATCATCTGACCTCAGGATGAGGCTCTGGCACTTTGTTATCACAACAGCCACCTTCCCTCTCTGGGTACAGCTCACGCTGGACCATCAGAGCCTCTACCAGCACATTATGTTAATCTCCAGTGAGAAACTGATCCTGGGGCCTGGGTCTGAAACACAGCACTAGCTTTATGAAAGCAAGCATGAGTGAGCCCAGATGTCAGAGACAGCAGGGATGGAAACCCATGGTGGCTCTCAGCCTCTGCCATTTCCTTACCTGAGCACAATGCCTGACCCTGAGCAAAAACTAGGAGAGAGATAAAGACTTGGAAGAGGACTCAAAAGAGAGCCAGACACAGAGATGATGAAATGGTTTCTAGATATGTCTTGCAGTAGGAATTATTAAACTTGAAAAAGAGAAAGCTGAAGGCTTTACATCAAAAATGCTGACAAGCTGTTTTTTCATCTCTGAGTACAAACCAAGTAGATATGGGAGGCAAAGTATAGTAGGAAGGATTTGGGAGTTGTAGACATCAAGGTGGGTTATAGGAGAGGCTTGTGGGTGCCATGTGACTCCTGGGTCTGCCATTTCTAGGACTGATCTGTACCAAATCTCCTTTAACCCTTAGAAATAGAACCAGTATGCTACCTGCTGAAATAGTAGACCAGCTTCCCTCAAGCAGGCTGTGTTTCATCAGGAGGCTTACCTGGCTATCTTAGGCAGGGCGAATCCCTGTTCAAGGGCCACTGTATGAGACTTGGTCCCCTAACCATCCCTAAAGCAAGGACAGAACCTATATAGCCAGAGTCTGTGTGACCTGGGACCTGACAGCTCAGTTTCTGGGCTCCAGGATCCTAATTCGTGGCCAGTGGGTTCACCCATTTCCGTTTACAACACCTGATGGGGTTCTTGAACTTGGAACTTTGGAAACCACAAAAGGATCTGTTCAAGGGGCTAGGGAGGAAAGCAGCAGTAGGGTGAACACTGCCGTTTACTTAACAATTAACTTGGACCTATATAGAACTAAATATATGATGTGTACCACAGATTGATTTTTGTTTAACTACTAATCCCTCCTTACTAGGGATTGGAAAAATCTTCTGGCCAGGGGTGGCTAGAGGCAAAGTCTCAATCCTGGTCCTGGTCTTCGACATCCTCTCCTTGGGTTCCACACTGGTCTTCACCTGAACGTCGTTTTCTGCTGGTAGTAATGTCTCTAGCAGTATGCTGGCTGCAGGGCTCCTCAGACTCCCTCTGCATTACCTAAGTCCACTTTCGAGGGCTTTCTGCCTTACCTGCCTCCGCTGCTGCCGCCGCCACCGCCACTGCTGCTGCTGCCGCTGCTGCTGCTGCTCCACCCATAGCGTCCAGCTCTCCCTTTCTCCTTGCCCTTGCACAGCCATGCATTGCTCTGCACTGCTGAGTGGGAGACACTTCTCTCAGCCTCCTCAGGACACCCACAGCAGTTACTTTTACCCATTGCACTTGGCCCCAAAGCACCTCCTCACCCCGGCTGGGCACTCTCCTCTGCTCCCCTGAGTGCTGGATGAGCTCACCTGCACTCTTCTCTCCTGCTTCCTGGGTCCCTGCCTCTCAGAACTGTGATCTCTCAGATCCACCTAGCCCTGAGGGCCGGCCATAGGCATCCTGGCTGCCTGAGTCTCTTTGGGCCAGCGGCCCTGGGGATAGGGATTGCCCAGGTCCTGCTCCTCCTGTTGGTCTGGTTGACTACACTGGTCCCAGGCCCTCCTGCGCAGGCCAGCCTCATGCCAGTCCTGGTCTCACAATGACCATTGCATACCACAGTACAGCTGAGAATGCCCGCAGTCTGCACCGACTGGGCTTCACTCTCGGGCTTCTCTGCCCTCAGCCCAGTCTCTCCTCAGCTGGACAAGGCCTTCATCCTGCCTTCAGGATACCCGTGACCATGAACAACTTGCTTTCAGGCAGAGCCTCACTGCTCCAGGGAGGCTCTCTCCTTAGGACATTTTTCTCCATCCCCCTTTCCCACTCCAGCTTCTTAGATGACCCCTCTACTGTATCTTACAGACAATTTAATCCAACAAACTTGTATTAAGCCCTTATTATATGTCAAGCACAGGGTCAGGAGCTAAGAATACAATTCAGAAGACAAGATGGTGAGGATGAAATTCCTTCCTCATTGTACATCCAAAACTGTCCATAACAGAAGGGCCTTGTGGCATTTTTTAGAATCCTCTCACTTCTGCCAAACTACATGTGGACCATAGGAAAACCACCTAACACATGTCCAGCTCTTTTAGTACAGGTCTAATACTTTATGCCATCTTATTTCAGACAACTGAGGCCCAATTGAGCACGTCTAATAATACTATATGATAAGATGTTGTGGTCCAACTTTAAAGCTAGAGGATGATGGTAAAGACATTAAACTAGAAAGAAATTAATAACCTAGCTTCTCATAAAATAGTAATAGATTATGTTCTTATAGTGCTGTATATTTTGCCAGGCGTTATGACTCCTTACCTAATCCTTGTAACCCTATGAGCTGGAGATCAGTATCTAGTTTTGTAGATGGAGAAACCAAGGCTTAACATAATTGTGACTCGATTAAGGCTTTACAGCCAATTGAAAGTGAGGTGTGAAGTTGAACTGTGTTGATTTTTAAATTTTTATTCTTTTACAGTAAATCCCCACTTCCTTTCACTGTACCACCCTAGAAGAGGTAACCCTGGGAATCCTTAAGATGGTTCACCTTATCCATAGTAGTACAATGTAAAGCCTCATTTTTTCTTAACATTCAGAAAAATCTGTAATTCAGTCAAACCTAAGAAAAGCTGTAGAATTTATTTCTCATGAAAATAAAGCTATGGCTCAGAAAATAATCTGTGCCCCTAAAGCTGAAACTGTAATAGCCCCAGTGTGTAATCAGAGCTTAATGTGATGGTTTTAGATTTTAACTTTATTCTGATGTATCCATTTGTAGCATGAAAAAGTTAATAGTAGCAGAATATTTGTAGTTTTGCTTTTGCCCACAGCGGAAGAGGTCATCATCAAGAGGCAGCATACAGTCTTGTTAGGAATCCATACTTTAAAACAAGAGCCAGGTTCTGAACCAGAGACTATTTTGTGAAATCAGTTATCTCTCTTGAGATGGGTTCTGGGGTCACTGCACTCTTCCTAAACCCTTAGATTTTTGTACAAAATGACTCAGATGCTTGCCTCTGTGTGCCTTTTAAGTTTGCAAACCAGAATAGATATCTGCCTCTTATACACTTGGGTCAAATGAGTTTCTATTCCTTGAGGATAATAACCTGAGATTAATTATTGGCCATAGCCAAGCCATAGAATCAATTTATCTCCACAAATGTTAGATTAATGTTACTTTGACTATCTGAATCTAGCATGCTTTCAGTGATCTTTCTAGAGCGTGCTCTTTCTCTCCCTGTCCATATCTGTCCCTGTTTCTCTCTCTCTCTCTACACACACACACACTCTCTCTCTCTCTCTGTCTCTCTCTCTGCCTCTCCCCCTCTCTCTCACTCTCTGTCTCTCTCTCTGTCCCCGTCTCTCTCTCCGAATCCCAGAGAGATTCGGAGAGAAATATTTGCCCATGAACATTAAAAAATGTGTGCCTCATCCTGAGTCAGAAAGGAAGAGGGTTTAGAGTTCATCTTTAAGTCACCTATTAACTGCCTGAGAGAGGGGAATCCTTGTGAGCAATTCCATTTCCTGTCCCTGAAGTAACTCTGAACCTCAGCCAGGCTACCACAGCACCAAAAGTGGCACCCACTTGAGACCCGTAAGTAGTGCAGAGTATGGCCCAAAGACCTTCAAGAACAAGCGAGGAAATGTGTGGTGAGTCTGCTGAAAATATGAGGCTGACTAGACAGGAAAATCTCAATCAGGATTTGAGGCATCTTAGAATTTTTGAAAGTACAATAATAAAGTATAGAAATAGAAAAAGCTACAAAAAGGAGGAGAAAGCAAATATGCTAACCACAGGGCTACTTTAGTTACTGTGATAAACATTAAATTTGGCTCTGAACTTCCTGACAACCAGGGCAAAAAAAAGGAAATCAAGGAATATAACCTGATTCGTAGACATAAGAGGCATTTGGCAATGTGAGGAACATGGCCACCATTGATGGTTTTATGCAGTGAGTGCAGTCTATGGATATAGACCAAGGGTGTGAATGCAGTGCAGAGATGGGCAATCTGCAGGAAGCTAAACTAATGTTCCAAGCAGTTTGTTTTCTGCTGTTGTAATGTGATAGCTGGAATGGAAAACATGATAAGGACTGGGTAGCTGGCAGGCTGGGCCACTGAGTGCAGAAAAAAACCATTTCATGCCCAGGGTGTCATTCTCTACTTCATCTGTGGGTTCCGTTCAGCATCCAGGCTGGGTGGACTTCCATCTAGCACTTAGAGTAGCTTTGGGGATAGAAGCAAATAGGATTCTTTCCCATCTCAGTTGCCCAGAAGCAGGCTATGGGATGGGTATATGTGTGTGACCGGGAGTAGGGGTGATGAGAAAACCTTGTCTCAGCTGACCCTGTATTCACCTGATCTATGAGCATAGGAAGGAAGGAAAAAAGGCCTAAGATAATACTGACATAAAGGATATTTCTAAGTGAAGATCCCTGTTAGCTTGCTTGAGCTATATATGGACTTTGTCATAATGTTTGTTCCTGGCTTAAGTCTTCAGCCACAAAAGGATTGGCAAAGAAATTGCCAGTTACCTCTTTCAAAAATTAACATATGCAAGCTTAAAGAGCTTTCTTACCAGAAGAATCAGAGCCTAGGACTTTAAGAGTTAAAAAACTTTGATGGATAAATACAATGTACCAGTCTCCCTCAACCCACAAGAAGATGCTGTGTGACTAAAATTCAGAAATATAATCCTAGTGAAAGCCAACCTTGCACTAAAAAAAGAAAGAACCTTTCATGTCAAATTTGTCTCTTACATGCCTGTATACACAAAGAGGCTAAGAGAGTCCCTTCAGCCAAGAGAGTAGAGTGCTCTGTAGATGAACCTGCCTTAAAAGACAAGATAAATTCTGTGCAAATTATATCTACTATTTTTACATTTTAATTTTTTCATAAGGGCAGTTTATGCTGGGTGCCATATTGGGCATGAGTGAGATAGCTGAACAAGACACAGTCCCTCCCTTCAAGGAGGGTACCCGCTAGTCCCTGGGGTCTTGGGTTTCCCACGTGATGGGTACTTCAGGAGCACATGGGAGGGTCTCAGAGCTCACAAAGGACTTCCCAAAGAAAAGAGCATCAGTACTGAGTTCTGAAGGATTACTCAGCCAAGCAAAAGAGTGAGTGGGGAAGGGGAAGAGAGGATGGGAGGTTCAGGCAGAGGGAGTAGTAAATCAAAAGGCCAGGAAGCCAGAGAGAGTCTGGCCCTTTCTGGAACTGAAAGTAGTTCAGGAAGGCTGGTCCATGGAGCCAAAGGAGCAGAGAGAAAGGCTGAAGAGGTTAAGCATAGGCATGCTTGTGAGGGAGAGAGGTGACATTCATGCTGAGGAGTATACATTTTATCCTGAGGCCAAGAGGGAACTGTTGAATTCTGAGCAGGGGAGCCATGGGTTTTGAATTTCAGAAAGATCATTCCAGTAGCAGGGTAGAGTATGGATTGGAAAGCAGCAAAACCAGAGGCAGGGCAACCAGTCTAATTACTATTACAATAAGCTGGGCAAAAGATGGAGCAATAGGAATAGCGTGAAGCAAGCAAATTTAAAGACCATTTAGAGAGCAAAATATGTGGGGAGCAGGATAGTTAAATTCTTGTGTAAGTGACAGCAAGATATTTACCCCAGCGCATATGAATTAATCACATGTCAGTCACTTGTGAATTGGGTACCTGTATGTGTTGGGTTTTGTTCCTTGGAAGGGAGTTTGTAACCTCCAAGATAATCATATCCTCCTGGGGAGGAGCTGAAACAGTAATCCCTTAGCAGAATCAACTCCCACAGCGTCTGACTGCAGCGTTGCAGTATATCTATCCAAACTAGTAGCTGGCATTTAGAGGTTTTCAATGCCTTAGAAGGGAACTGAAAGGGATCTCAGAGGCCCTTCTGTCTTGAGTGCAGCATTTTCTCATGGGCCTATACATTGCCCACAGCCACACAGTGTCTTTAGCGACAGGACTAAGACACAAAGTCTAGGGCTCCTAACTCCAGCCCTGGGCAAGGTTCCCCCTTCCCCAGGAGTCCCAGGGGGCTTTTCTGCAGAGCAACACACAGTTACAGTGGACAGATTTGCTAGCAATCCTTGGCTAGCAATTTGAAATTTGAAATGTGAGGGAGTGGCCTCCAGATTAGTGGTAAAACCAGCCGGCAGGTCCAAGTCTCCCCTTAAATGCATTTCCTGTTGATTAAAATTCAGGCTAAAACTAATAGCCAGGTTTAAATGAACATTAACCAACATAATCAGTGTTAACTTTTATGAAGAAAAATAGATTGATTCATGAGTCATAAGAAAAATGTCCAGTTTGCCAACTTTTATTTTCTGATGGCTATTGTCCATCCTTTAGAAAAAAAGTAATATAAGTTATGTATAAAGTTGGTAAATTTAATAATACCTTGCCAAAAATTTGAGCCAAGAGCTTGGAATTTTCAGTTGTATAAAAATTTTTATAGACTCATTTGAAAGTTACATTAGTTATTTCTTCTTTTAAGTCGGGATTTTTTTTTTTTTTCTTAACACAGGCACTGAAGGTCCTGAGAACTGCAGAGTTTGCTCCTTTTGTTGTTTTCATTGCTGCACCAACTATTACTCCAGGTTTAAATGAGGTAAGAATCAATCTGTTTTTCCCCAAATAAGCTGTAAGGATCAAGCCTTACTCCCCAGCACAGTCAGAAGCGTGTCAGTCTACATTTGCAGCAAGGCTGCTCTGATGAAATGGGATGTGGAATAGAATGCTACATGGGACAGTCTTATCAGTAAGCTGACTTCTAAAATCTGAGGACAAACACCCTCACTCCCACCAGGACCGAGGCATCCCAGGTGTCTCACAACCTCCAGGGCTGCCAGCCTATTCCCTCTCCGGATAGGGATTGTGTGGCCCCTGGAGTGGAACCTTTGTGGAATTTCTCTCCAGGCCCCTGAAGACTACCAAACCTAGAAATCAGCTCTGTCCACTGTCAAGCCAGCTCAAGTCAGAAACTGCCACAGACATGGTGCTCATGAGACTTGGCTGCTGACTTAGAAGGTTTTCCATTGCTGAGCAGATCAAAGGGTACTTACCATGTGTCTGCTAAGTGTAGCAGTGCCTATCTTCTGTAGGTTCCTTAGTTAAGGGGAGACTCTTATACCAAGTTATCCTGAAGACCATTGCTTTCACAGCTTCTAGAAATCATCAGAGGACTCTTGATTGACTCTGTTCAGTCAACACTGACCTAAACTCACTCAAGCTTAAAATCTAATTAAATCATGGCTTGGAAATTTTCCCTTTGTGTACCTTTAAGGAAGATTCAGGATTTTGATTTACCTATGTTACTCATATTTTCCGTCATTATGTTTTTGTCATTTCATCTGCAAGAGGTATATTCCTTTGTAAAATTCTACCTTCCCATCTTATTTAATACATAAGCATGTTTGAAACTCCACATTGTGGTTAGCTTTTATCCTTCAGTTGCCATGTATTTTTCTTGAATCATCATCTTTGCTTTGTTTTTGTTTTGCCTGTTTTCCTGCCCTTTTACTAATTTTCCATAGCTGCCAAAATGGTGCAGAAAATTGCCTGTAAGTACCAGCTAGGAGGTGGTGAAATACAGCCGTGTTTCTTTTAATAGATTTAGAATGTAGACACTTTGTTCCCACAAATCCTTGCTTTTGCTGTTAGAATAAAGGCATTTTGTTTTCACTGAGTTAAACCCTGCTCACGTGTGAGTCAAGCACACAGACAAGCTGTTGTCGAGGAAGAGACTGACAAATATAGCTTCGTCTTAAAAGATTCTTAAGAGGGAGCTTTATTTTTCTGTAAAGAGACCTACATTAAAAATGTGATACTTTCAGCCATAAATTTTCTTGAATATTTTCATCAGCCCAGCTTGCTGAGCAAATCATAAACCCTGCTAGTGGTTTTTGAAGCTCAGGACTATATATTCAAATAGAATCCCGTGTGCCAGAGAGTGATGTTGTAGGAATTGTTCCTTTTCATCCTGGTAGGAAGCACTCCTGTCTTTGGGTGAATGCACATTTGCTAAAATGGCGTTTTTTGCATTGTGTTGATTATGAAGTAAAGCCACAGTGAAAATACTATGCTTTTTAAGTGCAAGCCGAACTAGAAGGTGATGATTAACTGGGGTCTTATCTACACTGTAGTACTTAACACTAACATTCAAAGCATGCCCTGTCCTGCTTTGAAATGCCAGTAAAAGAGGACAAAACAGGTAGGACATTCTTGGTTCAGAGTGCCCTGAGAGAAAAGATTGAGTTCCTGTCTGCTGTGGTGTCTGCGCATGCCCACTGCAGTGCCAGGACAGAATCAAGCAAGTCTCTTTATCTCACTTCTAGTCCCCTTTCTTGAGAGCTGTACCCAGAGAGCTGAGGCTTGCCTGGACCTCCCAGCAGCCTCCCAGGAAAGGTCTCTTGCCAATAACAGAGGGGCTTTAGAGAAGAGGAGAGGAGGGGAGGGGCCCTAAGCCAGTACTGGGTACTACGGCTCCTAGGTCCTTGAAGGTACCGCATCTTTTATTTTCTCTGGAGATCTGTCTCTGTCACCCAGGGCCCCAATTTCCTGGAAGAATTGCTCAGTCTCTTGATTTTAGATTTAATACTTGTAAAACCCTATAATGACTGGCACTAGTCAGACAAGTGCTTGTTCTTTTGACAGCATTTATTAAGCACTTACTATGTGTAAGGCACTATGCCTAATGCTGGGGCACAGCAATTACAGGGCACACAAGACAAGTTTATGCCCTAGCTGGAGACATAGCCACTAATCAAATAAAGAGGTATTTCGTTATCTCTATGTATATTTAAGACTCAGCCCAAGAGCTCACCCACCTAGTGTTTGGCAGGTAGGGGGTGGTTAATTTGACTCACAAAGTTCCCTAGTGTCAAGGTTGAACTTGCCCTTTGGGAGTTCAGCATGACAAATATGACTTGCGAAGATATAGAGGCAGACTTCTTTCTGGTGGCTCTTAAGAGACCCCTGTCTTGAAAGAACTGCCACTCTGTAGCAGAAGCTATACTTGCATGACAAAGCTGGGACCCTAAACTCCCTCCTCCTGTTGGATCCCTCTTACAAGAGTTCTTAAAATCTGTGGCAAGCTGCAGCTTAGGGAACATCCTTTGTTGCAGCAAACCTCCCTAGAGTTCAGTACTCCCTAGAGTTCTCTTCCTTCTGTTTTTTTCATAAGAGATATGAGGACCTACGAACAGTGACATTTGTCTAGCCACTTCTAATGCAGACCAATTTGGGGGGATTCATCAGATGCCAGGTGCTGTTTATTGGGGAAACAGCCTTATTCCAGCCATTATTTGTAACACTCAAAGATCTTTTGCCTCTGGCATCAGCTGCTATTGAGTGAGGGCCATTATATGTAATTGAATTCCTAGAACGTGTGGCACCTTTAAGTAGAAGAGGAAAAAATACAACTTAATTTGTCATCCAAGGGCAGGGACTTGTTGGTGCAAACACAGCTGGGCCCTGAGGCCTGGCTCCAGTGAGTGTGGAGGACCAAGGGGACGGGGGCAAAGAGCTCCAGCCTTGCCACCGTAGCCCTCTCGCCAATTGGGAGAGTGGCTTGAGGCTAGGGCGGGGGGCTTCCTGCTGGCCTGTTTGGGCCACCATAGCCACTGTAACCCACACCTGGCATGGCCCTACCAAGCCTGACTCTGGGGACAGGCACAGCTAGGCCTGAGTGGGGGTGGCATGTTTCCTGAAGAGTATCTGTTTTCTCTGGTTCGTCTGCTTTGTCATGGACCCTCTGTTGCATGTTGAGCAATCACTGTCTCCTCTGTCATGGAGCGGACTTGGCCTCATGCTGGCATATGGCATATCAGGGTCTGGCCTTGACTGTTTCTGACACTGGGATGAACAAAAATGTGAAAAGAGAACGAATCCAACTGATTTCTCTCTTCTGTTTGCTTTTCCCTCCTCTCATGCCCACCCCTACCTCCATCTCATCACCATTTAGGATGAATCTCTTCAGCGTCTGCAGAAGGAGTCTGACATCTTACAGAGAACATATGCACACTACTTCGATCTCACAATTATCAACAATGAAATTGATGAGACAATCAGACATCTGGAGGAAGCTGTTGAGCTCGTGTGCACAGCCCCACAGTGGGTCCCTGTCTCCTGGGTCTATTAGGCCTCTCCCCAGATATCTGAGCATAACTGGGAGCACCTCATTTGTGGAAAAGCCTCTTTGTTATCGGCCTTGTGTCAGCAGGTCATGGTCCCTAGAGACTACCTAGTTGTAGTGTGACCTACATTTATAATTATTGTCATGTCCGAATAGATAGGAGGAGAAAAACAATTACACACTAATTTAAAGAGACAGTATCTTTTTTAATCAGTTCTCCTAAACTTTAATAAAATGTATCTTTAAATGTATGTATTATTCAATCCTTTGGAATGTTATATTTTTGGAAATCATAGCTTTTTATTTCCAAGGCCCCTAAAAACTGCACAAAATAGATGCTGCTTTCTATAATCTATTTTAATAATAATAAACAATGATTCTGTTACCTTGACTGGGGGTGGAACACTACATTCTTTTTAGAGTCTGATTTTATGGATTGGAATATTGGGATATCTTTCTTTCCTTTATTTATTTGAAATAATTAGTGTAGTGATTACAAAACAGTCATAAATTTTTAAAGGCCTTTTTTCTCTCTTTTTTTTTTTTTAGAATAGTATTTTTTTTTAAGTCCTTTATGTAACATCCAGATAATGTGATACTGTCTCTTTGAAGCACCCTGTAAACCTTTTAGAGATTTGAAGTTGGGTCTTGACTCTTAATGCATGTGGACAGTCGCGAGCGTTTATGCTGTCGGTGTGTCTGTGTTGGACAAAACAATCTGTAATCTACAGCAAAGTACATTCTACATTCCGTTCATGGGGCACACCCAGGGGAATAAGAATAAAATGCTATTATGACTAAGTTGTAAACCTATGCACATCCCTTGCATTTTGGGCAACTTTATAAAAAAAAAGAAACTGATTTTTATTAATAATAATCATGTAGTGAAATGTGTTTGTAATTTTGTCTCAATTTAATTTGTTGTAAGGTGGGGTGGGGGGAATTGCTGGTTTCACCATTTCAGATCTGTGTTGTCTAAGAGTATTAACGTTTTAATTAAGCAAAGAAATGATTTTTAATCTGTATGTAATTGTTTTAAAGCACCCATTTTAAGAGAAAATACTGTGCAATGAAGAAACCAGTTTAGGCATTTGCTATAAACTGAAATATTCCAAAAGAATCATCTATAACAGCCCTGTAAATTCCTTTAAAATGATAACTAACAGGACAGTTTGACCAATTTTTTTTAAATATACTTCCTTTTATGTGTTCAATAATTAAATGCCTTTGGGTCCTTCATTTCATTATAGATTTGTTCAGGCTTCCAAGCTGATAATCTTTACAATTGTATAATTTGTTAGATGCTCATTGAACCTTTGAAGGCCCAGGAGTGAGTATCAGTTGGCAGGGTGACAAAGTAGCCTGCCAGAGCACAGCTGGACCACGTCTGACTCGCACAGAGCCATGCGCCCAAGGGCCACGGGTGTACTGGAGGCCACCTGTGGTCTCTCCTTCCTCTTGCTGTATCCCTTGGCACAGGGGAATCATCTGTCCTTGTTGCTTTAGAGACATTAACCATCTCATAACTCTTCCATGAAGTCACATTCTTCCAATACAGGAGATTCGGGCTGGGGTTCTCAGACTCTTTGCCAGAGGTCAGTAGAATGTTTTTCATTAGCATGTGAGGGTGTGAAGTGCTTATATTAACCTGTGATCCTTGAAAACATACCATCATTTTTTGCTTCTTGTAGGTTAGATGGCCTTGTCACTTTGTGCCTTGGCAGGATGTGCAGGGTGTGTTCTGAGCTGAACAGCTCCTCTTAAAGGACCAAACAGAGAAGGCATTAGTATACTTCTTTTACATTGTCAACACCATACCCGCCTCCGCCCCCCACCGCCTATTATTAAATGGTGGCGATTTTTTTTTTTCTGATGTTGTTCTTTGCCAGTGACCAGATGAGTCTGCAACTTACTAACAAGGTATTGAGTGAACTACTTCTGTATGGGCCCCACAGTGGGGTGACCAAGCCACCAAACCAGAGATAAGCTCAACAGTGGTCTCACACTAGATAGAGAGAGAAACCTTCAAAGAGTTGGGTAGGGCTGTGTTAGAACTGATTCGAATCTGATAGATGCCAAGGCCAGACAGTCGTTCCTGGTATGGTACTGACCACAATTTCGGGCTCTTAGTGTGAAGGTGCGCACTCTACCTCTTTTCTGGTGAAGCACAAAGACAACTACAACTAACACATGGGAAACAGAAACTTCCCTCCCTCTAGTGGAAACCCCCACGCCCCCACTTGCCCTTTGAGCCCACATCTCCAGAGATGCTGATGATGCCTGTCTTAAGCCATCTGCCATATTTATAAAGGTGGATTAAGCAGAGGAGGAGAAAAGCAATGCCAACTTAAATGTCTGTGGCCCCACAATTCACAAGCACTGTAGCACTCATCCTCAGTGGCTTTATACGTCCTCTGAGAAGCACACAGGCAGGCATCATTCTTGCCATCATTCCGATGGTGAAATCCCTGCATGCAGAACTCATTGACTTCTCAAAGATGTTACCTGTTCCATTCCACTAATACATGTCTTCTCTAAAGCAGTGTCTTTATGACCTAGCTGCATATACTTACATTTCTGAATTCAGAGTAATTTCAGTACATTGCTGCTGCTGCTGCTGCTGCTGCTGCTGCTGCTGCTGCTGCTGCTGCTGCTACTGCTACATTACAATTGTCCACTAAGCAATCAGAGAAAATTGCTAAAAGCTTCTTTACTGCTTCCATTCCATCAGCAGAACCTTTTTTTTTCTTTCTTTCTTTTAAAGACCAGAATGAATGTTTAGAGTACTAAATCTTATTAGTGGTCAATTGAAGTATTGGAGAGCCACATTTTGAAGGTTCTCTCCCCCACCCAACTCCATTCCCCACAGCAAGAAAGGGAGTGTTTTTATATGTTGAATTCTTTGTTAAAAAGATGAAATGTCCTGATTTTCCAGTCACAAGACAGTAATTACTTTGCACATACAGCATATCCCATTTTAATGCTAAAAAGGGAAATGTCACTCAATTTAATTCATCTGGAAGTTTCCCAGTGTCAAGATAACATTGTAGCCTTTTTAAATGCAATTAAATGTATCTCTTGTCAGGTGAGATGATTTAAAATCTTTGCTCAGAGAGGAAAACAAATGGTTGACCTACTTCTTGCTATTTGCATTCAGAAGGCATCGTCCCAGCCCATCCTATTGGTGGCAGAATATCTAAAGATGTCGCAAAGTCCCCCACTGCAGTAGAAATGCAGGAGGTGTTCCTGTTCCCCGTCCAATTCCTTCTTAGGCTGCTAGAGACAGCCAGTGGGCCAAGCCTTCCCCTGTGCTCCAGGCAGGCCTGGGCTGCAGCTACTGTTACCTTTTTACAGCCTTTGATCTGATCGCTGCAGAGTTCTTTTGTTTTTAAATCACTTGTATTTGTCTCTTCATTAAGGCTTCAAGTTTATTTCTTGAAAAAGTTTAGTCAATTGAACCACCCTCCAGGAAGATTCCCAGCGTGGAAACTGCCCCTGAAAAACAAGGCAGCCCAAAGCCAGCTCTCTTTTGTCCCCCACTGATGTCATGTCCTTTTTTTTTTTCATTTCAGGCCAGTTTCTTAACTTGGGGCAAAGAGAATGTGTTGCTAAAGCTACCAAGAAAACTGCTTGATTAACAAATTCTTAATAGAAATGCCTCCCACACTGTCTCTTTGAAAAGAGAAGGCACCTTGGAATCGGCATTCCAAAACCAAGCTCCTTGTCATCCTCATCCCTCCTCCTTCTTGCTTCCTATTATCAAACTCGTGTGTGTTTCTTGTTTTCTCAGAACTGAACACAGCCTCCTAATTCCATCCTCTTGACTAGGGCTTACAATACTGAGAGCGATTACAGGCTGTAATAAGTTAAAGGTCCCTGAGCGTGGCTTTCTTGTTCTGCGCCTCTAATTAATTCTTCTATTAAAAGATGCTTTCCTTCTCACTGCAGCTTACAGAAAGGCTACAAGCTTTAATCACAGATCATTTCATTTGCCAGAGCCTTTCCTTTTCTAACTCCTTTAGAAATAAGATTTCCCTCTCTGTTTGGAATCTCTGGATACAGGACTCTCCTCCAAGCTCATGGCTTGATTGGCTTTGCCTGTGCACACACACATCAGTTTGCCTTAAACTTGGAGCTATGGGGAGTCCCAGATTTTCCAGCTTAGTGGGTGAAGTTTAGCTGTCACCTACATCCAGGAAGTGGGGGAAAAGGGAAAAAAAGAGGATATTCACCACCATGTTCCCATCCGGTCTTTCCCCTGCCTTGCTTTGTGCAGCAGGTGGGCAGACAGAGCCCACAGAAACAGAAGTAGAAAGAGGGCCGCACCATCTCTGGGGCCAGCACTCCTAAGTCTTAGCTCTTTGTGGGAATAGAAAATCCTGAGCTCCCACCACCTCTCGTCTGACCCTCCATCAACTCCCTCGAACCTGTGCAAATGGACTGAGCAAAAGAAAATGGAAAGAGATGTTTGTCACCACACAGGAGACCTCCTTTCTGGCCCCAAGCACAACTCCATCTCTGCGTATGCTCAGAAACTCAGAATTTAGCTGCTACTTATGTGTTAGCTCCATTCTCTCTGGTGTGTGACTGAGAGAACACGCCAGTGTTCTTACTGACAGAGGCTTAGGGGTGACCCTCTCTGGACCCAGAGGAAGTACAACCTCTGTAGCGAGAATTGTCCTTGGGAACAGAAACAGGCATTCCTCCACAGTGAGTGGCTCCCCCTATTTTTTTTTTATTTGGAAGAGACCAAGAATTGGGGGAATTGATTTCCAGTCTTAGCTGTTTCCCGGAATGTCATCTGTGCAGGCAGGTAGGCGGCTGCCGGGTGCAGCAGGCAGCGTGACTGATGTGAAGGCCGCCCAATCCTCACGTGCTAAGACCCGAGTATCGTGTTTAATTGCAGTGTAGGCACGTCGCCATTCAAACTCAGTTCTGGGGTGGTTTTGCATAAAGTTTTGCCAACGTGTTCTTTTTTCTGTATGTATTATTGCCTTTTTATAAAAGGTGTTGAAGTATTGTCTCAGTGATAAAAAGAGAGAGATGTTAATGGTTGTTGTATATTTCACCGTATCCAATTGTAAGTATTTGCAGGGTACAGCAGAGCCTTAGCTTGCAAGAGCGTTTGTGCAGGAGGTGTCCCTCAACACCCAGGAGCTGAAGGGATTGGAAAGGTTTGGATTCTTTGTAAATGTCCTGCTTTTCTTTCTCTCTGTGTGTATCTATTTACATGCCTTAGCACACGCCCTCCCATCCTGATCCCTTTGCCCTGTCGCCGGAACAACCAGAATGCTGGTGCGCTGCCGGCACAGTACAAGTTGATGAAACCCTAATCAGTTATCTTGTGTGACAGGGGAAGAAGAGAAACTCCATAGTATTCCTTGTAGAATATACATACCTGTAGGATGCTGTGTAATGGGAAACCATAGAATTGGGCTTTTGTCATTTCAAAGTTGGAGAAATGTATGAATAAAATGTATAAAACATGAAAAGGCAGTTGTCTCCTCAGATTGCAGGCCAAACAGCTTGGGGACAAACAACAGAGGGTTAAAAGAAGAGGGATGGCCTGATTTCTAAAGGCCTCTGCAGAGTTCATCCACACAGTTAGGCCTCAGACACCTTCCCACAATGGTTGGGGTGGGGTGGGGGTGTTGCAGAGGGACAGCTCCTGGCCCTGTAAAGGAGCACGACCCAGGCTCCTGGTGCCCATCCTGCAGGTTTCAGTCTTCAGCCATGGCTGTTAACAGACGGCATCCTGCAAGCAGTTCCAGCTCAGTTGCTTGCATTTGGATGCAGGCTTAAAATAGCTTCATCTTAAAAAAAAAAGAAAAAAGAAAAAGTCTAAGTTGTGACATCTCCTAGAAATAGAAGTCTAAATTGATTTCGGTGGTGTAGGTGCCACAGCATGGAAAATGTGGCCCTTGGTTGACATTTGCATCAAGAGCCGTGGGAGGACGCCTGCTCCAGGACTGCCGCTCCGCCCAGTGCCTTTGTGATTTCATGGTTTGATTTGGTCTCTGGCTGGAGTCTGGGACATGCTTCCTGGCGTGCCTCACTAACCTGGTTTACACACGATTCCTTCCCTGCCCTTGCCCTACGCTTTGCCCAAGCAAGGAACCATGGTGGCTTCAGAGACAACACTTGTATGTGTCACACACACCCTAGAAAGAGCCCAGGCCTGAATGAGCTTACCTGGCTCACTTTCAGAAGACACATACGAAGGAAACATAAACTACCAGTGATTATTTGCTTTACTCAAATAAATATCACGCTACAAAAATTGTATAGAAGAGTTTAGGCCACATTCAGACCCAAAATTTGAGCCCCTGGCCTTTTAGTTCAGAAAATCCTGTTACCTTTGTACAGACTTCTTACCCTAGATATACAGAGGACGGAAAGCAAAATGCTACCATTAAGCTCATTTTTTGAACTTCATGGTATTTAAAACACATCCAACATGGTAATATTAAGCTGGTCGAAAAATATAAACATGTCTTTTCTGTGTTTTTGCCCAATTTGCTATAACATGATAAACTGAAGAAATAACACTAGGGATCATTCCATGAACCGCTATGAACAGCACATCATGCAGAAAGAATGCAATGAGATTGGTGCAGGGTAATAGACAGAGTTCAAGGTCACTGAAGGTTGCAAGTCCCATGAAAGGTCAGTGTTGTAGTGCAAGTAAGCCACCCAGCCACTAAAGGAAGGGATGCTCTGGGAGAGAATGTTCCAGAAAGTGGTATGTGACTTTAACAACAAGTGAGCACACACACAAGGCATGGGGCCTGCAGATAAAATCCCATGGCTGTGGCACTGTCGGAAATACTGCACCCACCACACGTATTCCCTAATCTCCTCACCCATCATTACCTTTGAAGCCAGGTGCAGTGGCTGTCTCCTGTAATCCCAGCACTTTGGGAGGCCAAGGCGGGTGGATCACTTGAGGTCAGGAGTTCGAGACCAGCCTGGCCAACATGGTGAAACCCCGTCTCTACTAAAAATACAAACATTAGCTGGGCGTGGTGGCGCGTGCCTGTAATCCCAACCACTCAGGAGGCTGAAGCAGGAGAATCCCTTGAACCCGGGAGGCAGAGGTTGCAGTGAGCCGAGATTGTGCCACTGCACTCCAGCCTGGGTGACAGAGCAAGACTCCATCTCAAAAAAAAATTAAAAAATAAACCTTTCAGGCGGTGGTGCCCAGAAATGTTTTTGCCATAGATGCATTCTTAGGCAGGATCTTGAAAAGCTTCAATCTACTGCTGTTGCCCTCTTCGCTCCTCCAAAGGCAGCTTTATAACCCTCCCCCCATGGCCACTTGCCCTGCAGAGAATCTGGCTCCTTTCTGCCACCAGAATGGTCTGATGAACAACTTGAGAGTGACAGAGGGGGCAGCCTGCTGGGACCTCAAAAGTGGCTTCAGGCCGGGCACAGTGGCTCATGCCTGTAATCCCAGCACTTTGGAAGGCCAAGGCGGGCGGATCACCTGCGGTCAGGAGTTTGAGACCAGCCTGGCTAACATGGAGAAACCCTGTCTCTACTAAAAATGCAAAATTAGCCGGGTGTGGTGGCACATGCCTGTGATCCCAGCTACTCAGGAGGCTGAGGCAGGGGAATCGCTTGAACCCGGGAGGCGGAGGTTGCAGTGAGCGGAGATTGCACCACTGCACTCCAGCCTGGGTGACAAGAGGGAAACTCAGTCTCAAAAAAAAAAAAAAAAAAAAAAAAAGTGGCTTCGGGCCTGCAGGATGTTAAACTGAGGCCGGAGATGGGGAAATGGAGACCATGTACAAAGCAGGTGGCAGCAGCTTAGCCACACAGATCAACAGCTTACCACAGAATTTCCCTCAGAACTTTCTGGGGGTGGTGGAAATGTTCATTTCTTGTTTTCAGTGGTGGTTGCATGGGTGTATACAATGGTCAAAACACATCAGACTGAACACCTAGGATCTGTGCATTCTATTTTCTGTAAAATATGTCTCAGTTACAAAAAAGAAACAAGGAAAACCATGATCATCTTTGCAGCTGCCAAAAAAAAATCACTTCACAAAATTCAACACCCAGTTCTAATTTAAAAACAAACAAAAAACCCTTAAAAATAAGATAGGAAATATTCTTAGCATATACAGAATAACTGTTTCAACCCACAGCCAACATAATCCACCTAGAAGTGACAGAACAAAAGCAGTAAAATTGCCATTATTTAAAAATTAAATAACACGTGATCATCATAGAATGATTAGAAAATATGGATAAACAAACAAAAAAAAGGGAGATTCAACCACATTCTGCTATGCAGAGCCAACTGCTATAAACATATCTATGTATATCTGTCAGGCTAGCAGGCTAGTATAAATTTATGTATGTGTGTGTGTGTGTGTGTGTGTGTGTGTGTGTGTGTATATATATATGTTTTGCTTTTTGGTTTTTTTTTTCATTTTTGAGACAGGTTCTCACTCTGTTGCCCAGGCTGGAGTGCAGTAGCATAATCACAGCTCACTGTAGCCTCAACCTCCTGGACTTAAGTGACCCTCCCACCCCAGCCTCCCCAGTAGCTGGGACTACAGGCCTGTGCCACCACACCCAGCTAATTTTTGTATTTTTTGTAGAGATGGGGTTTCACCATGTCACCCAGGCTGGTCTCAAACTCCTGGGCTCAAGTAGTCTTCCCACCTGGGCCCCCCAAAGTGCTGGGATTACAGATGTGAGCCACACCTGGCCCTATACATATTTTTAATACAGTAAGAAAGTCATACTAAACACACTGTTCTATTACATAACATATCTTCCTCCATCATAATTATTTACTATTGCTTTTATTTATTTATCTTTTTAGGGTCCCACTCTGTCACCGAGTCTGCAGTGCAGTGGTGTGATCACAGCTCACTACAGCCTCAAACTCGGGCTCAAGGCATCCTCCCACCTCATCACCCCATGTAGCTGGGACTACAGGCACCACCATGCCCGGCTAATTTTTGTATTTTGTTATTATAGAGACGAGGTTTTGCCATGTTGCCCAGGCTGGTCTCAAACTCCTGGGCTCAAGCGATCTGCCAGTCTCAGACTCCCAAAATGCTACTATTGCTTTTAAAGCATTTCTCAACAACAGAACAGAGTATAACCATTGGAAAAGACACAAAATTGTCCATATTTGCTAATAATATCATTGTATACCTTGAAACACAAAAAAGGACAACCAGACAACAAGTAGCTGAGTTACAAAGCAGCTACTCGGGAGGCTGAGACAGAAAAATCACTTGAGCCCAGGAGGTGGAGGTTTCAGTGAGCTGAGATTGCGCCATTGCACTCCAGCCTGGGTGACAGAGCAAGACCCTGTCTCAAAAAATAAATAATAAATAAATAATAAAGAGCAGATACAAAAACACCCAGAAATCAATAGCATTCTTGTATATTCACAGTAAAGTTAGAAAATTAAATGGGGAAAGGATGCCATTCTCAAATGCAACAAGTGTTTTCAAACTAACAAATCCATGGGATCGATATGAGAAAAGGGCAAAGCTGCACTGAGAATATAAAAGATGCAAATAAACAGAGACATGTTTTTGGATGAAAGAATTAAATGTTTTAATGGCATCAGTTCTTTCCAAATTAATGTAGGCTTAATATAATACCAAATCAAATGCCACACAATGATTTTTCTGGGCCTTTATAAAATGACTGTTCATTGGCCGGGTGCGGTGGCTCACACCTGTAATCCCAGCACGTTGGGAGGCCGAGGCAGGCAGATCACGAGGTCAGGAGTTCGAGACCAGCCTGGCCAACGTGGTGAAACCCCATCTCTACTTAAAAAAAATACAAAAATAAGCCGGGTGTGGTGGGGCACACCTGTAATTCCAGCTGCTCAGGAGGCTGAGACAGGAGAATTGCTTGAACCCAGGTGGGGGAGGTTGCAGTTAGCCGAG
Source organism: Homo sapiens (assembly GCF_000001405.40). Lineage (NCBI taxonomy): Eukaryota > Metazoa > Chordata > Mammalia > Primates > Hominidae > Homo > Homo sapiens. Next base: position 41,510,502 of record NC_000023.11, on the reverse strand, counting down.
ATTGCACCACTGCACTCCAGCCTGGGTGACAGAGCAAGACTCGGTCTCAAAAAAAAAAAAAAAAAAAATTATATATATATATATATATATATATATATATATATATATATATATGTATACCAAAATTAGTTTCAGCCCAATTAAAGAGTTAAATATTAAAATTCAGTGCTAGAAAATGAAAACAAATAGAATGAGTAGTCAGTAAAACTCTGGAAGAGGGTAACTTTTTAACCTTATGCCGGAGAAAAAAGTCAGAAAGCAATTGAAAGATTTGACCCCATGAAACCATTACAGCATTTTTTTCTTTTCTTTTTTTTTGAGATGGAGTTTTGCTCTTGTTGCCCAGGCTGGAGTGCAGTGGCGTGATCTCGGCTCACTGCAACCTCCACCTTGTGGTTTCATGCAATTCTCCCACCTCAGCCTCCAGAGTAGCTGGGATTACAGGTGCCCACCATCACACCCGGCTAATTTTTGTATTTTTGTATTTTTAGTAGAGACGGGGTTTCACTATGTTGGCTAGGAATCTGATCTCAAACTCCTGACCTGGTGATCCGCCCACCTCGGCCTCCCAAAATGCTGGGATTACAGGCATAAGCCACCACGCCCGGCCAAAACCATTACAGCTTTGATATGAAAACTTGTAGACCACAAACAGAAAAGAAAGGCATTTTACAGCAAATATAATACACAAAGAGTTAATATATTTATTATGCAATGAAGACATAAAGTGGTTAAAAATGCTAACATTCCAACAAATGAACAAAGGACATGATGAACATTGCACAGACTATACAGAGAGCTACTATTAAAAACATTGAAAAATATCTCAATGATCAAGAAAATGTAAGTGACACAGTGGCTCGCGCCTGTAATTCTAGTACTTTGGGCAGCTGAGGCAGGTGAATTGCTTGAGCCCAGGAGTTCGAGACCAGCCTGGGCAACATGTCAAAACCCCATCTCTACAAAAAGTACAAAAATTAGCCAGGCGTGGTGGCATGCGCCTGTAGTCCCAGCTACTCAGAAGGCTGAGGCGGGAGGATCACCTGAACCCGGGAAGTGGAGGTTGCAGTGAGCTGAGATCCTGCCACTGCACTCCAGCCTGGGTGACAGAATGAGACTCCGTCTCAAAATAAATAAGTAAATTTAAAAAAAATTAAAATAATAAAGGCAAACAGTACATGGTGGCACACACCTGTGGTCCCAGCTACTCAGAAGGCTGAGGCAGGAGGATCACTTGAGCCCAGGAGGTCGAGGCTGTAGAGAGCCATGATTGCGCCACTGCACTCCAGCCTGGGTGACAACAAAACCCTGTCTCTAAATAAATAAATAAAAATAAAGGCAATCAAGCTGGGTGTGGTGGCTCACGCCTGTAATCCCAGCTAGACAGGAGGATCACTTGAGGCCAGGAGTTTGAGACCAGCCTGGGCGACATAGCAAACCCTGATTAAAAAATTTTTGTAAAAAGGCAATCAGTACCATTGACTGAGCCGTCACTCTGATGTTCCGGTCACTGAGTGCTTTGCATGCCTCAGCGTACCTCCACCCTGAGTCCTCTGACCTGAGGGCTCTTAACCATAAATATTACTAAATATCCCCAAATTTAAACAGTGCTTTATGATAGGATAATCAATGAAGTTTTTCTTTATTTTACAAGTCTACTTGTAATATTTTATTTATTTATTATTATTATTTATTTATTTATTTTGAAACAGAGTCTGACTCTGTCACCCAGGCTGGAGTGCAGTGGTGTGATCTCAGCTCACTGCAACCTCCGCCTCCTGGGTTCAAGTGATTCTCCTGCCTCAGCCTCCCGAGTAGCTGGGATTACAGGCGCCTGTCACTACGCCTGGCTAATTTTTGTATTTTTGGTAGAGGTGGGGTTTTGCAATGTTGGCCAGGCCGATATTGAATTCCTGGACTCAGGTGATCTGCCCGCCTTGGCCTCCCAAAGGGCTGGGATTACAGACCTGAGCCACCGTGCCCAGCCTCTGTACAGTTTTTAAAGTGAATCAACCTGAGCACTTCTTTTATGGCTGCCTGATGGGAGCGTAGCAGAGAGCATGGCCTGGGAATGGCTGACGCCAGCCACTCTCCGGGTCCGCTTTCACCATGTCACTAGGCCTGGCTGCCACCATCAGGAGCCTGGGAACATTTCTGCTTCCCTGCGAGGACACCCTTCTCTAGCCAGCCAGACCTGAGAACTGGGGGCTCACAGAGTGGCAAAGAGGAAAAGGGACGAAGTCAAAGGACACCTCATAGCAAGACATGAAATTCAGTCCGAATAATTTATTCATCCCAATAAGTGCTTTGGATTTCTGCCTAAGAACTCAAGCTGGCAATTTTCAGCTAAGTGAGCTACACAGCTTGTTCATCTAAACAAACTGCAGTGGCAGAGTTGTACTAGGCTGAAAAGCATAAACATCTTAAGGGCAGAGTTGTCCAATCAGAGAACAAAATATATTAGTGAGCTTAAGTGAAGTAGTGAACACAGTGTGCAGGGCCCTAGGAACAGAATAGAGATCCCAGAAACAGAGCCTGGGCGGATGAAAAACTGAAGATGACAAAGATGGGACTTCAGGCCGGGCACGGTGGCTCACGCCTGTAATCCCAGCACTTTGAGAGGCCAAGGCAGGCAGATCACCTGAAGTCAGGAGTTTGAGACCAGCCTGGCCAACGTGGTGAAACCCCGTCTCTACTAAAAACACAAAAAATTAGCTGGGCGTGGTGGTACACGCCTGTAATCCCAGCTACTCGGGAGGCCGAGACAGGAGAATCGCTTGAACCCAGGAGGCTGAGGTTGCATTGAGCTGAGATCGCATTATTGCACTCCAGAGCGAGAATTCATCTCAAAAAAAGAAAAGAAAAAGATGGGACTTCAGTGTAGTGGTGAAATCATGAACTCTTCAAGAATTATTCATATGGAAAAAATAAAATTAGATCCCTACCTCATGATACATAAAAAATAAAATTTTAGATGGCTGAAAGGTCTGTGAAAATCTTAAAATATTACATACACATACACACATACACATATACACACACATATTGGGCTATATATATATACATATATACATATACACATATATACATATATATACACATATATACATATATACACATATATATACATATATATACATATATACACACATATACATATATACATATATACACACATATACATATATACATATATACACACATATATATACATATATACATATATACACACATATATACATATATACACACATATATACACACATATATACATATATAATATATATACATATATACACATATATACATATATACACATATATACATATATATACACATATATACATATATACACATATATACATATATACACATATATATACATATATACACATATATACATATATACACACATATATATACACATATATATACACGTATATATACATATATACATATATATACATATATATACACAAAATGTATAAGTTATGAAAGAAAAGGATTGATAAAGTTGAATCTCTTGAAATTGAAAACTGAAAAGTTTATTTGCAAAAATCTGCATAAACAAGCTAGGTGCTCCCAGCACTTTGGGAGGCTGTGGCAGGAGAATGGCCTGAGTCCAGGAGTTTGAGGCTGTAGTGAACTATAGATTGCACCACTGCACTCCAGCCATGGCCACAGAGTGAGACCCTGTCTCTTAACCAAAAAAAAAAAAAAATTCCCATAAACAAACTAAAAAGATAAGCCACAGGCCTGGAGACACTAGCAGCACATGGAACTGCCATCCAGAACTTATAAAGAACTTCAAAAATTCACTTTTCTGGTGTGGTGGTACACGCCTGTAATCCCAGCTACTCGGGAGGCTCAGGCAGGAGGATCGCTTGAGCCCAGGAGTTCAAGACCCACCTGAGTGACATAGCAATACTCCATCTCCAAAATTAAAAAAATATATATATATATTTTATATTTCATGAATAGCACACTATGTAATTTGGACCCAATCCTCATTCTTAAGACAACTAAAGCAGCTGATGATTGAAATATTTAAAACATCTGTTTGGAAACTTTTGCAAACTAACAAGATAGTTTGGGCCAGGATCTGGGAGAAAATTGATGTCCAAGGGAGGGAGAGAGCACTGAAGGCCACTTCTCCTCAGGTGCCATTTGCCCACTCCAGAAGAGGCAGCCTAGAAGCCGACCAGCACAGGGGTTGGGGGAAGGAATTGGAGTCGGGTGTGTCTGCTGGAGTGAGAGGGGCTAGCGTACTTCTCTCACTTTCAGTGGGGACCCTGAAAGTTTGCCTCCTAGGAGGAAGGGTGAACCTCAAACCGGTCCTCACAGCAACTGCTCACCTTCAGATCTTCTCAAGCCCTGACATTTGATTGAAGTGATCCCAGCTTGGTTGTGTCCTGGGTGCTTCCCAGAAGAAAATGTCATTCATCCCTGGAGGAAGTTAACATACTCCTAGGCCTTAAATAATGTCTACAATTTAGCAGATACAATGTGACAAATGACACAAAATAATTAGGCACATGAGGAGAAAACAGGTAAATAGATGGATACATCTGTATAAACAAATAGCAATCAGATCTTTTGGGTTTTAAATATACATAGGATTAGGCCGGGCGCGGTGGCTCACGCCTGTAATCCCAGCACTTTGGGAAGCCGAGGTAGGTGGCTCACCTGAGGTCAGGAGTTCAAGACCAGCCTGGCCGACATGGTGAAACCCCGTCTCTACCAAAAACACAAAAATTAGCCGGGCATGGTGGCATGTGCCTGTAATCCCAGCTACTCGGGAGGCTGAGGCAGGAGAATCACTTGAACCAGGGAGGTGGAGGTTGCAGTGAGCTGAGATCGCACCACTGCATTCCAGCCTGGATGACAGAGGGAGACCCTGTCTCAAAAAATAAATAAATAAATAAATAAATAAATAAACATAGAATTAAAATACATGTCACACCTGTAATCCCAGCACTTTGGGAGGCCAAGCCAGGGGCATTGCTTGAGACCAGTAGTTCAAGACCAGCATGGGCAACATAGTGAGACACTGTCTCTACTAAAAATAATAAAATAAAATTAGCCAGGCACGGTGGCACACACCTATAGTCCCAGCTACTCAGGAGGCTGAGGTGGAAGGATTGCTTGAGCCCAGGAAGTCGGGGCTGCAGTGAGCCAAGATTGTGCCACTGCACTCCAGCTTGGGCAACAGAGTGAGACCCTGTCTCAAAAAAAAATTTTAAAAAGATTTAAAATACATGATAACTCTGACATATAAGTTGCAAAGGAGGTAAATAGAGTTAATATGTCTTAAAGTCTTTACATTGTCAAGGGAGAAGGGATTAGGATTAATTAATTTGGCAAGTCAAGGATGCAAGCTTAGAGCAACCACTAAAAGAAAAATGAGAATGTATAACTTCCAAGCTAAATTAAACAGGACACAAAAGCACAAACCATAAAGAAAGAGATTAATAAATTGGACTATTAAATTTGGGATGTTAAGAATTAAGATCTATTCATCAAAACATATAATAAAAAGCTGAAAAGGCAGCCTTGGCAACATAGTGAGATCCCGTCTCTACAAAAAATAAAATTAAGCAGGCATGGTTGTGTGTGTCTGTGGCCCCAGCTACTCAGGAGGCTAAGGCAGGAGGATTGCTTGAGCCCAGGAGGTCGAGGCTACAGTGAGCTGTGATCATGCCACTGCACTCTAGCCTGGGCCACAGAGCATGACCCTCTCTCAAAAAAAAAAAAAAAAGAAAGAAGATGAAGAAGAAGAAGCTGAAAAGGCAAACCACAGAATGGGCCTGGCATTTTTTGAACAACCTCTGAAATTTGGAATTTCCTACATTATAAGTAAATCTCAAAGTAGAAGCCACAGGCTCTCTTTCTCAGCTTCCCTTGCAGCTGACAACCAGGCATGTGTGTGATCTAGGTTCTGCCCCTGTAAGGCACCTGGATTCAGAAGAAAGCAACATGAGGAGTAAGTGTCCAATGAGGAGCTTTATAATCAGGATGGCAGTGGTGGCATCTGGCTGTCAGGGGCAGAGGTGACAGAGGTTCTGATTCCCATGCCCAGCAGCAGTGGCCATGGGGCTTCGCCGGAGGAACCCCTCAAGACAGTTTGGATTTTCTTTCTTTTTTTTTTTCTTCACTATTGAATGTCTGGTCCATGCCAGAATTCCTTTTTTTTTTTTCTTAAAGATGGAGTCTCACTATATTGCCCAGGTTGGTCTCAAACTCCTGGGCTCAACCTATTCTCCTACCTCAGCTTCCTGAGTAGCTGGGACTACAGGTGCAAGCCACCATGCCCAGCTCACCCCAGGATTCTTTGATCTACCCTAATAGTTTTTTAAATTCTAAATTTAAAAAATTAAACTTGAGATACTTTGAAACAAAAAAGTTCCAAATATAGGTGGGGCACAGTGGCTCACATCTGTAATCCCAGTACTTTGTGAGGCCGAGGCAGGAGGATTGTTTGAGGCTGAGAGTTCAAGACCAGCCTGGACAACACAGTAAGACCCTGTCTCCACAAAAATAAATGAATTTATTTTCTTTTTTTGAGATGGAGTTTCGCTCTTGTTGCCCAGGCTGGAGTGCAATGACGCTATCTTGGCTCATTGCAACCTCTGCCTCCCAGGTTCAAGCCATTCTCCTGCCTCAGCCTCCTGAGTAGCTGAGATTACAGGTGCACGCCACCATGCCTGGCTAATTTTTGTATTTTTAGTAGAGACGAGGTTTCACCATGTTGCTCAGGCTGGTATCAAACTCTTGAGCTCAGGTGATCCACCTGCCTCAGCCTCCCAAAGTGCTGGGATTACAGGCATAAGCCACTGTGCCCGGCCTGAATATTTTTTTAAAAAAAGAAAAGAGTTGCAAATATAGTACAAAGAATTTCCATATACTCAGACTCCCTAAATGCTAATATTTTATATAACAGTATAGGGCCAGGCATGGTGGTGCACACCTGTAATCCCAGCACTTTGGGAGGCCGGGGTCGGTGGATCAGGAGGTCAAGAGATCGAGACCATCCTGGCCAACATGGTGAAATGCCGTCTCTACTAAAAATACAAAAATTAGCTGGGCGTGGTGGTGCGCACCTGTAATCCCAGCTACTCAGGAGGCTGAGGCAGGAAAATCTCTTGAACCCGGGAGGTGGAGGTTGCAGTGACCCGAGATCATGCCATTGCACTCCAGCCTGGGCGACAGAATAAGACTCCGTCAAAAAAAACACACACACACACACAGTAAAGGCAGGGCACGGTGGCTCATGCCTGTAATCCCAGCACTTTGGGAGGCTGAGGTGGGTGGATCACCTGAGGTCAGGAGTTGGAGACCAGCCCAGCCAACATGGCGAAACCACATCTCTACTAAAAATTCAAAAATTGCCAGGCAAGGTGGCTCACGCCTGTAATCCCAGCACTTTGGGAGGCCGAGGCAGGCAGATCACGAGGTCAGGAGATTGAAAGCATCCTGCCTAACAAGGTGAAACCCCGTCTCTACTAAAAATACAAAAAATTAGCCGGGTGTGGTTGCGGGCGCGGTTGCGGGCGCCTGTAGTCCCAGCTACTCCGGAGGCTGAGGGAGGAGACTGGCGTGAACCCGGGAAGCGGAGCTTGCAGTGGGCCGAGATCGCACCACTGCACTCCAGCCTGGGCGACAGAGTGAGACTCCGTCTCAGAAAAAAATAAAATAAAATAAAATAAAAAATTAGCTGGGTTTGGTGGTGGGCACCTGTAGTTCCCAGCTACTCAGGAGGCTGAGGTACAAGAATTGCTTGAACCCAGGAGGCAGAGGTTGCAGCGAGCCAAGATCACGCCACTGCACTCCAGACTGGGTGACAGAGTGAGACTCCGTCTCAAAACAAAACAAAAATATATATATATATATATATATATAAATTAAAATTAAAAAATGTAAAATGTAAAACTATAACAACAGTACAAAGATGAAAATTAAGAAACTAACACTAATACATTACTGTAATCTAATTTAGAGACTTTATTCAAATTTTACCAGTTGCCTCACTAATGTCCTCCTTTTTCTGGTCCAGGATCACACATCATCCTAGTCATCATCATGTCTATTTCAATCTGGGCTAGTTCTTAAGTCTTCCTTTGTCTTTCATGACCTTGACACTTTTGAAGAGTACCAGTTATTTGTTGAACATTCCTCAATTCTGGTGTCTCTGATGTTTCCTCATGATTAAATTCAGGTATGCATTTCTGTAAGAATACCACAGAAGTGATAGTGTGTCCTTCTTAGTGCATTATATCAGGAGGCACAAGTTGTCAATTTGTCTGATTTCTGGTGATGTGAACATTGATCACTTTATTAAAGTGGTGCCTACCAGGTTTCTCCACTATTAAGTTACTGATTTTCCCCTTTGTAATTAAAAGCTACCTTGTGTGGACCTAATAGCTTTTAATACATTCCTTCTGTACTTAAACTAGCTAGAATGGTTCTTGATTCTAGAACGCTGACTTATTTTCTATTCCTAGTTTGTCAAGAATGTTTATCAGGAATGTGTTTTGAACATTATCAAATAATGTCTTTTTTTTTTTTTTTTTTTTTGAGATGGAGTCTAGCTCTGTCACCCAGGCTGGAGTGCAGTGGCGTGATCTTGGCTCACTGCAAGCTCCGCCTCAGCCTCCCGAGTAGCTGGGACTACAAGCACCCACCACCACACCCAGCTCATTTTTTTTGTTTTTTGTTTTTGTTTTTTTAGTAGAGACGGGGTTTCAAATGTTAGCCAGGATGATCTCAATCTCCTGACCTCGTGATCCACCCACCTTGGTCTCCCAAAGTGCTGGGATTACAGGCGTGAGCCACCGTGCCTGGCCCAAATAAATTCTTTGGCCATTATTGAGATAATTATATGGATTTTCCCCTATTAAGGGAGTGAACTGCCAGGCATGGCGGCTCATGCCTGTAATCCCAACACCTTGGAAGGCCAACATGGGAGGACTGCTTGAGCCCAGGAGTTTGAGACTAGCCTAGGCAACATGGTGAAACCTTGTCTCTATAAAAAATACAAAAATTAGCCAGGCATAGTGGCATGTGCCTGTAGTCCCAGCTACTCAAGAGGCTGAGGTGGGAAGATGGCTTGAGCCTGGGAGACATAGGTTGCAGGGAGCCAAAATCATATCACCGCACTCCAGGATGGGCAACATAGCAGACCTTATCTCAAAAAAAGAAAAAAAGGTAGTGAAACATCCTTGCATTCTAAGGGACATTCTTAATAGTCCTGAGAGTTCCTCATAATATCCAGATAATCAATACAAGAAAAAGATCAATAAAAGTGAATCCACTTGAAATAGGGAGCAAGACTGTGTTAAGTAATAAAGAAAAAGTTCTGATTAAAACTCTTATCTTGGGAATGAAACCTAAAATTTATGAAAATAATGAATATATTTGATCTTATGCCCTCAAAAATATGGCATAATTGGCCAGGCACAGTGGCTCACGCCTGTAATCCTAGCACTTTAGGAGGCTGAGGCGGGTGAATCACCTGAGGTCAGGAATTCAAGACCAGCCTGACCAACATGGAGAAACCCCATCTCTACTAAAAATACAAAATTAGCCTGGCGTGGTGGTGCATCCCTGTAATCCCAGCTACTCAGGAGGCTGAGGCAGGAGAATTGCTTGAACCTGGGAGGTGGAGGATGTGGTCAGCCTAGATAGCGCCATTGCACTCCAGCCTGGGCAACAAGAGTGAAACTCCGTCTAAAAAAAAAAAAAGGCATAATTGCAACTGTGCTGTGATACTTAGAAAAAGTAATAGATTAAATTTTTTATATATTTTTGTACAAAATTGTATGATGGAATATACTATGCCTTTTACTTTATGATTGACTTTTGGAGTAGAAAGATAATCATTTCAGTAAAAGGTACTGGGGCTTCATTGATTTTCCCAAGGGTCTCTGTCAATCTTTTGCTTATCACATGTCTTAGTCTGTTTTCTGCTGCTGTAACAGAATACCACAGATTGGGTAATTTACAAAGAAAACAAATTTCTTTGGCTCACGGTTCTGGAGGCTGAGAGGTCCAAGATCAAGGGGGCCACATCTGGTGAGGGTCTTCTTGTTGTATCATAGCATGTCAGAAGGTATCACAAGGCTAAAGAGGGCAAGAGAACACGAGACAGAGTAAAAGGGAGCCAGACTCTCAAGATAACTAACCCACTCCTGAAGTAACAACATTAATCCATTCATAAAGGGGGGCCTCGGTCCAGCCCAGGTTGCTGCTGGGATGTGATCATTGGCAGGGATGACATTGACAGGGACAGTCAGCTGGAGAGGACAAGGACAGGGCACAGCTGGACTAGGGTGATGATGGCCACAGGCTTCCCACAGGGTGGGAGGGAAAGGCTTCCAGTCCCACTTGTAAGGGCTGCCTGCCATTCCATAGCCACTGTCTCCTCTCTTGTGGATGGGAAGATGGTGGCACCTTCCTAACCAGTGTGTGGGGAGGACTAGATGGGAGAGGCCTCCTAGTGCAGAGGCTCACAGCCCTCGCTCAGCCACTGGGAGCTGTCGCCACCTGCACTGTCCTCCTGCCACAGGTGTCTGTGGGCAAGGAGAGAGTTCTGCCAAAGCCAGAGCTAGGGTTGGACCCCCAGGGCTCCTTGGTTGGCACCTGGAGGGAGAGTGGCATGTTTGCCCCATGGTCCTGGTGGCCCAGCTCTGCCCATTGCCTTCGGGGTCAGAGGCTCTTCATCCTGGCTGGCAGCTGCTGCCCAGCTCTCTGGCTGGAGCTGGTGCCTCTTAGATAGTATCACCATCTGCAGAGGAAAATAGAAATGCTGACTAATATTTGATGAAGGCCTACTATGCTGGTAGCACTTGATGTGGCCAGGTGAAGTCCTGAGGGCAGCAGCTGAGGCTCCCTGTTCCCCAGTGTCCCTGTCCATGAGATGGGCATATCTAACTCCTGGGATGACTTTGAAGGTAAGATGCTTCCTGCAGGTGCTTGGACCAGTATCTGGCACAGGGCAGGTGCTCAATGAAAGTTGGATATTAATCGCTGTACTTTTCACTATTGGAAGTAACCCAGTGTGTTTGCTCGGTGGTTGAACAAGCACTGTGGGAGAAGGTGGTGTATCTGTTCACCCCTGGGTCCCCAGTGGCTGAGGCAGAGACAGCCACGTAGGAGGCATTCAATACGTACATTGGACGGAAGATTGAATTGCATAATAAAAGATATTAAAGATTTCCAGCGTGAAGGAGTGAGGAGGTCAACAAACCCTCTCCCCAAAATGCACCTGTAAATCTGAACGAAAGCCAGAAACAACCATTTCAGTGCTTTGGAATTTAACCAAAGGCAAACAACAAACCAAGGAGTGTTTATTCGTCAAAGAGCCAGGTGCTGTGGTTCCAGCTACTCAGGAAGCTGAGGTGGGAGGATCACTCAAGTCCAGGAGTTCAAAGCTGCAGTGAATTATGATCGCACCACTGCTCTCCAGCCTGGGCGACAGAGAGAGACCCCACCTCTAAAAAGAAAAAAACCCTGAACTTTAGGATAAAACCCAAAATTACTTGGCATAAGTGAACCAGGAAAATATCAATTTAAAAGGAGAACAACAGTCAGTAAACGCTAACACTGAGATAGCACAGACTCTGGGATTTGTTAAAAAGCACCAAAACACAGTTGTAAGCCTTTTACATCAAGCAACGGACAGTTGGGCGTTTGACAAAATTTAGCATGCGTTCATGATGAACATCCCAGCAAAGCAGGAACAGAAAATAACTTCTTCAATCTAAGAAAGACCTCTGACGAAGTACAGCCAGTGCTGTACTGAGGTGAGAGAATCCTTTTCCCAGGACCAGGAGCAGGATGAGTACATCCACTCTTGCCCCTATTATCAACACCTACTGGCCAGGCATGGTGGCTCACGCCTATAATCCCAGCACTTTGGGAGGCCGAGGCGGGTGGATCACTGGAGGTCAGGAGTTCAAGACCAGCCTGGCCAACATGGTGGCCCCCCATCTCTGGGTGAAACCCCATCTCTGCTAAAAGACAAAAAAACAAAAACAAAAAAAAACTGGGTGTGGCGGTGGGCGCCTGTAGTCCCAGCTACTCAGGAGGCTGAGGCAGGAGAATCGCTTGAACCCGGGAGGTGGAGGTTGCAGTGAGCCAAGATCACACCACTGCACTCCAGCCTGGGTGACAGAGCAAGACTCTGTCTCAAAATAAACAAACAAGAAAAAAAAAAAAAACATCTACTGGGAGTCTTAGCCAGTAAAATAAAACAAGAGAAACAAATTACAGGAATACAAATTGAAAATGCAGAAATAAACCTGTCGCGATTCCCAAACAACATTGTTGTCTATGTAGAAAATCCCAAGGAATCTACAAAAAAGCAAATTCAATGAAGTTCAATGAGTGGGGTTACCAAGATTGCAAGATACAAAGTCAACACGCAAAAATCCATTGTATTTGACATGGTTTGGTTCTGTTGCCCCGCCCAAACCTCATGTTGAACTGTGATTCCCAGTGTTGGAGGTGGGGCCTGGTGGGAGGTGGTTGGGGGTAGTTTCTAATGGTTTAGCACCATTCCCCGAGTGCTGTCTGGTGATAGAGTTCCCCCTAGACCTGGTGGTTTGAAAGTGTGTAGCACTTCTCCCTTCACTCTCTCTCTCCTGCTGCCATGTGAAGACGTGCTTATTTCCCCTTTGCCTTCGGCCATGATTGTGAATTTCCTGAGGCCTCCTGCACAGCCTGCAGAACTGCGAGTCAATTAAACCTCTTTTCTTTAAATTTTTTTTTAAAGGCAGGGCCTCATGACCTAATCACATCTTAAAGGCCCCACCTCCTAATACCACTACACTGGCAATTAAATTTCAACATGAGTCTTGGAGGCGACATTCAAACTGTAGCATTATGCTCTTTTGATGTTCCCATCATCACCATTGTCAATTTATTCTTCAATTGCTACTTGGTATCACTACCAGAGGCTCATTTGTCAAGAGCTTTGCAATGCAGTTCAGCATCATTTTCACTGACATTATAAAATCTGCATCTTTTTGCAATGTTTGTAATTTCCATTTGTAATCAAGTGCATAGTACTGTTTAGCACAGTTTAATTAGGTATCACAACATCAGACAATCATCAAGAGACTGATGACAAAGACATGGAAGCAAAGGCCAGGCAGGGCTTCTCAGACAGAGGAGAGTTTAAATGGGGACTAATTTTGCAAATGATCAGTTTATTAGTATATAGTTACAGGTTGTGATAATGTTTGCTTTCTGGAACAAAACTCACAAATAGCAGGAACCCGGATACTGTCTACTTGGAAAATAAAGATATTTATGTTATTCTTTTAATTTTTTCATCTTTTCTTTATTCCAAAGCAGTTATTTTTTCCCTTTATCTTATCCCAGAACAAATTCTGGGGGGATTATTTGCACAGTTGCTCTGAATAATCTCTGAATGCCTGTATCTTTCTGTCCCTCTCTCAAGATTGAGAGACCCAGACAGGAGTATCCATTTGGGGCTGCCTTGATCACACCCCCACCTGCCAGAGAGGGAGAGGAAAGAATATTTGCCTCTCTTCATCATTTAAAGTGGAAAGTAGGGCTCCACCTCCCCACCTACCTTGAAATATACCCCCAAATAGGAATCATGTTCAGATGCTTGACCCCCAACATTGAGAGAAAGAGTTGGGGAAGAATATTCTTTGTTCTCGTTGCAAAATGACATTCAACAGCTCAAAACCAAACTCATTATTTCCCTCTTGCTTCTACCCAAACCTGCTTCTCCTCTGTCTTCTTCCACTTCAGAGTGAATGGCCCCCAAATCTACCCATCATTCAAGACACAAATTGAAATGTGTTCTAGGCTGGGTGTGGTGGCTCACGACTGTAATCCCAGCACTTTGGGAGGCCAAGGTGGGTGGATCACCTGAGGTCAGGAGTTCGAGACCAGCCTGGCCAACATGGTGAAACCTCGTCTCTACTAAAAACAAAAATAAAAATAAAAATAAATTAGCTGGGCGTTGTGGCAGGTGCCTGTAATCCCAGCTACTCAGGAGGCTGAGGCAGGGAAAATTGCTTGAACTCAGGAGGCAGAGGTTGCAGCAAGCCAAGACCAGCCACTGCACTCTAGCCTGGACGACAGAGCAAGACTCCGACTCAAACAAACAAACAAACAAACAAACAAATGTGTTCTAGATGTTTCCCATTTCCTCCCTCACTTCCCACATCCAAAGCATGGCCAAGTCAAGTCACTTTCGCCTTCTAAACATCTCTCCAATGTGTCCCCTCATCTCTGCCTCCAGTCCTAGATTTTCCAACCTCCCCACTTTGGAAGCCTTCATCCTTTCTTATGGAGGCCGTGGAAATGGCATCCTAACTGATTTCTCATCTCCTCACTCACCAAAATAATATTTCTAAATCACAACTCTTACTCCATTTCTTCTTTGCTTAAAAACTTCCAAGTGGATAAAGAAAGCATGGCATGTATACACAATGGAATACTATTCGGCAATAAAAAGAATGAAATCATGTCTTTTGCAGCAACATGGATGGAATTGGAGGTCATTATCTTAAGTGAAAACAAGCCAGGCACAAAAAGACAAATATTACACCTTCTCACTCATGAGTGGGTGCTAGAAAAGGTGTAGACATGGATGTAGAGAGTGGAATGATAGACAATGGAAATTCAGAAGGGTGAGGGGAGGGCGAGAGGGATGAATGATGAGAAATTATTTAATGGGTACAAAGTATATTTTGTGGGTGTTGGATACCCTAAAAGCCCTGACTTGACCACTATGCAATCTATGTGGGTAATGAAATTGCACATGTACCCCATACATTTATACACATTTTAAAAAATATATTAAAAAGGTTCCAAGAGCCATCAACTGATGGCAAATGAATAAACACAATGCGGTGCATCCACACAATGGAATATGATTGAGCCATAAAAAAGAATGCAGTGCTGGGCCCGGCACGGTGGCTCATGCCGGTAATCCCAGCACTTTGGGAGGCCGTGGCAGGCGGATCACCTAAGGTCAGTAGTTCGAGACCAGCTTGGCCAAAATGGTGAAACCGTGTCTCTACTAAAAATACAAAAATTAGCTGGGCGTGGTGGCGGGTGCCTGTAATCCCAGCTACTCAGGAGGCTGAGGCAGGAGCATCACTTGAACCCAGGAGGCAGAGGTTGCAGTAAGCCAAGATCGTGCCACTGCACTCCAGCCTGGGCAACAAGAGCAAAACTCCGTCTCAAAAAAAAAAAAAAAAAAAAAAAAAGAATGCAGTGCTGACACACACTACAACATGGATAGACGTTGCAAACATTATGCTCAGTGAAAGAAGCCAGACACAAAAGGATGCATATGTCAATTCCACTCATATGAACTAACCAGAACAGGCAAATATATAGAGACAGACAGTAGATTAGTGGTTTCCAGTTCTGGGACAGAATTTGGGGGGAAATGGGGAATGACTGCTAATGGGTATGGGGTTTTGATCGGGGTTGATAAAAATGTTCTAAAATTGGTTGTGATGATAGTTGTACAACTCTATGAGTAGGCCCGGGCACAGTGGCTCACACCTGTAATCCCAGCACTTTGGGAGGCCGAGGTAGGAGGATCTCTTGAGCCCAGGAGTTCAAGACCAGGCTGGGCAACATAGTGAGACCCTGCCTCTACAAAAACAAAAACAAAAACAAAAAAAAACCTAAAAATTAACTGGGCATGGTGGTGCACACCTGTCGTCCCAGCTACATGGGAGGCTGAGATGGGAGGATCACTTAGGCCTAGATGATCAAGGCTGCAATGAGCAGAGTTTGTGCCACTGCACTCTAGTCTGGGCAACAGAGCAAGACCTTGTCTCAAACAAACAAAAATACCACCACCAACAAAAAACACTGAATAGTTTAAGTGGAGGAATTATATGGTATATAATTCATGTCTCAATAAAGCAGACAAGGCTGGGCACGGTGGCTCACACTTGTAATCCCAACACTTTGGGAGGCCGAGGCGGTCAGATCACCTGAGGTCAGGAGTTCAAGACCACCCTGGCCAACATGGTGAAACCTTGTCTCTACTAAAAAACAAACAATTAGCTGGGTGTGGTGGTGCATGCCTGGAATCCCAGCTACTCAGGAGGCTGAGGCAGGAGAATCGCTTGAACCTGGGAGGCGGAGGTTGCAGTGAGCCGAGATCGTGCCATTGCACTCCAGCCTGGGCAACAAGAGCAAAATTCCGTCTCAGAAAAAAAAATAAAAATAAAAATAAAGCAGACAAGAAAAAACAGGAAGAAAAGAAGGAAAGACCAAAAGAAAGAAAGCTAGCTAGCTTCCGAAAGCCCTCTAATGCCAGCAGGAAAAAGTGTTAACTGTTTAAGAGACTAGGCCCTGGTGTCCAACAGACTTAGTTCAAGTCCCAGCCCTACTGAGTCCTTGTTATGCAATCTTCATCAATATGCCTAACCTCTCTGAGTCTCAATGCACTCATCTGTAAAATGGGAATAATAATAATACCTCCCTCATAGTGTCACTATGAAATTTCAACCAGACAGTATCTATAAAGTATTTAGCACAGTGCCAGGGTCATAGTGAGTGCGGGAGACATGTTTCCAATCTTCTTCTGCCTCCACTCCAGCTTCATTTCCCATCATCTCCCACCACGCACCCATGGCCCCAGCCATCTTGCCATTGGCTGCCCTGGGTCAGATTCTTCCAAGCTTCTCTGGCTTTGCTCACGCTGTCCCCTCAGCTGGGAATGCCCTTCCTCCTTGTCCAGCCAGGGACCCTGCTCACCTCAGACCACAGTTCAAGCAACGTTTCCTCTGTGAAGTCTTCTCTGATGCCTCTTCGCACAGGCCCATCCCACCTTCACTGCCCTGCGCTACATCTCCATATTAAGCCCTTGTGTCTTTTTTTTTTTTTTTTTTATGAGACAGGGTCTCCCTCTGTCGCCAGGCTAGAGTGCAGTGGTGCAATCACCAATCACGGCTCACTGCAACCTCCACCTGCCAGGCTCAAGTGATCCTCCCACCTCAGCCTCCCAAGTAGCTGAAACCACAGGCGTGCACCACTACACCTGGCTAATTTTTGTATTTTTTTGTAGAGACAAGGTCTCCCTATGTTGTCCAGGCTGGTCTCGAACTCCTGGGCTCAAGTGATCCACCCATCTCAGCCTCCCAAAGTGCTGGGATTACAAGCATGAGCCATCATGCCCGGGCTAAGTAGTTTTGTTCAAGGTCATTTGATTTGTCATATGTGGATGCTTGATATAGATGTTGAACCACCAGGTTCTAGAGAGAAGGAATCCCAACTCCCATCCCCTGTATGTTTTCAGAAACTGCTCGATGTCTCCCATATGGGACTGCAGGTGGCCATAGGAATGGAAGAAGTAGTGGCTGTGAGAGCAGTTTTCCCTTCGGGGACCTGGGGAGTGTTCAAGCGCCAGGCTGAAAGCAGGCAGGTAACGCCAGGCAAACAGGAGGAATCCCTCAGAGCAGGGAGATGAGAACCCTAAGGGCAGCAAGGACATGTGCTTGCCCTTACCTTCAGTCATGCCAAGATGGGGCAAACCTCCCAAGGGCCTGGGACAGGGCTAAGGGTGAGTTCTCCCAAGGGTGGGGGTTCCTACTTTCAGGCCAGTTGCAACCCAGAGTTGGCTTGATATGAAAGGCACAGTGTGCATGTTTTTGTCGCCATGATCAAAGTCTGTTGGTGGCCGGGCATAGTGACTCACGCCTGTAATCCCAGCACTTTGGGAGGCCAAGGCAGGTGGATCGTCTGAGGCCAGGAGTTCGAGACCAACCTGGCCAACATGGTGAAACCTCGTCTCTACCAAAACTACAGAAATTAGCCAGGCGTGGTGGCGCATGCCTGTAGTCCCAGCTACTCAGGAGGCTGAGGCATAAGGCAGAGGTTGTAGTGAACTGAGATTGTGCCACTGCACTCCAGGCTTGATGACAGAGTGAGACTGTCTCAAAAAAATAAATAAATAAATAAATAAATAAATAAATAAGAAAAAAATCTACTCTCTTAGCAATTTTCAAGTATACAATACATTGTTATTTTGTTTTTGTTTTTGTTTCTCCAGACAGAGTCTCCTTCTTGTTGCCCAGGCTGGAGTACAATGGCACAATCTCAGCTCACCGCAACCTCTGCCTCCCGGGTTCAAGCGATTCTCCTGCCTCAGCCTCCACAGTAGCTGGGATTACAGGCATGCGCCACCATGCAGGGCTAATTTTTTTGTATTTTTAGTAGAGACGGGGTTTCTCCATGTTTGTCAGGCTGGTCTTGAACTCCTGACCTTAGGTGATCCACCCGCCTCGGCCTCCCAAAGTGCTGGGAATACAGGTGTGAGCCACCGCGACCGGCAGTCACCATTTTAGTAATAGATCTCTTGAGGTACAAAATTTGTACCCTTGGACCAACATCTCCCCAACCCCTCCTGCCCAGCCCCTGGTAACCACCACTCCACTCCACTCTTCCAGTTTGTCTCTTTTAGATTCCACATGTAAGTGAGATCATGCAGTGTTTGTCCTTCTATGACTAGTTAATTTCACTTGCATAATGTTCTCCACGATCATCCATGTTGTCACACTCCTGCACTTTATTACGAAAAAGGAATAAACTTCTACCTCGTTTAAGCCACTGGTATTTCAGGGTTTATGTTACTCACAGCTGAGCCCAATCCTACTTGAGACTCAAGCGGTGACTCACATTTCCTTGGCTGGCGTGAAGTGCTTCCCAGCTATTTCTGCTTTTCATTCTTCACAATAGCTCTTTGAGGTAAAAGGAATGTTCCTAATGAGGAAAAGGAAGCTTCAGCACTCCGAGGAGAGGTGAGACAAATGATGCTGGTTTTATCTTTCCAGAAGGCTGTTCCTGCAGCTGCCGCCTAAATCACAAGGAGTAAGCCCTGTGATGTCAGCTATGTGCCAGAGAAACCAGAAAGCACACGCCATTCCTTGTCAGCCATCACCTGAAATTACTAAAGTGCTGTATTGGGTTCGTTCATCTAGAGACCAGCTCCTAATCACAGGATGCTGTTTTACAAGGTCAAAAACATGCCAGGCAAACCCGCAATGCCACCGCTCAGCTTGAGGGAGAAAAGTTTTACATCCCTGGGAGGAGCTTCTGACGATATGATTCACAATGTTCTGTCTTGCTGATGAATGTATTTAATTTTTTTATGTTTTAATTTTTATTTTTTGTGGGTACATAGTAGGTGTATACTTGATGCATGTATTTTAAAACTAGAGAAGAACAAAACTAAAACAATAAAGAAAAAATAAAACTAGAGAAATAAAAAAATCTACAAAAAAAGTTTAAAGAAAAAACTAAAAAAAATAGAGAAAGCAAAAAAAAAATACATAAATGAAAATTACTAGTGGTGAGCAGGGGAAAGCCAAAAAAAATGATAGCAGAGTTTGTTTCTTTTTTTCTTTCTTTCTTTCTTTTTTTTTCTTTTTGAGACGAAGTCTTGCTCTTGTCACCCAGCCTGGAGTGCAATGGCACGATCTCGGCTCTCTGCAACCTCCACCTCCCAGGTTCAAGCAATTCTTTTGCCTCAGCCTCCCGAGTAGCTGGGATTACAGGTGCCAGCCACCATGCCCGGTTAATTTTTGTATTTTTAATAGAGACAGGGTTTCATCGTGTTGGCCAGGCTGGTCTGGAACTCCTGACCTCAGGAGATCCACCTACCTCGGCCTCACAAAGTGCTGGGATTACAGGCGTGAGCCACTGCGCCCAGCCCAGAGTTTGTTTAACCAGTCACCCATTGAAGGATATCTGAGCTGGTTTCAGTTTTTAGCTATTATGAATAAAGCTGCTGTGAACATTCATGTACAGGCTTTTCTGTAAACATAAGTTCTTGTTTCTCTGGGATGAATGGCCAGGAGTGCAATTGCTAGATCATAGGGCAGTTGGATGTTTAATTTTGTAAGAAACTGAAAACCTTTTTCCAGAATGACTATACCCTTGTACATTCCCACCAGCCATCTATGAGTGATCCAGTTTGTCCCTATCTTTGCCAGCATTTGGTGTTGTCATGATTTTTTATTTTTGTGTAGTGTTACCTCACTATGGTTTGAATTTGCATTTTTCTGATGGCTAGTGATGCTGAACCTCTTTTCGTGTGCTTAATTACCATCTGTGTATCCTTTTCGGTGAAATATCTGTTGTAATTTTTGCCCATTTTCTAATTGCATTGTTGGCTTTTTTACCAAAAAGTTTTGAGATTCCTCTGTGGGATATGCGGTTTGCAAATATTTTCTTCCAGGCCATACCTTGTCTTTTCATCCTACTTACATGGGCTTTTGCAGAACAACATTTTTTAATTTTGATGAGATAGAATTTGTCAATTTTCCCTCAATGCTAAGAACTATTTGTCTAGCCCTAGGGCCTACAGATTTTCTATTTTTACTTAAGGTTTTATAATTTGTATTTTACATTTAATTTCTTTTTTTTTTTTTTTGAAATGGAGTCTCGCGCTGTCGCCCAGGCTGGAGTGCAGTGGCGCAATCTCGGCTCACTGCAAGCTCTGCCTCCCAGGTTCACGCCATTCTCCTGCCTCAGCCTCCCGAGTAGCTGGGACTACAGGTGCCCGCCACCATACCCGGCTAATTTTTTTGTATTTTTTAGTAGATACAGGGTTTCTCCGTGTTAGCCAGGATGGTCTTGATCTCCTGACCTCGTAATCCGCCTGCCTCAGCCTCCCAAAGTGCTGGGATTACAGGTGCGAGCCACTGCGCCCAGCCCTACATTTAATTTCATGATTCATTTTGAGATAATTCTTATCTAAGGTGTGAATTTAGGTTGAAGGTTCATTTTTTTGCCTATGGATGTTCAATTGCTCCAGCACCATTTGCTGAAAAGGCTCTCATTTCTCCATTGATTTACATTTTTTTTTTTTTTGAGATGGAGTCTTGCTCTGTCACCCAGGCTGGAGTGCAGTGGCACCATCTCAGCTCACTGCAACCTCCAGCTCCCAGGTTCAAGCGATTCTCCTGCCTCAGCCTCCTGAGTAGCTGGGACCACAGGCACACGCCACCATGCCTGGCTAATTTTTGTATTTTTAGTAGAGACAGGATTTCACCATATTGGCCAGGCTGGTCTCAAACTGAACTACTCAAGTCATCCGCCAGCCTCAGCCTCTCAAAGTGCTGGGATTACAGGTGTGAGCCACTGCACCCAGCCTCCATTGATTTACTTTTGCACCTTTGTCAAAAGTCAGCTGGGCATATTTGTGTGGCTCTATTTGTAGATTCTCTACTCTGTTCTGTTGTTCTGTTGTCTATCCCTCTACCAGTACCACAGAGCCTTGATTATGTAGCTAGATGATGTCTTAAAATCCGGTTTTTGCACTTTTGTCAAAAATTGGCTGAGCATATTTGCATTGATCTATGTCTGGGTTTTCTTAAGTTATTTTTTGAGACAGGATCTCACTGAATTGCCCAGCCTGGAGTGCACTGGCACAATAATAGCTTGCTGCAGCCTCAATCTCCCAGGCTCAAGAGATCCTCCCAACTCAGCCTCCCAAATAGCTGGGACTACAGGCACATGCCACTATGCCCAGCTAATTTATTTTTATTTTTACTTTTAGTAGAGACGAGGTCTCACTATGTTGCCCAGACTGGTCTTGAACTCCTAAGCTCAAGCAATCCTCCCGCCTCTGCCTCCCAAAGTGCTGGGATTACAGGTGTAAAGCACTGCACCTGGACATATGTCTGGGTTTTCTATTCTGTTCATTGATCTATGTTTCTATGTTCCTATCTCTCTGACCATACCACAGTCATGATTACTGTAGTTATATAGTTAGACTTAGTATCATGTAGAGTGATTCCTCTCACTTTATTCTTCTCCATGATGATTGCTTTAGCTATTCTAGGGACTGTGTCTTTCCATATACATTTCAGATATACATTTTAGAATGAGCTTGTCTATGTCTACAAATAACCTTGCTGAGACTGTGATAGGAATTGCATTACTCCTCTAGAACCATTTGGAGAGAACTGACATCTTTACTATGTTGATTCTTCCAGTCCCTGAGCACAGTATGTCTCTTTGTTTATTTAGGTCTTCTTTGATTTCTTTTTTTTTTCCCCTGAGACGGAGTCTTTCTCTGTCGCCCAGGCTGGAGTGCAGTGGTGCCATCTCGGCTCATTGCAATCTCTGCCTCACAGATTCAAGCAATTCTCCTGCCTCAGCCTCCCAAGTAGCTGGGATTACAGGCGCCTGCCACCACACCCAGCTAATTTTTGTATTTTTAGTAGAGACGGGATTTCACCATGTTGGCCAGGTTGGTCTTGAACTCCTGACCTCGTGATCTGCCTGCCTCGGCCTCCCAAAGTGCTGGGATTACAAGCATGAGCCACAGCACCTGGCCTTCTTTAATTTCTTTCATCAGCATTTTGAACAGATCCTGTACATGTTTTGTTAAATGCATACCTAGGTATTTCATTTTCCTTGGAGTGACTGTAAATAATGTTGTGTTTTGAATTTCAGTTTCCATGTGTTCACTGTGTGAACCCCCAAAATCAGACAGGTCTTAGTTAATTTAGAAAGTTTATTTTGCCAAGGTTGAGGACATGCACCCATGACACAGCCTCAGAAGGTCCTGACAACAGGTGCCCAAGTGGTTATACATTTTAGGGAGACATGAGACATCAATCAACATCTGTAAGATGAACGTTGGTTCGGTCTGGAAAGGCGGGACAACTCGAAGGAAGAAGGGGCCTTCCAGGTCATAGGTAGACAAAAGACAAATGATTGCATTCTTTTGAGTTTCTGATTAGCCTCTCCAAAGGAGGCAATCAGATATGCATTTATCTCAGTGAGCAGAGGGGTGACTTTGAATAGAATGGAAGGCAGGTTTGCCCTAAACAGTTCCCAGCTTGACTTTTCCTTTTAGCTTCGTGATTTTGGGGGCCCAAGATAGTTTCCTTTCACAACTGTTAATGTATAGAAATGCAGTTAATTTTTGTGTATTGATCTTGCATCCTGTGACCTTACTGAACACACTTCTTAGTTCAAGGAATTTTGGGGTAGATTATTTGGAATTTCCTACATAGAAAATTGGGTTGTTTGCAAATAAGGAGAGTTTTATTTCTTCCTTTCAACTCTGTATGTCTTTTTTCTTTTTCTTGCTTTATTGCTCTGGCTAGAACTTCCAGTACTATGTTAAATAAAAGTGGTAAGAGTAGACATCCTGGCCAGGCATGGTGGCTCATGCCTGTAATCTCAGCGCTTTGGGAGGCTGAGGCAGGTGGATTGCCTGAGGTCAGGAGTTTGAGACTAGCCTGGCTAACATGGTGAAACCCTCGTCTCTACTAAAAATATAAAAATTAGTCAGGCATGATGGCTCATGCCTGTACTCCCAGCTACTCGGGAAGCTGAGGCAGGAGAATCACTTCAACCTGGGAGGCAGAGGTTGCAGTGAGCCAAGATCATGCCACTGCACTCCAGCCTGCACGACAGAGCAAGACTCCATCTCAAAAAAAAAAAAAAAAGAGTGGACATCCTCGCCTCATTTTGAGACCCTGTCTCAAAAAAAAAGCATTCAGTCTTTCACCAGTAAGTATGGTATTTGCTATAGGTTTCTTGGTTTTGTTTCCTTGTTGGTTTTTTGTTTTAGAGACAGAGTCTGCTCTGTTGCTCAGTCAGGAGTGCAGTGCATGCTGATCCCAGCTCACTGCAACCTCAACCTCCTGGGCTCAAGGGATCCTCCCATCTTAGCCTCCCAGGTAGCTGGGACTACAGGCATGTGCCACCACACCCAGCTAATATTAGTAATATTAGGTTGGTGCAAAAGTAATTGTGGTTTTTGCCATTACTTTTTTTTTCTGAGACAGAGTTTCATTCTTGTTGCCCAGGCTGGAGTACAGTGGCGCGATCTTGGCTCACCGCAACCTCCGCCTCCTGGGTTCAAGCGATTCTCTTGCCTCAGCCTCCCGAGTAGCTGGGATTACAGGCATGCATCACCACGCCGGGCTAATTTTGTATTTTTGGTAGAGACGAGGTTTCTCCATGTTGGTCAGGCTGGTCTTGAACTCCTGACCTCAGGTGATCTGCCTGCCTCGGCCTCCCAAAGTGTGGGGATTACAGGCATGAGCCAGCTCGCCTGGCCCTTTGCCATTACTTTCAATGGGAAAAACCACAATTACTTTTGCACCAACGTGATAGGTTTCTTGTAAATGCTATCAAGTTGAAATCATGCCCCTCTAACTTGCTGAGCATTTTTATCATGAATGGATATTGGATTTTGTTAACTGCTTTTCCTGCACCAGTTGGCGTGATCATACGATTTTTCTTCATTAGCCTGTTAACATGATAAGTTACATTAATTTTCAAACGTTGAACCAGCCTTGCACACCTGGAATAAATCTCACTTGGTCATGGTGTATAATTCTTTTGGAATTTTTAAAAGTCATTTCTTCTGAACTTCAACTATTAGCCCCAGAAGAGAAATGTCACCTCATTATCTAGAGATAGGGACATTTACTCAGGGTCTGGAGCTTCTGGAACTTAGAGACCTGGATTCACAACCCAGTTTTGCCATTTACTAGCTCTGGGCCTTTGGCAAGTCACTTAATTCTCTAAACTTAGTTTCCACATCTGCAAAATGAGGATGACAATGCTTATGTCAGAGGATTGTTAAAGGAACTAAATCACTAAGGTGATTACACATTGACTACCTGCCTGGCAGTCAGTCATGGTAACCATTTGATTTCCAGAGCAACAACCATTTTGGAGTAGAAATTGGAGAATTTTGGAAAGGCAGTTAGATATAGTATTAGGAACAGGACACAGAGCTGACACGATGGGATTTATCCTAAATGATCACAACCTCTGTAATCATTCATCCTTGGGTGGTTGGGTGGGGGTTTTTTCTTCATGTTATTGAGTACTTTGATAAGTATCACTGCAAGACACCAAGAAGGTCATTCAAAGACATTCTTATCAATAGTTATTAACATATTGAATGAAACAGAATTGCACTGCAGGAGTCCAGCACTCATTAGTGGCCTGCTCTGCACATAAAAATTCACCCTGCCTTTTCAGGCTGAAGAGTACCTCGATTACATTATTTTTACCATTGAAAGTAATGGCAAAAACCGCAATTACTTTTGCACCAACCTAATAACTCCTGACTGCCCAGGTAACCTTCAAAACTCCCAGTCTTACTTCTTTGGATTTAACTATGTCTTTAAACATGGTATAAATAAGGCAAGTCCACTTTGTGGTGGTGGTGCAGGAAAATACAGTGGCCAGAAGACAAATAAGCAACAAATGAAATGGAGTACTACCGCACTTTACTTTCAGTCCTATGCTCCTTGAAAACAAATAAGGAATCAAATTGATCTATGACACTGATTTTCTTTCCTTCTTTTTTTTTTTTTTTTTTTCTGAGACAGAGTCTTGCTCTGTCACCCAGGCTGGAGTGCATTGGCGCGATCTCAGCTCACTGCAGCCTCCACCTCCCGGGTTCAAGCGATTCTCCTGCCTCAGCCTCCTGAGTAGCTGGGATTACAGGAGTGCGCCACCCCCAGCTAATTTTTTGTTGTTGTTGTTTTTGAGGCAGGGTCTCACTCTGTCGCCCCAGGCTGGAGTGCAGTGGCACGCGATCTTGGCTTACTGCAACCTCTGCCTCCCGAATTCAAACAATTCTCCCACCTCAACCTCCCGAGTAGCTGGGAGTACAGGCACGCCACCATGCCCGACTAATTTTTGTAATTTTTTTTTTTTAGTAGAGATGGGGTTTCACCATGTTGGCCAGGCTGGTCTCGAACTCCTGGCCTCAAGTGATCCATCCGCCTCGGCCTCCCAAAGTGCTGGGATTACAGGCATGAGCCACCGCACCCAGCCAACACTGACTTTCAAATATGATTGTGACTGACAGAAAAAGGTGCTTTTTTTTTTTTTTTTTTGAGACTGAGTTTCGCTCTTGTTTCCCAGGCTGGAGTGCAATGGCACAGTCTCGGCTCACTGCAACCTCCACCTCCCGGGTTCAAGCGATTCTCCTGCCTCAGCCTCCCAAGTAGCTGGGATTACAGGCTCCTGCCACCACGACCGGCTAATTTTTGTATTTTTAGTAGAGACGGGGTTTCACCACGTTGGCCAGGCTGGTCTCAAACTCCCAACCTCAGGTGATCTGCCCGCCTCGGGCTTCCAAAGTGCTGGGATTACAGGCATGAGCCACTGCACTGGCCGCTTTTTGTTTTGTTTTGTTTTGAGACAGGGTCTCACTCTGTTGCCCAAGCTGGAGTGCAGTGGCCTCATCATGGCTCATTGCAGCCTCAAGCAATCAAGCGAGCCTCCTACCCCAGCTTCCCGAGTAGTTGGGACTACAGGTAGGCACCACCACACCCGGCTAATTTTTTTGATTTTTAGTAGAGACGAGGTTTCACTATGTTGCCCAGGCTGGTCTCAAACTCCTGAGTTCAAGCAATCCTCCTGCCTCCGCTTCCCAAAGTGCTGGGATTGCAGGCATGAGTCACTGCACCCAGCTGAAAGATGCATTTTTGTATTGTAATCCGGTGTACACACACGCACACAAGCACACACACATAACTGAAGCAAACGTTTAATGAAGTAATACTTATCTTACTACCTGTGATGCATGTGGAAATTTCCCCATCTACTTTGTTACTATTATTTTGTATTGCAGCTTGTAACTAATGATGCCACAACCCACGTGACCTGCTACTGGATGGCAAGCAAGCCACAAGCCGGCCTAGGCCTGAGGTGATGTAGGCCCATTAGGGAACTCCTGCTAGGCAAATGGGAACCACGAAGGAAAGACCTCCATGGGCTTCCCTGAAGGCTGGTGTTTCAGTGAGTCCACCTGTGAACAAAAACTCCTTTTCTCCTCGCAGGATCACAGTTGTAAAAGTCAGCAAAATGTCAAGGGAACTCTCTTGAAGATTGCACATGTTTGTCTAAGTGCTTCTACATTTCCTCTGCCTGGAACATAAATGGAATAGAAATAACATTTGTTCAGGAACTGGAGTTGACCGGGAGTGGCTACACTTCACCCTCGTCTGTACCCCAGACCACAGTGGGGGCAGACACCAAAGTGCTGGGTACCCCTGCCTGTACCCGAGACCACAGTGGGGACAGACACCAAAGACCAGGGGCTGCTTGAGACCAGGGAGAGGAGAATTAGAAGACTCCTCAAATCAGCCCAGTCCCGTGAAAAGAGAGAGGAGAGGAGGGGAGGGGAGGGGAAGAGAGCGGAAGGGAGGGGAAGGGAGGGGAGTTACTACTGCTTAAACACAAGAATACCACCTCCCCTGGTGATATGGATAGTTTGGCTGTGTCCCCACCGAAATCTCATCTTGAATTGTAGTTCCCGTAATCCCCACTTATTGTGGGAGGGACCCAGTGGGAGGTAATTGAATTGTGGGGGTGGTTCCCCCATGCTGCTGTTCTTGTGATAGTGAGTTCTCATGAGATCTGATGGTTTTATAAGGGGCTTTTCTCCCTTTTGCTCCGCACTTGTCCTTGCTGCCATCACGTAAGAAAGACGGGTTTGCTTCCCCTTCTGCCATAATTGTAAGTTTCCTGAGGCCTCCCCAGCCTTGCGGGACTGTGAGTCAATTAAACCTCTTTCCTTTATAAATTACCCAGTCTCAGGTATGTCTTGTTAGCAATGTGAGAATGAACTAATACTCCTGCTATGACACCTGTCCCCCTCATCCTTTCTGGATGACACTGAGGACAAGGTCATGCCATCCCCACACCCATCACCCAGGAGAGCCAGTAGTAGATGCAGGGACATTTCCTGGCCAACAGGGTTAATGGGACAAAGATGGAGCTCTCCGGCTTCTGGAATCTGAAAAACTCATGTAATGTCACAAGCAGTTTCTGCCCTCTGGGGTGGAGATGGTGGGGCCTCCAAGAAAGACTGTACTTTGCTCTGTGAAGTTATCAGGCCCAGTGCAAATAGAAAGGCAGGGCCCACCCCTCACCCTTCGGGGGAAACCTGAACACAGTCTCAGAGCGGGGAGTGAAAAGTCTTGTTCCATCAAAGAAAAAGGAAGTATCTTTCCAGATAAAAACACTGGTCATACATGCAACAGTTAAAAAAGAAGGAGCATGCTGTACTTTTTTTTTTTTTTTTGAGACAGAGTCACTTTATCACCAGGCTGAGTGCAGTGGTGTAATCATGGCTCACTGCCACCTCAAATTCCTGGATTCAAGGGATCCTCCCGTCTCAGCCTTCTGAGTAGCTGGGACTACAGGTGCGTGCCACCATGCCTGGCTAATTTTTTTTTTTGTAGGGATGGGGTCTCACTATGTTGCCCAGGCTGGTCTCAAACTCCTGGGCTCAAGTGACCCTCCTGCCTCAGCCACCCAGTATCTGCTAGTCTCCCAGAAGTTGGGGCTTTTTGGAGAGAAATGTTACTTTAGTCTGTGTAATATTAGGCTAACTGGTGTCCCCAGAATTATTGTTTGTTCTTTTGGAGCTCTGAGCAGCAGTTTTTAGACAATGTGGAGCCAGGGCAAAGAAGGGACTGGAAGGCAGGCAGGCAGGTGGGCTGAGGACCTGGACTTGACTGCTCCTTTTGGCAGCTCCGATGGCCCACACAGTAGAACTATGTGTGACATCCTGTGGGGAATGCTGCTGAGGACAAAGCGGGCCACTGCCTGGAGAGTAGAGTTTCCCATGTGGGGTTGGTGAGGTGGGCTTTAGGCTGGGGGACAAAAAAATCCTCCCTGAGAGTTTGGCCTCAGAAACAGAGGGAGGCCTTAGCATTCCCAGGGCGTGTGGCTAGGGAGGGAAGTTAGGCCAGCTGCAGGGTCGCCTGAGGCGGTTGGGGGCTGACAGTTCTGCCAACAGCCCCATCCAGTGTTAGTCAGTGGCCTATTCACTTCCCTTCTATTATAACCAACCCTTTGGAAAAGTCTCATTCACTTCCCAGCCTGGTGTTCTCTTCTGGGCTGTGAAGAAAGGGTCTAAACCATCTTTGGGCCTGAGGATCAAAGAGGACTAGGGTTCCCTTCCTTGAGGTCAGGTTGAGGTTGGCAGAAGGGACAGCCAGCCAAGGACAGCTGTGCCCAGCAGATATTGTCCTCTAGAGGGCAGCACTGTGGTAGCCTAACAAAGATGGGTGGGTGTGGGGGCTGTTGACCTCAGGTTTGAAACCACCACAGAGGAGCCTCTCAGAAAGAGCCAGAGGGCTAAGGGGGAATATTTTCCAAAGATCAAGCTTCTGGGGAGTTGAATATTGTACGTTGAGTATTTGTATGGAAAACATTTTTTAAAGGAAAAATATGAACCTTTTGTCTTTATATTTTCTGTCCCCTTAACTTGAAAGAACCAATACAAAGAGGCCATAGCATTCCTATTGGCTAAATACAGTGTCCAGAAGCCTAGCCGGGGGCTAGTGGATTGCTCACCAGATTTCCCCCTCGAGTCTCTATTCCTTTTGACAGTTCTGAGAAGTAAAGGTTTTTATTTGTTTTTTAGAGACGGAGTCTCACTCTGTCGCCAAGGCTGGAATGCAGTACCGTGATTGTTAGCAGTGGTGAATCCGCCTGGGTCTGCAGCAGACTCGATCCTTGCCTCTGCAGAGGAAAGAATTTGTCCAAGGGGCATAAGGCAGAGTGAGAGACCTAGGCAAGTTTTAAAGCAGGAGTGAGAGTTTATTAAAAAGTTTTAGAGCAGGAACAAAAGGAAGTAAAGTAGACTTGGAAGAGGGCCAAGCAGGCAACTTGAGAGATTCAAGTGCATGGTGTGACCTTTGACTTGGGGTTTTCTATGTTGGCATGCTTCCGGAGTTGCATTACTTCTCCCCTGAGTCTTCCCTTGGGGTCAGCTGCCTGCATGCGCAGTGGCCTGCCAGCACTTGGGAGGGGCTGTACGCACAGTGCATTTACTGGAGTCGCATGCATGCTCACTTGAGGCATTTTTCCCTTACCAATCCAGTGTTCCTAGAGGAAGGTTAAACTCCACCATTTTGCCATTTTGTGTGCATGTTTGAGTCCACTCGGCCAACTCCTGAGATCTTATCGGGAAGCTGCTGATCACCAGTTTCAGGTGTTTTCTATCTATTGGCAGCCTGCCTTTCCCTGACACCAGCTGTGACAAATTATTATTTGAGCGCCACACTTTACCAACTGCCTGCCCATCACTTGATGGCCACCTGCCATTCCTGGTGGGGGGAGAGCCCTCTTCTGCTCTGCTCATGCCTGACTACCTACCCTAACATTATCATAGCTCACTGCAGCCTCCAACTTCTGGACTCAAGTGATCCTCCCACCCCAGCCTCCCTAGTAGCTGGGACTACAAGCATGTGTCACCACACCTGGCTAATTTTTTTGTTTGTTTTTTTTGTACAGACAGGGTCTCACTGTGTTGCCCAGGCTAGTCTAAAATGCCTGGCCTCAAGTGATCTCCTGCCTCAGCCTCCTGAAGTGCTGGGGTTACAGGCATGAGCCACCACACCCAGCCTGGAGCATTACTAGTGTTCACTGATATTCCCAGTTCCCCTCTCCTGGGTACATAGGGGAATCATGCTTCCATTTCTCAGTGAAATTAAGTCTGGCTATGTGTCCTTTTTGGTCAATGAGATTTGAGCAGCAATGTGTGTCACATCTGAGTGGAAGCATTTAAGAGGGATGCACAGGGCGGGTGCAGTGGCTCACACCTGTAATCCCAGCACTTTGGAAGGCTGAGGTGGGCAGATCACTTGAGGTCAGGAGTACAAGACCAGCCTGGCCAACATGGTGAAACCCCGTCTCTACAAAAACACAAAAATTAGCTGGGCATGATGGCGGGTGCCCTCCCAGCTACTTGGGAGGCTGAGGTGGGAGAATTGCTTGAACCCAGGATGGGGAGGTTGCAGTGAGCCAAGATGGCACCATTGCACTCCAGTCTGGGCGACAGAGCGAGACTCCGTATCAAAAAAAAAAAAAAAAAAGGCCGGGCACGGTGGCTCACGCCTGTAATCCCAGCACTTTGGGAGGCCAAGGTGGGCAGATTACAAGGTCAAGAGATCGAGACCATCCTGGCTAACACGGTGAAACCCCACCTCTACTAAAAATACAAAAAATTAGCCAGGCGTGGTGGCGGGCGCCTGTAGTCCCAGCTACTCAGGAGGCTGAGGCAGGAGAATGGCATGAACCCGGGAGGTGAAGCTTGCAGTGGGCCGATATCGTGCCACTGCACTCCAGCCTGGGTGACAGAGCGAGACTCCGTCTCAAAAAAAAAAAAAAAAAAAAAAAAGAGTGATGCACAACTCTCCCAAGCTCTCCTCTTCTGTGGCAAACCCTAGAGCCTCGTGTTTGGATAACAATGTCCTAAGATGGTGTACCCTTTGTCAGCCTGGGTCCCTGAATAGCTACAATGAGCAGAGCCCTGCTAATGATCCTACAATGGACAGGTAGCATGAGCAAGAAATAAACCTCCGTAAGCCACTGAGCTTTGGGAGTTATCTGTTACCGCAGCATAATATGGCCCATCCTGATTGGTACACATAGTTTTGCTTAACAGAATCTATAGTACCTACTATTTACTTAAGGTACCATGTAGCCAGTGATGGGGTGAGAGACTAAATGAACTCAAAATGGAAAGTCTTCACTCCCTGTTTTCTCACGAGAGCTCATAACGGCCACAAATTCACTGGCAACTCATTCCAAGCAACTCTGGGTCTGTTTGGCAGTAAGTAGCTCCCACGTTCCCAGAATTCTACTGGGCTGAGTAGCTCTATAAAAACCTGTTTCCCTGGAGGCTATTTTAATGCTGATACTCCTTCAAAAACATTCAGCCAAGCAAATGTCCATTAAAAAGCTGGCCATCTAACCACTCAGGCAGAACCGGAGCAGCATTTTGAGGCTGACTCTCACAAACCCGCTCCAAATGAAAGGAAGGACATTCCTCTCAAGGCAGCACCTTGTTCCTCAGTAACCCAGGCTGCATGTCAGCCACGGACTTCCATGGATACCTCAATGCAGAGATCTGGTCTCCAGGATTCTCGTGATCTTCACTCAGTTACCATGGTCACAACACTCGGTTTAAGCAAACAACAATTCTGCCCTCATCTGCTTGTCACTTTTCAAAAGTAAGACATTTGGAGAACAAATTCACTTTGAAATATTGCAATCAATCAACAGGTTTCTAGTTTTGAGTATTGTGACCAAACCAAAGCAAGCCATGACCTAGAAACCTCATTTTTCGCCCATAGGAAAAAAACATGACTGCTTAATAATTTTGATAACTCTTAAAATTTCAATATAGAGTGAATCTTTTTTTTTTTTTTTGAAGAGAAGAGGTTTTGTTCTGTTCCCCAGGCTGGAGCACAGTGGCGCAATCATAGCTCACTGTAACCTCAAACTCCTGGCTCAAAAGGTCATGATATTTGCAACTAAAACTGTTAGTAAGAAATAATAATAATACGGAAAGAGAGAGAGAAAAAGCAAATATGGTAAAATGTTAACAATTGGGAAACCTAGGTAAATGGCCAAAGTGTTCATTCTTGCAACTTTTCTGTAGGTTTGAAATTTTTCAAAATAAAAAATCACACATGCTCCAGATCAGTAGCTTTCAAATTTTAACATAACCCACAATAAAATATAAATTGTACACAGGAACCCAGTACACACACACATACAAGTATAATTTGAACAAATACATATATATTAAATAAAAAGTTCTGTCGGGCGCGGTGGTTCACGCCTGATAATCTCAGCACTTTGGGAGGCCGAGGCGGGTGAATCACAAGATCAGGAGTTCGAGACCAGCCTGGCCAACACAATGAAACCCCGTCTGTACTAAAATTACAAAAATTAGCCGGGCATGGTGGGGGGTGCCTGTAGTCCCGGCTACTCGGGAGGCTGAGGCAGTAGAATCGCTTGAACCCGGGAAGCGGAGGTTGCAGCGAGCCGAGATCACGCCACCGCACTCCAGCCTGGGCAACACAGCGAGACTCCGTCTCAAAAAAAAAAAGGTTTCACAAAACAATACTTAGTCTTATAATATTACGTGATACTCTGTGACTTTTCTATTCTATAATTTTTTTTTAAACGCTGGTTTTTGTTTTTTTTTTTTCCAGACAGGGCCTTGCTCTGTCACCCAGGCTGGAGTGCAGTGGTATGAACACAGTTCACTGCAGCCTCAACTTCCTGGGCTCAAGACATCCTCCCATCTCAGTCTCCTGCATAGCTGGGACTATTGGTGCTCGACACCATGCCAAACTAATTTTTTATTCTTTTGTAGAGATGGGGTCTCACCATGTTGCCCACACTGGTGTCAAACTACTGGGTTCAAGCGATCCTCCTGGCTCAGCTTCCCAAAGTGCTGGGATTACAGCCATGAGCCACTGTGCCCGGTCTGGTTTTTTAAGAATTTAAAACCCATTGAGTTAATGACCATTAATGGTTGAAACATTTGAATACACCTGTCCTCAGCAGTACTTTGTGCGACACTTCCAATACTTAGTATTACACAGAGACACAGGAGTGTCCCCATGAAGAAGTGACTGCTTGGCCGGGCGTGGGGGCTCACGCCTGTAATCCCAGCAGTTTGGGAGGCCGAGGCAGGCGGATCTCCTGAGGTCAGGAGTTCGAGACAAGCCTGATCAACATGGAGAAACCCTGTCTCTACTAAAAATACAAAATTAGCCGGGCGTGGTGGCACGTGCCTGTAATCCCGGCTACTCGGGAGGCTGAGGCAGGAGAATCGCTTGAACCCAGGAGGCGGAGGTTGTGGTGAGCCAAGATCGCGCCACTGCACTCCAACCTGGGCAACAAGAATGAAACTCCGTCTCAAAAAAAAAGAAGTGACAGCTTGGTGCACCCCGAATTCATTTGGGTTTTCTTTTTTTTTTTTTCAAGACAGAGTCTTGCTCTGTTGCCCAGGCTGGAGTGCAGTGGCGCAATCTCGGCTCACCACAACCTCCGCCTCCCAGGTTCAAGCGAGTCTCCTGCCTCAGGCTCCCAAGTAGCTGGGACTACAGGTGCGTGCCACCATGCCTGGCTAATTTTTGTATTTTTAGTAGAGATGGGGTTTCACTTTGTTGGCCAGGCTGGTCTCGAGCTCCTGACCTCGTGATCCACCTGCCTCAGCCTCCCAAAGTGCTGGGATTACAGGTGTGAGCCACCGCGCCTGGCCTTCATGTGGGTTTTCAAAACCCACCTCTTCAAATATAGAGAGGACATTAAAAAGATGACAATTTCCAGAATGTTGACAAATGCAGTCATAGCATGCAGTGCAGAGAACAGCTTGGGTTCTTGTGTAAGTGGTGAGCAGCATATGCACTTTTCTTGACTTGACTGCCTTACAGTCTGTCAGGAATCCCTGCCTGTTGTGACCAGCTTAGGACGGTTCTGCTGCAAACCACAGAGATGGCCACTGCAGACCAGCAGAGCCAGCATTTGCAACTCAGCCTGCAAAGCCTTATTCTTGCAGCATATGCTAAACGAGCTGCTGATCCTGAGGCAGACAGAACAAACACCGTTTGTTCCCACTGCAACCCTGAGAAAAGCTGGGTTTGGTAGGGCCCCTAGGTGGGATTTGGTAGCCCCGCCCTCAGGCACAGCACACCCAGAGCCATGCATGCTTGCTGCAGGCCTGGCTGGCCTTTGCCCTTGCAGTCAAGCCGGGGGGAATATAGTTGGCCAACCCCCAACCTGAGAAATCTCTAAATCCCCTTTCCCAGCTACTGGCTGCCTCCTTCCCTCTTGGCCGTTAGTCAGCCCCGAAGTGTGCAGCCCATAATAATTTCCACACCTAATGGAATCATCCAAGCTGGAGCCTCCCTGCCCCGCTCTCTGTGTCTTCCGGACATTCATCCCACAAAACGCTAAGAAAAAAGGATTGTGTGGCCTCTTGGGAGATTCACAATGAATGTTAGCATATGAAAGACTCTGAAAAGTCCAGCAGTAGAGAAACCGGTTTAACCTTTTTTTTTTTTTAATCCTCGGACTTTACAAATTTATTTGTCCACAAACACACCCCCTGCTGCCCCTTTTTTCCCTACCCTGCCCTAAAGTTCCTTTGTGGCTAGGGCCAGCCCTGGGAATAACTGTGGAGTAAATGAACTGGATCTTTGTTTTAAACGCCTCCTAACACATCTCAGACCCCAGGAACCACCGCCACCCTTTGTCTTAAATCTCTCTCCCATCTCCCTTCTCTCACGTCCTGCCTACCTTCCTGAATCCTAGTGTTTCCAGGCCCCTGGAGAGGAGGAGGAGGATTGTGGTAGAAAACAAAGGACTTCGGTGTAATGGGTTACCCCGCCAGGAGAAATGGGACGGCTCTTAACTACTTAGCCAATGGAAGTCTCTCTAATTCAGGCCTTGCAGGCACTGTTGCCTGGAAGATGAGGGGAAGGGGAGGGGAGGGGAAGGGATGTGAAGCCCTAGAAGCTTCCGATTCCTAGTCTTCCCACCCGAGGGCCCACGTTCATTCTTGCTTCTCTTTTCCAATGGATGCCCGTGTGACAAAAGCAGAAATCCATACCATCCTCCCCCTCGAGTGGCACGTCCCTGTGTTCTCCCTGGGGCCATCTCTGGAGGCAAACGGTTCCTTCCACCCTCCACTGGGATTTTCACCTCTGCCCTCCATTCCGGCTCCTCTCCCCTTACCACAAACACACTCAAGCCCAGTTAAGCAAACTTTCCCCCCTCTGGCCAGGTCAGTCCATCTGCAGGCCAAACACCACGTGCTGGGCCACGCTGGGCAGGAGACAAGAGGCGAGGAGAAACCAGGGCTGCCGGCCCGCGCCTCCCACCCCACGGGAGGAGAGGCTGTCGGACAGGGAGGCGTTGGCCAGCCCCCCAGTGGTGTTGGCCGCCTCCTCCACCGGGACCCTCGGGGCCAGCAGCTTGGAGAGGAGGCTGCTGAACCTGCTCACGGTGGTGGCCGCTGGTTCTGGGGACGGGCCTGGACTGGACGTGGTGAGGTTCAGCTCCTCGGGGTCCACACAGAGGCCATCGGAGGAGCGCCCGAAGGTCACCTGGCTGAGGTCCAGGCCGGCCACGGAGCCCGGGGAGGCGCACGGCACGTCGGTGACACGTCCGGAGCCCTCCATCCAGTCCCTCAGCCACTCCAGACGGCAGTCGCAGCACCACGGGTTGCGGAAGAGGAAGAGGCGGCCCAGGAAGAAGCCGGGCTGGAAGGCGACCCAGGCGAGCACGGTGAGGCGGTTGCCGTTGAGGTGCAGCGCGAGGAGACCCGAGAGGTTCTGGAAGGCGCCCTCCTCCACGAAGGCGATGCTGTTGCGGTCCAGGTAGAGCAGCTCGAGCTCGGCCAGGTCAGCGAACCAGGCGCGCGCCACGCGGTCCAGCGCGTTGCCACCCAGGTTGAGCGTGCGCAGGCGCCGCAGGCCGCGGAAGGCGTCGGCCGGGAGCTCGGCCAGCAGGTTGTCGTTGAGCAGCAGATGCTCCAGGACGCCACAGTCCCCGAAGGCGCCAGCGTGCACGGCACGGACGCGGTTGGCCTGCAGGCTGAGCGAGCGCAGGCGGCGCAGGCCCTGCAGCGAGCTGGAGGCCACCGCCTCGATGCGGCCGCGCTCCAGGTGCGCGTGCGTCAGGTTGGCCAGGCCGCGCAGCGCGCCCGGCACGCGGCGGAACAGGTTGTCGAAGGCGGCGAGTTCGCGCAGGGCCGGCAGTTCGGCCAGGAGGCGCTCGGGCACGCTGAAGAGGCGGCAGGCTGCTAGGTCTAGGCGGCGCAGGCGGCTGAGCGCCGCGAAGGTGCGCGCGTGCAGGTAGCGCAGGTCGCCGTTGTGCGCCAGGCGCAGCTCAGCCAGGCGCGGCAGGCCCTTGAAGGCGCCGGGCGTGATGAAGGACAGGTTGTTGTGGCGCAGCGACAGGCGGCGCAAGGACGGCAGCGTGCCGAAGGCTCGCTCGCCCAGGAAGCGCAGGCCGTTCCGGTCCAGGTCGATGGAGACCGCCTCGCACGGGAGCTCGGCCGGCACCCGCAGGAGGCCCGCGCGGTCGCAGCGCACCGAGCAGCCGCGCTCCACGGTGCTGCAGGCGCAGGCGGCGGGACAAGCGCGGGCGCAGGCCCCCACGGCCCAGGCGCTGGGCAGGCCGAGGACCACCGCTGCGGGGACAGGGTGGTGGGGAGTCGGGAAGGAGGAGAAAAGAGAAAAAAGGAGCAACCGTCAGCCAAAGGTCACCCCAGGAAAAATCCTGCCTGTCCGGGCAGCAGGATGCAGGCCCTCCACCGAGTTATCTTGTGTCAGGCACATGGCCTCTTCCCACCTCCGCGGCCTCACACGGGTTTATCCACCTAAGACACCCGCTCCTTTGCTTTCCGGTTACCTTAATCAGCAAAACCCAGCTGCAATCCCTGCAGCTGACCCCGTTCTAAACTCCCTCCTGCCTGTACCACCACTTGTGTGCTCCTAGTGTGGCAGGCCAGGACTCACTAATGCAGGCCTCCATAACTACTGTTTCGGCACTGACTGAATGGTTAAGTTAAATATTAAAAGCTGACCGGTCGCAGTGGCTCACGCCTGTAATCCCAGCACTTTGGGAGGCCGAGGCGGGCAGATCACCTGAGCTCAGGAGTTCACACCAGCCTGAGCAACATGGTGAAACTCCGTCTCTACTAAAAATACAAAAATTAGCCGGGCGTGGTGACGGGCTCCTGTAATCCCACCTACTTGGGAGGCTGAAGCACGAGAATCCCTTGAACCCGGGAGGCGGAGGTTCCAGTGAGCTGAGATCACGCCACAGCACTCTAGCCTGGGCGACAGAGTGAGACTCCATATCAAAAATAAATAAATAAATAAATAAATTTGCCCGTGACACGTGGGTTGGTGGCGGTGGCGCAGGCGGAACCCAGGCTCCGCGGCTCGGGGCCTGCCCTGGCCTCTACTGCGGGGTGCCGGCGGAAGTGGGGGCGCGCACAGTAGCCACGGACCTCGCCAAGACAATGCAGGCTCCAGTGACCTTTCCTGTGCCTGTGCTCCGGCTGCCCCGAGGCCCTGATGGTCTCAGCCGTGGCTTTGCCCCTGATGGACGCAGAGCCCCCCTGTAGTCAGAGGTTCTTGAAATCCAGGAGTGTTCCATAGCTCAAGAATCCTTGGAATCCCAGAAGCAGCGGGCCCGAGCCGCCCTTCGGGATCGTTACCTCCGCGGCCTGCTGGCCATGGTGAGTCATCAGGTGAGCTTCACATTGCACGAGGGTGTGCGTGTGGCCACCCACTTTGGAGCCACCGACATGGATGTGGCCAACTTCTATGTGTCACAGCTACAGACTCCCATAGGTGTGCAAGCAGAGGCGCTGCTCCGATGTAGTGACATTATTTCGTATACCTTCAAGCCATAAAGATATTGTTCACCTTTTTGCTTGAGGCTAAGCCACTGTATCCCAGGCCTCCCAATGTTCCCGAGCCAGGAACTCTGGGCTCCATGGAGTTATGAGCTCCCTTGGAATTTTGAGCCAAGCTTTAAGGAAGTCTGGACTCCTGAGACCTCCTGAGTCTAGTCAGTAAAATTCTGCAACTCTAAGAATTCTAAGATCCCATTGGAAGGAATGCTCTACCTCACAGAACTCTGAACTCTACGGAAATATGGGCCTGATGCCATTGCCTGAATACCAGGGCATCGGAGTGTGGTGATAAAGGAGGACAAACTGCACAGGGGGAAGTTGTTTATTAAAGAGGTTGCAAAGTTCAGCCACCCTGAAGATACTCCCCAGTGCTCCCCTCTTGCTAAAGAACCAGTTACCCCAGGGGAAAAAAAAAAAAAAATACATATATATATATACACCAGTGCCCTTATACAAAGGCTGGAAGGTAACAAAAGCCCACCAAGAGTTTTGCCCAAGCCTTTCCTGGGCCTTAAAGCATGACAAGATTATGAAATAATTCTTAACAGGACCCATTTAGGATTAAACAAGTTTTACTGGGGGTCTAAACTCCCCAGACCTCCACAGACAAGTTTATTGGGGGTCTGGAGGAACTCCCCAAACCTCCATGATTTAGCAGGAGACAAAATAAGGGTAATCACCCCAGCACCTGGACCCATCTAGATTAAGTAAATTTACTGAGGCTCCAGAGGAAGGTCTTCAGGACTCAGACCTTAGTTATAGATTAAAAGAAGTTAATCACATGTCTTTAGATGAATGCACACTTACACGTAGACATGTAGCTTAGAAGGTATATAAACTCTGGGCCAGGTGCGGTGGCTCACGCCTGTAATCCCAACACTTCGAGAGGCCGAGGTGGGCAGATCACCTGAGGTGAGGAGTTAAAGACTAGCCTGGCCAACATGGTGAAACCCCGTCTCTACTAAAAATACAAAAATTAGCCGGGCATGGTGGTGGGCACCTGTAATCCCAACTGCTCAGAAGGCTGAGGCAGGAGAATTGCTTGAACCCAGAAAGCGGAGGTTGCAGTGAGCTGAGATAGTGCCATTGCACTCCAGCCTGGGTGAAAAGAGTGAAACTCCATCCCCCCCCTCCAAAAAAAGAAGGTATATAAGCTCTGGAAAAGTTCGTAATTTTGAGTTGGTCTAGAGATATTTTCCAGGCCTTTTCCCTGTAACCAGTTACAGAAATAAAAAACTCCCTCCTTTCCCAGTTCATCTGCATCTCATTATTGGGCCGTGAGAAATAGCAGCCCCACCCTCAGTTTGGTCGGGGAACACTAGAATGTGGCCTTGAGGGTTTGTTGTCTGCAGGCCCTGGGGGATCTCCGAGGACATCGCTGTGGCCTTCACCCTAGATCTGCGCTGCCCAATACAGTAGCCACTAGCCCCGTGGGCTACTGAGCATTTGAAATGTGGCCAACCCAAATTGAGATGTGCTATGCATATAGAAGACACACCAGATTTCAAAGACTTAAAAAGAGTAAAATACTGCATCAATGATTTTTTTTTTTTTTTTTTTGAGACAGAGTCCTCACTCTGTCGCCAGGCTGGAGTGCAATGGCGCTAATCTCGGCCCACTGCAACCTCCGCCTCCCAGGTTCAAGTGATTCTTCTGCCTCAGCCACCCGAGTAGCTGGGATTACAGGCATGTGCCACCACACCCGGCTAATTTTTGTATTTTTAGTAGAGATAGGGTTTTGCCATATTGGCCAGGCTGGTCTCAAACTCCTGACCTCAGTTGATCCGCCCACCTTGGCCTCCCAAAGTGCTGGGATTACAGGTGTGAGCCACCACACCCAGCTGCATCAATGATTTTTATACTGATTACATGTTACAATGGTATTTTAGATATATTGGGTTAAATAAAATATTAAAATTAATGTTAACTGTTTCTTTTTACGTTTTTTAATGTGACTACTCAGAATTTTTAAACATGCGGCTTGTGTTATATTTCTGTTGGTGCTACTATAGTTCCTCTCACCAGAAGAATTCAATTCCTGAACACCCCCATTGAGTAAATTATGCCTCAAGGAGGAGGGAGAATTAGGGAGCAGGAGATTGGGAATGAAAGAAAAGCCTGTCAATCAATTTTTTTTTTCTGTAACAGTCACTAAAATTAAGCCAAAAGGACAGCATACTAAATAAAATCAATGACCTTCTTGCACATCTCAAAAGAATTAATTATAGACACGCTGCAGTTAAGTTCCATTCACCAGTCCTTGCCTGCTAGAAACTTTTTTACATCATCATGGGAGAGTAAGTTGCTTATAAATTACTTTCATTTTGAGCATTTGAATGGAGGATCAGATAAAGACTTCAAAAGCCCACAAGTAGGCTTGCCACCTGCAGCAAAGTAGAATGTCATGAGGCTGGGCACAGTGGCTCATGCCTGTAATCCCAGCACTTTGGGAGGCAGAGGCGGGTGGATCACCTAAGGTCAGGTGTTCGAGACTAGCCTGGCCAACATGGTGAAACCCTGTCTCTACTAAAAGTACAAAAATTAGCCGGGTGTGGTGGCATGCACCTATAATCCCAGCTACTCGGGAGGCTGAAGCAGGAGAATTGCTTGAACCCAGGAGGCAAAGGTTGCAGTGAGCCGAGATTGCACCACTACACTCTAGCCTGGGTGACAGAGTGAGACTCCGTCTCAAAAAAAAAAAAAAAAAGTAGAATGTCATCGTGGCCTGCTACCCTGTGGAAGCCAGAGGCCCCAAGCCCAATCTTGAGGACCAATGGAAAAGACAGCATGGTAGATGCACAATGTTTATTTCATGGTCAGGGGCAGCTCTATCTGAAATTCCTGTAGGAGAGCAAACGGTACCCAGATGTAAATATGCCCACCGATTCATAATTTCTACCCCTCCTCATCAGTACTCCCGAATTCCTAGCAAATACCCCTGGCCTGCCACTCACATCCTCCCATTCTGTACACATTACCCGGCCTTGCCTACCCAAGTCCCTGCAGGAACCTGAAGATGTGGCCCCAAAAGGGATATGTAGAATACACTTGCTGCCACCTCTGTAGCTCTGCTTGGTTTCCAGTGTCTTTTCAGGTCATCTGTTATGGACACTCCATGTTTTCTAAGCAGCTGAGAAGTGGATCCAGCCCTCTCAGACACAGCTGAAGAGCACTCAGGCCTTTGAACAGCCCCTCAGTTGTAAACTGGAGCCACTTCAACATTCTGATGTTGAGGATGCCTGACTTAGCTTTTCCATCTCCCTAAAAACTGAGATAGACACCAAGCTTCCAGCAAGGTTCTTGGGCTCTGTGCTGAGCCTGGCTGTAAACAGGGCTGCTGCTGGGCTGGGGAGACACCCTGCTAGGGAGACAGGGCCAAGAATATAACCTTAACTGCAGGCCTCAGCTGGAAAGAGGCAGAACCTTTTTCTATCAACCCTTCCAACTAGGTCAAGTATCAGGCATCAGGTTTCTTTACAAATAGTCCTTCATTCTACTCTCTTCTTTCTAATTAAGGAAAGTACACTCAGTCATATGACTCATGTTTATACCCCACAATAGCTAACACTGTTCCAGGCGCACTGTATGGCTCAATAAACGTTTGTAGAATTAAATGATGCCTTCCTATGCAAGGATTCCTCCATTTATTTTAAAAATTGTTTGCTGGCCAGGCATGGTGCTCATGCCTGCAATCCCAGCACTTTGGGAGGCCAAGGCGTGCAGATCACTGGAGTCAGAAGTTCAAGACCAGCCTGGCCAACATGGTGAAACCCCATCTCTACTAAAAATACAAAAATTAGCCAGGTGTGGTGGCGCGTGCCTGTAGTCCCAGCTACTCTGGAGGCTGAGGCATAAGAATCACTTGAACCAGGGAGGCAGAGGTTGCAGTGAGCTGAGATCACACTACTGCACTCCAGCCCAGGCAACAGAGCGAGACTCTGTCTCAAAAAAAAAAAAAAAAAAATTATTTGTCAAGGAACTCCTGGGATTACAACAGTCAGGATACAACCAATTTGTATAATGCAAGAGATCAGAAAGGTAGCTGCCTATGTTTAAAAAACATATATGAGAAGAGTGAGACTGAAGCTTCTCAATGTACACTGCTTTTAGCCTTTAACATTTTGAACCATGTGGCTATGTTACCTATTTCAAAAAATAGATTAGAGTTTAAACTTTAATTAAACACTCAAGAAATTGTCACTATTAGAGACTTATTTTTAGCCTCTGAAACTTTGATAGCCATTAGGAGCAATAACTAATTTACTGGATTATTTAGTGACATTTAAATTAAGTCAAGGCCGGGTACAGTGGCTCACACCTGTAATCCCAGCACTTTGTGAGGCTATGGCAGGAGGATCGCTTGAGCCCAGGAGTTTCAGACCAGCCTGGGCAATATAGTGAGACCCCTATCTCTATAAAAAATAAAAAAATTAGCCATGCACAGTGGTGTGCACCTGTAGTCCCAGCTACTCAGGAGGCTGAGGCAGGAAGATTACTTGAGCCCAGGAGTTCAAGATTACAGTGAGCTATGATTGGACCACTGAACTCCAGCCTGGACAACAGAGCAAGACCTTGTCCTCCCAAAAAATAATAAATTAAGTCTCCAGGCGCGGTGGCTCATGACTGTAATTCCAGCACTTTGGGAGGCAGAGGCAGACAGATCACCTGAGGTCAGGAGTTCGAGACCAGCCTGGCCAACATGGTGAAACCCCGTCTCTACTAAAAATACAAAAATTAGCCAGACGCAGTGGCACACGCCTGTAATCCCAGCTACTCAGGAGGCTGACGCACAAGAATCGCTTGAACCCGGGAGGCAGAGGTTGCAGTGAGCCAAGATCATGCCACTGTACTCCAGCCTGAGTGACACAGTGAGACTCCATCTAAAATAATAAATAATAAATAATAATAATAATAAATTAAGTCAAGTAAATTCTCAGAACTGACAGCAAAACTGTATTGGTTTGTTCAGTATAAAGACTAAGTACATGTTTAGTGAGCCAGAAAAGCAAGGCACCAAAAAAAAATTCTTTTAATAATAATATATGTGGATGAGTTCTACTGCAATCATGGCAGAGTAGCTTCTATCAGACTAACATTCCCACTGCTATCTATGGTAGACTCTGGACAAAATTTTTTTAAAAAAATTGTTTTAGCTGGGCGTGGTGGCTCACACCTGTAATCCCAGCACTTTGGGAGGCCGAGGTGGGTGGATCACCGGAGGTCAGGAGTTCGAGACCAGTCTGGCCAACATGGCGAAACCCTGCCTCTACTAAAACTACAAACAAACAAAAATTAGCCTGGCATGGTGGCAGGCACCTGTAATCCCAGCTACTTAGGAGGCTGAAGCAAGCAAATCTCTTGAACTCGTGAGGCGGAGGTTGCAGTGAGCCAAGATCACACCATTGCACTCCAGCCTGGGCAACAAGAGCGAAAATTCATCTCAAAAAAAAAAAAAAAAAAAAAAAAAGACCAGTCTGGCCAACATGGCGAAACCCTGTCTCTACTAAAACTACAAAAAAAAAAAAAAATTAGCCAGGCATGGTGGCGGGCACCTGTAATCCCAGCTACTCGAGAGGCTGAGGCAGGAAAATTGCTTGAACCTGGGAGGCAGAGGTTGCAGTGAGCCAGGTTCACGCCATTACACTCCAGCCTGGGCTACAAGAGCGAAACTCTGTCTCAAAAAAAAAAAAAAATTGTTTTAAAGCACCAGGGAACAACCAAAACAGGCAATCAGAGTCGATGCAACCCTTCAAAGAAGAGACACAAACTAGGTGAGATGTGCATCTAACTGATTTTTCCTCTCAGGATTTTTTTTTTATTTTTTATTTTTTTAGACAGGGTCTCTTCTCTCCGTTGCCCAGGCTGGAGTGCGGTGGTGCAATCTCGGTTCACCACAGTCTTGACCTCCCTGGGCTTGGGTAATCCTCCCACCTCAGCCTCCCAAGTAGCTGGGACTACAAGTATGTACCACCATGCCCAGCTAATTTTATGTAGACAAGGTATCACTATGTTGCCGAGGCT
This sequence comes from Homo sapiens, assembly GCF_000001405.40. Classification (NCBI taxonomy): domain Eukaryota; kingdom Metazoa; phylum Chordata; class Mammalia; order Primates; family Hominidae; genus Homo; species Homo sapiens. Next base: position 41,466,233 of record NC_000023.11, on the reverse strand, counting down.
GGTCTTGAACTCCTGACCTCAAGAGATCCTCCTGCCTCGGCCTCCCAAAGTGCTGGGATCACAGGCGTGAGCCTCTGGGCCCGGCTCTCTCAGGGCAATTTCAAGTCCACACAGCACATGGTGAGTGAAGCTAAAGCAGAAAGCAAGCTGACAGCTTAGAGGTCAGCATTTATAGCTGCCACAGTGGCTGGAAATTGAGGAGGGAAAACATGGAAAAAGGGAGCCTCAAAAGAGGAGCCACAAAGTTAGTATACAGGTTCCCCTTATGTCCTTGGCTGAGTTCTGAAGGGCATATGTGTGGGATGACTCCAGGGAGCCCAAGGGGAAAGCAAGAACTAAACACCAAAAGACCTAAACAGAGATTTTAGCAATTGCCCAGTGACAGGAGGCAGTTTAAGAGTTCAAGGTCCCAGCTGGGCGTGGTGGTTCACGCCTGTAATCCCAGCACTTTGGGAAGGCGAGGCAGGCAGATCACTTGAGGTCAGGAGTTCGAGACCAGCCAACATGGTAAAACCTCATCTTTACTAAAAATACAAAAAAAAAAAAAAAATAGCTGGGTGTGGTGACAGGCACCTGTAGTCCCAGCTACTCGGGGGGCAGGTAGCTGGGACTACAGGTGGAGGTTGCAGTGAGCTGAGATCATGCCACTGCACTCCAGCCTGGGCAACAGAGCAAGGCTCTATCTTAAAAAAAAAAAAAAAAGAGTTCAAGGTCTGCCAAGTTAGAGGAGCTTGTCAAATACCTTGAGCTTTCCACTGAAACCCCAAAGGACCATGCCTCAGGAGTGAAGACCATTTCCCAGGACTAAAGGCAAAACTCAAGTAGTCCTACCCTTAAAAAGCCTAAAACCAAGGCTTTCAGGGAACAAGGTGATCTGCCAGTAATTTAACTGAATGCCAGAACAAAATTCTACACTCTTCAACAGAAGACAAGAGAATCCAGAGTTTCTACCACTGGCTCCGCAGTATCCAGTGTACAACCAAATACTAGTAGACATGTGAAGAAGCAGCAAACATGACACTTGTCAAGAAGGAAAAAAAAAACAGCAGAAGCAGATTCAGACAGCCCACATGTTGGAATTACCAAGCAAAGATTTGCTATAAATATGTTAAGGAATTTACAGGAAAAGATAGGGATCATGGGCAAAGACATGGGGAATCTGAATTTTAGAAGAGGTATGGAAACTCTAAAAAGGAACCCAGTAGAAATCTTAGTACTGAAACAATAGCTGAAATTTTAAAAATTATTGAATAAGATAAATAGCAGATTAGACACTGCAGAAGAAAATCTTCATAAACTTGAAGAGAGGCGAGTAGTTATTAACCAAAGTGAAGCACAGAGAGAAAATAAAAAGAAGACTGGGGGAAAAATTATCAGAGCCTCAATGACCTGTGGAACAATATCAAGCAATTAGACTAATATACATGTATGTGGAGTCTCAGAGGAGAGAAGATACAGAATATGGCTAAAAGATAGTTGATGACAGTTTCCAAATTTGATTAAAACAAGAAGCTTAGCAAGCCCCAAGTAACATAAAACACACACACACACACACACACACACGCACGGCCCATCATAGCCAAAGATAGAAAATTCTTAAAAGTATCCAAAACAAAAAGACATATTACATAGAGTAAAAAACAGTAAAAGATAATCACAGTTATGGTCTGAATGTTTATGTCCGCCTTCCAAATTTATGTGTTGAAATCCTAACCCCCAAAGTGATGGTATTAGGAGATGGAGACTTTGAGAGGTACTTAGGTCAGGAGAGTGGATGATCAAGAATGGGATTAGTGGCTGGGCACAGTGGCCCATGCCTGTAATCCTAGCACTTTTGGAGGCCGAGGTGGGTGGATCGCTTGAGCCCAGGAGTTTGAGACCAGCCTGGGCAACATGGCAAAACCCTGTCTCTACACAAAAATTAACTATGTGTGGTGGCATGTGCCTGTAATCCCAGCTACTTGGGAGGCTGAGGTGGGAGGATCGCTTAAGCCCAGGAGACAGAGGTTGCAGTAAGTGGAGATCATGCCACTGAATTCCTGCCTGGGCCACAGAGCCAGACCTTGTTTTAAAAAAAAAAAAAAAGAATGGGATTAGTGCTCTTTAAGCGCTGAATGAAAAGCAAAATTTGGCAACCTAGAATTCTCTCTCTCTCCAGTAAAAATATCTTCAGAAATGAAGGGCAATAGAGATATTTTCAGGTAAACAAAATCTGAGAAAATTCTTCTCCAGCAGATCTTCTGCACAGGAAATGAAGACATTCTTCAGTCTGAAAGAAAATGCTGGTAGATGAAAATTAGGTCTACAAGAAGGAATAAAGAGCGATGGAAATGGTAAGTATGTTACTAAATATAAAAGACTACTGGCCGGCACGGTGGCTCACCCCTGTAATCCCAGCACTTTGGGAGGCCGATGGGGGGGTGGATCACCTGAGGTCAGGAGTTCAAGACCAGCCTGGCCAACATGATGAGACCCTGTCTCTACTAAAAATACAAAAAATTAGCCAGGCATTGGGCTGGACGTGGTGGCTCATGCCTGTAATCCCAGCACGTTGGGAGGCCGAGGCGGGCAGATCACTAGGTCAAGAGATCTAGACTATCCTGGCCAACATGGTGAAACCCCGTCTCTACTAAAAATACAAAAATTAGCTGGGTGTGGTGGCGCACACCTGTAGTCCCAGCCACTCGGGAGGCTGAGGCAGGAGAATCGCTTGAACCCAGGAGGCAGAGGTTGCAGTGAGCCGAGATTGCGCCACTGCACTCCAGCCTGGGCAACAAGAGCAAAACTCCGTCTCAGAAAAAAAAAAAAAAAGAGACTACTATTTCTCACCTTAATTGCTTAAAAGACAAGTGACTATTTAAAACAAAAATAACAATGTATTGTGGAGTTTAAAACACGTAAATGAAAACTATGACAACAATTACATGAAGGATGAGAAGGGAGGTGAATTGAATTGTACTCTCATAAGGATCTTACATTATACTTGAAGCAATACAAGATTAATTCAAGGTAGACCACGACAAGGATGCATAGTGTAATCCCTGGAAAGTAAAAAGAATCTCAACACCTACCTCACACCATACGCAAAATTCATTTTAGATGGACCGTAAACCTAAATGTAAAAGCTAAAACTTACAAAGCTTCGTGGAGATAACACAGGAGAGTATCTTTGTTACCTAGAGGTAGGTGAAGATTTCTTGGGACAAAAAAAAAGAGAGAGAGAAGAAGAAAAAGCAATAACCATAAAATTAAAAATAATAATAATAAACTAGACTTCATCAAAATTTAAAACTTCTTCTCTTTCAAAGACACTGCAAAGTAAATGAAAAGACGGGCAATAGACTGTGAGAAAATATTTGTAAGTCACATATCTCATTAAAGACTTGTATTTAAAATATATGAAGAACTCCCAAAACTCAATAAGAAAATAATCCAATTAATAAATGGGCAAAATATTTGCAGAAACATTTCACCAAAAAAAGATAGACAGAAGATAAATAAGCACATGAAAAGATGCTCAACATCATTAGTTGTTAGGGAGATACAAATTAAAGTAGCCACCTATTAGAATGGCTAAAATTAGAAAGACTGGCCATACTATAAGAAGACAGCAGCCTGCAGCCCAGGAAAGAGCCATCACCAGAACCCAACCATGCTGGCACCCCAATCTTGGACTTCCAGCCTCCAGAATTGTGATAAATACATTTCTGTTGCTTATAAGCCACCCAGTTTATGGAACTTTGATACAATAGCCTGAAGGGACTAAAACAGGTGCCAAGTGTTGGAGAACATGTGGAACAGGTGGGACTGTCTTACACTGCCGGTGGAATGTAAAATGGGACTTCCAAATTGGAAACAATGAGGTTGTTTCTTTAAAAGTTAAACATATGCCTACCTTATAATCCAGCCATTCTACTCCTAGGGAAATAAAAGCGTATGTCTATACAAAGACTTTGGCAGCTTTATTCTTAATAGCCCAAAACTAGAAACAGTGCAAACGTCCATCAAGAGTTGAATGGGCAAACAAATGATATAGCCATACAGTGGAATATTACTCAGCAATAAAAAGCAATGACTATTGGATAATTCACAAAAGAAGATATACAAATGGCCAAGAAACATGAAAAAATGCTTGGCCAGGCACGGAGGCTCATGCCTGTAATCCCAGCACTTTGGGAGGCCGAGGCGGGTGGATCACGAGGTCAGGAGTTCAAGACTAGCCTGGCCAATATAGTGAAACCCCGTCTCTACTAAAAATACAAAAATTAGCCAGGCGTGGTGGCCCGTGCCTGTAATCCCAGCTACTCAGGAGGCTGAGGCAGGAGAATTGCTTGAACCCAGGAGGCAGAGGTTGCAGTGAGCCGAGATCGCACCACTGCACTCCAGCCTGGACGACAGAGTGAGACTGTGTCTCAGGAAAAAAAGAAAAAAGAAAAAATGCTCAACATCATTAATGATCAGAGAAATGCAAATCAAAACCACAACGCAAAACCACCTTACTCCTGCAAGAATGGCCATAATCAAAAAATCAAAAAATAATAGATGCTGGCATGGATGTGGTGAACAGGGAACACTTCTACACTGCTGGTGGGAATGTAAACTACTACAACCACTATGGAAAACAGTGTGGAGATCCCTTAAAGAACTAAAAGTAGAACTACCATTTGATCCAGCAATCCCACTACTGGGTATCTACTCAGAGGAAAAGAAGTCATTATATGAAAAAGATCCTTGCACGCACGTTTATAGCAGCACAATTCGCAATTGCAAAAATATGGAACCACCCCAAATGCCCATCAGTTAACAAGTGGATAAAGAAACTGTGGTGTATATATATATATATATATATATGACGGAATATTACTCAGCCATAAAAAGGAATAAATTAATGGCATTCGCAGCAACCTGGATGGGACTGGAGACTATTATTCTAAGTGAAGTAACTCAGGAATGGAAAACCAAATATCATGCATTCTCACTCATAAGTGGGAGCTAAGCTATAAGGATGCAAAGGCATGAGAATGATACAATGGATTTTGGGGACTCAGAGGGAAAGGGTGGGAGGGGGTGAGGGATAAAAGACTATAATTTGGGTTCAGTGTTTGTTGCTCAGGTGATGATTGCACCAAAATATCACAAATCACCACTAAAGAACTTACTCATGTAACCAAATACCTCCTGTTCCCCAAAAACCTATGGAAATTTTAAAAAATGAAAGAGAAAAAAATAATGTTAAAATTGCCAAAAAAAAAAGGAATGACTATTGATACCTGCAACATGGATGAATCACGTGATAGATAATTCTGCTGAGTGAAAGGAGCCAGACCAAAAAAAAAAAAAAAAAAAAAAAAAAAAAATACATACTGTGTGACTCCGCTTACATAAAATTCTAGAAACTGTAAACTAATCTATAGTAACAGAAAGATCAGGGGTTGCCTGGGGATGAGTAGGGAGGCAAAGAAGGGCAGGAGGGAGAGATTATAATGGGGCATGATTCTTGGGGGTGATGGATATGTTCATTATCTTGATTGAGGTGATGGTTTCGTGAGGATACACTTTAAATATGAATTGTATGTATGTATGTATGTGTTATATATATGACTATACAGAATGTAAAAATAACTCCTACAAATGAATAATGAAAAGACAACTAAGTAAAAATCGGTGATTGCTTTCACTTTGCCAGCAAAGAAAAAGAATAAAATTTTTTAAAATTTATTTTTAAAAAATGGATAAAAGACTTGAATGCTTAACAAAAGAATAGGCTGGGTGCGGTGGCTCACGCCTGGAATCCCAACACTTCTTTGGGAGGCCGAGGTGGGCAGATCACTTGAGGTCAGGGGTTCAAGAACAGCCCCGCCAACATGGCGAAACCCCGTCTCTACTAAAAATACAAAAATTAGCCGGATGTGGTAGCGGGTGCCTGTAATCCCAGCTACTCAAGAGGCTGAGGCAGGAGAATCGCTTGAACCCAGGAGGCAGAGGCTGCAGTGAGCTAAGATGGCACCACCGCACTCCAGCCTGGGTGACAAAGTGAAACCTTGTCTCAAAAAAAAAAAAAAAAGAAAAAGAATATATTACATGGCCATTAAGCACATGAAAAGGTGCTCAGCATCATTAGCCATCAGAGAAATGCAAATTAAAACTGCAGTGAGATTTTCTGCTAAAATTCAAAAGACTGATAACCCCATATGTTGATGAGGATGGAGAACAACTAGATTCTTTCACATAGTCAATGGGAGTGTAAAATAGCTCAATAGCTTTGTAAAACTTTGGCAATATCTATTAAAGCTAAATATATGCCTATCATATGACTCAGCAATTCCACTCCTAGGTATTTGCCCAAGAGAAATGAAAAAAAAAAAAAAAGTCCACAAAAAGACTATAGAAGAGTGTTCATAGAGGCTAATTTATAATTGATAAAAAGTAGAAATTACCCAACAGTAGAATGGAGAAATAAATTATAATTTATTTGTACAGTAGAATACTACTCAGCAATAAAAGGAACAAACTACTGATACAAGCAATAAAAACATGTTAACAGAAACTTGACACAAAAGAAACATACTATACGATGACTTTTTGTTTTCTTTTTTCTTTTCTTTTTTTTTCCCCAAGACAGAGTCTTGCTCTGTTGCCCAGCCTGGAGTGCAGTGGCATGATCTCGGCTCACTGCAACCTCCGCCTCCTGGGTTCAAGTGATTCTTCTGCCTCAGCCTCCCGAGTAGCTGGGATTACAGGCGCCCACCACCACACCCAGATAATTTTTGTATTTTTAGTAGAGATGGAGTTTCACCATGTTGGTCAGGCTGGTCTCGAACTCCTGACCTCAGGAGATCCACCTGCCTCGGCCTCCCAAAGTGCTGGGATTACAGGCATAAGCCACCACACCCAGCCTATATGATGACATTTACGTGCAGTCCTAGAACAGAGCTGCTGGGAGTGGCTCGGGGCAGCTCAACAGAACAAGACCTACAGATGGAAGCACCCCCAAATGACAGCAAATATCTACAGGACATAGTTTAGGTACTGTGGTAACATATGTTATCTGGGTAATATGAACATGTATAATGCTACTCAAATTAATTAAATTGTATGGGTTTCTTTTGCTCTTAAAACAACGAACTTTGTTGTTGTTGTTGTTGTTGTTTGAGACGGAGTCTCGCTCTGTTGCCCAGGCTGGAGTGCAGTGGCGCCATCTCAGCTCACTGCAACCTCCACCTGCCGGGTTCAAGTGATTCTCCTGCCTCAGCCTCCCAAGTAGCTGGGACTACAGGCACCTGCCACCACACCTGGCTAATTTTTTGTGTATTTTTGGTAGAGGCGGGGTTTCACCATGTTGGCCAGGCTGGTCTCGAACTCCTGACCTTAAGTGATCTGCCCACTTTGGTCTCCCAAAGTGCTGGGATTACAGGCGTGAGCCACTACGCCTGGCCAACAACCAGCTTTTAATAAGAATTTGCTCAGGGCCGGGTGTGGTGGCTCATGCCTGTAATCCCAGCACTTTGGGAGGCTGAGGTGGGTAGATCACTTGAGGTCAGGAGTTTGAGACCAGCCTGGCCAACATGGTGAAACCCCATCTCTACTAAAAATACAAAAATTAGCTGGGCATGGTGGCACGCACCTGTAGTCCCAGCTACTCAGGGGGAGAGGGGCTGAGGTAGGAGAATCACTTGAACCCGAGTGGCAGAGGCTGCAGTGAGCCAAGATCATACAACTGCACTCCAGCCTGGGCAATAGAGTGAGACTCCGTCTCAAAAAGAATTTGCTCAGGGCTAAGCTTGCCATAGACATTATTCCATTTAATATGACAGCCATGCAAGATAAGGATTATTCTTCTCTTCTCATGAAAGAGGAAACTGAGGTTCAGGACGGTTAAATGATGCCAACCTTTGTTTGTTTTTCACTATACTGTACTATCTCCCACCCCACACACCTAGCCTTTCTGAGATTTCATTGCTTTAACTGTAAACTGAAGAAACTGCATACTATGGTTTGAATATGTCCTCCTAAGTTCACGTGTTGGAGACTTAAACCCCACTGCAGTAGTGTTGAGAGGTGGGCTCTTTAAGAGGTGGTTAGGTCGTGAGGCCTCTGCTCTCATGAAGGAATTAATGTTATTATTGCAAAAGTAGATTTGTAATAAAAGCAGGTTCAGCCCCATCTTGCTCTCTCACACTTCCACCTTCCACCATGGGATGGCGCCGCAGGAAGGCTTTTACTTGATGTGAGCCCCTCAATCCTGGACTTCCCAACCTCCAGAAATGTAAGATATAAATATCTGTTCTTTATAAATTGCCCAGTCTCTAGTATTGTTACAGCAGCACGAAATAGACTAAGACACTGCACATCCTGGTCTTTGAGAGCCCTTGTAGCTTTCATTTTCCACGGTCTGACAGCAGGTGTTGCCAGCCACTGCCTCTAAGAAAAAAATACCCTACTCAGAGCCCCATGTGTCTCTGCCATCTCCTCCCAACCACAGCTGTTTGCACCGCAGTTGAACACTTTGACCTAAACAGAGCTAATCAGATTCATTCTTTCTCCGTGAAAATGGAATAGGCAGTGAATAACTAGTCAGTAAGGTGATGTGAGCACCAACCTGTCTAGCTTTGGGGCTGGAGTTTGTACCAAAGCCATGTGCAGGTCAAAGTTATGGGGGAGCAGGAGCCAAGGGCAAGGTGAAGAAGCTGGTGTATTGTCTTAATCAGTTCAGGCTGCCATAACACACTACCGTAGACTCGGTGGCTTACAAACAACAGAAATTGATTTCTCACAGTTCTGGAGGCTGGCAAATCCAAGAGCAAGGCAGATTCTGCGTCTGCCAAGGGCCCACTTCTTGGTTCATAGACAGTTGTCTTCTCACTGTGTTCTCATGTGGTAGAAAGGGCAAGGGAGCTCTCTGAGGCCTTTTTTTTTTTTTTTTTTTGAGATGGAGTTTCGTTCTTGTTGCCCAAGCCTGGAGTGCAATGACACGATCTCGGCTCACTGCAACCTCCGCCTCCCGGGTTCAAGCGATTCTCCTGCCTCAGCCTCCCGAGTAGCTGGGATTACAGGCATGCGCCACCATGCCCAGGTAATTTTGTATTTTTAATAGAGATGGGGTTTCACCATGTTGCCCATGCTGGTGTGAACTCCTGAGCTCAGGTGATCCACCCGCCTCAGCCTCCCAAAGTGCTGGGATTACAGGCATGAACCACCACACCTGGCCTCTGAGGCCTCTTTTATGAGGGCACTAATTCCATTCATGAGGGCTCCACTCTCAGGACCTAATCCCCTCCTAAAGGCGCCACCTCCTAATACCATCATCTTGGGGAGTTGGGTTCAATATATGAATTGGGTGGGGAATGGGGGTCAGAAACATTCAGACCATAGCATGTGTTCTGGCTCCTGAGTACCTTTTAAGCACTCTTTCTACATTTAGAGAATTTCCAACATCATACGTCCTGCCTCCTCAAGATGGAAGCCGGAAACTCTCTTTCTCAACTCCCTTTACAGTTAGGGCTCAGGCATGTGACATAGCTTTGTCAATCAAACACCCAGTAAGACTTGGATTCAGAAGTAGGCACCAGGCAGAAACCAATGTCTGGCCAGAATGATGGCAGAGGCTTTTAGGCTTGCATTTCTGGCACCCAGTACCCAACATGATTCCCTGGAGCTGCCAGGTATGGCCACCAATGGCAGTGGCCACAGGATTTTTGCTGGAGCTGTGCACTTCCTGGTTTAGGCATTGCTCTGGGCAGTGTGGCCTCTAGTAGGAAGCCTGAGAATACCTAATGTCCCTAAGTAAACTCCTTCTTGCCTTCAATGACCTAGAGAAGATGCTTTGCAACAAGAGTCCTGAGCAATATCCTGAATCAGACAGGCTCCCTTAATCTCTCTAGAACCATCTCCCTCTTCCTGGCCTCTCCTCCTTTTCCTGAAGAACCACGTGATGCAATGGCAGGATCTCAGCTCACTGCAACCTCTGCCTCCCGGGTTCAAGCGATTCTCCTGCCTAGTCTCCCAAGTAGCTGGGACTACTGGCACGCACCATCACGCCCAACTAATTTTTGTATTTTTAGTAGAAACGGGGTTCCACCATGTTGATCAGGCTGGTCTTGAACCGCCTAGTCAAGTGATCCGCTCTCCTCAGCCTCCCAAAGTGCTGGGATTACAGGCATGAGCCACCGCACCCAGCCAGTGACCTCTTCACCTTGGCAGAGAAAACAACTCAAATTCAGGACCATGCAGCACCCCTCAACCAAAAGGAAACTGCTCCCCATTCGCTGACAGGAAATACATAACATCAAATCAAACACTGTTTAGGACATCCCTGGTTTTGCTGAATCCAAATGAAAAAATAGCCTCTCCCAGAATCAGCAGTGATCATTCCAAAAACGAATCTCCTTGGCTATTCAGAGCTGGGTTCCATGGGAATACCTTGGCCAGAAAAACATTTACCACATTAAAAATAAAGATTACAGTTTGTGAAAAGAGAAGGTGAAACTCATTTGGCAGTTGCTTAGCAATTTCTCTTCTTGCACCGGTATTTTGGGGAAGGATCCATCTGGAAATCGGAAAAAGGCTTCAGAGCTTTTTTTTCCCAGTCTGAGGTAGGGAGGGGAAGATGAGAAATAAATGTAGCAGGACTGCCCTGGGCTCATGACAGGTCCCTACTCAGCCAGCCTCTGTCATCACCCCGGGATTCACATGCAAGGCTTTCCAGAACATTCGGTCTTAAAATACTCACCCCGAGGGCACAGCCTCTTGACCTAGTTCTCTCATAAACTCTGAGGACACTCTCATCCCTGTTCTGTCATACTGCTTTAAAAAAAAAAAAAATCCTCAGGCTGGGCGCAGTGACTCATGCCTGTAATCCCAGCACTTTGGGAGGCCGAGGCAGGCAGATCACCTGAGGTCAGGAGTTCGAGACCAGCCTGACCAACACGGTGAAACCCTGTCTCCACTAAAAACACAAAAAATTAGCCGGGCATGGTGGTGGGCGCCTGTAATCCCAGCTACTCAGGAGGCTGAGGCAGGAGAATCACTTGAATCCAGGAGGCGGAGGTTGTAGTGAGCCGAGATTGCAACACTTTACTCCAGCCTGGGCAACAGAGTGAGACTCTGTCTCAAAAGAAAAAAAAAAACAAAAAAACAAAAACCTCAGACAACCTCTGTCTCTCAGTTTCCTCATCTGTAATTTGTAGACAGTTATGGGGGACAGATGTGTCTCGTTGCTTGACACAGCTGTGAAAACACTGGCCCAAGCTAGTTGTGGGCTCTTATGAACCATTCTTGTCACAGGATTAAACCTCACTAAGGCACAAATCCTTCAAAGACCATGTGGAGGCCAGGTGCAGTGGCTCATGCCTGTGATCCCAGCACTTTGGGAAGCCAAGGTGGGAAGATCACTTGAGCCCGGAAGTTCAGGATGAGCCTGGGCAACATGGCAAGACCTCATCTCTACAAAAAATACAAAAATTAGCCAGGCGTGGTGATGCACACCTGTACTCCTAGCTACTTGGAAGGCTGAGGTGGGAGGATTGCTTGAGCCAAGGAGGTCGAGGCTACAGTGAGCTGTGCCTGTGCCACTGCGCTCCAGCCTAGGTGACAGAGTGAGAGCCCATCTTAAAAAAAAAGGATCAGCCGGGCGCAGTGGCTCACACCTGTAATCCCAGCACTTTGGGAGGCTGAGGCAGGTGGATCACAAGGTAAGGAGTTCAAGACCAGCCTGGCCAATATGGTGAACCCCGTCTCTACTGAAAATACAAAAAATTATTCAGGCATGGTGGCATGCACCTATAGTCCCAACTACTCCGGAGGCTGAGGCAGAGGAATTGCTTGAACCCGGGAGGCGGAGGTTGCAGTGAGCTGAGATCACGCCACTGCACTCCAGCCTGAGCGACAGAGTGAGACTCCATCTCAAAAAAAAAAGGGACCATGTGGAAATCTGCCCTAGAATGGAAAGCAAGACACCAGTTGTCAGAATACTGAAGCTATTACTAGGGATAGGCTGTAAAGAGGAGTCTGGAGTCTAGGATGGTTCATTTCCAGGGCTGAACATTAGAATCACCTTGTGGAGCTTTGAAAACTCACAGTGCCCAGGCCATACATCAGATCAATTACATCAGAATCTTCAGGGGTGGGATCAGGCATTGGTATGTTTGAAGCTCCACAGGTGATTACCATATGCAGCCAAAGTCAAAAATCAAAGGTCTAGATGCACCAATTTTATAAAAATGGGATTCATCTGTGTGATATAAAGAGTTACAAAGTGTAATGTAGAGTTAGTATATGACCTAGCAATTCCATGCCTAGGCATATGCCTAAAGGAATTGACAGCAAGGTCTCAAAGAGACAGTTGCACATGCACGTTCACAGCAGCATTATTCACAACAGCCCAAGGTAGAAACAACAAATGTCCATCAGCCAATGGATGGATAAGCAAATGTGGCATAACTATACAACGGAATATTATTTGGCCTTAAAAAGGAATGAAGGCCTGGCACGGTGGCTCACGCCTATAATCCCAACACTTTGAGAGGCCAAGGCAGGCAGATTGCTTGAGTCCAGGGGTTCAAGACCAGCCTTGGCAACATGGTGAAACCCCATCTCTACTAAAAATATAAAAATTAGCTGGGCATGGTGGTGCATGCCTGTAGTCCCAGCTACTCGGGAGGCTGAGGCATGAGAATAGCTTGAACCTGGGAGGCGGAGGTTGCAGTGAGCAGAGATCGTACCACTGCACTCCAGCCTGGGCGACAGAGCAAGACTCTATCTCAAAAAAAAAAAAAAGAAGAAGAAGAAGAAAATAAGATAGTTAATGGTTAATTTTATCTTGTGTGAATTTTCCTTCAGTTTTTTAAAAATCTTACAAGGCGTCCCTGAATCTGGGAAAATAAACACCAGAAATGGCTCCCTGCTTGTGTGTCCCTATCGGGTGTCCTGGCCAGCCCCCGAGCTGCAAGGAGGCAGGGATGGCCAGCCTCAGGCACCCGCATAATGAGGTCTAATGCAGACCATCTGAGCAGTTTCTCTTTCCTAAGCCCTCGGCTTTTCAAATATGTGCTTTCCCACCTTGAGGTTTGCTAGGAGAACAGCTACTTGGTGTTTCCAACCACAGACTGAGATTGGAATGTTTCTTTATTCTCATTGTTTTAAAAGAACTTGAGCCTTATGAAACCAAAAATAGCAAGGGAAAACATGGTCAAATTTCTGGTTTCAGCAAAATCTATTTAGCTACCTTGGCTCTAGAAATCACTTTCCTTCCATTCTTGGCAAATGCTACCAAGTGGCTCCTCGGACCAAAACCCAATGCTGGATCTTCAAAACAAGACTGGCTGGAGGAAACAGAAGTGCGGAGGCGGAGACCATGCTGTGGCCTCTGGCCTCCTGTGACCCCAGAACTTGGTTTTCACCCCATGCAGGTACCTTTTGTGACAGGAAAGAAAGGATTCGAGCTGCAGTTTTGCTGGCTAACGTGAGTCATAAGGGATGGAGAAGTCAATGTTTCCAGAGGGGTGGTGTGCTGGTAGCCTCGCAGGCCTGGTGAAACTTGAAGATGAACATCTGTCCCATCTAAGGAGAAGAACGCAAGGCCCCAGAAAGGCCTCCGGGCCTAAATATAAACAATCACCTCAAACTGGAAACAAACACCCGACAATAGGGGAATGGATAAACTAACCAGTCAATCTGTACAAATGAATATTACTAGGCATTCAAAAGGAAAAACTACTCTAATCCACGTAATAACGTTGATGAATCTCACATACATGTTGCCTGATATACCACACTGCCTGACTGTGGACAGTGAAGCATTTTTTCTGCTTCTGGTACAGCCACTCTCTCCCTCCAGCCTTCATTTTTTCTTTTAAATCAAGTTGATTAAGGTATACTTTACTTACAATAAAATGTACCCATTTTAAGCGTGCAGTTCAGTAAGTATAATAAATGTACACATGCCTGTGTAACCACCACCCCAATCAAGACTTAGAACATTTCTGGCTGGGCACCCAGCACTTTGGGAGGCCGAGGCAGGAGAATTGCTTGAGGTCACGAGTTCAAGACCAGCCAGGGCAACATGGCGAAACCCCATCTCTACAACAAAAAACAAAAATTAGCCAGGCATGGTGGTGCACATTTAGTCCCAGCTACTCGGGAAGCTGAGGTGGGAGGATCCTTTGAGCCCAGGAGGTTGAGGCTGCAGTGAGCCATAATCGCACCACTACACTCCAGCCTGGGCAACAGAGCAAGACCCTGTCTCAGAACAACAACAACAGCAACAGCAAAAAGACTTAAAACATTTCTACCACCCAGAAAGTTTCCTCAGGCTCCTTTGACTTCAGTCCTTTTCCCACCCCTGGCTCCAGGCAACCACTGACCTGCTTTCTGAACTATAGATTAGTTTTGCCTGTTTTAGAACTTTACAGAAATGAAATCAAGGTCGGGTGCAGTGGCTCACGCATGCAATCCCAGCACTTTGGGAGGCCGAGACAGGTGGATCACCTGAGGTCAGGAGTTCGAAAACAGCCTGGCCAACATGACAAAACCCCATGCCTATTAAAAATACAAAAATTAGCAGAGCATGGTGGGGGGCACCTGTAATCCCAGCTACTCAGGAGGCTGAGGCACGAGAATCACGTGAACCCGGGAGGCGGAGGTTGCAGTGAGCCAAGATCACACCACTGCACTCCAGCCTGGACGACAGAGCAAGACTCTGTCTCAAAAGGAAATGAAATCAAATGCTTATTTTGCACAACCTTCTGTAAAGTTCATCCATGTGGTCATGAATATCAGTTGATCATTCCTTTCTATTGCTGAGCAGTATTTCCCTGGATAGAGGTGCCTCAATTTGTTTATTCACTCACCTGTTGATGGACATTTGCATTGCTTCTAGTTTCAGCCTATCGTGACTAAAGCTGTGACATGTGTTTTTGTTTCTCATTTATCTAGGAGTGGGATGGCTGAGTTATATGATAAGTATGTATTTCACTTTCTAAGAAACAGTTCTTCAAAATGGTTGCACCATTATACATTCCCAGCAGCAATGTATGGGAGTTCCAGTTACTCCACATTCTCACCAACATTTGGTGTTGTCAGTGTTTTAAATTGTAGCCATTCTTGGCTGGGCATTGTGGCTCACACCTCTAATCCCAGCACTTTGGGAGGCTGAGGCAGCCTCACTTGAGCCTGTCACTTGAGGCCAGGAGTTTGAGACCAGCCTGGCCAACATGGCAAAACCCCATCTCTACTAAAAATGCAAAAATTATGGCTGGGCGTGGTGGCTCACACCTGTAATCCCAGCACTTTGGGAGGCCGAGGTGGGCAGATCACTTGAGGTCAGGAGTTCAAGACCAGCCTGGCCAACATGGCGAAACCCCCTCTCTACTAAAAATACCCAAAAAAAAAAAAAAAAAAAAAAAAAAATATATATATATATATATTAGCCAGGTGTGGTGGCTCACGCCAGCAATCCCAGCTACTCAGGAGGCTGAGGCATGAGAATCACTTGAACCCAGGAGGCAGAGGTTGCAGTGAGTCGAGATAGTACCACTGCACTTCAGCCTGGTCGACAGAGTGAGACCCTGTCTCAAAAAAAAAAAAAAATGTAGCCATTCTAGCTGTGTGAGTGGCACCTCATTGTGATTTTATTTTCCTATAGACTTCCTTTAAAATGCAAATCTTGGTGGGGCACGGTGGCTCACACCTGTAATCCCAGCACTTTGGAAGGCCAAGGCAGGCAGATCACTTGAGGCCATGAGTTCAAGACCAGCCTGGCCAACATGGTGAAACCCCATCACTACTAAACATACAAAAATTAACCAGGTGTGGTGGTGGCGCATCCCAGCTACTCTGGAGACTGAGGCACGAGAATCACTTGAACCCGGGAGGCAGAGGTTGCAGTGAGCTGAGATCATGCCACTGCACTCCAGCCTGGGCAACAGAGCGAGACCCTGTCTCAAAAGAAACACACACAAAAAACACAAACACACAACCCCTGACTCTCTTTGAAGACTCAGTGTAGAGGAAGTCACATGTGAAAGACCCTGTAAAAGAAGTTAAGGGTTTCAGATATTATGCTGTGAACAGCGGGAAGACCCCAGGGGTTAACATGGGGGGAGGAGGTGGAGGTATTTGCACTTATGCATCTGAGAAGTGGGGCACTTCCAGGAGCCCTGTGTGTCCAGAGGAGAATTTCTCTTGCCCCAAATTTCCCTGCTGCGAGCCACTTCTGATTTCTCCAAGGTGTTGTTTTGTGAGGCTCACTTAGTCATTTTCTTTCTGGCCAAGGAGGTAGAGCACTATCCCTGCCTGCTTCTCGGGAACATATTGTCCGTATTGCTTGTGACTCGCAGTCAGAGAAATATTCTCTGTGCTTGCTAGAGTGTGTTTTAAATTAAAGTGCCAGGGGATGTGGAGATGGTCATTAATTTTAAGTGCATCTATTGTTAGCAAATGATGTCACCGCTGAGCTCTCCAACTTGTCACAAGAAGTCTGGATATATTTCGGGTTTCTGTAGCAGGGACAGTTCCTGTTTTGAAGTGTGCAGGCTATGAATACGGTCTGCTTTCTGTGAGGAACGGTAGAGCTTTTGGTGCACGTTTAAAATGATACTGGCTGTTGGAAGCAAACATTGTGCCCCAATGAGTCAATCAAGTTTCATTTTTTTTTCAAGGTAGGAGGAATGGCAAGAAGTTGACTGTTAGTAATTATATAAATATCAACCTCTGTTCTTTAGAACCTCTTCGAGGTAGGAAGTCATGTCCTATTTATCACAGTGTTCCACGTGCCTTGCTCCAATTTTTTTTATTGCTTATTTATTGAATCTCTTATAAAAGAATTTTCTCAAAGACAAAGAGCATGCTATTATATCCCTCATAAATATCTCTCGAGCGTTTTGAAGGCACACAGTGTATGCCTGTTGGTTGACTGAACAGAGCAAGTTCCGGTTTTTGAAAAGGTGGAATAAAGAGGAAGAAAACTCCATTACTCCTGTTTTAGATGATCTGGTAAAATGTTCTCTATCAGCATCGCATACAGAGGTCTATTACATAGATCATCATATCTCAAATAATTAAATTCACTTGAGGGTCAGAAAAAAACAGATTCTTTGTGTAGAATCATTTACTGAAGAATTTAAAGGATTTTTCCTTGGGCTATCTCAGTCAGATTGGAACAGCTAGAGCCAGGGAAAATATTTCATAACGAGTCTTCTTGGTATATTAAAGTGCACATAACAGAGCGAGAAACTTTGAAAAATAACTTCAATATCCATAATCCTATAATTCCAAGGCATTTTTCATTTTTTCTTTTTCCTTTAGGAAGGTGGTTTTTTAAAGGGACTTTTGTTTTTAACTAAATGAGCTTAAAATAATGTGATTAGAAACCACTGTAGGCTGGGCACGGTGGTTCATGCCTGCAATCCCAGCACTTTGGGAGGCCGAGACAGGCAGATCACCTGAGGTCAGGAGTTCAAGACCAGCCTGGGCAATATGGCGAAACCCCGTCTTTACTAACAATACAAAAAATTAGCTGGGCGTGGTGGCAGGTGCCTATAGTTCCAGCTACTCAGGAGGCTGAGGCACGAGAATCACTTGAACCCGGGAGGCGGAGGTTGCAGTGAGCCAAGATCCATGCCACTGCTCCCCAGCTTGGGCGAGAGTGAGACTCTGTCTCAAAAAAAAAAAAAAAGAAAAGAAAAGAAAAGAAAAAACCACCGTACGGTGGCTCACGCCTGTAATCCCAGCACTTTGGGAGGCCGAGGCGGGCAGATCACGAGGTCAGGAGATCGAGACCATCCTGGCTAACATGGTGAAACCCCGTCTCTACTAAAAATACAAAAAATTAGCCAGGCGTGGTGGCGGGCACCTGTACTCCCAGCTACTCGGGAGGCTGAGGCAGGAGAATGGCGTGAACCCGGGAGGCGGAGCTTGCAGTGTGCCGAGGTCGCACCACTGTACTCCAGCCTGGGTGACAGAGCGAGACTCCATCTCCAAAAACAAAACAAAACAAAAAAACACTGTAGCACTGTAGCTTTTGGTTATCACACCAATGAATTCATATCTGAAATTAGAATAAGAAAATCACCAAGAGGACTATTTCATATATTCGGCTCAGGAGTTTTGTTTTTAGGAAACAAAAATCCCCACCACCTGCTGTTTTCTTGCTTTCTCTATCCCCTCCCCCACGATCACAGGGTCAGTGAAACCTGATCAGAAGTGTCCAGATACCGCTGTCCCAGAAGCCACTTTAAAGACTCTTTGGGCAGAAGCTCTGTGGCTTCCACCCCTCTTCCCAACCCTTGCACCCACCGGCAGGAGAACTCACCATGCAGAAGCAGGACCAACATCCCTCGGCCTTTCATCCACCCAGTGGCTTAGGACCACCCAGCCGTGGGACCCCTACCTGAGGGGAGAAAGGACAGGTCACCCAGTGCCCAGGAGGGCCCCATGAGAACCCTCCCATGCCTCCACACTTCTTCCTGAATGCCCTGCCTTTCTTTCTTCCTCACATTCCTTCCTTCTTAATGACCCTGGTGTTGGGCTAAGGGAAACCAGTAACAACAGAAAATCAGAAGCTCCCCACAAATGGACAGTTTGGATCTATTAGGAAACCCTTTGTCAGGCTACAGCCCTGACAGCAACTCAGATGGCATCACTGACAACCCAGCAAGGAAATGGATGGAGAGGAAACCCCTGCAGAGAAGCGTTAGTGAATGGTCCTCAAATGTTGCTTACCGTCCTGGGAGTCTCCCTGGTCCTGCTCCTCTGAGGTCCCCCTCCACTCCCTCAGCCCATCCATCTCCCAAGTCAGGCAGCCACAGATGCTGAAAATGGTTTGAGAGAGAAGTAAAGGTGGGGGTGGGGGGACGGGAGGAAGGGGTGAAGAGGAATAGTTACTTGTGCAGGTTTGAGTGCTTATTTTTCTTTCTCCAGATTTAATGGCAGGAAAATCCTCTGTATCACATGAGGATTAACAGAGATGAAAGAATGTGTCTGCCTTTCGAATCACTAAAGCCAGTGACAGATTTTGCTGACATACCAATCGGCTTTATCCCCGGGCCTTGACCACCCTGGCCCTCCTGTCCTCTCTCCATCTGCCTGGCCCCTTTCTCTCCTTAAACCTTCCCCAGACCCTGCCCCGTTCCCTGACCCCAGCCCCAGCCCCAAGCAATATGTAGCCTGAAATTGGCTTCCTGCCACCCAAACAGCATTATCAGCATTTTCAACAAGGACGCATTATATAACTTGGAGAGCTGGAGAAGGGACAGGACAGCTTAAAATGTTTCCCCAAAATGCCGGCTGCTGATTTCCTTTCTTTGAAGTGGTTGATGGTGAATGATACAAAAACGGACTGGAGAGAGTCCTTCCACTACAAGAAGGCAAGAGGTTCCCACTGGGGTTAGGGCTGGTAGTGGTGGCCTAAGGCAGTGGGTCCAGGAATGGGACCTTCAGAATCTGGCTGAGGTTTCTGAAACCCACCAGGACTCAGTTTAGGCCCTGGCTACTCAGTGTGGCCGGTGGACCAGCAGCAGTACCTGAGAGCTCGTTAGGAAAACAGAATCTCAGCGCCTTCTACCCCCCGCCCCAGACCTGTTGAATCAGCATCTGCTTTTTTTTTTTTTTTTTTTTTTTTGAGATGGAGTCTCACTCTGTCGCCCAGGCTGGAGTGCAGTGGCACAATCTTGGCTCACTGCAACCTCCACCTTCTGGGTTCAAGCGATTCCCCTGCCTCAGCTTCCTGAGTAGCTGGGACTACACCATGCCCAGCTAATTTTTTGTATTTTTAGTAGAGACGGGGTTTCACCATGTTGACCAGGATGGTCTTGATCTCTTGACCTTGTGATCCACCCGCCTCGGCCTCCCAGAGTGCTGGGATTACAGGCGTGAACCACCGCGCCCGGCCAGCATCTGCATTTTAACTAGGTCGGCGGAGAGGGGGATTCCTGTGCCCGGTAAAGTTTGGAAAGCCCTGTTTTAGGAGACTGGTGGAGGGGGTCTGATCAAAATGAGGGTGGCAGGGGGGCCTGTTTATCTAGCCTTTCTGGCCAGCAGTTCAGGTGCCCCCACATTCTCCTGGCCCCAGCAAGCCTCTGCTGTCTGCTGGGACAGCACTTCCAGGTATCCATGGCAACCTGCCAAGTTCTGGCCACGCAGGACTTGGTGAGCCAGTGCTGATGAAAGGAAGCCAGGAGTTCCCTTCCCACAGAAAGGGTTCTGGATGTGAATCTAGACATCTCAGGCCACCGTGCCCTGGGGAATTTTTGTTTTCTTCCATTTGAGCCTTGAAAGCCAAAATGTGGCTGAACTTGTCTAACCTGCTGGAAAGAAGAGAATACTAGGGATGGGGTAGGGATGTGGGTGGGGGAGGCCTCTCAAATGACATCTCTATCCCCAGTGTTGGACTCGCCTGGCTTATTAGATGAGAGCAGTGGGCAGCCCTCTCATTGTGACCACCAGTGTCGGAGGTGTCCCTGTAGCCATCACCCCAAGCCTTAGCCCAACGAAGCCCCCACTCCCCCAGCAGCAGTCCAGAGGCTGAATCTCGACTGTAAGAGCCAACCTGTCTGCACCCACAACCTTTGTTCGCAGCTTATTGGTCCAACCTTCCCTTCAATCTTCTCCAGGCCAGTGGGCCTGGTGCTCTGGCACTGGGATCCCACTAAGGAAGACCTTCTTCTCCACCTGTGAACTGAAACATTTCTCCCAAGTGGAAAATAAGGAGGCATCAGAGACTCTTGGCATAAAAAGGAAGGAGCCCATCCACCAGGTGAGCTGGTACCACCGACTTGGGAGGATGAGCAGCCCTTAATCAAAACCTTGCTGCAGGGAGAAAAGCAGGTGGCCCAGGGTTGTTACAGGAAATGCGATTGACTGACTTCCCCTGGGAGAAACTTAAAGCTCAAGACAGGAGAAAGGCCGGCCCTTTCAGAGCCTACTCCAGCCACTCGTGGGCTGCTGGGGGAGGGATTTTTTCGTTTTTGTTTTTGAGATGGAGCCTTACTCTGTCCCTCAGGCTGGAGTGCAGTGGCGTGATCTCAGCCCACTGCAACCTCTGCCTCCCGGGTTCAAGCAATTCTCCTGCCTCAGCCTCCTGAGTAGCTGGGACTACAGGTGAGTACCACCACACCCGGCTAATTTTTTTTGTATTTTTAGTAAAGATGAGGTTTCACCATGCTAGCCAGTTTGGTCTCGAACTCCCGACATCAAATGATCCACTGGCCTCAGCCTCCCAAAATGTTGGTATTACAGGCGTGAGCCACTGTACCTGGCCCTCCTGGGGTGGTTTTGTACCCATGCTAGTTCTCACTCATCATGCAGTTGGTAGCCCATAAAAGGAGCTGAAGGAGGGAGAAGGGGTGTGTAAGTGACCTTGAGAAATAGTGATGGCCCAAGATGCATGATTTTGCCAGCCTCCACCTCCTGGATTCAAGCCATTCTCCTGCCTCAGCCTCCCAAGTAGCTGGAACTACAGGCGCCGGCCACCATGCCTGGCTAATTTTTGTGTTTTTAGCAGAGATGGGGTTTCGCCGTTTTGGCCAGGCTTCCCCACCTTGGAATTGGTAAGAATTACCGATTAATTAAGACAGCCGGCGACTACTGGAGGCTTTGCCTGCTATCTGGAGGACACAGATTTGCCCTCCAGCCTTTCTGCCCTGTAGTGACAATTCACAGACACCCCAACCCTGGGTAGCCCTTCCTGGGCCTTTGCTTTGCTCCTTTCTTTCCCCACTTCTCCACCTGCTGAAATCTCAATCTGCCTGCTATGCTTAGCATAAGCGCTACCACCTCTAAGAAATGAATCCCCTTCCAGTGCCCTCCTTTCTCACTTGCAGGCATCTGCCTCGAAGTTCACAGTGTTTGTTTGTTTGTTTGTTTGTTTGTTTGTTTGTTTGTTTTGAAACTGAGTCTCGCTCTGCTGCCCAGGCTGGAGTGCAGTGGTGCGCTATCGGCTCACAGCAACCTCCGCCTCCCGGGTTCAAACAATTCTCCTGCCTCAGCCTCCGGAGTAGCTGGGATTACAGGCACGCGCCACCATGTCCGGTTAATTTTTGTATTTTTAGTAGAGATGGGGTTTCACCATATTGTCCAGGCTGGCCTCAAACTCCTGACCTCAAGTGATCCGCCCACCTCGGCCTCCCAAAGTGCTGGGATTACAGGCGTGAGCCACCACGCCAGGCCTGAGCCACTGCGCCCAAAGTTCATAGTGTTTGGATGGCTGGCCTCCTTGGAGGGGCTGTGCTTGATCCAAGTCTGCACTCCCACAATGTCTGGCTGGTGTCGCCTTCAGACAGGGCAAGAGGCAGGGAGACACAGGGCAAGGAGTCATTGAGGCCAAGACACTTACCCACCCAGAACCACGTTCTGGATACCTGCGACCTGGGAATTCACTGCCCAACAGGTTCTGAACCCACTCCTCTAGGTCCAGTCTCCTGAAGGTGGATGGTCTCACCAATGTGCATACTCGAGAGGTGATCCTTTAGGGGGTAGACAGTTGCAGAGAAGGGGACAGAGCTTGGATATGAGGACGTGCGTGGGAAAGATCCGCTATAGCATGGGATGGATCCGGCCTGGGAATAGAGGGAAGCTACGCCATGGCCTTGAGCTGGGGCCACTCTCTGTGCCATCACACCCTAGCCCAGAATGCTGAGGAATGCAAGAATTGCAAACTTGAATTTAACCTTCCAGATTGTTATGAAGGTATATCTGCTCAGATAGGAGGATAGAACATGTTTTATTTAACAGTTTTTTAGCTTGATGTGTAGCTTTTAAATATTCAGACATACAGTGTGTGGTCCTCCGTGCGTACTCTTGCCCCAGGCCCCACAAAGCTGGGCCCAAGCCTGGGTTTGGCACACAGGCGGAAGTGCACAATTGTTTGCTGAAGGGAATTGAAGCCCATGTGAGAATTTGTAAGGGAGCTATAGAAAGAGAACCGGGTGAGTGACAGCCTTGGCCTCTTACCCTTCCTTTTTCTCTGACTTACTGGATGGTGTCAGGACAGGGACTTTCAGTTCCTAGGCCTGATTGTACTCGAAACATATTCCATAATCTTGTCCAGACCCCTCATTCTTCAAGTGAGGAAACTGAGGCCCAGAGAGATTAAGTGACCTGCTCCCCAGAGTGACATATGAAGGTGGAGCTGGGACCCAGTGGGTACCCTGTCCTCCTGCCTCCCAGTCCCTGGGTTTTTCTCGGGTCCTAATAAGGACACACACAGCCCCTGTGGCCACCCCCGACGTCCCCACTGCATGCCTCAGATCAGGATGGGGGAGGGGTAGCCACTCCCCTCTTGCTGGGCACCTCTAAATGACCTTGGCTGAACCTATTCTGTGGCTAAAGCACCCAACTCCCTTGTTCTTTATTCGCAAACTATCCTACTTCTGTCGTTTCACATCCGCCCTTCCAATCCAAACCCCAGCTCAGTGGGGTTGGATTGGATCAGCCTGGGCTCCCGGGCCTCATTTCTGGAATTGGAGGAAGGAGGAAGAGAGGCGAGAGTGCCCTCATTCCGCTGACTCCCAGTGTAGTGACAGTGACGTCGCCCCAACGGCAGGCCCGGACACAGTTAGGTGCGGGCTCGCGCCCCATCTGGTGCCCCGGGGCTCAGGGCGCGCCGCCGCGGTCCTGGAGGGGCAGTAGGCAGCGAGTCACTGGGCTGGACGTTTCCGCTCTGGCTCCTCCCTCCGCGGGCTTCAGAAAACTAGTTCAGCTCGCTGGCCCCGGCTGGCAACCGTGCGTGACACAGTGGTTTTTTTTTCCCATAAAGGTCACGTCCTTGCGAAACCTCTGCAGCCTCTGCCGGTAACCACCACCCCGGCCCCACCCTGGGGAGAAGGGGCGGAGCCTCCGGGGCGAGCCACGCCCCCGATGAGCCCGGTCCTGCCCAGCGTGGCCGCCAGAGGGCACCGAGGTTCGGGAGTCGGGGTGGGGCGGCCCCGGGACCTCTGTCTGCTCCCCGCCGCGGCACCCGCACCTACTCGGTGGGGGCGGGGGCCAGGGCTGGGGAAAGTCCCAGGGCGTGCCTGGTGCCAGAAACGTTCCTCACGCACCTGGAGTCGCAGAATGCCCGGGCTGGAAGGGATGCCAGGGTGGGGACCTAACCTGCCAAAGGTCACACCCTGGGGAAGATCTCCCAGTGCCGTGTCCTCCTGACCAGGCCGCGTAGTGCGCATGGCCTGTTTGTCACCTGTAAATGAAGGGTTAGCTCACCAACAGGCTCTGCCCACTGCCCACAAATACACCTTCCTGGGGCCTCTTCTGAAATCATCGTTCTTTACATTGCATCCAAAGTAGGTTTCTCTCCCATTGCAGCAGATGTCAAACAAAAAACAAAGTAGGTCTCTCCATTTCCCGATACAGTTGACCCTTGAACAATATGGGTTTACACTTCGCGTAACCACTTACACTTGGATTTTTTTTTCAATAAAAGTTACACCAAGGGCCGGGCGTGGTATTTTTGGTAGAGATGGGGTTTCACCATCTTGGCCAGGCTGCTTTTGAACTCCTGACCTGGTGATCCACCTGCCTCGGCCTCCCAAAGTGCTGGGATTAAGGGCGTGAGTCACCGTGCCTGGCCAGTTATTGTTTGTGTATGTGTGTGTGTTTTGTGGTTTTTTGTTTTTTTGTTTTTTGTTTTTTTGAGACAGAGTCTCACTCTGTCGCCCCGGCTGGAGTGCAGTGTTGCAATCTCAGCTCACTGCAGCCTCCACCTCCCAGGTTCAAGAGATTCTCCTGCCTCAACCTCCTGAGTAGCTGGGACTACAGGCATGCACCACCATGTCTGCCTAAATTTAAAAATTTTTTTTTGTTGAGACAGTGTCTCACTATGCTGCTCAGGCTGGTCTTGAACTCCTGAACTCAAACTATCCTTCTCCCTTGGCCTCCCAAAGTGTTGGGATTATAGGCGTGAGCCACTGTACCCAGCAGAGAATATTTGTTTGCTTGTTTGTTTTGAGATGGAGTTTCACTTTTGTTGCCCAAGCTAGAGTGCCATGGCATGATCTTGGCTCACTGCAACTTCCATCTCCTGGGTTCAAGTGATTCTCCTGCCTCAGCCTCCCAAGTAGCTGGGATTAAAGGCATGCACCACCATGCCTGGCTAATTTTGTACTTTTAGTAGAAATGGGGTTTCACCATATTGGTCAGGCTGGTCTCGAACTCCTGACCTCAGATGATCCATCCACCTTGGCCTCTCAAAGTGCTGGGATTACAGGTGTGAGCCACCTCACCTGTATATATAGAATATATATAGAATATACATAGAATATATATAATCCATATAGATTATACATAGAATATATATAGAATATATATAGAATATATATATAGAATATATATAGAATATATATATAGAATATATATATAGAATATATATAGAATATATAGAGATTATATATAATCCATATATATAGAATATATAGAGATTATATATAATCCATATATATAGAATATATAGAGATTATATGTAATCCATATATAGAATATATATAGAATATACATAGAATATATATAGAAAATATATAAGAATATATATAGAAAATATATAAGAATATATAGAATATATATAAGAATATATATAGAATATAGATAAGAATATATATAGAATATAGATAAGAATATATATAGAATATAGATAAGAATATATATAGAATATAAAGAATATATAGATATAGAATATAGATATAGAATATATAGATATAGAATATATAGAGAATATAGAGAATATATATATAGAGAATATATAGAGACAGAATATATATATTCTATATATTATATATAGAATATATATATATTCTATATATTATATATAGAATATATATATATATTCTATATATTATATATATTCTCTTACAAAGTTATGTTAGTTGACTCTTGATTGCAAGGTACAAGTATCTAACTCAAAACAGTTTAAGCTCAAAAGTGAATTTCCTGGAGAGAGGAGAGAATCAGGAGTTATAGTTTAAAGGGTATAGAGCTTCAGTGTGAGATGAGGGAAGCATTCTAGAGAAGGATAGTGGTGATGGTTGCACAACAATGTAAGTGTACCTACTGCTATTGAATTGTACTTTTTTTTTTTTTTTTTTGAGCCTCACTCTATCACCCAGGCTGGAGTGCAGTGGCACGATCTCGGCTCACTGCAACCTCCGCCTCCCAGGTTCAAGCAATTCTTTTGCCACAGCCTCCCACTCAGAGGCTGGGATTACAGGCGTGCATCACCATGTCTGGCTAATTTTTGTATTTTTAGTAGAGACAGGGTTTCACCATATTGGCCAGGCTGGTCTCAAACTGCTGACCTCAGGTGATCTGCCTACCTCGGCCTCCCAAAGTGTTGGGATTACAGGCGTGAGCCACCGAGCCCTACTTGCTTTTATTTTTTTTTTAATTTTATTGACCTGTGGTTTGACCATTTGGTGGATGGTGTTTCTGCCTTTCTGTGAATACCAAAACAACCTAATACATTGAATAAACTGGTTAATGTGTGCTAAACTAATGAAAGAATGAGTCTTTATTGTCCAATATAGGATCTTAGTTTTTTTATATGTTCGTTTGTTTGCAGATGGTATGATCTATGTACACTTGAAAAGAGACAATATTAACTTGTCCCATCTCTAATCTCTCCATAAGTCTGTTAAATTCATATTGTTCATGGACTTGTCTTCTAGCATGTAGCACAGACTTAAAATCTAGTAAGCCCTGAAAACAGTTTTTTGAAAGAATTATTCAATTATACAGTATTTTTCAATTTAGTTTGTGTCTATTTTTTCCAGAAATGGAATATTGAGGGTTCCAATTAAAATCATATTTACTTCTTCTTGCCTTTTTGTCTATTTTCTTTTATGGGTTTGTTACAATGGTTTTTGTAACACATACATTCAGTATTTTCAATTTTCATAATGTAATATACATTTGAGCATTATGTAATGACCTTATTTATTTATTGTACTGCCTTTTGCTATGACATGACATCTGCTTTATCTGCTACTAAAATAGTAATCCGAGCTTTTCTTCTGTTCACATGGGAATATCCTCAAACATTGCTACTCTCTTGATGATGATTTTGGTTTGTGCGTCTCTTGTTTGCAAAAAGTTGTTAGATTTTGTTGTAGGCAGTTGGTAGGCTGCCATTTTTTAATAGGAGAGTTCGGTCTGTTTACATTTAATTCTTTAATTGGTAAAATTTTACCATACCCTGTTTCCTTTTAGGTTTAATTTTTATTTGTTACTTCCCTTTCAATTTATGGAGTTTATGTAGATTACTTAACTTTTTGTTTCTGGCTGGGCATGGTGGCTCAGGCCTATAATCCGAGCACTTTGGGAGGCCGAGGCAGGCGGATCACCTGAGTTCAGGAGTTCGAGACCAGCCTGACCAACGTGGTAAAACCCTGTCTCTACTAAAAAGACAAAAAAAAAAAAAAAAAAAAAAAAAAAATTAGCCGGGCATGGTAGCACACGCCTGTAATCCCAGCTACTTGGGAGGCTGAAACAGGAGAATCCCTTGAACTCGGGAGGTGGAAGTTTCAGTCAGCCAAGACTGGGCCACTGCACTCCAGCATGGACAACAGAGTGAGACTCCGTCTCAAAAAAAAAAAAAAAAAACTTTTTGTTTCCTTTTCTTTTCTTTTTTGAGACAGAGTCTCACTCTATCTCTCAGGCTGGAGTGCAGTGGCATGATCTCGGCTCACTGCAAACTCCACCTCCCAGGTTCAAGCAATTCTCCTGCCTCAGCCTCCCGAGTAGCTTGGGCTACAGATGTGTGCCACTACACCTGGCTAATTTTTGTATTTTTAGTAAAGATGAGATTTTGCCATGTCAGCCAGGCTGGTCTCAAACTCCTGACCTCAAGTGATCCACCCACCTCGGCCTCCCAAAGTGCTGGGATTACAGGCATGAGTCACTGCGCCGGGCCTTTGTTTCCTTTTAAATGACATCAGAAGATTTTGTTTTTCTTTCTTTTTTTCTTTTTTTTGAGATAGCCTCACTCTGTCCCCCAGGCTGGAGTACAGTGGCACTATCTCAGTTCACTACAACTTCCGCCTCCTGAGTTCAAGCAATTCTCATGCCTCAGCCTTTTAAGTAGCTGGGATTACAGGCATGAGCCACCACACCTGGCTAATTTTTGTAATTTTAGTAGAGACAGGGTTTCATCATGTTGGCCAGGCTGGTCTCGAACTCCTGACCTCAGGTGATCCTCCCGCCTCACCTTCCCAAAGTGCTGGGATTACAGGCATGAGCCACCTCACCCAGCCTAATTTTTGTTTTTCTAACATTTCTATTTATTAGGTTTTTACACAACTGTTTTGTTCCAGTATTTACTTCTGTTCTTAGCATACTTTGAATTCTCATGTGGGGATGTTAAACATATAGTTTCAAAACTTTATCCTCTGTTTCTTTGTTCTCTGCCCACCCCCATCATCTATGATTACTAGATAGTCTCATTGAAATTCAACCTGTACCAATTATTTCTAAAAAATTGTTACTGATTTATTTTACTTTTTCTTGTCAAGCTTGTCCTTTATTAATGTTAGAATGTCCTGATCTCTCATTTGCATCTTGCTGTTTGCAAACCTCTATTGTCTTGAAATTTTACTTTTGGCTTAAGCTGGACCATCAAAGAGCTGTGTACCTGTGCCTGATCAGGGTGAGCATTTGTGGTATAACATTTATGGAAACTTGCCTTGGCATTATGCCCCCCACCTATGTTGAAGATGTTAATAAGTAGTCCGATTTAGCTGCTTATTTATTATAGAGATGGGTTTCAAAGTTCATTTTTGGTTTTTTAAATATCACAATGCCTCTATGTATGTATGTGTGTGGGCCTGGGAGACAAAGTTTTCGTTAGAAACAGTGGAATTGTGTATTAATTGCATTTCCATCTTTTAATTGGCTGCTGGCTGTTAAGCATCAAATTTGAAAGTCATCTCTGTTAAATACAATTTATGGAGGCCATTGATTAGACTGAGCTCCTGCACAAAACCCCAACAGACCAACCCAAAATGCAGTCACTCATGCTGTTTCCATATCACCAAACCAAAACCTAAGCTGTTCACTTGTCAGATAGGGTCTTTCAAGAAATCAGAGAGGGCACCACCCTCATGAATAGAATAATGTCATTATAAAAAGGGCTTGTGGCTGTAGGTTCGCTCTCTCCTGCTCTTCTGCCATGTGAAGACAGAGGTTATCCCTCTCTTGCCCTTCTGCCTTCTGCCATGCAAGGATGCAGAAGGAAAGTCCTTGTTAAGGTGCTTTGATTTTGGACTTGCCAGCCTCTAGAACAGTGAGAAATAAATTTCTGTTTTTTATGAATTACCCAGTCTGAAACTGCCTTAGTCTGTTTTCTGTTGCTATAACAGAATATCTGAGACTGGATGATGATGATGATGATGATGATGATTATTATTATTATTATTATTATTATTATTATTATTATTATTATTTGAGATGGAGTTTCGCTGTTGTGGCCCAGGCTGGAGTGCAATGGCATGATCTCAGCTCACTTCAGCCTCTGCCTCCCGAGTTCAAGTGATTCTCCTGCCTCAGCTCCTAGGCTCAGGTGACCCACCCGCCTTGGCCTCCCAAAGTGCTGGGATTACAGATGTGAGCCACTGCGTCCGGCCGAGACTAGATTATTTATAAAGAACACAAATTAATTTCTTACAGTTCTGAAGGCTGAAAAGTCCATCTGGTCGGCTTCTGGTGAGGGCCTTGTGCTGTGTTCATAACATGGCAGAAGGCATCATAGGGCAAGAGGGGCTCTGAGAGCCAAACTGGCTTTTATAATAGATCCACTCTTGCGATAACCTATCAATCCATTAATCCAACCACCTCTTAAAGGCCCCACCTCTTTTTTTTTTTTTGAGCCATGGTCTCAGTCTGCCACCCAGGCTGGAGTGTAGTGGTGCAATCTCAGTTCACTGCAACCTCTGCTTCCTGGATTCAGGCAATTTTTGTGCCTCAGCCTCCCTAGTAGCTGGGACTATAGGTGCACGCCACCACACCTGGCTAATTTTTGTATTTTTTGGTAGAGATGGGGTTTCACCATGTTGGCCAGGCTTGTTTCGAACTCCTGGCCTCAAGTGATTCACCTGCCTCAGCCTCCCAAAGTGCTGGGATTACAGGCATGAGCCACTGCGCCCGGCTAAGGCCCCACTTCTTAATACTGTTGCATTTGAAATTAAGATTCAATATGAGTTTCAGAGAGGACAAGTATTCAAACCATAGCACAAGTATTCTGTTGTAACAGCACAAAATGGACGAAGGCATCCCTTCTGCTTTAACCCGCACAAGTAAAGTAACCTGAAGTAACCCGATGTTAACCAATACGATTTTGTATTACGTTGTTTCCTTTTTCCTGCTGGGTCCGCCTTACAAAAGCTGATCAGTCTGCCAAGACCAGCAAAGCTCCTTCTATTTTGTACACAGGATATTACCCAATTCATGAATCGCGAATAAAAACCAATTAGATCTTTAAAACTCCGTTTCTTGAAACTTTGTTCTTTGACACCTCTAAAAACAGTACATGTCCACCATCCTCCGCAAACACAGAAACAGAAAACCAAACACCGCATGTTCTCACTCATCAGTGGGAGCTGAACATTGAAAACACACGGACACAGAGAGGGGAACAACACACACCAGGGCCTGCTGAGGGGTAGGCGGTGAGGGGAGGGAACTTAGAGGATGGGTCATTAGGTGCAGAAAACCACCATAGCACACGTATACCTATGTAACAAACCTGCACATTCTGCACATTTTCCCGTTTTCTTTAGAAGAAATTAAAAAAAGCTCATCCCTCCCCAAAAAAAAACACAAACAAAAATTTTCTCTTAAAATGTCAAATCCCAAGGTTGTAGTTTTTTGTTTTGTTTTGTTTTGTTTTGTTTTGTTTGAGATGGAGTTTCACTCTTGTTGCCCAGACTGGAGTGCAATGGTGCGATCTCGGCTCACCGCAACCTCCGCCTCCTGGGTTCAAGTGATTCTCCTGCCTCAGCCTCCCGAGTAGCTGGGATTACAGGTGCCTGCCACCATGCCTGGCTAATTTTGTATTTTTTTAGTAGAGGCGGTGTTTCTTCATATTGGTCAGACTGGTCTCGAACTCCTGACCTCAGGTGATCTGCCGGCCTCGGCCTCCCAAAGTGCTGGGGTTACAGGCGTGAGCTACTGCACCCAGCCAAAGTTGTAGTTTTGACTCAGGATTTAACCAGCAAGATATTTATGACAATCAAACTCAAATGAAATATACTTCATAGCAATGAAAAATAAAAAAACAACCACAAACAATACATGTTAGCCAGGCGCTGTGGCTCATGCCTGTAATCCCAGCACTTTGGGAGGCTGAGGTGGGTGGATCACCTGAGGCAAGGCTTTTGAGACCAGCCTGGGCAACATGGCAAAACTCTGTCTCTACAAAAAATACAAAAATTAGCCGGGCATGATGGCCTGCACCTAGAGTCCCAGCTACTCGGGAGGCTGAGGTGGGAGGATTGCTTGAGTTCAGGAGGCAGAGGTTGCAGTGAGCTGGGATTGCGCCACTGCACTCCAGCCTGGGTGACAGAATGAGACCCTGTCTCAAACAAACAAACAAACAAACAACAACAACAAAAACCCAAAAAACCCAGTATATGTTACATCATGAATTTTATACACTAACCTAGGCTTCATTCTGTTTTTCCTGTCCTGTTTTCCTTCCTGTCCAATTTCTTCACTTTGGTTAGAAAAAAGTTGATTTTAAAAAGTCTTACTGTAGAAGCCCAATTTATTTTATTTTACTTTTGTGTTGTATGCCACTAGACTTCCTTTTGGTATAAGTTTCAAATAATAACACTTGGCCGGCCACGGTGGCTCACACCTGTAATCCTAGCACTTTGGGAGGCCAAAGCGAGTGGATCACCTGAGGTCAGGAGTTTGAGACCAGCCTGGCCGACAAGGCGAAACCCCGTCTCTACTAAATATACAAAAGTAAGTGGAACATGGTGGTGGGCGCCTATAATCCCAGCTACTTAGGAGGTTGAGGCAGGAAAATCACTTGAACCCGGGCGGGTGGAGGTTGCAGTGAGCCGAGATCGCACCACTTCACTCTAGCCTGTGAAAGAGCGAAATTGTCTCAAAATAATTATAATAATACTCTTATTTATATGTGCCAAGACTGCTCAATGAATGTTTCCTGAAAGATTGAGTAAGCGTTTTCAAATTTGTGGCTCATCATCTTTGGACACTCATTGCACTGCAATTATGTGGAGTCATAGCTTTGCTTGATAATCCACTTAAGTGAATGATATTCTTTAATCTTTATGATAATCTTTAGCATGGAGTTCTGTTGTCTCCACAAAAATCTTACATCCAAGGAAACCACAGAAAACTCTTTTCTGATAAGATATTCATAAAATGACCTTAGAGATGGCCTTGAGAATCTATATGATGAAGGATTTTCACATTTGATTTAATGTTCATTTTAATGTTTGAAAAAAGGTGGCTGGGCACAGTGGCTCACGCCTGTAATCCCAGCACTTTGGGAGGCTGAGCCGGGTGGATCACCTGAGGTCGGGAGTTCAAGGCCAGCCTGACCAACATGAAGAAACTCTGTCTCTACTAAAAATATAAAATTAGCCGGCGTGGTGGCACATGCCTGTAATCCCAACTACTCGAGAGGCTGAGGCAGGAGAATCGCTTGAACCCAGGAGGCAGAGGTTGCAGTGAGCTGAGATCGTGCCATTGCACTCCAGTCTGGGCAATAAGAGTGAAACTCCATCTCCAAAAAAAAAAAAAAATGGCAATGCTTTTCTACACTTTCACCCCACTTGGTAGTTCAAGTTGACCAGGGATTTCTACGAGAACATTTTTACTAGAAATCCCAAGCCTCATGTCTGAGGTTCTGCCAATGGTCAATTGTGCATTCTGCTTCCTTATTGTGGATAAAGGTATAGGAGGAGAAATCTTTATTAGTTTAAGAGCTGGAGGTGGCATTGTTTGTTGCTTACCATAGAGCCAATCTCCCATCTACATGGCTAACAGAATCCTGACTTTGTTTGGGCAAACTTGTGCCCAGCTCCAGTGGATGAAGGAGGCTGGGCTTCAGCCTATCATAGGCATCTTGCTTTCTTTTGCCAGAGATTTGCCTCCCTATCTTCCTTTGCAGTTGAGAGTAGCCATATGGACCCATCAGGGCCAAAAATGTTCAAGGAGAAGTCCGCTGGATTACTTCTGGGAAAAAATTTCTCTTCCTGGTAAGAAACAGAGCGATGAAGAGAAAGTTACAGCCTCCCTGGATACAGCTTCTTCCTCCTTCCTTTGAATATATGCTTCAAAGACAGAATGTCTGGAGCTGTGGCTGCCATCTTGCAACAAGCATGAAGCTGAAATACCAACATGCAGTGGTGGGCGAATGGAAAGTAGGAAAGCACCTGGGGAGATTGTTACCCAAACCAACCCGGAGCCACCTACCTCAGACCTCTTAACAATACACAATAAATGTCTTTATGTTTTATCATAGTAGTTCTCAAAGGGTATTCTGGAGATCTCTGGGGATCCCTAAAACCCTTTAAGGGATCCCACAAGGACAAAACATTTTCATGATTTTATATATATATATATACACACACACACACACACACACACACATATATGTGTATGTATATACGTATATATGTTTGTATGTATATATGTATATACATATATACTTATATAAATATATATATATAATGTGTATATATATATTTTTTGAGGTGGGGTCTCACTATGTTGCCCAGGCTGGTCTTGAACTCCTGAGCTCAAGAGATCTACCCGCCACAGCCTCCAAAAGTGCTGGGATTACAGGCATGAGCCACTGTGCCTGGCCTCATTTTCATAATAATATTGACATTATTTTTTTCATCCTCATTCTCTACAAGTATACTGTAGAGTTTTCCAGAGGCTATATGTTTGATAGCTCTTCAATAGACAGAAGCAGATAGAGAATCCAGCTGTCTTCTATTAAGTCAGACATGAAAGAGATTTGCAAAAAGGTAAAACAAAACAATGTCATTCTTTTCACTAATTTTTTTGTTTTGGAATTTTTTTCATGAAAATGTATTATTGAGCTTATTAATGTTATTTTTAAATGAATTAATAGGCTGGTTGCAGTGGTTCATGCCTGTAATCCCAGCACTGTGGGAGGCCGAGGCGGGTGAATCACTTGAGACCAGGAGTTCAAGACCAGCCTGGCCAACATGACGAAACCCTGTCTCTACTAAAAATATAAA
Organism: Homo sapiens; assembly: GCF_000001405.40. Classification (NCBI taxonomy): domain Eukaryota; kingdom Metazoa; phylum Chordata; class Mammalia; order Primates; family Hominidae; genus Homo; species Homo sapiens. The sequence continues at coordinate 41,432,016 of NC_000023.11, read as the reverse complement.
AATTAGCTAAGCATGGTGGTGCACAATGGCACACACCTGTAATCCCAGCTACTGAGGAGGCTGAGGTACAAGAATCGCTTGAACCTGGGAAGCAGAGGTTGCAGTAAGCCAAGATGGCACCACTGCACTCCAACCTGGGTAACAGAGCGAGACAAGGTCTCAAAAAAAAAAAAAAAAAAAAAAAAACACTTAAAATGAATTAATGAATACTTATATTTAAATTTTCTCAGTTTGAATTGGTAATACAGTAAATACTGATAGACATAACCCTCACAAAGAAAAGTTCTTTGGGCTCCTCAGTAATTTTTTTTTTTCTGGAGTTGATACCCGAAGATCCTCAATAATTAAGAGCGTCAAGGAGTCCTGAGACCAAAAAAGTTTGAAAGCTGCTAATTTAAGCCATCATTAGATAGGTTTTTCTGTCAATTACTGCCCAAAACATTGCTGAATGACAGAAAAGAATTCTTTTGGGGGGATAATTGTCTTTGTTAGAAAAGCAAACTGTTGGACCATTGTGGTTGTAGCGGAGCTGAGGGGACCTGGGGCTGAGGTGGAGAGAGAGCTAGACTGCTCAACATAAGAAAACAATGAAAAACTGAGGCCTGGCACGGTAGTTCATGCCTGTAATCCCAGCACTTTGGGAGGCCAAGGTGAGAGGATCGCTTGAGATCAGGAGCTCAAGACCAGCCTGGGCAACATAGTGAGACTGCATCTTTATTTATTTATTTGTTTTTTTGAGATGGAGTCTCGCTCTGTTGCCCAGGCTGGAGTGCAGTGGTATGATCTGAGCTCACGGCAACCTCTGCCTCCCAGGTTCAAGTGATTCTTGCGCCTCAGCCTCCCGAGTATCTGGGACTACAGGCGCCCACCACCATGCCTGGCTAATTTTTGTATTTTTAGTAGAGACAGGGTTTCACCATGCTGTCCAGGCTGGTCTCAAACTCCTGGCCTTAAGTGATCCCCCTGCCTCAGCTTCCCAAAGTACTGGGATTACAGGTGTGAGCCACTGCGTCTGGCCTGCATCTTAAAAAAGTAAAAATAAAAAGTTAGCTGGGCATGCTGGAGCTCGCCTGTAGTCCCAGCTACTTGAGAGGCTGAGGCGGGAGGATCATTTGAGCCTGGGAGTTCGAGGCTGCATTGAGCAGTGGTCACACCACTGCACTCCAGCCTGGGTGACACCCTGTCTCAAAAAAATAGAGAGGGAGACCCTGTCTCAAAAAAATAATAAAATTAAAAATTAAAAAAAAATTTTAAAAACTTGAGGTATTTGGGATGAAGGAGAGGAAGATGGCTTCGCAATGTGGCTAGAGACAGAGCTGAGTAGAAGAGATGCCCAGTGAAGGGTCCCTGGTGGGAATGGAGGGTGGGGGGAGATGGATGGATGGCTGACGGCGATCTACTCTTCTATTTTAAACTCTCCCTTGTGCTCTTCTGTGAGGCAGCTCTCCATTGCTGCCTCCAAATCCTAGTGAATGTCTGCTAGACATTCACATCAGCTTTGGTGAGTGGTGGTTAGGGAAATCGAGGAAAGGGAGCTTTATTCACGTCAGGGTTGACATGGAGTGGAGAGAAAACAAGAGGTGAAATGTGGATGACAGAGAGTTCTGAGCAAGCCGGAAATCAGAACCAGAAGTCACTGGGTGAAATGCAAGGTTCTCCTGTGCCCCATCCCACTATCCTAGTGGAATATCTGCAGATTCTGGAAAAGGGAACAGGGTTTCCCACTGCAAGGGATTTGAGCTCATTGTATTCAAATTTCAAACAGCTTCATTCCTATAGCTGAAGTCTGGATTGTCAATGCGCTGGTCAGCTACTTTCCAGAAGGCTTGGCATTTAATGGCTGGAAAATTGCCCATCAGGTGCCAGGAGACAGGAAACTTGTAGCTCCTTACCTCCTGGTGAGGACTTAAAAGACAAGTACAGGTCTCTGAGAGTCTTTGGAGGCAGTTACATTGAGTTTTCCAAACCCTCAATCTCAGCATTTTATTTCATTACTGCTGCCCTCTGGGTTTTTGGTAGGCTTACCAAAAATATGGCCACTTTTAATGATCATTTACTCCATTCACAAAGCAAAAAGATTTCTCTCTCCACAGGCTTTCACTCAGATATGGGGAGTTTGTACTTATTTGGTATGTTTTAAAAGCCTAATCAGGAGTTAGTAAGTATTTGGAAACTTTACAGCTTTCAGGATGAAAGCAGCGATGGTGATGACATCATTACTGTTAATTACCCCTTTGCAAAATCTGCTTGAATGGCGAAGAGGTGGGTGTGTCTATGTGGGTATTTAATGTGATGATTAAAATATATTAATGATAGTTTTCACTTCTCTAGCATCGTACATCTTAGGATCTTCTTTAAAAGTGCTTCCACAGGCTTTAATTAGTAAGTAAAAACAGCCCCATTTTACAAAAGAGGAAAATGAAATGCTAGGAGAAGGATCTTGGGGGAAAGGCCTTTGGGAGAATAAAGCTGCCTCCCCACAGCTCAACAGTGAGCAGAACCTTTCTCCTTCCCTTTGACTAAGAACTGACATTCAAAGGCTTTAAATAAAGTACACAAATTTGTTCCCACCTTGACACTTTAGACATCTGAGCCAAAAATAGCACATTTTGGGGTCCATAAGAAATTGCTTATGATGAGCTATCTCCTAAGATTATCTTAACAAACAAGAAAACTGATTGCTAATTATTGCACTTTTTATAGGTCATTTTCACTTTCAGATAAAGGAAATATAGGAAAGTGGATAGGAATGCATGGGAAGAAATGCAGAGAAAAATAGAAAATTTTCTTTGCACCAAATATATTTAGTTATAATCTGAAAGGGAACAAATGAGGGGCATGTTTCGCTCTCGTTGCCCAGGCTGGAGTGCAATGGTGCGATCTCGGCTCACCACAACCTCCGTCTCCTGGATTCAAGCGATTCTCCTGCCTCAGCCTCCTGAGTAGCTGGGATTACAGGCATGTGCCACCACGCCCAGCTAATTTTGTATTTTTAATAGAAATGGGGTTTCTCCATGTTGATCAGGCTGGTCTCAAACTCCCAACCTCAGATGATCCACCCGCCTCGGCCTCCCAAAGTGCTGGGATTACAGGCATGAGCCACCGAGCCCAGCCTGAGGGGCATACTATTTAAAAGCTATTATGAAAAATTTCAAGCATACACAAAAATGGAGAGACGTCATGTATTCATCACCCAGTTTCTACTGCATGCTATTCTTGTTTCAATTCTCCCCTACCACTCATTTCATCAGGGCATTTTAAAGTAAATTCCAGACATCATTTCACTATAAATACTTTGTGTTTTTTCCTAATGGATAAGAACTTTAAAAACAGAACCATATATTCAATTAGGAAAAGAGGAAGTCAAATTGTCCCTGTTTGCAGATGACGTGATTGTATATCTAGAAAACCCCATCGTCTCAGCCCAAAATCTCCTTAAGCTGATAAGCAACTTCAGCAAAGTCTCAGGATACAAAATCAATGTACAAAAATCACAAGCATTCTTATACACCAATAACAGACAAACAGAGAGCCAAATCATGAGTGGACACCCATTCACAATTGCTTCAAAGAGAATAAAATACCTAGGAATCCAACTTACAAGGGACGTGAAGGACCTCTTCAAGGAGAACTACAAACCACTGCTCAGTGAAATAAAAGAGGATACAAACAAATGGAAGAACATTCCATGCTCATGGGTAGGAAGAATCAATATCATGAAAATGGCCATACTGCCCAAGGTAATTTATAGATTCAATGGCATCCCCATCAAGCTACCAATGACCTTCTTCACAGAATTGGAAAAAACTACTTTAAAGTTCATATGGAACCAAAAAAGAGCCCGCATCACCAAGTCAATCCTAAGCCAAAAGAACAAAGCTGGAGGCATCACACTACCTGACTTCAAACTATACTACAAGGCTACAGTAACCAAAACAGCATGGTACTGGTACCAAAACAGAGATGTAGATCAATGGAACAGAACAGAGCCCTCAGAAATAACACCGCATATCTACAACTATCTGATCTTTGACAAACCTGAGAAAAATAAGCAATGGGGAAAGGATTCCCTATTTAATAAATGGTGCTGGGAAAACTGGCTAGCCATATGTAGAAAGCTGAAACTGGATCCCTTCCTTACACCTTATACAAAAATTAATTCAAGATGGATTAAAGACTTAAACATTAGACCTAAAACCATAAAAACCCTAGAAGAAAACCTAGGCATTACCATTCAGGACATAGGCATGGGCAAGGACTTCATGTCTAAAACACCAAAAGCAATGGCAACAAAAGCCAAAATTGACAAATGGGATCTAATTAAACTAAAGAGCTTCTGCACAGCAAAAGAAACTACCATCAGAGTGAACAGGCAACCTACAAAATGGGAGAAAATTTTCGCAACCTACTCATCTGACAAAGGGCTAATATCCAGAATCTACAATGAACTCAAACAAATTTACAAGAAAAAAACAAACAACCCCATCAAAAAGTGGGCAAAGGACATGAACAGACACTTCTCAAAAGAAGACATTTATGCACCCAAAAAACACAGGAAAAAATGCTCACCATCACTGGCCATCAGAGAAATGCAAATCAAAACCACAATGAGATACCATCTCACACCAGTTAGAATGGCAATCATTAAAAAGTCAGGAAACAACAGGTGCTGGAGAGGATGTGGAGAAATAGGAAAACTTTTACACTGTTGGTGGGACTGTAAACTAGTTCAACCATTGTGGAAGTCAGTGTGGCGATTCCTCAGGGATCTAGAACTAGAAATACCATTTGACCCAGCCATCCCATTACTGGGTATATACTCAAAGGACTATAAATCATGCTGCTATAAAGACACATGCACACATATGTTTATTGCGGCACTATTCACAATAGCAAAGACTTGGAACCAACCCAAATGTCCAACAATGATAGACTGGATTAAGAAAATGTGGCACATATACACCATGGAATACTATGCAGCCACAAAAAATGATGAGTTCATGTCCTTTGTAGGGACATGGATGAAATTGGAAATCATCATTCTCAGTAAACTATCGCAAGAACAAAAAACCAAACACCGCATATTCTCACTCATAGGTGGGAATTGAACAATGAGAACACATGGACACAGGAAGGGGAATATCACACTCTGGGGACTGTGGTGGGGAGGGGGGAGTGGGGAGGGATAGCTTTAGGAGATATACCTAATGCTAAATGACGAGTTAATGGGTGCAGCACACCAGCATGGCACATGTATACATATGTAACTAACCTGCACATTGTGCACATGTACCCTAAAACTTAAAGTATAATAATAATAAAATAAAAATTAAAAAAAAAAGAACCATAATAACATGATCACGCCCAACAGAAAATCAATTCTTTAATGTTATCTTATAATGATTATAATCAGTGTATATTTTGTTTCTACTGAGTGTTTCAAAATTGTCCAAAAATGGCGTTGATTGATGTCTCTTAAGGCTTTTTTACTTAACAAGTCCCGCTTCCTCCTCCCCTCCCCCATTCCATTAATTTGTTGGAAAAACTGGATCATTTGCCCTGTAGAACTTTCCAATCTATATTCAGCCGATTGTATCTTTGGTGTTTTTTGTTTTTGTTTTTGTTTTTGTTTTTGAGATGGAGTTTTGCTCTTGTCACCCAGGCTAGAGTGCAATGGTGTGATCTCGGCTCACTGCAACCTCCGCCTCCTGGGTTCAAGCGATTCTTGCCTCAGCCTCCCTAGTAGCTGGGATTACAGGCGCCTGCCACCATGCCCAGCTAATTTTTGTATTTTTTTTTAGTAGGGATGGGATTTCACCATGTTAGCCAGGGTGGTCTTGAACTCCTGACCTTAGGTGATCTGCCAGCCTCGGCCTCCCAAAGTGCTGGGATTACAGGTGTGAGCCACCATGCCCGGCCCCTCATATTTCTTTAAGTGGTAGTTAGGTCTGGAGGTTTGATTATCCTTGGGGTCTTTCTGTTTTGCTTTTTAAAATTTTGTTTTTTTATTTTTTTGAGACAGAGTTTCACTCCTGTTGCCCAGGCTGGAGTGCAGTGGCGCAATCTCAGCTCACCGCAACCTCCGCCTCCTGGGTTCAAGCGATTCTCCTACCTCAGCCTCCCCAGTAGCTGGGATTACAGGCATGTGCCACCACGCCCAGCTAATTTTGTATTTTTAGTAGAGAAAGGGTTTCTCCATGTTGGTCAGGCTGGTCTCAAACTCCCAACCTCAGGTGATCTGCCCACCTCGGCCTCCCAAAGTGCTGGGATTACAGGCGTGAGTCACCGTGCCCAGCCGTTTTGCTTTTTTTCTTTTAATATGAATACTTCTCCAATAGTTGTGCTCTGTACTTTCTATCAATTGCCATCCCACTGGGAGCACATGATGTCTGGTTGTGCCATTTTGGGGGCATGTTAAGATTAATTGGTACAGCCGGCTGCAGTGGTGCCTGCCTGTAGTCCCTGCTACTCTGGAGGCTGAGATGGGAGAATCATTTAAGTTGGAGTACAGTCTGGGCAACATAGTGAGACCTCATCTCTAAAAAATAAAATACAATTTTTTAAAAGGTGGATTGATAGGATCTGTGATGTCATTGCAGCATACTGATTTTCTCATTCTATCATGTCTGCATCTATTAGCTGTGATTCTTTTATAAAGAAAAACTTTTGGCTGGGCGCGGTGGCTCATGTCTGTAATCCCAGCACTTTGGGAGGCCGAGGCGGGTGGATCACTTGAGGTCAGGAGTTCGAGACCAGCCTGGCCAACATGGTGAAACCCCGTCTCTACCAAAAATACAAAAACCAGAGTGTGGTGGTGCGCACCTGTAATCTCAGCTATTTGGGAGGCTGAGGCATGAGAATCCATTGAACCTGGGAGGTGGAGGTTGCACTGAGCTGAGATCATGCCACTGCACTCCAGCCTGGGTGACGGAGCGAGAGTTTCTCAAAAAAAACAAAGAAAAACTTTCTGCTGGGCACAGTAGTTCACACCTGTAATCCCAGCACTCTGGAAGGCTGAGGCAGGAGGATCACGTGAGCCTAGAAGTTCAAGACCAGCTTAAGCAACATGGGGAGACTCCCATCTCTACAAAAGAACAAAAAGTTAGCCAGGCAAGGTGGTGCATGCCTGTGGTCCCAGCTACTCAGGAGGCTGAGGTGAGAGGATCACTTGAGCCCAGGAGGTCGAGGCTGCAGTGAGCTATGATTGAACCACTGCACTCTAGCCTGAGTGACAAACAGAGACGCTGTTTTAAAAAAAGACGAGTGTGGTGGCTCACGCCTGTAATTCTAGCACTTTGGGAGGCCAAGGCGGGCAGATCACGAGGTCAGGAGTTCGAGACCAGCCTGGCTAATATGGCGAAACCTCATCTCTAATAAAAATACTAAAAATACAAAAATTAGCCAGGCGTGGTGGCATGTGCCTGTAGTCCCAGCTACTTGGGAGGCTGAAGCAGGAGAATTGCTTGAACCCGGGAGGCGGAGGTTGTAGTGAGGAGAGATTGTGCCACTGCACTCCAGCCTGGGCAAAAGAGCGAGACTCTGTCTCAAAAAACAAAACAAAACAAAAAAAAAACTTTCCTTTATCAACTACTGTATTTGGTTACCCTGAAATATAGTCCATAAAGCAAAGGCAAGATACATGTGTGAATATTTTCCTTCAGTTAGCACTTTTCAGAATAATGCCCTAGTAACCCTCAGAGTCTACCAATGAGTGTTTGTCTTTTTAAGGTATCATTATAAACTCATGGGCTTAAAAAATATATTTATTTGATGCATTTCAATTCATTACAGTCACTATTCTTTTTCTTTTTAATTATTTGTACAGAAAAGGTCTTGCTATGTTGCCCATGCTGGTCTCAAATTCCTGGGCTCAAGCGATCCTCCCTCCTCAGCCTCCTGAAGTATTGGGATCACAGGCAGGAGCCACTGCACCGAACCTACAGTCACTATTCTTTTTTTTTTTTTTTGAGACGGAGTCTCGCTCTGTCGCCCAGACTGGAGTGCAGTGGCACGATCTCGGCTCACTGCAACCTCCGCCTCCTGGGTTCACGCCATTCTCCTGCCTCAGCCTCCCTAGTAGCTGGGACTACCGGCACCTGCCACCACGCCTGGCTAATCTTTTGTATTTTTAGTGGAGATGGGGTTTCACTGTGTTAGCCAGGATGGTCTCGATCTCCTGACCTCGTGATTCGTCCACCTCGGCCTCCCACAGTGCTGGGATTACAGGCGTGAGCCACTGTGCCTGGCCCCTTATTATATATAATAAAGTAAGCTAGAGAAAAGAAAATGTTATTAAGAAAATCATAAGGAAGAGAAAATATATTTACTACTCATCAAGTGGAAGTGGATCGTCATAAAGGGCTTCATCCTCATCGTTTTCGCATTGAGTAGGCTGAGACTCCATCTCAAAAAACAAACAAAACCAATAACCAAGCGATGGGCCTCTGATATGTGTATTATATTTTTCTGTACCATGTTATACTTCATAAAAAGTGTAAAAAGTGACTGAAAGTGGAAAATTTTGAAAAAGCTACATGCTCTAAATGCAAATACTAGTTCACACTGTATCCTGGAACAAAAAAATCACATTCATGGAAAAACTGGGGAAATCTGGCCAGTCCATTGTTTGGTTAATAATAATGTGCCAGGCTGGGCACGGTGGCTCACACCTGTAATCCCAGCACTTTGGGTGGCCGAGGTGGGAGGATCACCTGAGGTCAGGTGTTCGAGACAAGCCTGGCCAACATGGCAAAACCCCATCTATACTAAAAATACAAAAATTAGCCAGACATGGTGGAGCATGCCTGTAGTCCCAGCTACTTGGGAGGCTGAGGCAGGAGAATCGCTTGAACCTAGGAGGCAGAGGTTGCAGTGAGCCGAGATCGTGCCACTGCACTCCAGCCTGGGCAATAGAGTGAGACTCTGTCTCAAAAAAAAAAAAAAATAGTAATGTTCCAATTGTTGGCTCCTTAATTTCAACGAATGTACCATGTATACTATGCAAGATGCTAACATTAGGGGAAGCACAATCAGGGCTATACAGCAACTCTACTATCATTACATCTTCTCTGTAGATTTTAAGTTTTTCCAAAAAAACCTTTTAACGTTATAGCTAGCAGCAGTTCACAGATGTTTTGGTCTCAGGATCCCTTTACACTCTGAGAAATAATTGATGATCCCAAAGAGGTTTGTTATGTGGGTTGTATCTTATCAATATTTACTGTATTCGAAATTAAAACAGAAATTTTGAAATATGTATTCATGGCCAGGTGTGGTGGCTCATGCCTGTAATCCCAGCACTTTGGGAGGCTGAGGCGGGCGGGTGACCTGAGGTCAGGAGTTCGACACCAGCCTGGCCAACATGGTGAAACCGCTGCCTCTACTAAAAATACAAAAATTAGCCAGGTATGGTGTGGTGCACCTGTAATCCCAGCCACTCAGGAGGCTGAGGCAGGAGAATTGCTTGAACCCAGGAGGCAGAGGTTGCAAGGTTGCAGTGAGCCGAGATTGTGCCATTGCACTCCAGCCTGGGCAACAGAGCAAGACTCTGTCAAAAAACAAAACAAACCAAACAAAAAAACAGAAATATGTACTCATCGATTCATTTAAAGTAAGAATATGCCAGGTACAGTGGCTCGTGCCTCTAATCCCAGCACTTTGGGAGGCTGAACAGGGAGGATCTCTTGAGCCCAGCCAGGAGTTTGAGACCAGCCTGGGCAACATTGCAGGACTCTGTCTCTACAACAACAACAACAAAATTAGCCAGGTGCGGTGTTGTGTGCCTGTAGTCCTAGCTCCTTGAGAGGCTGAGGCGGAAGGATCGCTTGAGCCCAGGAGTTGGAGGCTGCAGTGAGCTATGATCGTGCCACCGCACTCCAGCCTGGGCAACAGAGCAAGACCTGGTCTCAAAAAAATAAATAAGTAAATAAATAAGAATAATAAATCTATTATATATTAACAAATATATATTGTTATAAAAAATAATTATGTTCTCCAAACCAAAAGTAATTAGCCAGAAGAGTGGCACTGTTTTTGATTTTTGCAAATCTCTCATGTCTGGCTTAATAGAAGACAGTTAGTTGAATTATCTCTGTGTGTCTCCCTTCAGTCTGTTGTGACAGGAAACATCATACCGCCCCTGGAAAACGCCACGGTATACTGGAGGGAGAATGATGGTGAAAAAGGCAAACAATATCTTAGTATTATTATGAAAGTAGTTTTAACCTCATGGGACCCCCCCAAAAGGGTCTCAGGAGTCCCCAAAGCTTCATGAACCACACTTTAGAGCCACCGCTACATAGAAATGGATTAAACAAGATTGCATTTCATTAGATTCTTTGTTACAGAAAATTGCTTGGATAACTTTTTCGAATGTTAAAAATGAAACCGCCTTCTGCAGGAAGCTAATTAAGCCTCTCTGCCAAGAAGCCAGCGGCTCCTGTTCGAACTTGCGCTTCTGCATCTTGCCTGCAATAGAAAGACACTGCTGTCCTGGCTGTCAAAGAGGCCCTGTACCTGCTGGAAAGCCCTGCTCACCACTCCAGATTCCAGATGTCAATGCAGATTTTTTTTTTTAACTCAATGCTAAGCAGCAGACGCTAAGGTCATGCATGTGAGGGGAGCGTACCCTGCTCAGGTTTTATTTGGGAGCTCGTACCAGGGCTTTGAGCTTTTGGAGCTTCAATGCACAAATGTGCCCATGCCTGCCCTGCTTGGAGGTTGCAGGGCGCAGGGGTTGGGGAGCTGCTGCCAACAGGGCACCATTAGGCCGGGACAACACAAGCGCCCACCAGCCTGCCCCAGCTCTGCCCAGTGCCACCAGCACAATCTAGCCAATGGCCACCTTCTATTTGTTTATTCTTTATATTAACTGGATTTGGTTTTGAACTTTTTGTTGAAGTGTAATCTGGATATGGAAAAGGACACACATCATAAGATACAGCTCCATGAATTTCTGCAAAATGAGCATGACCCATGTGGCCCGAACCCCAAAAGCCCCCCTGCCCCCCACCAGTGGACCCCATTTCCATCAAATCCCACCCAGTCCCTTAGATAATCACAATCCTAACTTCCAACACCACAAATTAGTTTGCCAGTTTCTGTACATAAATAGAATAAACTGTACATCTTCTTTTGTAGATGGTTTCTTTTGCTCAGTGTTACATCTGTGTGATTATCCATGCTGTTGGCATGTAGTTTATTCATTCTCATTGCTGAATAGCGAGTTTTCCATTGTATGAATTCCTCTGTATGATATATCCATATTCACATGATAGGGTGTTCATATTCACATATACAGTATTCTATTGTATGATTCCCCTTTATGAATAGACCACAGTTTGTTTATCTAGTCTCCTATAGATGGATACTTGAACTATTTTCATTTTTTGTTTTTTTGAGACAGAGTCTCATTCTGTTGCCCAGGTTGGAGTGCAATGGTGCGATCTCGGCTCACTGCAACTTCCACCTCCCGGGTTCAAGCGATTCTCCCACCTCAGCCTCCCGAGTGGCTGGGACTACAGGTGCATGCCACCAAGCCTGACTAATTTTTTGTATTTTTTAGTAGAGACAGGGTTTCACTGTGTTAGCCAGGATGGTCTCGACCTCCTGACCTTATGATCTGCCTGCCTCAACCTCTCAAAGTGCTGGGATTACAGGCGTGAGTCACCGTGCCCAGCCAAACTAAGAGTTTTAGTTTGCATTTATTTAGTTAGGAATTGTATCTAGCATCTTATCACATGTTTATTAGCCACTTGTATTTCATTATTTTTTAAACTACTGGTCCCTGACTTTTGCCCATTTTCTGCTGGATTATTGTTCCTTTTTCTCATTAAGAGAGCTCTGCCAGGCGTGGTGGCTCAGGCCTGTAATCCCAGCACTTTGGGAGGTTGAGGTGGGCAGATCACTTGAGGTCAGGAGTTCAAGACCAGCCTAGTCAACATGGCGAAACCCCGTCTCCACAAAAAAAGACAAAAATTAGCCAGGCATGGTGGCAGGTGCCTGTAATCCCAGCTACTTGGGAGACTAAGGCAGGAGAATCGCTTGAACCCAGGAGGCAGAGGTTGCAATGAGCCGAGATTGGGCCATTGCACTCCAGCCTGGGAGACAGAGTGAGACTCCATCTCAAAAAAAAAAAAAAAGAAAAAAAAAGAGCTCCTTTTATACTCAGGAAACTAGTCTACATACTACCATGTGTATTTCAAAGGTTGTTTTGTTTTCTTTTTGGTCTGTATTTATCTTTTGTCTTTAGTTAGGGTACTTTTGGTCATATAGACACTTTAAATTTTATATAATCAAAACTACCAATTTTTTTGCTTTGTGGATTCTGAGTTTTGGAACTTGTTTTAAAAGGCTTTTCCATATATATATATATATATCTCCTCTGTGTTTCTTTCTAAAACTTTTCTATTCCTCCCTCTTGAGGGGAGCTCCTCCTCCCAAAAGACAGGGTTGGTGTTACTGAAAATAAGTTTCTTACAGAAAGGGGTGAGTAAATGCTGAAACAAACTCTTCAATTATCTTGCATCTGAATTGCCCCCAGACACAGGCATGTTGAGCTTTAAAACTCTTTTCCTAAATTCACTCAATTCTTTCTCCAGGAAAATACCATTACTGGCCTAATTGCAGAGATTTCACTTGGAAAAAATTGATCTGGGTCAGCAGGAGCTGTTTCTGCCTTGTCTTCCAGCCTTGCTTCCTGCACGCAGACACCATAATTATAGGCGAATTCAGCTGAGTTGACATAACAAGCAAGAGGATGTCACAAAACTGGCAAGATGAAAGGACGACCAAGAAAATTGAAGATGACTACTTTGTATTCCACTTTTCCTAAGACTGGGAACTTCAGAAATCCACAAACTAAAACATAGGCTATCTAAACTTAAGTAAAAGAAGCAAAAGGGGATGGAACTGTATATTCTCATGTATACATAAAAGTGACACTTTTCTGGTTTAAACTATAATAATAGTTTGCACATTGAATTAGGTAAGATGAAATCTAGAACTTTCCATTTTTGTTTCCATTCATGTGTCTCTGAAGCACAGACTTTCAATTTGTACAATGCATTTTATTTGGATGTTTATTTAATCTCCATACTTAGGTAATCTAAAATCTAGAGTGTTCCTAGTAAAATCCTGACATGTGTGCGCTAGGATACACGTGCAGAAACAGTCATGGTAGGGCCGGGTGCGGTGGCTCACCCCTGTAATCCCAGCAGCTTAGGAGGCTGAGGCAGGTGGATCATTTGATGTCAGGAGTTCAAGACCAGCCTGGCCAACATGCCCCGTCTCTACTAAAAATACAAAAATTAGCCTGGCGATAGTGGCGCATGCCTGTAATCTCAGCTACTCGGGAGGCTGAGGCAGGAGAATCGCTTGAGCCCGGGAGGTGGAGGTTGTGGTGAGCTGAGGTCGCACCACTGCACTCCAGTCTGGGTGAGAGTGAGACTCCATCTCAAAAAAAAAAAAACAAAACAAAATAACAGTCATGAGTCATGGAAGCATTATTTATAGGTGCTCCAAACTGGAAATACCTTAACTGTCCATCAACAGAAGAAAGGATCAATAAATTATGTAATATCTGCTGGATAAGGAGGTGTGCACCTGCAGTGCCAGCTACTCAGGAGGCTGAGGCAGAAGGATTGCTTGAGCCCGGGATTTCAAGGCTGTAGTGAGCTGTAATCACGACATTGCACTCCAGCCTGAGTGATAGAGCAAGACCTTGTCTCTTAAAAAAAATTATGCAGTATACATAACGTGGAATACTATACTACAATGAGAGTGAACAAATTAGAGCTACAAGACACAACATATAGTGTTTAGACCTCCCCAAAAAGCCAAAAAATACACACAGTATGACTTATTTCTTTAAAACTCAAACACAAAGAATGAACACATGAATAGTTAAAGTATAAAGGTCAAGAGATGCTGCGCACGGTGGCTCATGCCTGTAATCCTAAGGTGAGTGGATCACCTGAGGTCAGGAGTTCGAGACCAGCCTGACCAAAATGGAGAAACCCCATCTCTACTAAAAAATACAAAATTAGTCGGGCATGGTGGCAGGCACCTGTAATCCCAGCTACTCAGGAGGCTGAGGCAGGAGAATCGCTTGAACCCAGGAGGCGGAGGTTGTGGTGAGCCAAGATCATGCCGTTGCACTCCAGCCTGGGTAACAAGAGCAAGACTCTGTTTCAAAAAAAAAAAGTCAAGAGAGGGATTATTTTTAGAGGAAAGATGGGAACTGTGATCAAGAGGGACACCTGGGAGATTTCCAAGGTGTGGGCGATGTATTTCTTGGTTTGGATGTTGCTGATGTGGGTGCTCACTCTAGAAACATCTGTTAAACCACACATGTAAGTTTTAGACACTTCTCTGTTTTGTACTTTGCAATGAAGAAGACTAAAAGAAAACTCTATCAGGTTACACAAAGTTGAATTACAGTCAGAATTCTCGGCCGATTAGGGCAGACTGCAGGCAAGTCTGCTCCTTACATTTGAAGAATCCGGGTAACATTTCCAGATAAATTCGAAGATGCCCAGTAAATTTGAATTTCAGATAAACAAGTAACTTTTTAGTGTATTTCAAATATTGCATGAAACATGCTAACACTAGAAAAGTTACGCCTTGTTTATTTGAAATTCAAATTTAACTGGACATCTATATTTTTATTTGCTCAATTTGGCAACTTTAAACTCTCCGGGACAGGAGTACAAAAGAAGGCCCCCTATACCCATATATCTAAAGTTAGTTTTGTTTGTTTGTTTGTTTGTTTGAGACAGAGTCTCGCTCTGTCGCCCAGGCTGGAGTGCCGTGGCGCCATCTCGGCTCACTGCAAGCTCCGCCTCCTGGGTTCACGCCATTCTCCTGCCTCAGCCTCTCGAGTAGCTGGGACTACAGGTGCCCGCCAACACGCCCGGCTATTTTTTTTGTATTTTTTTAGTAGAGACGGGGTTTCGTCGTGTTAGCCAGGATGGTCTCGCTCCTGACCTTGTGATCTGCCCGCCTCGGCCTCCCAAAGTGCTGGGATTACAGGCGTGAGCCACGGCGCCCGGCCCTTTTTTTTTTTTTTTTTAGACGGAGTTTCGCTCTTGTTGACCAGGCTAGAGTGCAGTGGCACGATCTCGGCTCACTGCACCTCCACCTCCCAGGTTCAAGTGATTCTCCCGCCTCAGCCTCCTGAGTAGCTGGGATTACAGGCGCCCACCACAACGCCTGGCTAATGTTTGTATTTTTGGTAGAGACGGTGTTTCACCGTGTTGGCCAGGCTGGTCTCAAACTCCTGACCTCAAGTGATCTGCCCCCGCTTGGGCTCCCAAAGTGCTGGGATTACAGGCGTGAGCCACCGCGCCCCGTGAGATTTTTTAAAATTTATTTATTTTTTGAGACAGAGTCTCACTCTGTGGCCCAAGCTGGAATGCAGTTGCGCGATCTCGGCTCATTGCAACCTCTGCCTCCCAGGTTCAAGCGATTCTTCTGCCTCAGCCTCCCAAGTAGGTGGGATTACAGGTGCCTGCCACCACGCCCGGCTAATTTTTGTATTTTTAATAGAGATGGGGTTTCACCACATTGGCCTGGCTGGTCTCGAACTCCTGGCCTCAAGTGATCTACCTGCCTCAGCCTCTCAAAGTGCTGGGATTGCAGGCATGAGCCACCACGCCCCGCCTTAAAGATTTTTAAGATTATACACCAAACTAACAAACTTTTAAATAAATAAAACGTGTTCTATTCTCCTATCTTGACAAATACACCTTCACAATGACTGGCTGAAAGTCAGTAAAATATCAAAGACTACTGGAATCAGTTATGTTTGTGCATGTCTGTGTATTCTAGAAGTTTGGATGAGTAATAAAATAAAGATATACCTAATTCATATATTAGCATATGTAGTCCATAAAGCTTATTTCATTGTCTTTATTTTACACAATCACAAATTATGCTACTACAATAAAAAATGTCACGATTTCTGATCTGGTCATAGTAATTATCTAAAGGATTTTAAAATAAAATTTAGATTGTATTAAAATTGGACACATTTTAAATATATTTACATCAAAAATTTAAATTAAAGCACGTAGGGGCTGGGTGAGGTGGCTTATGCCTGTAATACCAGCACTTTGGGAGGCCGAGGTGGGTGGGTCGCCTGAGATCAGGAGTTTGAGACCAGCCTGGGCAACATGGCGAAACCCCATCTCTACTAAAAATACAAAAATAAGCTGGACGTGGTGGCACAGGCCTGTAGTCCCAGCTATTCAGGTGGCTAAGGCATGAGAATTGCTTGAACCCGGGAGGCGGAGGTTGCAGTGAGCTGAAATCGTGCTACTGCACTCCAGCCTGGGCAACAGAGCAAGGCTCTGTCTCAAAAAAAAAAAAAAAAAAAAAAAAAAAACCCAAATAATAATAATAATAAAGCAAGTAGGAAAAATCAAAATATTTAAATTATTTATGTTGCAAAAATATTTTTGGCTCAGTGTGGTGACTCATGCCTGTAATTCTAGCACTTTGGGAGACTGAGGAGGGAGGATCACTTGATGCCAGGAGTTCGAGAGCAGCCCGGGCAACATAGCAAGACCCTATCTCTAGAGGAAACTTTAAAAATTAGCCTGGTATGGTGGTGCTGCCTGTAGTCCCAGCTACTTGGGAGGCTGAGGTTGGGGGACCACTTGTGCCTGAGAGGTGGAGGCTGCACTGAGCTGTGATCATGCCACTGCACTCAGCCTGGGTGACAGAGCAAGACCTTTTCTCAAAAAAAAGAAAAAAATCCCTTTGAAAATATTCAAAATAAGGCCGGGCGCGGTGGCTCACGCCTGTAATCCCAGCACTTTGGGAGGCCGAGGCGGGCGGATCACGAGGTCAGGAGATCGAGACCATCCTGGCTAACATGGTGAAACCCCGTCTCTACAAAAAATACAAAAAATTAGCTGGGTGTGGTGGCAGGTGCCTGTAGTCCCAGCTACTCGGGAGGCTGAGGCAGGAGAATGGTGTGAACCTGGGAGGCGGACCTTGCAGTGAGCTGAGATCACACCACTGCAGTCCAGCCTGGGCGAAAGAGCGAGACTCCATCTCAAAAAAAAAAAGAAAATATTCAAAACAGGGTGGGCACGGTGGCTCACACCTGTAATCCCAGCACTTTGGGAGGCCAAGGTGGGCGGATCACGAGGACAGGAGTTCCAGACCAGCCTGGCCAATATGGTGAAACCCCATCTCTACTAAAAATGCAAAAATTATCTTGGTGTGGTGGCACGCTCCTGTAGTCCCAGCTACTCGGGAGGCAGAGGCAGAAGAATCGCTTAAACCCAAGAGGCAGAGGTTGCAATGAGCCGAGATTGTGCCACTGCACTCCAGCCTGGGTGACAGAGCAAAACTCCATCTCAAAAAAAAAAAAGAAAATATTCAAAATTATGTATTAAAAGTAAATGGCAGTGGTTTCCAGGGGCTGAGGGTAGGGGGAAATGAGGAATTATTGTCTAATGCAGCAGTCCCCAAATTTTTGGCACCAGAGACCGTTTTCATGGAAGACAAATTTCCCACAGACGGGTGGGGGGATGGTTTCGGGATAAGACTGTTCCACCTCAGATCATCAGGCATTAGATTCTCATAAGGAGCGTGCAACCTAGATCCCTCACATGTGCCGTTCACAGTAGGGTTTGTGTGCAGTTCACAGTTGGGTTTGCAGTCCTATGAGAATCTAAGCGGTAATGCTCGATCGCCGGCTGTTCACCTCCTCCTATGCTGCCCAGCTCCTAACAGGCCACAGACTGGTACTGGTCTGTGGCCCAGGGGTTCGGACCCTTGGTCTCATGGGTACAGAATTTCACTGTTGCCAGATGAAAAGAGCTCTAGAGATTGATGGTGCAGATGGTTGCACACGAGTGTACTTAAAACCATTAAACTGTACACTTAAAATGATTAAGATGGTAAATCTTATGTGTATCTTATTACAATAAAAAATTCTAATTAAATAGCAAATATAAAACATCAAATTTTTATCTAAATTATTTAAATAAAGCTGACATTTTATACTTATTTATTTATTTATTATTTATTTATTTATTTTGAGATGAAATCTCACTCTGTTGCCCAGGCTGGAGCTCAGTGGCCCGATTCAGCTCACTGCAACCTCCATCTCCCAGGTTCAAGCGATTCTCCTGCCTCAGCCGCCTGAGTAGCTAGGATTTCAGGCGTGCGCCACCAGGCCTGGCTAATTTTTGTATTTTTGTATTTTTTCACCATGTTGGCCAGGCTGGCCTCGAACTCCTGACCTCAAGTGATCTGCCCACCTTGGCCTCCCAAAGTGCTGGGATTATAGGCATGAGTCACTGCATCTGGCACATTTTAAATTTATTTTTAATGTAATTCTTATTAAGTATTTTGTAACAATAAAACAATATTAAAAAACTGGTCTTACCTTTCACACATTAGGTCCAGACCTACATATATACCAAAGCAAGAGTAACATAAATTGTTTAATATTACCAAATATTCCTGAGCGGCCATGCTGGAAAAATCATTCTGTAATTACATGCCTGTAATCCCAGCACTTTGGGAGGCAGAGGCAGGAGGATCACCTGAGGTCGGGAGTTCAAGACCAGCCTGACCAACATGGAGAAACCCCATCTCTACTAAAAATACAGAAATTAGCTGGGCGTGGTGGTGCATGCCTGTAATCCCAGCTACTTGGGAGGCTGAGGCAGGAGAATCGCTTGAACCCAGGAGGCGGAAGTTGTGGTGAGCCGAGATCACACCATTGCACTCCAGCCTAGGCAACAAGAGCGAAACTCCATCTCAAACAAACAAACAAAAAAATTAACTGGGCGTGGTGGTGGGCGCCTGTAATGCCAGCTACTTGGGAGGCTGAGGCAGGAGGATCACTTGAACCTAGGAGGTGGAGAGTGTAGTGAGTCGAGACCTTGCCATTGCACTCCAGCAACAAGAGCGAGACTCCGTCTCAAAAAATAAAATTAAATTAAAATTAAAATACAAAAAATTAGCCAGGTGTGGTGGCGGGCGCCCAGTTACTTGGGAGGCTGAGGCAGCAGAATTGCTTGAACCTGGGAGACAGAGGTTGCAGTAAGCTGAGATTGCGCCATTGCACTCCAGCCTGGGCTACAGAGTGAGATTCAAAAAAAAAAAAAAAAAAGAATTCAAAAGGGAAGTAAGCATCCAGAACTTTGGCAAGAGTAAGTTTACCAAGTTTTGCCCCGGTTTTACAAACATGAGGAAAAATCAGTGCTTGTGTAGGAAGTGCCACCACGGCTACAGCTGAATATCAACCAGGAAACAGCTAATGATAGCTTAGCCAAACCTGACCCAAAGCCTGCAGGAAGGTAGCAAGGCATCCATCTTTGAGACCTTCCTTGTCTCTTTCCTGCCACCAGGTAGGGACAGAGAGGGCTTTGCTAACGTTGCTAACCTCGGCCTGACTGAACAACATCATTTTCCACTCCTCCAGGAGAAGAGACACTCTCTCTCCAATTTGAGACCATTTTACTAAATGTTAAAGTTTAGAATGCCTAGGCTAGCAGGTTGGCAGCTGGCCAGGAAAGGACAATTGGGCTTGGACTGAACTTTGTTCTTCTGGTAGCCAGGTGTCTCCACCCTCCCTGCCCTTTTCAGCTCTGAACTCTATTCTATTTCAGCAGCTGGCAAGTTCTCCGCTTCATAAGGGTGTGCCCCATCACATCTCCTGCCCCCACCCCCATGCTTAGGGAGATTCTAGAACCTTCTCTGTGCAAGAAGCTGAGATTGCCTACCAATGCAAAATCTGCAGAGGACTTCTCACTTAGGGAAGGTGACTCTTGGTCTTCTACCCTGTGAGCCTGTGAATGAAGCTGATTTTGATTATTCTTGAAGTTGTTTTGTTTTGTTTTGTTTTGAGACGGTGTCTTGATCTGCCGCCCAGGCTGAACTGCAGTGGTGCGATCTCGGCTCACTGTAACCTCTACTTCCCAGGTTCAAGCGATTCTTGTGCCTCAGCCTCCCAAGTAGCTGGGATTACAGGTGCGTGCCATGACACCCGGCTAATTTTTGTATTTTTAATAGAGATGGGGTTTCACCATGTTGGCCAGGCTGGTCTCGAATTCCTGGACTCAAGTGATCCACCGGCCTCGGCCTCCCAAAGTGCTGGGATTATAGGCGTGAGCCACCACACCCGACCTCTTGAAGCTTTTCTTTTTTTTTCTTTTTCTTTTCTTTTTTCTTTTTTTTTTTTTTTTTTTTTGAGGTGGAGTCTTGCTCTGTCACCCAGGCTGGAGTGCAGTGGCATGATCTCGGCTCACTGAAACCTCTGCCCCCTGGATGAAAGCAATTCTCCTGCCTCAGCCTCCCTAGTAGCTGGGGTTACAGTCGTGCACTACCATGCCAGGCTACTTTTTGTTTTTTTGTTTTGTTTTGTTTTAGTAGAGACGGGGTTTCACCATGTTGACCAGGCTGGTCTTGAATTCCTGACCTCAGGTGATCCACCCACCTCGGCCTCCCAAAGAGCTGGGATTGCAGGCGTGAGCCACCGCACCTGGCCCGAAGCTTTTCTTAAATGTATTTTTAAACACAAGTATTCCTATTGAAACCGCCTTTTCAAAATTATGACTGAGATAGTGAAAGAGAACTAACTTAACCGACTCCATCTTGCTTCTAACCTCCATGCTGTCTTTGTTCATTCCTGGGCGTAGCCTGAACTAACTTTGAGAGAAACTTAGTTTGTAGTTTATAAACTGGCTCGTCAGATCATGTGGCCCCCACCCAGGAACTGACTCAGTGCAAGAAGACAGCTTCGACTCCCTATGATTTCATCTCTGACCAATCAGCACTCCTGGCTCACTGTCTCCCCACCCACCCACCAAGTTATCCTTAAAAACTCTACTCCCCGGCCGGGCGCAGTGGCTCATGCCTGTAATCCCAGCACTTTGGGAGGCCAAGGCGGGCAGATCACCTGAGGTCGGGAGTTCGAGACCAGCCTGACCAACATGGAGAAACCCCGTCTCTACAAAAAATACAAAATGAGCCAGGTGTGGTGGCGCATGCCTGTAATCCCAGCTACTCGGGACGCTGAGGCAGGAGAATCACTTGAACCCAGGAGGCAGAGGTTGCAGTGAGCTGAGATGGCGCCATTGCACTCCAGCCTGGGCAACAAGAGCTAAACTCTGTCTCAAAAAAAAAACTCTGCTCCCCGAATGCTTGGGGAGACTGATTTGAACAATTATAAAACTGGGGTCTCTCACATAGCCGGCTCTGCGTGAACTACTCTTTCTCTATTGCAATTCCCCTGTCTTGATAAATCGGCTCTGTCTAGGCAGCAGGCAGGGTGAACCCTTTGGGCAGTTACACTATGTCCCAGAAACCTATTTCAAAAATTATTGCATTTCATTGTAATATTACTAATTATCCATTTAAAATGTGGTTTGTTGCATAAGCTTATGCACAACATACTGAAATTGTTTCATAGGTAGTGAGACTTAGGTATAAGACAAAATAAACTAATCCCAAATCAATCCAGAGTTGAATCTACCTTCTATTCCTGCTTCTCCTCATTCCCAACCATCTTCCCTTTGGCTTCATCCTACATCCTCTCTGGATTTTTTTCGGATCGAATTATAAATCTTTTATTTCAGAGAATTAAAGCTTTGCTGCTGTCACCCCAGCTCCCAGAACTGTGCCTGGCACTTTGTAGGCACTCAGTAAATAGTCATTGAATGACTGGATCAATTCTCTTAAAATTTATTGGGGTTTGTATGAATCAGTCTCCCAACCAAGAAGAGTTATAAACAGTAGAAAGTTTTTAGGATTGTAATTAATCAAGTAATCTGTGTTCATAATAGCAATATCGGCAAAAAAGAAGAAAGGAGGAAACAGTGGCATTCTCAAAGTAGAATGGCTAGACCAAGCCTTGAGCTTTAAAGAAAGCATTTGAATTATCCAGGTCTGGTTGGGCACGGTGGCTCATGCCTGTAATCCCAGGATTACACGCCTGTAATCCCAGCAGATGGATCACCTGAGGTTAGGAGTTCGAGACCAGGCTGGCCAACATGATGAAACCCTCTCTCTACTAAAAATACAAAAAATTAGCCGGGTGTGTTGGCGAGTGCCTGTAATCAATCCCAGCTACTTAGGAGGCTGAGGCAGGAGAATCACTTGGACCTGGGAGGCAGAGGTTGCAGTGAGCCAAGAGTGCCCCACTGCACTCCAGCCTGGGCAACAAGAGCAAAACACCAGAAAGAAAGAAAGAAAGAGAGAAAGAAAAAGAAATTATCCAGGGCTGTCTTACAGCTTGGAGCACAAGGTCAAGGTCTGGCCCAGCCCCCACATTTGCAAGGCCCCATATAATATCTGACTACTTAAAATGTATACCTCAGAATTTACAGTCAAAATGACCTAAATCAAGCTGAAATTTTATTTAGCTATTTGAAAATGTAATTAAACCTTGTTACATGTTTTTATAACTATATAAATTTTTGCATTTATCAGTGTTCAACGTCCATTCAGGTTCCATTGTAAAGAACTGATATCATGCTCCCCGTATATTAGGAGTGTGTGTGTGTGTCTGTGTGTGTGTGTGTGTGTGTGTGTATAACATGCACATATATACATCTAAGAAATATGAAATGTTTAATGTCTTATAGTGTTGCTTAGCTACCATGTGGTACCTCTAGAACCACAAAATTGGAACACAAATAGAAGCAAAAATATGGACACACGGCATCAGTGGGAAATGGTATTTGGTTACGTGTGAATCTCTCACATTCATGCTATCTGAAAGGAAGGGTTTGACAACTTAATTTGTCTTTCCTTTCACCTAAGCCTTCTGCAGCTGAAATCCTCCCCCACACTCCGAATTATGGGTCATCTCCAAGATCTGCGGAGGCACAGCCCACAAACCTTCACAGCATCCATGAATAGCTGCCTTTTGTTTCAAGAACATAAGGCAACTGCTGTGCAGAAGTATTTCCGTGGGGTCTGAGCAGTGTTAGTTATAGAAGTGGCTATCCCAAGAAGGGCATAGCTCAGGGTTATAGGGAAAACTGACCACTGGATCCCAAAATAGCAGAGGTGCCCAGGCAATCTCTGCTACACGTATTCCGCATACTTTTGTGGCGTGTGGCAGCCTCCAAAGCATGGGGCCCAGGGCAGGGCCCTTTAGCCTTACGCCAAGGGCAATAGTGGATTTGGAGCTCCCTTTGCCGCCTAGGGAAGCCCATGTTGTAGGCCCACCCAGGCCAGGGGAGGAAAAGACTACAATAAAGAACCTTCTGGACAGTCACCGGCGCTTCCCGAGATTCAGGCTCACTTTTGAAGCAACTTGCCAGAGGCAGTACTACTGCTGACATAGATAGTTCTTTCGTAGGAAGACAGGCCCCAACCCCAGATGGGGTCTACAGCATCTTTTGTGGAGAGAGTCTGGTTTCTTCCTCTACAACCTTACTGAAGCCAGCCAGAGGTGGGAATGAAGTTAGGAGACCATGACTTGGGGCAAGGTCCCCTGGGCCCTGAGGTTATCACTGGACATGCCAAGTACGGGGCAGGGCCACCAAGAGGGAGTTCTAGAAAATAATGGGGCATGCTGGGAGCCAGTGACCGAGCTGAAGATGTAGATGCCACCACAGCAATGGAGAGGTAAATATGCACCAGCCCCATCCACAAGGTTTCTGGGGAAAAGCCATGGATGAACTTTTCTAGGCAGCTGGACAGGGCAAGGCAGAATCAGAGCTGCTCTGAATTTGTCAAAGAAAAGACCTTTGCCTTTTCCTGAGAAGGAAGGCAGGTTTCCTCAAGATTTTTCTGGTCCATCTCATCTTCCCATATTAGATAGAGCTAGCCAGGGCCTCTGCCATAACTGAGTACCTCCTTCACCATGTTCTCTTGCTTCGTATTTCTGGTGGTTGGGCTACAGTGGTAGGGAGGTATGGTAATCCCCAGAACCTGTGACTATATTACCTTACGTGACAAAAGGGACTTGGCAGACGTGATTAAGTTAAGGAACTTGCAATGAGGAGATCATCCTGGATTACCTGGCTGGGCCCAGCATAATTACAGTCTTTCTGAGAGGGAGGCAAGAGGGCCAGAGTCAGAGGTGATGTCATAGTGGAAACAGAGGCCCAAGAGAGAAATAGAGATTTGAAGGTGCTATGCTGCTGGCTTTGACGATGGAGGGAGGGGCCAACAACCAAAGAATGCAGAATGCAGGTAGTCTCTAACTGGAAAAGGCAAGAAAATGGATTCTCTCCTACAGCCTCCAGAAAGAGGAACACAGCCTACACCTTGATTTTAGGACTTCTAACCTCCCAAACTGTAAGATAATAAATGGATATCTTTTTTGGTTTTTCTTTCTTGTCTTCTTTTTTTTTTTGTAACAACAGGGTCTCTCTATGTTACCCAGGCTGGTCTCGAACTCCTGGCCTCAAGTGATCTTCCTACCTCAGCCTCCCAAAACGTGGGGATCATAGGCATGAGCCACTGCACCCGACCTATTGTTTTAAGTCACTAAATGTGTGGTAATTTGTTTGTTTGTTTGTTTTTGAGACAGAGTCTCACACTGTTGTCCGGGCTGGAGTGCAGTGGCGGATCTCGGCTCACTGCAACCTCCGCCTCCAAGGTTCAAGTGATTCTCCTGCCTCAGCCTCCTGAGTAGCTGGGATTACAGGCACGCACCGCCACGCTCAGCTAATTTTTTGTATTTTTAGTAGAGATGGGGTTTCACCATGTTGGCCAGGCTGGTCTCGAACTCCTGACCTCAAGTGATCCACCCGCCTTGGCCTCCCAAAGTGATGGGATTACAGGCATGAGCCACCGCGCCCGGCCATGTGTGATAATTTGTTACAGCAGCAATAGAAAACTCAGACATCAGGAAATGGGGCTGGCTGGAGATGAGCCAGCCAAGGCAGGGATGGTAGATGTTGTTGGGACAGAGATCAATGACAGTGTAATTCCATGCACTGATTAAGCCTGTGACCTTGCATGGGCCAAGAAGTAGACTTGTTTCTCAACTGGGAGAGCTGAAGCAGTTGGGGACAGAGGGGGGAGAGCCTTGGGCTCTTTTCTCTGACTCTGTTCCTTGGGGCCTAATGTCTGCTGGCCATATTGTAAGGTATCCCATAGGCCTCCCTTAAAGCTGAAGTGGGCTGTTAAAGGCCGAGCGTGGTGGCCTCACGCCTGTAATCCCAGCACTTTGGGAGGCCGAGGTGGGTGGAACACCTGAGGTCAGGAGTTTGAGACCAGCCTGGCCAACATAGTGAAACCCCTACTAAAAATACAAAAATTAGCCTGGTGTGGTGGCATGCACCTGTAGTCCCAGCTACTCGGGAGGCTGAGGCAGGAGAATCACTTGAACCCAGGAGGTGGAGGTTGCAGTGAGCTGAGATCGCGCCACTACACTCCAGCCTGGGGTGACAGAGTGAGACTCCATCTCAAAAAAAAGAAAAAATAAATAAAAAAGCTGAAGTGGGCTGTGTCCTACTAGGTAGGGCAAGGAGAAGTCTTGCTAGATATTAACAGGCAGCTGGCATTATGATAGGGCACAGGGGGAATAAGGATGGAAGTTCTAGTGTCCAAGGAATGGAATGTTCTGGATACAGGGAGGCAGATTTACAGCTGGCCTCTTCGGGGATGATGACTTAGTGTGGGGCCAGGTGAGTCATTCAGTCTAGCTGTGGGGCATGAATTGGAAAACTGTGGTGACTATTGTCCAGTGATGGAAACTCTAGAAGCTTCTGTTCCCTCATCTGTGAAATGAGATGAACATACTACCTACCTCACAGGGTTTTAATTAGGCATAAGCAGATTATCTGTGCAAAATGCTTAGTGCAGTGCCTGGCACACAGAAAACACTCAATGAAGGCTATAATTATATAAAACTGCAGCCTCCATTGGAAATCTGGTAGAGAGTGGCCTGTGGAGGAAGAAAGGCTCTTTGATAAGCAGGGCAGATGGCAGTCTGTTGAGCACAGGTAGTGAGGCTTATTTGATGTCACTGTGGCACTAGGATGGGACAGGTCCATCAGAAAGTCCAGCAGATGGCTCCCCACAGAGGCTCGGTGGTCAAAAGCGGATGTCCAGGCCCTAAGAGCTGCCCAAGCCTGTTCTCAGCTTGGGCACATACTTGCAGGGGGATGATAGTATGCACCCCCAACAAGGGCAGGCCCTGGGACCTGACAGCCATCTCTTCTCTATCCCTGTAATGCAGGGCATGTCCCTGGCACCTCTGTCTCAGTGACAAGTGGCCAGACAATCCAGTGCTGGGGATTCCGTCTACAGCCAAGCCAGTGCAGAGCACCTGCAAGACGCAGCTGGAGCAGAGTGAGCCGGGGGCAAGGCCAAGCCAGCTGAGCCTGGTGAGCCCAGGACCGAGGTAGCTGGGATCATTCGAGGAGACCAAAGGGGAACAGCAGGACCAGACATGAGAGAGAAAACCCAGCATCAGGAGCCCGAACTCAGAGGGGCCAAGTTGAGTGGGAGGCAGGGAGGCATGGGGTGACTCCCCACCGACTGAAGGCTTGGGGACCGGTGGAATGCTTCCACTGGCTGTCCCAATTGGGGTGTGTGTGAGTCAGTCTGGCTAAATTTGTCAACAGTTCCAGGTTGTTTGAAGAGTTCGGGGAAAACAGTTAAATGCGATTTTTATTTTACTGTCAAAATGAGCACAAAAGGTATGAGAAGAACATGTAGTTTTACAAAGTTGACCCTATGCCATTCTGTACTCAGTGGAAAAGTGGGATAAATCTTTTTTACAGCAGGAAATCAGACTTCATGAACAAAACCAGCAGTTCCGCCAGTTCTGTAGCCTCTATTGTGTGTGTGAAGATTTTCATGAAATTCTTCTGTTAAAGTGGAAGAGTACTTTTCTAATCAGAAAAAGTTATCTTTTAAACGGCTCACATCATTATCTAACACAACCATGGTTTCAGATTGTACTAAGCATCAATTTTCACATAGTTAAAACTTGCATTTTTTCATCAGCACCAACAAAAAGTAGAACAACTCTGGAAACACTTTGTTCCAAAACTGCAAAAGAATTAACCAATAGTGTTGGGTGAAACTTTCTCTTATATAGATGTATCTAAATTCAAACATAAAAAGTTGCTCCTGTCATTTCATGACAACATTATAGTTAACATGAAAGCTCTTGGACTTTACATTCTACTGTGGAAATTAACTGACTGATTAGATTAATATTTTCACTGTTATGAGCCATAAAGGACATGCCACTAAGACCTCTGGCATGTCTATTCAAAATATGAATACTAGGCTGGGCACAGTGGCTCACGCCTGTAATCCCAGCACTTTAAGATGCCAAGGCGGGAGAATTGCTTGACCCCAGGAGTTCGAGATCAGCCTAGGCAACAGGGCGAGATGCCCCCCACACCCCGTCCCTACAAAAAATTTTAAAAAGTAACCAAGCATAGGCCAGGTGTGGTGGCTCAGGCCTGTAATACCAACACTTTGGGAAGCTAAGGCAGGCCAATCACTTGAGGTCAGGAGTTTTAGACTAGCCTGGCCAACATGGTGAAACCCCGTCTCTACTAAAAATAACAAAAATTAGCTGGGCATAGTGACACGTGCCTGTAATCCAAGCTGCTCTGGAGGCTGAGGCAGGAGAATCTCTTGAGCCCAGGAAGTGGAGGTTGCAGTGAAATGAGATCATGCCACTGCACTCCAGCCTGGGCGACAGAGCAAGACTCCATCTCAAAAAAAAAAAAAAATTAACCAAGTACAGTGGCACTTGCCTGTGGTACCAGCTACATGAGAGGCTGAGGCAGGAAGATCATTTGATCCCAGGAGATCGAGGCTGTAGTGAGCTCTAACTGCACCGCTGCACTCCAGCCTGGGCAACAGAGTGAGCCCCTGTCTCAAGAGAAAATGAATAGAGACTTTGGAGAAGCAAAAATTAAGAGTTGTAAAAGAGTTTAAAAGAAAGAAAAAATGTCTGAATTTTGTTGCTCCTAGAAAGAAAATTGTAAGAGACAATTGCCAGTGACAGTATAGACAAATTCTGAGAGCATCTATTGACTATTCTAATTTCAATATGGAAAATAAAAAGGGTCCTGAATGGGATGATCTGAGGAAAGCATGGGATCTTTTAAAATCCCTCTCCCAGCCAGGCGCCGTGGCTCATGCCTGTAATCCCAGCACTCTGGGAGGCCAAGGCTGGTGGATCACTTGAAACCAGGAGTTTGAGACCAGCCTGGCCAACCCCATCTCTACTAAAAATACAAAAAATTAGCTGGGCATGGTGGCACACACCTGTAATCCCAGCTACTGGGGAGGCTGGGACATGAGAATCACTTGAACCCAGGAGGCAGAAGTTGCAGTGAGCCAAGATTGCGCCACTGCACTCCAGCCTGGGAGACAGGGTGAGACTCTGTCTCAAAATAAATAAATAAATAAATAAATAAATAAATAAATATTCCTTCCCCTTCTTTATCATAGCGTGGCGTCACCCTTCTACTATTCCTCAATGAGAACAGTAGTCAAAAAGAACACTTAAATGTAAAACCCAAAACTATAAAAACCCTAGAAGAAAATCTAGGCACTACCATTCAGGGCACAGGCACAGGCAAAGATTTCATGACAAAAATTGCCAACAGCAATTGCAACAAAAGCAAAAATTGACAAGTGGTATCTAATTAAACTAAAGAGCACAGCAAAAGAAACTATCATCAGAGTGAACAGGCAACCTACAGAGTGGGAGAAAACTTTTGCAATCTATCCATCTGACAAAGGTCTAATATCCAGAATCTACAAGGAACTTAAACAAATTTATGAGATTAAAACAAACAACCCCATTAAAAAGTGGGCAAATGATATGAACAGACACTTCTCAAAAGAAGACATTCATGTGACTAACAAGCCTGTGTAAAAAAAGCTCAACATCACCGATCATTAGAGAAACGCAAATCAAAACCACAATGAGATACTATCTCACTCCAGTCAGAATGATGATTACTAAAAAGTCAAGAAATAACAGATGCTGGTGAGGCTGCAGAGAAATAGGAATGCTTTTACATTGTTGGTGGGAATGTAAATTAGTTCAACTATTGTGGAAGATGGTGTGACGATTCCTCAGAGATCTAGAACCAGAAATACCGTTTGACCCAGCAATCCCATTACTGGTTATATAACCAAAGGAATATAAATCATTCTATTACAACAATATATGCATGTGTATGTTCATTGCAGCACTATTCACAATAGCGAAGACATGGAATCAACCCAAATGCCCATCAATGATACACTGGATAAAAAATGTGGTACATATACACCATGGAATACTATGCAGCCATAAAAAGGAACAAGAACATGTCCTTTGCAGAGACATGGATGGAGCTGGAATCCATTACCCTCAGCAAACTAATGCAGGAACAGAAAACCAAACACTGCATGTTCTCACTTATAAGTGGGAACTGAACAATGAGAACACATGGACACAGGGAGGGGAATCACACACTGGGGCCTCTTGGGGAGTGGGGTAGGGGGAGGGAGCACATTAGAAAAAATATCTAATGCATGCTGAGCTTAATACCTAGGTGATGGGTTGACAGGTACAGCAAACCACCATGGCACACGTTTACCTATGTAACAAACCTGCGCATCCTGCACACATACCCCAGAACTTAAAATTAAAAAGGGCTGGACACTGTGGCTCACGCCTGTAATCCCAGCACTTAAGGAGGCAGAGGCGGGCAGATCACGAGGTCAGGAGATGGAGACCATCCTGGCTAACACAGTGAAACCCCGTCTCTACTAAAAATACAAAAAAATTAGCCAGGAGGCCGGGCGTGGTGGCTCAAGCCTGTAATCCCAGCACTTTGGGAGGCCGAGGCGGGCGGATCACGAGGTCAGGAGATCGAGACCATCCTGGCTAACACAGTGAAACCCTGTCTCTACTAAAAAAAAAAATACAAAAAATTAGCAGGGTGTGGTGCCGCGCACCTGTAGTCCCAGCTACTCGGGAGGCTGAGGCAGGAAAATGGCGTGAACCTAGGAGGCAGAGCTTGCAGTGAGCCAAGATCGTGCCACTGCACTCCAGCCTGGGCGACAGAGCGAGACTCCATCTCAAAAAAAAAAAAAAAAAAAAAAAATTAGCTGGGCGTGGTGTCACACACCTGTAGTCCCAGCTACTCGGGATGCTGAGGCAGGAGAATAGCTTGAACCTGGGAGGTGGAAGTTGCAGTGAGCTGAGATCATGCCACTGCACTCCAGCCTGGGCAACAGAGGGAGACTCCATCTCAAAAAATAAATTAATTAATTTAATTAATTAATAAAATAAAATAAAAAAGGAACACACAGCATCATCTCCAAGTCAGGAATGGTTGAACATACGTAAAGACATTCATCATGAGAGCACAAGGATATTGGCCTCCTCACTTTCAGGGAAGTGAGATTGTTTTTGTTGATTATCCAGTTTGAGGGATAAGAATAGTAATTAACCATTGAAAACCTCTCCTAAGAATTCAAATTAATTACTCAGAGACAGGCCAAGATATTTTTGAAATTGTAAAGAACAAATAATTGTTGAGAGAGCTGAGCTCTTCAAAGATGTAGAGAGAGAGATCCACATAATTTTCTCTTCAATTCATAATGGTAAATGGCAAAAATGACAACATGAATAATGTACTATTTAGCATGTGTTTTATTGCTGAATTTCATATGCATTTTAATTATTTCATATGCATTTAATTTTTCATTTCACTGTAGGTCATATATTAAATATATAACTAAATTCGATTTTATTCATAAGACTTTTCTTTTCTTTTTTTGAGATGGAGTTTCACTCTTGTTGCCCAGGCTACAGTGCAATGGCGCGATCTAGGCCCACCGCAACCTCTACCTCCCAGGTTCAAGCGATTTCCCTGCCTCAGCCTCCCAAGTAGCTGGGCATGTGCCACCACGCCTGGCTAATTTTGTATTTTTAGTAGAAACGGGGTTTCTCCCATGTTGGTCAGGCTGGTCTCGAACTCCCGACCTCAGGTGATCCACTCACCTCAGCCTCCCAAACTGCTGGGATTACAGGCGTGAGCCACCGCGCTCTGCCAAGACTTTTCATATAAACACAGGACCGACGAGACTAACACAGGTCGAACACTGATAATGAACTAAGTGCTTTATTTCATTCAATCCTGACAACGCTAGGAGACAAGCATTATCATCCTGATTGATTTTACAGATAAAGAAACTCAAGACTCAGACTAGGAAGTAATCTGCTTTCACAGCTGCTACGAGAGACAGATATATATACATATATATATATAATATTTAAAATATATATATTTAAAACCAAATGATGGAGTGAGGGTTTGAACATCAAGCCAACTTGCTAAAGTCACAAATTAAATACAAAAATGCTTGTCAGATTTCGTGACCAGATTTCCCATTTGGAAAGCAGAACCACTGTCATTATAGATGATGCTGAATACTTACAGGATATATATCATGTGGAAGCATGAGGGATTTCCCATGAGGAGGGGTCAGATCAGCAGATCTGAGGTTAACCAATAGTTTAGACAGTCTTCTTTGAGGTTGGGCTATCAATGATAGATAGTTGAAAGTGAGGAGTTCTGGTTTAAAGTGGCAACCACACATATTCTCCTCTTCTTACCCAAACCCCACTAAGATGGTTGGCAAAGGCTCTTTTTTTTTGAGATGGAGTCTTGCTCTGTCGCCCAGGCTGGAGTGCGGTGGTGCCATCTCGGCTCACTGCAACCTCTGCCTCCCAGGTTCAAGTGATTCTCCTGTCTCAGCCTCCTGAGTAGCTCTGGTGCGTGCCACCATGCCTGGCTAATTTTTGTATTTTTAGTAGAGGCAGGGTTTCACTATGTTGGCCAGGCTGGTCTCGAACTCCTGACCTCAGGTGATCTGCTCGTCTCAGCCTCCCAAAATGCTGGGATTACAGACGTGAGCCACATGCCCGCCCTGCAAAGGCTTTTAAAAGGAATTAACCCGGCCAGGCGCGGTGGCTCACGCCTGTAATCCCAGCACTTTGGGAGGCCAAGGCAGGCGGGTCACTTGAGGTTGGGAGTTTGAGATCAGCCTGGCCAACATGGTAAAACCCCATCTCTACTAAATATACAAAAATTAGCCAGGCATGGTGGCATGCACCTGTAATCCCAGCTACTCAGGAGGCTGAGGCAGGAGAATCAACCCAGCAGGCAGAAATTGCAGTGAGTCGAGATCATGCCACTGCATTCCAGCCTGGGTGACAGAGTGAGACTCCATCGCAAAAAATAAATAAATAAAATAGTGAACATTAGCGTTGCCAGGCACAGCCTTGCAGGCAATGTGGGTTTGACCTGGGCCCTAAGGAATGAATGGTGTTTCTGGAGACAGCAAGAAGGAGTGCCAGGTAAAATAATTAAGAAAAACAAAGTCATTAATCTAGGAAAGATCTTTACCTACGAAGAGCTCTTCTTTTTTTTTTTTCTTTCAGAGTCTCGCTCTGTCACCCAGGCTAGAGTGCAGTGGTGCGACCTCGGCTCACTGCAACCTCCACCTCCCGGGTTCCAGCAATTCTCCTGCCTCAGCCTCCCAGGTAGCTGGGACTACATACAGCACACACCACCACACCCAGCTAATTTGTGTGTGTGTGTGTGTGAGAGAGAGAGAGAGAGAGAGAGGGAGGGAGCTTCGCTCTTGTTGCCCAGACTGGAGTGCAGTGGCACGATCTTGGCTCACTGCAACCTCTGCCTCCCAGGTTCAAGTGATTCTCCTGCCTCAGCCTCCTGAGTAGCTGGGATTACAAGTGTCCACCAGCATGCCCAGCTAAGTTTTGTATTTTTAGTGGAGACAAGGTTTCGCCATGTTGGCCAGGCTGGTCTTGATCTCCTGACCTCAGGTGATCCGCCCGCCTTGGCCTCCCAAAGTGCTGGGATTACAGGCATGAGCCACTGCACCTGGCCAGAGCTCTTCTAATTAATAAGGGAATAAAAAGGAGAAAAAGACCAAAAACTCAGTAGAAGAAGGAGCACAGATTCAGGCACGGTGGCTCATACCTGTAATCCTGGCATTTTGAGAGGCAGAGGTAAGAGGATCGATTGAGCCTAGGAATTCAAGACCAGCCTGGGCAACAGAGCGAGACCTTGTCTCATTAAAAATGGAAAAATTAGCTGGGTGTGGTGGCGTTCCCTTGTAGTCCAAGCTACTCGGGAGGCTGAGGGGGGCGATCGAAGCTGCAGTGTGCTGTGACAGCACCACTGCACTCCAGCCTGGGTGACAGAGCAAGACCCTGTCTCAAAAAAAAAAAAAAAAGTGGGTAGCAAAGAATATACGCAGATATCATTAACCAAAAAATCACAGTGCAAATAGGTCTTAAATATAAAATACGATTCACAGACATAATAAGAGAAATACTCAATAAGTTCCATTTTCAGCCAGGCACAGTGGCTCATGTCTGTAATCACAACATTTTGGGAGGCCGAGGCAGGCGAATCACCTGAGGTCAGGAGTTCAAGACCAGCCTGGCCAACAGGATGAAACCCCATCTCTACTAAAAATACAAAAATTAGCCGGGTGTGGTGGCACACGCCTGTAGTCTCAGCTACTTAGGAGGCTGAGGCAGGAGAATTCACTCAAACCCAGGAGTTGGAGGTTTCAGTGAGTCGAGATCACAACACTGCACTCCAGCCTGGGCAACAAGAGGGAAACTCCGTCTCAAAAAAAAAAAAAAAAAAAAAGTTCTGTTTTCATCTCTCACATTCGCAAATATCAAAAAGTTTGATAACATTGTGTGTGGTAGGCAAAATTCTAAGATAGGCCCCTAAATTCCCACTGCCTGGTGTACAGGCACCTTTTCCCAGTTATTCACCCAAACATTAATCTGGGTGGTGCTGCAAAGGGATCTTGCAGATGTGATTAATTCCCCAATCAGGTGACTTTAAGATTATCCAAGTGGGCCAGACTTCATTATATGGGCCCCTTAAATCTGGGCCTAGATGTTGGAGACTGGGAAGTCAGAGATCCAAAGCACAAGAAGGAGTCAATGCACTGTTTTTTCCTTAAGGATGGGAGGGGCCCACATGGCAAGGAATGTGGCTATCTCCGGGAGCTGAGAGCAGGCCCCTGGCTAACAGCCAACAAGGAGATTCAGACCTCAGTCCTACAACCATAAGGAACTGAATTCCACTAACAACAGAAACAAGTTTAGGGCCAGGTGCGGTGGCTCACACCTGTAATCCCAGCACTTTGAGAGGCCAAGGCAGGCAGATCACTTGAGGTCAGGAGTTTGAGACCAGCCTGGGCAACCCCATCTCTACAAAAAATACAAAAAGTAGCCAAGCATGATGGTGCGTGCCTGTGATCCCAGCTACTTGGGAGACCAAGGTGGGAGGATGGCTTGAACCCTGGAGGCGAAGGTTGCAGTAAGCCAAGATTGCACCACTGCACTCTAGCCTGGGTAATAGAGCCAGACCTTGTCTCAAAAAAACAAAACAAAACAAAACAAAACAAAACAAACAAACAGAAAAACCCCCACAAAAACAAACAAACCAAAAACAAGCTTGGAAGCCTCCAAACAAGACCTCAGCCTGGTAACACCTTGATTTTAACCTTATGATACTCTAAGCAAAGGACCCAGTCATGCCATGCCAGACTTCTGACCTCCCAAACTGGGAGCTTATAAATGGGTGTGTTGTTTTAAGCCACTGAGTTTGTGGTTGTTATGTAGCAATAGAAATCTAATTTGCTGTGTTTAAAAGGGTGTGGAGAAACCTGCGCATTCATTTATTGCATTTAAATGATTACATGAATTTTTTGGCATGTAAATAGATATGACCTCCATGGAGGGCAAATTGGCAATATCTATGAAAATTCAAGTTGCTCGCCGGGCGCAGGGACTCATGCCTGTAATCCCAGCACTTTGGGAAGCCAAGGCAGGTGGATCACTTGAGGTCAGGAGTTCAAGACCTGCCTGGCCAACATGGTGAAACCCCGTCTCTACTACAAATACAAAACTTAGCCCAGTGTGGTGGCATGTGCCTGTAGTCCCAGCTACTCAGGAGGCTAAGGCAGGAGAATCGCTTGAACCCGGGAGATGGAGGTTGCAGTGAGCAGAGATCGCGCCACTGCACTCCAGTCCTGGGTGACAGAGCAAGACTCCGTCTCAAAAATAATAAATAAATAAATAAATAGCTATCAATAGTAGGATAGCCAAATACATGATGGTGCGGCCCTCATAATGAGGCCACTCCAGAGATATCGAAACAGAAAGTTCTCCAGGAATTACTTACAGGTAAAACTGTAAGGTTTAGGATAGTGTATAGAATGCTATTTAGATGGGGCAAAAAAGTAAAACGTCATTAGATATGTTGGTGAATGCACAGGAGGTGTCTGGAAGATAAACAAAAAACTGGTCCTGACAGCTGCCTTTGGGGAGGGACCCAGGAAGGAGAGGTACTGTTTCCAGGTTATCTGTTCTCATCTGAGAACAGAGAAGATGTATGTATTACCTGTTCAGAACAATACACACACAAAAAACAAGAGTAGTTCTGCCCCTGTGGGTTCTTGAAGAGAATGTAGTTTCTTTTTTTTTTTTTTTTTCTTTTGAGACGGAGTCTCGCTCTGTTGCCCAGGCTGGAGTGCAGTGACACCATCTCAGCTCACTGCAACCTCCGCCTCCCGGGTTCAAGTGTGCCTGCCTCAGCCTCCCAAGTAACTGGGATTACAGGAGCACACCACCACGTCAGGCTAATTTTTGTATTTTTAGTAGAGATGGGGTTTCGCCATGTTGACCAGGGTGGTCTCAAACTCCTGACCTCGGGTGATCTGCCCACCTCATCCTCGCAAAGAGCTGTGATTAGAGGCGTGAGCCACTGGGCCTGGCTGAGAATGTAGTTTCTTTAAAGGAAGGAAGGAGGCCAGGCATGGTGGCTCACACCTGTCATCCCAGCACTTCAGGAGGCCAAGGTGAGAGGATCATTTGAGTTCAGGAGTTCAAGACCAGCCTGGGCAACATAGCAAGACCCTGTCTCTACAAAAAATAAAATAATTGACCAGGTGTGGTGGTGTATGCCTGTAGTCCCAGCTACTCAGGAGGCTGAGGTAGGAAGATGGCTTGAACCCAGGAAGCAAAGGATGCAGTGAGCCGAGATCATGCTACTGCACTCCAGCCTGGTCAACAGAGCAATACCCTGTCTCAGAAAATAATAGTAACAAAGGAAGGATGGAAGGAAAGAGCGGGAAAGAAGGGAGGGAGAGAGAAAGGAGGAGAGAGGAAGGGAGCAAGATGGAAAAGGGTAGAGCAAGATTTACTGCCATTTCCCCTCTGTTCAGCTGAATCTTTCTCTTCTACTTGGTATCAACACTATGGCTCATTTCCAGGCAAATGTCCACTTGCAGACAGGCACAGAGACACCCCCTGTGAGAACGACTCCCTGCCGGGTTCTGGTGCTGCCTGTACACCCACCTGGCACACACTAGGTGCCCCATCGATATTTACTGCTGCAAGTTAGGGTGGAAATGTGTTTTGTTGTTGTTGTTGTTGTTGTTTTAATGTTTGTTGAAAGATTTCTAAACTTTCGTTTAAAAGTTGGCATTTCCAGGCCAGGCATGGTGGCTCACGCCTGTAATCCTAGCGCTTTGGGAGGCTAAGGTGGGCAGATCACTTGAGGCCAGGAGTTCGTGACAAGCCTGGCCAACGCGGTGAAACCCGGTCTCTACTAAAAATACAGACATTAGCCGGTCATGGTGGCACACGCCTGTAATCCCAGCTACTCGGGAGGCTGAGGCAGGAGAATCGCTTGAACCCAGGAGGCGGAGGTTGCAGTGAGCCGAGATCACGCCACTGCACTCCAGCCTGGGTGACAGAGTGAGACTCCGTATCAGAAATAAATAAATAAATATAAGTTGGCATTTCCAGCCTGCACAACATGGCAAAAACCCGTCTCTGCAAAAAATACAAAAATTAGCCAGGCATGGTGGCACACACCTATAGTCCCAGCTACTTGAGGATGAGGTGGGAGGATTACTTGGGCCCAGGGAGGCAGAGGCTGCAGTGAGCCGAGATCACACCACTGCATTGCAGCCTAGGCAACAGAGCAAGACTCCGTCTCAAAAAAAAAAAAAAAAAAGAATGGAATCTGGGGCTGGGCGCAGTGGCTCATGCCTGTAATCCCACCACTTTGGGAGGCCGAGGTGGGTGGATCACTTGAGGCCAGGAGTTGGAGACAAGCCTGGCCAACATGGCAACCCTCTCATCTCTACTAAGAATACAAAAATTGACCAGGTATGGTAGCACGTATCTGTAGTCCCAGCTACTCAGGAAGCTGAGGTGAAAGGATCACTTGAACCAGAGAGGCAGAGGTTGTAGTGAGCCAGGATTGTGCCACTGCACTCCAGCCTGGGTGACAGAGTGACGTTCCATCTCAAAAATATATGTATATATATAAACTTAAAAAAAACAGAATATGGCATGGACTCCAGACCTAGCTGCACGAAAGATCTGGCCCTGCCCACCCTGACAATGGTTGGGATTATATTAATACCCTGCAGTCCAGCCCTTCGGAACTGTGCCGTTCTACAGCATTTCTCACACCGGCGTGCCCTTCCCCTTTGTAGGTCCCTCCCCCTGGAACCTAATCCCTCCTCCTTCTTCTGTGCCTGACCAACTCAGGCTTCATATCTGACTTGGTTCAAGGCTTTCTGTTTGGTAAAAGGTTTTTTGTTTGGTAAAACATGATCCAGCCGGTCTGGGTTGGAGGCCATTCCCCTGTGCTCCCAGAGCCCCCATTCACATCTCGATTGTCTTAGTTTGCATTCCCCCAAAAGCAAACGCTGACACAAGGACTTGGGTGCAGGTGGTTTATTTGGGACATGACCCCAGGTGTCAGATGTGAGAGAGCAGGGGAGGTGAGACAGGGCAGGGAGAAAACCAATGGTGTGTTTATGAGCTGGTTACCCCTGTGGGCAACTGGTTCACAATCCCCTGCTGGGGATAGCTGGGGAGACTGAGTGGAGCACACTTCAAAATTATCCCTGGCGTGGTAGCTCACACCTGTAATCCCAGCACTTTGGGAGGCCAAGGCGGTCGGATCTCCTGAGGCCGGGAGTTCGAGAACAGCCTGACTAAGATGGAGAAACCCCATCTCTACTAAAAATACAAAATTGGCTGGGTGCAGTGGCTCACGCCTGTAATCCCAGCACTTTGGGAGGCTGAGGCGGGCAGATCACCTGAGGTCAGGAGTTGGAGACCATCCTGGCCAACGTGGTGAAACTCCGTCTCTACTAAAAATACAAAAAATTAGCCGGGCATGGTGGCACACACCTGTAATCCCAGCTACTCGGGAGGCTGAAGCAAGAGAATCTCTTGAACCCGGGAGGCGGAGGTTGCAGTGAGCCAAGATGGTGCCACTGCACTCCAGCCTGAGCAACAGAGTGAGACTCCATCTCAAAAAAAAAAAAATTATCCATGCATAGTGGCGAGCACCTGTAGTCCTAGATGCTCTGGACTCTAATTCCTCATTTTTCCTTCCCCTCTAGCTCCTGTCAACCACCATTCTACTTTCTGTTGTCTCAATGTGTGTGATTCTTCCAGGAACCTCAGATAAGTGGACTCATACAATGTGTGCCCTTTTGTGTCTGGCTTCTTTCACTTAGTAAAACATCTTCAGGGTTCATCCATGTTGTAGCATGTGTCAGAATTTCCTTCCAGGCCAGGCGCGGTGGCGCACACCTGTAATCCCAGCACGTTGGAAGGCTGAACTGGAAGGATCACTTAAGGTCAGGAGTTCGAGACTAGCCTGGCCAACAATGGTAAAACCCTGTCTCCACTAAAAATACAAAACTTAGTCGGGCGTGGTGGCACACATCTGTAATCCCAGCTACTCGGGAGGCTGAGGCAGGAGAATCCTCTGGTGGCCCCATAGTCCCTGGGCCCACCTGAGCTTACCTGTAGCTGTGGCAGGCAGGTGACCACCTCATATCCTACCTCAAGCACCTGCCTCTCTCAGCTTCTCTTGAGAGCCACTGGAGGGGTAACCTTGAATTGTAGGTGGGGAGGGAGTTAGCAATCAGAGATGGGAGTTGATGAAGAAAAGTCCCAGCTTCCCTGTCCTCCAATGGGACTGTTTTTTTTTTTTTTTTTTTTTTTTTTTTAATAGACAGGGTCTTGCTCTGTCACCATCACCCAGGCTGGAGTGCAATGGTGCAATCATAGCTCATTATAGCCTTGAACTCCTGGGCTCAAGTGATCCTCCAGCCTCAGCCTCTCAAGTAGCTGGGAGTACAGGTGTGTGCCACCATGCCTGGCTAATTTTTATTTTATCTTATTTTTTGTAGGAGATAAATTTTGTAGGAAGGAAATTCTTTTTTTTTTTTTTTTTTGAGACAGTCTTGCTCTGTTGCCCCAGCTGGAGTGCAGTGGCACTATCTCGGCTCACTGCAACCTCCGCCTCCCGGGTTCAAGTGACTCTCCTGCCTCAGCCTCCCGAGTAGCAGGGATTACAGGCGCACCTGGCTAATTTTTTGTATTTTTAGTAGAAACGAGGTTTCACCATGTTAGCCAGGCTGATCTCGAACTCCTGACCCAGGTGATCCGCCCACCTTGGCCTGCCCAAGTGTTGGGATTACAGGCGTGAACCACTGCGCAAGGCCTAGACTATATTTTCATCTCTGTATCCCATTTCAAGCAATACAGTGGTACACACTGACTGCTCAGAAGCAATTTACTGAATGAATGAATGGATGGATGAATAAATGAATGAATGAATGAACAAACTTGGAGTTTCTGTTACTGAGTACTGACAGAGCAGGTAGATTTTGTCGGTACTAGGATCCAATTACGGCGGCTTGGATGCCAGAATGAGTTGTCAACTTTAACAATTTGTGGGGAACTTTCACACACAGAAATTGACAGAAAACACGGGAGTTTCAAATCATAAAAGTCTCGAAACAACTTGGTAAATGAGACGGTTCCATATCCACCTCGGGTCACAAGGATGAATGTAGCACCGAGAGCCATAGGAAGTGACTTCCCCAGCATCCTCTTCTCAACAAGGGGCTAGCTCAATCCATCCCCAAACTTCCTTGTGTGTCCAAATAGAGGAGCTGTTTCTTTTGAGTTTCCTTTTTAAGCCTAAATGCTATTGAAAGTAACAAACAGGGCAAAACTAAGATTACCCCAGACAGGAAGAACAAGTAGAAACAAGTCGTGTGGAAATCAGGTGTTGTGTGCACAGCGACGGCTATCCTCGCCTAATTGCCCAACACACCCTCCTGGCCCAGTTCATAAATCTGGACAGGGCAGGCCTGGCCATGCAAGTGACTTGCCCACTGCCTTTGGGCCGGTGGGTGTGCCCGTCTGAGCACTCCCACGGCCTCTGCCACGCTGGCACCTGGATCGGGCCACTCCACCCAGGTTGCCATGGAAGTGGAAGGAGACTGAGTTGCTCCCATGCCCTCTGGCCTGGAGTCAGGACCTGAGCTCCCTGCTACCAGGGAGAGCTCCCCTGGGCTACTGAAGCCCCCAGCTCACCTGCTCTACCTACAGCAGGTGTGGCTTTAGCAGGGACCCTGCCAGTAAGGCCCTGGGTGGCTCCCAGAATGGGGACCTGCTTGCCTGTCAGCCTGGGATCCAACAGGACTGCTCCAGGGCCTGCAGAAAAGAGTATGTTTAAGTGCTGGGGGATTCTGCTTACCCACGCAGAAATGTAAGGAGAGCAAGGTGCTCAGCAGCATAGGAGGAACACAGCCCTTTCCACGTGGATTAGCCTCGTGCTTAGGGAACATCCTTGAAGCTCTTGCCCCCCGGAGCTGCTTTGGAACAGTACTTTTGTTACAGGACAGGGGTCCCGATCCAGACCCCAAGAGAGGGTTTTTGGATCTTGTGCAAGAAAGAATTCAGGGCGCCAGGCATGGTGGCTCATGCCTGTAATCCCAGCACTTTGAGAGGCCGAGGTGGGCGGATCACGAGGTCAGGAGTTTGAGACCAGCCTGACCAACATGGTGAAACCCTGTCTCTACTAAAAATACAAAAATTAGCCGGGTGTGGTGGTGCGGCTGTAATCCCAGCTACTCGGGAGGCTGAGGCAGGAGAATCACTTGAACCCAGAAGACGGAGGTTTCAGTGAGCCAAGATCGCGCCACTGCACTCCAGCCTGGGCAACGGAGCGAGACCCTGTCTCAAAAAAAAAAAAAAAAAGAATTCAGGGCGAGTCCATAGACTAAAGTGAAAGCAAGTTTATTAGGAAAGTAAAAGAATAAAAGAATGGCTACTCCACAGACAGAGCAGCCCTGAGGGCTGCTGGTTGCCCATTTATATGGTTATTTCTTGATGATATGCTAAACGAGGTGTATTATTCATGTCTCCCCTTTGTAGATCATATAGGGTAACTTCCTGATGTTGCCATGGCATTTGTAAATTGTCATGGTGCTGGTGGGAGTATAGCAGTGAGGAGGACCAGAGGTCTCTCTCATCGCCATCTTGGTTTTGGTGGGTTTTAGTTGGCTTCTTTGCTGCAACCTGTTGCAACCTGTTTTATCAGCAGGGTCTTTGTGACCTGTATCTTTTCTTTTCTTTTTTCTTTTTTTTTTTTTTTGAGATGGAGTCTCGTTCTGTTGCCAGGCTGGAGTGCAGTGGCGTGACCTTG
The DNA here is from genome assembly GCF_000001405.40 of Homo sapiens. Classification (NCBI taxonomy): domain Eukaryota; kingdom Metazoa; phylum Chordata; class Mammalia; order Primates; family Hominidae; genus Homo; species Homo sapiens. Next base: position 41,390,461 of record NC_000023.11, on the reverse strand, counting down.
GCTCACTGCAATCTCTGCCTCCCAGGTTCAAGCGCTTCTCCTTCCCCAGCCCCCCGAGTAGCTTGGGCTGCAGGCCTGCACCACCATGCCCAGCTAATTTTTTTGTATTTTAGTAGAGACAGGGTTTCACCATGTTGGCCAGGATGGTCTCGATCTCCTGACCTTGTGATCTGCCCGCCTCGACCTCCCAAAGTGCTGGGATTACAGGTGTGAGCCACCGTGCCGGGCCATGATCTGTATCTTGTGCTGATCTTCTATCTCATCCTGTGACTTAGAATGCCTTACCTTCTGGGAATGCAGCCCAGTAGGTCTCAGCTTCATTTTACCCAGCTCCTATTCAAGATGGAGTTGCTCTGGTTCACATGCCTCTGACACTTCCCCAGTTTTCCTGCTGCACTTCAGGTCTCTGCAGCACCTCCTTGTCTTTCATCCTCTCCTCGGCTGCGGATGCTCCCAGGCTTCTATCCGATTCTTCCCTAATTACACCCTCCCCACCCTGCTCATCAGTGAACTCACCAAGCTTGGCTTCAAAGATCATTCCTTGAGAGCTCCAACTGTAATTCAACCTTGCACCACTCTCTCTCTATTTCCCAGGGCAGAGCTTTCTAGGGGCTCAGTAGACGTTTTTGCCTCAATATCTACCTGTAGCCTGACTCCCTCTTTGCTGAAATCCAGCCAGAACAGAACTTTCTGTCCAGGCCACGCAGTACCACAGGGCAACTCTGGACAGCAGCACCCCCGCCCTCCTCTCTCTGTCCTGCACCTCCAAGATGTTCCATGTGGCCCCCAGGTTGGGGGGTGGGGGGGGGTGGCAGTGTGGGACACAATCTCCTCTCAGGGTCCCAGATTTGAATCTAGCCAGAGACCTTGGCTTCTGGTTTCTCTTTCAATTTACCCAACTTTCTACCCTTTCTCTGGCCATATGCCCAGAAGAGTGACCTTGGGACCCACTGCCACACCTCTCCTGGTCCTGCCTCCATGTTTCTGCCTACAAGTCCTGGGAACCGGAAGGGACGACTTTTGGGCTTTCAGTTTCTGCAGGTCATATCCTCCTACTAAAAGGCAACAAGTCTCACGGCTTGACTGAGGTTGGCATAGGGGTATCTTCTTTCTCTCATGGAAGAGACATTGTGATCTGAGATCTTTAGGATTTATATTTAATTTGCTCAAGAACTTTGGAAAAACCTTCCCTGCTCCCAAGCAGATGGCTACAGGCTGCCCAGGGAAAAGGTCGTCTGTATGGAAATACAAGAGAGGAAAGCACATTTGCATTCTTCTTAGTGTTTCTGCTGTTCCACATGGATTTTCTCGGTTACTGTCAGGACAACCTAGGAGGTAGTCACTACTGTTCTTTAATTTTTACAACTGGGAAGATTAAAGCACAGAAAGATCACATAGCCCATGCCTGTAGTGCCAGCTACTCAGGAGGCTGAGGTGGGAGGATGGCTTGAGCCCCGGAGGTGGAGATAGCAGTGACCCGAAATTGCGCCACTGCACTCCAGCCTGGGTAATAGAGCAAGATCTAGTCACAAAAAATAAAATAAAAAATAAAATAAAATAAAGGAAAAGAAAAGAAAAAGAAAAAAGAAATTGAAGATAACATCTTGATATATGTCCCTGAGTTGTTTTTCGGAACCTCGGGCCCCCATCACAAGGATCAGCTGGCATGTAAACCTCAGATAACGGGGAACTGAAGGTTGAACTCTGACCTCTGCTCTAAATTTCTTTTTGAGGGGCCCAGAGGAGGTCATGTCCACAAGCAAGAGTGAACATTCCTTTCTGTTGATCTCAAAGTTTTAGACAAAGCTTCACCTCCTTAACTAATCGTTAATCAGAAAATCTCTGAATCCTGGCTGGGCCCGGTGGCTCACGCCTATAATCCTAGCACTTTGGGAGGCCGAGGCGGGCAGATCACTTGAGGTCAGGAGTTCGAGACCAGCCTGGCCAACATGGTGAAACCTCCGTCTCTACTAAAAATACAAAAATTAGACAGGCATGATGGCGCGGACCTGTAATCCCAGCTGCTCGGGAGGTTGAGGCACGAGAATCACTTGAACCCGGGAGGCGGAGGTTGCAGTGAGCCGAGAACGTGCCACTGCACTCTAGCCTGGGCAACAGACGGAGACTCTGTATCAAAAAAAAAAAAAAAAAAAAAAAAAAGAAAATCTCTGAATCCACCTACGACCTGTGCCCCCACCCCCACAATCCCGGGACTTGAGGATGTCCTGCCTTGATTTATGACTTTGCCTGTAACCTCTACCTCTTTGCCTTTAAAAACCCTTACCTGTAAGTCATCATGGAGTTCCAGTCTCAAGCATTAGCTGGCCAATTCTCCTGGCTTGGTGTCCTGCAATAAATGTCTCACTTTCGCTGCTATCCCGATGTCAGTGTTTGGCTTTGCTGCTCCAGGCAAGTGGGCCCTAGTTTGGTTCACTAATGTGACCATGTAATCTGGTGCCAGTTTCCTCTTTAGACTGTAAATTGGATCTTCTCTCTCCAGTTCCCTGTCAAGGCTTTGGCCTAGACCCTCATCATTTCATTTCTGGATTCCTGCCCCAGTTTCTCAATCAGCCTTTTATTGCTAGTCATTGCTTCTGAGACATTTTTCCATAAATGCCAGGCTATTCCTTCTCAAACTCTACTTTCTTCATGTCGTCGCAATGGCCTTTGGCTCCATATCCCCTGCCGCAATGCTCCTGGATTTTTGTTTTTTATTTTTTATTTATCTTTTTAGTTTTTTGAGACGGAGTCTAGCTCTGTCTCCCAGGCTGGAGTGCAATGGCACCGTCTCGGCTCACTGCAACCTCCACCTCCCGGGTTCAAGTGATTCTCCTGCCTCAGCCTCCCAAGTAGCTGGGATTATAGGTGTGAGCCACTGTGCCCGGCCTATTCTGGACATTTTATATAAATGGAATCATACAATATATAATATGTGACCTTTGTATCCATAAACTTAACTAACAGGTCTTCAAGTTTCGCCAGTGTTATGGCATGTATCAATACTTCATTCCTTTTCACTGATGAATCATATTCTACTGTTTGGATATACCACATTTTGTTTATCCATTTGTCACTTGATGGTGTCAACCTAAAAGGAAGAAGCTGGGGCAAAATGAATATACGTAGAGAGTTTATTTGGGCCAAGCTTTAAAATTGTTATCTGAGAGCACAGATTCAGGTTGCCCTGAACATAACATTCTGCCTAGCAGCAGTTACAAGTGGATTTTTTTTTTTTTTTTGGAGACCAAGTTTTGCTCTGTTGCCCAGGCTGGAGTGCAGTGGCGTGATCTCAGCTCACTGCAACCTCCACCTCCCTCCCAGGTTCAAGAGATTCTCCTGACTCAGCCTCCTGAGTAGCTGCGATTACAGGCACACGCCACCATGCCCAGCTAACTTTTGTTTGTTTGTTTGTTTTTAACTTTTGTATTTTGAGTAGAGACGGGGTTTTGCCATGTTTGGCCAGGTTAGTCTGGAAGTCCTGGCCTCAAGTGATCCACCTGCCTAGGCTTCCCAAACTGCTGGGATTACATGCGTGAGCCACCGTGCCAGGCCTACAAGTGGATTTTTAAAGTAAAAATTTGTCTTTATATCACAAATCCCAGGTACATGAAGATAATAGGTGAGCCAGCTAGTCAGGAACAAAGTGACTTTAAACAATTGTCCCCAGGCATGCGGTGGGGGCTGGGGAGATGATGACTGAAGTCCCTATTCATGTCTCTCTGGGCCTGCTCTGAGCTATTTTTCTTTTCTCAGTAGACAATTGGGTTGTTTCCAATTTGGGGCTATTATGAATAATGCTGCTGTGAACACTCGTGTAGGAGTTTTATGCGTACATACGTCTCATTTCTCTTGGGTAGATACCTAGCGTGAAAGAAAAATGGAACTCCAACTCACTATGCCAAAGGGAAAGTTAAGCTTGGGAACTGAGTCATGCAAAAACTGCTTTCCTTTCATTCTCAAACAGATAGCTGTAATTTCACTTGCTTACTTTACCTTATGTAAAATGTAGATTTACTGAGCAGGGGAGGAATGCATAGTTGACTCCCTCCCCTTCCCCTTTCTTTTCACATGTAAAATGTAGATTCACAGTCTCATAAGAATGTAACCAGGTGCCTCATTGCCTACCCACCTTGTTTTTTTTTCTTCCCCTCCTGCTTGCCCTTTCCCCTTTATTTATTTTTTATTTATTTATTGTTATTATTATTTTTTGAGATGGAGTCTTCCTCTGTCGCCCTGGCTGGAGTGCAGTAGTGCAATCTTGGCTCACTGCAACTGCTGCCTCCCAGGTTCAAACAACTCTCGCACCTCAGCCTCCTGAGTAGCTAGAATTACAGGCGTGTACCACCATGACCGTCTAATTTTTGTATTTTTAGTAGAGATGGGGTATCACCATGTTGGCCAGGCTGGTCTTGAACTCCTGACCTCAAGTGATCTGCCAGCCTAGGCCTCCCAAAGTGCTGGGATTACAAGAGTGAGCCACCCACCACGCCTGGCCCTTTCCCCTTTATTTTTCATTTATTTTTATTTTTATTTATTTATTTATTTATTTTTTTGAGACAGGCTCTCATTCTGATGCCCAGGCTGGAATGCAGTGGCATGATCTTGGCTCACTGCAACCTCTACCACCTGTGCTCAGGTGATCCTCCCACCTCAGCCTCCTGAGCAGCTGGGACCACAGGCATGCATCACCACGCCCGGCTAATTTTTTTTTTTTTTTTTTTGGAGACAGAATCTCACTCTGTCACCCAGGCTAGAGTGCAGTGGCGCCATCTTGGCTCACTGCAACCTCCTCCCCCAGGTTCAAGCAACTCTCCTGCCTCAGCCTCCCAAGTAGCTGGGATTACAGGTGTCTGCACCACGCCCAGCTAATTTTTGTATTTTTAGTAGAGACAGGGTTTCACCATCTTGGCCAGGCTGATCTTGAACCCCTGATCTCATGATCCACCCTCCTCGGCCTCCCAAAGTGCTGGGATTACAGGCGTGAGCCACCATGCCCAGCCAATTTTTGTATTTTTAGTAGAGAGGAGGTTTTGCCAAGTTGCCCTGGCTGGTCTTGGACTCCTGGGCTCAAGCGATCCTCCTGCCTTGGCCTCCCAAAGTGCTGGGATTACAGGCCTGAGCCACCACACCCGGCTGTTCTTTCCCCTTTAAATACTGAAGTTCCCAAACCCTCTTTGGAAAAAGCACAGGACACAGATTCTACTGTGACTTGTGTTTTTTTTTCCCCCAGACATGTCCTCAACCTTGGCTAAATAAACCTCTAAATTCGTTGAAACCTGTCTCAGTCGTTTGTTGTTGTTGTTTTTGAGACAGAGTCTCATTCTGTCGCAGGCTGTAGTGCAGTAACACCATCGTGGCTCACTGCAGCCTCTGCCTCCCGGGCTCAAGGAATTCTGTTGCCTCAGCCTCACAAGTAGCTGGAATTACAGGTGTGAGCCACCACACCCGGCTAATTTTGTATTTTTAGTAGAGACGGGGTTTCGCCATGTTGCCCAGGCTGGTCTCAAACTCCTGGCCTCAAGTGATCCGCCGGCCTCAAGTGATCCGCCTGCCTCAGCCTCCCGAAGCGCTGGGATTACAGGCGTGAGCCACGAAGGCCTGCCATCAGTCAGTTTTTGATTTACACTAAAAGTGGAATTGCTGGGGCGTATGGTAACTCTATGTTTAACCTTTTGAGGAACCACCAAACTGTTTTTCTTTTTTTTTTTTTAGTATTTATTGATCATTCTTGGGTGTTTCTCGCAGAGGGGGATTTGGCAGGGTCATAGGACAATAGTGGAGGGAAGGTCAGCAGATAAACAAGTGAACAAGGGTCTCTGGTTTTCCTAGGAGTTTTTCAAAGCGGCTGCAACATTTAGCAATCCCTCCCACAATGCATGAGGGATCCAGTCTCTCCACGTCTTTGGCATGTGTATTTCTGCCTTTCTTCACAGGTGTGAACAACATCAAGCATCCCTGTGCTGAGCTCAGAAGCCCTGTCTACCATCCTGAGAATTACCTGGGACTGCTCTGAGATGTTGGGTGGCCCTGGACTAGGTCATCTTCCCCAGAGAGCCCTAGGGTGGGGAGGGTGGAAATGGCGTACTTATGGGTGTGATCATTGCTAAAGGAATTAATCAGGGCAGTCCCAGTGCTAAAACTAAAGGTCCAAGAAACTGAGCGATTAGAGATATTTAGGAGGAAGTAGCTGGGGTGGGGGCAGGGCCTGAGAGCAAGCCAGGTCCTGACTCAGCCTCTGAGCGCCTACTTGACTGTGATTGCGTCACCTACCCTCCCCAGCGCAGCTCTGATATGTTAAAAAAAAAAAAAAAAAAAAAAAAAAACACGCAGTGGTTCACTCCTGTAATCCCAGCACTTTGGGAGGCTGAGGCAGGTGGATCGGATCACCTGAGCTCGGGAGTTTGAGACCAGCCTGGCCAACGTGGTGAAACCCCGTCTCTACTAAAAATACAAAAATTAGCCGAGCGTGGTGATGGGCACCTGTAATCCCAGCTACTTGGGAGGCTGAGGCAGGAGAATCACTTGAACCCGGGAGGCGGAGGTTGCAGTGAGCCGAGATCTTGCCACCGCACTCCAGCCTGGGCGACAGAGCAAGACTCCGCCTCAAAAAAAAAAAGACGATTGTATCTACTCCCTCCTATTCCCATCCCCAGAAGGATGCTGTGAAGTTAAAATGAGCCTGCCAACAGCATCTGGTGCTAGTTGTGGGCAACTCATATATTCTCATGGTATTATCTCTGTCGTGTCCTTGGTGGGAACGGGAGGGCATGGTTGATGGGACAGGCGATGCCACAATCTTCTGGACTGATCCAGCAGTTTTGATTCTTAACAAAAGTAGCAGCCACGGCTTCCATCTCTGCTGCTCCCTCTCCACCCCCAGGCTGAAGGGACTAAAATAAACAGGAAGTTTCCATTTCACCCAGATCTCATGGAGCTGTGTGACTTTTGCTGTCGGGTATCTTATCTCTCTGGAAGGAACCTTTCAGCCTGAGGTGTGGCTACCTTTGTACTTGGTGCAATGCTTCATCTGTTTTTTTTGTTTGTTTTTTTTTTTTTTTTTTTGCCTAAATAACTTCCTGTCTAGAAGTGGTTATAGCTTCCCACCCCCACCCCACTTTTACAACACAGCAGGGACAGACAGGTGCTGAAATCAAAGGGTTAGAATTCATATCAAAGCCCAGCATCCAGGATCTTGTTGCAAATAGAGACTGAGCTGTGTGTGTGGGTAGAGGCCAACAGTTGTTACTCAGAAGCTCAGTTCCGGGGAACAGAAGGAGGGTGTTTTTGTTTTTGTTTTACCAGAGTGAGTGAAATCTTGGTCCCTTGAGATTTCCATGTAAAAATCTCAAAGCTTGTTTATTTGCCCCGTCCCTAATGGGCACCCTTTGGGGTAGGTCAGAGTAGAGACTGGTTTTCTTTGTCCCTGGGCTTGTCACCAAGTCCCAGCAAAGACTGAGCTAGGGCCACCATGTGTCCCTGGCCTGATGTTAGCCAAAAAGCAGAAGAGAGAAGGGGTGACTGGTGTACATAGGAATTTTTGTTTGGGGTTTTTTCTGCCGTGTTTTAAAGAACAGCAAATCCCTGAAATGGGTCCATGGGTCCATGTGAAACTATTCATTGAGAATGAACGGTTGTTCACCTCGGAGAGCCGTCACATCCTTCTCGGCCACCGCAGGTCACCCTCTCCTACCTCCTGGAATTGGATTCTTAGGCTGAGATGAGCCAATGGTGTAGGCTCATTTGTGGCTTTGGAATTAAGGCTTTTTTTTTTTTTTTTTTTTTTGAGACAGAGTTTCACTCTTGCCACCCAGGCTGGAGGTCAATGGCATGAGCTCAGCTCCCTCAACCTCCACCTCCCGGGTTCAAGCGATTCTCCTGCCTCAGCGTCCAGAGCAGCTGGGATTATAGGCGCGCTACCAAGCCCGGCTAATTTTTGTATTTTTAGTAGAGACGGGGTTTCACCATGTTCAGCAGGCTGGTCTTGAACTCCTGACTTCAGGTGATCCGCCTGCCTCGTCCTCCCAAAGTGCTGGGATTACAGGTGTGAGCCACTGCGCTCGGCTGGCTTTTTTTTTTTTTTTTTTTTGAGACGGAGTCTCGCTCTGTCGCCCAGGCTGGAGTGCAGTGGCGCGATCTCTGCTCACCGCAAGCTCAGCCTCCCGGGTTCACGCGGTTCTCCTGCCTCAGCCTCCCGAGTAGCTGGGACTACAGGCGCCCGCCACCACACCCGGCTAATTTTTGTATTTTTAGTAGAGACGGGGTTTCACTGTGTTAGCCAGGAAGGTCTCGATCTCCTGACCTCGTGATCCGCCCGCCTCGGCCTCCCAAAGTGCTGGGATTACAGGTGTGAGCCATGGCGCCCGGCTTTTTTTTTTTTTTAATAGAAAAACTAAACACTTCTTCATGGGCTGCTGCCCAAGTCTTTGCTAAATTTTGTTAAGCCCTTATGTTTATCGTGTCATCTCATCCAGACGTCAGTCATAAACATGCCCATCTGAACTCCTGATCCTCTCTTTTCCAGAAATGGGATGAGTCACCCAGTTCGTCAGCCTTCCTCTTTCAGAAGCCAGTGAGAGTGTGGCTAGAGGGGACTCTGCCCCGAGGGAACACCAGGCAGTGGCCTCTGACCCAGGCCTGCCCTGCAGTACTCAGCTTTCCAGAACAAAGAGTTCCAGTCCCAGTGGGGGACGGGGGCCTTTGTTCATGACTGGGAGAATCAAGAGAACTGCCTAAGAGGGCCCAGAAATTTCCCAGAGCTCTGAGCAAAGTGAGGAAGGGCATCCTTGCTCCAGATGAACCCACCAGGTCGCCCCTAAAGAAAAAAGGCCACGAGGCCAGGCCTGGTGGCTCAAGCCTGTAATTCCAGCTCTTTGGGAGGCAGAGGAGGGCGAATCACAAGGTCAGGAGTTTGAGACCAGCCTAGCCAACATGGTGAAACCCCGTCTCTACTAAAAATACAAAAAATTAGCTGGGCGTAGTGGCGGGCGCCTGTAATCCCAGCTACTCGGGAGGCTGAGGCAGAATTGCTTGAACTTGGGAGGTGGAGGTTGCAGTGAGCCGAGACCTCGCCACTACACTCCAGCCCGGGCAACAGAGTGAGACTCCGTCTCAAAAAAAAAAAACGGCCGGGCATGGTGGCTCACGCCTGTAATTCCAGCACTTCGGGAGGCCAGGGCGGGCAGATCACCTGAGGTCGGGAGTTCAAGACCAGCCTGACCAACATGGAGAAACCCTGTCTCTACTAAAAATACAAAAGTAGCCGGGCATGGTGGCAAATGCCTGTAATCCCAGCTACTGGGGAGGCTGAGGCAGGAGAATTGCTTGAACCTGGGAGGCGGAGGATGCGGTGAGCCGAGATCACGCCATTGCACTCCAGCCTGGGCAACAAGAGCGAAACTCCATCTCAAAAAAAAAAGAGAGAGAGAGAGAAAAGAGGCCACAAGGGATTCTGGCCTCGCCCCCAGGGCCATGTCCTGGGGAAACAGTCAGTTTGAGAAAGGGCTTGGAACTGGAGGGAGAAGGCCTCAGGAAAGCCCAATGTGCACCTTGTCTTTGCTCTGGGCTTGCCTCGGGTCAGCCCTCAAACCTCACCCAGGCCCAGGCAGGGACTGGGGGTGGTGAGAATCGAACCCTGAATGCACTCACACCGAGCCGCCCCTGAAGCTTCAGCATGAGGCCCACACAGGCCTCATTCCCGTGCAGCATCTGCCTGTTTCTCCCAGGAGCCCTGCCCACCCAGTTGGGCTGGTTGGTGGCCACTCCCTCCCCAAGGGCAGTTTCTCACAGACACTAGCATCCCTCACCTGGCACTGCCAACCCTCAGACTCCAGGGCATTGTCCGTAATGGTGATGGTTGGGAGATAGCTCTGGAAAATAACTGGAGTTTAAAAATAACTAGCCAGGGCCAGGCACAGTGGCTAATGCCTGTAATCCCAGCACTTTGGGGAGCCAAGGTGGGTGGGTCACCTAATGTCAGGAGTTTGAGACCAGCCTGGCCAACATGGTGAAACCCCATCTCTACTAAAAATACAAAAAAACTGGCTGGGCAAGGTGGCTCATGCCTGTAATGCCAGCACTTTGGGAGGCCAAGGCGGGAAGATCACGAGGTCAGGAGATCGAGACCATCCTGGCTAACACGGTGAAACCCCGCCTTTACTAAAAATACAAAAAATTAGCCGGGCATGGTGGCGGGCACCTATAGTCCCAGCTACTCAGGAGGCTGAGGCAGAAGAATGGCGTGAACCCATGAGGCGGAGCTTGCAGTGAGCTGAGATTGCGCACTGCACTCCAGCCTGGGCGACAGAGCGAGACTCCATCTCAAGAAAAAAAAAAAAAAATTAGCCAGGTACGGTGGTGCGCGCCTATAGTCCCAGCTATGAGGAGGCTGAGGCAAGAGAATCGCTTGAACCTGGGAGGCGGAGGTTGTAGTGAGCCGAGATCATGCCACTGCACTCCAGCCTGGGCAACAGAGTGAGACTGTCTCAAAATAAATAAATAAATAAAATAAAAAAATAACTAGCTAGTGCCACCCAACCCACCTCCCCAGCTCCCTGCCCAGCTGTGTAGCAAGGGGACAGAGCCTCATTTTCCAGAAAGTGAATTCATAGGCTAATGATGCCAACTCAAGTCAGAGGGTTCTGAGAAGGCTACTGAGAGCCTCTCAGCCATTTCTCTGCCATGAGGGCAGCACCGTCCCAACCCAGAGGGGGCACTGGGACCATGGCAGGTCTTGGCCTCTAAGGCTGATGTTCCTCAGAGATGATATGGGCAGATAATGGCTCTGCTGTCCAGAGATTGTCATGATGATCAAAGGAGATCATGTGAAGGAACTCTCAGGAGTTCAGGAATGTTCTGTAGCTTGATCTTGGTGTGGGTTACCTGGGTGTGTATGTGTGGTAAAATTCATTAGGGTCATCACTTAAAATTTATGCACTTTGTTATATGTAAATAATATCTCAATAAAGTCCACTTGGCATGAAAATGAGCAAAACGTGAGATAACACATATGCAAAGGCACTTTGTACCCTGTAAACCATTTGCTATCACGGATTTTTAAAAACTTAGTGAACTATGGCCAGACACAGTGGCCCATGTCTGTAATCCCAGCACTTTGGGAGGCCGAGGCAGGTGGATCACAAGGTCAGGAGTTTGAGACCAGTCTGGCCAACATGGTGAAACACCGTCTCTACTAAAAATACAAAAAATTAGCTGGGTGCGGTGGTGCACATCCATAGCCCCAGCTACTCAGGAGGCTGAGGCAGGAGAATCGCTTGAACCCAGGAGGCAGAGGTTGCATTGAGCTGAGATTGCGCCATTGCACTCCAGCCTGGGCAACAGAGCAAGACTCCGTCTCGAGAAAAAAATAAACAAACAAACAAAGAAACAAAACTTAGTGAACTATAACCACTATCCTGAGTTGTGGTATCTGGATTCATTTGGCCTGTTTTGGAATATGAATGGAATCATAAAGTACGGACTCCTACATTTGTTGGCCTTCTTGTGCAACATTACATGCATGAGGTTCCTCCATGTCTTCTCAAGAGCTTACTGATTCTTGTTGCTGTAGAGTATTCCACTGGGTGAATACACCATTTATTTCTCCATTCCCTATAGGTGGTAGGCATTTGGGTAGTTTTCTGTTGGGGCTATTACAAAGAGCACCGCTATGGACATTTTTGCCTTTGGGTAAACATATATCTGCATTTCCGTTGGCTATCTACCTAGGAGTGGGGTTGCTGGGTCAGGGAATGTGTATGTTCAGTTTTGATAGATATATTGTTGGTTTCTAAAGGATAATCCCACAGAGTTCTTATTACCAAAATAAATATACAAAGCTCGAAATGAGCTCATGTGGCAATTTCATGTAGAAAATGGTCACATTCAGCCAGGTGCAGTGGCTTACACCGGTAATCCTAGCACTTTGGGAGGCCAGGGTGCTCGGATCACTTAAGGTCAGGTGTTGGAGACCAGCCTGGCCAACATAGTGAAATCCCGCCTCTATTAAAAATACAAAAATTAGCCAGGTGCGGTCGTACACGCCTGTAATTTCAGCTACTCGGGAGGCTGAGGCAGGAGAATCTCTTGAACCTGGGAGGCAGAGGTTGCAGTGAGCCAAGATCGCGCCACTACACTCCAGCCTGGGCAAAAGAGCAAGACTCCATCTCAAAAATGAAAAACAAAAAAACAAAAACAAAAACAGGAAATGGTCACATTCCACTCAGCACCATTCTGGAGCTCAGCATTTTTGCCAGCAGCATGATTTCCTTGTCTAGCCAACATCTCTACTGCTACAGTTGAAGGATACCCAGTACACCCTGTTCAACAAGAATGAAAACCTTTTCCATCTGCTCCAGTTTTTTTTTTAAGACAATGCTTTATTAAATCGTCTCCTTATATCAAATGGTGTACTTAGAAACCATGGCCATGTGGCTGGTCACTATCACGGCCCTGGTCAGCCTGGTGCAGCATGACATCTGAGCAGCAGGGTTCCTACACTCCGCTCCATGAGCACCTCATGCTGTCACAAGATCAGGCAACGTGGGTGTCCCAACCCCGTAGACCTGTCCCACAGGGCAGGAGGCCTGGAGCTAGGGGTTGAGCCCACGGAAGGGGTCCCAGCACTCAAACCCCCAGAGGACGGCAAGGCTCCTTCTGGTGTGGGTCTTGCAGCTGCACACATCACTGGGGGGCTCCCCAGGACCCAGACTGCAGCCCACGCAGACACACAGACAATGCTCACAGTTTCCATTCTGACTCATGTGTCAAATGGTTCAGAAATATTACTCTGCACTGTTACAGGAACACAGGTTTGACTTTTTTTTTTTTTTTTGAGACGAAGTCTCACTCTGTTGCCCAAGCCGGAGTGCAGTGGCACAATCTTGGCTCACTGCAACCTCCACCTCCCAGGTTCAAGCGATTCGCTTGCCTTAGCCTCCCGAGTAGCTGGGATTATGGGCGCACGCCACCATGCCTGGCTAATTTTTGTATTTTTAGTAGAGACAGGGTTTCACTATGTTGGCCAGGCTGGTCTTGAACTTCTGACCTCGTGATCCACCCGCCTTGGCCTCCCAAAGTGCTGGGATTACAGGCGTGAGCCACTGCACCCGGCCAGATTTGACATTTTAATAAAAATACAATGTCTACAAAAGGTGCTTAACGTGACCCCAGGATGGGGCTCGCAGGCGGAGTCAGCCCCAGGACCCCTAAAGGACGCATGAAGACAGAACCTGCTCCCTGACCACGTTCCGGGACCCACAGTGAGGGCCACTGATGGGTGCCTTTCATTTAAAAAAGGCTGGGCGCGGTGGTTCATGCCTGTAATCCCAGCACTTTGGGAGGCCAAGGCGGGTGGATCACGAGGTCAGGAGTTCGAGACCAGCCTGGCCAACATGGTGAAACCCCATCTCTACTAAAAATACAAAAATTAGCTGGGCATGGTGGCAGGTGCCTGTAGTCCCAGCTACTCCAGAGGCTGAGGCAGGAGAATCGCTTAAACCCGGGAGGCAGAGGTTGCAGTAAGCCAAGATTGCGCCACTGCACTCTAGCCTGGGAAACAGAGTGAGACTCCATCTCAGAAAAAAAAAAAGAGTCTAGATTGTGACATTCCAAAATGACTCTGGAAGCCACATGCCAATTTCCTGAATCCCTATGCTAGAAGTGAGTGTTTTGGTGGAGCGAGGAGAAAACACCGAATTCCCATGTCAGGAATTCCAATTTCATTTTCAATAGGTTTAGACATCCCAGCTCCTGAAAAAGACCAAGGGTTCAGTCACTGGCCAGGTGTAAGACAGGGACAGTTGTAAGAATCTTATCACACAAAGCTCTTATTTCTGGATCCACCATTGGTTACACCTGCACCCAGACACCACTTTTAGGTTCAATGAAAAAGGATCAGGACATAAAGAAAAACACACACATAACGACCAGGGAGGAAGTCTGCATCAGAACCTGCCCCACGTGCCAAACCCCCGCAGCACCCAGAGGGTGAGCCGGGCAGAAGGGACAGTGGAACAGGCTGCCCATGGCAGTGGCTGTTCATGTTGACAGCACCTGGCCAAGGTAGTGAGGATGAGGACAAGAGCTGGGGCACATGAGTGGTCCTGGGATGCTGCTCACAGGGGAGGCATCGGCATCTGTGTACATATTTGGCAACCGCAAAGCTTGTTCTCAAAAATAAGTATACTTTGGCCGGGCACAGTGGCTCACACCTGTAATCCCAGCACTTTGGGAGGCTGAGGCAGATGGATCACTTGAGGTCAGGAGTTTGAGACCAGCTTGAACAACATGGCAAAACCCTGTCTCTATTAAAAATACAAAAATTAGCCAGGTGTGGTGGTGGGTGTCTATAATCCTAGCTACTTGGGAGGCTGAGGCAGGGGAATTGCTTGAACCCAAGAGGCAGAGGTTGCAGTGAGCCGAGATCATGCCACTTCACTCCAGCCTGGGCAATAGAGTGAGACTCCGTCTCAAAAAAAAAAAAAAAAAAAAAAAAAAAAAAAAAAAACTGGCCGGGCCTGGTGGCTCATGCCTGTAATCCCACCGTTTTGGGAGGCTGAGGCAGGTGGATCACTTGAGCTCAGGAGTTCGAGACCAGTCTGGGCCACATGGTGAAACCCCATCTCTACTAAAAATTAAAAAAAAAAAAAAAGCCTTTAGAGGCCAACTGTCCCTTTACAAAGGTTTGCAATTGAGAAATATCACCTTGTTCCTATTTTGTCAAGTTTCTTCTTTAATGGCTGAACAAAAAGAAGCTTCAAGTAATGGAGAAGGCATCATTTGAGTGCGGCTGCTCTGCTAACGTAGTCATCTGGGTGCTCTATTCCTATGTCTTCCAAATCCTATATTTGGAGGCCCCCCGGAAAGGACACTTTTGCCAGGAACCAACCTGACCTTAAAAGGGTGACTGTGGGCCAGGCGCAGTGGCTCATGTTTGCAATCCCAGCACTTTGGGAGGCCAAGATGGGCAGATCACCTGAGGTCAGGAGTTCGAGACCAGCCTGGCCAACAGGGTGAAACCCCGTCTCTACTAAAAATACAAAAATTAGCCAGGTGCGGTAGCACACGCCTGTAATCCCTTCTACTCGGGAGGCTGAGGCAGGAGAATCGCTTGAACCTGGGAGGCGGAGGTTGCAGTGAGCCAAGATCACACCAGTGCACTCCAGCCTGGGAGACAGAGCAAGACTCCGTCTCAAAAAAAAAAAAAAAGAGTGAGTGTGACACAGCCAACTGGGCAGGAGGGTGGAGGTGAGGCCACAGGACGCTGCCTGCCCAACCCCAGGCCAGGCTGACTGTGCTGCAGAGTGCCGAGAGGCCGTTGGCCCAGGGAGGCCGGCCAGCTCCACCCAGAGGGCACGGGGCAAGCCCTAAGCACTGGGGGTGTTGCCTTTGAAGACCCTGAGGATGCTCTGTGCCACGTATCCTTGCTTCTCGGTAACCAGCCTGCTTGTTAAAGGAGCAGAACCTGCAACATGGTAAGGGGCGAGAGTGGCGCACGGCTGTGGGTGCGCTGGACTTAAACTTCACTCAAGAAGCTGCAAGGAACCCCAAATGCGCTTCAGGCTGGGGTCCTGCTGTGCTAGGTCGACTGCAGAGCACCCTCCCCGCCAATCCCCTGAGCCAGGCCCACATCTGCCCCAGTTCTATGGGTTGGGCACTTCACCCCAGGACCCCAGCATCTTGAGCCGTTACCACAGCTCCCAGGACTCATGTCCATCAACAGCCTCTGAAGCCAAGGATCATGAGCCATACCCCTAGAACTGGGGCAGGGCGTGGGGCATTTGTCACCTCAAGGGGTGTCTTAGTCAGCTCAGGCTGCCATAACCAAATGCCACAGACTGGGTGGTTTAAGCATCAGGCATTTATTTCTCAGTTCTGGAAGCTGGAAGTCTGAGATCAAGGTACCAGCACGATCAGGCTCTGGGGAGGGCTCTCTTTATGACTTGCAGATGGCCACCTTCTCGCTGTGTTCTCACATGGCCTTTCCTCAGTGTGTGCACATAGAGAGAGCAAGCTCTCTGGTGTCTCTTCTTGTGAGGACACTGACCTCATCATGAGGGCCCCACCCTCATGACCTCATCCAAACCTAATCACCTCCCAAAGTCCCTTTCTCCAAATACAATCCCATTGTGGGTAAGGGCTTCAACACATGAGTTTTGGGGGATACAACTCAGTTCACAGGAAAGGGCAAGAAAACTCCATTTGTGTGCACAGCCAGGCACAGTGGCTCATGCCTGTAATCCCAGCACTTCGGGAAGCAGAGGTGGGAGGATTGCTTGAGGCCAGGAGTGTAAGACCAGCCTGGGCAACATAGCAAGATCCTGTCTCTACAAAAAGTTTAAAAATTAGCTGGACATGGTGGTGTGCACATGTAGTCCCAACTACTCGGGAGGCGGAGGCAGGAGGATTGCTTAAGCCCAGGAGTTCCAAGCTGCAGTGAGCTATGATATTATCACTATACTCCAGCCTGGGTAACAGAGTGAGACCTCGTCTCCAAAAATAAATAAATAAATAAATTTAAAATAATTAAAAAACACAAATATTTGTGTGCTGGGTCAGAGTTCTGGAGAAGATAAAAAGGATGCCAGAGGGGCCTGAACTTGGCCTGGGCAGGACACAGGGCAGTGAGAGAGACTTCCAGTGGGAGGAAGGGCTGTAATCTCCTTACTTCCATCACTGGCTGGCTGGTTGGTTCACCACTGTATCCCCATAGTATCTGTAAGCAAAGGGTCTGGCATGCAGTGTGTGCTTCATATATACTGTTTTTTGTTTGTTTGTTTGTTTGTTTTGAGACGGAGTCTTGCTCTGTCACTCAGGCTGGAGTGCAGTGCCACCATCTCAGCTCACTGCAACCTCTGCTTCCCGGGTTCAAGTGATTCTCCTGCCTTAGCTTCCCAAGTTACTGGGATTACAGGTGCCTACCACCACGCCCAGCTAATTTTTGTATTTTTAGTAGAGACAAGGTTTTACCATGTTGGCCAGGCTGATCTCAAACTCCTGACTGATCTCAGGTGATCCACCCATCTCGGCCTCCCAAAGTGCTGGGATTATAGGCATGAGCCACTGCACGCGGCCGAAGTCAAGTTTTAAAATTACATTTTAAAAGTGCTGTAAGTGAAAAAAACTGTCAACCAGAATTCTATATCTAGTGAAAATATCCTTCAGAAATGTAGGCAAAATAAAGACATTCTCAGACAAAGGAAAGCCGAGAGAGTATGCCACCAGCAGACCTGCTCTAAAACAAAAGCTAAAGGAGGTTCTTCAGAAGGGAAATGAGACCAGAAAGAAATGTGGAACTTTAGGGATAAAGGAAAAGCAATAGGAATGGTAAATATCTGAATAAATAGGATAGGCTACTTTTCTCTTCTTCTTCTTCTTTTTTTTTTTTTTTTTGAGACAGAGTCTCACTCTTTTTGCCCAGGCTGGAGTGCCGTGGCACGATCTCAGCTCACTGCAACCTCTGCCTCCTGGGTTCAAGCGATTCTCCTGCCTCAGCCTCTGGAGTAGAGTAGCTGGGATTACAGGCGCCTGCCACCATGCCCAGCTAATTTTTGTTGTTTTTAGTAGAGATGGGGTTTCACCATTTTGGCCAGGCTGGTCTCGAACTCCTGACCTCAGGTGATCGTCCCGCCTCGGCCTCCCAAAGTGGTAGGATTACAGGCATGAGCCACCTCGCCCAGCAATTTTCCTAGCATAAGCATTTAATGCTAGAAATTTTCTTTTAAGCACTGCACTTTAGCTGCATGCCACAGATTTTGGTATGATGTATTTGCATTACCATTCAGTTCAAAATAATTTCTAATTTCTCTTTAGGCTTTTTCTTTGATCTATAAGCTATTTAAGCATGTGCTACTTAATTTCTAAGTATTTGGGGATTTTTAAGGTATCTGTTATCTAGTTTAATTCTATTGTGGACAAAGAACACATTCTACATTATTTCAATTCTCCTAAGTTTGTTAAGGTTTGTTTTATGACACAAGATATGGTCTACTTTGGTAAACGTTTCATGTGCACCTCAAAACAACGTATATTCTGCTGTTGTTGGATGGAATGTTCTACACTCATTGATTAGATCCAGTTGGTTGATGGTGTTGCTCAATTCTTTTTTTTTTTTTTCTTTGAGACGGAGTCTCTCTCTGTCACCCAGGCTGGAGTGCAGTGGTGCAATCTTGGCTCACTGCACCCACTGCCTTCCAGTTTCAAGCGATTCTCCTGCCTCAGCCTCTGGAGTAGAGCAGCTGGGATTACAGGCACCCACCACCAAACCCAGTTAATTTTTGTATTTTTAGTTGAGACGGGGTTTCACCATGTTGGCCAGGCTGGTCTCAAACTCCTGACCTCATGATCTGCCTGCCTCGGCCTCCCAAAGTGCTGGGATTACAGGCGTGAGCCACCGCGCCTGGCCCCAGCTCAATTCTTTTATATCCTTGCTGATTTCCCCCCTACTTGGTCTATCAATTAATGAGAAAGGAGTGTTTAAGTCTCTATAATTGTAGGTTCGTCCATTTCTCTTTTCAATGATCTCAGTTTTTGCTCCCCATATTTTGAATTTGGAACTTGTACACATTTAGGATTGTTCTGTCTCCTTGGTGAATTAGCCCTTTTATCATTTTGTAACATCCCTTTCTATCCCTGGTATTTTCTTGCTCTGAAGTCTATTTTTATTTTATTTTTATTTTTATTTATTTATTTATTTATTTATTTATTTATTTATTCTGAGACAGAGTCTCGCTCTGTCACCCAGGTTGGAGTGCAGTGGCACAATCTCAGCTCACTACAACCTCCGCCTCCTGGGTTTAAGCAATTCTCCTGCCTCAGCCTCCCAAGTTGCTGGGACTACAGGTGCACGCCACCACGCCTGGCTAATTTTTGTATTGTTATGAGATACAGGCCAGGCGCTGTGGCTCACACCTGTAATCTCAACACTTTGGGAGGCCGAGGCAGGTGGATCACTTGAGGTCAGGAGTTCTAGACCAGTCTGGCCAACATGGTGAAACCCTGTCTCTTCTAAAAATACAAAGTTTGCCAGGCGTAGTGGCAGGCGCCTATAATCCCAGCTACTCAGGAGACTGAGGCAGGAGAATCACTTGAACCCAGGAGGCAAAGGTTGCAGTGAGCCGAGATTATGCCACTGCACTCCAGCCTGGGCAACAAGAGAGAAACTCTGTCTCAAAAAAAAGAAAAAAAAAAAAAACCAAAGAAAAAAGAAAGAAAGAAAACAGAAAGCCAATAAAGAAAATCAATGAAACCGAAAGCTAGTTTTTTGAAAAAAATAAAATCAGTAAAATTGATAAACCTCTAACCAGACTGACAAAGAAACAAAGAAAGACACAAATTACCAATGTCAGGAATAAAAGAGTGGGTATCACAATAGATACCACAGATATTAAAAAAGTAAGGGCATACTATAAATAACTATTTACATAAATTTAACAACTTAGATTAAATGAACCAATTTCTTGAAAGCCACAACTACCCAAGAGGAAATACATAGTGGAATAGTCCCATGTCTAATAAAGAAATTGAATTTGTAGTTAAAAACCTTCCAATTGGCCGGGCGTGGTGGCTCACACCTGTAATCCCAGCACTTAGGGAAGCTAAGGCAGGAGGATTGCTTGAGCCCAGGAGTTCAAGACCAGCCTGGGCAACATGGTGAAACCCCACCTACAAAAAAATACAAAAATTAGCTGACTGTGGTGGTGCACATCTGTAGTCCTGGCTACCTAGGAGGCTGAGGTGGGAGGATCACTTCAGCCAGGAGGTCAAGGCTGCAGTGAACCATGATCACACCACTGCACTCCAGCCTGGGTGACAGAGCAAGACTCCATCTCAAAAACAAACAAACAAAAAAAGAGTTCTTAGACTTAAGTCCAAAAGTTGATCTGTACAAGATAAAATCAGTAAACTGGGCGTCACCAAACTTAAAAGTATTTTGGTCCCCAAAAGACACTGTTAGGGCCAGACACCATGGCATATGCCTGTAATCCCAGCACTTTGGAAGGCTGAGGCGGGAGGATCACTTGAGCCCAGGAGGTCAAGACCAGCCTGGGAAACATAGTGAGGCCTGTCTCTACAAAAAAACTTTAAAATTAGCCAGGTGTGGTGCCACGTGCATGTAGTCCTAGCTACTCAAGAGCTGAGGTATGAGGATCGCTGGAGCCAGGGAGATTGAGGCTACAGTAAGCTAAGATTACACCACTGCACTCCAGCCTGGCCAACAGAGCGAGACCCTGTCTCAAAAAACAACAACAAAAAAGACACTGTTAGGAGAATGGAAAGAGAAGCTCCAGAAAGGAAATATTTGCAAATCACATATCTGGCAAGGGACCTATATCCAGAATATATGAAGAACTCTCAATACTCAACAATAAGAAAACAAGCCAATTTTTTAAATGGGCAAAAGATTTGAATGGATATTCCACCAAAATAATATAGATGGCAAATAAGCACATGAATAGATGCTCAACATTGTTGGCTGTTAGGGAAATGCAAAACAAAATCACAATGAGATATTAAGTTAAATATTAGAATGGCTGGAATAAAAAACACCCTGACAACACCAGCTGGTAAGATGGAAGAGCCCCTGGAACTCTCATACACTGCTGGTAGGAGTTCAAAATGGTACAGCCACTCTGGAAAACAGTTTGGGGCCAGGCACAGTGGCTCACGCCTGTAATCCCAGCACTTTGGGAGGCCAAGGGGGGCGGATCACCTGAGGTCGGGAGTTTGAGACCAGCCTGGCCAATATGGTGAAACCCTGTCTCTACTAAAAATACAAAAATTAGCCGGGCGTGGTGGCAGACTCCTGTAATCCCAGCTACTCGGGAGGCTGAGAGAGGAGAATCGCTTGAATCTGAGAGGTGGAGGTTGCAGTGACCCGAGATCGTGCCACTGCACCCCAGCCTGGGTGACAGAGCAAAACTCTGTCTCAGTAAATAAATAAATACAAACCAGTTTGGCAGTTTCTTATAAAGTTAAATATCTACTTACCATGTGATCCAATAAAAACTATTTTCATAGAAAAACTTGTACATGAATGCTTATGGCATCATTATTCATAATCACCAAAAACTAGAAGCCATCAAAATGTCCTTTGACATGTCAGTGGTTAAACTAATTGTGGTATGTCAATTCAATGAAATACTGTATTTACTCCAAGATAAAAGGAAAGGTGTACTAATGCTCACAACGACATGGTTGAATCTCTAAGGCACGCAGAGTGAAAGAAGCCAGTCCAAAAGGTTACGTGCGATATGATTCCATTTATATGATACTCTGGAAAAGGCAAAACCACAGTGATGGAGAACAGATCATTGGTTGTCAGGGGAGGGTGTGATAGAAACAGCAAGAGGGAGATTTTAGAGATGATGGAGATGCTCTGTGTCCTGACTGTGGTGGTGATTACACAGTCTGTGTATGTGTTAAAATCAGAACTGTACAGCCTCAAAAATTCAGTTTTACTCTATGTAAACTTTAAAAAATACAAGTAAAAAAAAAAATCTTGCCAGGTGTGCTTCTGTTTTCTCTCAGGCCCCTGACTGATCCAGCCACTATAAAGAGATTTAAAGGAGAAAATAGGCAGAAGAAAGGGAAAAGAAAGCATGTCTTTGACAGAAATTGCATGTGCAGGCCGGGCATGGTGGCTCATGCCTGTAATCCCAGCACTTTGGGAGGCCCAGGTGGGCAGATCACCTGAGATCAGGAGTTCAAGACCAGCCTGGCCAACATGGTGAAACCCCATCTCTACTACAACTACAAAAATTAGCCGGGTGTGGTAGCTCATGCCTGTAATCCCAGCTATTCAGGAGGCTGAGGCACAAGAATCACTTGAACCTGGGAGGCGGAGGTTGCAGTGAGCTGAGATTCCACCACTGCACTCCAGCCTGGGTGACAGAGCGAGACTCTGCCTCCAAAAAAAAAAAAAAAGAAAAAAAAGAAAGAAAGAAACTGCATGTGCAAAAGCCAGGAAGCGAGAAAAACATCAGAAGAATAAACGTGGCTTAGTGTGGCTAGAGTGAGAGTGTAAAGGAGGGAGTAGTTTAAAAAAAAAGTAGGGGCTGGGCACGGTGGCTCACACCTGTAATCTGACTTTAGGAATAAAAGCCAAGGTGAGATCATTGCTTGAGCCCAGGAGTTTGAGACCAGCCTGGGCAATATGGCAAGACTCTGCCTCTAATAAATAAATAAATAAATTGGCCAGGTGCGGTGGCTCACGTCTTTAATCCTAGCACTTTGGGAGGCTGAGGCAGGCGGATCACCTGAGGTCAGGAGTTCAAGACCAGCCTGGTCAACATGGTGAAACCTCATGTCTGCTGAAAATACAAAAATTATCTGGGCGTAGTGGCGCACACCTGTAGTCCCAGCTACTCGGGAGGCTGAGGCAGGAGAATCGCTTAGAGGCAGGAGAATCTCTTGATCCCAGGAGGTGGAGGTTGCAGTGAGCTGAGATCGTGCCACTGCACTCCAGCCTGGGTGACAGAGCTAGACTCTGTCTCAAATAAATAAATAAATAAATAAATAAATAAATAAATAAATAAAAGGCAAGCAAAAAAGTAGGAAAGCTAAAGCAGGAGCCAGGCCATATCAGTCACATTAAAGAATAAGGGCAACAAGGAGCCACTGAAACAGTGATTCCTACCCAGAGGTGTGCCCCAAAGTCATATGGGGAATGCTTGCAAACTACACATTCCCAACCCACAAGCCAAGCCAACAACTGAGAATCTCCAGAGATTGAACTGGAGCCTGCTGTGTGTTTGGCAAAGGCACCTCCAGAGATTCTGATGCGCATCCCTCATTACAAACAATTGCATTGCAGTGTTAATTGTTGAAGCTGCAGACAGCGCTATGGGGGTTCATTATACCATTCCTTCTCTACTTTTGTTTGAAAATTCTGTAACCTCCAATCTTGCTTTGCAATTGTTCTCAATAGCAAAATATTGGAAACAACTCAAATGTCCAGCAATAATAAAATGGATTAAATGTATTGTGGTTGGCCGGCCACGGTGGCTCACGCCTGTAATCCCAGCACTTTGGGAGGCCGAGGTGGGCGGATCTCCTGAGGTCAGGAGTTTGAGAACTGCCTGGCCAACAGGATGAAACCCTGTCTCTACTAAAAATACAAAAATTAGCCGGGCGTGGTGGCAGGCGCCTGTAATCGCAGCTACCCGGGAGGCTGAGGCAGGAGAATTGCTTGAATCCAGGAGGCGGAGGTTGCAGTGAGCTGAGATTGTGCCATTGTACTCCAGCCTGGGTGACAGAGCAAGACTCTGTCTCAAAAACAAACAAACAAACAAACAAATAAATTGTGGTGTTCATGAAATGGAATATTATACAACAAAGAAAGCTCAAAAACAGGCAAAGCAAAATTTAGGGCTGTGTATGTGGGTGATTAAACTATAAAGCAAGGAAGGAGTGTGGCTGCCCCTAGGAAGAAGGGGTTAAGATTAGAAAAGAGTATTTTTTTTTTTTTTTTTTTGAGATGGAGTCTCTCTCTGTAGCCCAGGCTGGAATGCAGTGGCCTGATCTCAGCTCACTGCAACCTCTGTCTCCCAGGTTCAGGTGGTTCTCCTGCCTCAGCCTCCCAAGTAGCTGGGATTACAGGCGTGCACCACAACACCCAGCTAATTTTTGTATTTTTAGCAGAGATAGGGTTTCACCATGTTGCCCATGCTGGTCTCGAACTCCTGACCTCAAATGATCCACCTGCCTCAGCCTCCCCAAGTGGTGGGATTACAGGTGTTAGCCACCGCGTCCAGCCAGGAAAGTCTCTCTGATGGGCCTCTGGGATGCTGGCAAAGCTGTTTCTTGGCCTGGGAGACAGTTATTAATAGACTGCTATTTGTGTTATAAGTTATATGATCGGCCTGGCACTGTGGCTGATGCCTGTAATCCCAGCACTTTGGGAGGCTGAGGCGGGAGGATCACTTGAGCCCAGGAGTTCAAAACTAGCCTGGGCAACACAGCAAGACCTAGTTTCTATTAATACTAAAAATAAAAATAAAAAAATTAGCAGGATGTGGTGGTGCACACCGGTAGTCCCAGCTACTTGGAAAGCTGAGGTGGGAGGGTCACTTGAGCCTAGGTGATCGAGGCTGCAGTGAGCTGAGATCACACCACTGCACTCCAGCCTGGGCGACAGAACCAGACTCTGATCCCTCCAAAAAAATTTTTTTAGGCCGGGCGTGGTGGCTCACGCCTGTAATCCGAGTACTTTGAGAGGCCGAGGTGGGCGGATTGCCTGAACTCAGGAGTTCAAGACCAGCCTGGGCAATATGGTGAAATCCCGTCTTTACTAAAAATACAAAAATTAGCCAAGCGTGTTGGCGCACGCCTGTAGTCCCAGCTACTCAGGAGACTGAGGCAGGAGAATTGCTTGAACCCTGGAGGCAGAGGTTGCAGTGAGCCGAGATCATGCCACTGCACTCCAGCCTGGCAACAGAGGGAGACTCCGTCTCAAAAAAAAAAAAAATTAAATTATGTGATATGCCTTTTTCCTGCATTTTTAAAAAACTGACACTGCAGGGTTTATTTTAGCGGAAGAATAATATATCTGATTTGCTCTTTGGGGAGGTGGCTCTGACTTCTGGGTGGAGAACGGATGGAATGTGAGAGCCCTCAGGACAGCTGGACCAATTCTGAGGCTGCTGCAGCAATTAAGGTGAGGGCATCGATGGGGGCCTCAACCAGGGTGGCGGCAGGCAGTTTAGGAGAAGCAGGCATCGGAGGGGAGCTTGGACAGTGGAGCCAACTGGAGTTAGCATTTTGGGGTGTTGATGAGGGCACAGGGGCCATGCAGGAAGTCAAGGGAGCCTGGGCTCAGCTTTTTTGAGCTGCGTAATCCTTTTCTTACTAACATCATCCTTTTCCTTTTGTGTCCTTTTAGCCCATGCAGGGGGCTGGAACCAGAATACCTTTTACCTCCTTTTCAAATCATTTACATTAGGAGAAGACAAATGTGTTTCAGGAACCACAAACCATGGGGTTTAAGCAGATAGCAATTATGCACCATTAGCAGTGTGAAGAACTGATCCAGGCCGGGCCAGGTGGCTCAGGCCTGTAATCCCAACACTTTGGGAGGCAAAGGTGGGAGGATCCCTTGAGCCCAGAAGTTTGAGACCAGCCTGGGCAACATAGTGAGAACATGCCTCCACAAAAAATACAAAAATTAGCCAGGCATGGTGGTGGGGGCTTATAGTCCCAGCTACTTGGGAGGCTGAGGGGAAAAGATTGCTTGAACCCAGGAGGTAAAGGTTGCAGTGAGCCAAGATCATGCCAGTGCACTCCAGCTTGGGTGACAGAGCAAGACTCTGTGTCAAAAAAAAAAAAAAAAAAAAAAAAAGGCTGGTCACGGTGGCTTACACCTGTAATCCCAGCACTTTGGGAGGCCAAAGCAGGTGGATCACCTGAGGTCAGGAGTTCAAGACCAGCCTGACCAACATGTAGTGAAACCCCATCTCTACTAAAAAATACAAAAATTAGCTGGGCATGGTGGCACACACCTGTAGTCACAGCTACTTGGGAAGCTGAGGCAGGAGAATCGCTTGAACCCCAGAGGCGGAGGTTGTAGTGAGCCAAGATTGAGCCACTGCACTCCAGCCTGGGCAACAGAGCAAGACTCTGTCTCTCCAAAAAAAAAAAAAAAAAAAGAATCAATTCATAACACAATATCAAGCTCATAAGTGTTCGCACAGCATTCTTGGGAATTTATCTAAAGAGAATATTTTTTTAAAGACTTACCAATTACCCAACTCCAACAACTGTCAACTGTGATCAATCCTGTTTCATCTATACCCTGACCCACTTCCTCTCTATTTGGAAGCAAATCCCAGACATCACTCCATTTCATTGGTAACTCCTGGGCTCAAGCGATCCGCCTGCCTCAGCCTCCCAAAGTGCTGGGATTACAGGCATGAGCCACTGCACCTGGCCCCAATTTTTAATTTGGAAAAAAATTTAAACCTGCCCCAAAGTTGCAAGAATAGACAGCCGAGGGGATGAGGCCAAGGTGCATAGGTGTTTATTTTTCTCATGTAATAAGAGGGCCAGAAGAAAACAGCTCAGGCTGGGCACGGGTGTCACCATGTCATCTGCATGTAGGCTCACTGAAGTCTCCATTCCACCAATCTCAGCATGCGGTTCTCATCTTTGTGGTCACAGACCAGTTCACACACTTCTGGGCATCACGCTCCAAGTTCTAGGAGAGAAAAAAGAGCAGAGCCAAAAGCCTCTTGTGAGGCTTTGCTTGGGAAGGGGCACCCGCCCCATGGACTTCCACCTAATACTCCCACCTACTCCCATTACTACATTGACCGGAACTGGGAGGCAAGTCTCTCCTGGAGTACAAGGCTGAGGAGCCAACTATTCTTAGAGAGGCACATTGCCATCCTGAACCAAATTGGGGTTCTGTTAGGAAGGAAGGAGTGGAAGGGGATATCTGTTACAGAAGGGTGAGAGAATGAAGGCAGAGGGGCAGCTGTTTCTGGGGTCTAGGCTGAAGGAAGCGTGGAAGAACAGCTGATATGAACAGTGCTCAGAAACAATGAGGCAGCCTCAGGTCACTGACAAATGGAGAGAGGTGGTGAAATGAAGAGCGGTCAGGGTGGCTCTGAGCTTCCTCCCATGGGAGAGTAGTGGAAGGATTGCGGCAGGGTTTTGGTTTTTTGTTTGTTTGTTTCTTTTGTTTTGAGACGGAGTTTCGCTCTTGTTGCCCAGGCTGGAGTGCAATGGTGCGATCTCGGCTCACTGCAACCTTTGCCTCCCGGGTTCAAGTGATTCTCCTGCCTCAGCCTTCCGAGTAGCTGGGATTACAGGCATGCGCCACCATGCCTGGCTAATTTTGAATTTTTAGTAGAGACGGGGTTTCTCCATGTTGATCAGGCTGGTCTTGAACTCCCGACCTCAGGTGATCTGCCCTCCTTGGCCTCCCAAAGTGCTGGGATTACAGGTGTGAGCCACTGCGCCCGGCCAGAGTTATATTTTTTGTGACAGTCAACTATTATATGTCCATAGGAACCATGGAATCATCAACTCTTTTATTTTTTGTGAGACAGAGTCTCACTCTATTGCCCACACTGGAGTGCAGTGGTGCAATCTCAGCTCACTGCAACCTCCACCTCCTGGGTTCAAGCGATTCTCCTGCCTTGGCCTCCCATGTAGCTGGGACTACAGGCGCCTGCCACCATGCCCAGCTAATTTTTGTATTTTTAGTAGAGACAAGGTTTCACCATGCTGGCCAGGCTGGTCTTGAACTCCTGACCTCAAGTAATCCACTGCCTCGGCCTCCCAAAGTGCTGGGATTACAGGTGTGAGCCATTGCACTCAGTCATCAAGTGGCTCTTTGAATAGATCACTTCTTAATTGTATACAGCAAGTATGGTTCTTCTCACTTCATAGCAAAGAAAGAAATGCCCAGAAAGAAAGGCATTAGCTGAAGGTCCCAGTCAGTGAGGTGGTAATCTCTTGCCCATGAATAGAGAGCATTTTACTTTTAGAAAGTAAAAGTGCTTTCATGTTAGATCCTTTCAAGGCAGGAAGACAGCAGGGGAGGCTGTCTGATGAGCTCATAATATGGGAGCCAGGAAGAACGTGTCTACCTGGAGTGCGCTACATGTAGTGACCAGGAGCCAGTGGAAGCACAGGCTGTCCTTGACCTGTCCCTCATCAGCTGGGAGTGAGGTGGCCAAAGAAGAATCATGAGCCTCAGCAGCTCCTGCCCCACCTCCCATAGGGAAGAGACTAGCCCAGAGCCCTGTCAGGGGACGGATGTCTTTTCTGTAGCGCTTCCTTGGAACTTTATAATTAGAGTAGTTAGTTAAGGATGTCAGGGAGAGCCTCTCAGGAGAAGTGACACTTGAGTTGAGTCCTGAATGAGGAGGAGACAGCCATGTGAAGAAAGGAGGTTCCAGCAGAAAGGATGAACTTGGCGCAGTTAAGGATTGAAAGGCGGCTGGTATGATAGGAGCACAGTGGATGAGGGAAGGTTGGCAGGAGTCTTGTATAGTAAGTCATGATGGAGACAGGGAGACCAGGTAAGGAGGCTGTTCCAGTAGTTCAGATGAGGAAAGAAGTTAACTTGGCTCAGCTGGGCATTGTGGCTCACATCTGTAATCCCAGCACTTTGAGGGGCCAAGGCGGGCAGATTACCTGAGGTCAGGAGTTCGAGACCAGCCTGGCCAACATGGCAAAACCCCGTCTCTACTAACAATGCAAAAATTAGCCGGGCGTGGTGGCACACGCCTGTAATCCCAGCTACTCAGGAGGCTGAGGCAGGAGAATTGCTTGAACCCAGGAGGCAGAGGTTGCAGTGAGCCGAGATCGCACCATTGCACTCCAGTCTGGGCAACAAGAGCAAAACTCTGTCTCAAAAAAAAAAAAAAAAAAAAAAGTTAATTATTTGGCTCAGGATTTTAGCAGTGGTGATGATGCAGTGGGCAGGTGTGGAGATAGAACTTAGGAAATTCAATGACAAGTGGTATGAGAGAAAGAAAAAAGGAATGACTTCCCAGCTTTGACCTGAGTGACTAGGTGAAAGAAGATGCCACTTAATGAGATGTGGGGGGACCCTGGAGAAGGCAGGGAAAGGCAGAGAGAAAGTACAAGTATCTCTTGCTATCCACCATCCATTCCATGCATTTGTTCAGATGCTGAGGAATATTGCATTATTTGAACATTAGATAATCTATGAAAATACTTAAGTAGGCCGGGCACAGTGGCTCATGCCTGTAATCCCAGCACTTCGGGATTTGTTTGTGATATATTGTCTAATATTTGGGTTGTGAGGAGAAAGAGGGCCAGGCATGAGAGGCCAAAGTGGAGGAGAACCAAGAAGTGTGCGCACATGGAAACCTAGGGACTAAAGCATGTCCATGAGGATGTACTCAGTGTACAGTACTGCTGAAGGGCCTAGTAAAACGACAAAGAATAGGTGACTGTGACTTTTTTTTATTTTTATTTTTTTGAGACAGAATCTCACTCTGTTGCCAGGCTGGAGTGCAGTGGCATGATCTCAACTCACCGCAACCTCCGCCTCCCGGGTTCAAGTGATTCTCCTGCCTCAGCCTCCTGAGTAGCTGGGATTACAGGTGCCAGCCACCACACCCGGCTAATTTTTTGTATTTTCAGTACAGACAGGGTTTCACCATGTTGGCCAGGATGTTCTTGATCTCCTGACCTCATGACCCACCCGCCTTGGCCTCTCAAAGTGCTGGGATTACAGGCATGAGCCACCATGCCCGGCCGACTGTGACTTATAGGAGCCACTTCGTTGGGATGACAAAAGCTGATTAGAGTAGAATAAAAATAAGGCAAGAAGTAGACACAGTGGATTTGAGGTCTTGCAGGAAGCAGGGGGCAGTACAAAAAAAAAAAACAGAGCGGCAAGCTGCAGAGGGACATAAGATCAAGAGGGCTTGATGGGTGATATTGGGCCAAGCACCGTGGCTCATGCCTGTAATTCCAACAGTTTGGGAGGCTGAGGTGGGAGGATTGCTTGAGCCCAAGAGGTCAAGGCTACAGTGAGCCGTGATGGTGCTACTGCACTCCAGCCTGGGTGACAGAGTGAGACCCTATACCCCAACTGTGCCCCCCCCAAACAAAGATGGGTGATATTAAGGGAGTGAGCCAGGAGAGTGGGAAATATAGATGATGCATGAATAGATGAGAGACAACCACAAGCGCTAGGTTCCTGAGAAACAAATAGAAGATTTGGCCTTAAACAGAGGCACTAGGCTGGGTGTGGTTGCTCATGCCTGTAATCCTAGCACTTTGGGAGGCCAAGGCGGGTGGATCACTTGAGGCCAGGAGTGCAAGACCAGCCTGGCCAACATGGTAAAACCCCGTCTCTATTAAAAACACAAAAATTAGCTAAGTGTGGTGGCGCATGCCTATAATCCCAGCTACTTGGGAGGCTGCAGCAGGAGAATCACTTGAACCTGGGAGACAAAGGTTGCGGTGAGCCGAGATTACGCCACTGCACTCCAGCCTGGGCGACAGGGTAAGACCCTGTCTCAAATAAACAAACAAACAAACAAACAAGAGCACTCCATACCTCCTCCACTAGGAGGAAACAGAAAGCTTCTTTTTTTTTTTTTTGAGACAGAGTTTTACTCTGCCGCCCAGGCTGGAATACAATGGCATGGTCTCAGCTCACCGCAACTTCTGCCTCCCGGGTTCAAGCGATTCTCCTGCCTCAGCCTCCCGAGTAGCTGGGATTACAGGCACGCACCACCACGCCCAGCTAATTTTTGTACTTTCAGTAGAGACGGGGTTTCACCATGTTGGCCAGGCTGGTCTTGAACTCCTGACCTCAGGTGATCCGCCCACCTCCGCTTCCCAAAGTGTTGGGATTACAGGCATGAGCCACCATGCCCAGCCGGAAATTGAAAGCTTCTAAGGGAAGAAAAGGCACACATATGGCTGGAGTGACACTACTTCCTCTCTTGGGGTTTTATTTATTTATGTATTTATTTATTATTATTATTATTTTTTGAGACAGAGTCTCGCTCTGTCGCCCAGGCTGGAGTGCAGTGGCGCGATCTCGGCTCACTGCAAGCTCCACCTCCCGGGTTCACGCCATTCTCCTGCCTCAGCCTCCCGAGTAGCTGGGACTACAGGCACCCGCCACCGCGCCCGGCTAATTTTTATTTTTATTTTTTATTTTTTTTTGTATTTTTAGTAGAGACAGGGTTTCACCATGGTCTCTATCTCCTGACCTCGTGATCCACCTGCCTCGGCCTCCCAAAGTGCTGGGATTACAGGCATGAGCCACCACACCTGGCCCACTTTTTTAAAAATAGCTTTAACGTTTCATTTGATATACTTATACCTTATCTCACTCCAAAATTTGGAGGCAACTTTTTTTTTTTTTTTTTTTGAGATGGAATCTTACTCTGTTGCCCAGGCTGAAGTGCAGTGGCACCATCTTGGCTCACTGCAACCTCTGCCTCCTGGGTTCAAGCAATTCTCCTGCCTCAGCCTCCCAAGTAGCTGGAATTACAGGTGCACACCACCAGGCCTGGCTAATTTTTGTATTTTTAGTAGAGGCTTCTACCATGTTGGCCAGGCTGGTCTCAAGCTCCTGACCTCAGGTGATATGCCCACCTCCCAAAGTGCTGGGATTACAGGCATGAGCCACGATGCCCGGCCTGGAGGCAACTTTCAGATGTCCATGCAAGAAAATGAAAAGGTTGGGAAATAGAAAATAAGTAAAAGAGATTCAACCATGGGTATTGCTAATAAATGCAGTAAGACTTCATTCCTGTGGTGGGCAAAAGTGAAATCACTTAGTTTTCCCAGTGTTGCTTCCAAGAAAGCATGTTTCTTAGACGCAAAGAGTATTTGTGACACTGATACTTGGGATAAATTTATACCACGGGTTCTGTTAACACTGTAGATTTCTTCAAAATTCCTGTACAGGCCAGGCACAGTGGCTCACGCCTGTGATCCTAGCACTTTGGAAGGCCAAGGTGGGTGTCTTACTTGAGGTCAGTTCGAGACCATCCTGGCCAACATGGTGAAACCCTGTCTCTACTAAAAATACAAAAATTAGCCAGGAGTGGTGGTGGGCACCTGTAATCCCAGCTACTCGGGAGGCTGAGGCAGGAGAATTGCCTGAACCCGGGAGGCGGAGGTTGCAGTGAGCCAAGATGGCGCCATTGTACTCCAGCCTAGGGGACAAGAGTGAAACTCCATCTCAAAAAATAAAAAATAAAAAAAATCCCCGCACAATAAAGAGGACTGCAAATTGAGCATGGCAGCTGCTTTTGTGCTCCATATGAAAGGGAAGGCTCTGCCAAGAGTGTTCCAATTAAAGAACTTCTACAGGAAGTCACAGCAGCAGCATTCAAGGACAAGGTTCCCTGATGAAAATTGACATGGAAATTTTAAGGGTTATTAAAATCCTGGGACATTAAGGTAATTAAGTTGAATGCATGCTGAGAATTAATATTCAAGTAACTCCAAAGTACTCTCAAAATGATGAGTTTTAAGAAGATGAAACTGAAAAGGTAGAAAATTCCAAGTTTGGGATTAGCTGAATACTGCATTTTCTGCCCAGGCAGTTATTAACTTACTTAATTGACTATTAGAAAGCGTCGACCAGGCACGGTGGCTCACACCTGTAATCCCAGCACTTTGGGAGGCCGAGGCGGGCAGACCACGAGGTCGGGGGTTCGAGACCAGCCTGACCAACATGGAGAAACTCTGTCTCTACTAAAAAATACAAAATTAGCAGGGCATAGTGGCGCATGCCTGTAATCCCAGCTACTCAGGAGGCTGAGGCAGGAGAATTGCTTGAACCCAGGAGGTGGAGGTTGCGGTGAGCAGAGGTCACACCATTGCACTCCAGCCTGGGCAACAATAGCGAAACTCCATCTCAAAAAAAAAAAAAAAAAAAAAAAAAAAAAGAGTGTCTATCTCTGTCCCAGATAGGAAACCTTCCAAAAGGTGCTTACAGACTAAGAATGCTTACAGACTCATGCCTGCATGAGTTATGGTTGTCTTCATCAGGAGGGTTGGTCGGTCTCAAATACCTAAGGCTGCCATGACTACATGCTGGACTCCTGAATATTCCTGCATGCACTTTCTTCACAAAATATGGCATTTCATGGAGGCACTTGCTCCACAGAGGAGCATGATCCTAGGATGAACAAATAGGAGAATCCCATGTTAGGAAGTACTAGGTAATCTTTACTGTTGGTTGGATATTCCAAGTTCACAACATAAAAATAAATTTAGGCTGCACGCAGTGGCTCACGCCTGTAATCCCAGCACTTTGGGAGGCTGAGGTGGTAGGATCGCCTGAGCTCAGGCATTGGAGACTAGCCTGGGCAACATAGCAAGACCTTGTCTCTACTAAAAATAAAAATACAAAAATTAGCCAGGTGTGGTGGTGTGTGCCTGTAGTCCCAGCTATTCAGGAGGCTAATGCAGGAGGATTGCTTGAGCCCAGTGACAGAGCAAGACTGGACCCTGTCTCAAAAAAATAAAAATAAAAAAGTTTTGGACCCAACATAGTAAAGATGTCGATTCTCCTCAAAACTGATCTATAGGTTTAGCAGCATTACCATCAGAATCCCAGCAAGATTCTTTTGTAGATAGAAAAAAAGCTTATTCTAAAATTTATGTGGAAAGGCAAAGGAACTAGAAGAGCTAAATTACTTTTGCAAAACTATAATAAAGTGAGAGGAATCACTCCTACCCAACGTTAAGACTTATTATATAGATAAAAATAATTGAGGCCACACGCAGTGGCTCACGCTTGTAATCCCAGCAATTTGGGAAGCCGAGGTGGATAGATCACCTGAGGTCAGGGGTTCAAGACCAGCCTGGCCAACATGGTGAAAACCTGTCTCTACTAAAAATACAAAAATTATCTGGGTGTGGTGGCGCACACCTGTAATCCAAGCTACTTGGGAGGCTGAGGCAGGAGAATCGCTTGAACCCAGGAGGTACAGGTTGCAGTGAGCTGAGATCATGCCACTACACTCCAGCCTGGGTGACAGAGCAAGACTCCGTCTCAAAAAAAAAAAAAAAAAAAAAAGAATTAGTGTGATATTCTGCAGGAATGGTGGAAGGATAGGCATATAGATTAATGAAACGGAATTGTGAACCTAGAAATAGATTCACAAAAGGACAGCCAACTGATTTTTGACAAAGGTACAAAAGCAATTCAATGGAGAAAGAACATTCTTTTTGACGAATGATGCCGGCCGGGCACGGTGGCTCACGCCCGTAATCCCAACACTTTGAGAGGCCGAGGCGGGCAGATCACAAGGTGGGAGATCAAGACCACCCTGACCAACACGGTGAAACCCCATCTCTATTAAAATAAAATAAAATAAAAATTAGCCAGGTGTGGTGGTGTGCGCCTGTAGTCCCAGCTACTCAGGAGGCTGAGGCAGGGGAATCACTTCAACCCAGGAGGCAGAGGTTGCAGTGAGCCGAGATCGTACCACTGCACTCCAGCCTGGCAACAGAGTGAGACTCCGTCTCAAAAAAAAAAAAAAAAAAAAAAAGAAATACTGGCCAGGCGAGGTGGCTCATGCCTGTAACCCCAGCACTTTGGGAGGCCAAGGCAGGTGGATCACCTGAAGTCAGGAGTTTGAGACTAACTTGGTCAATATGGTGAAACCCCGTCTCTACTAAAAATACAAAAATTAGCCATTAGCCAGGCATGTTGGTGGGCACCTGTAATCCCAGATACTTGGGAGGCTGAGGCACGAGAATGGCTTGAACCTGGGAGGCGGAGGTTGCAGTGAGCCAAGATCACACCACTGCACTTCAGCCTGGGCAACAGAGTGAGACACTGTCTCAAAAAAAAAAAAAAAAAAAAGCTGACAAATTGGACTACATCAAACTTTTAAATGTTTAAGAACAATTAAAAGCATTTGCTCTGCAAAAGACCTTTTTAAGATGAAAAGACGACTTTGATTGAGAGAAAATATTTGCAAGCTGTCAAAAAGACTTGTACTTAGAATAAAGAACTCTCAAAACTCAACAGTAAAAAACTATCAATTTAAAAATGAGCAAAAGACACAGACATATATTTTACCAAAGAGGATACAGGGATGGCAAATAAGAACACGAAAAGATGTTCAACATCACCAGCCATTAGAGAAATGCAAATTAAGACAATAAGATACTACTTTACACCAATTAGAGCAGCCAAAATTTAAAAATAATGACATGCCTGGTGTGGTGGCTCATGCCTGTAATCCTAGCACTTTGAGAGTGCTGGGCTAGATGGGAGGATCACTTGAGCCCAGAAATTCAAGACTGGCCTGGGCAACATAGTGAGACCACATCTCAAAAAAAAAAAAAAAAAGAAAAAGAAAATTAGCCGAGCATGGTGGTACACACCCGTGGTCCCAATTACTCAGGAGGCTGAGGTGGGAGGATGGCTTGAGCTTGGGAGCTCAAGGCTGCAGTGAGCCATGATAGGGCCACTGCACTCCAGCCTGGGTGACAGAGTGGGACCCTGTCTCAAAAAATAATAATAGTAAGAATAATAACAATACCAAATGCTGGTGAGGATGCAGAGAAATTGGATCTGTCCTGCATTGCTGGTAGGAATGTAAAATGGTACAGCCACTCTGAAAAATGGTATGGCAGTGTTTTAAACTAACACATACTTAACACAGGAGCCAGCAATTGTACTCCTGGGCATTTATGCCACATAAATGAAAACTTATGTCTACACGAAAACCTGTATATAGGTTCATATGTAGCTGAATGTTCATGGCAGCTTTATTTGTAAGTCACAAACCGGAAACAAGACAAATATCCTTCAACGGCTGAACGGATAAACTACAGAATATCTATACTATTCAGCAATAAAAAAGAACAAACTGGCCGGGCACGGTGGCTCACACCTATAATCCCAGCACCTTAGGAGGCCGAGGCGGGCGGATCACCCGAGGTCAGGACTTCGAGACCAGCCTGGCCAACATGGTGAAACCCCGCCTCTACTAAAAATACAAAAATTAGCTGGGTGTGGTGTCATGCACCTGTAATCCCAGCTACTTGGGGAGAATTGCTTGAACCCTGGAGGTAGAGGTTGCAGTGAGCCGAGATCGCACCACTGCACTCCAGCCTGGGCAACAGAGTGAGACTCCATCTCAAAACAACAACAACAACAACAACAACAAAACTATTTACAACAACTTGGATTGATCAGAGACATTATACTGAGTCAAAATAACCTAGTCTCAAAAGGTCACATACTGCATTTATGTAACAATTTTAAAATTACATTTTAGAGATGTTAAACAGACAAGTAGTTGTCAGGGGTTGGGGACAGGTTAGGGAAGCAGGAAGGGGACAGATACGATTTAAAAAGAGGTAGCAAGCTGAGCACTGTGGCTCATGCATGTAATCCCAGCATTTTGGGAGGCTGAGGCAGGAGGATCACTTGAGGAGTTCAGTTCAAGACCAGCCTGGGCAACATAGTGGGATCCCATCTCTACAAATAATTTAAAAATTAGCTAGGTGTGGTGGCACACGCCTGTAGTCCCAGCTACTCAGGAGGCTGAGGTGGGAGGATTGCTTGAGCCTGGGAGGTCAAGGCTACTGCGAGCTATGGTCACACCAGCCTGCGCAACCCTGTCTCAAAAAAAAAAAAAAAAAGAGGTAGCACAAGGGAGATCATTGTGATGATGGAACTGTTCTGTGGAGGGGGTTACACAAATCTACACATATAAAACTGCACAGAACTACACACATGACTGCATACAAATGAGTAAAACTGGTGAAATTGGAACAGGGTGTGTGGATTGTACCAATGGCAATTTCCTGGTTTTGTACTGCAGTATGCCAGATGTTACCATTGGGGGAAACTGCGTGAAGGATACAGTGGAACCTCTCTTGTTTTTGCAACTTCCTGTGAATCTATACAGTTTTATTAGAAAATACATTTTAACCGTATAAAATCTGCTCAGGAAAGGATAAAGCAGCAGAAAATCTTTATAATTTCAACCAGTAGCAAAAACTATTAATATTTTAGCAGGTTTCCTTCTGGTCTTCTATGTATTTTCAAAATACTTAAGATCATTCTGCACACTGAGATGTAACCTACTTTTTTCTCTACCCACTGGAACAAGTTATTTTCTCTATGTCACTAGTAATTGTCAATGGCAGCTTTATTGTGTGTGTGTGTGTGTGTGTGTATGCGTGTGTATAGAGAGAGAGATTTTTTTTTTTTGAGATGGAACCTCACTCTGTTGCCCACAGTGGAGTACAGTGGCACAAACTTGGCTCACTACAACCTCCACCTCCCAGGTTCAAGTGATTCTCCTGCCTCAGCTTCCCAAGTAGCTGAGACTATAAGCGCTTGCCACCACGCCCAGCTAATTTTTTTTTTTTTTTTAGTAGAGACGGAGTTTCACCATGTTGGCCAGGCTGGTCTTGAACTCCACCCACCTCCCAAAGTGCTGGGATCACAGGTGTGAGCCACTGTGCCGGGCCAGCACCTTAATATTCTGAATACAATATATATATATTTTTTGAGATGGAGTCTTGCTCTATCACCCAGGCTGGAGTGCAGTGGCACAATCTCAGCTCACTGCAAGCTCTGCCTCCTGGGCTGACACCATTCTCCTGCCTCAGCCTCCTAAGTAGCTGGGACTACAGGTGCCTGCCACCTTGCCCGGCTAATTTTTTTTTTTTTTTTTTTTTGTATTTTTAGTAGAGACAGGGTTTCACCGTGTTAGCCAGGATGGTCTCGATCTCCTGACCTCGTGATCTGCCTGCCTCGGCCTCCCAAAGTGCTGGGATTACAGGCGTGAGCCACTGCGCCCAGCCCAATATTTTAAAACATTAGTTTAGCTCCAATTCTAGTTAGAAGGAACATGGTGAGCAAAAACTAAGGCAAAGGCAGAAGAAAGCACAGGATTTGCATAGACAGTAGCATGACATTCAGCTACAGGATAAGGTCTGGGAGGCAAGTTAAAGCTGCAATGGTAGATTAGAACCACGCCATAGGGGCCACGTAATAGAATGCCATTACTTTGTTTGCAATATCTGTTTTAATTTGGAATACAGAGATGCTTCCACAATGAAGAACCAGAAGCATGATCATGGCAATGCTAAGTCTGAAACAAATGACAAAAAGAAGGGGAGTGAACAGTGGACTCCACACCTAAGCCTGCTGTATCAGAATTGCCTGGGGAGCTTTAGGAATAAAAACACAAGCAAAAACCAAAACCAAAACCACAGATTTCTGAGAGAACCTCAGAGGTGGAGGATCCTGTTAGGAGAGTTGCCCTAGAATCATTTCCCAGGTACTTTCTGTTGCAACACCAAGTTGGAGAAACACAAAAGGAAAATGGCTAGGTTCCAAGAAAGGAAAGACTAATCTAAATTAATCACTACATCTCCCAGTGCCAATACTCAAGCAGACACCAAATCAGGTTTTGATTGCACCCTAAGTCAACCCTCGCCTTGCACTGAAAGATCCCATCAGGTGATTGAGGTCTGGAGAAGAGGTTCAGGGACCATTCTGCATACCACTAATGTTGACTGTTAGGTAAATGAGATGGGCTGTTGGGAATAGAATGAGTGGAAAAGGAAGTGAATGGAGGATCTCCAGCGAAAGATAGGAGGTACTTCTCTCGAAAAATGAAACATCTTCAATGTAACAAGGAAGACAGTAAATATCCAATAAACCATGATTGTATCTGCTTCACACAGTAAAATAAGGACTAAAACTGGATATACATCTACAGAAAGCCTTAGAATATAGATATGTCACAGTACTGATAGGCCTACCTAATGACCCTTTGAAGAGGGGGGAGGAAATTGGGGATGTGGCTGTTCACCTAGAGGAGATAGTATCTCATTTTATGTATATATTTAGTTTATCCATTTGTCAGTTGAGGGACATTTTTGTTTCCACTTTTTGGTTACGATGAATAATGCTACAAAACATTCACATACTTAGCATTTTCATTTCTCCTGGGTAGAATCCTCCTAGGAGTGGAATTGCTGACTTTATCTTGTTTTGAGACACCTATTTCCTGCTCTTAAATCGTATTGGTCCGTTTTGTTTTCTCCCATAATAAACATCTTTCCAAGTCACAAAATATCCTTTCATAATATAATTAAACAGTGCTTTGTCAAAAAAAAGTCCTTTCTCAGAATTATCCTAAAAACCCAGTCAAGTGTATGTAGAGAAAACTAAGAGGAAAAAAAAAATGAAGAAATTGAAGAGTAGTCATTATAGAGGACAGCCACATTAGAAACAATGACACTAAACATGCTGAAAAATAGATCATAAACTGAAATGAGGACATGAAGCAAAGCAGGTTTAAATATACTCAGAATTGTATTAAAAATAGAATGGAACACAAGAAAGCAAAACCCAAAGATAGTCTTATAACTTTCAATGCCCTGTACCTACAATAAGTAGGTATCTCTGCATTGTGGGAGTAGTGAGGCCCTATCAACAAAGTCACTGTGCTCTAAAGAGCAAGCCTGTGGCCACTCAAGCAGGTCACGTAGAGCATAGGAGCAAAGGAAACATTTTAAGCATGAAGGTTAGACACAGCTCCTATAAAGCCATTTTAAAAATCTTGAAATTCAGCCAAGAATCCAGGAAACACATCAACAGTGCCCAAGAGTGACAACTGCATTTAAGTGTAATTAAAATTAAACCACATTAATGTAGTATGTAAACATACTAAATTTATGTCACCATAATCCTAACCATGCTAGACTAGAAATAACCTCAAATTTTGGCAGTTCCTCCAGAGCAGATTGTCATGTTCACTCATCATTCACATAAAGTGGAAACTGAACTCTCCTTAGCATCGTTTCACTCCATGAGTCACTTTCAGCCATTGACTATCCAATCTAGCAATCCCAAACCTTTCCATGCTTATTTTGACTAAATCGAGACTCAAGTACCATCATCTTTTCTATCTTCAAAATACATATGGCCATGTGTCAAAATTCTGCCCTAAAAACTTATGCTTATTTTGAGTTCATGACTGGAAAGATTATCCAGAACCATACTTCCTTACAATGCAAAAAATTCTTAATCATACTGCAAACCTTCAACTTACTGAAACAAAAGCTGAATACGTATTTGTTAGATTGAAACGTATCAAACCGCTAGTATGGCTCAATCTAACCAAGCACCTATACACTTGTGGTAGCAGCCTATTGCAGCAGTGTGTACAGTAAGCATAGATGTCTTATTACCTGTTTTCAGAGATAAGGTCTTGCTATACGTTGCCCAGGCTGGACTTGAACTCGTGGGCTCAAGCAATCTTCCTGCCCCTCAGCTTCCAAGTAAACTAGCACTATAGGACTATGTAATCATCACACCTGGCCCAAATAGTCTTGATTCCTTCCCTAAGTATATACTTACCATCACTTGTTGGACTACTGACACACTTGACTTTTATCCTGCTCATTCTTCCACTGTTCAACCATCCTTCATAATAGATACTTCAAAGAACAAAGAGACTCCCACCCATGTCAAATTGTTCAAAGTATAAGCCAATTTCTAATACATGCTGTATTATCAGTAAGGGCCTTTTAGATTTCCGTCTATTACAAAAATCCTGTTTCACTGTATTTCAAACTAATACTATCTTCATCTTTCATTGCAAATACTTATGGTATGAGTCATTCTGTATCCAAGAGGCATCTCAAAAAATAGCACTGGATGACAAGCAAAAAATAACATTTTACAATTTTTCAGGCAAGAGCACTTTATTTACACCTCTGAAAATAAACCACAATTGACAACAACAAAGGAGACTGTGCAGTTCAACTTTTTATTTTAATAAAATCAGAATATGCACAGCACATGCAGTGCTAGCATCTAAACTAATACAATAAGCAATTACTAAAGCTACAGTGACTTGAGGTTCAATCTTTACATTCAGCAAGTTTAAATCCTTACATGATTTTTGAAACCTTATTAACTGAAAATATTGCTTGCTGATAAAACTTGCTCAAATGCTATTGCTGAATGTACAAGTCACTGATTATGCCAATACAACAAAGATAACCACATGTTTGAGGATTGCAATGTGCCAGACATTCACTGAAAAAAAAAAAAAAACACACAACTAAACAAAATCCACACAACAAACATCTGAGAATCTGGACACTTCACATCAGTGTTTTGAAGTGTTTCATTAATATCTTAAGACAAGTGTATCAAAACCTTGGCATGATTTAATTTCAAGTCGCCAATTTTGTTTTTACTAACATCAGAAAGTTATGGCTACACTGCCAACGCCGGGTCTGCTTAATTTGACTTAAGAGTTTAATATGACTTAAACATTAAAAGCTCACACTACCCCGAAATATATAATTTCACGCATACGGTGACATTCAACATTCAAGTGCCAGTGTTTTTGTACTGTCTTTTGGTCAAGTTTCTTTAAACTTTCAAAGAATCACTTTTAGGCTTACAAAAATAAATATTTGTCAAAATGTTCAATAAATATTACATAAAACTAGCAGCAAAAAGTATCTAGAAATCTGTCGTGTGCAAATAGTTTTCTTCCCAACTATCATTCCCATGGTCCCAAATAAATTTTAGAATCTAGTCCCATCCCCTTCCTAGACAAGCTGCGTTCAACAATCTCCAAGAGACAAAGTAAGATTGGAAGTTTAAGGACACGCACACAAGACATATATATAAAATTCTCTGAATGTGCAATAAAAGAAGTACTTTGTAAAAAGTTATGGGCAAAATGTACAAGGGCCTAAACCTAGACTAATTGAAATAGCACCATAACAAATGACCTCAATACTGTCAAGTGCACCTACTTAATAAAAGTTTTAGAACAAGGCACAATACACTTGAAAATCTATTGCACTTTAGGAAATTTTTGCCGTCTTCCTATGCCACTGTAAAAAGATGGAGCGTTTTGATCACCGCATTCTGGCCACAAAATTAGCACAGAATTCAAAGTGGCAGAGGCATTTTAGTGGTGGACAATGCTCATCTTTGGCCAGATTTAGCATAAACAGACTATAAATACAATGGAAACCTATGCAACTAAAACTGACTAAAACTGCACTGTAGAGCAGAATTGACACCTTGTGCAGTTATGTACATATTTCCAACCTGTGTGATCTCAAAGATTTCAGTTTGTTACTCTTCTGGAGCCATTTTTACGAAGTCTATAGTAAGCCAGTTTAACATCTCAACGCAGCTTGAACAGAGTAATGTGAATCGGCATTTAAAATAAAGC
The DNA here is from genome assembly GCF_000001405.40 of Homo sapiens. NCBI lineage: Eukaryota > Metazoa > Chordata > Mammalia > Primates > Hominidae > Homo > Homo sapiens. The sequence goes on along the minus strand of NC_000023.11, from coordinate 41,348,756 downwards.
CTGCTGCATTTAATTCTTCCTGTTCATACCCTCTTGACCAAAAAACATCAACACTAGCATGCGTTATTAGACCAAAAATCATCCAGGGCCCTAATGAGGGCTGGTCATTGCTGTGGTCAGCCATTCTACCATTTCAATTTCATTTATGGCAGGCATTTAAAAAGTCTAAGTAGATGAATTCTCCTAAAAACCTATTTCAAGTTATCAGACCTTTAAACTTTCCCTGTAATAGTATGCCCACATTTGGCTAGCTCATAATTAATGATCTGCCTAAACGTTGAAAGAGGAATTGCTGTATTTACTTGCATTAACTTTGAAAACAGTGCTTTGAATGTATGCATGTATTCATACATCACCTCATCATGACTGGAATGGCTTAAAGACTATCAGGTTCTAAATACCTATCCAGGATAGAGTGAGCAAATCAGAACTTTAACTTAATACAGTTTGCCACATTAGAAACTAATTCCATTAATATGCTTCAAGACATTTGTTGTTTTCCCCCAATCTGCAAGTATCAAAAAGCCCTAATGCAGGCTACCGCATAAGTTTTTCCTTATATTATTTATGGATGAATCGATGATTCCTGTTAAGTTGTATCACACCTGTGTGCCAAGGTTTGATTTTAGCCCAAGTTCAGTAAATTTATTTTGTCAAAACAATTGATATCTTGAGCATTACTGAGCCAACAGGACATCAAAATAAAAAGTTGTCTAAAGTTAAAGGCACAGTACATTAACAAACAAATGATCCTCAGTCACAAAATTATAAATGCAGTTTGGGATGGGGGTAGGCGGGAGGGGAGTTAATCCAAACTACAGCAATGAAGTCTTCAAACCACCTTCTGAACAGGGCTGCTGATTGTTCCTTTCATTTCTTCTTGTGACCTTGAGCTCCCTTAAAAAAAAAATTTCAGTGGAGAATCACAGCTGGTAATGTACTGCGAGTTCTTGAAGCTACACAAGGTATAGTCTGGCTAAGTTACATGTGGTTTCCATATTAGCTTGTTTGGCAGGGTGACCTACTGCAAAGCAGGCTCAGTTACCCCACCAGTCAACCCCCTGGGAGTTATAATTTCCTCCATATCCATCACTGTTGTAAAAGCCTCCATAGCCACCTAATGAGAGATTTAAAAAGAGAGAGAAATTAATGAAGTTATCCATCATTAAATACAATCCTTCCCTTACGTAATTTGCCATCAAGTTTCTATAGTGCTGAACTTAAATTGTTTAATTAGGCTTTGAAAAAGATGACTAAAAGGAAAAAAACCCTTCCCAAAGCTATGAAGTTACAGATTAACACTACCTCCACCAAATCCTCTGCTGCTACCGTGGCCACCTCCGCCACTGCGGCTGCTGCTTGCGCGGCTGCTGCTGAAGCTGGAACTGCTGGCACCGCTACTTTGTCGGTAGTCTCTGGCACCAAACCCTCCACTAAATCTGCTACTATAAGAAAAAAATTATGTTGGTTCACATGAAGATGAAATTCCACTAAAGTAACCTAACTCTTTCCTAATGACCAATTTCTAATTTTTCCATTCAAACAATTCCCCATCCAGCCATATTTTCCCCAACAGAGTGTCACCCATTCTAATACAACCCCTTACCAAAGAATCTAGGAAGCCTAAGATGATTAAGCTTTTTAAATACTGTACAGTTAACCTTGGACGTTATGCATGCAGAGGAAACACTATGAACTGTAAGTGAACACCCATTCCCCTCATTATATACTATTTATACCTCACCTCTTAGAACGTCCACGACTGCTACCCTTGTAGTGGTGTTCATAAGCCATGTTTTCTAACCAAGACGGCACTTCTTGTTTAGCTTCAACAAGAAGATCCAACAAATCCTTAGTAATATTTATGTTCCTCTCGTTAAAGAATGAGGTTGCCAGGCCTAAAAGAGTTCCCAAAAAAGTATATAAACAAAGGTCTTCCATAAAGTAACTTGCTACTATTCTTACTTTCCTACGTAGAAATATTTAAAATATTACCACGTAATATTTAAACAAGTGCTTTGAGCAAAATCTTTGTCACTTTCATTGTTAAAAATGTATTTTAGATCCTAGCAAGTTCTTTCCTGCACACATCACAGCAAAAAACAATGAAACCATCAAGTAATCAAATACTTACCAAGGTTTCCTACACGTCCCGTACGACCAATACGATGTACATATTCTTCAATATCACTTGGCAAGTCAAAATTGATAACATGTTTCACATTTGAAATGTCCAGTCCTCTTGCTGCTACCTGGAAAATAACTTTTATGAGATATGGCCCACTTAAAAGAAAACAAATACTTGAACATGCTCAATTTGAATAAAAGAAAGATGTTTATACATACTGCTGTAGCCACTAAAATTGGGCTTTTTCCTGAGCGGAACTGGTGAAGGGCCTCTTCTCTATCCCTCTGAGAACGGTCTCCATGGATGCTGGTACATGCGTATCCTTCATGGTATAAGAAATCCTCCAGAGAATCTGCACCCTTTTTGGTCTCCACAAACACTAAGGTCAGTGAATCCTTGCCTGTCGTTGAAAAATTATAGGTTTTTGTCACTAACATGGCTTAGTTCTCTTTGCACTTATGTATGCACAATTTTAATGTGTCAATTAAAATACATATATATCTTCTTAAAAACGGGCTTTCAACACAGCATGTTTTGAATTGAGGAGGAAAAGTAATAAAGGTAATCCAAATACATTTAAGAGATGGGGGTCTCACTAAATTGCCCAGGCTGAGAGTGCACTGGCCATTCGCAGGTGCAATCATGGCATACTACAGCCTCAGCCTGCCAAGTAGCTGGGACTACATGCACTGTACCACTGCACCCAGCCCAAATGGGTTATTACCAGAGCAATTAAATTATTCATAATTTTAGCTGGGTGCAGTGGTGAGTGCCTGTAGTCCCAGCTACTCTGGAGACTGAGGCAGGAGGATTGTCTAAGTCTAGGAGTTCTGGGCTGTAGTGTACTATGCCTATCAGGTGTCCACACTAAGTTTGGCATCAACATGGTAACCTCCCGGAAGCAAGGGAGCACCAGGTTGCCTAAGGAGGGGTGAACAGGCCCAGGTCAGAAACAGAGCAGGTCAAATACTCCCATGCTGATCAGTAATGAGATCACACCTGTGAATAACCCCTGCACTCCAGCCTGGGCAACAAAGAGAAACCCCCATGTCTAATAAAATAAAAAATTCATAATGTTACCTGTTGCATTTAGGAGGTCAAGCAGAAATGACCGTTTGTCTGATTCTTCCACCCAAACTACTTTCTGTGTGATGTTTTCAGAGGTAGAGCCAACTCTTCCTACAGCCAAGAAGATATATTCATCTAAGAAATCACGAGCCAGCATCTGAAAGAAAAAAAATTTTTATTATTACCTGAGATAAACAAATTTCTAAATAAATAAAATTTGCAACATCAAACAGTACCTGTATTTCCTTAGGAAAAGTAGCACTAAACATCATAGTGTGGCGGACACCCTTTGGAGGCATAGTATCTTGTTCGACTATTCTACGAATCTGAGGCTCAAACCCCATATCCAACATCCGATCAGCTTCATCTAACACCAAGTATCTGTCATGTCATGAAAAAAAACAAGCCTGAGTTTAGAATTTGAGGAGAAATCAACATGGTTTTAGTATGGCTGTTAGTATAATTACAAATACAATTGTATAGGTTATTACAATTATATATTCATTAAGATGGTGCCTCACACTGCATAATTTTACAGACACAGCACAGGATTCTTGCCACTACATAAGTCATTCAAGATTACACAGTCAAATTAGCCCATCCTAGTTGACTGTCCCACGAGCTGATCATTGTTGTAAGTCTCAACCAAGATGTTACTGATTTTTCAACATTAAAATTACCATGAACAAGCTTTTTGTGAAAGTTAGATGTCTGAAATACATCACTTCTCAGCCTTAACATTTAGACAATGTTAACATCACCACAAAACTAATGGGCAGTAACTTTAATACTGCATCCCATACATTTAAAAATTAACATACTTGGCCGGGTGCGATGGCTCACACCTGTAATCCCAGCACTTTGGGAGGCCAAGGCAGGCGGATCACCTGAGGTCAGGAGTTCGAGACCAGCCTGACCAACATGGAGAAACCCCGCCTCTACTAAAAATACAAAAATTAGCCCAGCGTGGTGGCACATGCCTGTAATCCCAGCTACCTGGGAGGCTGAGGCAGGAGAATCGCTTGAACCCGGGAGGCAGAGGTTGTGGTGAGCCGAGATCGCGCCATGGCACTCCAGCCTGGGCAACAAGAGCGCAACTCTGCCAAAAACAAAAGAACAAAACAAAACAAAACAAAAAAACAAAAACAAAATAAAACATACTTGCAAAAGTCTAATCCAATCTTTCCTCTTTCCATCATATCCACTAGACGTCCTGGAGTGGCTACTAACAAATGGCATCCACGTTCCAAGTCTCGAATCTGCTGACCAATATCGGCACCACCATAAACCACGCAAGGACGAACTCTAGATCGGTATGAAAACTATAAGCAAAAAAAATGTTATGAACTTCAAGGTCAAAATTTTTACATGTTCATAAAACATTTAATTAGAATCAATGAAAAAGCTAATAATCACTGGAACTCATACTTACTTTTCTGGCTTCCTCGTAGATCTGTACTGCCAACTCTCTCGTTGGTGCTAATACCAAGGAGATTGGGTATTGTTTGCGGCGCCCATACCTTCCATTTTCCTAAGAAATAAGTTAATTTTTAAGTTAACTCTACCTACCCTGTTTGAAAAGTTCATCACAACATAATTCCCTTTTGTAATTTATAGATTACAGATTACACTTGAAAACTGGTTTTCATTCTACTTAAGTCTTAGCATCATTTAGAAAGCCCTCTCAATGGCCACCTACAAAGTTCTACAATTTCCCATTTTATAAAGAAACATCTACCTTCATGGCCCTCAAAGCCTCGCCTGGACCATCTGAATAAATCTGACTCAAGATGGGCAACAGAAATGCTGCAGTTTTTCCAGACCCTGTTCAAAAACAAACAAACAAATCCTGCTCATTACTTTTAAACAGACATTGGTAGATGACAGTGTTTTTTAACTACCCTATTACTAATAATTAGTACTTTTAGTTTATGCTTAAGTTTTCCAAAAAGTGGCTTCTCTGCTCCACCTCTAAGAGGAGTCAGCAAACTGAGACTATTTTGTAAATAAAGCCTGTTATTTTTATAAATAAAGCTCTTACGGAATACAGCCGTAACCAATAATTTATGTATCATCTATGGCTTCTTTCACAGTCCAATAGCAGCGCAGAGCAGCTGCAAAACTGCATGACCCATAAAAAATAAAATATTTTATTGTCTAGTCCTTTACAGAAGAAATATGATGTTTTACTCTTATGAGTTGAGCTTACCTGTTTGGGCACAAGCCATCAAGTCTCTTTTCTCTTTGATAATAGGAATAGCATGCTTTTGCACTGGAGTTGGGCGAGTATAACGAGTAAGCTCAATGTTTCCCATGATAATTTCTCCCATCTCAACATCACTGAACTGTTAAGAAATTCAATGGGGTTAGGAATGCTATCTAGAGCTATTTCTGTTTTATACTAATAATGGAAACAACCAACCAACAGCTGATTGGTAACTCAGTTTATAGTTTAAGTAAAATTATCACATTATACTTTGAGAAAAACCAACCCCCAGGCTTACTGCACATTGGAGAAGACTTTGGGTTGTTCCTATGTTTGACCCATTTTCTATTTTAGGTAATAAATTATTCATAATGGTGACACTGAACTCAACTTCTCCTTTTCCACAAATCTATGAAGCCTCTGGTCTACATGACTTTATGAAGCCCATCTCACATTCTAATGTAACATGAAAACATTTAACCTCTCTGTGTCTTAAAAAGTCAAGCAAAAATACTCACACTTTCAATATGTGGAGGACAGTTGTTGCCTGTTGCCTCAACTGGAATGTCATCGTATTTCTCAAAATTAATCCCAGTGTTGCCTCCAGAAAAGAGTTCCCTCAAATCAAAAAATGGATAAGTTCATTTGTTATACTAGCTAGTAAGGCTTCATCACAAGTAACATACACTTCAAAAACTTACTGTTCCAAGCGTTCACTTGGTGGGAGTGGTTTTGACCAATCATCTTCATCTGATTTGTCACACCAGCGACTGTTTCCACCACGTTCAAATTTGCCAAAGCCACTTCTGTCACCACGGCTGCCAATGCCATCGTAATCACTCCGTCCACGATCATCAAACCTGAACAGCACAAGCAATTAATCAGAATCATATCATTTAACCATTATCAGATTCTTATCCCTACTCTAGAACTGTATCTGGAGACTTAAGTTATGGCTAACCATAAGGATGTCAACAATCCAATTCTGAGTTACTTGACAAATAAGGCTCTCTAACCAGCATCATTTACATAACCTCGTTTTCTAAAATCAGTAATCTTTACATTTCTATAAAGTTGTATAGCCTAAAAGGCCTCACAGATGCCAAAATTAAGAATAAGGATTTTATTTGAAATCGGCACACAGCTCACAACCTTCATTTAAAGTGCTCATCCAAATATATTTAATGGTAGGGAAAACAAGAAAATAGCACACCAAATATCAATCGTCCTAGTTATACTAGGATGTCACTTAAAGGACAATTCACCTGTGTGACAGACTTTGGATAAAAGGTAGAAAATAATCCTTACCTGAACTAAGATGTTTTTAAGAGTTTTAGGCCTGTTTGCGAAAAATCAGGACACAGGACTAACCACAGCTATTAGGCACGTGGGGTCAGTTCACCACACTTGTGTAATCAAAAATACAAGGTGTTTAGAAATTGTTATAGAGTCCACAAAAATCCCAACCAAATTAGGCCATTCACTAGATGAACTTACTCTTTTAAGTAGAACATATAAAACTCGAGAAATAGAATAACTCATTTCATTATGCCAATGAGCATATTCCTATTTTCATCTAATTTCTAAGTAACAGGTTCAATTTAGTAAAAGCCTCTTACGGCTAAGAAAATACAATGACCAAACAGACATAATGCTTAACATCCAAACAGGTGGTCAGGATAACGACTTATTAAACTGTTATTATACATACACGTAAGGTGATTAAGAAATCACTTACCTTCCCCTTGATCCACTTCCACGATCACTGAAGAAGCTAGACTTCCCTCTTGAATCACTACGAGATCCAAAACTGCTATACGCATCCTTATCTTTGCTAGAACTCCACCCTGAACTGTCTTTATCGTAGAAACCTTTGATTAAAAAAGCACAAATACATTTTATTATTAATTAGAAATAGGAACCATGTTAAGGTATTATCAATCTTTCTGAATTTGAAAGCCTCCACTGACTATCCCTACCATGGCACTGTAAGAGAACCAAGATTTAAAGCTGGTTTACACCCGGACAAAGTTTTTCTTTAATTCTCCCCACTAGAAAATACTGTCCACTGGCCAGGCATGGTGGCTCACGCCTGTAATCCCAGCACTTTGGGAGGCCAAGGCGGGCAGGTCACCTGAGGTCAGGAGTTCGAGACTAGCCTGACCAACATGGAGAAACCCCGTCTCTACTACATATACAATATTAGCCAGGCGTGGTGGCCCACGTCTGTAATCCCAGCTACTCAGGAGGCTGAGGCAGGAGAATCACTTGAACCCGGGAGGCTGAGGTTGCAGTGAGCCAAGATTGCGCCACTGCACTCCAGCACGGGAAACAAGAGTGAAACACCCTTGTCTCAAAAAAAAAAAAATTACTTTACACTAAATCAAGCAATCTGACAGTCTAAGAATGTTTCTCAATGAATACTACCTCTAAGTGGTCAACAGCTTTGCCTGTAACGCATTATGACGTTGTGTGACCATAACAATTTAATTTCCATTCATTTTATAGGTGTGAATGAGTTTACTAGGAAAAACAGTTACCATTGTTTCCATGTTTCTTGGAGGTGGTATTCATTTAGAACATTCATAGACTGTCAGATTACTTGGTTTAATACAGTATTTTTCAGTTTCAATAGTATAAAGTACAAGAACACTAATGTCAAATTGTAGTATTATTTTAGTGGTTCATCTACTATAAGCTTGATGACAATCAGGAATACCTGGGAAAAAGAAAAACCCTCATCACTATATATTCTCAGTATAGACAAGGTTCCTGGGTACAGCTATAAATATCCAGGTAAGGGGATGACAAACATGTAAATTAACCCAAAGACAGGTAGAGGGTTTAAAGACAGGTAGAGGGTTTAACTAGCTTCAGCAACACCTTATTAAACAGAAACAGCTTCTCAATTCAGTTACTTTCCTTCTGCCTTCTACCTCCTACCGTTAGGCCAGTCAGGTGACCAACAGCCTTTGCTAGCAAGAAAGAGTTAAGTTAGATTGCCAGATCTCTACCAGCTCTAAAACCTCTATGATACTGCCATATACACGAGGGTCAATTCTAGCTAGTATACTAGGAATATTGAGAACATCCATGATGATAAAGACAAATTCCAAAGTAACCTCCCCTAAAAAGAATATAATGCCAGCCAGGCATGGTGGCTCACGCCTGTAATCCCAGCACTTTGGGAGGCTGAGGCGGGTGGATCACTTGAGGTCAGGAGTTCGAGACCAGCCTAGGCAACAAGGCAAAACCCCGTCTCTACTAAATATACAAAAATTAGCCGGGCATGGTGGCACATGCCTGTGATCCCAGCTACTTGGGAGGCTGAGGCAGGAGAATCACTTGAACCCAGGAGGCGGAGGTTGCAGTGAGCCCGCGCTACTGCACTCCAGCCTCCGCAGCAGAGCAAGGCTCCGTCTCAAAAAAAAAAAAAAAAAAAAAAAGCCAAAGTGATCTTCTGGTAGAAATAATACAGATTTTATATCCATGCATTGCCAGGACAGTGAAGGTAATACAGACTACATATGGAGATGGAGGAACAGCAGCAAACCATGTGCTCCCCTGTGGACTCTCCACTCTTCCTATCTGCCTTCTTTATACAGTATCTTCCCTCCTAATCTTTGGTTTTCCTGACTTTCCCTTTTCCTCCAAATTTTGGATGGTCTATTTTACAGAATATAAAGCACCCGAACAGCTGTCTCATAATATGAAACATATACTAGCTGTCATCTATCACTACGTTACAATTACAATGGGAAAAGACACCAGATATTGTAATACATTTTGGACAAAACCTTTCAAAAGCAGCAAGGCAAGGAGATGAAACCAGAGAATCACTTCCAACGCTGTAACTTGTTAACTGTTCTACAATAAGCCCATCTTCATTTCTAGCAACTTTGCCAAGACAGAAATAACCAGGTTGTTATCATTATACAGCTTGGTTTACACAGTAGGGCACCCACCTCTTCCAAACTAAAACCATGCTGTGAATGATTACAAACAGATTCAGCACAACACTAGTGAAACTGTACAAAACCATGCCCTTGGCGTCAGAACAGTTTGACATAGGAATGCCGAATTTCCCACTGCGTAACATTAGATGAGTTCTTCCAAAATTATTAAGCTCTAGTATTTGAACCAAGGCTGACAGAAGCATAGAAAAACAACACCATGTTTAGACCTCCCCCAAATGCCTGGTTTTCCTTAGGCTTTACTAACTTCTAAAGGAGGCAAAAAATAGACCTACGAAGTTACTTGTGAGGACCTACCTTTAGTAGCTTCTCGGTTCCTTAAATGAGGAGGAATATAGCGCCCTTCTAAAAAAATATATATATATATAAAATTAATTAAATGCCAAAAAACCTTCCCATTTAAATTTCTGTTACTAAAAAATGGTTCTGGGAAATTAAAATCTCCAGCCTTCCAATCTGATTACTTACCTGGACACTGAGAGGGGGGAAAAATAAGAATCTAATTTTAAATGGGTTACTGCTTCATAAGGAGAACTCTGAAAGGAGTTTGATAAAAAAAAGCTGATTTGGAACCTAATAGTTGAAATCCACAAATTGAGCACATTTAGCCACCAGTGGTCATTTAATGTGATTTTTTTAAAGGCCTGCTAGATTTAAGAGAACTGTCATCAAAACTGTCAACAAAAGCATTAAGTATTACTGTAACAATTTAAGATTACTCATGTAACATATCTCACAATCTTTTGTTTCTATGCCAGTAAGTTGCAAAACATACAATAAATAAACAAGGAAAAGCTGCAAAGGGGAGTTAATTTCAAGGAATTGCAGGTTTTAATTTGGGGCTTGCTGAGTTTAAGGAAAGTTGACAGTTGCTCTGTATGCGAGCAGGAGTACAGCCTAGAATATGGATAAGCAAAAAAAACAACATAAAGCCAAATAAATTTGCTTTATAACTAGTAAACGTGTCATTTTTCTTTTTCACTTCTAGACTGAATTAAATATTTTTAAAAATCTCTACTAGGACAATCAGTTCCTAAAAGATTCTTAGCATGACAAATAAGGTGAAAGTTAAAGCAAACACCAAGTTTTGTTCCCAGTGAAGCTGTTCTTGCCTAAAAATGAGGACACATCATAGCCCATACTCACTTTTGTTTTAATAAGTAGGAAGAGATCTGAGCTAAAAATAAGGGTCTATTGCCCTTATAATAAACCACCAAGATCCCCTATCTTAACACTAACCTCTAACAAGTCTCTAAATAACCCCCCTTAGAAGAAAAAAAGCAACTTTTCTAATGCCTTTTTAAAAGAAATGACACATTTGAAAACCTAACCTAACCACCAATCCAAAATTCAGTATAGTCTTCTGTTCTTCAGGAGAAAGGAGTAGCTATAACCAATGAAATGCATATTCCCTTAATTCAATTTAATAAATATAGTCAGTTAACAGGGACACATTCCCATCACCTCTAAACTGGGCTCAGGATTTATAATGGACAAAAACTCTTCTAGAGATAATTTGATATAATAAGGTTCTTTCCAATGATTAGCTGCTTTTACTCAAGAGAGCCAGCTAGTCATTGATGTTTTATTATCAGAAAGGCACAGCTATTCGGGAGGCTGAGGCAGGAGAATCGCTTGAACCCGGAGGCAGAGACTGCGGTGAGCCGAGATCACACCATTGCACTCCAACCTGGGCAACAAGAGCAAAGCTCCATCTCAACCAAAAAAAAAAAAAAAAGGCAACGATGCTTTAGATTGATCACTAAGTACTACATAATTCTATAACACAAAGACTACATAATTCTTTAAGCAGTAAAAAATTGAAAGGCAAATTTCTTAAATTTTACATAAGCCCAATGAAATCTTAAGATGTTAAGCTCTAATATTCAATAAACCCACAAGATGTTGTACTTACTGCTGGCTGTACTTCCTCCACTCTGATTATCTGAAGAGTTCAGGTCTAGGCCAGCAAACTAGAAGAGAGTGAGATGGTTAGCACCCCATGTGCTCAAATACTACATTAAGAGAAAACTAGTCCTGCCCTCTAGCATTTGCTAGTACTGCATTCAAGTAGTTGCCCAGTCCACCTCACAGGGCTAATACCAACCCTTAATGAGAATGTGACTAAGAATGTTTTCAAGTCTGCAATGCTCTAAGCAAATGCAATATTACTATTGTATATACTACAGAAGGCGGCACACCAAGATGCTTGTGCTGTTCAGTAGAAACTGTCCAAATTTAATTCATGCATTCAAAATAAATTTTCACTAACATGTTCCATAGCACAGGCTCCCTAATCACCAAACTAAAGCTTACACTGAATCTCAAAATTATTCCTCAATGTCAAATAGATAAAGGATTCGTTTTAGTGCCGGTTATGAAAGTTTCCAATGCCAACTTTCCGTAATACTTGATATTTTAAACCTAAAATGCACACCTGAAAAATGTCAGGACAAATTTCGAAGTGGCCGTTCTTTTAGTTAGATACTTCATCCCTAAATATTGCCCAAGTATTTTTAGTCGGGTAGTACTCTTAAGAACAACAAAAAAATAGCAATATACCTACCACTTACAGAACACTATGTTAAGCACAACTCTTAAGTAGTTTGACTGTTTCGTTTGTTTTTATTTTTATTTTTTTTGAGACAGAGTCTCCCTCTGTCATCCAGGCTGGAATTCAGTCATGTGATCTCGGCTCACTGCAACCTCCACCTCCCCGAGTAGCTGGGATTACAGGGGTGCGCCACCACGCTAGGCTACTTTTTGTACTTTTAGTAGAGATGGGGTTTCGCCATGTTGCCCAGGCTGGTCTCCTGACCTCAGGTCAGGTGAACCACCTGCCTTGGCCTCCCAAAGCACTGGGATTACAAGCATGAGCCCGGCCTGAAGTAGTTACCTGTTTTTACCCCATTTTAACATAAGTTCAAAGATGACTTTGAATAAATGGCACAACTGGCGTTCAATGCTCTTAAAGAGTAGGACATCTTAGTGCCTTTCATCTCTATTTCTACCTATCCCCTTACACTGGTAGCTCAAAAGCCTCTTCATTCTAGAAAAGGGTTATGTGCTACCTTCATAACGTTTTATAACCAGGAACTACTCACAAGTAGTTGGGAGAAAAAACTATACATGCAAAGTGTTTCATTTTTCTCAAAAAAGCCACAAAAGACCAAGTCACACAGTACCGCTGCCAACCTGTTTGCAAAAGATGCACTACATACCATGTTTATAAATCTTGTGTTTAAAGCTCAGTATGATACGGCCAAACCGCATGCATCATCAATGGAGTCACTGAAAACTGGAAGCAGATGCTATACTTTTAAAAAATGAGTGTAAGACTTCAGGCACCTAATTTCCAGAATTTCTATGAGCAAAAACACCACTGCGCTTTCTCTTGCTACCATCAATACTTTAAAGCACGGTAGGAACACAAACTTTCCTTTTGCACTTGTTATAGCACAATTTTGCTTTTTAAATAAGGTTCACTGTTGCCTAGAATCCTTAAAAGGACACTATAGCTAAATGGAAAATGGTAAAACTGGGAATACTCTGTGCTGCTGGTAGGTTGTTAAAGTGTCTGTTCAATTCAACATGTGTCAGCAATTAGAGGATTTAATATAATTGGTTCATTAACGGGTAGAAAATGCTTCCAAAGGAACAGATCAATTCCTAAAAAATATTACATATGACTACATTAAACTATGTATTCAATTAATTTGTGCCACTAAACTTCGTCTCAGGATTATTCCGGAGTTTGTGAAATCAACGCTCCCCTAATCACAGTAGACAGTAGTTTATTTAAAAGCTCCGCATAACCCACACAAGAGCTTATCTGAAGCCTGGTGCCACTGTTGCGGTGGGATGCAGACTTCCTGCCACCAAAGTCCATAACCTTCTCCTCTCAAATCACACATCTTTCTCTCCTCTGCCCCTAAACCCTTAGAAGAGGGGATTCTGGCTAAGAGAAAAAACCCGGGGGCCTGGGACCCATTGCAAGATTCTACTCCACAGATAGCAACAAGTCAACAACAAAACTGTTTACTTCCCCCCTAAGCCGGGTGTTTTTCCAATGGCGGATTCCTGGATCACAGTCACTAACACGAAGACACTACCACAACCCGCGATGACCCCTCCACCCCAGAAAAACAACGCGGGACTCCCGGCTAACATACCACACAGGGACAATCTGGGGCAAGCAAGGAGGAGAAAGGGCCTCGCTGGCTCCCTAACCTCCCCGCCACGTCCAACCTCTATCTCCAGGGCCCAGCGCGCAGCGGCCAATTCCTGCCTCCCCTCCCCGCCCCCACCCCTCCCCCACTCCTCCCCAATCTTCTGCGTCACAAAACTTTCCACTCCGGAAACGCAGCCTCCCCGGCTGCGGCGCAGGGCCCCCGGACCCTGCGGAACCTGGGCTGAAGCGAAAAAGCCAGCGGAAGGAACCCGGGAAAAAACAAGAAACCCATTCCATCCTCCTTTCCAGGCCTTCGCCCGCCCGAGACCCGCCGTCTCCCGGAGGTGAGCCACAGCGCCGCCCAGCACCACACAAAAGAGGCCGCCGCCATTACCCCGAGCGAAGGCCGCCCCCTCCCACATTCCTGGGCCGCGTTCTACCCCTTGCTCGCAGGCACGCAAACACCGGGTGCCGCCAGGTCCTCCGGACGGGAATCCAGGCTGCGCCAGCCGTGAAGGCCGAAGCCCTCCAAGCCAAAAGGGCCTCCAGTCGCGTCCCGCCGCGCTGCGCACTCCCGCAAACCCCCCCAGGTCACTAATCAGTCGGGATTCGCGCATGCGCGTCCCCGCGAGAGCGCGCGCACTTCCTCCCCCTCCGCCCGCCTGCGCACGCACACACAAAAGCCGCCATTGTGCTCGTCCCGGGGACAATACAGCGGGCCGAGACCGGGCCCGGGCGACAGCCCCAACCAACATTCCTATCCCTCTATAGCCCCGGGGCACTCACACCCGCCAGCCCGGGGCACCCAGAAAATGAAAAGTAAGGGTGCCGGTTAGCGCTGCGCCATTAGCCAGGTTAGGTCAGGGGAGGAATTCACGCAGCAGCCAGCCCGGTGGGGTTCTTGCGGCTCACCTGCTGGTCCAGCCCGAGCGCATTTTCCACTGCCACATGACTCATCCCTGAAGAGTACCGAGAACTCGGAGTCTTCCGCTGCTAAGCGAGTGTTTGTTCCACCGCGAAGGCCCTCTCACGGGAGAACTGCGGCTCTGGAGCGCACCGCGCGGCCACGGATCTAATATACCCGCTGGAAAGCCGGCTACGTCAGCACGTACAACGTGTGCCCTCCCTCTCACACCGCAATTCCCTGTCGCGGCGACTTCTGCCCGGCTACTGCGCGCTCCCTCAGGTCTAAGCTCAAGGGATTTCCTACTTAGTCCTGTCGCCCCTAGCAGTCCTGCCTTGGAGCTTAGGGTGCGAAATGCTGTCCCAGTTCTCTCGAGCTACACTTCCCGTGCTCTCCGCTAAAACCCTAGTCTCAGCCTCGGAGTTCTCGAGATCTCGCGAGAACTTGCGTCTCCCGCTTTCCACCGGCTAAGACGCCTGAAAATGTTAACCTAGGCCTCTTCGCCCCCCTTTCCAACCTTACGCATTCGCTCCCCTTTCCAACTCTATGCACTCAGCTTTCGTTTTTCGTTTTTTTTGTTTTTGTTTTTTTTTTCCTAACACTGGCCTTCACTCTTCTTCCTCTCTCAGTTCCCGGGCTTGGAGATGTGGTGGGATTTCTCCGGTCTAATCTGCCCTCGCTCTTCCGCGGGTAGCCTCCCCTTAGTGGGAGCTAGGCAGATTCCCGAAACTGAGAGGGCGGCAGGCCACGTGACCGTAGGTGTCGCGTGCGGTGGCCATTTTGTGAAGCAGGAAACGGTGGCTTGAATATAGAGTGCTCCGGACGGGGGAGGGGAGGGGAAGAGGAGGAGAGAACAGAGGGAAGGGGAGGAGAGGGAGGGAAAAGAGGGGAGCGGAGTAAGGGGAAAGGAGGAGGGAGGAGGGTAGGATGGTGACCGGGGCGGGAGTCGGGGGGAAATGGAGGGGAGCCGGCGGCGCGCGCAGGTGGCCGGACACCTTCCTGCGCGGTTGCCTAGGCAGCGGGGGCGCCGCCTAGAAACACACAATGGCCCCTCCTGGCCAACCCCCCGACGTGTGCGCGCGCGCCTCCGCCCCCGCCCCCCGCGGTGAGGGAACAATGAGACAGACACGCGCTGATCCGGAACCGCCGCTGGCGCGCCCTCCCGGGACCCCGGCTCTCCGCAGGAATGCGGGCTACATTTGCCCCTAGTTTCCTCCCGCGGGGCGCCCAGCGGCTTAGGGCCGGTGACCACCGGCGTTGCGGGGACCCCGCGGGTGGCGAACGGCTCTTCTAGGGCCCAAGGGTGTCGGGAATGTTTGTAGCCGGTGCAACCTGGGCCTGCCGGAGGGGCTGCAGCGGGGTTACCGGCCTGGGCTCGGGGTGACTCTCAGGCCGCTGCGGTGGATGAGGAACAGGAGGAACCGGGTTTCTACCGTCGGTGGAACCTCTTCCTGTGGTTCCCTCCTAGGCAGGCCACCCCAAGTCCCGGCTTCGGTGCCGCAGGCCCTTAAATAGAAGAAGGTGTTTACTAGTGGATTCCCGGCTTTGAGCCGGCGCCCGCACATCCGTAGTTTCTTATGACCGCTTTCCCCTCTCTTCTGACCCTCAGCCCTACGAAATTAAATAAAACGCAGTGGTTTCCACCACCCCCACAAAAGGTCTTCTGCTGCCAGAATTCAAATAGTTCGTGCTCATCACATAATTTACTATACACATAACTTCTCTCCCTTCTCAATTTTTAAAATCGAGACGGAAATTCGAACGAGATAGGGAGAGAATATCACACTGTCGGGGGCAAGTTGTTTAACGGCTTTGGGTCTCAATTTGCTCATCTATAAAAGGAGTCTGCTACATTCCATAACCCTGTGAAAGACCCAACTCCTTTTCATAACGAGTATTTTCTAACGCCCCCTTTACCTATACTGAAATAACAAAACCTAAATTGTTTATGTAAACCTACAAACACAATTTCAAAAAACATGATCTGTCAACAAACGAAAGCAAAATGATTATAATAAAACAATGTATTATAATATGTAAATGCCGCCGCACAGCTACACTAACTGGTGGGAAGACACTTGCCCAGTAGAGCCACAAATGCAAACTGGAAAGGTGTGTTGATTTCACAACTCAAGTTCCATGAGCAGCATTGCTACTAGGAACCTCATTTTCCAAAATGATGAACTATTAATAATTTTTAAATAAAACAGTACAATCTTCCTTCAATTGAAACAGTACCTGCATTTGTGGAAAATTCAGGATATATGGAAACTGGGCAAAGATACTTTGTGTTCATATGTAAAACAGTGTTAGTTCTAGGCTTAGATGATAATGAACTAGTTTTTCACCGACATGTGTCCAGTGATTCAATTATTCGCTCTGTGGGACTGACCAGCATCATAGAACATCCTAGCGTGCCTGGCTCCTGCCCACTAAATGCCAGTAGCTCTCGCCAGTCATTGTGACAACCAGAAATACACAGATTTCTACAATGCCCCTTGGAGAGCCACTAGGTTTAATGATATTAGGGTCCCTTCCTGCCCTGAGATTCGTGGATTCTCATGGAGTTTTGGTGAAGGACCTCGGTTTTGTTTCAGTTTCGTTTTCCTATGAACCAGGGTAAACATGAGTCAGGTTCGAAAACTGTGAGTTCCGACAGCTCTTCAAACTGCATATAGCAACAATGGGATGCACTGACTACCCTGGTTCTGGGCTTTGTTTTACTTTTGAGTAGAGCCGAGTACAGGGTACCGCCATGGGAGTACCTAAAAGAATTGAAATATACAGCAGTTCCCTATTTTCAATTAACCCCTGCTCATAGGCATACTTGGTTCAAACCACCAGGGTATTTTGTTAATCAATACGTTATAATTGGAATATCCAATTGGAGAGGAAGCGGGAAAACATACAAAGCTTTGTCTTTAAACACATTCACTTTGAAAAAGAATGATGTGCACACTTGAGGCAGCTAAATAAATGAGCCAACTTTCACAGCACTCCGAATGACTTTTCCGTTTAGCAACATTTGCATATTTTCTCCACATGGCAGTTATTTGCAAATTTTATTTGAAGTGACCTAAAAAAGGGTTAGAAATGGCTGAAACCAGGCCGGCCGCGGTGGCTCACGCCTGCAATCCCAGCACTTTGGGAGGCCGAGGCGGGCGGATCACGAGGTCAGGAGACTGAGACCATCCTGGCTAACACCGTGACACCCCGTCTCTAAAAAAAATACAAAAATTAGCCTGGGCGACAGAGCAAGACTCCGCCCCCCCCCAAAAAAAAAAAAGAAAGAAATGGCTGAAACCAGGGAAATTTTTTTTTGCACGCTCCCTTTCTTAATGTTTCCAGGCATTTTAACT
Organism: Homo sapiens; assembly: GCF_000001405.40. Classification (NCBI taxonomy): domain Eukaryota; kingdom Metazoa; phylum Chordata; class Mammalia; order Primates; family Hominidae; genus Homo; species Homo sapiens. The sequence goes on along the minus strand of NC_000023.11, from coordinate 41,330,946 downwards.
GTTCATATTGAAGCAAATGTACTTCCTGCAACACCGCCCCCTCCCTCCACTTCCACCCCCATTCCTGGAGGTAGCGCAGTGAACCAGAGCCTGGGAATTGCAATTCCTCTAACTACCAGTTCAGCTCCCTGCTTACAGGCACCAGGCAACTCCCTTGACAGTGCCCTGGCTTCCTTATCTATAAAGTTGGAATAAAAGTAGTCTCTGCCTCCAAGAGTGTTTGGGATTCAAGGGCTTGTGCATGAATTGAAAGTGCTCTGCGAGGCAGGGCGTGGTGGATAATGCCTGTAATCCCAGCACTTTGGGAGGCCTAGGCACGCGGGATCACTTGATTCCAGGAGTTACGGCTTGGTGGCGCGCGCCTGTAATCCCAGCTACTCCAGAGGCTGAGGTGGGAGAATCGCTTGAGTCCAGGAGGTGGAGTTTGCAGTGAGCTGAGATTGCGCCACTGCACTCCAGCCTGGGCGACAGAGTGAAACTCGTCTCAAAAAGAAGGCGGGGGTGGGGGGGAGGAGAGGTAGTGTTTAAGATCTTTTTTTTTTTTTTTAAGTGTTTTGCAGGGAGTAAGAGCTTAGTACCAAGTGGCTCTGGATCCACATAACACGTGTCTAGCTCCCCATCCTCTCAACTCCCTTAGTAGAGTAGGTTGCTCTGGGCACTGGGCTCCCACAGTCTCCACTGTTCAAACTTCCACTGTAATTCCGTGTGGTACTGCAGCTGTGTGTGAGCCCACAGAGGACAGGAAATTTGTCACACCTCTCTATGCAGAATGGAGACAGAGATAGACTGAAATCACATTATTGCGATGCACATAAATAATGTGCCCAAGTAACCTAAAACCTGGGACAAAGATAATTAGACTATTCCGAAGCTAGAAGAAAAGGAGTTGTAAAAGGGATTCCAAGAGATAGGTACCTTAAAGCCTTTAGTGAATTTCATGATTGTCAGTCATTTTTCTGCAAGGTCCAGGGGAAGGGCCTCCTGGGTCCAGCTGATCCATACTTTTCTTTAGGGTGGATTTGGAATAAAGTTCAAAGACATAGAACTTCCCTATAATAAGAAGGATAATTATAGGTGTGGAGGTAAATGCAGTTCCGTACTTACTCTCTCTGTTTTTTGTTTTTTGTTTTTGAGACGGAGTCTCGCTCTATCACCCAGGGGCTGGAGTGCCATGGCACGATCTCGGCTCACCGCAATCTCCGCCTCCTGGGTTCAAGCGATTCTCCTGCCCCAGCCTCCCGAGTAGCTGGGATTACAGGCATGCGCCACCACGCCCAGCTAATTTTCTATTTCTAGTAGAGACGGGGTTTCTCCGTGTTGGTCAGGCTGGTCTCGAACTCCCGATCTCAGGTGATCTGCCCGCCTCGGCCTCCCAAAGTGCTGGGATTACAGGCGTGAGCTACCACGCCTGGCCTTAGGCAATTATTATACTCTCAAACAGCAGATCCGGCCTGGAATCTGCTTTCCTTCCTCAAAGAAGACAAGATCAAAAACAAAATTGTATCAAAGGGCATCTTTTCTACCACTAAAATTGCTAAAAATATTTTCAAACAGCAAAGCTCAGTGCATTTCTGCCTTTGTTCATGCAAAGTGACCGAAGACTGAAGTCTTGGAAGTATAGTGAAGGGGGTTGGGTCATATGCCCTCAGGAGGCCGAGCTGCCTCTTAGGTAGTAGGGGCATTTTAAGCAATCACTCTCTCAGGTGATGCAGAACTTAAAGCCTAGCCTTACCTCACAGATAGGGCTGTGGGCTGCATAGCAGTCCTTTGTTGGAATTATATGCTCTGTACTTCAAACCAATTTACTCTCCCCTACACCTTCCTACTTACAGATTATTGCTGTTATTGTCCTACAGACCTTCTTTGATGTCTATTAGAGTTAATCATTTTTAAAGCTTTTAAAACTTTTTCAAGGTTTTTTTTGTTTGTTTGTTTTTTTGAGACAGAGTCTCGCTCTGTCACCCAGGCTGGAGTGCAGTGGCGCGATCTCGGCTCACTCCAAGTTCTGCCTCCCAGGTTCACACCATTCTCCTGCCTCAGCCTCCCAAGTAGCTGGGACTACAGGCGCCCACCACCACGCCCGGCTAATTTTTTGTATTTTTAGTAGAGACGGGTTTTCACCGTGTTAGCCAGGATGGTCTTGATCTCCTGATCTTGTGATCCGCCCACCTCGGCCTCCCAAAGTGCTGGTATTACAGGCGTGAGCCACCGCGCCTGGACCTTTTTCAAGGTTTTAACTTTGAATTATTTAAAGACTTTCTTTTTTTTTTTTTTTTTAAAGAGACAGGGTCTCAATCTGCTGTCCAGGCTGGACTGTAGTGCACTTATAGCTCTCTGCAGCCTCAAACTCATGAGCTAAAGTGGTCCTCCAGCCTCAGCCTCCTAACGTGCTGGGATTACAGGCATGGGCCACCACACTCAGCCCTTTAAAGATATCTTGCTATAACTGTCCAACCCAGTGTCCTCTCAAGAAATACAAACTGAGCACAGTGGTTCATGCCTGTAGTCCTAGCTACTTGGGAGGCTGAGGCTGGAGGATCTCTTTAGCTCAGGAGTTTGAGGCTGCAGAGAGCTATGAGTGCACTACAGTCCAGCCTGGACAGCAGATCGAGGCCCCATCTCTTAAATAAATAAAAATTAAAAAAAAAAAAAAAGAAGAAAGAAAGAAAAAGAAAAACTGGGCCAGGCTTGGTGGCTCACGCCTATAATCTCAGCTTTGGGAGGCCAAGGTGGGAGGATCCATTGAATCTAGAAGTTTGAGACCAGCTTGGGCAACATAGCAAGCTCCCATCTCTACAAAAAATAAAAAATTAGCCAGGTGTAGTGGCATGCACCTGTAGTCCCAGCTACTCAGGAGGCTAAGGCACAGGGTGAGACCCTGTCTCAAAAAAAAAAAAAAAAATTGCCAGGCGCGGTGGCTCACGCCTGCAATCCTACCACTTTGGGAGGCTGAGGCGGGCAGATCACCTGAGGTCAGGAGTTCAAGACCAGCCTGGCCAGCACGGCAAAACCCCGTCTCTACTAAAAATATTAAAAAAAATTAGCCGGGCATGTTGGCGGGCGCCTGTTATCCCAGCTACTCAGGAGGCTGAGCCAGGAGAATCGCTTGAACCTGGGGGGCGGAGGTTGCAGTGAGCCAAGATCACCCCACTTCACTCCAGCCTGGGCAACAAGAGCAAAACTCTATCTCAAAAAACAAACAAACAAACAAAATGGATCATTTGTCCCATAGAACTTTCCAACCTCTCCCCCTCTACCTCACCCTTTGTGTGTCTACCAGAGTTTTCTTCTTGAACACAGTCCTGTTGTGCCATTTCCCTGCTTGAAAACCTCTGACACCTCCCATGGCATTCAAGGTCATTGCAGACCTAGTGCCTATCCAGTCACGATGGCTCCTATCCTCCATGGTTCCCCACCCATCTTGTGCACTTTGCCCCCTTTTACCACCCCACCCCCAGGCTGCACTTTTTGCTCCTCTACTGGACTTCTCACTATTCTCTGAGCATGCTCAGCATCTCCCCACCTCTGCACCTTTGTTCACCACGTCCCTCCCGGCACCTGTGCTTCCACCTTCTAATCCCTGCATACACACTCACTCAGCCAATGACAGTTAATTTTAATGTGTCAACTTGGCTAGGCCACGGTACCCAGATATTTGGTCAAACATCAGTCTAGACGTCACTGTAAATATATTTTTTATTATTTTTTATTTTTTGAGATGGAATCTCGGTCTGTCGCCCAGGCTGGAGTGCAGTGGTGCAATCTTGGCTCACTGCAACGTCCACCTCCCGGGTTCAAGCGATTCTCCTGCCTCAGTCTCCCGAGTAGCTGGGATTACAGGTGTGCACCACCACACCGGCTAATTTTTTTATTTTTAGTAGAGATGGGGTTTCACCATGTTGGCCAGGCTGGTCTCGAACTCCTGACCTCAGGTGATCCACCCGCCTCAACCTCCCAAAGTGCTGGGATTATAGGCATAAGCCACCGCGCCCAGCCATGTAAAGGTATTTTTTAGATGAGACTGATATTTGAATCAGTAGACTGAATAAAGTGGGTTAGCCTCCATATTGCAGGCAGGCCTCATCCAGTCAGCTGATGGCTTTAAAACACTGAGGTCTCCCTAGGAAGAGGGAATTCTGCCTCCAGACTCCCTTTAGACTCAAGACTGCAACATCAACTTTTCCTTGGGTCTCCAGCCTGCAGCTTGTCCTAAAGATTTTGGACTTGCTAACCCCACTATCATGTAAGCCGATTCATTAAATACATACATACTCTCTCTCTTCTCTCTTTCTGTCTCTCTCTCTTTCTCTCTCTTTCTCGCTCTCTCTCTCTCCATACACACACACACATACCCATGCATCCTATTGGTTCTGTTTCTCTGGAAGACCTTGACTAATACAGTCTTTCCTGCTCTGTGCTCCCGTAACCCTCTTTCTATTTCTATCTTTGCCTGTCTTGTATGATATGTAATCAGACACAGGTCGGTTTTTTTTTGTTTTTTTTTTTGAGACAGTCTCACTCTGTCGCCCAGGCTGGAGTGCAGTGGTGCAATCTTGGTTCGCTGCGACCTTTGCCTGACGGGTTCAAGCAATTCTCCTGCCTCAGCCACCCGAGTAGCTGGGATTACAGGCGTGCACCACCACACCCGCCTGATTTTTGTATTCTTAGTAGAGATGGGATTTCACCATGTTGGCCAGGCTGGTCTCAAACTCCTGGCCCCTTGTGATCCTCCCGCCTCAGCCTCCCAAAGTGCTGAGATTACAGGCATGAGCCACTGCGCCTGGCCCACAGGTCAGTTTCCTCCACAGCTACACGTTTACTGAGGGCAGACCATTTCTCCTTGTCTGCACATCTCCATGGAGCCTAGTGCCTTTTTTTTTTTTTTTTTAAGAGACAGGATCTCACTCTGTCACCCATACCGGAGTTGCAGTGGCATGATCATAGCTCATTGCAGCCTGGAACTCCTGGACTCAAGTGATTCTCCTGCCTCAGTCTCCTGAGTAGCTAGGACCACAGAGGTGCACCACCGTGACTGGCTAGGTTTTTAAATTTTTTTTTGTAGAAACGGGGTCTCACTATGTTGCCTAGGCTGGTCTTGAACTCCTGGGCTCAAGCGATCCTCCCATCTCGGCCCCTCAAAGTGCTGGGATTATAGGCATGAACCACCTTGCCTGGCCTCTTAAAGGTCCTGCTCCACCAAGAAAGGAGACGGCCCAAAGCACAGGCAGGAGAACTAGGGAAATGGAGAGCTTGAACAGCATCAAGGGAGAAGGAGCCAACCCAGAAAGGAAACACATGGCAGGGGTTACCAATGCAGATGTCTCCAGGGCTGGGCAGGTCATGTGGATGGAGGAGGCAGCAGAGAACAGATGAGGGTGGGATGGGGTGATCGGCATGGGTGCCCCATGAAGGGCCAGCCCCTTATTTCCCTATGGGAATATAGGCACAGTGATGCCAGCTTTTTCAAGAGAGGCTGGAAATCCAGATTTTTGTGTGAAATGTCCCAATTTGTAACTGTTGGCAGCTAATTCTGATTATTTCAGTGTACTGTTTGTGTCTAGAAGGCTTCAGGGCTACTGGTACTGTTCTGTTTTTCAGCCGGGTTGATGGGTAGATGAGTGTTTGGTTTTCCTGTATTTTTCTTGCCTTATAGAAATATAAATATCAGCTGGGTGTGGTGGCTCACACCTGTAATCCCAGCACTTTGGGAGGCCAAGGTGGGTGGATCACCTGAGGTCAGGAGTTCAAGACCAGCCTGGCCAACATGGTGAAACCTCGTCTCTACTAAAAATCCAAAAATTAGCCACGTGTGCTGGCACATGCCTGTAATCCCAGCTACTTGGGAGACTGAGGCAGGAGAATTGCTTGAACCCCGGGTTGGGGGTGGAGGTTGCAGTGAGCCGAGATTGCGCCACTGCACTCCAGCATGGGTGAAAGAGCAAAACTCCATCTCAAAAAAAAAAAAAAGAAAGAAAGAAAAAGAAATATTATAAATATCATTTCTTATGTATTCAAAATTAAGTTGAGAACTCTTGAAACCCTTTCTGTGAGTTCAGTTTCGCTGGCAGACCACCCGTTTGCATCCCCGCTGTGCATTAGTTTGTTGTTTTGCATTGCTTGTTGATTAAATGAGGTTTGTGGCTGTACACCTTCACTTGAATATTAATCAGTTAAGTGTTACTTTGTGCTGAAAATAGAAAAAGTCAGCGATGCTGTTTCTTCTACAAGAATTGTTCTGTGAAAGGAAAAATGTTGCAGCTCACCAACTGCCACCCACTCTTTCCTCTCTGGAATATTTTTGAACCTATCATGTGTTACCTTTCACACAACTTGATATTGAATATAAGAAGAAATATTAATCATTTTGCATAAACCAGAGTCTGGCTTCAAACATATACATGATTTTGATAAAGTCTGTGTGTGTGTATATGAAGGCACAATTTGCATCTCAGAATCTAAGAGACATCTAAATACTGGCATCAAGGATATATAGCTGTCTTTGGTTCCAAAGTTGTCCAGCATATATTTTGAATGAAGCAACCATGAGTCACTTGCAGCCTGGAACAAGTTACTTCACCATTCTGTGCCTCAATTTCCTCACTTACAAGTTTCTAGGCTGGGTGCGGTGGCTCACACCTGTAATCCCAGCACTTTGGGAGGCTGAGGTGGGAGGATCACTTGAGCCTGGGAGTTCGAGCGGGCAACAAAGTGAGACCTCATCTCTATAAAAAATAATAATAATAAAATAAATAAATAAATAAAATACATTTCTACATATGGGTGATACATTATTTTATCTAGGTGGCAGAAGTAAACCACGGAAGAGGAAAGTACCAAATCAAATCAAATTATTTTACTTATTCAAGAGATGTTTATTGGATAAGTGTGGTGGCTTACGCCTATAATCCCAGCACTTTGGGAGGCTGAGGCAGGTGGATCACCTGAGGCCAGGAGTTTGAGACCAGCCTGGCCAACATGGTGAAACCCCATCTCTACTAAAACTACAAAAAGTATTAGCTGGGTGTGGTGGCATGCACCTGTAATCCCAGGTACTCGGGAGGCTAAGGCAGGGGAATCGCTTGAACCCGGGAGGTGGAGGTGGCAGTGAGCCAAGATTGCGCCACTGCACTCCAGCTTGGGTGACAGAGTAAGACTCCATCTCAAAAAAAAAAAAAAAAAAAAGAGACGTTTATTGAACACCATGCTAAGTAAGGGCTCTGGGGAAGACAAAGAAGTTTAGGACATGGCCTCTGCTGTCATGGAATTGGAGACACAAGACACATGCACAAAAAGATTGTGACACAACATGAGGCAGTATGTAGTGCCAGTCATCTAGACTGTGAGCTCCTCTACGGTGGGGCCTGCATTCTATTCATCTTTGTAAATGTGGAACAAATGAATGAATAGTACCAAAAGCACAGTAGCTGTTCTAAGGAGAAAAATGCCATCATGGACTCGAAAGTTCATGAAGTGGTCCTTCCTGTGGCTGACATCATCGGGAGATTTGCTTTCCTTTTCTCCGAAAGGAGAGGAAATTGGAACTGAGTGGCCCATGATGGAAAGGGGAAGTCTAGGGGAACAGGAAGCCCCTGGGTGAAGGCAGAGGCTAACATGGGGTTCAGAGCGACCGTGGCCGTCGGCCTGACCATCTTTGTGCTGTCTGTCGTCACTATCATCATCTGCTTCACCTGCTCCTGCTGCTCCCTCTACAAGATGTGCCGCTGACCATGTCCAGTTGTGAGCACCACCACGCCCACCACTGTGGTGCATGCCCCTTACCCTCAGCCTCCAAGTGTGCCACCTAGCTACCCTGGACTACCAGGGCTACCACCCCATGCCCCCCCCAAGCCAGGAATGCCAGCAGCATCCTACCCAGTGCAGTACCCATCACCTTACCCGGCCCAGCCCATGGGCCCGCCGGCCTACTTCGAGACCCTGGCTGGAGGAGCAGCCACGCCCTACCCCACCAGCCAGCCTCCTTCCAACCCAGACTACATGGATGCCCCGAAGGCGGCCCCCTGAGCATGCCCTGGCCTCTCTGGCTGCCACTTGGTCATGTCATGTGTGTGTGAGTGGTGTGCAGGCACGGTTCCTTATGCCCCGTGTGTGCTATGTGTGTCCTGTCTGTATACGTGGCTTCCTCTGATGCCGACTAGGTGGGGAGTGATCCTTGCCAGCAGAGTGGGTTGGGACCAGACTTTGTTATCTTCCTCACCTGAAATTATGCTTCCTAAAATCTCAAGCCAAACTCGAAGAATGGGGTGGTGGGGGCACCCTGGGAGGTGGCCCCTGAGAGGTGGAGGGCTCTCCAGGGCACATCTGGAGTTCTTTTCCAGCTTCCCCTAGGGTGACGGAGTGTGGCCTGTCACACTAGGATGGCGCAGCTTTCTGTGAGTATGATACAGATGTGTCCTGATTTCAGCAGCGTAGCCAGCTGCCACTTGAGGCCATGGCTTGTCCCCAGAGTTGGGGGTACCCTTCGCAGAGCCAGAGACATAATGTAGGTAAAGCTTGGGATCTGACCAAATTGGGCTTTGATCCTTTGGGCCGATGTCCCATTGCTCCCTGGAGCCTGTGTCATGCCCATTGGGGGTCAGGCAGCCTCCTGATGCCAGAACACCTCAGGCAGAGCCCTACTCATCTGAGAGCTGTCTGCCTGGACTGTTCCTGTCCCTGCATCCTCCCTGGGACCACTTGGAGGACCACATCCACACCCAGCCTAGCTGCCCACAGGGAGCTCTCCTGCCCTTGCTGGCCCTGCCCTTCCCACAGGTGAGCAGGGCGGCCTGTCCACCAGCACACTCAAGCCTCTTCCCTGCAGTGTTTTCATTTTATTTTAGCCAAACATTTTGCCTATTTTCTGTTTTTGTTTTTGAGACAGAGTCGCTGTGTTGCCCAGGCTGGAGTGCAGTGGCATGATCTCGGCTCACCGCAACCTCTGCCTCCCAGGTTCAAGTGATCCTCCTGCCTCAGCCCCCCTAGTAGCTGGGATTACAGGCATGTGCCACCATGCCCGGCTAATTTTTTTTTTAGTAGAGATGGGGTTTTGCCATGATGGCCAAGCTGGTCTCGAACTCCTGACCTCAGGTGATCCACCCACCTCGGCCTCCCAAAGTGGTGGGACTACAGGCATGTTTTCTGTTTTAAAACATGATAGTTGATGTGAGACTGAAACCCCTGGGTTGTGGAGGGAAATTGGCCCGGAGGAGAGGAATAACCTGGCTAATGTGAGAGTTCCTGCTTCCCCTGACACCGGCTTCATGGAATATGCAACTCCTGTACCCCAGTCCAATGTGTTCTGGCAGCAGGGACACCTGGGCCAAGGGGCTGTCTGGACCAAAGGTGGGGTGTGGGGCCCTGGATGGCAGCTCTGGCCCAGACATCAATACCTCGGTGTTCCCCGTCCCTCTGTTACTGTTTCACCAGAGCTGTCTCATGGAGGGAAAATTGACAAGACAAGGTCCTGATTAGAGATGGGGCTGGAAAGCATTCTCAGGTTTTGAGGCTCAAGTATTTACTGCAATGAAAATGTAAGGGCCGGGCGCGGTGTCTCATGCCTGTAATCCCAGCACTTTGGGAGGCCAAGGCAGGAGGATCACCTGAGGTCAGGAGTTCGAGACCAGCCTGACCAACATGGTGAAACCCCATCTCTACTAAAAATACAAAAATTAGCCAGACGTGGTGGCAGGCGCCTGTAATTCCAGCTACTAGAGAGGCTGAGGAAGGAGAATTGCTTGAACCTCGGAGTTGGAGGTTGCAGTGAGCTGAGATCACACCATTGCACTCCAGCCTGAGCAACAAGAGCAAAACTCCATCTCAAAAAAAAAAAAAATTAGTATGAGCGCGGTGGCTCACGCCTGTAACCCCTGTCTCTAACTAAAAACACCAAAATTAGCCGGCCGACCATGGTGGTGTGCACCTGTAGTCCTAGCTACTGGGGAGGCTGCAGCAGGAGAATCGCTTGAACCCAAGAGGCAGAGGTTGCAATGCTGGATATTGTACCACTGCACTCCAGCCTGGGCTACAGAGTGAGACTCCAACTCAAAACAAACAAAAAAAGAAAAGAAAAAAGAAAGAAAGAAAGAAAAAAATTTAATCAGTCCTATATAAGCAAGATCAGGCCTTACACTTCAAAAAATTCTTGGTGGAGAACTGCAACCTGAAACCAATGGTTCAATCCCCTTCTTGCTGCTGGATCCCTTCGTTCCTCCCAAATGTGTCATCAGACACACTTTTCTAGTTACCTGGGCAGAGAGGATCCTTCTCTACTTGGAATATAGGCCACTGGATAATAAATCTTATCTTGCCTTCCTCGAAGAGTCAGTGCAAAAATGAGGCAGCTTGTCATGTGAGGCAAGTCCTTTAAGCTTCTCAGATGAACGTTGCTATATTAGGACCGAGGACTGTTATGCAATAAGACCTATCTACACCTTTCCTTGATGCCTGAGCTTCACAGCAAAGACCACTTGTTGAACTAACAGTTGTCATTGTATTTTTGAAAAATGATCATTTATAGGGGTGAATCCGCCATAAATTTCACAAGATCTCAGTTTAGATATTAGCCATTTTGGCATTTTGGAAAAGAATCTTGCAGAAAATGAACCAGTGGTAATCATGATGAAAATAATGGCTGGAAATGTTTTTATAGAATATACTATAACCTGTATATAGCAAGAATAATACTAAGATTTCAACTGGTTTGTAACTGACAAGCAAGGAGTGGCCTTCGCCACTTCCCTGGCCAGAGCATGTGCTCTGCCTTGAGGTCCCACAGCCTGCTTTCCATCCCTTACCACACTTCCACGGAAGGCATGTGCTCAGAAGTCTCTGTCCCGGCCAGGTGCCATGGCTCACACCTGTAATCCCACCACTTTGGGAGGCCAAGTCAGGTGGATCACCTGAGGTCAGGAGTTCGAGACCAGCCTGGCCAACATGGTGAAACCCCATCTCTACTAAAAATACAAAAATTAGCCAGGCGTGGTGGTGGGGGCCTGTAGTTCCAGCTACACGGGAGGCTGAGGCAGGAGAATCACTTGAACCTGGGAGGCGGAGGTTGCAGTGAGCCGAAATTGTGCCACTGCACTCTATCTGTGTGACAGAGTGAGACTCTATCTCAAAAAAAAAAAATGTCTCTGTCTCCACTAGACTGTGAACACTTAAAGGCAACTGTATTTTATTCATTTTCAGATCACTAGCACCTGGGACTGAACCTGGAACATAGTAGGTACTCAATAAACATTGACTGAATGGGTAGATGAAATTTGTACATGCCCTTACTTGGCATGGATGACAGGGCAGGCCAGGAGATGATAATAATTATTATTATTTTTGTAATTTTCATTTTTATTATTTTGACATAGGGTCTCGCTGTCACTCCAGGCTGGAGTGCAGTGGCATGATCCCAGCTCACTGCAGCCTCCAACTCCTGGCCTCAAGCGATCCTTCCACCCCACCCTCCCAAGTAGCTGGGACCACAGGCACATGCTACCATAGATGGCTAATTTTTTTTTTTTTTTGTATTTTTTGTAGAGACGGGGTTTCGCCATGTTGCCCAAACTGGCCTGGAACTCCTGGACTCAAGCAATCTACCTGCCTCGGTCTCCCAAAGTGCTGAGATTACAGGCCTGAGCCACTGAACCCGGCCTGAGATCATTATTATTTTTTAACCTTTAAGGAGAAACCACATCAAAATTAAAAATTACTCTGCCAAAGACCCTGTTAAGAGGATGAAAAGACAAAGACTGGGAGAAAATATTTGCAAATCACATATCTGACAAAGGACTAGCATCTGGAGTATATAAAGAACTTGCAAAACTTATCAGTAATATTAGCCAGGCATGGTGGTGCATGCCTGTAATCCCAGCTACTTGGGAAACTGAGGCAGGAGAATGGCGTGAACCCAGGAGGCAGAGGTTGCAGTGAGCCGAGATCGCACCATTGCACTCCAGCCTGGGCAACAAGAGCAAAACTCCGTCTCAGAAAAAAAAAAAAAGAAAAGAAAAACTTATTGGTAATAAACAGTCCAATTAGAAAAAGGGCAAAAGACATAAACAGATATTTCCCTGAAGAGGATATACAGATGGCAATTAAGCATGTGAAAAGATGCTCACTGTCATTAGTCATTAGGGAAGTGCAAATTAAAACCACAATGAATCTCTATCACCACACACCTATCAGAATGGCAAAAATAAAAAATAGTGACATCAAATGCTGGAGACGCAGAGAAACTGGATCACTTGTAGATTGCTGGTGGGAATGTAAAATGGTACAACCATTCTGGAAATAGTTTGGCAGTTTCTTTCTTTATTTTTTTTTATTTATTTTTGAGATGGAGTCTCGCTCACCACAACCTCTGCCTCCCAGGTTCAAGTAATTCCCCTGCCTCAGCCTCCCTAGTAGCTGAAATTACAGGCTTGTGCCACCACACCTGGCTAATTTTTGTATTTTTAATACAGACAGGGTTTCGCCATGTTGGCCAGGCTGGTCTCGAACTCCTGACCTCAAGGTCTCGAACTCCTGACCTCGGCCTCCAAAAGTGCTGGGATTACAGGCATGAGCCACTGCGCCGGGCCTATTTATGTACCTATCTATCTATCTATCTATCTACTACCGTGTTGCCCAGGCTGCTCTTGAAGTCCTGGCCTAAAGCCATCCTTCTGCCTCAGCCTCCCAAAATACTGGGATTACAAGTGTGAGCCATGGCAGTTCCTTTTAAAACTAAAAACGGATTTACCATACAACCCCGCACTTGCATTTTTGGCCATTTATACCAGAGAAATGAAAGCTTATTTTTATACAGAAACTTCTACACAAATGCTCACAGCAGCTTTGTGATAGCCAAAGCCTAGAAACTATCCAAACGTTGCTCAATGGATGAATGGTTAACCAAACTCTGATACAGCCATACCATGGAGTACTACTCAGCAGTGAAAAAGAAATGAGCTATTGATAGAACAATATGGACGGATCCCCAGGGAATTATGTTGAGTGGAAAAAAAAACAGCCTCAAAAGGGTACATGTCACATGATTCCATTTATATCACATTCATTGAATAACATAATTCTAGAGATGGAGAACAGTTTAGTGTGGCCTGGGATTAGGGATGGGGGAGGAGGAGGGGAGTGGATGTGGCTATGAAGGGACAGCCCAAGGGAGCTTTGTGGTGATGGTAGAGTTAAGCATCTTGATGTGGTGCAACCTACATGTGATAAAATTGCATAGGGACACACACACACACACACGAATGAGCTCCTGTAAAACTGGCAAAATCTGAATAAGTTCTGTGGATTGTACCAATGGCAATTTCCTGGTTTTGATTTTGTACTATAGTTATGCAACTTCCTGTGAATCTAGAATTATTTCGAAATTAAATAGTTTAAAAAAGAAACTAGTCAGTATTTCTGACTCCCAACTTTGTTTTTTCTTTATGCACACTGTCTGTTTTTTTTTTTTTTTGAGACGGAGTCTCACTGTGTTGTCCAGGCTGGAGTGCAATGGCTTAATCTCAGCTCACTGCAACCTCTGCCTCCTGGGTTCAAGCAATTCTCCTGCCTCAGCCTCCCGAGTAGCTGGGATTATAGGCACCCACCAGCACGCCCAGCTAATTTTTGTATTTTTAGTAGAGACAGGGTTTCACCATGTTGGCCAGGCTGGTCTTGAACTCCTGACCTCAAGTGATCCACCCATCTCGGTCTCCCAAAGTGCTGGGATTACAGGGGTGAGTCACCGCGCCCAGCCCACACTGTCTCTCTCTCTCTCTCTTTTTTTTTTTTTTTGAGACGGAGTTTCACTCTTGTTGCCCAGGCTGGAGTGCAATGGCACAATCTCAGCTCACTGCAACCTCGGCCTCCTGGGTTCAAGCAATTCTCCTGCTTCAGCCTCCTGAGTAGCTGGGATTACAGGCGTGCACCACCACGCCCGGCTAATTTTGTATTTTTAGTAGAGAAGAGGTTTCTCTATGTTGGTCAGGCTGGTCTCGAACTCCCGACCTCAGGTGATCCACCCGCCTCAGCCTCCCAAAGTGCTGGGATTACAGGCATGAGCCACCGCGCCTGGCCACACTGTCTCTTTTAAAACTGTTTCTTACATCATGATGTGTGAGAACTTCGCAGCCATTAAAATATATGTAGAGCTTCAAATGTGCCTTTAAAGTTTGAATCTTTTGTGATTGTTTCATGGTGGTAATACTGGGAACGTATTTCTTTTAAAGGCCCAATACAGGTTCCTTCCCCTTCCTTCCTGGGCATGGAAATCATCATTGCCTTCCTCCTTGGTAAAACTCTTCTGACAAATGTTGGAGTAAAGTGTTTTCTTTTTCTGTTTCTTTTTCTTTTTCTTTTCTTTTCTTTTCTTTTTTTTAAGTCTAGTCAAGTGAAGCAGTGGGAGTGGAGAAGGAACAAAGAAATCTGTAAGTAGTTGTGATCAGCTAGTTGTAAACACCACTGCAGTCAGACCAGCCAGGGGTGAAGTGTTTTCTGAGGATCCTGGAAGATTAATATAGTGTCTAGAAACATAAACCAGTTGGCATTGTACATGCTAGAACATTCTTTTTTCTTGTTGTTGTCGTTGAGACAAGTCTTGCTCTGTCACCCAGGCTGGAGTGCAGTGGTGCAATCATAGCTCCCTGCAGCCTCAACCTCCTGGGCTCAAGCGATCCTCCTGCCTCAGCCTCCAGAGTAGCTGGGACTACAGGCGTGAGCCACTGCACCCATGCTAGAGTATCCTTTTTACTGTTTTCCCCAAAGTTTTATTGGCCAATTATGCTCTTTCATTCACCTACCTTTAATAGCAGGAAAGCCTCCTTACTTGGTAGTTAATTAATGATCACAAGCTCCTTGTATGCTTGCTTTCTTTTTTTTTTTCTTTGAGACAGAGTCTTGCTCTATTGTCCAGGCTGGAGTGCAGTGATGCAATCTCCAGATGCAATCACTGCAACCTCCACCTCCCAAGTTCAAGCGATTCTCCTGCCTCAGCCTCCCTAGTAGCTGGGACCACAGGTGTGCACCACCACGCTCAGCTAATTTTTGTTGTTGTTGTTGTTCTTGTTTTTGAGACAGAGCTTCACTCTGTTGCCCAGGCTGGAGTGCAGTGGCGTGAGCTTGGCTCACTGCAACCTCTGCCTCCCGGGTTCAAGCAATTCTCCTGCCTCAGCCTCCCGAGCAGCTGGGACTACAGGCACGCACCACCACGCCCAACTAATTTTTGTATTTTTAGTGGAGATGAGGTTTCACCATATTGGCCAGGCTGGTCTCGAACTCCTGACCTCGTGATCCTCTTGCCTTGGCCTCCCAAAGTGCTGGGATTACAGGCGTGAGCCACCTCGCCTGGCCTAATTTTTTTTTTTTTTTTTTTGTATTTTTAGTAGAGACGGGGTTGCACTATATTGGCCAGGCTGGTCCTGAACTGGTGACCTCAGGTGATCCGCCCACCTCGGCCTCCCAAAGTGCTGGGATTACAGGCGTGAGCTACCAAGCCCGGCCCTTGTATTATTTCTTGACCTCATCACAAGGACAAGTGATGAAGATTCTCCCAGGTCCTCCAATCTGAGGTGACCCTCTACTGGGTTGGCTGGGGAAGCTGAGAGAAAAGAAAGGCAAGTCCCGTTAGGGGAACTGTTTCTCCAGAAAGACCTGGGAGAGAGCGGCGTCGGGGTGGAATCAGGGCCTTCCTTGTTCTGTGGACCGGCCCCACCTCGGCTCCTGCTTTCCCTGTTGCCATTATTGCCTCTGGCCCCACAGCCCAGTGCTGCTGGGGAAGGACTGGAATGAGGTGATCCGTTTCTCGCGCTGCTGCCCGCTGGCTTCTCTGGCTGTCACAGATGGACTCCCAGTCAACTTTGTCAATTCTGAGTTCCTCCCTGTGGGAGGCCCCTGGGCAGCACTGACAAGAGAGTTTATGCCATACAGGAATTTGCACAAAGCCTCAGAAAACCAAAGGATTTGTCGCATCCTGTGAGACTAAGCCAGTCAAAGATCTGAGATGGTTGATGTTAACATACAGGGTGTCTGTGAAGTCTGGAAATGCACATACTATTACTATTTTTGTTGTTGTTTTTTGTTTTTGTTTTTTGAGACTGAGTGTTGCTCTGTTGCCCAGCCTGGAGTGCAAGGGTGCCACCCCTGCTCACTGCAAACTGCAAACTCTGCCTCCTGGGTTCAAGCGATTCTTGTGCCTCAGCCTCCTGAAGTAGCTGGGATTACAGGCGCCTGCCACCACACCCGGCTAATTTTCGTATTTTTTGGAGACAAGGTTTCATCATGTTGGCCAGGCTGGTCTCGAACTCCTGACCTCAAGTGATCTCCCCGCCTTGGCCTCCCAAATTGCTGGGATTACAGGTGCGAGCCACTGCACCCGGCCCACTATTTATTTTCTGAAGATGTTCTTGATGACATTCTACATTTTTGCCTGTTTCCAGACTGCATGGACACCCCGTATAGTTAGCTAGGGTGTAACTCGATTACTACATGAATGGAGCTGTTTTCAGTCTTGCTATTTATAGGATCCCTGTGGGTTACCTGACTCCAAGCTACTCAGTTTCAGGACTTCTAAGTCATAGATTCATTCATTAGGCAAACATTTTTGAGTGCCATCTGTGCCTCATGACAGCATTGCAGGTAGGTGGAGGAAAGCAACTGCTGTTGATTATCAACCCCATAGGGAGCACTGACCCCCAGACAAATTCTGTGTCTTATTTTTATTCTTGCTGTTGTGCTTTTTTTTTTTTCTTTTTGAGACGGAGTTTCACTTTTGTTGCCCAGGCTGGAGTGCAGTGCTGTGATCTCCAACCTCCGCCTCCCAGGTTCAAGTGATTATGCTGCCTCAGCCTCCCAAGTAGCTGCAATTACAGGCATGTGCCACCATGCCCAGCTAATTTTTTTTTTTTTTTTGTATTTTTAGTAGAGATGGAATTTCACCATGTTGGTCAGGTTGGTCTCGAACTCCTGACATCAAGTGATCCACCCACCTCAGCCTCCTAAAGTGTTAGGATTACAGGCGTGAGCCATGAGCCACTGCGCCCGGACATTGCTGTTGTGTTTTTAAGACACAGGGTCTCTCTATGTTGCCCAGGCTGGTCTTGAGATCTCAGGTTCCAGGGACCCTCCTGCCTCAGCTTCCCAAGTAGCTGGGATTACAGACATGAGACACCTCCCCTGGCTTCAAACTCTGGGTCTTATCAGTTCGTCTAACATAATCACATGCTTCATTCTTCTGACAGGGAGGAATTAGTGAAACTCCATCACCTCAGTGGCTGTGTTACCATGACTGACTGAATTTGTGTAATTGTTCAACCATGAGTCTACCAGCCTTGTCATAAGAAACAACAACAACCCACTGACAACTCATCTGGAAAATCACTGCTCTGTTCAAGTCATTTACACAGCACAAGAAATCTCCGGCAATGTGCCCAGAAGGTCTTTCGTTACCCAATTCCTTAAGCTAGTCTCTGAAAAACAGACACCTGCCCTGCTCTATGTCTCTAGAAGCAACTGGTTCTTAGAAGACACGATAGAGGCTGGGCACGGTGGCTCACGCCTGTAATCCCAGCACTTTGGGAGGCCGAGGCAAGCGGATCATTTGAGGTCAGGAGTTCAAAACCAGCCTGGCCAACATGGTGAAACCCCATCTCTACTAAAAATACAAAAATTAGCTGGGCATGGTGGTGGGCATCTGTAATCCCAGCTACTCAGGAGGTGGGGAGCCCGGGAGGTGGAGGTTGCAGTGAGCAGAGATCGCACCATTGTACTCCAGCCTGGGCAACAGAGTGAGACTCTCTCAAAAAAAAAAAAAAAAAAGACATGATACAGAAACATAAGAGATTTTCACTATAGAGATAGGAAACAATTTTTCAGTCAGCTCTGGATCATTGGCCCAGAATTACCTCCAGGTTCCACCAAGGCTGCCCCACCAGACTGCTACAAGTAGCTAATGTTACCTTGGTTACTTTCCAGGATGAACCTCACTCAAGAGCTCGTGGTCTTTATGACTTATTTCTTTTTCTTAATTATAATCTCTAGACTTCTAACCTAGCAAAGGTCCTGTGAGTAAGATTTAAGGAGAAACTAATTGAGGTCTGAAGGCTGAGTGTGCTAGGAGATTCTTTTTTTTTTTTTTTTCTTGCTCTTTTCTTTTTTTTTCTTGCTCTGTCACACTGGCTGGAGTGCAATGGCAGGATCACATTTCACTGCAGCCTCAACCTCCCAGGCTCAGGTGATCCTCCCACCTCAGCCTCCTGAGTGGCTGGGACCACAGGTGCCTGCCACCATGCCCAGCTAATTTTAAAATTTTTTTGTAGAGATAGGGTCTCCTTATGCTGCCCAGGGTGGTTTCGAACTCCTGGGCTCAAGTGATCCTCCCACTTCTGCATTCCAAAGTGCTGGGATTACAGGTGTGAGCCACTGCATCTGGCATGCTGGGAGATTCTTAATGTTCCCTCCCACTAAGCAGGTTGGGGTGGGTCAACACATCTTCATGGGAGTAGATGGAACTGAAATGCTGGTGAGCTTGGTAGGAAAGCAAGTTTAGGGCTTAACTCGAGTTCCAGTTAGCTATCGCTGTGTAAAAGCCACCTCCAAAATTCAGTGGCTTCGAATGACTATTTTATATATTTATTTTTTTATTTGTTTTTTATTTTTGAGACGGAGTCTCACTCTGTCTCCCAAGCTAGAGTGCAGTGATGCAATCTCGGCTCACTGCAACCTCCGCCTCCCGGGTTCCAGCGATTCTCCTGCCTCAGCCCCCTGAGTAGCTGGGACTACAGGCACGTACCACAAAGCCCCGCTAAATTTTGTATTTTTTAGTAGAGACAGGGTTTCACTACATTACCCAGGCTGGTCTCGAACTCCTGACCTTGTGATCCGCCTGCTTCGGCCTCCCAAAGTGCTGGGATTACAGGCGTGAGCCACCGCACCCAGCCTATTTATTATTCTTCACAGTTCTCGGGGATAACGGGCTCAGCTGCGAAGTTCTTCCTTGAGCATCTGAATTTGGTTGTGGTCAGATGGTGGATAAAGCTGGACTTATCTGAATCTTCTTTCGTCACATGTCTGGAGTGTCTGGAGTGGCTGGAAAACAGCTTCCTCACAAGGTAACCGTCAGAGTAGTCGGGCTTCCCTAAGCCAGCATAGCAGCTGGCTTCCCCTAGAGCGAATGATGTTCTAGGAGATCTGGGTGGTAGCTACAAGACTTCTTAGGACCTAGCCTTAGAAGTCATGCAGTATCAGTCCAAGAGATTCTCTTAGCCAAAAAGCAAGTCCCAGGGTCAGCCAGCATCCAAAGGAATGAATAGCAGTCCATTGCGGGGTGGCCATCTTTAGAGATTAGCTCCTATAGTCTAGTACTACAGAGCAGACACGCCCTAAGTTTCAAACGCCAGGCATTAAAGCAGGTCTCAAATATGAATGGCTGGATACACACAGTGCCTTCTAGCCCTTCCTCAACACTCTAGGTAAGGCACCCAAGCTCTCAGGAG
The DNA here is from genome assembly GCF_000001405.40 of Homo sapiens. NCBI lineage: Eukaryota > Metazoa > Chordata > Mammalia > Primates > Hominidae > Homo > Homo sapiens. The sequence continues at coordinate 41,311,477 of NC_000023.11, read as the reverse complement.
TGCTCATAGAACCATTCTTCATGCTTTGGGCACTGGCGGGCCTGAACCTTCCTTACCTTCACCATTCTCTCTGCTCACCGCCATCTTTCACCACTCAGGGCACAGTAATTAACCTTAGACAGTCTTCTTTCACTCGTGTCCACCTTCACCATTTTTTTTTCTTTTTGAGACGGAGTCTCACTCTGTTGCCCAGGCTGGAGTGCAGTGGTGCGATCTTCGCTCACTGCAACCTCTGCCTCCTGCGTTCAAGCGATTCTCCTGCTTCAGCCTCCCAAGTAGCTGGGATTACAGGTGCCCGCCACCATGCCCGGCTAACGTTTTTGTATTTTTAGTAGAGACGGGTTTCCACCATGTTGACCAGGCTGGTCTCAAACTCCTGACCTCAGGTGATCTGCCTGCCTCTGCCTTCCAAAGTGCTGGGATTATAGGCGTGAGCCACCGCACCTGACCACTTTCACCTTTTATCTTTATCTTCTATGGCTTCTTTCCAACAGTACTTGGTAAATTTTTAAAAATGTTTAATTTTACCTCAGTAAAATCTCTCCTGCTTTTAACTCCAAAACCCTACCCTCCGATCACTGCTGGTGTTAAACCAAAGTGGTTTTAGTTATACAGCGGTATTTTAAAAAGAAAGGCCATAAATTGTAAATAAAATTAGACAAAAAGAGCCAATGATTTCAAGCCCTACATTTTGAAAGTTACCGGAAGTACCTGATCAAAATCTTCCCAAAAGTTAACGGCTTCTTCCTTCCTTTTCTATGAGGTCTGGTTTCTATAAGCACTAGTGTTTCAGATAAATAAAAACTCTTGGCCAGGCACAGTAACTCATGTCTGTAATCCCAGCACTTTGGGAGGCTGAGGTGGACGGATCACTTGAGGTCAGGAGTTCGAGACAAGCCTGGCCAACATGGTGAAACCCCGTCTCTACTAAAAATACAAAAAAATTAGCTGGATATGGTGGCATATGCCTGTAATCCCAGCTATTCGGGAGGCTGAGGCCTCCTGAATCCCTTCCCGGGTTCAAGAATAGCTTGAACCCAGGAGGCGGAGGTTACAGTGAAGCAAGATCATGCCACTGCACTCCAGCCTGGGTGACAGAACAAGACTCTGTCTCAAAAAATAAACAAATAAAAACTCTTATTTTCTTTCTTTTTTTTCTTTTTCTTTTTTTTTTTTTTTTTAGATGGAGTCTTGCTGTGTTGCCCAGGCTGGAGTGCAGTGGCGCAGTCTCAGCTTACTGCAAGCTCTGCCTCCCGGGTTCCAGCCATTCTCCTGCCTCAGCCTCCCGAGTAGCTGGGACTGCAGGCACCCGCCACCATGCCCGGCTAATTTTTTTGTATTTTTAGTAGAGACGGGGTTTCACTGTGTTAGCCAGGATGGTCTCCATCTCCTGACCTCGTGATCCGCCCACCTTGGCCTCCCAAAGTGCTGGGATTACAGGCGTGAGCCACCTCGCCTGGCCAAAACTCTTATTTTCTGTTCGGAAATTGTTTTTCTTTGTTTTCTAAAATTATTATTACAGACATTTTGTTTACTACTAATTTTTCATTATAAGAAACGGTATACGCCAGGTTGGTGGGCTCAAGCCTGTAATCCCAGTACTTTGGGAGGCCAAGGCGGGCAGATCAGCTGAGGTCGGGAGTTCGAGACCAGCCTGACCAACATGGAGAAACCCTGTCTCTACTAAAAATACAAAATTAGCCGGGCGTGGTGGCACATGTCTGTAATCCCAGCTACTCAGGAGGCTGAGGCAGGAGAATTGCTTGAACCTGGGAGGTGGAGGTTGCCGTGAGCCAAGATCACGCCATTGCACTCCAGCCTGGGCAACAAGAGCAAAACTCCATCTCAAAAAAAGAAAAAAACAAAAACAAACCAGAGAGGGTATTTAGCCATGTTATGAGTTATATAGAATTTTGAAGTCTAGTCTAGGAATCTAATATCCATTTAACATAGTTCTGTTTTCCTCTAGGAAAATGCATTCCAAATGCCAAACCACAAACTTCAAAATGACATTTTGTGGACACACCCCATTTGTATCTGACTCCTGCCTGCTCATTTGCTTCTTTCCATTGAGCTACACACATCATGAACTTGGATTTTGTGCATGACATTGAAATACTGAAAAGCAAAGTCAATGCGGGCATTTCAGGCAGGCTCTGTGTTGGTTTGGGACTGAGCTGTTTTTCCCTATGCCATGCTGTGTCCACCAGTCTAACCCTTAGCCCTACTGTGAACCATAGAAGGGCAGGAGCTTCCCTTTAGGAACTATTTTCCACTTAAACAGAAACTGCTGGTTAACATCACTGGCCAAGTCGGGATCACTGCTGTCTGGGCTGGTGACGTCTGGGGTTACTGTCCACATGTGTCTGCTTTCCCTCAGCTGTGCCCTTCGGCTATTGGTACCCAAAGGGAAGAGGAAGGAAGAGTTGTGACAGCAGCAGTGCCCCCAGCAGGAAAGAGGGAGAGCAGTACACCCAGCCTGTGACACCCACTCTTGCCTGTCCACAAGCCCAGCATGGTAGGGGCACGGCTGTCAGGGAACTCTGCCACACTCCTCATTAAAGCCCCATAGCCAGGTGTGGTGGCTCATGCCTGTAATCCCAGCACTTTGGGAGGCCGAGGTGGGCAGATCACCTGAGCTCAGGAGTTTCAGACCAGCCTGGCTAACATGGCGAAACCCCATCTCTACTAAAAATACAAAAATTAGCTGGGCTTGGTGGCGCACGCCTGTAATCCCAGCTGTTCAGGAGGCTGAGGCAGGAGAATTGCTTGAACCCGAGAGGCGGAGGTTGCAGTGAGCCGAAACCGCACCACTGCACTCCAGCCTGGGCAACAGAGTGAGACTCTGTCTCAAAAAATAAAACAAAAAGAAAAAGAAAAAAAAGCTCCAAGGGACAAGACTGAGACCCAAAACAAAAATCAAAATCCCTTCTACAACTCTGAACACAGTGTTAGGCACCCTATGTGAGGTAACGATGTTAGGTGAGTGAATTAACTGAATAAGTGACTTCCAGCACTCTAGCTAGGCAAAAATGTGAATTTGCAACATAAATTATTACTTACTTTATAAAAGAATCACCCTGGGCTTGCTTTATTTTATTTTACTTTATTTATTATTTATTTATTTATTTATTTATTTATTTTGAGATGGAGTCCCACTCTGTTGCCAGGCTGGAGTGCAGTGGCACAATCCCGGCTCACTGCAACCTCTGCCTCCCAGGTTCAAGCGATTCTCCTGCCTCAGCCTCCCAAGTAGCTGGGATTACAGGCGTGCGCCACTACGCTCAGCTAATTTTTGTACTTTTAATAGAAACGGGGTTTCATCATGTTGGCCAGGATGGTCTTGATCTCTTGACCTTGTGATCCGCCCACCTCGGCCTCCCAAAGTGCTGGGATTACAGGCGTGAGCCACCACGCCCGGCCTTACTTTATTTTTTGTTGTGTGGAGATGGAGTCTTACTGTGTTGCCCAGACTGGTCTCAAACCCCTGGGCTCAAGTGATCCTCTCACCTCCCAAAGTGCTGGGATTACAGGTGTGAGCCACGGTGCTGGGCCTTGGGCTTACTTTTGAGGGTAATCCTAGAGAAGTTAAAAATAGAGAAATGTAAGTTGTATGTAAATTTTAAAAGAATTTTTTAATAAAAAATAGGATTTCAGTTACATGCAAATTTCTGGAGTCCCCAACATGTCCACTGTGTAGAATAAGACATGTCTTTAGGCAGATATTTGTTAATTATGAATAATTTTTATTCACACAGGTTCATTTTTCCTCAAATTATCCAGAAAACTGGTGCATGCCAGGGGGGCTTTGGGATGAGCCACAATTCTTTTTTTCTTTTTTTTTGAGACAGAGTCTTGCTCTGTCACCCAGGCTGGAGTGCAATGGTGCAATCTTGGCTCACTGCAACCTCTGCCTCCCGGGTTCACGCCATTCTCCTGCCTCAGCCTCCCTAGTAGCTGGGACTACAGGTGCCCACCACCATGCCCGGCTAATTTTTTTTGTATTTTTAATAGAGACGGGGTTTCACCGTGTTAGCCAGGATGGTCTCGATCTCCTGACCTCGTGATCCGCCCGCCTAGGCCTCCCAAAGTGCTGGGATTACAGGTGTGAGCCGCCGCGCCCAGCCAAGGGATGAGCCACAATTCTTAAAACTTTCACAAGACATAGAAATTTTGACTTATGCTGGGCACAGTGGCTCACGCCTGTAATCCCAGCACTTTGGGAGGCTGAAGTGGGCAGATCACCTGAGGTCAGGAGTTTGAGACCAGCCTGGCCAACATGGCAGAACCTGTCTCTACTAATGATACAAAAAAATTAGCCAGGCGTGGTGGTGCACACCTGTAATCCCAGCTACTCAGGAGGCTGAGGCAGGACAATCACTTGAACCTGGGAAGGCGGAGATTGCAGTGAGCCAAGATCGTGCCATTGCACTCCAGCCTGGGCGATGGAGCGAGACTCTATCTCAAAAAAAAAAAAAAAAGAAAAGAAAGAAATTTTGACTTAAACCGGGGCGAGGGGAGGGAATCTTTTTAAAGAGCCACCAAATATTTATTGCTGCCACTCAATCTCATGGACTCTAAACTAGTCATTGCCTGGAAATTAAGCCGTTGCCATGTCTCCAGGTCTGCTATGCAGGCAAAGAAAAGCAGAGCCATCTTCTATTGAATAGCACCTGTCAGAGGGTTGCCAAAACTCTGGGGAAAATCCTCAGGCGATGTTTTTTTTTTGTTTTTTTTTTGAGACGGAGTTTCACTCTTGTTGCCCAGGCTGGAGTGCAATGGCGCGATCTTGGCTCACTGCAACCTCTGCCTTCCAGGTTCAAGCAATTCTGCCTCAGCCTCCCGAGTAGCTGGGATTACAGGCGTGCACCACCATGCCCAGCTAATTTTGTAATTTTAATAGAGACAGGGTTTCTCCATGTTGGTCAGGCCAGTCTCGAACTCCTGACCTCAGGTGATCTGCCTGCCTCGGCCTCCCAAAGTGCTGGGATTACAGGCGTGAGCCACGGCGCCTGGCCTACTCAGGCAATGTTAACCATGTAGTCCACAGCTGCAGTCCTGACCAGCTTCCACACAGGGCTTCAGTAAAACCTGAAATGTGCTGTATTACCTACCAGATTGAAAACATTCCCCTCCCTCCTCCTGAAAAGATAACACCCAACAACTATTGGTTGCAAGAGGATGCAAGGGAGTGAGTATTCTCATAAATTGGTGGTAGGAGAATAAATTGCAGTCAACTTTATGGAGAATAGTTTTTCAATACAAAATCCTTAAAAGTGTTTATACTCTGTCATTCAAAAACTCCACTTCTGGTCAGACACAGTGGCTCACGCCTGTAATCCTAACACTTTGGGAGGCTGAGGTGGATGGATCACGAGGTCAAGAGATCGAGATCATCTTGGCCAACGTGGTGAAATCCCGTCTCTACTAAAAATACAAAAATTAGCTGGGCGTGGTGGTATGCGCCTGTAGTCCTAGCTACTCAGGAGGCTAGGGCAGAAGAATCGCTTGAACCTGGGAGGCAGAGGTTGCAGTGAGCCGAGATCGCGCCACTGCACTCCAGCCTGAGCAACAGAGCAAGACTCCATCAAAAAAAAAAAAAAAAAAATCCCCCCCACCAAAAAAACCCCTCCACTTCTAGAACTGTATTAAAAGAAAACAAAGAAATATTTTTTAAAGTGTATGTAAAGCCAGGGACGATAGTGCATGCCTGTAGGTACCAGCTATGAGGAGGGCTGAGGCAGGAGGATCACTGGAGCCCAGGAGTTCAAGGCCAGCCTGGGCAACATAGTGAGATCCCCCATCTCTTTTTTAAAAAGTGTATGTAAGAGGATATTTTTCCCAACATTATTTATAATAGCAAAAAATACCGGAAAGCAATATAAAATAAGGCACCGAAATGATCGAATACTATGAACTGATCTAAGTCATTAAAGTTGTAGAAGGATATTTAATGACCTGGAAAATTGTCCATGATATCTGAAGTAGACGGAAGCAGATCACAAAGGAGCATCTTCCCCAGGTTTAGAAGGATAACGTGTGTTTATGTGTGCACAGAAAAAGGACTGGAGGGATACACACAAAAATATTGACATAGTTATCTCTGGATGATAGAATCAGGGCTGATTTTTAAAAATTAATTAATTATTTATTTATTTTTGAGATGGGGTCTCACTCTGTCACCCAGTCTGGAGTGCAGTGGTGCCATTTTCACTCACTGCAACCTCTGCCTCCCAGGCTCAAGTGATCCTCTCACCTCCGCCTCCCAAGTAGCTGCGATTACAGGTGTGCACCACCACCCCAGGTAATTTTTTGTATTTTTGGTAGAAATGAGGTTTCACCATGTTGCTCAGGCTGGTCTTGAACCCCTGAGCTCAGGTGATCCACCCGCCTCAGCCTTCTAAAGTGCTGGGATCACAGGCGTGAGCCACTGCGCCCAGCCTGTGCTGATTTTACAGTCTTCTTGGTGCTCGTCTTATTTTCCAATTTTCCAATGAACATGATTGTTTTTGTAATCAGGAAGAAACATATTCTAACAAAATAATTGTTCTGTAGGGCCACTTTGTTCTCCTTTCCTGAACCTCATTTGTGTCACAGACTCCTTTGAGAATGTGATGAGAATTGTGGATCTTCTTTCCAGAAGTGCCAATATATATATTATCAGATTTTACCTATAATTTCTGGGTATTCACAACCTAGGGGTTCATAGGCCCTGAGTTCAGAACTGTTCATCCACAGTCTGGGTGGCTTCCACCCTGTATATAGATTTGATTGGCTCTTGTTTTTTTGTTAGTTTGTTTGTTTTGTTTTGAGATGGAGTCTCACTCTGTCACGCAGGCTGGAGTGTAGTGGTGTGATCTCGGCTCACTGCAACCTCTGACCCCTGGGTTCAAGCAATTCTCCTACCTCAGCCTCCCGAGTAGCTGTGATTACAGGCGCTTGCCACCGTACTGGGATTACAGGCGTGAGCTACCGCACCCGGCTGATTTGGTTGGCTCTTGGCACATTCTCCAGTGGTGCTGGAGTCCCCGGCCTTCTCCCCCACCGCCAGCCCTTTGACCACTCCAAGAGCAGGTGGGGCCTGTCCTCAGAATATCAATGGACTCATGTAGGTACTCTGATGTGCCGGAGTTGAGTCTCTCAGGACAACATCAACAACTGAAAAGAGTAGGTGGAGAAGATCACTGTGTTCTGGAATCCTGCCCTCAAAGCAGGTAGGAAGAGTGAACATTGCAGGCCACTTCTGTAGTTTCTTAATGAGCTTTGGCCACTTGCTGCTCCCCAGGGGACTGGGGACTATATACTCAGATGACTGTTATTTGGATGCAGCCAGTAGGATGCTTGGGACTTTGAAAATTAATAGCAGGCAGTTATCATTGAGAAACCTGACTCAACATAGGAAGAGAATGATGAGAGCCGAGAGTAATGACTGGAGACTGGAGAACCACAGTCACGGGGTTACTGTCAGAGGCAGGAATTCAGAGACTTGGTGGCAGAAATGAAGAGGAAAGTAGAGCTTCAAACCTTAGTCCCACTGGACCCAAGATCGTGACCTTCGAGGAAGGTCAGGGGCATTGTATATGTGCCCCAGTTGAGGCTGGGGAAAGGTCTTAGAGCTGATTTGTGAATACTTTTATTATAGTTCTTACCTGTGAACTGAAAGCTAGCTGCTCATACGGCCGATGGAAAGGCCACAAAAGTTTCTAAACCAAAAAGCGACAAGATCTGAATCGACTCAGAGAAAGATAAGACCCCTTGGAGGTCAGAGGGGTACCAGATAGGAGGCTGTTGGAGTGATGGGACGTGAACTGAGGTAGTGGGGCTGGAGACTCGTTCAAGCTATAGAACCCAGAGGATCGGGGAGAGGTGGAATTGGATGGGGAGGCTGGAGGGGCTGGAGTCTTTACGAGAGTCTCTGAGGTGGCTAGCCTGGGAGATTGGGTGACTCCATTCTCCGAGACCACAAATACATGAGGCAGAGCTCTGTGGGACGACATAATGAGCTATCGTGGGCTTATTAATGTGAGGAGCCTGAAGACATCCCAGTGGAAATGTCCGGCAGGCATTAGGAAATAGGAATCAGCAGTTACTATGTAGCCAGATGATGTGGCTGCTAAAACGAGGACAAGATGAGGCTGCATTTATAGCTGCATAGTATTCAGGCAGAGGTAGTCATCGACTATTTGCCAGTCAGGTCTTTTGTGGAGTGTGCCTCATTGGCTTCGCTGGCAGTGGGCAGGGAGTGGGCATATTTTAAGACTGACGTTAGTAACCCAGCTCAGAACAGGACCAGAGGGATGGACCGGGATGACAGGAAAACTGGAACTTGTGTAACAGACACTAAAAAAACTAGGTGTCAGCGTTTTCTGGAAGAGGAACTCTGGGTGGAATGATCAGTGTGTAACAGGATATAAAAATGGAAGCTTCTACAGAGACACTGAGCTACAATAAATGTGAAATTTCAGAGTCAGGTGCCAAATCGCCATATATAGATTTACAAAAGAAATGGTTCCCGGGCCTGTTCAGCGACTCTGGAGGGTCTCAGCCAGATCAAAGATAGGAAAGGTCAGAGAGCGAGAAAGGGGAAATAGAGGAAGAGATTTAGGGGGAAGGGGTAGTAGCTGTGGTGTCTAAGACCCCACCCAAGCCCTTAAAATGAAAGGTTATATGGGGAAGGATGTATGTGGGAAGGTTTTACCTCTTAACCAAAGTCTAATGAGGGATCCGTCTGAGCCTGTCTCCTCACCCCCACTCTCCCTACCCTGGCCCTCAAAGGAGGGCTTCTTTACAGTTAATTGATTTCTTGGAATGGTCCCAAGGGACAGGAGCGAGGGACAGGAAAGAGTGAAACAGGGGAGGAGGGAAAGCTGATCCGAGCTCCTCATTATTGTAGGTAACTGGGGCTTGCTATCACTGGGGACTTTCCCAGGCCATGTAAACGACTCTCAGAATTCTCTGCCTGAAGGGTGGAACAGGACAGTATTTATCTATGGCTCCCAGCCCCACTCAGCCGAGGGTTGCCCTCGGGGTGTTTGCACAAGCTTCAGAATGCTGAGGTGGAGTCTCCCAACCCAGGCAGCCACAAAGAAGCCCCAGGGCCAGAGTGAGAGGTGCTCATGACGCTGAGGGAGGTGCCGCTGTCTGGAATCATGGGGGACCCTGTCAGACCCACGCTTGAGAAGACTAAAGCAGGCTGTGGTGAAGTAGACTGGGGTCAACTCCTACCTGGGACTTCTAAAGGGTAAATGATGGGCTGGGCGTGGTGGCTCACACCTGTAATCCCAGCACTTTGGGAGGCCTAGGCGGGTGGATCACTTGAGGCCAGAGTTCAAGACCAGCCTGGTCAACATGGTGAAACCCTGTCTTTACTAAAAACACAAAAATTAGCCAGGTGTGGTGGCACACGCAGGTAATCCCAGCTACTAGGGAGGCTGAGGCAGGAGAATCACTTGAACCCAGGAGGCAGAAGTTGCAGTGAGCCGAGATCGCACCACTGCATTCCAGCCTAGGTGACAGAGTGAGACTCTGTCTCAGGAAAAAAAAAAATTTTTAATCAAAATAAATAAAGGGTAAATGACGGCTGGCTCACTACCATGGTGGCCAAGACAGGGGAGTGCTGCCACACTGGAATCACCCGACCCTTCCACAGGACACTGGGAGAAAACTTGTCTGTTTCCTTTAACTCCACAGGAGGCAGCCTCCCTAGAGTTGTCTGAGAGGCTGCTCAAGAGGACTTCTGGGGGCTGGGGAGGCCTCAGCATAAAGAAGCCAGAGGGTACTTGCCCAGTGCCCAGGGCTGAGGAAGGTGACACTCATGCCTCTGTATTCACAAGCTTGGGAGATCCCCGAGCCATGAGAATCTTTGAAGAGCCCATAAAAACTCCCAGGGGACAGAGAGTCAGCTTTAGACACCTGCCAGGCTCAGAGAGAACCTGGCCAAGGGAGGCCTTGCCCATTCCCTTACCACTCCGCCCTCCACCCATTCCCCACACTCAGAAGCTAGTAGGGATGGAGGGAAGGAGAAGGAAGTACAAGGTGGAGAAATAGGAAGCCAGCCACATCCACTTCCTGCCCACTTCCTGCTGGAGGATTCCAACTGGAAGCAGGCCAGAGTTGGGGAGAGGAGAAGTTATAAAGAATCTCTTAGACTGGTTATTCTAATTATGGGAGAGGCTACATTTGTGTCTTTGAGGATCTATGAGACTATTACCTAAGACTGAGCTGAAAATCACGGGGCCCACTGGGGTATTTATACAGGAATGGAGTTGTTTATTTATCCAGCATATTAGGGTTCTCCAGAGAAACAGAACCAGTAGGATTGGGGCACATGATTATGAAGGCTGACAAGGCCCAAGATTTGCAGAGTGACTCAGCAAGCAGGAGACCCAGGAAGAGCCAATGTTTCAGTCTGAGTCTGAAGACAGAAAAAACAATGTCCCAGCCTGAAGATAGGAAGAAGAAATTCCCTCTTATATGGGGGTATCAGCCCTTTTGTTCTATTCAGGCCTTCAGCTGCTTGGATGAGGCTCACCCATATTAGGGAGGGCCATCTGCTTTGCTGGGTCGATAGATTCAGACGTTAATCTCATGCAAAAACACCCTTACGAAAACACCCAGAATAATGTTTAGCCAAATACCTGGGCACCCTGTGGGCCAGTCAAGTTGACTCACAAAATTAACCGTCACTTCCAGGCAATGTCCACTGAATGGATTTTATTTTATTTATTTATTTATTTTTGAGACACAGTCTCACTCTGTCACCCAGGCTGCAGCACAGTGGCGTGATCTCGGCTCACTGCAACCTCTGCCTCCTGGGCTCAGGTGATTTTCCTGCCTCAGCCTCCTGAGGAGCTGGGATGGCAGGCACACACCACCACGCTCGGCTAATGTTTATACTTTTTGTAGAGATGGGGTTTCACCATGTTGCCCAGGCTGGTCTCGAGCTCCTGGCCTCAAGTGATCCGCCCACCTCAGCCTCTGAAAGTGCTGGGATTATGGGCGTGAGCCACCATGCCCGGCCCATTGAATGGATTTTGAAGAAGACTCAATAAAAGTAGTGTTTTCATTATGTATGAGTCAAGCATAGACAACATTCCAGTAACATTCTTAGAACTAGCTCAAGACTTCCTGTGGGGCCTGCTAAACCTGACCCTGACCCTTGGCTACCCAGTCCCTGACCCCTTCACTCTTTAGCCAGCCCCCATCTGCCTGACACATGGTTAGTACCTTCCTGGCTCTCAGTTTTAGACTCTGCCCTCTGAACTGCAGGCAATATCCCCCACAATCTCTGAAGCAGCATCTTCACAGTCAGAACCCTAATGAAATCCCCATTAGACATGGTCTCAGAATCATTCAAGACATGATTCTCCCCCAGTTTGCTGGTGGATGTAACACCCTCTTCTGAAATAGCCTGGTGATTACTTTTTTTTTTTTTGAGACGGAGTCTTGCTGTGTTGCCCAGGCTGGAGTGCAGTGATGCGATCTTGGCTCACTGCAACCTCCACTTCCCAGGTTCAAGCGATTCTGCTGCCTCAGCCTCCCTTGTAGCTGGGACTACAGGCATGTGCCACCACGCCCAGCTAATTTTTGTATATTTAGTAGAGACGGGGTTTCCCCATCTTGGCCAGGCTGGTCTCGAACCCCTGACCTCAGGTGATCCACCCACCTTGGCCTCCCAAAATGCTGGAATTACAGGTGTGAGCCCTGCAGGCAGCTGGGCGCGGTGGCTCACACCTGTAATCCCAACACTTTGGGAGGCCGAGGCGGGTGGATCACCTGAGGTCAGGGGTTCAAGACCGGCCTGGCCAACATGGGGAAAGCCCATCTCTGTTAAATATACAAAAAAAATTAGCCAGGTGTGGTGGTGGGCGCCTGTAATCCCAGCTACTCGGGAGGCTGAGGCAGGAGAATCGCTTGAACCCGGGAGGCAGAGGTTGCAGTGAGCTGAGATCATGCCACTGCACTCCAGCCTGGGCAACAAAAGCGAGACTGTCTCAAAAAAAAAAAGGGGGGGCCAGGCGCGGTGGCTCACGCCTGTAATCCCAGCACTTTGGAAGGCTGAGACAGGTGGATCACGAGGTCAGGAGATCGAGACCATCCTGGCTAACATGATGGAACCCTGTCTCTACTAAAAATACAAAAAAAAAAAATTAGCCGGGCACGCACCTGTAGTCCCAGCTACTCGGGAGGCTGAGGCAGGGAGAATCGCTGGAACCGGGGAGGCAGAGGTTGCAGTGAGCCGAGGTGGCACTACTTCACTCAAGCCTGGGCGACAGAGCGAGACTCCGCTTCAAAAAAAAAAAAAAGAAAAGAAAAAGAAAACTTGCAGGCCGCAATCAGCCAGAGAGGTCCCCAAGCTGAATTCTAGTGGCTTAGCTTGGGTGTGACAATCCACAGAACTAGGTTTTCTGGTTTGTTGTTGTTTTTTTTTTTTCTTTTTCCTACACAGCTTAGACCAAGGTGCCAGACAGCTTCCTTTGTAGCCCAGTAGCTCCAGCACTTGCACATCCTTTCCAGTGGGCACTTCAAGCCAGGATCTTTTTGGCTTTAATCATTTCAGGTCAGATGGAGGAAAGAAATATGTATGAGACTTGGTCTCTGCCTCTGCATAATCTCTACACTGTGTTCTGAGTGTGACAACCCAGAGAAAAACAAACTGTGTGCCTACCCCACCTTCTGTCTCAAGTAAGCCTCCCTAAAAGTGGAGCCTGGAACACGGGTTCTTGCACAAGTGGCAGTTATTGAGTGGGGGTGCTCTCAGCAGGAAGCTGTAAGGAGGGAGGAGAGAGGAGGAGGAGAGAAGAAGGTTAGCAAGGATGTGGTTCCAGGAGTCTAGCCTCAGGCCTGATCCCACGGGGAGCTCTGGAGCAGACACTGGATCTCAGAATCTGTTCTGCGCCGAAGCCAGGGAAAGGAGACTGTATGCCTCTATACCAATCAGTGGCTGAAGATGCCTAGCTCCAGAGCACCTCGGGTCTGAGTGGCTCCAATCATCTGAGGGCAAACCTCTGTAGAGGGTCACAGGTGTGAACCATCAGCAACAGCCACTGGAGCAGTTAGGGGACTGGCAGGCAGAACTGGTGAAAGAGGCCCCCAGTTATCTGGGCGGTGCTCCCAGAGTCTCTGTGGGCATACAGTGTGCATGCACTGTGGGCATATGGTCCCAGTGGGCATACAGTCTGAGTCACGTGTTCAAAAAGCAGATGGAGGCTTTTGGGTGAAGAAACTGGGAGGGAGAGGGCATCCCAGGGCTGTGCAATGGAGCCCGGTAAGGTCCTTTCCAACCTCATGCATTTCCAGGCATCTCACTATCCCAGGCACCCTTCTCTGGGCCCTTCTGGTATGCTTCTCTCATCATGTAGAATTCCCTTTCCACAATCTCCTTTCCCCTCTCTTCTCATCATCATCCCAACTTCCCTTTTCTTTCTTCTTCTTTTTTTTTGTAGACAGAGTCTTGCTCCATCGCCCAGGCTGGAGCGCAGCGGCGCAATCTCAGCTCACTGCAACCCCTGCCTCCTGGGTTCAAGCAGTTCTCCTGCCTCAGCCTCCCGAATAGCTGGGACTAGAGGCAAGTGCCACCACGCCTGGCTAATTTTTGAATTTTTAGTAGAGACGGGGTTGCGCCATGTTGGCCAGGCTGGTCTCGAACTCCTGACCTCGGGTGATTCACCTGCCTCGGCCTCCCAAAGTGCTGGGATTACAGGTGTGAGCCTCCGCACCCGGCCCCAACTTCCCTTTTCTTTCTCTCCTTTTCCTTGCAGTTGGCCAAGTGGCTGGAAGTCCACCTACAATGGGCATGCCGTCCTGGAACATCTCTCTTCTCTATCTTGGATTCGGTTCTATGGTAAATGTAGTGCGACCAGGAAAGCAGCTGTACATACTTATGCACACATTTTTATTTGAACATTTTCAAACTTTTTTTTTTTTTTAAAGACAGGGTCTCACTCTGTCACCCTCGCTGGAGTGTGGTGATGCAATCACAGATCACTGCAGCCTTGACCTCCTGGGCTCAAGTGATCCTCCTACCTCAGCCTCCCAAGTAACTGGGACCACAGGTATGTGCCGCCACACCTGGCTAAATTGCTTTTTTTTTTTTTTTTTTTGCATTTTTTTGTACAGACGGGGTTTCCCCATGTTGCCCAGGCTGGTCTTGAACTCCTGAGCTCGAGTAAACCACCCGTCTCAGCCTCCCAAAATGCTGGGATTATAGGCGTGAGCCACCATGCCCAGCCTTTAAAACTTTTTATTATGGAAATTTTCAACATATATCCAAATAAAGAAACAGTAAAATAAACCCCATTGTACTCTTCACCCCATTTCAAAAACTGATGGCTGGCCCAGTGCAGTCACTCACGCCTGTAATCCCAGCACCTTGGGAGGCTGAGGAGGGAGGATTGCTTGAGCCCAGGAGTTCAAGACCAGCGTGGGCATCATAGCAAGACCCCCATCTCTACAAAAATAAAAGTTAGCTGGGCATGGTGGCATGCACCTGTGGTCCCAGCTACTCAGGAGGCTGAGGCAGGAGGATCACTTGAACCCAGGAGGTCAAGGCTGCAGTGAGCTGTGATCACACCACTGCACTCCAGCCCAGAACAAAACCCTGTCTCAAAACGAAAACAAAAAAACACAAAAACCGATGGCCAATCTTATTGCCTCCATACCTTCACCCACTCCTCCATGTCCAGAATGCTTTGCAGCAAATCCCAGATATCATATCATTTGTAGATTTTTCCAAAGATAGCTCTAAGAGCTAAGGACTTTTATAAAAGAACATAACCACAGTACCATTAACACTCACCATAACAATAATTATTTCATATCATCAAGTATCTACTCAGTGTTCACATTTTCCCAATTGTCTTATACTTTTTTTTTTTTTTTTTTTTTTTTTTGGAGACAAGAGTCTCACTCTGTCACCCAGGCTGGAGTGCAGTGGTGCAATCTTGGCTCACTGCAACCTCTACCCCCTGGGTTCAAGCAATTCTCCTGCCTCAGCCTCCCAAGTAGCTGGGATTACAGGCATGTGCCACCACACTATGGAGGAAAAGTTAAATATTAATTTTTTTTTTTTTTGAGACCGAGTTTTCACTCTGGTTGCCCAGGCTGGAGTGCAATGGCGTGATCTCAGCTCACCACAACCTCCACCTCCCGGGTTCAAGCAATTCTCCTGCCTCAGCCTCCCAAATAGCTGGGACTACAGGAACGCGCCACCACGCCTGGCTTATTTTGTATTTTTAGTAGAGACAGGGTTTCACCATGTTGCCCAGGCTGGTCTTGAACCCCTGACTTCAGGTGATCCACGCACCTCAGCCTTTCAAAGTGCTGAGATTATAGGCGTGAGCCACCATGCCCGGATGGAAAAGTTAAATATTAAACTTGAACTCAGTTGAACATGGGCAAAAACAATGGTCACCAAGTCCCAGAATAGTTTGTGTGAGCCCCTTGAGGCATTCATCCAGCACTGTTTCAGAGAAATCTCTATTTCAATCTATTCCTGTACATTAGTTATTGAAAAACAACAGACAGGCGCAGTGGCTCACACCTGTAATCCCAACACTTTGGGAGGAGAGGCGGGCGGATCACGAGGTTAGGAGATGGAGACCATCCTGGCCCACATAGTGAAACCCCGTCTCTACTAAAAATACAAAAATTAGCTGGGTGTGGTGGCGCACACCTGTAATCCTAGCTACTCGCGAGGCTGAGGCAGAAGAATCACTTGAACCCGGGAGGCGGAGGTTGCAGTGAGCGCCACTGCACTCTAGCCTGGCGACACAGCGAGACTCCGTCTCAAAAAAAAAAAAAAAAAAGAAAAAGAAAAGCAACAGACAATCACAAAAACAAGTTGACCTTTTTGTGGTCCTTGAGCCCAGTCCCAAAGGGCCCTCATGACTGGGCCTCATGCTAAACAACTCGTTACAAAAAGAGGGTCCCAGACTGCACCGAAGCTTCATGAGACCTCTCCTCATCTGTGCACTGATGAGTGGCCAACTCTGGAGCCCAGGCTGTTGCTTTCCAGTCTGGTGGTGAGTCCTCCATAGTCTGGTGAGTGTAGTGTCTGACTCTGGAGCCCAGGCTGTTGCTTCCTGGTCTGGTGGTGAATCCTCCATAGTCTGGTGAGTGTAAATATATATATATATGTGTGTATATCTATCTATCTATCTATCTATCTATCTATCTATCTATCTATCTATCTATATCTTTTCCCTTATCCCCTTCCCATTTCAATTTGCTTGTTATATCATTTGCCTATTATATCTGCATTGCCATTTACGTGGGATAAAGATTGTTTACCCTTGAAGGTATTGTGTGTGTGTCTTTTCTTCTCCCCTCTCACGTTTCCCACACAGAACACACACCTAGCTAATTTTTGTATTTTTGGTGGAGATGGGGTTTCACTATGTTGGCCAGGCTGGTCTCGAACTCCCAACCTCAGGTGATCCGCCTGCCTCGGCCTCCCAAAGTGCTGGGATTACAGGAGTGAGCCACTGCCCCTGGCCATCTTATACATTTTTAATAGTTTGTTTGAATCGAGATCCAAATAAGTCCATACATTGCATTTGGCTAATATGTTTCTTAAGTCTGTTAGTCTGTAGGTTTACCCTCCATCTCATTTTTTTTCTTGCAATTTGTTGTTTTTAAAGAAACTGAATAGTTTGTCCATAAGAGTTTCTCATTGCCTGAATATTGCTTAGTGCACACTCATGGTGCAGATTCACATGTTCCTCTGTCCTTGATATTCTCTTGTAAATTGGAAGTTAGAGTGAAAGCAGGGCTATCCAATAGAGCTTTCTGCAATTATAGAGATGTTCTATATCTGCATCCTTCAATATGGTAGCCACTCATCCTGTGTGGCTATGAGCACTTGAGATGGGGCCAGTGAGACTGAGGAGCTGCATATTTAATTTAATTTAATAATTTAATTAATTATGTATTTACTTATTGAGACAGAGTCTCAGTCGCCCAGGCTGGAATGCAGTGGCGTGATCTCAGCTCACTGCAACCTCTGCCTCCCAGGTTCAAGTGATTCTCGAGCCTCATCCTCCCTGGTAGCTGGGACTACAGGCATTCGCCACCATGCCCGACTAATTTTTTTTTTTTTGAGGCGGAGTTTCACTCTTGTTGCCCAGGCTGGAGTGCAATGGCATGATCTCGGCTCACCGCAACCTCTGCCTCCCGGGTTCAAGCAATTATCCTGCCTCAGCCTCCCAAGTAGCTGGGATTACAGGCATGCACCACCACGCCCGGTTAATTTTATATATTTTTTAGTAGAGGCTGAGTTTCTCCATGTTGGTCAGGTTAGTCTCAAACTCCCGACCTCAGGTGATCCACCTGCCTCAGCCTCCCAAAGTGCTGGGATTACAGGTGTGAGCTACCTTGCCTGGCCTTTTTTTTTTTTTTTTTTTTTGTATTTTTAGTAGAGACAGGATTTCACCATGTTGGCCAGGCTGGTCTTGAACTCCTGACCTCAAGTGATCCACCCACCTCAGCCTCCCAAAGTGCTGGATTACAGGCCTGAGCCACCGTGCCCAGCCTATTTAATTTTAATTCATTTAAATTCAAATAGCCACATGTGGCTAGTGACTATTGAATTGGACAATGCAGATCTAGAGGCTTGAGCAGAGTTGATTTTTTTTTTTTTGAGATGGAGTCTCACTCTGTCGCCTAGGCTGGAGTGCAGTGGCGCGATCTCGGCTCACTGCATGCTCCGCCTCCTGGGTTCATGCCATTCTGCTGCCTCAGCCTCCCCAGTAGCCGGGACCACAGGCACCTGCCGCCACGCCCAACTAATTTTTTTGTATTTTTAGTAGAGTTAGCCAGGATGGTCTCGATCTCCTGACCTCATGATCCGCCCGCCTCGGCTCCCAAAGATTTTGTTTTATGTTTAAAACTACTTCACGTGGTGATGGTGACTTCCCTCATCCACCACTGTATTTAGTTACAGAGTGTTTCTTCTGGTCTGCAGTCTGCCCTGATGGTGTCTGTGCTTTTTATGCACTTCCCAATAGGCCACAGGGTGGCACTGCCAGCTTGATCTCCTCTGAGGCAGCCACCAGCACTATGGATGCAATGACTTAGCCAGGACCCAGCTACACAGCAAATTTCCCTCACTGTTTGTTGGACTTCATCATGCTTCCTTCACAAAGCCTGCAAAATCATGGAATTCGAATGTTTCTTCATTTTACAGATGAAGAAAATGAGGCAGGGAGAGGAGCAGACTGATTCTCAATGCTGTGCTCCCCTCCTCAGGGAAGAGCTGGGGAACCCATGTGGGGATAGGAAAGAGGTAAAATGTTACACAGCTAGTTAATGGCAGAGCAGAGATGGAACTTAAGTCTGTCTTTTAATGCCCATACCAGTGTTATTTCTGTTTTCTTCTATCAACACAGTGAATGTCATGGTAGATTTGCTGATGTTGAGCCATCTTTGCATTCTTGCAATAATCCTGCTTGGCCATGTTTTAGTGTCTTAACACACTGCTGAATTCAATTTGCTATTATTTTATTTAGGATTTTTGAATTTCTGTTCATAAGTGAGTTCAGCCTATTTCTTTCTTATCTTGATACTCTACTTTCTTGTTTTAATATCAGGATTCTCCCATCCAAGTACTAACCAGGCCCGACCCTGCTTAGCTTCCGAGATCAGATGGGTTTGGGTGCATTCAGGGTGGTATGGCCGTAGACCAAATATCAGGATTCTAATAGTTCCATAAAATGAATTGGGCAGCTTCCTCTCTTTTCTATTTTTTTTTTTTTTTTTTTTTTGATGGAGATTCGCTCTCTTGCCCAGGCTGGAGTGCAATCACTGCTCACTGCAACCTCTGCCTCCCAGGTTCAAGCGATTCTCTTTGCCTCAGCCTCCCAGATAGTTGGGATTACAGGTGTGTGCCACCACGCCTGGCTAATTTTTGTATTTTTAGTAGAGACGGGGTTTCACCATGTTGGCCAGGCTGGTCTCAAACTCCTGACCTCATGATCCACCCACCTTGGCCTCCCAAAGTGCTGGGATTACAGGCGTAAGCCACTGTGCCCAGCCCTCTTTTCTATTTTCTGTAACCATTTACATTAGGTAGGATTTCCTATTTTTTGAAGATTAGGTAAAACGCATCCATGAAATTGTCTGAACCTGGTTCTCTTCTTTCCTCCCTCTTTCCCTCTCTCCCTTGCTTCCTTTCTTTTTTCTTTCTTTTGTGGAGGTAGGGTGGGGGCCTTGGGAGAGATTTTTGGCT
The DNA here is from genome assembly GCF_000001405.40 of Homo sapiens. Taxonomy (NCBI): domain Eukaryota; kingdom Metazoa; phylum Chordata; class Mammalia; order Primates; family Hominidae; genus Homo; species Homo sapiens. The sequence continues at coordinate 41,292,252 of NC_000023.11, read as the reverse complement.
TTCTGTTTCGTATTTTTAAAAAGCGTTATTGGTTATTCTGATATCCCATTTCTTAATTGATTTAGTTATTGTACATCTAGAAGATTGTCTCTTTCATCAAGTTTTCCAAATTAATTGGCATAAAGCTGTTCATAGCGATTGCATGTGATTTTTCAGATCTCTTCAGTACATTTTCCTCTCCACCATGCTGACTGTTGTCCAGTCTCGTGCCACAAGGCCTGCACAATGACTTTGTAATCATTATTCTGAACGCCAGCTGCAAATGTGCAGTAAATGTATACTGTCCATTTATTAATAAGACAGGGAGCATTAACCAGATATGGAGAGAAAGCCACAGTTCGTAGGGCTTGCAAAGGGCATTTAGTTTAGTTTACTCTCCTGCCCCAACACAAATCTGCATAAAATACTGCTTGGTTTTGTCACTGCCTTGCTTAAGAATGTCCCACTAGCACAGAGTCTAAATTGCTTGGCCAGGCTTTCAGGATCCTATGGAGTCAAGCCCTCCATAAATGACTGTGTCCAGTATCAGACCTAGAGCCAGGGAGAATGCCAGAGACAAGGGCACCTTAAAAGGGGTGTCTACAGTTAGTTGGGAAGTCAAAATAACACTATGAGGTAAATCTCATGCTAATCTGCAAAATACTGCTTTAGATACAAACAGCAGGGAGTGATTGGGTGAGGGGAGAGTTGGCCTAGTCCCAGGGGCCAGGAAGGGAATGGCCAGGCAGGAAGGAGCACAAAGAGAGTTTTAGGCAACAGAAACTGCCAGAAGAAAGGCAAAATTAGTGGGACAAAGGTGCAGGGGCAAAAAGCACCACAGGATCCAGAATGTGAGAGGGGGGCCTGGCTTAAGAGGCCATCTGATTATAGACATGGAAGGAGAGAGGGCCTGCCTGCTGGGCTCTTCTGTGTCAATCAGGAACTAAAACCATCCAATGAATTTTTGGGAGTGAGAATCAACAAGATTCACTGATATTCTTTCATATAAGAATACATTCTTGCCAGGCGCAGTGGCTCACATCTGTAATCCCAGCACTTTGGGAGGGTGAGGCGGGTGGATTGCCCAGGAGTTTGAGACCAGCCTGGCCAACGTGGCAAAACCTCATCTCCACTAAAAATACAAAAATTAGCCAGGCATGGTGGCAGATGCCTGTAATCCCAGCTACTAGGGAGTCTGAGGCAGGAGAGTTGCTTGAAGCCGAGAGGCAGAGATTGCAGTGAGCCGAGATTGCATCACTGCACTCCAGCCTGAGTGACAGAGTGAGACACTGTCTCAAAAAAAAAAAAAAAAAAAAAAGGAATACATGCTTGTGGAGACAACCCAAATGATGTCCATGGGTAAACAAGTGCGATACATCTATACAATGGAATATTATTCAGGCTTAAAAAGTAAGGACTTTTTTTTTTTTTTTTTTGAGACAGGGTCTCACTGTCACCCAGGCTGGAGTACAGTGGCACAATCACAGCTCACTGCAGCCTTGACCTCCCGGTCTCAAGTAATCCTGCCACCTCAGCCTCCCAAGTAGCTGGGACCACAGGCATGCACCATCACACCCAGCTAATTTTTGTATTTTTAATTTTTGTTTATTTTTTGTAGAAAATAAATTTTGTAGGAAGGAAATTCTGACACATGCTACAACATAGGTGAAACATAGATATTCTACTAAGTGAAAGAAGCCAGACACAAAAGGACACATATTGTGAGTCCACTTATCTGAGGTCTCTAGAATAGTTAGGTTCATAGAGACAGAAAATGGAATGGTGGTTGTCAGCAGCTAGTGGGGAGGGGAAAATAGGGAATTAGTGTTTAAGGGATACAAAATTTCAGTTTGGGAAGATGAAAAGGTTCTAGAGATGGATGGTCATGATGGTTGCACAACAATGTGAATGTACTGAATGCCACTGAACTGGACAAGTAAAAATGGTTAAAATGGTAAATTATAAAGTTTTTCTATTTTTAATTTTTTTTCTTTTTTTATTCTTTTTTTTTGAGACAGTGTTTCGCTCTTGTTGCCCATGCTGGAGTGAAATGGTGTGATCTTGGCTCACTGCAACCTCCACTTCCTGGGTTCAAGTGATTCTCCTGCTTCAGCCTCCCAAGTAGCTGGAATTACAGGCGTGCGCCACCATGCCCCGCTAATTTTGTATTTTTAGTAGAGACGGGGTTTCTCTATGTTGGTCAGGCTGGTCTCAAACTCCCGATCTCAGGTGATCCGCCCGCCTCGGCCTCCCGAAGTGCTGGGATTACGGGCGTGAGCCACCACGCCTGGTCTGATTTTTTTTTTTTTTTTAAAGAAGTCTTGCTCTGTCGCCCAGGCTACAGTGTAGTGGCACAATCTTGGCTCACTGCAACCTCTGCCTCCTGGGTTCAAGCGATTCTCCTGCCTCAGCCTCCCAAGTAGCTGAGATTACAGATGCACACCACCACGCCTATCTATCTATAGAAAGGATCTTTCCACATAGTTTGTGGGGCTTTTGGCTTTTTTTTCTGAGACTGAGTCTCGCTCTATCGCCCAGGCTGGAGTGCAGTGGCATTATCTTGGCTCGCTGCAACCTCCGACTCCCAGGTTCATGTGATTCTCCTGCCTCAGTCTCCTGAGCAGCTGGGATTACAGGCGTGCACCACTACGCCCAGCTAATTTTTGTATTTTTAGTAGAGACGGGGTTTCACCATGTTGGCCAGGCTGGTCTCAAACTCCTGACCTCAAGTGATCCGCTCACCTCAGCCTCCCAAATTGCTGGAATTACATGCGTGAGCTACCATTCCCAGCCTTTCCACATAGTTTGAATGTCTGACAATAAGCATGTAATCTTGCAATAATAAGATAATTAAAAGTGGAAAAAACTAAACAGAGGAGGATGTCATGTGACAGATAAGCATAAAAAGTGCTGGGGCTCTGGCTGAAAGCCACCTCAGGGGAGGGTTTTCCTTCTTCAGAGCAGGGGCTCTGCTTTCTCGTAAATCCCTGGGGATGACTGAGAAGCAGATGAAAGGTTAGGGCTCCGGAGGAAGCTAACTCCCAGCAACCTCTGCCCATTCTCCCCCTTGAGCAAAGGGACCTTGGAGGCTGGCAGTGAACACAGGAGATGCACCCTGCATCCAGTCCCACCTACCGCCACACACACCTAGGGCCTGGCCAGGGGTCTAAGATGGCCAAGTGCATAGCAGCTAAGACACACACAAGCAGAAGCCCTTGAGAGGTGGGCACCTTGCTGGAGAGCACAGGCCAGGCCTCATCTGGACAGCAACTTCCCCACCCCACCAGGGACAGTCCCATCCAGACATTCTGCGTTGCAGGGAGAAGCCAGCACGGTCCAGGGGACTGCGAGGGAACTGGCATCTGAAATGTTCATTCCTCTGCTTTGCTCCCAGGTTGCTAGGGTAGAATCCATAAACGCGCTGACTGGCTTCATTACTGATTAATAAGTTCCAGCTCTATGCCTGACAATCCCAGGCGGCTCCCTGCTTTTCCTAAGAGCAGGTTCAAAGCTGTGGCTCTCCCCCAGCCCCAGGCTCCTACAGAGCAGTTCACTGGGGCCTCCTCTTCCCAGGCCTGGTGAACTGGCCTTGCCTTCACCTCTGGGGGTGTGTGTGTGTGTGTGTGTGTGTGTGTGTGTGTGTGTTTGTGTCTCCATGTGCCCATCAGATCCTTCCTGAAGCAAACTGGCTGAGTGGTCATGCACCTTCCCAAGGCTGACCTAGCCCTTGAACGCATCCTACTCATTCCCTGTCTCTTGGGTGTTTCTTGATTTCCCATGTCCCTCTTACGTTTTCTTTCTCTCTTTCACCAGACATCACTGTCACAGGCTGTAAACAGGATCCGTATCTCCCCTGTCCTTGAAAAAAATCAAACCCAAATAATGTCCTTAGTACAGCCTCTCTCCTTCCTGTGACCCAAACCACTGACAGCTGTCACATAACTCTATTACAAGTCTCCCCAGCACCTCCCAGGCATTCTGTTTTTTAAAAATTAATTTGTATTAAATAGAGATGGTCTCTATTTAATAAACATTAGCGTCTCTTTATGCTGCCCAGGCTGATCATGAGCTCCCAGCCTTAAGCAGTCCTCCTGCCTTGGCCTCCCAGAGCACTGGGATTACAGGTGTGAGCCACCACATCTGGCCTGATCTGCTGTCACTCTAGATTACATTTGTCTTTTCTACAGTTAGATAGAAATCTAATCATGTAGTATATATTATTTTGTATCTTGCATTTTTGCTCAATGTGTGTTTTTTTCAGACGGAGTCTTACTGTAGCACCCAGGCTGGAGTGCAGGAGCACGACCTCGGCTTACTGCAACCTCGACCTCCTGGACTCAAGTGATTCTCCTGCCTCAGCCTCCCAAGTTGCTGGGATTACAGGCTCACGTCACCACACCTGGGTAATTTTTGTGGTTTTAGTAGAGACAGGGTTCACCATGTTGGCCAGGCTGGTCTTGAACTCTTGACCTCAAGTGATCCACCTGCCTCGGCCTCCCAAAGTGCTGGGATTACAGGCATGAGCCACCATGCCTGGCCAATTTTTGTATTTTTTTGTAGAGATGGGATTTCACCATGTTGTCTAGACTGGTCTCAAACTCCTGGGCTCACGCAATCTGCCCACCTTGACCTCTCAAAGAGGCACTTTCTTTTTTTCTTTTCTTTACTTTTTTTTTTTTTTTTGAGACAGAGTTTTGCTGTTGTTGCCCATGCTGGAGTGCAGTGGCGCGATCTCGGCTCACTGCAACTTCCGCCTCCCGGGTTCAAACCATACTCCTGCCTCAGCCTCCTGAGTAGCTGGGATTACAGGCGTCCACCACCACGCCCAGCTAATTTTTTGTATTTTTAGTAGAGATGGGGTTTCACCATGTTGGCCAGGCTGGTCTGGAACTCCTGACCTCAGGGATCCACCCGCCTTGGCCTCTCAAAATGCTGGAATTACAGGCGTAAGCCACCACACCCAGCCCCACTTTTTTTTTTTTTTTCTAAACAGCTTTATAATTTACATACCGCTGGCGGGGCGAAGTGCCTCGCGCTTGTAATCTGAGCACTTTGGGAGTCCGAGGCAGGTGGATCGCTTGAGGTCAGGAACTCGAGACCAGCCTGACCAGCATGGCGAAACCCCATCTCTACTAAAAGTACAAAAATTAGCCAGGCGTGGTGGTGGGCACCTGTAGTCCCAGCTACTAGGGAGGCTGAGGCAGGAGAATCACTTGAACCCGGGAGGCGAGGCTGCAGTGAGCCGAGATCATGCCACTGCACTGCAGCCTGGGAGACAGAGCAAGACTCTGTCTTTAAAAAAAAAAACAAAAAAAAAACCCATACAATCCACCCATTTAAAGTGTATAATTATGTTGTTTTAGTATTTTCACAGATGTTTGCAACTATCATCACTTCAGTTTCTTTTTGTCCCATAAACTTTCTGAAAATTGGACCCTTGAAATATTATGGAATAACTCTAGAAATCAGATTCTCTCCCCCTCCAGGGTGCATTGTGTTACTACTGTCTATTCTTGTTTGCTTCTGAACTAATTCTGTGTGTTCTTTGTCATGTGTGGCCACTGAAGTCCACTGGGTTAGCTTAGTGGTCAGCTAATGAATGGATTGAGATTTCCTTAAGTATTTGGAAACCATAAGTCTCCCAGTCTTTGCTGGTCTTTACTGTGGGTTTTTGGAGCAAACCTTCAAACTCAGCCAGGCAGCTGACAACCCTACCTTAGCCTTCACGTCCTGCTTGCACAGAGCATCAGGGTTCCCCATTGAGAGCCCTCCTGTTGTAAATAAAGGAGCTGGGGAGACCAAATTATTGTGTGGGAAGTTTGCTTAGCAAAATGGTAGACATGCCTAACTGATCCCCTTTCTCCCCTTCTCTCTTATTAACAGTCCCCCTATGTTATTGGGGACAGAATTGTGCCCAGACAAGAAAATGATGTTTCCCAGCCTCCCCTGCAGCTGAGTGGGGACAACCATTGAGATGTAAGTGAAAGTTGATGGATGATGTTGAGAGGTGACAGCATGCTGGCAGCCCTCACAGCCCTCGCTCACTCTCTGCGCTTCCTCGGCCTCGGCGCCCACTCTGGCCATGCTTGAGGAGCCCTTCAGCCCACCGCTGCACTGTGGGAGCCCCTTTCTGGGCTGGCCGAGGCCGAGGCCGGCTCCCTCAGCTTGCGGGGAGGTGTGGAGGGAGAGACGCGGGCGGGAACCAGGGCTGCATGGAGCACTTGCAGGCCAGCGTGAGCTCTGGGTGGGCGTGGGCTCGGTGGGCCCACTGTCTGAGCGGCCGGCTGGCGCTGCCAGCCCCGGGCAGTGAGGGGCTTAGCACCCGGGCCAGCAGCTGTGGAGGGTGCACTGGGTCCCCCAGCAGTGCCGGCCCACCTTGGCGCTAAGGCAAATTCTCGTGGGCTCTGGAGCAGATCTTCCCAACCAGAGTATGGGAACCGCTGCAGGCCTGCCACAAGATACAGATAACTGTAAATGTCATAGTCATTTTATTTGAATTTTATGCAAATTCAGTATTTATTTATTTATTTATTGAGATGGAGTTTTGCTCAGGCTTGAGTGCAATGGCGCCATCTTGGCTCACTGCAACCTCTGCCTCCTCAGTTTGAGTGATTCTCCCGGCTCAGCCTCCCAAGTAGCTGGGATTACAGGCACACACCACCGCACCTGGCTAATTTTTTGTATTTTTTTTTAATATATTTTTTTGAGACAGAGTCTCACTCTGTTGCCCAGGCTGGAGTGCAATGGCACGATCTCGGCTCACTGCAAACTCTGCCTCCCGGGTTCAAGTGATTCTCCTGCCTCAGCTTCCTGAGTAGCTGGAATTACAGGTGCCTGCCACCATGCCCAGCTAATTTTTGTATTTTTAGTAGAGATGAGTTTTCATGATGCTGGCCAGGCTGATCTTGAACTCCGAACCTTAGGCGATCCGCCCGCCTCAGCCTCCCAAAATGCTGGGATTACAGACGTGAGCCACCGCGCCCAGCCAATTTTTTGTATTTTTAGTAGAGACAGGGTTTTGCCATGTTGGCCAGGCTGGTCTCGAACTCCTGACCTGAGGTGATCCACCCACCTCTGCCTCCCAACGTTTTGGGATTACAGGCGTGAGCCACCGTGCCTGGGCCAAATTCAGTATTTATGTAATCTCCAATACTTTTTATTACCATAATTATATACTATAAAGAAAATGTAATAGTCTATTTTTACCAAGCCTCTTGTAGACACTGCCAAATAAATCATACAAATATTATCATGCCCTTTGTGTGAAAAAGTTAAGGAGGCCTGATCTAGACCTTGGCTAACCGTTCCTTTTTAGGGGAGTCATCATGTACTCACTGAGGGAGGCCGCTTCTTGGTTGTGCACTCATTTCCCTGACACTGCCACCTTAGTGAATTTGGCTATGGCCCACATTTCTCAACTGAGAGCTCAGACCATTGCCTCTTGCATGGGATGGAGGGAGCGGCTGATTGCAGGAGCCGGGTGTTGCACTGGGCATGATGGCTCACACCTGTAATCCTAGCACTTTGGGAGGATCGCTTGAGGCCAGGAGTTTGAGACCAGCCTGGAAAACAGAGTGAGATCATGTCTCTACAAAATTATAAAAAAAAAAAAAAAAAAAAAGTTGGATGTGGTGGTATGCACCTGTAATCCTAGCTACTTGAGAGGCTGAGGGAGGAGGATTGCTTGAGCCCAGGAGGTCGAGACTGCAGTGAGCTATGATCACACCACTGCACTCCAGCCTGGGTGACAGAGCAAGACCCCATCTCAAAAAGAAAAAAAAAAGAGGTTGAGTGTTGATGTCTCCAAGTTTCACAATCAAAAGCCCGCATGTCTCCCCTTTGCAAACCTTCCAGCACTGTCTGTGGGGATTAGCTCCCCTGTCAGCCCTCACCACCTAGCCAGGGGCAGCCAGAGCTGAGGTTTGTTCTGAAACCCAAGGAAAGCCCTGGGGAGGAGAGCTTGCTAATTAGAAAAGGCCCTCAGCTGCCTTTCCCCTCTTCCTTCTCAGCATCCCTGGCTCTCAAGGTGACCTGCAGGGACCAGGACCAGCAGCAGCATCGGGATCCTGATAGAAATGCAGATTCTCAGGTCCTACCCCAGCCTTATTCAGAAACTCTGGGCCCAGAATTCCCTCCAGGGGATTCTGATGCATGCTCCAGTGTGAGCATTTGCATAGCTCTCTAAAGTCTTTCCCCTGATTGCTTAGAGCGCATCTTTCCTCCTTGCTAACGCCCTCAATCAGGGGTAGTCATAGACCTGAGCAGCCTCTGCAGTTGGAAAGGTGGGCCTGGCAGGCCCTGTGGGATCTCAGCCCTGCTAGGTAAGCCGTGGAGCTCTTCCTGGTCAGGGAGAGTGTGCATGGGGGTCACTAGCCCCATAGGAAACTAGAGAGATGGAGACAGACTTAAACAGCACAAAGAAACCAGAGAAACCAAGTTCTCCAGTGGGTACCTCTGAATCACCAGTAGAGGTTTTCTTCTTTTTCTTTCTTTCTTTTTTTTTTTTTTTTTTTTTTTTGAGACAGAGTCTTGCTCTGTCACCCAGGCTGGAGTATAGTGGCACGATCTTGGCTCACTGCAACCTCTGCCTCCTGGTTCAAGTGATTCTCCTGCCTCAGCCTCCCAAGCAACTGGAATTACAGGTTCCCGCCACCACGCCCAGCTAATTTTTGTGTTTTTAGTAGAGATGAGGTTTCACCATGTTGGCCAGGCTGGTCTTGAACTCCTGACCTCAGGTGATCCACCCACCTTGGCCTCCCAAAGTGTTGGGATTACAGGCTTGAACCACCACGCCCGGCCTTCTTTTTTTTTTTTCTTTTTTTTGAGAAAGGATCTTGCTCTGTCGCCCAGGCTGGATTACAGTGGCACAATCATAGTTCACTGCAGCCTCAACCTCCCTGGATCAAACCATCCTCCCACCTCAGCCTCCCAGGTAGCTGGGACTACAGGTGCACACCACCATGCCCGGCTAATTTTTTTTTACTTTTTTTGTAGAGATGGGGTCACCCTATGTTGCCAAGGCTGGTCTCGAACCCCTTGGCTCTAGCGATCCTCCCAAAGTGCTGGGATTCCAGGCATGAGCCATCGCACCTGGCCAGTAGAGCTCTTCTGAATCGTGCCTTTTTGTTTTAACCTTAGGTGCGGAGGGTCAAACATAATACTTCTCTGTTTGTGGCATATTAACAACATTGATCCACATAAGGCGTGGGTGTGTGTTTGTGTGTTTGTGCACGCGCACGCGTGCGTACCATTTGATTTCCATTTCCCACTCACCTCTCCCCCCACAGGCAATTGTTTTGTTGTGTATTCGTTCCTTCATATATGCACTTGCAAAATGAATACTGCTATTTTGCATGAATTTATTTTTTATGTTAATGTAAGTGGTATAGCCATGTAACATACCTATGGAAAAAAAGGCATGTATCATACATGTACAGCTAGATACATTTTCACAAAGGGAACATACCTGTGTAGCCAGTGCCCAGCTCAAGAATGAGAATGACCAGCACTCCAGAAGCGCCTTGTGCCCCTAGGGTAATTTCTATGGGACTCCTAACAACATAGATTGGTTTTCCTACTTTTGAAATTTTTATCAGTGGCACCTGTATGCATGTATTTTTGTATGTATATATTTTGAGTTTACATTAATGGTATTGGGTTATATATTTCACCTTGTTTCTCACCTTTCTCTCACCAAGGACTAAGTTTTTCAGGTCTATTTCCATTACTGTGTGTACATTACTATGTATACATAGAATGCATTGCTTTTATTTATTTATTTATTTATTTATTTATTTATTTATTTATTTTTTGAGATAGATTCTCGCTCTTGTCACCCAGGCTGGAGTGCCGTGGCACGATCTCGGCTCACTGCAACCTCCACCTCCCGAGTTCAAGTGATTCTCCTGCTTCAGCCTCCTGAGTAGCTGGGATTACAGGCACCTGCCACCATGCCCTGCTAATTTTTGGACTTTTAGTAGAGACAGGGTTTCACCATGTTGGCCAGGCTGGTCTGGAACTCCTGACCTCAGGTGATCCGCCCACCTCAGCCTCCCAAAGTGCTGGGATTACAGGCGTGAGCCATCACGCCCAGCCTAATGCATTGCTTTTAATTACTGCATAATAGAGGTGCAGGATTGGACCGGGCACGGTGGCTCATGCTTGTAATCCCAGCACTTTGGGAGGCTGAGGTGGGCGGATCACTTGAGGTCAGGAGTTCCAGACCAGCCTGTCCAACATGGCAAAACCCCGTCTCTATTAAAAATACAAAAATTAGTTGGACATGGTGGCATGCGCCTGTAATCCCAGCTACTGGGGAGGCTGAGGCAGGAGAATCGCTTGAACCTGGGAGGCGGAGGTTGCAGTGTGCCAAGATCACGCCACTGCAGCCTGGGTGACAAAACCAAACTCCGTCTCAAAAAAAAAAAAAAAAGGTCTAGGATTCTAGGATGGGCATCTACCTATCCACAGTCCCTGAGACAGGCAACCTAATCGCCTGGGGATCCCTGCCATTACAAACAGCACTGCAGTGACCATCTTGTGCACATTCTTCATGGGCCCATGGAAAACAGGTTGTGCAGAAAAGAATGGACACAGCAGGCCTGGCTGTCCTCCTGAGAAAGGCCTGCGTACCAGGGTGACCCTTGGCTGGTGTCTGGGAACTTGGATTTGGGAGGGTTCTCACCCTTCCCTAACAGATAATAGTGGCTCACTGGGCCTAAACTGTTTATTTTTATTTTTATTTTGAGACAGGGTCTCGCTCTGTCACCCAGGCTGGAATGCAGTCACAGCTCACTGCAGCCTCAACCTCCTGGGCTCAAGCAATCCTCCCACCTCAGCCTCCCAAATAGCTCGGACTACAGGTATGAGCTACCATACCCAGCTACTTTTTAAAATTTTTGTAGAGATGCGGGTCTCGCCATGTTGCCCAGGCTGGTCTCAAACTCCTGGATTCAAGCAATCCGCCTGCCTCAGCCTCCCAAAGTGCTGGGATTACAGGCATGAGCCACCACTCCCTGCCACAGTTCCTCTTTTGTAATCTGCTGAGCTCCATTGTGATGCCTCTGCCCTGTCCTGCCTGGAATGCCGCTCCCTCCCTTCCCTCACTTTTCTGATGGCTTCTTCAAAAACTGAATTCACTATTCACCTACAGACATTCCCACCACCTTGAGGAAGGTGGGGTGTCACTGCCAAAGTGAAAGACAGGCGGTACCACCTACCATTAAGAAACAGGCGGCCGGGCGCGGTGGCTCACGCCTGTAATCCCAACACTTTGGGAGGCAGAGGCAGGCGGATCATGAGGTCAGGAGATTGAGACCATCCTGGCTAACACAGTGAAACCCTGTCTCTTCTAAAAATACACAAAATTAGCCGGGCGTAGTGGCACGTGCCTGTAGTCCCAGCTACTCAGGAGGCTGAGGCAGGAGAATCGCTTGATCCTGGTAGGCGGAGGTTGCAGTGAGCCGAGATTGTGCCACTGCACTCCAGCCTGGGCAACAGAGCGAGACTCCATCTCAAAAACAAAACAAAACAAAAGAAAAGAAAAAAAAAAGAAGAAGAAGAAAGAGGCACACCAGCCTGGGCAACATACAGCAAAATCTGTCTCTACAAAAAATAAAAAATCAGCTGGGTGTGGTGGCACGTGCCTGTACTCCCAGCTACTCAGGAGGCTGAAGCAGGAGGATTGCTTGAGCCTAGGAGGACAAGGCTGCAGTGAGCCGTGTTTGTGCCAGTGCACTCCAGCCTGGGCAACAGAGTGAGACCTTGCCTCAAAAAAAAGGAAGAGGCACAATGTTTGGTGTCATTGGATTTTGGAGGCAACACACACCCTATTCTAATGAGCTACTCTGACCCAATTGCCCAGTAGACCAGAGATTGCCAGTTCTGAGCAACTGACAGCTCTGCAGTCCAGGCTTTGGTACAAGCTGCTCTGCCACTTTGGCCGATAGTACTTGAAAAGTCTTTGGCAAATAGCTGGGCGGTGGCTCACGCCTGTAATCCCAGCACTTTGGGAGGCTGAGGTGGGCGGATTACCTCAGGTCAGTAGTTCAAGACCAGCCTGGCCAACATGGTGAAACCCCGTCTCTACTAAAAATACAAAAATTAGCTGGGTGCAGTGGCACCTGCCTGTAATCCCAGCTACTCCAGAGGCTGAGGTGGGAGAATCATTTGAACCTGGGAGGTGGAGGTTGCAGTGAGCCAAGATCGTGCCACTGCACTCCAGCCTGGGTGACACAGCGAGACTCCGTCTCAAAAAAAAAAAAAAAAAGAAAAAGAAAAGTCTTTGGCAAATAGACTTGGAGCCCCCGCAATCCAAGATAAGAGAATCACACACAGACCCCCAGGGTCCATGGTCAGTCAGGACATCTGCAGCAAATTGTTTTAGCTTCCCGTTGGATGCCTGATCATGGAACATCTTCAAAACTTGGTTCACCACTTACTTTCAGGGACCTTTCCATAGATAACTACATCATACACTCTGTGGCTTCAACTTTCTTGGACTGAATGTGTGCTTTATTAAACAAGACTTGTAGCCATTTGCCTTGCTAAGTGATCCACCTGTGTTGACTTTGTCTCCCAACTAGTATGTGATATTGAGCAAGTTAACTAAATCTTGAAAAATGAGAATAAGCCAGACACAATGAAGCAGACCCATAGCCCCAGCTACTCCAGAGGACGAGGCAGAAGAATTGTGGGACCCCGTCTCTAAGAAAATAATAATAATAAATGCCGGGTGCAGTGACTCATGCCTGTAATCCCAGCACTTTGGGAGGCCGAGGCGGGCAGATCACCTGAGGTCGGGAATTAGAGACCAGCCTGACCAACATGGAGAAACCTCGTCTCTACTAATAATACAAAATTAGCCGGGCGTGGTGGCGCATGCCTGTAATCCCAGCTACTCGGGAGGCTGAGGCAGGAGAATCGCTTGAACCCAGGAGGTGGAGGTTGCGGTGAGCCGAGATCGCACCATTGCACTCCAGCCTGGGCAACAAGAGCAAAACTCCATCTCAAAAAAAAAAAAAAAAAAAAAGAAAGACAGAAAATAATAACAACAACAACAATAATAATAATAAAAGTGCTAGACTGGGTGCAGTGGCTCACGCCTGTAATCCTAACACTTTGGGAGGCTGAAGCAGGAAGACGGTTTGAGCCCAGGAGTTCGAGACCAGCCTGGGCAACATAGTGAGACCCTCATCTCTGCAAAACATCAAAAATTAGCCAGGTGTGGTGGCACGTGCCACCTGTACTCCCAGCTACTCCGTAGGCTGAGGTGGGAGGATCACTTGAGCCCAGGATGTTGAGGCTGCAGTGAGCCATGATCATGCCACTGCACTCCAGCCTGGGTGACGAGTGAGACTCTGTCAAAAAAAAAAAAGAGGTAAATAAATAAAAATAAAGCCCTTAGAAAGGTGCCTGGAGACTGGGCGCGGTAGCTCATGCCTGTAGTCCCAGCATTTTGGGAGGCCGAAGCAGGTGGATCACCTGAGGTCAGGAGTTCAAGACCAGCCTGGGCAACATGGTGAAACCCCGTCTCTACTAAAAATACAAAAATTAGCTGGATGTGGTGGCAAGTGCCTGTAATTCCAGCTACTCAGGAGGCTAAAGCACGAGAATCATTTGAACCCGGGAGGTGGAGGTTGCAGTGAGCCGAGATCGCACCACTATACTCCAGCCTGGGCGACAGAGAGAGACTCCGTCTCAAAAAAATTAAATTAAAAAAAGGAAGGTGCCTGGAACATTTTCAACAGTCAGTACATTTAAACTGCTGTTGCTGTTATTATGGCTGATGGGAGAGGGTTGCAGAGACAGAGTGGGGATTAAGTGAGAGAAACACCTGCCAATGGCACAATGATTATGACCTCCGGAGAAATAAGGAGGCGATGAGTGTTTGCAGGTGCTCCTGCAACAGGGCTCCATGGCTTTGCTTCAATGCAGAGCGCCGCTGGACTCTCGTCACGGCAGATGGAATCACGCTGCCAGGGCAGAGGGGAGCAGCCCTCAGAACCGTGCCATGAGTGTCAGGCCACAGGGTCGTGGCCATCCTTGGGTGAGGAAACCGCTTTTCTGCGCATGCTTCCCCAGGTGTTTAAAACTCTCTCTGGAAGATGAATCAGAGAACGCTTTAGACAGGTTGCACTATGGCTGGAAATAGAAATGCCGGGATCTCTCATTTCAAGTTTTCCACAAATGTTAATTTCCTTTTTCTGAAAGGAAAAACACTTGATTCTAATTTTTTTGTAGGCCTGAAATGAGATTTTTCCTCAATTGGAAGATGTGTTGTACCGTGTATGTACCATACACTAAATGAGAGAAGGGTTGGGAAAACGTAAGCAGGAAACTTTTACTGCAAAAGTAAAAGGAATTACTAAGCGAAAGCCAATCTGAAAAGGCTGCATACTATATGATTCCAACTATATGGCATTCTGGAAAAAGCAAGACTATGGAGAAGGTGAAAAATAATTCAGCAGCCACCAGGTGTTGTGGGGAGGGGGGATGAATAGGTGAAGCACAGCGGATTTGTAGGGCAGTGAAAATACTCCGTATGACACTATAATGGTGGATGTGTGGCATTATGCATTAGTCCAAACCCACAGAATGTACCATAGCGACAGTGAACCCTGATGTCAGCTGTGGCTCCTGGGTGATAATGATGTGTCCATGCAGGCTCATCTGGAGGGGGATGCTGCTGGGGGGAGGTTGTGCTTGTGCAGGGGCAGCGAGGAATATGGGAAATCTCTGCACCTTCCTCTCAGTTTTGCTGTGAACCTAAAACTGCTCGAAAAAAATAAAGTCTATTTAAAAAAAAAAAAAGTAAAATGAGAAAGCAAACTTGGTTTTGAGGGCATATTATTTAGAACTCTGCTGGGTGCAAGTAACAGAAGTTTCTAGCTCACTGAGCCCCAGAAGGACGTTATAGGTCATGGGTGCCTCGGGAACCGGAAGACAGGGATGGTTACAGATGCTGGGAGGATGCTGCAGTGAGGCGGAAGGCAGAATCCCTGTGGCCTCTCTCTCCCCAGCTCCCCTGTTTACACAGGATGATCTCCCGCTTTCCATAGACACTGTTTTCCCTTTCTGTACCCCAATCCTAAATTCCTGGGCAAGGGGACGCTGGTGGCCCAGTGCTTGGGGCAGGTGCCTGCTCCCAGCCCCAGCAGCTCTGGTCATGGTGGGTGGAGGTCCGGGTATGGTTCAACGGAAGCTGCCTGCAGCGCAAACCTACAAGGAAGTGAATGTGTGTGTTGGGTGGGGCAGGGCGCTTTCAGGGGGCCCTAGTTTTGTAATAGTCGTGCCCCCATCCCCACCCCAGCAGGAATATTGTGTTAGCTCCTGGCTGAACTAGGCCCCACTTTCTGTGCTTGCTGCTGACACCCGCTTTCCTTTTGATTTAAGGCCGTTGCAGGGCTCCGCTTTGGAGCGGGCATTGGAGGAATTCTTTGACCACCAAGCAGCCTCCATACCTCCCTCCTACATAACAGAGCCACCGAGAGGCTGTTTGCATTCTGCCTGCTTTCTCTTTTTCCGTTGCAGTAGTTTATTAATTAGTGTGCAAAAAATAAAAAGGAGGTAATAACCTTATTTATGTGCTAGTCCACGTGTTCAGTGTGCTCATTTTTTCTGCAGCCTGGCATCGGGAACCGGAACGTTTGGCCCCAGGAGAGGGGGCCGGGACCCTGGGTGCCAGAATCTTACAGTGCGGAGGCGACAGGCCAACGCAGTTCCTTCCTTTTCCTCCCTCCCTCTCTTCTTCTCCCCGCCACCTTCCTCCCTCCCTCCTGCCTCCTCTCTCCCTCCTCCCTCACCCCCTCCTCCCTCCGCGGGTTCTGGGCGTCCTTGGAAGGAAAGGAGAGTGGCCTCGAGGTCGGAGAACTCGCAGCAGTCATGGCAAACATCGCTGGGAAGCGGGACAGGATCCCCGGGAGGTTGAAACTCGGGTTCCAGGCGGCCTCTGGTGGCGATCACGGAGGGTGTGCCTCCCGGTCCCGCCCCTCACCCCGCAGCCGGGGACCCTCAGCCACCTCCCGGGCGGGCCACCCCGCCGGGGTCTGCTCTGGCCGCTGTCCCCCCGCATCATTTGCCACGAGCCCCTTCACTTCAGCGGTGCACGCGGGGCCATCTCCGCTTCCACAGTGTGGTGTTTAAATCCGCAACGATCACAGCCCAGCGGGGGACTCAGCAGGGAACCTGGGCAAGATGGATGCAGGGATTCAACGACGGCCCGGTCTGGCCAGGCCAAGCTTCTGGCCCCTCCTACAGCGGTTTGTAATGGAGGCTGATCCGCCTTTTCCGTGGTTGCAGCGAGGGAGAGCCTTGTCGCACCTCGCAGCACCCCCACCCCCCTAACCCCCATCGTCCAGCAGGCGGGCCCCGGCTTTGCACAGTTACCAACCTGAGCAGCCCCGCAGCGCGGCACCCAGCCAGCAGGAGGGAGGGAGGGCCAAGGTGGCTCCCCGGGGAGGCTGGAAGTCCTTGCCACCCCGGACTTGGGGACTGGGGGCTTCTGCACTGTTGGAATCCTGCCTGGGGGCACGAGCTGCCTTGAGAGAGGTTTCTGGATGTAGAGTCAGTTGGGCTCCCTCCCTGCCTTTTTTTTTTTTTTTTTTTCACCTCCTGAGACATCCAGGAAATGTATAGATATCTGCAGCACTCCGGGATGAACTGGAGGGTATTGGGGGAGTCAAAATGGGACCCGGTGGGAAAAACATATATTTCATTTTCCGTATATTATGTAATCCTGTAAATAAAATTAAATACATTTTAAGCTGGGGTGGTGCTTTCTGTAACTGAATGAAAAGCACCTCCAAGGCTTCAACTTCAAGAGAAAAAAAGGAAAAGGAGGAAATTTTTAAAAAAAGTTAACTAGGGGCCGGGCGCGGTGGCTCACGCCTGTAACCCCAGCACTTTGGGAGGCCGAGGCGGGCGGATCACGAGGTCAGGAGATCGAGACCATCCTGGCTAACACGTGACTATCTCTACTAAAAATACAAAAAATTAGCCGAACGTGGTGGCGGGCGCCTGTAGTCCCAGCTACCCGGGAGGCTGAAGCGGAAGAATGGCGTGAACCCGGGAGGCGGAGCTTGCAGTGAGCCGAGATCACACCACTGCACTCCAGCCTGGGCGACAGAGCGAGGCTCCGTCTCAAAAAAAAAAAAAAAAAAATGTTAACTAGGTAAAAATTTAAAAACAAAAAGCAACATAAAAAGAAAATTAAATACAGACTATTAGGAAAGGTGTGAAATACCAAGCATGTGTATAACATTTTCTAATGAAATCTTTCCAACCCCCTCTTTTGCTTTTTTAACTTTTTATTATGAGAAATTTCGAACATACATAAAAGTAGATAAGTAGATAACAAATCCTCACCTTCAACAATGACCAATGTAGGCCAGGTGTGGTGGCTCACACCTGTAATCCCAGCACTTTGGGAGACTGAGGCAGGCCGATTACTTGAGCCCAGGAGTTCGAGACCAGCCTGGGCAACATAGCGAGACCGCCCCCCCATCTCTATAAAACAATTTAAAAATTAGCTGGGCATGGTGGCACGTGTCTGTAGTCTCACCTACTCAGGAGGCTGAGGTGGGAGGATCACTTGAGTCCAGGAGGTTGCAGTGAGCTGTGACCTTGCCACTTCAACAAAGCAAGACCATGTCTTAAAAAAAAAAATTACCAATGTAGGGCCAATTTTTTTCACCTATATCCTCACCTACTCCCCCCCATTATATATTTTCATTTAATTAATTTTATTTATTTATTTATTTTTATTTTATTTTTTTTTTTGAGACGGAGTTTCACTCTTGTTGCCCAGGCTGGAGTGCAATGGCATGGTCTTGGCTCACCACAACCTCCGCCTCCCGGGTTCAAGAGAGTCTCCTGCCTCAGCCTCCCGAGTAGCTGGGATTACAGGCATGCTCCACCATGCCCGGCTAATTTTGTATTTTTAGTAGAGATGGGGTTTCTCCATGTTGATCAGGCTGGTCTCAAACTCCTGACCTCAGGTGATCCGCCCACCTTGGCCTCCCAAAGTGCTGGGATTACAGGCGTGAGCCACCGCGCCTGGCATATTTTTATTTTTTAATGATACGATAAATTGAGCTTGTGCTTTAGTTAAGGCTTGGCTGTGTAACAAGCCACCCCAAAACTTAGTGGCCCAAAGCAACAATAGTTTACTATTTCTTACCATTCCAGTGATTGGATTGGGCAGTTCCTCTGCCAGTTTTGACTGGAGTTCCTCCTAAAATGTCTAAGATTGCCCCTCATCCTCTAATAGGCTAGATGAGCCTCCTTATATGGCACCTAGAGTTTTCTAAGAGAATCAAGGCAGAAGCTTCAAACTTACTGACCTGTAAGAGTCCTGAGTCATTCCTGCCCCATTCTATTAACCAAAGCAAGTCGCAAAGCCAGCCCAGACTAGAGAGGTGAAGGGAGAATGGAGAGAGGGGAGAAATAAGCCTCAGTGATGGATGGGACGAATGAATGGCAGAGATTGCACAATGGTATGCACATTAGGATGAGAGGAATTTGTGGCTTTTTTTTTTTTTTTTTTTTTTTTTTGATACAGAGTCTGGCTCTGTCACCCAAGCTGGAGTTCAGTGGTATGATCTTGGCTCATTGCAACCTCTGCCTCCTGAGTTCAAGCCATTCTCCTGCCTCAGCCTCCTGAGTAGCTGGGATTACAAGTGCACGCCACCACGGCTAATTTTTGTATTTTTAGTAGAAACGATGTTTCACCATGTTGGCCAAGCTGGTCTCGAACTCCTGACCTCAAGTGATCCGCCTGCCTCAGCTTCCCAAAGTGCTGGGATTACAGGCGTGAGCCACTGCACCCAGCCAATAGCCTTTCAACAATCGATTGTAGTTTGCTTCCATCAACATAACTTTTCTTTCTTTCTTTCTTCCTTCCTTCCTTCTTCCTTTCTTCCTTTTCTTTTGAGATGGGGGTCTCACTCTGTTGCCCAGGCTGGAGTGCAGTGGTGCCATTATAGCTCACTGCAGCCTCAAACTCCTAGGTTCAAGTGATCCTCCTGCCCCAGCCTCCCGAGTAGCTGGGACTACCCATGCAGCATCGCACCTGACTAAATTTTAAAATTTTTGTACAGATGGAGTCTCACTATGTTTCCCAGGCTGTTCTCAAAATCCTGGCCTCAAGTGATCCTCCCACCTTGGCCTCCCAAAATGTTGGGATTACAAGCATGAGCCACCACACCCAACCCATAACTTTTCCTTTTAATAAACTTTATATATATATATATAAATTAATTTTTTTTTTGAGATGGAGTTTCACTCTTGTTGCCCAGGCTAGAATGCAATGGTGCAATCTTGGCCTCCTGGATTCAAGCGATTCTCCCGCCTCAGCCTCCGAGTAGCTGGGATTACAGGCATGCACCACCACACCTGGCCAATTTTGTATTTTTAGTAGGGACGGGGTTTCTCCATGTTGGTCAGGCTGGTCTCTAACTCCTGACCTTAGGTGATCCGCCCACCTCGGTCTCTCAAAGTGCTGGGATTACAGGTGTGAGGCACCGTGCCCGGCCTTTAATTTTATTTATTTATTTATTTTTATTTTTATTTTTTGAGGCCGAGTCTTGCTCTGTCGCCCAGGCTAGAGTGCAATGGTAGGATCTCAGCTCACTGCAATCTCCACCTCCCAGATTCAAGCAATTCTAATTCTTCTGCCTCAGCCTCCCAAGTAGCTGGGATTGCAGGTGCCCACTATCATGCCTGGCTAATTTTTGTATTTTTAGTGGAGACAGGGTTTTGCCATGTTGGCCAGGCTGGTCTCGAACTCCTAGCCTGAAGTGATCTGCCCACCTCAGCCTCCCAAAGTGCTGGGATTACAGGTGTGAGCCACCATGCCCAGCCAAACTATACACACGCACACACACACACACACACACACATATATATATATATATATATTTGAGACGGAGTCACTCTGTTGCCCAGGCTGGAGTGCAGTGGCATGATCTCAACTCACTGCAACCTCCACCTCCCAGGTTCAAGTGATTCTCCTGCCTCAGCCTCCCGGGTAGCTAGGATTACAGGCGCACACCACCGTGCCCAGCTAATTTTGTTTTTTTTTTTTTTTTTTTGAGGCAAAGTCTCATTCTTGTTGCCCAGGCTGGAGTGCAATGACGCGATCTCGGCTCACAGCAACCTCCGCCTCCTGGGTTCAAGCAAGTCTCCTGCCTCAGCCCCTGAGTAGCTGGGATTACAGGCATGTGCCACCATGCCCGGCTAGTTTTGGTATTTTTAGTAGAGACGGGGTTTCACCATGTTGGTCAGGGTGGTCTCAAACTCCTGACCTCAGGTGATCCACCCGCCTTGGCCTCCCAAAGTGCTGGGATTACAGGTGTGAGCCACCGTGCCTGGCCATGCCCAGCTAATTTTTGTACTTTTAGTAGAGATGGGTTTCACCATGTTGGCCAGGCTGGTTTCAAACTCCTGACCTCAGGTGATCTGCCCACCTCAGCCTCCCAAAGTGCTGGGATTACAGGTGTAAGCCACTGTGCCCAGCCAACTTTATATTTTTTAGAACAGTTTTAGTTTCATGGCAATAGTGGGCAGAAGATACAGAGATTTCCCATATACCCCCTTGACTCCCGACAGGTACAGCCTCCCCCATTATCAATATCCCCCACCAGAGTGGTATATTTGTTGCAATTGATGAACCTGCATCAACACATCATCATCACCCAGAGTCCACAGTTTACGTTAGGGTTTACTCTTGGTGTTATATATTTTGTGAGTTTGGACAAATGTATGATTATGTATGTCCAGCATCATAGTATTATACAGAGTATTTTTTCTTTTTCGTTGTTTTGTTTTGTTTATTTGAGACAGGGTCTCGCTCTGTTGCTCAGGCTGGAGTGCAGTGGTGCAATCATGGCTCACTGCAACCTCTGCCTCCTGGGCTTAGGTGGTCCTCCCAGCTCAGCCTCCCAAGTAGCTGGGACCACAGGCGCACATCACCATGCCCCACTAATTTTTCTGTTTTTTGTAGAGACGGGGTCTCGCCATGTTTCCCAAGCTGGTCTCACACTCCTGGGCTCAAGTAATGCTCCCACCTCAGCCTTCCAAAGTGGTGGGATTACAGGCATGAGCGAGTGTGCCCAGCCCAGAGTATTTTCACTGCCCTAAAGATCCCCTGTGGTCCAGCTGTTCATCCCTCCCTCCCGGCTAGCCCCTGGCAGCCAGTGATCTTCTTACTATCTCCACAGTTTTGCTCTTTCAAGAGTGTCACATAGAGTAGTTGGAATCGTACAGCACGTAGCCTCTTCAGATTGGCTTCCTTCACTTGATAGTATGCATTTAAGTTTCCTTCATGTCTTTTCATGGCTTGAGAGCTCATTTCTACTTAGTGCTAGTCCACTGTCTGGCTATACCACAGTTGTTTATTTATCCATTCACCTACTGAAGGACATCTTGGTTGCTTCCAAGCTTTGGCAATTATGAATAAAGCTGCTATAAACATCTGTGTGCAGATTTTTGTGTAGGCATAAGTTTTCCAGTCGTTTGGGTAAACACCAAGGAGTGTAACAAAACTCTTTATATGAGGTTTTATGCTTACAGTGGCAATTTCTGACCTGGACTTATGCTGAACTGCTGAACACTTCAAATACTTTTTTATTTTTTGAGACTTGAGTCTCGCTCTGCCGCCCAGGCTGGAGTGCAATGGCACGATCTCGGCTCACTGCAGTCACTGCCTCCCAGGTTCAAGCGATTCTCCTGCCTCAGCCTCCCGAGTAGCTAGGGCTACAGATGCACACCACCACGCCCACCTAATTTTTGTATTTTTAGTAGAGACGGGATTTTGCCATGTTGGCCAAGCTGGTCTCGAACTCCTGACCTCAGGTGATCCACCCGCCTCAGCCTCCCAAAGTGCTGAGATTACAGGCTTGAGCCACCGCACCCGACCAACTTCAAATGCTTGATAGCTACCATCAAGGGGAAGTTGTGTTAGCACAAGTTAACGTTTAACATTTTTTATCATCCATTTACAATTTTGCAACAGTTGATATTATATTTAAAGAACCTGGTAGCCAGGCATGGTGGCACGTGCCTGTAATCCCAGCTACTCAGGAAGCTGAGGCAGGAGAATCACTTGAACCCAGGAGGCAGAGGCTGCAGTGAGCCGAGATAGTACCACTGCACTTTGGCCTGGTCGACAGAGTGAGACCCTGTCCGGAAAAAACAAAAAAAACAAAAAACAAAAAAACTAAGAATCTGACAGCTCTTTCTTTTGTGGACAAGTGGAATGTTTACATTTCTTATGTAATGTGAATGGATTTTGAATCTGAACTATCTTTTCCTATTAGACATTTCAAAACAATGATGAAGGTCTAATTTGCAGAGGTACCTGCATTATGAGAGCAGCCGTGCTGCAGTTGGCTTGGGCACCATAAAATTACACACCAGCAGGCTGGGCGCGGTGGCTCACACCTGTAATCCCAGCACTTTGGGAGGCCAAGGTGGGTGGATCACCTGAGGTTGGGAGTTCGAGACCAGCCTGACCAACACAGAGAAACCCTGTCTCTACTAAAAAAATACAAAAATTAGCTGGGCGTGGTGGCGCATGCCTGTAATCCCAGCTACTTGGGAGGCTGAGGCAGGAGAATTGCTTGAACCCAGTAGTGGAGGTTGCGGTGAGCCGAGATTGCACCATTGTACTCCAGCCTGGGCAAGAAGAGCGAAACTCCGTCTCAAAAAAAAAAAAAAAAAAAAATTACGTACCAGCCACAAAAAGACAGAGGTTTCTGATCTGTGTGGTGATGGTGTTTCAGGGCATGGTGTGGAGGTATCGCCCTACCAGGCCACCTCTTCCCATCCCTATCTGTTGGCTACACCTTGATCTGCCCTGAGCCTTTGGGAACCTGGAAGAACCTTCTGCCCCCGGCAGTTCTGTGGACCCTTGTCCATGATGAGAAGGGGCACTGAAATAGTGTCTAATGGCAGAGCCCTCCTTGGCCAGTTGGTCACTCGTGCTCACCACCTGTGGGGAGTGTGGGAGACACAGCCAGAGTCTACCACACTGGGTGCCCTCTTGAAACATCTAGAGTTGACTATTCCAGGGCCCCTGCCCTGCCACCCTGAGAACAGAGGGAATTGCCATCTCAGGGCTCCCTTAAGGACATGTTGGTTTTTTTGTTTTTCTTTTTTCTTTTTCTTTTCTTTTTTTTTTTTTTGAGATAGGATCTCACTCTGTCTCCCAGGCTGGAGTGCAGTGGTGCAATCCTGCAGCCTCAACCTCCCAAGCTCAAGTGATCCTCCCACCTCAGCCTCCCAAATAGCTGGGACCAAAGGTACGTGCCACTACACCCAGTTAATGTGTGTATTTTTTGTAGAGATAGGGTCTCACTATATGTATTAGTCCGCTTTCATGCTGCTGATAAAGAGATACCAGAGACTGAGCAAGCTACAAAAGAAAGAGGTTTAATTGGACTTACAGTTCCACGTGGCTGGGGAAGCCTCACAAGCATGGAGGAAGGCAAGGAGGAGCAAGTCACATCTTATGTGGATGGCAGCAGGCAAAGAGAGGTGCACATATGCAGGGAAACTCCCCTTTTTACAGCCATCAGATCTTGTGAGACTTATTCACTATCACGAGAACAGCATGGGAAAGACCTACCCCCATGATTTAGTTACCTCCCACGTCGGAATTCAAGATGAGATTTGGGTGGGGACACAGCCAAACCATATCACTATGTTGCCCAGGCTGGTCTCGAACTCCTGGGCTCAAGCTATCCTCCCACCTGGGCCTCCCAAAGTGCTGGGATTACAGGTGTGAGCCACCACGCCTAGCCTGTCATTTTCTTTTTAATTTTCTTTTTTTTTTTTTTTTTGAGACGGAGTCTCTCTCTGTCACCCAGGCTGGAGCACAGTGGCGCGATGTCCGCTCACTGCAAGCTCCGCCTCCCAGGTTCACACCATTCTCCTGCCTCAGCCTCCTGAGTAGCTGGGACTACAGGCGCCTGCCACCACGCCCGGCTAATTTTTTTTTTGTATTTTTAGTAGAGACGGGGTTTCACTGTGTTAGCCAGGATGGTCTCGATCTCCTGACCTTGTGATCCGCCCGCCTCAGCCTCCCAAAGTGCTGGGATTACAGGCGTAATCCAGCGTCCGGTCTTTTGTTTGTTTGTTTGTTTTTTGTTTTTTGTTTTTTTTGCGATGGAGTCCCACTCTCTCGCCCAGGCTGGAGTGCAGTGGTGCAATCTCAGCTCACTGCAACCTCCACCTCCCGGGTTCAAGCAATTCTCATGCCTCAGCCTCCTGAGTAGCTGGGATTACAGGTGCCCGCCACCATATCCGGCTAATTCTTTGTATTTTTAGTAGAGACAGGGTTTCACCATGTTAGCCAGGCTGGTCTCCAACTCTTGACCTCAGATGATCCGCCCTCCTCGGCCTCCCAAAGTGTCAGGATTACAGGCGTGAGCGACCACGCTCGGCCGGGCCTGTCATTTTCTTACTATTACAGCTATCATTGGAATTATTGGACATCTGCTGATGCATGGCTGTGACCATTTTTTTTCTTTTTTGTAGAGACGGGGTCTCTGTTGCCTACCTGGAGTGCAGTGGCGTGATCATAGCTCACTGCACCTCGGCTTCTAGGACTCAAGTGACCCTCCCATTTCCAGCCTCCTGAGTAGCTGGGCCACCACAGGCGCACACCACCATGCCCGGCTAACTTTTTGTTAATTTTTTGTAGAGATGGGGTCTCACTATATTGCTCAGGCTGGTCTCAAACTCCTGGGCTCAAGCAATCCTCCTGCCTCGGCCTCCCAAAGCACTGGGTTTACAGGTATGAGCCACTGTGCCTGGCCAGAATATAAAGCTAAATTTCAAATATCTTTTAAAAACAAGAGGGAAAAAGAGACCAGGTGGGGTGGCTCATGCCTGTAATCCCAGCACTTTGGGAGGCTGAGGTAGGCAGATTCCTTGAACCCAGGAGATCGAGACCAGCCCGGGCAATATGGTGAGACTCTGTCTCTACTAAAATACATAATTGGCCAGGTGTGGTGGTTCATGCCTGTAGTCTCAGCTACTCAGGAGGCTGAGGTGGGAGGATCACTTGGTCCTGGGAAGTCGAGGCTGCAGTCAGCCGTGATTGCGCCACTGTACTCCAGCCTGGGCAATAGAGTTAGACCCAGCTTAGCTTCAAACTGTGTTTTAAAAACTTGTTTTCCTTTCCTCCTTTCTCCTCAGTCTCAAGACGTAGCTTTGAGACAAACTGCAGGTGTGTTTTCTTTGGTCTTACGAAACGTGCTTTCAAACGCCCTTCCCTTTCCAACATTATGCTCTCATGTGTCATGCACACTTATTTACCTGGATGCTTGCTAAACTCACACCATGCTCACTTATCTGGTTATAGATTTCCTTAGAAGTTTCCAGAGCTGAATTCTGACACGGACCAGATATCCCTGGAATTCTCTCCTCAGCAGGAGGTTACTTCAAGGCTGGAGTTCACTCTCAGCTAGAGATTGACTGCGATTGATTTGTGAGCTGCGTGGACTCATGATGGTGCTGGCCCCTTCAGCAGATGGAACAATAATTCAAAAGAAGCCATTGGAGCGAGACATGCCACCTGGTACCTCCTAGCCCCCCGTGCCTCTTCTGCAGTCCAAGCCCCTCTTCTTAAACCAGGGCCCCCTCTCCAGAAATTGGAAAATGGCAATTTTTGGAAAGGATTCTGGCCAGCCTTTCCTTGCTAGCAACGGATAATGAAATTTACTTTCTTTTTAACACACCTTGCTCTTATTTTGGCTTCTTTCTGCAAGTGGCAAGCAACCTGACCCTCTTTCGGTTACAAGTCTCAACGAAATGGAATGGGAATGATAGTAAGAAACAGGATTTCAGCACAAATATGGTCATGTGATTGTAGCACTCTTTTTTTTTTTTTTTTTTTTCTGAGACCGAGTCTCACTCTGTCACCCAGGCTGGAGAACAGTGGCATGATCTCAGCTCACTGCAACCTCCACCTCCCAGGTTCAAGTGATTCTCGTGCCTCAGCCTCCCGAGTAGGTGGGATTACAGGCACCCGCCAACATGTCCGGCTAATTTTTGTATTTTTAGTAGAGACGGGGTTTTGCCATGTTGGCCAGGCTGGTCTCAAACTTCTGACCTCAAGTGATTTGCCTGCCTCAGCTTCCCAAAGTGCTGGGATTACAAGCGTGAGCCACCGTGCCCGGCCTGTAGCACTCTTATATTTGACATTCAAGAAGGAAACAATTGCATTCCCAAACAGCTAAATATGCATGTCTAAAAACGGAAGTGTTTTTTTTGAACTGTCAAATTCTCTCCAAAGCCCATTCATCTCAGCATCCCAAAGCTGAAGCACACCTTCTGTGAGCTCTGTAAGAAAGTGGTAACCACAGGGCACCATTGCCAGCACAGCACAGCACGACTGCTTATAAAACGAAACTTCTGACGCTGGCTGCAGCGTCATTTTTTCACCATCCTCACGTGGGAGAGCAGTTGTCTGAGTGATCGCTAAGTCATGCTCACTAAATCAGTGCAGTAAGAATTGCACTGCTGACGCTGAGTCCAGTAAGAAGCAATTCTTACTGCTGGGGCTAGAGCAGGCATGGCAATGAACTCCAAGCTGGGGCCTCCATTTGTTTTCTTTTTCTTTTTTCTTTTCTTTTTTTCTTTTTTCTTTTTCTTTTTTTTTTTTTGAGACGGAGTCTCACTCTGTCTTGCCCAGGGTGGAGTGCAGTTGTGCGATCTCAGCTCACTGCAGCCTCCACCTCCCGGGTTCAAGCGAGTCTCCTGACTCAGCGTCCAGAGTAGCTGAGATTACAGGCATGCACCACCATGCCTGGTTAATTTTTTGTATTTAGTAGAGACGGGGTTTCACCATGTTGGTCAGATGGGTCTCAAACTCCTGACCTCAGGTGATCCACCCATCTCGTCCTCCCAGAGTGCTGGGATTACAGGCATGAGCTACTGCGCCCGGCTTCTCTATTTGTTTTCTAGCAAGCCAAAGTCTGAGTGGAAAAAACACAAACTGTCTTTTCTCTGGTCTCACACAACAATCAACACAGAAGACTTCCGTGACCCCAAAATATGTGGGGATTTCTCCCCACCAGCAATCAAGCAATCAGTTCTGCAGTGGACACCAACTGGGTGTCCTCCAATTCTATTCAATTCAATTCTGACACTCTCTACCTGGAGATAGCTTCAGATCCCACAGGTTGATGGCTCAGTCCCCAAGACTGCCCCCACCTTCAGATACCAATGGCAAGCCCCAGGTTGTGTCACCTGTGCTTCTGACCGACAAGCTATACATCGGGGTTCCCACCACCCCTTCCTTTGGTTCATTTAATTTGCTAGAGGGGGCCGGGCGCGGTGGCTCACACCTGTAATCCCAGCACTTTGGGGGGCCAAGGCGGGCAGATCACGAGGTCAGGAGATCGAGACCATCCTGGCCAACACGGTGAAACCCCGTCTCTACTAAAAATACAAAAAAATTAGCCGGGCGTGGTGGCAGGCACCTGTAGTCCCAGCTACTCCGGAGGCTGAAGCAGGAGAATAGCATGAACCCAGGAGGCGGAGCTTGCAGTGAGATGAGATTGCACCACTGCACTCCAGCCTGGGCGACACTCCGTCTCAAAAAAAAAAAAAAACTTGCTAGAGGGGCTCCCAGAACTCAGGGAAACACATTTACCAGTTTATTATCAAGGATATTACAAAGGATACAGATGAAGAGATACATAGGGCAAGGTATGGGGGAAGGGGTGCGGAGCTTCCATGCCCCCTCCAGGTGTACCACCCTCCAGGAACCTCCACGCGTGCAGATATTCAGAAGCTCCCAGAACTCAGTCATTTTGGGGTGTTTTGTTTTGCTTTGTTTTTTGAGATGCAGTTTCGCTTTTGTAGCCCAGGCTAGAGTGCAATGGCATGATCTCAGCTCACCGCAACCTCTGCCTCCCGGGTTCAAGCCATTCTCCTGCCTCAGCCCCCCAAGTAGCTGGAATTACAGGGATGCACCACAGGGATGCACCACCACGCCCAGCTAATTTTGTATTTTTAGTAGAGATGGGGTTTATCCATGTTGGTCAGGCTGGTCTTGAACTCCTGACCTCAGGTGATCCACCTGCCTCGGCCTCCCAAAGTGCTGGGATTACAGGCGTGAGCCACCATACCTGGCCAAGGCCCATTTTTATAAGTAGTGCACGATGTTCCAGCCAACATTGTAATGGCACATTGGGCTTGGATGTTGTGATGTTATGATATATTTATATTGGTTTTTGTTCACACTTCCTGGTTGATAAGTGCCATAGCCCTTGTTATTTCCTAAGTGACTAAAACAATAGGTATATATTTTAAAAGCATTTGGGCTGGGCGCAGTGGCTCATGCCTATAATACCAGCACTTTGGGAGGCCAAGGCGGGCAGATCACTTGAGGTCAGGAGTTCAAGACCAGCCTAGCCAACATGGTGAAACCCCGTCTCTATTAAAAATACAAAAAAAATAGCCAGATATGGTGGTAGGCGCCTGTAATGCCAGCTACTCTGGAGGCTGAGGCACGAGAATTGCTTGAACCCGGGAGGCAGAGGTTACAGTGAGCCAAGATCACACCACTGCACTCCAGCCTGGGAGACAGAGTGAGACTTCATCTTAAAAGAAATAAAAAATAAAAAATAAATAAATACATAAATAAATAACATTTGGCCTTTTGTCCTTAGTTCCTGAAGCAGCTTCAGAACAGCCTTCAGAGCCATAAAGGTGAAAGACATTCTCTTGTCATAACATTGGGGTGCTTTAGGCCTCAGAAAACAGAATCTCTCTCTCTCTGAGCTTCTCCTGCCCTCCTTTCACCTGCTCCTTTTTCTCTCCAAGGCAGCCTGTATATCTTAGTTCTTTTGCATTGCCGTAAAGGGATTCCTGAAGCTGGGTAGTTTATAAAGAAAAGAGGTTTATTTGGCTCACGGTTCTGTAGGCTATGCAAGAAGCATGGCTCCAGTATCTGCTTCTGGTGAGGCCTCAGGAAGCTTCTAATCGTGGCGGAAGGGGAAGGGGATATGGCATGTGCAGATCACATGGAGAGACAGGAAGCAAGAGAGAGAGAGCACTCATTACAGCGAGGACAACACCAAGCCATTCACGAGGGATCCACCCCCATGACCCAAACACCTCCCACCAGGCCCCACCTCCAATACTGGGGGCCACATTTCCACGTGAAATTTGGAGGGATTAAGTATCCAAACCATAGTACCTTAGAAACTAAAATATACTCTAATATTCTCCTGCCTTGAGCCAAATAAACCTCTTTTCTTTATAAATTACCTGTCTTGGAGCTGGCTATAAAGAAATTCTCTGGCCAGGTGAGGTGGCTCACCCCTGTAATCCCAGCACTTTGGGAGGCCGAGGTGGGTGGATCACAAGGTCAGGAGATTGAGACCATCCTGGCCAACATGGTGAAACCCCGTCCCTACTAAAATACAAAAAATTAGCTGGGCGTGGTGGTGCACACCTGTAGTCCCAGCTACTCAGGAGGCTGAGGCAGGGGAATTGCTTGAACTCAGGAGGCGGAGATTGCAGTGAGCCGAGATCGCACCACGGCTCTCCAGCCTGGTGACAGAGCAAGATTCTGTCTCAAAAAAGAAAAAAAAAAGAAATTATCTGGCCTATCTTGTGTGATTGTAGGTGTAAAAGTTGATCATACTTCAGCTGGGTGTGGTAGCTCATGCTTGTAATCCCAGCACTTTGAGAGGCTGAGGGATCACTCAAGGCCAGGAATTTGAGACCAGCCTGGGCAACAAGGTGAAACCCCACCTCTATAAAAAATACAAAAAAATAGCTGGGCATGGTGGCATGTGCCTGTAGTCCTAGATACTTGGGAGGCCAAGAATTGCTTGAGCTCAGGAGGTGGAGGCTGCAGTGAGCCATGATTGCACCACTGTCTTCCAGCCTGGGTAATAGAGCAAGACACACAGAAAGGGAAGGGAGGGGAGGGGAGGGGAGGGAAGGGAAGGGAAAAGGAAGGGGAAGGGAGCGGAGGGGAAGGGAAGGGAAGGGAAGGGAAAAGGAAGGGAAAGGAAAGGGAAAGGGAAAGGAAAGGAGAAAGGAAAGGAGAAAGGAAAGGAAAGGAGAAAGGAAAGGAAAGGAGAAAGGAAAGGAGTAAGGAAAGGAAAGGAGAAAGGAAAGGAAGGAAAAAGAGAGAAAGAAAAGAAAGGAAGGAAGAAAGAAAGAGAGAAAGAAAGAAAAGAAAAGAAAAGAAAGGAGAGAAGAAAAGATCATACGAATTGGGTCATTCTTGACATACCCAACTGAAACAGAGTCAGGAGGTCAGGGGGAAGCAGGCAGGGCACATAACATTGCTCCAAAAATGTAATTCTCTGCAAGCCTGGCTGCTGAAACTGCCTGCTATGACCTGAAACCAGTTTTTTGTTTTGTTTTTTGTTTCGTTTTGTTTTGAGATGGAGTTTCACTTTGTCGCCCAGGCTGGAGTGCAGTGGCCTGATCTCGGCTCACTGCAATCCCCACCTCCTGGGTTCAAGCTATTCTCCTGCCTCAGACTCCCGAGTAGCTGGGATTACAGGTGCCTGCCACCACGGCTGGCTAATTTTTGTACTTTTAGTAGTGACAGGGTTTCACCATGTTGGCCAGGATGGTCTCGAACCCCTGACCTTAAGTGATTCGCCCACCTCAGCCTCCCAAAGTGCTGAGATTACAGGTGTAAGCCACCATGCCTGGCCTTGAAACCAGTTTTATCTCATGGCTTCTGAAGCAAACTGCTGCAACTCTAAGACTAGTTCTACCCACTGCCAACACTCTCCAATCAGAGCTTGCTTGCCAGCTCTCTGAAACCTTACTAGTGCCAATGAGCTTCCTCAAAGAGCAATATGAAACATTTCCCCTTTCTATAAAACCTCTAACCTTCTCTTTGTTCTTCAGACATACCGAAGACCGGACAGTCTGCATATATGCTCTGAATTGCAATTCTTTCTTCCCAAATAAAACGTTTTAATTTCAGATTTATCTGTATATTTTATTTGACTTCAGCATAGGTTATAAGACCTCCATTTCAGAAGAGATCCCGCCCCATATCCGGGAGGAGGGAATGCCACACAGAGAGGCCAAGAAGAATCTGAACAGACAGGCCTTGCTAGGCTTAGATCATATCCTTTTTGTCCAATCACATTTCTTTTTTTTTTTTTTTTTTTTTGAGACGGAGTCTCGCTCTGTCGCCCAGGCTGGAGTGCAATGGAGTGATCTCAGCTCACGGCAAACTCCGCCTCCTGGGTTCAAGTGATTCTCCTGCCTCAGCCTCCCGAGTAGCTAGGATTACAGGCACACGCCACTAAGCCCGACTAATTTTGTATTTTTAGTAGAGACAGGGTTTCACCATGTTGACCAGGCTGGTCTTGAATCCCTGACCTCGGGTGATCCACCCGCTTCAGCCTCCCAAAGTGCTAGGATTACAGGCGTGAGCCACCATGCCCGGCCCAATCACATTTCTAAATGGATGTCCATGCTTCATGCCTATCCAATGAAGTCTCCATAAAAGGCCAAGAAGATGGGGCATGGGGAGGTTCCAGAGGGATGAAAACATGGCGCCTTGTAGGAAGGTGAACAAGAACTCATCCGCAGCTGAGCACAGTGGCTCATGCTTATAATCCCAGCACTTTGGGAGGCTAAGGTGGGAGGATTGCTTGAGCCAAGGAGTTCGAGACCAGCCTGGGCAACATAGGGAGACCTTGTCTCTACAAAAAATACAAAAATTCGTCGGTAATGGTGGTGTTAGCTTGTAGTCCCAGCTACTTGGGAGGCTGAGGTGGGAGGATTTGCTTGAGTCCAGGAGGTTGAAGCTGCAGTGAACCATGATCGTGTGCTAGATACAGTTCAGTGGCATTAAAAATGTACTTAACGCCACTGAACTGTATACATAAAAATGGTTACAATGGCAAATTTTATGTATATTTTATCACAAGAAAATCTTTTTAAGGCCGGGCATGGTGGCTCACACCTGTAATCCCAGCACTTTGGGAGGCCGAGGTGGTTAGATCATGAGGTCAAGAGATCGAGACCATCCTGGCCAACATGGTAAAACCCCATCTCTACTAAAAATACAAAAATTAGCTGGGCATGGTGGCATGCGCCTGTAGTCCCAGCTACTCAGGAGGCTGAGGCAGGAGAATTGCTTGAAGCCAGGAGGCGGAGGTTGCAGTGAGCCAAGATTGTGCCACTGCACTCCAGCCTGGTGACAGAAAGACTTCGTCTCAAAAAAAAAAAATCTTTTTAAAGAAAAAATACAATATTTACAATGCATTATTTACAATAATTACCCTTCCTGTGCCCCCACTCCTTCTCAATGCAGGGTAGCTCTTTGAATCAAGAGGTGCAGGCCTTGAGCCTGGGCTGGCCTTGGGACTTGCTTTGACCGGTTGAATACTTCACATTGTGCCTGCTCCAGGCCTCAATGGCAAGAGACCTTGAGCATTTCTGCGATTTCTGTTCACTCTCCTGGAACCCCGCCGCCTCCCTATGAACAAACGTGGGCTAGCCTGCTGGGGATGCAGGACCAGGCAGACGAACGACGATCCGACCAGCTGAGGTCACTCCAGACCAGCCCATCCGCAGCCAGTCTGGCAGATGCAGGTGGGAGCCATGTGTATCAGCTGAGCTCAGCCCAGATTGCCAGCCGGCAGCAGCAAAAGCTAAATCAACAGTTGGTGTTTTGGCTTCATGCCTATAATCCCAGCACTTTGAGAGGCGGAGGCAGAAGGATCGCTTGAGCCCAGGAGTTCAAGACCAGCCTGGGTAACACAGTAAGACCCCATCTCTACAAAAAATCAAAAAATTAGCTGGC
The DNA here is from genome assembly GCF_000001405.40 of Homo sapiens. NCBI lineage: Eukaryota > Metazoa > Chordata > Mammalia > Primates > Hominidae > Homo > Homo sapiens. Next base: position 41,259,464 of record NC_000023.11, on the reverse strand, counting down.
CATGTCTGTGGTCCTAGCTACTTGGAAGACCGAGGTGGGGGGACCGCTTGAGCCCAGGAGTTCAAGACCAACCTGGGCAACATAGGGAGACCCTGTCTCTACAAAAAAATTAAAAAATTAGCTGGGCGCGGTGGTGTGTGCCTGTAGTCCCAGCTACTCAGGAGGCTGAGGTGGGAGGATCGATTCAGCCCAGGAGGTCAAGGCTTCAGGGAGCTGTGATCGTGCCACTGCACTCCAGCCTGGGTGACAGAGCAAGACCCTGTCTCAACAACAACAACAACAAAATGTTGGTGTTTTAAGGCCCTAAGCTTTGTGGGGGTCGGTTTTGCAGCAAAAGCTACCCGACTCAGAGAGGGATGACGCAGGTGATAAGGATTTTGCTGGCGAAGAGCCTAACCCTCTTGAATTCTAGTTTCTCAATTGGAGAGCTCGAAGGAGACTGGTTGCTAATGGTTTGAGGGAAATTTTATTTTTTCGAGACGGTGTCTCGCTCTGTCACCCAGGCTGGAATGCAGTGACTCGATCTCCGCTCACTGCAACCTCTGCCTCCCGGGTTCAAGCAATTCTCCTGCCTCGGCCTCCCGAGTAGCTGGGATTACAGGCGTCCACCACCACGCCCGGCTAATTTTTTGTATTTTTAGTAGAGACGGGGTTCAAACTCCTGATCTCAAGTGTTCCGCCCACCTCGGCCTCCCAATCTGGCGGTGGCTCATGATTACCGGCGTGGGCCACCGCGTCCAGCCTGGGGGAAACTTTTAAAGATGGCAGTTACCAACAATGACACTGAAGAAGCTAGGACTTCTTGGAGGTCAAGGTTCCAGCCTTCCTGGTTCTTGGACATTAGAATCTAGTATGAAGGAGATGCGGTGAGTCAGAGTGTACAGAGCTGCGGACTTCCAGTCTGATGGTGGTGGGGATGGGGAACGGGGGCCAAGCTGGCCTTCCCAGCCTCGGACCTCCCAGATCCTGTGTGCCGCAGAAGCCAGCCTGCAGCAATGCCCCCCACCAGGCTGGGGCGCCCACTGTCCCCTGCCTTGTCATGCGTGCCAAGATGAATGCTAAATGTGGAGATTCTTCCTCAGTGCTGGATTTCGCGCCTTCTGGCATTCAATACTAGCCTAGTTTTTAATAAAGAAGAAACAACACTATTTTGGTGCTGTAAACCTATTTTTCACCATCTGGCGTACCCGTATGCCTCTTATATTTCTTCTTCTAGGTCAGCAAAAATCCCATCATGGGACCAGAGCCTCCCTACCAAGGAGGATGTTATCATAGATTTCAGGGGACGAGGTACCCCTCTTCAGGTTGCATCCACTTAACTTTGAGTAACAGACTTCTAAAAAACCTGTTTCTATAAATGTCAGTAAAACAAAATGAACGTTTAGCTCATGGAAATTAACATAAAAATGAAAGTTTGATTTTTTTTTCGCATAACAGATGATGACAATCTTAAAATACCCGACAGACGAAAGAGGAAGGAAAACCACCCCTTCTGTCTGAGAGAATTATGCGATAATGGCCCAAAGCGGTCCTCTGCAATTTTTTGGGGGGTGACACTAAAGGAACAGAAGGTACTGGGGGAACCAATGGGAAAAATAGTTTAATTAGTAAAGTTAACTTAATTAGCAAAAATAATTCTCTTTGGAGCAAGCTTTGAATAAATCTGTGATAATTTGGTGATTCTATGAATTTTCTGGAATATGTGTACATGTGTGCATTGGGGTGCATGCACATGTGCGATCATGCATGTGCACGTGTGTGCATGCATGCATGGGGGTGGACCCAGGTTTTGTGGTCCCTAAAGATTATACAATTTTGGGAAGCCCTTTAAAAAAAAGAACACAGGCCAGGCACAGTGGTTCACGCCTGTAATCTCAGCACTTTGGGAGGCCGAGGCAGGAGGATTGCTTGAGCCCAGGAGTTCAAGACCAGCCTGGGCAACATAGGAAGATTTCGTCTTTATTTAAAAGAAAAAAAAAATTTTAATAAAAATGTTTTAAAAACCACAAAATGTGAATGCAAAATTAGGTAGGAAAGGGATGCCTATTTAGAATTAGAAAGAAAACGCAATTCACAATGTTTTCAAAGCTGAGAAATACCTCAAATTTCATATAATTCAGAAAACTAACAAAGTTTTGTTAACTGCTTAACAAACCTCAATGGCCCTTTTTCCCCCTGTAATTTTTGACTGCATACTCTTTGATCACCTTTTCGTGTGGCCGCAACTTTATAATATTTTCTAGGGAGAGGATAGAAAGATAATTCAGTTTTTGGCTGGGCGTGGTGGCTCACGCCTGTAATCCCAGCACTTTGGGAGGCCGAGGCAGGTGGATCACCTGAGGTCAGGAGTTTGAGACCAGCCTAGCCAACATGGTGAAACCCCATCTCTACTAATAATACGAAAATTAGCCGGGCATAGGAGGTGGCGCATATCTGTAGTCCCAGCTACTCGGGAGGCTGAGGCAGGAGAATCGCTTGAATCCAGGAGGCGGAGGTTGCAGTGAGCTGAGACAGTGCCACTGCCCTCCAGCCTGGGTGACGGAGCCAGACTCCGTCTCAAAAAAAAAAAATAAATAAATAAATAAAGATAGTTAGATCGTTCAGTTTTTGTTCTAACATGGTTGATAGAAATTTGGTTTTCATTACTGATAGTTTAGAAAAATGTCAGCTTTACATTTTCATAATTAATAATTCTGTGCACATTTTTAGGATTGTTGTCAAATTTGGGAAAACCTCTATCAAGTTTCTTTCATATAAAAGCGGTAAGTTTTCAGGGTATATCAAGGTTTCATGTTCAGGAACTAACCTTAAATACTCTAAATTGGCAATACTCATGGACCAATTTGACCTCCAATTCTTGCTGTAGAGGTCTAGTCTATTATGAGATTTATGTTATCTTTATCAATGACAGTATTTTAGTCAAATCTGCACAAAATGTAAATGTTTTCCTGCTGTGTTCATGTATTTCACTTATTTTATTAAGTAGATTATTTAATAATCTAAGAGCCCATATATTACCTCTATTCAAAATTTATCTCTTCCTCTTTTGGTATGATCTGAAAAAATATTTTGGTACAATTTACTTCTCAGATGTCAGAATAGTTTCTATAGGTTATATATAGAAATATTTGAAAAATATTTTCATCATATAGTGAGTTTGCAATTATATTACTGCATTATTGAATATATATATATTTTTTTTTTTCTTTTTTTCTTCTTCTTCTTCTTTGAGACTGGGTCTCACTCACTCTGTCACCCAGGTTGGAGTGCAGTGGTGCAATCATGGCTCACTGCAGACTTGACTTCCTGGGCTCAAGTGATCCTCCCACCTCAGCCTCCCCAGTAGCCAGGACTACAGGTATGCGCCGCCACACCTGGCTGATTTTTTAATTTTTTTTTTTAGGGATAGGGTCTTCCTACATTGCCCAGGCTGGTCTCAAACTCCTAAGCTCAAGAGATCCTCCTGCCTCATCCTCCCAAAGTGCTGGGATTACACGCGTAAGCCACCACGCATAGCCTGATTATATTCTTAAGAGGAAAAACTTTCATTTTGATCTGCTTACAAGTTTTCATGTTTGATGGTTGGAAGAATTTTCCATGGATTAACGTCTGGCTCTGTACATTCCAAACCTTGCTGCTCCTCCACCAGCCCAGTCCCAGCTGCTATAGTGCATAGTATCATGAGGCCAGGTGGGCAGGTCAAATCATTCCTGGAAGTCATTCCTACCCCAGGATGGCCAATAATAACTATATGTGAAAACATATGTGAAAACTATATGTGAAAACTATATGTGAAAACATATGTGAAAACTATATGTGAAAACATATGTGAAAACTCTATGTGAAACGTATCCCATTTTAAAGGCCCCGAAGAGTCTTCTGCAAATGAGGGGCTCTGAGGGTTAAGCTTCATGAGTTCTGTGTATGTATGAGTGTGTGAGAGGGTTTTTTGTTTGTTTTTTGAGAGAGTCTCACTCTGTTGCCCAGGCTGGAGGGCAGTGGCATGATCTTGGCTCATTGCAGCCCCCGCCTCCTGGGCTCAAGGGATTCTTCTGCCTCAGGCTCCCAAGTACCTGGGATTACAGGCACTCGCCACCGCACCTGGCTAAGTTTGTATTTTTAATAGAGACCGGTTTTACCATGTTGGCTAGGCTGGTCTCAAACTCCTGGCTTCAAGTGATCCGCCCACCTCAGCCTCCCAAAGTGCTGGGATTACAGAAATGAGATTTTTTTTTTTTTTTTTTTTTTTTTTGAGACAGAGGTTCGCTCTTGTTGCCCAGGCTGGAGCGCAATGGCACGATCTCGGCTCGCCGCAACCTCTGCCTCCCGGGTTCAAGCGATTCTCCTGCCTCAGCCTCCGAGTAGCTGGGATTACAGGCATGCACCACCACGCCCGGCTAATTTTTGTATTTTTTAGTAGAGACGGGCTTTCTCCATGTTAATCAGGCTGGTCTCGAACTCCCGACCTCGGGTGATCTGCCCGCCTCGGCCTCCCAAAGTGCTGGGATTACAGGCATGAGCCACAGCGCTCAGCCGGATTGTTTTCTTTTTAAAAAAAGGGGGCAGGGCCAGGCACGGTCGTCACGCCTGTAATCCCAGCACTTTGGGAGGCTGAAGCGGGTGGATCACCTGAGGTTGGGAGTTTGAGACCAGCCTGACCAACATGATGAAACCCCGTCTCTACTAAAAATACAAAATTAGCCGGATGTGGTGGCACGTGCCTGTAATCCCAGCTACTCGGGAGGCTGAGGCAGGAGAGTCGCTTGAACCCAGGAGGCAGAGGTTGCGGTGAGCTGAGATCGCACCATTGTACTCCAGCCTGGGCAACAGGAGTGAAATCCCATCTAAAAATAAATAAATAAATAAATAAATAAATAACAGGGGCAGCAGGGCACGGTGGCTCATGCCTGTAATCCCAACACTTTGGAAAGCCGAGGTGGGCAGATCACCTGAGGTCAGGAGTTTGAGACCATGGTGAAACCCCATCTCTACCAAACATGGTGAAACCCCATCTCTAGTAAAACTACAAAAAATTAGCCAGGCATGGTGGCACGCGCCTGTAATCCCAGCTACTCGGGAGGCTGAGGCAGGAGAATCTCTTGAACCCTGGAGGTGGAGGTCGCAGTGAGCCAAGATCACGCCACTGCACTTTAGCCTAGGCAACAAGAGCGAAACCCCATCTCAAAAAAAAAAAAAAAAAAAGCTTAAAAAAAGCTAAGAAATACAAAATTTAGCCAGCATGGTGGCGCACGCCTGTAATCCCCGCTACTCGGGAGGCTGAGGCAGGAGAATCGCTTGATCCCAGCAGTGGAGGTTGTGGTGAGCCGAGATCGCGCCACTGCCCTCCAGCCTGGGCTACAGAGATTCCATCTAAAACAAAAAACAAAAAACAAACAAACAAAAAAATAGGAGCCAACAGAATACCAAAGGGCCCAGTACAGAGAGCTTGGATCTGTGCCTCCGCATGAGTCCCGACTCCCTGTGACCTTGAACAGATCTCTTACTTCGAGGCTTGTCCACCTTGGTTCCTCCCACCCGAACCCACCCTGCCCAGACAGCCTCATGGGCCATGTCACCCCGCGGCCTCTAGAGGGCAGCATATCCTCACTTCGGAAGACCCGGCTGCAGTCCCGGCGCAAGGGCAGCGGCACCGGCTTGGTTGCTAAGGGGGCTTCGGAGTCTCGCTGCCGTCCTCGCTCGGGGGACTGTCGGCGCTTTGCGCAGTCGTGCTCCACGCGAGAGGACGCCGCCAGCAAGAAATATGTCAACAAGCCTAGCCTCGCGCAGGTGCCGCTTAGTTCCTAACGGATGCGCGTGATAGAACCGGGGCAGAGAGAGCGCCGCCTCCCTAGTGAAGTTCAAGTTCGCAGGACGGTTTTCATTCCCCACGACCCCCACGGGTCAAGGTCCTCTTGACTTTGGGTCTGGGCACCTAAGGGAAGTAGGAAAGAGCTTGCAGGCCTGGCAGCTGTGGCCTAGGTAATATGACCACGGCGCTGGCAGTGCCACTGACTTCACACAGAAACACACCATGGGGACCCGGGACTCAGGGCCCTGGCCCCTGCAGAGGTATGTCAGAAGCCTTCCCTACCATCACGCCTCCCCCCGGGGACTTTGCCACCTCTCAGGCTCCTGGAGCACAGGACACTCCTCTTGATTTCGGGTGTCTGGCACCTGCTGGACAGGGGTGTTCATCAGCTGACGCGGGGATGCTTGTGACCAGGCGGGACCGGGAGCCCGGGTGGGCACACCACCTAGACAACAAGGCACAGCGCCTTGGCCAGCTGCTGCACCCCAAGCACCTATCCTGGGGGGCCTGTGCAGGATCTGATGAGGTCTGAAGAGCCCCCAATTTGGGGGTCGGGTTATGCACGGGGAGGGGACTCACTCTCCCATGGGACCTCCTCAGAAGGTGGCTGCCTTCCACCAGGGAGCAGTGGGCATAGCTAATGTTTTCAATTTTATCTTTGATCGCTGGAACTCAGGGGCAGGAGGAAGCTGAGAGTGTCCAGGGCTCCCCTCCCACTGTTTGTGGGTAAAGGGGTGTGGTGAGGAGGCAGAAAGGAAGGATCTAGGTGAGAAAAGCACTCTGATGAAATTGACTATTGTCAGCCCTTGTCAGCTGTGGTGTGCCAGGCAGAGGGTGTGTGTGCACGTCCCTGGAGCAACGTGCAGGGGAAGGCACATGTTTTTTTAAAAATTTGAGGCGGCTGGGCGTGGTGGCTCATGCCTGTAATCCCAGCACTTTGGGAGGCCAAGGCAGGTGGATCACTTGAGGTCAGAAGTTCGAGACCAGCCTGGCCAACATGGTGAAATCCCATCTCTACTAAAAATACAAAGATTAGCCGGACATGGTGGCAGCGCCTTTAATCCCAGCTACTTGAGAGGCTGAGGCAGGAGAATCACTTGAACCTGGGAGGTGGAGGTTGCAGTGAGCCAAGATCGCACCACTGCACTCCAGCCTGGGCAACAGAGCGAGACTCCATCTCAAAAAACAAACAAACAAACAAACAAAAACATTTATTGAGGCTGGGCTCAGTGGCTCATGCATGTAATCCCAGCACTTTAGGAGGCTGAGGCAGGAGGATAGCTTGAAGCCAGGAATTCAAGACCAGCCTGGGCAACATAGAGAGAACCTATCTCTACCAAAAAATAAAAAATAAATTTTTTTTAAATTAAAAATTTATTGTGTAGAGTGTAGGACGCTTGCCAGAGACTGGGAAAGGTAGTGGGAGTGGGTGCGGATTGTTAATGGGTACAAAAAAATAGAATAGCATCTAGTATTTACAGAATAAATAAGATCTAGTATTTGATAGCACAACAGGGTGACTATAGTCAATAATAATTTAATTGTACACACTTATGATCCCAGCACTTTGGGAAGCCAAGGCAGGCGAATCAGATTGCTTGAGCTCAGGAGATTGAGACCAGCCTGGGCAACATGGTAAAACCCTGTCTCTACAAAAAATACAAAAAAATTTAGCAGGGCATAGTGGCGCACATCTGTAATCCCAGCTACTCGGGAGGCTGAGATGGGAGGATTGCTTGAGGCCCAGGGGCAGAGGTTGCAATGAACTGAGATTGCACTACCACTGCACTCCAGCCTGGGTGACAGAACGAGATCCTGTCTCAAAAAAAAAATTTTTTTTTAATTTATTGTGGTAAAATACATATATAATTAACCATGTTCACCATTAAAAGTTTTTTCTTTCTTTCTTTCTTTTTTTTGAGATGGAGTCTTGCTCTGTTGCCCAGGCTGGAGTGAAGTGGTGCCATCTCGGCTCACTACAACCTCTGCCTCCCGGGCTCTAGTGATTCTCCTGCCTCAGCCTCCTGAGTAACTGGGACTACAGGCACACGCCACCACACTCGGCTAAGTTTTTGTATTTTTAGTAGAGATGGGGTTTCGCCATGTTGGCCAAGCTGGTCTCGAACTCCTGACCTCAAGCAATCCACCCACCTCGGCCTCGGAAAGTGCTGGGATTACAGGTGTGAGCCAGCTCACCGGCCAAAAGTTTTTTTTATTGTGGTAAAATATACATACCATAAAATTTACCATTGTAACCATTTTAAGGTGTGCAATTTGTAGCATTTAGTGCATTCATAATCTTGTGCAACTATCATCACTATCTAGTTCCAGAACATTTTCCTTTCTCCAAAAAAAAAGAAACCCCTGCCCATTAGCAGTCACTTCCCCTTCTCCCCTCTCTCAGCCCCTGGCAGCCACTAATCTGCTTTCCATCTCTATGGATTTGCCTATTCTGGATGTTTTATATCAATAGAATCGTGCGACCATGGCCTCCTGTATCTGGCTTCTTTCACTCAGCCTGTTTTCAAAGTTCATCCATGTTGCAGCACGCGTCAGCGCTTCCTTCCTTTTCATTGCTGAGTCATATTCCATTGTATGGATAGGCCCCATTCTGTTTACCCGTTCATCTGTTCATGGATGCCTGGGCTGTTTCCACCTGTTGGCAACTGTGAAGGACGCACGCGCGCCTTTGCAGCTGTGTCTGGCCCTCATCTGCAGGCCCCTCTGGGTCTAGCACCCTCTGCCAGCTGGGCTGTGAGCAGTTGTTCTGGGCCTGCATACCTTCCCTCACCCTTTTACTCCCTTGTGAGTCTGGGCACATGGACCTTTTTCTGGTCCAAGAGAGATGGTCCACGTGCCTGCACCAGAAAAGGGTCCACATGCCCGGACTCACCAGGTGTTGCCTCAAATCAAGGGTCCACTTGGAGTTATTTTGTTGCCTCTCAGGGGCCAGGCCCTTTAAAACTTGGATGCTAGAAGCAGCCCCTTTTCCTCTACTTTCTGCTAATACATCCCCAAGGCAAAGAACAAGACTGGCCTGGCTGCCGCCATGATGAGAGGATGGACAAGGCAAAGACAGTAGGAAATGCTGGGCAGTGGAAGGGCGTGGGGAAGCAAATGTGATCCTGCATATTTTCTTTTTTTTTTTTCTTTTGAGACAGAGTTTTACTCTGTCTCCCAGGCTGAAGTACAGTGGCGCAATCTTGGCTCACTGCAACCTCCACCTCCCGGGTTCAAGCGATTCTCCTGCTTCAGCCTCCCGAGTAGCTGGGATTACAAGCGGCCACCACCATGCCCGGCTAATTTTTGTATTTTTAGTAGAGACAGGATTTCACCATGTTGGCCAGGCTGGTCTCGAACTCCTGACCTCAAGTGATCCACCTGCCTCGGCCTCCCAAAGTGCTGGGATTATAGGCCTGAGCCACCACGCCCGGCCAATTTTGCATATTTTCATCCTCACTTACTCTCTTGCCATGACAATTGAGTGGAGGGTGGGACAGTGTGGGACATGGAGGCCACGGCCCAGGACAGTGGGTAGGGGAGATGATGAGGGGCCACCTTTCCTCCCAGCACGGCCAGTCTACCCAGGCCAGGGCAGGAAGCAAGAGGAGGGGAGACCATGTGAGGGCAGGGGAGTGTCTGTGGAGGCCCTGCCTGGACAAGCAGACCAAGGAGGTCCTTCTTTGCCAAGAGAGATGGGCAAATTGTGATGGCCAGTTCTGGAAAAGGCAGTCCCTGGGCCCTGAGGAGAAGAGAATCTCTCCCCAAATCCACATGCAGGGAATGAACCCTCCCTGGGCACTCAGATCAGTGAACAGCTTGTATCAGTGTAAGGTACATGAGTTGGTATATTTACTCCTTGGATTTTAATGGCCAGGGATTCTTTGACTTGTCAAGTCCTTTAGCTACAGAAAATAAACACATGTCTGTCCTCTCTGCTCCACCCTGTCGTTTGCTGACCCTACGTTTGCTGTGTCAGTGAACACTAGGGGCCCCATTCCAGCTTGCCTCATTTGGAATCCAACATTTACTGAGATGCCATAGATGAGCTGCTCTCAGATATCTCAAATTTCACAAACTGATACACTTTTTCAAAAAACAGGACCTGGCCCGGCGCGGTGGCTCATGCCTGTAATCCTAGCACTTTGGGAGACCAAGGTGGGTGGATCACCTGAGGTCAGGAGTTCGAGACCAGCCTGACCAACATGGAGAAACCCCATCTCTACTAAAAATACAAAAATTAGCTGGGTGTGGTGGCATGTGCCTGTAGTCCCTGCTACTCCTTGGGAGGCTGAGACAGGAGAATGGCTTGAACCCGGGAGGCAGAGGTTGCAGTGAGCTGAGATTGCGCCACTGCACTGCAGCCTGTGCAACAGAGTGAGACGCTGAATCAAAATCAAAAACAAAGAAACAAACAAAAAAAGGAACCAATTTGGTTTGCCAACTTTTTGTTGTGCCAAGTTAGGGAATTAAAAAACAAACAGGCCGGGCGCGGTGGCTCACGCCTGTAATCCCAGCACTTGGGGATGCCAAGGCGGGCAGATCACCAGGTCAGGAGTTCGAGACCAGCCTGACCAACATGGTGAAACCCTGTCTCTACTAAAAATACAAAAATTAGCCAGGTGTGGTGGCACGCGCCTGCAATCCCAGCTGCTCGGGAGGCTGAGGCAGGAGAATCGCTTGAACCTGGGAGGCAGAGGTTGCAGTGAGCCAAGATCTCGCTGCTGCACTCCAGCCTGGGCAACAGAGGGAGACTCTGTCTCAAAACAAACAAACAAACAAACAAACCACAACTATCACCGTCATTTCATATAAGGAAAGACATTTGAATTTCAAAAGAGTCCAAGGAGGCCAGGCGTGGTGGCTTACGTCTGTAATCCCAGCACTTTGGGAGGTGGAGGTGGGCAGATCACTTGAGGCCAGGAGTTCGAGACTAGCCTGGCCAATATAGTGAGACCCCATCTCTGTAAAAAATTCTTTTAAAAAGATCCAAAGGTATATAATCTCATAGGATAGTTGTTTAAATAGAGCAAATTCAGTCTTATGAAAATCTTACTCTGTTGTCTCAATCTCTCCTTCTGCATCATTTTGACCAGACAAAATCCTCAAGGATTATGAGGTCTGGGGACCAACCCAGTGTTTAGAAACCACTTCCAAAGTGCCTCCTCCAGGGACCCCTGGGAGCATCCCATCTGGTTATTTTGTTTTCTTCTTCAATTATTCTTCCCAGTTTTCTTCATAGGCATCTATGGGGTCTTTGGCTAATGAGAAACCATACTGCTCAAATCAGAACCTCTTGTACCTTCTAGAAGTTTCTATATTAATGGTGAGCAAACTTAATTTTCCCCCACAAGAGCCAATTTAGGGAAAAATATGCTTACGGGCTGCATTTATTTTCTTTCCAGGTGAAAATAGCTTTGAATCCCATGGGAGTGGGGGCAGGACATGTATTTTCTTCCAGGGTAGAATGTCTGTGCAATCAAGTAGATTTATGCTAATGAGAAAGCAGTGCCACTTTCCAGTTACTAAGATGTTAATATCTGGCATAGTTGAGAATTCGTTATATAGAGGCAGCTTTCTAATTTTTCAGCCTAACAGTTAACAGGCTGAAGATATAGATAAATGGAATGGCACAAAACCATTTATTGAAAGTATGTTTCATTCCTCTCCCTTTGATCAACCACGTAGACTTATTTTAATCCAATACAGGAAACCAAGTTATTAAGAATTCTGCAAGTCGCCGGGCGCGGTGGCTCATGCCTGTAATCCCAGCACTTTGGGAGGCCGAGGCGGGCGGATCACGAGGTCAGGAGATCGAGACCATCCTGGCTAACACGGTGAAACCCCATATCTACTAAAAATATGAAAAATTAGCCGGGTGTGGTGGCATGCGCCTGTAACCCCAGCTACTCGGGAGGCTGAGGCAGGAGAATCACTTGGACCCGGGAGGCAGAGGTTGCAGTGAGCCCGAGATTGTGCCACTGCACTCCAGCCTGGGCGACAGAGTGAGACTCCGTCTCAAAAAAAAAAAAAGAATTCTGCTAGTCGTTAATACATGGCAAATTGTACATTTCAGTCAGAACTCAGAAGGTTTCTAAGGTTTGGCTACAAAGGCCAGTCTCAAAACAGCTGCTGTCTCCAGGTAGCAAGGGCTTCCTCAGAGGTCCTTAAGGAAGCCCAGAGCAAGCCTGCTGGAAATCACTCATTTTGGAGGCTTTTAAAAAATATTACAAAAAGTGGCTGGGTGCGGTGGTTCACGCCTGTAATCCCAGCACTTTGAGAGGCCGAGGCGGGTGGATCACCTGAGGTCAGGAGCTCAAGACCAGCCTGGCCAACATGGAGAAACCCCGTCTCTACTAAAAGTACAAAAATTAGCCCGGCGTGCTAGCACTCACCTGTAATCCCAGCTACTTAGGAGGCTGAGGCAGAAGAATCACTTGAACCCAGGAGGTGGAGGTTGCAGTGAGCTGAGATCGTGCCGCTGCACTCCTGCCTAGGCAACAGAGTAAGACTCTGTCTCAAAAAATAAAAAATAAAAAAAAATACAAAAACAAGTGCTTATGTGTTATCAGGTGGACTTTTATTAATACATAGAGATCAGAACTCAAATTATTGTGTGGTTGAAATATCTCTTGAGTAAATCATTCACATTGGCCCTAGGTGACCAAAGCTATGATACAAAGAATTTGATCCATTCGATCCTGAGGCACCAGAGTTTGCATTCTGGAGTCAAACGCCCTAGGTTCAAATCCCTGAGAAAGTACTAATTGAGTTACCACTATGATATTGTTCCTGGCGCGGAAGGACTTAACAGAACCAGTGGAGTTAGCAAGATGTCAAATAGCAGAGGAGGAACAAACATAGGGTACAGAGACTTCACGATTCACTTCCTTAGTGCTTGCAGTTTCAGGCAAGAGTGTTCCTTACCATAACAAGACTAAACAGAACTGTCTGCCAGACCTTAATTCTAAAATGGATTTTCATTGTTAAAAAATGATTTAAGGCCGGGCACGGTGGCTCACGCCTGTAATCCCAGCACTTTGAGAAGCCGAGGCGGGCAGATCACCTGAGGTCAGGAATTCAAGACCAGCCTGGCCAACATGGCGAAACCCTGTCTCTACTAAAAATACAAAAATTAGCCGGGCATGGTGGCGAATGCCTGTAATCCTAGCTCGGGAGGCTGAGGCAGGAGAATTGCTTGAACCCAGGAAGCGGAGGTTGCAGTGAGCCGAGATCGCACCACTGCACTCCAGCCTGGGCAATAGAGCAAGCCTCTGTCTCAAAAAAAAAAAAGAAAAAAGAAAAAAAAGAAAATAATTTCCTGTTTATCTTTTGTCCTGCTGAGCCACCCCAGACAAGTTATTAAATTTAAGCCCATTGAGATGAAATTTCTTCAGTAAGATAAGGATATTTCACGTACCTCATAGGGTTATGGGGATTAGGGCTATCCTACTGCTGCTGAGAACTAAATACTCCAATCTTTTTGTAGTGATATTCCGTAGACAAGACAAAATAATGCTACCTTGTGATATCATTTAGCAAATCATTAGAAAAAAATCCCTATTGAAACTCCCCAAAGCAAACAAAAAGTAAAGCTAACCGCCATTGGTCAGCCCTGAAAATCACCCCCAAGCATTATGAAGAATCATTTGATGAACTAGATAGGCAGATGTTCCAGAAGATTCTTATTGCTAATTTCAGCAACAAAGCCAAGCTTACACATAAACACACAACCACAAAGTAAGTTATGATCCTCCCCACATTCCTCCCATTTCTTTGCTTTTCTTCAAATAAGGAGAGATGCTTCAAGATACCAGGACACGCCACATTTGTTGTTCTGAAGCAAACCGCACATTACCAAAACATCTTGGATAAAAATAAAATTGTGTTTCTTTCTGAGATGGAAATTGCTTTTGGCTGCTCACCCAACCATGCTTTTTGCTAAACTCTGGGCTTTGTTTTTGCTTTTTATTGGAGCAGGTTTATAAACACCAGAGGCAAAATGCACCAACTTGAACAGATGGCTTAAAGTGCTATTTCATTTGTCATTATTTGCTCAGGGAAGATGGTAAAGTTGGGCTGCTGGGATGCCAAGCTTAAAGCTGGAGGAATTGTCTTGGGCAGAATCAAAGTCCCCTACAAGGCAAGGCTCTACACAAAGTTGGGCCTCAGTACTTTTCTAAAAGGAAAACTTAACAGACACAAAAACCATCCTTTTCTTGCTCATACGACTCAAACCATAGGTGAGAAAAACTTATCATGACTAGAAATCTTATTTCCACAAATTTGGGGGAGGCAGCCATGTCATATCCCACGTGCATGGAGACCCCATTTCCAACTCAGGGCCTCATGACCACTTCTGAAGAAACATTGTCAATTCCTTTTGGACTCTGACACCTTTGTCTAGGATATACTCTGTTACAGCCATTTTGCTCACACGATGTTAGCAGTATTCCTGATGTTAGCAGCAGATTATTTTCTTTGTTTTGGAATTCACTAAGTAAGATCCTCTTGGTCCTTTGCTGGAGAAACGCCACTTCCAGTTTTCCCTGTGAAGTCCCTATCTTAGGGTTGATGTGGCATCCTGAATGGGCCATCTGTCAGCAAAGCTGGGCACCATTAAAAACTGTGCTTGAAGGATACACATTGAATCATGATGGTGCTTGCTTCTGGTGTAGGGGAAGGGAATGGAATGGAGGATGGGGGAAATGTCGCCCAGGCTGGAGTGCAGTGGCTGGATCTCGGTTCAGTGCAACCTCTGCCTCCTGGGTTGAAGCCATTAGCTTGCCCAGCCTCCCAAATAGCTGGGATTACAGGCATATGCTACCATGCCCGACTAATTTTTGTATTTTTAGTAGAGACGGATTTTTGCCATGTTGGCCAGGCTGGTCTCGAACTCCTGACCTCGTGATCCGCCCACCTCAGCCTCCTACAGTGCTGGGATTACAGGCGTGAGCCACTGAGCCCAGCCATTTCTCTGTATTTTTAAAGTTTCGCAAAAACCTTTTTTTTTTTTTTAGTAGAGACAGGGTTTCACCATGTTGGCCAGGCTGGTCTCGAACTCCTGACCTCAGGTGATCCACCTGCCTCGGCCTCTCAAAGTGCTGAGATTACAGGCGTGAGCCACCGCGCCTGGCCTCCAGTCCTTTCTTAAGGGCCACTGCAGCCCTTGCTATCTTTGACTTAGTACCATGAGGAAAAGGAAACCAAGTTCAAGTGTACAGGAGCACTGCAACAGCAAAGAATCCAGTCATTTTCAATGAAAATTAATTCAAACAAAATACAAAGAAAAGTAACCAGAGTTGGGCAAGATAATATTCCTTGAATGTGTATATGTTCAAAATCTGAATGTATAAAATATTAAAGAAAAGAGTAAATATTGGCTGGGCGCGGTGGCTCACGCCTATAATCCCAGCACTTTGGGAGGCCGAGGCGGGCGGATCACCTGAGGTCGGGAGTTCGAGACCAGCCTGACCAACGTGATGAAACCCCGTCTCTACTAAAAATACAAATATTAGCTGGGCATGGTGGCGCATGCCTGTAATCCCAGCTACTCAGGAGGCTGAGGCAGGAGAATCGCTTGAACCTGGGAGGCAGAGGTTGCAGTGAGTCAAAGTCACGCCATTGCACTCCAGCTTGGGCAACAAGAGTGAAACTCTGTCTCAAAAAAAAAAAAAAAAAAAAAAGAAAGAAAGAAAAGAAAAGAAAAGAAAACGGTAAATACAAGGAAGCAACTGAAAAGCCAACAACACCAACCAACCACTTTGGGTTGCATCCACCTATCCAGGTAACGATGCAATCCTAAACTTACCAATTTTTCCATTTTAATTCTAAGCTAACAGATTTTATTGGTTGACTTTTTTTTTTTTTTCCACAAGACAGTCTCGCTGTCACCCAGGCTGGAGTGCAGTGGTGCGATCTCGGCTCACTGCAACCTCCACGTCCCAGGTTCAAGTGATTCTCCTGCCTCAGCCTCCTGAGTAGCTGGGACTACAGGCACCCGCCACCACGCCCAGCTAATTTTTATATTTTTTAGTAGAGACGGGGTTTCGCTATGTTGGACAGGTTGGTCTCGAACTCCTGACCTCAGGTGATCCACCCCCCCCCCCCCGCCCCCCGCTCGGCCTCCCAAAGTGCTGGGATTACAGGTGTAAGCCACAGCATCCGCCCCCCGCCCCCCTCCTTTTTTTTTTTTTTGAACGTGAGAGTTGCATCAACGGTCTGTAAGAAAGCTGGCTTTTCTTATAAAAAAGACACTGAGTACATCCAGAAAACCCCAGCAAGGATATGCCTGACACTAGGATTTCTCCAAACTATTTACTTTAGACCTGATTAATGATTGTGCACCTGGAGTGATGAGTTTTCCAGAGGTCAAGTTGGACTCAATCACCCATATTCAAATCAAGAGAGCAACTGGGAGAGAACACAATTTAAGGCAAAGTGTACTTCACACGTGTAGAACCTGTGCCTCAGTTGTGATGGCCACCCTCACCTCCTTTTTTTTTTTTTTTTTGAGACGGAGTCTCGCTCTGTCGCCCAGGCTGGAGTGCAGTGGCGTGATCTTGGCTCACTGCAAGCTCCGCCTCCCGGGTTCACGCCATTCTCCTGCTTCAGCCTCCCATGTAGCTAGGACTACAGGTGCCCGCCACCACGCTCGGCTAATTTTTTGTATTTTTAGTAGAGACGGAGTTTCACCGTGTTAGCAAGGATGGTCTAGATCTCCTGACCTTGTGATCTGCCCGCCTCAGCCTCCCAAAGTGCTGGGATTACAGGCGTGAGCCACCGCGCCCGGCCACCTCCTTTCTTTACATTGTTTCTTCAGTCCCATAACATCTTTGCAGCATTATTATTCCTGAGTGATTATGACAGCACAATTAAGTTTTTTTTTTTTTTTTTTTGAGACGGAGTCTCTGTCACCCAGGCTGGAGTGCAGTGGCATGATCTTAGCTCACTGCAGCCTCTGCCTTCCGGGTTCAAGTGATTCTCCTGCCTCGGCCTCTTAAGTAGCTGGGATTACAAGTGCATGCCACCACGCCTGGCTAATTTTTGTATTTTTAGTAGAGACAGAGTTTTACCATGTTGGCCAGGCTGGTCTCGAACTCTTGACCTCAGGTGACCCGCCCACCTTGGCCTTCCAAAGTACTGAGATTCCAGGCCTGAGCCACCACACCCGGCCTAAAATTAACTTCTGATGAAGAGAAAGTTTATTGTAACAAAGACAAGAGTTTTTGAAATGCAGATGAGAAAAATTCCTGTCTTGGAGACTTGACAAGTGGCTACAAGTAGGCACAGTCTAAATTCAGCCCATTTGCGAAAGTTATAAAGGAGATGCATTTTTAATCAAAGTCACCACGGTAGGGTTTCATATGAATAAACAAGCTTTTATTTTCTAATGGAGGAAAACATTTGGAGTGGAGACCAGACTTGAGAAGAACCGTACACAGACTGCTTTCTTAGAACTAGGCATTGCCCCTCTGGGCCAGAACACAGAGCTCACACGCCCACTTCTTGTTTGGTGCTGTACCGAAGTCACCACTGGGGCCTGCGACATCCACATTTTTTTTTTTTTTTTTTTTGAGATGGAGTTTCGCTCTTGTTGCCCAGGCTGGAGAGCGAGGGCGCGATCTCAGCTCACTGCAACCTCCGCCTCCCAGGTTCAAGCAATTCTCCTGCCTCAGCCTGCCAAGTAGCTGGGATTACAGGAATGCGCCACCATGCCCGGCTAATTTTTTGTATTTTTAGTAGACACGGGGTTTCTCCATGTTGGTCAGGCTGGTCTCGAACTCCCGACCTCAGGTGATCCACCCGCCTCAGCCTCCCAAAGTGCTGGGATTACAGGCGTGAGCCACCGCGCCCGGCTGACATCCACATTTTAAAGCTGCTAAAGGATTTGGATGGATTGGTGCTGAGTCAGGGTACAACCTGCTATCACTTGAAAATATGGGCTGCTATTTTATTTTCTTCCTGGGACCCGTGTGTTTTGTACAGCACATTAGCACATTTTCTTTTCATTCAAAGTAGTGGTTATAACACTTGATCTCAGCCACTGGAAATGTGTTAGTATAAATCTTCAATGTACTTATTTTCAAATGAGGTTCAAATCAGAGCTACAAAAAAATAAAAGGCGTATTTCAGTTTTCAAAGTTGTAATCCCACATCGAATTTGTAACAAAAGCTGCTCCTCAACAGGAGTTCACGCTAAACGCATTGCAAAGAACTACTGTGGGGTGAAAAAAACTACTGCAATTGATGTACAGCATAATTTAAAATATGGGATATTATTTTAGGCAACTGTATTTTCTTTTAATCTAGACACAAAATGTAACACTGTATTTCAGCTACGGTACATCTGTAAACAAATTCGGAATAAAAAAACAAACAAACCTTACTTGACTTTTCCCCCATTCACTAGTCAAATTTAGAAGGCCAAGTTTTTGTTTTGTTTTGTTTTGTTTTGTTTTTGAGATGGAGTTTTGCTCTTGTTGCCCAGGCTGGAGTGCAATGGCGTGATCTTGGCTCATTGCAACTTCCACCTCCCGGGTTCAAGCGATTCTCCTGCCTCAGCCTCCCAAGTAGCTGGGATTACAGGTGCCTGCCACCATGCCCGGCTAATTTTTGTATTTTTTAGTAGAGATGGGGTTTCACCATGTTGGCCAGGCTGGTTACAATCTCCTGACTTCCAGTGATCCGCCTGCCTCGGCCTCCCAAAGTGTTGGAATCACAGGCGTGAGCCACTGCGCCAGGCCAGAAGGCCACGTTTTAACAACTGTTTTCAAACCAACCTAATGCCAAACTTCAGAATTTAGTAGGAGATTCAGGTATGACGTTATATATGCTTTCTTTTAGTTCTAGCCTTAAATCTTAAGTTAATTCTTGACTTTAAATTTGTACAGTTAAACCAGCTTCCCTAAAAGTAATTCCTCTTTTTTGTTTACAGCTCTAAGCTGCTTTTGTGATGAGTATTGCCCATTGCACTTCAGCATAGCGGAACAGCAGTTAAAAGCCTAAATGTGGATTGCATATTGATAAATTATTACTCCTCAAAAGCACCTGATAATATAAGTGTCACTCTTGGTTACTTTATCATCCTTTTCTAGAGACAAAAACACAGAATGAGAGGGACATCCTGTAGCCATTTCTTTTTTTTTCTTTTTTTCTTTTTTTGAGACAGAGTTTCGCTCTCATTGCCCAGGCTGGAGTGCAATGGCTCACTGCAACCTCCGCCTCCCGGGTTCAAGCGATTCTCCTGCTTCAGCCTCCCGAGTAGCTGGGATTGCAGGCATGCACCACCACACCCGGCTAATTTTGTATTTTTAGTAGAGATGGGGTTTCTCCATGTTAGTCAGGCTGGTCTCGAACTCCTGACCTCAGGTAATCCGCCCGCCTCGGCCTCCCAAAGTGCTGGGATTACAGGCGTGAGCCACCGTGCCCGGCCAATGTGAGATGCCCCTCCCCTTGAACATGGGTGGGGTTTATGGACTTTCTTCCTTTTTTTTTTTTTCTTTTGAGATGGAACTTTGCTCTTGTTGCCCAGGCTGAAGTGCAACGGCGCCATCTCGGCCCACTGCAACCTCCGCCTCCCCGGTTCAAGCAATTCTCCTGCCTCAGCCTCCAGAGTAACTGGGATTAGAGGTGCCCGCCACCATGCCCGGCTAATTATTTTTGTATTTTTAGTAGAGACCCGGTTTCACCATGTTGATCAGGCTGGTCTAGAACTCCTGATCTCAGGTGATCCACCCGCCTCGGCCTCCCAAAGTGTTGGGATTATAGACGTGAGCCACCGCGCCAGGCCTGCTAATATCAGTGTCTAACGCTGTGCTGATAAGTGCTAAACAACAACCCAACATCCAGTTTATCTAGCACTTAACGTTACTAAGTTATTAAACCAAGCTTCAGTGGCCATTAGTAAGGCAAACCTGCTACCATTTTAGTGCAAGTCTGAATTTTTGTTTTTTGTTTTTCTGTTAGATAAAAATTCTGATCTTGGATTGGGTGCAGTGGCTCACGCCTCTAATCGCAGCACTTTGAGAGGATAAGGTGGGCAGATCACCTGAGGTCAGGAGTTCGAGACCAGCCTGGCCAACATGGCGAAACCCTGTCTCTACTAAAAATACAAAAATTAGCCGGGCATGGTGGCACACGCCTGTAATCCCAGCTACTCGGGAGGCTGAGGCAGGAGAATCTCTTGAACCCAGGATGTGGAGGTTGCAGTGCGCTGAGATCACGCCACTGCACTCCAGCCTGGGCGACAGAGCGAGGCTCCGTCTCAAAAAACAAATAATAAAATAAAATGAAAACTAAAAAATCCAATCTTGGAGCAATAGAAAAGGCTAACTACAACCTAAGAGCTTATTTAAAACCAACTTAGCCGGGCGCGGTGGCTCACGCCTGTAATCCCAGCACTTTGGGAGGCCGAGGTGGGCAGATCACAAGGTCGGGAGATCGAGACCATCCTGGCTAACACAGTGAAACCCCCCGTCTCTACTAAAAACACAAAAACATTAGCTGGGCACGTTGGCGGGTGCCCGTAGTCCCAGCTACTCGGGAGGCTGAGGCAGGAGAATGGCGTGACCCTGGGAGGTGGAGCTTGCACTGAGCCGAGATTGCGCCACTGCTGACAGAGCTAGACTTTGTCTCAAAAACAAAACAAAACAAAACAAAAACCCAACTTAATGGTACTAACTTACCAAATTTAAGCAGTCCCATCTAGGTTTCTGACTGATTTTAAACACAGCCTGAAAAAGTTGTTTCCTTAATCACCCAGCAGAAAACACTAGTTTACATCAAGAAATAAGGGCCACATCCTAAACATATAGACACCTGAGGAAAATGGATTCTGAAGGACTTTCCCTCAACATACCATGTGCCCTAAATGTTGACTCATTTCCTTGACATCCTGCAAATGCTTCCTCTTGTTAACAGCTATCGTGCAGGCAGTAGTTGGTGGGTCAGAAGGGAATGCAATTCTGAACCTCCATGAAGCATATCCTTTCTTCTCTCTGGTCCCAGCAGCATGGGAATTAAGACCCAGCCAAAATCATCCTTACTTCTGAACTCCAAAGGTGTACCAATGTTTTAATGGGTGGGGGAAGAATTAGATGAGAACATAAGATAATTAATGGCAAGTGATTTAAGAGACACAGCAGCAACACTGTTAAGAATACATTTCTATTCCTGATGCAACTGAATTGCTAAAAAGGACTCCATGGAAAAAAATGTTCCAATACCCAAAGTACCTATTTGGAATATTTTGTTTTTTAAACACATCTATAGGGTTGAATATAAATAGAAAATGAACACAATTCTTACTATCTTGCAAGGTGGCCCCCACTTGCTTACCTTTGAGGAGTTTGGCTAGTGCTGGGAAGGCTACAGAAGCCAGTTTCTTTTTTTTTTGAGAGTTTCACTCCGTCGCCCAGGCTACAGTGCAGTGGCCCCATCTCGGCTCACTGCAACCTCTGCCTCTGGTTCAAGTTACTCTCGTGCCTCAGCCTCCTGAGTAGCTGGGATTACAGGCGTGCGCCACCACACCCAGCTAATTTTTGTATTTTTAGTAGAGACAGGGTTTCACAATGTTGGCCAGGCTGGTCTCGAACTCCCGACCTCAGGTGATCCACCCGCTTCGGCCTTTCCAACTGGTGGGATTACAGGCGTGAGCCACCACGCCTGGCCTCTATACTCATTTTCTAACATAGGGAGTGCTTTGACAGGCAGAGACTAGTCCAGGGCAGCTGAACCATACTGGCAGAGCAAGAAAGTCCACTTGGTGTCTTAACTATAATGCATGTGAAAACCAGAAGCTACGACACAAAACTATCTCAAGAAGACCGCTTACACAGGGCACTTCATTAATAATTCGGTGACTCCTCAAAGGTTCAGTTCCATCAAGCCATTTCTTCATAAACTTGTAAATTGGCCAGCTTTGTTAGCAATTACACATAAAAATAGGGTTTCTAAGTTCCACTAATGGAAAAAAAAGCAATGTGAGAAAAGCCCACTACAAAAACCTATTTCCAGATGTGAAAAGACGTTTGTCATGACAAGGATTACTACCAGATGGGATACCCCACGTTTTAATATCCATGAAAGTCAGTGATTTTGCTTGCTGAGGCGCCTTGTAACCAATGGCATCTTGGATTTGTTGAAATGCAGTATATTGTCTAATGTTAATGGATCAGAATGAGACTTGTTTTCTCAGATGGCTAAAATGATTCCTATTTTACTCTTGAGTTTTGACCATTTAAATAGAATGACCTTAAAATAATCAACCTTTATTTAAATGGCTCTGAAACGTGTTCTATTTAGGAAAGTTTTTTGGTGTAATTTAAGAAATTTCTCTTGAGATTTTACCTCCCTAAAGTTACTGAAACGTTTTATGTAACCCCAACTTTAGTAAGAGTATCTAAACTTTCAGGTACAGATAAAAATAAAGATGTCAACTTTTTGCCTATCTCTAAGTTACCAGATTACAAGAAACAATTCAAAATATTGGTGGTGATGTAGATTTTCAGTTAGATGTACTCATGTAGCTAAAAATACTTAAAATACAGTCTAATCCAACTGGAGGGAGTTTTCCAAATTGCAGAAAAGTTAAATATTAGTTTTCTATTTAAAAAAATCAGTGAAATTAAATCCAGTGAAAATCTGAGATTTGTCTTTTAGCAGTTCTTGAAGTAACCCAACTTTAGGAAAGCACCTCCAGGTTTCTGAGGAAATCTTAATTTCCCTGGGACATGACAACAAAGAGCTATTTCTAGACACTAAAAAACAGCAGATGGAACTTGCTAGAGAGTTAACTTTCACTTCTGTGGCTCCCCTCAAAACATGTGGTCTGCTTTATTTCCAGTTTAAGAGAACTGAAACACCACAGTTTGCTGAATCTTAGTTTTAACTCTAAAGTCTGCAATTAGATCACAACTCATTTCTTTGAGGTCCTTAGGTGTGAATCCACTTTGGATATACACAATGATGGCTGAATTCCTCATAAACATTTCCCTTTAAAAAATTCCCTTCAGCTCTATTACACATCTACCTTGTTTAGAAATCTTGTATTAATAAATAAAGGGAAAACCGAAATTGAATTTATAAAGTTTTATTTTTGTATATGTGCTAAATCTTAGGAACTGTGAACAATCTTCATGTCAGTCTGTTGGCTTGTAAAAGGCTAAGAAGTGCATGACTTGGGTGGTGAAATTTCCTTTTAGGAATCTGAATCTCTAAATAAATTTTCACACATTTGCAGTTTTAAAATGTGGTGCACCTTGCCCCCGCTTCTCTTACACCTATAAATTTGGAGGGAAAGTGCTAAATTTCTGCAAACGTCAAGTAATTGTTATAAATACAATCAGCAGCAAATTCTCAATACACTTAGCACTTCTGTAGTGTTTTATCACACTCAAAAACCTTATTTGCAAAAACTGAACACTCACATATATGTAGGACCAATTCTGGTTGAGTCCTACTATGAAACCAATACTGTTTTTTTTTTCTTGGTAACACAAAAACTGGGGTGTAGGGGAGTGTTTTCCTTTATCGGCAGTATGTAGTACCTTCAAACTAGAGACCAAAACTGGGCACTTACAATGAAAAGGCAATTTTCTTATCCAGCTATAATCCTAAATAAGGCAGGATATATCCACCAAATTACCCACAAAATTCAGCAAAGTAAAATAGCTCATGGGAAAACATAAGCTGGAAAAATACTAATAAAAAAACTGAATTACTTCGAAGTAGTCATCTGAATATTCACAGACTTGTTTTCATTTACAAATGTAAGTCAAAAAAGTCTCCTCATCTTTCTAACCACTACGAGGATTAAGGATTTAAGTTATTCACTAAGTTAATCATGAAAAAAATAGAAAACATTTTAATTCTAAATTTGTATACACAACAGCTAAAAGACACAAGGCTGGGAAATTATCACCAGGAGAAAAATCAATGAAAGAAAAAAAAAACCTAGTATGTTATTTCTGCCTCTACAATGCTAAACATGAAAGTTCAGTTGGTGGAGGGCTTAGAAACAGCAGCAACATGGTTTAACAAGTTGTGCACTGAAATACTTAGATACAATAGGGCAAAAGCCCTTGTTCACATGGTTTTACAACTAAAATATCTTCAGTCTTTATGGTAACACATTCTACTGTCTTCTATAATCGTGTCATTTAGAATTCTGGGGGCTGTTTCTTTCAAAGGAAGACTGGCGATTCCGCAAACATTTAAAATAGGAAATATATGGCTCAAAAAATCAGTTGAGGGAGAACTAAATAATCCTTAGGCACTTTGAAGACTTGAAATTTAAAATGTGCCACTTGTGTTCAGAAAAAGACCTCAAAATCACCATTATGTTGCTCTTGCAACAACATGCATCTTTAAATTTCTGGTTATACATTAATGCTTGAGTTAAATATAGAAAATAATTTGCACAAACAAAAATAACTCCACTTTCCCTTGCTCCTAGTCACAACGAATACCACTCTTCCTCAAATGGAGACAAAAATGACTCACAAGCCCCTCACCTGGCACAAGGGGGCTTGTAACTTCAAAGCAACCAAGGTTGGGCTCTTCCTCCAAGCAGAAAAATTCACAGCCTTTTATATGTCAAGTTTTCTCTCAACTAGGAAGTCGTTAAAGTTTTTAAGTACATTACATATTTTGTTAAGGAGCAGCAGGAAATATATAAATCTCCTCTCAGATGGTGAGATGGTACACCTAACTCATCCAAATAAAGTTAACCTATTTCACTCGTTTAAAGAGCTTGGAATTGAGGAACTTTTAAATTAAAAAAACTATCAACTGGGGCCAGGCGCGGTGGCTCACACCTGCAATCCCAGCACTTTGGGAGGCCGAGGCGGCCAGATCACCTGAGGTCAGGAGTTCAAGACCAGCCTGGCCAACGTGGTGAAACCCTGTCTCTACAAAAATACAAAAATTAGCTGGGCGTGGTGGTGGGCACCTCTAATCCCAGCTACTCGGGAGGCTGAGGCGGAAGAATCGCTTGAACCCAGGAGGCGACGTTGCAGTGAGCCAAGATTGTGCCACTGCACTCCAGCCTGGGTGACAGAGCAAGACTCCATCTCAAAGAAGAAAACAACAAAAAAATAAAAACAAAACAAAAATCAGTTGGAATTGCAAACACCGTGTGTGACTTTCACTCAAAGTATCGGTGTCAAAATGTCCTACAGGAACACCTAGAAGCACAGGTTGACTATACAGTACTACAAATAAGATACCCAAAGCTTTATCTTAAATACCTGCCCCTTTTAATCACAAAATAATGCAATGCTCAATTTTGTTTCTGCTTTGTTCAGTTCCAAGTGTAGCCTTTTGACAAAACATTTCCCTATTAACTGAATTGTAAAAAATACAACCAAGCTTGTGCTCATTAAATATACATGTATATAAAAAACATACAAAAAGTACAAGATTATGTTAGGAAACTTTTACAGTGTCAACATCCTGATTTCTCAAAATCTTCAGTAGAGGGCCAAAGGTCAAATCTTTCTGTGCACAAAAACTTGATGTGACTGAAATCCTGAATCAGTGTCATGCCTAGGCATGCTATGCACAGAATGAATTTTAATATGCAGTCCTCTTTTAAAAAAAAAAAAAAAGGACAAAAAAAGTAACCAAAAAAAAAACCAAAAACACACCACAGGACAAAAAGTTCTTCTTAAATCAAATTCTATTTGTGAATTCAGCAAAATAATTTCTATAAAATAAAACAGCAAAATATTTAAATAGAATAGGGTGGGCTGTATCTGTTTGCAGGGGTATTTGGTTTTTAGACAGGTTCCAAAAAATTACACACATTCAAGTTACCAATTCTCTTTTAAATACAGTATGAACTGAGGATTTCCTTATTTTTAATCAAATGTTTATTCTGAAATTGTAATATCTCAATTATATCAACCAGTAGTTTCTTTTTTAATGAGACCCTGCTTTGAACGTTAAACGTTTTGGAATAATGGAAAAGGAGCTAGGACAATTCTTGCTTTCAAGTAAAATTGTGACTGAGCAGAAAATCAGCCAGCTATCTTGGTGCAGAGAGGTACTCCAAGTACCGTGGGGTTCTGATGACTTCCACGTCACTGGGATCCAACAGAAGGAAAGTTTTAGAAGATTCACCTAATAAACTCTACCAAAGAAACAAAACAAGCACACCAAATACAGTCTTATATTATGCTCCAGCATCTTGGCATAGCAAATTTTTGCATATTTGTTTTAAATCTTTAAAAATTCCCATTACTGATACGTAAGTGTTCTTTATTCCACCCAGAGATTGAACTGTCAAACATTATATATAAGGAACATATGTGCAACTGAAAATAGACTGTCACATTTCTCCCCTTGTTTTATATTTTAATATTCTAGGTGTAAGAAGTAAAAGCTCTGAGTAATACAGCTGTCACTTCTCGGACAACTGCTGTCATTATGGTAACTTTTTCCTCATTGGCTACACTAACTTGGTGTGAAGCCATGCTAAATGTTACAGCATAACTATAGCTTCAAAGTGATTAACCTAATATCAGAATAAAAAGGCAATGAAAAAAATCTAGAAACAGTGTTACATCACCAATTTTCCACATCAACCAAATAATTTAAAGGTTACCAGCCTTACATTGCTCATAGCAAAATTGACTCCAGTGGCAAAGAATTAACATGAAACTATTGGTGTGGCTGACATGGATGGGCTCTGTTTTGTTGCTGTTGGTTTTTTTTTTTTCTTTTTTGTAAAGGAGCTGATCCAACTGCCATGAGGCAGGCAACACTGGTTGCAGAGTGCAGTGGGTGTAACAAGAAAATTAACTTTTGTAGTTTGTGTAGATCTGTGAGTCTCATCAAGAAAAAAGTTTCTTGCTTAAGAATTAACAGTCAACATTAATATACTATATACACCTTTGCCATTTACACATTAGCATCAGGCCATTTATTACAAAACACTATACACTTTCCACTGCAGGCGGGTTATATATTGACAGCAAATTTCTGCAGATAAGACAGTGAATAAACTCTCCACTCCATGTTGATTAGGAATAGTTTTTCTAGTTTTAAATATTAGCCAGACACAGAAAAAGGTTGGACTGTAAGGCCTGGGTGCACAGTCTTGATGGAACCAGTTAATTATGTGCATTTCATTGATCCTTGGTTTGAGGTGGGGATACTTCTTCACTGCCTTCATAATTTTCTTGTGCTCGTTGGCCAGTTCTCTGAGGGTTGTTCATGTGATGTGCTGCTGGGCCTGTATATGGCTGTCCATGCACATGGTTATTCTGGGAAAGGAGAAAAGATCTGTATGTTAAAACTTTTCACATAGTAAAACAACTTCAAAATCATGGTCTGAAGTCTCTGGAAATGTATACTCTTATTCTTGGGACTTACTCTGTAAATACCCTTGGACTACTATAGTGCAAAACAAAAACAAAAACAAAAACAAAAAAAGGCTTGAAAAACGTAGTGTAAATGCAAACCCCAAAACCCTGAATAAGAGCAGTGATTGTGTAGGTCCACATAAATCTTTGGCCAAAGTGATTTTTAGTGCCAAAAATTATTTAGACTCAAGTCTGGCAAATAAAGGATTAACCCACTGTTGCTCTTGGTAAAAAATTTTCAGAGAATGATCTATGAGCATCTATTGACTCTTCCACATGCTAAATCCGATTGACTAACCATGATGTAAGATATATAGGAGCAGTAACCCTGAACTCACAATAATGCTGATTAAAAACAGAACAATGTTCAAGATGATAAAGTAACCAGGCATGATTAACATAAGAGCTTTCTCAGGGTCAAAGGAAGTTAACCTTCCTTGTGGATTTGGTTCCTTAACCTTTTAAAATGTCTGAACCCTACAGTGCTCTCATTTTTCTGTACATGCTCCATCAGCCAAGCCAAGATTTTAGGCTTAACTTTTTTTTTTTTTTTTTTGAGATGGGAGTTTCGCTCTTGTTGCCCAGGCTGGAGTGCAATGGTGCTATCTCGACTCACCACCACCTCTGCCTCCTGGGTTCAAGAGATTCTCTTGCCTCAGCCTCCTGAGTAGCTGGGATTACAGGCATGCGCCACCACCATACCCGGCTAATTTTGTATTTTTAGTAGAGACAGGGCTTCTCCATGTTGGTCAGGCTGGTCTCAAACTCCTGACCTCAGGTGATCCACCTGCCTCAGCCTTCCAAAGTGTTGGGATTACAGGCATGAGCTACCGCGCCTGGCCAGGCTTTACTTTCTATAGATGAAAATAAGTACGCTGAATGTGTACTTCCTAACTATTCAGTTTGCTTCTATGTACACAGTGAAATGTAAGAAAGAATGCCTGAAATGTTTCTCCAAGTATGGTTCCTGGACCACCAGCAGCATCACTTGGGAACTTGCTAGAAATGTACATTTTCCAGCCCCTTGAAGACCTATGAAATAAGACACTTTAGGGTAGCATCTAGCTCTCTGCTGGAGCAACCCTTCCAGGGAGACTCACGCCTGTGCAAGTTTGAGTACCACTGCCTCACAAGAGCTGATTTAGTCACATTTTGGTTTCAGAAAGAAAAAGTTATCATTTAGAATGTTTCTTCATCTCATTTCTTTTGCTATTTACTAGTTTATTTACTTTAATCACCTATGGAAATCTACCCAAATCCTTTTTTTTCCAGTGATTTTTACCATCACTGAAACCTGTGGCTAAGTAACCAAGGACTTCTTACTTCATTGCCATATCTTAATAATGTTTTTGGAATCCAGGTGAAGATTTTACCTCACCGGAAATGTCACCACAATCCTTTGCACTAAACAATGATCATTTTATGTTGATATAAATTCTCATACAGTTTTATTAACTACTAGCACAAGAAGGACACCTTCTTGACAAGGAAAACCCTACAGTGGTTAAGTTCAAACATGTTACACCATGACCCCCACTCCAAACCATCCCTCTTCTGGATCATGCTCCCAAAGCTAGTCTAGATAATCCTACTTCTTACTTTGTAGTCACAACAAACAATTGAGCCATCCTCTAAAATTAAGCATAAAACCCAGTTCTAGGGGATAAAAGCATAAACTGACTCCTGTTTACCTGTTGATACTGAGATCCAGGTGAATGGGGGTACAATGGGGCATCTTCAGGTGGAGGCGACTCATGTTCATCTGGAGCATCTTGGTCATCTGGCTCCTAATTTTGAATATTTCAAGATAAAAAATTACGTAGGCAAACTCAAGTTTACTTTTAACTTTTTCTATTTGAAATAAATTTTAAAAATCTACAAAACTGACCCATTAGCAACTTTTCTTTTACTGCAGATAAAGAACTTGGGGAAAAAACAAAAAAAAAAAAAACAAAACAAAAAACCTGATTTGCATTCTCTCAGAACTACTACATTTCAGGCAATTTCACAGAAATTTCTCCAAAAGAAAGCTCCCTTCATTAGCTTAAAATGACATAGAATAAACATTCTTTTCTTTTCTTTTTTTGAGATGGAGTTTCACTCTTGTCACCCAAGCTGGAGCCCACTGGCACGATCTCCGCTCACTGCAATCTGTGCCTCCTGGGTTCAAGTCATTCTCCAGCCTCAGCCTCCCAAGTAGCTGAGATTACAGGCGCCTGCCACCACGCCCGACTAATTTTTCTATTTTTAGTGGAGATGGGATTTCACCTTGTTGGCCAGGCTGGTCTTGAACTCCTGACCTCAGGTGATCCGCCTGCCTCGGCCTCCCAAAGTGTTGGGATTACAGGCGTGAGCCACCATGCCCAGCCGAATAAACATTTTTCAAAACCCAAAACTTCAACATAATCTTTTAATAATATCATTAATACATAAACACTGGCCTATAAAATAAAGAATTACTTTGCTCTCTTCCATTTCTATCTGCTGCACACTGGTGGCTTTTTTTACCTCCTCTGGACAGAGTTCACAAGCTTTTGCAAGTGTCATCCTAGCACTATGTGATCTCTCCAAGAAATAACCATTGGACGTTTCATTGCTTTGCACTGGGGGAGACCAATTGTTGTAAGTGTACTGAGGATTGCCAGTATATGGTCTTCTTTCAAGTTCATCTCCAAGCCATTCCACTGCCCAGGTCCACTTTCTTTTAAGATCTCCATTGCCCTGCAAAAGAAAATAAAACCATATAGATAAGAGGATTTGGAATACTTCAAAGTTAACTTAAAATGACAACCCCAAGTTCTCATGATTCTCTTCTTTTAAAACAGAATCCTTAATTCTGATTAAGATTTCTACAAAATTATAAGAAAAAAATCCTCACCTGCAGGATTTGGTAAGCAACAGGACAGTTACTAAATAGAGCTACCATACATTTTATACACTGGTATGCTCTTTTTTGATAGTGATTCTTAGAGCGCTGGATTGTGTCAAACAGCCCATCTCGGTCATCTGGAATTCCTTTCAGTGCATTATGAATTCTGAAAGAGAACCAGATATAAAATAAAAACATCTAAAATCTAATAGCTAATATATACTGAGTGCCTACTATGTGCCACTCAATAATGTCTTTTAGTCATTTAATCTAACATTAGACAATAGGTACTATTATTAAACCTTTATTTTTTATTTATTTATTTTTTTTGAGACGGCCTGGGCTGGAGTGCAGTGGCGCCATCTCGGCTTACTTCAAGTCCTGCCTCCCAGGTTCACGCCTCTCTCCTGCCTCAGCCCAACTACAGGCACGTGCCACCACGCCCAGCTAATTTTTTGTATTTTTAGTAGAGACGGGGTTTCACCGTGTTAGCCAGGATGGTCTCAATCTCCTGACCTCGTGATCCGCCTGCCTCGGCCTCCCAAAGTGCTGGGATTACAGGCATGAGCCACTGCGCCTGGCCTTATTATTAAAACTTTTAACAGGTGAGAAAATTGGCACAGAGTTACACAGCTTGCCGAGGTCATATAGCTGCGGAGCAGTGTGACTCCAGAGTCTGTGCTCTTACTAACTTATTACCAGTCCAAAATAATTCTGCCATATATGTAATTTAAACACATTACCTGAAGTGAATTCAGGACACTCGAGAGTAATGCAAACTTTAAAAAAGTTATAACTAAGTTTATGACTGCTGTAGTTGAGGGTAATTTGCTACACATCAATACCTTTTATAAAACTGCATCTCTGAAGGCAAGTTAGGATTCAGTGACATAATTTGGAGGTACAGTATTTGAATTCTAATAATGAGAATACATGGCAGGCAAAGCATTTTGACAGGCAATAGTACAATTTGGCTGATTTGCCAATAACACAGGATTTCATTTCAGTTTCTCCCAAACTACAACAGAGTAATAATACAAAGCCAACTAGTCCTGTCTTTCCCTGAACTAACTAACTTAAAACATGATTGTAGGGGCACAAACATGCCTTGTTTCTTTTGTGTTAAAAAGATTATGTGCCAGTAAATAAAATGTGGTGTATATATATCCATAAAACAAAATATTATTCAGCTATAAAGTAATGATACATGCTATAACATGGATGGACTCTGAAAACATTAAGCTAAGTGAAAGAAGTCAGACACACAAATTGCATGATTTCGTTTTTACCAAATGTCTGGAAGAGGCAAATCCACAGAGACAGAGAACAGATTAGTGGTTGCCAGGGTTAGAAGGAATGGTGAGTGACTGCTTAATTGGGTAGGGGTTTCCTTTTGGGGTAATAAAAAAAAATGTTCTGGGATGGGCACGGTGGCTCACATCTGTAATCCCAGCACTTCGGGAGGCCGAGGTGGGCGGATCACGAGGTCAGGAGATCGAGACCATCCTGACTAACACGGTGAAACCCCGTCTCTACTAAAAATACAAATAATTAGCCAGGCATGGTGGCGGGCACCTGTAGTCCCAGCTACTCGGGAGGCTGAGACAGGAGAATGGCGTAAACCCGGGAGGCGGAGCTTGCAGTGAGCCGAGATCGCGCCACTGCACTCCAGCCTGGGTGACAGAGTGAGACTCCCTCTCAAAAAAAAAAAAGTTCTGGAATCAGATAGTGGTAATGGCTATACAACATTGTGAATGTACTAAAAGTCACTGAATTGTATACTTTGAAATGGTGAGTTTTGTTATGTAAATTTTACCTCAATTAGAAAACATAACCTGGACACTGAGAATTTAAAGATTCTAATATACACTATGTATTTTACTTAACAGTATGTTTAAAGTCAAAGTAAGATTTTTTTCCTCCATCAAATGCATTCATGATTTCCAAACAAAACAGATTACTTCAACAATTTTGCAAAGCTTAATCATTTCAGACAAATCAACCATGTTCAGGCCCTCTTGCTGTTTCATCTGAAACACTACATATAAATTGCTTTTACCTTCAGTTTTTTCAAGTAACAATGAAGTGCTAAATCATTATTTCTGCCATATCATATTTTCTCCCCATTAGCATCAACTGCTCTCAAATGCCATTTTTATTAATACTATCTTCACTTGCCTTATTACCTGATGCCAAGCAGTGCTGGGCACATGGTAGACACTCTATAAATATTTGAACATTGTTTACTGAATGAACTAAAAGCTCATTATGAGAAAATTATTTTCACGTTTGGGCCAGTGATTCATTTAACAGTATCTTACTAATCTCATTACACAAAAGTGTAATTCCCACATTTAATCTAGCACGTATGTCTTTGCCATTATCACTTGCTCTAATCAAACAAGAGCTAAGATGTGATTAACTGGTTTAAAACTGTAAGTGCTTACAGTACTTTCTTTTTTAAAAAAATAGAGGCAAGATCTTGCTATGTTGGTCAAGCTGGCCTTGAACTCCTGGTCTCAAGCAATTCTCCTGCCTTGGCCTCCCAAAGTGCTTATTACAGGGGTAAGCCACTGTGCCCAGAAATACAGCATTTTTAAAAAAGAAAATAGTAAAAGTTAGATTTCATTAAAATCTACTCTGAAGGAAGCTTTCAAATCCTATGAACATATTTAGAAGGGCACTGAATACTGCCTGAATAAACGACTATAATTCTGAGCTACTATCTTTTGTGTCTCACGAAAATTGATTTTTGGTTTAATGCTATTTTTACAGTATTTGTTTGAAATCTATTATGGTAAATTTGGAGATAATTTGAAAATACTAAGTTGCAAATTCTGGCTTTCGCAATCCCCACTAAAACTCCAGATTGTTACTTCTCTTTAAGCATTTTGTTGTTACAGAACTTGTTTTTAAGTTTGTTTTATTACCTTGGCAGATGGGAGGCAAACTGCGACATAGACTTTGAATTGTTTTCCCAAACAAACTATTATACTATCTTCCATGTGGGAAGGGAAGTTCTAAAACCTGGCAGTGCTGTCAACTAATACCATAATTTATCATCTATTATATAACTCTTGGGATTAAAGATAATATATTCAACTTTTACTACAAAAAAACCCCCAAAAACAAATAGAAAAATTCTAGTGAAAGTTTGAGGGCCAGTTAAGCTGGATAACCTTAGTTTTTACGGGGGAAAAAAGTTAACATTCTAAAAGTTCTCATAAAAACTAATTATAATTGATCCCCTCATTATTCATGAATTCCACATTTGTGAATTCGCTTACTTCCTAAACTTTATTTATAACTGCAAAATCAATCATCAAGGTGCTTTCTTCGTCATCTGTGGACATATACAGAGCAGCAAAAATATCAAGTTGTCCAACACAAACGTTCCTAGCTGAAGTCCAGAAGAGTGTCATTCTCTCTTGTTTCAGCTTAAACTGTAAACAAGTGTCCTTCTTCATGGTGTATTTAGTGCCACATTTTCCACATATTTGTGCTTTTGCTGGTTATTTTTATGTTTAAAATGACCCAAGTATATAATGTTGAAGTGCTATCTAATGTTCCTAACCACAAGAAGGCTGTGATGTGCCTTATGCAGAATGCATTGAGAAGCTTAAGTTCAGGCTTAAGTTACAGAGCTGTTGGCTGTGAACTTTATGAGTCAACAAAATATATTAAATGACTTTAAGTAGAAACACACATACAACAAGGTTATGTATTGACTGGTTGATAAAAATGTAAACAGAGGCTTATAGAAACCTAATTCTGTATTTCCTCCTAGGAGTAATGGTTCAGTATTTGCTAACTCAGTGTCTGTGGTGACTTTACAGAATATAAGTACCATGAAAAATGGAAACCGTACTTACCTGAAGACTTTTTACATATACTATTATACTTCATGTGACTAATGACTAAGTTGCTTCAAGTGACTAATTCTAAAACAAATGTAATATAATCATAAAATAATCCTCGGGCATCATTAATGAAATTCAAATATTTACCAAATGCCCAAGCTAGCTCCTCCTTAATTAAAAAAGTCATTCTAAAGAAACAGGCTTATTAAGTATGAAACTTAGGCAGTGAGAAAAAAGAATAAAAAAGGAAATAAAATTCTGAGGAAAAGGGGAGAACCTGTTATTTACCCTTGTCCTAGGTTTAAGATAAAACATTCACTAGAACTCCAATAGGTTAAAAAAAATGTGGTGACTGTCAATTTCAGTTAACTCTAACACCTGGGCAAGCCTAATTGTTTCCAGTCACAAAAAGAGTATCCACCTGTGAGTTTGCCAGGAGTCCTCAATCAGTAAGATTTGCAAAAGCAGATCCAAATAGGGCCGCAGTTCATAGGTATAGGAATATGCAACCTAAAAACAAGTAAGACATGGTGAGTAACTTAATGAAAGGAATAACAAATCAAATTATAAACATACAAATGTTATTTTCCTTTTACCTGCCAGAGAAGTTCACTGAGGACAGTAGATGAGAACTGAGGATTCTCCCAGCAGCAAAAACGAAGCAATTTGACGGTTTCCTCTGAATTACTGCAGTCTTCAATGATTTTCTTCACATAACTTGTTCTCACAAATAAAATGTCTGCCACATTCTGCTGAATTGGCATTATAGGTTGTGATAAATTAGGATCACCAAAAGGATTGGGAAGAGGAGGATTACCTAGAATACAGATTTGTCACCAATAAAAAACTAATAAGCTTCTTCACAATAATAATACACAACTTTCACGATAGAAAATAGCCTATAATTTTTTTTTATTTTTTTTAAGATGGAGTCTCGCTCTGTCGCCCAGGCTGGAGTGCAATGGGGCGATCTCAGCTCACTGCAACCGCCACCTCCCAGGTTCAAGTGATTCTCCTGCCTCAGCCTTCCGAGTAGCTGGGACTACAGGTGCACGTCACCACGCCTGGCTAATTTTTTTGTATTTTTGTAGAGACGGGGTTTTGCCATGTTTGCCAGGCTGGTCTTGAACTCTTGACCTCAAGTGACCCACCCACCTCGGCCTCCCAAAATGCTAGGATTACAGGCATGAGCCACTATGTCTGGCCAAATGTTTTATTTTAGAGAAATAACATTTTAAATCAAGTTACCTAAGCACAACGAAGAAAGTAACATTATGCATTATAATGATCAGATAGATATACCAAGATATAAAAATACAAAATCTAAATATAAAAAGTTAATTTTTTTTTTGGACACAGGGTCTCACTGTGTCACCTAGGCTGGAGTGCAGTGGCATGACCACAGCTCACTGCAGCCTTGATCTCCTGGGCTGAAGTGATTCTCCCACTTCAGTCTCCTGAGTAGCTGGGACAACAGGTGCACACCACCACACCCAGCCAACTTTTTTGTTGTTAATTTTTAGTAGAGATGAAGTCTCGCTATGTTGCCCAGGCTCAAACTCTTCAGCTCAAGTGATTCTCCTGCCTTGGCCTCCCCCAAAGCATAGGGATTACAGGCATGAGCCACTGAGCCCAGCCTAAAAAGTTAATTCTTAAACTATTTCATAAACATGGTATCAACCTCAGTCACAAGGAGACAGAAAAAAGACCCCCATTAAACACGTAAAAAAGGTACAGGGCTAAAATATTCCAAAGCAAAAATCTTCCTCCAGACTCTTAGTACTATATATGCCCAGCAGCATTTAAAAACTACCGTAAAGAGGGCTGGGCATGGTGGCTCACACCTGTAATCCCAGCACTTTGGGAGGCCGAGGACGGCAGATCACCTGAGGTCAGGAGTTCGAGACCAGCATGACCAACATGGCGAAACCCCGTCTCTGCTAAAAATACAAAATTAGCCGGGCGTGGTGGTGGGCACCTGTAATCCCAGCTACTTGGGAGGCTGAGGCAGGAGAATGGCTTAAACCAGGGAGGCGGAGGTTACAGTGAGCCGAGATCACGCCATTGCACTCCAGCCTGGGCAACAACAGCAAAACTCTGTCTCAAAACAAACAAACAAACAAAACTAGTGTAAAGAATGGAGCATTCAAATTTACCATTGATTGAAGACTGCATTCTTGAAGAGACATTGCAACAGCGGATCAGCTGTGACACTACTGAGTATAATTTGCCTAATTCAGCATACTGGTATTTGATTGGAGGACCTGGACCTTCATCTAAAGACACAAGCATAAAAGTAGCAGGTACACTCAATTTCAGAAGCTGTGTCTTCTCTGCCACACCTACAACAAAAAGGAGTGAAGGGGAGAAGAAAGAGAGGGAGAAAAATATGAGGAAAAAATTAAGATGGCAAGGGCTTCATGAATAAAACAAGTAGTTATACAAAATATCTTGTCTATAATTTTTATGATCAGAAAAATTTTGATTTGTAATTTTATCACTTTTACTTAGCATTCAGAGAATTATTTTACTAGAAAAGAAAACTCACCCATTGAGTATAAGTATTAACATTGTTCAACAGTGACTATGACTATGACATTCCAATCACACCGGCTCACTGTAAGGAAGATGAACACTTTCTTTCTTTTTTGAGACAGTCTCGCTCTCTCGCCAGGATGGAGTGCAGTAGCATGATCTCAGCTCACTGCAACCTCTGCCTCCCGGGTTCAAGCAATTCTCCTGCCTGAGCCTCCCCAGTAGCTGGACTACAGGCACGTACCATGCCCAGCTAATTTTTGTATTTTTAGTAGAGACGGGGTTTCACCATGTTGGCCTGGGTGGTCTCGATATCTTGACCTCATGATCTGCCCGCCTTGGCCTTCCACAGTGCTGGGATTATGAGCCACCACGCCCGACCAGAAGACGAACACTTTCTACAGCCTGGAGAGTCTAAAGGGACTAACCAACACTGCAACCCTCATTTGTAAGGAGGATGAAAACAACAAAATAACTACATTAAATGAGAAGCAAAAACTCTTTTATAAATTGCCTGCCTCTCTTCTTTCCTCTACAGCCAAACTTCTTGAAAAAGATACCTACATTTGGTCTCTCTACTTTCTCATTTTCTATTCCTCAACTCATGCCAATTTGGTTTTGGCCCCTCTTCACAGTAATAAGCTAAGGAGCAGTTCTCAAACCATAACCACTTCTTCCTCCCTGGATTCCTGATTTTCTTTCTACCTCTTTTTGTTCTTATTTGCGACTCCTCCTTGTCTCTTAAAAACTGATGTTTCTCCAAGTTCCCATGCCAGGCTATCTTCTCACACTGATTTCCCTGGATGATCTAGCCCACGCTCACGGCTTTAATGTTCTAGATATCTTCATTCAGATGATTCAAAAACATTTCAAGACAAATTACTTACTGTTCTACTGTATATCTCCATTTGGGTGTCACACAGGCTCAAACTCAATCTACCCAAACTGAACTCACCCCTTTCTTCCCATACATACATGTTTCTCCTCCTGTGTTTCCCCTCAGTAAATGGTACCACTATCCACTCACAGTTGTTCATGTTAGAATTTTGGGCATCATTCTTCACATCTCTTCCCTGTCCCCTCCTTCTCTGAATATCCCATCACCAAATCCACTGATTCCACTTCTTATAAAAAGCACCATATATCTATCTGTCCACTTGTATCTCCCTCACTGCCAGTTCTCCAGTACAGGTCACAATGATCTTATGTCTATAGATCATTTTAACACTCTCTGGGATCTTACTCCACTGCAATACATTCCACACTGTGGCCACAGTGCTCTTTCTAGATGGTATTATCTGTTCAAAACCCTACAATGGCTCATCCAATGCCTCAGTCTCTCTCACAAGGCCTATTAGAACTGCATGATCAGAAACTCCTGCCATTCCCATCTTACATCAATTCTAGTCAGACTGGACAATTTTCATCCCATCCAATAAGCCACGCCAAGTTTATCAAGTCTTTGCATCTGCTGTTCACACTCTAGATGGAAAGCTCAACTAACCAATTCCCACGTTACATTCCCCATTAAGTCTTCTGCACTCCCCAAATCCCTTCAGGTACCATGCCCCCCGTGATGCACTTTGCATTTTCCCTATTATAGCTATTAACATATTTTATGGCAACTACATTATTTGCTTCTATATCCCATTAGACAATCTTATTTATTGCCATATTCCCAAAAACATAATAAAAACAGGTCCACAACCTCTTATCTGAAATCCTAAGATTCCAAAAGCTATTTTAATTTTTAATTTTTTTTAAGATGGAGTCTCGCTTTGTCTCCCAGGCTGGAGTGCAGTGGTGTGATCTCAGCTCACTGCAACCTCCGCCTTCTGGGTTCAAGCGATTCTTCTGCCTCAGCCTCCTGAGTAGCTGGGATTACACGCATGTGCCACCACGCCCGGCTAATTTTTGTATATTTAGTAGAGACGGGGTTTCACCATGTTGGTCAGGCTGGTCTTGAACTCCTGACCTTGTGATCTGCCTGCCTCGGCCTCCCAAAGTGCTGGGATTACAGACGTGAGCCACCGCGCCTGGCCCAAAAGCTATTATTATAACAAGTTTTTTTTTTTTTTTTGAGACGGAGTCTTGCCCTGTTGCCCAGGCTGGAGTGCAGTGGCGCGATCTTGGCTCATTGCAACCTCTGCCTCCCAGATTCAAGCCTCAGCCTCCCGAATAGCTGGGACTACAGATGCCCGCCACCACGCCCTGCTAATTTTTGTATTTTTAAGTAGAGATGGGGTTTCGCCATGTTTGCCAGGCTGGTCTTGAACTCCATACCTCAGGTGATCCGCCTGCCTCGGCCTCCCAAAGTGCTGGGATTACAGGCATGAGCCACCTCGCCCAGCCCAACAAAGTTTTTCATTAAGTTGCTGTCAAAATGTGGTTGGTGGGATAACCTAGCCCAAACTGACTAAAGGCTACTTATAGTCTTTATTTCTCCCTTCAGTATAAATATTCATATTTTACTGTAGAAATATTAATGTGTTCAATTGTAAGTTGTTGTCTCAGACCCTGCTATAGAGATGTTGGTATATGCACTGCCTTGCTTTTCTTAAATCCAAACAATTCTCAATCCCAATGCATATCTGATCTTAAGGACTTCATATTAAGGTTTACAGGCCCTACAGTATTTGTTTTCAGCAGGAAAATTTTACAAGTAGGTTACATTATGGAACAATGATGTGTGCTTTGTGAACAGGCAATATCTAAAAGAGTTGAACAGAATAGGATTCTTCTGAATGTCTAAATTTGGCATTTTTAAGTTTGAAATACAGATTCCACTTATGCTTGTCTGTGTAATAAATATTCTCTTTCTCATCTACAAATACCCAAATATCTGCAATTACGGAAAAGACAAGGGAAAAGAAGACAAACTAAATAGACAAATGAAAAGTACAATCTCCCTTATGTTAAAAGGGCCATGGATCCAATGGTGATTAAGTAAGATCACAGAAAAAAAACCTGAAACGACAGGTACGCCTGGATATAGAACTTCATTTTGGATATATGACTTTTTGGTTTGTTTGCTTTTTGGAGACAGGGTCTCATTCTGTTGCCCAGGCTGGAGTGCAGTGGTGCAATCACGGGTCACTGCAGCCTCAACCTCCTTAGCTCAAGTGATTCTCCCACCTCAGCCTCCCAAGTAGCTAGGACTACAGGCATATGCCACTACATCCAGCTAATTTTAAAATTTTATTTTGTAGAGATAGGGTCTCCCTATGGTGCCTAGGTTAGTCTCCTGGGCTCAAGCAATCCTCTTGCCTTGGCCTCCCAAAGTGCTGGGAGTACAGGCATAAGCCATTGTGCCCGGCCCCTAAATTAATATTTTAAGCGAGTATTTATATTATCCATAATTGTAGTTTACTTAAACAAAAACTTATGTACAGACCAAGTCTGCTATCTAAATTTGGTGAGTATCACAACCATTTGGGGACCCCTTTGAAAACATGGATTCCCTGACATTAGCTTTGGGGATGCTGATTCAATCAGTGTGAGAAGAGGCCTAGAAACCAGTATTTTCCAAAAGCAGCCAGATTTGGCACCACTGCATTAGGAGATTAAAAAAAAAAAAAAATCAAAACACAGATTCTGACCTGTGTCTACCACAAAGACACATGCATAAACAAAGTAAAAGGTGAAAGTGCCATGTTCAGATAAAATTCACAACAGGTTTTATGGGAAATTGTTTCTACTTCAGATCAGATTATATTTCATCACTTGACCTAAATGACTTCACAATTTAATATGATACATCAAAACAGAATTCTGAAAAACTTAAATTCTTACCTAAATTGGCATACATTACAAACAGGTTGAAATACTGCTGTAAATGACGCCCATGCTCTGAAACTTCCCTTCTCAAGAGATTTAGTACTGCTCTTAGTAAGTGATCACTCAAGCTTAAGTTGTCATAAGCCTGTAAAGGATAAAACATTACCTGTTTTACAGCAACAAGGTATATGTATACTTCTACTTGCATAAAAAGGACATGCACATATGCTGATACAGGCATACATTTATGGAAGGACTGATCACACAAACTAAACTATTTTGCTTCTTGGGAAAGGGAATGAAGATCAGAGGCGGATTTCATTATAATTTTTTACACTTGTAATTTTTTAAAAAAATCTAAGACTATTTAAAAAACCTTCAAAATAGGAAAAAATCTACTTAACAGTAAACTTATAATTAAGCTACTGCATGTAACCGAACAGAGAAAATTCTCTTACATTTTTAAAGAGCCAATAATTACTATTCATTGCCATGCAGTAATATTAAATGGAACTCACTGACATCATATTGTGTGTTTCTGTTAGGTAAACATATCAAGTGGATGCACATATGCTTGTGACTTCGACTTCCAGGAAACACAATTTATTTGTAAACATCTCATCATTTAGAAAGAAAGCTGTGCAATTACCTGACTAGAAGGTCCAGGAGAGGCAAAAGGTGAAGGACATGGCCCATCTTGCAAGGAAAAATGTGCAATAAAGACTATAAGTTTTGCAAACGCACCCCTCACTTCTGCACTAGGGCACTCCAGAAGGTATTCGGAGAAGCGATTTGAAACATTAAAAAGGACGTTATGAGCAAACCAAAAACGTACATTCTTGCTGTGACGAAGGAGAATACACAATGCATCATACCTAAAATAAAACAAAAAAACCTATGACTATTAAGTCAATAACTTGTTCTCTATAGTAAAAGGATGAGTCTCATTGAACCAAAAAAAAAAGACAAAGATCTTCCTCTACTGCTGGAGAGAACCAGCAAAGGTTGCTTCTAATATTAAAACAATAGATAAATACTATGACTTGGTCTATTCTCTCAGAGTTACCAAACAGGTGAAAGCTTGTCCTCTAAAAATCCATTAACAAACTCTTCCTAGATTCAATGACAAAATACCACCCCCTTATCTTGACATATTCCTGAAATGAGTAAGTAAAAATTATTAAATCAATGTATCATAATGGCCTCTATACTTTCACAATTAGAAACTTAAGAAAACCATTTTAATTTTTTACCCTTTTAATCGGTGTCAGAATTCAATCTAGGTAAGCTAAAACCTAATAAATTTCATAAGTAGCTTACACTTTTCAGTCTCATCTTGTAATCTTTGGTTTTGTTTGAGACAGGGTCTTGCTCTGCTGCCCAGGCTGGAGTGCAGTGGCACAGTCATGGCTCACTGCAGCTTCAACCTCCCAGGCTCCAGCGATCCTCCCACCTCAGCCTTCCGAGTAGCTGGGATTACAGGTGTGCGCCACCATACTTGGGTAATTTTTAAAATCTTCTTTGAAGAGATGGGGGTCTCACTATGTTGCCTAGGCTGGTCCTGAACTCCCGAGCTCAAGCAATCCTCCCACCCTGGCTTCCCAAAGTGCTGGCATTACAGGTGTGAGTCACTGTCCCCCAGTCTCAGCTTGTAGTCTTTGGTGCAGGGATGTCAAAGATATGATACAAGGTAATAGAAGCAGAAGTCAGCTTCTGAATAACAAAAGGCCATGTTTAGACTAAGTAACTATTTTAATATGATTTCTCTATTGTGACCCAGAGTTTTTATTCTATATTCCAAACTTCAAACAAAATTCTCTTGGTTTAGAAAAACATAAAGCAATCTATTAAAGAAGCAAACCAAACATTAGTATAATAGGAATGAAAATCCAAAGCAATGTACCAATCACTGGCAGAGCCACGGACTACTTTCTTTGTGTGAAATCCTGTAGTAAAGAGGAACCTAGCAGCAAGTTGAATACTGATCATAGTGATTTCTTCTGCTTCAGGCAACAGGTGATCTTGCCCTATAAATAAAATGCAGATATAAAAACACATTTTTATTTTCCAACCCCATTTTCAAACAAGTCTGTGTTTCCATTAATTTTGAGAAGTCCTAAATTTGTTAAGAACCCTTCTCAGGCTACTTTAATTTAGACCCATTTATTTTTTTATTTTATTTTTTTGAGATGGAGACTCACTGTCACCCAGGCTGGAGTGCAGTGGCCATCAATTTGGGTCACTGCAACCTCCACCTCCCAGGTTCAAGCGATTCTCCTGCCTCAGCCTCCGGAGTAGCTGGGACTACAGGGAGTAGCTGGGACTACAGGTGCATGCCACCATGCCTGGCTAATTTTTATATTTTTAGTAGAGATGGGGTTTCACCATGTTGGTCAGGCTGGTATTGAACTCTTGACCTCAGGTGATCCACCTACCTCGGCCTCCCAAAGTGCTGGGATTACAGGCGTGAACCACCACACCCAGCAAATTAGACTCATTTAAAGTGAAAACATTAATTTTATGAACTTAAACATGTTGACGCCTACTATAAATTATTCTTTATTACTAAGAAGCTAAACTCTCTTGATACTCACCGGGAGGAGGGTTTAAGTAAACGCCATTACATGTAAGCAGTTTTTTCATAAACTGAAAATACTCCATACTGTACTGCATTCGGTTATGCATGAATTGTACGTTCTGTTTCCGTACACTTCTCTCAATGGCTGATGGCATAATAATCTGATGAGGTCTGGTGGTGATAGCAAGCTCTGATATATATCTTATCAACTCATCATCTTGGTCTATTGTGTCCATTCGTTCATAAAAAAGTATATAAGCATTCCACCACCTTTTCTGGCGCCTGTATGACATACGCTTCATCATGTGATCAAACACTTCTCCCATGTACTCTCCACCAAAACACTGGTTTTTCATTTCTTCGTCATCATCCATTTTACATTCTGTTACATCACCATCATCAAATTTATACCAGCGA
Source organism: Homo sapiens (assembly GCF_000001405.40). Lineage (NCBI taxonomy): Eukaryota > Metazoa > Chordata > Mammalia > Primates > Hominidae > Homo > Homo sapiens. The sequence continues at coordinate 41,216,251 of NC_000023.11, read as the reverse complement.
TTTCTCTCACCATCTCCACCATTCCTTTGGATGATGTAAGAATAATAATGCCCCCCACTCGCTTGACCACTGTGTACGAGCACACCCACAAGTCTGTATTTTGTGCTTCCTGCTGTCTCACTTTCAGACTGCTCACTCTGTTGTATCAACTGACTCTCTGGGTTTACATTATCCCCTTCCAGCTTTGCGACACCTGCAACTGTGTAAGGTTCCATGTCCAGCTCTCGAGGAAATTCAAAATAATCATTGAACTTGATTGCACATTCTCTTTCCCAGTCATAGTCAAATCGCTTTAGTTGTATAGCAAGAACAGGAGGTAATTTTTTAATCAGCAAGCGCTTTACGGTATCAACCTAAAATAAACAAGACAAAGTTACCAGATGTTCTATTAAAATCCACAGGAAAAAAAAAAAAACCCCAAGCAAACTTTTAAATGATATTAAGACTTATCTGAATTTTTAAGTATAAACAAATACATGACAATGAGCATAATCAAGATAATCCTATCAGCTGATTTAAATGCTGAAATTAATAATATGCAAATGGTAAATTGTTGACTGGTTTCTGTCATTGTTATCTAGCCATTATTACCTGTTTGATGTTTACTGTTGTTCCCACGAAGGTGGTTTCCTATGCACAAACCAAAGAACTACAATAACAATAAGAGTAGCTAATATTTGTTGGGTAATTCAGATGCCAGGTAATATATACTAAGTGCCGCACAAGTAAAAACATACCGAATCCTTACAACCTTCTCAAGTGTGTACTACTGAACCTTAAAAGATGAAAACTAGTAATCACAGAGAGGTCAAGTAACTTGCCTCAGGTCTCAGGAGCTGCAGGTGGCAGGCAGTATGGCTTTACAGCCCACAATCTCAATCTTTAAACTTCAGGACTTCTCTAAGTGGTGCATAAGGCCAAAACAACACAAGTGACTTGAGGGTGAAAGGGTTTGGGAGCTCCCAAAGATACACCTTATTCATTACTATAATGCGTGTGAATCATCTCTCTCAAAGAACTGCTAATAAGTTTCCAAAATAAATGGTTTTATAACATAGGTGATAAAAGAAATCTTATGGGCCACTTGACTAGTCTAAAAGAAATCTTATGTGGTTCAATAAAGTAATTAATGGTTTCAGCAAATGTTTTGGTCTTGACAAGTAATCCTGGACATGACAGGAGAAATGTTTTCCTCTATCAGCTCTGTATCTTTGAGGGGTTCAATGGCAATTTGTTTCTCGGTAGAGATGGAAAGTGTCTGTGTAACTTATATAAGAGAATGTGCTATCACGTTATGACTTTTAAAATTATTCACTCTTATTTACCTATTTTTATCTTATTTACCTAGCCCCTTTGGCACTACTTTTTTTCCTTCCTTGCCAAACCTTCTATTAGTTATCATATTGACTACTTCTCTGCTACCACTATACCAAAGTAGGAGAAAATAAAAATAGGGTGACTTGTGAGGATGAACCAAAAAAACCAATTTCTTCTAAATCCATTAAATGTAATCAAAATTAAACAAAACTGGACAGCCCGTACCTTTTTATTGCATTTTTCACAATGATATGCATTTGCACCTTCTAGTAAATCTCCTTTGACATACTGTTCCAAAGAATCAAGAAGATTTTGGTGATTTCTAATGTCTACGTTTAGGGTCGTAAAAGATTCTTCACATTCGTACCTAAAAACGATTTAAAAAAAGGATTTATCCCTTAGTTTTGTAAACATTTTAGTTATGGACTTAATGTAAACTACATTTGCCTTTTTTTTTTAAATTATACTTTAAGTTCTAGGGTACATGTCCACAACGTGCAGGTTTGTTACATATGTATACATGTGCCATGTTGGTTTGCTGCACCCATACATTTGCCATTTTTATAATGCGAAACCCGTAAGTCATAGAATGTTAGCAATAAAAAAGTTAACTTGATCAAGATTATTAGGTGAAATGGTATTTTAAAGTTGAATCTGTCTGGGCTCACAGCTTAATCTCTTTGTAGTATACGATGCTGCTTCTAGTGTTATCTGTTTAGATAGTAATTCATGCTGAAGCCAAAGCATGAATTTATTAAGTTCTGAAAATGATAAACTACGAATAAGCTAAATTTTTATATATTCTTCCTTTTCTGTAATGGAAGCCTTAGTAAAGCAAAAGTTTGCACACACAAATGAGTACAGGATTAGCAACCTGAGAAGGAGCTAGAATCCCAGTTTATGGTCATTTTCTACCAAAGAGACTTTCCAATTTCTGGTGAGACACATGCATAAATGCAAAACAAGGGATGTGAGGAATACATTATTAACCATTAATTCATCCAATGGATAGACTGAGAGTGCTTTCTATGTGTAAAAGTACTGAGGGATATTCACTGTTTAAGATAGTCCCTTATTTAAGGAATTTTAAACTCCGGAAAAAAGGTACACAAAGGCATTTATAAATTATATGAATGGAATATAAAGCAGGTATTAAGCAAATTTTTACTATATAATCAGGGAACAGCCCATAGAGGGAAAAAAGTTAGATCTTAGACTACACTTCAAAAGTAGGATATTCTTCAACATCTATAAAAAGAAGGTGTTCTAACATTAGAGGACAGCAAAGTCTTTCTGTAAAGGGCCAGATAGTAAATTTATCTTAGGCTTTGTGAAGCATATGGTCTCTGCAGCAAGTACGGACGCTCTTTGCTTATGAAATGGCTACAGCCCAATAAACCCATCATAAATTGAAAATATCATAAGCTGAAAATGCATTTAATACACCCAACCTACCAAACATCATAGCTTTAGCCTAGCTTACCCTAAATGTGTTCAGAACACTTATATTAGCCTACAGTTGGGCAAAATCTTGTAACACAAAGATTCATGTAATTCAATGAATACTGTACTGAGAGTGAAAAACAGAATGGTTGTATGGGCACTCAAAGTAGAGTTTCTTTCTTTTTTGTTTTTAATGAGGTGAGGTCTCACTCTGTCACCCAGGCTGGAATGTAGTGGCATGATCACAGTTCACTGGAACTTCTAACTCCTGGGCTCAAGCGATCCTCCTGACTCAGCCTCCCAAGCAGCTGGGACTACAGGAGTCCACCCCCATGCCCAGCTAGTTAAAAAAATAAGACTAGTTTAGCTGTTGATCAGGTATAAGGATCTGATTTCAAGACCATAATCTTTTGACATTTCACTTGCCAAAGAAAACCAGTGATTTCCAAATAATTTAGAAAATTGTCTAAAACTAAGGAGGAGTAACATGAACAAATGACCCCAAAGTTGGCTGTTTTTATCACTAATTAAAAACAAGGTTAAAATTTTATTTTATTGTTCACCTAATATAAAAGGCCTTTCAAAAGGACTAAAAGTTGCCTAGGCTAAGTGAATAAGTATATTCCCTAATTATGAATGAGTGGTAAGACTATAACTTGCTAGAAATTTCTCATTTATATAGTATTACCTCTCACCCAATCATTTCCTGGTAATCAAAAACAAAACACCCCCACAAACCACATGTGTACTCAACCCATGACTATATTTAATACAGTTTGGATTGTAGAAAATACTATCTTACTGTGACATTTTGGTGAAAAACGATTGCAAATCAACATTAATCCATATTATAACAAGTCCCAAAGTAAAACTTCCATATGACAGGCATGTATATTTATCAGTAATGAACTCATTAACTATTTCTAATAGAAGCCCTTAATCAATTTTCAAGTCAAACAATTTGTTTTGTCAATGTTTTTCTTGTAAAATCTTTTTTTATTTTTATTTTTTTAGGCTTTTTTTTTTTTTTTTAATTGATCATTCTTGGGTGTTTCTTGCAGAGGGGGATTTGGCAGGGTCATAGGACAATAGTGGAGGGAAGGTCAGCAGATAAACAAGTGAACAAAGGTCTCTGGTTTTCCTAGGCAGAGGACCCTGCGGCCTTCCGCAGTGTTTGTGTCCCTGGGTACTTGAGATTAGGGAGTGGCGATGACTCTTAACGAGCATGCTGCCTTCAAGCATCTGTTTAACAAAGCACATCTTGCACCACCCTTAATCCATTCAACCCTGAGTGGACACAGCACATGTTTCAGAGAGCACAGGGTTGGGGGTAAGGTCACAGATCAACAGGATCCTAAGGCAGAAGAATTTTTCTTAGTACAGAACAAAATGAAAAGTCTCCCATGTCTACCTCTTTCTACACAGACACGGCAACCATCCGATTTCTCAATCTTTTCCCCACCTTTCCCCCCTTTCTATTCCACAAAACCGCCATTGTCATCATGGCCTGTTCTCAATGAGCTGTTGAGTACACCTCCCAGACGGGGTGGTGGCCGGGCAGAGGGGCTCCTCACTTCCCAGTAGGGGCGGCCGGGCAGAGGCACCCCTCACCTCCCGGATGGGGCGGCTGGCCGGGCGGGGGGCTGACCCCCCCACCTCCCTCCCGGACGGGGCGGCTGTCCGGGCAGAGGGGCTCCTCACTTCCCAGTAGGGGCGGCCGGGCAGAGGCACCCCTCACCTCCCGGATGGGGCAGCTGGCTGGGCGGGGGGCTGACCCCCCTACCTCCCTCCCGGACGGGGCGGCTGGCCGGGTGGGGGGCTGACCCCATCACCTCCTTCCCGGACGGGGCGGCTGGCCGGGCAGAGGGGCTCCTCACTTCCCAGTAGGGGCAGCCGGGCAGAGGCACCCCTCACCTCCCGGACGGGGGTAAAATCTTTTTTTACAATAGGTTTGATATGTTTTGTATACAAATATACCTTAAAGATAATGACAATAATCAATGCTATTTTAAAAGTCATTATTTCATTTGTATAGGAAATACTACCATAGCTTTGTCATCTTCTAAACTTACTGTATTTACACTATTATAATCACTCAAGTTCTAAGATAAAGGGCAAATTTATAAATAACACCTGTAGCTATATGCAAAATGCCATTTTATTTCCTCAGGAATAATCTTCTGTAAAAGAATGTAAGAGTAGGCCAGGCGCAGTGGCTCACGCCTGTCATCTCAACACTTTGGGAAGTTGAGGTGTGACGACTGATTTTGAGGTCAGCAGTTTTGAGACCAGCTTGGGCAACAAGAGATTCGATCTCTAAAAAAATTTACAAATTAGCCAGGTGTGGTGGCACATGCCTGTAGTCCCAGCTATTTGAGAGGCTGAGGCAGCAGGATTGCTTGAGCCCACAAGTTCAAAGTTACTATGAGTTACGACCATGCCACTGAACTCCAGCCTAGGCAACAAAGAGAAACCTTGTCTCTTTCAAAAAAGAAAGAAAGAAAAAAAAAGAGAAAGGAAAAGAAAAAGGAGAAAGGAAAGGAAAGGAAAGGAAGAAAGAGACTGTAAGAGTATAATATAATAAAATGGCTAAGAGATCAGGCAGAGTAGAAGGAACTAAAAGTTAACTGACAAAAACAAAAAAAAGCCCCACAGCAGTAAGGTATGCAAAGTATATAAATCATTCTGTTTCAGGTATTTAGTAATCAGTGATATACTCCACTTTTGTATGTAAGTACTAGTAAAAATTTTATTTCTGTTAGTATATACATGGTACAACATATACTTTCAATGTGTAATTAGTACTTACCTATGTGGGCAGCCTTGGCAGATCTTCTGATCAGCAAAGGAACCTCCTAAGACTTTACTTAGCATAGCTGGATGTCCTAAAGCTTTTAAAGCTTCATCTAAACTATCCACCAATGAATTAAAAAATTCTAAAGCATCGTGTTGTTCACGCAGATTAACAGGCTCACCCCAAAGCCTAAGAAATGAATGAAATAAAACATGTAACATGTAACATTCACAGAACAATATGTACAACTATATTTTTCAGGGGAAAAAAAAGCAACAAGACCACAAACAACAGTATATAAAACCGAGATTTTATTCCTCAATTACATGGAAAAAGTAGGAAAAAAAGAATGTGCTTTCCCTGTAGAATGTAGTGGGGTAAGAGAGTGAGCCTCATAGTAAAACTAGTACTCTAGCGGCAAAGAACTGCCACAAAACTAGTGGTGTAATTGATGGATAGTACGGCTCCAGGAAGGATGGTTGCTTCAGGTGGTATGACACATGCATGCATTTTGAATCCAATTAAAGATACTATTAAGATGAGGTGGTGGATCTCACTCTTATGTGGATGTTACAATCACTATTTTATTTCTTTCATTTTGCTTAAATTTTGGATTATAAATAGTAAAAAGATCAGATCTAGTTACTCTTAAATTTATTTTTTTCCCAAGTGAAGAGAGAAAGGTTTAACTTGTTCTAGAGTTAATCTCTTGAGTAATCTAAGAAAAGACACCATCACTACATACCACAAAAATGAGAACTCATACTGCTAAAACTCAGGCACTGCTGGAAACTATCAATAATACCTGATTTTGTATATACAGAATAATGTATATAGAGAATTTAAGTGTATTTGTTCTAAGCAAGAAATGACATTTTAAAGTATGCAAGAACTGTCTGTTTATACTTTTGTAAAAACCTTTTCTACATAGCAAATAATCTGATCTCTATTATATTTTACACAAGTAAAAATTTGTATACAGTAAGTTTAAAATCAAATATATTATTTGTTAAAAATCAGCTTGTTTCATTACTGGAAATTACACCAGTCCGTTCTATTTACTTTCAAACCATATTCAACTCCTCAAACTTTCAAACATGTAATCAACTAATTTCAAAAGGGAAAAGGTACCCTTTATAAAGGAGAGATCTGTTAAGACACCAAGAAATCAAAATTAATATCACTTAATAATTAAGTGGATAACACATGCCTCCCAATACAGTGCAGTGAGAAACACAAAACATCAATTATGTAGTTTTATTGCCCCCACCCCCTCAACATTTAACATAAAGCTAATCATCAGGAAACAATCACACAAATCAAAAAACACATTCTGCAAGACAACTGGCCTGGATTCTTTAAAAATTTCAGTGCGATACAAGTCACAAGTTAGGGAGATTATTTTACATAAAAGGCAACTAAAGAGCTAACAGCCAAATCCTTGTGATTCCTTCATGAGTATCAGATTGGGATAGAGAGATAAGTTATAAAGACCACTTTTGGGAAATCGGAATATATACTGATGAATATTAGAGATTAAAAATCGTTATTATATTACTTGGATATAACTGTATCATACATAAGTAGGAAAATTGCCTTATTCTGATATATGATCTCTTATAAGATATATGTTGAAGTATGAAGGGGTGAAGCGTCCTGTTTGCAACTTCACTATCAACTTAAGAAAAAAGGCCGGGCGCGGTGGCTCACGCCTGTAATCCTAGCATTTTGGGAGGCCGAGCCGGGTGGATCACGAGGTCAGGAGTTCGAGACCACCCTGGCTAACACAATGAAACTCTGTCTCTACTAAAAATACAAAAAATTAGCTGGGCATTGGTGGCAGGCGCCTGTAGTCCCAGCTACTCGGGAGGCTGAGGCAGGAGAATGGTGTGAACCCAGGAAGGGGAGCTTGCAGTGAGCCGAGATCACGCCACTGCACTCCAGCCTGGGCGACAGAGCGAGACTCCATCTCAAAAAAACAAAAAACAAACAAACAAACAAACAAAACTTAAAAAAAAAATAAACCAAAAACCAAGCACACATATGGCAAGATAAGCAAATATGGCAAAATGTTAATTAGTAAAACCGCATAAAGAATATAACATAAAGGTGATAATTATACCTCTTCTTCATCTTTTCTGTAGGTTTGAAACTTTTCAAAATAAAAGAGTGGGGTGAGGAAGTGTAGTTAACTAACCCGCTTGTGTCAAGAGTAGATTATGTGTCTAAAGTGTGGATAATCCAAAGTGCTAGTCTATACAAACCGAGCTCCACTAGCACAGCGAGTAACTGAAAAGTCAAAAAAGCAAAGGCATTACAAGAGAAAAAATTGTAACTGAATGACAAGACGAAAGTTTAAAAAGTGTAAGCCTCAGCTGGGCGCAGTGGCTCTCGCCTGTAATCCCAGCACTTTGGGAGGCTGAGGCGGGTGGATCACCTGAAGTCAGGAGTTCAAGACCAGCCTGATGAATATGGTGAAACCCAGTCTCTACTAAAAATACAAAAATTAGCTGGGCATGGTGGCAGGCGCCTGTAATCCCAGCTACCAAGACAGGAGAATTGCTTGAACCCAGCGGGCAGAGGTTACCGTGAGCCGAGATCACACCACTGCACTCTAGCCTGGGCCACAGAGTGAGACTCTGTCTCAAAAAAAAAAAAAACCCAGTATAAGCCTCTGTTTGTGTTCTTCAGTTTGGAAGAGCATAAACAGAAATGCTAAAATAGCCTTAAGGCAGAGATGGAATTGGAATAACCTAGGGAAAGAAGACAGAACTGAAATAGTCAGAGAGGAGGGAGAATGGTATGCTGGGTGACGGGACTAAAAGCAAAATGAGAGATGGGAGGGAGGGTGGTCCACGCAAGACACTAGTACAGAGTAAGTAGAGGGCCTAGTTAGGGGAGGAAAAGAAATTTATACTGCTTTGTCAGAAGAAGGGAAGGCGGATCAGAGTATCAGGTGACCCTTCGTTCCCCGCTCCTCTCAGCTGGCCGGGAAGCACCTTGAAGGGATTCCAAGGAGGATTACTTACAAAACAAAACAAACCAAACCTCACTGCTATAAAGAATTATACCCCTTTTCATACACAGTAAGAGTTACGTGGTTGTACTGTAGTTATTTTAGCACAGTGCATGACGTAGTACTGACTTAAAGTCAAAGGAAACAAGATAAAAATGTAATCTGAGTTTTCTAACTTAAAAAGAAAATGGTGAGGGCAATTTTCCCTTTATAGATCTTTTCTAGCTATTAAATGAAAAAATAAAATATTGTTATTTTATAACCCTGAAGAAATACTGTATTAAGATAATGATAATTGGCCAGGTGCAGTGGCTCACGCCTGTAATCCCAGCACTTTGGGAGGCCGAGGCGGGTGGATCACCTGACGTCAGGAATTTGAGACCAGCCTGGCCAACACGGCGAAACCCTATCTCTACTAAAACTACAAAAAATTAGCGGGGTGTGGTGGGCCTGTCGTCCTAGCTACTTGAGAGGCTGAGGCTGAAGAATTGCTTGAACCTGGGAGGCAGAGGTTGCAGTGAGCTGAGATCGAGCCATTGCACTTCAGCCTGGGCAACAGAGCAAGACTCTATCTCCAAAAAAAAAAAAAAAAAAAAAAAAAAGGCCAGGGAGCAGTAGCTCATGCCTATAATCCAGCACTTTGGGAGGCAGGCAGATCACCTGAGGTCAGGAGTTCGAGACCAGACTGGCCAACATGGTGAAACCCCGTCTCTACTAAAAATACAAAACTTGGCCGGGCATGGTTGGCCCACGCCTGTAACCCCTGTTAACCCTAGCTACTCAGGAGGCTGAGGCAGAATTGCTTGAACCCAGGAGGCGGAGGTTGCAGTGAGCTGAGATCACGCCACTGTACTCTAGCCTGGGCGACAGAGCAAAGACTCCATCTCAGGGGAAAAAAAAAAATTGTATATATATAATAATAATAATAAAAAATTGCTGTTAACATCATAAGAAGACAGACATTATAATGTCACTCCTCATGGAGATAAACATTATCCCCTATGAAGTAGCGTTGCCTATCCATTCCACAAAAAGAAAAATAATACCACAATCTGATCAAGCCTCTAGATCTCATAAGGTGTTTATAGAAGATGCAGGTGACCAAGAAAAACAGAAAATAATAAACGACCACAGGGATTCCATCAACAAAATTCAGACTGTGGGAAAATTTACATGCTAAACTATTTGTCCTCCGATTCCCCCATAATTGTAAAGGGAAAAAAGAAACAGATGAATAATCAAGATCATTACCAACCATTTGTGGTAAATGGACCTCAACTGAATCTTATTTTTAAAAAATATCAGTAAAAACCAGTTATGAGATAACTCGGTAAATTCAAACACTGACAGAGATATTTGATATTAAGCAATTTTAAAAAAACATAATGGTATCATGATCATGTTTTGAGACAGACACTACAGACACATACTTAAGTATTTACAGATGGAACTAAGATTTGCTTCAAAACAATCTAGAAAGAAATAGGTAGGGGCCGGGCACAGTGGCTCACGCCTGTAATCCCAGCACTTTGGGAGGCTGAGATGGGAATCACCTGAGGTCAGGAGTTCGAGACCAGTCTGGGCCAACATGGTAAAACCCCGTCTCCACTAAAAATACAAAAAATCAGCTAGGCGTGGTGGTGGGTGCCTGTAATCCCAGCTACTTGGGAGGCTGAGGCAGGAGAATCACTTGAATCTGGGAGGCGGATGTTGCAGTGAGCCAAGATCACACCACTGCACTCCAGCCTGGGCAACAAGAGCAAAACTCCATCTCAAAAAAAAAAAAGAAAAAAAGAAAAAGAAAAAGAAAAAAAGAAAAAAAAAATAGGTTAAGAATATAGATTAAATGAGGCTGGCCACAAGTTGACTACTACTGAAGTTGGGTGACAAGTATACAGGGGTTCATACTATTTTTTCTACTTCTGTATTTATTAGATGTTTTCCTAATAAAAAGTTAATAATATGGTTAAGAGACTAAAGGATGTTGCCCTTACTTACTATGGCAGTTTCTACTTCTTCCTAAGGGGACCTAAAAAAAAAAAAAAAAACCCACCCAATTAAGGACAGTTTGAATATTACCAGTGCTTAAAAAAAGATGCCTTCCAACATGTCTTTTAGAGGTTTAATGTTAGTGTATTGAGATGTTCATTTTAAGAAGTATCTCTATTACTGTCCATCCATAGTTTACCTGAACTGTTTCCAAAATCCTCTGGGCACATAGTATTGCAGTCGAGAAGCAGCTAAATGACCAAAGATGACCTGAAGGTGTCTTAGGACACCAATGTTGTACTCTTTTCTATCTTCAGTTTTACTTAATGCTGGTTTATCTTCAAATTGTTGAGGATATCCAAATACATCATCCCTGGGATCAACATTGCTCTAGAAACCAAAAAATGTCACCAATGAGCTAAAGTATAATAAAATACGTTGAGACAAATGCCAAGCAGTTATTGAACAAATGATTTGTATTCCTATTATGCTCATTTCCAAAGCACTTTTCAATTTATAAATTTTTAGTTATTTAGTGTTTATCCCCACCATTTCACATATTAGTTATCATAACCAAATAACCCTGACCATGTGTAAGAAAGATAGATAATATAGTGTAGCATTAGCATAGTAATTTAGACTGAACTAGACATAAATGCAGGCTCTACCACTTATAAACCAAGTAACTTTGAGCAAGTAAAAACTACTTAAACTTTCTAGGCTTCAAGTTTCTTTATGTGTGAATGGGGGTAATATATCCTTTGTGTAGCTGTTGTATATAAAATGCTCAGATCTGTCAATAAAATATACCTATATCAGTATAGTCATTCTTTGCTTAATGACAGGGATAAATTCTGAGAAATGCATCATTAGGTATTTTGTCATGTGAACATCATAGTGTACCTATAAACCTAGATGGTATAGCCAATTGCTCCTAGGTTGTAAACTTGTACAGCATGTTACTGTACTACATACTGTAGACAACTGCAAACCAACGGTGAATCTGTGCATCTAAAAATAGAAAAGGTACAGTAAAAATACGACATTATAATCTCATTGGACTACTGTCATATATATGGTCTGTAATTGTCTGAAACGTTGTTATGTGGTGCATGACTAGTACTCTTCCACAAATGGTGCTGGGTAAACTGGATAATCCACATGCAAAAGAATAAAGTTGAGCCCTTATGAAACACTACATACAAAAATTAACTCAAAATGGATCAAAATCCTAAATGTAAGAGCTAAAACCACAGAACTGTTAAAAAAAAAAAAAAAACATAGGGCAAAAGCTTCAAGACACTGGATTTGGCAGTGATTTCTTGGATATGACATCAGAGGTACAGGCAACAAAAGAAAGTATCTGCAAATCACATATCTGATATGGAGTTAATATCTAGAACATACAGAGAACTCTTAAAACTCAACAACACAACTCAATTTAAAAATAGACAAAGAAGATCAACAAGTGGCCAATAATAAGCACAGCTAAAGATGCTCAAAATCGTTAACCATTTGGTAAATGCAAATCAAAACCATGAGATACTACCTCACACTCAATTAGGGTGTCAACTACCAGAACGAGTGAGTATAACAAGTGTTGGCAAGGATATGGAGAAATTGGAGCTCTTGTGCAATGCTGGTAGGAATGTAAAATGGTGCAGTCACTCTAGAAAACAGTTCCTCAAAAAATTTGGCCGCATATGGTGGCTCATGCCTATAATCCCAGCACTTTGGGAGGCCAAGGTGGGTGGATCACCTGAAATCAGGAGTTCGAGACCAGCCTGGCCAATATGGTGAAATCCCATCTCTACTAAAAATACAAAAATTAGCGGGGTATGGTGGTGCGTGCCTGTAGTCCCAGCTACTCGGGAGGCTGAGGCAGGAGAATCGCTTGAACCCAGGAGGCAGAGGTTGCAGTGAGCTGAGATAGCACCACTGCACTCCAGCCTGTGTGACAGAGTGAGACTCTGTCTGAAAAAAATAATAAATAATAAAATAAAAATAGCATCACCAAATGATCTAGTACTTCCACTTCTGAGCATATGCCTGGAAATATTGAAAGCAGGACCTCAAACAGCTATTTGTATATCCATGTTCATGGCAGCCTTATTCACAATAGCTCAAATGGGGAAGCAACCCAAATGTCCATCGACAAATGAATGGATAAGGAAAATGTGGTATATACATATAATGGAATATTACTTAGACTTTAAAATGAAATAAGCCAGCTATGCAAAGGCAAACACTGTATGATTTCACTTATATAATCACTTATATGAGGTATGTAGAGTAGTCAATCATAGAGACAAAAAGAATAGTAGTTGCCAGAGGCTGTGGGGAGGGAGAATGGGGAGTAGCTTAATGACTACAGTTTGAGTTTTGCAATATGAAGAGTTTTGGAGATGGGTGGTGGTGATGGTGTACAACAATGTAAATGTATTTAATAGGACAACTGCACATTTAAAAACAGATGGTAAGTTTCATGTTATATGTATTTTACCACAATTTTAAAAAACAACAGAAGTAGTGGTGTAAGATGTAACATGAAGACAGAATTCCTAAAGGTCATAATCATATGGCAGCTACAAAGAAGAATGTGTTTTTACATTTAACTATCTTTCAGTATTCTCTGAGTTGTATCTGATAACTCTGATATAGAAATAGACAACAACCAGTCCCTGCCCATGAGAAACTTATACTCTAGGGATGGAAACAAAAACATAAGCCAAAAAAACCAAAACCCAAAAAACCCCACAAAAACTCCCACAGTACACTGGGGTGCAGAGACAACATGGAGCAGAGGATACCATGAGAGTAAAAGTGGTACACCTTATTTGAAATTGTGTTATATTTTCTATGCCTCATTTACTTCTTGCCAGTACAATTACCTATATCTACTTGTGTTTAACTCAATATCCCAGGTATATGATGGGCTCCAGAACTGGAATTTGAATTACATTTTTTTCCCAGAGCAGTGGTTTTTAATCAGGTATGGGTATAAGTGTCCTTTATGAAGCTTTTTTTTATAAAGTGAAAGTGCTCAGAACCCAATCCCTAGACCATCTGGCACAGCAGGTCTAGGGAAGAGTTGAGGCAAGTAGATGTTTCAGAAGCTCCAATTGATAAACTACTTCTTCAGAGCAAAATCAGTTCTGGCAACTGAAGGGAGGGAATGAAAAGAACCATTTACTACAATTAGAATATACTCTGGCTTCTCTCTTCAGTTCCCACTATCACTATAAACAGGAAAAGTAAAACCAAGGAAATATTACATGGTAAGCACAAACATGACCACAACTTAAGTCTTCTTGCCATATGCTCTTCTTTAAAGAGCTATCTTACAGTTATGTCAATTCTGATTCGCCACTACAACTCAACTTCTTCACTGCTTTATACTGCACTGGATACTCAGTAGGCAGCCTAAATTTTGCCACAAGACTACGTGAGACTATTTAAAGTAGGGAAAGTTTGTTTCCTAATCAAGAAGAGCTATGATCTAAGGGAAATTCAAAGAATAACCTAAAAGTAAGCACACACAGTGAAATTGGCAGATACTGTATAACTTGGCATAAAATAGAAAATTAAAATTTAGAAATAGAAAAGTAAAAATTTAAAACTATTATCAAAAATGAAGGTTCTTACCATCAAACAAACCCCAAATTATACTAAACACTCTACACAAAAAAACACGAGTACATTAACTGTTGCTTTTTTTTTTTGAGACGGAGTCTCGCTCTGTCACCTAGGCTGGAGTGCACTGGTGCCATCTCAGCTCATCGCAACCTCCACCTTCCGGGTTCAAGTGATTCTCCTGCCTCAGCCTTCCGAGTAGCTAGGACTACAGGCATGTGCCACCACACCCAGCTAATTTTTGTATTTTTAGTAGACATGGGGTTTCACTATGTTGGCCAGGCTGGTCTTGAACTCCTGACCTCAGGTGATCCACCTGCCTCAGCTTCCCAAAGTGCTGAGATTATAGGTGTGAGCTACCATGCCCAGCCAACTGTTGCTTTAGAAATGTACAAACCATTCTAAAAATTATCTGCAGTTTAAATTCTGGTAGGTAGTGAGAACTATACTATGTTAAGAGGTAGCAGTTCATGCTGGCTGGGAGAAGTCCATCCCTACTTACTTTTTCTTTTTCTTCTGAGACAGGGTCTCACTCTGTAACCCAGGCTGGAGTGCAGTGGCATGATCATGGCTCACTGCAGCCTCCAGCTCCCAGGCTCAAGCAATCCTCCTGCCTCAGTTTCCTGAGTAGCTGAGACCACAGGTGTGTGCTCGGCCCATCCCTAACTTTCAAATATACTTTAATACGTTTGATGAAAGTATAACACTCTCTTAAGAGAGAATAGTATCTGGTATCATAACTTGAAACACAGAAAACAGAAATGGTAACTCAAATTTACCTCATTGTCCTGCTTCTCATCCCCAGACATATCATCATCTACATCACTACCTGTGCCTTCAATGGCAAGAATACCGTTCCTAATGGAAGGAATCATGTAGAGTTGCTGAATCACAGAATTCATGTAACAAGTAGCACCGGCATTTTTCAGCCCCACGAATCCTTTGGGTGGGCGGGGTCCAACAGGTGGCAGATATTCCCACTCAGTAAGTGCTTCACAAGCTGAGAGAAGGAAAGATTCTTGTAGCATGAACACGGCCATTCTGTCCTTTCAAACTCTATTATGCTGACAAAGCAACCCTGGCAATAATTCTACCACCCATAATTCGACTAACCCTACAGCAACCTGAAGCAGTGTTCTGAGTTTGCACTTCATCTTCCAACAATCTAAAATATACAGCAACAGGCACCACTGTGCAGCTTCTTATCCAATCACCCGCAAACCCGTTTCATATGATGTTGCTTCTATGGCAGTCTCAAAAGTACAAGATAGTATAATTCTAATGTCTACATGCTAACTTTACTTGCATCTTTATTTTTAGCCATTATTCACTTTCTTAATATTTGATACTTTTGCCTTCAAATTTGGCAAGGAATGAAATGTTATCTAAATATATCAACACATTATAATTTTCTCAGTTTTAAATAATCCTAAAACCACATGGGCTCACATCCTGGTTCTGATGCTTACCACTTTTTTTCCCCCACCTTTAGGTAACTTTCTGTTTCTTCCTAGTAAATGTAATAATAAAAGTAACACTTGCTTTCCTGATATCTATAATGCTATTTTGAGGAGCAAGCAAGACAGCAGATTTGTGATAATTGTAAATCACTGTACATCTTCCTATCTCCCTCCACCTAGTATAAACCTGGAAACAACATTAAGTATCATTGTCTAGGGGGCCAGTTAATTATATCATACCAAACTGCATGGCCAAAAATGGAATTAGGTAAATATTTCTGTGTTGACAGGGAACAATGGCAGATAGGGAAGGATGCAAACAACGTTGTACTATACTCCAATCTGTGATTAAAAAATTAACCCCCATTAAGTTAAAAAAAAAATACAAGAATTCTCACAATACATAGATTTGATAGGACAGCTAAAGGTCTAACCTTTTAAGCAATCAATTTATTCAGAAATTCCTGAGATGTTATTTAAAACTTCCAAACATTCTGAAACACATCAAAAAGTAATTTGACATGTTCTTAAAGATTTACTATAATCAATTATATTCTTAAGTGTTCTAAATAGCGATTTTCTCTTAAAACAGCATCAATTATGCTTATTTCTGCTTTTTCTGTTATTAATATTTTATATTGCCCTTGCCCTTTTGAGCTTCAATTCCTTATCTGTAAGGTCTGAAATCTGCAGCCTATTCATGCGCCTGGTGTGGGCATTAAATGAGAACATAAATAAGGTGCACCAAAATGGTAACTTCTCACGTTCTAATCTTCAAAGCCAGATTTTCTTCGAACTCATAACGTTACGGAACTTCTAAGTGAAGACCTGAAAGGTTTTCCAATACATGCAACTTAAAGTTTTAAGTCTGGGCCAGGTGCGGTGGCTCACACCTGTAATTCCAGCACTTTGGGAGGCCGAGGCAGGTGGATCACCTGAGGCCAGGAGTTCAAGACTAGCCTGGCCAACATGGTGAAACCCTATCTCTACTAAAAATACAATATTAGCCAGGCATGGTGGCAATACAAAATTAGCCAGGCATGGTGGCAGGCGCCTGTAAGCCCAGCTACTTGGGAGGCTGAGGCAGGAGAATCACTTGAACCCGAGAGGTTGCAGTGAGCCGAGATCGCGCCACTGCACTCCAGCCTGGGCAACAAGAGTGAAACTCCGTCTCAAAAAAATAAATAAATAAAATAAAGTTTTACGTCTATACTCTACGGCATTTACTTTGGCTACCTTTTAATCTGGAGTTTGAATTTTATGACAGGTTTCATGAGATGAAATTTATCTTGCCAAATGGCGACACCACTTATAGGATGCCACTTAACAAATGTTTGAATTTTTTTCTATACAAGGTGGTCTGCTTATAATGGTCTTATTTTTCTTTTTTCTTTTCTTTTCTTTTCTTTTTTTTCTGAGATGGAGTCTTGCTCTGTCACCCAGGATGGAGTGCAGTGGCGCGATCTCGGCTCACTGCAACCTCCACCTCCTGGGTTCAAGCAATTCTCCTGTCTCAGCCTCCTGAGTAGCTGGGATTACAGGTGTGCACCACAATGCCCAGCTAATTTTTGTATTTTTTGTAGAGACAGGGTTTCACCATGGTCAGGCTGGTCTCAAACTCCTGACCTCAGGTGATCCACCCACCTTGGCCTCCCAAAGTGCTGGGATTACAGGCCTGAGCCACCGTGCCCGGCCTATAATGGTCTTAACTGTTCATTCACTCACTAAAAATGTTAAACTAGTTACTGAAAGAAATACGTAAGTTGGAAATATTTTCTGAAAGAAAAACAGGAAAACAACTTTGAAACATTGAAATGATCAATTATCACATTCTATTAAAAATACTTACTAGTTATTGCTGTGCCAATGTAATACATTTCAGTCAAAGAATCTACTATTTGTTTGAGATTCCTCACACAGCCAACAGCTAATGCTACAAGTAATTCAAAACCAGCATTAATTGTAGGTGGTGAACCACAGACCGGAATAGCCTGTTCAGCTGGAAGCTCTCCATTTCTCATATACTGTAGGTAAACATTGGATGCAGGAAATATGAAATCATCAATTAATTCCTAAAAAGTTGAAAAAGGGATTACATATTAGCAATGCTATATATTTTTAGAAAAAAAAAGTTCTCTTGTAAGTAAATCATTTTAAAATTACTCATTGGAATTTAAGATCTCATTACATCTCAGAAAACTCAGATTTTCTAATAAAAAGATCTTCCTTCAAAACACTATTTACTATCACTAACATACCTAATTTCGCAGGTTAAATAAATTTGTAAATATTAAGAAAGAACTGAATATAGTACTTATCAAAATTTTTATTTTAAATGTTTGCTCCTTTAATCAAGTGTATAGCAAATTAAACCCATTTTGAATAGAAATAAAATGTACAAAAATGAAACTTTGTTTCCTTGTGTTACTACATGTATGAAAAAACTCATTAAAGATATACAAGATGCATTCTTACAAAACAGAGGTTTGCCTCATTAAATGAAATTAACAATTCAGATTTTCCAAAGAGAAAAACTAAACAACAATTACTTTATAAAGTATCTTATTTATTTATCTATTTATTTTGAGACAGGGCCTTGCTCTGTTCCTTCAGGCTGGAGTGCAGTGGTGCGATCTCAGCTCACTGCAACCTCCACCTCCTGGGCTCAGGTGATCCTTCCATCTCAGCCTCTCAAGTAGCTGGGGACCATGGGTGTGCGCCACCACACCTGGCAATTTTTTTTTTTTCTTTTGTAGAGAAGGGGTTTCACCATGTTGCCCAGGCTGGTCTTCAACTCTTGGGCTCAAGCCATCCACTGGACTCGGCCTCCCAAAGTACTGGGATTACAGGCATGAGGCCAGCAAGTCCAGCCATGAAATCTTATTTAAATACAAATTTAGAAATGTCTCTTGAATAAAGTAAGGCATAACTGTATTTCTTAAATTACTGTAAATTTGATAAAGATTCTTAAAAAAGAGAAAAGATCAAGAAAGTACAAAGACATGATACTACTATAAATTAATTAAATTTGATTATAAACATTTAGAAGGTTATGATATGTAGCTTACAACCAAGAACACAGAACTTACTTTAATGAGATTAGCACCTCCTTTTTCACAACCAATATGAAATTTTTTCTCAGAAGTTTGAAAGGCCAGTAACTCCTTTGTCACTCCAAGGTGGCCCTCTAAGATCGTCTCTTCAATACCCGTTTCTCCTGTTCTTTTAACATCATCCTGCCAAAGGCGGGGGGTGGGGTGGGGGGGGGAAGAAATCAAATGTCTAGCTTATGAAAGGGAGGTAAAGAGGGAGAGAGGAGCCAGAACGAGACAGAGCTGGAGGGATATGAGATAATTTCCTTAAGTCTTTCCATTCAAACAACTTTGTTTTCTTCAGAACTTTCTAGAAATTGGCTTTATGAACTACTAGAAGAAATGCTAATTTGAAGGTTAAAAACTACAAATCTCTTCAGAAATAAATTCTTGTATCATTTTGCCTAAGTAAAAAGTATCAGATGTTATGGTAGAAAGTTCTGCTCTATCAGACTCATTTTTGACATAAACAATTCAAGAATACTTTTTTTAAAAATTAGAATTTGCAAAAAGGCCCAAAATGCTAAAATAAAAGAAGCTGAACATCAGTATTTCAAGTGTCAAGTAAGCAATTCATTTTACTAAACTAGATATGCATTTTGTGAATCACAGATTACTAACGTCCACTGATGCAGAGTACATTCTTTGGTCCCTTTTATCAATCTTTGGAGTTTTCCATTTAACCAAAATGCTCAAAAAATATAAATCATCAATAAAACATTCTATTTACTAATAATGACATATAAATGGAGTATTAACTAAAACTTACCCTAATTCTTTTAAGCCAATCAATTTCATTATTGAGAAGAACTTCAGCATTGGGTACATTAATATTACTATTGTAAGCGTAATTAAGAAGGTGTCTTAAAAGAGTAAAGTAGTCGCCTGAGTGTTTAG
This sequence comes from Homo sapiens, assembly GCF_000001405.40. Taxonomy (NCBI): domain Eukaryota; kingdom Metazoa; phylum Chordata; class Mammalia; order Primates; family Hominidae; genus Homo; species Homo sapiens. The sequence goes on along the minus strand of NC_000023.11, from coordinate 41,196,610 downwards.
CTCTCTCTCTTGCTGTGCTCTGGAAACAGAGTAGAATAATATCAATTTACACGTCCATCCTCAAAATCCACTTTTTTAAAAACCCAGAGTTAACTAGAGAAGATGACTACCACAGTGCGGGAAATAAAGTAGTACTTCATTTATTAAATATAGACTGTCCTAACTTTAATGCAAGCTAAAACCACAAATTTCTGAATGTTTCTTGCTTAAAGAATGAATCACATTGATAAGCATATTTTAAAAAGTCTCACCCCCAAAACAGTAAAGAGTAGAGTAATGAAGAAAAGTAGAGGCCGGTGTCCCATGCAACATCTGGTGCACATTAAAAAGAACTGCTCCTGTGCCACCTGACGAACAGTTCTGAAATAAAAAATGTTTCACATTTAATACATTATTTCCATTTTAAAAAATGATTGTAACATTGTTCCCTCTTGGGGAGGAGAGGTGGGGGGAGTATAAAAGGGAAATAAATTAATAGTAAGGATACAGGATTACCCTACCTACACACAACAAGCACTCAAGCCAACACCACATAATACATGAACTTAAGCTCTATGTCCAGGACTATAACCTCAAATTGACACTAAGAGTTTGAGGGATACCACCTTCTAACACCTCTTTCTTGGAACAGGCTGGAAATGTTCCTCTATATACCAAATGCTCTACTACAATAACCTTATGCATCTTTTTGGCCTTCCACAGAATTTTTATTCAACTGTGGTTCTGCACAACAGCTCTGTGGAAATTCTGTAGTAACCACGGTAAGGCTATTGTGGCAGATGTCTCTTACACCAGGGGTCCCCAAACCCCAGGCCAGAAGGCCAAATGAGCATTATGGCCTGAGCTCCGCCTCCTGTCAGATCAGCGGTGGCATTAGATTCTCATAGGAGCGCAAACCCTATTGAACTACACATGCAAGGGTTCTAGCTTATGTGCCCCTTATGAGAATCTAACTAATGCCTCATGATCTGAGGTGGAATCCTTTCATCCCGAAACCATCCCCCACTACCTCCCTGATCCACGGAAAAATTGTCTTCCATGAAACTGGGCCCTGGTGCCAAAAGGGTTGGGGACTGCTGCCGTATACCGTACTGGCAGTTCCAAAAGCACGGTCCCCAGAGCAGCAACATCAGCATTATCTGGGAACTTGTTAGAAATGCCAACTCTCAGGCTCCAATGCAGACCTCCTGAATCAGAAATACTGGAGGTGGGGCCCAGCAATGTGTTAATAAACTCTTTAGGTCAATCTGATGTGCACTAAACATTGAGAACCACAGGCTGGGTGCGGTGGCTCACACCTGTAACCCCAGCACTTTGGGAGGGTGAGGCGGACGGATCAGGAGGTCAAGAGGTCAAGACCATCCTAGCCAACATGGTGAAACCCCGTTTCTACTAAAAATACAAAAATTAGCCAGGCGTGGTGGTGGGTGCCTGTAATCCCAGCTACTTGGGAGGCTGAGGCAGGACAATTGCTTGAACCCGGAAGGCGGAGGTTGCAGTGAGCTGAGATCACGCCACTGCACTCCAGCCTGGTGACAGAGCAAGAATCCATCTCCAAAAAAAAGAAAGAAAAAAGAAAGATTGAGAATCACAATACCATATTTTCTCTCTGATGACCCTTGGGAAAACCTTGTCTCATGATTCTCAGATCTGGGAATCATGGATCTATCTTTTTTAAAAACTGTTATGTACTATATAGATCTCACTAGAATAAAATGCTCCAAGAGGGCAGAGACATCATCTACCTTTAATTAAAACTGTGCCATTGGAACCTAGAATAGTGTCTGGCGTATAAGAGGACCTCAAGAACCAGTTATCAAATGTGTAGTCTATCTCCATTACAAAGTAAGCTCTTTAAGGGTAGGGGCTTTCTTGATGCCAAAGGTCCTGGCACCTAGAACAATGTATGACACATGGAAGATGCTCAACAAGTACCTGCTAAGCATTTGTGAATATCTTATAGACATCACAAACTGCATTTCATGGATAACTACATTTCTGTCTTTGTGCTAGTTACTAGATAACTCAGAACCAAATTTATTTTTATTTATTTATTGACACAGAGTTTCGCTCTTGTTGCCCAGGCTGGTGTGCAATGGCAACATCTCGGCTCACTGCAACCTCCGCCTCCCAGGTTCAAGCGATTCTCCTGCCTCAGCCTCCCGAGTAGTTGGGATTATAGGTATATGCCACCACACCTGGCTAATTTTGTATTTTTAGTAGAGACGGCGTTTTTCCATGTTGGTCAGGCTGGTCTCGAACTCCCAACCTCAGGTGATCCGCCCGCCTCGGCCTCCCAAAGTGCTGGGATTACAGGCGTGAGTCACTGAGCCCAGCCCTCAGAACTTAATTTAAAGTACAAGTGTAAAGGACCTGACAGCATACATTCTGTGTACTAACCTCCCTCCCTAGAGGGTATCTTAGGTTTCTGAAAACAGTCCATAGGCCTATAAATCAGAGGGATTCAGAAGCCCCTAAAATTTTTGGAGGTAGAATTTGGGGGGAACCCAAGTAAACCAAAGTCAGGCGTATCTACTTTTCTGGGAGCAAGCCCATAACTTAATCAGATTTTCAAAGGTATGCTATTCCCACTGCTTTGGTTTACTAATTTTTCAATAAGCTAGGTATACAGCCCAAATATGAGGGGCAATAAAAAGTTGATGCTCGTGAATACCCGATAGAACTTCCCTGAGCAAATGCAGACTTCTAGAGTGCTTCAAAAGAAACACATTTCTGTCAACTAATCCTGTTGCCTCTATCTTCACAACAGTCAGTCCCTTTTACTTTAGACAGGGTTTCCCTCTGTCACCCAGGCTGTTTAGTGGCATCATCCTAGCTCACTGTAACCTCAAACTCTTGGGTTCAAGCAATCTTCCCACCTCAGCCTCCTGACTAGTTAGGACTACATGTGCATGCTACCACATCCAGCTAAAAAAAAATTTTTTTTGAGACTGGGTCTCGTTCTGTCACCCAGGCTAGAGTGCAGTGGCACGATCAGGGCTCACAGTAGCCTCATCCTCTCCGGGCTCAGGTGATCTGCCCACTTTAGCCTCCTGAGTAGTTGGGACTACAGGCATGTTCACCATACCCGGCTTATTTTTTCTATTTTCTTTAGAGACAAGGTCCCACTATGTTGCCCAGGCTGGTCTCAAACTCCTGGCCTCAAGTGATCCTCCTGTCTTGGCCTCCCAAAGTGCTGGGATTACAACCATGAGCCACCACTGCATGCAGCCCACTGTCATCTTTTATTTAAATTCATAAAATAGCTTGCTTTTCCTGCTATCCTACATACTATTCTTAACCAGAATAAACTTACAAAGTTAAGGTGGAGCACATCATTTCTCTGCTTAAAACCCTCTGAAAGATTCCCATCTCACTTAGGGTCAATGTCTTCACAATGACCTATAAAAACCCTCACAGGGTGTTTGTTATCCTCTCTGACTTTACTCCCTACAACTGTCCCCGTCCCCTACCGCCTCTGTTCCATCCACTCCAGTTTCCCTGCTGTTCTTTCACATGTCAGGCATGTTCCTGACATGCCTGGACATACACATCTGTTGTTTTTTCTGCTTAAAATATACTTTCTCCATGAGTCACATGGATTATTACTTTGCTCTGAAAGGTAATGATAAAAGGTGACCTCTAAACAAAGCTATCACCTTTGTGAAGTCTTCTTCAACTACCCTATAAAAAAATGAACTCCACTCATGCCCCGTACTACACAGCCCCTTTTCCTGCTTTATTTCACCCCCATAGCACTTATTCCTATCTGATATACTTCTCGTATGCCTTCTCTTCCCCCATCCCTTTTGGCATGTAAGCTCCTAGAAGGCTAAGATTTTGTCTGTTTTGCCATATCCACAGTGGGTAGTGTCTTGTAGACAATAGGTATTTGATCAATATTTACCAAACATATACATGAGACTGCCTACACCACATTAACATCAAACACTGCTTAGACCTTAGCACCATAGGCCTTCTGTCAAACTGACTCCCACTAACCTCCTGTACAGTATTATCCTTGACTCCTTTTCTAAACATTTAACCAAATACTCAGCTCTGCTCTGAAAGCACTATCCCAGGAGTGGCAAAGTCAAATGCTTTCTCGGATCAGAGAGGTAACATAAGTGAGTTAACTAGGCAGGGAATAAAACAACAGGCTGTGGAAACAGCAGAAAAAAATATCGTTTATCTAAAAGAATTTAAATCCATTGCAACTAACTACAATAAAATAAAGTCAGTGTCATGATGTGGAAGCAGACCATCTAACAGGAACAGAGGTCTAGGAAACCTTTCCTAGATTAGGGATAAGGAAAAGTTACTAGAATATGTGGCATTTAAGTTGAAACTTCTGAATGAGTAGAAGCAGGGACCAAATTATGGAGTGCTTATAAGCCAAATTTAAAAGTTTGAACTTAATTCAAAGATAACGGGAAGACATGGAAAGATTTTAAGCAGGAAAGCAACATGCTCATATTTTCTAGAGATCACTCTGCTTGCCGTGTAGTCAACAGATTAGAAGAGTACAACACTACAGGTGGGAAGATCAAGGATACTATGATTGTCCAGGCAATGGGTCCAGACTGCTTAGATCAGGGTAGACCATGAGGAGGAAAGTGTATGGAGTTCAAAGACACATGAAGTAAAAGCCACATAACTGGGAGTGAGAAAGGGAGAGAGAGAGCGCACTGGCAATGACCATCTTCTACTTTTATGCACATATAAATCCTGCCCAAACATGAGCTCACATGCTACATCCTGCACAAAACCTTCACTTTTGCTCCTTCCAGGTAGAAAGTAAGTTATGGCCTTTCCAATTCTCAAAGTATTTTACCTTTTATGGCACCAATTTCTCTCTCAAAGTTCCTTGAGTGCAAGAACTGCCTTATTTGACTTTGGTTTTAATTGCCAAGCACATAGGTAGGGATTCACATATTTGCTGGTGGATTATAATTACACCCAGAGCCCAATTTGTGTGGCAGAAATGTCAGAACTCAAGAAGCAGAAAACCTTCAGTCTTAGTGTTAGCATTTAGTGATCATTATGCCCTTGTTAGTCATTTAATTTCTACAGTCCTTGTGCCTCTCCATCAGCAAAGTCTACTTCTGAGTTGCTATACGGATTAAGTGAGAAGTACCTTGTAAATAACTATGCTTAAACGTTACTATAGGATTATAAACTCCATCTGAGGGGCAGATTTGTACACAGCTCACAATCCCTTATTTGAAACCCCTGGGGCCAGTATGTATTTGGGGATTCAATTTTTTTTTTTTTTTTTTTTGACATGGAGTTTCACTCTTATTGCCCAGGCTGGAGTACAATGGCGCGATCTCAGCTCACTGCAACATCCGCCTTCCGGGTTCAAGCAATTCTCCTGCCTCAGTCTCCCAAGTAGCTGGGATTACAGGCGCCCACCACAATGTCCAACTAATTTTTTGTATTTTTAGTAGAGTCGAGGTTTCACCATGTTGGCCACGCTGGTCTGGAACTCCTGACCTCAGGTGATCCACCTGCCTCAGCCTCCCAAAGTGCAGGGATTACAAGCATGAGCCACCGTGCCCGGCCTGGGGATTCAGATTTTAGAATATTAATGCCAATAATTAATGTCCAAGTCGGACTTGCTGACAAATTCTTACTAACGGGAAATAATGGATTTTGAACCTACATAGGTATTCAGATATTTATAAAAAATCAGGTACTTAAAACTCAAAAAGATCCTAACTTAGAACGCCCTCCCTATTATTGCAGACAATATGGTGACATAATGAGATAACATGCTTTCTACAGTACATTACCGCACTGCATGCAAGTTTCAGGGAAGAGAGGGGCAAAATGGTTCTGACTTATATAAGGGTAATTTTCATAAAGGGTAGAGGGCAAAAAACCCTGTTAAATCAAGTTCCTTAATAGTTAGTAGACTAAGAGATGAAATAAGTTCCTAATTTAAGATTTTAAAAATTCAACATAGAATAACAAACTTGCTACCCTCCAGGTTTGACATCATTAAAACTGTTGGCTAATCATCTTTCCTATCCTCACCATTCCCACACGTATGCATCATTAAATGGAATTAGACTTACTAAACCTATTTATCTTTTCCAACGTGCAGGATTGTCTTCTCAAGGAGGTAGCACGCCCAACCCGATTTGTGGGGATCCTGTTAAGAGTTTCTGAATAGGCTGGACTGGATTTCTTCAAAGAACTTACCCAAGGACCTTCTTAAAATAGGTGATATTCACACTTTAAACCCACTAAATCACTTTAGACTCTAAAGTGACATTCCCACTTCAGACTCTACATCCTCTCGAGTGGGCAAGTTGAACCCTACCCCCCACAGCATGTACATTTTTAAAACTTTAATTATTACTATGTTTCATTTCAACAAATGACTTATTGTGAATTTACATCAACCTTTCATCAATGAATTTTGTCATTATTGAATGGCATGTGATGGAATGATGAAAGTAAACATTTTCTGTGTCTTTTCACAAAATACAGATAAAACAAGTTAATTACATACAACAGTGACACAAATTAGAGCCCAAGTTAATAAAGTTACCATATACGAAGATCAGGATCAGACTGATACAAGAGGATGGAAACCAACATTTTCTATAAATCTGACTGACTTGCAGAAAAAGAAACCCAAAACAAAATTACTGCCACTGATTAAATGCTCTTGAAATGAAAACATGAGCTTTATAACTGATCTTTATTATCAGTGTAAACTGCAAAAGTTCTTACAATGACCCTGTCTTACAAATTTCATATCAAATTCTGTTTGGCTTTAAAAAAAACCTGGCATCTAGGAATCTAAGATAGGAGGCTAATGTCCTATATGATTTAAATCTTGCAAACTAGATTTTTAGAAATAGGCTAATCTATATACCTCCCAGGTAAAACTAAATTCTAAGATTAGAAAAAAATCATGCTTTGACAATTAATATTGGCATTTGCAGAGACTAAAACCAAACATTTAGGTTAAGCAAAACACTCTTAAATAATAAAATTTTCCTCAATACCAATATGCCATAGAGACAATAAATATTTAATTTTGGGGACACATTTTGCCAGCCTAAATTAATTCACTCCATTTACAAAAAGTAAGTTTCTTACAATTAAAAAAGATACTTACTTGCTGTGACAGTGCAATAGTAAGTCAATGATGAATGTCTGCCAAGCCTTTTCTTTACTAAGAGCATCTAAGGCTGTTGGAATCAAGGCAAAACATAAGGTCATCACTTCCAATGCTTCACAGCAAACCTGTTCGTCTTCCAAGTCTGGCTCATTGCCTGCATTGGTCTGTAAAATTACAATCAAGAACAAATTACCCAAAGAAGTATTTAAGAAAAATCTCACACAACTTCTAGTTAGTGCTTAAAACTCATCTGCTCACTTAAACCACCTGGCCTCAGCCTCTCCATGGCTGCATGTTAACTCTTGAGGCCCCTTTGGAATAGTCTGGAAATGACTATAATAGAAAATAAAGTCTAATTCCATTATTTTCCTATGTCTTCAGGAGGGCTGAAGGAGCACACTGAGCACACTACCTATCTTTTTGAGACCTTCTGAGTTGTTTACTTCTGAACCAACAACCAATCCTTTCTCAGGAACCACTGTGGCATAGCACTTAGGTACTTTTGACTAGTTCCATTATGTTGCTTGCCTATTGTGCCATTTTATTCAAAATCAATTGTCTGACAACTATTCAGGAAGGGTTTCAAAGGCTTACAACCTAAAATATGCCTGGGGAGGTACCTAATGAATTCTAATCTGACTTTATTAATCAAAAAGTAGTAACTACAGTACATGCCTGAAACAGAATAAGTATTCAGTTAATAAGCTGAATGAATACCCAGGGCTGTGCCAGACAGATACTATGGAACATCAACATATATCCTGGGCAAATCAGGGTGATGTTGGCCATGTAAAAGAAGCTCTACCAAGTCAGGGAAGTTCCTGTAACTCAATTTCTCCTTCTAAATATGTAGCATCAGGGGCAGGTACACATGATAAATCAAAAAGCCAACCACAGCTTCTCTTCTGTAGATAATTTGCTTAATCTAATAGAAGGTCAGGAATGATATCTAATTGGCTAACACTCTTATTTTTGACTGCTTTAAGACAATCAAATAAAAATACTTAAATGCCATACCATAACTGACAAACCAAAATTTACGCAGGACAGAAAGATGATAAAAGAAAAAAGAGAATGGGATAAAGCAAATTCAGTATGAGACAATTATATCTGACCCCCACAAGAAGCAGCAAAAGGCAATTTCATTTAAAAAGCAGCCACATGGCACGATTCTTAAGTACTTCATTTTCAAAGTAAAATTTTACCATATTCTCAACATAGCTATCAATTAATTTTCAACCATTAAGATGCAAGTGATTCAATTTTTAAAAATAGCAAAGCTAATAAAAATCAAACCACATGCACAATTAAGAAACATTTGTTTACAAGGAATATAGTTCTGTGATAATTCTTACCTTCTCATAAATTTTAGTGATTTCTTCATTTGGGCTAAATACTAGCTGTAACGACCCACATCCTGATGCCCAGATAATTTTTTGTATAGCTCTAATTACACAAATATCAGGCATATATCTTGAAGCCTGCAAGATAACGAGTAAATAGAACTGTTGATAGAATGAGAGTGAAATTATGTTTAGAAAAACAAAAATGTTTCACTTTGTAAAGGAAATAGGAATTACTGTGTAGTACCATTGTTTTTAAATTCCCAAGTTGCCTTTGTCTTAAAAAAAAAAAAAAAAAAAGGTGGGGGCGGAGGGCCCTCTGGCTCTGTCACCCAGTCTAGAGTACAGTGGTGTGATCATAGCTCACTACAGCCTTGAACTCCTGGGCTCAAGAGATCCTCCTACCTCATGCTCCCAAGTAGGTGGAAGTCCAGGCATCTGCCACTGCACCTGGCTTATTCCCCACCTCCTGCCTTTAAACAGCAATACAACAAAGTACGCTCCCCAAGTTCTCTAGCTCTTTACTATTACATTTTACTACTACAAAGATGACAACCTTTCCACTCGTAGTTTCTTATCCAAGAAAAATGAAAATTTATGTCTACACAAACACTTGTACACAATGTTTACATCAGCTTTATTCACAGCCAAAAAGGGAAAATGATCCAACTGTCCTTCACCAAGTATATGGATAAACAAAATGTGGAATATTCATAATGGGTACTAGTTAGCAATAAAAAGGAATGAACTACTAATCCACACAACACAGGTAATTCTCAGTCATTATTCTTAGTGAAAGAAGCCAGACACAAAAGAACACACACTATAATCCACCTATATAAAACTCCAGAAGACAAAAAATACTCTCTAGGGACAAAAAGAGCAGTAGTTACCTGGGGAAAGAATAAACTGCAAAAGTGCATAAAGAGTGATGAAAACATTCGGTTTCGACCGCAGCAGTGGTTTCACACATATATGTCAAAATTCACCGAATCTGGGCCGGGCATGGTGGCTCATGCCTGTAATCCCAGCACTCTGGGAGGCTGAGGCAGGCAGATCACCAGAGGTCAGGAGTTCGAGACCAGCCTGGCCAACATCATGAAACCCCATCTCTACTAAAAATAAAAAAATAGCCGGGCATGGGGGGGTGGGTGTGGCACCTGTAATCCCAGCTACTGTGGAGGCTGAGGCAGAATAATCACTTGAACCTGGGAGGTGGAGGTTGCAGTGAGCCGAGATAGCACCACAGCACTCCAGCCTGGGCAACAGAGTGAGACTCCGTCTCAAAAAAAAAAAAAATCACCCCATCTGTATACTTTAAAAGGATGCTGTTTATTATACATAAAGTTGATTAAAAACAGAAAGTACTAATATTAATAGTAGACAAAACTGATATTAAGGGGACATTATCTATAGAATGAGACAGTGATTAAAATAAGTGGGCCTAGGAAAGTTAAAATTGTGACAGAAGTCTTGATAAAACTAACCTCATCAGATATCTGCTGAGCAAGACGAACTGACACATTTCTAAGCATGCACTCGGATGATGGATTAGGAATGCTCTGAAGGGCACTTTGTAGCACCACTGCTTGATCATGGGTAACTTGGTTGATCTGAAAAAAGTTAACCATTTTATTTGGAGTAAATAATTTGTACATAACCAGACCTAACCAATTGCTCTTCATTCATCACCCACTCCTGCAGAACGACTTCCTTGCATATACACATTATAGAACCTGTGGCAACTTACACAAAAAGCACTGCCAACAAAGTGGGCTTCCTCTCTTCCTTGTGCACTGTAGTGCCACGTGTCTGCAAATCCCCATTCTAGAGCAATCAACTCGTGTCTCTAAATCTGGCCTCAGCTTAACTTGCAGGGGATAATGATACACTAAATAGACTGGTTCCCTTCTAGAGACTCAGTAAAGTATTGTACATCTTTTATGTACATGCCTTGGGCAGACCCTGCTTGTATTCCCCATTGTTACCACATTTTTCTTTGGAAAAAAAAAAGAAAAATTAAGGAATACTGAAAAAGCAGTAAGAGGACTAATGTATGAAAGGTACCCTAGTTTTTACTTAATGCTATAATCAAGTTGTTAAATCAGTGACAGATTAATTTCATTACGTAGTTGTTAGCGAGGTAATTCTGACTGCCTTCAAGTTGTAACTCCCCTCCTATATATATATACTGTAAATATTTCAACAATATTATTTTAAGATATTTCTATATTACTAAGTTTGCATTGGGCTCCCTACTGTGAGCTCGTTGAGATTAGAGGTTATTATGTACCTCTGTATCCATAGTGGCACATTCTCTGAATAAATACTGAAGAAAGGTGAAAGTGGAAACATGTAATTGTTTTCTGTGTACTTCATTAAGTATCTGTGTCAGGGATCATGACAAAAATCTGTTTTTATCCTAACAAGAAGCTGTCTTTTTACTTACCTAATAAGAACTACTTTAAAAAAAAAAAAATCCTAACAAAGATGGGACCTGTGATACAAAACAATATAAAATTTAAGCCATTTTTTACAGAAAATTCGTAACACACATCAAAGTGTCGAAAGTAGTATAATTAACTCCCATGTACATATTACTTAGCTTCAGGAATTATCGCCAGTGAACCAAATTGTTTAATCTGACTATCCTCCCTTGCTTTCCATCACTTCTCCACCCCAGGATTGTTTTTAAGCAAATCCTAGATATCATGTAATTTCACCTGGAAGTATCTTAGCAATCACTTCAAAAATATAGGGGGCTCTTCCTTTTAAACATAACCACAGTATTATCATAGCTAAAACAATTATATGTGATATTACCATAAATATCAACATTCTGATCTCCACAATTGAAAACTAAGCCATTTCTAAAGAAGAAAATCTTTATCCCTGAAGTTTTACCTTCTATCAGTAACTTAGTAAAACAATCATTTATGATGTTTATAAAACTTTACTTAGAATTAAATGCATAGTTTGATCTCTCATAAATAAGTATCAAATTCTGGCATGTCTTGAGAATTTTTTGTGACATGGATCAAGAATGCCACCAAGGCAGAAACCGAGTCAGAATAAGCTCAGAACTTGGGTTTAAGCCCAAGGTGGGAAGGGAAACAAGCAACAAGATAAACCAATTATATCTCTTATTACAATCTGTGTCTTTATATATCTACCAGGCACAAGTTAATAAGAGATTCATATGGAGTTTTTGTTAGGTTTAAAATAAATGAAAGTCAAGCAAGATTTAAGTGGGCAGGGAGAAACTACCCTCAGATTATCAGCTGTCAGCGAAAAGTATTTGCACTTTTAATACAAACATCATAAAGAAAACCTCTGAAATAAGGCACTTTGAACATTGAGTCAACCTTGAACTCTACACTTAAAATACTAATTAGTTTTACTTTAAAAATTGCTATCTACTATTATAAAAGGATTTTTAAAAAGTCTGTATTACCTGTGTCATGGGATTCACACCTTCTACACCTGGCTGACAAGCTTCTGCCACAGCTCGAACATGACCATAGCCAATGGCAGTTAGCAAAAGCTTGGCTATTTTAAGAGCATTGAGGTAGGCACCCCTTCGAGTTTCCATATCTGCATTCGGTAGGAAGTTATTTCTGGTTAGCATACTCAGTACAAGGGGTAGGCCACCACTTTTCAAGAAGTGAAACTGAAAATCAGAGGAATCATCAGCCAGAGGTGCACCAGCAGGCATTAACAAGGCATAGACTACCTGGAAAAATAGAGAAGAGGGGGAGAGGGCTGTATTAAAAGATTTAAAAAAAAAATAACTTCTATTTGTACTATTGTCAGTGCCAAGAAACTCTTGACCATCTCACTATTATTTATTTCAAATTAATATTTCATTTCAAAACTACTTCATTACAATTTTACCCAAATCATTCACCTTACCATATGAAAGGTCAAATTTAAAGAACACAGAATAAATTTAAAAGGAAAAACAAAGAAAACAACAACAACAAAAAACCCCAAAAACTAACCTCTGTTAGATATAGCACTTGTGAGGCTGAAGGACCAAAGAAAAGTGAGTCAAGAGATGGACTAAGGCTGCTTTCTCCAAGTTTGGCATGGTCTAAACAAATAGCTCTTAATTTTTCTATCGTTGTGCTATCTGGAGGAAAAAAAGAGACAGTGTGAAAATGTAATTCATGTGTTCATACATATTTAACTTTTGATATCTTGAAGACCATACTAATATGGAATAACAATCCACTCAGTTGGGCTATAGGCTCAAACTTCCTAAGACATGACAAGACCTGGAATGATTAAAAAAGAAAAAAAAAATAAACAAAAACAAAAACAAAAAACAGGGCTCTTTAATCAGTTACTCTCAATACAAAGCATCTGCTACTCAGGGACCTCAAATCAAGATACTCTCCTCTCAGCCACTGGAGATGGAAAAAAATACATTTCAAAAGGAAGTAGTTCTGACTGAAAATAACAAGAAAAAAATTATAAACTCTTCCCTCTAACCTCTTTATTGTTTGCCCCCTGACACTATATATTAACTGGCTTGCTTCACTGAAAGGAATGTAGTGATATCCAAGAAAATGAACCCTAAAAAGCAAACATCGAAAAAGGGTAAGTGCCTATGTACATTCACCTCAAAGCAAGCAGAGCTTTTGTCCTTTTGTCATAATATTAAAACATAATTTTAAATTACGGTGAAAAGACACAGTGGGGGAAAAATAAGATAATCCCAAAATACAATTAAGCATTAGCTACCAAATATTCCAACTTTATTAATAGTCAATCAACCTTGGAAAGTATTTTGATGATCTAAGGTAACTGCCCTATGATTAAAAAAATACCTTGATAATTTTTTTTTTTTTTTTTAAGTAAAAGCTTCTTTTAAAGAAAAGAAAAATAGGTCTGGGCGCAGTGGCTCACGCCTGTAATCCCAGCACTCTGGGAAGCTGAGGCAGGCAGATCACCTGAGGTCAGGTGTTCGAGACCAGCCTGACCAACATGATGAAACCCCATCTCTACTAAAAATACAAAAACCAGCCGGGCGTGGTGGCATGCGCCTGTAATCCCAGCTATTCGGGACGCTGAGGCAGGAGAATTGCTTTAACCTGGGAGGCGGACGTTGCAGTGAGCCAAGGTTGCGCCACTGCACTCCAGCCTGGGCAACAAGAGCGAAACTCCATCTCCAGAAAAAAAAAAAAAAACTATGATTTTCTTTGGGTAAATGAATTTTTACAGGCCTAGAAATAGCAGCCATTATCTTACAAATTTTTCAGTTTGTGTTGAAACTGTCACTTCTCTCTACTCTGAAGGCATAGCGACATATAATGTAACCAATTAAAATAGTTTTTATAATAAAATATTTATAAATATCTTCTCGTGTCATTGAATATTCATCTATATCATTTTATCTGATTATTAAAATGACAATATTATTTTACCAGTTTAATTCCTATTATTGGGCATTTAGGTTTTTACCTCCCCTCACCTTTTTAAACATCAAAGATCCTAGCAGCTGAATTTTTATAATTTTCACCATGCAAAACCCTGCAAGCATAAAGAAGTTGAACATAATGCCCAAAGACTTGACATACATTGTCAAATTACTCCCTAAAAGCAACCCAATTCATATGCTTAACCACTGTATCTCATAGTATCTTGCTTGGCTTAAAAATATTCTGAGTGAAGGATGGAGGCAAAGGGGAGTAGGAGGAAAAAAAAAAAAAGAAGAGCTCAAGAAAAGGAAGTGGTGGATATTTTTTTTTCTTCTTTGAGACAGGGTCTCACTCTGTCACCCAGGCTGAAGTGCAGTGGCGTGAGGACTGCAGCCTCAACCTCCCTGGGCTGAGGTGATCCTCCCATCTCAGCCTTCTGAGTAGTTGGGAACCACAGGCATGTGCCACCATGCCCAGCTAATTTTTGCATATTTTTTTGTAGAGACAGAGTTATGCCATGTTGCCCAGGCTGATCTCAAACTCCAGGGGCTCAAGCAATCCTCCCACCTTGGCTTCCTGAAGTGCTGGGATTACCAGCGTGACCCGGTCAGAAGTAGTGAATTCTAAGCAAATCATTTAATGGTCTTGAATTATAGTTTACTCATTTGAGAGATCTGAATCAAAGTTAACACTCAGTGGCCATTCCAGCTCTCATATTCATCCCTGATTATATCATGTTACATTTTATAAAAAATGGAAGCCAGAAAAATTTAAGCCAGTCATAATCTTGTCATCCAGAGTTTATGACGATTTTGGTTTCTTTCTAGCCTTTTGAAAAGATACCTAAGCTTTGGGAAGCCAAGATGGGAGGATCACTGGAGCCCAGGTCAAAACCAGCCTGCGTAACACAGCAAGACCCCCATCACTACAAAAAAATTTTCAAAATAAGCCAGGTGTGGGCCGGGCGCAGTGGCTCATGCCTGTAATCCCAGCACTCAGGGAGGCGGAGGTGGGCGGATCACTTGAGGTCAGGAGTTCAAGACTAGCCTGACCAACATGGTGAAACCCCATCTCTACAAAAAATACAAAAATTAGCTGGGCGTGGTGGCGTCCATCTGTAATCCCAGCTACTCGGGAGGCTGAGGCAGGAGAATCACTTGAACCCAGAAGGCACAGGCTGCAGTAAGCAGAGACTGCGCCACTGCATTGCAGCCTGGGCGACAGTGTGAGACTCTGTATCTCAAAAAAAAAAAAAAAAAAAAAAAAAAAAAGTCAGGTGTGGTGGTGTGTACCTGTAGTCCTAGCTACTCTTAGGCAGGAGCCTCACTTGAGGCCAGGAGTTTGAGGTTACAGTGAGCTAGGATCATGCTGCTGCACTCTAGCCTGGGACACAGAGTAAGGCCCTCTCTCTTTAAAAAAAAAAAAAAAAAAAAAGAAATGAGAAATAGCATTTAAGCTATGTGTCCCAGGTGAATTAACAATCTCTCTGTGCTTCAGTTTCTCCGTCTTTAAAATACAGATAAAATTAATAATTTCCTTATAGGTATGTTGTGTGGTTTATCAGTGCTAAGAGCTTACAACAGACTTTTACAAAAGATGGTATTACATATAGAGAGGACTGCAGAAGTTTTAAGTTTAACAGCAAATCATAACATGGGCACTTGGCTTCAGGCAAAGATTCAGAATGAAAAGAAGTGTAACATTTGGGTGATCATTTAGCATTTGTGCACTCTTGGATGTATTTTAAATGGAGGGGAAAGAGAGAATCATTAGCTTTTTTCCTAGTCATTAACTATACCTTATAGAGATGATGTGTGGTTTAAGTTGAGTTTATCAGTGCTAAGAGCTTACAACAGACTTTTACAAAAGATTGTATTACCACGTTTTAGACACAAACTCTTAAATAAGAAAGGAAGCAGGAGCTCTAAGAAAAGGAAGTGACAGAGAGTGGTTTAATGTTTAATGAATACTAAGTGCCAGTCCCTAGGCTAGGGGTTTTCCATACATTGTTTCATTTAATCCCTGCAATTACACAAAAAAGTTATCATTATCCCAGTTCTAAGGATAAGGAAGCTCTAATAAACTATGAAACTTATGTTTAACGCCATAGAGTAGCAATTAGAAGCAGGATTGGAACTCAAGTCCATTTGAGTCCAAAGCCTATGATTTTCTGCTGCAATACAACCATTACCAGCTTTTTCAAAAGCTGGCTGTTTCAAATTTAGGTATTCTAGTTTCATTATATAAAACATGAAGAAAGCACCCACTTCAAGTTTCTTGCCTTAACTGTCTGACAAGAGCTCATGCTCGCCATCTGGTGGCATTAAGCGCCAATCACAAGATCAAGGATTCAGTGGTGGGTTTGTGTTTTTACAGTATGTTGTGAAGGTTGAATCTGCAGTAAAGCACTGCAAGGACTATTACTGAAATACTAACAAATGAAACTATGTAAATTCTAAACGATGTAACAGACAAGAATGAAATATATCTTTTGAGAGAAGCCTTAGCTAAGAATCTAATGTGAAATGCTTCTGTCCCATAATAATTGCAAAGCAAGATGAGAAGCCCAACAAGGTGTTTAATTTAGAAAATGGAGGTAATAAAAGCAGAAGACAGCTTTAAAAATTATGTCAACTAAATATGGTGTACTGCACTATATTTATCAGTACTTCATCCCCAAACCCCACTAAAATGAGAATGAATGAATATAAAAATACATAAACTCAAAAGAACATAAAAACAGAAGGGGAAGCAACACATTAAACAGCTGTCAACAAATTACTGACGGTGTAGTGAAGATGGGGATAGATAGTTGGTTTAGCTGAAGTTGTGAAGTTGGTTTAGTTGTTGTGAAGGCAAGGAGAAGAGGGTGCCTATAAATTAATGCCCCACTAAATCTGAGAAAAGCCAAGGGTATGAAAACAACAAACACTTGGGAAGGCACAAATGATTCGAAGGCCTAAAGACAGAGGCTGAAGACTGATTAAGAAGCCTTTCCAACTCCCTCAGGTTTCAGATTTCTCATTGCTGTAGAGATACAAATACGGAATGGAAGATGACTAGGAAGCTGGACTGGTACAAGCGTGAACCTGTGTTAGTTAACTGCAGGATACAAAAATCAATATACAAAACTAAGTAGTGTTTCCATTTGCCAATAGCAAACTATCTGAAAGAGAAATCAAGAAAGTTATCTCACAATAGCTACAAAAATATAAGATGCCTAGGAATAAATTTAAGCAAGGAGGAGAAAGATCACTACAAAAAAAACTGATGAAAGAACGAACACAGGACACAAATAAATGGAAAAATATTCTATGTTCATGGGTTGGAAGAACAAATATTGTTAAAATGTCCATATTACCCAAAGCAATCTACAGATTGATGCAATCTCTATTAAAATACCAATTATATTCTTCACAGAAATAGAAAAAACATCCTTTGAGGTGAATCTGCAAGGTAAAACAAAAAAATACAAAAAACACTCCTAAAATTCATATGGAACTACAAAAGACTCCAAATAGCCGAATCAATCTTGAGTAAGAAGAACAAAGCTGAAGGCATCAGCTACTTGACTTCAAAATTTACTATAGAGCAATAGTAACCAAAACAGCATGGTATTGACACAAAAATAGACACAGATCAATTGAACAGAATAGAGAACCCAGAAATAAATCCACATAATCAGAAACAACTGATTTTCAACAAAGGTGCCAAGAACACACATTGGGGGAAAAGGCAATCTCTTGAATAAAAATGGTGTTGCAAAAACAGAATATACATATGCAGAAAAATGAAACTAAACCCCTATTATTCATCATATGTAAAAATAAACTCAAGATGGGTTAAAAACTTAAATGTAAGACCAGAAACTATAAAACTACTAGAAGAAAACACAAGGGAAATGTTTCATGTCATTAGTGTGGGCAAGGACTTTTTGGCTAAGACTTCAAAAGCACAGGCAACAAACACAAAAACAGACAAACGAAATTACATTAAACTAAAAAGCTTCTACCCAACAAAGGAAATAAGACCACAAAAAGACAAATCTACAGAATTGGAGAAAATATTTGCAAACTATGCATCTGACAAGGGGTTAATATCCAGAATATATAAGGAACTCAACAGCAAAAAATCCGATTTTTAAAATGGGCAAAAGACTTGAATAGATATTTCTCAAAAGAAGACATCCAAATGGCCAACATGTACATGAAAGCACACTCAACATAACTAATCATTAAGGAAATGCAAATCCAAACCACAATGAGGTATCACCTTACCACAATTAGAATGAAATAAGGATGACTTGGCAGGGGCACTGTGGTTCACACCTGTAATCCTAGCACTTTGGTAGGCCGAGGTGGGTGGATCACCTGAGGTCAAGCGTTCGAGACCAGCCTGGCCAACATGGTGAAACCTCGTCTCTACTAAAAATATAATAATTAGCCGGGCATGAGGGCAGGTGCCTGTAATCACAGCTATTCGGGAGGCTGAGGCAGGAGAATCACCTGAACCCAGGAGGCAGAGGGTGCAGTGAGCCGAAATCACGCCACTGCACTACTCCAGCATGGGCAACAGAGCAAAATCTCCGTCTCAAAAAAAAAAAAAAAAAAAAAAAAAAAAAAGATTTAAACCTCGGATTTTGATTTCTAAATACCCTTCCTTCTAAAAACTCTGGAATGGCAGATTCCAGAGCTGGGGCAGAGGAAATACTATAGATAAGCTTGAAACATCTTCTCATACCAGAAAATAATAAAGTACAATAAAGTACCTTAAAAAAATTGAGGTTGTATGTCTGGGTCTAACCTATAGGGGCTTCCACTGACCATATCTAGGACAATTGAGCATCAAAATAAATAACCATTACAATGGTTATAACCCAATGAATAAAATAAACCCATAAGAGTGATCATATATGACAAATATAAAGGCGAGAAAACAAAGCACTACCTTATAGAATGTCAACTAATAAATGTAGAAAGGATGACAAAATTAAAACAAAATTACCATTTTGCAACCATCATAGTAAAAACATTTAGGCAACAATCACAATAGATGATAAAACAAATGTTTGATGAGGAAAAAGATAGTTACGAAGTCTCAAAGCATCTCTCTACACAAAGCATCTCTCTCCTTTAGAGGAGAAACCTGGCAGCTATCAACTAAGTGATCTGGGTTAATGTCACCAAAGACACAGTGACATGTGTCTCTCAATGTGATGCTCTTAGACACATCAACATACAAGTAGTACTCTGTCAAATGTACAACCTCCATATAATCATCAGAACAGATAAGACCCAATGAGAGATATTCAGCGCAACTGACATGTGCCATTCAAAAACAAAGTCACAAAAGACAAAGACTGAGGAACTATTCCAGATTAAAGACAACTGAAAGAGATACCGAATAATTATGCAATGTATGAACCTGGATTTAGATCCTCAACCAGAAAACATTGTTATAAAGTCCAATACTGAGGAAAGTGTCAAAATATGAAAATGGTCTGCAGATTAGATGATATTACTGTATATGCTAAATTTTTTTTATTTTGAATAATACTATGTTAATGTAAGTGAGAACATTCTTGTTTTTAGAAGACATATACTAAGCTATTTAGGAAGAAAAAGATGATTGTCTACAACTTGTTCTCCAAATGTTAGGAAACTTTTGCCATCACTACGGCAAACTGTTAATTACTGAATTTGGGAGCCAACTGTATTCTTTGTAAACAGTTTGAAATTATTTTAATATAAAAAGCTAGTTAAAAAACTCAAGGACAGTAAAAGATGATGCTGGAAAAAGAAGAAAACATAATATCCATCAGTAATAGCCTAGAGAGAAATAATTACAGTCTGTTATGCTATAGCACGTTTCTATAACCCCAATTAGCTCACAATCAATTGGCAAATATAATGATGTCAGTATAATGCAGAAGGTGAGTTTGTTCATGTGTGATTTCTTCCAGGCAACAGTAGCCAGAACAACAGAACTGTTAATCTTCAACAAAAAAATTAAAATGAGCAAAGCAAAAAGCCCCCTCAGCTGGGTAGATGTGTAAGCAGAAGCCTGTTTCTTTTTAAAGGAAAATTTAAAGTGAATACTTGCATCAAGGGCTCATCTTGTGAGATACAATCCTAAACTAGACTTTCATGGACCTTGGCAGGTTCTACTTCCCCCTGTGCCTATCTTAATGGTAGCCCATCTATCTCAGAGCTCCACTCTTTTGCACTGTATCTCAGCAATGTCAAGTCAGCATTTCCTCTGTACTGGTTTTGTGTCTTTTTACTATCTCCTGAGGAAGCCTTCAGCCACACTGAAGTACCTGCCTGGACTGTCCAAATTATCTCTGAGGATACTAATTATCATTTTATGAGTGCTCTAATTAAACTATGTGCAAGTTTTAAAGGTAGTCCTATGTTGGGAATTACAGACCATGAAGGAGGAGGAGGGAGCCCAATAAGTGGGTAGAGCTCAGCATAAAGATTCAACTCAAGCAGAGCGAGGAGTGTCCCTGGGGTAGAGACCCAACATTCAGAGACAAGAGTCCTTCTGCGTTCAAAGAAAGGGTGGGGGGTCTGGAGATAACTGATTAAATAGGAAAATAAGTGAGAGGATAACAGAAGCCAGGTTTTTCATTGTCAGAAAAGAGAGTTTGGCCAGGCATGGTGGCTCACGCCTGTAATCCCAGCTACTGGGAGGCTGAGGCAGGAGAATCCCTTGAACCAGGGAGGCGGAGGTTGCAGTAAGCCGAGATTGCGCCACTGCACTCCAGCCTGGGTGACAGGGCGAGACTCTGTCTCAAAAAAAAAAAAAATTACAAATATAGAAAGGGAGAAAACTAGAATGAAACTGTGATAGGCTGGGATGGGAGGAAGTCGTGTGACCCCATGGTTTTGTAAAAACTTACACACATATATATATTCATGTGTGTGTGTGTATATATATAGTAATAGACTTAAATGTGGATACACATACACACATTCCTTAGCTCTAACTGCTTAGAGAGCCAGGGAGCAACAATACATCGATAGCAATGAGTGCAATAAATGTCCAGATCTTGGTTTCTAAACACCATTCTCCAGGAAAATAAATCAAACAGGCCTCCTTGGAGAAACAGCCAATTTCAGGACTGGGGCAGAGAGGGTACAGGATGTTAATCTGGAACTTTTTTAAATTTTTTTTTTTTTGAGACAGCGTCTTGTTCTGTTGCCCAGGCTGGAGTACAGTGGCTTGATCATATAGCTCAATGCAGTCTCCATCTCCCAGGCTCAAGTGATCCTCCCACCTCAGCCTCCCAAGTAGCTGGGACTACAGGTGCGCATCACCACACCTGGCTAATTTTTGAAATTTTTAATAGAAATGAAGTCTGGCTATGTTGCCCAGGCTGGTCATGAATCCTGAGCTCCAGTGATCCTCCTGCCTCACCCTCACAAAGTGTTAGGATTATAGGCGTGAGCCACTACACTTGACCTAATCTTAAACATCTTGAGCCAAAGAGCACACAAGTGCTGAAAGAATAATGGGAACATATTAAAGTAACACAGAACAGTCTGAAAGGACTCCCACTGGCCAAACGAGATCATTTCAGCATCAAGATAAATGATAGTAACAGATTATAACTCCTTGATCATGATTTCATACAGATATAAACGAATGAATAAAATGTCTGATGAGGAACAGTATAAATATTTTCAAAGTACCTCTGCACAAAATACTTTTTTTTTTCTTCAGACAGAATCTCGCTGTCGCCCAGGCTGGAGTGCAGTGGCATGATCTCGGCTCAACGCAACCTCCGCCTCCCAGGTCCAAGCCTCAGCCTCCCAAGTAGCTGGGATTACAGGTGCACACTAACACGCCCGGCTAATTTTTGTATTTTTAGTAGAGACGGGGTTATGCCATGTTGGCCAGGCTGGTCTCGAACTCCCGGCCTCAAGCGATCTGCCCACCTCGGCCTCCCAAAGTGATGGGATGATAGGCATGAGTCACTGTGCCTGGCCCAAAATACTTTCAAAGGGAAGGGTAATTTTACAGTGGGGAAGCAAGGAAAAAAC
The DNA here is from genome assembly GCF_000001405.40 of Homo sapiens. Lineage (NCBI taxonomy): Eukaryota > Metazoa > Chordata > Mammalia > Primates > Hominidae > Homo > Homo sapiens. The sequence goes on along the minus strand of NC_000023.11, from coordinate 41,174,658 downwards.
TCAAGTGATCACAGTGATCATCGTCAGTAATGGGAAAAATTGAAATTACATACTATCTGACTGGAAGCATTGAGAAGAACAGAACATCGCTTCTGTGGTATTTCTGCCAAAGACGCATAACCTGAATACAATCATGATAAAACAAATCTAAACTGAAGGACATTCTATAATTAACTGGCCTGTAATCTTTAAGAGTCAAGGTCATGAAGGTCAAAGACAGTATGAGGAACTGTTTCAGAAGGAAACTAAAGAGATACATTAACTAAATGCAATACAGTTATTCCCCGGTATCCATGGGGGGTGGGGGTGCAGGGATGGTTTCAGGATCCACCCTCCCAACACCAAAATCCAGGGATGCTCAAATACCTTATATAAAATGATGTGGAATTTGTATACAACCGATGCACATCTTCCTGTATAAATTATCTCCAGATTACAGTCACGTGTTGCATATGTTCTGAGAAATGCATCATTAAGTGATTTCATCATTGTGTGAACATCATAGGGTGTGTTTACAACAAATCTGGATGATACAGCCTACAACATATCTAGGTTATATATGGTATAGCCTATTGCTCCTAGGCTATAAACCCATACAAGCATGTTACTGTACTGAATACTGTAGGCAATTATAACACAATGGTATTTGTGTATTTAAACATAGAAAGGGTACAGTAAAAATATGGTATTATAATTTTATAGAACCACCATTGTATATGTGGTCTATCACTGACTGAAACGTCATTATCTGGTGCCTAACTGTACATTGTATTAGGTAACACCTAATACAATGCTTACACATAGCTTCATTCGTGTGGATTCAACACAGTACTCAGCATGTGGCAAATTCAAGTTTTGCTTTTTGGAACTTTCAACAATGTTTTTTCCCCCAAACATTTTCAATCCACAGTTGGTTGAATCCATAGATCCAGAACCCATGTATATGGAGGGCTGACTATATCTGAGTTTGAACTATATCTTTTTGCTGTGAAGGAGATAACTGAAAACACTCAATAGAGTCTGCTAAGTAGATGGCAGTAATGAATCGACATTAATTTCCTGGTATAGATGGCTTAATTTTGCTTATACAGACAAATATCCTTGTTTGTAGGGAAAGTATTTGGTGGGCGATGGGACTACAAAAACCAGTAAATTACTCTCAAGTGTTCTTGAATTATACTTCTAATTTTTCTGTAAGATTGTAAGTATTTCCAAAAAATACATTTAAAAAATTTTTAGGTTGTATAGGCTTGAATGATCTGCCAAAACTCTACTTTTTCCCCAAAAGCCCTACTATTTTTAGTGCATAATTTTGCCGAACATTAGGTTTTAAAGGAACACACATATATTAGAACATAAATGCAAGAATGTGTTAGTGAAAAACAAAATCCTGTATATGGAAAAGGATCACTAAGGAGACAAAGGTCTTGAAATTTTAACACTAGAATATTTGGAGGGGAAAAGCCAACAGAAGAGCTGGAAAAGGTTAAAGAAGCCACCCCAAAGGTGGAATAAGATTAAAGAGAGAAGGGAAGAGAGAAAAGGTAAAATCAGATCTAGTAAATTCACCATCACACTTAGACATTTCAAAGACACACAAAACGCAAAATGCTGGTGAGAAAACTATCAAAGAATACAAATCTCTCTCAACTGAGGAAATCTCCAGGCCCACAGGTGACGCACCACAAAACAGACTTAACGCTAAGGCACATCATAATATTTCAAAACGTAAGGATAAAACCAAAACTTCCAGAAACGAAGGTCACATGCAAAGGAATAGAAACCAAGAGGACTTTGGTCTTCTCATCAGCAATGCCACCAGCCAGAAGGAATATATTTTCAAACCTAGGATTCTATACACAAACCATTAATCAAACGTGATAGTTTGCCCACATTCAGATAAAAAATATCTCAAAAAAAAGTATGTGGGAAGAATAAGTGATAGGTGTACAATCAGGAAAATAAAAGGGAAATTATTAAATCCAGGATAAAAGTTGTCAGTGATCTAGAGAACTATATTTCAAACAATCTTGGAAACGTAGATGTTGAATCTGGATTTAAGCAAATACTGGGAGGATGTGGGGGTATGTAACAGTTAAGTTTTCATCTACACAGCAGAAAATCAGTATATATCTGTAAGTAACAAAGAAATAGCTGTATGAGGACACTCCAGACATAATGGTACATATATATACTAAAGTAAAAGCGAGAAGTTGGAAGTGGTTGTTTCTAAGGATAAAAAAGGAACAATACCGCAGATGACACATGACCCATATTATAGTCCAGGTATAGGCAAACATTTTCTGTAAAGGGCCAGGAAAGTTAAGCAGTTTAGGCTTGTGAACCATATGGCCTCTGCCACAACTCCTGGGCGGTGCTATTTTAAGACAAAAGCAGTCATGTAGACTGAATGTAAACAAATGAGCCTGGTTTTGATCATGGACACTAAAATTTAAACTTCATATAATTTTCATGTATCACAAAATATTATTCTTCTAGATTTTTTTTTTGTAGCCACTTAAAAATATAGCTCTTGGGATGCACAAAAACAAGCAGGGGGCTTGATGTGGCTTGTGGGCTGTCATCTGTCAACTCTTGTTATAGTCTATACCAAAAAGCACGGTCCATTTAGAAACAGAATTTGCTAATATACTCCTTTATTGTCCAGCAAGTACTTGATCATCATTTAAAAATTCTTACCTGGCGGCATAAGTTTCATAAGTACTCTTGCTCCATCTCTAAGGGGTGGCATATTTAGGCTGCTACCTAAGTCTGCAACTTGCCAAAGAAAAGAGATGTATCTGGGATGCAGTGACATTATCTAGAATATAAAATACACAAAATAATTACCTCTAAATTATTTACTCCCGTTTTATAAAAGCCCAAGTAAGTTTCTCTGTGTTAATCCCTATACTTTTACTTATGAAATTTCTACTCTTTGAAATAGTCTGACTTTCCCATCTTTTAATCCCTACAAATCCTTAATAGTGCAGATCAAATACATCATCAAGTCACTTCCAGTCATTTTTTTGTGATAGCTCCTCTCCTGTTCTATTAAACCATTTCTCTCATATATACAATTTAGACTCTGGACATAACAAAAGGCTGCCATGCCCACTACCAAATTCTTAATCCAGTTGTTATAGAGAGCCAAATCCTCCTGACACTGGAGTGGCTGCTACTATTGTAACCATTAAAATTTCTGTCGGGAGGGGCGAAAGGAGAGCTTAAAAATATTTCTTTGGCTATATGTTACTGACAATCTGATAAAGATTACAGGTATTTTCCTACATAGTTCTTGTTTTCATTTATTTATATTTTTAGAGATGGGGTCTCACTCTGTTGACCAGGCTAGAGCATAATGGCACAATCGCAGCTCACTGCAGCCTAGAACTCCTGGGCTCAAGCAATCCTCCTGCCTCACAGCCTCCCCAGTAGCTGGAATTACAGGTGTGAGCCACCATGCCCAGCTCATATATAGTTCTAAAAGAACTATCCGTTTTGTGGTATAAATTTTAGAAAGTGATACAGCTGACTCTTGAACAACACAAGTTTGAACTGCACAGGTCCATTTACATGCAGACTTTTTTCCCAATCAAATGTGGACAGAAAATTCAGTATTTCCAGCAAGCAAAACCCAAGTATATGGAAGGCTAACTTTTTGTATATCTGGTTGCACAGGGTCATCTGCAGCATTTTGGGTATATGCAGAGGTCCTGGAACCAATTCTCCACGTATACGAGGGATGACTGTTTTCCTCTAAATTTATACATCCAATAGTGTTATAATTAAGCTCTAATTGGTTAATTTTATGTAAAAGTAACAATACTATACCTATGGGGAAATTATGTTTTAAATTCCAACTGTGTTACAATTACCTTTTAGAGGGATCCATTCTGAAGTTGGTGGTTAACTGTATTTTTTTGTCTCATTAAACTGTAAGCTCCTCAAGAAAAGAAAGAACCACTCTATATACTTTATTCTCAAAAACCCTAGCATGATGCCTTACATACAGTAGTTCAAAACTGTATCTACTCACCACTCCAGGCAAACAGCTTTCCACTTCTGGATTGGGACCATCACTGTAATGATTACCATGGTTTCCAGGAGATCCAGTGGAGGAATCAGAAGAGCTATCAGGGCTTGAAGGCATATTGGAACTTATCTGTGTAAGTTTGGCTGTAATAAGCTGAAAATTATATACTATGTTAATATCAAAAACAAGGAAAAATACTTACACAAAACACAAAACTTAGTGATATACCAACCAAAAAATCCGAAAGACTACATGCTATACTTTAATGCTATAACTCTAACACCTAACACAGTCCCAAACATAACAAATGCTCAATTAGTATTTACTGATTAAACGATAGTCTCTGGTTTGATTTTATTGAAAAATCTGTTAACTATACATACATACCGATTTATCTTTTAAGTTTAATTGTCCAATCAACTTTCTATCATCTGCAGGATCTATCAGCTCACCGCCCACAAAGAGCTCAATTTTTGTATGGGCTACGTTGGCTTTAATACGATTGAGAATACATCGTCGTACTGAACCAATTGTATCATTTGTATGAGACCATACCTCCAAGTCATCAACCTGTCTGCCCTGGTTTGGAAATCGAACTACAAAAGAGAGGTGTTTACCGCGGAATGCTCTGGGGGGAAAAAGAAAGACAGACATCATCATATTCAGCAGACTCTGAAATTTTGTTGCCAAGAAAATAATGCTGGGGATTTAACACTAAGTATTTTCTTATTAAACAAGAGGATGTGAATTAAAGATACTTAATACAGCTTGAGAATCCCTTATATGAAATGTCTGGGACCAGACAAATTTTGGATTTCTTGGATTAGGGATACTCAACCTGTATTACTTTCAGTATCTTGAAAATAAGGCCAGGCATGGTGCCTCATGCCTATAATCCCAGCACTTTGGGAGGCCGAGGCGGGTGGATCACTTGAGGTCAGTAGTTCGAGATCAGCCTGGCCAACATGGTAAAACTCCATCTCTACTAAAAATACAGAAAATAAGCCAGGCTTGGTGGTGGGCGCCTGTAATCCCAGCTACTTGGGAGGCTGAGGCTGGAGAATCGCTTGAACCTGGGAGGCAAAGGTTGCAGTGATCCGAGACTGCACCACTGCACTCCAGCCTGGGCAACAAGAGTGAAATGCAAAAGAAAAAAAAATATTGCTCCTTTTAACTAAAAATATAAATAATATTTAAAAACATAATCATATTCTATTGTTGTTAGTCTTGTATCTATGGTTGCAGAAAATGAGGTGTCTACTAAAATGAAATTAAATCCAAGATATAACGCTTATTTTTATGCTGTAAAAGCCCAACTCACTAAGACTATTTTTAAATGTAAAAGGTTGGCTGGACGCAGTGGCTCATGCCTGTAATCCTACCACTTTGGGAGGCCAAGCAAAGAAGATCCCTTGAGCCCAGGAGTTCAAGACCAGCCTCGACAACATAGGTAGACCTTGTATTAATAAAAAAAAAAATTCAAAAAAAGAAGGTAGAGTTTACCTTTTACATTTAAAAGGTCGTTTTACATTTTGTTAAAAGCATCAACAAAAATGCCACAATGCACTTTATTTTTTTTCTGGAAAAAAGCCTTCATATCAAAATTCACTCCAAAATGCTATTTATATTGGTATAGTACCTTTTTTAAAGTAAAATACAAAATAAAAATCATATTCAAGAAGCAACTGTATATAATTTCATGATTAATAAACAAAACTCTTTAAAAAAAATGATGGCATTGACTACACAAAACATCCCAAAACTATAAACACCATTTGAAAATATTTGTTATATGCCATGCAAGGCAGCTTTTAAGAGCTCTTTACAGGCCAGGCACTGTAGCTCACGCCTATAATCCCAGCACTTTGGGAGGCCAAAGCAGGAGGATTTGCTTGAGCGTAGGAGTTTGAAACCAGCCTGGGCAATGTAGTGAAACCCCACCTCCACAAAAAGTCAAAAAAAATTAGCCAGGTGTGGTAGCCTGTGCCTGTAGCCCCAGCTACCTGGGAGGCTGAGGTGGAAAGGTCGCTTGAGCCCGCAGTGAGCCATGATTACACCTCGGCATTCCAGCCTGGGTGACAGAATAAGACCTTTTCTCAAAATAAACAAATAAACAAAAACACTTCAACTGCAAAATGCCACTGCAACACTTAATGAGTAATAATGTCAAAGACAAAAAGAAAACTAGAAAACAACTTAAGAATGCCTCACCCAAAAAACCAAAACAAAACCAGATGGGAGAGTGGGGGAGGTTATTAAAAAAAATTAGATGAAATGAAAATGTTTTTAATGGGCAAAGACAACAATTTTCAAACGAGAAAAATTTCTGCTCTCCTTTTACCAAATGGCTAGGAAAATATCAAATAATTAAGAATTAGCACCAATAGATTAGTTATTCACAAACCTCGACATAGGGAGAATTGTTCTTTCCTCATGATAATCACTGTCACATTCATTTATATATTCCCTTAAAACAGTTAATACTCGAACCATTCGAACAGCTTCCTGTCTTGCACAATTAACACTGTCTTTGTCACCATCCAAAACACACAATGTGTCATAGGAAGCCTTCAGACGATCAAAACAAGACTGAATGAAGTCTTCATGGATCACCACCTACAAATATCAGGCCAAATAAACACAGTTAAAATTGCTTTAAAATGTAAAAACCAAATATTAATCCAATTAAAGATGGCAATGGCTGATTTAATTGTAGCACTCAATTAACAACAGTCATATTTAAGTAGAGAATCCATACAATAATAAAATGTATGTTTATTAAAAGGAAGCTAGCATTACATAAGTTAACAAACATAAATTAGTCAAAAGTGAACTTCAGGATTAGGTGTTAGCATCAAAATGAATTCACATAGACTTTCTTTGCCATTTCAACATCTAATAAATAGTTATATTAAAAATAACCCAATCACTTCAAGACAACTAACAAGGCAAGATTCATTTAGATAATATTTTTTCTCTTTTGTATAAGAGAAATGGGGGCCGAAAGAATTATATATGGAAGTTTTAATGCACATCAATCCTCACCTGATTGACTTGTAGTCTTGGACCAAGGTTCGTGTATATCTCTTTGAGGAGATCTATAGCTCTGCTGGCAATATCATCATTACTCTGAATCACGACCTGGTTTCAAAATGATAAAAGTATTCATCCCTTTCAACATATATTTTTGTTGGGCATTTAAATTCAAACCATATCCTCAGTTATCTTAAACACACTATTCAATGATTTAATGGTAAGTTGACTTTGATAATCAAGTAAAATTAAGTGAGAAGCACAGACCAAAAGAAAGGGTAATAAATGCAAAATGAAAGTCTCTGAATAATTTAAGAATGAAAGGTACATTTTTGTAAAAATAAAATACGCTTTGACCACTATTATTTAACCCTATAATTTAATATCTTGATAACCAAGTGAGACACTCAAGAAGAAATTCAAATTAGTTGACAGGAAATAAGAGATTACATGAAACACAGTTTAGCATAAAGGACTACTCTACCCCCAGTTTCTATAAATCTTTATCACTCATCTAATTACATTAGTGGTTTCCAAACTATGTTCAGAACCCTAGGGGACTTTGAGGAAGTGTTTCAGTGTTGGCCCCTATAAAAGGGTTGGGGAGGGGAAAGGGGATAAGCATGGGGAGACCAAGTAAGAAAACATATTTTCCTTGTTCAATTCAGTTTACTTTTGTAGTGTGGTGCAAATTTTGAGTTTTAAGATGTGTTTCTGCTGTTAAAACAATGTTGAAAACCACATACTTAATTAAAAGCTTTTAAATACTCAAATGCCACAATAAACATCTTTATCTATGGTTTGCAGGAAAATATGTGAGACATCCAAACAATATAAACTGCTGTATAACAGGTCAGATTAAAGATAGGCATAATAGAGTAGTACTATAAAAATAGATTAGCCTTAAAAAGATAGTATTTTATTCCCCCAGGTATTTAAAAATATCACAAGGTAAACAGTGCCAATAAAGCATATACTCATAATCTATACTAAACACAAGTCCTCTCTTCTGTCCTCTATTTTAGTGTTAAACATTGAAGAGGAGGAAACAGATCGACACTGAATGAAAACTCGGGAAGGAACATTAATATCCACGGGGGAGGAATGAAAGATTTGTATGTTTAGTGCACATCTATGGAATACACAGATACTAAGCTAAGACAAAAGGAACATCAGTGGCAGGAGGAGGGAGAGGAAGAGAGAAGAAAAAGCCCACTGACAGGTGACATAATAAAAATGAACAATTCCTAACTACACCAAATTCCTGAGACAAACATCAGAGTAAAATACACAATTTATATGCAAAATTACAATTCCTTACGTACATGAAAAAGTACATCAGACACCATTTACAGAGTTCCTACTTTTGACTTACCCTCCAAAGGTAATCTAATCCTATTAACTCCAAGTCATCCATCATATAGGCTCTCCTTTTTGCTACTAGTTTTCCTTCTCGACAATTCACAGCTTTGAAGAATCGCTCAAAACACTTCATTCCATTTTCAGTTAACAGAGAAGGATCAAGCTGAAGCACATTACTTTCAAAGAAGTCCTTATTAATATCAGGATCTAAGTCTGGTTCATCCCCCATCAACTTGGAATACCACTTAAAACAGGCTTCACGATCACAAAGGTAAACTGCATTCTCAGCTAAGCATTTCCATATTTGTTTTGCCTGAGGAGCACATAGCCACAGCTGACCATCCTTCAATAAAAATCTTGAAAAAACATTGAAAATTGGCAATTAGATTTATGTAATTTTTATCCGGAAAGGCAATCTGTATTACCTATAAAATACATTTATCACCATTATATTTTAACTATAGATAAAAAGATATTCATTCTTTCAAAATAACCTATTTCTCTACTTTTATCTGGTACTAAAAAAAAATCCCCACTAGATATTAATTAATTCAACAAGCACACACTGAACACCCACTTTGTGCCTGAAATGCAGCTAGCTGAATTAGGAATAAAAGATTCATTCCATGAACCTTTAGTTTTTGAAACCAGACTTTTGGAAAGAAGCATGTTTAGTAGCTTGAGTTAAAAATAAAAGACTTAGGCTGGGCACAGTAACTCACGCCTGTAATGCCAGCACTTTGGGAGGCTGAGGTGGGCGGATCACCTGAGGTCAGGAGTTTGTGACCAGCCTGGCCAACATGGCAAAACCCCATCTTGACTAAAAATATAAAAATTAGCCGGGTGTGGTGGCTCATGTCTGTAGTCCCAGCTACTGGGGAAACTGAGGCATGAGAATCAATTGAACCCGGGAGGCGGAGGTTGCAGTGAGCCAAGACTGTGCCGCTGCACTCCAATTAAAGATGGCAATGGCTAATTTAATTGTAGCACTCAATTAACAACAGTCATATTTAAGTAGAGAATCCTGGGTGAGACCCTGTCTCCAACAACAACAACCAGAAAAAAGACTTAGCAGCCTGCTTATATGGCATCATTGAAAAATGAGGTATTCAATCAAGTGACTTTCACAAATAACTAATCCATCAATATTTATGAGTTAAAACTGCTTAACTTTTCAAAGGTTTTCCATTTTTTTGTTTTTTTCTAAAGATGGCATAGACCCTTCTTCAAATGAAAATCCCATTTGGAATCTGATATATATTTTAAAAAGTAGAGCTGCACCAGTTGTTGGGAGAGGAAAAAGAAAGGAAAAATCGGGAAACTTCCTACTGCTTGTTCAGAAATCTTCAAGGAACTTAACTCAGAAGCCCTAAAGCTCCTACGTAAGTTTGAAAAACTACCGGTCTAATAGGAAGAGCACAGACTTAAGTAAAAGAGACCTAGTTGAGTAGTGCAATTCCATCGTATACTGGCTGTGATATTTCAAACAAGCTACCTTAAGCCATTGGAATCTTGGGTTTCTTACTGATCAGATGGGAGTAACACCTGCTGCACTGTGTTGCTTCGGAGTAAATATAAAGTGTCTGGCACAGGCCCAACACACAGCAGGCATTAAAGTCAGGTTCCTCTTCCTTGAGTTAGTTGCTATTAGCTCACATACAGAGGTACTAACAGAGTAGAAACTACAATAGTTCCTCTGATTCCAAACTTTAAAATGGCAAAAAGGCTTGAAACCACTTTTCTGTTCTAGTAAACCTAAGAGACATATAACACATGCCAATCAGTAACGACTGCTTACTATGGCAGTAACTCTCAATGTGGGGAGGAGGCAAGTCCTTCTATCCAGGTGGTTAAAAACAAAACACACAGGAAAAAAAAAAACAATGCACTTTAAACAAATGCCAAATTTCTTAAAATTTGGTAGAGGTTTTTCCTCAAAATCATTATATAGCTACTTAAAATTTTCTCCATAAATAAGCACAGAGTTCAATAAATAGAAATCCATAATTAACACAGCCCAGGACAAAACTACCCAGAATATGTTATTAAAATAAATGGGGCCAGGCACGGTGGCTTACACCTTAATACCAGCACTTTGGGGGACCGAGGCGGGCAGATCACGAGGTCAAGAGATAGAGACCATCCTGGCCAACATGGTGAAACCCCGTCTCTTCTAAAAACACAAAAATTAGCTGGGCGTGGTGGCGCATGCCTGTAGTCCCAGTTACTTGGGAGGCTGAGGCAGGAGAATTGTACCTGGGAGGTGGAGGTTGCAGTGAGCTGAGATCTCACCACTGCACTTCAGCCTGGCGACAGAGTGAGACTCCGTCTCAAAAAAATAAGATAAATAAATAAAATAGACTTCAAGAAGCAGTGATAATCTGGGCATTTCTGTTAGCACACTTGTAATCTAAACAAGCTCTTTTGCTACATGTGGTTTTTTGAATTCAAAAGGAACCTCTCATTTAAAAAAAAAATTTTTTTTTTTTTTTTGAGACAGGGTCTGGAGTGCAGTGGTGCAATCACAGCTCACTGCAACCTCCGCCTCCGAGGTTGAAGTGATCCTCCCACCCCAGCCTCCCGAGTACCCGGGACTACAGGTGAACACCACCATGCCTGGCTGATTTTTGTATTTTTTTTTAGAGATGGGATTTCGCCATGCTGCCCAGGCTGGTCTTGAACTCCTGGGCTCAAACCATCCACTTGCCTTGGCCTCCCCAAGTGTTGGGATTACAGGTGTGAGCCACCGTGCCTGACCATCAAAATTTTTAACAAAGGCACTTTGCACATCTGTTAAGTGTATGATCACCAAACGCTAAATATTGCAGAGAAAATCCAGCCCTAGACTACATTTTATCTTAATAAACCTTTTCCCCTCAAGCCAATCAGAAATGATATTATTAACACATGACTTTAGATTGCCTGTCAGCCACTGTTAGAATAAACAAGATACCAGAGGACTCCAACCACTCTTTTGAGGTGCTGGTCTAGCAGCCTTTTGCCCCCGTTTCCTTAGTGTCTATGATATCATTAAGTCAGTATAGTCCTCCTTCCGGTTGTGTCAAAATATGGGAATTTGCCCTTTAAAAATAAACATTATTTCCAGCATAAACAGATATGAAGAACGAAGTCAATTCTAAAGGTTAAAATGTGTTCTCTTAAAATATTGCAACAAAGTTAAAACTCAGCGAATCATTTTAAAGTATTTAGTAACAAATACAGGGAAATGTCTTACATGACTTGGGGACTTGGGAAAAGGCCACCCAACAAAGACCAAGCTATACAGTCTATTCATTCTGTATTCCTTATCTTTTTCTTAAAGAGAGCAACACTAACTGTATAAAACAAACCTAAGGAAGTTAAGCCGTTCTTGAACTTCTTGAACATGACTATATCTACTTCCCAGCCTCACAGTTTGTGGGTCATAATCTTCATGGTCTGCAAATTAAGAAAAAACCATGCATTATACACATGGATAACCCAAATCACTGCTTTGACTTCAACCAAAGAAATTAGGCCAGTTAAAATGTCACTAATCCTTTATCATTAAAAGGCAACCTAAATTCTACCAGTTGGTGGTTTCTATCCATCTCCTGTTTTCCCCACAAAAATACGTTCCTGTTACATAACCAAAACAAAATAATCTGTTAAATATGCTATCAAAAATAATTATTCAGCACAACCCCTTCGTGCAACCTTCACACACAATGAAGCAATTCATGATTGCAGCCTAAGACTGACCTAAGTGGTCTATGAACTGATAAGGAAGACAAAATTTTTTTCTTCAATTTCTTACCTGTTATATTGAAAGGTGTTTTCATGAAGAAAAAATTATTTTGGTATAAAAATAAATATTACTAATTTACACCTAAGAAGTGAGGGTAACACAAGATGCTACTCTACATGACCAAGTTATCATACAATTGTCACCATTACCATGTTAATGTCCAGAATGTGTCATTTTCCTTCAGCATTAATTACTATATTTCCATATCAGATCCCAGACCCTATGGTATGTGCAAGCTATTGTTAAAGATTCTAATTATGTAAGCTCTTTTGGAAATCAGTAATCAAATTCTTCAAAACATTGATGTTTCTTCTCTGAACAAACTCCTGATGTGTTATAAAGATGGGACATTCATAATGTCTGGAAACATATTTGGTTTTGATGCTTTGGTAAAGAAAAAAGCCCCATATATTACGACCAAACTACTTTCTAATTCCACATATATTGGAATATGCAAACAGGCATAAACACTCTACTTTCAGGAATGCATATTTCATCAGAGATTGGGACTTAAAGGACTACTTCAAGAGGTTTTCTTAAGAAACTGGAAAGAAAATCAAGTTTTAGCTCATGCCTGTAATCCCAGCAATTTGGGAAGCCCAACCCAGGCAGTAGTATTGCTTCAGGCCAGGAGTTCGAGACCAGCCTGGGGAACATAGCAAGACCCTGTCTCAAAAAAAAAAAAGTGAGAGGATGGTTTGAGCCCAGGAGTTCAAGGCTGTAGTGAGCTATGATTGCACCACTGTACTCCAGCCTGGGCAACATCAAGACCTTGTCTCTTTAAAAAAAAAAAAAAAAAAAAAAAGGCAGGGCGCCATGGCTCACGCCTGTAATCCTAGCACTTTGGGATGGCAAGGCAGGCGGATTACCTGAGGTCAGGAGTTCGAGACCAGCTTGGCCAACATGGTGAAACCCCGTCTCTACTAAAAATACAAAAATTAGGCATGGTGGCAGGCGCCTGTAATCCCAGCTACTCTGGAGGCTGAGGCAAGAGAATTGCTTGAACTCGGGAGGTGGACGTTGCAGTGAGCCAAGATTGTGCCACTACACTCCAGCCTGGGTAACAGAACGAGACTCCGTCACCAAAAAAAAAAAAAAAAAAAAAAAAAAAGGCAAGAATTCTCTTATACTCTTTACCTGTATTCACCAATTGTTTACATCTTCCTCCATTTGCTTCATTAGTTGCCACACATGTAAAAAATACACACATACACGTGTGTGCATAATCTTTATAAACCATTTAAGAGTTGGACATATGTCCTTTTACCCTTAAATACTTCAATGAGTATTTCCAAATAACAAGAAAACTACACTAGTAAAATACTACCATCATCTAACCCAGGGTTTCCGTTACTGACGTTTGGCCAGGTAATCTTCGTTGTACAGGACTGTTCTGTCTAGGACTGCACTATAGGTTACTTAGTAACATTCCAGGCTTCTACCCACCCCTCAACCCCAGTTTAAGACAGCTCCAGACACTGTCAAATAGCCACCTCCACCCCCTCGGAGGAGCACTGATTTAATCCATGGTCCATATTCGAGTTCATCAATTTTCCCAATAACGTCCTTTTACATCTTTTCTACAAAGCCCAAGATTAAATATACATTGCATTTGGTTTTCATGACTTTCTATTCTTTAATCTGCAGAATTAATCATCCTTTGTGTTCTTTGACCTTTTTGAAAACTGGAGGTCAATTTTGTTGAAATGTCACTCAATTTGGGCTTCCATGCCACTTCGTCATAATTAGATCAGTCTAAGCATTGTGGCGAGTAACACAGAAGGGAGGCAGGTTTCTCTGATGTAAAGGTACTATTTTGCTCTTTGTAATTAATAAGTAATTTGTAGAGAGAGACTTTGAGGCTATGTAACTATTTTGTTAAACTTTTGCCCACTAGTTTTAGCTAACAACCCACCTCCCTTTTTTTGTTTAGGTGCTAACACTTTACTTATGAAGAACTGGGACCCTGCACAAAGAGTAGAACTTTGGAAACATTCAGCTGACAGCTAATCAATAAAAGTCAAGAAATAAGATGCCTTTATGCTAAATAGGAATGAAGAGGCCCTCTTACTACAGAGAAGCTTCCAAGCTGTCAAGACAAATTTATATATATATATATGTATATATATAAATTGGTAGTTTAGTAGTAAATATTCAGTTCAAAACAAATACCTGGACTTGTTAGCTAGCAGTCAAATGAGGAGGATAATCCACTTTTGACTCATATTGTCTAGGTGGCAAATATCCCGCTGAAAACAGCAGGAAGAATTAGATGAGACTAAATTACTCAGATGTCTATGAAAATAGGTAGGAAGAGGTAGTGAATCATGGCTGAGACTAACATAAATTGGTTCTTGTCATCATAAACAGCAAGTTTTCTAGGGCCCATTTTAGAACTTATTTTAAAAGTTCATTTAAAAAAAAAACATCGAGTCATAAAGTACCATAAAATCTATCCATTTAAATACAATTCAATTTTTTTAGTACAGTTGTATAATCATCATCACAATCTAAGTCTACATTTTTCCTCACCCCAAGAAGAAACCCTGTACAAACCACCCTCTCCCTTTGTTCTCCCTGCTTAAGTCTGAGGCATTTCATATAAAAATGGAATCATGGCTGAGCACAGTGGCTCATGCCTGTAATTCCAGCACTTTGGGAGGCTGAGGAGGGCTGATCATCTGAGGGCAGGAGTTTGAGACCAGCCTGGCCAACATGGCGAAACCGTTTCTACAAAAAAAAAATTAGCCGGGAATGGCGGCATGTGCCTGTAATCCCAGGTACTCGGGAGGTTGAGGCATGATAATCACTTGAACCCAGGACGCGGAGGTTGCAGTGTGCCGAGCTGGCGCCACTGCACTCCAGCCTGGGCGACAGAGCAAGACTTCATCTCAAAAAAAAAGAAAAAAAAAAAAGAATCATGCAATATGTGGTATTTTTCTGACAGACTTTTTCCCACTTAGCATAATGTTTTCAAAGTTCATTCATGTTGTACAGATTTATGTATACATTTTACTTGGGTATGTAACTGGGAATGGGTAATATGGTAAATTCTACGATTAATATTTTGCAAGGTGGGTGCCACTCTACAATCCCACAAGGACTATATGAATGCTCCAATTTCTCCATAGCCTCATCAACATTTACTGTTGTCTTTTTTGTCACCCTAGTAGGTATGAAGTAGCATTATCTCACTGTGGTTCTGATTTTCATTCCCCTAATAACTAATAATACTAAGCATCTTTTCAAGTGCTCATTGGCCATTTGTATGCCTTCTTTGCAGAAATTTCTATTCAGATCCTTTGCATCCATTTCTTAATTGGGTTGTCTACTTCTTTTTCTTGCCTAGTTATCCTGGCTAATGCCTCAAGCAGAATGTTAAATAGAAGTGGTTGGAGTGGACATCTTTGTCTCATTCTTGTTCCTAGGGGGAAAGCAACCAGTTTTTTACCATTAATTAGTATGAGGTTAGCTGTGGGTTTTTTGGGACAGTCTTGATCAGGTAGAGGAAGTTCCCTTCTATTCCTAGTTTGAGCCTTTCTATATTGAAAAGAGGCTGGATTGGACAAATGCTTTTTCTGCATCTATTAAGATGATATGTGCTTTTAGTAGTTTCACTATTGTTGGATGGAGTATTCCACAGATGTCTGTCAGGTCTGTGGCCTGTTAGAAACGGGGCTGCACAGCAGGAGGTGAGCCCCCCACCCCCCAGTCCGTGGAAAAACTGTCTTCCACAAAACCAGTCCCTAGTGCCAAAAAGGTTGGGGACTGCTGGTTTATAGTATTCAAGTATTTTTTTCCTGCAAATTCGGAACACTCTGTCTGATGTCACTTGTTTTGGGCCTAATTACTTCCTTTAGGGTGTCTTGTAAGCCAAGTCTTAGAGCAACAAATTCTCTCAGTCTTTGTTTATCTGGGAATATCTTCAGCTTGCCTTCAGATTTTAAAGACTGTGCTGCTGAATGTAAAATTCTTGGTTGTCATGTCTGTCCCCCAACCCCAGCACTTTGAATATGTTGTCCTACTGCCTTCTGGCCTCAATGTTTCTGATGAGAAGTCAGCGGTTAATTTTTATTGGGGTTTCCTTGTGCAGGAAGACTCGTTTTTCTCTCACCACCTTCCAATTGTTCTCTCTGACTATAATGTGTCTCAGTCTGGGGCTCTTTGCATTTACCCTATTTGCAATTCTTTTTTAAGCTTCTTGTCTGCCATCAAATTAGAGACGTTTTCAGTGACTATGTCTCTTTCTGTCACTCTCATTCATCTGGTATTCCCATTAAAATTAATGTTGGTCCCCTTCATGGTACCCAATATTTCCCTGAGATTCTGTTCACTTTTCCTGTGTTCTTCAGATTGCATAATTTCTACTAATCTATCTTCAGGTTCACTGATTCATTCTTCTGCCAGCTCAAATCTATTGTTTAGCCCCTCTTATGAATATTTCATTTTGGTTATTATACTTTTCAAGTACAAAATCTCTACATGATTTTTTAAATAAAAAATAATTTCTCTTTACTATCCTCTAATTTAGATTAGACATTGTCATCATACTTTAAAAATTCTTTAGACATGGTTTTCTTCAGTTCTATGAGCATATTTGTAATTCAAGTCTTTGCTGTCAAGTCTGTCTGCAAAGCCCTCCATTTGGCCTCCTTCAAAGGCAGTCTCTGCGTCAGTCTACAGGTCCCATCTTCCCATTTGTTTGCATGCCTCAATTTTTGTCATCAAAATCTGGACATGTTAGATATGCAACAACAACCTGAATACTGATCTCCCTTCCCCCACCCGTTTGCTTGCTTGTTTAGTGACTGGGCTATGACTATGGGAAACAGAAATATGACTATGGGAAATAAGGGCTATGGCTATGGGATATAGTGACTGGGAAATAGACTTCATAGTCTATTTCCCTCACAGTGCACAGCTTCCGACAGCTCTGCCCCCATGTTTTCCTCCTTCTTTTAATCCTTTAGCCTGCCTACCTAGGAGTTGCCCCTGCATCAGTATAAGCCCCTTATTGGCCAAACGCTGTGTTTAAGCCTCCTTGACTAGTAGATTTTTACCCTTTACCACTGCATGTCTGTGTGGCTTGGAGGCTGCTATCACACCACTCAGAAAGTTTATGTTTTTGTCCTATGCTCATTCGGAGACTAGCAGCTTGCTTGTTCCCTTCTCAATCACTCCAGCAAGGATGCAGCAAGTCTTCCAGACTGCCAGGGATACATGTAATTTTCATGTCTGGCTTCCTAAGAGTTGCCCCTGAGTCGGGGTAGCTTATTATTCACCCAATGCTTTGTTTGGTCAGAGCTGTATTTAAGTCCACTGTACTGGTGAGGCTTTCACCCTTTGCTGACGGATTGACATGAAGCTTGGGGAATGTTTTCAATTTGTCCCGTGTCCAGTTCTGATTGTTTCTGCTTAGGTGAAGCCTAATGCATACACGTAGCATTCCTGACCCCCAGGGTTGACTGTGATCACAAGAGAGCTTGTCTTGGCCATCTCTTTATCTAGATCTTTCTGTTAAATTTCTGGTTGCTCATCCTGTGACTTGCTGATACCAGTATAAGGGAGCCACAAGCACTCTCCTAATTCTTCATCACCCAAATCTCCATTTGTGATAATACCCTTAGGCACAGCACGGTCTGGTCCAAAGAAAGTTGGTCCCTTCAAGCACAACTGCTGAGCACAGCATCCTCACACCTTCTCTCTCCATCTGGACAGAACATCTATGTTACTGTTCAGGAGATAGAGGGAGGACAGCAGCTAACTTCTCCCAAAATTATATCCCTGCCTTAAGAGCAGGTGCTGGTGTTGGGTGTGTGGGATCAAACTCTGATTTTTTCAGATTGCACTCCCTGACATATAATGTCCACCCTGTGAGCAAGCCAGGTTGGGGATAATCAGAGCCCAATATTCTCAGCCTGCCATGCCTTAAGTAAAGCATTTATCCTACAAGCAGGCACTGAATGGGGTAAGGGAGTCTCAGTTTTCTTGGACATGACTGCCTGGAACAGAGCTTCTGCCACATACGACTGAAAAGGATCAGAAATGCCAGTAGCCCACACCACCTCATGTGGTCAAACTACAGCCCTAGACTGGCAGCCTCAGGGAAGGAGCCCCTGCTTCTTAGTCACACCTGCCTGGAGTAGAGTTTCCACACAAGAAAGCTGGATCTGAACATGGGAGAACAGAACAAGCTGTGGCTCAAATGCTACAGACTCTTGCTGTTTTGCAGATTTAATAGATTTTCTTGAGTGTTTTCCCATTTGCTATACTCCCTCTTAGGACAATTTTCAGGTACTCTAAATGACTATTGTTTATATTTTTCTCCGGTTAAATGGTTGTTTTGTTAAGGTCTGCTGAACATTTTATTCTGCCATTCCAGACGTGAAAATCCTCACCCCCTTGGGTTTATTTTCATCATATACTCTTCATTTGTTAGTTGGCATTTTTGTCTACATGAGTATTTTCATATTTTATTTTCATTACTAATTTTGACCTAATTATGGCCAGTGAAAGCCAACTCCTGTGTCCTTTTGACATGTCAACATGATCGTTGAGCACTTTCTTACTTTCTGGAATAGGATGGTCAAGGATCATGTGGTACTTTCCCTGTTCCACGCCTGGAAACAGCCGTTTCTCCAAGAAGGTACAAATTGTTCACAAAATGGATAGTATGTAATTATTTTTAAACCACAGAGAAGTCACACAGACTTAATAGTACTTCATAGTTGATGTAAGGAATGAGTCCTGAGAAAATCTAGCACAGGATCTGCACCCTAACATAGCACTGTTGGTGAATGACACTCATAAAGCAATCTTTTTGTGTGGAAAACGTTCCTAAAAACTGTTACTGTTGGATGGAAAAGACCGGGAAGAAGTAACAGAAGGTAGCATCCTAAGTAAACAGAGTGGAAAAATCTGACCTACAGTGAAGTTGGGTCATCCAACTCTATCCAGAAACAAGAAAAAATGGTAAATTAAACTTTCGGTAAGTATTGAAGTCAGTAGAATGACTATTCTACCAATGAGTTAAAACTTGAGTGAAAACTAAAAGGTGGTTTATACTTCATTGTATGCATATGAAAAACTTTTAAAGAATAATTTAAGTACCAGTGTATGAAAACACTTGTAGTGAGAACATGAGTAAATACTGTAGAGAATTTTACTAAGTTCATTCTTTTATCTAAATAATGTTTATAGGAGGTAAAATCAGCTGATCATGCTTACTGAGGAAATGTTTTTCCCCCAAAAGCTAAAGATGCTAGTGAAGATAAAATACAGGCAGCACAAACCATTGGTAAAATGGTTATCAGAAATTGAGAATATCAGTAAACTGTGAAAGCCTGATGTTATCATGCCAAGTAACCTAATGCCTCATAGCTAATGGGATTTGTCTATCACTTTTATTATAGAGGCAAAAACCATAATTAACTTTAGAATTGCAAATTTAGAAATGTTAGTGGATGTTACCACAGAAGTGATTTAACGTTGTAAAAAGTTTAATAGAAGAATTTTACTGGTTTTAAAAATTATTTGCCCCCACCCCCATATTTAACTATCTCCAGACTCATCAGTATTAATCAAGAGTAGTGTAATAAATTGGAAGAAGAAAAGGTACCAAGGTTAGGAGGAAAAAAAGGTATGATGTTAAAATTCAGAGGGGAATTTACTATGTGCCAGACATTATTCTAGCATAAATAACCTGCCCACAGTCATACAGCTAATATGTTTGGGTCATGTTTCAGACCTAGGCAACTATGCAGACTCACATCTCTCAGTTTGCAGATATACAGACAACATAAGGAGGAAAAACTGAAGAATGTAATCATTCCTGTGATAACGAAGTTGAGATGAGGCGGTAACTCAAGTAGAATTGTACTAAAATGTAGCAGAAAAAACCCTAGTGAGACAGCCGGGTTCCTGACCTCTGACAATGAAATTAAACACCACATGCAAATGAAGTAAATAAAAATTAGCATTAAAGCACGTATGAATTATATGTCTCCACTCTGGGGGAAGGCCCTCCTTGGCAACCATGAGGGCTGTGTACCACCAGGAAGAGATTATAATCATAATATACTAAACCCAAATGCTTGGGTATACTACACATAAACCTCTTTTTTATGTCACTGATTTTGAGTACCTTTGGTATAGAACATAAATCACATGGTTGTATTGCCTTGATCATTCTATTACACTGCTTAGAAGGAACCTAAGACTAAAATGCTAAGATCACTGTCTGTTCCTCATCAGCTGCCTAACATTTAGATTGCTTGTCTAGCTCTAACAATCTATTGGCCCCGAGGGGATAAATGGAAGAATAAAGAGTCAACACTATCACTGGGAGTATCAGAAGAGTTACTTAATTTTTATGTTTATCTGAATTTCATTGGGAAATGTACATAAGTATTAAGCAAAAATCTGGTAATTCTTAAGCACGAGGGGATTTTATTCAATAATGTCAAAAGCCTACTCCTCAAATAATGAGTATTATAAATATTCTCATTTTTAACATACACTATGGGCTTCTGCAGATCCTACATAACATGTTAAATGAATGGTAAGTTGAGTAATCAGTATGTTTAACTCTATAACTAACATTCGTAATACAGTATTTTCTTACATACTGCTCGGGAAACAAACTTGAAACAACAAAGTATCAGTGGGGAAAGGGGTATGAATTTGTCATAAGACAGAAGAGGAACAGTATATACTGAGAAGCCATCCCTACTCTTGCACACACAGACTGACATAACTGTCAAAGGGCAAAAGAGCACTGACACAGGGCTCCACACATGGCAGGCTAAGACTTACAATCAGGATCTGTTGAAATCACAGGAAACTTTATCCTAAACATGTTCAAACAATTTCACACTTTGAATGCCAATGTAAACATCTAGATTCTTACAGCCAGCCTCTCATCTCTACTCTTATGTTTTTTAAATTCATGGAGTCTTGAAGCACTTACAAAACATAGGCTTGGCATTATAAAAGAACTATAAAGTAAGAACAGACTTAGACAAAACAAGTTTCCTTTTAAAAAGCTAAAGGTGGTGGTAAAGGACATAAAGGTTGAAAATGAGCCAAGTACATTCCTAAGAAGGTAGCGATCAATCGTAAAAAAGGCAGGCAGAGCTCCCAAAGCAGAGAACAAAAATCTATTTAACAAAGAGAATGGGGGAAGGCAAGCACTTAGTGAAGACTCTTAAACTGCTGGCCTAGAGTTTAGGATGTCTAAGAGTTGGGAGTAATAGTGGATCTTAAATCCATAAAGGAACATGATTTACATTTCTAAGGTAATTAATGCAAAAAAAGGTCCCTGCTATTTCCCATAGTTTATTTTAGCTTACAATACATACCTCTAGCATATAGTCTCATGCTTTCCATGTAAGTTGCAAGGTTTTCTGCTACCAAAGTAACTAGGGCATGATTGTGTTGAAGTTGATTGATTAAGTCATGGCGATAAAACACATGGGGACTTCGCTGAGTTTGACTGAAACGAGAAGAACTTAACAATATAATTAGGCAATTAAACTCTGTTGTAACCAGAAGAGTTCGTACTATCTAAATTCTTAGCTACTGATGTAAAAACTTAAAAATTATACTTTTGTACATTTACTTCTTTTAATGAAAATATCACAACCAACTTAAACTCTTCAAAAGATAAGACATTTATTACATTATTATTTTACACAAAAAGCATCCATCACTATTCTCCAACTTCACCAAATGGGAGTATACCTCAATGACTAATGTCTATACTATAACTGTACCAAAGCACTTATGTTATGTAATTATTCCCAAAATTATAAAATAGAAACATTTTTTGCAAGACTAGCATCACAAAGATTATGCTACAGTTGTAAGGAAGAATTCAATCAAAGAAAATGCTCTTAGCATTTTCTTCTTATTAGCTATTTAAGAAAACATCCTGGGACACTCTGTTTGTAGCCAAGTTTGCCCACAGGTGTCACCACAAAGACTCATCTGTTTTGCTATCTTCATTGAAACCCTAATCTGTTTTGCTACCTTCACTGAAACCAATCAACTTTCACATCCACTACTACTATTTTAGGGGAGACAAGGCCACTGTTCTTGGGAGAGTATGTGAACTACTGTGTCTACTTCGAAAGATAAATGCATTCATTTGAGAAAGGCCGAAATATGTACGATGAGCCAAACATACTCAAAATATGCTCCTCAAATATTATTGTTAACGAGATATATGTCTCAATTTCTTACAGTGTTTATCTCTATAGCTTTTCCAATTTGCTAATTTTTTCTAGCCTTAGGGAAAAAAGTGAGACAAAGTTCAACTGTTTAAATAAAGACATATACATGACCTTTTCTATTTCTGTCTGAGGTATAATCATAGTAATCTAGAGCTGTAAAGGATCCTGGCAATCATTTAATCTTACATATAAAGAAAACATGTTTTTTGGTTTTGTTTTGTTTTTGTTTTGAGACAGTCTCACTCTGTTGCTCAAGCTGGAATGCAGTGCTGCAATCTCAGCTCACCGCAACCTCTGCCTCCCGGGCTCAAGCGATTCTAGTGCCTCAGCTTCCCGAGTAACTGGGACTACAGGCGCATGCCACCACGCCCGGCTAATTTTTGTATTTTCAGTAGAGACGGGGTTTCGCCATGTTGGCCAGGCTGGTCTCGAACTCCTGGCCTCAGGTGATCCGCCCTCCTCGGCCTCCCAAAGTTCTGGGATTATAGGCGTGAGCCACCGCACCAGGCCAAACATGATTCTTTACAGAATTTTTACAAGATTAAATTACTGGTTTGACACAAGATTCACACCTAGGAATCCTGACTCCACTGTGAATATTCCTTCTACTGCACCCTGCTCTCTTTCTCTTCACATTATTTTTCCTTTTCATGTTATCAGTTCCAACTGTATTACCAGAAAATAGGACAAATTATTTCAGTAACCAGAATATGACACCTAAGATAGTATAAAGACAGCTATTAAAAAGAAATTTAGCTAAAATAAATGTTTAAAAATTATGAAACTTTATCTTGTCATGTTTCATCAATTTAAATGTTCTTGTGGTCTAATCCATCTTTAAAGACATGCTATGAAACTTCTTGGCATACTTGCTGGAAATATAGTATGTATATAATAATAATTCTGAACCAAGAACCCAAAGGCAATATTACCTTGATTCTGATTTATCACTTAACTGTGGCTTACTTCCTCATTAATAAAAAAAAAGGAGGTAGATGTAATAAAGAATTCTTTTGTTCCAAACACTTCTTATATAGCCTCTTCTCACTCCACTAATTTAAAAATTTGCATTTGCCAGCCAATATGCTGTTTCTTTTCAATAAAGTACATAAATTTTAAGTATTGAAATTTTCTATGTTAAAAAGTCTTACCTCAAATTTTGAGGCGCTTCACCAAACAAACTACAAATTTCTCTAATTTGTTTCAGTGCGGGAATAACCCATTTGTCATTTGTGCGAAGTTCTTCTATAAAGCGATCTATCCATTGGATCTTTTGTGTATCACGGTCCTTAAACAAATGATTTCAATGTTTTAAATAGATCAATACTCAGGAGAATTTTATTTTCAAATTATTTTGAGAATTATAAAATAAAAGCTTTTCTTTTAAGATTAGCAATACAAGCATCATGTTGTAATTACAGTAAAGAGTTTAATTTAAATAATAAAAGCTTTAAGTTTGTTTTTATTTCACACTTACTACCAGAACTCCAAAAAGCCCAGCACTGTTATAAAAGCTTTGTATTATATGGACTGAAATATATCTGTACACACTACAGATCCTAAGTATTAGGCACACTGACAGAAAGTTTCATTTTCCAAGTTTGCCAGAGGGTAGGTATTTAGCCAGTATTTTAAGAGATTCTACCGTATCATAAAATCCAGAATTAATATATAACAAGACCCTGACTTACTCTAAATGGGCCATCTTTTAGTACAGTGAAGAACACAAAAAATGTATATTTGACTAAGAAAATAAATAGAATGACAACTACATTTAAAAATAATCGCCAAAATCAAAATAAAGAAACACACGTACAAGGAGAGAAAAAGGACAGAGGCAGATATAAACTTAAAAATTAAAAATGTTATAAACTCAAAATTATTTCAATTATGGTATTTTACTTCTCAAACCTCAGTTACTTCACCTCTTCCCCTAAAGTCAATAGTAATCAGAACTGCAAGTTTGTGTGCCTAACAATTTCGTAAGCTCGGATTGTTTTACTTTTGCGTACAGGGAAAGGAAAACAATTTTGTGGAGTTTTTTGTTTTTTTTTTTTCCTGAAACCCCTCAAGTTTGGGGTTATTTTGTAATACACAGATATTCCTTTTTCGGCAGCAAAATTAGAATCATACTCTTAAGTGATATTAATCCTTTTAATGGCGCCATAATCGAACCTTGTATAAACTATTAGTAATTATTCACAGCTGGGAGCTGTGGCTCATGCCTGTAATCCCACCACTTTGGGAGGCCGAGGCGGGTGGATCACTTGAGGTCAGGAGTTCGAGACCAGCCTGGCCAACATGGTGAAACCCAGTCTCTACTAAAAGTACAAAACAATTAGCTGGGTGTGGTGGCACGTGTCTGTAATCCCAGCTACTGGGGAGGCCGAGGCAGGAGAATCGCTTGAACCTGGGAGGCGGAGGTTGCAGTGAGCCGAGATTGCGCCACTGTACTCCAGCCTGGGCGACAGAACAAGACTCCGTCTCAAAAAAAAAAAGTAATTATTCAGGAGGCTTCCACATGTTCATGTCCATAAACACTAATGAATGTCCTTGTGGGTACCTCTTTGTATCCTTTTTCACTATTTCCGAGAAGAAATTTCTCTAAGTAGAATTGTTGGGTTTAATAGTGTGTACATTTTTAAGGCCATGAAAACATTTATGATCAAATGTACACTTTGACAACAGTTTTGGCAAGCAGAAGGGAAAAGGTGACAGTTGGAAAATGACTTTTAAAAATTTTTTCCCAAACAATAAATGAAAGTTGAAGTTGAAAAAAGGCAACAGTCTACTAAATTCAGTGAAACTCAGTAACTATTCATGAATGAATGTGTACATCACTATGCCAGGCACTGATACTAATAGATATTTAAAAAAGAAGTTACTAGTTAAAAGCCCTGATAGCAAATGTACTGCTCTGATTTCAAGACTCCTCAGAAGGACCCTTGGTTTAATGAAATAATTTATACTCAAGGCCCTTATTACTATTTAATTTGCTGAATAAATACTTACCGAACTGTCACAAGTAAACATAGTCAAAACCTGAGTAGTATCTACATTAATACACCTTCCTGAGCTTTTCTTGGCTCTTACCTAAATACCAGTTCATCAGTGTAACAAATAGTTTTATTAACATGTGAGAAATTACTCAGCAATGTTCACTTTACCATGTGTTAAAAAATACACATGCCACAAATTAGAATGTAGGGAAACTGTGTGATTTGCTCACTGTGGAGGCACTAAATGTTTTAATGGTTAGGAAATTCTATTAATTTTTCTTAACTTCCCTATGAGCAAAGAAAACCTAATTTCTCTTCCCTCTGAAGTCCCTATCAGCTTTAACATTCGAATTCTATTCGAAACGGCATTTCAGAACCATACACTTGATAATGCCACCACTGTATAATCTGTTCTGTTTATACTTTCTCCCAAGGAGACTAAAATGCTTTTCAGATGAGTCACAAAACCTTGATGTACAGATCCTAAGGAAAGCAGACTAATGAACAAAAAAAGTCAACTCCGGAAGATCATTTAAAAACTAACAATGTCAGAGTAACAGAACTATCCTGTAACTAAGCCAACCTAACTGAAGGGGAAAAGTCACAAAAAGTGAGCAAAGCAGTACACTCTTACCTGGGAGCAACTGTAATCTAGTATTTTTATGTGGGCACTGAGAGCCAGGTCCATGATATCTACAGGCACATCATCACTGTGAGCCAGATTCCACAGAAGGTTCAACACTTTGTGTGCCATCACACCATCTTTATCATCTTCTGCAAGACGACGTATCAGCTCAAGTAGCTTTTCACGTTGCTTTTTACTCGCATTTGTCCAACTGGCCTAGAAAAAAATTAAGTGACATGAAAACAACACATATTTAGTCACCACTTCATAAATTGTCACCAGGTTAACTATATTCAAATTCATCAAAAGCAACGTAGCTAAGCACAGAATGATTCAAGTGAGATCTGAAAATATAGTTAGCCTGGTATTTTTTTTATAGGGTAGAGTTAAATTCCAAAAAAGAAAAATAAATGATACACTATTTCAATTTAGAAGACACCCAATTAAAAACTCTAAAATACATTTTTTTAAAACCTCTAAAATGGTATTGTAATACAACATGGTTATCATGCTTGGGGAAGGGCAGGGTACTAATGGCATTTAGTGAGTAGAGACCAGGGATGCTGCTAAGCAATATGGGAAAAGTTTTATGAGTAAAGTTACTGCTATGGTTCGAATGTCCCCCCCAAAACTCACGGTTAAGCTGGCACCATGCCTCTTGTACTTCCCAACCTCCAGAATCATAAGCCAAATAAAATTCTGTTCTTTATAAATTACCCAGTCTGTGGTGTTCTGTTATAGCAGCAGCAAATGCACTAAGTTGCTGATCAGTGTTTATTAGAAAATAAACTGAAACGAACTTAACGTCAAACAGCAGAAGAACGATTAAGCTGACCGGGCACGGTGGCTCACGCCTATAATCCCAGCACTTTGGGAGACCCAGGCAGGTAGATTACCTGAGGTCGGGAGTTCAAGATCAGCCTGGCTAACATGGTGAAACCCCATCTCTACTAAATATACAAAATTAGCTGGGCGTGGTGGCGCATGCCTGTAATCCCAGCTACTTGGGAGGCTGAGGCAGGAGAATTGCTTGAATCCAGGAAGTGGAGGATGCAGTGAGCTGGGATCGCGCCACTGCACTCCAGTCTGGGTGACAGAGTGAGACTCTGTCTCCAAAAAAAAAAAAAAAAAAAACAACGATTAAGTTAATGAGAGAAGATTAGTTCAATGGAATTATTAATATGGTACGTCTTCAAAGATGATGTGAATGCCTGTTTTTATTTCCTTCCAGCCTACACAAAATAACAAAAGGAATATGACAACTGCTAAAAATGTAAGACTAAAATATCAGATTACAATTAAAAACCTCTAGCTAACATTATAAAAAGAGAGACAACTAGGTATTCCTCCTCAAGGAAAAGCACACCACCACTTGAGATATGCTCTAGTAAAATTAAAAAAAAAAAAAACCTTCTGTATCAAAACTATTGACAGACACCAAGGCAACAAACAATCCAGTTTCTTCAACAAATAAATTGCAAGGGAAGTAAAAAAGAAGAAAGCTAGTTTCAAAGAGACTTAAAAGACATACACATGGACTGCACCAGGATCCTGATTAAAACTCACTTCTAAAATGAAGATGTATGATCTAAGACAACTGGAAGTTTTAAAACTATTTTATGATATTAAGGAATTATTGTTTTTTAGGTAGATAATGGTATCGTGAATTTTTTCATGTACTCATCTTTTAGACATACAAACTACATGAAAAGGAGAAATTAAGAACATCTATTCAACCAGTACAACCATTAAGTGAATGAAAAAGATAACCAAATTGGGAGAAATTATTTGTAACTCTTGAACTGACAAAGATTAGCATTCAAAATATATCAAGAACTACAATCCAAAAAATATACAAATAATGCCACGGTGGGGGGAGGGGGGGAACAGGCATTCACCCAAAAAAAAAAAAAAAAAAAAGGCAAATAGCTCAAAAAATATACAGAAAGATACTCAATCTCATTATTGATCAAGGGATATAAAAACTAAAAGCACAAGCACAATGAGGTAACATTTCAAACACCAAGAAGATTGTCAAAAATTCAGAACTCTGACAAGAACAAGTGCTGGCAAAGATATGAAACTTACTTAGAACTCAAATGTTTAAAAACTAGGCTCTAGGCCAAGTACATAAAGCAAAGTCTAACCCAGAAGGTTGGAATCATTTGGTTGCAATCTGCAAAGAACCACAAGGTGACTCAGACTTCATTGCTTCCTTTCAAAATCATCTTTAGCAGAAACTTTCAACACTCCATAAGAATTGCCAGATTTACCAACACCTTGGGAAAAAAGTGCTTGTTACCAAATGACAAGTGCTCAATAAACATATGTTAAGCCAAAGGGGGAAGAACATGAAGAATTATTATTATATTCAGACCATTATTGTATTTAGACTATCCTGAGAAGAGGGGGGATACAGCAGATATAATAACAACCCCTTTTTTTCCTTCTCTCATCAAAGGCATCACTGGTCACGTATCATCATTTCGGAAGTCTTTATCTTTGCAGTGCCCATGATGACCAATTCTATTATTTCCTCAGCTGCCTTTGATATACTTCAATGGATGGAAAAAGTATTTAAGTTTTGCTTTTACATGTATAGAAACAAAATATATAAAAACCACATAAAAGATTCACTCAATAATTTGTTCCCTTCAAAATAAAATTTTCCATAAGGCAGCGATTTTTCCATAAATCAAAGCTTTAATGTCCCTAAGACTTATCTGTGAAACTTGCTTAAAATACAGACTCTTGGGCTTCAGTACCTACTGATCTAACATGTCTGTGATGGAAGCCAGTAAAAATGGTATTTTTTTCTTCTACTGTGAAATATCTAGAAAAGTACAAGCATATACCATTATTACAGTACACAATGTGAACACCTGTGTAACTAGTACCCAGGTAAAAAATAATACACGGCAAGTAACATCCCAGAAACCAGCTGTGCCCATTTCGGAACTTTACATTAATGTAATCAAGGTGTATTAATTACTGTGTGGCTTTATTCCTTTCTTCAACCTTCTGTTTATTAGACTCATCCATATGGTTGAGTTGCTCTTTCATTGCCGTGAAATATTGCACTGTATGAACATTCCATAATTTATCTATTCTATGTTTTATCTATCCTACATAGCAGGTTTTTTCACTATTACAAGTAATTCTGCTAACAAGTGTTGCTGAACACGTATCCTGGTGTACATAAGCATGAGTTTCTCAAGTGTATATTCAGAAGTCAAACTGATGAGTTATGAGAATCTTAAACTTTACCAGAAATACCAAGTATTTTCCAAAGTGGCTATAGCAATTTATGTTCCCACTGGTCAGTATAATTATTATTTTTAACAAGAAACGTTGGTGACCTATTGATCTAATGCCAGTTGTTAACAGAACACCTCTTAGTGCAAACTGCCAAAAAGTTACGTTCTTAATCCACAAATTCACTAACCACTTGAGCTTTCACAAACCTAACCCTGGCAACTAATCAAAGATGTTACAAAACATGGCCTCAAAAACCAACATGATGGCATCAATGCAGATATGACTGTAGGAGGAGTTCTTGGGCTACCTTATCAGTTACATTTTGATTAACTCATATTTTGCTTGTACATATGACCCCAGAATACCAAGATATTGGTATTCTCTTGCTTTCATCTTACTGTTTATTGTAGCCAATCATCCTTCCCTGTAGTCCTACAATTTGCTTGAACCTGTAACTAAAATAGAAACTACCAGGGGAAAGAAAGAAAAAGTGATAGCCTGAGTTTCCATTATGGGGGCTATTAAGAAAATGAACATCAAGTTCTTGTTGGAAAAGAAAACAATGGGCCAATTCCTTCACACCACAGACTGTTTAATGGGATTTCTATTTAAGTATTTATTGGCTAAAAGTAATTCACAGATCTAATTAATCAATTCTATTTGAAATAGAATGGTAATATTTTGCTATGTTAACAATTACCTTAAAACAATCAAAAAGATGATCAAGTTGTTCAGGAGAAAAATCCCATGCCAATTTTGCCAGGAGATCATGTACATTCTTCACAATGGCTTCATGTTTCCCTGCCTATTGAAAAACAAAAACGAAATCACAATGCACAAGAATCTGAGTAATAGATTAAGTAGTGTATACTGCTTGCTGACAATTAATAAAGTACTCCTATCTCCTTCATTTAACTATGTAACACAAGAAAATTCCTAACACAGCCCGCACAGTGGCAAATGCCTATAATCCCACCTACTCGGGAGGCTGAGGCAGGAGAATCACTTGAACCCAGGAGGCCAAGGTTGCAGTGAGCCGGTATCGAGCCACTGTACTCCAGCCTGGGCAACAGAACAAAACTCCATCTCAAAAAAAAAAAAAAAAATTCTAACATTATAAAATGCTTTAGAACTGCCATCTAAAACCTGGCAACTTAATTTCATGATATAATAAATACAGCTAATGTGTATTTTGGCGGTTCATACAAACCTTTAATACAATTTATTTAATTTGACAATTTTAATATTGCAAATACAAAAATAAGGCACACTAACAATATTGTTTCAAAACTGGAACCTTAAGCACTCAAAGGCAAAGCTGTTTTCTTGGTTTTTATAGACTAAAAAAACAAAGCTTTATAATCTACAACTCAATAATGCTTCCCAAGAAATCCACGATTAGAAAACTGTCATTAAGATAATAGAAGGAGTTGTAGTTTCCAACTCAAAAACTAAAAAGGTTACTAATCCTTCTGAAGAGTTATAAATTCTCTGGAATAATTATTACAGGTCTTTATAAATAATCAAGTGAATTAATTCTCCTGACACTGGAGGTTTTTGCTTTCTATTAAATCTATGAAGAAACCAATTACAGATGTCTTTACTCTCTTTCAATAGACATTCCTTATGATTTTACTGTTTGCATCTTTATTTAAAACCACTGACAAATTCTCAACCTTTATCAAATACAGATAAAAGAATATTTTTATTTTTAAAAGATTATTGGTTATTTCAAAAAGATTCCTGGCAGGGTAACAAGCATTTAAACGTTCTCAAAGTCAAACAATACAAGCCTGCATCCATTTCATGACAGCTACTGTATTTCTTCAGTTTTTAGTATCTTTATTTTAAAAACTAAATAGCCATCATCTTAAATTCCTTACCTGTGCTGCCCAGATATTATCAAGATCCTGTAAGGTCAGAGCTTTTTCTTTGATGACAAAACGAAGAATCTTCTCTAACTTTTCTACATACTGTGGCTGATGAAGACTATCTCGCAACACTATGGATAAGATATTGTTCTGCTGTATCCATTCCTAAATGTTAATTCAAAAACGTGTTTGAAAGCAGAAATTAAAACAATTTTTTCTTAATTGCTCACACTATTATTAAATAATATAAGGAAATTCAAAACACATTTACAAAATATAATACTGGTAAAATATACTTATGTGTTGCTTTAATGGAAAATTATGAAATTTTATAACAATTTTGCACATACAGAAATGCTCCCATAAATAATACTGAAATTAAGAAGATTCTACACTCCAGCATTTACTCAGAAAAATATTATTTAAGTACACAATCACCATGGTAGGGTGAGTACAGGACCAATTTTAGGATCTTTGGATTCTTTATCCCAATTTTGCCACAGAATTATGTTTTGACCTTGGGTAAAAAGGCTCTCTATTTTTTACTTTTATTTATTAACAATTATCATGTGCTAGGCACTATTATTGCTTATCCATTATCTCTTTAATTTTCCAAACAATCCTAGTAAGAGATACATTATTCTATTACAAAATGTAAACAGGCTCACAGATGCTAGAATTGGAATATGAATCAAGTCATATGCTTCCACAGTCTGTTTTTCTGTAACACTGTGCTAGCTTGCTCAACTAGCATTCATTTAATCTATAGCAACAGAATAAAGTGCTAACTCATGATACAAACAGGGAGTAATCCACACTATATGATTTTGCAGTATTTAGCTGAGAATAAAAAGTAGTTAGGCCCAAAATGTGCTAGAGAAGTACATGTCTCAGCTGATAATGAGCCAGTTTTTAATGTCTAATCTGTTGCAGATATTTGTTTTTATGTTATTCTACATATATACACATATGTTTTTAATATGGAGACAGGGTCTCGCTTTGTTGCCCAGGCTGGTCTTAAACTCCTGGCCTCAAGCAATCTCTCCTCGGCCTCCCAAAGTGCTGGGATTACATGCGTGAGCCACTGCAGAGCCACAGATAATTTTGTAAAACACAATAAAAATGTCGCAATGTCAAACTG
The DNA here is from genome assembly GCF_000001405.40 of Homo sapiens. Taxonomy (NCBI): domain Eukaryota; kingdom Metazoa; phylum Chordata; class Mammalia; order Primates; family Hominidae; genus Homo; species Homo sapiens. Next base: position 41,142,314 of record NC_000023.11, on the reverse strand, counting down.
CAATGAAAGTTTCTAAACACTTAATGCCATTCTCTGTCCTATCTAGGACTGGTTCAAGAACCAGCACCAGTCTTCAGAGCACACTTTGAATAGCTCTGTGCTGGACTTTCCATGAGGCAGATACGTACATCATATGTATGAAACCAGATGTCTACCACCTGACCCCCTAACACAGGGCAATATCTAAGCAGTCTCCACATGCATTTTAACATACTCTAATCACTAACTCCCCTATTAAGTGAGGGCTCCTTGAGGGCAAGGACAGTTCTCCTACAGATGTTTCCCCAGGACTGTTACACATATACATTCAAAAAATATTGGCACTGTAACTTAAATGGCATACTTACTCATTTCAAAACAATATAATACAAAATAGCTATGGTACATAAAGTTTCATAAAATTTCAATGTCAAAATAAGGGCTTTCAAAATAAAATTCTCAAAATCGTGATAAAACAATTTGTATAGATCTTATTCTAGTAATTTTATTTCCTGTTTTAAAACGTTTAACTGTAAATGGTCAAATGAACAATAGGCCACTTTATAAGGTACTAGATACTACCCAATCCATTTTCTAGATCAACTCTACCTACTCCATTTCAACCAACTTCCCACTCTCCAACAAACTAATAATTACTTCAAAACGCCACATTCATCACTAAGTTTATCAAAGATGTTTTAAAGCTACCCATATCACTACCAAATAATAAACTATGTTATTTCAAAAAGTTCTCAGGATTAACAGAGTTATAAATCAATCAAAACACCTCCCAATTTCAGTTTACTTTAAAATGTTACTATTACTAATTTTTTTAGCTAGAGCTATTCTAATTTCTTGTCTTAAGTAGATTCTTATTCCTATGAAGAAGAACTGAAAGACTCACTGCCATTCGTTCAGCTGTGAGCCACTCTTCCTCCTCAGGATTACCATGTCGATGAGTATAGTATGATACACTAGATATCACCTTATTAACTTCATTCAGTGCATTCATCTTTCCATTGAAAGAAGAAATTTGCAATAATCTGTAAGAAAAATTCAGTGATAAGTATGATTCTAAAATCGGCATTAACAATTATTTCAAGAGGTAAGTATCTTACCTAAGTATCATTTTTAACCTAAATATTTCTAAGTTTTTAACAGTTTCTTCTTGTCCTGGAACCCTTGAAGCTAAATTCTTCAAAGATTTAATAATCATTGAAAGAGCATCATTTTTGGCTTCATTCTTTGCTTCTTTTTTCAGTTCTTCATCAGTTAAGTTTTCTAAAAACTGTGGAACCATTTCTATTATTGGAAGAAAGTACTTTTTCACTGTATGAAGAGTGAGAAACTCATAGCATTGCCCAAATGGTCTGAAATAAGAAAGATACAAAACTCCTGTAAATACGCAATTTCTTAAAATCAATTTAGGACTAAATTCTTTATATTACTTTTAAAAAATCCCAGTTATTAGTTGAAGAAACCACACTTGAAAAACTCAATTTTTATGAAGCAAAAACCAGCAATTCTACGGTGCACTAACCATTGATTTTTAAATGTAACTTACTTAATAAGGGCTGCAATTATTTGAACGTTTAATGCTGATCCATTAATAAAACGATCATGCAAAATCTGGAACCCATTTAAAGTGCCAAATTTGTTGAGAAGATCCACTAGCCAACCCTGTAACACAATTAATGAAAAAAGTTAACTTCCTACTTTAAAGGGTAAAAAGCACGAAAAAAAAGCCTTATTGAAATATACTAGAAATAGTAAATTCAATAAAATAAATCATCTTTCAAAGGACCACAAAACATTGCATTTTGTTCATAGTAATTCCATCTGTGAGACAGAAGCAGTATACGTAGTAAGTATAGATTAAATCACTGGGGCATAGTTCTGTCTGTCTGTACCAATGTAAGTGGTGAACAGGAATTAGAAGACATGCTCCTATTTCAGATATCCCACCATATAAGAATGAATACCTTCTAATTACTGTAAAGTCTTTTATATTAAAATAATTTTCAGGAGGCAGAAAGACTTCAAGAGAGTTAAGAAGAAGCTACTTGGTAATGAATTTTGAATCTACTTCTTGTTTAGTTGTAAAACATTAAAATTTCCCTATAAACACAGTAACTAATAGCCTGAGAGTCAATTGTCAATTAAAAACTAAGGTCTGGTACTAGTATCTACTGTTCCTAAGTAGAATATGCTGGTTGATACTTTTGCTTATACAAATTGCACCCAGTTCTCCTTATCTTAGAAGTAACACCATGCAACAGGATGAACTGTCTAAGAAAGAGCTGTAGCTCAAAGTACCATACAGCTGGCACAGACAACAGTTGTGAGGCTAAAAGCCTGTCTGTATGTAAAAACCTAAAATGAATTAAAAGGCTATATAAATATAAGAATCAAATATATGTAGAAATTAATGTACCTAAGAAAACCTTTCACACCTTGCCACCTTCTAAAATTTAGGCCATGTTTTAGAAGCCACTGGAAAACAAGGAGCAAAATACACAATTTCTCTTCTAAGCCTTAAGCAAAAATAATTTCTACAGCTATTTAAAAAAAAAATACAGGAAAAAGTAAAGATGCTAAATGGCTGTATGTTCAATGTTTGTTTAAAGAGAAAATATGATAGCTAATGCTAGTTTTTTCTGTGTGTTTTTTTGTTTTGAGATGGAGTTTTACTCTCGTCGCCCAGAGTGCAATGGTGTGATTATCGGCTCACTGCAACCTCTGCCTCCAGGGTTCAAGCAGGATTCTCCTGCTTCAGCCTCTCAAGTAGCTGTGATTATAGGCACACACCACCACACCCGGCTAATTTTTGTATTTTTAGTAGAGATGGGGTTTCACCATGTTGGCCAAGCTGGTCTTGAACTCCTGACTTCAGGTGATCCACCCGTCTTGGCCTCCCAAAGTGCTAGGATTACAGGCGTGAGCCACCTTGCCTGGCCTACTGCTAGTTTTTATATGGTTTTAAAAGAATATGAATGAACTAAGTTTCTCTAATAAACCCATTAACGTATTTCAATTTAATAGTGTTTTCCTACCTTTTTAGTCATGAAAGGCTAATTCAAAACCATTAAAACTCGAGTACTTAATTCACCAGATCCCTTTTGTCATTCAGCAATTGTAAGAAAGTACATGCTCATTATGTAATATATTTTATTTCTTCAGTAACTATAATGAGACTATTAGATTGATATACTTGATAGTTACATACAATATTTATAAAACAGCAGGTGTGGACACAGTAAAGAATTAGTCTAAAGCTAATCTTTCTGTATTTCTTTGGCTGCAATGTATGCTTAAACAATTGGGAATATTCAGATAAGAGTGCTTCAAACTGAGGCTAATAGGCTAGCTTCAGCAGCTGCCAACAACAGCTTTCCTTCTCTGGCTCTAAGTTTTCAAGACTGGCAGAGAAAGATCAGTCGCCCTAAATAGAAAATTCAAAATGACCACATAGCTTACAATTCACCATATGCTTTCCACATAGTTTTCTATTGCTACAAGTTCCTTTTCTCAAAGATAGCATGGTGAATTTCACCTAAGACCTTTTGTCGTAACCAATGAAGTTTTTATTATATTTTAAATGTTTGAATAAATGATCTCATTTAAACATCTTCAAACATCTTGGGGGAAGATGGGGATTAGGAAACACTCTGAGAGATAGTCCTGACAGCTTTAGCTTTGTCATGGGTCAAAAGTTGAGGCCACAGAGGTTCAATGTCCCAGGAGGGTAGGAGGTGTAGAGAGAATTTGAAGTAGAACAGAAGACCTACCAAAAGCTCCAGAGAATGATTAAGTATTAAGGCTCAAAAATATTCCGAATAAAACACTTTTAAGCTCTGTAACTCAAATTTCTCAAAGGTAAATGAAACTCATTACAAACAGTATCCGAAAGTGAATCTACAGCTTAGAAAGTTTATCTCCATCGACTAAGTCTGATGATCTGAATTTTGCCACTACCACTTTTGGAGAACAGGAGAAAAAAACATATGGAGGCTATTACATATCTCTTAGATTTTTCATTATATCATGACATCTGCATTCAACTAGGACATGGTTGAAGATGCTGCCAAACATGTCCCCTTTTAATCAGATTTTTAAAAGCTTATAGAAGACCTGTTTAGCTGTATGATAAAATTTCTCTTACTTCAATAGCAAGTAAATGTGAAGGTAACTCCATAGAATATGCTTCTCCTTGATTCGCAACTATATTTTGGGCTATATTTTTAAAAATTGTACTCTTGAAGGCTTTGAAAGGCTAACACTCTCACAATCGCTACACTTTATAAGTTTAATAGCAAGAACTATATTTCAAAGATATAAAACTATCTTCAACCAGAAGTCATCTAAAAATTTTACATTTAGCCATGTTAAATCAAGTTTTGTGCCCTGTGAATCTCTTAAGTTGTGGATTACTGGCACATAGAGAAAAAAAAAAAGTAAAATTTAAAAAGAAATACAGGTATAGATTAAAATTTTCATTTTGAAGACTGCCATTATTTAGATAGTAACCTGATCTACTCAAGCAAAAATAAGCCATCTAGTGGCAACTATATGAACTAGGAAATATCAGAAAATCTCAACTTAAGTTTGACCTTTTTTTGATAACTTCAGCTTATTAGTAAAATAAACCAAGTTCTCCATAATGTATGACTTAAAATCTTTCTGGCTGGATAGAAAAAGGGAAATTTGTACAAGACCTATAATATTAAAAATGTCTCCCTAAAATCTAAAATTTTAAAATTATATAATATTTATTAAAAGAAGCAGCGTTTAGGGAAAAATTTTTTAAAGTGTACAGTCTGTTTACACCAATATAGAAAACTTACATTTATGTACACAATATATTTAAGTGAGATTTGGAAGATTTACTATATTGATTTCATTAACAATTTCTGTAATTTTATGATGTATTATTAGGTATTTAGAGGATATACTTGATTTTGGAGTCAAAATCTTAGAATGCCTAAAATGATCACGGCCCTACAGAACAACAATTGAGTCCTTGGTCAAAGAAGTAATCTCCTACTCTATTTCAAAGAAAAAATACAGTCTGTTTCCTACTAACCCAAATTATGACTACTTCTAAAGAGGCTGGACAGAAGACAATGGGGATAATTATACATGCAGAAAAAACAAAGAACTAGAACGACAAAGCTACGAAAAAGGCTCCTGGTTGTGTGTATTTTCATTTAAAGTGTTATTTCATTGTCACACTTTAAATACAGATCACTGAAGATTCTGTGTCAGAACAAAACAATTGTATTATTTAATTTTGAAAATAACAAACCAACACACCTTTGGTGATCGAGGATCTGGAGAACGAGCAAAGAGTTCATCTTCAGGCAACTGAACACTTGAGGAAACTGATTCACATGGACGTGTACCATTGTAGATATGGAATTTGCAATGAGGATTTAAGGCCATGGCAAGAAGTTCTAAAAGTGGAAACCAGTCTTGGGACAACTTGGCCACACATAGCTCCACCAGACGATGAGTATTGTTAATAATACACCTCTGTTATACAAGGGGGAAAGGCGATTTACAAGATCAAAACACTGCAATTTCAAACAGAAATATCTTCCAATATTAATCGTATCCTAACAAATAACGATCTCTCCATTTTTCTAATCATTAATATTGGGATCAAACTGATTATCAAAGGACAAATTAGAATTTGTTTACTTCATAATTTATATGGTACTTTCAAAAGCCATTTGCTATGGCTTAAAAAATACAAGAGGCACCATAAGATATCTATTCCTGCTCTACGTCCACAGGTAAGATGCAAGTTACTATTTTTTCTCTGTGGAATTTGTACACGAGAGGCAGCAATTCTAGAGTCTAAACAGTATGTCAGGCTGAGCACAGTGGCTCACGCCTGTTAATCCCAACACTTTGGGAGGCTGAGGAAAGCGGATCACTTGAGGCCAGGAGTTTGAGATCAGCCTGGCCAACAGGGTGAAACCCTGTCTCTACTAAAAATACAAAAATTAGCCACGTGTGCTGGCATGTGCCTGTAGTCCCAGCTACTCGGGAGGCTGAGGCATGAGAATAGCTCGAACCCAGGAGGCAGAGGCTCCAAGGAAGCCAAGATGGCGCCACTGCACTCCAGCCTGGGCAACAGAGCAAGACTCTGTCTCAAAAAATAAAAATAAATAAAATAAACAATATGTCAATCATCCAAGATAAATTTGCTAGCTAAATGTCAAATGCAGAAGTCTGACGCCACTTCCAAAGTTTCCATTTCTACACCTATACAATTACATGTTAAATCAGAAAATGTGGAATTTTTATGCTATGGTCATATTTGGGAAATAGGTTATAGGCCACAAAAATATTATCTGCTTGACAACTTATGACCATTTCCATAGTATACAAAAGAACAGAGGCCGGGCATGGGGGCTCACACCTGTAATCCCAGCACTTTGGGAGGCTGAGGCAGGCGGATCACTTGAGGACAGGAGTTCGAGACCAGCCTGGCCAACATGGTGAAACCCCATCTCTCCTAAAAATACAAAAATTAGCCAGGCGTGGTGGCGCACGCCTGTAGTCCCAGCTACTCGGGAGGCTGAGGCAGAAGAATCACTTCAACCTGGGAGGCGGAGGTTGCAGTGAGCTGAGATCGCACCACTACACTCCAGCCTGGGAGACAGAGTGAGACTCCGTCTTGCGGGGGGACACACAAAAAACAAAAGCAACAGAGACTTAGAGTAGTTATGGCATTTTATCAGTCTGAGACATATACTTTTTTCACTTTTTAAGATCTCTGGAATCTGACTCTATCTTATAATCAATGAACAATACATTACTGTTTTCCTAAATGGAAGGTATTTGCAGAGAGGAATTGTGTTTGCTTCTGCTAGTCACTTGGGGGCACTACCGACATGAGACCACTTTACATTTTCCACTTAAGGGCTTTTTGTATTGCAACTATAATTTGAATTCAGACTACGAAACTGTTTAAATACTGGCTTGTGGTTTAGATTTTCACTTTTTTTTTTAATCCCTCCCTCCACCAAGTGCCAAGGTTGAGATATGCAGGATTTTTTGCTGTCCCTTTCTGCATAGCAAGTTCATTTCTCATTTACCTCTATACTGACCCTTTGGTGTCCCAGACGTATATGAAATGCCCCATCTTGGGTGTTTTTCTTCCTTAATAGTCCATAAAACAGTGATGTACCTTACAATTGATAGCATTACATTTTCAATGAAATGTGATGACTTGCCTAAGGTCACAGACACTTGAGATCCCAGAGGAGAGATTAAACCCAAGCTTAACTCTAAATCTCATGCTTATTCTAAATGACCATGCGGCCTTCAAGAGACTTAATTTATAAACATTTTTAAGTTTTTCATTTTTAGACCTTTTAATTCAATTATAACAGAATAAATATAACACAGCCACACACACATATACCTCTTCCCACTCACAGGCATCACTATGTAAATCTGATCCTTTAAAGTCAAATGCAAGACTCACATGAATTTCAAACTTCCAGCCACTCACTGCTTCATCTGTAAGAATTTTAGTGAATGATATTGTTAGCCCATCACGGAAAAATCGCTGACATGCTTCACTTTTAACATCAAGGCCTAAGAAAAAGGGAGAAAAATTAATGCAAACAAAATGTTCATCTGGTTGTTTTTACATTGTCCAATATACAATAAAAGGTAATAAATAACTGGAAACTTCACCGACAGCTAACAAATATTTAATTGCATAAAAGTAGATTAACCGAGTAATATTAACACTAACTGAAAATGTTACAAATTATGGCACTAGCCTTAAACACAAAATGGTGATCAGCAGCACCACAAGAAGAGGCAAATTTAAATAGTATTTTGCTCCCTGAAAATAAGTCTTTGACCTTAAAAGCATTTCCCAATTTTTAAAATCTTATTTTGTTCATAAATCATTCATTTAGCATCAATATCCTTATACTATTCTGTGTTTGATCAAATAAAATGAATTATGTCTTGTCTTCCTTATTAGCCTCTCTCAATTATCTCAGTGTCTCTGTTTCTTTATATCTTTGCTTAATTTCACCTCATTTTAGAAAGGCAACAGAGCAATGTGCTTCCAAACAAAGAAAATCTGTAACTCTTAATGACCAAATAAAAACTATTCAATTTGTACAGAAAGTATTATTTGATTGATAGTACAAAAGAGATGGTAATTTAAACTTTTAAAAATTTGGAACTTGTTGAAAATAACCGTGGTCTCAGAAAAAAAATATGGTGGAGGGAGGAATACATGTCCACTGAATGTCAATGCTATTAAATGAAATACCATTAATCAGTGTTTATCCATCATTTTACAGTCAGGACTTAGAACATGCTTAGCAAAGAAGTCTTCCAAAATTTGCTGATATGCCCAAAAGAAAGAAAATCAGTATATTGAAGCGATATCTGCACTACTATGTTTGATGCAGCACTGTTCACAATAGCCAAGATTTTGAACCAACTTACGTGTTAACTGATAAATGGATAAAGGAAATGTGGTACATATACACAATGGAGTATTATTTAGCCATTAAAAACAAATGAGATCCTGTCATTTCCAACAACATGGATGGAACAAAAGGTCACCATGGTAAGTGAAATAAGCCAAGCACAGAAAGACAAACATCACATGTGCTCACTCATTTGCAGGATCTAAAAATCAAACAATTGAACTCACGGACGTAAAGAATAGCGGGATGGTTAATGGGTACAAAAATTAGAATAAGACCTAGTTACTTGATAGCACAAAACGGTGAGTACAGTAAAAAATAATTTAATTGTACATTTTAAAATAACTAAGAGAGTAAAACTGGATTGTTTGAAACACAAAGGATAAATGCTTGAGGTAATGGATACTCTATCTACCCTGATGTGATTATTACGCATTGTATGCCTGTATCAAAATATCTCATTACCCCAAAATATATACACCTACTATATACCCATAAAAATTCAACATTTTTAAAATAAAAAAAGATATTTTCTTTAAAAAATTTTGATGAATTAGTGAACGTATAAAAGAACAAAAAATTCTGAGTGGTGAAAACAACTGTAACCTGTCCGCGTATTGTATTTTCACTTTGGGATATTATTTCTACAAGATTAATGAGGCATAAGGACACGTTCTTTAAACAAAAGAGGGGAATTATTAAAAGATAAATCAAACTTTCCCTTGCCATGGAGTTGAACTTAAAGTACTAAACATGTTAATTTTGACAATAATCAGTTTCAATTGTGATAGTGCCTACTGTTAGTTATAACACATCCATAGCTATCCTATTTCAGAAAATGAAATGTTACTGCTTTTTAATCTGCAATATCTTAAAAAATGAATTGAAAGTTATTACAATGGTAGTCCTCTGTTAGATAATTCAACTGCACCTAAAGTAGACCAAAGTCATTGGGGGAAAAAAAAGATTAATTCCAGCATTAAGCTTTTTTTCTGGACAACTGAGTAAAAACACCAGATTTCCTTTTGCTGGTTAAACAAAAACTGAGACTTCATCTTCCGATTCTTTAAGAGAAAAATCACACCTTTCCTGTGTATTAATAAAAAAAAAAAAATAGGCTGGGTACAGTAGCTCACGCCTGCAATCCCAGCACTTTGGAAGGCCAAGGTGGGAGGATCACTTGAACCCAGGAGTTCAAGACCAGCCTGGGGAACCAGTCTGTCTCTACAAAAAAAAAAGAAAGAAAGAAAGAAAAAAGATTAGCTGGGCGCGGTGGCTCATGCCTATAATCCCAGCACTTTGGGAGGCCAAGGCGGGTGGATCACCTGAGGTCAGGAGTTCGAGACTAGCCTGGCCAACATGGTGAAACCCCGTCTTTACTAAGAATACAAAAATTAGCCGGGCATGGTGGTGGGCGCCTGTAATCCCAGCTACTCGGGAGGCTGAGGCAGGAGAATCGCTTGAACCGGGGAGGTGGAGGTTGCAGTGAGCCAAGATCACGCCACTGCACTCCAGCCTGGGCAACAAGAGTGAAATTCCATCTCAAAAAAAAAAAAAAAAAAAAAAAAATTAGTGGGCATGGTGGCGCATGCCTGTATCCCACTCAAGAGGCTGAGGCAGAATGATTGCTTGAACATAGGAGGTAGAGACTGCAGTGAGCCATGATCACATCGCCACACTCCAGCCTGGGTGACAAAGCAAGACCCTATCTTACAAATATGTAAGCGAGACAGTTTATTTCAGAAGTACAATATTAATGAAATGGTAATTTTTACCTGAAGGATTATGAATGAAGATTTTACTAGGTAAAATTTTACTGAGTACAAAGAGCCACACATCCTAATTCACTGTCATTTCAGTAAAGCAGTCAAAGGTCAAGTGTAAATAATTTGTAGACTTACATAGTAATATTTTGAGGACAGAAATGACTCAAGATAATTACAAGGAGGGCAGGGGGCAGATATGTCTGGAGTCCATCATACCATCCATCATTTATAGAGTACTTAATTGTAAAATGTTCTTTTGTATAGTATTTCCCATAACAGATAAGACCCTCAATTAAAAATGTTTAACCTCTGAGTGACAACCTCTTTGCAAATCTGACGAAACAATGAATCCACTCCGTAGAAATACAAATATAAATTTTATGTGACCTCAGAGAGTTCACAAACATCCTTTAAGAATGTCCAAAGGATATGAGCCCCTCCTTGCAAGCTGCAGTATGTGTTTATGATGGAGGAAAACAAATCCACTTCATCCGCTTTTGGGATAAAGTAAAAATACATCTAGTAGCATACATTATAGGAAGCATAAAAACATATAACTTACCCTTTTTACTAAGATCAATAGCAGCTTCTAAAAGCACTTCTAATTCCCCTTTCGGCAAAACTGGAACCACCCATCGAGGCCTAAAAGTTTTACCAAACAAAAACATGCTTAATGGTTGTACACTAAAAGAGGCACTACAAATGAGCTACTAATTATAATTATCTTGCTATGAAAATATTTAATATTAATATTAAAATAACATTAAAATATTAAGACAAGGTTGGCAGATTATCTGCTTTGTGGGACTAAGCACCACCTGATGTCTCTACAAATTTTTACAGGTACTGTCAAAAGATACAGCAATAAGAGAGGGAAGAAAACTAAATTATCTTGATAACTTAGGATATAAAACTATTATAACAATCAAATATTAACTAATTAGGTATCATGGATATTTTTGTTAAAATTCATAGGGAAGTGCTCTTTCAGGATTCAGATCAAAGGAGACATTATGATAAACCTCTTCATTGCCCCGCCACCCCCCTTTTTTTTTTTGGTAAGAGACAGGGTTGCCCGGGAGCAGTGGCTCACGCCTCTAATCCCAGCACTTTGGGAGGCCGAGGCAGGAGGATCACCTGACATCAGGCGTTCGAGACCAGCCTGGCCAACATGGTGAAATGACGTCTCTACTAAAAATACAAAAATTAGCCAGGTGTGATGGCACATGCCTGTAATCTCAGCTACTCGGGAGGCTGAGGCAGGAGAATCGCTTGAACCTGGGAGGCGGAGGTTGCAGTGAGCCAAGATTGTGCTACTGCACTACAGCCTGGGCAACAGAGTGAGACACCGTCTCAAAAGGAAAAAAAAAAGAAAAAGAAAAGAAAAGAGATCAAGACCATCCTGGCCAACATGGTGAAACCCCATCTCTACTAACACAAAAATTAGCTGGGTATGGTGGCACGTGCCTGTAGTCCTAGCTACTCGGGAGGCTGAGGCAGGAGAATCGCTTGAACCCAGGAGGCGAAGGTTGCAGTGAGCCGAGATCACACCACTGCACTCCAGCCTGGTGACAGAGCGAGACTCCATCTCAAAAAAAACAAAAAACAAAAAACAAAAAAAAAAAGAAAAAAAGAAAAAAAAAATCATTTGTATTTTTCTCCCCCCTGAGAACTTGCTAATAATATGCAACTTTAGCCTAAGAAGTATTTTATTACCAATCACCAACCACCAGACAAGTATGGAAAAGCAACAAACAATACAACCTTCTGCTATGGTATCACTGCTATAGAGAATGGTCAGGGACCACTATTAAATATAATTTATTATATACCATTACTATAGGCACCTGCCAGAATCACACAATGTATTCTTATAAATATATAATTAAAAACAATGGAATTTATTAATAGGAAAAATATTCAAGATAAATGAAAGCAAGTTACAAAATTATAGTAAGAATCCTCTATTTATAGAAAAATCAATTCATATATGATAGTAAACACAAAGGTAATCTGAAGAATGTATTGATTGTTAACAGTAATTTTTGGCAGGAATATGTGTATGTAAGGGGGAAATTACAGAGAAATTTACCTACACAAAATATTTCTGTTAACGCATACTCATTATTTATGTATTTAGATTTCTTTTTTTAATGCAAAGGATTTCTATTTCCCCTCACATTATGCATTTAATAGTGTTGACTTATTTTTAGAAAATGAAATTTAAAAAAAAACTCAGTAAAGCAAGTGCCTTTAAGAACATGTGTTTTCATTACTTTCCTTTTGGGGAGTGAGGGGGAAATGTGTCGCACCTTCCTAGCACTCACTTGTTGAGCCCACAGTCTGGTGAAGATCACAGTCACATGGGATTCCTTGATGTGCTCTTCCCTAGCCTCTTGAAATCTTTTTCTTCCTCTGCACAAAAGCTTAAAGCTTCACTCTCTTGGAGGTTTCCTCTAAATAATCAAAGTGTGTGGGGTGGGATAGGGTGGTTGTTTGTACTATAAGTGTGAAAAATTATATTCTGAACTGTTCCCTGAGATGAAGACCAAAAAAAGGAAACATCTAGGATGGTTAAATAGCTCAAACTAGTCAAGAGTTCACTAGGATCAGGCTCTGAGGAACTCAATGTCCTCATGACCTGATTTACCTCAGGCCATCCCAAAAATTATGAAAGTCATCCAGCAACCAAGAGACCAATGAGAAAAAAACTTCATAAACTCTCCAAGAGGGAAACTGAACATACAATTTTACTTCGGAAACAACCCAACTAGGGTCATCATCATTAATGTGAAATTTTTACTAACACTGTCACTCCCTTTCATTTATTAAATCTATTAAGAATCATGGGTTATAAAGCACTTGGCAGTGACGAAGCTATAAAGACTATTAAGGAGGCAGTGGGGTTACTTTCCTGTCTGCTCTCTTTCTTGGGTGTTACACACCAACTCACCTGTTGATCATGTCATCCAACTTGGCCAAGTCAGTATGTGGAAATGCAGGTTCCTCATCTTCAAGCTGTGGTGGGGCATCACCTTGACCTTGCTCATCTGGGGGAGTTGCCGGGGAATTTTCATTGGAAGAATCAGGCGATGAAGTCTTAATTAAAAATTAAACATTCCACATTTAAGTTTCTATAACATATGTAAAATAGTAATCCAAACACCAACATAGACAAGCATTGCAGATTTAAAAATTTTGTAAATAGCCCTACATATCCATGGGTTCTGCATCTGCAAAGTCAACCAACAACCTTGGATCGAAAATATTCAGAAAAAATTGCCTATGTGCTGAATATGTACAAACTTTTTTGCTTGTCATTATTCCCCAAACAATATAGCATAATAATGATTTATATAGCATCTACACTGTATTAGGCATCATAAGTAATCTAGAGATGATGTGAAGTATATACAGAAAGATGTGCATGAGTTATATTCAAATACTAAACCATTTTATATCAGGGACTTGAGCATACACCAATTTTGCTATCCAAGTGGTAAGAGGTCTTGGAACCAATCCTCCATGAATACTAAGGGACAACTGCATTGTAAATTTTTACAAAAGATAAAATAATTGAAAGTTTATGATGTTTCAGGCCATCTCTGTACTACTGTGCTTTAAAATAATTTCATCTAATCCTCAACAACCTAATGAAATATGTTACTGCCATTTAATAGATGAAAAAAAACTCAGAAAGTAAGTAGCCCAAGATCACACAGCTCAAATTCTATACTCAGGATTTCTATCAAAGTCTAAATAGTTTGTGTTCTTAATCATAATGTGTACTGCCTCTCTGCTTACATTTCCCATTATATAAGCCATGACAGAAATTATTCCACAAATATGATACATCACATTTTATACATTATAAAGTAATTTATAACTTCTGTTTTTTATTTGAAGGGAGAAAATGTAATTATTCCATAACTTCCCTACACCCAAACCATTATCCAAACAATAATTATTTAGAAGTTCATGATTATGGTTCTTAAATAAGTAACATCACTTTCAACTAACGTGGCTATTTTTCTCTTTCATTCCTCATTTTTAGCATGTCTTTCTCTCCCCCCGTTTTAACAGTGCATAATATTTTCACAACTAAGTGAATGAACTTTTATGACCTTTACTCTTAATTCAGAAAGCAGGTGGTATTTTCTCTTTCAAAATGAAACTAACCTAAATTTTAAACTGATTTTTATTCATGTGTTCTTGAATTTTCTATTCACTATAGGCTGATGGCCCTTTAAGAGAAACGGGCCCCTCGCCTTATCATTCAAGCACCTATTTAACAGTTGTAAAATAAAGAGTTGCATAAATAAGCACTTGCACGAAGACAGATGAGTTTACCAGCATTAATATGTTTTACTCACAAAGTTTATACATGAACTCATATGGTCAATTAGTAACTAAATGGTGCACTGTGCAGGTGCTCACAGTAACACAGTAAAACTGTGCAGGTGCTCACAGAGCTGGTCTCAAGGCACAGGAAACTACAGCACGGAAGTCAAGTGTTACAAGTCCAACAAAAATGTCTGATGTGAAGTATGTAACTTTGGAAGCCTGCTTTATTATTTTTTAACTCCTTGCCCCCTGATATACAGGTAGTTTACACATGCTCATAGAAAATATAAAAAATAAAATTTAAAACACCTGTAATTCCACACCTATAAACACCACCGATATTTATTTCCTTGTAATCTTTAAGAGTAAATAAAAACTGTCCATATATATGTTCAATAAAACTGGAATTATACATAAGTCTCTGTCCTTTTCCATTCAATATATCTAGGTATTCAATTTTTTGATTAAGAATCTTAAAAAAATATTAATGGCCAGATAATATTGCATGAATTAAACAAAATTAAGGGGACGTTTAGTATTTGGTAATTTTTACTGCTAACAAACATAAACATAGCTGTAATTAATGTTCTCATATATAAACCTTTGTGTTGAACTTCAACTTTTCCTTAGGATAGGATCCTGGATATATAATTACTAGAACAGTATAAACAATTTCTTTGAAGGCCACTGACAAATACTGCCAAATTTCATTCCAGAAAATTTGCACCCTCCCAGCAACCACATCCAAGAGTGTTCATCCCACGGTGTCTCTGCCAAGGCTGTTTCATTTATCGAGTTTTACTACATACTAAAGCCTAAAATTCTCTAAGAGAATTTTTTTTAAAGGCATGCTTAAAAAAAATTAAGTGAAAAATCTGATTTTAGAAATTCCCTTTATGCCAGCACATAAAAAGCATATCCAAAAAGCGAGCCCTAAATTGAACAGTGATTAACACTTTGGTTGCTGCTTCTTGGTACAACCGTGTCAGATCTTGTAAAATAAAATCCTAACATTAAAAAGTAGAGAAAAACAAAATGTAAGAGTGAGGGATAATGTAATTTGTTTCATTCCTTTGTTATTTTAAATTACCAGTCATCTTTAAAAATGTAAAGTTTTTAGAAGAAAAAGAACACAATGTAGACATAGAATATTAGGTTGAATATCACAAACCCAAGAGCTCTAAAAATCATCAAGTACACCTTAAAATAAGAGTAAGGTTAAATTAAAGGTTTGATTTTTGTCTAAAGCCATGCAAGTCAGAAACATTGCAAAAAAGGTTAGAATTCCATGGACAATGCAGGTATAAAATGAAAAAGGAAGAGGGAAAGATACTGGAACTCTAACTACTAGCTTCTGGTGTAAAATTAGAAATCTTTAGCATCCAACTCAAACCTCTGACTACGCTTTTAAAAACCTGAATACTGGCTAACAAATTTATGTCACAGGAAGGTCTTAACTCTGTCCAAGACCTGTGACCATACACTTTAATATTTTATGTCTCGAAAATGGGAACTAGAGAGGAAAAGGAATAAAACTGACACATTTATTTGGGGGAGAAAAAACCCCCGACTTGTTCACTTCTCTAAAATGGCAGAGAAAGAAGAAAAAGGAGAGACAGACAGAAGCTCTTTTCTATACTACTTACGATAGAATATCTAATCTGTAATAGCTGGACAATAAGAACTTATCCCCAAATAACAGTATAAAAACTTCAAAATAACACTTTTGCCTAAAAACTTACCTGACTCTACATAAACATGTAATAATTGGAAGCAGCATGTTTGTGATCATTTACACACACCTCAACTTACCTCTTACCTCTATAGAAGGTAAGTTGTGATGTGAGCTGTACATCGTAAGTTTTAATGTTTTGCCATTCAATTTAATACTTCCCAATATAAAACTGTATATATTAGAAAAGACAACTGAAATCAATTATCTAAATTTCCATTTCAAGAAATGAGAAAAAGAACAGCAAACCAAATCCAAAGTAAGCAAAAGGAACAGAGAGAGAGAGAGCGCGCGCGCGTGCGCGAGAGAGAGAGAGAGAGAGAGAGAGAGAGAGAGAGTGTGTGTGTGTGTGTGTGTGTGTGTGTGTGTGTGTGTGTGTTGGCGGGAGGGGTGTGGGGGGAGGGAGTAAAGCCAAGAGAGTTGTTTTTAGAAGGTTTAATGACATTGGTAGTGGTATCAGAAATATCAGAAATAAGGAGGCATTACCATAGGCCCCAAGACACAAAAAAGATAATAAAAAGGGTCGTTAACAACTTTACCTCAAATTTGAAAATCCAGATGAAATAAACCAATTCCTTGAAAACCATAATTTACCAAAAGACACTAAAAATTAAAAAATTCCTCCACTTAAAAAAAAAAAAATGGATCGGCCGGGTACCGTGGCTCATGTCTGTAATCCCAGCATTTTGGGAGGCCCAAGGCAGGCGGATCACAAGGTAAGGAGTTCGAGACCAGCCTGACCAACATGGTGAAATCCCATCTCTACTAAAAATACAAAAATTAGCTGAGTGTGGTGGGACGTGCCTGTAATCCCAGCTACTCGAGAGGCTGAGGCAGGAGAATCGCTTGAACCAGGGAGGTGGAGGTTGCAGTGAGCCAAGATCGCGCCACTGCACTCCAGCCTGGGCAAAAGAGCAAGACCCCATCTCCAAATTAAAAAATGGATCTTCAATTAAAACTTTTCCATAAATAAAACCCCAGGCCAGATGGGTCCACCAGTAAAATCTTCCAAACAATTAATGAAGAAATAATAAACTTCGCATAAATTCATCCAGAGAACAGAAAGAGGTACACCCTATGAGTTTTGCGGCCAGCATAAAACCTTAATACCAAAATCTATGTTTAGCATTAATTCAATTGATCCTTTTAACAGTCCATGAAGTAGTTACACTATTATTACCCTCATTGTACAGATAAACAAACTGAGGCTTAGAGGTTATATAATTAACCCAGAGTCATAACGCAAGTATGGTACAAAGCTGAAATTTGAACGCTAGGCAACATGACTTGGGTCCATGTTCTTTTTATAATCTTATTGTAAATTGACAATTTACAATTGTATGTATTTATGGGGTAGAAAGTGGTGTCATGATTTATGATGGGTCCAATGCTAACCATAGGCTACACTGAATGATTTAATGCTTTCCCCCTTAGAATTGACACATGGCTTAGTTAATTTTAATGACTGACAGTATAAGCCATCAGAAAAAGACGGACTACATACTCAAGTATTACCATCTACACCACTTGAGCTTTCTTGTTACTATGCAAGACCTATGTTCACTTTTCTTTTTTTTCGGAGATGGAGTCTTGCTCTGTCACCCAGGCTGGAGTGCAGTGGCACCATCTCGGCTCACTGCAACCTCTGCCTCCCGGTTCAAGGGATTCTTCTGCCTCAGCCTCCCGAGCAGCTGGGACTATAGGCACGTGCCACCACACCCAGCTACTTTTTCTATTTTTTAGTAGAGATGGGGTTTCACCATATTGGCCAGGCTGGTCTCGAACTCCTTACCTTGTGATCCGCCTGCCTCAGCCTCCCAAAGTGCTGGGATTACAGATGTGAGCCACTGCGCCCAACGTGTTCACTTTTGTTAATCAAAACTTAAAATAACAGTTGCTTCACAAATTATTTAGAACATGTTCCATCATTTAGTACCCCAACAGTAGACCCACCAATGTAGGTTTTTTGTTTTTGTTTTTGAGACAGAGACTCGCTCTGTCACCCAGGCTGGAGTACGGTGGCGCCATCTCAGCTCACTGCAACCTCGGCCTCCCAGGTTCAAGCAATTCTCTTGTCTCAGCCTCCCAAGTAGCTGGGATTACAGGTGCATGCTACCACGCCCGGCTAATTTTTGTATTTTTAGTAGAGACAGGGTTCCACCCTGTTGACCAGGCTGGTCTCAAACTCTTGACCTCAAGTGATCTGCCTGCCTCAACCTCCCAAAGTGCTGCGATTACAGATGTGAACCACTGAGTCCAGCCCCACTGTAGCTTTAACTAGTATCTTCAACATCCTACCTGATTCTGTTGGAGGGGGGGCTGAGACTGTCCATCAGGAGCCTGGCCCTGGTTGTCATTCCCTCCGACCGGAGAGCCACGAGTCGTGGCTGTCATACTCGACACAGGGCAGATCTTTGCAATTTTGTCTGCTTATGTAGTTGTCTTGAGAAAAGAAATTATAGTCCACTTATAGAAGATGAAGTACCAGCATTTGTCAGTCTTAAAAAGGTCCAATTCAAGAATAAACCATCTTGCAGAGACCATTGCATAACCTACAAATAGAAAGGGGAAAAAGTAATTGGTTTTAGATATAAAAAACATGAATTATGGAACTGTTCGAATTTAGTATCACCAGTGAATCTAATCAGGAAAAAGGGGCTATACAAACAAGAAGAGAAAGTAAAAAGCTGAAGTTTCATTAATACTACATTTAACTTAAAACTGATCATTGGTACACTGGCCATTATACCAAGAAAACAAACAAATATAGCCTCCTGGAAATGACTCCAAAGGCAATATATCAAAGTACTTAACTGTCATTTTAATTAAATTAAGAAACGGCAAAAACTATCTGTTTTCAATTTGCTGATGCATTCATTACACTGTAAGAATAAGGACAAGAGGTATGAGGGTGGGGTCCCTGGTGAGGGCTCAAGCCTGGACCTGCAGCCCTAAATGAGAACAGGCATTCCTGTTTTCACGCCCAAGTGTTCCCTTTTGGCCTGCCACGCACCCCTATCCCGTGCCCATATAAACCCCAAGCCCCAGGCTCCAAAAGCAGAAGAGTGGCAGAGAAGCACAGCAGAGAAGGAGAGAAGAGAGGAAGTGTCTAAAGGTGGAGAGGAGGTTCAAGCTGGGGGCCGTTGGAGATTGGCTGTGAGATAGCCGAACTCCAGGAGAAGATCATCTTCCCACTCCATCCCCTCTCCAGCTCCCCATCCCACTGACAGCCACCTCCACCACTCAATAACATCCCCACATTCACCATCCTTCAAGTCCCTGTGACCTGATTCTTCCCAGACACAGGAAAAGAACTCGGGATGCCCTAAATGCAGAAACCCAAAAAGGCTGTCACACTGACTCTTCTCTGAGCTGTTTAACACTTATGCTGGGACAGCAGGGCTAAAGGAGCATTGTAACACTCCTAGACACTGCTGTGGGGCCGGAGCCCAAAAGCGCTCACCCTGGCTCCTGTACCTGCTCACCTGTGTGCTCCCCTTCCCATAAGAGGAATAAATGAGCCACACCCCTGTCACACATCCTGTGAGGGCGTCAGGGAACTCTCCTGTTTCAGTAACATGTGTACTTAGACAAAGTACAAAGTGATTTTTTAAAACATTTCAAGGCAGGCCGCACAACTAACGTTTATCACTGATACTAGGGCATTATAAATGGTTTTTTAAACTAGCTTCTAAGTACTTTTAACATAAACTTTGACGCTTTGGAGAGAAACATCAGGGGTGCACGCATACAGAGTAAAGACCACGTAAAGATGCAGCAAAAAGGTGGCCACCTGCAAGCCAGAGAAGAAACCAAACCTACCAACACATTGATATTGGACTTCTGGCCTTCAGAATTGTGAGAGAACAAATTTCTGTTAAGATCCCCGCTCTCTCCACCCCCTACAAACAAAAAACCCTGAAAACCCCCCAAAAACCTCTGGTAAAATTTTAAGAGGGTTCAAACTACATAATACTCCAATACAACTGAATTTGTCAGATGATCTCAGCTCTCTACTTTGGCAAGGTTTTGGCTCCAGCCACTCCTAGAGCCATAACAGGGTTACAAGGCCACAACTGTTTAAGAACAGGGAACTCTTCTTTACAAACTGACCAGCAAACAAGTACAGGAGAATGCTACCAAATCCTCAATTCTATATTCATTAGATCAGTAGCCCTCTTCAGCTACACAATAAAATCACCTGAAGTGATTTTGTTTAAAACACTGATGCCCAGGTTCCTCTCCAGATGAAATAAATTACAGTATCTGGGAGTAAGGCCTAGGCATCAGAACTTTGCAAAAAATCTCCCCCAGTGAATGACTCTAAGGTGCCACCAGATAGAGAAACTTAACTGATTGGTTCTAACTCACTGGCTCTCAAGAGATTGAGAGAGACTTCCCACAAGCATTGCAAAGTTTCATTTCTAAGTTTTCTAATTATGACCTGGCTTAAGACATTCAAAACCAAATGTATACCATGGTATATAAAACTTACCTGGGGGCTTGCTTCTGTAATATTAATACCCAAGTATTTTTCACCACTTAGGTTACCAAGCCACTGCAGGAAGTTTCGAAGTGCTCTGCCACAACTCACTTGATTCTCATACCCAGTCTATGCAGCACAGAAATTGAGTATTATCTCCATTTTACAGAGTCAAAAATAAGAGACAGCAGGGGCTTGCCTAAGTTATGCAGAGCGGACTCTAATTCACATCTGACTCTAAGACTTCTTCCTCTTCAAGTTCTCTATCATTGTCAAAAAAAAGTTGACGTACATTTTAACCCCTGCCACCACCTGACATACACACAAATTACAGGCAGATTAATGAGGAAAATGTAAACAACTATAGAAAGTGCTAGAGGAATATGTTTAAAATCAGGCGCAGTGGCTCACGCCTGTAATTCTAGCACTTTGGGAGGCCAAAGGCAAGCGAATCACTTGAGGTCAGGAGTTCAAAACCAGCCTGGCCAACGTGGTGACACCCCATCTCTACTAAAAATACAAAAAAAAAAAAAATTAGCCAGGCATGGTGGCTCACCCCTGTAGTCCCAGCTACTGAGGAGGCTGAGTCAGGAGAATCACTTGAACCCAGGAAGCGGAGGTAGCAGTGAGATGAAATGGGGCCACTGCACTCCAGCCTGGGCAACACAGCGAGACCCTGTCTCAAAAAAAAAAAAAAAACTTGACTAAAGCACACACAAAAACTGATTTGTTAAGATATGTTGGCTGGGCGCGGTAGCTCACGCTTGTAATCCCAGCACTTTGGGAGGCTGAGGCGGGCGGATCATGAGGTCAGGAGATCAAGACCATCCTGGCTAACATGGCGAAACCCCGTCTCTACTAAAAATACAAAAAATTAGCCGGGCGTGGTGGCGGGCACCTGTAGTCCCAGCTACCTGGAGAGGCTGAGGCAGGAGAATGGCGTGAACCTGGGAGGCAGAGCTTGCAGTGAGCCGAGATGGCACCACTGTACTGCAGCCTGGGCAACAGAGCGAGACTCTGTCACACACACAAAAAAGATATGTCCTCCTCTAGGCAAAATTCAGAAGCTTCAGGGAGAAGTAGAAAAACAGATATGAAGATAGACTTCTCAAAAAGAAATAGAAGTGACTAATAAATACATGAAATAAGACATAATTTTAAAATAGAGCTTTTCGCATGTTAGGCACTGTTTGTAGCACCGTAATCCTTACAAATGTATACAGTAGGAACTAGTATCATCCCTCTTTACAGGTAAGGAAAGGGAGGCACAGAGAGCAAAAGTAAATTACCGTATCAGTAAGTACTAAGTGGCAAAATGGGATTCCAACCCAGGGAGTCCATAGCTCTTAAATGCTACACTAGCCTGCCTCTCAACCTCATTAGTAATTGCGAAAATGCAAATTACAAAACCAAAATTTGTTCCACTGATCAAACTGGCGAAGCAAAACAAAGTTTTAAGACTGATACTATCAAGTACTGGTGAGTCTAAAGACATAGAAGCTCTTTAAATACATAAAGTGGAAAAAAAAAATGAAAAAGTCTGATTTAAGCAGTCCCTCTTTCGCTTTTGTTATCCATTTTATACACCCTAAATTACAAAGAGTGTTACGTGAAGCAGACAATTTTCAAAACCTTGAGAAACTTGCATATCATTTTCCTTAGCCACTTTGGGTCTGCTGACAAATTATGTGAATGATTATTTTCTTTTTTGAGACGGAGTCTCGCTCTGTCACCCAGGCTGGAGTGCAGTGGCGCAATCTTGGCTCACCGCAACCTCCGCCTCCCGGGTTCAAGCAATTCTCCTGCCTCAGCCTCCCGAGTAGCTGGGACTACAGGCTCGTGCTGCCACACCTGGCTAATATGTGAATAATTATTTTCTTGGCACTCAAAATATTAGCTAACCAATTCAACTTTATTCTTGTCTACTTCAAATCTGCTCCAGTTTCTTCTTTTTCTTGTCCCTCAGCTTGGGGTCATGATCCCATTGTATACCCTCTCCAAGGGATGATGCTCCAATCATCATCATCCCCAATCAATCTTTTCCCAGCCTGTGCTTGAATCTTCCCTACTGAAAATCACCAGTGTCTGCCCTTCCCTTTTCCCACAAGTCGTAAGACTGTCTCCATTTCCCCCTTCTCTTTCTTTTTAAATAAATGTGATGAAGACAAAGTAGGTAAGTTGTAAATTTTGGGTTTTTTGTTGTTGTTGTTTTGAGACCCAGGCTGGTCACGAGATCCTGGGCTCAAGCAATTCTCCTCCCTGGCCTCCCAAAGTGCTAGGATTACAGATGTGAGCCACCATGCCCCGCCCATCTCACCTTCCACTTTGTCCATTCTCTCTCATCACCTGGCTCCATCCAAAGCTACTAAAACTAAAACTGCTTTAAGCCAGAAGGTCTTAATCGAGACGTAGGGATGGGCTTCAAGATTAATTCCCCTAAAAATTACATACAAAGCTTTTGAGTATGTGCATTAGGGGACGCATGAGAAGAAGGTCCACAGATCAATGTTCTACTTACTGACAAATCAAATAACTGCTTCTCAATATTCATCCTGTTTGCCCTCTTCTCATCATTAGACACTGACCACCTCTCCCTTCTTGAAACTCTGAGCTTCCTTGGCTTATATAATCCTGGACTCCAGGTTTCCCGTCCACTTCTCTTCCAAGGAAAGGGGTAGAGTGGCAGTTCGTACAGTTCTTAACATTGAAACTGAGGTGAAAACCACTAGAGAGTTGGCTCTACACGTCTAGAATTCAGGCAAAACTTGGGAATCTTGAACACAGATTCAACTATTCACAAAAGGGTAGGAAGAGATGGATTCATCAGCACCACCTGGGAGTCTGTTTTTTTTCCCGAAAATAAATACAACCTCCACTCCCTACCATCTCCTCCTGAGAGTGATGAGGTTAGCGACTATATATTCCCAAGTGTGGGGCAAGTAGGGGGCCAGGGAGATCACCTTGTCTACTAAGCCAATACTGTGTCTCTTTTAAAAGTCTTTCCAGGAAGCAATACAAGGACGAACAAAATGTGGTACCTATGTTCAGTGGATTATTTAGTATTTTTTAAAAAGAAAGGAAATTCTGACAGGTGCTACGATATGGGTGAACCTTGAGGACATCATGCTAAGTGAAATAAGTCATTCACAAAAGAACAATACTGCATAATTCCAAGTACACGGGTACCCAGATTAGTCACGCTTGCAGAAACAGAAAGTAGAATGATGGTTGCCAGGGGCTGGGGGGATGGGGAGTTATTGCTTAAGGGGTACAGCGCTTCAGTTTGGAAAGAAGAGAAGTTCTGGAAATGGATGATGGTAAGCATCCCACAATGTGAATGTACTTAATGCCACTGAACTGCAAACTTAAAAATGGTTAAAATCAGCCGAGCACGGTGTTTCACGCCTGTAATCCCAGCACTTTGGGAGGCTGAGGCAGGTGGATCACCTGAAATCAGGAGTTCAAGACCAGCCTGACCAACATGGTGAAACTTGTCTCTGCTAAAAATACAAAAATTAGCTGGGCGTGGTGGCGCACACCTGTAATCCCAGCTACTCGGAAGGCTGTGGCAGGAGAATCGCTTGAATCCGGAAGGCAGAGGTTGCAGTGAGCCGAGGTGGTGCCACTGAACTCCAGCCTGGATGACAGAGTGAGACTCCGTCTCAAAAAAGAAGAAAAAAGGGCCGGGCGTGGTGGCTCATGCCTGTAATCTCAGCACTTCTGGAGGCCAAGGTGTGCGGATCACGAGGTCAGGAGATTGAGACCATCCTGGCTAACACGGTGAAACCCCACCTCTAATAAACATACAATAGCGGGCGCCTGTAGTCCCAGCTACTCGGGAGGCTGAGGCAGGAGAATGGCGTGAACCCAGGAGGCAGAGCTTGCAGTGAGCCGAGGTCGCACCACTGCACTCCAGCCTGGGCAACAGAGCAAAACTCCGTCTCAAAAAAAAAAAAAAAAGAAGAAGAAAAAAAAAAGGTTAGAATGGTAAATTTTATGTATATTTTCCCACAGTAAAATTGTATATATAGAGTACTCACTGTTCCCTTACCTTGCAGTTCTTTTAGCATTTGGAGATCATTTGAGCTAAAATACCTCAAAATTATATTCTCATATTTTTATGCACAATATCCTTCCATCTATATGAATTCAGTAACCATCTATACACAAATCAGAAATATCTGGCAAAAGTCATGGTATAAATTATTCTAGACAAAAGTATCATGTGGATAACTAAGGGACTATCCCTTTAAACAAAATAACTAAGATAAATGGGAAAAGCGGCAGTGTGAAACTCCTCTCTCAAAACACCTTTCTCTAAGACCACAGAACTAAATCATCTTCTGCTTATGACAGGACACTCAATCAGCAAAAGCCTCAAGCTGCTTGCTATCCCTATCTCTTATATAGTCTCGCCTTTCTAGCTCTTGGTTTCTGTTTCTTCTACCCGACAAGCTGTCCTCATTTCTATATTTCCGGTATTGCTGAGCAGGTATGTCAGGTCTCAGCATAGCATACTCTGCTGCATCTCTCTACTACCACATAAGAATTTGATCCCTTTCCCTCAGCACACTAAGATGCAAGATAAAGAGCAGGAAATAGGCATGGAGCAATTAAAAATAATTTCTGGATTCAAACATAACTCATTCAAAATCCAACTTCTGTCACTTACAATCTGCCTATCTTAAAAAGAAAGTAACAACCTCTCTCATTCTTTTTCCAGGTATTTAAAATTGAGATGCTATTACCCACACAAAAAAAAGAAAGCCATGAGAATTGCTTTAATAAAAGGAGTCTCACAAATAGCAAGCACAGTAATTCTCAAAAAAATGTAAATTTTCTTTTCCCTTTCTACAATGTACTGTGCAGAGTTCCTAAATATTTCAGGAATGAATCTGAAAATATTGCCTTCAGATATAATTTGGAAAGGTTTGAGTGGGAGAAAAAAACTTATCACAGATACAACTAAGTTATCCAAGAATAACACCACTACTTTTCTTAATAAATCCTATTCAATACTCAAGTGGTGGAAACAGCTGGGAATCACACAGCTTTGCCTGATTTCAAGTAGCAGTCTCACAACTCTAAAAGAGCCTGTTTTTTATGTCACAGAGATTTAGGCATACCTAGCAGGGCTAGAACAAGCTCTCTACCAAGTCAAAGCAGCAGTATCCTACACACAACTGAACAACTTAGTAATTATTCAAATCATTCAATATTTGACACAGTAACAATCACTTTCCATAGGCATGCTCAAATACAATGAATCACAGTGTGAAATTTTACCACATGAAGTTTTACGCTTTATTTCATAAAAACAAAATTATTACACAAACAGAAGCATCTTTAATTTTCTCAATGGGAAATACAACCAAAATGGTGATTTGATTGCCTCTACAACACACAACACATTTTCATATTCAAACTTAGCATCCTAACATCTTCCACAATGGGAAAAGCATCACCTTTACCTAGATAAAGGCTGGACTGCATTAAGTAATCTAGTACTCCATAAACAGCAAACCATTTACTTTAAACTTTGCAGAACTGAATTTCTCCAGCAGCTTTCACACAGGGCCTTAATACCAGAGAAATCCCTTTTAGAACAAAGAATTATCCTTTCTTACCCAGTCATTATCCCAACTCTGCTAAAATTTGCCCTATGTTCCAGAATCTCTCTCCTTTTATACAGCACGTTGAAATCCTCTGATTCTACATATGATCCTAGGATACTTAAGATTTTCTTCTCTCAATTTTTCTTTTCATCCAAAAAAAAGGTGTTTAAATAAAAACTCAAAGCTTAGTCATTCAAAAATTGTGTACTGAGCATCTGCAATGGGTCACATATTGTTCTAATCATAGGAGAATATATGGAAGTACACAGTGCATCAAATATCTCTGCTTTTGTGGAACATTACAGACTGGGGATAGAGACAATAAACAAGCAACAGCAACTCCAACCCCCTACCAGATTATTTCCTTTACTGGACATCAAAGTGAAATGAGTTTCTTAGAAAACAATTTGATAGATCATCCTTAAGCTCAAACATGGAAATTATCTTGACTTGGAAATTAATCTTGACTTGTGAATTTTGCCTATTCCGGTTTTATGCACCAACAATCAAAGGGAATTACTTCTCTTCCTTTCAAATTTCTATGTTTAACCGACATCTATAACCCTTGTTTTTCCATTAAAATATTTGACTCACTAGAGACAAGAGACCTAACTGTACAACACAAGCTATACTTAGCCTTCACCAGTAGAGGGCGCCAGACCTCACTACTTTTTTTTTTTTTCTTTTTCTTTTTTTTTTTTTTGGAGACGGAGTCTTGCTCTGTTGCCCAGGCTAGAGTGCAGTGGCACAATCTCGGCTCACTGCAACCTCTGCCTCCTGGTTTCAAGTGATTCTCCTGCCTTAGCCTCCCAAGCAGCTGGGACTACAGGCAGGTGCCACAATGCCGGGCTAATTTTTGTATTTTTAGTAGAGATGGGTTTTCACTATGTTGGCCAGGCTGGTCTAAAACTCCTGACCTCGTGATCCACCCGCCTCGGCCTCTCAAAGTGTTGGGATTACAGGCATAAGCCACTGCGCCCGGCCCATAAATAACTTTTGATTCCTCAGAAACTTAACTACTAACAGCATACTGATGACAAGAAGCCTTACTGATCATAAAGAGGCGACTAACATATTTTGTTACATGTATTATAATACTGTATTCTTACAATAAAGCAAGCTAGAGAAAAAAAGAAACTCAGAAGGGGTGGTGACTCACACACCTGTAATCCCAGCACTTTGGGAGGCTGAGGCGGGCGGATCACTTGAAGTCAGGAGTTTGAGACCGGCCTGGCCAACATGGTAAAACCCCGTCTCTAATAAAAAATGCAAAAAAAATTAGCCAGGTGTGATGGTGTGCACCTTTAATCCCAGCTACTAGGGAGGCTGAGGCAGAGAATCGCTTGAACTCGGGAGGTGGAGGTTGCAGCGAGCTAAGATCGCACCACTGCACTCTAGCCTGGGTGACAGAGTGAGATAGTCTCAAAAAAAAAAAAAAGAAAAGGGAAAAAAAAGGAAAGAAGAAAATCAGAAAATGTATTTATAGTACTGTACTGTTTTTACCAATAAAGTAAAATTACATCATCTGTTTACAAGATCAATCATCTGAAATGGCGGACAACCACAGCTGCAGACCTCAGACCTCAATCTATGGTACCTATCAAGCAATTCAACTTTTTCTTATAAGAAACTTTGCAGAACATTATAACGTCATGACTTTTCTCTGCTTCTTGGGAGCCTGTTCGCCAGCACCACTAGTGACACTTCATGAGTCCCGTAATGTTATTCAAGGTTTATGGTATTGCACTAAACATGATGAAAAATACATGAGAACATGAGAGATCATTTTTTACTATGATAGACCATTTACTGGAGAGATGAACTGCTCATGCAGAGATCAGCGTCACATATTTTCATCGGATACTTACAACAAACTCATCGCAGTAGCAAAAGGAGATGGCTATGAAATTACAGTAGTAGAGAATGTACTAGTTAATTTTATGCAGTTATGACTTAATCCATCTTTACATTTGTTCACATTTCTCTCAACTGCACGTGGCACCACATGTGGTCTATAAAAACGTTTGTGTGCATTAAGTTTTGATAAATGTTAAATTTATAATAGATTTATGTATATTTTATGGTAGTAAATAGATTATTATCTACATGTATTTTACGCGTTCATGACACACCTTTCTTAATTTTTTCAGTATTTCCAAGCTATGCAGTTTATCCTGTTTTTTTCAAATTGTCACAAATCTCCAAAATATTTTCCAATATATTTATTGAAAAAAATCTGCAGTGAAAGTGGACCACACAGTTTGAACCCATGTTGTTCAAGGGTCAACTATATACTGATTTAAAATTATAATGTGAATGTATAAATCAATTGTTTCATGTTTATTACAATCCAGTAAGCAGCATCTTTTCAGCTAAGCTTTCTTTCAAAATGCCCACCATTTTAGAGTACAAAAATACTTATTTTTGGCCAGGCGCGGTGGCTCATGCCTGTAACCCCAGCACTTTGGGAGGCCGAGGCGGGCAGATCACAAATCGGGAGTTGGAGACCATCCTGGCTAACACGGTGAAACCCTGTCTCTACTAAAAATACAAAAAATTAGTCGGGCATGGTGGCAGGTGCCTGAAGTCCCAGCTACTCGGGAGGCTGAGGCAGGAGAATGGTGTGAACCCAGGAGGCAGAGCTTGCAGAGAGCAAGATCGCACCACTACACTCCAGCCCGGGCGACAGAGCGAGACTCCATCTCAAATAAAAACAACAACAAAAAAACGTATTTTTAAGCCAAGTTTAGATCTTTTTGAATTTTTAAATTGAACATGCTGTTGCTATGACAGATTCAATTATGTTTTTAAAGACAAAATTTTAGTGCATTGTTGTCTAGAAGAAAAAGTAACCTACACAGCAGTTTTTCTACCACAGCATGAGAAAGGACACTAAAATAAGGTTATCACAGGTTTGACACACTTCTATGGACACAGAGAAATTGCCAAAAAACAAAAACTGTATAAAGCAGAGCACAAAATAAAAACAGCAAACATTAATAGCTTATATGCTGGACTTCAAGGATTCTTTTGGTGCCTCAATCGAAAACACATGAAATGTGAGTGAAAATAATTATTAAGGGGATAATCTTGACTCTAATATTTTTAGGTAATCTCATTTGCAAACATTACTATTTTAACTAATTATTTAATTGCTTATAATTACTTGTAGCATACACCTCACAATCAATTATATTTAGACACTATGGTCCATAACCACCCTGTGGGCAAGGCGAAACAGGTCTCAGTATTTATGCTAAAGATTTTTTTTCTTTTGTGGACTTGTTGGTTCCATTCCATTCAAAAGTTCTCTGTGGCTCCTTTCCAGTTCTTAGTTTGTATATTATTCTTGAAAAGTTTTAAGTACTTACTTGTGTATCAAGCACAACAGTAGGTGCTTTATTTGTATAATCTCATTTAATCATAATACCTATCTCATACAGCCATCAGTCCAATTTAACAGACATAAATAGAAGCTAAGAGATTAAGTACACTGAGCTTATACAAGATCACAATAATTTCCGTTAAGACTCTAAAACCCTTGGCTCTTCCAACTATACCATGAAGGTTCTCTACAGAATCTGTTGTTCTCTATAAATTCAAACGGGGAGAAAAGGAAACAACAGGGAAAAGGGATTGAGCTTTCTTTTGAAAGCAGTGACTGTCAGGCCTGCATCCATTCCTACAATTGTTTTGTTCTTTCGGTATTAAAAATCATCACTATGAGTTTTACTGAAATGCAAAATATGTCACAGCACTGCTTAAAAATCTTCAAAGACTGGCTGGGCGCAGTGGCTGACGCCTGTAATCCCAGCACTTTGGGAGGCCAAGGCAGGCAGATCACCTGAGGTCGGGAGTTCGAGACCAGCCTGACCAACGTGGAGAAACCCCATCTCTACTAAAAATACAAAATTAGCCGGGCATGGTGGTGCATGCCTGTAGTCCCAGCTACTAGGGAGGCTGAGGCAGGAGAACTGCTTGAACCCGGGACGTGGAGGTTGCAGTGAGCCAAGATTGTGCCACCGCACTCCAGCCTGGGCAACAAGAGTGAAACTCCGTCTCAAAAAAAAAAAAAAAAAATCTTCAAAGACCAGGATGAAGATCAAAATACTTATCTAATGGTCTACAAGGCCCTCAAACACCCAATTCCAGCCTCATCTTGCAGCTAACCCCAGCCAAAGCTTGTTCAAACTCCAGTTCAATTTGCCTTCTTGTTGTTCCTTCACAAAGTGCTCCTTCATGCCACCTCTGAGAGCCTCTGAACAAAGCAGTCTGCTTAGTTTTACCCATATTAATTCAGCAGCTCCCAACTCTCCTGACTCAGGATTCATCAAGTACTCACATCCTAGACTCTAGGAGCCAGCTACCCTATTTTCTCATAGCACCTGTGTGAGTTTATCTTCTTACTAAAACATAAAAGCTCCTTAAGGGCAGAAGCTATGCAAGCTTTGCTCATCACTGAATCCCAAGGATTCATTGGCAAACAACAGGTGTTTGTTTGTCTTAGCCCCTTCTGTAACAAAAGCTCAGAGTGAGTGGCTCAAGTAACACTTAACAGTTCTGGAGGCTGGGGAGTCTAAGATCAAGGTGCCAAGCATATTTAGCGTCTGGTGAAGGCCTGCGTTCTGGTTTACAGATAGCAATCTTCTTACTGTATCTTCACAAGGCAGAAAGAGTGAGGGAACTCCCTGGAGTCTCTTTTATTAATACAAGGGCACTAATCCCATTTGTGAAGGTTCCACTCTCGTGACCCAATCACCTCCCAAAGGCCCCACCTCATCACATGAGGGTTAGGTTTCAACATATGAATTTGCGAGGTGGAGGGGTGGAGACAAACGTTCAGTCTATAGCAGTGCTCAAAACTAAAATTGGGAGTGTGGGGAAATACAGTAAAAACAAAGTCAAATCTCTCCCTTCCCATCTCCTCCATTCTTCTTTCATGATGTGTCCAATGTTATCTTTTCCACTCCCACTCAAACCACTCTAGCCTAGACTCCTATTTTAACAGCATCCTGGCTAGCGTCCACACTACCATACCAATCGTTCAGTATATTAATGCTAAATTAATCTCAACACTTTCAATCTCTAAAACCTTGAATGGCTTCTCTTCTCCATCTGGTACATATTCAAGGTCATTCATAATCAGCCTTTAACTTATTTTTCCAACTTTGTCTCTCATTTCCCAACTTCAATACTAGTGCAGCCAGGTTGACACACCTCAAATTTTAAATAACATTTTCCTCATTAATAGTGACAATAGCTAACATTTAAGTATTTGTCTCAGGCACTATTCTAAGCAAGTTAATCCTTAGAACAACCCTATTATCAGCCCAATTTCATGAGTAAAAAAACTGGGACAGAGGACTACAGGCTGTCAAAGTGGTAGGAGCCAGGATTCAAACTCAGACAGTACAAGTGCCAGTGTCCTACAGTTTTAACTATCACACCATACATCAATAATGTCAGAAAAGGGAGGGGGAAACTACCATTAATCTCACCATAACCCCACTCCCAAGACAAACTGTTTAGTTTTTGATGCAGAAACATGTTTTACAAAATTGGATTTTTCACTTAATTCACAATTTCTGCATGTTAAGTATCGTTGTCACTGTTATAGTACATATCAAGGAACTAAGACACAATTAGCTGTATTCCTCAGATATATGGAATAAAAAATCATGTTATAAAAATTAGCTGGCTGTGGTGGTGCACACCTATAGCCCCAGCTACTCCGGAGGCTGAGACAGGAAGATCACTTGAGCCCAGGAGTTTGAGGCCAGCCTGGGCAACAAAATGAGGCCCCTTCTCTGGGGGAGGGGGTGTTTGAGAATCCTTCTCAAACAGGCAGGAGTGGCTGAGAAGTCTGGGGATCTCTCCCTCTGACAGAGTGTGTTAAATGAGGAGGTTCATGTTAAGGAGTCTGAAATACAGTAAGTTATTTTTAATAGTTGAGCCCACAGCTATACACCTAAACATCCCTAAGTTATTTTAAAATGTGGCCTTTGCTCAAAGGTAAAAGCTTTTCTTTTCCTAGTTCCACCAGCACTGCCATTATCATTTGCACAGACTTTATCATTCTTATCACACATTATGATAAATTATACCCAAAGCCAGTCAAGATAACTGTATTAAGCACAGGTTTCCTGCCCCCCCCATCCCCAGTGTGATGCTACTTCTAGACAGCTTTAAATCCAATCAATAATTCAGGTTAATGCAAATAAAGATGTCCAATTAATCTTTGTTAAATTCAAATATGTTACTTGAGCTAAATGCTCGTATTTTATTTCCAACACTATTCACACACACATACACACCCCTTACAGATTCCTGATTTTTGTCACTAAATTACTGTGTACATCCATGGCTACTTCCTATAAGTCACTGCAACAGAACTGCATCCTGCATTCAAAATTCTTTGTGGCAGCAGAAATGTATTCTTTTAGAAATGCTCAGTAATTGGCCAAACACCCTTATTCAAACCTCCTCCATATCGAGCATCTGTCAAGTTGTACGTACACAATTAGAGTAATGAAGCTTTTACATACATATAAACTTCAGCATCTTTTCCAAAGCATTCTCAAACACAAATTTTTAAGTGGCTGTAGGCAATTTGAGTAATTTTACATTAAAAATAACTTTTGGAATGGTGCCCTCAAAGGCTCCGTAAATGCTCTCCCCAGTGAAACAATCGTTAACTGGTGAAAATTATTTTTTTAAAAAACAAAAAACACTAAAAGCCTCTGGAAATTGTCCTAAGGGCATATACCAAATGAAAAAATAATTTATTTAAGAAAATCTACCATATCTCAGTAAGGATAGTCTGTGGCATTTGAGCCAGCTCAGCAGGACAGTAGCTCCACTCCAGGTGAGAACGGCCAAGAACACACCTCCCCCGACCCAGCTCCCAGTTGATGGTATCTCCCCAGGAGGTAAAGGCAGGCAGCATTTCTCAACACCCCCAACTTTGAGTTGCACAGGCTCTATTGCACCAAGAGTGGCTAAGAAGTCTGGGGCTCTTTTTTCCAGCTAGGCCCCACTTGTGAGGCAGACGCTCTTAACCCCAGGTGCAGCAAGTCAAGAAAAGCGTGGTCCTAATGGCCCCCACCCCACCTCACTCAGAGTCAAGATTCCATGGCAGGCAAAGCCAATCACCCTGCTCAAGAAGCAGAGGTGTCACTCTGAGAAGTGAGCCACAGTCCAACCCAGTTCTGAAGCAGTGGTGTAAAGATTTTGCCCAGGGGGAAAGGCAGGCCGTAAGAACAGAGTTCTGAAGTTGTCTTAAAGTGAACTATTTGAAACAATATGGTAATATGCTGCCTGAGGGTGTGTTGGAAAACAACACAAAACAGGAGAGATCATGGTAATAAGCAGCTATCAAAAGACCTGTGGTGGACAGCAACAAGTTAAACTACTCAGCTAGCAGCTTACCAGATAGAACCAGGGAAATAAAAGCTAAGAACCTTCCTGGGGTCAGAACAAACCTCAGACACAGCCTCAAAGATTACTTACCCCTGGAAAGCATGAGAATTTAACTGGATCAGACTGTGGGGCAATTTATGTCCCAAGGAGTCATTTAAATCAACAGACCAATCAGTAGGCAATTAGTAGAGGCTAATATGTGCATGTGATACCAACACAGAGAGAGGTTTAACAGAGAGATCACAGAAACTCACAAAGCCTTGCTAAAATCACCATCATCCCAGGCATGACTAAGGCTACACCCGCTGAAGAGCAACATCACAGGCTGAGGGGTAGGCACTAAAATAGTTCAGCCAGTCACTACATAAATAAGGAAGCAACAAACAACAAAGCTGCTAGAGGTGTAGGGTATCCAAAGTTGCTATATTATATAAAAGGTCCAGTTTTAAACAAAAAAATTTAAGACATGCACAGAAGAATGTGTGCCCCACATACAGAAAAAAAGTAGGCAAAAGAAACTGACTTTGAGAAGGTCCAGACTTAGCAGAGACCTCAAAAACAGCTCTTATGCTTATGTTCAATGAACTAAAGGAAACCATGCTTAAAGAAGTAAAATATGACAATTTCTAAACAAACAGAGACTAACAGAATTTAACAACAAAAAGAACCAAACGGAAATTCTGGTGTTGAAAAGTACAATAACTGAAACGAAAAATTCAGCCAATGAGCTGTCGGAACAAAGAATCAGCAAAGATACAGACTGTTAGATTAAGCAATCTGAATAACAGAGAAAAAAAATGAACAGAGCCTCAGAGAAATGTGTGACAAAATAAGCAAACCAACATATGCATAATGAGAGCCCCAGAAACGGGAGAAAAGGGAACAGAAAAGACATTTGAAGAAATCAGAATCAAAAACTGCCTCCAAATTTAATGAAAACCATTAATCTACACACGCAGGAAGTTCGACAAATTCCAAGTAGGATAAATTCAAGATCCAGACTGAGAAACATCATCAACTGTCAAAAGCCAAATACAAAGACAATCTTGAATGCAGCAAAAAGTGCATCCATCACCACATACAAAGGATCATCAGTAAGACCAACAGCTGATTTCTCACCAGAAAACTTGAAGGCCAGAAGGCAGTGGGATGGCATTCTTCAAGCACTGAAAGAAATAAAACTATCGTGCCAAGCGCAGTGGCTCACGCCTGTAATCCCAGCACTTTGGGAGGCCAAGGCAGGTGGCTCACCTGAGGTCAGAAGTTCGAGACCAGCCTGGTCAACATGGTGAAACCTCATCCTTACTAAAAATACAAAAATTGGCCAGGCGCAGTGGCTCACGTCTGTAATCCCAGCACTTTGGGAGGCCAGGGCGGGTGGATCACGAGGTCAGGAGTTCAAGACCAGCCTGGCCAACATTGTGAAACCCATCTCTACTAAAAATACAAAACTTAACCAGGCATGGTGGCGGGCGCCTGTAATCTCAGCTGCTTGGGAGGCTGAGGCAGGAGAATCACTTGAACCCAGGCGGCAGAGGTTGCAGTGAGCCGAGATCACACCACTGCACTCCAGCCTGGGCAACAGAACAAGACTCTGTCTCAAAAAAAAAAAAAAAAAGAAAAGAAAAGAAAGAAAGAAAACTATCAACCAAATTTATTTCAAAAATGAATTCAGGGCCGGGTGCAGTGGCTCACGCCTGTAATCCCAGCACTTTGGGAGGCCGAGACTGGTGGATCACCTGAGGTCAGGAATTTGAGACCAGCCTAGCCAACATGGCAAAACCCCATCTCTACTAAAAATACAAAAAAGTAGCTGGGCGTGGTGGCAGGCACCTGTAATCTCAGCTACTTGGAGGTTGAGGCAGGAGAAGTGCTTGAACCCAGGAGGTGGAGGTTGCAGTGAGCCAAGATCGCGCCATTGCACTCCAGCCTGAGTGACAGAGCAAGACTCTGTCTAAAAAAAAAAAAAAAAAAAAAAAAAAATTAATTCAGAAATATACTTCCAGTATGACAACCGGAGGAGCATGACAAGACACAAACTCAGTGAAATAACACTGGTAAATACAATTATGCAATTATAAGAAAACAGTATGACTGCATATTTCTTTCTCTTAACTGACTTAAAATGCATTGTGTAACACAACATGTGTATAATTCATTGTTGAGCCTACTACATATAGAAGTGTTTCCCAGTAACAACATGAATTAACATGAAATGCATCAAAGACCTAAATATAAGATAAAAAAACTATAGAACTCTTAGAATGAAACATGAGGGTAAATCTTAATGACCTAGGATTTGGCAATGGATTCTAACAGATACAATACCAAAAGCAGGAGCAACAAAAGAAATAGTTAAATGGGACTTTATCAAAATTTTAAAATTTCTGTGCTCCGAAGAACACTGTAAACAGTGAGAAGACAACCCACAGCCCACAAATTACAAGAAAAACATTTACAAATAATGTATCCAGTAAGGGACTTGTATCTAGAATATACAAAGAATTCATACAACTCAATAATAATAAAAAGACAACTCAATTGAAAAATGGGCAAAGGATCTGAATGTGTAAGACATACAAATGGTCAATAAGCATATGAAAAGATACTCAACATTATTAGCCATCAGGGAAATGCAAACCAAAACCACTATGAGATATCACTAGGATGGCTATAATCAAAAAGGCAGAAAACACAAGTGATAGCAAGGATAAGGGGAGAAACTGGAACCCCTGTGCATTGCTGGAAGAAATGTAAAATGGTGCAGCCACTGTGGAAAACATATGGTGATTCCTCAAAAAGTTAAACACAGAATTTACATATGATACATACAGCAATTCCACTTCTGGGTATACACTCAAAAGAACTGAAAGGGACTTGAACAAATACTTGTACACCCATGTTCATAGCGGCATTAGTCACAATAGCCAAAATGTGGAAGCATATGTATCCGTTTGACAGATGAATGTGTCAATAAAATATACATACAAACAATGGAAAATAATCCAGCTTTAGAAAGCAAGGAAATTTTGACATGCTACAATATGGATGAACCTTGAGGGCACTATGTTAACTGAAATAAAGCGGTCACAAAAGGACAAATATTTTATGATTCCACTTATGAGGTACCTGGAGTCGTCAAATTCACAAAGTAGAATAGTGGTTGCCACTTTTCCCCCAACACATTGATGTTTTGTACCCACAAGTAACAGAAGCTGAATGCAGCATGGGGTTGGGGGTTATAGGTCTGAACCAGATGCTCATCACCACCACCTCCTAGCCCCACATTATTCTTCTTGGCTTAGTCAGGCCACATGCTCTGTCTCAGAAGTATGTACGCAGTTCCACCTGATATTTATGCATCTTAGCTTTGTCTCTCTAAGTCAGTCACCCCAACCCTCCCCCTTATACCTGCCCCTTCCATCAAGCTACCTTTTTCAAGTCCTATATTTATTGTAGTTTGTCAGAAATTTAGGATCTTCAAAACTGTGCTATTTTACTGGAATTTTTATTGTTTTGTTAGTGCTCTAATTACAAAGTAACATAGCTTTGAAGTGATCAGTTTACTCTTAAGCCCATTTTTCCCTATACACATTGTTAGTTTTTGGTACCTGATTTTTGCAGACTATGAGGTTTTCAACAATGCATATACTGCAACATAGCAGACAGGCCGACAACAGATGATGTTCTAACTCCAGGTATCTTTTTTTTTTCTCTCTCAAGATGGCTAATACCTCCAGAGACTGTTGAAAAGCTTTAATAGGAGAATGTATGTGAAGTACCAGACACACAGAGGGACCCAGTAAAGAGCAGGTGTTTTAACAAGTGCTGGTTATTCCTCTCTTGAAATGCTGATTATCCCCTCTTGACAATTCTTATTTTTGAATCTTCAGAGGGTCCCTATAAATATAATCTCTAGACCAGCCCAGAGGAAAATTATTCTCCCAACTATAAATTATCAGAATTTGCTGCTCCTGGTATACACACCACAATTGCTTAGGTTTTTAAATAAATGAACAGCCTCAACAGTTTTACTGATATAGCTGTTATTCCATTGCATTACAACAGAATCCTACCACATTTTAAAATTATTTTGTCCTATTTTTTAAAAAGTAAATTTCAAGTTAAAGGTATAGGCCGTGTGAAGTGGCTCACACCTGTAATCCCAACACTTTGGGAGGCCGAGGTGGGCAGATCACTTGAGCCCAGGAATTGCCCAGCACACCAGCCTGGGCAATATGGCAAAATCCTTCTCTACAAAAAATACAAAAATTAGCTCAGCGTGGTAGCATGCACCTGTAGTCCCAACTACTGGGAGTGCTGAGACAGGAGGATGGCTTAAGCCTGGGAGTTCAAGGCTATAGTGAGCCATGATCACGCCACTGCACTTCAGCCTGGGTGACAGAGCGAGAACCTGTCTCAAAAAAGGGGGAGTGGGGGTGGTATCTTACCTTCTAGAAGACAATTCATAGCATAATATTCCTATCAGATTTTGTGCTGGCTCTGAAGAAAATTTGACAGTAGGGAAAATTAAACTAGTAATGAGATAAAATTATGTGGTGCTACACAACTAATTATCTGTTGAGTGAAAGAATGAACAAATGAACGACCCTTTTAGTTAGAAATATATTTCCCATTTCATAAATAGAGAAATAACCTAGTAAATACAAAACTGCAGTCCCAGTTCCAGTCACCTAATGCCAAATGCTAGGTTTCCAGCAATAATATTAAGTAAGCTGGCTCAAGCTTGCAAATTCTGGTTCTATCATAACAGAATTTTTAAAAACTAATTTAATCACTTTCTATTTTAATGTTGCTTAAATAAATGCAGAAATGAAATTAGGATTAAATTCCTTATGCTTACTGCTCTCATAACTAAAACTAAAATAAATTTATAAATGGAATACAAATAAAACTATTAATATAACGTGACAGATGGCAGTGTATTACTGAATGCTAAGGCATGGGTTCGAGTTTTGCATGGCTATACCACCATCATATGTTCCTACTTCTACCTGAATGATTACACT
The DNA here is from genome assembly GCF_000001405.40 of Homo sapiens. Taxonomy (NCBI): domain Eukaryota; kingdom Metazoa; phylum Chordata; class Mammalia; order Primates; family Hominidae; genus Homo; species Homo sapiens. The sequence continues at coordinate 41,103,475 of NC_000023.11, read as the reverse complement.
ACTCTATACACATAGTATCCTGTGACATCATTTGCCCTTGGCACCAACACATTATTAAGCTAACATAAGTACCGAAATGATGTTAACAGTTCTTGATTATGAGGCAGTCATCTGGATAATCCAAAAATGCATGTACTAATGTTGAAAAATATCATCAAAACGAAAAGACTTATTTTAAAAAGAAAACACCTTTCTTAACTCCTTTTTTAAATCGTTACAAAGGCTGTGAAGTTCCGACAAATCCCAGTCCCTAAATCAGCCAATAGGTGAGCAATGTTGACTTAATATTAGACATAAGTCACATCAAATGTTACAGAATGCGGGTATGCCTAACTATCAATCTACTCTGTTGAAACAACAGGTTAAGATAAACTCAAAGTTAGGCCGGGCGTGGTGGCTCAAGCCTGTAATCCCAGCACTTTGGGAGGCCAAGGCAGGCGGATCACCTGAGGTCAGGAGTTCAAGACTAGCCTGGCCAATATGGCGAAACCCTGTCTCTACTAAAAAATACAACAATTAGCCGGGCGTGGTGGCGGGCGCCTATAATCCCAGCTACTAGGGAAGTTGAAGCAGGGAGATTGTTTGAACCCAGGAGGTGGAGGTTGCAGTGAGCCAAGATTGCACCACTGCACTCCAGCCTGGGTGAGAGAGCAAGACTCCGTCTCAAAAAAAAAAAAGATAAACTCAAAGTTATCTGTTAACAGCTTTTTACCAATTTTTGACAAAATTATCTAACTTTTCTAAGTTACTAACCCAATCATGAAATGCTAACCCAATACACTGAAAAGAAAGATCTCATTTCATTTATGACATTTTAGACAAGGCAGTATTAATAATTAACTTTTTCTTTTTTTTGAGACAGTCTCGTTCTGTCGCCCAGACTTGAGTCCAGCGGCGTGATCTCAACTCACTGCAACCTCCACCTCCTGGGCTCAAGCAATTCTCGTGCCTCACCCTCTCAAGTTGCTGGGATTACAGGTGTGTGCCACCACACTCAGCTAATTAATTTTTTGTATTTTTAGTAGAGACAGGTTTTCCCTATGTTGGCCAGGCTGGTCTTGAACTCCTGACCTCAAGTGATCCGCCCACCTCCACCTCCCAAAGTGCTGGGATTACAGGCATGAGCCACTGCACCCAGTCTAGTAACATTTTTTATGTGCCTCCACTGGGTGTTCTTTCTGCCTGTATCTTCCAAAACCAGATTGGTTAAATCATAAATGTAAAGAATCTGAAAAAGTACACCAAAAAATTTCAAATTATGTTTAATCAATGAGATTATCATTATAAATTATATTTAAGTTTTTTAAAATAACACCCTTGAGATCTAATTCACATACCATACAAATCGTCCATTTAAAGTGTACAAGTCAAAGGTTCTCAGTATATTCAGAGTTGCACAATTATCACCAAAATCGATCTCAGATTACTTTTTCATCACCCCCAAAAAGAAACTTCATACCATTAATAGCATTCTCCCTTCCCTCCAACCTCCCCTCAGTCCCATGCTAATCTATTTTCATATAAATGGCATCATGTGATATGAGGTCTTTTGTGACTGGTTTATTTCACTTAAGCATAACATTTTCAAAGTTCATCCAAGTTGTAGCATGTATCAGTACTTCATTTCTTTTCATTGACAGATAATATTCCATTGTATATTTTATTTATGCATTCATCACTTGATGGACAATGGACATTTGGGTTGTTTCTGTAATAGTTTTACATACACAAATTCCACTAAGAAAGATCTGAGAAGAAGTATCCTCTAAAGTCATTATTTATTTATTTTTTTTAATTTATTTTTTTTGAGACGGAGTCTTGCTCAGTCGCCCAGGCTGGAGTGCAGTAGTGCGATCTTTGCTATAGGCGTGGTGGCGGGCGCCTATAATCCCAGCTACTAGGGAGGCTGAAGCAGGGAGACTGTTTGAACCCAGGAGGTGGAGGTTGCAGTGAGCCAACCTCCCGGGTCCAAGCAATTCTCCTACCTCAGCCTCCTAAGTACCTGGGACTACGGGCATGTGCCACCACACCCGGCTAATTTTTTTTTTTTTTGTATTTTTGGTAGAGACTGGGTTTCACCATATTGGCCAGGCTGCTCTCGAACTCCTGACCTCGTGATCCACCCGCCTAAGCCTCCCAAAGTGCTGAAATTACAGGTGTGAGCCACCGTGCCTGGCTGGCTTCTCTAAAGTCTTTATATCTTTGCACAATTAATCCTAAAGATTCGAACACTCAAATTAACACCGGAAGGGCTAATACTCAAAACAGAAAAATCTAAAGTGAAAGCTGTATCGAGTTACTGCAAATGAAATTTTCAAATACAATGTTAAAGCAAAAATAAAAACATTAAAAATTTAAAATATAGTATATAAAAGACGAAAATATTTAAATTCAGTATGTGGTACCTTCTCCCCATAATTATAGAGACACTATTATTAAACAAAAAGACCAGAGGTCAGCAATTTTTTGATAGAATATCACATATAAAATTAGAAGCAGAACAGCTAAAAGCAAGGGATGATCATCTTTAAAACAGGAGAGGTGGCCACATCTGCAATCCCAGCACTTTGGGAGGCTGAGGCGGGTGGATCACCTGAGGTCAGGAGTTCGAGACCTGCCTGGCCAACATGGTGAAACCCCATCTCTACTAAAAATACAAAAATTAGCTGGGCGTGGTGGTGGGCACCAGTAATCCCAGCTACTGAGGAGGCTGAGGTAGGAGAATTGCTTGAACCCAGGAGGCAGAGGTTGCAGTGAGCTGAGATCACGCCATTGCACTCCAGCTCAGGTGACAAGAGCAAAACTCCATTTCAAAAAAAATTTTTTTTAAATAAATAAAAAATAAGAGAGTTGCATGCTAAGGGCCCTTTTAGCTAGATTTTATGAAAGAGCAAATAATACTTGTGTGCCGTTGGAAATGCAAGACAGGAGGCAAAATTAACAAGGAAAAAATGCTAATTAAAAAGGACGATTGAAGGAACTTATATGCAGTAGAGCGCTCATTTACTCAGACATTATGTAATGCAGTAGTTAACACTAAAGACTGAAGATAAACTGCCTTAGTTTGAATTCCTGTTCTACCACTTAACTAGGTGTACAAGCTGGACAAGTTATTCAACCTCTGTGCCTTGGTTTCCTTATATATACAACAGAGACAGTAATATCTACCTTTTAGAGCTGTTGTAAGAATATAAAGAATTTATGCAGGTGAAGCAATTTCATAGATCCTCACACACAGGTGTTAAGTGTTAGTGATTGTTACCTGTGAGAAGTTTACAAAGCAGAATGAGAGAATATGTAAGAACTAAATTGAACTTATAATTTACAATAGAGCAGCACAATATGAGCACCAAGGAAAAAAACATCTAAATTAGAATGGGATATACTGAAATATGTAAGATGAAATGCTGTCTGGGTTTTGCATCAAAATGGAAGGGGGTAGGTAAAAAAGACTAGCCATGAGTTGAAGCTGATTGATGGGCAAATGGAAGTTTATCTACATCTGTGTATGTTTGATTTTTCCTTAATAAAAAGCTTGGAAAGGGAGTAAATTAGAAGAGGGTAGAGAGTATCTATTAAAGACTTCTCAGAAAAGGGATTACAAGCATATGCCACCAAGCCTAGCTAATTTTTGTATTTTTAGTAGCAACAGGGTTTCATTATGTTGGTCAGGATGGTCTCGATCTCCTGACCTCGTGATCCACCTGCCTTGGCCTCCCAAAGTGCTGGGATTACAGGTGTGAGCCACCATGACCAGCCAATTAAGTTTATTTTTAAAAGCCTCATTTCAGAAAATTCATTCAACTAGTGATTTTGAACTACACAAGATGTTATTAGCCAAGCTTCAAATTTTATAGGTAAGCAAGAGTTAAATAGTAAAATGACTGGTGAGCATGTGAAAGTATTCTAAACACTAGACACAAATACAAATTTAAGCCACCAGATATTCCTAAACTTCCACCAAGAGGGCTAAAATTAGAAACACTGACTGATAATAATACTAAGTATTGATAAGGAAGAGCAACACGACCTACTGCTAGTAGGAGTTTAAACTGGTACAACTACTTGGGAAATCTGTTTGGCAGTATTGACTAAAGCTAAACACATATGTATCCTATAAACCAGCAATTCCAATCCTGGATATGCAGCAAAAGACCACCAAAAGACATATACAAAAGTGTTCATGGCAACATTCTTTATATTGGTGAAAACACTGAACAATCTCAAACGTCAGCCAGACACAGTGGCTCACACCTGTAATCCCAGCACTCTGGGAGGCTGAGGCAGGAGGATTGCTGGAGCCCAGGAGCTCGAGACCAGCCTGAGCAACATAGTGAGACTCCATCTCTGTTTAAAAAAAAAAAAAAAAAAAAAAAAAACAATTATCTGGGCATTATGGCATGTGGTCGTGGTCCCAGCTACTCAAGAGGCAGAGGTGGGAGGAATCGCTAGAGCCTGGAAGGACAAGGCTGCACTGAGCTGTGATCACACCACTGCACTCCAGCCTGAGTGATAGAGCAAGACCCTGTTTCAAAACAAACAAATGAAAAAAACCCACCTCAATCCAACAGAATGGATAAATAAATCATGGATTTAATACAATACTATACAGTAATGAAAAAGACGAAGTTGGCTGGGCACGGTGGCTCACACCTGTAATCCCAGCACTTTGGGAGGCTGAGGCAGGCAGTCAGCAGTTCGAGACCAGCCTGGCCAATGTGGCGAAACCCCATCTCTACTAAAAACACAAAAATTAGCCGGGTGTGGTGGCAGGCGCCTGTAATCCCAGCTACTCGGGAGGCTGAAACAAGAGAATCACTTGAACCTGGGAGGCGGACGTTGCAGTTAGCCAAGCTCGCCACTGCACTCCAGCCTGGGCAACAGAGCAAGACTCCATCTCAAAAAAACAATAAAGAAAAAGACAGTTAGTGATCATGTATTGAGCAACAGCAGCCAGATACAGGAGTATATAGTGTATTACTCCATTTATCCGAAGTTCAAAAATAGGCATAACATTCATTAAAAGACAGAGGTCAGGCTGGGCACGGTGGCTCACGCCTGTAATCCCTGCACTTTGGGAGGCCGAGGTGGACAGATCACTTGAGGTCAGCAGTTCGAGACCAGCCTGGCCAACATGGCCAAACTCCATCTCTACTAAAAATACAAAATTAGCCAGGTGTGGTGGTGTGTGCCTGTAATTCCAGCTACTCGGGAGGCTGAGGCAGGAGAATCGCTTGAACCCAGGAGATGGAGGCTGCAGTGAGCCAAGATCACACCACTGCACTCCAGCCTGGGCAACAGAGCGAGACTCCATCTCAAGAAAAAAAAAAAAAAAAGAGGTCAGGGTATTTGGGGTTTTACAGGGAGGAGGTAGAGGCATAAGGGAACCTTCCAGGGTGCTGGAAATATTCTGTATCTTGATCTGAATGACTACACAGATGTATATATTTTCTAAAAATTTATCAAGCTATACAATCTCATATTTGTGCATTTTACTGTAAGTTATATATCTCAGTTAAAATAAAATTTACAGTAGATAAGCCACTCAAAAGATAACATCACATCTTCTCTTGGCAGTCTAAGACACTGGTTCTCAAAGATCCCTGAGATCTTTTCAAGAGGTCAGAGAGGTCAAAATTGTTTTCTTAAGACTTTACTTGCCATTTTCACTGTCATTCTTTCTCAAGTGTACTATGGAGTTCTTCCAAAGGCTATATGACGTATTATATCGCAATAGATTGAAGGCAGAAGGAGGCAGAGAATCCAGTTGTCTTCTATTAAGCCAGATAGGAGATTTGTAAAACATGTAAAACAATGCCTCTCTTCTAATTTTTGTTCTGGAAAAGTTATTTTTCATAAAAATATCTAATTGACATGCAGTGGGGTTTTGTTACTTTTAAAAGCATACATAACTTTATTAAATGTCTGTTTTCATTTCTAATACAGTAAATCATCAATGGCTGTAACCCCACATAAACAAAAGCTCTCTGGGATCCTCAATAATTTAAGAGTATAAAAGCATCCTGAGACCAAGTTTGAGAATGACTCACCTAAGAAACAAAATAAGCTTCTTTTGCTAGTTCTCTTACAGTAAAATAAGAAATGAGGTATCAACATTTTCTCTGAAACCATCTGTGCCAGATAAAAATCACTATTACTGTATTTATCTGTGTATTTTCATCTTCAATTCGGAAAAAATAATTTCCCCCTAAATACTATTTCCCCTAGCAGGCTATATCACTTTTTAGCAAGTTATGTTATTAAAGCACTAGACTGCAGATGAAAACTTAACCAAACTTTAAGTTGCTCTGCCAACAAAGAAATTATACCCCTGGCTACAAAGTCTATGGTCCCTAAATTCACAGTACAAGCTGTGGGCCAAGCACAATTAACCCACAGGATTCTAAATAAAATAAAGCCCTTCAGACCACACAGGAGAAACAAGGGAGAGGAGACATTCAAGTTGTTGGATTGACAAGTAAATGGAGGAATATAACCAACTTCTAAACCCATTAAAGTGTTTACCTTCTCTGTTTTCCTTTACTTGACAATTTCTCTTGACTACAGATTTTTCCACATCTTTAGGAATAAAGATAAAATTTAAGAACTTAAAAAAGTAGTAGTTTAACTCACCTCTTGCCCAACATCTTGGTTTTACAGAGTCATGAAGACCCAAGAGGTTAGCTAAGTGATTTAACACAGGGAGTTGGGTAACTGGAACTAAAGCACAGCTCTTGACCAGGCGCGGTGGCTCATGCCTGTAATTCCACCACTTTGGGGGACCAAGGCAGGCTGATCAGCTGAGGTCAGGAGTTTGAGACCAGCCTGGCCAACATAGTAAAATCCCATCTCTACAAAAAATACAAAAATTCGCCGTGGGTGGTGGTGCCTGTAATCCTAAGCTACTTGAGAGGCAGAGGCAGCAGAATCACTTAAACCCAGGAGGCAGACGTTGCACTGAGCTGAGATCACACCACTACACTCCAGCCTGGGCGGCAGAGCGAGACTCTGTCTCAAAAAATCAATAAAATAAAAAAATAAAACACAGATCTTGTGACTCCAAGTCCAGTACCCTTCCACTGACTACATTCTCACTTAAAATAGTAAAGCTAACCTCCAAAATAGGAAGCAATGAAATAATTACAATTAAACCATCAGATTATTCACCTATGTTTGTATATCAAAGTATTTTAGGGCAAAATAACATCTACACAAACCAAGGAGAGGCTACAATTAATGCTCTCTGGATGCCAGTCTAACCCCTTGCGGGGAGCGGGGGGGAAGATGACACTTGTGCTTTGATAATCCACTGTTTAAGGAACCACATTGAGAGAGTAGTCATTCTGTAACCCAGATTCCCTTCTCTCAATGACCTTTCAACAGACCTCAACAGACAGCAGCTCTCAGTGAGGAAAGGGAATTGGAGGTGGCAGGAAAAGTTGAAAGGAAGACAATAGAGGTGTTTTGCTTTTTAGCTCAGTACTCCATTCTGTGGCAGAAAAGCCAAACTCAAATTAGCAGCACCTCCCTCATACCATGGGAGCACCCCATTGATCTCCTTCCTTTATTCCATTCCCTAATCATTATTTCTTATCTTTCAGAAGAACGGTTAAAATACCATCTCAATCCCCCGACACTCAACTCTCCAACACATCTGCCACGAATGCCATCAGAATTATCTTTCAAAAACAAACACAAATCTAATGTCTCCTTTCACTTAAACTTCAAAGTACATCTCTCATTACCTTAACAGTAAAAGGCAAATGTCCTAACATGGCACTCAAGGTTACCCCTTGTGATTTTAGCTTCACTCAAACTACCTTTCAGTTCCATCTCCCATAACCCCTCCCCTCCCAGTATCTCTAGTGTTCCTTGCACACTCTCCTACTAGTTCTTACTCTGAAAACACTATACTTTCACACTTGCATTGCTCCATTTCAAATAATGGTTCTCAATTTTGCCCCCAGGGCACAACTGGCAATGTCTGAAGACATATGAGTGGGGTAGGGGCTATACCACTGGCATCTTGTGGGTAGAAGCCAGGGCTGAGTAGGACAGCACCTCACAACAAAGACTTATCTGCCCCAAACTGTCAATAGGGTTAAAAAACCCTGCCTGATCTCAAGTTGATCCCTCTGACCGGAAGTCCCTGCTCTAATTAATAGGGCCATGAAAATAGGACATCTTTGAAGACCTCACCCAATGCCAAACAATGATTTCTCCATCTCTCCTACTACACTTTTCACACCTCCACTTAATACAGCTGTAATTGCACTGTATAACTGTCTGGTTCACCATACTTCAGAGCCTTGAAAGCAGAGAATCATCTTTATATACCCTCTGGTGCCTAAAATGGCACAGGTTGAGCATCCCTTATCTGAAAAATCTGGAATCCAAAATGCTCCAAAATCTGAACTTTTTTTTTTTTTTTTGAGACGGAGTCTCGCTCTGTCACCCAGGCTAGACGGAGTGCAGTACCGCGATCTGGGCTCACTGCAACCTCCACCTCCTGGGTTCAAGGGATTCTCCAGCCTCAGCCTCCTGAGTAGCTGGGATTACAGGTGCACACCACCATGCCTGGCTAATTTTCATATTTTTAGTAGAGACGGGGGTCTCACCATGTTGGCCAGGCTGGTCTCGAACTCCTGACCTCAAGTGATCTGCCCGCCTCAGCCTCCCAAAGTGCTGGGATTACAGGGGTGAGCCACCGCGCCTGGCCCCAAATTTCGGATTTTGAATTTTCACTCACCCGCAAGTAATATTCCAAATATTCCAAAATATGGGGAAAAAATTACAAAATCGGAAACACTTCTGATCCCAAATATTATGGATAAGGCGTACTAACTGAATCTATATTAAATCAATGAATTCAATTCAATCACAGTAAGGTAGCACTGACATGATTCTCCTTCCCATAATGCACCGAGGATAACAAAGCAATCCTCAGCTGACATTGATATGGCTCAGATAACGACATGCACTGACATCAGACAAGAAACACACCAGGCACGGTGGCTCACACCTGTAATCCCAGCACTCTGGGAGGATGAGGCAGGTGGATCACCTGAGGTCAGGAGTTCGAGACCAGCCTGGCCAACATGGTGAAACCCCATCTCTACTAAAAATACAAAATTAGCCGGGTATAGTGGCACCCACCTGTAATCCCAGCTACTCAGGAGGTTGAGGCTGGAGAATCACTTGAACCCAGGAGGCGGAGGTTGCAGTGAGCCGAGATCACGCCATTGTACTGTAGCCTGGGCAACAAGAGTGAAACTCCATTTCAAAAAAAAAGAAAAAAGAAATACACCTGTAGTCACTACAGTAGGTTCCTCCTCCAACACTCAGTCTGGCCCCACAATCCCTCTTGCCTCAGCTCAGCATGCTCCAAGTCAACTCTTAAGAATCCTGGATAATTAATTATATCTACAAAGGACACAGTAAACAGATAATATACACACTAATTAAATGAGTAAATGAGATTTTCTATATTTTCAAAAGTCTGGACAAATGCTGTACATAGCCAGTATCCTCCTTTCACATTCCCGAAAATGTGAGAGAAGTCAAAAATTTCAAAAACGACAGTCACCTTTTTAGGGGTTTTTCCCACTCACAGAGTACAGAAACTTTTATTTCTAATTATACCCTCACCTTTCAAATGTAAACTTCATCATACATTTGCCTCACTTAATTCCTATTTCATTCTAATTATTGCATTCACTATTTGCACAAAGCCAACTAACCTAACCAATGAGCACAACCTAATCCAGTAAGGTTTAAGATTCATATCCCTAACCAGTTCCCTCTGTCTCAAGGATATTTAAGACCTCCAGGTAGGCCAGGCATGATGGCTCATGCCTGTAATCCCAGCACTTTGGGAAGCCGAGGCAGGCGGATCACCTGAGGTCGGGAGTTCAAGACAGCCTGACCAACATGGAGAAACCCCAACTCTATTAAAAATACAAAATTAGCTGGGTGTGGTGGCGCATGCCTGTAATCCCAGCTACTCAGGAGGCCGAGGCAGGAGAATCACTTGAACCCAGGAGGCGGAGGTTGTGGTGAGCCGAGATCGCGCCATTTACTTTTTTGTTTTCTGCTCATTCTTATAAAAAGGCAAAATACATCTGAACTTGCACATAAACACAAGATACTGCCGTACAAATACAGCAAAGCTGCTGAAACCAAACTATTCTCAGGCAATACCACCTTGCAATAAAAAGAAATCCCTTTCATCAGCTAATGTACAGAAGTTTGAACCTGACTTAAGGAAAGGAGGTTCAGAGTTGTTAACATATAGTGTATCAAATAGGAGGTCAAGCACAGTGGCTCAGGCCTATAATCCCAGCAACACTGGGAGGCCAAAACAGGAGGATTGCTTGAGGCCAGGAGTTTGAGACCAGCCTGGGAAACACAGTCAAACCCCTGTTCTCTAACAAAAATTAACCAGGTGAGGTGATGTCGGCCTGTGGTCCTACTTACTCGGCAGGCTGAGGTGCGAGGATGCCTTGAACCCAGGAATTCCAGGCTACAATGAGCTATGATTGCGTCACCACAATCCAGCCTGAGTGACAGCGAGACCCCTCCTCTTAAAAAAAAAAATCACTGCTCTTAACTAGGGGCTGGCAAACTATGGTAACAGACCAATTCCAGCCTCCTGTTTTTGTACAGCTCACAAGGTAAGAATGGATTTCACACAGAACGTCTGCAATCAATTTGATGACAGGGAACACTGAACTTTACCCAATAAAGCAAAATACTGTATTACCTCCCCTCCACACACACACACCAAATTGTTTTTCTCATTAGACCTAAGTTATACATAACTGTATTTAATTATATTTTTTATTTCACCAATAAAAATTTTACCCAATGTCCTCAATTTTGCCTCTTAGCCCACAAAGTCCAAAGTATTTACTATGTGGCCCTTTACAGAAAAAGTTTACTGATCCCTGTGCTCTGAACTCCAGAGATGTTACCAAGCAGAGCAACCAAAACTTTGTACACTACACCTCGACCAGAGAGAAAACACTGTTAGGCAGAAATGGGTTCAATACTATACGGTAACTTCCATGCTCTCTGGGGTCCAAGTTAATAATGAGCGGCCTTACTTAGGAGTTCTAAGTAACCAGTTAACAGAAAAGACTAGAAATGAGAGATGTAACCAACAGCCTCAACTTATAACTCTCAATAGCCACCAAAGTCAGCAGGAATAAAATGGACATCAAGGATACTAACAGGAGGCTTCGCCACTCCCTTTTTCCTTTCCACCCAATTCACAGGCTCTGTAGAAGATGGGATCTAATATGCACGATCACCAGCTCAAACTCATCCCAAGGAAAACAATTCCTTTGATTATGGTTGACTAACATGGTGTTCAAAGCTCACATGATTAATAAGAATAAACTGTAGGGTGCCATAAAATGAAGATGAATCAATTCTGTACAAGAGGTTGGAGGTACTGCAAGTTAAATACTGCCCCAGATTTTCCCATTCAGGTAATCAAATGGTTATTATAAACAGTATTATTCTAGGTGCTCTGTAATATACAAAGGTAAAGGACAGAATCCCTGACCTTATTATCCATTACCAGGGAGACAGTTTAATGTTAATTTTATGAGTGACTACAGAGAATTTAATAATTAATGTGATTTGACACATATAGATATAGCTTCATAAAGAAGGTAGTCTATGGCATGCTATCTTGGTCAAGTTACTTCACCTTTCACCTCTTTGAGCCATTTTTTTCATCTGAAAAATGAAGGGTCTGACTAGAAAGAATTGAGATCTCTTCCAGGATTTCTCATTGTAATGAGATTAGTAAGAAAAGTGACTCCCAGAAGTAAAAAGATTTAGCAAAAAATAAGTAAAATAGCAAGAATGTGATAAACTATATTCATCCAACAGTTACTAAATGTCTATATGCCAGGCACTTTCTAGGTGCTAAGGATATTATCACTGACTTAGAATGAAAGCCACTAACCTTAAAGATAGAATTGTGAGGACAAAATTAATCAAAACACCTAAACAAAGTAAATTAAATAGAAAAACACACTGTATAGAGATAATAGAGCATCAATACAGCAAAGGAATGGCAGGAGTAAGGGGTGACACCAGAGTATGTAATTTCTGGTCAAAAATTAACAGCATCAGAAGTACAGCTATTCCTAAAGCCAGTATGCCAAGAATTCCAAAAGAACCTATTTCTACTATACTTGACATTTGGGCTCACTGGAGAAAACTGGAGTTCAGAATGAAATTCTATTTAGTGACAAAAAAAATTCAATTGGCATATACCATAACAAAGTTTTTTTAAATAACAACTTAATCCAATCTCTCCTACGAGGTACATAAAAGAATGCCAGAAAACTAGCACTAAAGACTTTAGAGATCAGCTAGTCCAGCCCACCTCACTTCATATGTTAGCTTCTAGACAACAGTAATCTCTAGAACAGTGCCTAGCACACAGCAGATGCCCCAGAAGTATTTGTTGAACGGATTAAAAAGGAAACAAATGTCTTAACAGATATTAATGTTTATAGTAGAGCTGGAACCGTAACACCGAGAAGGTGCTAAGTGACAATAAATTTGATATATATGTGCACATATACTGTATATAATACATGTGAGTGTGGAATCCCTGTCTCTTCTAGTGTTTGAGCTTTTCACTACATGTTTGTGTTTCAGTCTGGAATTTTTGACTGTGTGACTAACAAAACGAAACTCAAACAAGAGTACTGCTGCCTAATGGTGGAACACATGACATGCAAAGGGTCTCAATTCTCCCCTTTCCCTAAAAGGGACTGCAAAAAAAAACCTCTGGTTACACATCAGACTCACCTATAGAGCAAATATATATTTTGAAAAAGCTCCACAGATGATTGATACACAGAGGTGGTAGAAAATCCTTGTTAGGCAGTGATTGAGAATAAAATTGAAAATCCATTTGCTGCCAAATATAAGATATGTGTGTATACACACGTTGAAGACACCAAGATTTAGCATGAGTATCTTTGAAGAATAAATTTTAGGTAAGCGATCTCATCCTAACAATATACTTTTTCACAAGTTATTCTTTAAAAGTATATTACAATGGTCATCACTTTATAATCCACAATAAATTATAAATTCAATGCCCAATATAGGTAAGTGTTAGAAGTTTTAAGTCTTTTTCCTTATTACATCAACTTTTTTCATGATCCTTATAGTCTCATTTTCTATAATTTAACAAAAAGATCTTTGGGGAATCTTGTGTCACACTAAGAATGCTCATAGGGCCGGGCCCAGTCGCTCATGCCGGGAATCCTAACACTTCGGGAGGCCCAGGTAGGCAGACAGCTTGAGCCCAGCAGTTCAAGACCAGCTTAGGCAACAAGGCAAAACCCATCTCTATAAAAGAGAAAAAAAATACAAATAGCCAGGCATGGGAGCACCTGTAGTCCCGGCTACTCAGGAGACTAAGGGGAGAGGATCACCTGAGCCCAGGAGAGGTGGAGGCTGCAGTGAACCGTGACCACTCCAGCCTCAGTGACAGAGTGAGAATCTGTCTCAAAAAAAAAAAAAAAAAAAAAAAAAAAACCCTCATAGATCCTAAACTCCTATAGGCTTCCCTGCTGCCATGCCCCCACCATGCAGAATTTGGTCCAATGGACCAAGGGGATTAAGAGACAGAAACTCCAAATAAATGTCTGTTATTGTTATTTCATTCGTTCCATAAAACAATTATACATCAATCCCAAAACAACACAAAATTCAAAACGCTTAATCAAAATCAAACTGATTTTGACTAAGACAAATAAAACTCTAAATTCTCAAACTGAGATAACAGAATTTCATGTGACACTAAACGGTAATTTGTGGGATCATTTAAATAAATTACTAGGAGACAAATGCATAGTTTCTACACCTTTTAGGAATGTTGTGTAATATTTTGTCATAAACGCACCAACTAAACTATCACCCTGAGCACGCTGGAAGATATATGGAAGGGGAGAAACCTATTTGCCACATAGCTTTTAACATCTCCCTTGGGCAACCAAGATATTTATCAAATTGGAGACTATCTTGATAGTCTTAAAAACTAAACTATATCTTAACTTACTCTGGTACGAGAAACAAACCAAAAGCTCTAAATGCTTTTTTAAAAATAGCAATCAGTGTCATTTCACTAACATAGCACAGTAGTCGAAGCACCACTGGTTGAACCTGACAGACCTCAGACCCATCGTAAGGCAATAAATGGAAAATGCTTAACAGTGCTGACAGACAATTAATGCTCAAATGATAATCATGCTAATAACTGAAAACAATTGAGAAAAAAATCCATTTTCTTATTTATCCACTTGAAAGTTCTAACAACATGATAAAAACAATAGCCCAGTGGTTTTCAACTCCAAATGCATGTAAGAATCATCCACAATGCTTTTAAAATATACCTTTGCCCAGGCTCCCTATCAGACCAATTAATCAGTCTCTGGGGGTGGAACCCAGGGATCAGTTTTTTTGTTGTGGTTGTTTTTTAACCCCGCCAAGTGATTCTCATGTCCAGTCAGGGTTGAGGTCCAATGCACTAACTCTTTCCCAAATATTAACGTTAAACTCTATGTTAAAATAATACAAGAACTTAGCAATACACAGGATGGCTTTCAAAAACACAGCTCCTAAAAGAACCAAATGACAACTAAAATCCGGTTTTTTCCCTTTTTGAAAAAAAAAAGAAAAACAATTCAAGACTCAGAAAACATACCTACAAGAGGGGAAACATAATGTAGGCTACCATAAAAAGTAATACGTTCTTTCAGAATAAAAATCAACTAACTCAATCTCAGGATAAGACCCCCCTCACCTTCACTGCCCAAAAGACTTAGAAGAACACTAATCCATTAACACACACTGCTAGATATTTCAAATAACTAATTCTTAACATCTGTTTTAAACAAAGATTGGTTTTAATACTAAAATTTTGAAACTAAAACGTTAGAAATTGATCTTATTAAATAAAAATAAGCTCAAAGACACTTGTTGTGTGACCAACTAATCAAGAACTGGATGATTAGCAAATTCATGACAAACATCCATTTCAAAACCATAAGCTGCATTATTACCACCATGTCAAAGAAAAATCTCTGAGAAGATAGCAAAGAAATCTCATACCTTAAGATATTAAAAACAAGACTCTGGAAGAAAAAAGATCTAAAGTAAATCCTACTTGAGCATTCCATAGATAAAACATGAGAACTGGGAGGTCGACACGGGCGGATCACGAGGTCAGGAGATCGAGGCCATCCTGGCTAACACGGTGAAACCCCGTCTCTACTAAAAATACAAAAAATTAGCCGGGCGTGATGGCACGCGCCTGTAGTCCCAGCTACCAGGGAGGCTGAGGCAGGAGAATCCCTTGAACCCGGGAGGTGGACGTTGCAGTGAGCCGAGATCGTGCCACTGCACTCCAGCCTGGGCGACAGACAAAAAAACAAACAAACAAAACCATGAGAACTATGGACTATGGAACACCAAACTAGAGACCCCAATAACCTGGTGAAAGGTAAAATCTGCCCTTCAATGTTCCTTCCTGAAGTAACTTAAGATTCTCACATGTACTGTTGCTGGTGCTATTACTCCCTCCAGAAATTCTCAGAAACTACCAAGGTCAGCAAACAAAAGAAACATGAGAACGCTGATAACCAGAATTACAAGTTACATGTTCATGCAAAAAAATACAAGAAAAGGGGTAGAGAGAATTCATATAGTCCAAACGTCCTATTTTTAAATTAGAGAAAATAAAACAGTAAAATACCAAAGACATTTTGAGTTCACCTGTGGAACACCAATTCCAAATACTTCAAGCTTTCACTCCACCCAAAAGCTGGAACGATAAAGTTTAAAGGGTTAAAGTTAGATGTATGACACAGCACATGAGTTTAAAAATTGAGAAAACGAATGTTGACACTTTTTTATATTTAATACATAATTCTTCAAGAATTTGAAGGTATTTGCTGAAACCAAAATGGCAGCCCAGCGAATTAGAAGACGAGCGAGATCTAAAGGAGAGTTTATAGTCTCTATTTTTGAGTTCAAGTGTACTAACCAGCCAAGCTAGTCATGGTTAAGGAGTCCTTACCTAAGGGTAATCAGCTCCGAGAGGGTTAAGTACCTGCTGGAAAGTTTCCTAATCAATGCACCCCAAATCATTCTTCCTCAAAAGTGAAAGTATACAAACGTTAAGTAGATTTAGGGACTCATGGGTTTCCAGGTAAAAGAACAGTACACATACTTCTCTCCCCGAAAAATAAAGCATGAATATTTAATCTATACCTACAACTTGCTTATTTAAACTAAAAGACAATCTGAAGCAATTATATACACCTGTAAACTGCACCGTGTAAATTCAATTAACGTTGTAACTATGGAACTTCCAAAAAATAACATGCTTAATTTAAGCAGGTTCTACTAGAAATTTTGCAAATTCTCGTGTAAGTTCTAGTCGCTACAGAAATCCACACAAATAATTTAAGAAGCCATCTACACACCTGCTGTATAACTCTTTAACTTATTTCACAATGAATGAAAAATCAGCCATTTATCCAACCCTAAGCCTCACGTCACAAGAATCTGAAGACCTGATCACTACCAAACTCGCACATGCTAATATTTGCAGAAACAGTTAAAAATAGAAAGGTAATAGGTCCAAGCTAGCTTGGAAGCGATTTCTGCATTCAAAAACCCCTTTCACGGCTTTGGCCCTCTGCAAATAAAGCGGGGCGAAGGAGGTGTAGGAGGCCGATAACCCAGCTCCCACTCCAGGAGCCCAGGGCCGGGGAGAAACTGCGGGTTATCGCGGGAGGGTGGGGGGAGGCGGACAAGTCGTCAGGCCTGATAGCCAGGCGTAGCCGAGGCCTAGCTCCCCAGCTCCAAATCACTCCACCTCAGTAATGGCGTTTGGTGTCAAGTGGAACCAGACCGGGTAGGAAAGCGGCCGCCGGGCGGGGGGCGGCCAGCCCCCAAACCGACCCGGCCCCCGGGTGCGGACGGCGGGGGGGCTGCCCGCCACGCCCGGAGACTCCATCCTCCTACTCGGCCCCAGACAGGACGGGAAGGGGGAGGAGGGGGAGGGACGGAGCCGTCAGCCATTTTCCCTTACAGTCCAAAACACACAGACACGCTCTCGGGACACCGGCTCCACACACAACACGGGCCCGCGCGCCCGCCCAGCCCGGGCCGGAGGAGGGGGAACGGGGAAGCCCCAGCCTGGCCGGCAGCCGCCGAGGGAAGAGGCTCGCACACACGCACACCCCCCTCGCCCTCCTCCCCTCACCCACATCCAGCTGTTGGCCCCGGGAAAGAGCGTCGCCCCAGTGCAGCTGGCCACTCACCGCACGACACAGACGTCTTCTCACAACCAGGGCACACGGAGGCGGGAGGCACCAGGCGACGGTGGGGCTCGGTCCCGGGACGAGACCTACCCTGGGTGCATCCCAGGCCCGGGGGTGACCGGCAACAAAGTGTATCGAAAGGCTGCGGCGGCCGGGCTCGGGGCTGCGGGCGTCTCAACCAAAAGGCTGCACACCGGCGCCGGAACTCGCTCCTCGCCGCGCCCGCCTCCTCCTCCTCCTTGGCCGGCGACGGCCCTCTTCCCCTTCTCCCCTCAGGCTGGGGCTCTCGCTGAGCTCAGACGGGCTCCGGGCGGTGCGTTTCTCCTGCGTCACCTCCTCCTGCTCCTCCTCCTGCAGCGACGGCTTCACCTTCCCCTAGTCGCCGCCTCTGTCCCCGCTCCAGGCCTGGTGGCTTTGAAGTAGCTCGCTCCTCGCTCCCGGCGCCGACCCAAGCACCGGGCGCTAAGGCGGCCGCCTCCCGTGAGAGAGAGGCGGCGGCGGCGGGCTCCCGCGAGGCCCGGGAGCTGTGTAAGGCGGGGAGGGGCTAGGCGCGACAGAGGCCCTGACGGGGCCGGGTGCGGAGAGGTTGCGGCTCCGGCGGCGGCGGAGACTAGCGTCCGCAGCCGCGGATGCCCGTCCTCGTCAATATGGCGGATCCGGCAAACCAAAAAAAAAAAAACCGCTCGGCCAGTGGCGGCGGCGGTAGCGGCGACGGCGGCAGCAGCGGTGGCGGCGGCGGCGGCGGCGCAGACTCCCACTAGCCCCAGAGCCGCCCAAGACCCGAAGTTCTCCGCCCCCGTCAGGGCCCGCCCCTTTCAGGCCCCTCCTTTCGGCCCTCCCCCTGCTCCTGCCCAGCCCCCTCCCGCTCAGCTGCCCCCTCTTCTCTCCCTCCACCCCGGGCCGTCAAGGCTGGGAGAGCAGCGCGAGCCGCTGAGGGGGCCGGGCTTCGGCGCGAGCCGCCGGGAACCCGGAGAGCTAGGGTGGGGGAGGGGAAGACAATGCGGTAAAGATTGTTCGCGCAGTACTGTTTCTTCCGGCTGGCCCCTTCAGGGTCGTGCTACGGCCAGAAATCCTGTTCCATGCCCCTCGGCTCAGGAGCGGGACGAGGGCAGAGGTGGCTCTAGGACCGAAGTTGGGGAAGGGAGGCCCGAAAAGATCTGGCACACCACTCGGGAGGGGCTGGGCGGCAGGGACTGGCGGGGTGTGTGGCCACGACAGGGTTAATCGCGTGAGCCGCAGCCGCGTCGCTCATAGTTTGACTCGGGCCGCTTGTTTTTGTTCCATTGTGAACCGTAGCCCCGCCGACAAGAACCCGGATGATGACGTCACCGGCCTCCCCCTTTTCCGGGACCGTGGGGGGAGGGGCGCGGAAAGATGAGATCTCGAGACCACGCGCTGGGCGGTCGCCGCCGCGGTGCCTGGAGGTCCCGGCGGTGCAGCTGACCCGCGTCACGTGACGCACGAGCTGGCCGGGCCACTGGCTGCGGGGGCGCGAGGTCCCGAGGGCCTGGCCACCTGCTTGGCGCCGATAGGGGGAAGGTGTGGCTATCTCCCGCAGCGGAAGGAGGGGGCGTGGGGAGTGAGGTCCTTTTCCCCACCCCGCGAGGGAGGTGCTCTGAGAAACTCTTTCACACGATCATGCATCATCACTACCTCAAAGCGTTTAGGCGTCCTCAAAGCGTTTAGGCGTCCTCACAGCCTAGCTGACGGGACTGACCACCTTTTTGGCCATAGGAGCCCTTCAAACAGACCAGCAAAGAAAAAAATTATAAAGTGCCCCAGACGGCTTAGCGAATAGGCCGTACTTGATGTGGCAAGATTAGCCTCCATTGCCAGATCATCAGCACAATTCGGTGTTAGGACCCGGAAGAAACTTATGAACCCATCCGCTGTGTCATGGACTATTTTCTACATGTTTATATTCCAAAGTGCGGGCATAGGAAAAACTTAGGCTAATCTCAAATTAATGGGGTGCTTGGAACAAATCTGTACAGTCTACCTAGGATGCCCAAATGAAGAGGAAATTAACAGTTCCTAATTTACAGATTTCCTTTTGACTTAAAAAATACCTGTGGACATCAAATGGCATGCAAAATCATAGTAAAACCCTACAAACCGAGATCTATTTTATAGAGAAGAGGGTTGAATTTAGTTATGCTATGATTATATCAGTTTGTAATAAAAGACTGTTAAAAATGGAACCAAACTAATGTAGGTGACAGTGAAAGCAAGTTATTGGTATCTTAAATTTTTAAACCATTTCTCTATTTAGCACAAGATTGTTTACAAATTTTTCACCACAAATTATCTAATAGGGTATCCAAGATGTATCATTCATAGCCCTAATAACTCTTAGCATATGTTACCTTGTTTTTATAATTATTTCCATGAATCATTTGCTTCCCCACTAGCTCATGGGCTTCTAAAAAGCAGACACGACCACCCGCGTACACTATAGGCTGTTATTTTCTATTTTAGATAAGGAAACAGAAAGGGTAAATGATTTGCCCGAAGTCAGGATTGGAAAGTGTTGAACACTGGTCTTTTAACCCTATCAAAAGTGCACCTTTAACAAGGATGTCCCCTCTCACCAATTCTGTTCAATATTGTACTTGCAGTTCTAGCCTGAAAAAGAAATGAAAGGCATCCAGATAAGAAAGGAACAATTAAACTATCGCTACTTTCACATGACATGATTTTATATATAGAAAATCTTGGGAAATCCATTATAAAAAAAATAAAGCCAATAAGCAAGTTCAGCAAAACTGCAGGATATAAGATCAATATTTAAACATCAGTTATAGTTTTACACACTAGCAATAAACAATCTGAAAATTAAGTTAAAATTCCATTTACAATAGCATCAAAATCAATAAAGTTAAAAATCGATTTAACAAAAGAAATGCAAGATTTGTACATTGAAAACTACAGAACATCATTGAAAAACATTCAAGACTGAAATAAAAGTATTAAGATAGCAATACTCCTCAAATTGATCTACAGAGTCAATGCAATCCCTATCAAAATCCCAGCAGGCTTTTTTTTTTTTTGCAGAAATGGACAAGATGATGCTAAAATTCATACAGATAAGGAGTTTCCCCCCCACCTCGCCACTAGCCAAAACAATCTTGAAAAAGGAGAACAATGTTGGGAGGGCTCCTACTTCCTGATTTCAAAACTCACTATGAAACTGTACTGCGTAAGGACAGGTATATATGCCAATGGGATAGAATAAGGAGCTCATAAATAACCCTTAACATATATGATCAACTGATTTTCCACGAGGGTGCCATGACCATTCAATGAGGGAAAGGATAGTCTTTGCAATAAATGGTGCTGGGAAAACTGGATATATATATATATATATATGCAAAAAAATGGAGTTGGATCTTTTCCTCACATAACATACAAAAATTAACTGAAAATGAATCAAAAACCTAACCATAAGAGGTAAAACTATAAAACTCTTAGAAGAAAACGTGACAGGGAAGTTTCACAACATTGGATTTGGCAATAATTTCTTGGATATGACAATAGCACAGGTGGAAAAAATAGACAAATTGGAGTTCAACAAAATTAAAAACTTTTGTGCATCAAAAGACACTATCAACAGAGTGAAAAGGCAACCTACAGAATGGGAGAAAATATTTGCAAATAATATATTTGATATGGCATTAATATCCAGAACATATAAAAAACTCCTACAACTCAACTCAGCAAAACAAAAAACCCAAGTCAAAAATGGGCAAAGGACTTGCAGAGCCATTTCTTCAAAGAATATATGTAAATATCCAATAAGCACATGAAAAGACACTTAACATCATAGTCATTAGAGAAATGCAAATCAAAACCACAATGAGATACCACTTCACACCCATTAGAAAGGCTATTAACCAAAAAAATAATAATAATACAGTGTCCGGCCAGGATGTGGAGAAATTGGAACCCTCCTACATTGCTGGCATGAATGTAAAATGGTGCAGCTGCTGTGGAAAACAACATGGCAGTTTCTCAAAAAGCATAAAATTACCATATGACCCAGCAATTCCACTCCTAGGTATATACCCCAAAGAAGGGAAAACAGGGACTGTAACAGACACTTGAACACCACCGTTCATAGCAGCATTATTCACAATAGCCAAAATGTGGAAACAACCCAAATGTCCATCAACAAATGAATGGATAAACAAAATTTGGTGTATACACACAATGAAATATTATTCAGCCTTAGAAAGGAATGAAACTCTGATACATGCTACAACATGGATGAACCTTGAAAACATTATGCTAAGTGAAAGAAGCCAGACACAAAGGCCACATATGGTATGGTTCCACTTATATGAGGTACCTAAAGTAGTCAAACTCATAGAGACAGAAAGTAGAATAGAGGCTACCAGGGGCTAGGGGGAGGGTAATAGGGAGTTGTTTTATGGGTTCAGAATTTCTGTTTGAGATGATGAAAAACGTTCTGGAAATGCAAAGTGGTGATGGTTGCACAACATTGCAAATGTACTTAATACCACTGAATAGTACTCTTAAAATGGTAAATTCTAAGTTATCTGTATTTTACAATAAAAAAAATGAAGAAAAGAAAATCCAGCCACATACAATTTCATATGGTTTAGGCTATACATTACTCTCCCACCAGCTGTTTTAGTCTCAACTCTCAAGTCAAGCTCACCACCAACTGATGCCTTGTGCTCTCTCGAGCTACCCAGAGGGTGCACCTTGGCTCCCAGGGTAGATTTGGCCTACAGGACTGTCCCCTTTTGAGATCTTCCACTTAGTTAATGGGATAGGAAATAAACAGTTTTGAGTTAAAAGAATAGGTTTATTATCACAGTGCAACTCCTTAAATTAAAATCCATATAGTCCAGGTCTTTCTTCTTCCTTTGTTTGGGTTTCTCTTTTCTAACACCTGTCCTTTAGTTTTCAAACTGTAATTTTTTTTAACTTCCTGGTTCTGCTTTATTAGGGCAAAACCTTATTATATTACATTTCCTCATGAAATTTCTCATTGCTCTCTCTCCCCACTCCCCCTGCCCCAGAAATATCTGATAAGTATACTCATTGTTTACTAGGACACTTATCTTAAACCATAGACAAATTTTCCTGGATAAATTGATGTTATTTAATATTTTCAGGGGTACAAATTTTAAAGTTCTGTGGAAATACTTTCTGGGCTAATGGCCAAACTAAAATAGAAGAGGAGGGACCTTTGATAATATGTTCCCTAGAGAAGGCTTTGTGATTGAATGGAATGAGCAAAGTCCACAATGAGTTACTATTTTTAATATAAAAATACGATAACTAAAAATCTAAGTAGGTGGTCCCACTTAATCTTTATGACAACAGGCAGAAAATGTAGCTAGGGAGAACAAGAGATAATTAAATGATCACAGTTGATAATGTGCTATTGCTCATGGTGTCTAAAATTTGACCAAATTTTAGACACCAGTGCCTAACAACCTGCTTAGAAGTAGTCTGTCCCTCCTGCTCTGTGGGAATGTCTCTGAAACTGACCTATTCCCAGCCAAAGACTTGGATGTAAGGACAGCAAGAGTAGCCCCAGCCTTGGATCATCCCTGAGTTCTGGGGACATAAAGGAATCTAAAGCAAAACTACCATGTATCTGCCCACTCAAAGGGGACCAGCTACCTGGTCTTAGTCATGGTACATGGGGCTTAGTCACCAATCAATACCACTGACATTAGAAGGAGAACATCGAGGATAAGCTAGTTAGAAGTGTTATCAACTCAAAGACTATTTCATATTAGTAACTGCACCAAAGTCTTGAAAACTTGCAGCCCATGTATGAAAGAAACTTGACAGTTGTCTCAACATTGATCATCTTTTTTTTTTTTACCCCAAGTTGTTGTTTATTTTCATGAGGGGGGGAAAGAATCCTTTATGATAGTGAAAGTATACTTTATTTTTTTGATACAATAGCTGCCAACAATATACTGGTGTTGATGTTCCAAAAAGAAAAGAAAATACGTGCATGCTATAATAAGCTTTCATTTGCCTGTTCAAGAAATTCTAAAGAAAATACTCCAATTCTGTTCAACATTATGGCTTGAGAAGTTGAAATTTTTCCATGATGAAAATATAATTTGTGTGGCCCAAACTTTGACTATTTATAAAGGATGGAGTTTTTAAAAGCCCAAATATATCAATAATGAATGCTCCCCTCTCTTTGAATTAAATGCTTAATTCAAATTAATGTAAGAAATTGGTGAATCATTAAACTTGATGAAATTTCCATCAAAATTTTCATGAAAAAATACATTTCTATTTCCTCTCCATTTTTACTTCATAGATATTTTCTAAATAGGTTTAAGTGCACAGAAATAAATGCTATCTACATGCAACTCTGGAGCGATTCAAAACACAACAGAAATAAAGTTAACATGCCTAAATCCTAGAGTGTATCCACTTAGTGTAAGAATAAATGTCAGAAATCTCTTAATTGTAAACAGATTGCTCAAGGATTTAAAGATAAATTGTGAAAGTCAAAATTACCAAGAAATAAAATCTTATTTGAATTTTATGACAAAAGTTAACAGTCGTAGTAAAAGAAGACAACAGAACTGTATAGAAAATATGCATCTACATCAAAAAAGGGAAGTTTTATCAACTAGAATAGTAGAGAACTTTCCAACTGTTGAATACAAAACTTTCTCAGAATCCCTTGGAAAACAGTAAGACTTTCCATTCAGACTCCAATCTCCTCACTGAAGTAAATACAAAAGGTGTTTAAATGAAGAGGAATGATTTGTTAGTTGTAAAAATAAAATCAGATTATTTCCATTATGCCAATTTATATACTGCACGAACTGTCTACCATGAAAATTTTATGGTCCAAATTTCTCAAGATTTTAAGCTATGCTCTTTCCACATACAGTGGGATTAAAGCATGTTGTCAGATCATCCTTTTAACTAGGTAGCTTTTGTCCATTTACCAATTTCCATTTGATTTGACTAACGTCCCTGATAAAGTAGTATCTGTCTTTCAACAACAAAAAAAACAATTCTGATCATCAAAATTACAATGGACATACCTTCCTCGAACGTGGCCAAGTGTAATCACTGGGTTAATAAAAAACAAGAGAATAAATATCCAAAATGAAAATACTCTGAGTTGGGCCAGACGCAGTGGCTCATGCCTGTAATCCTAGCACTTTGGGAGGACGAGGAGGGTGGATTACAAGGTCACAAGTTCAAGATCAGGCTGCCTAGGATGGTGAAACCCCCTCTCTACTAAAAATACAAAAATTAGCCGGGCGCGGTGGTGGGCGCCTGTAATCCCAGCTACTCGAGAGGCTGAGGCAGGAGAATCTCTTGAACCCGGGAAGAGGAGGTTGCAGTGAGCCAAGACCATGCCATTGCACTCCAGCCTGGGCAACAGAGTGAGACTCCATCTCAAAAAAAAAAAAAAAAAGAAGAAAAGAAAATACTTTGAGTTTCAGAATGAATTTTCATCACTCTAGTTTGAAGAATGGAGCTCTTTCCTCTGTTAGCCCTCCACCCTGCACTAAATATTACAAAAATCCAAAAAATACATAAATATTCCTTATACCATGCATTATGCACCAGTTTGGGGTTGCCTGATAAAGTCGTAGCTACTATTTAAACAGACATTGCACCTCAAAATTCTGTCATCTATGCACAGTGAATAGACACAATGGTGAGGGCTCCTGAAAGATGGCAAGCTACCTCTAAAGTGAAAAGTTTGTGGTGGAGTGTCTCCAAATTAAAAAGAGGGGAACACGGGTACAGAGGTAGGCAGGGTAAAAGGATTTTAAAATAATACTGCTTAGGAGTGTGTGTGTGTGTGTGTGTGTGTGTGTGTGTGTGTGTGTGTGTGTATATATTTTTTTTTTTTTTTTTTGAGATGCAATCTCGCTCTGTCTCCCAGGCTGGAGTGCAGTGGCGTGAACTTGGCTCACTGCAACCTCTGCCTCCCAGGTTTAAGCGATTCTCCAGCTGCAGCCTCCCAAGTAGCTGGGATTACAGGTGCGCACCACCGCGTCCTGCTAATTTTTTTTTTCTTTTTTTTTAGTAGAGACGGGGTTTCACCATGTTGGCCAGGCTGGTCTTGAACTCCTGCTCAGGTGATCTGCCCGCCTCGGCCTCCCAAAGTGCTGGGATTACAGGCACGAGCCACCGCACCTGGTCAAGGAGTGTATATTTTAAGATAACTACTATACCTTGTCTACCCTTGATCCTAATCCTCAATAACTGCATGTTCGTGCAAAATACAATTTCTACTCTATAAGAAGAAGAGTAGCCTGTTAGGAAAAGCATATTCTTAGGGGAAGACATGAAGACATCTCTTTCATAAATGCAATTTTACTTGGTGGGTCTTTTGGCATCACTATATGCTATTTCAACCTCCTTATCACTGGGACAGGTATTGATGAACTCGTCCCTACTATATGCATTAGTTAGGTATCTCCAGATGCCAGTCATCTCTTTTGGAATATCAAAGTTGTGATATTTTTTGGCCACCACCTTGACAATATGCAGTTTGGGGAGCAGGCTGCAATCAGCTAATGTCATTTCATTGCCATCCAGAAATTTATGTGTAGAAAACTTAATGTCCTCTATACTATTTTCATCAATTTCATCAGGGAGAGGAGAATTCAGATATTTATCCAGTTTCTGCAGGGTTTTCAGGAGATCCTTCTCCAGTGCTTCATTAGCCTCTCGCCTTCAATTCTTGATAAATGCAGAGAATTTGGCAAAGATGTCCATTCCAGCAGTATTTGATTCTGGGTGTTTTGGTGAAAGCTTTAAGTACTTGGGAGGGCATAAGACTTCTTCAAGAAATTCCTCAATCTTACTTACATCCGTTTTGACTTCACTGTTGAAACTTACAAACGGTGGGTGGGTCCTGGGAGCTAAGTTCTGTAGGTCTGCAGGCTTCCATTTCAGGTCAACAGTTGTGACACTAAATACAACTCCTTTGAGTCAACGAATCATGAAGAACCTCTGGGAAAAGGGGCAGTTTCCTATGCTTTCACCATCACTGCCAGCTTTGACGAGGAGCTCAATGAGGGGCTCTTTGTCCTCCTCCTTCAGCCCGTTCAACGGCATCGACAACGCCATGGCCGGCTCGGCTGCGCTCCGCAAACGGCGACGGCTGCTGCTGCTGCTGCTCCTCCTGCTCCAAGGCTGCTCCGACTGCCGGCTCCCGCCGCAGTGCTCTCTGGACAGTACGGCGTCTAACTGGCCGCGGCCTCGGCCCCTCAGCACCTCCCCACGCCCTGCGCACGACCAAAGTTGATCATCTTAAAAACGTACTTGATATTGGCCGGGCGCGGTGGTTCATGCCTGCAATCCCAGCACTTTGGGAGGCCGAGGTGGGCGGATCACAAGGTCAGGAGTTCGAGACCAGCCTGGCCAACATGGTGAAACCCCATCTCTACTAAAAACACACAAAAAAATTAGCCGGGCGTGGTGGTGGGCGCCTGTAATCCCAGCTACTCAGGAGGCTGAGGCAGGAGAATCGCTTGAACCCGGGAGGCTGAGCTTGCAGTGAGCCAAGATTGTACCACTGCACTCCAGACTGGGGGACAGAGCAAGACTCCATCTCAAAAAAAACAAAACAAAAAGTACTTGATATCACTAACAAGTTGTGAAGCTGAATAAACATTTCTAAATTATTAATAAGAAAAGGCCAGGCGAGATGGCGCCTGTAATCCCAGCACTTTGGGAGGCTGAGGCGGGCGGATCACGAGGTCAGGAGATAGCGACCATACTGGCTAAACGGTGAAACCCCGTCTGTACTAAAAATACAAAAAATTAGCCGGGCCTGGTGGCACGTGCCTGTAGTCCCAGCTACTCAGGAGGCTGAGGCAGGAGGCTGAGGCAGGAGAATCGCTTGAACCTGGGAGGCGGAGGTTGCAGTGAGCTGAGATGGCACCACTGCACTCCAGCCTGGGCGACAGAGCAAGACACCATCTCAAAAAAAAAAAAAGAAAAGAAAAGAAGAAATTTTGATCAACCATGGTTTTTTTTTTTTCCTGGATTTTGCGCTGTTTAATTTGTCAGCTGTTTAAATCTTGCCATTTGTGGTGATTTCTCATTGTAAATATTCCCTTTTGTACCTAATTTTGCATTTGTAATTTTGAAATTTTTTTTTCAAAGAAGGCTCCCATAATTGTGTAAGCATCAGGCTTCATAAAGCATGGGTTTGCCCCTGTGAAGAGGAATAAGGTAATAATAAATAATTAAAGGCAAAGCCATGAAGGTACCCATAGTGTCATTTGAGAGTCTGTGTATATTTTGTTAGTTTCTCTAGTTAAAAAACAAAAAGATTTTTTAAAATCCCCCCAGCAATTTAGAAAGCCAAGAAAAACCCAAATAAAACAAAGATACGCAATGAGATGAAATATTTCTTATTCTGATTTTCAAAAGAACTTTGAGAGGCCCAAGTGGTGGAAGCTGAGCCCCCAGGGCCTGGGCATCAAACTGGATGGCTTTGCAGGAAACCCGAAGAAGAAATCTGGGGTAGGAGCAAAAAGGAGGAGGGGTCGCTGAGAGAGCAAGGATCAGCCAGGGCCTGTAATACCACCACTTTGGAAGGACGAGGTGGGAGGATCACTTGAGCTCAGGAGTTTGAGACCAGTCTGGGCAACATAGGGAGACCCCATCACTATAAAAAATAATAATAAATTAGCCAGGAATGGTGGCACATGCCGGTAGTCCCAACTATTGGGGAGGCTGAGGCTGTAGTGAACCAAAATCACACGACTGCACTCCAGCCTGAGCGACAGAACCAGGCCTTGTCTCAAAAAAAAAACAAAAAGCAGGGCCGGGCGCAATGGCTCATGCCTGTAATCCTAGCACTTTGGGAGGCAGAGGCGGGTGGATCACCTGAGGTCAGGAGTTTGAGACCAACCTGGCCAATGTGGCGAAACCCTGTCTCCACTAAAAATACAAAAATTAGCCGGATGTGTTGGCGCATGCCTGTAATCCCAGCTACTCGGGAGGCTGAGGCAGGAGAATCGCTTGAACCCAGGGAGCAGAGGTTGCAGTGAGCCGAGATCACGCCATTGCACTCCAGCCTGGGCAACAAGAGCAAAAGAGCGAAACTCCATCTGAAAACAAACAACAACAATAACAAAATAAAAAATAAAAATAAAGATTTGAGGAGTAAGACCTGAAAAGTGCTGGAGGGACCCCAGAGCTGACCCCAGGCCAACCTGCCTCTCTGCATCTCCACCTTACCTTACCCCAGGGGGCATCACTATTAATATTCCACCAGAGTCTATTAGCCAGTGTTTTAGGTATTATTTCACTCCTTTTACTGTAGAGTTTTTAGATCTTTGGGGCTTTTAAAAATAAAAATAAAAAAAAATAAGGCTGTACCTTATATATTTTATGTAAACCACCATAGCGCAAAATAATTTGATCCTTTTGTTTTTACTAGCGAAATCATGTTTATTTCATCTAGGCCTAAGAAGTACATATTTTCCCAGGAGGAGATATCACCAGTTTGTGGCACTAATTATGCCTCATTCCTGACCCTATGCTAGTTCTAGTAAATCCATTGCTCCTTAGCAGTGGTATATCTCAGATATATATCTACATACCGTCTAGAGGATTCCAAATTTTCCAGCCATATTCACAATCAAAACTGCACTGCAGTCACCCAGACCAACCATTTGCTAATTCAAGTCAGACATCAAGTCAAATTCTCTACATGACTGCAGCCTGGAGAAGCTTCAGTTCTGTCCTGCTTTCTGCCTTAGCACTGTTATTTCTTCTTGACTAGCCTAGAAGTCTTGTAAAAAGGGAGATTTTCAACCAACTCTTCCTTTTGCTAGAGTTTCTTCAAAGTCTACTCTAATTTGGAAATATTACTACTTATCTCAGAAAAAGTAAACACTTTTAAAGCCCATAAGCAAATATGCTCATTTGCTACCAATTCATCTACTATAACATCATTAATTTGGATCTCACTAAATTAGAACATGATATTCTAGACAGCAACTGTCTTGAATTTTATGCTTATCCTATCATTGGGGGAAAGAAAAAAAAGAAAGCATATTCAAATCGACAGTATACACAAAATTATAAGAGAATTATTTATAATCTAGTCTCTATTACAGAGTTGTTTGGAATATTTTAGAAAAATCTGCTAAAATGCTAAACTTCTAAATCATTTTTAGTAATTAAAGTAGCTTCTCTAAAGCATGTGAAAGGGCCCTGTTTCCACACAGAGCTTTCTAGAATCAAGAGAGCCAGGGCCAAGTTAAAGAGGCACTCCCAACGACTCTACTGCAGGCTACTAAAAGTTTCAAATTGGCCAGGCGCAGTGGCTCACGCCTGTAATCCCAGCACTTTGGGAGGCCGAGGTGGGTGGACCACCTGAAGTCAGGAGTTCGAGACCAGCCTGACCAATATGGTGAAACCCCCCCATCTACTAAAAATACAAAAATTAGCCAGGTGTGGTGGCAGGCGTCAATAATCCCAGCTACTCAGGAGGCTGAGGCAGGAGAATTGCTTGAACCTGGGAGGCGGAGGTTCCAGTGAGCCGAGATTGCTCCACTACACTCCAGCCTGGGTGACAAGAGTGAGACTCCGTCTCAAAGGAAAAAAAAAAAAAAGAAAGGAAGAGGATTAGAGAAGGAATAAAGGTAAAATAGAATATTTTATTTTTATTTTTAATACATCTAATAGATAACAGTTTGTTCAAAATAATAATAGCAGTGATTCAATATTAGCAATATTCAGTATAGCTTATGGATAACTGAAATGAATGACAGCAATGTTATAGGGGTGTGAGAGAGGAATTGAGAATATTCTGTTATAAGATACTTGTATTACCTGTCAAGTGGTGGTGTTATTTGAAAGTGGACTTAGATTAGTTGTAAATGTATACTGCAAACTCTAGAGCAACTTCTGAAAAGAAAGAAGTAGAATTGATATGCTAAGAGAGGAGAGAAATTAGAATCATATAAAATGTTCAATTGGCCGGGCACGGTTGCTCACGCTTATAATCCCAGCACTTTGGGAGGCCAAGGCGGGCAGATTGCTTGAGCCCAGGAGTTCGAGACCAGGCTGGCCAACATGGTGGACCCCTCTTTCTACCAAAAAAAATACAAAAATTAGCCAAGTGTGCTGGCGCACGTCTGTAGTCTCAGCTACTCAGGAAGCTGAGGTAGGAGGATCACTTGAGCCCAGGAGGTCGAGGCTGCAGTGATCCAAGATCATGCCACTGTACTCCAGCCTGGACAACAAAGCAAAATCCTGTTTAGAAAAACAACAACAACAAAAAAAAACGTTCAGCTAACACCAGAGAAGGCAGAAAAAAAGTGTAAGGCAAAAACAACAACAACAACAAAAAAAACAAAGAACAAGGATAATGAATAGAAACCAGTAACAAACATGGTAGACGTTAATCCAACTGTATCAACAGTCACTTTAAACATCAATGGTCTAATTATTATAAAATACACCAATTACAAGACAGAAACTGTCAGAAGAGATTAAAAAACCCAACACCCAACTATTTGTCATCTAACAGAAACCAACTTTAAATATAAAGACATAGATTAAAAGTAAAGGGATGTTAGCTGGGCATGGTGGCTCATGCCTGTAGTCCCAGCTACTTGGGAGGCTGACGTGGGAGGATGGCTTCAGCCCGGGAGGAGGAAGCTGCAGTGAGCCAAGATCATTCCACTGCACTACAGCCTGGGTGACACAGGGAGACTCTGTCTTAAACAAACAAACAAACAAAAACAAAAACGAGTATAGTCAATTTTTACATGCATACATATATGCTCTTTATTTATTTATTTATTTATTTTGAGATGGAGTCTTGCTGTCACCCAGGCTGGAGTGCAGTGGCCGCCTCCCAGGTTCAAGCGATTCTCCTGCCTCAGCCTCCTGAGTACCTGGGATTACAGGCGCACGCCACCATGCCCGGCTAATTTTTTTGCATTTTCAGTAGAGACGGGGTTTCACCATGTTGGCCAGGCTGGTCTCCAACTCCTGACCTCAAGTGATCCGCCCCCCTCGGTTTCCCAAAGTGCTGGGATTATAGGCACGAGCCACCGTGCCTGACCTACATATGCTTTTCACATATTTTAACAATAATATTAAATCATTTCAGTACTTATGTGCTAAGCACTGTTCTAGGCACTATATGTGTATTAATTCCTCGTTCTAGGCACTATATGTGTATTAATTCCTTTAATCCTTATAATAAACCTGTAAGTTAGGTGGTATTATCATCTTATTTTAGATAGGAAAACTATGGCATAGATAAAGCATCTGGCTGGAGTCATGTGATTAGTAAGCACAGAGCTAAAATTCAGACAGACCCCACCCAGTCAGGCCCCAGTGTCTGTGTTCTTAGCCTTTCTATATTACAACTGCATATAAAGATAATCGTAGAAGCGGCTTAGCACAGTGTCTCATCCACAATATTAAGTGCTCAATATTATCATTATCATTTTTATCATTATTACTATGCTTCATTGAATCTGAGGTGCCATCAATTGTAGATACATCATTATTTTATGTGCCATTAACAAAGAAAGAAAACACTGCCAATCATAACTGAAGGCTGAGTGTTCTAAAGTGCATTCCAATTTCAAAGATGTGAGGAAATTGCACTTTGTAGAGTGAATGAAATTCAGTATTGTTATATATAGTTTCGCATTTAGTATACAGCTGCTTTGAATACCATCCATATACTAAGGATCCCCAAATTTACATTTTCAATACTGACCATTTCTTTAAATTGTAGACCTGCATATCCAAGTGCTTAGTTGACATCTCCACATGGATGCTAATAGACATCTCAAAAATTAAATGCCTAAAACTGAGTTCTCAATAGTCTTTACCATATCAGTATATGGCATTTTTATTCTTCCGATTATTTAGTCCAAAAGCTTTGGAGTCAGCAAATTCTGATGTCTCTACCTTCAATATAAACCTAAAATTCTACAACTTCTCACTACTCTCATTGCCAATACACTATTCCAAAGCACCCGTGGCAGAGATGGCTAGCTCCTCACCTGATCCATGCTTTCCTCTTCTTCCTGGGCACACATTTCCCAGCCTCCCCTTGCAGTTAGATATAGTCATATGATGAAATTGCTTTATAAGCAATGAAATATGAGAGCAAATTTCTCGTGCCACTTTTAGTCTGCTCCTATAAAACTCACAAACATATTCCTATATGTTTTTCTCCTCTGACAGGTTGCTGCAGTAGGGATGACTGCATGCGACCCCCAAGGATGACCTTGGTGGCCATGTGCTGAAGGTAGCAAAGCTCTTGTCACCCTGGGTTTCTGAAT
The DNA here is from genome assembly GCF_000001405.40 of Homo sapiens. Taxonomy (NCBI): domain Eukaryota; kingdom Metazoa; phylum Chordata; class Mammalia; order Primates; family Hominidae; genus Homo; species Homo sapiens. The sequence continues at coordinate 41,070,792 of NC_000023.11, read as the reverse complement.
GACTGCATGGAGGAAGGCTGCCCCATTGACCTGTTCACCCACATAATACTTTAAGATGAGCAATAACAAAACGTGTTGTATTTGAGCCAGTGAGCAGTGACAAAACTGATATTGGAGGATACAACATGGAGAGCCATGTTAAAAAGCAGCAAAATTCTTGATTAAAAAGTCGCCTGTAATAAATTAGAAGTCAGATCAAATGTCTCCTGGGCCTATAACTCTAGGGAAAAAAAGATAGAAAGCAATTTTAGGTATGTATTGATGGTTACTTGCTGTATTTAGCAAGGTATTACATGAAGAGAAAAGCTGACTCAAGAACCGGCTGGTTCAATAGCAGAAATGAAAGAAAATAAAGAGTTAAAATAGGCCGAGCACGGTGGCTCATGCCTGTAATCCCAACACTTTGGGAGGCCGAGGTGGGGGGATCAAGAGGTCAAGAGTTTGAGACCAGCCTGGCCAACATGGTGAAACCCTGTCTCTACTAAAAATACAAAAATTAGCCGGGTGTGGTGGCGTATGCCTGTAGTCCCCGCTACTTGGGAGGCTGAGGCAGGAGAATTGCTTGAACCCGGGAGGCGGAGGTTGCAGTGAGCCAAGATCGTGCCACTGCACTCCAGCCTGGGCAACAGAGCAAGACTTCGTCTTGAAAAAAAAAAAAAGAGTTAAAACAATGCCGCACACCAACGACCATCTGATCTTCAACAAAGTTGACAAAAACAAGCAATGGGAAAAGGACTCCCTATTCAATAAATGGTGCTGGGATAACTGGCTACCCATATGCAGAAGACTGAAATTCCACCCCTTCCTTACACCATACACAAAAATCAATTCAAGATGGATTAAAGGCTTAAATGTAAAACCTAAGACTATAAAAATCCTGCAAGATAATCAGGAAATACCATTCTGGAATAGGACCTCACAAAGATTTCATGACAAAGATGCCAAAAGCAGTTGCAACAAAAACAAAAATTGACAAATAGGACCTAATTAAAGAGCTTCTGCACAGCAAAAGAAACTTATCAACAGAGTAAACAGACAACCTATAGAATGGGAGAAAATATTTACAACCTATGAACCCGACAAAGGTCTAATATCCAGAATCTGTAAGGAACTTAAATCAACTAGAAAAAAAAACAAACGACCCCATTTAAAAATGGGCAAAGGACAAGAACAGACACTCTTCAAAACAAGACATAGACACATCCACAGGGAAGTGAGGGGAGAGAGAGCATCAGGACAAATAGCTAAGGCATGTGGGGCTTAATGCCTACGTGATGGGTTGATAGGTACAGCAAACCACCATGAAACATGTTAACCTATGTAGCAAACATGCACATGCTATACAGGTATCCCAGGACTTCAAATTAAATTTAATTTAATTTAATTTAAAAAAACATACACATGGCCAACAAGCACATGAAAAAAGGCTCAACATCACTAATTATTAGAGAAATGCAAATCAAAACCACAATGACCCCAAAGTCCCCAAAGTCCCCCTGCCCTTAAGTCAAATTAAAAAAAACCACGGCCAGGCGCGGTGGCTCACGCCTGTAATCCTAGCACTTTTGGAGGCTGAGGCGGGCAGATCACGAGGTCAGGAGTTCGAAACCAGCCTGACCAACATGGTGAAACCCTGTCTCTGCTAAAAATACAAAAAAAAAAAAATTAGCTGGGCATGGTGGCACACGCCTATAATCCCAGCACTTTTGGAGGCTGAGGCGGGCGGATCACGAGGTCAGGATTTCGAGACCAGCCTGACCAACATGGTGAAACCCTGTCTCTACTAAAAATACACACACACACAAAAATTAGCCGGGCATGGTGGCACATGCCTGTAATCCCAGCTACTCAGGAGGCTGAGGCAGGAGAATCGCTTGAACCCGGGAAGCGGAGGTTGCAGTGAGCTGAGATCGCGCCACTGCACTTTAGCCTGGGCAACAGAGCGAGACTCCATGTCAAAAAAAAAAAAAAAAACCAACACGAGATGCCATCTCACACCACTCAGAATGGCTATTATTAAAAAGGCAAAAAACAACAGATGCTGGAAAGGTTGTGGAGAAAAAGGAATGCTTATACACGGCTGATGAAAATGTAGATTAGTTCAGCCACTGTGGAAAGCAGTATGGCAATTTCTCAAAGAGCTCAAAGCAAACTTACCATTCCACCCAGCAATCCAATTATTGGTATATACCCCGAAAAATACAAATCATTCTACCATAAAGACGCATGCATGCATATGTTGACTGCAGCACTATTCACAATAGCAAATATATGGAATTAACCTAAACAACCATGTATGGTAGAATGGATAAAGAAAAGGTGGTACATATATACCATAGAATACTATGCAACATTAACAAAGAACACAATCATGTCCTTCCCAGAAACATGGATGAAGCTGGAGGCCATTATCCTAAGTGAACTAACACAGGAACAGAAAACCAAATATCTCATGTTCTCACTTATAAGTGGGAGCTAAACACTGATTCCACATGGACATAAAAAAGGGAACAATAGACACCAGGCCCTGCTTGAAGGTGGACAGAGGGAGGAGAGGAGGAATCAAAAAACTACCTATTGGTTATTACCTGGGCGGTGAAATAATCTGTACACCAAACCCCTGTGACATACAATGTACCTATATAACAAACCTGCACATGTACCCCTGAACCTAAAAGTTAAAAAGAAAGAGTTGGGAAATTTGGGGATACAGGGTTAGAAAAGCTCACAACTTCTATATCCCAAATAAGAAGAGAGGAGACCGAAAAAGACTTTGTGTCACAAAGTGTACGGGAAGACTTTGTCATGATATGCTGGTGACGCTGCACATCTTCATGTAGGCCACACAAGCGAGGCTTGGCTGCAGTCTGACCTGAGTGTTGGCAGAATGCCCCCCGATTCTTCCTGGAACAAGGGGAGATAAGGGCAAGGAACTGCTGCAAGGCAGTTTCATGTCCCTATCTTGTGAGCTTTTGACCCCTTGACACAATAGTCCATAAAGACCCCTCACTTAGAGGGACCCTGCCCTAAAGCAAAAATTAGATTAAGGGTGGTGGTGCCCTCACCTAAGCCTGTTGCTTGAGATGACATCGAGGTAGCCAACATTAATTTGAAAGAGAAAGAAGCACAGGACCAAGAAACAAACACTGCAAAAAGGAGACTTTACCACTATGTCTAGGAAAGAACATTGGGCATAGTTACATTACAGCACATGGAACTGTCTGGAAGCAAAGAGATCTGAAGCCTTCTATGGTTTTGAAGGAATTAAATTACCAAAGAAACCAAGAGCCTGCTCTCAAATGCTTCGAGGTGTAAAACAACCCTTGGGCAGGAAATGATCAGAGAAGGCTGCCATGGTCTCCAATCCCCATCATTATCTCTCTGACTTCATTTCTTACTTTCCCCCCCTCACTCCCTCCGTTCCAGCCAGCCTCCTTACCATTCCTTTAACAATAAACATGCTACCACCTTTGCCTTTGCTGATTCCTCTGCCAGGAAAAAACTGTTTTTCCTGTGGATCCCAGGCCCGGTGGATCCCAGTCCCACACTGTGATCCCAGTGGATCACTGTGGATCCCAGCCCCAGGCCTATTTAGGGGAAAGTGAAACAGTCTACCTTTCTTCCTGCAAGCTGCCACTCCCACAGACATCCAGGTCCACTGTTGCCATAAAACAAAATCTAGGTGTAACCTAATTGCCCTGCCACCTGTTCATGCAAGAACCTCAACTCCCCACAAAAAGCACCTCATTATTTCCAGGAGTTGCTGGGGGTTGTCACACATACTTAGGAACAAGTCCACTGCAACAGTCTCTGTAAGACTCTACTCTCAGCTGGATACCACAGACACTGCTGCCACTCTAAGGGCTTGGTTAGGGTGTTGGTTTTTCCTGCAGGATTGCAATAGTTCTGCCCTGGTGGCCCCCTGGACTGTAGGGGTCTGCAGAAGATATGCGGTGGTCTGTGGGTGGTTGGGATGAACAGCTCTCCCCACATGTTATCTTCTGCTAAATCAGTACAGGGCAGTGCCACATGGAAATATAGGCTAAGGCAGCTATTGGAAGTCTGTAGTAAGAGAAGGGCATTAGTGCTCTCCAGGTATACATTTTTCTCTCTTTTTTTTACTGACACGGTATTACTCTCTTGCTCAGGCTGGAGTGCAGTGCCTATTCAAAGGTGAGATCACAGCTCACCAAAGCCTTAACTCCCTGCCTTAAGCAATTCACCCACTTCAGCCTCCCAGGTAGCTGAGACTATAAGCATGTACCATCATGCCTGGTTAGAGAACACTTGTTTTTTTTGTTGTTATAGTTGTTGTTGTTTGAGATGGAGTCTCACTCTGTCACCCAAGACAGAGTGCAGTGGTGCAGAGGCTCACTGCAACCTCCACCTCCTGGGTTCAAGCGATTCTCCAGTCTCAGCCTCCCGAGTAGCTGGAATTACAGGCATGCCCCACCACACCCAGCTAATTTTTGTATTTTTAGTAGAGATGGGGTTTCACCATGTTGGCCAGTCTGGTCTCGAACTCCCGATCTCAGGTGATCCGCCTGCCTCGGCCTCCCAAAGTGCTGGGATTACAGGCGTGAGCCACCACGCCTGACCTTTTTTTTTAAATTAATTAATTAATTAATTAATTTTGAGACGGAGCCTCAATCTGTTGCTCAGGCTGGAGTGCAGTGGCACGATCTTGGCTCACTGCAACCTCTACCTCCAGGGTTCAAGCAATTTTCCTGCCTCAGCCTCCCGAGTAGCTGGGACTACAGGCACGCACCACCATGCCCAGCTAATTTTGTATTTTTAGTAGAAACAGGGCTTCACCATGCTGCCTAGGCTGGTCTCGAACACCTGACCTCAGGTGATCCGCCCACTTCAGCCTCCCAAAGTGCTGGGATTACAGGCGTGAGCCACCTTACCTGGCCACAATGGAGATTTTTTAATTTTCTTTATTTTTTTGAGATGGAGTCTCACTCTATCACCGAGGCTTGGATGCAGTGGTGCGATCTCAGCTCACTGCAACCTCCACCTCCCAGGATAGAGAGATTCTGTGCCTCAGCCTCCCGAGTAGCTGGGATTACAGGCACGCACCACCATGCCTGGCTAATTTTTGTATTTTTAGTAGAGACAAGGTTTCACCATGTTGGCCAGGCTTCTCTCAAACTCTTGGCCTCAAGTGAGCTGTCTCCCTCGGCTTCCCAAAGTACTGGGATTACAGGCGTGAGCCACTGGGCCTGGCCACAATGGAAATTTTTTTATAATTCAAGTGTAATTTGAAAATTGAGGTAAAATTATTATTTTTTTTTAAATTTTTTTTTTGAGATGGAGTTTTGCTCTTGTTGCCCAGACTGGAGTGCAATGGCACAATCTTGGCTCACTGCAACCTCTGCCACCGGGTTCAAGTGATTCTCCTGCCTCAGCCTCCCGAGTAGCTGGGATTACAGGCATGCACCACTACGCCTGGCTAATTTTGTATTTTTAATAGAGACAGGGTTTCTCCGTGTTGGTCAGGCTGGTCTCGAACTCCCGACCTCAGGAAATCCGCCCACCTCAGCCTCCCAAAGTGCTGGGATTACAGGCGTGAGCCACTGTGCCCAGCCAAAATTATTAAATTAAGGTTAAACTACTTAAAATATAATGAACAAACATCCAGTGAACAGCTTGATGAATATTTACATATTCATATTTACACAACCATGTAACCACCACTTATATGAAGACATAAAACATTTCCATAACCCAGACTATCCTTCATAAAAGGTGATTTTCCAATTCTGTCATTTTTTTACGAACTTGAATTAGTTCATAATGAAGAACTTTCCTATCATTTCTGGATGCTCTTGAATATAGTTTGCCCAGAAAAACAAAATAAATGTGATTCTTTTCCTTTATTTGCCTATTATACAATTAGTGAGTTGATGTTCCAGCAGCCTCCAAAAGGTAACCAGTGAGGTTTTATTTATTGATTATTGATGTCATTATGAACTCATGGAGTTTTAAAATACTTGATGTGTAAATATTACAGTACTTTGCAGTCATTATGCTTTTTGATGCTCAAATTGTTCCATCTTGTCATACAACCCTTGGAGTCCTTAATTTTTCTTAATTTCTGGTAAGATAGGATATTCCAAGTTCATCTTTTACATTTCCAGCCTCGGAATTGGAACTAGCCACTTCCCTAAGGAGTTCTGCATATTTGTTTGTTTTAAATTATATTTACTCACTATAATCTGGATGCTGGGTCTTTATTGCTATCATTTCTTTTCAGATCTTTTCAGTGCACAGAGCTAAGAATTTTTTTTCAAAATAAAAATAAATTATGAATAAATACTGCTATTTCTAATCTAAATTAAAGATTAAAGGGTTTTTACTTAATTTCTTTGATTTTGTGTTTGCATCTCTTCTCTCATGTGTAAAATCTTGGTTCCTAATGATATTAACATAATGACTTACTTGATTTATTCCACTGGATAGATAGAATAGTTTCAGGATAACAATATCAATGTTATTACTAACAGTTAGATCACCGAATGCCTTTTAAGATTTATTCGCAGTTATTTTAGTCCTTAGGATCCAGCCCACAAAGTAGAAGAAAAATACTTTGTTCATGAATCACTTGAAATCATTATTATATGCATAGTTTTGCCACCAACTTGATATATAATCAGGTTCAATTTGTTTCAGTTTGTCTTCAATTTTTAACGACTGCCTCTAGTTTTCTTTTTGATTATATTCAGTTGTTAAATTATTTACAACTTGGCTGGGCGCAGTGGTGCTCACGCCCGTAATCCTAGCACTTTGGGAGGCTGAGGTGGGCGGATCATGAGGTCAGGAGTTAGAGACCAGCCTGACTAACATGGTGAAACCCCATCTCTACTAAAAATATAAAAATTAGCCGGGTGTGGTGGGGCATGCCTGTAATTCCAGCTAATCGGGAGGCTGAGACTGGAGAATTGCTTGAACCTGGGAGGCGGAGGTTGCAGTGAGCCAAGATCGTGCCACTGCACTCCAGCCTGGGTGACAGAGTGAGACTCCATTTCAATATATATATAATATATATATATATGTGGGTGTGTATTTACAACAATCTTGCTGTTCTAACATCTATTAGTGACCTATTGGTGCATAACAAATTATACCAAACTTAGCGGCTTAAAATAACCAACTTTTATTATCTCACAGTTTCTGTGGATCAGGGATCCGGTGTGGCTTAGCTGGGTGGCCCTGGCTCAGGGTCTCCTCCTGAAATGCAGTCAAGATGTCAGCCAGGGATGTGGTAAGGCTCGACTAACGCCGGAGGATCTGCTTCTGCCAGGGCTCGGTCACATGGCTTTGCTGGGCTTTGGATCCTCGCCACATGGGACTGCTCTACAAGGCAACTGGTTCCCCCAGAACAAGTGATCCAAGAGAGAGAAACAGGGTAAAAAGGAAGCTACACTGTCTTTTAGAATCTCATCTTGGAAATTTTTATACCATCACTTCTGCCAAATTCTGTTTTTTTGTTTTTCCACACACAAAACGGATGTAACGTCTGCCAAATTCTACTGGTCTCACAGATCAACCCTGGTACAGTGTCAGAGGGGACATCACAAGGGTGTAAATACCACAACGTGGGGATTCTTGGGGGCCATCTTTTACACAAAGCAAAAATATAAAGCAAGATACATTCAGAGAGTTCTAGCTTTCACCTTTGTGTGTTCCACATTGCTTACCTCCACCTTTAGGAAACCACTTTTGTTACTACCTGCTTTATTTTTCCATTGTTTTGTTTGGAAAAATATCAAAAAATATGTACATATATCTGTAGTTCCAAAATTAACTTACTATACACCTTTTCAGCACCTTGCTTTCTTCAATTAATGCCGTGTCCAAAGGACCACCTAATGGCAACCTATAGACATCTTTATTCTATTTTATACCTTCATTCAACTCCATTATATAGCGATCCTGTAGTTTACATAATGTTGTAATGGCTTCATCATTTATCAATTTTTCTCCAATTTTTGGACATAGTTGCTTATAATTTTCATCATCATAAACAATGCTGCAATGAATATCTTTCTGTATAAAGGTTTTGCTGGATGTGGAATTATCTTAGACTACTAGACTCACAGATACAGATTTATTAAGTCAAAGATATGAATTTTTTTTTTTTTTTGAGACAGAGTCTCGCTCTATCGCCCAGGCTGGAGTGCAGTGGCACGACTTCGGCTCACTGCAATCTCTGCCTCCTGGGTTGAAGAGATTCTCCTGACTCAGTCTCCTGAGTAGCTGGATTACAGGCACTCACCACAATGCCCAGCTAATTTTTTGTATTTTTAGTAGAGACGGGGTTTCACCATCCTGGCCAGGCTGGTCTCGAACTCCTGACTTCGTGATCCACCCACCTCGGCCTCCTAAAGTGCTGGGATTACAGGCGTGAGCCACTGCGCCTGGCCGAAAATTTTTATGTTCTGCTTATGCATTGCTAAATTGGTTCACAAAAGAGTTATACTGCATTACGTTTCCACCTACTATGCAAAGAGTGTTCATTTTCTCTGTGTTGTGATCTGCATTTGGTAGCCAGGTTTTTTTTTTTTTTTGAGGCTGGTCTCGAACTCTTGACCTCATGATCCGCCCACCTCAGCCTCCCAAAGTGCTGGGATTACAGGAGTGAGCCACCGTGCCCAGCCCCACAATGGAGATTTTTAAAAATTGAAGTGTAATTTTAAAATTGAGGTAAAATTATTAAATTAAGGTTAAATTAAACTACCTAAAATATAATGTATGAATATTAAGTGAACAGCTTGATGAATATTTACATGTTGTACAACTATGTGACCACCATTTACATCAAGACATAAAGCATTTCCATAACCTAGACTATCCTTCATAAAAGCTGATGCTCCAATTCTGTCATTTTTGTGTGTGTGTGTGACAGAGTCTCTCTCTGTCACCCAGGCTGGAGTGCAGTGGTGCGACCTTCAATCTCTGCAACCTCTGCTTCCCGGGTTCAAGCGATTCTCCTGCCTCAGCCTCTCGAGTAGCTGGGATTACAGGCACACACCACCATGGCCGGCTAATTTTTGTATTTTTAGTAGAGATGGGGTTTCACAATGTTGGCCAGGCTGGTCTGGAACCCAAGACCTCAAGTGGTCTGCCTGCCTTGGCCTCCCAAAGTGCTGGGATTACAGGTGTGAGCAACCGTGCCCGGCCTCATTATGCTTTTTGATGCTCAAATTATCCATCTTGTACCAGTGGGGGACCTTAAAAAGTCGGCTCCTTAGTACTGTCATACAACCCTTGGAATCTGTAATTTCTCCCTTAACTTCTAGTAATTCCAAGTTCATCTTTTACATTTCCTACCTGGGAATTGGAATTAGCCACTTCCCTAAGGAGTTCTGCTTGTTTGTTTGTTTTAAATTATATTTACTCACTATGATATGGATGCTGGGTCTTTATTGCTATCATGCTGTCATTTCTTTCAGGTCTTTTCAGTGCACAAAGCTAAGAAATTTTTTTTTCAAAATTAAAATAAATTATGAATAAATACTGCTATTTCTAACCTCAATTAAAGATTAAAGGGTTTTTACTTAATTTCTTTGATTTTGTGTTTGCATCTCTTCTCTCATGTGTAAAATCTTGGTTCCTAATGATATTAACATAATGACCTATTTGCTTTCTTCCCCTATATAGATAAAATAGTTTCAGCATAACAATACCAATGTTATTACTAACAGTTAGATCACCAAATGCCATTTAAGATTTATTCGCAGTTATTTTAGTCCTTAGGATCCAGCCCACTAAGGATGTACAGGGAAAATATTGTGTTCATGAATCTCTTGAAATCATTATTATATGTGTAGTTTTGCCACCAACTTGATATACAATCAGGTTCAATTTGTTTCAGTTTGTCTTCAATTTTTAATGACTGCCTCTTTTCTTTTGGATTATATTCAGTTGTTACATTATTATTATTTTTTGAGACAGAGTCTCTCTCTGTCGCCCAGGCTGGAGTGCAGTGGCGCGATCTCGGCTTACTGCAACCTCCGCCTCCCGGGTTCAAGTGATTCTCCTGCCTCAGCCTCCTGAGTAGCTGATATTACAGGCACACGCCACCAAGGCCGGCTAATTTTTTTGTGTTTTTTTGTAGAGACGGGGTTTCACCATGTTGGCCAGGCTGGTCTCAAACTCCTGACCTCAGGCGATACACCCGCCTTGACCTCCCAAAGTGCTCGGATTACAGGCGTGAGCCATTGCGCCTGGCCCAGTTGTTAAATTATTTACAACAATCTTACTGTTCTAACATCTATTAGTGCATAACAAATTATACCAAACTTAGCGGCTTAAAATAACCAACTTTTATTTTCTCACAGTTTCTGTGGATCAGGGATCCGGTGTGGCTTAGCTGGGTGGCCCTGGCTCAGGGTCTCCTCCTGAAATGCAGTCAAGATGTCAGCCAGGGATGTGGTAAGGCTCGACTAACGCCAGAGGATCTGCTTCCGCCAGGGCTCGGTCACATGGCTTTGTTGGTCTTTGGATCCTCGCCACATGGGACTGCTCTACAAGGCAACTGGTTCCCCCAGAACAAGTGATCCAAGAGAGAGAAACGGGGTAAAAAGGAAGCTACATTGTCTTTTAGAATCTCATCTTGGAAATTTTTATACCATCACTTCTGCCAAATTCTGTTTTTTTGTTTTTTTTCCCCACACACAAAACAGATGTAACTTCTGCCAAATTCTACTGGTCTCACAGATCAACCCTGGTACAGTGTCAGAGGGGACATCACAAGGGTGTAAATACCACAACGTGGGGATTCTTGGGGGCCATCTTTTACACAAAGCAAAAATATAAAGCAAGATACATTCAGAGAGTTCTAGCTTTCACCTTTGTGTGTTCCACATTGCTTACCTCCACCTTTAGGAAACCACTTTTGTTACTACCTGCTTTATTTTTCCATTGTTTTGTTTGGAAAAATATCAGAAAATATGTACATATATCTGTAGTTCCAAAAGATAACTTACTATACACCTTTTCAGCACCTTGCTTTCTTCAATTAATGCCGTGTCCAACAGACCACCTAATGGCAACCTTAGACATCTTTATTCTATTTTATACCTTCATTCAACTCCATTATATAGTGATCCTGTAGTTTACATAATGTTGTAATGGCTTCATCATTTATCAATTGTTCTCCAATTTTTGGACATTAGTTACTTATAATTTTCGTCATCATAAATAACGCCGCAATGAATATCTTTCTGTATAAAGGTTTTGCTGGATGTAGGTTTATCTTAGGGTGCTAGACACACAGATAGAGATTTGTTAAGTCAAAGATATGGAAAGTTTCATGTTCTGCTTTTGTGTTGCTAAATTGGTTCACAAAAGAGTTATACTGCATTATGTTTCCACCTACTGTGCAGAGAGTGTTCATTTTCTATGTATTGTGATCTGCATTCGGTAGCCTAATTCTTTTTAATCTTCACTATTTTAACAGATATACCTAAGTGGATTTCTGTAGTGTCCATATATTTTCACATCATTCTTACTACTAAGTTAGTTTACTTTAAAGTAACAAGTGATAATTTGTTACTTTAAAAACTGTATTATATATATTTCAAATACCATTTTTGACTATTTAATTTTTCTATATATTTAACCTGAACTGCATGTGGACTTATAGAATTTTTCTGAGCTAGTAAATATTTAGTACTTACATTTCCATGAAGACTATAATGTGTACAAAAATGATAAAGTGCATCAATGATTTTTATTATATTCCATATAATATTCACTAAAAATTATTCCAAACATTTTTAGTATAATATATTCATATATTTAGAGAGAGTGAAATATTCAAGTTATTTTGTTGGATTTGTAGCATTATAATTTTATCTTGGCTATAGCAGTGGCTCGATCTCCACTAGCTGCAACCTCCGCCTCCTGGGTTCAAGTGATTCTCCTGCCTCAGCCTCCCAAGTAGCTGGGACTACAGGCACATGCCACCATGTCTAGCTAATTTTTTGTATTTTTAGTAGAGACGGGGTTTCACTATGTTGGCCAGGCTGGTCTCAAACTCCTGACTGCGTGATCCGCCTGCCTTGGACTCCCAAAGTGTTGGGATTACAGGCATGAGCCACTGCGCCTGGTCGTTTTTTTTTTTCTTTGGTTGTTGTTGTTGTTGTTGTTGTTTTGAGACAGAGTCCCACCTTGAAGCCCAGGCTGGAGTGCAGTGGCAGATCTCGGCTCATTGCAACCTCACTGCAGCCTCCACCTCTTACACTCAAGTGATTCTTCTGCCTCAACCTCCCAAGTAGCTAGGATTACAGTTTCCCACCACCACACCCGGCTAATTTTTGTATTTTCACTAGAGACAAGGTTTCGCCATGCTGGCCAGGCTGGTCTGTAACTCCTAACCTCAGGTGATCTGCCCGCCTCAGTCTCCCAAAGGGCTGGGATTATACGTGTGAGCCATCGCGCCGGCTAACCTAATTGCTATCAATAAACAATTCTATCAAACTGGGTCAAAATGCTCTGAAAATCTTTCTGCCGTGGGCCCCCGCCCCCCACCCCCATCCCGCCTGTGAGGTTCCTAGCTAAAAGGAAACATTATTAATTTGTATGTTTGACGAGGTTCCTAGCTAAAAGGAAGCATTATTAATTTGTATGTTTCCAGCCTGTGAGGTTCCTAGCTAAAAGGGAAAATTATTATTATTTTTAATTAATTAATTATTTATTTTTTTGAGACGGAGTTTCGCTCTTGTTGCCCAGGCTGGAGCGCAATGGCACGATCTCAGCTCACTGCAACCTCTGCCTCCTGGGTTCAAGCGATTCTCCTGCCTCAGCCTGCGGAGTAGCTGGGATTACGGGCACATGCCACCACGCCCGGCTAATTTTGTATTTTTTTAAGTAGAGACGGGGTCTCTCCGTGTTGGTCAGGCTGGTCTTGAACTCCCAACCTCAGGTGATCCGCCCGCTTCAGCCTCCCAAAGTGCTGGGATTACAGGCGTGAGCCACTGCGCTCGGCCAGGAAACATTATTAATTTGTATGTTTCTTGCCTTGACCAGCAAAGCAACTCAGACCTGTTGGAATTATCACTCACAGCACAAGAACAAAGACATCTACTGTATTTCAATACTTTCCAAAGAGCCAAAACAGTCTGGAGCACATTTTTCAACTACAGTGCAAAAATTAGCAAATATGGACAGTAAAAGTCTACACAAAATGAGATTTAAAACAGATACTTTTGGCCGGGCAAGGTGGCTCATGCCTGCAATCCCAGCAATTTGGGAGGCCAAGGCAAGTGGATCACGAGGTCAGGAGTTCAAGACCAGCCTGGCCAAGATGGTGAAACCCCATCTCTACTAAAAACAAAAGCGAAAACAAACAAACAAACAAAAAATTAGCCGGGCATGGTGGCGGGCGCCTGTAATCCCAGCTACTCGGGAGGCTCAGGTAGAGAACTGCTTGAACCCGGGAAGTGGAGCTTGCAGTGAGCTGAGACCATGCCACGGCACTCCAGCCTGGGCAACAGAGTGAGACTCCGTCTCAAAAAACAAACAAAAAAAAGATACTTTTTTTTTTTTTTTTTTTTTTTTTTAGTCAGGGTCTCACTTTTGTTGCCCAATCTAGAATGCAGTGGTGTGGTCATAGCTCACTGCAGCCTCCAATTCCTGGGCTAAAGTTATCCTCCTGCCTCAGCCTCTGAGTAGCTGGGACTACAGTGAGGATGTGGTGAGGAAAAATAGACCTCTTAACTCACTGCCAGACTGCCGGACATGGTGGCTCATGCCTGTAATCCCAACACTTCGGGAGGCTGAGGCAGGGGGATCACGAGGTCACGAGTTTGAGACCAGCCTTACCAACATGGTGAAACCCCATCTCTAAAATACAAAAATTAGCCAGGCGTGGTGGTGCGCACCTGTAATCACAGCTACTCAGGAGGCTGAGGCAGGAGAATCGCTTGAAACCGGAAGGTGGAGGTTGCAGCGAGCAGAGATCTCACCACTGTACTCCAGCCTGGGCGACAGAGCAAGACTCCATCTCAAAAACAAAAATTTTTTTTAATGCAGGAGAAAACATGAATTTGTAGGGACTTTCAAAGGTACTTCTTGGTAATCTGCATCAAAATTATTTCAAAGATCCATTCCCCTGGTTTTTTTGTTGTTATCAATTATATGTTTACAATTTCATCCCCAACGAATAATGGGCAGAGAAAAATATCTAGGGTGTTTATTGCAGTACGGTGGATAGTAGCAAAAAGTTGGAAACTACCGAGTGTCCAGCAATATGGAGACTGTTTTAGTAAGTTAAATCCATATGCAACTATTCAAACTAATTTTGTACAAGTCTATTTTGTTAGTTGCATGTCTAATACCCTTTATGCTCTTCTTCTATACTAACAATCTGGACACTGTTCAGGGCAGCAATGTTCACTGCTCCAGGCACAAAATCCTGACAATTCTGATACTACTTTCGCAGCCTCCCTTGCACCTAGGGATGGACATTTTAGTTATGGCCAATGAAACGTAAAGGTAAATCTACCGAGTATTTCTCAGAAAGTTTTTGTTTTCCTAATAAAAGGGATAGATAGCATTGATGCTAGCAATCACCTACTGAGGGCTTGTTAACTGAGACTAACTTCTATTTATGAAACAAGGGGTGGTTGGGTTTTCTGCTGGTTGAAGTCAATAGTGTCCCTAACTATGGTGGATTCTGTACTGCAGGGCTCAGATCCCACTTCAGGACTCCCAGCTACTGGGAGTGCTACAGGCTTCATCTGCCTCTGGGAATTGAATTCAGTTGAAGTCAGCTGCCTTGCTCAATGTCACCCCCACCCCTTCCCAGGGGCAGCTCACATCAAACGACACGGGTATATAAAGGCCCAGCCTTCTTTCTTCAATTTGTGACAGCATTGCAGGGCCTCTAAGCAACAAAGCCGGAGCCCTTGTTGATACTGCACCACAGTCTAACTTCTCCTCCTGTCTAATCCTACCTCATTCCCTTCCCCCATACATGTTGATCCTGAAAGCATTCCCTGATAAACTTCCTGCACACAAATCTCTGTCTCAGAGTCTGTTTCCTGGGAAACCCTGCCCACAACACTACTGATACATTTATTCAAATGAAAAGATGTTCAAAATATATAGCTAAATGACAAAACAAGTTATAAAGCAGTATGCAGGATGTCATCCTGTTTTTTTAACTATACAGGTTATAGGTCAGCCTAGAAAAAATATCTGGGGGCCAGGTGTGGTGGCTCATGCCTGTAATCTCAGCACTTTGGGAGGCTGAGGTGGGTGGATCACCTGAGGTCAGGAGTTTGAGATTAGCCTGGCCAACATGGTGAAACCCCATCTCTACTAAAAATACAAAAATTAGCTGGGTGTGGTGGCATGCACCTGTAATCGCAGCTACTCAGGAGGCTGAGGTAGGAGAATTGTTTGAACCCGGGAAGCAGATCCGAGATTGCTCCGCTGCACTCCGGCCTGGAGCGAGACTCCATCTCAAAAAAAAAAAAAGAAAGAAAGAAAGAAAGAAAAAGAAAAGGAAAAAAAGCTAGGAAACTTTTTAGGAGATAATAATAAGAGAATATTTTTATAATCTTGTGATATTGGGAAGTTTCTTAAATAAGACATAGTAGTGCAAACCATAAAGAAAGGCTTATACATTTGAATAAATTTAAATTAAAAACTTTTGTTAATGAAAGGACAAAAACACGAGCCACAAACTAGAGACATTTTTATATTTTCAACATGATACCTGACAAGTGATTTTATCCAGAATATATAATCAATGAGAAAAAGTCAAATCCAATAGAGAAGAGGGCAAAGAATATGAAAAGGCAATTCACAAAAGAAAAGTCATACATGGCCAATAAAGCATTAAAAGACTCTCAATCTCACCAACTCTCAGGAAAATGCAAAACGTTTTTCACCCATCACGTAGACAAAAATGAAAAAGATCGATAGTATCTAGTGTTGGCAAAAGTGTGGGGAATCAGGCATTGATACACACAATATTAAAAAATAGTCATTTTGTAGGTAATTTGGCCCAGCCTTTTTGAAGAGTAATTTTTAATAGCAAAAAAACTTTAAGCAACCTACATTTCTATTGGGAATAGGGTAGCAAGCAGAAGTTAAAGACAAAGAAGCCAATGTAGATGTGCTGGCATGAAACAAACTCCAAGACAAAATGTCAAGTAAATAAAGCAAGTTACTTAATATGTGAATAGTATAATCCTGTTTATTTGTTTTTGAGACGGAGTTTCACTCTTGTTGCCCAGGCTGGAGTGCAATGGCGCAATCTCGGCTCACTGCAACCTCTGCCTCCCAGGTTCAAGGGATTCTCCTGCCTCAGCCTCCCGAGTAGCTGGAACCACAGGCATGCGCCACCACGCCTGGCTAATTTTTGTATTTTTGTTAGAGACAGGGTTTCTCTATGTTGGTCAGGCTGGTCTCGAACTCCCGACCTCAGGAGATCTGCCCACCTCGGCCTCCCAAAGTGCTGGGATTACAGGTGTGGGCCACCGCCCCTGGCCCCCCATTTATGTTTTTAAAAGATCACTATATATTTCAACATATACATATATGCAAATTTAAAGAAAAGGATTTGAAGCAATATCTACCAAACTGTTAGTAGTAGTTGCTTCTGGAAAGGGGGACTGGTTGGGGTGAGTAGTGAAAGGGGGACTTTACTTTTTACTACATATTATTTTTGAATTTTTTTACTTTTTTCTTAACATTTTATTATGAAAAAAAATTTTAATAAAAAATGGAGACAGGGTCTTGCTATGTTGCCCAGGCTGGTCTGAAACTGCTGACCTTAAGCAATCCTCCCATCTTGGCCTCCCAAAGTGCTGTAATTACAGGCATAAGTCACCATGCCTGGTCTTATTATGAAAATTTTCATTTAATTTTTTGTTTGTTTGTTTGCTTGCTTGTTTTTTTGAGACAGAGTTTCACTCTTGTTGCCCAGGCTAGAGTGCAATGGCACCATCTCCGCTCACCACAACCTCCGCCTCCCGGGTTCAAGCAATTCTCCTGCCTCAGCCTCCCGAGTAGCTGGGATTACAAGCATATGCCACCATGCACGGCTAATTTTGTATTTTTAGTAGAGACGGGTTTCTCCGTGTTGGTCAGGCTGGTCTCAAACTCTCAACCTCAGGTGATCCGCCCACCTCGGCCTCCTAAAGTGCTGGGATTACAGGCGCGAGCCACCGTGCCTGGCCGAAAATTTTCGTTTAATTTTTAAACATAATGGCAACATTGAGTTTTATAGCAAACATTCATAAAATTATCTAGATTTTAGCATTCACATTTCACTACATTTGTTTTCTTACTAATCTATTTATTTTTCTATCCTTCTATCCATCCATTAGTCTATCTTATTTTAATGCATTTAAAGTAAATTGTTAACATCAGTACTCATCTCCCTAAATACTTCAGCAGGCAAATAGTTAATAAGAGTTGAAAAATTTGTTTATAGTTTTTCTTCTATATAAAATTTACCTATAACAAGAGACACAAATTTTAAGAGCATATTCACTGAGTTTTGAAAAATGTCATATGATCAAAAGCCCTATGAAGATATAGAACAATTCCATCACCGATGAAAATTTCCTCGTGTTCTTTCCCAAGCATTGTCCCATCCCATCTACCAGAGGCAACCACTGTTCTGTTTTTTTCGTCTATAGATTACTTTGGTCATTCTGGAATTTCGTGTAAATGTAATCATACAGTATGTAGTCTTTTATGTAAGGCTTCTTCCACTGAGCATTATGATTTTGAGATTCTTCATGTTATGGTATCTATCAGCAATTCATTCCCTCTGTGTAGTATTCCATTGTATTGAAGGAATTCCGAACATGTCACCCTAAAATATGTCACCATGCCATATTGACTATTTGGGGTTAAAGGCACTTGAAAAACAGCAGACGCAAGAAGGACACTCTGATCCCCCTTTTCTTTTTAAAAAATACGAGATAAAATTATTAAGCGAGCACGGCCTTCTTTGTATCAAGAGAATAGAAACATTCTTATCAAGGATGGGCAGTTGAGACTGAGAGAATTCTGTACAAACTGATCTTCTTTAATCTTCTCATATATTTTAGTTACTTTTCCACAGTTGCCTCTCTGTTGAACTCAGTATAAAAGCATTTTGGTTTTGCCAATTCTTTTTTTTTTTTTTTTAGACGGAGTTTCGCTCTTGTCAACCAGGCTGGAGTGCAAGGGCAGGATCTCAGCTCACTGCAACCTCCACCTCCCGGGTTCAAGCGAGTCTTCTGCCTCAGCCTCCTGAGTAGGTGGGATTACAGGTGCCCACCACCATGCCCAGCTAATTTTTTTTTTTTTTTTTTTTTTTTTAGTAGAGATGAGGTTTCACCATGTTGGTCAGGCTGGTCTCGAACTCCTGACCTCAAGTGATCCATCTGCCTTGGCCTCCCAAAGTGCTGGGATTACAGGCGTGAGCTACCACACCCGGCCAAGTTTTGCCAGTTCTTTGGGTCTTCATTTCCTTATTATGAGGTCACCTGTATTATAGAAAACTTATATTGAATAAATTTGTATGCTTTTCTCTTGCTCATCTGTCTTATGCCAAATTAATTCTCAGGCCCTGCTGGAGATCCAAAGAAGGTAGAAGTAAAATTTTGCCTCCCCTACAGTATGAATGTATGAGAGCTTGTTTACCCATTCTCCTATTGATGGACACCTGAGTTTTTTCCTGGGCTTAGGTGTTATGAATAAAGCTTCATTGAGCATTCATATTCAAGCCTTTGTGTAGAGAAATCTTTTCTTTTCTTTCCTTTTTTTTTTTTTTTGAAACAGAGTCTCACTCTGTCACCCAGGCTGGAGAGGCTGGAGGGCAATGGTGTGATCTCGGCTCACTGCAACCTCTGCCTCCTGGGTTCAAGTGATTCTCCTGCCTCAGCCTCCCGAGTAGGTGGGATTACAGGCATGCGCCACCACGTCCGGGTAATTTTTGTATTTTTTAGTAGAGATAGGGTTTCACCATATTGGACAGGCCAGTCTTGAACTCCTGACCTCGTGATCCACCTGCCTTGGCCTCCCAAAGTGCTGGGATTACAGGCATGAGCCACCGTGCCTGGACAGACAAATATTTTCATTTCTTTTGGGTAAATACCTAGGAATGGACTTGCTGGGTCATAGCATAGTAACTGTTTAGTTTTATAAGAAACTGCCAGATCTTTTTCCAGAGTAGTTATACAATTATACATTTTCACCAATAGGGTTTGAGAGTTCCTGTTGCTTTACATCCTCACCATTTGGGGTGGTCAAGTCATTTTAATAGGTGTGTAGTGGTATCTCATTGCGGTTTTAATATGTATTTCTCTAGTGACTAATGACCTTGGTCACTTTTTCATGTGCTTATTGTTCATTTGTTTATTTTCTTTTAGGAAGTGTCTACTCAAATTGCCCATTTTAAGTTGGGCCATTTGTCTTAGTATTACTGATTTTTCAGGTTCTTTATATTTTCTGTATAGCAGTGCTTTGTCAAATATGTATTCTATGAATATTTTCCCCAGTCTGTGGCTTGGCTTTCAATATTATTTATTTATTTATTTATTTTTGGAGACTGGGTCTCGTTCTGTTGCCCAGACTGGAGTGCAGTGCTGCCATCTTGGCTCACTGCAACCTCCACCTCCCGGGTTCAAGCGATCCTCCCACCTCAGCCTCCTGAGTAGCTGGAACTACAGGCACGGCCACCACGCCCAGGTTAATTTTTGTATTTTTGGTAGAGATGGGGTTTTGTCATGTTGCCCAGGCTAGTCTTGAATTCCTGGCCCCAAGTGATCAGCCCGCCTCAGCCTCCCAAAATGCTGGGATTACAAGCTTGAGCCACCACGCCCAGCCATTGTTTATTTATTTTTAAGAGATGGAGTCTCCCTATATTGCTCAGGCTGGTCTCAAACTCCTGGGCTCAAGCAGTCTTCCTGCCTTGGCCTTGCAAAGTGTTGTGATTACAGATCTGAGCTGCTGTGCCTGGCCTTGATATTCTTAATGTTGTCTTTTGATGAACGGAAGTTTTAAATTTTGATGAACTCTAATCAATGTTTTCTTTTATGGTTACTGTTTTCTGTGACCTGCTAAGCAAACTTTGCCTATCCCAAATCATGAAGATACTCTTCTGAGGTTTCCTCCGAAAGACATATGGTTTTACCATTTCCATTTAGGTATGTGATCCATCTCAGATTAGTTTTCATATATGGTGTGAGGCACAGGTTGAGATTCATATTTTTCCATGTGGCACCACTTGTTGCATCAACTTTCCTTCCCCCACTAGATTGCATTGGTGCTTTTGTAAAAAATCACATGACTATATATGTGTGTGTCTACTTCTAGCTTTTTATTCTACTTGTTAATTTATATGCCATACTCTGTTGATGATAATAGTTTTATAATAATCCTTGAAATCAAGTAATGTAAGTTCTCAAACTTTGTTCTTTTTCATATTCTTGGTCCTTTACATTTCCATATAAACTTAAGAACTACATTTTCAGCCAGGTGCGGTGGCTCACGCCTGTAATCCCAGCAGTTTGGGAGGCCGAGGTGGGCGGATCTTGAGGTCAGGAATTTGAGACCAGCCTGGCCAACATGGTGAAACCCCATCTCTACTAAAAATACAAAAAAATTAGCTGGGCGCGGTGGCATACGCCTGTGATCCCAGCTACTCAGGAGGCTGAGGTGGGGGAATTGCTTGAACCAGGGAGGAGGAGGTTGCAGTGAGCCGAGGTTGCAGTGAGCCGAGGTTGCACCATTGCACTCCAGCCTGGGCTACAAAGTGAGACTCCTTCTCAAAAAAAACCATGCAGAAAACCCCCAGACTTGGGTTCATCATCTCCTCCCCAAAATCGTGGATTTGTTGTCCTACGTAATCTTAACAGCAGGGAGACAGGACAATTTTGGCAGGGGCTTAGGTTTTTGATGTTTGTTCTTTTTTGTTTGTTTTTGAGACCGAGTTTTGCTCTTGTCAACCAGGCTACAGTGCAATGGCGTGATCTCAGCTCACTGTAACCTCTGCCTCCCAGGTTCAAATGATTCTCCTGCCTCAGCCTCCCGAGTAGCTGGGATTACAGGCGCCCACCACAATGCCCGGCTAATTTTTGTATTTTTTTGTAGAGACCAGGTTTCGCCATGTTGGTCAGGCTGGTCTTGAACTCCTGACCTCGTGTGATCTACCCGCCTCGGCCTCCCAAAGTGCTGGGATTACAGGTGTGAGCCACTGCGACTGGCCTCAAGTTTGTTCTACTTTAGACCCAATAATTTTTTTTTTTTTTTTGAGACGTAGTCTCGCTCTGTCGCCCAGGCTAGAGTGCAGTGGCGCAATCTCGGCTCACTGCAAACTCCGCCTCCCGGGTTCACGCCATTCTCCTGCCTCAGCCTCTCTGAGTAGCTGGGACTACAGGCACCCACCACCACGCCCGGCTAATTTTTTTTTTTTTTGTATTTTTAGTAGAGACGGGGTTTCACTGTGGTCTCGATCTGCTGACCTCGTGATCCGCCCGCCTCGGCCTCCCAAAGTGCTGGGATTACAAGCGTGAGCCACCGCGCCCGGCCCAATAATTTGTTTTTTAAGACAGTTCCCCATTCCAACATAGACTCCCTTACAGTAGGAAAGGCCTTCCAAATCCAAACATAGAGCAGAGTGGAGTAATACTTTCTTGGCTGTGATGAAATGTGAAAAGGCAGCCTTTGGGACTTCTGCTTCTGAGAAGATGGAGTAAATGTACTATTCCTCCTGCTAAGTACAGCTCAAAATCCTAGATTTGTTTGTTGGTTTGTTTGTGTTTTTGAGGCAGAATCTCACTCTGTCACCCAAGCTGGGGTGTGGTGGTGCGGTCTTGGCTCACTGCAACCTCTGCCTCCCAGATTCAAGGGATTCTCCTGCCTCAGCCTCCCAAGTAGCTGGGATTACAGGCATGTGCCACCACACCTAGCTATTTTTTACATTTTTAGTAGAGACAGGGTTTCACCATGTTGGCCGGGCTGGTCTCGAATTCCTGGCCTCAAGTGATCTGCCTGCCTTGGCCTCCCAAAGTGCTGGGATTACAGGCTTGAGCCATCGCGCCCGCCAACACCCTAGATTTTCTATGTAAAATAAGCATATGAAGACTGAAAGGCAGAGAGAAAAAGGCACAGTCATTTAGGGGCCTTGGGACCCAAGGAACAACATGGCTGCGAATTCCCAGAATTTTCTTTTTGTCTGACATCTTCCTGACTGGGTGCTGGTGAAGCCAGCAACCTAGAAACATCAATAGCCACAGACAAAAACGCAAAACATAAAACCTCCAAGAAAAGTCTGCTCTTTCTAGCCAAAGGACCAGGAAAAGGACAGCCTAGCAAGACAGAAAACTTCTAGACAATAATCACTTTGCTGCAAGCAAACACGACAGAAAAAAAGTTGTGGCTCCACCCTGTGGGACAAAAGCCAAATGGGGAGCCTAGACTTTCACCCTTACCAGACTGTAAGGACGTGCCTCACACCACCCCTTCCCCACACCCAGTGGGGTCAGAGAAGGCTGAGTAGGAAGGCAGCGGAACATCCCTGCTGGAGAGTAAGGAGCCTCCTCGTTCCCTGTGTCAATGGAAACCACATGGGCAGCCTGGATGTCCACCTCCACCAGGCAGTAACAAAGTACTCCTCCCCCTCCTCTCTGGGGTGGTGTCAGAAGAGTGGAGAGTTTGAACTTTCACCACTGTTCCATGGTAATGAGGTCACCCTGATACGATGGCGTCAAGGGAGGCAATAATGAAACACCTTCAACCCTCCTAACCAGGGTGGTATCAAAGGAAGCCTACTGGGGAGCCTGAACCCCGACCCTTGCCTGCCAATAACAAGGAACACTCCTCCCACACTCACTCCCCATGAGGGGAGAACCTGGACTTTCACCTTCATCTGCCAATAGTAAGGCAGGAGAGGTCTGCTCAAACACGGGATTTAAATAATATTTGGAATCTTACAACATCATGCCCAAAATGTTCTGGTTTCAAAAAAAAAAAAATCACTTGTTATACTGAGAACCAGGAAGATGTCAACTTGAATGAGAAAAGACAATTAACCTAGATGACAGAGTTGCTAGAATTATTTGACAAGATTTTAAAGCAGCCATTCTAAAAATGCTTTGGCGAGCAACTACAAACATGCTTGAAACAACAAAAAAAGTAGAAAGTCTCAGCAAAGAAATCAAAGATATAAGGGAGAACCAAAGGGAAATTTTTGAACTAAAAATTGCAATAACTGAAATAAAATACTCAAGGCATATGCTCAGCAGCAGAATATAGACAGAAGAAAGAATCAGAATTTGAGGATCAAATAGAATTTACCCAATCTGAACAACAGAGAAAAAAATAGACTAAAAAACAAACAAACAAACAAACAAACAAAAAGAACAGGGCTTCAGGGACATGTGAGACTGCTGTAACAAAAAATCTAATACTCAGACCATGGGTGTTCCAGAAGGAGAGGAGAAAAATGTGGAACTGAAGAAATTATGGCTAAAAGCTCTGAAATTTGGCAAAAGACAAAAACCTACAGCTCAAGAAGCTGAGAAAATCCCAAACAGGATAAACCTAAAGAAATCCATGCCAAGGCCCATCACAGTCAAACTTCTGAAAATTAAGACAAAGAAAAAAATCTTGAAAACAGCCAGACAGAAACAACATGTTACCTATAGGGGAAAAACAATTCGAACGAACGTGGATTTCTTATCAGAAACCATGAAGGCCAGCAGGAAATGGCAAAACATTTTTCAAGTGCTGGAAAGAACTTTCAATGCAGAATTGTATAGCCGAAATATTCTTCAGGAACTTTTCGTTCCTTTTCGGAAATCAAGATATACTCTGATGACAAAAAACTGAAAGAATCTGTTGCCAGCTGACTTGCCCTAATGAATAGCTAAAGGAAATTCTCTAAGCAAAACGAAAATGAGAGAAAAAGAAATCTTGGCCCATCAGGAAGGA
The DNA here is from genome assembly GCF_000001405.40 of Homo sapiens. NCBI lineage: Eukaryota > Metazoa > Chordata > Mammalia > Primates > Hominidae > Homo > Homo sapiens. Next base: position 41,046,840 of record NC_000023.11, on the reverse strand, counting down.
AGAAAGAATGATAAAGCCAAAAGCATGGGTAAATACAATAGACTTTTGTTCTCTTCTTGAGTTTTCTAAATTATATTTGACAGTTGAAACAAAATTATAATCTTGGCTTATGCAGTAGTTCTCAATGTATGTAGAGGAAATATTTAAGACAATTATATTATAAACGGGGGAGGATTGAGAGTTATAAAAAGAGGTAAAGTTTCAACACTTCACTCAAACTGGTAAAATGTTGACAACCGTAGAATAAGTTATATATATATATATAAGGCGATCCTTAGGGCAACCATTAAAGAGATACACCCAAAGAACACTAAAGCTAAATCAAAATAGCATTCTAAAAAATGTTTAAGCAATCCACAGGAAGGCAGGAAAAAAAATCATTCTGGTGGCAGATGAGAGGCTGATGGGAGTGGCGGAGGGAGTGGAGTCACAGGGTGCATTGGGGATGGGTATAGGGTGAGGAACCTGCCAGGCTCTTCCACAAAACTTTGCCTTGGTGGATTGGTTTATACCGGTGCTGTTTATGCTGGTACTCAGAGAGCTCTTCTTGAAGCCAGCAGGCTGATCAGCCATCACACCAGAAGGAGCTCCCTGCAAAGGGTTGGGCTTGGCTGACTTCAGTACTGGCAGGATGGTGCCTTTGCGTTCTGATTACAAAAGCCAGAAGCACCACTTTGTGTGTGGTCTATACTGCTGGTAAAATGGAATTAAGATGGCTTTGAAAAGGGCCTTATGCAACATTGGCAAGGGGGAGAAGCAAGTTCAATACATTTGGAGCTGTGCCCCAGATGCTTAAGCAATATTTGGGTTCAAAATCAGAAAACCTTGGCAAACTTTTCCTACAGGATTATTACAGAGACCTATTTTAACAGGCATCTTCAGTCTTTCAACGATTCGAAAGAAAATGAATACTGATGAAAACTGACTTGCAGAGTAGTTCAACTTCTCTTTCATTTATTGAGGGCAGGAGTTCTGTATCTTTTCAAGTAGGCGGTGAGCCCCCAGATCTTGTAGTAGACCACCTCCTAGGACCTGCTGGCTCTCTGCTTCTGGCCTCTTCAATCCTGAGTCTCCCAGAGAATACTTCTGAAGACTTTTCATTATAGTTGCTTATAATTTTTACACTTAAAAAAAAGAAAAAAGATAGCTGGAGGGTTTTTTTTAATTTTAATTTTAATTTTTTGAGACAGAGTCTCACTCTGTTGCCCAGGCTAGAGTGCAGTAGCACAATCTTGGCTCCCTGCAATCTCCATCTCCCGGGTTCAAGCGATTCTCCTGTCTCAGCCTCCCAAGTAGCTGGGATTAGAGGCGTGTGCCACCACGCCCGGTTAATTTTTTTATTATTAGTAGAGACAGGGGGTTTCACCATCTTCCCCAGGCGAGTCTCGAACCCCTGACCTCAAGTGATCCACCCTCCTCAGCCTCCCAAAGTGATGGGATTACAGGCATGAGCCACAGCACCCGGCCAGCTGGAGGTTATTCATACATTACATGTCATTTACTATTCCAAATGCTGTTTTAATCAGTTCAACATGAAAGCATCTTAATATTCTCAATAATGGCACTGATTATGGATTAAAATTCATATTCAGAAAAAGAATAAGCTAGGCAATCTCCCCTTAAAGACACAATATGTAGATGATTAAATCTAGCAGGTTTGTGGAAAATTGATATTTTCACAATATAAAGTTTTTCGGTGTAAGTTTCCTTGCATTTCTATTAATAATATCAATCGTATTTTACAGCTTTCTCTGTTGAGTTCTTGCACAATTATGATAGATTTAAGTATTTGCTTCTTTTGTGCTATTATAAATGATTTCTCTTAAAATTTCATTTCCTGGCCAGGCGCGGTGGCTCACGCCTGTAATCCCAGCACTTTGGGAGGCCGAGGCGGGCGGATCACGAGGTCAGGAGATCAAGACCATCCTGGCTAACACAGTGAAACCCCGTCTCTACTAAAAATACAAAAAAATTAGCCAGGCGTGGTAGCGGGCGCCTGTAATCCCAGCTACTCGGGAGGCTGAGGCGGGAGAATGGCTTGAATCCGGGAGGCGGAGCTTGCAGTGAGCCGAGATCGCGCCACTGCACTCCAGCCTGGGCGACAGAGCGAGACTCCGTCTCAAAAAAAAAAAAATTCATTTCCTAATTTTTTTATGGCATATAAAAATGCAACTGATTTTGTATACTAACGTTTTATCCTGCACTTTGGTGACCTTCCACATATACAACTTTCCATATACACAATCATGCTTCTGACAAAGAATGAGAGTTATTGCTCCTTTGTAAGACATGATGCATTCTCGTTTATTCTTTCTTGCCTCATTGTACTCACTAGGAGCTGCATTACAATGGCAATGAAATAGTGAGAGTGGATAACCTCGTCTTGTTTCGATTTCAAAGCTTTCAATATTTTATCATTGTGTATGTTTGTTGTCGGTGTCATTTTAAGGAAGCCTATGTCTCTTTGTAGCTTTCTAAGGATTTTTATCATGAGTAGAAGCTGTATCAAATACTTTTAATGCATTTTGAGACACGTATAATTTTGTTCCTTTATTCTGTTAATATGGCAGATAGTAACATTTATTTTCAGATTGTTCACCAATGCTGTGTTTCTGAGATAAACATATCCTTTTTTTATAAAAATAAGAGGTACTTTTTGCCAATTCTATTCAGACTGCGTCATGATGAGTCACAGTGGCAGCTTTCTAGAGCTTTGAATATTCTTGATGTTATGTGCTGAAATATTGTGGAAAATGCATTCTCTAAGAGGTAATAACCTGAATTGGGAAAAATCTTTAAAAAGATTTACTGGTTGGTTGCTTGTGTGAGTGTATGTGTGTATGTTTGCTTTAAAACCAGATTTATAATTATCCATCCTTTTCTAATTAATGTAGTTATTATCTATTTTGATTATGCATTGCTACACACACACGTAGCAACGCATATGTATATATAGTCTCTGTGATCTGGATGACGTGCCCTCCTTTATTCCTGATGTTGGTAATTTGAGTCTTCTCTCTTTTCTTCTTGGTCAGTCTAGCTAGAGGTTTACCGATTTTATATTTTCAAAGAACCAGGTTTTGGTATCATTGATCTTTTTATTGTTTGTTAATTTCCTATTATATTGGTTTCTGCTCCTATCTTTTCCTTTCTTTGGGTTTAATATGTTCTTTTACTAGCTTGTTTTTTTGTTTGTTTGTTAGTTTTAATTTTTTCAGAGACAGGATCTTGGTATGTTGCCCAAACTGGTCTTGAATTCCTGGTCTCAAAGTGATCCTCCATGCTTCGGCCTCCCAAAGTATTGGGATTTCAAGCATGAGCCACCCTGCCCGGCCTTCTAGCTTATGGTGGAAGCTTAGATAATCAGTTTTAGACATTTCTTCTTCCTTTTTTTTTTTTTTTCCCAAGAAACAGGGTCTTGCTCTGCCACCCACGCTGGAATGAAGTGGCGCAATCATAGCTGATTGCAACCTCGAACTCCTTAATTCAATCAATCCTCCCACCTCAGCCTTTCAAATAGCTGGGACTACAGGCATAAGCCACCGCACCTGGCCTCTTCTTTCTAATATAAGTAGTTAATATTATAAAATTTCCTCTAAGGTCTAAACTCTGCTTTAGCTGCAAGTCACAAATGTTGATATGTTGTATTTTTGTTTACATCCCATTAAAAATACAGTATTAGCTCCTCTGTGATTTCTTCTTTGACCCATGGGTTAGAAGTGTGTTGTTTAGTTTCCAAATTTGGGGGCATTTTCCAGATATCTTTCTCTTATTGATTTGTAATTTAATTCTGTTGTGGTTGAGGAGCCCGTTCTGTTTGCTTACAGTCCTCTTAAATTTAATATGACTTGTTTTATGGCCCAGCATATGGTCTGTTTGGTGAGTGTTCCATGTACATCTGAAAAGAATGTGTATTCTGTAGTTGTGTGGGGTATTTAAAAAATTTTATTCTTTTCACTGATACATAATAGCTGTACATATTTAGAGGGTACATGTGATCATGTAATACATTCATATAATCTGTAAAGATGAAATCAGTATAGTTGAGGTATCCATCACCTTAAATATTTGTCTTTTCCAGCATAAAGCTGGAAACATTCTAATTCTTCTCTTCTAGTTGTTTTGACATATACGATAAATTATTGTAAACTGTAGTCACTCTTCTGATCTATCAAACACAAGGTCTTATTTCTATCAAACTGTATATTTGAACCCACTAATCAATCTCTCTTAATCTCCCTCTCCCTGCTACCCTTCCCAGCCTCTGCGAACCACCAACCGACTCTCTATCTTCATGAGATCTACTTTTTTAGCCCCCATATATTAATGAGAACATGCAGTATTTGTCTTTCTATGCCTGGCAATAACATGGATGGAACTGGAAGTCATTTAACATAATGCATTCTCTAAGAGGTAATAACATAATAACATTTAACACAATGACTTCCAGTTCCATCCATGTTATTGCAAATGACAGGATCCCATTCTTTTTTTATGGCTGACTAGTACTCCACTGTGTATAGGTACCACATTTTCTTTATCCATTCATCTGTTGATGGACACTTAGGTTACCTCCAAATCTTAGCTATTGTGAACAGAGCTGCAATAAACATGGGACTGCAGATGTCTCTTCAATATGCTAATTTCCTTTCTTGCGGGTATATACCCAGCAGCAGGATTGCTGGATCATATGGTAATTCTGTTTTGTTTTTGTTTTTAGAGGCAGTTTTGCTCTTGTAGCCTACGCTGGAGTGCTACGGCCTTATCTCGGTTCACTGCAACCTCCGCCTCCCGGGTTCAAACGATTCTCCTCCTCAGCCTCTTGAGTAGCTGGGATTACAGGCACATGCCACCACACCTGGCTAATTTTTAAATTTTTAGTAGAGATGGGGTTTTGCCATGTTGTCCAGGCTGGTCTTGAACTCCTGGCCTCGAGTGATCTGCCTGCCTCGGCCTCCCAAAGTAATGGGATTATAGGCGTGAACCACCGTGCCCAACCCCGTGTGTCTTCTTTTGATAAATGTCTATTCAAGGTCTTTTGGCCATTTTTAAGTTGGATTATTAGGATTTTTTTTTTTTGCTATTGAGTTGTTTGGGCTCCTTATATCTTCTGGTTATTAATCACTTGTCAGAGGTGTAGTTTGCAGATATTTTCTCCCATTCTGTGGGTTGTCTCTTCACTTTGTTGATTGTGTCCTTTGCTGTGCAGAAGCTTTATAGCTTGATGTGATCCCATTTGTCTATTTTTTCTTTTGTTGCCTGTACTTTTAAGATCTTACCCAAAAAATCTTTGCTCAGACCAATATCCTGGAGCATTTATCTAATGCTTTCATCTAGTAGTTTCACAGTTTCAGTCTTTGATCTATTTTGATTTGATTTTTGTATATGGTGAAAGATAGGGGTCTAGTTTCATTCTTCTGCATATGGTTATCCAGTTTCCCCAGCACCATTTATTAAAGGGACTGTCCATTCCCCATTGCATGTTCTTGGCGCCGTTGTCGAAAATGAGTTGGTTGGACCGGGCATGGTGGCTCACGCCTGTAATCCCAGCACTTTGGGAGGCTGAGGCAGGAGGATCCCTTGAGGCCAGGCGTTTGAGACCATGCTGGGAAAAGCAAGACCCCATGTCTCTATTAAAAATAAAATTTTAAAAATTAATTTTTAAAAAAGGTCTAAAAAGTGAATTGGCTGTAAATGTGTGGATTTTTATGTGGGTTCTCCATTCTGTTCCACTGGTCTATGTGTCTGTTTTTATGCCAACACCATGCTGATTTGGTTACTATGGCTTTGTAGTTTTTTGTTTGTTTGTTTGTTTGTTTTTGTTTTTGTTTTTTTGAGACAGAGTCTCATTCTGTCATCCAGGCTGGAGTGCAGTGACATGATCATGGCTCATTGCAGCCTTGAACTCTTGGGCTCAAGCAATACTCTTATGTCACCTCCTAAAATGTTAGGATTACAGGTGTGAGCCACCGCACCTGCCCATCTGTGCCTCTTTGTTTCATTTAAGGTGGTTTCTCTAGGGTTTACAAACTGCTTCTTTAACTTATCATAGTTTATTTTCAAATAATATACCACTTCACATATTGTGTAAGAACCCTACAACAGTGTACTTCCCTTTTTCCCTTACTGGCCTTTGTGTTAATTTGCCATACATTTTATTTCTACCTATCTTAGAAACCCCACAGTACATTGTTATTACTTTTGCTATAAACAATTATTTCGTAAAAGAATTAGAAAATTAGAAAAACGACTTTTACATTTAACAACATATTTACCATTTCAGCACTCTTTGATCCTTTGTGTATATCCAAGTTCCTTTCTGGTATCATATTTCTCTGCTGGAAAAATTTCTCTTAACATTTCTTGTAGTGCGGATGGGCTGGTGCCAAATTCTCCCAATTTTTGTTTGTCTGAAACTTTTTCTTTTTCTTTTTCGAGACAGAGTCTTGCTCTGTCACCCAGGCTGGAGTGCAGCGGTGCGATTGCAGCTCACTGCAACCTCTGCCTCCTGGGTTCAAGTGATTCTCCTGCCTCAGCCTCCCGAGTAGCTGGGATTACAGGTTCCCATCACCACACCCAGTTAATTTTTGTATTTTTAGTAGAGACAGGGTTTCACCATATTGGCCAAGTTCGAACTTCTGACCTCGTGATCTGCCAACCAAAGTGCTGGGATTATAGGCGTGAGCCACCACACCCGGCTCTGTCTGAAACTTTTTTTTAACCTTCATTTCTGAAGGATATGTTTTCTGGGTAGAGAATTCTAAATAAACCCTTTTTTCCCCCTTTCAGTTCCATAAAGAATTTTTATGCCTTTCATAGTTTTTGAAGTCTACAGTGATTCTGACCTCTGTACGCCTGTACATAATGTACCTTTCTTCTCTGTGTGCTTTTAAGATTTTCTTGGCGGGGCATGGTGGCTCACATCTGTAATCCCAGCACTTTGGGAGGCCGAGGCGGGTGGGTCACCTGAGGTCAGGAGTTCAAGACCAGCCTGGCCAACATGGTGAAACCCCAACTCTCCTAAAAATACAAAAATTAGCTGGGTGTGGTGGCGGATGCCTATAATCTCAGCTACTCAGGAGGCTGAGGCAGGAGAATTGCTTGAATCCAGGAGGAGGAGGTTGCAATGAGCCGAGATTGTGCCATTGCACTACAGCCCAGGCCGACAACAGTGAGACTCCAACTCAAAAAAAAAAAAGATTTTCTCTTAGGCCGGGCATGGTAGCTCACACCTGTAATCCCAGCACTGTGGGAAGCCAAGGTGGGCAGATCACTTGAGGCCAGGAGTTTGAGACCAGCCTGGCCAACATAGTGAAACCCCATCTCTACGGAAAATAGAAAAATTATCCAGGCATAGTGTCATGTGCCTGCAATCCCAGCTACTGGGGAGGCTGAGGCACGAGAATCACTTGAACCCAGGAGGCAGAGGTTGAAGTGAGCCAAGATCGAGCCACTGCACTCCAGCCTGGGCAACAGAGCGAGACCCTGTCTCAAAAAAAAAATAAATAAATAAAAAAGGCTCTTTATCGCTGGTTTTTAGCAATTTGACTTTGTTGTGTCTTGATGCAGTTTTGTTTCGTTGGGGTTCATTGTGCTATTTGGATCTGTGGCTTTACAGGATTTTAAAAATCAAATTTAGAAAATTTCTGGCCATTCTTTCTTCAAGTATTTTTGTGTCCTCCTCCTTTCTCCTCTCTTGAGATTCCAATTACCCATATATTAAATCACTTAGTATTATTCTATAGTTCTATAGGTCACTGAGGCTCTATGTATCATTTCTTTCTCTCTTTCTTCTTTTTTTTTTTTTTGAGACGGAGTCTCACTCTGCTGTCAGGCTAGAGTGCAGTGGCGCGATCTCAGCTCACTGCAATCTCTGCCTCCCAGGTTCAAGTGATTCCCCTGCCTCAGCCTCCTGAATAGCTGGGACTACAGGCGTGCACCACCACGCCCGGCTAATTTTTTGTATTTTAGTAGAGACAGGGTTTCACCATGTTGGCCAGGATGGTGTCAACCTCCTGACCTCGTGATCCACGTGCCTTGGCCTCCCAAAGTGCAGGGATTACAGGGGTGAGCCACCGCACCTGGCCTATGTATCATTTCTTAGCCATTTTTCTCTTTGTGCTTCATTTTGGATAGTTTCTGTCTTCAAATCTCTGGTCTTTTCTTCTGTGGTGTCTAATCTGCTGTTAATCCCATTCGATGAAACCGTAAATTCAGGTACTTGGTTTGTTTTTCATACCTAGAATTTTTTTTTTTTTTTTTTTTTTTGAGACAGAGTCTCACTCTGTCACCCAGGCTGGAGTACAGTGGCGTGATCTTGGCTCTGTACAACCTCTGCCTCCCAGGTTCAAGCAATTTTCATGCCTCAGCCTCCCCAGTAGCTGAGATTACAGGTGTGTGCTACCAAGCCCAGCTAATTTTTGTATTTTCCTAGAGACCAGGTTTCCATGTTGGCCAGGCTGGTCTCAAACTCCTGACCTTAAGTGTTCTGCCTGCCTCAGCCTCTCAAAGTCTTGGGGTTACAGGTGTGAGCCCCCATGCCCGGCCTGGTTCTTTTTTTGTATTATCCATTTATATTTTCATTCAATTCATATTTCCTTTTACTGTACTTCCTACTTTTACTTTACTATATTAAGAATATTTATTTATTTATTTATTTGAGATGGAGTCTTACTCTGCCACCCAGGCTGGAGTGCAGTGGCATGATCTCGGCTCACCGCAACCTCCACCTTCTGGGTTCAAGCGATCCTCCTGCCTCAGCCTCTCAAATAGCTGGGATTACAGGCAAGAGCCACCACATCCAGCTAATTTTTGTATTTTCAGTAGAGATGAGATTTCACCATGTTGGCCAGGCTGGTCTCGAACTCCTGACCTCAAGTGATCCACCCACCTTGTCCTTCCAAAGTGCTGGGATTACAGGTGTGAGCCACTGAGCCCATCCAAGAATATGTATAATAGCTGTTTTATTATCCTTGTCTTTTAACCCCATCATTTCGTAATTCCTGTGTCTATTTCCATTGACTATTTTTTCTCTTAGTTTTGGGCCATATTTTGGGTTTTCTGTTTGTTTGTTTGTTTGTTTTTTGAGACGGAGTCTTGCTCTGTCACTCAGGCTGGAGTACAGTGTCACAATCTCGGCTCACTGCAACCTCCACCTCCTGGGTTCAAGTGATTCTCCTGCCTCAGCCTCCTGAGTAGTGGGGATTACAGGCACGTGCCATCACACCCGGCTAATTTTTGTATTTTTAGTAGAGACGGCGTTTCGCTATGTTGGCCAGGCTGGTCTTGAACTCCTGACCTCAGGTGGTCCACCCGCCTTGGCCTCCCAAAGAGCTGGGATTATAGGTGTGAGCCACTGTGCCTGGCCTTGTTTCTTTATATATTAGGTAATTTCTTTTTTTCTTTTTTAGAGACAGGGCCTCACTCTGTTGCCAAGCTGAAGAGCAGTGTTGTGATCATGGCTCACTGCAGCCTCGACCTCCTGGGCTCAAGCGATTCTCCCACCTCAGCCTCCTGTGTAGCTGGGACCACAGGCATGTGCCATCATGCCTGGTTCAATTTTAAATTTTTTTGTAGAGATGGAGTCTCCCTATGTTGCCCAGGATAGTCTTGAACTCCTGGGCACATACTAGGTAATTTCTCTTTGGATGCCAGGCATATGAATTTTACATTGCTAAGTCCTAGAATTCGTCATTCTTCTTTAAATACTGTTGGACTTTGCTCTGGCAGACAGTTTATGTTACTTGCAGATCAGCTTGATCTCTTCAAGACTTGCTTTTTAAAATTTTTAGGGTAGGTTCAGAGCAACCTTTCCTTTAGGGCTTGGTTAGCCACACCCCTAAGGTGTGATGCCTCTGGGGTCTCTACTGAGTTCCCAATTTATTCAACAAAGTTTCTTTACTCAGCTTGGTAGAAACTTGGAAGATCGCTGGTCCTGTGTGAACTCTGGAAATTGTTTGAATACAACTTCCTGGTAGCTATTTCTGTAGAAATCGTTCTTTGCGGCCAGGCGCAATGGCTCACACCTGTAATCCCAGCACTGTGGGAGGCCAAGGTGGGCAGATCGCCTGTGGTCAGGAGTTTGAGACCAGCCTGGCCAACATGGTGAAACCCTGTCTCTACTAAAAATACAAAAAATTGGACGGGCGCGATGGCTCATGCCTATAATTCCAGCACTTTGGGAGGTCAAGGCAGGCGAATCACCTGAGGTCAGGAGTTCGAGACCAGCCTGACCAATGTGGAGAAAACCCATCTCTACTAAAAATACAAAATTAGCAGGGCATGGTGGTGCATGCCTATGGTCCCAGCTACTCAGGAGGCTGAGGCAGGAGAATCGCTTGAACCTGGGAAGCAGAGGTTGCAGTGAGCCGAGATTGTGCCAGTGCACTCCAGCCTGGGCAATAAGAGCGAAACTCTGTCTCAAAAAAAAAAAAACAAAAAACTAGCCAGGCATGGTGGTGGACACCTGTGATCTCAGCTACTCGGGAGGCTGAGGCAGGAGAATCACTTGAACCCGGGAGGCAGAGATTGCAGTGAGCAGAGATCGTGCCACTGTACCCCAGCCTGGGCGACAGAGCAAGACTCCATCTCAAAACAAAAAAAAAGGAAATCGTTCTTTGCCCAGCTACATAGAATTTATTCTGTATATGTGGGACTTAATGCAGATTCCTGAACTCCTAGAATTCTGCCTACTGTATTGGCCCACAAGTTTTATTTTGCAGCTTGGTGACCTTGGTGCAATTTCATAAGATAAAATTCTGTAAATGTTCTAAATTACCTAATCAATGACCTATCCAGTAATAAATTGATTTGTTTGTTTTGTAGTTTCATTTAGGTCTAACGTTTGAAGCATTTCTAGACCAGATTATACAGTATAATGAAAATATGAACACAAACAATCAGTATCACATTAGATCATTTTATTGGTGAAACTACCATGAATAATTCAGAATCTCCATTTCACCAAAGAGCACACTTTTACATGTGTTACTACTGTCCAGGTTGTTGGAATGGAACAGAGCTTGTATGTACACAGAGAGCCTACCTAGAGCTCACAGGTGTTCACGGGTGTGTCAAGAACATTTCTCAAAGCTTTTTAAACTTGCTAGCTTTTTAGCCTAAAGGATTCTGAAGCCTTTGTTGGCAAGGTAAAGATAAAGCCTTGTGGCAGAGATGGATTAATAATTGGCCATTTCTTAGCTGCAAGTATGAGGAAGTCAGATGGAATTACATATTATAAAATATATTATATACTAATAAAGGATTGTCTTAAAACATACAAGATAATTATACTTTTTGATGTACGTTATCTGCATGGATGACTCCTTTAGTCAATATGTTAGCAAAATTTAGCAATACTTTTTTTTTCTTTCTTTATTTTGTTTTTTTTAATTATACTTTAAGTTCTGGGGTACATGTGCAGAATGTGCAGGTTTGTTACATAGGTATACATGTGCCATGGTGGTTTGCTGCACCCATCAACCTGTCATCTACATTAAGTATTTCTCCTAATGCTATCCCTCCCTCTGTCCCCCACCCCTGACAGCCCCGGTGTGTGATGTTCCCCTCCCTGTGTCCATGTGTTCTCATTGTTCAACTCCCAGTTATGAGTGAGAACATGTGGTGGTTGGTTTTCTGTTCTAGTGTTACTTTGCTGAAAATGATGGTTTCTAGCTTCATCCATGTCCCTGCAAAGGATATGAACTCATCCTTTTTTATGGCTGCATAGTATTCCATGGTGTATATGCGCCACATTTTCTTTATCCAGTCGATAACTTTTGTTTTGTTTTGAGACAGAGTCTTGCTCTGTTGCCCAGGCTGGAGTGCAGTGGCACAATCTCGGCTCACTGCAACCTTCGCCTCCTGGGTTCAAGTGATTCTTCTGCCTCAGCTTCCCAAGTAGCTGGGACTACAGGCATGCACTACCATGCCCAGCTAATTTTTGTAATTTTAGTAGAGATGGGGTTTCACCACATTGGCCAGGCTGGTCTCAAACTCCTTACCTCAAGATCCGCCTGCCTTGGCCTCCCAAGGTGCTGGGAATACAGGCGTGGGCTACTGCACCTGGCCTTTTCTTTCTTTTTTTTTTTTTTTTTAAACAAACAGGGTCTCACTCTGTTGCCTAAGGCTGGAGTGCAGTGGCATGATCATAGCTCACTGTAGCCCAGAACTCCCGGGCGGAAGTGATCCTCCCACCAAAGCCTCTTGAGTAGTTCGGACTACAGGCACATACCCCCATGCCTAGCTTATTTATTTTATTTTTTGTAGAGATGGGGTCTTACTCTTTTGCCCAGGCTGTTCTGGAACTGCTGGCCTCAAATGATCCTCCTTTCTCAGCCTCCCAGAGTGCTGGGATTATAGGTGTGAGCCACCATGTCCGGCAAATTTTAGTAAGTTTAAAGATTTTTGCTCTGCCTATGTGATAGCACCATAACTTTGACACTTATTTTTAGGGAAAGGAATTATAGGTTACTGTTTTTAATCATGTAATAGATAGAGTAAGTACCTGGCAAGACACATAATTTTAAGGGTAAGGACAGTTGCTGATTTATTTGCATTTCTTAGTCCAAATTTTTCAAATGCATAAAGGTGCCACTGTGAAAAATGCAGAAAAGGTACCGAGGAACATTTTAACAGAACCGTTGCCAATGAAATTGTAGCTTTGCATTAAATTATTAAAAATTCAGCCAGAAAAATTTTAAATTATTTGTGATTTTGATGAATGAATAGAGGCTTTTCTGAAGTGCATTGTTTATATTTTTGGCAATTACCATCCATGATTACCATATTGGATGCTCAATAAACATTTGTTTTCTTCTATATTGAAAACAATTAAAACTATTGAGAAAATATATTTAATGGTTAATAGCACTAGCACTTAGTAGAGAATCTCAGGGTGCTGAAAAAATAGATGTTATGAAAAAGTTTTTAAAAATGCTATATCACAATGATTCTAAAATGTTCATGTTTTCTTTAGATTTTAGATTTTAAGTTTGTTTATATTGAGGCAGGAGAATAGGGTCTGGAGGCAGGGAACCTAAGGCCGATTCACGCTGACTTCCTAGAACTAAATCAAAAGGAAAACCCCAACTTTCCACACCTAAGTAACAAAAGGACCGGAGGCTACTCCCTTTGCAAACCCCCTCCCTTTTCTGCAGTGGCAGATGGAAAATTGAAAGTACCTCTGATTGGTTGCTTTCTGCAACCAATCAGACATTTGCATAGGAGTATAATTTTGTAACTTCACTTCAGCCTCTGATTGGTGCTTTCCACAACCAATCAGACTTGATTGCATGCTAAGTCTTCATTTGCATAGAAGTGTAACTTTGTAACTTCACTTTTGCCTCTGATTGGTTGCTTTCCACAACCAATCAGATGCTTGCATAGAGGGCAACCTCTGTAACTTCTCTTCAGTCTCTGATTGGTTGCAGAAAGCTTTCTGTAACCAATCAGACTGATGGCAGGCCACTACTTCATTTACATAGGGTGTACATCAATGTTTCTAGAGGATATTTAAACCCCAGAAAATTCTGCAACTGGGCTCTTAAGCCCCTATGCTCGGGTACCTTCATTTTCAATAAACCTCTGCTTTTGTTGCTTCATTTTTTTCTTGCTTTGATTGTGCATTTTGTCCAATTATTTGTTCAAAACGCTAAGAATCTGGATACCCTTCACCCGTAACAATATTGCTATTTTTTTTGTTTTGTTTTTGCCAAAAGGAATATGATGTAGTGATGTTCCTGGAGTCAAAATATCTGTGTTCAAAATTCTGGTTCTACCACTTATTAGCTTTGTGACTTTAGGCAAGTCATATAATCCCTCTAGCTCAGTTTTCTCATCTTAACCTCTGTGTGTGGCCCAATAGCATGAACACCACCTGGGAACTTTTTAAAAGCGCATATTCTCAACCTCACCCCAGAGCTACTGAATCAGAAGCCTTGGGGGTGGGGCCCAGCACTCTGCATTCACAATCTCTCCGTCTGATGCACGCTGAAGTTTGAGAACCACTGTCGTAAGCCACTGTGGTGCCTTCCATGGCTTCTGCTCATCTTTTGTGAAGATGATTTGATTATAGCCGATCTATTTCTTGGCATTGTGTGTAAAAGTTGACATCTTAAGCTTCCATTAAACGTGTATGATGGCCGGCACGGTGGCACACGCTTGTAATCCTAGCACTTTGGGAGACCGAGGCGGGTGGATCACCTGAGGTCAGGAGTTCGAGACCAGCCTGACGAACATGGCAAAACCCCGTCTCTACCAAAAATATATTTTTTTAAAAAATTAGCCAGGTGTGGTGGCGGGCTCCTGTAATCCCAGCTACTAGGGAGGCTGAGGCAGGAGAATCGCTTGAACATGGGGGGCAGAGGTTGCAGTGAGCTGAAATCGTACCACTTCACTCCAGCCTGGGCAAAAGAGCGAAACTCCATCTCAAAAAAAAAAGTGTGTGATGCCGGCCGGGCATGGTGGCTCACGCCTGTAATCCCAGCGCTTTGGGAGGCCGAGGTGGGCAGATCACCTGAGGTCAGGAGTTCGAGACCAGCCTGGCCAACGTGGTGAAACCCCTCTCTCCTGGGTGACAAGAGGGAAACTGTCTCGGGGGGGAAAAAAGAGTGTATGATGTCAATGAGTAGCCAATAGATTATAGATATTCAAAGAAAATGTTAAGCAGACTAAATTTTAGAGGAGTCACAGAAAACCCCCCAGTAAGGGATGTGCAGTTTTTTTTGTTTTTGTTTTTGTTTTTGTTTTTGTTTTTGTTTTTGTTTTAAATACAGGGTCTGGCTCAGTTGCTCAGGCTGGAGTATAGTGGCGTGATCTCAGCTCACTACAACCTCCGCCTCCTGGGCTTAAATGATCCTCCCACATCAGCCTCCCAAGTAACTGAGACTACAGGTGCACACCATCACACCTGGCTAATTTTTTTTGGCATTTTTTGTAGATATGGGGTTTCGCCATGTTGCCCAGGCTGGTCACGAACGGGATGCACATTTTTAACAGTGGACTTGCTCCCAGTGTCCAGCATGTCTTATTTCGGGCAATGGGATGGGACAGCCTGGGAAGGGCTGGGTTGTACTTTGGACCTTGCACCCTAGTTATAGGCACAAAGACAAAATTCATTCCAGCAGATACGACACAATATGGAGGTAATAATAGCAACGGTACTGAAGAGTTTGGCAGTGAACAACAAATGAAATGGTCAGCACGGAAGGCTGAAACATGGGGATGGAGCAATGGGGTTTCTCACCAAGAGGGCAGAACTTGGTGACCAAGGCTCCAGGGGAAGGCAACATTCAGAGCCTGAGGCAGGCAGACAGCTAAGCAAGGAGTCTATTTAGGGAATGTTTGCTAGCAGCTGCAAAGACTGCAATCTCTGGGACAATTACGGACAAAAGTCTGGCAGAATGCAGTCCTACAGAGGGAAATTACCCACACTGCGTGCGGTTCTTACACCTGGCACAACGCAGGGTGACCACATGTCAGGAACACTGGGCATTCCCTTGCCGATCCTCAAACGGCAGTTGGGCCAACTTGATGCTGAATCCCTGCATGGTGCTAGGGGTCTCCTATAACCTTCTTACCCAGTGGGTCTTGTTTGGCCTTAGGGCTGAGGTCAGGCTGAGCCTGTATGTGAATCAACAGTGACCGAAGCTGTGGGAATAGGTGAGCTACAGGCACGGTCACACAACCCAGGGAGGTGATTCCGATGGAGAAAATTTCAGGCCAGCAAGGAGCAAAAGGGTAGCAGTGGAGCTGCTTGGTCAGACTTCTCCACAATCTACTGGTAACTGTGCTTTTTTTTTTTTTTGGAGACGGAATCGCACGCTGTCACCTAGGCTAGAGTGCAGTGGCGCAGTCCAGTCTCAATCTTAGCTCACTGCAACTTCCATCTCCCGGTTCAAGCAATTCTCGTTCCTCAGCCTCCTGAGTAGCTGGAATTACAGGGGTACACCACTACGCCCAGGTAATTTTTGTATTTTTAGTAGAGATGGAGTTTCACCATGTTGCCCAGGCTGGTCTCGAACTCCTAGGCTCAAGTGATCCACCTGCCTCAGCCTCCCAAAGTGCTGGGATTACAGGCCTGAGCAACTGTGCCCAGAGGTTCACATAGTTTTAAATTCAAAGTATTAAAGAGTACATAGTGAAAAAAGTCTCCTTCTCATCTGTTTCTCCAGACATCCAGTTTTACTCCCCCAGCAATATTATATTTTTGTGTGTGTGTATATATATACACACACACACACACACATATATTTTTCTTTCATTATGTATATATATTTCTCTCTCTTTTTTTTTTTTTTTTTTTTTGAGACAGAGTCTCACTCTGTCACCCAGACTGGAGTGCAGTGGTGTGATCTCAGCTCACTGCAACCTCCGCCTCCCAGGTTCAAGCAATTCTCCTGCCTCAGCCTCCTGAGTAGCTGGGATTACAGGCATGTTCCACCATGCCAGGCTAATTTTTGTATTTTTAGTAGAGACGGGGTTTCACCATGTTGGTCAGGCTGGTCTCGAATTCCTGACCTCATGATCCTCCCCGCTTGGCCACCCAAAGTGCTGAGATTACAGGCATGAGCCACCGCGCCCGGCCTATATTTCTCTTTTGTGTTTGTGCACGTGTATATAATGTCCCTCTTTTGCCTAAATGGCAGCATACTATATTCTGTTTCTTGCTTTTGCCCATTAACAATATATATTGGATATATTTACATGTTACCACACAGACTACTTTCTCATTTTTTTCTTCATAGTCACATGGTATTCCATGAATGTGGCATAATTTATGTAATTAGTCTCCCACTGAAGGACATTTAGATTGTTTTCAATCTTTGATGTTCACGATAACCTTTACATGCATTATTTCACATGTGTGTAAATATTTCTCTAGGATAAATCTTTAGAAGTGGAATTGATGGATCAAAAGATTCATGTATTTCTGGTCAGGTGCGGTGGCTCACGCCTGTAATCCCAGAACTTTAGGAGGCCGAGGTGGGCAGATCATTTGAGGTCAGGAGTTCGAGACCGGCCTGGCCAACATGGTGAAACCCCATCTCTAATAAAAATACAAAAATTTGCCAGGTGTGATGGCACAGACCTGTAATCCCAGGAGTTCAACACCAGCCTGGCCAACATGGTGAAACCCTGTCTCTACTAAAAATACAAAAATTAGTCGGGTGTGGTGGCACATGCCTGTTATCCCAGCTACTCGGGGGGTTGAGGCACGAGAATCGCTTGAACCCAGGAGGCAGAGACTGCAGGGAGCCTGGACCCGTGCCACTGCACTCCAGCCTGGGTAACAGAGTGAGATCTGTCTCAAAACAAACAAACAAACACACACGCAAAAGGCAGAAGCTTCAAACTTCCTGACCTGTGAGAGTCCTGAGTCATTCCTGCCCTATTCTATTGACCAAAGCAAGTCACAAAGCTAGCCCAGACTAGGGAAGTGAAGGGAGAATAGCCTTCTCCGCCAGAAAAAAAAAAAAAAATTAATGTATTTGTAATTTTGACAAATTTTGCAAAATCAACCTCTAGGGATATACCAATTTATATTCTACTGGCAATGTATAAGAACAGCTAGCAACTGAGTATTTTCACTGTGTATTTTGTCTGTGTAAAAAGGCTGATGCTATGACTACAGAAAAACATTTCATGGGAATGGTTCCTGCAAGCATAGAATACCAGGTAAGGCTGAAGCTGGGGAGGATCATGTCTTTCTTGAATTTGGGGAAAGCTGTTACTTTATTTATAGAAATTCATTAATCTTTATAATTTAGAATATTAATATTTCTGCTTTTCATATGGAAGTTCACTAAATAATCTTTCTAATTTGGAATATTAAATTTTCTGCTTTTTATAAAACTGAAATGTGAACCATAATCCCATGACAAACACCAAAATAAAAATGCCGCTTTATAGTTTATGAAGCGTTTTCACACACACACACATATATTTTTTTTTGAGACGGAGTCTCGCTCTGTCACCCAGGCTGGAGTGCAGTGTCACGATCTCGGGTTACTGCAACTTCCACCTCCTGGGTTCAAGCGATTCTCCTGCCTCAGCCTCCCTAGTAGCTGGGACTACAGGCACGCGCTACCACACCCGGCTAATTTTTTGTATTTTTAGTAGAGACGGGGTTTCGCTGTGTTAGCCAGGATGGTCTCGATCTCCTGACCTCGTGATCTGCCCGCCTCGGCTGTCACCCAGCTGGAGTGCAGTGGCACGATCTCGGCTCACTGCAACCTCTGCCTCCCAGGTTCAAGCGATTCTCCTGCCTCAGCCTCCCGAGTAGCTGGGATTACAGGCGTGCACCACCATGCCCAGCTAATTGTTGTATTTTTAGTAGAGACCAGGTTTCACCACATTTGCCAGGCTGGTCTCGAACTCCTGACCTCAGGTGATCCACCTGCCTTAGCCTCCCACAGTGCTGGGATTACAGGTGCGAGCCACCGGGTCCCGCCCACATATATATTTTTAAACCTACTTTTCATCTGAAATCTAGGTTTAAAACGAGATACTGAATTTCGAGAACTTTGCTTCAGAAATACTAGTAAAGTCAAAACTGAACTAGAGTGAGAAATCATTTGTCAAATTTATACCAGCATGTTCCTCATGCCCAGAGGCGCAGTTCTGCACTTTTAAGCAGTTATTTTTCTAATAGTGTTCAGAACTCCTAGTGGCTCTTGAATCCAGGCCTGTGTGTTAAAAACGAATGATAGCACCATCTTATCATGGCTGATTCCTGCTTTAATCATTCTTGCAAAACCTCTTCGCATTCCAAGACAATGAAAAGTGCAAAAAGCTGTTACAAACAGCTGAGTCAAGATCTCATTCTCCAGTATGCTCATTCTTTTCTTTTTGAGATGGAGTTTCACTCTTGTTGCCCAGGCTGGAGTGCAATGGCACGATCTCGGCTCACTGCAACCTCTGCCTCCCGGGTTCAAGCAATTCTCCTGCCTCAGCCTCCCATTAGTGCATGGGATTACAGGCATGCACCACCATGCCCAGCTAATTTTGTATTTTTTGTAGAGATGGGCTTTCTCCATGTTGGTCAGGCTGGTCTCGAACTCCTGACCTCAGGTGATCTGCTCGCCTCGGCTTCCCAAAGTGCTGGGATTACAGACGTGAGCCACCGTGCCTGGCCCTGCTCATTCTTATTAAGTTCTACATAACCTATTGGCAAGGGAGATTGAGTAACACGTTCTGGCAGAAATGAAAATTACTGACAAACAGCTACGTGATGCTAGATGGAAAGGCATGATAAGAATCTTTCTATGGAATCTTTTACCCACCCATTTATTTAGTGCAGGTCATGTGACCATCTTTGCAGCTTGTGGGAGAGGAATAGAATTTGCTTGTGCAGTGCAGCAAGCCTTAAAGAGGTCTATTTTTTCCTCTGCAAAGTCCCTGGTCACGAGAATCTTGAAAAGCTTAACAGCAGGAGATAATGCTATTCATTTGGAAAATAACCAAAGCCCATTTTTTTCACTAGTAATTTGTCCACAGATGTTTCATAAAATTGATGGATCAATATGTCAATCATGTAATCCTAGCACTGCAAAAGATGTATTTTTAATGACTTTTTCAATAGAAGATTCTCATGTCTGTATTTAATAATGTTAGTTATCTAGGCAGGCTTCATTTACACCCTTTGCTGGGGTTGGCCTCTTTTCTTGTTTTTCTTCAGCAGCTGTGGATAGGATGTCACCAATAAGTTCCAATTAAAAATCATTCATCCACCTCACCAGTTCTAGCAGAAAATATGGGCAGAATTCTCTAGACCAGTGCTTCTCAAATTTTAAATTGCAAATTTACTATGGCGGGGAGCGGGGTGGTGGTGGTGGTGGTGGATCTTTTTAAAACGCAGAGGCTGATTCAATAGGCCTGGGTGGAACCTGAGAGTCCGCTTTCCTAACAGAATACGGGTGATGCCTAAGTTGCTGATCTGAGGACCATATTTAGTCAACAAAACTGCCTTATTATCTGGGAGAGGATAAAGCTTTTACAACTGTGACTCAAAGTACAAAAGCAATAAGGAAAACATAGATTAATCTGGTTACACTAAAATAACCTGTTGCATGCAAAAAGAAACAAAAGCACCTTAGATAGAATAAAAATAAGTGGGAAAATGGGAAAAAAAAATAGTTGGAATTTGTATCACAAAGAGTTACTATCCCTAATATATGAAAAGCTTTTAAAGCTAGAGAAGAAAAAGACTAAGAATTCAAGAAAACGGGCTAAAGATATGAGAAATAAATGCAAATGACTCTCTATCATATGGAAAGAGCTCAATCTTGCTCACAGTAAGAGAAATGCAAATTAAAACTACAATGAGATACCTTTTCTTTCCTAGCGGGCGAGAAAAGAAAGAACTTTTATTTGAGGAATGCCAAGTCTCTTTAAATTATCAGGCCCGGAGAGACATTAAAATGATACAGCAATCACATCCTACTCCCCCCTTGAGCTAAGTATTCATCTCTTCAAACCGCTTGCTATTGCCACAGATGGCTATAAATTAATTTAACAATGCTGGACACTAATCCACACCCTGTAGCTTAACAATGTACAGTCAATTACTAATCAATGTTACTTCTGTAAACCAGTGAGAATTTTCGGCAAACAGCTTTTTATCAGCCCACCCCTTCTCCCCCTTCTTTTTGCCTTTAAAAAACTGCTTGTAACAAAGGCCAGCCGGAGCTCTTATCCGAGGTTACTTGGGGGCTGGGTCTCCTGGGCAGCTGTCCTCCCTTTGGCTCAAGTAAACGTTTTAAATTAGATTTTGTGCCTCAGCCTCTTCTTCCTTTTCGGTTGACGCAGGTTAGCAAAAATCCAAAAGTTTGACCGCAAAAATCCGAAAGTTTCACTTTTAGGAATGTATCCCAAAAAGATGAAAGCACAAACCTATTGCTTTCAGCATTAATTACAGTAGCAAAAGACCGGAAGCAACTTTAATGCTTATTGGGGGCTTAACTGAATAAATTTGGATACATCTACACAATGAGATACTATGTAAGTATAAAGGGGAATAAATAATACTTCCATGTACTGCTATGAAGTATTTTCCAGGATATAATGTAAAGTAAAAAAAAAAAGCAAGGTAGAAAAATCAAAGAACATATACAAATATGTATATATTATGTACTTATATTTTTAAAAGACAATAGAAGGTTAGACCATAAATAAAATGGTTACCTGTGGGAGGAAGAAGGAAATAAAGGGACAGAACCTAGATTTTTCTGAAGATACTTTGACTTACAGATTTAACTTTAGAACAATGTCAATATTTTACATAATTATAAAGCATTATTAAATCAACATTTTAAAACACAGCATTTAAAAATCAAAAGCAAAATGAAACGAATGGATCTGTGTATTGAGCTGCAGGCTTAATCACATGGAGAAAAATTATTTCAAGTGAACTTTAAAAGATAGTAATTTGATTGTAAGTTTATAATGGGGTATACCCTAAGGACAAAAAAGAAGTACAAGCCAGGTATGGTGGCTCAGGCCTGTAATCCCAGCACTTTGGGAGGCCAAGGTAGGGGAGGATCGCTTGAGCCCAGGAGTTTGAGACCAATCTGGGCAATATAGGGGACCTTGTCTCTACTAAAACTAAAAAAAAAATTAGCCAGGTGGGGTGGCGCGTGCCTGTAGTCCCAGCTACTCTGGAGGCTGAGGCAAGAAGATGGCTTGAGCCCCGGGGATCAAGGCTGCAGTGAGCATGTTCGTGCCACTGCCCACCAGCCTGGGTGACAGAGTGAGAACCTGTCTCAAAAAAAGAAAAAAGAAAAGAAATCTACCCTCTCGGATGTTAGGGAAAGCTGTTCATTACTGGGTCCTGCTGGCCACTACACACTGCAGGAGCTGGGCACTGGAGAATGTGCCGTGCTACAGGAGCCTGGTGCTGGACAATGCTACAGGAACTTGCTGAGAGAGTGCACAGAACCCAAGAAAGCAAACAAACAAACAAAACCCCTTTCCTCCTGCAATTCTCTCTTGTTTTGTTATTTTGTTTGTTTTTTGAGATAGAGTCTTGCTCTGTTGCCCGGACTGGAGTGCAGTGGTGTGATCTCGGCTCACTGCAACCTCTGCCTCCTGGGTTCAAGTGATTCTTGGGCCTCAGCCTCCCGAGTAGCTGGGATTACAGGTGCCCACCACCATGCCTGGCTAACTTTTGCATTTTTAGTAGAGATGGGTTTCACCATGTTGGCCAGGCTGATCTTGAACTCCTGATCTCAAGTGATCCGCCTGCCTCAGCCTCCCAAAGTGTTGGGATTACAGGCATAAACCACTATGCCTGGCTGTGGAATTGTCTCTTTAGCGTCCCCTACTGACAAAAATTCAGTGCTGACTGGCAAAGGAAAAAAATTTAAAGGGCCCAGATTCATTTTCACAGAACAGTCTAAAAGGATGAATTTGGACCTGAGAGGCAATAAATTGGATGCCACAGCATTCCTGGCACCTGGATTATGATCTTTGAATATCATTTCCTACTGAAAGAAACCAGAGCTCCTTAGAGAAATGTTTCATTCCAGGTCTGAGTCAGGAAAAGTACTGTATGACCAGGGAACATCTTGTACGAGAAGGCAGGGGAGCTGTCAAAGATTACTGGGGTCATGTCAAAAGGACTCAGTAGCCAATGTGAAGAGGCATTCATTAGCAAATAATGGGATGATTTAAGTATCAATAAAAATAACTGCAATGGATTGAAACATCAAATATGTTTAAATCCATTAGTTCATAATGAAACAAACTAGTGGAGAGTCCCGCTATGTTGCTCAGGCTGGATTTGAACTCCTTGCTCAAGCTATCCTCCTGTGTCAGCCTCCTGAGGAGCTGGGACCAGATTTTGAGGCCATGGCCTGGCCTCAAGAACCTTATTAAACAACAACAACAAAACAACAACAACTAATAAATAAAGGGAAAGAATCAAGAAGGTAACTTCCTTTCTTGCTTTTCTTATACAAACTGACCTCAAGGTGACCACATAGTGAATGAGGGAAATTTTCTCTCTATGGAAGTATTTCAGTTTAAAAATGAAGAAGTTGTACTCTGAATGGAGAGGCTAATGAATAATTTTTTTTAAAGGTAAAAATGAAGAAGGAATGACAGAAGTAGAACAATGGTTCTCTAAGTGTGGATTCTTGGACTCTTTCAGGGGTCCATGAGGTCAAACTATTTTCATAATTCAACTAAGATATTACTTACCTCTTTCACTAGGTTGACCAGGGATGGTGCAAAACCAAGAGTGGCTAAAACTGCTGGTACCTCAGTATGAACCAAGGCAGTGGTACGGACTAAACTAGTAGTCACTGTATTCTTTATTGCCACATTCACAGTAAAAGAAATTGCTAGTTTCACTTAACAATGGCCTTGTTGAAGGAGTCAAAATTATTAATTTTATTAAATTTCAACCCTTGAGTACATGTTTTTTAAATATTCTATATGGTGAAATGGGAAATCTACATAAAATACTCCAGCTGGATACGGTGGTGCACACCGGTAATCCCAGCTATTTGGGATACTGAGGTGGGAGAATCGATTGAGTCCAGGAGTTCTAATCCAGACTGGGCAACATAGTGAGACCCCTGTCTCAGTTAAAATAATAATAATAAGCACTTTGGCTGCACTCTGAGGGATGGTGGCTATCTTGAGGAAAAGCAGATGGGCAATTGTTTGAGTTGAGAGCTGAACTAGCCACTTTTTTTGTGGAACACCATTTTTACTTGAAAGAACCACTGACAGCAAATTATGGATATTCACACAGTGGTATTTGGCAGACATTTTACTGAAAATTAAGAAGTGAGCCTTGTCACTTCAAGGGAAACAATTTGACAGTATTTGTTGCCAATCATAAAATTCGAGCTTTCAAATGAAAATGGGAATTTTGGGAAACTTGTATGTGCCACTGTAAGCTTAATGTCTTCTCAATACTTTAAGACTTTTCTGATGAGATTGGTGGTGACATTAATGAATGGGACATTTTGGATATTGTGTAATGAAATGTGTCAACATTTGCAATACCTGTAAAATTCAGTGAACCAATATTTTTGAAATGACTAATGCATGATGTTACACAATCAAGGATGAGTAAGAGATCCAAAGTACAAAATAGATTTTAATGAAACAGAGTATAAAGAGGACATTGATGTGGTTTCAGATTCCACATTGCAATTAACCTTTATGACGCAACCACTTTCAAAAAAGAATATCCATAATTATCTGTAGAGGCTATTAAAATGTTCCTCCCTTTTCTAACTACATATTGTGTGAAGCTGAATGTTTTTCATGTACTTCACCCAAAACAACAAGGACAGTGCCATCTTTCTCATTCCTTTTTTTTGTTTGTTTTGGGGAATATAGTTATCTTTCATAAGATATGTTATACATAATAAAATAAATCTATTTATTTATTTAATAGAAACAGGGGCTTGCTCTGTCATCCAGGCCAGAGTGCACGATCATAGCTCACTGCAGCCTCGAACTCCTGGGCTCAAGCAATCCTCCCACCTCAGCCTCCCAAAGTGCTGGGATTACAGGCATGTGCCACTGAGCGCAGTGATTGTTATTTTTATACTTGATCTTAGCCAAAAGGCCGAGAAATGATGTGATTGTTATTTATTTATTTATTTTTATTTCTGTGACAATGTTTTGCTCTGTCGCCAGGCTGGAGTGCAGTGGCAGATCTCGGCTCACTGCAACCTCAAGCGATTCTCCTGTCAGCCTCCCGAGTAGCTGGGACTACAGGTGTGCATCACCGTGCCCAGCTAATTTTTATATTTTTAGTAGAGACGGGGTTTCACCATGTTGGCCAGGATGGTCTTGATCTCTTGACCTTGTGATCTGCCCTCCTTGGCCTCCCAAAGTGCTGGGATTACAGGCGTGAGCCACTGCACTCGGCAATGATTGTTATTTTTAAATGAACTAATACATTTTAAAATTTCTCAGTTTTAATATTAAGTATGGTAAATATGAATAGATATAACTGATATAAAAAGATCCAAAGTATACAATATATTTTAATGAAACAGAGTATGAAGAGGACATCGATGTGGTTTCAGATTCCACATTGCAATTAACCTTTATGACACAACTACTTTCAGAAAAGAATCTCCATAATTATCTGTAGAGGCTATTAAAAATGTTCCTCCCTTTTCTAGCTACATATTGTGTGAAGCTGGATATTTTTCATATACTTCACCCAAAGCAACATATTACAACAGTTTGAAAATAGAACCCATGAGAATCTAGCTGTCTTCTATTAAACTAGACATTAAAGAGATTTAAGCAAATGGACAGTGCCACTTTTCTCATTACTTTTTTGTTGTTTTGGGGAATATAGTTATTTTTCATAAAATATGTTGTGCTTATGATATTTATGGTTTTTTGTTTGTTTGTTTTTATGAGACGGAGTCTCACTCTGTTGCCCAGACTGGAGTACAGTGGCACAATCTCGGCTCACTGCAACCTCCGCCTCCCGGGTTCAAGCGATTTTCCTGCCTCAGCCTCCTGAGTAGCTGGGATTACAGGCATGCACCATCATGCCCGGCTAATTTTAGTAATTTTAGTAGAGATAGGGTTTTACCATGTTGGCCAGGCTGGTCTCGAACTCCTGACCTCAGGTGATCCACCCACCTCAACCTCCCAAAGTGCTGGGATTACAGGCGTGAGCCACCATGCCCGGGCAGATATTTATGTATTTAATAGAGATAGAGCCTTGTTCTGTCACCCAGGCCAGAGTGTAGTGGCACGATCACAGTTCACTGCAGCCTCGAACTCCTGGGCTCAAACAATCCTCCCACCTCAGCCTCCCAAAGTGCTGGGATTACAGGCATGTGCCATCATGCCCAGTGATTATTATTTTTAAATGAACTAATACATTTAAAAATTTCTCAGTTTTAATATTAAGTATGATAAATATGTATAGCTATAACCAATACAAACAAAAGCTCTTTGGGGGAGCCTCAATGATTATTAAGAGCATAGAAGAATTCTAAGTTCAAAAAGTTTGAGAACTTTTGAATTAGAATATCATTATTTTCCAAATAGTTACTGAAGTAACAGATTTAGGCATTAATCATCAATGGTCACCATATGACAAAAAAAGGAGCTATCATGTACCTCCTGATAGAGGTTTACAACATCGCCTATGAAGTATTGCTGCCAAAAAAAAAAAAACAAACAAACCTGATTTTGATAAAACTTCTAGATTCCACTACCAATTTATATGAAATACAGGGGGCAGAGGAACCTGTTAAAGACACTCTGGGATGCAATAAGCAAAACCCCAACGTAACAGGTCATTCTATAGGACAAATCACTCCATTTTTTTTCAATGAATAAATTGCAAGGAAAAGAAAAGAGGGAGAAAAAAAAAGAGAGAGAGAGGGAGGAGCAGCAGCTTGTGGATTTCTGTTTGGAGTGCTCTGCCCTGCTTTTCCATTTGGTGAACTCTTACTCATTTTTGTTGTTGTTGTTGTTGTTGTTGTTTTGAGACGGAGTCTCGCTCTGTCGCCCAGGCTGGAGTGCAGTGGCGCGATCTCGGCTCACTGCAAGCTCCGCCTCCCGGGTTCAAGCGATTCTCTTGCCTCAGCCTCCCGAGTAGCTGGGATTACAGGCGCACGCCACCATGCCCAGCTGATTTTTTTGTTTGTTTATTTATTTATTTTGAGATGGAGTCTCACACTGTCGCCCGGGCTGGAGTGCAGTGGCGCGATGTTGGCTCACTGCAACCTCCGCCTCTCTGGTTCAAGCGATTCTCCTGCTTCAGCCTTTCAAGTAGCTGGGATTACAGTCACCTGCCACCACGCCCAGCTAATTTTTTTTTTTTTTTTTTTTTTTTTTAGTAGAGATGGGGTTTCATTATGTTGATCAGGCTGGTCTCAGACTGCTGACCTCGTGATCTGCCCACCTCAGCCTCCCAAAGTGCTGGGGTTACAGGCGTGAGCCACCACGCACGGCCATTTTTTTGTATTTTTAGTAGAGATGGGGTATCACCATGTTGGCCAGGCTGGTCTCGAACTCCTGACCTCAGGTGATCCACCCGCCTCAGCCTCCCAAAGTGCTGGGATTACAGGCGTGAGCCTCTGCTGTGGCCAACCTTCTTTTCAAAATTACATTGGTACATTTCCGGCTCGTGGTTATTCTCTTCTCAGTTAAGATCTCTAGGTGTTCTGCTAGATCTGCGTAGCCTCCCCCCTCCCCTTGCTGCTGTGGTGTACATCTTGTTCCTTCTCCAAGTGGGCTACCCTCTATTGAATTTTCTGAATTTCAGAAATACAGAATATATCAGAGTCATTTGAAATAGGTACTGGGATTTGAGGGCCTGAATATTGGAACTCCGTTTTCCCAGTAACTAGCGCGACCTCAGGAAATAACTTCAACTCTCTGAGCCTCAAATTCCTCTTTGTAAAAGGAAATCAGTATTTTTTACATGTAGGTTGATTTAAATAAGAAATACGTATTTAAGTAAGAAATATGTGCAAAACACATTTCCCAGGACTACGTAAATAAATGTGAGCCTGGCACTCATTCCCTCTTCGAGTTGTGAGAAGCTCATGTGAAACTGGCCAGCAGGGATTTCTCTTCCATCATTCAATAGGTCAAGGGAAAATTCTAATGTGAGCATAAGGGGAGAAGGGACCCCTGCGGAAAGGCATTTGTTACACTGAATCCTCTTGCCCCCAACCAGCTAGAACTATCCCTAAGGTTGAGCAGCTCTTTCTAGCGGCCTGACTTACTGATTTTCCCTGGCTCTGCTGAAATATGTGCAGAGTATCTTTGAGGCATAGTTATGTCTCCAATTAGTTCAGTTCTACTTTTGAGAAAATATTCATGTCACCAGCTTGCAGGGTGGATGAAACCAGAGGCGTTTGCATGGTGGCCTGCGATTAGCTTGCCCAAAATCTACCCCACTTGCCGGCCTCCCCACCTCAGTCCTCTTCCCTCTGATGACGCCTGCCTCGGCTGTGCCTGGGGAATTTCCTGCCTCTCTGCGTCTCCAGGCAGGCCAGCCTCTGGTTCCTGCTTCTTCCTTTCTTCCCAGTTCGGCTTCCCTCTCCTCTCTCATAGTTGCTTCCTCGCAAAGCAAGTTTTCTCAATGTCCCCTTTTCTGTGGTCCCTGAAGACAATTGGTGTGTCCGTTTTGGTTTTAAGGGTTTCAAAGGATGGCAAGAGCAACATCTCCTGTGATGTAGGAGCATCCCCTTTGCTGTCTTTATTTTATTTTATTTTATTTTATTTTATTTTATTTTATTTTATTTTATTTTATTATTTTTATTTTATTTTATTTTATTTTATTTTATTTTATTTTATTTTATTTTATTTTATTTTATTTTATTTTTTGAGACAGGATCTTGCTCTGTCTCCCAGGCTGGAGTGCAGTGGTGCCATCTTAGCTCACTGCAACCTCTGCCTCCTGGGTTCAAGCCATCTTCCCACCTCAGCCTTCTGAGTAGCTGGGACTATAGGCATGCACCACCACGCCTGGCTAATTAAAAGCAAATTTTTTTTTTTTTGAGATGGAGTTTCGCTCTTGTTGCCCAGGCTGCAGTGCAATGGCAGGATCTCGGCTCACCGCAACCTCTGCCTCCCAGGTTCAAGCGATTCTACTGCCTCAGCCTCCCGAGTAGCTGGCATTACAGGCATGCACCACCATGCCCGGCTAATTTTGTATTTTTAGTAGAGATGGGGTTTCTCCGTGTTGGTCAGGCTGGTCTCAAACTCCTGACCTCAGGTGATCCACCCGCCTTGGCCTCCCAAAGTGCTAGGATTACAGGTGTGAGCCACCACGCCTGGCCGTAATTTTTTTTTTAAGAGATGGGGTCTCACTATATTGCCCAGTCTGGTCTCAAACTCCTGGGTTCAAGTGATCCACTTGTCTTAGCCTCCCGAAGTGCTGGCATTACAGGCATGAGCCACTGTGCCTGGCTCCCTTTGCTGTCTTATCTGATTCCTAGAGCCATCTCAATCCTGTGAAGGCTCCGTGGCATTGAGGAGGCTGAACTGGGTGGTGAACAGAACAAGCTCTGGTGTCAGCAAACTTGGGTCATATCATGGCCCCCCTACCTACTAACTGAGGGACCTTGGCTAAATCATTTAACCTCTCTTGGTCACTGTTTTTTCACGTCTAAAATAGGGAAAATACCATTTACTTCCAGGGCTGGCAAGAGTTAAATGATGCGATGATATGGCATAGAAGGGTTCAATTAAGGAAGAAAATCCTGGTCACTCAGGTAGTGCTAGATAGCTTCTGTTGCTTCTCAGACCTGCTCTCCATTTTCCTCCACCCTGCTCTCTGTCCCTCTGACTTCTGCTTGTGTTTGGCTAAGGGGGAGCTCCAGCAAGAAATCAAAGGAAGAATGTGGGAGGCCAAGGCAGGAGGATCTCTTGAGGCCGGGAGTTTGAGACCAGCCTGGGTAACATAGTAAGACCTCATCTATACCAAAAGCAAAAAAAAAAAAAAAAAAATTAGCCAAATGTGGTGGCATGCACCCGTAGTCCTAGCTACTTGGGAGGCTGAGGTGGGAGGATCGCTTGAGCCCAGGAGTTTGAGGCTACGGTGAGCTGAGATTGCACCACTGCACTCCAGCCTGGCTGACAGAGTGAGACCCTGTCTGTAAAGCAACAGGGTAGAGTGAAGCCAGGGATCTACGTTCCTGGTTTTTTCCCTGCGAGGTCACTTCAGTGTGGCTGTGTTCCTAGACAAAAGGTCATAGCTCTTTTCAAGGTAGCTTCTTTATGGGACTTTCCCCTTTTGGGTTCCAATTACCACTCTGTCTCATTGACTTTGGACCTACGAGTGATAACGGCCTCAGGGTACTGCACTGACCTTCACTGGCACAGCTGGGAGCTTCCAGAATGACCTCCTTCTTTATGGGTTCCTTCTTTCTCAAAGGCTTGGGCCTTTAGGGCATGTCTCCTCACCAGGACTTTAGGAAACAATGAAATGAAATACTGTCTAGAATACTTTTTCACAGTAAAGCACTGTATGAGTACAAGGGTTTTATTACTACTATGAGTTGACTGAGCCTTAGTGGGTGAAAAATGACTACAAGAGTCATATAGGGGCTGGGCGTGGTGGCTCACACCTGTAATCCCAGCACTTTGGGAGGCTGAGTTGGGTGGATCATTTGAGGTCAGGAGTTCAAGACCAGCCTGGCCAAGATGGTAAAACCCCGTCTCTACTAAAAATACAAAAATTAGCCGGATGTGGTGGTGCACGCCTGTAATCCCAGCTACTTGGGAGGCTGAGGCACGAGAATCATTGAAACCCAGGAAGCGGAGGTTGAAGTGAGCCGAGATCAAGCCACTGCAATCCAGCCTGGGCAACAGAGGGAGACTCTGTCTCAGAAAAAAAAGAAAAAAAAAAGAGTCATATAGGAAAATCATCTGGTCACCCGAGATGTTTACCTTAGGCCTCTCTTCTATTTAAGTGCTTGGATTATAATTTCAAAACACAATATGTAAAAATGACACCCAACTGTCACTGAGAACCTTAGAAAAAAATATTGTTAGGCATCTGTGTTGTAGGCAAAGAGGCCTTAGGGTAGTCTCCTGTCTTTTCTACCACATAGCTGCAGCCCTTCAGTCTCATTCAGGATTCCGTTTGCTCTGTTTTGGTCACCAACACATCTGTCTTACCAAAAGGTGAGGAACTTTGGTGTATATATATACATACATATATATATATATATATATATATATATATATATATATATATATATATATATATATATATATTTTAGATGGAGTCTTGCTCTGTTGCCAGGCTGGAGTGCAGTGGCGCAATCTCGGCTCACTGCAACCTCCGCCTCCCGGGTTCAAGCGATTCTCCTGCCTCAGCCTTCCGAGTAGCTGGGACTATAGGTGCACGCCACCATGCCCTGCTAATTTTTGTATTTTTAGTAGAGACAGGGTTTCACTGTGTTAGCCAGGACGGTCTCGATCTCTTGACCTCATGATCCGCCTGCCTCGGTGTCCCAAAGTGCTGGGATTACAGGCGTGAGCCACCATACCCGGCCTTGGTCTATATTTTCTTTTCTTTTCTGTGGTGTTTGTTTGTTTGAGACAGGGTCTCACTCTGTCGCCCAGGCTAGAGTGCAGTGGCACGATCTCCACCTCCCAGGATCAAGCAATCCTCCCCTCTTAGCCTCCAGAGTGGCTGGGACTACGGGCATGCACCACCATGCCCGGCTAATTTTTGTGTTTTTTATAGAGACAGGGTTTTGCCGTGTTGCCCAGGCTGGCTATATTTTCTTGGTCTGTGAATTATAGGAGCTTTGCCTAGTCCCTAAGTACAATTTGATACGACTTAATGTGCACATCAGACTTTTTAAAATTTCTGATCTTTTTCCCTCAGGCTGCCTCACAAGCTCTTTAGGGCTGGAAGATAGAGAAAACTCACTCCTTTGGGCACTGGTTTCAAGCCAGAATTAAGCTTTTGGTATTTCTGTCCCTGGAGCTCACAGGTTCTCTGAATTGTACTCTCAGACGTGTCCAAGTAAGATCAATGTTTCTTCAGCCTCTTCTCAACAAAATTCCACCCACCTCTTCTTGATTGTCTTGCTTAACTTCCATCCTATTTGTATTAATATATGTCCCCTCTGGTTCTGACTTTTCTAAGACCCAGTGTTCTCTTCTTTTCTAAACTATCATTCTTTTTTTTTCTGGTTTTCTTTTTTTTTTTTTGGTAGAGACAGGGTCTCACTATGCCCATGCTGGTCTTGAACTACTGGCTTCAAGCAATCCTCCCATCTTGGCCTCCCAAACTGCTGGGATTACAGGCATGAGTCACGACAATCAACCTCAAATATAATTTTTGAGTCATTCTTCTACCCTGTTGCCCAACCGCTACCTAAGCCTATGAGTCAGTTTATGTCATTGTTACCTTTTCATCCCAAACTCATCTTAGATATTATCATGAAGGCATAATAGCGATTCACATAATGAAGGAAGAGTCCGTCATCACAGTGTGGCTAAATCAAGTGATTTTGTATCTGTGGCCACAGAATTTGGTTGAATAAACTCTGAATTGCTATACATGTGTGGGATATGTGGGTTCCACTTAAGGCCAATTTTTGTTACTCATCCATCCATCCCCAATCAATTCAATTGAACAGTTACTGTCTGCCTTTTAGGGACTGCTTCTTGATTGAGTTGAGCTGTACTATGCAGAACATCAGGAGAAACTCTCAACCATTTTCTTTAATTGATACCCAAGGGTGGCCACTTCTTCTCTAAACTTTTCATGATGGCCTGTTGCTGCCTTCCTCCAGTCCCGCAATTCTACAGCCGTTCTCCCCTTAAAAAGACAATGTTTGTTCTTGTTAAGGTCTTGTTAAAAAAAAAAAACAACAACAAAACTAGGCTCAAGATAATGGCAGAAACGTACGTTAAAAGAAATAAGATAATGCGCTGAAATCACCTACGCAGTCATTGTAAACCCTGCCTGTCTGGTGACAGTTATGGTTAGGCAGAGAGAGCTAGAATGATCCAGAAACCTGAAGGACATAAGTGAATGGCAGTGCTGAAATCAGCATTGCACTCTGGTGACATCGTAAAATCATTCAGAAACAGGGCCAGGAATTCTGCTAGACCCTTAAGGATGTCAAACCACTTGGTTTGACACAATTAGTTTTGTTCGAATCAGAGCCAACACCAGCACCAGCCATAAGCTGCCTCTTAAAGGAGAGGAAATATATTGGCTTAACTTTTTTTTTTTGAGACAGGGTCTTACTCTGTCGCTCAGGCTGCAGTGCAGTGGCGTGATCACGGCTCACTGCAGCTTCAACATCCCAGGCTCAAGCAATCCTACCTCAGCCTCCCGAGTAGCTAGGATTACAAGCATGTGCCACCATGCCTGGCTAATTTTTTTTTTTTTTTTGTATTTTTAGTAGACATGGAGTTACGCCATGTTGGCCAGGCTAAACTTGGCCTCCCAAAGTGCTGGGACTACACTGTGCCTGGCCTTTATTTTTCATTTGTTTATTTTTTTAAGAGACGGTGTCTCGTTCTGTGGGCCAGGCTGGAGTGCAGTGGTGCCATCATAGCTCATTGCAGCCTCAAACTCCTGGGCTCATGGAATCCTCTCACCTCTGCCTCCAGAGTAGGTGTGACTACAGGCATGCACACCACATCTGGATATTTTTAAATTTTTTGTAGATACAGGGGTTTCACTATGTTGCCTAGGCTGGTCTTGAACTCCTGAGCTCAACAGATCCTCTTGCCTTGGCCTCCCAGAGCGTTGGGATTACAGGCGTGAAAGGTGTGAACCTTAGCACCAGCCAGAAAATTCTTTTTTTTTTTTTTGAGACAGAGTCTCGCTCTGTCACCAGGCTGAAGTGCAGTGGCACGATCTTGGCTCACTGCAACCTCCACCTCCTGGGTTCAAGCAATTCTCGTGCCTCGGCCTCCTGAGTAGCTGGAATTACAGGCACGCGCCACCACGCCACCACACCTGGCCTGAAAATTCTTTAAAACTGGAAAGGAAAGGCCAAGCGCAGTGGTTCACGCCTGTAATCCCAGCACTTTGGGAGGCCGAGGCGGGCGGATCATGAGGTCAGGAGATCGAGACCATCCTGGCCAACATGGTGAAACCCCGTCTCTACTAAAAATACAAAAAATTAGCCGGGTGTGGTGGCGCGTGCCTGTAGTCCCAGCTACCAGGGAGCCTGAGGTGGGGAATCGCTTGAACCCGGGAGGCAGAGGTTGCAGTGAGCCGAGATCGCGCCACTGCGCTCCAGCCTGGCGACAGAGCAAGCCTCCGTATCGAAAAAAAAAAGAAAAAAAAAAACTGGAAAGGAAATACTTCTGAGTCCAGGCAGACAAAGCCTGGTGGATTGAGGGGCGGCCCCCAAGGGATGTGTTCTCATTCCTAACTCCGGCACCTGTGAATGTGACCTTATCTGGCAAAAGGGTTTTTGCAGGTGTAATTAAGTTAAGGATCTCAAGATGAGGAGATCACCCTGGATCATCTAGGTGGGCCCTAAATTCCAATGACAAGTGTCCTTATTAGGGCACTTATAAACTCATAAAACTTATAAACTGGACACAGTGGCTCACACCTGTAATCCCAGCACTTTGGGTGGCCGAGGCAGGAGGATCACTTGAGCCCAGGAGTTAGAGGTTGCAGTGAGCTATGATCACGCCACTGCACTGCAGCCTGGGTGACAGCGAGACCCTGTCTCAAAAAAAATAAAAATAAAAATAAAAAAGGGAGAGACAGAGAGAGACTTGAGACAGAAGAGAAGATGCAGCTACACAGAGGAGTTGTGACAACAGAGGCAGAGATTGGAGTGATGCGGACATAAGCCAAGGAATGCTAAAGATTGCTGGCAACCATCGGAAGCTAGAAGGAGTACAGCCCTGTGGACACCTTAGTTTTGGATGCCTGGTCTCCACAAGTGCGAGAGGATGCGTTTCTGTGGTTTGAAGCCACCATGTTTGTGGTACTTTGTTACGGCAGCCCTAGAGAACTAGGACTCTGGTAGTAAACCCAGCAAGCTGGAGATAAAACTCCAGGCAGAGCCAAGAGCCAAGAGTTTGGGTCCCTGGGAGTCTCAGGGGGTCCCAGGAGTGGAGACGATCTCTTCTTTGTGAGGATGAGCTGGTGGTTGTCTGGGTTGCACAGTGGTCCCCCTGTGCACTCCTGTGACCAGTGGCCGAGGAGGAATCTGCGGGCTCAGGACTGGCTTGAGAACATTTCATACTCTTGGCCACTGTCAGCATTAGTGCTGCAGGGATGGGTGGATGATCTAGACACAAGTGAGAGTGAGAAGACTTTTAAAAAGCAGCCAAGGAGAAAGCAATCTGTATTTGCTTGGTGGAAATAAAATTCTACTGCACTGTGAGCCAGGCTTATTAATGCAGAGTAGGGAAAAGAAATTGGCAAAGCCAGCCACCTTTTATTTGATAAAGTGACCAGCCACCTGAGGCAGGCATGTTTTAAAGACACTGGGTGAAAACGCTCACTGCGTGAGGGTGGAAGAGGGAGACAAACAAGTATGATTTTGAAAGAACAATGGCATAGAACATTCACATACATACAGACTGCTAGGAAGAAAACGCTGAATTTCAAAATTCTTCTCCACTGGAAACTGTTCTAAGACCTCCTTTCTCTGTTGCAAAGAGAGGAGGCTACAATAAGGAAGAGAAAGGAAAAGATCTTTGATGTATTTATTTATTAACATTAGAGCCTTGACTATTCACCTCAGCATTAACCAGGTAGATATTGTCCTGTTGGTTTTATAATGTTTAAGAATCCTTGAACATCGGTTTGCTCCTGTTCACGTGTAATTTCACATTTAATTTAATTAATGTATCTATTTTGAGATGGGGTCTCACTGTATCACCCAGGCTGGAGTGCAGCGGTGAGATCATTGCTCACTGCAGCCTCAACCTCCTGGGCTCAAGCGATCTTCTCACCTCAGCCCCCAAAATAGTTGGGACTATCAGCTTGCGCCCCACCCCTGGCTAATTTTTATTCTTTTTGAATTTTAGTAGAGACAAGGTCTCCCTTATGTTGCCCAGGCTCAATTTCGTATTTTATATTTAAAGAACTAGATTTCCTAAATAAGAATCACTCCTTTCTCTTTCAAGAGAAGATAGTTACTTAGAGGGTAGACAGGACTGATTATTTTCTTTGGTATGCCCTAAGGAATTATGTAAAACTTGACAGAAAATTTCCAGACTACAAAAATGGCTTCACTACCAATTCCTTCCCCTCTTCCATCTTTTGAGCTTAGAAAAACAAGATAAAGAAGGTTATGTCTTTTCAGTTATTCCTTTCTCATCTATTTCCCCAGTTTGGTCTACACTGAAAGCATACACGATTCTTCCTCCACTGGTTCATTGAATAATCTTCTTTCCTTAGTTCCCACATATCCAATCTATAAATCAAGCACATGAGATATATAGATTCTAAGTATCAGGTGGAATTCTGCCTTACACTCCAGAACATTTTTTTTTTCTTATGCTGTTTTTCATGTAAAGCAGAATCTGTAAGTATCGTAACAGGATTCAGCCAGGGAAACAGAGCCACTGTGAGTATTCTAGGAATAAAACCGTTCACAGCTGTGGGAAGAGCTGGGGAAGTGAATGTCTGGAAGGAGGAGTCAGAAGATCAGAGAGTCACTAGCCGTTGCCGGAAGCACTGGTGCAGTTGGACAAATCAGAGCTTGCAGGAAAATTCCAGAAGCCAAAGCACATCTAGCCACCGAAGCAGGGCCGCGGAGGGGGAGTTCGTGGAGAGGTTTATGGGAGCTGTGGCCTCTACGTAGCTCCCGCCCCATGTGGGGCGACAGCCAAGCCCCTGGTGGTGGGCCCGAGGCAGCTGTTGGGTAGCAGAGCCAACAGCAGGAAATGTTAGCTGGGAGGGAGCAGAGGAGAGAGCCGGATAAACCGGGAGCTGCAGGGCCTCTCAGGGCCCCTCTGTTTCTGTCCTTCACTGTATCTGACGGGAAACCTGCCAGGGGCAGTGACTGCTGCTCGCCTTCCGCCCTACAATTCTTGCACAAGGTTCTCTTTTGGCCAACTCTAACCCGGAAACACAGCAGGGAGGGGCTTCTAGGAAATGGAGTTCCCAGCCTTAATCGAGTTGCCATAGCACAACTCAGCACCGCATCTCCCAGCGTGATCAATGAAATGACATCACAGGCTCGGTAAAAGCCATTTAAAAATAACTCCTTCATTCTACTGTTCCTCAGCTCAGAAGTCAGGTGCGTGCATAGGTCGCCCTTCGTTAAGATTCTCCACTTACGGAGGTGGTGGACCTGGCAGGGTGTTGTAGGAAGGAGTGGCATGTGCTGAGAAGCTCACAGGATCCTTAGTCCTGGCTGTGACTCACAGGTATTGTGTAGCCTCGGGCAAATCCCTCTCCTCTGTGCCTCTGGTTTGTTCATCTGTAAAATGGGCAGAATTGTACTCAGTTGGCTTTTGCATGGTCCAAATGAGAAAACGGAAGTGAAACCCCCCTGTAAACTGCTAAATGCCAGGATAGTTATAAATTCCTTTTTTTTTTTTTTTTTTTTTTTTTTGCGGGGACGGGGAGGACAGAGTCTCGCTCTGTCGCCCAGGCTGGAGTGCAACGGCACAATCTCGGCTCACTGCAACCTCCGCCTCCCAGGTTTAAGCGATTCTCCTGCCTCAGCCTCCCAAGTAGCTGGGATTACAAGCGCCTGCCACTGTGCCTGGCTAATTTTTGCATTTTTGGTAGAGACGAGGTTTCGCCATGTTGGCCAGGCTGGTCTCAAACTCCTGACCTCAGGTGATCAGCCCGCCTCCGCCTCCCAAAGTGCTGGGATTACAGGTGTTAGCCACCATGCCTGGCCAAATTCCTTTATTTCAAGGAATATTCTTGAGCTTGGCAAAAGTTTGGAGTTTACGTACAAAATACATACTCAAAAGGAATTATGAAGTGAATGAATTCCTGAATAAACATGACTTGGCATCATGGGGAAACAATTTACAGTATTGGTGGGGACATAATTTCAGAGATGGAAGCTGCCAGAAGAGCTTCTTTTCTCCTAAAAGCCCATCCCAGGACCTCACTAGTCCTGATAACCCAGAAGTTTCCCTGCCACTAAAAAGATCTGTTTATTTTCCAGTTAACAAAGAGTGAAGAGGACACTATCATCATCATCATCAACATCATCATCATCATCATTATTATTTGCCTGAAGGCCCAGAGTACACCGTAATGGAGTACTGCTGATGGGAAAGGAATTAGCATTGACCTCTCAGGAGGTTAATTTGGGAGTTTAGCTCATGATCTAGTAATTCTGCTTCTGGAAGTTTATGAGAAGGAAGTGCTCTAATATGTGCGCCTGTGTGATCGCTGGGCTTTAGCATTTTAGGGGTGAGCCAACTGTATCTCAGAGGTGGCCATGTCTTGCATTGAGGAGAGAGAGCACCTGCGAGAACTTCCATGCTATATTCTATTTGGGAAGAACTTGAACCTTGCATAACGTAAACGAAGAGAATTAACAAGAATTTGTGGCACCCCTTC
This sequence comes from Homo sapiens, assembly GCF_000001405.40. NCBI lineage: Eukaryota > Metazoa > Chordata > Mammalia > Primates > Hominidae > Homo > Homo sapiens. Next base: position 41,008,844 of record NC_000023.11, on the reverse strand, counting down.
TGTGTCAGTTCTTCTTCCAGATAATAGGAATATAGCAATAAACAAAACAGACCAGGTTCCTGCCCTCATGGGGGAAAGAGGCAATCTAAAAATGAAAAATGGGCCAGGCGCGGTGGCCCACGCCTGTAATCCCAGCACTTTCGGAGGCCAAGGTGGACGGATTACCCAAGGTCAGGAGTTCAAGACCAGCCTGGCCAACATGGCGAAACCCCATCTCTACTAAAAATACAAAAATTAGCTGGGCGTGGTGGCACGTGCCTGTAAGGCCAGCTACTCGGGAGGCTGAGGCAGGAGAATTGCTTGAACCCAGGAGGTGGAGGTTGTAGTGAGCTGAGATTGTGCCATTGCACTCCAGCCTGGACGACAGAGCGAGACTTCATCTCAAAATAAATAAATAAATAAATATAAAGATGAAAAATGTCACCAAATGTCAGATTAAGTACCAAGAGGGAAAATAAAGCAGCGTCAAGGATTAGAGAGTAATATGGGTGCTATTTTTAGATAAGGTGGTCAAGGGGGGGCCTCTTTGAGGAGGTGCCGTTGGGTCAGAGACATGAATGAACAAAGGCAGGAAACTATGCTGATATTTGAAGGCAGAACATTTCAGGAGCGGAGAAAGTAATACACAGGCCGAAGATGAGAAGGAAGTTTACGAACTTCGTTTCTGAGACAAGGTCTCACCCTATCGTCCAGCCTGGAATACAGTGGCATGATCATAGCTCACTGTAACATTGAACTCCTGGGCTCAAGCGACCCTCTCGTCTCAGCCTCCTGAGAATGAACTTCTTTATTCAGGGGACAGCAGGGAGACCAATGTGGCTGGAGCATGGTGAGCAAGCAGGGAGGGTGATAGCAGCTGAGGTTGGAGAGAAAGCCAGGGGACAGATCACACTGGCTTTTGATTTGGGTCAAGTCAGGTGGGAAACCATTGGAAAGTTTTGAAGTGGAACATGACCTTTGCTGGCTTAAATATTGAAAGGCTATCCATGAGGAGTAAATTACAGCTGGGCAAGAGTGGACACAGAGAGACCAATTAAGACCTATTGCAAGTGGTCCATCCAGGAGGCTGTCAGGAGGCTGGACCAGGGCAGGGCAGCAGTGGAGAAGGTGAGAAGTGGTCAGAGGCAATAACACTATAAGAGCAAAGCTGAAGGGATTTGCTACGAGGTCAAATGTGAATTGTAATAGAAAGATGAGAGTCAAGGATGACTTCAAGGTTTTTGGCCTGAGCAAGTGGAAGAATGGAGCCGTTATTTACTAAGAAGGGGGATGCTAGGCAGGAGCAGGTTTGGGAATAATGCAGAATTTAATTATGGACAGATTAAGAATGAGATACAGCCTGGGCAACATGGCGAAACCCCATCTCTACTAAAAATACAAAAAGATTAGCTGGGCATGGTGGTGCGCACCTATAATCCCAGCTACTTGGGAAGCTGAGGCAGGAGCATCGCTTGAGCCCGGGAGGTGGAGGTTGCAGTGAGCCGAGAGTGTGCCACTACACTCCAGCCTGGGCGACCGAGTGAGACCCTGTCTCAAAAAAAAAAGAAAAAAAAGAAAAAGAATGAGATACAGAATAACCATTCAAACTGGGTTATTTAGGTTCTATCCAATACTTTTGTATTTTTAGTGGAGCAATTGGGCACATGAGTCTGGAGGTCAGGACAGAAAATACAAATTTGAGACTCATTAGTGTATAGAGGGTATTTAAAGCCGTTAGACTGGGTGAGCTCATGCAGGAGTGAGCAATAATAGAGAAGAGATCTAAAGTCTGCATACTGGGACACCCTGATGCTGAGAGGTCAGGATGAAGAGAATGAGCCAGTGAGTGAGGAAGAAAACCAGGAGAATGTAGCGTTCTCGAAGCTAAATGAAGAAGATGTTTTAAGGAGGAAGCTGCTGCCTGGGATTTGGGAGGGATTAAATAATAAGCAGGAGGGGCTGGGCGCAGTGGCTCATGCCTGTAATCCCAGCACTTTGGGAGGTTGAGGCAGGTGGATCACCTGAGGTCAGGAGTTCGAGACCAGCCTGGCCAACATGGCAAAACCCCATCTCTATAAAAAATACAAAAATTAGCTAGGCAAGGTGGAGTGCGTCTGTGATCCCAGCTACTTGGGAGGCTGGGGCAGGAGAATCGCCTGAACCTGGGAGGCGGAGGTTGCAGTGAGCCAAGATTGTGCCACTGCACTGCAGCCTGGGTGACAAAACGAAACTCTGTCTCAATAAAAATAAAAAATAAAAATAAGCAGGAGGCATTTGGAATTTTCAGGGCTGCTTGAGTGAGAAGATAAAGAGTTTAGGTACAAAGGCTGGGCATGGTGGCTTACGTCTGTAATCCTAGCACATTGTGAGGCAGAGGCAGGAGGATGGTTTGAGGCCAGGAGTTTGAGACCAGCCTGGGAGACCCTTATTTTTAAATTAAATTTTTTTTTTTTTTGGAGACAGAGTCTCGCTCTGTCGCCCAGGCTGGAGTGCAGTGGCACAATCTCGGCTCACTGCAAGCTCCGCCTCCCAGGTTCACGCCATTCTCCTGCCTCAGCCTCCCGAGTAGCTGGGACTACAGGCGCCTCCACGCCCAGCTAATTTTTTGTATTTTTAGTAGAGATGGGGTTTCACCATGTTAGCCATGATCTCCTGACCTCGTGATCTGCCCGCCTCCCAAAGTGCTGGGATTACAGGCGTGAGCCACTGCGCCCGGCCAATTTTTTTTTTTTTTTTAATTAGCCAGGCGTGGTCATGCATGCCTGTAGTCCCAGCTACCAAGGAGGCTAAGGTGGGAGGATCACTTGAGCCCAGGAGTTCGAGGCTGCAGTGAGCTATGATTGAGCCACTGCACTCCAGCCTGGGAGATGGAGTGAGATTCTGTCTCAAAAAAGAAAAAAAAGAGTTTAGGTACACAGAAAGGAGAGAAGATATAAAAAGGTCAGGGGGTCAGTAAAGAGAGCAGAAGGCAGAAGGTCCCAGGAGCATGGCAGGATCCATAAAGGAATGCCATCCATGAGAAGTCCCCAGGTGGTGGAGAATGGCCAGCAACTTTCTAGGAACAGTAATGTCTGGTGTGAATTTGATTACTTCCTGCCCTGTATTGTGATTGTCTTTCATTTCCCCCAAAGCTCAGTGAAAGGCAGCTACACGTGGCTGCCATGCATTAGGGGCACTTTGGACAGATGAAGGAAGAAAGGCAAAGTCATGTTGAAAGGGGACAGCTGCCCAAGAGGATGAAATGCTTGCAGGGATAAACAGGAAAACAGAGTGAGAAGTGATTGAGAGGAACGGAACCCCGCTGAGACCTCTTGAAGACCTTGGGGGAAGTGCTGAACTTCCCTTTGTTGGAGGGGATGAGTCTCCAGCATTTTATTTAGATATTAAAGGAAAAGGTAAATTGTGCAGACTGGAGGACCTGGAGTCACCTGGGTAACAAAAATAAATGGAAAAGTGTGCAAGGATACATGTGCAGACATGCTCTTAGCAGCATGGTTTTTTTTTTTTGGTTTTTTTTTTTTGGAGACAGGGTCTCACTGTGTCACCCAGGCTTGAGGGCAGTGGGGCAATCTTGGCTCACTGCAACCTCCGCCTCCCAGGTTCAAGTGATTCTCCCTCTTCAGCCTCCCGAGTTGCTGGGGCTACAGGCACGTGCCACCATGCCCTTCTAACTTTTGTAGTTTTAGTAGAGATGGGGTTTCACCATGTTGGTCAGGCTGGTCTTGAACTCCTGAGCTCTAGGGATCCTCCTGTCTCAGCCTCCCAAAGTGCTGGGATTACGGGTGTGAGCCACCACGCCCAGCCAGCAGCATTATTGTTATTTTTTGGGACAGAGTTGTGCAGTGGCACGATCTCAGTTCACTGCAGCTTTGACCTCCTGGGCTCAGGTGAGCACCTGGCCTTGCAGTTTTTTGTTTGTTTGTTTACATTAACAAATATTGGGAGGCTGCTTGGATGTCTGGCAATGAGAGAGTGATAAAGTAGGTTGTGATGCCTCTTTTTTCATGCAGCCACTAGAAATGATGACAAGGGCACATATTCTGTTGAATGAGAGAAGCAGGTTTTGAAACAGTGCAAATACTGGGATCCCAGTTTCATAGAGGTTCTATGTGCACATCTAGGTGTCCACAGAAAGAGAAGTAAACCATATTAACCCATACATTTGAAATGGTAGTCCCTGAGTGGTGAGATTATGGGTAACTTTAATTTTTTTCTCCCTTATACCTTCTCTAGTTTCTAAGTTTCTTTTTTTACAGTAAATATTTATTACTTTTATGATTAGGGAAAGCAATAAATGTTTAAATAATTCACTGATGTATGATTTGGATTTCACTTCTTCTCATTTATATGTTTTATTAGGAAAACATTTTTTTTTTCTTCTTGAGACACAGTCTCGCTTTGTCGCCCAGGTTGGAGTTCAGTGGGGCGATCACAGCTCACTGCAGCCTCAACTTCCCCGGGTTCAAGTGATCCTCCTGCCTCAGCCTCCCAAGTAGGTGGGACTACAGGCATGTGCTACCATACGTGGCTAATTTTCTAGAAAAAATTTTTTGTAGAGATGAGGTCTCACTATATTGCCCAGGCTGGTCTCGAACTCCTGGGCTCAAGCAATCCTCTGCCCCAGCCTCCCACAGTGCTGGGATTACAGGCGTGAGCCATCGTGCCCAGCCTAGGGAAACATTTTGAAGATAGAAGATAAAATCATTTTTATGTTAGCATGTAGCTTAATTATGCTGGAATTTTAGGATAACATAGACTTCTGAGTCTTTGAATCCACTTAGAGGTCAAACGACCTGCCTGATAAGAAAAGCCTTTAAGTATTTAGAAGATTAGCCATCTTTGCTTGGGGGTTCAAAGTATACCTACTCCTTCAACTGTCCAGTATTCATATTTCTGATAAAGTTCTGATACTTTACCCTGGAATAATTTTTGTGTATGGTATGGGGTGAATGAAGGTCAAGTTTAATTTTCTTCCTACTCTGATAATGTTTGATGAAATCAATATCAATAATTTGTATTTCTTTGTCTTCCTAACAATTCTTTACCAGAGCCAGATGTAAGTTGAAAGATATCTCCTAGAGAACTAACCACTTATAAGCCTGTAATCCCCCAATCACTGATTTCTGACAATACAGAGAAGTGCTATTCATCACTTTTCCTTACTCAGTGATTTGGCTTCTCTGAGAGGATTTAGTGCCCTGCTGCCTATAAAACATTTTCAGAAAACCAGGTCTTAAAAATGAAAGTTCTTAAATCCCAGAAGATATATCACAGTGACCTGCAGAGGGAAGCTATCTTTATTTTGTGTTGCTATAATAGAATACCACAGAATTGGTAATTTATTGTTTATTTATTTTGAGACGGAGTCTTACTCTGTCACCTGGGCTGGAGTGCAGTGGCGCAATCTCGGCTCACTGTAACCTTCGCCTCCCGGGTTCAAGTGATTCTCTTGCCTCAGCCTCCTGAGTAGCTGGGATTACGGGTGCGTGCCACCATGCCTGGCTAATTTTTGTATTTTTAGTAGAGACAGTGTGTCACCATGTTGGCCAGGCTGGTCTCAAACGCCTGAGTGATCCTCCCGCCTCAGCCTCCCAAAGTGCTGGGATTACAGGTGTGAGCCACTGTGCCTGGCCTGATTATTTATTTATTTATTTATTTTTGAGACAGAGTCTGACTGTGTCACCCAGGCTGCAGTGCAGTGGTGATATCTCGGTTCACTGCAGCCTCTGTGTCTTGGGCACAAGAGATTCTCCTGCCTCAGTCTCCTGAATAGCTGGGACTACAGGCGCACACCAGGGCACCTGGCTAATTTTTGCATTGTTTGTAGAGAAGGGGTTTCTCCATGTTGGTCAGGTTGGTCTCAAACTCCTGAGCTCAAGTGATTCGACCTCCTTGGCCTCCCAAAGTGTTGGGATTACAGGCATGAGTCACCTCGTCTAGCCTTGGATTTTACTTTTTGATTCATTTGTTCTCTAAATTACAAAGAGTGAGCAGGTCACACTTCCACTTTAATGGTGGTAAGAAGCTCATTTAATGGAGCTATTTTCTGGGCACTGGTTTAATGCCTGTCCCTTTTTCACGGGCATCATTTCCTCTAAGCCTTCACTTTGAAGAATATCTATCTGCTCTTGGAAACCATTGCCTTCCGAATACTTACTTCAATCTGGCACTATCATACATTAGCCTTTCTTTAGTACACTTTAAGTAACTGCAAAGAAGTTTAAAGAGGTCCTAGGTTCAAAATTCACCTGTGGATAACACAGACATATGTCACCGGGATGATTGTGTAGCATTTGCATGTATTCTGAGTAGTTGTAGTAGATCAGCTCTAGGAGGAAAAGCGATTCCCAGGGCAGAGATTTTACTGTCCCCAGGTTGCTACTTGTTATTTTCTGGCCTGGTTTTCTAAGATCAAAGGACTGCAGGAGACTCACTGGATTCACTGTGCAGTGTGGGGAAGACAAATGGATGGGTGTCCTGATGGTAGAATGCACGCTTCAGAGAGGTAAACATGCTGACTGCCTCTTTGGCCACGTAGCCCAGGAGCTGGACATTTCTGCTCCCTTCATCTCCTCGTGTAGCTCGGCTGGACAGTTGGTTCCTTTCGGGTGCAATCATCAATCTTGATGTTTGTGCAAACCAGTCCTGACAAGCTGGTACAGCATGGTCCATTGCACCACATGTACACAACAAAATCATCAATCATTAACGTAAAAAACCTTCCAAGGGCCACATTCTCAGGGGTTGGGCAAGGAATGATCATAGCTCTAGGGTCCCTTGGAGCTGTGCTGGGAGTGAGCAACCAGATATACTGTGTTACTCCTTCCTACCCTCCTGTTTTCCAGCTTCACACCGGGCAGGTGCAGTGACTTAGTCTCTCTGATTCCCAAGTTCAACACCCCCAGGGAAAAGCTTTGTTTGGTTCATCTTGGGTCAGGTGCTAACTTCTGGGCTAATCAACAAGAGATGGTGTGTGTGTGTGTGCCATTAGAATTACACAGAATTTCTTAGAAGATGATACTTTTGGGGGAGTTAAGATGAAGCTGCTTGTTGTAGGTGGGGTTCTGCAGGAAACTGACTCTGCAATGGAGTTTAGTGTGTAGGATGTTCACTAAGAAGTGCTCTTGGGATCAACACCTGTGGAAGGTAGGAGGATGAAGCAGGATTGGGTAGAGAGAGAAGCCAAGCTTTGATGCAGGCCTGATGGACTCAGCTGACCCTACAGGGAACTCTGGTGTTAGAACAGCCTTTCAGAGCTGTCCAGGGCTGAGTGGAAATGTCCAGACCTTTAGACCCTTGCCTTGATCAGTCAGTGGGCATGGGCTGCCCTCTGCAGCTGAGGCAGACCTGGAGGGGATGACAGCTGAGGGCTGTCTGCTGACCACACTCTTGGAGTTGGGCAAGAAGTCCTTCACTGAAGGGGAATCTGGGTAGTGCATCACAGTGCCCTGCCTAAAGGGACACACACACACACACACACACACACAATTACACAATTCTAGGGCATTTGAAACATTTGAAGCCACATTGTACTCCAGAAAGATTGCATAGATTTATATTACATTTCGATTGGAAATAAAGAACTTTTACAACTCAATATTAAAAATACAAACAAGTCTGGCTCTCACCTGTAATCCCAGCACTTTGGGAGGCCGAGGCAGGCAGATCACGAGGTCAGGAGATCAAGACCATCCTGGCTAACATGGTGAACCCTGTCTCTAATAAAAATACAAAAAATTAGCCAGGCGTGGTGGCGGGCACCTGTGATCCCAGCTACTCGGGAGGCTAAGGCAGGAGAATGGCATGAACCCAGGAGGCGGAGCTTGCTGTGAGCGGAGATTGAGCCACTGCACTCCAGCCTGGGGGACAGAGCGAGACTCCATCTCAAAAAAAAAAAAACTAGTCAATTAAAAATGAGCAAAATATTTGAATAGTCATTTCACCAAAGAGGACATACAAATGGCTAATGCACATGAAAAGATGTTTAACATCGGCCGGGCACAGTGGCTCACGCCTGTAATCCCAGCACTTTGGGAGGCAGAGGCGGGCAGATCACCTGAGGTCAGAAGTTCGAGACCAGCCTGGCCAATATGGTGAAACCCCATCTCTATTGAAAATACAAAAATTAGCCAGGCGTGGTGGCACACACCTGTAATCCCAGCTACTCGGGAGGCTGAGGCAGGAGAATCGCTTGAACCTGGGAGGCAGAGGTTGCATTGAGCCAAGATTGCACCATTGCACTCCAGCCTGGGCAACAAGAGCAAAATTCCGTCTCAAAAAAAACAAAAAAAGATGTTTAACGTCATCGTCATTAGGCAAATGCAAATCAAAACTACAATGAGATACTTCGCGTTCATTATGCTAGCTAGAATCAAAAAAGACAGACAGTAACAAATGCTGGCATAAATGTATAAATGTGGAGAAATGGAAAGCCTCACGTATTGCTGGGTGGTATGACAAAATGGTATAATGAATTTGGAAAACAGTCTGGCAGTTTCTTAAAAAGTTAAGCATAAATTTACTATATGACCCAGAAATTCTACTCCTAGGTATCTACTTAAGAGAGGCCAAAACATATGTCCACACAAAGACTTGTATGCAGATGTTCAGGGCAGCATTATTCATAATAGCCAAAAGATGGAAATAACCCAAATATCCATCCACGGATGAATGGATAAACAAAATGCTGTCTAGCCACGCAATGGATATTAGTTTGCTATAACTAGGAATGAAGTACTGATAAATGCTGCAACATGAATGAATGAAGGTATGATCTTCTCCAGGATGTCTTCCCTGATCTCTGGACTCCTCTAGCACTTCATCTATAATCTAAGTAATATAATACCTCATATTATGTTTTTTTTTTTGTTTTTGAGATAGAGTCTCACTCTGTTGCCCGGGTTGGGGCACCGTGACGTGATCTCGGCTCACTGCAACCTTCGCCTCCTGGGTTCAAGCAATTCTCCTGCCTCAGCCTCCTGAGTAGCTGGGACTACAGGTGCGCACCCCCACACCCAGATAATTTTTGTATTTTTTTTTTTTTTGTAAAGACAGGGTTTCGCCATGTTGGCCAGGCTGGTCTTGAACTTCCGGCCTCAAGTGATCCACCTGTCTCGGCCTCCCAAAGTGCTGGGATTACAGGCATGAGCCACCATGCCCAGCCCTAGATATTCTTATACATGCATTTTGGTGGACATATGCACTCATTTCTCTTGAGTGTATATTCAGGAGAGGGACTGCTAGTTCATAAAGTAGGCATATGTTTAACTTTAGTAGATACTGTAAAACTGTTTTTCTTTTATTTATTTATTTATTTATTTTTGAGTGGAGTTTCTCTTTTGTTGCCCAGGCTGGAGTGCAATGGTGGGATCTTGGCTCACCGCAACCTCCATGTCCCGGGTTCAAGTGATTCTCCTGCCTCAGCCTCCCGAGTAGCTGGGATTACAGGCATGTGCCACCATGCCTGACTAATTTTGTATTTTTAGTAGAGATGGGGTTTCTCCATGTTGGTCAGGGTGGTCTTGAACTCCTGACCTCAGGTGATCTGCCTGCCTTGGCCTCACAAAGTGCTGGGATTACAGGTGTGAGCCACTGTGCCCGGGCATAAAGCTGTTTTTCAAAGTGATGGTATGAATTTTCACACCCACCAATGGTGTATGAAAGTCCCAATTGCTCTACATCCTTTGGATGGTGGTTATCAGAATATATGTGTGTGTATCTATGTGTATCTATATATATGTGTGTGTGTGTGTGTATATAAACATTTATGACTAGTGTACCTTACATACTTTAATATATACAGGCCAGGCGTGGTGGGTCATGCCTGTAATCCTAGCACTTTGGGAGGCTGAGACAGCCAGATTGCTTGAGGCCAGGAGTTTGAGACCAGCCTAGTCAACATAGTGAAACCGTGTCTCTACAAAAAATTTAAAAAATTAGCTGAGTGTGGTGGCTCACACCTGTAGTCCCAGCTACTTGGGAGGCTGAAGTGGGAGGATGGTTTGAGCCCAGGAGGTCGAGGCTGCAGTAAGCCATGGTTGTGTCACTGCACTGCAGACTGGGTGACAGAGTGAGACCCTGTCTCAAAAAAAAAAAAAAAATTACACACACACACACACACACACACACAATGTTGCATCTCAATTTTTAAAAGTTGATTCAGAAAAGCTGGGTTCTGAATGTAAAGAAGTTTTAGGAATACTTTAACCAACTTAAATTTTCTTTTTTAAGGTATGTCCAAAAGTGATATATGAGAAAAACAAATGTCTAGATAAGTCTAAAAGAATTCTTTGAATAAATATAAAACAAAAATTCTAAGTGATTAAAGACACTTATTTGTGTTCACACGTATTCCAATTCAGAGGGACCTCACGTGATCACCCATTTCTCAAAAACACAGAAACATGCCCAACCACCTCACTAGACTCCATTCCAGAGAGTACAATGCTGAAACTTCCTCTGTGCAGCCTTTAAGGCACTGTCCAGAGAGAGGTTGGCAGGTGGATGGCTGGGCCTGTAAAGGCTGAGCAAGGCCACCGACAAGTACTTGGTGAAGGTCAGTGGGCAAGTTATCTTGCCAGCTCCTAACCGAGTTCATTTGTAGGTTTCAGGCTCCTGGCTCCACTCTGAAAGAACATCTGTTGTGACTTTCTGGCAATGCCCAACTGAACCCTGGCCCCTGTCCGTGCCCCATCCATTGGATTTGGGGCAGCCCAGTGTTCTGTTTCATCCTCCCACTGCCAACCCGGAATCAGCCTCCAGACTCTCTTTCTGCCATGTTTTGTCATTCTCTAAGTGTACTCAGTCAGATGCCTCAGCAAGCTCTCTCAAAAATAGTCAAAAGAGTGATCATGTTTTACAAAGTTGCGGCCCAATGTGCAAAGTCACTACTTGGAGAGGATCTGATAAGCGTCTTACCTCTAGAACCCAAAGACAGGGGATTGGATATGGAATCAATTCTAGTTGCCCCCAACCCACCCACCCCATGACTGGATTGTGGAGAATTAAGCTTAATTTGTTCAGCCTTTCCTTTGTATATTTTTTAAAATAAAAAATAATGCGAATTCAATTTTACGTAAGCAATAGAGATCTTTCCTGTATTTTTATTCAATTCTCCAAACCATCATTCGACTTTAAATTGGATTCACAGATACAATGTTTGGAGATATTTTTTCTCACTGAGATTTAGTACCTTATTTGTTCCTGGCCCATGTGATTCCCAGGTATCTGAAATGTATAAATTATTTATAGTCCAGATGGTGATCTGATACTATCTGCATCTAAAAATGTTCTGTGCTTTTGCTGCAGACACAGACGTTCAATTACAAAATTCAGGTTGGTCTTTAGGTCCTAGCCTGATATCTCAAGGCATTCTTGATTACAAAGAAATACTCCAAATTCCAGCAGCCTTTTTTCCGTTTGCTTTCATTGCTTAGCATTAAAAACCATTCCTCTGTGGGAGCTACCAAGTTAAGGAAGAGAAAAGGGGGGAAGTTCCTTTTTTTTTTTCTCTTGCCGGAGGAGGGAATTTTTTTTTTTCTTAGCCAAATTGAAAACTTCTAAGTTTCAAAATGGGAGATTGTGACTAGATTGCTATTTGTTCCCCCAAATCCTTTTTGTTCATTTTTTGGTAGCAATAGAAACCCCGAATTTAAGAAGGTAAAATGGCTTCCCAGAATAGAGACTACATTACCCAGCCTCCCTTATAGCTAGATGTGGTCATGTGACTACATTCTGGCCAACTATATGTGAGCAGAACTTATGTATGCAACTTCTGGATCATGTCCCTAAAGGAGCAGAGCTTGCTATCTGCTTCCTCTTTGCCCTTCTTGCTGGTTGGAAGAGGGATGTGGTAATGAGCCATCTGGGACCATGTGGACAAAGCTTCACTCAGGGATGGCAATTTCATAACACAGGAGGAGCCCAGGAACCACCATGGTGCTGAAAGAGCAGCTCTGGACTACATATGCCCAGAGGGAGAAATGCTCTGCTTTCTTTATCGTAAGACATTGTTATTTTGGTTCTCAGAGACAACAGCCAAAACTATATTCTAACGAAAAACACAGACACTTAGGCAGAATTGGAGATAATTTTGATCAAAAGACTAGAAGAGGCCTGGTGCAGTGGCTCACACCTGTAATCCCAGCACTTTGGGAGGCGGAGGCGGGCGGATCACCTGAGGTCAGACCAGCCTGGCCAACATGGCGAAACTCCGTCTCTACTAAAAATACAAAAAGTTAGCCAGGCATGGTGTCAAGCGCCTGTAATCCCAGCTACTCAGGAGGCTGAGGCAGGAGAATCACCTGGACCCGGGAGGCGGAGTTTGCAGTGAGCTGAGATTGTGCCATTGCGCTCCAGCCTGGGCAACAGAGGCGAAACTCTGGAAAAAAAAAAAGACTAGGAAAGGCCTGGTGCAGTGGCTCATGCTCGTAATCCCAGCACTTTGGGAGGCCTGGAGGATCACTTGAGCCCAGGAGTTGAGACCAGCCTGGGCAACATAGGAGGACCCAGGTCTCTACAAAAAATTAAAAAATTAGCCGGACATGGTGGAGCATGTTTGTGGTCCCAGCTACTCAGGGAGCTGAGGTGGGAGGATTGCTTGACCCTGAAGCCCAGGAGGTCCAGGCTGCAGTGAGCTGTGATCACCACTGCACTTCAGCTTCGGTGACAGAGCGAGAGCCTGTCTCAAAAAAAAAAAAAAAAGAGAAAAAAAAGAAAAGAAAAAGAAAAGAAAAAAGACCAGGAATGTCCTATCGCCAAGAAAAGTCTCAACTCTTCATTTTCAATTGAGGATTGGATGAAAGGAAAGCACTGATAGATTTTTCTTTTCTTTCTTTTTTATTTCTTTAGACAGAGTCTCGCTCTTGTCACCCAGGCTGGAGTGCAGTGGCGCCGTCTCGGCTCACTGCAACCTCCGCCTCCAGGGTTCAAGCGATTCTCCTGCCTCAGCCTTGCAAGTAGCTAAGACTACAGGCATTCGCCACCGTGCCCAGCCTGATTTTTCTTGACACATGGTCATATATATGTTTTGATTAGATGCTTGAAGAAAGGTCCTCTCCATTCTGAGGATAACTGTCTTTTTGCCTCCTCCTAAGATTGTACCAGGTACTGATTCAGCACTCAGAAACAAATCAAAAGCAAATCTCCAAAAAGACAGGAAGGGTCTCAAAGATGTCAGGAAAAGTTAACTAAATACTTAAGGACAAGTCTCAAAGAGGCCAGAGAAGGTCTGAAACTGGTTAGTAAGAGTCTCAAATAGGTCAGGAAAAGACTCACATATGACAGGAAGAATAAAAAAAGTGAGAATGGAGAAGTCAGAAAGTATCAAAAAAGAAGGAAGGATCTCAAACATGTCCAAAAGGGTCTCAGTCAGACAGGAAGACTCTCAAATAGTAAGGAAAAGTCTCCAACACCTTGGCAAAGGTTTCCAGCAAGCCAGAAATTGTCTCAAATACATCAGGAAGAGTCTCAGACAAGTCAGGGAGAGCTTTAAACAAGTCAATAACAATCTCAAATACTTCTGGAAGGTTCTCAACTCAAGAAGGGTATCGAATACATAAGGAAGGATCTCAAACAGAAGAAAACAATCTTGAATAGTCAGAAAACATCTAAAGCAAGATAAGAAAGGTCTCAAATATGTCACAAAGGGCCCCCAAATAGTCTGAAAGAGCTCAAAAAATTATGAAGGATCTTAAGTATCAGGAAACAGCTCGAGCAAGTTATAGAAGGTCACGAACGTGTTAGGAAAGTGTCTTAAAGTCATCAGGAAGAGTTTTAGATACATCAGGAAGGGACTCAGACAAGAAGGGTCTCAAACATGTCAGTCAAGGTCTTAAGCAGACAGTAAGAGATTCAAATACATAAGCAAGGGTCACAAAGTTGTAAGGAAACGTTTTAATGATCTTTGAAAGGGTGTTGGCCGGGCGCAGTGGCTCACACTTGTAATCACAGCACTTTGGGAGGCCGAGGTGGGTGGATCACGAGGTCAGGAGTTCAAGACCAGCCTGGCCAACGTGGTGAAACCCCATCTCTACTAAAAACACAAAAAATTAGCCTGGCCTGGTGGCGTTCGCCTGTAGTCCCAGCTACCCAGGAGGCTGAGACAGGAGAATTGCTTGAACCTGGGAGGCGGAGCTTGCAGTGAGCAGAGATAGCACCACTGCATTCCAGCCTGGGCGACAAGGCGAGACTCTGTCTCAAAACAGAAAAAAAAAAAAAGAAGGGGTCTTACACAGACAGGGAGAATCTGTACTAAGATAGAGAAGCTTCAAAAAAGGGTCCCAGGCCAGGTGTGGTGGCTCACGCCTGTAATCCCAGCACTTTGGGAGGCCGAGGCAGGTGTATCACTTGAGGTCAGGAGTTCAAGACCAGCCTGGCCAACATGGTAATCCCAGCACTTTGGGAGGCCAAGGCGGGTGTATCACTTGAGGTCAGGAGTTCAAGACCAGCCTGGCCAACATGGTGAAACCCCATCTCTACTAAAAATACAAAAATCAGCCAGTTGTGGTGGCATGTACCTGTAGTCCCCAGCTACTTGGGAGGCTTAGGCTGCACTCCAGCCTGGGTGACAGAGCCAGATCCTGTCTTAAAAAAAGGTCCCAAAAGGGCCCTTTCTGGGAAGGGTCTCAAACATGTCTGGAAGGTTCTGAAACAAGCCAGAAAATATCACGTACATGTCAGGAGGTGTCTCAAGATTTTTAGGGAGTCTTGAATAACCAGGAATGATACCAAATAGGTCAGGAAGTGTCTCAAACAGGTCAGCAAGCATCTCAAGTATGTCAGGAAGAGTCAAGTAAAATGAGGCAAGTAAAAAATGGTTTCATACGCATAAGGAAGAGTCTCAAATAGATTAGGAAGGGTCTCAAATTCACCAGGAATGATTTCAAACAGAAAAGAGTCTCAAAGTTGAGAAACTTTTGAAGCAGGTCAGTAAGTATCTCTAACAAATTGGCATGTTTTGCAAACATATCAGGAAGGGTCCGAAAGAAAGGGAAAGTGTCTTAAATACACCATGAAAAGCCTCACATATGTCAGGCATCTCAAATATGTCATGAAGAGTATCAAACAAGTCAGAAAAGGCCTCCAACATGACAGGAGCAGCCTCAAAGTCATGAGGAAAAGTCTTGCATGTATTAAGGTGGGCTTCAAATACATCAGAAAGCATCTCATGTCTGTCCAGAAGAGTCTCAAGTATCAATACAGACTGGATAAAGAAAATGTGGTACATATACAACATGGAATACTATGCAGCCGTAAAAAGGAACAAGATCATGTCCTTTGCAGGGACATGGATGGAGCTGGAAGCCATTATCCTCAGCAAACTAACACAGGAACGGAAAACCAAACACTGCATGTTCTCATCTATAAGTGGGAGCTGAACAATGAGAACACAGGGACACAGGGAGGGAGCAACACACACTGGGGCCTGTCTGGGGGGTGGGGTGGGGCAGGAGGAGGGACAGCATCAGGATAAATATCTAATGCATGCTGGGCTTAATACCTAAGTGATGGGTTGATAGGAGCAGCAAACCACCATGGCACACTTTTACCTGTGTAACAAGCCTGCACATCCTGCACATGTATCCCGGAACTTAAAATAAAATAAAATAAAATAAAAATATGTCAGGAAAAGCATCTAGCAAACAAGCCAAGAAGGGTCTAAACATTATGAGGAAGACTTTTACCAGATCAGGATGGGTCTCAAACATTTCAGAAAGGGTCTTAAGCGAGTAAGAATGAGTCTCGAACCAGTGAGGAAGGACATAAAACATGACAGGAAGGGGCCGGGCACGGTGGCTCACGCCTGTAATCCCAGCACTTTGGATCACGGGAGGCCAAGGCGGGCGGATCACGAGGTCAGGAGATCGAGACCATCCTGGCTAACACGGTGAAACTCCATCTCTACTAAAAATACAAAAAATTAGCTGGGCACGGTGGCAGGCGCCTGTAGTCTCAGCTACTCGAGAGGCTGAGGCAGGAGAATGGCGTGAATCCGGGAGGCGGAGCTTGCAGTGAGCCGAGATAGCGCCACTGCAGTCCGGCCTGGGCGAAAGAGCGAGACTCTGTCTCAAAAAAAAAAAAAAAAAAAAAAAGAATGACAGGAAGGGGCTCAAAGTCATCAGGAAGAGTCTCAAATAGTCAAGAAGGGTCTCAGATAAGTCAGAGAGTCTCAAATAATCAGGAAGAGAATTTAACACACCGGGAAATTTTTTTTTTTTTTTTTTTGAGACAGGGTCTCACTCTGTCATCTAGGCTGGAGTACAGTGGCGCCATCATGGCTCACTGCAGCCTTGACCTACTGGGCTCAAGCAACCCTCCCACCTCAGCCTCCCGAGTAGCTGGGACCACAGGAGCACACCACCATGCCCATCTAGTTTTTTATTTTCTAACGTTTTTGTAGAGACAGGATCTCACTTTGCTGCCCAGGCTGGTCTCAAACTCCTGGCCTCAAGCATCATTCTGACTTAGCCTCCCAAAGTGCTGGGATTACAGGTGTGAGACACTGTGCCCATCCAGAAACGTCTTAAATTAGGAAGTGTTTTAACCATTTGAGTAAAGATCTCAAACAAGTCAGAAAGAGTCCCAGTCAAGTTAGGCAGAGTCTCAAACAATCAGGAGAGGTCCAAAATACACCAGAAAGGATCTCAACATGTTAGTCAAGGTCTAAACAAGTCAGGAAGGGTTTCAAATAATCAGGAAGAGACATTTACATTTCAGGAAGCATCTCGACCGGGCAGAGAGTGTCTCAAATAATCAGGAAAAGACTTCAGCAAATAAATAACTTTCTCAACCATGTAAGGAAGGAATAAAACAAGTGAGACCGGAAGGGTCTTACTCAAGTTAGGAAGATCTCAAACAGAAAGGAAGAGATCAAGTATAGCCAGAAGGATCTGAAACATGTCAGGCAGTGTCTCCCAGAAGTTGGAAAGTGTCTCAATCAAGTCAGAATGACCTGAAACGTGTCAGGAAGAGTCTGAGACAAGTCACGTAGGGTCCCAAACACTTTAGGAAGAGTCATTTTGTTACTCTTCATTTTAAAAACAGCTTTATTGAGTTGTAAAACACATTCCATAGAATCCACCCATTTGTTTTTTAATTTTAATTTTTTTTGAGACGGAGTCTTGCTCTGTTGCCCAGGCTGGAGTGCAGTGACACAATCTTGGCTCACTGCAACCTCCACCTCCCGGGTTCAAGTAATTCTCCTGCCTCAGCCTCCAGAGCAGCTGGGTTCACAGGCACTGGCCACCATGCCTGGCTAATTTTTGTATTTTTAGTAGAGATGGGGTTTTACCATGTTGGCCAGGCTGGTTTCGAACTCCTGGCCTCAAGTGATCCGCCCACCTTGGCCTCCCGAAGTGCTGGGATCACAGGTGTAAGCCACCATGCCTGGCAATTTAAAGTGTACAATTTAGTGGTTTAATTAGTATATTCACATATATGTGCAACCATCACCACAGTCAATTTTAGAACATTTTCATCACTTCAAAAGAAACCCTATCCTCAGCCAGGCGCTGTGGCTCACACCTGTAATCCCAGCACTTTGGGAGGCCGAGGTGGGTGGGTCACTTGAGGTCAGGAGTTTGAGACCAGCCTGGTCAATATGGTGAAACCTTGTCTCTACTAAAAATACAAAAAATTAGCCAGGCATCGTGGCACATGCCTGTAATCCCAGCTACTGGGCAGACTGAGGCAGGAGAATCACTTGAATCTGGGAGGCGGAGGTTGCAGTGAGCCGAGATCGTGCCATTGCACTCCAGCCTGGGAGACAGAATGGGACCCCGTCTCAAAAAGAAACAAAAAAAAGAAACCCTATTCTCTAGCTATCATCCTCTCATGGAGAACCTCTACTAGGGCAGTGCAGAAGGGAAATGTGGGGTTGGAGCCCCCATACAGAGCCCCCACTGGGGCACTGCCTAGTAGAGCTATGAGAAGAGGGCCACTGTCCTCCAGACCCCAGAATGGTAAATCCACCAACAGCTTGCACCATATGCCTGGAAAAGCTGTAGGTACTCAACACCAGCCCTTGAGAGCAGCCGTGGGAGCTGAGCCCTGCAGAGCCACAGGGGCAGAGCTGCCCAAGGCCTTGGGAGCCCACCCCTTGCATCAGTGTGGCCTGGATGTGAGAGATGGAGTCAAAGGAGATTGTTTTGGAGCTTTAATATTTAATGGCTGCCCTGCTGGTTTTGGACTTGCATGGGGCCTGTAGCCCCTTTTTTTTGGCTGATTTCTCCCTTTTGGAATGGGACTATCTACCAAATGCCTGTATTCTTATTGTATTTTTGAAGTAACTAACTTGTTTTTGATTTTACAGGCTCAAAGGCGGAAGGGACTTCCCTTGTCTCAGATAAGACTTTGCACTGTGGACTTTTGAGTTAATGCTGAAATAAGTCAAGACTTGGGGGACTGTTGATCAGGGATGATTATATTTTGCAATGTGAGAAGGACATGAGACTTGGGAGGGGCCAGGAGCGGAATGATATGGTTTGGATTTGTGTCCCCACCCAAATCTCATGCTGATTTGTTTTGTTTTTGTTTTGAGACGAAGTTTCACTCTTGTTGTCCAGGCTAGAGTGCAGTGGCGCATCTCGGCTCACTGCAACCTCCACCTCCCGGGTTCAAGCAATTCTCCTGCCTCAGCCTCCTGAGAAACTGGGATTACAGGTGCCTGCCACCACGCCTGGCTAATTTTTGTATTTTTAGTAGAGACTGGTTTCACCATGTTGGCCATGCTGGTCTTGAACTCCTGACCTCAGTTGATCCACCTGCCTCGGCCTCCCAAAGGGCTAGGATTATTGGCATGAGCCACCATGCCCGGCCTCTCATGCTGAATTGTAATCGCCAGTGTTGGAGGAGGGACCTGGTGGGAGGTGATTGGATCATGAGGGCAGATCTCCCCCTTGCTGTTCTCGTGATAGTGAGTTCTCAAGAGATCTTGTTGTTTAACAGTGTGTGGCACCTCCCCGTCTCTCTCTTCTTCCTGCCATGTAAGATGTGCCTGCTTCCCCTTTGGCATTCACCATGACTGTAAGTTTCCTGAGGCCTCCCCAACCATGCTTCCTGTACAGCCTGCAGAACCATGAGCTAACTAAATCTCTTTTCTTTATAAATTACCCAGTTTCAGGTAGTTCTTTATAGTAGTGTAAGAATGGACTAATACACATCCCCTTTATTCTCCCTCCTTTCTCAGACCTAAGCAATCACTAATCTACTTTCTGTCTCTATAGCTTTTCCTATTCTGGACTTTCATATGAATTAAACCATATAATATGTGGTCTTTTTTGTTTGGCCTCTTTCATGTAATGTTTTCAGGGTTCATCCATGTTGTAGCATGCATCAGTGCTTCATTCTTTTTTATGATTGAATAATATTCCATTGTATGGATATACCTATTTTGTTCTTCCATTGATAGACATCCATTCATCCATAGATAGACATCCATTGATAGACATCGTTTCCACATTTTGTCTATTATGAATAATAATAAACATTTGTGTACAGGTTTTTGTGTGGATATATGTTTTCACTTCTCTTGGATATATACCTAGGATTGGAATTGTTGGATTATATGGTAAATTTATGTCTAATGTTTGAGGAACTGCCAGACTATTTTTCAAAGTGGCTGCACCATTTTACAGTCCCACCAGCACTGTATGAGAGTTCTGATTTCTCCATATCCTCACCAACACTTGTTGTTATCTGATTGATTTTACCCATCCTAGTGGGTGAGAAGTGGTATCTTGTGCTTTTATCAGGAAGAGTCTTATACATTTCAGGGAGGGTCTGATGTGTATGACTCTTTCTGATCAAAGAGTAGGCAAGGGTATCAAAGAGTCAGAAAGAATGTCAAATTTGTAAGGTATGGATATGAAGTAGTCAGGAATTTTTTTTTTTTTTTGAGATGAACTCTTGCTCTGTCGCCCAGGCTGGAGTGCAATAGCATAATCTTGGCTCACTGCAACCTCCGCCTCCCAGGTTCAAGCAATTCTCCTGCCTCAGCCTCCCAAGTAGCTGGGATTACAGGCACCCACCATCATGCCCAGCTAATTTTTGTATTTTTGTAGAGACGGGGTTTCACCATGTTGCCCAGGCTGGTATTGCACTCCTGACCTCAGGTGATCCACCTCCCTCAGTCTCCCAAAGTGCTAGGATTACAGGTGTGAGCCACCACGCCTGGCCAGGAAAAATTTTAGATACCTCATAAAGGATCTCACACATGCAGAAAGAGTCTCTAATACGTGAGAAAAAGTCTCAAAAAGTCAGGAAGGACTGAAAACATGTTGGGAATAGTGACAAGCACATCAGAAATTGTTCACTGCAAGGGTAGAGAAATAAAACTGATTTTTGTTTATTGAACTTGTATTCTGCACCTTTGCCGAATTTATTAGTTCTAATAGTTTTTTTAAAAAGTGGATTCCTTAGGATTTTTTACATGTAAGATCACGTCATCTGTAAATAGAGATAGCTATACTGCTTCCTTTCCGATCTGGGTGCCTTTTATTTCTTTCCCTGGCCAAATTACCCTAGGCAGAACCTTCAGTACAAGGTTGACTAGAAGCAGTGAGAGCAAATATACTTGTCCTGTTCCTGACCTTAGGGGGAAGGCAGCCAGTTTTTCAACATTACATGTGAAGTTTGCTGTGGGTTTTTCATAGATGTCCTTTATCAGGTTGTAGAAATTTCCTTCTATTCCTAATTTGTTGAGTGTTATTTATCATGAAAATGTTGGATTTTGACAAATGCTTTTTCTGTATCAATTTAGATGTTCCTGTGGGTTTTGTTTCTATTCTATTGGTATGGTATATTACAATAACTTATTTTTAGATGTTAGGCCAACTTTGCATTCCTGGGATAGATAAATCCCACTTGATCATGGTGCCTAACCCTTTTAGTACATTGCTAGATTTGATTTCCTAGTGTTTTGTATTTTTATGAGATGGTCAGTCAGGTGTGGCCACAAAAGGGGACACAGGAGAAGCTCAGGAGAAAACAAGGTTTATTATACTCCCAGGTCTTAGAGACAGGAGGCATGGCAGACCACACAGGGCCACATGGGAAAGGCACCAGAGTGGTCAGAAGGCAGAAGACAGGAGTAAGGAGAAAGTTTAGGACATTGCCTTTATTGGGGTTTCCGCAGGAAAGTCAAGGCAGGGCAAGGTGAACAGTTTGGTTAGTTTGAAGAATTTTGGAGGGCTTTGAGCTGTAGTGGTGGTTCCTAGTTGCCTGGCACCTGATACTGGGATGATTAAGGCCGAGGAATATTGCCTCCTGGGGTGCATGGGCCAGATAGAGGAGGGATGGCTCTGGATTGGTTAGTTTGCATATCAAAGACATGCTCCTGGCTGGGGCCTTTGTTATCTTTAAGAATTGGCTAGACCAGGGAAGGACAATTTCTCCTCAGCTAGAGAAGTTTTTTTAAGATGTCAAAACATCATGCTTTTAAAATTTTTTAAAATTTTAAAAATTAAAACATAATTTAAAAAAATAGACTGGGCGCGGTGGCTTACGCCTGTAATCCCAGCACTTTGGGAGGCCGAGGCGGGCGAATCACCTGAGGTCGGAGTTTGAGACCAGCCTGACCAACATGGAGAAACCCTGTCTCTACTAAAAATACAAAAAAATTAGCCGGGCATGGTGGCACATGCCTGTAATCCCAGCTACTCAGGAGGCTGAGGCAGGAGAATAGCTTGAACCCAGGAGATGGAGGTTGTTGCAGTGAGCGGAGATCGCCATTGTACTCCAGCCTGGGCAACAAGAGTGAAACTCTGTCTCAAAAAAAAAAAAAAAAAAAAAAAAAAAAAAAATATATATATATATATATATATATATATACACACCCACACATATATACATATACACACATATATATGCATATATATACACATATATGTGTATATGTGTATATATATACATATACACATGTATATGCATATATATGTGTATATATATACATATACACATGTATATGCATATATATGTGTATATATATACACACATATATGTATATGCATATATATGTGTGTATATATATATATACACACACACACACACACACACACACACAATATAGCTGATAATTTGCCGATTTTGCGGGTTGTCTATATGCATAAGGGATATTGGCCTTTAATTTTTTTTTCTTGGGATGTCTGTCTGGTTTTGGTATCAGGGTAATACTGGCCTCAGAGAGAGAACTGAATATTCCTTCCTCTTCTATTGTTTGGAAAAGTTGCTGAATAATTGGTATTAATTCTTTAAATGTTTAAATGTTTGGTAGAATTCATCAGTGAAGCCATCTGGACCTCATCTTTTCTTTGCGAATAGTTGTTTGATTACTAATTAATCTCTTTATTTGTTAGAGGTCTATATATATTCTTTACTTCTTTTTGAGTCTGTTTTGGTAGTTTGTATCCTAGGTATTTGTCTATTTCATGTAAGTTATCTAATTTGTTGGCATACAGTTGTTCATAGTTTTCTTTTTTCTTTTTTTTTTTTTGTTTGAGACAGGGTCTCGCTCTGTCACCCAGCCTGGTATGCAGTTGTGCAAGCATGGTTCACTGCAGCCTTGATCTCCTGGTCTCAACTGATCCTCCCACCTTAGCCTCCAGGGTAGCTGGGACTACAGGAGCATACCACTAAGCCTGGCTAATGTTTTTGTAGTTTTGGTAGAGATGGGGTAGTGTCATGTTGCCCAGGCTGGTCTCGAACTCCTAGGCTCAAGCCATCTGCCTGCCTCGGCCTCCCTAAATGTTGGGATTACAGGCATGAGCCACCATGCACTGGCCCATAGTATTTTTTAATAATCCTTTTTATTTCTGTAAGGTTAGTGGTAACGTCCCTTCTTTCATTTATGATTTTAGTATTATAATTTGAGTCTTTTTTCTTCATTTCTTGGTCAATTTAACCAAAAGTTTGCCAATTTTTTTTTTTTTTTGAGTTGGGGTCTTGCTTTGTCACCCAGGCTAGAGTGCAGAGGCATGCTCATGGCTCACTGCAACCTTAAACTCTTGGGCTCAAGATATCCTCTGATCCTCCCGCCTCAGCCTCCCAAGTAGCTGGGACTACAGGCATGTGCCACCACGCACGGCTACTTTTTTTATTTTTGTAGAGATGGGGTTTTACCATGTTGCTGGGGCTGGTCTTGAACTCCTGGGCTCAAGTGATCCACCTGCCTCAGCCTCCCAAAGTGCTGGGATTATAGGCATGAGCCACCGCACCCGGCCTCAGTTCTTTTAAACTGAGGTTTGTTTTATGGCCTAACATATGGTCTAATTTAAAGACTTTTATATGCATTTGAGAAGAATGTATATTCTGCTGTTGTTGGGTGGAATGTTCTCGAGATGTCCATTTAGTGTAGTTGGTTTATAGTGTTGGACAAGTTTTCTCTTTCCTTGTTGATCTTCTGCCAGTTATAACTTCTGTCTAATTGTCCTATTCATTATTAAAAGGGGTCTATTCATTGTGGAAGACTGTGGCGATTCCTCAGTGACCTAAAGACAGAAATGCCATTTGACCCAGCAATCCCATTACTGGCATATACCAAAAGGAGTATAAGTCATTTTATTATAAAGACACATGCACGTGTATTGCATCGCATCACTATTTACAATAACAAAGGCATGGACTCAACCTAAATGCTCATCAATGGTAGACTGGCTAAAGAAAACGTGGTGCATATATACCATGGAATACTATGCAGCCATAAAAAAGAATGAGATCATGTCCTTTGCAGGGACATCAATGGAGCTGGAGGCCATTATCCTTAGTAAACTAACACAGGAACAGAAAACCAGATACTGCAGGTTCTCACTTAAAAGTGGGAGCTAAATGACGAGAATGCATGGATACATAGAGGGGAACAACACACACTGGGGCCTATTGGAGGATGGAGAGTGGGAGGAGGGAGAGAATCAAGTAAAACAACTAACGGGTACTAGGGTTGATACTTGAGTGATGAAATAATCTTTACAACAAACCCCCATGACACAAGTTTACCTATGTAACAAACCTGCACAGGTACCCCTGAACTTAAAATAAAAGTAAAAACGAAAAATACAAGAAGATCATTTTCTACTCAATACCAACCCAACTGGTGGCAGAGTAAAGATTTTATAAAAAACAACCTGAAAAAAAGAAGGGGGAGGCTATTGACATCTTTTTTTTAATTAAATATTTATTTGTATAAATGTATGGGGTACAAGTATAATTTTGTTAAATTGATATATTGTACAGTGGTGAAGTCAGGGCTTTTAGTGTGTATCACTGGAGTAATGTACATTGTACCCCTTAAGTAATTTCTCATCATCCACTCCTCCTTCCCCTCCCTCTTCCAAGTCTCCAATGTCTATTATTCCATACTCTGCTTCCATGTATACACATTATTTAGCTCCCACTTATAAGTGAGAACGTGTGGTATTTGACTTTCTGTTTCTGAGTTTCACTTAAGATGATGGCCTCTACTTCCATCCATGTTGCTGCAAGACATGATTTCATTCTTTTTCTATGGCCAAATAGTAAAATACTACTTGGGAGTTATATATATACTATTGGAATACTATTGGGAGTTATATATATATAGTTATATAGAGAGAGTTTTATATATATATATATATACCTTTTTAGGGGGTGAAGTGAGTTACTAAATGTAGCATTTATTTATAAAGAATGCATTGTGAATAGTTTCTCAATTTTCATTATCATGGAAAGATGATGATTTCAGCCCACATTCAGTCTATATTTCTAAATAATACAATTGTTAGGACTGTCTGTTCAGTACAATGGAGGACAACTTTTTCAGGGCAACTGGGATTTCTTGATAATGCTAACTCTGTCTTGTCGGCTGAATTCCTCTGGCTTTATGTATATCACATTTTATAATGCAGTCATCCATTGACAGACACTTAGGTTGATTCCCTATCTTTGCTATTGTGAATATTGCTGGGATAAACATACAAGTGCACTTTTTTTTTTTTTTTTGAGACAGAGTCTCACTGTGTTTCCCCAGGCTGGAGTGCAGTGGCACGATCTCAGCTCACTGCAATCTCCGCCTTCTGGATTCAAGCGATTCTCCTGCCTCAGACTCCTGAGTAGCTGGGATTACAGGCACCACTACCATGCCGGGCTAATTTTTATATTTTTAGTAGAGATGGGGTTTCACCATGTTGGCCAGGCTGGTCTCGAACTCCTGACCTCAGGTGATCCACCTGCCTTGGCCTCCTAAAGTGCTGGGATTATAGGTGTGAGCCATGACACCCAGCCTGTTCTGACTTATTTGAGAATCTTCCTGATGTGTTTAGAACTTATTTTAGACTCTTCTGACCTGTTTGAGAACCTTCATGATGTGTATGAGATTGTTCCTGATGTATTTGAGACCCTTCATTGTTCCTCTAAAAACTTTCTGAGAAGTTGTGAGACCTTTCCTCTCATGTTTGAAGCTCTCTGACATATTCAAAACCCTTCCTTTTGTATTTAAATCTCTTCCTGACATGTTTGACATCCTTCATGACTTGTTTGAGACTCTAACTGGTATATTAGATCTCTTTTCTGATATGTTCGAGACCTATCCAAAGGTATTTGTATCTCTTTTTCCCCGTTTGAGACAATTACTGACATATTTAAAGCTCTTGCTGACTACTTTGAGTCCTTCTAGACTAGTCTGAGAGGACTGCTGATGGAATAGAGATCCTTCCTCTCTCTTCTAGATAAGACCCTGAGAAGACTCACACTCTCTAACATGCTTAGACTCCTCCTGGTGTGTTTGAGACCCTCTTTGTCATATTTGATAAGTTTATGACATATTTAAGACTGTCTTAAACCTGTCTGAGGCTTCTTTGAGACTCTTTGTGACATGTTAGAGACATTTTTTGATGCTTGAGATGCTTCCCAACTCATTTACGTCCCTTGCTGAAATGTTAAAACCTTTCTGTATGTATATGAGACCATGCATTAGTCTGTTCTCATGCTGCTAACAAAGACATACCCGAGACTGGGTAATTTATAAAGGAAAGAGGTTTAATGGACTCATAGTTCCACATGCCTGGGGAGGCCTCACAATCATCGCCAAAGGCAAAGGAGGAGCAAAGTCATGTCTTGCATGGTGGAAGGCAAGCAAGAGAGAGCATGCACGGAGGAACTCCCCTTTATAAAACCATCAGACCTTGTGAGACTTATTCACTATCACGAGAACAGCACAGGAAAGACCCACCCTCATGATTCAATTACCTCCCACTGGGTCCCTCCCACAGGACATGGGAATTATGGGAGCTACAATTTGAGTTTTGGATGCGGACACAGCCAAACTATATGAGACCGTTACTGACCCTTACTGACAAATGTAATGCTTTTCCTGACTACCGTGAGATTCTTCCATTCTGGTTTGAGAGAATTTGTAATAGATTCCAGACTCTTCCTCTCTCTTAGGAACACTTCCTGTCATGTTTGAGACTCTTTCTAGTGTATTTGAGACTTCCTGATGATTTTGAGGCCCTCCTCTGATGTTTTTGAAGCCTTTTCTGACATTCATGACTCTTCTTGACATATTTGAGACCCTTCCTGACACCTATGTGACCATTCCTGAAGTATTTGAGACATTTTTTCTCTGTTTTGAGACACATCCTGGTTTGTTGGAGATA
This sequence comes from Homo sapiens, assembly GCF_000001405.40. Classification (NCBI taxonomy): domain Eukaryota; kingdom Metazoa; phylum Chordata; class Mammalia; order Primates; family Hominidae; genus Homo; species Homo sapiens. Next base: position 40,982,241 of record NC_000023.11, on the reverse strand, counting down.
CTTCTTGACATGTTTGAGGCCATTCCTAATTTGTTTGAGACTCGTCCTATGTTTGAGACTGCTCCTGACATGTTTGCTAGTCTTTCTGATGTCTTTGAGAATTTTCTTGATGTCTTTGAGACATTTCCTGACTGTTTGAGACCATCATGACATTGAGACTCTGCTTGTTTTTATGTAATCATTCTTGATGGTTTGAGAGTCTTCTTTTTCTTTCTTTCTTTTTTTTTTTTTTTTTTTGAGACAGAGTCTCACTCTGTAGCCCAGGCTGGACTGCAGTGGTGTGATCTGGGCTCACTGCGACCTCCGTCTCCCGGGTTCAAGTGATTCTCCTGCCTCAGCCTCCTGAGTAGCTGGGATTACAGGCACCCGCCACCACGCCCAGCTAATTTTTGTGTTTTTTGTAGAGATGGGGTTTCACCATGTCGGTCAGGCTGGTCTCAAACTCTTGACCTCAGGTGATCCACCTGACTTGGCCTCCCAAAGTGCTGGGATTACAGGCATGAGCCACGGTGCCTGGCCTCCTTCCTTTTCTATTTGAAATTCTTCCTGACATATTTGAGACTCTTCATAACATTTTTGAAACTCTTGCTGACATACATGAGATCTTTTCTAACTGGCTTGAGACCCTTCCCAAGTTATTTGAGAAACTTCCTGGCAAGGTTGAGACTTATTCAGTGAATTTGAGACTTTTTCTTCAGTTTGGTAAACCTTACTGACTTATTTATGGCTCGTCCTTACTACCTTGAGAACATTCTTGGCTTGTTTGAGTTGCTTCCTGATGTATTTCTCAAATCCATAAGTCCTCTCTGTTCTGGACAGTTCCTGAGAAGTTTGAGACACTCGCTGTCGTGTTCAAGACCCTTCCTCCCATATTTGAGAACCCTCCTGATGTATTTAAATCCCTTCCTGACATGTCTTAGAGCATCCATGACTTCTTTCTTTCTTTTTTTGTTTTTTTTGAGACGGAGTCTCACTCTGTTGCCCAGGCTGGAGTGCAGTGGCGTGATCTGGGCTCACTGCAACCTCTGCCTCCCTGGTTCAAGGGATTCTTATGCCTCAGCCTCCTGAGTAGCTGGGATTACAGGCGCCCACCACCCGGCTAATTTTTTACATTTTTGGTGGAGATGGGGTTTCGCCATGTTGGTCAGGCTGGTTTCGAACTCCTGACCTCAAGCGATCTGCCCACCTTGGCCTCCCAAAGTGCTGGGATTACAGGTGGGAGCCACTGCACCCGGCCAAGCATCCATGACTTCTCTGTGACTTTCTACCCTGTTAGGAATCGTCTCTGACTTGCTTAAGACCCTTCCCAACTTACTTGAAATCTCTCCTGACAAGTTTGAGAGCATTCCTGAGGTATTTAGTTCTTTTTCTCTCTTTTGGCACCCTTTATTTGCATACTTAATACTCCTCCTGACTACTTTGAGGCCTTCGAGACTTGTTTGAGAAGATAGCTGATGCATGTGAGACCCTTCCTCTCTCTTTGCAACACCTCCTGATATGTTTGCCACTCTTCCTGATGTATTTGCGATTCTTCCTGATTTTTTTTTTGCAATCCCTTCTGACAGTTGGAGATCATTTCTGACATGCTGACACTCTAGGTTGTATCAGGGACACTCCATTTCTGTTTAAGACTCTTCCCGACTCTTTTGTAACTCTTCCTTACTACTTTGAGAAACCTCCAGACCTGTTTGTAATGTTTCTCATGTATATGAAAATTTTCCTCTCTGTTCTGGATATTTCTTGACAAGCTTGAGTCGTTTTCTGTCATATCTGAGACTGCTTTTGATGTGTTTGAGACCTCTTTAATATGTTAAATATTAAATATATTTAATATGAACCTTTGAGACATTTTTGTTTGTTTGGAGACAGTCTCGCTTTATTGCCCAGGCTGGAGTGCAGTGGCACCATCTCGGCTCACTGCAATCTCCGCTTCCCAGGTACTCATGATGAAAATCATGAGTGATTTTCATGCCTCAGCCTCCCAAGTAGCTGGAATTACAGGCGCCTGCCACCACGCCTGGCTAATTTTTGTATTTTTAGTAGAGATAGGGTTTCACCATGTTGGCCAGGCTGGTCTTGAACTCCTGACCTCAAATGATTCGCCTGCCTTGGCCTCCCAAAATGCTGGGATTACAGGTGTGAGCCACCATGCCTGGCTGTGACACTTTTTTATTTTGAGACAGGGTCTTGTGCTGTTGCCCAGGCTGGAGTGCAGTGACACAGTCATAGCTCACTATAGCCTCAACCTCCCAGGCTCAGGTAATCCTCTTGCCTCAGCCTCCCAAGTAGCTGGGACTACAGGCAAGTGCCACCATGCCTGGATAATTTTTTTATTTTTTGTAGAGACAGGATCTTGCCATGTTTCCCAGACTGGTCTTGAACTCCTGGCCTCAAGCGATCTTCCCACCTCAGCCTCCCAAAGTGCAGGGATTACAGGCATGAGCCACCCCACCAGGCCGTGACATATTTAACACTCTTTCTGATAGGTTTGAGAGCCTTCATGACTCTTTGAGACTTTTCCTAATATATTAGAGATCTTTTCTGACTTTCTTGAGACACTTTCCTGCATGTTTGCACCCCTTGCTGACAAATTTATTTATTTATTTATTTTACTTTTTTTGAGACAGGGTCTCACTCTGTTGCCCGGCTGGAGTGCAGTGGTGCAATCTTGGCTCACTGTAACCTCTGCCTCCTAGGTTCAAGTGATTCTCTTTTTTTTTTTTTTTTTTTTTGAGACGGAGTCTTGCTCTGTCGCCCAGGCTGGAGTGCAGTGGCACAATCTCGGCTCACTGCAAGCTCCGCCTCCCGGGTTCATGCCATTCTCCTGCCTCAGCCTCCCAAGTAGCTGGGACTACAGGCACCTGCCACCACACCTGGCTAATTTTTTTATATTTTTAGTAGAGACGGGGTTTCACCATGTTAGCTGGGATGGTCTCGATCTCCTGACCTTGTGATCCACCCGCCTTGGCCTCCCAAAGTGCTGGGATTACAGGCATGAGCCACCGCGCCCAGCCTCAAGTGATTCTCATACTTCAGCCTCCCGAGTACCTGGGATTACAGGCATGTGCCGCCATGCCCGGCTAATTTCAGTACTTTTAATAGGGACAGGGTTTTGCCATATTGGCCAGGCTGTTCTTGAACTCTTGACCTTAAGTTATCTGCCTGCCTCGGCCTCCCAAAGGGCTGAGATTACAGGTGTGAACCACCACACCCAGCCCCTTGCTGACAAATTTAAAAGCTCTTCCTTACTACTTTGAGAAAACTTCCAATCTGGCTTGAGAGAATTCATAATGCATTGCAGACCCTTCTCTCTTTGTGACATTCTCTGTAATATTTGAAACACATTCTCACATAATGAGACTCTTCCTGATGATGTTGAGGCCCTCTCTGAAGGATGTTCCAAACCCTTTCTGACTGGCATGAGACTCTTCTTGATTGTTTGAGATCTTCCCTGACATGTTTGAGACCTGTACTTAATTGTTTGAGATTCTTCCTGACAAGCCTGAGACTTCTTGATATATTTGTGACCTTCCCCGATATTTGAGACTGTTACTCTTTGTTCCAGACTCTTACTGACCTATTTGAAACTCTTCCTGACTACTTTGAAACTGTTTCTGATTTGTTTGAGATCATTTGTGAGGACTTCAGACATTTTCTCTCTATTTATGACCCTTTCTGACATGTTCGAGACTCTTCTTGACAGCTTTGAGACTCCTGCTAATGTACTTGAGACTCTTCCTAATTTTGCCTATCTATTTAGAACCATTAGAGACATATTTTAAACTCTGCCTGGCAAATGTGAAATCTTTCCTTCCTAATTTCAGACCCTTACCTTGCTTGAGTCTTCTACTGCCATGTTAGATATGTATCCAAACTATTTGAGACTCTTCTTGTTTGAGTAAGATGACTCCTAATATATTTGAGACTCTTCCTGACATTACTACCTTTCCTAACTATTTGAGACCCTTTCTGTTATTTTTTGAGACCCTTCTTAACAGGTTTATGAGCTGAGCTTTACTGATTGATTGATACTCTTGCTTTAATTTTGAGACCGTTTTGTGGCATATTTAAGATGTTCATCTCAGGTACTGACATTTTGAAATCTTTCTGACTACATTGAGACCATTACCAAGTTGTCTGATACTATTTATAATGTATTTGAGACACTGCCTCTCTCTTTGAGAGTATTTATGACATGTGTGAGACACTTCCTGATGTATTTGAATCCTTCCTGTATGATCGAGATCCTTCTTGTTTTATCTATGACCTTTCCTGAGGTGATGAAAACTCTTCCTTACTACATGACCCAACAATTCTACTCCTAGATGGAAGAAATGAAATGAAAACTTATGTTCACATAAAAACTTGTTTTCAAACATTCATTGCAGCAGTATTAATAATAGGCAGAAAGTGGAAACCACCCAAATGTCCATCAACTGATAAATGGGTAAATAAAATGTGGTATGTCCATACAATGGAATATTATTCAGCCATAAAAAGGAATTAAGTAATACATGGTACTACCTAGATGGATCTTGAAAACATTATACTAAGAGAAGGGAGCCAGAAACAAAAGGCCATGGCCAGGCGCGGTGGCTCACGCCTGTAATCCCAGCACTTTGGGAGGCCAAGGCAGGCGGATTACGAGGTCAGGAGATCAAGACCATTCTGGCTAACATGGTGAAACCCCGTCTCACTAAAAACACAAAAAATTAGCCAGGCATGGTGGCTGGCACCTGTAGTCCCAGCTACTCGGGAGGCTGAGGCAGGAGAATGGCATGAACCCAGGAGGCAGAGCTTGCAGTGAGCCGAGATTGTGCCACTGCACTCCAGCCTGGGTGACAGAGCAAGACTCCATCTCAAAATTTAAAAAAGGCCAGATATTGTATGATTTCATTTATATGGAATGTCCAGAATAGGCAGAACCATAGAGACAAAAAGTATTAATAGATTAGTTGTTGTCACTGGGTGGGGGTACGATGGAATGGGGAATGACAGCTAAGGGGTATGGGGGTTTCTTTCTAGGATGATGAAAATATTCTGGAATTAGATAGTGGTTAAGGTTGCACAACCTTGTGTATATTCAAGAAACCACTGAATTGTACACATAAAAGTGGTAATTTGTACTATATGTGAGTTATATATTAATAAAAATTTTATTGGTGTGGATGTGGTGAAAGGGAACATTTCTACACTACTGGTGGGAATGTAAACTAGTACAACCCCTATGAAAAACAATGTGGAGATTCCTTAAGGAAATAAAAGTAGAACTACCATTTGATCCTGCAATTCCACTACTGGGTTATCTACTCAGAGGAAAAGAAGTCATTATATGAAAAACATACTTACACATGCATGTTTATAGCAGCACAATTCACAATTGCAAAAATATGGAACCAGCTCAAACATCCATCAATCAATGAGTGGATAAACAAATTGTGGTATATATATATATATATATATATATATATATATATATATATATATACGATGGAATGCTACCCAGCTATAAAAAGGAATGAATTAATGGCATTCACAGCAACCTGGATGGGATTAGAGACTATTATTCTAAGTGAAGTAACTCAGGAATGGAAAAACAAGCGTCGTATGTTCTCACTCATAAGTGGGAGCTAAGCTATGAGGATGCAAAGGCATAAGAATGATACAATGAACTTTGGGGACTCAGAGGAAAGGGTGGGGAGGGGGTGAGGAATAAAAGACTGCAAACTGGGTCCAGTGTACACTGCTTGGGTGATGGGTGTACCAAAATCTCACAAATCACCACTAGAGAACTTACTCATGTAACCAAATACCACCTGTTCTCCAAAAACCTATGGAAATTAAAAAAAAAATTTATTACAAAAAAACCTTCCTGATAACTTTCAACTTTAAGATACTTCCTAACATATTTAAGACCTGTCCTGACTTTTGAAGACCTTTAGGAACATGTTCGAGACCTTCCTTGTGTATTAAATAATATTCTCTACTACTCCAGATATGCCTAGACCATTTTGAGAACATCTTGTCATCTTTGTAACCCTCCTGACTCATCGGAAAAATGTTATGATATGTTTGTGGTATTTTCTGACTATTTGAGACTCTTCCTTTCTGTTTGAGATTCTTAGTAACTTGTTTGAGACCCTCCCTGCCGTGGTTGAGACACTTAATGACTTGTTTGAGACTCTTCCTGATGGATTAAGCCTCTTCCTGACACATTGAAATTCTTCCTATCCACTTGAGACCATTTCTGATGTATTTGAGACTCTTCCTGAATTGTTTGAGATGTTTCCTAACATGTGAGACGCTTTATGCTGTTGAGACCTTTCCTAACAGACCTGAGAACTTTCCTGATTATTGGAGGCATTTGCATCCAATTGGAGACCCTTTGTGATATATTTGAGACTCTTCTTGACTTATTCAAGACACTTCCTGGTTTGCCAAGACCCTTCCTAACATGGCTGAGACCTTTTCTGATTATTTGGGGGCTCTTCTGGACACATTTTAGAGCATTATGGCTTGCTTGACATGCTTTCCCATGTGTTTGAAATCTATCCAGACATATTGGAGACTCTGCCTCTGTTTGAAAGCTTTATTGATTCATTTAAAGTTCTTCTTAGGCTGGGTACCATGGCTCACACCTGTAATCCCAGCACTTTGGGAGGCTGAGGTGGGCAGATCACCTGAGGTCAGGAATTCGAAACTAGCCTGGCCAACATGGTGAAACCCCGTCTCTACTAAAAATACAAAAATTAGCCGGGCATGGTGGCATGCACCTGTAGTCCCAGCTACTGGGGAGGCTGAGGCAGGAGAATAGGTTGAACCCAGGAAGCAGAGGTTGCAGTGAGCCGAGATCACGACACTGTACTCTAGCCTGGGCAGCAGAGCAAGACTCCGTCTCAAAAAATAAATACATAAAAATAAATAAATAAATAAGTAAATAAAGTTCTTCTTGACTGCTTTGAGGACTTTCTCAACTTGTTTGGGAAACTACCCAATGTATTTGAGACCCTTTTTATATATTTCAAGTTGTTTCTGAAATGTTTGAGGCCCTTTCTGAGTTATTTGAAACCCATTTGAAACCCTTGCTGATATATTTGAGCCTTTTCTTTTTTTTTTTTTTTTTTTGAGACGGAGTTTCGCTCTTGTTGCCCAGGCTGGAGTGCAATGGCATGATCTCCGGCTCACCGCAACCTCCGCCTCCTGGGTTCAAGCAATTCTCCTGCCTCAGCCTCCGGAGCAGCTGGGATTACAGACATATGCCACCACACCCGGCTAATTTTGTATTTTTAATAGAGATGGGGTTTCTCCATGTTGGTCAGGGTGGTCTCGAACTCCCAACCTCAGGTGATCCGCCCACCTCGGCCTCCCAAAGTGCTAGGATTACAGGCGTGAGCCACCACGCCCGGCTGAACCTTTTCTTATGTTTGAGACCCTTTCTGACATATTTGAGACTCTTTTTAACATACTGAGACCCTTCTTGACATGTTTGAAATCTTTCCTGACTTTTCTGAGGCCCTTACTGACACGAACCTCTTTCTGTCTATATGCAACCCCATCAGATGTATTAAAATACCATGTGACAAAAATGAGGCTCTTTCTGAAATGTTTGAGACATTTATGGCTTGTATTCTATTTTTTTTGAATGAGTCTCTTCCTGTCTGATTGAGACTTTTCCTGACATATTTGGGACCCTTTGTGACTTGCTTGAAGCTCTTTTTTACTTGTTGGAGACCCTTTCTGACATATTTAAAATCTTCCTGACATACTTGAGACTCTTTTCATCTGTTTGAGAACCTTACTGACAAATTTAAAATTCTAAGTATCCTGATATCCTTCTTGACTGGTTTGAGATGCTTCCTGATATATGAGTTTCTTTCTGTCTTCTTGAGACATTTCTGACATATTTGAGACCCAACATATTTGAAGCCCTTGCTGACTCTGAGACCATTCCTGACATGTTTAAGACCTTTCCTGAGTTGCTGAGACCCTTCTTCAAGAGTTGAAACTCTTTGTGATGTATTTCTGACTCCTCTGAATGTCTTTCAGACTGTTCCTGACTTGTCTGTCACATTCCTGAAGTATTCTAGAGTCCTCCTCTGTGTTTAAGACCCTTCTTGGCCCATTTAAAATTCTGCCTGACAAATATTAAGCCTGTCCTGACATGTTTGAGACACTTCCTGAGTGGTTTGAGACTGTTCCTGACAGATCGGAGGCCTTTCTTGTCTGAGACCCTTCCTGAGATCATTAAAACTCTTTTTGGAAGTTCTTCTGGAATGGCATCACGAGGAGCTTTGCACACCTGCTTCCCCTCAAAACTGTGAAATTTATTTTTAAAACCACCATTTAAAGTATCTGGAAATGGTCCTAAGAGCATAGAGCAAATAAAGAAACATTCATTCGAGAAAATCTACTAAAACTCTATAAGAACAGTGACAGTCTAATGGCATTTGACCCACAAGCTGCTCCCTCCCTCCCCTTCCCAGTTTAGCATGATGGACACTCTACTGCAGGCGGGTGCAGCCAAGGACTCAGGGCTCCCTCTCCCCCAGTCTCCCAATAACAGTCTACTATATGTTCCCAGGAGGGGCAGAACTTCAGCATTTATTATGCCATCCCCTAGGTACCTGTTGCAGAGGTGTTCCAGGTGAGTGAGGCTAAGAGACAAAGGCTCTATTCTTTAACACAGCCCCCATTCCTTGAGTGCAGGCTCTACCTCAGGTGTGCTGCATTGAGAATGCTGGGGCCCTGATCACCCTTACCTCAGCTTGTTAGTATGACAGAGGTTCCATGCAAGAAGAGGCAGGCAAAAAAAGAACAGAAGCTACCCCCAACCCCCACCCCATCCCCACTTAGTGCCCAGCTCCTAAAGCAGAGGCGTCACTCAGAGAGAAGTGTGCCGCTCCTTTCTCCAAGCTCTGGAGCTGCAGCTCCAAAATTTTGCCCAGAGTGTTACAAGAAAGGGGTCCCGATCCAGACCCCCAGAGAGGGTTCTTGGATCTCACGCAAGAAAGAATTCAGGGTGAGTCCATACGGTAAAGCGAAATTCTTTTTAATAAAATAATTCTTTTTAATAAAAGTAAAGTGAATTCCTTTACTTTTATTAAGAAAGTAAAGGAATAAAAGAATGGCTACTCCACAGACAGAACAGCCCCGAGAGCTGCTGGTTGCCCATTTTTATGGTTATTTCTTGATGATATGCTAAACAAGGGGTGGATTATTCATGCCTCTGCTTTTTGGACCATATAGGGTAACTTTCTGACATTGCCATGGCATTTGTAAACTGTCATGGCGCTGGTGGGAGTATAGCAGTGAGGACGACCAGAGGTCACTCTTGTCGCCATCTTGGTTTTGGTGGATTTTAGCCCGCTTCTTTACTGCAACCTGTTTTATCAGCAAGTTCTTTATGACCTGAGCTTTTGCTGATCTCCTATCTCATCCTGTGATTTAGAATGCCTTATCTGTCTGGGAATGCAGCCCAGTAGGTCTCAGCCTCATTTTACCCAGTTCCTATTCAAGATAGAGTTGCTGTGGTTCACATGCCTCTGACAGAGGGACAGGCATGCCATAAAACAGAGGGTTCTGAAGCTCTTCCCAAAGGAACTACCTTTATTTGAAACATAGTGTGGGGAAGTTAAAGGCTAAGGAAGCTCTCAAAAACAATGGAGGTTTTGGTGGAATGCAATTAAGAGGAGACTGATAAGGCCAGGTACAGTGGCTCATGCCTATAATCCCAGCACTTTGGGAGGCCAAGGCGGGAGGATTGCTTGAGCTCAGGAGTTCAAAACCAGCCTGGGCAACATGGTGAAATCCTGTTTCTACAAAAAATACAAAAAGTAGCCAGGCATAGTGGTGTACACCTACTGTCTCAGCTACTCAGGAGGCTGAAGTGGGAGGATTGCTTAAGCCCAGGAGGCAGAAGTTGCAGTGAGCTGAGACTGTGCCACTGCACTCCAGCTTGGAACACAGAGTGAGACTCTATCTCTAAATAAATACATTGATTCAATAAATGAAATAAATAACCCATAGGCCACCTAGTTTACCAGAGAGAACCAGGGAAAGTGACAGCTAAAAGTAGGCCTACTAGAGTCAGAACAAACTTCAAACACTGACCTCAAAAACTATCATTGCAAAGGAGCCTGAATTTAATGGGATCAGTCTGTGGAACAATTTATGCCCCAGGGCATTGTTGAAAGCAATAGAGCAATCAGCCAGTAATTAGTGGAGCTTAACAGCTGGGTGTCATCAGGGACAGCGATATAGAGAGCCCTACTAAAACCACTTTCATCCCAGGGTGACTGCTCATGCCCAAGACTTTGCTCTCTGAAGAATGACATCAGGGACTTCATGCTGCAGAGGAAATAGACTTCAGTAAAATAATCCAGCCAGTCACTAAGCAAATAAACAAGCAAATGACAATAACAAGCCTTGGGGCAAGGGGACTAGTACCTAGAGCTGCTATGATATATAAAATGTCCAGTTTTCAACAAAGAAAATTACAAGACATACAAAGAAACAGAAAAGTGTGATTCATACACCAGAAAAAAAGGAAACAAACTGTCTGTGAGAACAACCAGATGTAAGGTTTAATGGGAAAAAAACTACATGGTATCCATTACAAATATAGTCAAAGAGTTAAAGGAAATCATGGTTAAAGAAGAAAAGGAAGGTATGATGACAGTGTCCCATCAAATAAGAAATATCAGTAAAGAAATAGAAGTTATGAAAAAGAACAAAATGGAAATTCCAGAGTTGAAAACTACAGTTGAAACGGAAAACTCACTAGAGGAGCTCAAAAGTAGATTTGAACTGAGACAAGAAATAATCAGTTAACTTGAAGATAGATCAATGGAGATTATGCAATCTGAAGAACAAAGAGAAAACAGAATGAAGAAAAACAGAGCCTCAGAAATGTGGTCCACCATTAAGCATATTGAGCCAATGTAATGGGAATACAAGAAGGAGAGGAGAGAGATAAAGGAGGAGAAAAAATATTCCAAAAAGTAATGGCTGAAAAATTCCTAAATTTGATGAAAACCATCTAGGAAACTCAATGAATTCCAAATAGGATGAATGCAAAGTGATCCACAAACAGACACATCATAGCAAAAATGCTGAAAACCAAAGACAAGGAGAAAATCTTGAAAGTGGCAGGTAACGGCTGGGCATGGTGGTTCACACCTGTAATCCCAGCACTTTGGGAAGCTGTGGCGGGAAGACCATTTGAGGTTAGGAGTTCGAGACTAGCTTGACCAAAGTGGTGAAACCCTGTCTCTACTAAATATACAAAAAAAATTAGCTGGGGCCGGGCACGGTGGCTCACGCCTGTAATCCCAGCAGGGCGTGGTGGTGGGCGCCTGTAATCCCAAGCTACTCGGGAGGCTGAGCCAGGAGAATGGCTTGAACCCGGGAGGTGGAGGTTGCAGTGAGCCAAGATCGCGCCACTGCACTCCAGCCTGGGCGACAGAGCAAGACTGTCTCAAAAAAAAAAAAAAAAAAAAAAAAATTGCTGAGCACAGTGGCTCACACCTGTAATCCTAAGACTTTGGGAGGCTTAGGTGAGAGGATTGCTTGAAGCCAGGAGTTTGAGACAAGCCTGGGCAACATAGGGAGACTGCGTCTCTACAAAAAATTTAAAAAATTCGCAGAGCGTGGTGGTGCATGCCTGCAGTCCCAGCTACTCAGGAGGCTGAGGTGGGAGGATGGCTTGAGCCCAGAAGGCAGGCTGTAGTGAGCTTTGATCATGCCACTGCACTCCAGCCTTAGCAACAGAACAAGATCCCATCTCGAAAAGGAAAAAAAAAAAAAGACGAAAAATAGACACTGGCAAGAATGCAGAGAAAAGGGAACAGCTACCCTGTTGGTGGAAATGTAAATTAGTACAACCTCCACGGAAAACATATAGCGATTTCTCAAGAACTAAAAATAGAATTACCTATGATCCAGAAGTTCTTTGGGTATCTACCCAAAGCAAAATAAATTGTTATATCAAAAAGATATGTGGGCCAGATGCGGTGGCTCACGCCTGTAATCCCAGCACTTTGGGAGGCCGAGGTGGGTCCATCACCTGAAGTAGGGAGTTTGAGAACAGCCTGGCCACGTGGTGAAACCCCTTCTCTACTAAAAATATAAAAATTAGTTAGGCGTGCTGGTGCATGCCTGTAATCGCAGCTACTTGGGAGGCTGAGGCAAGAGAATCACTTGAACCCAGGAGGCGGAGGTTGCAGTGAGCCGAGATCACACCACTGCACTCTAGCCTGGGGAACAGAGTGAGACTCTGTTAAAAAAAAAAAAAGTCAAAATGAGTATTTGACAGTGAGTGACATGAGAGAAAGTGTCTTAAACTTCTCAGGAACTGTCTAGAACATAGAGGAAAGTTCTCAAACACATCAGGAAACATCTCAAACAAGTCAGGGAGTTTCTCAAAGTAGTAAGTCTGAGGTGTAAATAATTCTGTATGGTGTCTCAAAAAGATGGAGAGGTCTCGAATACATCTGAGAGTCTCAAACATGTCAGGAAGGGTCTCAAGAAAGTCGGGAAGGGGCTCAGAAAAGCCAGAAAAGGTCTCATGAGGCAGGAGAATAGGGTCTGGAGGCAGGGAACCTAAGGCCGATTTATGGTGACTTCCTAGAGCTAAATTGAAAGGAAAACCCCAACTTTCCACACCTAAGTAACAAAAAGACCAGAGGCTACTCCCTTTGCAAAGCCCCACTTTTCTGCATGGCAGATGGAAAATTGAAAGTACCTCTAATTGGTTGCTTTCCGCAACCAATCAGACTGATTGTGGGCCAAGTCTTTGTTTGCATAGGAGTGCAACTTTGTAATTTCACTTTAGCCTCTGATTGGTTGCTTTCTGCAACCAATCAGATATTTGCATAGGAGTGTAACCTCTCTAACTTCACTTCAGCCTCAAATTGGTTGCTTTCTGCAGTGTATGAATGTAGCTAGGAAGAATTTTAAAGACTTCAGTAAGGGTCTTAGGGTCAGGAAGACTCTCAGATCCCTCAAGAATGGTCTCAGACATGTCAGAAGGCTCTCAGATAGCTCAGGAAGAGTTTCAAGCAAGTCAGAAAAGTTTTCAAATATATCAGGAAGAGTCTTGAGTGAGTAGGGAAGGGTCTTACATTTGTCAGGATGTATCTCAAAGTCAACAGGAAGAGTCTTAAACACTCAGCAAAGGTCTCAAATACATCAGGGAGCATCTCAAAAGAATGAAGAAGGGGCCGGGCGTGGTGGCTCAGGCTGTAATCCTGGCACTTTGGGAGGCTGAGACGGGCGGATCACAAGGTCAGGAGATCGAGACCATCCTGGCTAACACTGTGAAACCCCGTCTCTACTAAAAATACAAAAAATTATCCGGGCGCAGTGGCAGGCGCCTGTAGTCCCAGCTACTCGGGAGGCTGAGTCAGGAGAATGGAGTGAACTGGGGAGGCGGAGCTTGCAGTGAGCCAAGATAGCGCCACTGCACTCCAGCCTGGGCGATAGAGCAAGACTCAGTCTCAAAAAAAAAAAAAAAAAAAAAAAAAAGAATGAAGAAGGGATCTCAGCTCACTGTAGCTTCTGCCTCCCAGGTTCAAGCAATCCTCCCACCTCAGCCTCCCGAGTAGCTGGCACCACAGGCATGTGCCACCACGCCTGGCTAATTTTTGTATGTTTAGTAGAGATGGGGTTTTGTTGTGTTGCCCAGACTGGTCTCGAACTCCTGAGCTCAAGCGATCCACCTGCCTCGGCCTCCTAGAGTGCTAGGATTACAGGCGTGAGCCACCACATCCAGCCCAGAAGGCCTTTTAGATATGTCAGTAAGTGATATGGTTTGGCTGTGTCCCACCCAGATCTCATCTTGAATTGTAGTTTTCATAATCCCCATGTATCGTGGGAGGGAACCAGTGGGAGATAATTGAATCATAGGGGTGGTTACTTCCATGGTCTTCTCATGATAGTGAGTGAGTTCTCATGAGCTCTGACGGTTTTATAATGGGCTTTCCCCCTACTTTGCTCAGCACTTGTCCTTGCTGCCACCATGTGAAGAAGGACGTGTTTGCTTCCCCTTCTGCCAAGACTGTAAGTTTCCTGAGGCTTCCCCAGCTATGCGGAACTGTGAGTCAATTAAACCTCTTTCCTTTATAAATTACCCAGTCTCGGGTATGTCTTCTTTATTAGCAGCATGAGAATGGACTAATACAGTAAGGCTCTGAAAGAGTCTCAGATACTTCAGGTATGGTCTCAAACTAGTCAGAAAAAGTGTCAAAGTCATCAGTACAATTTTCAAATATATCAGGAAGGGTCTCAATAATACAGGAGGAGGCTGGGCCCAGTGGCTCACGCCTGTAATCCCAGCACTTTGGGAGGCTGAGGTGGGTAAATCACTTGAGCCCAGGAGTTTGAGACCAGCCTGGGCAACATGGCAAAACCCCATCTCTACCAAAAATTAGCCTGGTGTGATGGCACATGCCTGTAGTCCCAGCTACTTGGAAGGCTGAGGTGTGAGGATCACTTGAGCCCAAGAGGCCAAGATTGCAGTGAGCTGTGATCACGCCACTGCACTCCAGCCTGGGTGACAGAGCAAGACCCTGTCTCAAATAATAATAATAATAATAATAATAATAATAATAATAATACAGGAAGAGACTCAGATTCATCAGAAAGGGTTTTAAACATACAGGGAGGGATTAACTACATCAGTCAATATTTCTAACACTCTAAGAAGTGTCTCAAACATGTCATGAAGTGAATCAAATAATCACAAATGGTCTCAACCAAGGCAGGAAGGGGTCAGATATGTTAGGAAGTGTCTCAAACTAGGCAGACATTGTCTCAAACATGGCAGGAAGGATATCACAGTTGTCAGTTTTTGTTATCTCAGGAAGGGTCTCTGTCAGGAAGAGTCTCACCGAGTCAAGAAGGGTCTCAAATACTTTTGGAAGGGTCACAGAGAGGAAGAGTCTCAAGTAGTCAACAAAATTCTCTAACATGTCAGGATCGTCTTCTGCAAGTCACGAGGGGTTTGAAACCTGACTGGAAGAGTCTTAAATATATCGGGACATTTCGCAAATAGATCAAGCAGGGTCTCAAACAACCTAGGAAAGATCTCAAACATGTCAAGAAGTTTCTCACGCAGTTAGCAAGACTGTAGAACAAGTCATGAAGGGTCTTAAACATGTCAGGAAGGATCTGAAATATGTCAGGTATGGTCTCAAACATGTCAGGAATCATCACAAACAAATTAGGAAGTGGCTAACGTAATCCAGAAGAGTTTTATTTTCTATTTTTTTGAGACAGCGTCTTGCTCTGTTGCCCAGGTTGGAGTGCAGTGGCATGATCGTGGCTCACTGCAGTCTTGACCTCCTGGGCTCAACTGATCCTCTCATCTCAGCCTCCCCAGTGGCTTGGACTTACAGACACGTGCCACCATGCCTGGCTAACATTTTATTTTATTTTTTGTGGTTCTCACTATGTTGCCAGGCTGGTCTCAAACTCCTGGCGTCAAGCAATCCTCTCGCCTTGGCCTTCCAAAGTGCTGGGGTGTCAGCCACTGCATCTGGTTCAGAAGAATTTTAAATATGTAAGCGTCTCAAACACATGGAAATAGTCTCAAGACACCAGGAATGGTCTTAAACATGCCAAGAAAGGTCTCAAACAAGTCTGGAAGAGTCTCAAACAAGTCAGGATGTGTCTCCAAGTTGTCCGACAGAGTTGGAAATACGTCTGGAAGGATCTCAGACAGAACAAATCTCAAAAATACTGGGAACTGTCTCAAATGTCAGGCATCATTGCAAACAAATCATTGGGAACTGTCTCAGGAAGTGTGTCAAAGTCCTCTGGACTAGTCTCAAATAATCAGGAAGGATCTCAAATATGTCCGGAAGGGTTCCAAACAAGTCAGGAAGAGGCACAAATAGGTCAGGAAGAGTCTTAAATAATTAGGAAGTCTCAAACAAGTCAGGATATGTCTCAAATATATCAGGAAGTATCTCAATCAAGTTAGAAACTGTCTCAAATATGTCAGGAAGAGTCTCTTACATGAAAGATGGGTCTGAAACAAGTTAGGAATGGGCTCAAACATGTCAGGAAGAGTCTCTTACATGAAAGATGGGTCTGAAACAAGTTAGGAATGGGCTCAAACATGTCAGGAAGGGTCTTAAATAAGTTAGGAAGAGTCCCTTCCACATCAGGAAGTGTATCTAATTCACCAGACAGGGTCTGAAACAAGTCAGAAAGGGCTCAAGTAAGTCAGAAAGAGTCTCAAAGAAGTCTGAAATCTTCTCAAGTACATGAGTAAGGGTCTTAACTTAGACAAGGACAATTCATTTCTAAGGAAATGTTTTCAACCATTCTTTCATCACCACAATGATCCTGGGCCTCTAAAGGCTGTATGCCCTATGCGCTCAGAAGTTCAGAAAGAGCCAGAAATATGTGGCCATTCCATCCGCCCCTTTCCTCCCTCTCTTTGTCCGCCAAGGTATTTGCTTTGTGGCCAAGTGAATAGAATGCCTAGCTCTTCTGACATAACTTTCAGGTCATGGTCTAAGACCCGGTGTTTATTTCCTTCTCTGTGCATTTATATCACACCTGTTAGCTGAGATCTTCTCAACAGCAAAATGAATCCAAGGTTAGACGCACCTAAGGCTTTTTTAAAAAGGCTTTTAAAAATGTAACCTGTATTAAAATTAACAGCATTTGAGATTCTACAGAAATAAATTCAGTGAACAAAACCTGATTGCCATCATGTTTTTTTTTTTTTTTAAATAGAAAATCAAGGAAAGGTCTTGTGTGGAAATTAAACTGTGGCATGCCTGTGATTAGCAGTTTGCATCCTCTTTCAGTGGAAAATAAACACAGTGTTCAGCATGGCTGGTTCTGTACTTCCTTGTTTATAGAGGTGTCTGGGTGTCTTTATCAATCATTTGTTTACTGTAAATGCTGTAATTAGACATTGCCCAAGCTTGCCGCTAACTGCATTTTTTAGCTCTAGGAAATATTTCTGACCCAAAATAGAGGACTTTGTGTTTGTATAATGTACATTAAAAACAAACAAACAAACAAAAAAAGACAAAGACAAAAAAAAAACCTCCTCTTGGACTGTGGTTTTAGATAATGTCAGAGAAAATGTGAGAGTCAGCAATTGTTGGTTAAAGGGTTAGAGAAGGAAATATTTGGAAAGCCCCTGTGTCTTAAAAGTAGAGAATTAAGGAAATAATACCTTGGAAGAGAACACTAACAGTTCCTCAAGTCTCAAGAATTATTGCATGTGAGAACAGTATTGAATTACACGTTTTCAAATTAATAACCACAATAATTAAAAATAGATGACCTGATTTGATCTCATAAATTATTTTTGAGAACCACTGACTCATGCCAAGGTGTTTCTGCAGTGAAGACTTAGTCCTGCCCTGGTTTTTTCTCCCATCCAGCCTCAGGGGTGGGGAAGCTAGTGACTACTCCCAATCCCCCCGCCCCCCAGGCCCTGGCTTAGTCAGCTGAGCAGGAGGAAGAATGTCAGCAAGAAGAATGGTGTTTAGCAAGCACCTTCCAGAAACATATATTGAGTAGTTTTTGGTGTGTTTCTTTGAAATCGATATATTTATCTATGGATCAAGTACTAGGGAAACAGGAATACTTAATGTAGTGGATTAAAGATGGCTACAGATTCTTCCTCTCCCCGTCAGGAGGTGGAGTTTATTTCTTCCCCCATTGTATCTGGGCAGGTCTCGTGACTCTTTAACCAATAGAATGTGGCAGAAATGACACTGTGCTGGTCCAGGCGCTGAGGACTGGCAGCTTCCTTCCTCACTTTTGGCGTATTTGCTCTTGGGGCACTCCCTCTTGGAACCCTGCTGCCATGTAATGAGAAGCCCAAGTGTTGCAGAGAGGCCATGAGTAGGTGCTAAGGACAACAGCCGTAGCTGAGCTCCCAGCCAAAAGCATCAATTGCTTATCACATGTGTGAGCCATTTTGGTCATTCCAGCCCAACTTAATCATCAAATGACTGTAGCCCTAGCTGACAGCAGATAGAGTAGAAGAACCTCCCAGCTGAGCCAAGTCAACCCACAATAGGTAACTGAAACAATGATGTATTATTGGCCCCTAATGTTTATAGAGCACTGCCAGGCACAGTGCCACCAGCTTTGTATTCTGTATCTTATTTAATTCCTCAAACAATCCTAGGACATAGCAACTATTATTACTATGCCTGTTTTACCACTGAGGAAACTGAGCTTCAGAAAGTCTAAGTATCTGACAAGATGAGTGAAGAGTGGTGCTAGATCTCAAATCCAAGCCTGATTTCAAAGCTTAGCCTTTCCAGTATGTCCTCCTGCCCTCCAAATAATCTGCTTTAGTAAGGTTAGGCAACAAAGAGTTCCCATACACTCTACCAGGCAAAAACATATTGATTTATATGGAAAAGCATACTTAGGGCTCAATTCAATATTCCAAGGAACCTTTTAAAAAACTTTTACTCTGGAACATTTCCAAACATATATACTAGTAGTACAGTATGTGAGCCATCTATCACCTGGTTTCAACAATTACGAACACATGGCCAATCTTGTTTCATCTATATTCCCAACTACTTCGCCCACCCTACTATGAGATTATCTTAAGAAATTTTTTTTGCCATCCCTACCTAGAAATTATCTTAAAGCAAATCCCAGACATTATATCTTTTCATCTGCAAATATTTTTGTATCTCTAAAAGATAAAAACTCTTATTAAACATTACCACGATCACAACTAAAGAATATTGACAATTTTTTAATATCAGTCATATCCAGTGTCCAAAAATATATATATAATATATGATATATTACATAATATATCATATATCATATATCATATCATATATGATATATGATATGTGATATATATCATATCATATCATATATCATATATATCATATCATATATCATATCTCATATGATATATGATATATATCATATCATATCGTATCTCATATATGATATATATCATATATCATATCTCATATATCGTATATCGTATATCATATCATATATCGTATATCGTATATCATACATGATATATATCATATATCGTATATCGTATATGATATATATCATATATCTTATATCATATATATCATATATCATATATGATATTATATCAGATATATGATATATCACATATCATATATCATATCAGATATATGATATATGATATATGACATATGACATCATATATGATATATGACATATGACATATGACATATGACATATATATGACATATGACATATATCATATATGACATGAATATGACATATCGTATCATATATGACATATGACATATCGTATCATATATGACATATGACATATCGTATCATATATGACATATGACATATCGTATCATATGACATGTGACATATCGTATCATATATGACATGTGACATATGATATATCATATTGTATAAAATATGATATATGATAGATCATATATTGTATACAATATGATATATGATAGATCATATATTGTATACAATATGATATATTATATGATAGATCATATATTGTATAAAATATATATTATATATCATATATTGTATAAAATATTATATATTATATATCATATATTGTATAAAATATTATATAATACATGATATATCATATATCGTATAAAATATGATATATGATATGATATATCATATATTGTATAAAATATGATATATGATATATCATATATTGTATAAAATATGATATATGATATATCATATATTGTATAAAATATGATATATGATATGATATATCATATTATATAAAATATATATTATATGATATATGATGTTTATAATATATAATATGTGGTATATATTATATAATATACAATATGTGGTATATATTATATAATATACAATATGTGGTATATATTATATAATATATAATATGTGGTATATATTATATAATATATAATATAATGTATATGTTTTGTAATATATGATATAGTATATGATATATAATATATAATATATGATATATAATATATAATCATATATAATATATATGATTAGAGAGAGAGAGAGAGACAGATTCTCACTCTGTTGCCCAGTCTGCATTGCAGTGGTGCAATCTCTGTTCACTGCAACCTCCCAGATTCAAGCTATTCTCCTGCCTCAGCCTCCCAAATAACTGGGACTACAGGTGTGCGCCACCACTCCTGTCTAATCTTTGTATTTTCAGTAGAGACAGGGTTTCACCATGTTGGCCAGGCTGGTCTCAAACTCCTGACCTCAAGTGATCCACCCACCTTGGCCTCCCAAAGTGCTGGGATTACAGGCATGAGCCACTGTGCCCAGCCCCCCAAAATATATTTTTATAGTAGGTTTCTTCAAATCAGAAACTAGACAAGGTCCCTCACTGCATATGGTTAACCCATTTATGCCTGAGGTTGCAATTTTTTTGAATTTAAAAATCAGACTTTGGCAATGACCTTGAGCAATAGGATATAAATAACTCCCACATGCTTAGTGTTCCAATAATGGAACACTAGGCATAAATGTGTATGTCTCCTACATCTATTTGATAGGTTACCCCTTCCCTCTTGTATTTTTGCCATTTGTTTGCTGAAAAAGTTGGGGCATTTGCCCTGGAAAATTTTCCCATAGTCAGTATTTTGCTGATTTCATCAATCTCTCTAGTGTCACCTAATGTATTCCTTTAAACCTTGTATTTTCTATAAGCTGGTAGTTAGATTTAGAGCCTTGATCCAAGTCAGGTTTGATTTATTTAGCAAGAATACTTTGTAAGTGGTACTGTGTACTTTCCATTGTGTCACATCAGGAGGCCCATGATGTCTGGCTGTCCCATTTTTAGTGATGTTAACATTAGTCATTGGGTTCCAGTGTTGTTAGCCCCCCTTTCAATGTTCCTTTCAACCCATAAACCTTTCATATAATGGAAAGCATTGCCTAGATCCATTATGTCATTAGGGCTTGTAAATTTGTGAGATTTTAATTCTGTGATTTCTTCTGCCTTCATTAACTAGAATTTTTCCATAATAAAGAATTTCCTCTGATTAACTATTTGAATACCCCCAAGTACAGTTCATATAAGGATGGCAGAAAAAAGTGCTTGATTGCTTACCTTTATTCATCAGTTTTCTTTTTTTTTTTTTCTGAGACAGAGTTTCGCTCTTGTAGCCCAGGCTGGAATGCAATGGCTCCATCTCCGGTCACTGCAACCTCCGCCTCCCGGGTTCAAGCGATTCTCCTGCCTCAGCCTCCTGAATAGCTGGGATTATAGACGCACACCACCACACCCGGCTAATTTTTGTATTTTTAGTAGAGACAGGGTTTCGCCATGTTGGCCAGGCTGGTCTTGAACTCCTGACCTCAGGTGATCCACCCGCCTCGGCCTCCCAAAGTGCTGGGATTACAGGCGTGAGCCACCGTGCCCAGCCCCATTCATCAGTTTTCATAAAAATCAGTTGGTTCCCTAGCATTGTCTAAACATGACCAAAGAGCTTTTTAAAAAATCATTATGAGCCTATGGATTTTAGTATATTTGATGTATTTCAATTCATTACATTCATTATTCATTTTTAAATTCCTCATTTTATGACAGTTTCATGGAGATACAATTCACATATCACACAATTCATCCATTTAAAGTGCACAAGTCCAGCCAGGTTTGGTGGCTCACACCTGTAATTCAAGCACTTTGGGAGGCCAAGGCAGGTGGACCACTTGAGGTCAGGAGTTAGAGACCAGCCCGGCTAACATGGCGAAACCCCGTCTCTACTGAAAATACAAAAATTAGCCAGGTGTGGTGGTGCACGCCTGTAATCCCAGCTACTTGGGAGTTTGAGGTGGGAGAATTGCTTGAACCTGGGAGGTGGAGGTTGCAGTGAGCCAAGATCAAGCCACTTCAGTCCAGCCTGGGCGACAGAGCAGGACTCCATCTAAAAAAAAAAAAAAAGCGCATAAGTCAATGGTTTTTAGTATATTTACAGAGTTGCACAACTATGACCATAATCGGATTTTAGAACATTTTCGTCATGCCAAAAAGAAACCCTATATCCTTGGTATCCAAGAAGTTCTAAAAATAAAAAAATTTTAAAAACAGAATAAGAAACTCTATATCCATTAGCAGTCACTCCCCCTTCCCTCTAACACCCCCTGCAGCCCTAGGCAACAATTGATCTACTTTCTATGTCTAAGGATTTGCCTATTCTGGACATTTCACATAAATGGAATTACATATCATGTGGCCTTTGTCTGGCTTCTTTGTCTTAGTATAATGTTTTCAAGGCTCATCCATGTTGTCACATGTATCACCAGTAAAGGGTCGTGACTGCAAGTTGTCCAGGTTCTTGGCATTTTAAACAAAGAATTGGAAAAAACGCCCAGCAAAGCAAAGAAAGAATGAAGCAACAAAGAACGAAACCAGGGATTTATTGAGAATGAAAATACACTTCACAGTGTGGGAGCGGACCCAAGCAGCAGCTCAAGGGCCTAGATACAGAATCTTCTAGGGTTCAAATACCCCCTAGAAGTTTCCCATTGGCCACTTCATGCTCACCTCATGTAACTGAAGTGGTAGCCTGCAATCAGTCTGATTTGTTGCAGACAGCCAACTTCCCATCTACCACGCAGAAAAGGTCAAAGGGAGTAGCCTCTGGTCCTTTTGTTACTTAGGCTTGGAAAGTTAGGGTTTTCCTTTCAATTTAGTTTTAGGAAGTTGGCGTGAAACAGCCTTACATTCCCTGCCTCCAGACCCTATTCTCCTGCCTCATCAGTACATTTGTTCCTTTTTACTGCCAAATAATATTTCATTATAAGGATGAACCACATTTGGTTTATTCATTCATTAGTTGCTGGACATTTGGGTTTGTAGTGGGTTGAATGGTGGCCTCCAAAAAGATATGTCTATCTTTCTTAACTCCTGGCACCTGTGAACGTGACTTCATTTGGAAAAAGATTCATTGCAGATGTAATTAAGTTAAGGATCTCAAGATGAGATCACCCTGTGTTATACAGATGGGCCCTAAATCCAGTGACAAATGCCCTTATAAGAGACATACACAGGAGAAACAGAGGGAGAAGGAGGAGAATGTCATATAGAGAGGGAGGCAGGGATTGGAATGATGCAGCCACAACAAGCCAAGGGAACACCTGGAGCTGCGGGAAGCTAGGAGAGGCAAGGAATGATTCTTTCCTAGAATGCTGAGAGGGAGAATGGCCCTACCAACATTTGGATTTCAGACTTCTAGCCCCCAGAACTAGGAGAGAATAAATCTCTCTCTCTCTGTCTCTTTTTTGTTTGTTTGTTTGTTTTTTGTTTTTTTGAGATGGAGTCTTGCTCTGTCACCCAGGCTGGAGTGCAGTAGCGGGATCTCAGCTCACTGCAACCTCTGCCTCCCAGTTCAAGCAGTTCTCCCGCCTCAGCCCCCCAAGTAGCTGGGATTACAGGCAGGCGCCACCACGCCGGGCTAATTTTTGTATTTTTAGTAGAGATGGGGTTTCGCCATGTTGGCCAGGCTGGTCTCAAACTCCTCACCCCAGGTGATCTGCCCACCTCAGCCTCCCAATGTGCTGGGATTACAAGTGTGAGCTACCACGCCTGGCCAAATTTCTCTTGTTTTAAGCCACCCAGTTTGTAGCAGTTTGGTACTGCAGCCCTAGGAAACTAATTACAGTATTGTTTCCACGTTTCAGCTATTATGAATAATGCTGCAATGAGCATTGGTGTGCAAGTTTTTGTGTGGACATGTTTTCATTTATCTTGTGTATATGCCTAGGAGTGGAATTGCTGGGTCATATGGTAACTTTATGTTTAATATTTTGAGGAACTGCTAAACTGTTTTCCAAAGCTGCTGCAACATTTTACATTCCCACCAGCAATGTATGAGGATTACAATTTCTTCACATTATGTGTAATTTTTTTTTTTTGAGACGGAGTCTTGCTCCGTTGCCCAGGCTGGAGTGCAGTGGCACGATGTCGGTTCACTGCAATTCTGTCTCCCGGGTTCAAGCAATTCTCCTGCCTCAGCCTCCCAAGTAGCTGGGATTACAGGCATGTGCCACCACACCCAGCTAATTTTTGTATTTTTTAGTACAGACGGGGTTTCATCATGTTGGACAGGTTGGTCTCAAACTCCTGACCTCAGGTGATCCGCCCACCTTGGCCTCCCAAAGTGCTGGGATTACAGGTGTGAGCCACTGCGCCTGGCCACATTATGTGTCTTTTTTATTGTAGCCAACCTACTGGGTGAAAAGAGGTATCTCATCGTGGTTTTGATTTGCATTTCCCTAGTGACTAATGAAATCGAGCATCCTTTCAGGTTCTTATTGGCATTTGTACATCTTCTTTGGAGACAAGTCTATTCATATCCTTTGCCCATTTTAAAATTAGGTTATTTGCCTTTTTATTATTGAATTATAAGAGGTTTTTTTGTTTTGTTTTTTTGTTTTTTGAGACAGGATCTTGTTCTGTCACCCAGGCTGGAGTATAGTGGTGTGATCTTAGCTCACTGCCGCCTCGCTTTCAGGCCCAAGCGATCTTCCCACCTCAGCCTCCTCAGTAGCTGGGACTACAGGCATGTGCCACCATGCCCAGCTAATTATTATTATTATTATTATTTTGTAGAGACAGGGTTTTGCCATGTTGCCCAGGCTGTTCTTGAACTCCTGGGCTCAAGCAATCCACCCGCCTTGGCCTCCCAAAGTTTTGAGATTACAGGTATGAGCCATAAGAGTTTTGTTTGTTTGTTTGTTTGTTTTTTAAACATATTCTGGATATACATCCCTTCTTAAGTATATGAATCACAATTATTTTTCTCCCATTTTTTTGGTTGTCTTCTCACTTTCTTGATGGTATTGCTTGTAGCAGAAAAGTTTTAAATTTTTTTTTTTTTGAGACAGAGTCTCGCTCTGTCGCCCAGGCTGGAGTGCAGTGGTGCCATCTCAGCTCACTGCAACCTCCGCCTCCCAGGTTCACGCCATTCTCCTGCCTCAGCCTCCCAAGCAGCTGGGACCACAGGCGCCTGCCACCATGCCCAGCTAATTTTTTGTATTTTTAGTAAAGACAGGGTTTCACCATGCTAGCCAGGATAGTCTCGAACTCCTGACCTCGTGATCTGCCTGCCTGGGCCTCCCAAAGTGCTGGGATTACAGGCAAGAGCCACCGCGCCCGGCCAAAAGTTTTAAATTTTGATGTAGTCTAATTTATGTATTTTTTTCTTTTGCTGCTTGTGCTTTTGGTGTCACACCTAAGAATTCATTGCTTAACCCAAGGCCATGAAGATTTACTCCTATTATTTTCTTCTAAGAGTTTTATAGCAGTAATTCTTACATTTGATCTTTGATTCATTTAAATTAATTTTTGTGTATATTGTGAGGTAAGGGTCTAACTTCATTCTTTTTGTAATTGAATATCTAGTTGTCCCAGAACCACTTGCTGAAAAGACTATTCTTTCATCACTAAATGGTCTTAGCACCCTTGTTGAAAATCATTTGACCGTAAATGAATGGGTTTATTTCTGGACTCTTAATTCTATTTCATTGGTCTATATGTCTGTCTTTATCCCAGTACCACGTGGTCTTGATTACTGTACCTTTTTGGTAAGTTTTGAAATCAGGAAATGTGAGTCTTCCAACTTTGTTCTTTTTCAAGATTGCTTTGGCTATTGTGAGTCTCTTGCATTTCCAAATGAATTTTAGGATCAGCTTGTCAATTACTACAAAAAAGCAAGCTGGGATTTTGATAGGCATTGCACTGAATCTGTAAATCGCTTTGGGGAGTATTGCTATCTTAACAATATTAGGTCTTCTGACCCATGAATATATGATGTTTCCATTTATTTAGATCTTTAATTTCTTTCAAAGATGTTCTGTAATTTTCAGCATACAAGTTTTGCATTTCTCTTGTTAAATGTATTCCTAAGTATTTTCTTAATGATAAGTGGAATTTTTTATTTTATTTTTAGATTTTATTGCTAGTGTACAGAAATGTAGTTCATTTTTGTATATTTGTCTTGTATCCTGCAACCTTGCTGAACTTGTTTACTAGCTCTTTTTAAATTTTTTTATGTTAATTTCTCTATCTTTTTAAGCGAAGGGGTAGAAGTGTTTACTAGTTCTAATAGTTTTTAGTGGATTCCTGAGGATTTTCTACTTACAAGATTATGTCATCTGCAAATAGAAATAATTTTTATTTCTTCCTTTCCCATGTGGATTTCTTTTATTTCTTTTTCTTGCCTAATTGCCCTGGTTAGAACTTAGAGTACAATGTTGAATAGAAGTTGTGAGAGCAGACATCCTTGTTTTGTTCCTGACCTTAAGATTTTACTCCTTTTGATGTTCAACTTGTTCCATCTTTAGCAAGTAGACCCTATTAAAATTGGTTACTGCGGCCAGGCGCAGTGGCTCACGCCTGTAATCCCAGCACTTTGGGAGGCCGAGGTGGGCAGATCACCTGAGGTCAGGAGTTCAAGACCAGCCTATCCAACATGGTGAAAGCCCGTCTCTACTAAAAATACAAAAATTAGCTGGGCATGGTGGTGCACACCTGTAGTCCCAGCTACTTGGGAGGCTGAGGCAGGAGAATTGCTTGAACCTGGGAGGCGGAGGTTGCAGTGAGCTGAGATCATGCCATTGCACTCCAGCCTGGGTGACAGGGTGAGATTCTGTCTCAAAAAAAAAAAAAAAAATTGGTTACTGTGTCCTTTGGACATATCAATAGTATTTGATAGCGTCCATATTTTCCACGGCAACAGTTTGTACATCATGTACATTTCCTGCCCCAGATCTGAAATCAGCTATTTCTCCAAGGAGTCCTTGTTCCCTTTAATGGGTAAACGCATTGAGAAACCACAATCTGCATATTAAGTATACTCATTGCTACTGGGCTGATCACTGCCTTTCAATAGGCACAGCTGGAAAGTTTGTACTTTCTGGAAAGATAAAAATAATTCATAAATTCACATTGATATGTCTAATTCAAAATTAAGATTACATGGCTTTTACATATTTCATTGAATATTTGTGTCTTTCTTCCCTTAGGCTGAAAATATTAGTTCCTAATGACATTAACATAGTTACTTATTTGTTTTATCTTACTATATATACGTGCTTATAAGTGTGTATATATATTATACACACTAATAGTTTCAAGACAGCGATAATAGAATCATCACTAAGAGTTTAAGATTTTTTTGTGTATCTTTTTGTCCACAGGATATATCCCACAAAAGATTTACCATGAATACCATGTGTTTAAAGTTGTGTGGTTTTTTTTTTTTTTTTGAGATGGAGTTTCGCTCTTGTTGCCCAGGCTGGAGTGCAATGGCACGATCTCGGCTCACCGCAACCTCCGCCCCCTGGGTTCAAGCAATTCTCCTGCCTCAGCCTCCCAAGTAGCTGGGATTACAGTCATGCACCACCACGCCCGGCTCATTTTGTATTTTTTTTTAGTAGAGACGGGGTTTCTCCATGTTGGTCAGGCTAGTCCCGAACTCCCGACCTCAGGTGATCCGCCCACCTCGGCTTCCCAAAGTGCTGGGATTACAGGCATGAGCCACCACGCCCAGCCCATGTTTAAAGTTATTTGAAATAATTTCTTTCTGTGTTGTTAACCTACCAGCTTGATATACATGTTAATTTGTTTCACTTTTCTTTTGTTATTCAGGGATTCATTTCTATCCTTTTGATTTCAATTTGTTTTTATTTATTTATTTATTTATTTTTGAGACAAGGTCTTGCTCTGTCACCCAGGCCAAAGTAAAGTGGCACCATCATGGCTCACTGCAGCCGTGACCTCTTGGGCTCAAGGGATCCTCCCACCTCAGCCTCCCAAGTAGCTGGAACTACAGGCGTATGCCACCATGCCTGGCTAATTTTTAAATTGTTTTTATAGACAGGATCTCACTATGTTGCCCAGGCTGGTCTCCAACACTGGGCTCAAGTGATCCTTCTGCCTTGGCCTCCAAAAGTGCTGGGATTACAGGCATGAGCCACTGTGCCTGGCCTCAATTTGTTTTCATAATTATGTGAAAATATTTTTATGTCTCCTAAGCAAGGTATATTCAGAAAAGTGCATCCTTGTCCCCTCTGCTCTGTTCCCTCTCTATCTCAAAGACTAAGGGAACAATTTTTAATTAATTAATTAATTTATTTATTTATTTTTGAGACAGAGTCTCAGTCTGTCGCCTAAGCTGGAGTGCTGTGGCGTGATCTTGGCTCACTGCAGCCTCCAACTCCCAGATTTAAGCAATTCTCGTGCCTCAGCCTCCCGAGTAGCTGGGATTACAGGCGTGTGCTGCTTCTCCCAGCTAATTTTTGTATTTTTAGTAGAGATGGAGTTTTGCCATGCTGGCCAGGCTGGTCTCGAACTCTTGTCCTCAGGTGATCCACCTGCCTTGGCCTATCAAGCTGCTGGGATTACAGGCGTGAGCCACCATGCCCAGCCTGATTTTTTAAAATTAGTTTTTGTTTCTCCTTTTCGTTGCTTTTTTACCCCCAGAGGACATGACTCCGGCATATACCATACTTACTGACTTAATGTTCTCCAATGTATAGTACAGGCACATCAGGCATGGAAACGAACATCAAGTCCAAGCTCTTCAAAATTGTGTGTGTGCTCCCACACCAAAGCCTTGGCACAGCAAAGGTTCAGCTGCAGATGACCTTGTACCACAAACTTGCTCACAGGGAAATTTCCCTTGTTGAAAGATACAATTATTGGCTGAGTTAAAGTTCCTCTTTTCAGTATATATATCAGGTAATGATTTCAGATGTATGATTTCCTCTTTTCAGTATGTATCAGCTAATGATTTCAGGCTTAATCAATACCTTAGGAAACCTAACATTTCCAGTGTTTTTCATTAGGATAGTTCACATGTAAAGTTTAAAATTTCCCACAAATATTATATTTCTTTTATAACCCTTAGTCACCATATCAGTTATGGTGGGCACAGAAACCCAAATTTGGGCACAGAAACCCAAATTATGGTGGCTTAAATATGATGGGTTTTTTGGTTTTTTTGTTTTTTGTTTTTTCCTGTGAAAGGAGTTCAAGGATGGGCGTCCAGTGGTGACATAGCAGCTCTACATATATTAGGACCCAGGTTCTTTCTTTCTGCTCCCCTATAGGGCATGGCTCCCGTCATCAAGGTTGCTTTATAGCCCATGATGACTGCTGCAACTGACATTTTATACCACATCCTAGGCTGTAGGCAGGAAGAAGGGGCAAGGGCAGAAGGTGAAATCACTCACATTAATCAGTTCCTTTTCCAAAGCTTTCTCAGACGACTCAGGCAATGACTTTTGCTTTCACTTTATTAGCCACCGATATCTGCAGGGCAAGCTGGAAAAGTATTGCTTTAAAGCTGGGCACATTGCCACCCTCAACAATATAATGTTTCCATTAGTAATAAAGAAGGGGTTAGAGACCAGCCTGGCCAACATGGCAAAACCTCGTCTCTACAAAAAATACAAAAATTAGCCAGGCGTGGTGGCGTGCACCTGTGGTCCTAGCTACTTGAGAGGCTGAGGTGGGAGGATCAGTTAAGCCTGGGAGGTCAAGGCTACAGTGAGCTGTGATTGTGCCACTGCACTCCAACCTGGGTGACACCATGAGACCCTGTCTAACAACAACAACAAAAAGGGCAGGCAACTAGTAGCAATCTGTGCCACAATCTATACATTTCAATAATCATAATTTTGTGAATTGCTTGTAGCACACACTGAGCACTGTTAACAGAGGTCATCCTGAGGGATAAGGATGGAGGATCCTCAGTAGGGTCCCCTCACAGCAGAAAGCTCTCCATAGCACTTTGTCCAAGACTATTCTGGATGCTTCCTAGTTTCTGCTACCTTGTTTCTTTGCCAACACTGTGGCCTCACTGCCTCTTACACACCAATTCTCTTGCCTGGTGATATGGTTATGCTCTGTGTCCCCATCCAAATCTCGTGTTGAACTGTAATCCCCAATGTTGGGGGAGGGACCTTGTGTGAGGTGATTGGATCATGGGGGTGGATTTCCCACTTGCTGTTCTGGGATGGTGAGTGAGTTCTCATGAGATCTGGTTGTTTAAAAGTGTGCAGCACTTCCCCCTTCACCCTCTCTCTTCTGCCACCATGTGAAAACGTGCTTGCTTCCCTTCACCCTTCTGCCATGATTGTAAGTTCCCTGAGGCTTTCCAGCCATGCTTCCTGTACAGGCTGCAGAACTGTGAGTCAGGTAAACCTCTTTTCTTCATAGATTACCCAGTCTCAGGTAGTTCTTTATAGCAGTGTGAGAATGGATTAATACACCTGGATTTGGTCACTCACACACTGATGCCTCAGTCTGTTTCCACCATAGGCTCCTAATTGTACCCACTCAGCCTGGTAACTTACCTGTGTCCCCTCATGTCCGCCCTTAACCCCTATCCTATTGATAAGGTTTGGAGTTTGAATCTGTGTCCCCATCCAAATCTCATGTCAAATTGTAATCCTCAGTGTTGGAAGTGGAGCCTGGTGGGAGGTGATTGGATCATGAGGGTGGATTCTTCATGAATGGTTTGGCACCATCCCTTTGGTGCTGTTCTTATGATAGAGTTCTCATGAGATCTGGTTGTCTAAAAGTGTGTGGCACTCCCTCACTCTCTCTCTTCCTCCTGCTCTGGCCATGTGAGATGTCTCACTCCCCCTTTGCCTTCTGTCATGATTGTAAGTTTCCTGAGGCCTCCCCAGAAGCAGAAGCTGCTATGCTTCCTGTACAGCCCGCAGAACCATGAGTCAATTAAACCTCTTGTCTTTATAAATTACTCAGCCTCAGGTATTTTTTTTATAGCAGTGCGAGAACAGACTAACACAGAAAATTGGTACGAAGGAGTGGGGCACTGCTATAAAGATATCTGAAAATGTGGAAGCAACTTTGGAATTGGGTAAGTGGCAGAGGTTGGAAGAGTGTGGAAGGCTCAGAAGAAGACAGGAAGATGAGGGAAAGTTTAACAAGTTCCTAGAGACTTGTTAAATTGTTGTGACCAAATGCTGATAGTGATATAGACAATGAAGTCTAGGCTACGGAGGTCTCAGATGGAGATGAGGAACTTATTTGGAACTGGAGCAAAGGTCACATTTGTTATGCATTAGCAAAGAGGTTGGCTGCATTGTGCCCCTGTTCTAGGGATCTGTGGAACTTTGAACTTGAGAGTGATGATTTAGGGTATCAGGCAGAAGAAATTTCTAAGCCGCAAAACATTCGAGATATGGCCTGGCTATTTCTAACAACTATGCTCTTATGCGTGAGCCAAGAAATGACCTGAAACTGGAACATATATTTAAAAGGGAAGCAGAGTGTAAAAGTTTGGAAAATTTGCAGTCTGGCCATGCAGTAGAAAAGAAAAACCCATTTTCTGGGGGAGGAATTCAAGGCAGCTGCAGAAATTTGCATAAGTAAAGAGGAGCCAAGTGCTAATATCCAAGATAATGGGGAAAAGGCCTCCAAGGCATTTCAGAGACCTTCCTGGCAACCCCTTCCATCACAGGCCCAGAGGCCGAGGAGGGAAAGATGGTTTCATGGGCCAGGCCAGGACCCTGCCACCCTGCACAGCCTTGAGACACTGCTCCCTGTGCCCCAACCACTCCAGATCCAGCCTTGGCTCAAAGGGGCCCAGGTACAGCTTGGGCCACTGCTTCAGAGGGTGCAAACCATAAGCCCTGATGGCTTCCATATGGTGTTAAGCCTGCAGAAGCCCAAAGTGCAAGAGTTGAGGTTTGGGAGCCTCTGCCTAGATTTCAGAGGATGTATGAAACACCTGGATGTCCAGAGAGAAGCCTGCTGCAGGGGCAGAGCCCTCATGGAGAACCCCCACTAGGGCAGTGCTGAGGGGAAATACGGGGTTGGAGCCTCCAAACAACGTCCCCACTGGGGCACTTCGTAGAAGAGCTGTAAGAGGAGGGCCACCATCCTCCAGACCCCAGGATGGTAGATCCACTGGCAGCTCGCACCATGCACCTGGAAAAGTCGTAGGTACTCAATGCCAGCCCATGAGAGCAGCTGTGTGGGCTGAGCCCTGGAAAGCCACAGGGGCAGAGCTGCCCAAGGTTTTGGGAGCCCACCCCTTGCATCAGTGTGCCCTGGATGTGAGGCATGGAGTCAAAGGAGATTATTTTGAAGCTTTAACAGCTGCCCTGCTGGGTTTCAGACTTGTGTGGGGCCTGTAGTCCCTTTCTTTTGGCCGATTTATCCCTTTTGGAATGGGAGTATTTACCCAAGGCCTATACCCCCATTGTAGCTTGGAAGTAATTAACTTGTTTTTTATTTTGTAGGCTCATAGCAGATGGGAATTGCTTTGTCTCAGATGAGACTTTGGGCTGTAGACTTCTGAGTTAATGCTGGAATGAGTTAAGACTTTTGGGAACTGTTGGGAAGGCATAACTGGATTTTTCCATGTGAGAGGGTCATGAGATTTGGGAGGGGCCAGGGGCAGAATAATATGGTTTGGATCTGTGTCCCTATCCACATCTCATGTTGAATTGTAATCCCCAATGTTGGAGGTGGGGCCTGGTGGGAGGTGATTGGATCATGGGGATGGATTCTTCATGAATGATTTAGCACTATCCCTTTGGTGCTGTTCTCGTGATGGAGTTCTTATGAGATCTGGTTGTTTAAAGGTGTGTGGCACCTCCCTCACTCTCTCTCTTCCTCCTGCTCTGGCCGTGTGAGATGTCTCACTCCTTCTTTGCCTTCCACCATCATTGTATGTTTCCGGAGTCCTCCCCAGAAGCAGAAGCTGCTATGCTTCCTGTGCAGCCTGCAGAACCATGAGCCAATTAAGCATCTTTTCTTTATAAATTACCAGTCTCAGGGATTTCTTTATAGCAATGCAAGAATGAACTAATACACTCGTTTTCAACTTTACCATTCCCTGCTTGTCCCTGATCTCCTGAAAGGGTCCAGCCTTCCGTAGGTAATAAATTGCAGTTCTAATGGTTGACGGTTGCCCCAAATGTTGTTGAATTTATTTATTTATTTATTTATTTATTTATTTATTTATTTATTTATTTTTAGAGAAAGGGATTTGTTCTGTCACCGAGACTGGAAAGCAGTGGTATGATCATAGTTCACTTAAGCCTTGAACTCCCAGGCCCAAGAGGTCTGCCTGCCTTACCCTCCTGATTAGCTAGGACTACAGGCACACGCCGCCACGCCCAGCTACTTTTTAAAATCTTTTGTAGAGACAGAGTCTCTCTATTTTCCCAGGCTGGTCTCAAACTCCTAGCCTCAACCTAGCTGCAAGCAATCCTCCCACCTCAGCTTCCCAAGTTGCTGAGATTACAGTCATGGGCCATCTTGCCTGGCTAGGATTAGAATTGTTAACACATACCCTCATCGGAAACAACTTTAACAACTAGAGTATAGTGTTTATATACAGCTCCTTTCGTCTCTGGTCTTACAGTATCCACTCATTTCCAAAGTTACATACATCAGCACCTTTCCTCCCTATCCCCTTCAGTGAAATGATTTCATGCATTTGTAATGCAGCTAGATTCTTTTGTCATATTCTGTATTCCATCTTGCAATCACCTGACCTTCTAAATGACTTTTTTAATTGCATACATTGTCACTCTTTGTGCTATAAAGTTCTATAGGTTTTTGAATAATGCACAATATCATCTAACCCCATTATAATATCATACAGAATATTTTCACTGTCCTCAAATTGCCCTGTGCTTCACTTTTCAACCCTCCCCGTTCCTGGCCCCTTGGCAACCACTGATCTGTTTGTTATCTCTAGTTTTGCCTTTTACAGAATGTCATATAAAATGGAATCATGCAGTATGTAGCCTTTTCAGACTGGCTGCTTCCACTTAGCAAGAGGCATTTAGAATTCATCCATGTTTTTGCATGGCTTGATAGCAAATTTCTTTTTATCATTGAATAATGTTCACTGTATGGATGTACCACAGTTGGTTTATATATTTACCTATCAAAACACCTCTTGATTGCTTCCAGTTCTTGGTGATTATGAAAAAAGCTGCTATAAACATTAGTGTGCAGGTTTTTGTGTGGACATAACTTTCAAATTAGCTGGTTAAATACCTATGAGAACAATTGCTGGATTGTATGGTAAAACTATGTTTAGCTTTGCAGGAAAGACCAAATGGTCTTTCAAAGTGGCTGTACCATTTTTGCATCCCCGTCAGCAATGAGTGAGAATTACCGTTGTTCCTCATTCTCAACAGCAATTGGTATTGTCAGTTTTCTTTGGATTTTAGGATTCTAATAGCTGTGTATTGGTATCTGATTGTACCAGATACCTATTGTACTGTCTACTTTGGTAGACCACACAGTTTCTCCCACTCTGACATTTTATGCTGCCTTCTCTTTGGGGACTTACATCCAGGCTTTTTGGCATCATTTATTTAATAATGTCTTCACCTTCTCCAGATTTCTTGGTGGAAGGAGACCTGGCTGCAACCTTTGATACAGCTTTAAGTGCACTGTGAATTGCTGATAAAGATGCTACAGCATTTATCTGTAATGAAATGGGGTCTCTGGAGCTAGGACTTCCTCACTCGCAGCTCTCTAACAGCACAGTGTTGAAGGCTTAAGTTTTGCTGGCAGTTGGCTGGCCTGAGCTATAATGCCCAAGAACTAAACTATTCCAGGAACTAAAATGTGGTACACTCAAAACAACTTCTGAGCCCTTTCCCATCCATTTCTGCCGGGAATTCAAAACTCTGTCCTGGCACAAACTGATGGTACAATTCAGGTTTTACCCGCCCACACATAGCTGGGCAAATTCCTGGCCGTTAGGTAACCTCTGGGGGCTCACCAGTTCCCTCATCATCCTTCTCTCTGACCAGCTGTTCATGTCCAGTTAGCAGTTCTGGGTGACTCATATGACTACAGTTCATCCCAGAAGCCCCAGCTGAACTCCATTTTTATTATAAAACACAGAAAAGCATACAAAAAGAAAGTACAGAATAGCACATTATTATAAGGGCACACCCTCATAACTACCATCCAGGTCAAGAAGTAGTACTTTGCTAGCCACCCCGGAAGCCCCTCCATGGCCAGTATCCTGATTTTTATAGCAACCATTGCCTTATTCTTCTCTACAGCTTTATCACCCAAGTGTGTATCCTTAGACATTCTAGTTGTGCCATGCTCATTAAAAAGTTTGATTTGTCTATTTTTTTTTTTTTTTGACAGGTTCTGGCTCTGTTGCCCAGGCTGGAGTGCAGTGGTGCGACTTTGGCTCACTGCAACCTCTGCCTCCCAGGCCCAAGCCATCCTCCCACTTCAACCTCCCAAGTTAAGTAGCTGGGACTACAGGTGCATATATATATAAATATATATATACATATATAAATATATATACATACATAAATATATATACACATATATACACTCATATATGTGTATATATACATATATACGTATATATGTGTATATATATATTTTTTTTGTGGAGATGGGGTTTTTCCATGTTGTCAAGGCTGGTCTCAAACTTCGGCCTTCCAAAGTGCTGGGATTACTGGCATGAACCGCCGTGCCTGGACTTGATTCATCTTTTAAATCTCTTTTAATCTACAGTTTTCTTCTATGACTTTTTTTTTTCTTTGAGATGGGGTCTCCCTCCGTTGCCCAGGCTGGAGTACAGTGGCTCAATCTCGGCTCACTGCAACCTCCACCTCCCTGGTTCAAGTGATTCTCCTGTCTCAGCCTCCCAAGTAGCTGGGGCTACAGGTTCATGCCACCACGCCTAGCTAATTTTTGTATTTTTAGTAGAGACAGGGTTTCACCATATTGGTCAGGCTGGTCTCGAACTCCTGACCTCAGGTGATCCACCAGCCTCAGCCTCCCAAAGTGCTGAGATTACAGGCGTGAGCCACCGCACCCTGGCCGTCTATGACCCTTTCTTTTCTTTATTCTCTACTTGTTGAAGAACAAGACAATTTGACCTATAGTTTCCTAAAATCTGCATTTTGCTGATGACACACTGATGGTGCATTTCAACATGTATTCTGCTCCCTGCCTTTCTTGCAAATTGTCATTTGGATCCAGAGGTTTGATTAGACTGAATTTCCATCTTTTTTGCAAGACTATAAGTGGTGCTGAGTTCTGAGACATGTAATGTCTGGTCGTGTCTCCTTTTGTGATTTTAGCAGCGGTTGATTCTCATTGCCTAGATCAATTAATTCATAGAGTGTTGCAAAATGATTATAATCTAATTCTATCATTTTATTTCATTTATTAGTTGGGATAATTGGATAATTTTATAAAGAGATGCTTCCCCGATCTATTATTTGGTTACCTAGTGGTGCAGTTTCTAAAGGAAAAGCAGGATATATGTTTTATTTTTTCCCTTTTTTATCCGTTTTCAGATGATGAATTGGTCCCCTGACATCTTTCAAGGTGGCCAGTTTTTAAATATCACCATGAATTTAAACATTTAAACATGTTTTATAGGTTTTAATTTGTTGCATTTTTATTGTGGCAAAATATATATAACAAAATTTAGCATTTGAACCATTTTTAAGTATACAGTTTTATGGCATTAAGTATCTACTGCATTTTAATACTTATTGAAGCTCTGTTTCACTTTTAAAAACCTGTTCTTTTTTTAAAAATCTTTAAATATTTCCTAGCCTAGAGCCTTTTGAATGAAATTAGGAGAACCTCATTCCCACAATTTGCTTTCCTCTTATGTCCTTACTTCCCAATCAGCACAAGGAAACATGAGCCGAAGTGAGAAGTGAAACACCCCACCTCACAGATGCTGTCTGCAGTGTCACAAGTTATGACTCACGTTTAGCCCAGAGATTGTTGCCAGAGTTAGCAGGAGGAAGACCGGCTTTCGAAGTGTGCCAGGGCTGAGGTTTTAAAATTAATACAGTTTAAACATTAATGATGTTTAAATCAGAGCCGGATTACTTCTGTTCTGCCCACAGGCTTTATTAAAATTCACCCCTGGATTTTCATGTATAAAAATATTTGAGTTTCAAATACTTTAACTTTTTTTTAAATTGGAAAATATGTGGATGGAGAGTTTTCCCTTTGAACTTTAACCCAGACTTTGGCAGCTGAGGAGACAGCTGCAGAAACCTTGCACAATACAGTTGAATGGACAAGTTGTCCTGACATTTATTCATTTCTCTCCTTTTGAGTTAGTTGGTTCCCTATTTTTATTTTCCCCCGTCTTCATTCTGGGCTTACCCGCTCAGTTGACAAATAGTTGGGAATCCAACCGACAAGTATACATGGAAGCATTACAAGTTTCTTTTCTAAAGTCTATGAGAAAAATTTTCATAAAGAAATCAAAGCCCACATATAAATAAATTTCGGCAAAGTAGAAACAATATCCACAAGAGTCAATATATGGCTGTTTTGGATATAAGGAAGTCCTGTATCGGGCTCCATTCCAGAGTGCTTTAAAAAGTAGGATACACCAGGGCCGGGCGCGGTGGCTCACGCCTGTAATCTCAGCACTCTGGGAGGCCGAGGTGGGTGAATCATGAGGTCGGGAGATCGAGACCATCCTGGCTAGCACGGTGAAACCCCATCTCTACTAAAAATACAAAAAGTTAGCTGGGCGCGGTGGTGGGCACCTGTAGTCCCAGCTACTCGGGAGGCTGAGGCAGGAGAATGGCGTGAACCCGGGAGGCAGAGCTTGCAGTGAGCCGAGATTGTGCCACTGTACTCCAGCCTGGGCGACAGAGCGAGACTCCGTCTCAAAAAAAAAAAAAAGTAGGATATACCCAAGTATCCCAGTGCTGGGACACCACTATCTTAACAAGTACTGAGGAGGTAGAGGAAAGCTTATTTAGAGTAACAATGACAGGAGATTGATGGCCATGTCAAATGAAATGGTATTTTCAAGCCTATCTACTGAAAATGAAAAGCAAATAAATAATAATTAATTTATTCATTGACAAATATTTCTTTCTTTCCTTTTTTTTTCTTTTTTGAGACAGAGTCTTGCTCTGTTGTCCATGCTGGAGTGCAGTGGCACAATCTTGGCTCACTGCAACCTCCACTTCCTGGTTTCAAGCAGTTCTCATGCCTCAGCCTCCTGAGTAGCTGGGGCTACAGGTGCCTGCCACCACACCTGGCTGATTTTTTGTATTTTTAGTAGAGATGGGGTTTCACCATGTTGGTCAGGTTGGTTTCGAACTCCTGGCCTCAAGTGATCCACCCTCCTCGGCCTCCCAAAGTGCTGGGATTACAGGCGTGAGTCACCACGCCCAGCCTCACTGACAAATATTTCTGAAGTGCCAGTTATATACTGAGCTCTGTGCCTGGTGCTGGGAACATGGCTATGAAAGGTCTTCACAGATCCAATGGTTGAGAAGGGGAAGCAGACCAGCATCAAGAACTGTGAAGGGTCTGAGATTTTATCCTACTTACAAGCTAATAAGATAACTTGTCACAGTTTCATGGATGTGGACAGAAAACATGAGACTCTTGGGTCAAAGGCGAAGGATTTCATTACTCATGACACAGCAAGCAGTATAAGCATGAGCACATTTACATCAGTTCCCTGTGTCCCCCAAGTCTGATGATGGTGATATGGATGTGCTCAGATGAAGGTCTGCACACACAGTGGATTGCATTAAAGGAGAAAAATACTAGAGTTAGGGAATCTAAATTTTTTATAATAGGTGGTGAGCATGCTTACCCTTTACTCTGGAGGGAGATGCCACCTCTATCTTCCAAGCTTGTTAGCCATACAAACATCCTTAAAAAGACAGTCTGGAACAAGCAAATGGCAGTCTAGATCAGTCAATAGACAAGCACTCCCAGATGTGGATGAGCCTAGCCAAGATGAGCAGGGTTGTTTAGCTGGCCTCCAGTTGACCCCAGACATGTAAGCAATAAACACTCTGTTTATCACTGAGATTTTGTGGTTGTTACATGACTTTATGATAGCAATAAACAACTGATACCATCACACATGGCTTCTTAATTCCAAAATCTAATTTCTCTTTTCTATTGTAACCAAAGATTTCTGAAATACAGATCTTATCAGATCACTTCACTGTCTAAAAGCCTTCGGCTATAGACTGCAACTCTAACAGGAAATCCAAAGTCCTTGGTGGTCTGGTTCCTATTTTCTTTTTATTTATTTAATTAATTAATATATTTAAGCTGACAAATAAAAATTGTATATACTTATGGTATACAACATGATGTTTGCCCATTATTATTATTATTATTTATTTTTCGAGACAGAGTCTTGCTCTGTCTCCCAGGATGGAGTGCAGTGGCGCCATCTCAGCTCATTGCAACCTCCACCTCCTGGGTTCACGCCATTCTCCTGCCTCAGCCTCCGGAGTAGCTGGGACTACAGGTGCCCGCCACCGCGCCCAGCTAATTTTTTGTATTTTTAGTAGAGCCGGGGTTTCACTGTGTTAACCAGGAT
This sequence comes from Homo sapiens, assembly GCF_000001405.40. Lineage (NCBI taxonomy): Eukaryota > Metazoa > Chordata > Mammalia > Primates > Hominidae > Homo > Homo sapiens. The sequence continues at coordinate 40,942,879 of NC_000023.11, read as the reverse complement.
GGTCTCGATCTCCTGACCTTGTGATCTGCCTGCCTCGGCCTCCCAAAGTGCTGGGATTACAGGCGTGAGCCACTGCGCCCGGCCTGCCCATTATTTTTTTAACTTCACCTTTTACCTCTCATTCCTCTCATTGTATTTCCCTCTCATTCTCTTTCTTGCTTCTGGCATTCCACTCACATAGATTACACAAATTTCCCTGCACTTAAGAAAAACAAAATCTTTAGAATACTTTTTAAGATTATAAAAGTTATTTATTCAGGCTGGGCACCGTGGCTCACTCCTGTAATCCCAGCACTTTGGGAGGCCGAGGCAGGTGGATCACTTGAGGCCAGGAGTTTGAGACTAGCCTGGCCAACATGGCAAAATCCTGTCTTTACTAAAAATACAAAAATTAACCCCGTGTGGTGGCACATACCTGTGATCCGAGCTACTCGGGTGGCTGAGGCACAAAAATTGCTTGAACTCAGGAGGCAGACGCTGCAGTGAGCCAAGATGGTGCCACTATACTACAGCCTGGGCGACAGTGCAGGACTCTGTCTCAAAAAAAAAAAGTTATTTATTCATTTTAGTAAATCTGAAATGTATAGAAATGTACAAAGAGCATCACCCAGGGCAACCTTCCCTTGAGGCTTTTGTTCCTCCAGCTCTTTTTGCATATCTGGTTTACACTAATATCAGATGCTTTTGTTTATCATCACTAGGTGTAAAAGTATTTTCTATTTAGAAAATTTGGAGGAAAAGAAACACCACTAATAATTTAAAAAGACAAATGAGCATTTAAGAACTATGATAGCCAAGGAGCTAATATCTTTACCATATAAATGGTTTCTACAAATCAATTAATAAATATACAGTAGGCCGTCCCTATCCATGGGTTCTGTATCTGTGGATTCAACCAACTTTGGGTAAAAAAAAAATTGGAAAAAAACCCAACAAAAAATAACAATACAACAATAAAAAGAAGACAAATTAAAAACCAATACAGTATAACAACTATTTACATAGCATTTACATTGTATTGGGTATTTTAAGTAACCTAGAGATGATTTAAAGTATACAGGAGGATGTTGTAGGTTATATGCAAATATGACACCATTTTATCTCAGGAACTTGAGCATCTACCATGCAGATACCAAGGGCCGACTGTATATACATGAGAGGGCAAAGAATAAAACAGGCAACTCCCAGATAACTACAAATGACCAAAACACAAAACAAAAATACGTTCACCTTTAAAGGTGCAAATTACAACAATGTACATAATGTTTAACTTAGATTAGCTAAGTTAAAAAATAATAAATCTGAGTGTTAGCATGGGTACTCTCATACACTGCTGGTGTATGTGTAAATTGTCATAACCTTTCTGGAGGGCAATGTAGCATGGTTTGTTAAAAGATCTATAAGGTTCTGACCCTTTGATCTTCTAATTCTACTTCTAGCAATTTATCATAAAGAAATGATCAGTTATGTGTGTGCAGAGATGTTCACTGCAAGGCTGTGTAATGGAAAGCAAGTAGAAATGACAAAATTTCCAAGGGGAAATTGAATATGTTAATCATGGTACATTTCATCAACGGGTTACTTTCTGATCATTAAAATAATGAAGTAGAGCTATATTTATTGACATGGAAAGATGTAAAAACATAGTTAAGTGAGGAAAGTGGAATATGAAACTGAATATTTTTCAGTCACCTCCGTATATATATCTGTATATTATTTCTTTAAAGATTATCTGAATACTGATATTTCTTTAAAGAATACACCAAGATATACTGCATAATCTCACCTATAGGTGGAATCTAGAAAAGTCAAACTCATAGAAGTAGAGAGTAAAATGGTGGTTATCAGAGGCTGGGATCTGTGGGGGTGGAGAAGGGGGAGATGTTAGGAAAAGGTACAGAATTTCAGACAGGAGGAATAAGTTCTGGTGATGCGTTGCACAGCATGGTGACTACAGTTAATAATAATGTATATTTCAAAATTGCTAAAAAGGTAGATTTTATTTTTATTTTTATTTATTTATTTAGAGACTGAGTCTCACTCTATCACCCAGGCTGGAGTGCAGTGGCGCGATCTTGGTTCACTGCAACCTCTGTCTCCCGGTTCAAGTGATTCTCATGCCTCAGCCTCCCCAGTAGCTGGAATTACAGGTGCCTGCCACCACGCCTGGCTAATTTTTGTACTTTTAGTAGAGACGGAGTTTCACCATGTTGGTCAGGCTGGTCTCGAACTCTTGATCTCAAGTGATACGCCCGCCTTGGCCTCCCAAAGTGCTGGGATTACAGGTGTGAGCCACCGTGCCCGGCCCAAAAAAGGGTAGATTTTAAATATTCTCACCACAAAATAGTAAGTTTGTGAGGTGATAGATACATTAGCCTGATTTGCTCATTTCACAATGTTTACATGTATCATAACATCACATTGTACCTCATTAATTGTCAATTAAAATAAAAGTAACAAAAAGAATATGTCAAGATATTATGAGTGGTTATTTCTGGACGATGGGGTTATGGTAGTTTTAAATTTTATTCCTGAATTTTCACTTTTTAATTTATCTAAAATGGCCTGGGTGCAGGGGCTCACGCCTGTAATCCCAGCACTTTGGGAGGCCAAGGGAGGAGGATCTCTTGAGGTCAGTAGTTCAAGACCAGCCTGGGCAACATGGTGAAACACGGCCCCGTCTCTACTAAAAATACAAAATTAGCTGAGCATGGTGGTGTGCACCTGTAATCCCAGCTACTCAGGAGGCTGAGGCAGAAGAATCGCTTGAACCTGGGAGGTGGAGGTTGCAGTGAGCCGAGATCACGCCATTGCACTCCAGCCTGGGCAAGAGAGTGAGACTCCCTCTCAAAAAAAAAAAAAAAAAGTTTATCTGAAATGAAATATGGATTACTTGCATATTTAATTAGGAAAACAGAGGATTGATTGGCATCTTCTTTTAGTTATTTTTTATTTTGTTTTATTACATTTCTTGTTTGCACTTATAGTCAACATAACAGGAGATAAGTTCAGAACATTGTTGGTTGTGCTTTTGATAAGCTCCTGACACCAGGCCACTTTATAATTACTCTCATGAGAATTTTCCTTTGCTCAAAGTCTTTATTCCTTTTTTTTTTTTTTTTTTTTTGAGACAGGGTCTCACTCTATCACCCAGGCTAGAGTGCAGTGCAGTAGCACAATCATGGCTCACTGCAGCCTCGACTTCCCAGGCTCAAGCGATCCTCCCACCTTAGCCTCCCAAGTAGCTGGGACTACAGGTGTGTGCCACCACACCCAGCTAATTATTGTATTCTTTGTAGAGATGGGTTTTGCCATGTTGCCCAGGCTGGTCTTGAACCCCTGCCCTCAAAAGATCCTCCTGCCTCGGCCTCCCAAAGTGCTGGGATTATAGGCATGAGTCCCTGCACCCAGCCCTGCTCAAAGTCTTTGGGTGGCAGCCTGGGCCAGGGAGCCCTGATCTCTGTGAGGGACTTACAGCACTCCCACCTATGGCACCTGTTCAGAGGTTCCCAGTGTGACTCAGATCAAGCATAGCTCATTTGACAAAATTTATGAATTATAAGTTTGCTTGCTAAAGGGAAAAGGGTTTTGTTTTTTTGGTTTTTTTTGAGACAGGGTCTCACTCTGTTGCCCACGCTGGAGTGCAGTGGTGTAAGCATAGCTCACTGTAACCTTGAACTCCTGGGCTCAAGCAATCCTCCCACTTGGTCTCAAGTGATCCTCACACCTCAGCCTTCCTAGTAGCTAGGACAACAAGCATGCGCCACTGTGTCTGGCTAATTTTTTATTTTTATTTTTGTAGAGATGCTATGTTGCCCAGATTTGTCTCAAACTCCTGAGCTAAAGTGATCCTCCTGCCTGGGCCTCCCAAAGTGCTGGGATTACAGGCATAAGCCACAGTGCCTGGTCGAAGGGGGAAAGATTTAAATACGCAATGGCATGGATCCCAAAGGCTCAAATAGGATTCACCATGGGAATGCTTTGATGTCCTTCTCTTCTAGAAACCACACCCTACCTTTTTATAGACTTCCTATATTCGTCATCTATCATCGTCTAACAAATTATTCCAAAACTTAGTGGTTTAAAACAACAATAATCATTTATTATCTTTTATGGTTTCTGTGAATCAGGGATTCAGAGAAGGGACAGCAGAGACAGCTTGTCTCTGCTCCACGATGTCTGGACCTCAGCTGGGAAGACTCAGTATTTGCAAGCTGGAATCCTCTGAAGGCTTACTCATATATCTGGTGGCTGATGCTGGCTGTCAGCCAGAACATCTACACACTGTGGTCCTCTCATGTGGCCCAGACAGTGCGATGGCTGGGTCCAAGAGCAAGTATCCTGAGAGAGCGTGCAGTGGAAGCTGTGTCCTTTATACAACGTAGCCTTGGAAGTCATGTTAATATCATTCCGCTATACTCCATTGGTCAGAGCAGTCACAGCCTCTGCCCAGATGTCAGAGGAGGGAATGTAGACCCTACATTGTATGTGGAGTATGTGGAGTGGGATACACACATTGATGCAGTCATCTTGGGAAAATACAACCTGGCACACTTCCCAAATTTCAACAGGAACTCACCAAACATCTTGGATCTATATTCTTCAAAAAGAAATGAAAATCTCGGAGAACTTTCTTTCTTCTCTCCCTTCTTTCCCTCTATCTCTGCCTCCCTTCTTCCTTCCCTCTATCTCTGCCTCCCTTCTTCCTTCCCTCCATCCTTCCCTCTCATTCTTCCTTCCCTTCAGTTATAGACAGCATAACTATCAGTGAGTTACTGTTTCACAGTGTGACGTCTTGCCAGCAGGGTCATTCTGATGGTCTGCCTGGGGGCTCCCTAATTTTTTTTTGAGACAGAGTCTCACTCTGTTGCCCAGGCTGGAGTGCAATGGCGTGATCTCGGCTCATTGCAACCTCCACCTCCCGGGTTCAAGCGATTCTCGTGCCTCAGCTTCCTGAGTAGCTGGGATTACAGGTGTGCACCACCTTGCCTGGCTAATTTTCATAGTTTTAGTAGAGATGGGGTTTAGTAGAGACAGGGGTTTCACCATGTTGGCCAGACTGGTCTCGAACTCCTGACCTCAAGCGATCCACCCGCCTTGGCCTCTCAAAGTGCTGGGATTACAGGTGTGAGCCATTGCGCATGGCCTCGCTGATTTTATTTTTGCTATGTTTATATTTTATTTTCCACATCGCCACATTCTTTATGCTATAGAGACAAGAAGGCTATCTTCTCAAACAATCCTTTGTCATATCTTACCTAATTATTTCCAAGAAAGATTTTATAACATTAAAAATGTCAGAATTAGGGCAATGTTTTCCTTTCACTATATTCCGGGCACTGTTCCAAACAGACCCTTTACAAATATTAACTTGCTTACTCTTCATAACATTATTCTGAATATACAGATGAGAAAACTGAGGCACAGAGAAGTTAAGTAACTTGCCCAAGGTCACAAAGCTATCACATGGCAGAGACAGGTGTCAAACTCAGGGCATCTGGCTCCTAAATCTATATTCTTAACCACCATGTTATGTTGCCTCTCTATCATTATTCTACTCCACTGGCTCCTTATTAACTTGAGCAACAAGAAATATAGCCTCCGAACCTCCACCTCCTGGGTTTGGGTGATTTTCCTGCCTCAGTCTCCTGAGCGGATGGGATTGCAGGCATGTGCCACCATGTCCGGCTCATTTTTGTATTTTTAGTAGAGACGGAAACAGGGTGTCACCATGTTGGCCAGGCTGGTCTCAAACTCCTGACCTTGGTTGGTCCACCTGCCTGGGCCTCCCAGGGTGCTGGGATTGCAGGCGTGAGCAACTGCGCCCCGCCTTTGTGTACCTTATGTGAGGAAGTCCTGCTCTTAATCAGGATCAGTCATGCAGGCCCTGATCTTGCTACTCTGGTTCCATGTCCTGTGAAGACCAAAGCTTACCAAGATAGCTTTTTCCCTTCATGGTGGCAGATAGTGTTGCCCCCTGCACCATCTATAACTGGGAAATGGCCACTATTTCTTCCCTTGGGCTTCAGGATAGAATTACCTGGTTTCTCTGATGATCAGCACTCTTCCTTAAAACCCAAATCAGGAAGGAATGAACAATTTTCTGTGTTTGGCATGGATGAAATTAGCACTGTTTGGCTTTGTAGGCCCCAGACAGGCAGGCAGCTTAATTTTTTCCTTGCATATTCTAGTCTTCATAAGTATTACCCTTTGTCCTGCTGGTAATGACATAGTAGATAGTATACCAGCAACTGGGCATCTGGGGATTTTAATCCTGAAAACAGTGGGTCTGATACTGCTTGTGTTTTTCATCAGTGTCCACCCCAAGTGGGTCTTCCTGCTACTCCCTTCACTTAGTTGCCCCCTACTTGCCATCTGAGCAGTTGGTGAGGATGTCCCAGGCCTAGGTTAAACTTGGAGACATGCTTGACCATTCTATTCCCTGCTCCTTTCAGATCAGTTTGGCTGCAATTTTGGTTCCTGGGACCCTCGAGCATAGCTGGGAAATCAAGTTAGAGGTGTAACTGCTTTAAAATGTGCCAGCTTATGAGGTAATTAGATTGGTTCTCTCCAGAGGTAAACTTCCAAGAAGAGATGCTATAGATGCTACTCTTACGCTGTAAAACATTGTGAAATCAGATTACTTTCAAATGATGTATTACAAAGTTATGGAAAAAAAGCAGTTGTGACTATGGAAGCCCAAGGCTTATATCCCAGCTGTCTTACACTAAATATGGGTACTGTGTTTCCTCTCTTTGTCTGCAAAATGGGAGCTAATATCCTCCAATCTGTGTGCCTGACATGGTGGTTAAAAGGATTAAGCAAAACAATAGTTTGTAATTTATTCTGTCAGAGCAAACTACTGGTAAATAAATAAAAGGGAGTAAGTTGACTAAAAAAATTTTTTTATAAATAAGAAAAACCATAATAAAACAAGTTTGTAATTTGTAATTGTATACAAATAAAAGATGTTATTTAAAAAAAAAAAAGAGCTTCTTTTCAGAGAAAACACCAAATGGCGGATGACGCCGGTGCAGCGAGGAGGGTCCGGAGGCCCTGGTGGCCCTGGGATGGGGAACCGCGGTGGCTTCCGCGGAGGTTTCGGCAGTGGCATCCGGGGCCGGGGTCGCGGCCGTGGACGGGGCCGGGGCCGAGGCCGCGGAGCTCGCGGAGGCAAGGCCGAGGATAAGGAGTGGATGCCCGTCACCAAGTTGGGCCGCTTGGTCAAGGACATGAAGATCAAGTCCCTGGAGGAGATATATCTCTTCTCCCTGCCCATTAAGGAATCAGAGATCATTGACTTTTGCTTGGGGGCCTCTCTCAAGGATGAGGTTTTGAAGATTATGCCAGTGCAGAAGCAGATCCGTGCCGGCCAGCGCACCAGGTTCAAGGCGTTTGTTGCTATCGGGGACTACAATGGCCACGTCGGTCTGGGTGTTAAGTGTTCCAAGGAGGTGGCCACCGCCATCCGTGGGGCCATCATCCTGGCCAAGCTCTCCATTGTCCCCGTGCGCAGAGGCTACTGGAGGAACAAGATCGGCAAGCCCCACACCGTCCCTTGCAAGGTGACAGGCCGCTGCGGCTCTGTGCTGGTGCGCCTCATCCCTGCACCCAGGGGCACTGGCATCGTCTCCGCACCTGTGCCTAAGAAGCTGCTTATGATGGCTGGTATCGATGACTGCTACACCTCAGCCCGGGGCTGCACTGCCACCCTGGGCAACTTCGCCAAGGCCACCTTTGATGCCATTTCTAAGACCTACAGCTACCTGACCCCCGACCTCTGGAAGGAGACTGTATTTACCAAGTCTCCCTATCAGGAATTCACTGACCACCTCGTCAAGACCCACACCAGAGTCTCCGTGCAGCGGACTCAGGCTCCAGCTGTGGCTACAACATAGGGTTTTTACACAAGAAAAATAAAGTGAATTAAGCGTGAAAAAAGGAAAGAAAGAAAGAAAGAAAGAAATATAGCCTCTGAGCCAGGTGTGGTGGTGCACACTTGTAATCCCAGCTACTGGGGAGACTGAGGCAGGCGGATTGCTTGAGTTCAGGAGTTTGAGGCTGCAGTGAGTTATGACTGCATTACTGCACTCCAGCCTGGGCAACGGAATGAGACCCCGATTCTTAAAAGAAAGAAAGAAAGAAATGGATTGTGGAAAATCATGAGCTCTCAGATGTATAAAATAATGGGTTGCTGGCTGGGCGCGGAGGCTCACGCCTGTAATCCCAGCACTTTGAGAAGCCAAGGCAGGTGGATCACCTGAGGTCAGGAGTTCAAGACCAGCCTGGCCAACATGGTGAAACCCCACCTCTACAAAAAATACAAAAATTAGCCGAGCATGGTGGCGGGCTCCTGTTATCCCAGCTACTGGGGAGACTGAGGCATGAGAATTGCTTGAACTCGGGAGGCAGAGGCTGCGGTGAGCCGAGATAGCGCCACTGCACTCCAGCCTGGGTGACAGAGTGAGACTCCATCTCAAAACAACAACAACAATAATAATAATAGGTTGCTAGAGAAATATTCCTGGATTCCTGGAATAGGCCCAGAGGGAGGGGTTTGTACCAACCCCAAACTTGCCCCTGCCCTTGTCCCTCCCTGCCTTAGTAAGTTCACAGGGACTTGCCTGAGGCTGCCCTCTGGCTGGCCTAACCACACTTAACAATTCTCTGCCCCAGATGAGGGATGGTAGTTTGCTAGATCTAACGTGGTGAAATATACAAGGAATTCAAAGCATTTTGTTAATATTTTGTAATATTTTTCACACAGAGTTCCTGTAATGGGGTATTGTTGCCTCTGTGTTGCAGTTAAGAGACAATGAGATTTAGAGTGACTTCCTCATATCACACAGTCAAAGGACTTCTGAGAAGTGAACAAAGTTCTGCAGACATAAGGCTTCTGACTTTTACCACTGCCAAGTAATCTCCCCCGAACAGCCTCTCCCCACCATATCAGGTTTCCTTGGCTGAGTATTTAGGAGGCTGCTGGTGAGTCTAATCACTTGGGACATCTTAATAACTGAAGTCACATTGGAGGGGAAAACTCATAAAGAGGCTGTGGGTGATTGAGGGCATCTTCTCAGAAGTCTGGCTCCAAACACGCGTGTTGCCACATACTTGGAATTCTGCGAAGAGAATGCAGAAATATTTCAATCAAAATATCAGTGAGGTTTATCTGATTCTTCCAATACAGTGTTTTCAGAGAAGGAGCAAGCGCTCCAGTAACTGAAAAGCAGCGTTTATTCAAAACAGTAAATGAAGTATTTGTTATTGGCAAAAACAAAGACATAATGTGGATCCCGAGGCAGACTTTCAGGAAGCCAGGGGTGGAGGAGAGAAAGGAAAGAAGAACTGAAAGAGAGAAAGCTTAGAAAAATATGCAGTTTGGTCTTGGACCTTTGCCAGGAAAAGCTGGGTAATGAAGGATTAAAACCGAAACAAAATGAAAAGGAAATAAGGGTAGGAAAGGGCCACGAAGAATAAAGAGCTGGTGATGTGTTTAGTATAAATGAAAAGATCCCAATCTTATTGTGGGTTAGGAGTGTGGGCATGGGGGATGGGGACAGCAGGCTGAGGTCAAACTCAGGGAAAAAAAAAATTAAAAACCCCAGCAAATAAACAAGCAGAGGGGAAAAGATGAGTAAGTAGAAAGAGAAAAGGAAGCACTTTTAACAGGAAGCCGACCAAAATAGATATGTACAGTGCCATCTGAAGGGAAAGGGGGAGAAGGGGCCATTAACGCCATGTAAGCTTAGGAATTTGGGGAGAGATGATTTTAAATATTAAAAAACAGAGGACCCAGCCTGGCCAACATGGTGAAACCCCATCTCTACTAAAAACATAAAAATTAGCTGGGCATGGTGGCGGGCGCCTGTGGTCCCAGCTACTCGGGAGGCTGAGGCAGGAGAATCGCTTGAACCTGGGAGGCGGAGGTTGCAGTGAGCCGAGATCGCGCCACTGCACTTCAGGACACAGTGAGACTCTGTCTCTAAATAAATAAATAAAACAAAAAACAGAGGCCCTTTCGAATGACCTGCAGATTCTATCCCTGTGAATTACAGAGGGCGGAGGCTCTGGATGGTGTCACAGGAATGGTTGGCTGCCATATTTTCCATCCCAGAAGTCAGCCAATTTCAAGGCCAGTGGACAGGATCATAATCACTGTTTTTCAAGGGCTCCAAAGGCCTAGGGTGGCCGTCAGTGGGGCAAGAGGATGAGGGGATGTGTAAGGCCATGAAGGCATTGGGATGGATGAGTGGGTTGGTTGGCAAGAACCCCTGACCACCTGGCTGCAAACATCACAGTAGAGAGCCAGGCCTTGCCTGACCATGGTCTCAAAAAACTTCATCTCCTACTGCTAGGACCACTTGATGTCCATCTGTTGGTGCAGCCTTCTCTCAGCTCTAGGACAAATTCTGGCCTTAGCTGGACTCTCAGGAACCCTAGCCCCATATGCTGGGACCTGGAAACAGGGCATCCTTGCTGCTTATATTGTCTTGACCTTGGGGTTTTTGTTTCCCTAACTGGAAGCTACAGTTCTACATGTTCTTAGCTACAGTTCTACTCTTGACCCTCTCTTGGTCTTGGATTTGTTCCTTGTATTTAAGGCCATGCCTTAGGCCCCTGTCTGCCTCCTAATGCCCTCTAAGGCTGGGGCTCCTGACTTAGTCTTGGCAGGCTCCTTGCCATAACCCAGAATGCTGCCAAAACTCCTTCCTGGTGATTGGCTCCAACTACTGGAGACAGATGACTCTGTCACCCATTGCCTGTCTGTCCTCTTGGCTCTCTAAGCATTGCTTAAGCCTGGATTTCCATCAGATGCTCTGAGCACCTTTAGGGAATTCTGTTCATCCATCTTTGGCCCTCCTAATGCTGCCTGTGTCCCACGGTCAGTCAGCTGCCTTTGCCATATATGTCAGATGCCACGGGCTGTCTGCTATATTGGACTGCTCTCAGCTCAGAAGCTGGGTCTGTGACCCATGTATCTGCAGCTGTGCCTGTCTCACTAGCATCAGTGTTATTCCAGAGGCCGAGGGGAAGGTGGTTTGAGGTGCCAGTACTTCCCAGCATGCCCCATCTTACTGCAGCCCACTTGGTCATTCTCAGGGGTCTTCTGAACTTAAAAAAAAATAGAAGTAAAAAAATAGCTTGTTTTAGTATCTTCAAAAATAATTTACCAGCAGGGTTGTATATTTAACTACACTGGAGCACAGAAGAAAGTAGAAAAGACATGTTTAGAATTCAGAGAGGCCAGGCACAGTGGCTCACACCTGTAATCCCAGCACTTTGGAGGCCGAGGCGGGCAGATGGTTTGAGCCCAGGAGTTTGAGACCAGCCTGGCCAACATGGTGAAACCCCGTCTTTACGAAAAATACAAAAATTAGTTGGGCATCACGGCGGGCCCCTGTAGTCCTAGCTACTCGGGAGGCTGAGGCGGGAGAATTGCTTGAACCCAGGAGGTGGAGGGTGCAGTGAGCTGAGATCGCGCCACTGCATTCCAGCCTGGGCGACAGAGTGAGACTCCATCTCAAAAGAAAAAAAAAAAAATTCAAACATGTGACAGACATTGACCTTGACCTACTCACATTCCCTTGGCACTCACTCTTCCAGTACAAGACTAAGGCCTCCAACCGCAAGCACCTGTGAGTCTGCCTGTGCACTGGCGCTCAGCTGCGGGCAGGGCAGGCAGGAAGTGCCAGAGAGTGAACACCCCTGGCAGCAGCCCTCAGCCAAAGATGGAAAAGAGTTTAGGATAAATACCGTGTGTGTGTGTGTGTGTGTGTGTGTGTGTGTGCGCGCGCGTGCGCGCGTGTGTGTGTGATGTACGACTAAACCCCAAAGTGCAGTCTACACTTTCTCACAGAGCTCTCCAGTGGGATGGTGCCTCGGTTGCCCATAACTGTAACATGTTTCATAACTCACCCTTTTTTTTTTTAAGAGATGGAGTCTCGCTCTGTCGCCCAGGCTGGAGTGCAGTGGTGCGATCTCGGCTCACTGCAAGCTCCGCCTCCCGGGTTCACGCCATTCTCCTGCCTCAGCCTCCCGAGTAGCTGGGACTACAGGCGCCTGCCACCATGCCCAGCTAATTTTTGTATTTTTAGTAGAGACGGGGTTTCACCGTGTTAGCCTGGATGGTCTCAATCTCCTGACCTCGTGATCTGCCCGGCCCATAACTCGCCCTTTTAAGCTTCCCTTCTCTTTCTTGTCTCATTTTCCCACTTTCTTACGGTATTTCCTGAGAGCATCTCCCTCCGTACTCCCCAAATTTGTGCTCATATTTTTGTCTTGTGGTCTGCTTCTAGGAGAATCCAAGCTAAGACAAGAAGTTTCATTTCATATTCAAGGTTAAGGATCTAATTGTTTTTCTGAGAAGGCACACTTGCTTTGAACACCAGTGTAATACTGTAATAGACTTTCTTTTCCTTTCCTTTCCTCTCCTCTCCTCCCCTCTCCTCTCCTTCCTTTCTCTCTCTCTCTCTCTCTCTCTCTCCTTCAGAGTCTCACTCTGTTGCCCAGGCTTGAGTGCCATGGTGCGATCTCAGCTCACAGCAAACTCTGCCTCCCGGGTTCAAGTGATTCTCTTGCTTCTTGCTTCAGCCTCCCAAGTAGCTGGGATTACCCATGCCCACCACCACTCCCAGATAATTTTTGTATTTTTAGTAGAAATGGGGTTTCACCATGTTGGCCAGGCTGGTCTCGAACTCTTGACCTCAAGTGATCCTCCTGCCTCGGCCTCCCAAAGTACTGGGATTACTGGTGTGAGCCACGGTGCCCAGCCCTGTAATACCCTTTCTATGATACATTATGATAGAGAAAAATACCAAAGTCTCCTGTGAACAGCACTTCTTACCTGGGTTACATGGACTCTAGTGGCCTTTGAGATATCAACTGGGGTTATGAGAATTGGGGGTCAGATACACTTAGGTTAAACAAAATTAAGCAAGTTTCTTCACTTCAGCACTCCTGTAGTCTTTAGGAAATTAATGGGCTTTGCAAATTACCAGAAATGCAGGCAAAACTTCCTTCTCTGTTCCTTCCACTCTTGGTTCTTACTCTATCCTTGGGCGAGAATGCCACACAACAAATTGAACCCTTTTTCTAGAAAACAACTCCTTAGGCTGGGCGTGGTGGCTCACGCCTGTAATCTCAGCACTTTGGGAGGCCAAGGCGGCCAGATCACCTGAGGTCAGGAGTTCGAGACCAGCCTGGCCAACACGGTGAAACCCTATCTCTACTAAAAATATAAAAATTAGCCTAGTGTGGTGGTGCGCACCTGTTATCCCTGCTACTCGGGAGGCTGAAGCAGAGAATCACTTGAACCCAGGAGGCAGAGGTTGCAGTGAGCCGAGATCACACCACTGCTCTCCAGCCTGGGCAACAGGTAAGACTCTATATCAAAAACAAAACAAAACAAACAAACAAAAAACCTCCAAACCTCCTTAGATATTCAAAAGTAACTCTCTAGTCTTCTCTAAGCTTTGTCTTTTTTTGGTTAAATGCTTATTCATTTTTCAAATATTTGTAGACCATCAATTACATACCAGACATTGAGTTAAGAGCTGAGGGTATAGCAATGAGCAAGACAGAAATGATCTTTGTCAACACAGAGCCTCATTGTCTAAGTAGGGAAACAATCAGAACATATTGACTTCTGCTTCTGGAAAGATGGAGTAGAAGTATGTACCAGTATCCCTTCCACCAAAGTACAGCTAAACCCCCTGGATATTATATGTTAGGATGAACATAAGAAGACTCTGAAAGGTGGAGAGAAGGCAGACTGGCTAGGGACCTTGGGACTTGAGAAACGACATGGTGGTAAGCTCTTAGGTTTTCTTTTTGCCTCATATATCCCACTCTGGGTAATGGAGAAGCTGGTAACCCAGAAATGCCAACCTTTACCAGGCTGTAATGAGGGGTTCTGAATCTCCATCATGGAGTATCAGAGAAGGCCAAGTGGGGAGCCAGGACTTTTATCCTCAGTGGATGGGAAGATAGGCCACCCCTCTAGTGTCAGTAGAAACTACTTGGAGAGCCTGGATGCCCACCAGCACCCACCAGCAATGGAGGGGCCCCTCCCCTCCATTGCTGGGCTGGTATCAGAGGAAGCCCACTGGAGAGTCAGGACTTCAACCACTGCTCAACAGTAAAGAGGCTACCCCCTACTAGTGTCAACAGAAGCAATTGAGAGGAGCAGTAATGAGGTCCTCTTCCTGCTCCCAGCCAGGATAGTATCATTAGAGGCTGGCTGTGGAGCCTCACCTCACATCCCTACCCCAGCAGTAACAAGGTCCCACCTTCCTGCTTTTCCAATGTCCACATACACTGAGTAGAGAATGTGGGTGTCTATGCCCATATGGTAGTGATGAGGTGACATGGTACCAGAAGAGGTCTGTTAAAAACACACCATTTAACTAAAATTCTAAGCCTCATAATGTAAGATTTCAATAGAAAATCACCAAGGATCAGGAAGATCTCAACTTGAGAAAGATAATCAATAGATGCCACCACTGAGATGACAAAGAAGTTAGAATGATCTGACAAGGATTTTAAAACAGCCATCATAAACATGCTTCAAAAAGAAATTACAAACATACTTGAAACAAATGAAAAAATAGAAAGTCTCAGCAAAGAAATACAAGATATAAAGAATAACTAAATGGATATTTTAGAAGTGAAAAATACAAACTGAAATTTAAAAAACACAATTGAATGGGCTCATAGCAGAATGAAAAGGGCAGAAGAAAGAATCAATGACCTTGAAAATATAAAATAGAAATTACAAAATCTGAACAACAGAGAGAAAAATGGGATGAACAATAAAAGAATAGAGCCTCAGGGACACATAGAACTGTAACAAAATATCTTGTCATCGGGTTCCCAAAAGGAGAGAGGAAAAATGTGAGGCTGAAAACTTCCCAAATTTGGCAAAAGACGTAAATATACAGATTCAAAAGCTGAGTGAATCTCAAACAGGATAAATCAAAAGAAATACACACTATAGTAAAACTTCTGAGAACTAGAGACAAAGAAAAATTCTTGAAAACAGTTAGAAAGAAATGATATATTATCTGTAGGGGAGAAGCAATTTAAATGACTGAGTTTTTCATCAGAAACCATGGAGGCCAGAAAGAAGTGACACACTATTTTCAAGTGCTGAGGGAAAAGAACTCTCAACCCTAAATTCTATAAGCAATGAAAATATACTTCAGGAATGAAGAGGAAAAGGAAAACATTCACAGATGAAGGAAAACTAAGAGAATTTATCACCAGTAAACCAATCCTATAGATTTGGTAAAGGAAGTTCTCTAACACAAAGGAACTCTTGTGATAAAAGAAGGAATCTTGGGATATCAGGAAGGAAGAAAGAACAAAGAAAAAAGCAAAAATATAGATAAATACAATAGATTCTCCTTCTCTTGAGTTTTATAAATTATCTTTGATGGTTGAAGAAAAAATTATAGTACTGTCTTATATGATTCTAAATGTATGTAGAGGAGATAGTTAAGACAATTATAAATTGGGGAGGGTAAAGGGATGCAAGGGGAGATAAAATTTCTACCCTCAAACTAGTGAAATGATGACATCAGTAGACTGTGATAAGTTATATATAGTCATGCATTCCTTAATGATGTGGATACATTCTGAGAAATGCATTGTTAGGTGATTTTGTCATTGTGCAAACACTGTAGAGTGTAGTTACACAAATCTAGATGGTATAGCCTACTACACACCTAGGCTACATGGTATAGCCTATTGCTCCTAGGCTATAAACCTGTGCAGCATGTGACTGTACTGAATACTGTAGGCAATGGTAACACAATGGTAAGTATTTGTTTATCTAAACATAGAAAAGGTACAGTAAAAATATGGTATAAAACATAAAAAAAGCTACACATGTATAGAGTATTTATCATGAATGGAGCTTACAGGACTGGAAGTTGCTTTGACTGAGTCAGTGAGTGAGTGGTGAGTGAATGTGAAGGCCTAGGACATTACTGTATACTACTGTAGACTTTATACATGCTGCACACTTAGGCTACACTAAATTTATAAAAAATATTTTTCCTTCTTTAATAATCAATTAACCTTAGCTTACTGTAAATTTTTTACTTTATAAACTTTTAAACTTTTAACGCTTTTTTTTTTGAGACAGAGTCTTCCTCTGTTGCCAAGGCTGGAGTTCAATGGCGCGATCTTGGCTAATTTTTGTATTTTTAGTAGAGATGGGGTTTTGCCATGTTGACCAGCCTGGTCTCAAACCTCTGACCTCAAGTGATCTGTCCCCTTCAGCCTCCCAAAGTGTTGAGATTACAGGCGTGAGCCACCGCACCTGGGCTTTTTGGCTCTTTTGTAATAATACTTAGCTTAAAACACAAACACTTTATACAGCTGTACAAAATATTTTCTTTATGTTCTTATTCTATAAGGTTTTTCTATTTTTAAAATTTTTCTTGTTTTTTTTTTTTAAACTTTTTTGTTAAAAACTAAGATCCAAGCACACACATTAGCCTAGGCCTACACAGGGTCAGAATCATCAATATCACAGTCTTCCACTTCCACATCTTGTCCCACTGGAAGATCTTCAAGGTCAATAACATTCATGGAGCTGTCATCTCCTATGATAACAATGCCTTCTTCTGGGATACCTCCTGAAGGACCTGCCTGAGGACGTTGTACAGTTAACTTTTTTTTATGTAAGTAGGAGTACACTTTGATATAATGAAAAAAATAGTAAATACATGAACCAGTAACTTAGTTGTTTATTATCATTATTGAGTATTATGTACTACACATAATGGTATGTGCTATGCTTTCACATGACTGGCAGAGCGTAGTTTTGTTTATACCAGCATCACCACAAACACGTGCATTGTGCTACGACATTAGGACAGCTACAATGCCACTAGGTAATAGGAATTTTTCAGGTCCATTATAATCTTATGGGGCCGCCACTGTATATGCAGTCCATCATTGACTAAAATGTTGTTATGTGGCACATGACTGTATATACATTATGTACATAATATATATAATGCATTACCTAGAAGAACCAATAAGAAAACTATATAAGGAGATACACTTAATAATACTATAGATAAATCAAAATGGAATTCTAAAAAATATTCAAGTAACCCATAGGAAGGCAGGAAAAAGAAAACAGAAATGGAAAGCAAAGAATAAACAGAAAACAAAAAATAAAATGCAGACAAACTTCTACATATCAATAATTATATTAAATTAAAATGGCCTAAATACACTAACTCCAAGACAGAGACTGGCAGTGGGGATTAATACAATGGTCCAACTATATATTATCTACAAGAAACACTATTCAAATATAATGAGATAGGTAGATTGGAAAGAAAACACAGGAAAGCTACACAATTCAAACATTAATCAAAAGAAAGCAAGAATGACTATATTAATATCAGATAAAGTAGACTGCAGAGAAAAGAAAATTGCCAGGGACGTAGACTGACATTACAAGTGATAATAGTCTCAATACGCCAAGAAGACATAGATTCTTATGTGTATATGCACCAAATAACAGAGCAGCTAAATATTCGAATCAAAAACTGACAGAACTGAAAGGAAAAATAAACAAATCCACAATTATAGCTGGAGACAACTATAATTAAATGTTGAGCTCTTCTCTCAACATTTAATAAACAGCTAGACAGAAAACCAGCAAGGATACAGAATAAAAAACACCAACATCAACCAACAGGATGGAATCAATGTTTATAGAACACTCCATCCAACAAGCAGAATACACATAATTTTCAAGTGCCCATGGAATGTATACCAAGATTGGCCATATCCTGGGCCATAAAACAAACCTTAACAGATGTAAAAGAATTGAAATCATACAGTGTGTTCTCTGACCACAATGTAAACTAACTAGAAATCAATAGTAGAAAGATAACAGGAAAATCTCCAAACACTAGGAAATTAAACAAAATACTTCCAAATAATCCATGTGTCAAAGGGGAAGTCACAGGTGAAATTAAAAAATACACTGAACTGTGTGAAAATGAAAATGCATCCTATAAAAATCTGTGGTACACAGCAGTGCTGAGGGGGAAATTTAAAGCACTAAATGCTTACATTAGAAAAGAAGAAAAGTTTCAAATAAATAATTTAAGCTCCAACTTCAAGAACCTAGAAAAATAAGAGCAAAATAAACCCAAAGCAAGCAGAAGGAAGGAGAGAATAAAGACAAGAGCAGAAATCAATGAAGCTGAAAATCGAAAAGAAAAACAGAGAAAATCAATGAAACAAAGAGTTGGTTCTTTAAAAAGATCAATAAAACCGGTGGTGGTGGTTACACAAATCTACACTTGTGACAAAATGGCACGGAACTATACACAAACATTGTGCCAATGTCAATTTTCTTTCTGGTTTGGATATTTTGCTATAAATATATAAGATGTATCACTAAGGTAAACTAGGTAAAGGGCTCATGGGACCTCTCTGTGCCATCTTTGCAACTTCCTGTAAATCTATAATAATCTCAAAATAAAAAGTTAAAGAAATTTGAAAACATTTGTACAACTACAGCATTATTTATTTTACAATGTTATATAAATCCCTCACAGGAAAACTATAGGGTGCTATGATAACACAACAAGTGGACCCTATTTCTTCATCTGTTGTTGACCTTCCAAGAACCTGGTTACCCTTTTCTGAATGGTATCTAAATTGTCAGTGTCCTTCTTAAATAGTGATGCCCAGAAGGGAACATCCTGCTTCAGACAGAATATTACTTCCCTGGTTCTAGACACAATACTTTTATTAATGTGGCCAGTCTTTGTTTGCTCTTTAAGTAGCCATAGCACACATTCTTGCATCATTTTTAGTCTTGTAGTCAAATAAAACTCTCAGATCCTGGCATATAGATGGAAAAAAATTTCACCATTAGTACTTATATAATTGGTTATCACAAACCTAAATGGAAGATCTTTCATTAACCTTCATGGGATTTCATCTTGTTGAATTCAGTCCAGCTCTGTCCCAGCCATCAAGAAAGTTTTCAAACTTGATTTTGTTGTCTATAATAGGATGTGTTGGTCCGCTTGTGTTGCTATAAAGGAATACCTGAGACAGGGTAACTTGAAAAGAAAAGAGGTTTATTTGGCTCATGGTTCTGCAGGCTATACACGAAGCACAGTGCAAGCATCTGCTTCTGGTGAGGGCCTCAGGAAGCTTACAATCATGGCAGAAGGCAAAGGCCATGTGATCCAGTGTGTCACATGGCAAGAGAGAGAGAGAAAGGGACAAGGTCCCAGGCTCTTTAAACAACCAGATCTCATGTGAACTAATAGAGTGAGAACTCACTCATTATTGTGGGAACAGCACCAAGACATTCATGAGGGATCCACTCCCATGCCCCAAACACCCCCAACCAGGCCCACCTCCAACATTGGAGGTCACATTTCAACATGAGATTTGGAGGGAACAAAACATCCAAACCATACCAAAAGACTATCTTCATATTGTGAGTCAGCTGCAGATATGTCAGAGTCTATCATTCTGTGCCTTCATCTCACTCACTGCTATTGAAAATGTTGAGCAGCACAAGGTTCATGGAGGTGTTCTGCTGTGATCTTTAAGAAAGAATTTACCATTCAACTGCCAGGAGTTAAGTTAGCTAATAGCCTTTAGCTGTTAATGGCTTCAGGCTTAGCCTCAGCTTTTAAAAAAATTGTAGTAAAAAAAAAAACCCACATAGTCCAAGATCTACTCTCTTAACAACTTTTAAGTGTGCAATACAGTATTGTTAACTATAAGCACAATGATATACAGTAGATCTCTAGGAATTTTTAATCTTGCATGAGTGAAACTTTATACTTACTGAATGGCAACTCTCCCACTTCCCACTACCCCCAGTCCTTGGCAGCTACCATTCTACTCTCTATTTCAATGAGTCTGACTTCTTTAGATACTTCATATAGGTGGAATCATGCAGTATTTGTCCTTATTGTGAATGCGTTATTCCATTTAGCATAATGTCCTCCAGGTTCATCCATGTTGTGGCATGTGACAGGATTTCCTTCCTTTTAAGGAATGAATAATATTCCATCAAGGGTATATATACTGTACCACATTTTCTTTATCCATTCATGTGTTGATGGACATTCAGGTTATTTCTGCAGAGCTTATAGCTTGTAGTGAACACCAAGAATGAGTTCTCAGACAATTCCAGCTGAGCAGGGCGGGGGATCACTCTTCTGAGAAAGAGTGTCACCCCGGAATCCGTCCGCCAAGTATTTATTGAAAGGGCTTGTTAAACTACGAACATCCACTAGATGGCCTTTTGAGGTTGGGTCATTAGACACCTATGGCCTTGTAAAAGCACTCAAACCGCATTCTCAGGAGGCTGTTTACAGCATTCCTTATCACACATTCCACTCCTCGTCCTGTTTTCAGGGTCAAGGAGTTACATTCCCATGCACAAATAACATACACACAGTGCCTCAGTATTTTTCCATGCCCCAACCTCAAATGCCATGTTAATATTTTGGACAAACCTCTTATCAGATACATGGTTTGAAAATATTTTCTCCCATTCCATAGGTTGCCTTTTCACTCTGTTGATTATTTCCTTTTTTGTGCAGAAGCTTTTTAGCCCTAACTTGTCTTATCAGCCCTGACATAGCCCTACCTTGTCTATTTTTGGTTTTTCTGCCTGTGCTTTTGGTGTCATATCCAAGAAATCATTGCTAAGATCAATGTCATTAAACTTTTAGATTTATGTTAGATTTATGCCTAGATTTTTTGGAGCTACGTAAATTGCATTTAAAAATTTCGTTTCCAAATTGTTATTATACAGAAACTTGATTGCCAAATTATTAGTGTACAGAAATATTGTGTGTTGACCTTATATCCTGCAACCTTGCTGAACTTCCTTATTAATTCTAGAATTTTGTGTGTGTGGATTTCTTTGACTTTTCTTTATAGACGATTATCTTACCTGTGAATAAGGACAGTTTTATTTCTTCCTTTTCAATATGTACACATTTTATTTATTTTTCTTGCCTTATTGCACTGGCTAGGACTTCCAGTATGAAATCTAATAGGAGTAGTGACAGTGTATTTCCTTGCCTTCTTCCCAATCTTAGAAGCAAAGTATTCCATCTTTCATTATTAACAATGATGTTTGCTGTAGATTTTTAAATAGATGCCTTTCATTAGGTTGAGGAAGTTTCTTTCTATTCTTAGTTTGCTGAGAGTTTTTTGTTTTTTCATGAATGGATGTTAACTTTTGACAAATGCTGTTTCTGCATCATTTGATGTGATCATATGGTTCTTCTTCATTAGTTTGTTGATATGATGGATTGCATTGATTTTTGCATATTGAATGAGACTTTCATTCATAGGATAAACCCCACTTGGTTACAGGATATTATTCTCTTTATATATTGCTGGTTTGATTTACTAATGTTTGTATCTATGTTCAAAAGGGATCTTAATATATCATTTTCTTTTCTTGTAATGTCTATATCTGGTGTTGGCATCATGGTAATACTGCCTTCATAAAATAAGTTGGGAAGTATTCTCCTCTACTTTCTGGAAGAGATTTGCAGAATTAGCATTATTTATTCTTTAAATGTTTGGTAGAATTTTGGACTATCTGGATCTGGAGCTTTCTTTTCTAAAAGATATTTAGTTACAAATTTAGTTTCTTTAATAGTTATTGTACTAATAGTAATTTTTAAAAAGCTAACATTCAGTGAAAGCTTGTTATATGACTGGTACAGAACCTAGAACTGAAATTTATATCCTTTAATCCTCTTGGCAACATTTTGGGGTAAGTATTATTATCCCATTACTGAGAACTAAAGTGGTTTCATAACTTGTCTAAGATTACATAGCTAATGAATAGCAGAGCCTGGATTCAAACACAGACCTGTCTTACTCCAGAGAATATATTCTTAATTATCATCTTTGTGTTCTCCTCTCTGTAAACAACCAGATACAGCAAGGAGAATGAGAAACAGGAATGGAGGCTGGGTGCAGTAGCTCATGCCTGTAATTCCAGCACTTTGAGAGGCCGAGGTGGGAGGATCACCTGAAGTCAGGAGTTTGAGACCAGCCTGGCCAACATGGCGAAATACAAAAATTACCATGGCGTGGTGGCACGTGCCTGTCGTCCCAGCTACTTGGGAGGCTGAGGCATGAGAATCACTTGAAGCCGGGAGGCAGAGGTGGCAGTGAGCCAAGAAGCCAAGATCATACCTCTGCACTCCAGCCTGGGCAACAGAGTGAGACCCTGTCTCAAAAAAAAAAAAAAAAAAAAGAAAGAAAGAAACAGGAACAGAAACCACACCTTCAGTGAGAGTAGGAGAGTAAGAGGCAGCTATCACCTGAAATTACAATGAGTATGGAAGAGCTGCTTAGTGCAGTGAGGAAAAATGGGGGTCAGGAAAGAGTCCCTGGCTCTTCTGATGCCAGGCACATGTAGTAGGGTAGAGACCCCTAGGGTATGTGGCACACCATTGTGGACAAAATCACTAACACCTGACTTGCCCCAGCATGATACAGGTACACAGGCTGGCTGCAGAAGTGGTAGCTGAAGTGGGGCCAGGCCAGGAATTGATGATAAGCCATCTTTGCATAAGCAGTCTGTTGCTGTGGTAGGGTGGAAAGGACATTGAGATTGATGACCAGACTGGCACCTGTCTACCATTATTGGTTGGGGAGAAGAAAAGACTAAACCAATAACTCTCACACACTATCTTGTACCTTGAGAGGCTCCAAGGAATTCTGAACTAACAAAATGTTTTGTTGTTCAGAACTCAGCACTGTCCCTTCTGCTTTCCACAGAGCTGGTCTAGCAAAATCAATCATCATTGAAATATTAGTAATAATAAAAAGAAGGCAATATAGGAACTATACAAAAATATCCTCAAGAATAAAGGGGCATGGCCAAGACAGGACAGAAAAGCACACAGCAGAAATAGTTTGCCATGGAAAAAAAATAAAAATCATGACCAAAAATATGCAAAAAAAAGTAATAAAAAGAAAATCTGTGAATCAGTCATGGGCTTAGGCAGAGATACAATACCTCAAGAAAGAAATAAAATAAAGGAGATTAAAAATGAGCTGACAGCACTCAAGAAAGAAATAGAGAAAACAAAAATAAAAGAGAAATGAAGGCCCTAATAGGAGCAGCAAAAAGGAAAACAGATACTGTTCAAAAAACAGCTATGGGCATGGAAGGAAGGCTTGGAAAAAGTGAGCAAAATGAATGAAAATATAATAAATAGTTTTAAAAGTTTAAAAGGATTGTAAAGAAAGTGACATATATAGAGAACAAAGGTTATCCACCATATGCATGATTGGTGTTTCTGAATAATAGAATAGATTAAATGGAACCACAACATCAACAAAAATGTTCAAATATATCATTCAAGAGTGCTTCTAGTAATAAGACTTGAATTCATAGCTTGAAAGAACAAACTTATCCCAGGTAAAATTGCCACAGAACAAGTAAGTTCAGTTCATATACTGATGAAGTTACTGGACTTTGGAGATTAGGAAAGAATCCTATGGGAATCCTTGCAAATAAACCACATCATTTGTGACTGGGAAAAAATTGTCTGGCTTCCAACCTCACCATAATAGCATCCAACATCAGAAGATGGAGGCGCAATGCCTACCAAATCTTCAGGGAAAGAGTATGTGTGCCAAGCCAGACCGTCATCCAAGTATAATGTCACAAACAGATGCCTTTATACTTCCCGAGAGCCTTTCTTCTTGGAAATACAATTGTCTGATAAATTTCTACAAACGGATGTAATAGTAAAAATGATGACAGCGATCAATGGGCCCATTAAAAGCTAAAGTAACTGCAGAAAGAGAATATCATATAAACGTTATATACTCTAATTGTATAAATAAAAATTATCATATATTTCTGGAGATTCTAGAAGGGGGAAAACATGGAGGTGGTGCAAGTATGCCAATGTTCTCATCTTTTGAGAGTTATTTAAAGCCTATAGCTCAATAATAGAGACAGAAGTATTTTTCTTTGAAGGTAAAAATTCACTTTAACATGTTATGTGTCAGGAGTAAAGAGTATTTATTTATTTATGTTTAACATTTTATTTTTAAATAATTTTAGATTTACCGAAGAGATGCCAAGATAGTACAGATCATTCCTGTATACCCTTCACCCAGGTTCTTCTAATGTTAACATCTCACTTAACCATGGTACATTTTTCAAAACAAGAAATTAACATTGATATAATACTTGTAACTAAACTACAGACTTTATTTGGGTTTTCCCCTTTTTTCTTTCCAGATCTGACCCAGGATACCACATAGGATTTAGTCATCATCTGCTTAGTCTCCTTCAATCTGTGATAGTTTCTTGGTCTTTAAGGAATCTTTATTTTTAAAACCTTTTTATTATGGAAAAATTTAAACATAGGCAACAGTAGAAATGAGATTAATATTATGAGCTCCATGTACTCATCACTCAGCTTCAACAATTAACATTTTGCCAGTCTTGTTTCATTCATCCACCACCTCAATATTTTGTTGTTGAAGTATTTTAAAACAAAACCCAGGCCATATCATTTCATCCATAAATGTTTCAGTAAACATTTCTACCTAATAAAGACATAAGATAATATAAATACCATGCCACTATTATACCTTAAAAATGAAAAATAATTTTTTTTTTTTTTTAGATGAAGTCTTGCTCTGTTGCCCAGGCTGGAGTGCAGTGGCACAATCTCAGCTCACTGCAACCTCTGCATCCCGGGTTCAAGCGATTCTTCTGCCTCAGCCTCCCGAGTAGCTGGGTCTACAGGCGCACGCCACCATGCATTTTTGTATTTTTAGTAGAGACGAGATTTCACCGTATTGGCCAGGCTTGTCTTGAACTCCTGACCTCGTGATCTGCCCGCCTTGGCCTCCCAAAGTGCTGGGATTACAGGCGTGAGCCACCACACCCGGCCAAAAAATAATTCTTTAATATAATCTCATCTTATGCCATATCCAAAGTTCCCCAATTCTCACAAATATATCATTTTCACTTAGTTTGTTCGCATCAGGATCAGAGCAAGTTTCATATACTGTATTTGATTATTTTAGCTCTTAAGTTTATTTTGTTATATAACCCAGACCCCCACCCGGTACCACTGATTTATTGAAAAAACTAGATCATTTGTCCTGTAGAATTTCTTACATTTTGGATTTGGTCCCTTGCTTCTGCAGGGTGTCATTTAACTCATTCTCTATTCTCTGTGTTTCCCGAGAATGGATAGTTAGACATAGAGGCTTTATTAGGTTAAGCGTTTTTTTGTAGGCAAAAATATTGAATAGGCAACACTGTGTACTTCACATCCCATCACATCAAGGGATACACCATGTGTGTTGTCTCACTTGTAGGGATGCTAAAATTGATTAGTGGGATCAGGTGGTATCAGCCTGATTCATCTATTATAAAGTTCTTGTTAAGCTTTCACCTAATGGTTTTAGCTGTCATTGATGATCATCACTGATAGTCTTTATTAGAACCTGATAAATGGCGATATTCTTATATCATTTATTCCACCTGTTAGCTGGAATGCTTCTAAAAGAAGAATGCTCTTTATCAACTATTTAGTTACCTAGAAAAAGGCAGAATGTTTGATTCTTGCTCTTTTTAAAAAACCAGTTTGCAGAACGATAAATTGGTGCTCTAGCAAAACTCCAGTGATGACCAATGAGCTTTCTGGATTTTGTTTCATTTTTAAAGGATCATTAGGAACTCCTGAAGTTAAAAGAATTAATGTTTATCGGCCGGCTGTGGTGGCTCACACCTGGAATCCCAGCACTTTGGGAGGCCGAGGCAGGCGGATCACAAGGTCAGGAGATGGAGACCATCCTGGCTAACACCGTGAAACCCCGTCTCTACTAAAAATACAAAAAATTAGCCGGGCGTGGTGGCAGGCGCCTGTAGTCCCAGCTACTCGGGAGGCTGAGGCAGGAGAATGGCGTGAACCCGGGAGGCAGAGCTTGCAGTGAGCTGAGATGGCTCTACTGCACTCCAGCCTGGGCGACAGAGCGAGACTCCATCTCAAAAAAAAAAAAAAGATTTTTTTAGAGTGTTTTGTCTTTATGGTATCTTCCACTTGGTTTGTGTAGTCAAAACACTGTATTTTAAAGCAATTTGAAATAATTTTGTTTTTCTCTATGAGGTCATGTATGGTGCACTGTAATGTATGAGTGCCTCTAATTGACTGAACCCAAATCCCATCCCAAACCCTGGCTGCAAAAGGGCTTTTTATCTTTTCAGACTCTACATACTGAAATTCATGTTGAACAAATCAGTCTGCTGAGTCTATCCCTATCAGGTTATAGGTAAGGGATTCTAGGTTGTTTGCCAAAAGGCTAATGGGGTAGGGGATCAGGAAATGTGATGACTGCTTAGAATACCTGCTTTAGGGAGGTGAGGGGAAATGGACTCAAGGACACAGATTGGTTTCTGATTAGTGCTCAGGACCTATCTGAGGAGAGAAGGCTTGCATTCCTAATGGCATTGTCTGCATGACTGCATCTGGTAGCCAAGCTAAGAGGAGGGGAGAGTGGCCTTTGCAATGGTGGGCGTAGTAAAAGAACAGGGGACATAGGATGCTGAGGTGCTGGTAATGGAGGAATTGATGTGATATAGTATGAGCTCTAGACTTCAAAAGAAAGGACTTTAGATGGAAAAATAATGATGAACACTCCAATGAGCCAGGCATTGTCCTAAGCACTTTATATCTGTTAACTCACTTAACCCTTACAACAATGTTGAGGCAGGTATTATCATTACCTCCATTTTACAGATAAGGAAACTGAGATGCTGAGAAGTTAATTTGTCCAAGGTACACAGCTTGTGGCAGAGCCAGAGTTTAAATCCAGACAGTCTGGCTCCAGAGACTGAAGCAATGAGACATAATTTTGTACTTAAAACCTGGCAAAAAAACAAACAAACAAACAAACAAACAAATGCTATAATACTTATAGTGGGAAGAGATATAGATTAAAGAGTATCCTTGTACACTGCATATGGAAATTGAAGTATTATAGCCATTTTAGAAATCTGGCCAGGTGTGGTGGCTCATGCCTGTAATCCCAGCACTTTGGGAGGCCGAGGCAGATAGATCACTTGAGGTCAGGAGTTCGAGACCAGCCTGACCAATATGGTGAAACCCCATCTCTACTAAAAATACCAGGTGCAGCGTCTGTAATCCCAGCTACTTGGGAGGCTGAGGCAGGAGAATCGCTTGAACCTGGGAGGCGGAGGTTGCAGTGAGCCAAGATCATGCCATTGCACTCCAGCCTGGGTGTCGCAGCAGGACTCCGTCTCCAAAAAAAAAAAAAATAATAAAAAAAATAAAAAAGAAAATAATCTGGTAATATCTGTTAATATTAAAATATACTGGGCTGGCTGGGCGCAGTGGCTCATGCCTGTAATCCCGCACTTTGGGAGGCCAAGGAGGGTGGATCACTTGAGGTCAGGAGTTTGAGACGAGCCTGGCCAACATGATGAAACCCTGTCTCTACTAAAAATACAAAAATTAGTTGGGCATGGTGGCAGGCGCCTGTAATCCCAGCTACCTGGGTGGCTGAGGCAGGAGAATCACTTGAACCCTGGAGGCGGAGGTTGCAGTGAGCTGAGATCACACCACTGCACTCCAGCCTGGGTGACAGAGCAAGACTCCATCTCAAAAATAAATAAAAATAAATAAATAAATAAATAAAATATCCTGGGCCAAGCACAGTGGCTCATGCTTGTAATCTCAACACTTTGGGAGGCTGAGGTGGGAGGATTGCTTGAGCCCAGGAGTTCAAGACCAGCCTGGGAAATATGAAAAGACACCATCTCTACTAGATAGATAGATAGGTAGATAGATAGATAGATAGATAGATAGATAGATAGATAGATAGATAGATAGATAGACAGACAGACAGACAGACAGACAGACAGACAGACAGACAGATAGATAGATAGATGAATATACGAATAAATAAAATATTCTGCTTACGCAGCAAACTCACTCCTGGGAATCTATTCCATAGGAATGAAAGTGCTAGTAAGGACATATATAAAAGGACGTTTTATTGCAGTATTGTTTGTAGTTGCAAAAAACTGGATGCCAAGTGAAAGGCTGTCAATAGGAGAATGGTTAAATAAATGATGGTATATCCACAATGTGAATATTACACAGCCATTAGAAAGGATGAATTAGGATAATACTAGGTGACATGAGGGAGTTCCATGAGGTATTGGGAATTGAAAAAGCAAACACCAAGATGCAAAATAGTTGTTAATACATGAAGAAGAAATAATAAATCTGAATGTCATCACTTTGCAACCTCAAATGAATTAATGAATCTATGGATCAATCATCGTGACTGCTAACCTCACAAAAAATTGTCAACCAGACTTTTGGTGCATCCTGAAGGAAGAACACACCATCATCTATGAAGTAATCACAAAAATTCGACCTGAATCTGATACCGCCTCCAGAGCCAAATATAAACTACAGGAAATACAGAAGAAAGAGCATGTTATACTACCAGGAAAGAGCATGTTCCAATGTTTTGGCTTCCCTGGGCCACATTGGAAGAAGAAGAATTGTCTTGGGCCATACATAAAATACACTAACACTAACGATAGCTGATGAGCTAAAAAAAAAAATTGCCAAAAAATCTTATAATGTTTTAAGAAAGTTTACGAATTTGTGTTGGTCCACATTCAAAGCCGTCCTGGGTTGCATGCAGCCCGTGGGGTGCGGGTTGGACCAGCTTGTCCTAGACTATGGGAATACAATCAACAAAATCTAGACCATGGGAAATGCTACAGGACAAATGTTTTGTTTTCTTCAACAATAAATTGCAAGAAAGGCCGGGCGCAGTGGCTCACGCCTGTAATCCCAGCACTTTGGGAGGCCGAGGCGGACGGATCACGAGGTCAGGAGATCAAGACCATCCTGGCTAACACGGTGAAACCCCGTCTCTACTAAAAAAAAAAAAACACAAAAAAATTAGCCGGGCATGGTGGCAGGCGCCTGTAGTCCCAGCTACTCGGGAGGCTGAGGCAGGAGAATGGCGTGAACCCGGGAGGCGGAGCTTGCAGTGAGCCGAGATCACGCCACTGCACTCCACTCTGGGCGACAGAGCGAGACTCCGTCTCAAAAATAAATAAATAAATAAATAAATAAATAAAAATTGCAAGAAAAAGATAGAGGGGGACCCTGTGGATTTAAAAGAGATTCAAAAGATATATGAACCAATTGCAAGGATTTGCCCTTATTTGGGTTCTGATTTAAGCAAACACATTGTTTTTTAAAAAGCCATACGTAATATTTATTGGACAATTGGAAATTTAACATTGATTAGACATTTGATAATATTAAGGAATTATTTTTATTTTATCATTATTATTTTTTACTTTTTTGCTGTGCTAATGGTGTTATGGTTTAAAAAGAATCCTTATCTTTTAGAGATGCATACGAATTATTGACAGATGAAATGATGTGAAGCCCAGCATTTGCTGCAAAATAATAAAGAGGTAAGAGTGAGTGAGAATATAGATAAAATGAGATGATTGGCTCTCAAATAAT
This sequence comes from Homo sapiens, assembly GCF_000001405.40. Classification (NCBI taxonomy): domain Eukaryota; kingdom Metazoa; phylum Chordata; class Mammalia; order Primates; family Hominidae; genus Homo; species Homo sapiens. The sequence goes on along the minus strand of NC_000023.11, from coordinate 40,913,276 downwards.
CATTGTTGAAGCTGGATGGCGGGTATTTTGGGTTTATTATACTACTCTGCTTTTAAAATATGTTTGAATTTTTTTCATGATAAAGTTTTTCTAAAATATTATGGGAGGGGGGCTAAATATATTTCATTTGCCCCTCCAGATCCACTCTCCACCCCTCCCCACCATGTTCTGTGCCTGGGAGGCTGACCTCTATGGATAGAATGGTTCAATGGGCTCCTGTGCCCTCTGTTCGGTTTGGAAAATGGGATACCTACAGGAGATGGAAGGGAGGAAAGAGAGGGAGATTGGGGTTTTTAATTTCCCAGGTTTTCTCACTGATGAATAATAGTGAGCTGTCTGCCTCCAGCAACCAGCCAGGGGTCTCAGCTCACACCAGAGCTTTCTCCACCCATCCCTCTCTATTACTGGTCCCTCCCCTTGCCCCGGGGTACTGCCCTACCCCTAGTGGTTTCCCTATACCCTGCCCACACTTTCCTAAATAGTCCCTTATTACATTCTTCTCAAATTACCCAATTTGGGTGTGCCATCTGTTGCTTACTGGGCGCCTGTCTGATACCAAAGGCAATCAGCAGCGAAAGGCAGGACTAGGGGAGGAAGCCCAGGGGAGGAGTGTAGGAGGGGTTGAAGTGCGAGGCATGGCAACAGAGGACAGAAGTGATAGCCAAAATACTTAACAACTGGTAGAGGACAGGCACCAGCCCATCAGAATGGACTCCATGTGTCAACAACTAGTACTAATACTAGCGCTGATACCTTCCAGGTGGATCTTAGCTCTGCTTAAGGGGATCGAGACCTGCAGGACAGGACTGGTTGGGTTATTTGAACTCAAATGTTCCCAGATGGTTGGGGCCTGGTGGTTAGGAAGACTCACAGATTCTCACCTCCCAGGGGAAACTCAGCTGCCAGCAGTGGCTCTGGGGGTGCAGCTGGAGAGCCTTGGTGGCTTCTGGGAAAGCAGCCCTTCAGTTCTCCCTAGGGAGCTGAAGTGGGAAAGCTAAGTAGTGGCTCCATTAGAGGACGGTGCTCAGGCTGCAAAATCCAAATGGAGGTGGGCGGTGAGGGGAGAAAGGGCCTCTTTCTTTTGCTGACATCCTGGTCTCACACAGCAAACAAACCAAAACAAAACAAAACAAAAACTGAGAAGGTAATGCTACAAAGATCATGTGGCTCCCTAACTCTATTGGGACAAAACCTCTTTTAAAATGTTTTAATTTTAAAATACATGCATTTAACATTTTATTTAGCTGATAGTTCAAAATGATCCATACATAAAGAGTATAACCATATATACAGTGAAACATCTCCCTCTAAGGCCTGCCCCATCTGCCCAGTCCCATCTTCCCCAAATAGCCAGTGACTGTAACCTTTCAGAGTCTCACTCTGGTTGCCCAGACTGAAATGCAGTGGCATGATCTTGGCTCATTGTAGCCTCAAATTCCTTGGCTCAGGTGATTCTCCCACTTCAACCTTCTGAGTAGCTGGGACTGCAAGTGCGCACCACCACACCTGGCTAATTTTTTTTTTGTATTTTTAGTAGAGACTGGATTTCACCATATTGCCCAGGCTGGTCTTGAACCCCTGGACTCAAGCAATCCACCAGCCTCGGCCTCCCAAAGTACTGGGATTATAGGCATGAGCCACCACACCCAGCCCAGAGATTTTTTTAATGCTGGTATGAACAAATATAAATATACATCCCCAATCCCCTCCTTTTAATATGATGTATGCTCTATTCCGCATCATGCTTTTTTCCCTTAAAAATGTATTGGAGATCTTTCCAAATTGATACATACAGAGTTTCCTTGTTCTTTATTTTGTTCTAGCTATGTGGTATTCCATTGTGCAGTAATGTATTTAATCATCCTTATTGACTGCTACTTAGGTTGTTTCCAACCTTTTAAAATTACTAACAATATACATGTATTGAATGAATGAATAGGTAGGTGAATGTTCAAATGGAAAACGTTGTGCATAAATAATTTCCCATGTCTGCTAATATACCTGTGGAGTAAATTCCTAGAAGTGAACTTACTGGGTCAAAGATCAAGATCATATGCTCCTGTAATTTTGATAGATACTGCAAAATTATCCCATCATATCCACAGATCCTACCCATACTCAAAAGGAGGGAATGATACAGAGTGTGTATGCTAGGGGGCAGGAATTTGGGGGTTGATATAGTTTGTATATTTGTCCCCTCCACATCTCATGTTGAAATGTGACCCCCAGGCCAGGCACAGTGGCTCACGCCTGTAATCCCAGCACTTTTGGAGGCCAAGGCAGGAGGATCACCTGAGTTTTGGAGTTTGAGACCAGCCTGACCAACATGGCAAAACCCTATCTCTACCAAAAATACAAAAATTAGCCATGTGTGGTGGTGGGCACCTGTAATCCCAGCTACTCAGGAGGCTGAGGCAGGAGAATTGCTTGAACCCAGGAGGCAGAGGTTGCAGTGAGTGCTGAGATCATGCTACTGCACTCCAGCCTAGGTGACAGAGTGAGACTCTGTCTCAAAAAAAAAAAAAAAAAAGTGACCCCCCCCCCCCCAGTGTTGGAGGTGGGGCCTAGTGGGAGGTGTTTGGGTCATGGGGACAGGATCCCTCATGAATGGCTTGATGCCCTCTGCACAGTAATGAGTGAATTCTCAAGCTATAAGTTCACGTGAGAGCTGGTTGTTTAGAGAGTCTGGCACCTCTTCCCCTTTCTCTTGCTCTGTCTCTTGCTTTTTGATACACCTGATGCCTCTTCCCCTTCTGCCATGAGCGGAAACTTCCTGAGGCCTCACCAGATGCAGATGCTGGCACCATGCTTCTTATACAGCCTACAGAACTGTGAGCCAAAATAAATCTCTTTTCTTTGTAAATTATCCAGCCTCAGGTATTCCTTTATAACAACACAAAACAGACTAATACAGGAGAATTTTGCCTACCACACCTTCATTTGTTCCTGAGCCCAGCTTTGCTCAGCCGTTGGCTTCAGCCCGGAATCTAGATGACCTGGCTATTGTCCCTAGTTCAGGGCCCCACAAAAGCCATTCCCCATCCTTGTGTACACCAGCACCTCCCCTATTTGGTTCTTGGCTAGACTCTGCCTCAGTTTCCTTGTTGCTGGTTGCATATCCATACTTTTTTTTTTTTTGAGACGGAGTCCTGCTTTGTGCTTCAGGCTGGAATGCAGTGGCGTGATCTTGGCTCACTGCACTGCAACCTCTGCCTCCCAAGTAGCTGGAATCACAGGCGTGTGCCACCATGCCTAGCTAATTTTTATATTTTTAGTAGAGATGTGGTTTCGCCGTGTTGGTCAGGCTAGTCTCGAACTCCTGGCCTCAAGAGATCAGCCCGCCTCGGCCTCCCAAAGTGCTGGGATTACAGGTGTGAGCCACTGCGCCTGGCTGCATATCCATACTCTTCTAAAGACCAAATCATTTTACCAGGTGGCTCTCAGCTGCCTACCCCAGGCACTGGGTGTTCCCGTCTCAGCCATCCCATGAAGAGTGGTCAGCATTGCTAGGGTAGGATTCAGAACCTGTAGACAACAATAAACCCATGAGCGCCAACCACACCAGTCACTTCCTGGCCCCTCCTCCCTCTCTTCTGCCTCTGAATACATAATCTTGAAGGGGGCCCACAATGATCCATTAATGCCACTCTGTTTATGATCATGTCTTTAAAATGTATTTCCCCTGGATTTTTTTGTCCTCACACAGTCCTTTTAAGAATCTGAATGACTACATTTTAGTACAATTCCTTCTTATCTTAAGGTATATTTCCTAAACTTCTTATACCAACAACAGATACTTGTTTCAAGAGTCTCTCTTTAAGGGTCTCTCCTGTCCATCCCCTTCCCTCCAGCCCCCACTTTTCCACCAACCTTTCCACCAGACCACCACAACAGGAGTTACATAGCATGCCCAGAAAAATCTCCTGCCTTAATGAAATTTGTCTTTTTAGATTTGCAACCCTATTTGTAATGCTAGAGGTATTTTCCCAGGAGAGGTATTTTATGAGTCATTGGGAGACCATTATCCCATAACCACATCTGAGACCATGGATGTTTTCTCACTAAGAAAATTTAGATATTTTCAAAATTTACCTAGATAGGAACAGATTATTTTCAGCTGCAAATTCCTTTCTGGTGCAGATCAAAATTGTGATAATTTTTTTAAATATGTAAGTCACTTATAGTTAAATTATACAAACACACCAATAGTGCACCAAATAAGATTTTGAAGTCCTTTATGTTTGAGGCTAAGAGTCAAACTCTTGTCTTGTCTTTATCAATGATGACTGCAAATTTTACAGAGGGTAATAGGGGAAGAATCTTCCTTAAATCAATCATAGGTAAATACTAACATCTCTCTATATTAGGTGCCAGGATTGACTTTGAAGAAAGTGGCAAAGGGTGTATCTCTCTCCCTCTTCTAGTGACTTGTCACATGCCTGAAGTCACACCATTAGATGCTTTTCCTCTTAGTCTTACAGGTTTTTTGCTCTTTAGGAGCCCCTCTACTATTCTTTTAAATTTTTTTTTTGAGACAGAGTCTCACTCTGTCACCCAGGCTGGAGTGCAGTGGTGCAATCTTGGCTCACTGCAACCTCCGCCTCCCGAGTTCAAGAGAGTCTCCTGCCTCAGTCTCCCGAATAGCTGGGATTACAGGTGTGTGCCACCACGCCTGGCTAATATTTGTGTTTTCAGTAGACACGAGGTTTCGCCATGTTGGCCAGACTGATCTCAAACTCCTGACCTCGGGTGATCCGCCTGCCTCGGCCTCCCAAAGTGCTGGGATTACAGGCGTGAGCTGCCACACCAGGCCCCCTCTACTATATTTTTTTTTTTTGGCAGTTTTTATGGTTTTCTTTAAACACAAAACATGCACACGAGCCGCCTATTCATTTTCTTTGCTGCGCAGTATGGCATTGAGGTTGTTGACTCTGATGGCCAGCTGGGCTGCTCTTTCCACGATGGCCTTGCAGTTCTTGGAGGAAACATTGTGAGCGATCTTAGCACAGTAAGATTTGTTGCACATCATCAGCACTTCCAGCTCATTGATGTCATGGACCAGGAATTTCCGGAAACCATTGGGCAGCATGTGCTTTGTTTTTTTGTTGCTCCCATAACCAACGATGGGCTTCAAGATCTGGCCCTTGAACCTTCTACAAACCCTATTGTCAATACCTCTGGGTTTCTGCCAGTTAGGCTTGATTTTGACATACCAGTCTGACTGGTACAGGATGAACTTCTTGGTTCTCTTTTTGACAATCTTGAGTTTCACAAGGGGTCTGAGGGCAGCTGTGATGCCAAGGAGGAGATGGCTGCAACCTCTGTAGGCAGCGCTGAGGAAGAGAGAATATCCTCTACTATTTTATTTTATTGTTTTATTTTTTGAGACAGAGTCTTGCTCCATTGCCCAGGCTGCAGTGCAGTGGCATGATCATGGCTCACTACAGCCTCGACCTCCTAGGCTCAAATGATCCTCCTGGGATTACGTGTGTGAGCCACCATGCCAGGCCCATTTCTTTTTAAGTTAAGCATTTTATCACGCCTGTAATCCCAGCACTTTGGGAGGCTAAGGCAGGCTGATCACCTGAGATCAGGAGCTTGAGACCAGTCTGGCCAACATGGTGAAACCCCGTCTCTACTGAAAATACAAAAAAAAAAAAATTGGCCAGGCATGGTGGCCAAACACCTGTAATCTCAGCTACTCGGGAGGCTGAGGCAGGAGAAATGCTTGAACCCAGGAGACAGAGGTTGCAGTGAGCTGAGATTGCACCACTGCACTCCAGCCTGGGCAACAAGAGCAAAACTCTGTCTCTAAATAAATAAATCAAATAATAAATTAATTAAGCATTTTATTTTGAGATAATTATAGATTCACATACAGTTGTAAGAAAAAGTATAGAGACATTTCCATATATCCTTTACCCAGTTTCCCCAATGGTAATATCTTGCAAAACTTTAGTCCAATAACACAAGCAGGATACTGACACTATTACATCGTCAATACCGGTACAGAACATTTCCATCATCACAAGGATTCCCTCATGTTGCCCTTTTATGGCTATACTCCTCTCCCATCTCACCTTGATCCCTGGGAACCACTAATCTGTTATCCACTTCTATGATTTTGTCAAGAAAGTTACAGAAATGGAATCATACAGTATATATAGCCTTTTCTTTCTTTCATTTTCTTTTTCTTTTCTTTTCTTTTTTTTTTTTAGAAACAGGGTCTCATTCTGTCACCCGGGCTGGAGTGCAGGAGCTTTGACCTCCTGGGCTCAAGCAATCCTCCTGTCATTGCCTCCTGGGTATCTGGACTACAGTGCGCACCAGCATACCTGATTATTTTTTAAATTTTTTGTAGAGATAGGGTCTCACTATGTTGCCCAGACTGGTCTTGAACTCCTTGAATTCCTGGCGTTAAGCGATTTTCCCACCTCAGCCTCCCAAAGTGCTAGCATTACAGGTGTGAGCCACTGTGCCCAGTCAGTTTTTTTTGTTTGTTTGTTCGTTTTGTTTTTAACTATTGAGTTTTCAGAGTTCTTTATAGATTCCATATACCAGTCCTTTGTTGGATAATTGGTTTACAAGTATTCTCTCCCAGTTTGTAGCTCGTCTTTTCATCTTCTTAGCAGAATCTTTCCTAGAGAAAAATTTTTAAATTTTGATGAGGTCCAACTTACCAATTTTTCACTTATGGCTTGTGCTTTCGATGTTAAGTCTAAGATCCCTTTGCCTCTGCCTAAACCCCGACAATTTTCACCTATATTATTTTCTAAAGGTTTTCTAATTTCATGTATTACATTTAAGTTGGTGATCCACTTAGTTAATTGTTGTTCATAAAGGGTAAGATTTAGGTCAAGGTTCATTTTTTTGCCTATGGATGTCCAATTGCTCCAACATCATTTGTTGATAAATCTTTATTTTCTCCATTTAGCTGTTGTGCACCTTTGTCAAAGATCATTTCACCAAACTTGTGTGGGTCTATTTATGGGTTCTGTGTCCTATTCTATTGATCTATGTGTCTTTCCCTCCACCAATAACACACAGTCCTAATTATTGTAGCTATATGATAAGTCTTGAAATTGGGTATAGTAATTCCTCCCACTTTATTCTTCTTTAAATTTTGTTTTTATTGAGGCCGGGGATGGTGGCTCACGCCTGTAATCCCAGCACTTTGGGAGGCTGAGGCGGGTGGATCACCTGAGGTCAGGAGTTCGAGACCAGCCTGACCAACATGGTGGAACCCCGTCTTTACTAAATACAAAAAGTTAGCCAGAGGTGGTGGCACATGCCTGTAGTCCCAGCTTCTTGGGAGGCTGAGGTAGGAGAATTGCTTGAACCCGGGAGGCGGAGGTTGCAGTGAGCTGAGATCGTGCCATTGCACTCCAGCCTGAGCAACAAGAGCGAAACTCCATTTCAAAAAAAAAAAAAAAAAATTGTTTTCACTAGTCTAGTTCCTTACTTTTCCATATAAATTTTAGAATAATCTTGTGTATATCTGTAAAAATTCTTGCTGGGAATTTGATAGTATTTGCATTAAACCTGTATATCAATTGATGTATTTACTATGTTGAATCTTCCAATCCGTGAACATAGTATATTTCTCCAGATATTTAAATCTTTTATTTCTTTCATCAACATTTTTGTAGTTTTCACCATATAAGTCCTATATATGTTTTTTTCATTTTTATCGTGTTTAAATATACATAAAATGTATCATTTTAACCATTTTTTTTTTTTTGAGACAAGATCTTGCTCTGTCACCCAGGCTGGAGTGCAGTGGCGTGATCACAGCTCAATACAACCTCCACCTCCTGGGTTCAAGCTATCCTCCCACCTCAGCTTACCTAGTAGCTGGGACCACAGGCACACACCACCATGCCTGATTAATTTTTGTATTTTTTTTGTAGAGACAGGGTTTTGCCATGTTGCCCAGGCTGGTCTCAAACTCCTGGACTCAAGTGATCTACTTGCCTCAGCCTCCCAAAGTGTTGGGATTACAGGCGTGAGCCACTGCGCCTGGCCTTAACCATTTTTAAGTGTATAGTTCGGTGGCATTAAATATATTCATAATGTTGTGCAACCATCATTACTTTCCATCTCCATAATTCTTTTCATCATGTAAAACTGAAATTCTATACCTATTAAACATAACTCCCCACTTCCCAATTCCCCCAGCCCCTGGCAGCTACCATTCTACTGTCTTTTTCTATGATTTTGACTATTCTAAGTACCTCATATAAGTGGAATCATACAGTATTTGTCTTTTTATGACTGGCTTATTTCACTTAGCATAATGTCTTCAAGGTTTATCCATGTTGTAGCATGTGCCAGAATTTCCTTCCTTTTTAAGGCTGTATAATATTCCATTGTAATGGACAGACCACATTTTGCTTACCCATCTATCTGTTGATGGACATTTGGATTGCTTCTACATTTCAGCATTTGTGAATAATGCTGCTATAAACATGGGTATATAAATATCTCTTCAGGACCCTGCTTTCAGTTCTTTGGGGTATATACCCAGAAATGGAATTGTTGAATTGTATGACAATCCTATTTGTAATTTTTAAAGGAACTGCCATGCTGTTTTCCACAGTGACTGTATCATTTTATATTCCCACCAACAGTGTATAAGGGTTCCAATTTCTCCACATCCTTACCAACACCTTTTACTTTCTGTTTGTTTGTTTGTTTGTTTGCTTGCTTTTGTTTTTTTGAGACAGAGTCTCCCTCTGTTGCCCAGGCTGGAGTTCAGTGGTGTAATCTCAGCTCACTGCTACCTCCATCTCCCAGGTTCAAGTGATTCTCCTGCCTCTGTCTGCTGTGTAGCTGGGACCATAGGTGCAAGCCACCACAGCCGGCTAATTTTTGTATTTTTAGTAGAAACGGGGTTTTGCCAGGCTGGTCTTGAACTCCTGACCTCAGGCGATCCACCTGCTTTGGCCTCCAAAAGTTCTGGGATTACAGGCATGAGCCACCGCACCCAGCCCTACTTTCTGTTTTTTTAAATAGTAGCCACCCTAGTAGGTGTGAGGTGTTATATCATTGTAATTTTGATTTGCATTTCCCAAATGATTAATGATATTGAGCATCTTTTCATGTGCTTATTGGCCATCTATATATCTTCTTTGGAGAATGTTATGTTTTGTTCTGAATTATTTTAAATGATACTTTATTTTCAATTGTGAAAATGTTCACATGTTCATTGCCAGTATATAAAAATACAATTGATTTTTAATGTTATTCTTGAACACTGTCTTTGCTGAAATCACTTATCAGTTCTAGTAGGTTTTTGTTTTGTTTTGTTTTGTTTTGTTTGTAAATCCCTTAGGATTTTCTACATATACTACCATGCCATCAACAAATAGGGACAGTTTGAAAGAATTCCTTCCAATCTGTATGCCTTATATTCCTTTTTCTTGCCTTATTGTGCTGGCTAGAACTTCCAGTACTATGTTGAATATGAGTAGTGAGAGTGGCCATTTTTGGCTTCTTCCCTATCCTAAGGGGAAAGCATTCAGTCTTTTGTTGTTTTTGTTGTTTTTTAGATGGAGTCTCGCTCTGTTGCCCAGGCTGAAGTGCAGTGGTGCAATCTCGGCTCACTGCAACCTTCACCTCCCGGGTTCAAGTGATTCTTCTGCCTCAGCCTCCTGAGTAGCTGGGATTACAGGCATGTGCCACCATGCCCGGCTAATTTTTGTATTTTTAATAGAGACGGGGTTTCACCATATTGGCCAGGCTGGTCTTGAACTCCTGACCTCATGATCCGCCCACCTCAGCCTCCCAAAGTGCTGGGATTACAGGCGTGAGCCACCACGCCCGGCCAGCATTCGGTCTTTTATCATTAAGTATTATATTAACTGTAGGGTTTTTGTAGATGCTCTCTATCAAGTTGAAAAAGTTCCCCTCTATTCCTAATTTGCGTAGAGTTTTCTGATTATCATAAGTGGGTATTGAATTTTGTCAAATGCTTTTTCTTTATCAATTGATGTGGTCACATGAGTTTTCTTCTTTAGCTTAGTAATATGATGAATTCTGTTAAGTAGTTTTAGCAAATTGAACCAGCCTTGCACCCCAGGAATAAAGTCTACTTTATCATGTTGTATAATTCTTTTTATATATTGTTGAATTTTATTTGCTAATATTTAGTTAAGAACTTTTGCATGTATATTCATGAGGAAAATTGGTCTGTAATATCTTTTTTTTTGTACTATGTTTGTCTAGTTTTCTTACCAGGATAATAGCTTCATAAAATGAATTGAGAAGTGTTCCATCCTCTTCTATTTTCTAAAGCAGATTGTTTAGAATTAGTTTAATTCTTTTAAATTTGGTAGAATTTTCCAGTGGAATCATCTGATATTTCTTTTTTGGGAGAAGTTAAATTACAAATTCAATTTCCTTAATATATAGAGATTCAAACTATATATTTCATATTGGGTGAGTTGTTTTAGTTTGTTATTTTTGATTAATTGGTCTATTTCCTCTAAGTTGTCAAATTTATGTGTAGAGTTGTTCATAGTATTCCCTTATTTTACTTTTGATGTCTGCAGGGTCTATAGTGATAGCCCCTATTTCATTTCTGATATAGTGATAGCCCCTATTTCATTTCTGATATTGGTAATTTTATCTTTTTCTTTCTTTGTCAATCTTGATAGAGATTTGTCAATTTTATTGATGATTTCAAAGAGCAAGCTCTGTGTTTCATTGATTTTCTCTATTGTTTTGCTGTTTTCAATTTCATTGATTTCTGCTCTTATCTTTATTACGCATCTCCTTTTGCTTGGTTTGGGTTTATTTTGCTTTTCTTTTTCTATATTTTTTTTCTCATAGCCACTACCAGGACCCATTTTTCTAAATTCTTGAGGTATATTCTGCTCTTGTTGAGTAGAGTATTCTATACACGTTGATTAGACCCTGTTGGTTGATGATATTGTTGAGCTTTTCTATATCCTTGCTGATTTTCTGGCTAGTTGTACTATCAGTTGTTGAGAGAGGGATGTTGACGTCTGTAATTGTGAATTTGCATATTTCTCCTTTCAGTTCTATCAGATCTTGATTCACATACTTTGCTGCTCTGTTACTTAGTGCAAACACATTTTAGGAGTGCTATGTCCTTTTGGTGTACTGACCCATTTATCATTATATAATGTCCTTTTCTGTCTGTGGTAACTTTCTTTTCTTTGCAGTCTACTTTATCTGATATAATAGAGCTTTTCCTATTTCGTCGTGATTAATGCTTGTATTATACATCTTTTTCCATCCTTTTACTTTCAATCTGCCTTTATCATTATATTGTAAATAAGCTTCTTATAGACAGTATATAGCTGGGTCATGCTTTTTGATCCACTCTGCCAAAGTTGTATATTTAGACAATCTACATTAAATATAATTATATTTGCTACTTTATTTCTTGTTTTCTGTTTGTTATTTCTCCTTTTCATTTTCTATTTTCTTTCTCCTGCCTTCCATATTGATTTATTTATAGTGTTCTTTAGTGTATCTCTTTGTATTGTTTTCTTATTGATTTCTCTAGGAATTACATTATACATACATATCTATCACGGTCTACTTGGCTCATCACTTTGCCAGTTTGAGTGAAGCATAGAAATCTAACCTCTATGTCTATTTATTCTCCCCCATTTATATAATTGTCTTGAAATTTCTTCCAGAGCCATTTAAAACTATATCAGTGTTATATTTTTTGCTTAAACTGTCAAATATGATTTATAAAACCCAGAAGGAGAAGGAAAGTCTATTGTATTTACCCAGATCTTTTGCTTGTCATGTTCTCTCTTCCTTCTCATGTTCCAAGGTTACTTCTTTTATCATTTCCTTTTTGTTTAATGAACTTCCTTTAGCCATTATTTAGAGTAGATCTGCTGGTAACAAATTATCTTAGTTTCCCTATATTTGAGAATGTCTTTATTTCCCCTTCATTCCTGAAGGATATTTTCACTGGATATAGAAATGCAGGTTGAGGCTGGGCGCAGTGGCTCACATCTGTAATCCCAGCACTTTGGGAGGCCAAGGTGGGCGAATCACTTGAGGTCAGGAGTTTGAGACCAGCCTGGCCAACATGGTGAAACCTCGTCTCTACTAAAAATACAAAAATTATCCGGGTGTGGTGGCAGGCACCTGCAGTCCCAGCTACTCGGGAGGCTGAGGCAGGAAAATCATTTGAACCCGGGAGGCGGAGGTTGCAGTAAGCCGAGATTGCACCACTGCACTCCAGCCTGGGTGGCAGAGCAAGATTCCATCTCAAAAAAAAAAAAAAGAAAAGAAAAGAAATGCAGGTTGACAATTCTTTTCTTTTAGTACTTGAAAGATATTGTGCCACTTCCTTCTACTCTGTCTCCTAATGTGAAATCCTGTTATTCGCTTGTTTTTCTCTTGCCATAAGATGTCATTTCTCTTTTGATGCCTTCATAATTTTTTCTTTGTCTTTAGTTTACAGAAGTTTGATTATATGTGTCTCAGTTTGAATTTCTTTGGGTTTATTCTGTTTAGAGTTCACTCAGCCTCTTGAATCTATAGGTTTATGTCTTTTGCCAAATTGGGGTGTTTTTAGCCATTATTTCTTTGAATACTTTCTTAGCCCTACCCTCTTTATCCTCTCCTTTTGGGTCTTCAGTAATAACAATGCTAGATCTTTTGTTAAAGTCCCACATGTTCCTGAGGCGCTGTTTATTTATTTATTTATTCTATATTTTATTCGTGTCAAGTGTGCTTGTAATTGCTCATTGCATTATTTTTATGATGGCTGCTTTAAAATTTGTGTCAGAAAATTTTATCTCATGTTTCATCTCAGTGTTGGCATCTAAAGATTATCTTTGTTCATTCAGTTTGAGATTTTCCTTGTTTCTAGTGTAATGAGTGATTTTTGATTGAAATTTGGACACTTTGGGTATTATGTTATGACTCTGTGTCTTATTTAAACCTGATGTTTTAGCTGGCTTTTTGGACACTACATTGGCAAGGGAAGGGGGTGGGGTGTCCCCTCATTACTGCCAGGTCAGCAGAGAAAGTCTATTCAGCCTCTGTTGACATCTCGGGGGGTGTTCTTTATTGTTGCTGGGTGGGGTGGGAGTTCAGGCTCCTCACTAGGCCTCCACTGACACCTCAGGGAGAGGATGGCATCAATACTGCTGAGCAATGGTGAAAGTCCTGACTTTCTACTATGCTTCTTCTGATACTGCCCAAGGAGGAAGGATGCGGGCTGGAAGTACAGGTTGCCTATGTGGTTTCCTCATCACTACCCAGCAGGGATAAATGTACTGGCTCCATACTTGGCCTTCTCTGAAGATATCCCAGTGGGTGGGTTAGGGCACATTGCTATAGCCTGGCGAGTGGAATTCTAGGCTCCCCACTTGGCCTCTGCTGGTATGAATGAGGATGGGGCTACATTTTTTTTTTTTCCTGTGGTGTTTAGTCAGAGCAGAGCAGTTTCTGTCTAAAAGTTTTCTCTTTTCTTGTGTTGTTCCTTTCTTGGCCCTTTGGCCAGATAGAGCAGTTTTTGTTAGGTCTTTTTTAGTTTGCACTTATTGATATTTCCAAGTGCCATCTTCTTCAAAGTCTCCTCCTTTCAAAGAAAGTGCCTCCTTTCAAAGTCTTCTTATGTTTATTTCATATATAATGTCCAGAGTTTTTCATTGTACTTAGTAGGAGGAGTAAGGAAAAGTATGCCTGCTTCTTCTTGGAAGCCAGAATTTCCAAGTTTTAAAGACTTGTTATTAAATCATACCATACATATGGAAAAGGGCACATATCTTAAGCATACAGGACAATGAAGCTTTACCAACAATACACCCATGTAACTAGAACGCAGATCAAGAAACCGAACACAACCAATACCTTTCAGAAGCTTCCTTATGTTCCCTCTGATCACAAGCCCCCCACCCCTGCAAAGTTAACCACTATCCTAATTCCTGACAGTATAGATTAGTGCTCTCTATCTTTGTGCTTTATATAATGGGCCCCTTTAAAATATGTAAATACCCTTGGGAGATTTAATGTCCTAAGATGTCATTGACCAACACCTTACAATGAATTAATTTATCATATAATTTTATTTACATTTGATAACAATACATTTATTAATAACATTATAAAACACATTAAAGTTATAATAACCTTTCTCATGCTTCATATCATTTGATTCTTACAAATGCCTATGAAATAGATTGTATTATTAACCTCATTTAAGGTGAGAAAATTTAGGCTCAAAGAAGTTAAACGATTTGTCTAAGGTCACCCAAGTAACAGGCAGAAAGATTTGGCAGCCCTGGAAGAAAGGGACCTTCTTTGTCCACCTGTCCATGCATCAATTTCAGAGAAGAATCTGATTGGCTCTGGTTTAGTCTTCTGACCACTAAATGTCAAGGGCGGGAAAGGACACTGATTGACCTAGCCATCATAGTCATGTGGAGTCAGGGAGGGGATCTTCAAGTGACCCAGAGGAGGGATTGAGAAAGCAAGCTAGAAAGACAAAACTTCACTTACCACAGCCCCTAGTGGGAACAAAAACAATTATTCCTATTTCTTGATTTTTATGGACATGTTAAAATAATCAAAACTCCTGTGTCTTTTTTTTTTTTTTGCCTCATTCTCTGTGTCCACATATGACTCATTTTAAGAGTTTAGAATCACATTTTGTATTACCTGGAATGGATTGGAATGGAAGAGACTCTTTATCCTCTTAGTATATAGATGAGGGAAAGGAGGATGATAAGACAGTATTTTGCCCAATTTCATATACATACTTGTTTTATGTTTTTTCCTCCACATTCATGTATCATAAGAATAACTTCATGAAATTAACAATTTAATGAAAAAAATTATTCTCTAACCCCAATGCCCCAACATATTTTCATGTGTCTTCCAGTCTTTGTCAAGTTATCTATTTATCTATAATTATATACTTACATATAAATACCATCAAGCCTGGTTAATTTCTTATGTTTTTGTAGGGACAGGGTCTCGCCATGTTGAGCAGGCTGGTCTCGAATTCCTGGCCTCAAGTGATCCTCCCACCTCGGCCAAAGTGCTGGGATTACAGTCATGAGCCACTGCGCCCAGCCACTCACTGATTGTTTTGATCCTAGCGGAAAAGCATTCAAAGCAAAACCTCTCAGGGACATCAACATTTGAGAAGGAGACCCTTTTAAGACAGAAAAGTGTTCCTGAACTGGAGAGAGGAAATCTGCTCTTAGAAGGCCCTCTACTAAAAGACAGACTTTGCCATAGTGCTGGTGTTGCAAAGCCAGTAAGACAGTCCCCACCCCCAAAGAGCTCAAGTTTCTGGTTTCATTTCATGCACCTTTAGTAACCTCCAGCTAAATGCAGGCTGCCCCCCCTCTGCCTAGAATAATAAGGGGTTCTTGGACTCTCCATCAATAGGTCCTGTCAGACAAGCCATCTGTATCATTCCAGGTCCTGGCAGGAAACAGATGGCACCCTCAGATTGAGTAAATTGAGAAGAGTTTAATAAAGAGACTATTTACAAAGGAATATCAGGGTATAGGGAAACCACAGGCCAGAAGGAGCAGAAGGAGAGAGCAATCACTGGAAACTGGAGAGAGAAAATCCTGTGAAGAGGGCCTCTTGACAGGAGCTGTGGCTTTTGGTCCAGGGACACAGCCAGCCAGCTCTCAAGAAGGTATTTGGGGGAAATAAATACTCTGACCTCTCTCCTTTCGGTTTTCCACCTCCTGCTGGTAGCCAAGGTCAACTGGAAGGCAGAGGGCATAGAAACCGTTTGATGGAGTTCATCCAGGCCCGCCTCTAGGAGCATAGAGTGGGTGGAGAAGGGTGGGGTGGGTCTGGAGGGGTCAAAGGAAGCCATGTGGTCCACCATGTGATTTTGGAAATACTCTGCTGCAGTTCTTTGTCCAGGTTGGTTGCTATCAGCACTTCTGGTGGGGTTGGGGGTGGAGGTGGGGGGTTGGGGTGGCCTCTTCCTGAGTATTTCTAGCAGGAGGTAGAGCAACTTACCTGGTCCTGTTCTGCCTGGGTTGTAGGCTCTCTGTTCATCTGCAGTGCCCACAAAAGGCAGTGTCATCCACGAAAGAGGATGCCTGCTCTGAGCCCCAGCCTCTAGGCAGGGGGCTACCTTCCCATACCTGTCCTGCCAGTCTTCTTTTTCTTTTTCTTTTTCTTCTCTTTTTTTCTTTTCTTTTTCTTTTTTTTTTTTTTTTTTTTTTTTCTTTTGGTGGAGTCTCATTCTGTAGCCCAGGCTGGAATGCAGTGGCACGATTTCTGCTCACTGCAACCTCTGCCTCCTGGGTTCAAGAGATTCTCCTGCCTCAGCCTCCCGAGTAGCTGGGGCTACAGGTGCGTGCCACCACGCCTGGCTACTTTTTGTATTTTTAGTAGAGATGGAGTTTTACTATGTTGGCTAGGCTGGTCTCAAATTCCTGGCCTCAAGTGATCCGCCCACCTTGGCCTCCCAAAATGTTGGGATTACAGGTGTGAGCCACCGTGCCTGGCCATGCCAGCCCTATTTCTTGTCCCCTGCCATGCCTTGAATGGCTAGTTGCCTCTACAAGTGGGCTGCTACACACCCTCAGCATTGCCGGTCCCCTGGATCATTCACAGCCCCACCTGGTTCCCTCAGGTTCCCCGCGGCTACCAGAAGTGAGGACACACAACCCCTGTGTCTGTGAGGACTTCACCTAGGCCATTGACCTACCTGGGGTCCCTGTGCTCACTCCACCTCCATGCTCCAGCTGGCCTTTGCTCCCTCTCCCACTGGCCAGCTCAGTTCCTCTTTATTCCTAGCCTGCAATGTAGGATCTGCTACAGTAGAAGGCCTTTCCTTTGAAGATAAAAGTTAACCAATGTGCAATTTAATAAACCAGGATGTTAATTTATAATCAGAAACAAGACACTGGGTTCTTGCAGCTGCTTTACTGGAACTCTCTCTCCATGTAAGACATGAGGGAGGTTAAAGGAAGATTGGGAGGCTGGGCGTGGTGGCTTATACCTGTAATCCCTGCACTTTGGGAGGCTGAAGCAGGATCATCACTTGAGGCAAGGAGTTCAAGACAAGCCTGGACAATATAGTGAGACCCTGTCTCTACAAAAAAATAAATAAATACAAATAAAGGAAGGTTGGGGGGCTGGAGTGGATGAGAGACTTTCTTTTTACTCTGTATTCAGTTTTAGTGTTTAAAGGTTGCTTTTACAACCAAGTTTATATTTTACTTTAATGTTTTTGTTTTTGTTTCTTGAGACGGAGTTTCACTCTTGTCGCCCAGGCTGGAGTGCAGTGGTGTGACCTCAGCTCACTGCAATCTCCACCTCCCAGGTTCAAGCGATTTTCCTACCCCAGCCTCCCAAGTAGCTGGGATTACAGGCTTGTGCCACCATGCCTGGCTAATTTTTTTGTATTTTTAGTTGAGACGGGGTTTTACCATGTTGGCTAGTCTGGTCTCAAACTCCTGACCTCAGGTGATCCACCTGCCTTGGCTTTTCAAAGCACTGGGATTACAGGCATGAGCCCCCACACCCGGCCTACTTTAAAATTTTTATAACACTATTTTTAAAAAGAATTGGAACTAATTGTAACCAGTAACTCTGAGTGGTACGAATAATAGAAGCACAGTACACATTGTAGACACAAATCACAAAAATGATGAGAAGGGCAAGGCCACTGAAGATGGACTTGAAATTTCTGCTCAAGGTAGCCCCTGCTTCAGTGAGGATAGAACCATGTACGTTTCCCTAGTTATGTGAGGAGTTTGTGTGGAAACCTGAGTTAACTACTATGGCATGTTTGATTTATCTCCATGATGGTCTGGCATCCTGCAGACGTAGGTGCTCTGGGATGCTGTCCAGTTGGCTTGCCCCTACCTGGCTCTCACTGTGTCCTTACCACTTGCTGGGAGATCCCATGGCTGCATTGGAGCTTCCATGTGTTTCATTTGATAATTGATGTTGAGGACTGACAGGTAGAGGAGTTGATATTTATACTTTGGGGTCATTTAGATATTTGTTGAGAATGAGGGCCAGGCATGGTGGCTCACGCCTGTAATCCCAGCACTTTGGGAGGCCAAGGCAGGCAGATCGCTTGAGGTCAGGAGTTTGAGACCAGCCTGGCCAACATGGTGGAAACCCTGTCTCTACTAAAAATACAAAAACTAGCTGGGTGTGGTGGCATGCGCCTGTAGTCCCAGTTACTTGGGAGGCTGAGGCAGGAGAATTGCTTGAACCTGGGAGGCGAAGGTTGCAGTGAGCAGAGATTGTGCCACTGCACTCCAGCCTGGGGGACAGAGCAAGACTCTATCTAAAAAAAAAAAAGAATGAGGCCATTCCTAACCAAAACTCTGAAGCACGTAGTTTGTTTCTGCTGTCCTTCCACCTTCCTTGACTACCCCACCTACCTGGGAGGTCCATCCTGGGGACAGTGGGGTACAATTATGAGCAACCATAGGCCTATGCTGAGGGCCTCTGGAGAAACTCACCTCTTCCTCCCTCTCCTCTTCATCACCTGGCTGAAGCTCTGGGTACTGGCCTCCCAAGGTGAACGTAAGAAAGAGGCTCTCAAGTGTTGGTTGAAACTTGAACACAGCTGGCTTCCTGAGCTGAGGGAGATATTAAGATGTGTAAGATATTTAACTGTTAACTAGGGATCTCTGTAGATTTGTGTGAGGAACAATAACCCAACTCTATAATAATCTCCAATAAAGCTTTGAAAAACAAGACCAGTAATAACTTACTAGTATCTTGCCCTAATGGATATTAAAACTCTCTATAAAGCTATTGTAATCAAAAAAGTAGGACATTGGAGAATAGATCAGTGAAATAGAATAAAGAAGAAAGAAACTGATTTTATCAGAACTTAATACAGTGTATAATAAAGGTGGCATTTCAATTCAGTAATGGCTTATTTAATAAATGGTGCTAGAATAATTGCCTAGCACATGAAAAACACAAAGACAAACTCCTATTTAATTCATCTTTAATTACAGAAGATACAAAGGTAAAGTAAAAAAATTTAGGAGAATATTTATGTAATATTTAGCTAGGAAGACCTTCTTAAATAACACAAGAAACTCAGAAACATAAAAGAAAAAAAAAGATTGATAATATAGACAATTAAAATTTTTCAGTTGCACAAGACACCATGAAAAGTCAAAGGACAACTAAGAAGCTGTGAGAAAATAGTCGCAATTAATGATAGATAAAGGATTAATATCTATAATATTAGAATTAATATCAATATTCATAATATTAAGTTGAAATGTATAAAATTGCTGATAGTCAACTGTTTTTGACCAAAAGAAATGGCAATTTTCATGCCAACCCAACACATAGTGCTTCTATATATTGATAAGAAAAAGATAATCCAACAGAAAAAAGGTGAAGACTATAAATTATAAACAGGTAATTCTTAGAACAGAAAATGCAGATAACTGATTTATAAAACACGTGATTATAAATATGTGAATATATATGTTAAAATAATAGCAGAAGGATGACTACTACTAAAAAAAAAAAAAAGAAAAGAACGCAACAGATGGCTACTATCAAAAAAAAAAACAGAAGATAACGAGTGTTGGCAAGGATATGTAGAAATCCCTTGTGCACTGTTGGTGGGAATGTAAAATGGTGCAGCTGCTATGGAAAACAGTATGGCGGTTCCTCAAAAAAATAAAAAATAGAATTACACATGATCCAGCAATTCTACTTCTGGGTATATACTCAAAACAATTGAAAGCGGAGTCTCAAAAATTTATTTGTACACCCATGTTTATAGCAGCATTAGTCAGGATAGCCAAAAGGTGGAAGCAACCCAAATGTCCACTGACAAATGAATGAGTAAACAAAATATGATATAGATACACAATGGAATATTATTCAGCCTTAAAAAGAAAGTAAAGTCTGACTCATGCTATGACATGGATGAACACTGAAGACATGCTACGTGAAAGAAGCTAGTCACAAAAAGACAAATATTGTATGGTTCCATTTATATGGGGTACCTAGAGTAGTCAAATTCATAGAGACAGAAAGTAGAATGGTGGTTGCCAAGGGCCAAGGGGGGTGGGGAATGGAGAGTTATTATTTAATGGGTGGAGAGTTTCAACTTTGCAAGATTAAAAAGGGTTCTGGAGATTGGTTGCATAACACTGTAAATGTACTTAACACTGCTGAACTGTACACTTAAAAATTAAGATGGTTAATTTTATGTTATGACAATTAAAAATTTTTGAAAAGCACACACAAAAATAATAGGATAACACTTTTCATCCATAAGGCAAAATTTAGAACTAATTTTGACAGTGATGTGGGAAAGTTTGTAGTTTCTTTAATTTCTGTTGGAGAATTGCTATAGCATTTTAAGAAAGTAATTTGGTAGGATCTATTAAAATCAAAGATGCACATATTCTTTGACACAGTAATCCCACTTTTGGGACTCTAGCCTATAGAAATACTTGTACCAATACATAAGTATATATGTGTAAAGATGTTTTTTGCATTGGTCATAACTGGAAATAATCTCCCCACCAAAAACGGGCAAATGGTTGGATATTACACAACTATTTATTTATTTATTTTTAAATTTTATTTTATTTTAAGTTCCGGGATACATGTTTAGGACGTGCAGGTTTATTACATAGGTAAACATGTGCCATGGTGGTTTGCGGCACCTATCAGCCCATTACCTAGGTATTAAGCCCCACATGCATTAGCTGTTTCTCCTGATGCTCTCCCTCCCCTCGCCCCCATGACAGGCCCCAGTGTGTGTTGTTTCCCTCCCTGTGTCCATGTGTTCTCATTTTTCAGCTCCCACTTATAAGTGAGAACACATGATGTTTGGTTTTCTGTTCCTGTATTAGTTTGCTGAGAATAATGGCTTCCAGCTCCATCCATGTCCCTGCAAAGGACATGATCTCATTCCTTTTTATTACCCAACTATTTAAAAGAAAGAGAAATAGCTATAAGGATTGACCTGGAGAGATAAGTATGAGATATTATTTTATTAATAATAATATGACATATTATTGTCAGATAATAAGCAAGTTCCACAGAAAAGCATATAGTATGATTCCACTGGTTTGAAAAGCAAATTTAAAAATCCCTATAATCTGTTTATATATTGTGATGGTTAATTTTGTGTATCATCTTGGCCAGGTTATGGTGCCAAGTTGTTTGCTCAAACACCAGTCTAGATGTTATTGTAAAGATATGTTTTTAGATGTGACTAACATTTAAATCACTAGAGTTTGAATAAAGCAGACTACCTCTATAATGTAGGTGGGCCTCATCTAATCAGTTGAAAGCCTTAAAAACAATGACTGGGGTTCACTGAAGGAGGAGGAATTCTCAAGGCTGCAACATCAACTCTTACCTGAATTCAGATTTCAGACTTGCCAACCCCCACAATCTCATGAGCCAATCCCTTAGAATAAACCACCTCTGGTGAGAAACTCAAAGCTTTCCCAGTAAGACTGGGAAGAAGGCAAGAATGTCCCCTCTTACCACTGCTTTTCAATGTTGTAATGGAGGTCCTAGCTAATGCAATAAGACAAGAAAAAAACGGAAAAGATATACAGATTGACAAGGAAGAAATAAAGCTGTCTTTGTTCACAGATGGCATGGTCATCTATGTAGAAAATTCAAGAGAGTTGACAAACACTCTTGGAATTAAGAAGTCATCATAGAAAAGTTGGTGCCGGTGACTGGAGGCTGCAGTGGCAAGTGGGTCCCTGTGGGCTAGAAGAACCCTGCAAAAATGTCTCTCTATCCATCTCTTGAAAACTTGAAGGTAGACAAAGTAATTGGGGCTCAAACTACTTTTTCTACAAACTCTGCCAATCCAGCAATTTTGTCAGAAGCTTCTGCTCCCATCTCTCAAAATGGAAATCTCTATCCCAAATTATATCCAGAGCTCTCTCAATACATGGGCCTGAGTTTAAATGAAGAAGAAATATGTGCAAATGTGGCCATGGTTTCTGGTGCACCAATTCAGGGGCAGTTGGTAGCAAGACCTTCCAGTATGAACTATATGGTGGCTCCTGTAACTGGTAATGATGTTGGAATTCACAGAGCAGAAATTAAGCAAGGGATTTGTGAAGTCATTTTGTGTAAGGATCACAATGGAAAAATTGGACTCAGGCTTAAATCAATAGATAATGGTATATTTGTTCAGCTAGTCCAGGCTAATTCTCCAGCCTCATTGGTTGGTCTGAGAATTGAGGACCAAGTACTCCAGATTAATAGTGAAAACTGTGCAGGGTAGAGCTCTGATAAAGCACACAAGGTGCTCAAACAGAATTTTGGAGAGATTACCATGACCATTCATGACAGGCCGTTTGAATGGACGATTACCATGCATAAGGATAGCACTGGACATGTTGGTTTTATCTTTAAAAATGGACAAATAACATCCATAGTGAAAGATAGCTCTGCAGCCAGAAATGGTCTTCTCACAGAACATAACATCTGTGAAATCAATGGACAGAATGTCATTGAATCGAAGGACTCTCAAACTGCAGACATACTGTCAACATCTGGGACTGTAGTTACTATTACAATCATGCCTGCTTTTATCTTTGAACATATTATTAAGCAGATGGCACCAAGCATTATGAAAAGCCTAATGGACCACACCATTTCTGAGGTTTAAAATTCACGGCACCATGGAAATATAACTGAACGTCTCCAGTTTCCTTCTTTGGCAACTTCGGTATTATGCACATGTAGCTTTCCCAGAGCCAGCGAGCATATGCTGCATGAGGACCTTTCTATCTTTTTTTTTTTTCTTTTTTGAGATGGAGTCTCGCTCTGTCGCCCAGGCTGGAGTGCCAGTAGCACGATCTCGGCTCACTGCAACCTCTGCCTCCCAGGTTCAAGTGATTCTCCTGCCTCAGCCTCCCTAGTAGCTGGGATTACAGGCGTGCACCACCACACCTGGCTAATTTCTGTATTTTTAGTAGGGACGGGGTTTCACCATGTTTGTCAGGCTGGTCTCAAACTCCTGACTTCATGATCCGCCCGCCTCGGCCTCCCAAAGTGCTGGGATTACAGTCATGAGCCACCGCACCTGGCCTTCTATCTTACATTATGATTGGGAATCTTACTATTTCATCTGATACCTTGTTCAGATTTCCAAATAGTTGTAGCCTTATCCTGGTTTTACAGAGGTGAAACTTTCAAGAGATTTACTGACTTTCCTAGAATAGTTCCTCTACTGGAAACCTGATGCTTTTTTAAGCCATTGTGATTAGGATGACTGATACAGGTTTAGCTTTGTGTGAAAACCAGTCACCTTTCTCCTAGGTAATGAGTAGTGCTGTTCATATTACTTTAGTTCTATAGCATATTTGCATTTTTAACATGCTACCATAGTACCTTTAGAATGATTGCCTTTGATTTTTTAAAAAATTCTGTTTGTGTGTGTGTGTGTGTGTAACATGCCAATTAAGAACACTGGTTTCATTCCATGTAAGCATTAAACAGTGTATGTAGGTTGCAAGAGATTATGATGGTTGTTCTTAAATTTTAACTACCTTCACTTAAAAGGCCACAGCTTGAACTGTTGCCTTAATTATGTTAAGCATCTAGACTAAAAGCCAAAATATAATTATTGCTGCCTTTTTAAAACCCAAAATGTAGTTCTCTATTAACCTGAAATGTACACTAGCCATTAAATGTATTAACCTGAAATGTACACAGAACAGTTTAATGGTACTTACTGAGCTATAGCATAGCTGCTTAGTTGTTTTTGAGATTTTTTAGTCAATGCATAATGGAAACTTCTTTCTACTAAAAGTTGCCAGTACCACTTTGTGAGAAGCAAATCACTATATATTTAATGTAAAAATTATTACACTAAATAGGATAAACTTTTGACTCCTCTTTTGTTCATTTGTGGATTAAGTGGTATAAGACTTAATTTTGGCATTTGACTCTTAAGATTATGTAACCTAGCTACTTCAGGACGGTCTTAGGATATTTTTCTGGTAATTTGTTCCATTCCCTGATTCCTCCTTGCAAACAAAATGATAGCGACACTTTATTCTGATTTTTTTCTTCTTTTTGGTTTATGTCTATTCTAATTAAATATGTATACATAAAGTTAAAAAAAGTCATCATATCAAGGTTGCAGGATATAAAGTTAATATACAAAAGTCAATTGCTTTCCTAATACATCAAAAATGAACAAGTGGAATTTGAAACTTAAAATATACATTTACATTAGCACCCCCAAAAATGAAATACTTCAGGATAAATTTAACAAAATATCTATAAGATACATATGAGGAAAGCCATAAAACTCTGACAAAGGTATGAGTATCAAGGAAAAACTAAATAAATGGGGAGCTATTCCATGTTCATGGGTAGTAAGACTCAATATTGTCAAGATGGCAGTTCTTCCCAACTTGATCTATAGATTTAATGCAATCACAATCAAAATCCCAGCAATTTATTTTCTAGAGACTGACAAACTAATTCTAAAGTTTATACAGAGAAACAAAATACCAAGGATAGCCAACCCAGTGTTGAAGGAGAAAAACAAAGTTGAAATACTGACACTACCCAACTTAAAGACTTACTATAAAGCTACAGTAAGCATGTGGTATGGATGAAAGAATAGGCAAATAGATCAATGGAACAGAAGAGAGAGTCCAGAAATAGACCCACATAAATACAACTGATTTTTGAGGGAGCAAAAGCACTACAGTGGAGAAAAGGTAAACATTTCAACAAATGGTGCTGAAACAACTAGATATCCACATGCAAAAAAATGACTCTAGACACAGACCTTACACTCTTCCACTCAAACTGGATCACAAATCTAACTGTAAAATACAAAACTATAAAACTCCTAGAAGATAACTTTGGAGAAAATCTAAATAACCTTGGATTTGGTGATGACTTTTTAGATACAACACCAAAGGCATGACCCATGAAATAACTTCATGGACTTCATTAAAATTAAAAATTCCTGCTCTGCAAAATACACTATCGAAACAATAAAAAGACAAACCACAGACTGGGAGAAAATATTTGCAAAAGGCATATCTGATAAGGGGTTGTTATCGAAAATATACAAGGTAAAAAACTCAACAATAAGAAAAGAACCAGATCAAAAAATAAGTGAAAGACTTTAACTGACACCTCACCAAAGATAGGTGGCAAATAAGCATATGAAAAGATGGTTTCGTTTCCTGTGGGGAGCCAAAAAAATTAAGAAAACAAAAAAAAATTTTTTAAAGATTCTTGCATTGTATGTCATCAGGGAAATGCAAATTAAAACAAGATACTAGTACATATGTATTAGAATCGCCAAAATCCAGATTAAAGATTTAAATCTAAGACCTCAAATTATAAAAATCCTAGATGAAAACCTAGGAAATGTTATTCTGGATATCAGCCTTGGCAAAGAATTTATGACTAAGTCCTCCAATTGCAACCAAAACAAAAAATGACAAGCGGGACCTAATTAAACTAAAGAGGCTTGGAAAGCAAGAGAAACTATCAGCAAAGTAAACAGACAACTCACAGAATGGGAGAAAATATTTGCAAACTCTGCATCCAACAAAGGCCAAATACCCAGAGTTTATAAGGATCTTAAACAACTCAACAAGCAAAAACCAAATAACCCTATTAAAAATTGGGCAAAGGACATTAAGAGACACTTCTCAAAAGACAACATGCATGTGGCCAAGAAACATATAAAAAATTGCCCAACATCACCAATCATCAGAGAAATGCAAACCAAAACCAAAATGAGATACCATCTCACACTAGTCAGGATGATGATTATTAAAAAGACAAAAAATAACAGATGCTGGCAAAGCTGCAGAGAAAAGGGAATGCTTATATACTGTTGACGGGAATGTGAATTAGTTCAGCCACTGTGGAAAGCAGTTTGGAGAATTCTCTAAGAGCTAAAAACAGAACCACTGTTCAACCCAGAAATCCCATTACTGGATATATACCCAAAGGAAAATAAATTGTTCTACAAAAAAGACACATGTACTTGAACGTTCATCAAAGCACTATTCACAGAATCAAACTAGATGCCCATCAGCAGTGGATTTGATAAAGAAAATGTAGTACATATACACCATGGAATACTATGCAGCTATAAAGAAGAACAAGATCATGTCCTTTGCAGCAACATGATTGGAGCTGGAGGCCATTGTCCTAAGCGAATTATCACAGGAACAGAAAACCAAATACTGCACATTCTCACTTATAATTGGAAGGTGAACATTGAGTACACATGAACACAAAGAGGGGACCAACAGAACTGAGGACTACTAGAGGGAGGAGGGGAGAAGGGAGCAAGGGCTGAAAAATACCTATTGGGTACTATGCTCATTACCTGGGTGATAGGATCATTTGTACCCCAATCCTCAATGTCACACAACATATTCATGTAACAAACCTGCACATGTATCCCCTGAATCTAAAATAAAAGTTGAAATTATAAAAAAAAAAAAAAGAAATTCCCACAGCCACCCAACCTTCAGCAACCACCACCCTGCTCAGTCAGCAGCCATCAACATAGAAACAAGACCCTCCATCAGCGAAACAATTGCAACTCACTAAAGGCTCAGATGATTGTTAGTATTTTCTTTTCTTTTTTCTTTTCTTTTTTTTTTTAAGAGACAGAGTCTCACCATATTGCCCAGGCTAGTCTTGAACTCCTAGCCTCAAGCCATCTTCCTGCCTTGATCTCCCAAGTGCTGGATTACAGGCATGAGCCACAGCTCCCAGCCATCGTTAGCATTTTTAATAGTAAAATATTTTTTAAATTAAGGTATGTACTTTTTTTAGACATAATGCTATTGCACACTTAATAGACTACAGTATAGCATAAACACAACTTTTATATACACTGGGGAACCGAAAAATCTGTGTGACTCTTTTTATTGTGATATTTACTTTATTGCAGTGGTCTGGAACCACACTTATAATATTTCTGAGGTAGGTCGGTAAATAAGTTACTTTTGAACAAAAATAATGACAAGCTTAGTAATTTTCCATAGACTCTGATTGCTGAAAGTAATCTTAGTTATGTGGTCCAAAGTTCCTGCTTTTACAGATTTGAGTCACAGAGTTGTTACCACTCTCCTGGGGCCATGTAGCCAGATAGCTTGGGGCTGACAGGTGACCATGGTTGCAACCTCTAGCAATATTTCCATATACCCATGGATGAATTCATCGGATTCTAGAGTGTAACTTCCGCATGAAATAGTACGCAGATTAGAAAGGGGCTTCCAGAAGACACCTGGATCATTCTTCATTTAGATCTACACTGGACCATGGTTAAAGTCATTAAGCTACATAAGATGCTATCTAAGTTTATTCTATAATTTTCCTTAGGAGTAACACCGTTGATAGTAGGCATTGAAAAACAATGTTTTGGGCCAAGCGCAGTGGCTCACGCCTGTAATCCCAGCACCATGGGAGGCCAAGGTGGGCAGATCACCTGAGGTCAGGAGTTCGAGGCCAGCCTGGCCAACACAGTGAAGCCCCGTCTCTACTAAAAATACAAAAATTAGCCAGGTGTGATGGTGCACACCTGTGGTCCCAGCTACTTGGGAGGCTGAGGTAGGAGAATCACTTGTACCTGGGAAGTGGAGGTTGCAGAGAGCCAAGATCGTGCCACTGCACTCTAGCCTAGGCAACAGAGTGAGACTCTGTCTCAAAAAAAAAAAAAGAAAGAAAGAAAGAAAGAAAAAAGAAAAACAATGTTTTGTTGCACTGCTTTTCTTCCTAAATCCCTGGATAAAGTATCTGCCAGCCTGAAAAAAGCTGGCCAAAAATATGGGCTTCGTAATGCAGGGTCCTTTAATTAGACTTTATTTATTTATTTACTTATTTATTTATTTGAGAAGGAGCCTCACTCTGTCACCCAGGCTGGTGTACAGTGGCACGATCACAGCTCACTGCAGCCTCAACCTCCCCAGGCTCAGGTGATCCTCCCACCTCAGCCTCCTGAGTAGCTGGGGCCACAGGTGTGCACCACCACGCCTGGCTAATTTTTGTATTTTTAGTAGAGATGGAGTTTCACCATGTTGCCCAGGCTGGTCTCAAACTCCTGGGCTCGAAATCTGCCCGCCTGGTCCTCCCAAAGTGTTAGAATTACAGGTGTGAGCCACTGCACCCGGCCTTAATTAGATTTTTAAAGGACTGAAAACTAGGGTGTCTGATGAATACTCTGAGAGGGCAGCTTTTTCTTCCTGTTCCGTCACCCCTTGCCACCGTCAAATGAAGGGGAATTGAAGCTTAGTGCCGCTTCCCTACCTGCTCAGCACGATTACATTTTCCTTTCCGTTCAGTGGCATCACAATGATGTGTATTAGTTGAGGATGATCATTCCTTTTTTTGGTGATGTTATTTTTCATGTTTGTTAGTTCTGTTCTGCTGGACATTTAATAACATGTATTGGTTTTTATGGTTTTTCAAAAGAGGGAATTGCTGTTACTACATTTTAAATGTCTTATGTACAACTTCATCTTGGTGTCTGCCATTGTGCCCCAAACAAAGCTGATTCCAAGAACCCTGACTAATTAATACACATGCATTTGTATATTTTTGTATGAACATAAAGAATGATGTGGAAGAAGAATTAACCAAACCTAATGCTGGTGATCCCAGAGCGTGGGATTAGATTGGGAGGTAAAACTTTTTCTTTTCTTTCTTTTTTTTTTTTTGAGACAGAGTCTTACTCTGTCACCCAGGCTGGAGTGCAATGGCACAATATCGACTCACTGCAAGCTCCGCCTCATGGTCTCAAGCAATTCTCCTACCTCAGCTTCCCGAGTAGCTGGGATTACAGGCACGCGCCACCGTGCCCAGCTAATTTTTATATTTTTAGTAGAGACAGGGTTTCACCATGTTGCCCAGGCTGGTATTGAACTCCTGACCTCAGGTGATCCACCCGCCTTGGCCTCCCAAAGTGCTGAGATTACAGGCGTGAGCCACCGCACTTGGCCAGGTTTTTCTAAACCTTCTATTCTTTGTTAAACTGGTATGATGGCTAATATAAGTGTCAACTTGATTGGATTGAAGGATATTGATCCTGGGTGTGTCTGTGAGGGCATTGCCAAAGGAGATTAACGTTGAGTCAGTGGGCTGGGAAAGGCAAACCCACCCTTAATCTGGGTGGGCTCAATCTAATCAGCTGCCAGCGTGGCTAGAAGATAAGCAGGCAGAAAAATGTGAAAAAAGAGACTGGCCTAGCCTCCCAGCCTACATCTTTCTCCCATGCTGGGTGCTTCCTGCCCTCGAAAATCAGACTCCAAGTTCTTCAGTTTTGGAATTCGGACTGGCTCTCCTTGCTCCTCAGCCTGCAGACAGCCTATTGTGGGACCTTTTGATCGTGTGAGTTAATACTTAATAAACTCCCCATAAGATATATACCTATTCCATTCATTCTGTCCCCCTAGAGAACCATGACTAATACAATTGGTTACAAGGTGCATGAAGTACCTCTGCAACTAAATAAAAGCAAAAGAGCGAGAAAAATTCTCACAGGCCATGTTGATTATGTTGTATCATAGAAGGCAACGTTGAATTGGGTCACAGGTCCTAAATTCTCATTCATTAACTAACATTAAGTACCAACTGTGTGTCAAGGACTGAACAAGACTGGAAACAAAAAGGTCAACAAAATAGAATCTCTATCCTTGGAGAGCTCAGAAATTCACAACAACCGGTACAATCGAAATGTCTGCATGTGTCGACTATTTTACTATGTACTAAATGAATTCAATCTTCTTTGCTCTAACTATCTCTGAAACTGTCATCCAGCATCTTGGGTGGTCCTTACAGGCCAGCTAATTGTGCCAATGTAAATATAGGAGTAGAACAATAATAGTAAAAAGCCATGCTTTGAAGGAAGTTCATTGAGTTTCTCCTAGTTAATCAAACCAGATGGAGGGACCGAGGTTGGGGGTCAGATGCGTTTTCTATTTGAGGATCTCTTTTGAATTCATTTCCTAATGTGAACACTGGAGAGGGAGATTAGGAAGTATACAAAACAAACCATTAAGTAAATCACAAGTGTGGAACTAAAATTTAGCCTTGGGATGACCAGCTGCGATGGGTTTTTCTGGTGCATTTTAGGTCTGGGTTAATAAGGTCAGCCCTCAAGAGGCTGTGATTTCCTGCTGCATAGTTATATTTTAGAATCATCCGGGGCCTTTTAAAAATAAAATCCCCAGGTCCCTTCCCTGGAGATTCTGATTCAGTAGGTCAAGGGTCAGGGCTAGAAATTTTCATATTTGAAAAGCTTCACAGGTGATTCTGATACACACCTCTGGTTAAAGACCAGAAGGAGCCTTGGGGGGAAGGTCAGCCTGGGTTTACATTTTTATCTCGTGTCGATCCCATTGTATAATAGGCAGCTTTTCCCATACCTAGCAGGAAATGAATGGTGACCCTGGGGGGCAGGGAAAGGTGGGTATCATTTGGAAGAGCTGTGGTGAAGGGCCCAGGAGAAAAACTACTGAGGGG
Organism: Homo sapiens; assembly: GCF_000001405.40. Taxonomy (NCBI): domain Eukaryota; kingdom Metazoa; phylum Chordata; class Mammalia; order Primates; family Hominidae; genus Homo; species Homo sapiens. The sequence goes on along the minus strand of NC_000023.11, from coordinate 40,882,793 downwards.
GCACTGCTCCAGAGCTCAGAGATCTTGCTGGGTTTGAATTCTGGTTCATCACTGGCCTGCCGAGTTGCCTCTCCAGGGGAATCCTCTATCACCGTCACCCAGGGCCACCCCATTTGACCCACAATCTGCATGCCAGTAGACAATTGCCTGGCGGATGGCTACCTTTCCCCATCTGTACCTGAAGCTCGCTTACTGAAAGTCTGGCAGGGGTGATGCCAGTTAGACCAGGAAACCTTGCTGTGTCCTCCTTTGCCCAGCCCACTCTGTGTGGACACTTCCCCACAAAGACCCAGAACGCTAACAAGCCAAGGGGCAACCCTGGCTATCCATGGGGTGATGTTAGCGAGTCCCCAAAGCTGTATTCCTACATATGGTGGCGAATGAGATGAAGTCAGGACCCCCAAGTTGGGACATCAATCCTGTGAGATAGATGGGGCAAGTATTAATATTCTTAATTTAGAGATCAGGAAACAGACACATAGAGTGATGGCGTTGCCCGGGTCACACAGCTAGTCAGTGATGAAACCAGGTCACAAACTCAAGATGCCCCTCGACTCCTGTGCTTTTTGCATTTCCCTACCCTGCGTCCGAACAGCCAGATTTCCTGTGAGCATGTTACCATACAAACTGTCAGACTTTCCATAAGTGGGTTTATTAGTCCCACCCTCCTTCCTTCCTTTCCTCCTTTTTTAGCATCCATGAGAATTCACCTCTCAAATCTCTAACCACTGGAAGTGCCATTGACCTTGGGCCCCAGCTTCAGCCTCTGAAATCCATCATCACATTGGTGCCGAGACCATGCTTCCTACAGCCTGCCCCCGGGCAATGATTGAGTGCAGCAGGGATACTGAGGCAGGCCTGTTCTTGAGAGACATGGAAACTCCTTTGACCAACAACTTTAGCCCAGGGACTCCCCACTGGCCCTGCCAAATCTTTTTGTTGTTGTTGTTGTTGTTGTTGTTGTTTTTTGAGACAGAGTCTTGCTGTCGCCCAGGCTGGAGTGCAGTGGCACAATGTTGGCTCACTGCAACCTCCTGGGTTTCACTGAGCCTCCTGGGTTCAAGCAATTCTCCTGCCTCAGCCTCCCAAGTAGCTGGAGTTACAGGCGTGTACCACCACACCTGGCTAATTTTTGTATTTTTAGTAGAGACAGGGTTTTACCATGTTAGCCAGGCTGGTTTCGAACTCCTGGCCTCAAGTGATCTGCCCACCTCAGCCTCCCAAAGTGCTGGGATTACAGGCGTGAGCCACCGCGCCTGGCCGCCAAACCTTTCTGAGACTGAACTGCAGTGTACGATGCTTCCATGCAAACTTCCTTCCTTCCTTTTCTCTCTCCTTCACAAGTCAGACCTGCAACGAAGTCTGATAGATCTTCCAGTCTTTTCCATCTCCCTCCCACATTTTCTCTCACAGGCATTTTTTTAAATAAATCTCTTGCGTGTTTTATCTCATCTTTGGGTCTGCTTCTCTGAAGACCCAAACTAACACCATCCCTCTCTTTTTTCCTCCCTCCCCAGCTTCCTTCTTTCTGTACCCTGTCAACCATACTGGAGGTGCATGGATTAATACTATTAATATATGGTTCCCATTCTCAAGGTTCTCAGTCTATTAAAGGACACAGACCTAGAGATAATTCTAACACAGTGAGATAAGTGCAATGACAGAGGTATGCATGGGGCATTGGCAGGGTCCAGAGGAGTGGTATGTAACCGAACTTGGAGCTGAAATGGAGGAAAACATTGAATAAGAATTAATAGGAGTCAGCCAGGTGAAATGAGCTAGGTAGAGGGAGGGGTAAAAAGACATTGCAGGTTGTTGTGTTGCTGGGGCTGATGTTTTTAGGCAAGGGGGGCCAGCAGAGGGGGCCAAAGAGGTGGGGAGGGGCTGAGTATAGGAGGGCTTTGAACGCTGCCCTGAGGGTTGGACCCTTATCCTGGGGCCATTGTTTTCTGAATGTGGGTCTAGGCCAGGCTGCACGAGAATTACCTGGCATCTGATAAAAATATCCACCCAGATAGAGTGCCCTGCAGGGGGGAGCTCATTAGGGGATGAAATATGTGGGTTTTTTTCCCTCTCTCTTTTTTTAAAATCAAAATTTGTCCCTTCAAGCTCTAGAGAGGGCTAGAAAAATCCCCTAAGAGATTTCAAACAAAACAAAAATTCTGAAGGATTACTTGACTAGTCTCCCTTCCCTATGTAGTATAGTACTACTGGTCCCCGCTGTTGTGGGAAAAGTTTTTTTGTTTTGTTATTTTATTTTTTTGAGACAGGGTCTTGCTGGAGTGCAGCCTAGGCTGGAATGCAGTGTGTGATCATAGCTCACTGCAGCCTCCAATTCCTGGGTTCAAGAAATCCTCCCACCTCAGTCTCCTGAGTGGCTGAGACTCCTGGTGCCAGCATGCCTGGTTAACTTTTCTTATTTTTTGTAGACACAGGTTCTGGCCATGAAAACAAAAGAAGGCCAATGTTATCAAAACAATGGAATTAACATTTAATCCTTATTCTGTGCCATGCATTATTCTAAATTATATGCAATAATTAACTTCTTATAGAACTCCTCTGAGGTGGCCGGGTGCAGTGGCTCACGTCTGTAATCCCAGCACTTTGGGAGGCCAAGGTGGGTGAATCACGAAGTCAGGAGTTCGAGACCAGCCTGGCCAACTTAGTGAAACCCCATCTCTACTAAAAATACAAAAAATTAGCTGGACGTAGTGGCGGGTGCCTGTAATCCCAGCTACTCAGGAGGCTGATGCAGGAGAATCACTTGAACCCGGGAGGCAGAGGTTGCAGTGAGCCGAGATTGCACCACTGCACTCCAGCCCAGGCAACACAGCAAGACTCCATCTCAAAAAAAAAAAAAAAAGAAAGAAAGAAAGAAATCCTCTGAGGTAACCTATAGCAGATGCTCTTGGTGTCCTATCCACACACCCTCAGGCTTTACCACTTCAGTGTGCCCCATTTGTTGTATCTGTTTGAGGGCTTGGCCCAGAGCTGACAAGCTGGAAGTGTCAAGGATTTGACAACCCCAGGAGCAGCCCTCAACCAAAGACTATGGCTTGTTAGTGTATAAATACTCCAGCTCCCTCGCTCCTAATGTGGGATGACTCTGAGGCTCATGTTCTATACCATATCCCATAGTTCCTTAGTGGGATTAGGCCCAGAGTGGGCCACTCTTCTATCTTGCTGGATAACCCATCCTTTAACTCTTTCTCTTCGTGGACTTGTTTCCTGACTCCTCTACTGGTGTTTTCCTTCACCTCCTGATATGGCTTGGCTGTGTCCCCACCCAAATCTCACCTTGAACTGTAATAAACCCCACGTGTCAAAGGTGGGGCCAGGTGGAGATAATGGAATCATGGGGGCGGTTTTCCCCATACTGTTCTCATGGCAGTAAGTCTCATGAGATCTGATGGTTTTATAAATGGGAGTTCCTCTGTTCAAACTCTCTTGCCTGCCACAATGTAAGATGTGACTTTGCTCCTCATTCGCCTTCCGTCACGATTGTGAGGCCCCCCCAGCCATGTGGAACTGTGGGTCAATTAAACCTCTTTTCTTTATAAATTACCCAGTCTTGGGTATGTCTTTATTAGCAGCGTGAGAACAGACTAATACACCTCCCAAATAAACTATTTGTACTCGAGCCCTTGTCTCACAGTCAGCTTCTGAAGGAATCCAAAGTAAGATTTAAATGAAGACCACAGAAAATCTGAGAATGTTTCGAAGAATAGAAACATCTACATGTAAATAGAAAGAGTCACTGAGTTGTAATGGTTCCTAATCACCAGCTCTCCAGGCTTGACAAGAATGCGTATTTGAACTCACACTAAATCTTTTAACAGAGGCAAAGCACTTCCAGGATCATAAAGACCACTCAGAGATTTCTCAACTTTACCAGGCATCAGAGCCTTTTTCCTCCCTTTTATTCAAGAGAGAAAAAAGCCTCCAAATGTCTACCTAAAAAATATTAGCTTAAAAAGAGCTCAGCTTTGCCTTTCTGAGTCATCTGCACTCAAACTTAGACACATCTGTTACCTGATTTTAAAGGGATCCTAATTCTTGCCAGTTGCAAATCTGAGCTAACTAGAAAATTAGATTTTATAAATTATATTTTCAGAGAACATAATAAAGACAAAAATGTATTTTAAATTGTCTTTCCACATACACTCTCTTAACTTACTAAGCTGCTTTTCTGAACACTGGAGAGTAGAAATCCTAGCACTGTGTTTTATATTGTGCTGATTATGCTAATTAAAATGTAATGAAACTTCGGCCATTTTGCGATTTTAAAAATGTGTCATAATATACCACCAATCAACACCAATAATGTCAAATAAAAGACCCCATTTTGAATTGTAAAAACTGTGATGATATAGCAAGATAAAGGACTAAGTGTAAGATGGGGGAATATTGGTGAAATGACTAATTGAAATTTTTGTTGGCACTCTTTGATTATTTCCATCGGTGGCCATTAATTTGCTTAAAACGGGTTTTGTGACTCAGGGTTATGATAAAATTGCATTAAGTCTTGCATTTTGTACAAAGAAAACTGACTCAGTCAGCGTTTCCAATTACCAGCCACATCGGGAGCTTTATTAAGCAAATAAATACTATTGACAATATATAAACAGAGATATCACTTACATATTTGTTGACTCCACCCGATTAGGGTAAAATGTGCAGTACAAGATGTTTACGATAACTTACTGTTTAACTGATCAACATTGCTAATAAAGCTGCCCCCTGCTGTCCTGAATGAAAATGCATATGTTTAAAAAATTATGAAAGAAGCTATTTTAAGCCTAGAGGATAGACTCTACATCTTAACATCTGTAAAAGCTTTTTACATGAAATATAATTCTTTCCCCAGTATTTGAATCATGGTTATAACATACAAATGACAGCAATATCAATTTAATTGAGGTCTACTTAATACCATAACTATGGGCCTTTATTTTCCTTCCACTCAATTCAACAAACTTTAGCACTTAGATTTCTGCTTTTGTAAATAGTCACTGGCAAACTCATTTCATATTGTTTTATTTATTTATTTATTTTTGAGATGGAGTCTTGCTCTGTTGCTCAGGCTGGAATGCAGTGGCACCGTCTCCGCTCACTGCAACCTCCGCCTCCCAGGTTGAAGTGATTCTCCTGCCTCAGCCTCCCGAGTAGCTGGGACTATAGGCACATGCCATCACACTGGCTAATTTTTGTATTTTTAGTAGAGATGGGATTTCACTAAGTTGGCCAGGCTGGTCTTGAGCTCCTGACCTCAGGTGATCTGCCTGCCTCGGCCTCCCAAAGTGCTGGGATTACAGGCGTGAGCCACTGCGCCCGGCCTCATTGTTTTAAAGGTCCCTTTAATATGATATGCATATTAAGTTATTTGCACATTTGCATTAAAAGGATTAGATAGCATGGAAACTGTAATAACAATTACAACAATAAGGGCTAACATTTACTCAGTACTATGTGCCAGGCATTCTGAACACAGACCTTCTCATTTTAGTCTTATCACAACTCTATAAGTATCATTATTATCCCCATTTTAGACGGGAAAACAGAGGCACAGAGAGCTAAAGAACTTGCCCTAGGTCAAACCATTAAAGGTGGCAAAGCAAGATTTAAACCCATCATCCTGATAAACCCTTAGTGCTAGTTTGTAGTTAGCCATGGCTGAGCCAGCAGAAATCAATTGTCTAAGGTAACTACCAAACAAATACGAGAGACCAAACCAAAGTTTGTGCCTGCACTTCTCGAGTGATTCTCTTTTTATTTTTGAACTAAAACATTTATTACAATGGAAAATGGGCAAATGATATGTTTCATGTTTTTTGTTTTTCTTTTCTTTTTTTTTTTTTGAGACAGTGTCACTCTGTCGCCCAGGCTGGAGTGCAGTGGCTCAATTTCGGCTCACTGCAACCTCCGCTTCACGGGTTCAAGCAATTCTCCTGTCTCAGCCTCCCAAGTAGCTGGGATTACAGGCACCCACCACCATGCCCTGCTAATTTTTTGTATTTTTAGTAGAGACGGGGTTTCACCATGTTGGCCAGGCTGGTCTCAAACTCTGGGCTCAAGCGATCCACTCGCCTCGGCCTCCCAAAGTGCTGGGATTACAGGCGTGAGCCACCGTGTCGGGGCTATAGCTTACTTTTAGCTCTTCTTCCAATCTGGTGAAGGGAATTCCTTCCATCTTCTCATCCTTTTTTGGCCACCTTTTCACTCCATTTCTAAGACCTCCTTTGTCTCTTCCTACAGTAGAACCCTGTGTTCTCTCTCCTCTATTGGTAGGTTTAATTACATCATCTAATAAATGAGCATTAATAGTGTAAAAAGGAACAATATAGTACAAAAATGTTTGCTATTTTGGTTACGCAAAACGTTTGCTTCTGGCTGTAAACAGAATACTTCTCTAAAATTGGCTTAACAATCATGGCATTTAGTAACTTATATATGTCTAGATGTAGGTGATACCAGAGTTGCCTAATTCAGTGGTACATTATCAAGGACTTACGTGATATTTCTCTTACTGTTTCCCTATCTTCAGTATGGTGGGTTTTGTGCTTCATGATCACAAGATGGCTTCAGTAGCTCCAGGCGTCACATTCTCACAAAATAGCATTGAGAGGGGGAGCAAAAAAGGGAGGAATGTTTCCAGTCTTGTGTCCCTTTCTAAGAGTGAGCAAAACTTTCCCAAGATTCCCCCATCAGATTCATTAACCAAGTTTAGATCACATGCCCATGCTTAAACTGATCAAAGACTAGAGGAATGAAATCACCCTAAGTGTCTGGGAATTGGGTGTTGGGGGAGTACCTTCCCTGAGCACATGGCCAGGTGTTTCTGCAAGGTGAAATGATTTGGGGAGGTAACCAATAGTGTCTGCTAGACTTCATCATTTTGAACTACTGAAAATACACACACAAAAACGTGCTGGAAACACTTAAAAAGAGGTAAAGGTAGGGAGAATCCCTCGGCATGACCAGTTTTCCTGATTCTTTCATAGAATAATTTCCAACTTTTGACATGGAAAGCCCTACCCGTGGTTTTAAGTTCTTTCAATTTACCTTCCTCCCTTATTTCTAGACAGCTGGCTACTAGATACTAGAACCTGGACTCTAGCCTAGTCTTGCAGCTGAGGTTAAATTGTTCTTTCCAAATACTAAACAGACTAAACAGTCTGTGTAGTGGAGGAATAAACTGCCTTGACTTGATAAAGGTCCATGTTTCACTCTGTCCAATGTGCCACCATGATCCTTATCAGCTACTCAGAACCCTCCACCCTTCACTTGGCTTACTGTCCTTCCCCACCTACTCTTCCTTAGACTTCCTTAGGCTTTGTTCAAAGGGAGAAGAAAACCAATATCCTTTTAAAGCCTTATGCTTTAAAAGGCATTTCACATGGCTATTGGATGTCATGTTCACAAGAACCATAAGAAGTAGATGTTATCATCTAAGGTCCAGAGAGGTGAAATAACCTAACTCCAAATCATGCACTTGATAGGTAGTAGATTTGCCATTCAAACCCATTCTGGTATCTTCCAAAGCTCACATCCCAGAACAGCAAGCAGAAGTTTCCCAGGCTCTTCTTTCTCTGCCTTGGTACATCTCCACCTTGGCCTACCCTTGGTGGAGGTGGGGGAGGGGGAGAATAAATCTGGAGTCACAAGCCCTGGCTTGGGCTATCCCTGTCTTCATGTAGTGCCTGTGTAAGCTCAGGCAGGGCAGGTCACCTCTCCTTTACCAGTCTTAATGTTCTCACTTGTAACACGAGAGTAACACCTACCTTGTAGGGTTGCTGTGAATATTAAGGCAATAGATCTGCATTCTCTTTTATAAAGGCCAAGCACTACATGAATGTGACAAGCCATTATTATGGATAGATTTCTTATTTACCTACGTAATAAGATATGAAAATGGACCTTCCCAATGCTGTTTTGCACCAATACAAGAGACATCCAAAAGGAGTGTGCTCAGATCTACAGAGGCTGACTTTACAAAAGGTATGCTCTAAGACTCTCAAATGCCCTCAACAATTTTGACTACAAAGGCATCAAGAGAGGGTAGAAGTAAGAAGGATTTGTGAAGAAGGTTCTTTAGATAAGGCTACTGCCATGCTGTGGGCATCCCTCTCCGACCCCTGAGGTGATGGGGAGCCCCCTTTTAACCTTAAGTCCGTGAAATGGTACTTTAAAGGGACCCTTGAAGAGGTAACTGTGTGTTCTCTGTGGTTGGGGAGCTAGGATCAGAGCCTGAATTAAGACAGCCTGTGATAGCGGGCTGCACCTCTGCATGTGGGAGCCATGGGGGAAAAAGAGGCTGGACGCTAGGCATGGCAGCTTACACCTGTAATCCCAGAACTTTGGGAGACTGAGATGGGAGGATTGTTTGAGACCAGCCTGGGCAACATAGTGAGATCCTATCTCTACAAAAGTAAAAAAAATCGGCTGAGCGCAGTGGTTCACGCCTGTAATCCCAGAACTTTGGGAGGCCGAGGCGGGTGGATCACGAGGTCAGGAGTTTGAGACCGGCCTGGCCAACATAGTGAAACCCCATCTCTACTAAAAATACAAAAATTAGCCGGGCATGGTGGCAGGCACCTGTAATCCCAGCTACTTGGGAGGCTGAGGCAGGAGAATCGCTTGAACCTGGGAGGCGGAGGTTTTGGTGAGCCGAGATTGCACCACTACATACCAGCCTGGGCAAGAGCGAGACTCTGCCTCAAAAAAAAAAAAAAAAGTAAAAAAAAATTAGCTGGGCATGGTGGTACACGCCTGTGGTCCCAGCTACTTGGGAGACTGATGTGGGAGGATTGCTTGAGCCCAGGAGGTGGAGGCTGCAGTGAGATGAGATTGCACCATTGCACCCCAGCCTGGGTGACAGAGTGAGACCCACTCTTGAAAAAAAAAAGAAAAAAAGGTTGGAGTCTTCTTTTGTTAATCTTTTTGGAAATATAAGATACATATTAAAATGTGCACAAACAACAGGTTTATAGCTTGATGAATTTTCACAAACTGAATATCCCAACAAAACCAGAAGATTAATTACTAGCATCCCATAAGGTCTCTGTACCCCGCTTTCAGTCACTACTACCCCCAAGGGTAACTACTATCCTGACCTCTAATAGCACAGATTATTTTTGCCTCTTTTTGTTCTTTATATAAATGGAATCATACAGTGTGTACCCCTTAGTGGCTCACTTCATTGCTCAACATTCTATTTATGAGAGCCATCCATACTGTATGTAGTTGTAGATCGTTTATTCTCACTACTGTATAGCATCCCATTGTGTGAGCATTCCACAATTTATCCGTTCTACTGTTGATAGACATCTGGGTAGTTTCCAACTGGGGGCTATTATGAATACCTACGGATATTTTAGCACATGTCTTTTGGTAAACATATGTACACATTTCTCTTGCACATACATCTAGGAGTGGGACTTCAGAGTTATAGGGGTGGTGTCTGTAAAAGCTACAACAGTTTTAAGTGTTTCCAAAGAGGATTTCTTAAAGAAAGTGTGGATTCGAGCCTCTACTCCCACTCTCTCACATCAGCCCAAGAACCAGAAGCCAAAAGGGGTGTGGATTTTAGAGAAACACTGTATGGTGAGCATCACCAGAGCTGCAATCAAAGGGGCCCAGCGAAGGAGCCTCCCATGAGCCCCATGGAAGAATCTATATGCCAGGAACATGGCCCAACCTAGAGAAACATTTTAATCTAGCGCAGCATTGTCCCTGCCTCCACATGGGTATTGTGAAGGGCTGCTGTTGAGAGGCTAGCCTTTGAGCTCCATTTCTGGACAGCTGGTTTTCATCTGACCAACTTCACTCCTTGGCTGTGTGACTTTTGGAAGGTCATTCTTTCTCTCTAGGCCTCACTTTTCTCATCTTTCTGATATGAGGCTGCTTTCTGCTCTGAACTTGTAATTGACTGCGTTCTAAATGCCTCACGAACGGAAAGCACGTCTTCACTTTCCTCTGTATTCCTAGAGAGCACCTCATGCTCTACATACCTATTGGCACAGTAGGTCACTAGACAACAAATGTCTTGCAATTTCATTTTCTAAAGAAAAAAAATCTGCTTTTATGGGTTCAGTGATGCACAAAATGAGGATTTAATTGGCGCATTAAAATTAGCAACATGGTGTGTGTGTGCCTGTCCAAATATAGATGTTATACTGCACACCAGCTTTATGGAAAAATCCATTTCCATTCTTGTGCAACTGAGTTTCTCTGAAGAAACAGAGCAAAGACCATCTATGTATCATAAATTTGTCAACTCACTATTTTACCCAAGGATGTTGGGTAATTAGATTCCAACATAGACCCAAAGAATTCTTTTCTTCATCTGGGAACTTGTTTTATCACTTGCTACTGCCTTGATCCTAATGCTTAGCATTTAAAGGTTATATATAGGAAAAAAAAAAAACCACTCCATTGTGTAGTCACTGTCTAGAATGGCATTATATTTTAACAGGATATTATCACTCTGAAAAAAAAAGAAATCATTTTTACTGGGTAGGAAATTATTCCATCATACGGTATTATTCAAGCAATTAGAAATCACATTGTGTGGTGAATGATCAGCTCTTCTTGGTGGAGTTTGTTATTATACTGTTCGTATTTAAAATGTGGGGCTGCAGAGAGAAGAAGGCTTCTTTAGTAGAAGCATGAACACTCTAAGCAGCTCAGGCAGGTGAGCCGTGATGCAATTTTATTTCCCAGGAAATTCTTTCTGGAGTTCCCCTGAAGTTCCCTGTCTTACTTCACCCACAGAAACCTTGAATTCTTTCCCTTTAGCTAAGCTAGGCACCCCTAGGGCTTTATAGGGAACTGACAACTTAAAACTTGGTATTGATCCAAAAGTTTGTTGGAAAATCTGTCTTAGAATTCAGAACAGATTTTCTTCAGTTCTATATGAATGACTGGTTCCTAAGCACACCACCAGAGCCCACGCCACCCACAGGAAATGAGACGCTAGTATTAATGATGGTCAAGAACCAGTTACTTGGTAGAGTGTTATTTCCTGGTGAAAATCCACTCTAAGTTTTCTTGTGAGAACAGAAACTCAGCTCACCTTCTCTCCTCCCTACTGTGCTCTACTGTCAGAAGTGGGGATTCCTACACCATGGGGGATTGGAGTGTGCAGGACAGGAAAATGAGTTGGAAGGCATCCAGAAGTCTGAGCAAAGGCAGGGGCTTCCCAGCAGTGACAGAAAGACGAAGGGAAAAGGAGCAGGGGTGGGCCCAGCAATGATGCAGGGGTAGAGGTGAGAATATTTATAGCTTCAGCTGCAATCAGGAGGAAAGTCCCTGGACACAGAGGTAATTTTGCTCATGGGACATCAGCAACTTGTACAGTCATAATTGAGGGACTGTCCCAGTGAATACACAAGTTGATGCTTTAACATTCACTCAAGCCTACTGAAACTTAACCTTTCTTTCCACTTAAAAAAAAATCATGAAAATAAATCATTCTATAAAAAAAAGATACATGGACCTGTATGTTCATCGCAGCACTATTCACAATAGCAAAGGTATAGAATCAACCTAGATGCCCATCAATGGTGGACTGGATAAAGAAAATGTAGTACATATACACAATGGAATACTACACAGCCATAAAAAATAATGAAATAATGTCCTTTGCAGCAACATGGATGGAGCTAGAGGCCATTATCCTAAGCAAATGAACACAGGAACAGAAAACCAGATACCACATGTTCTTGCTTATAAGTGATAGCTAAACATTGGGTACATAAGGACATAAAGATGGGAACAATAGACACTGGGGACTACTAGAAGGGGGAGGGGAAAAGGGGGACAAGGGCTGAAAAACTACCTATTGTGTACTATGCTCAGTGCCTGGGGGACAGGATGATTAGTACCCCAAACCTCAGTGTCACACAATATACCCATGTAACAAATCTGCACATGTACCTCCTGAATCTAAAATAAAAGTTGAAATTATTTTAAAAACCATACTTCAGATATACAAAAAGTATACAGAACAATGTAACAAACATCCAGCTGAAGATAGAAAACATTTCAGGGCCGGCTGCGGTGGCTCACGCCTGTAATCCCAACACTTTGGGAGGCTGGGGCAGGCAGATCACCTGAGGTCCGGAGTTCGAGACCAGCCTGACCAACATGGAGAAACCCCATCTCTATTAAAAATACAAAATTAGCCAGGCGTAGTGGCGCATGCCTGTAATCCCAGCTACTCGGGAGGCTGAGGCAGGAGAATCGCTTGAACCCAGGAGGCGGAGGTTGTGGTGAGCCGAGATCGCGCCATTGCACTCCAGCCTGGGCAACAAGAGCAAAACTCCGTCTCCAAAAGGAAAAAAAAAAAAAAAAAAAACCCATTTCAGATATAGTTGAGCCCTCTGTTGTACCAAGTCTCACTTTCATTCTCTACCCCAAAACAGCTACAAGTTTGGTATTATCATTTCCATGTGTATTTTTATTATTTTATTACATGTAGATCACATATACGTATATTATAAATCTATAGACATTATATCCTATTATAAATCATTAGGGATATATGTTTATCCTAAATGATTTGATATTTTTGCATATTTTAACATTTTATAAGTGGTAGCACTTTTTTTTTTTTTTTGAGACAGGGTCTCATTCTGTTACCTAGGCTGGAGTGCAGTGGCACAAACATGACTCACTGCAGCCTTGACCTCCTGAGCTCAAGCAATCCTCCTGTCTCAACCTCCCATGCAGCTGGGACCACAAGTGCACACCACCATGCCCAGCTAACTTTTTAAAAACTTTTTATAGAGATAGGGTCTCACTTTGTTGCCCAGGCTGGTCTCAAACTCCTGGGTTCAAGCAATCCTCCTGCCTCAGCCTCCCAAAGTGCTGGGATTACAGGTATGAGCCACCATGCCCAGCCTAATGGTAGCACTTTCTATGTGTCCTGTCACTTGTTCTTCCTTTCTAACATTATGTTTTAAAAATTAGTCTATCTTGCTTGGAAATATACTACAAAGCTATAGTAACCAAAACAGCATACAGCATGGTCCTGGCATAAAAACAGACACATAGACCACTGAAACAGAATAGAAAGCCCAGAAATCAATCCACACATCTACAGCCAACTGATTTTCAACAAAGTTGCTAATAACACACATTGGGAAAAGGACAGTCTTCTCAATAAATAGTGCTAGGAAAATTAGATATTCACATGCAGAAGAATGAAACTAGAACCCTATCTCTCACCATATACAAAAATCAATTCAAAATTGATTAAAAACTTAAATGTAAGACCCAAAACTATGAAACTGATAGAAGAAAGCAGGGGAAATGGTTCAGGGTGTGGGTCTGGGCAGGGATTTTTTTTGATAGAATCTCAAAAGCACAGGCAACTAAAGCAAAAATAGACAAGTAAGATTATATCAAATTAAAAAGTTTCTGTACAGCAAAGGAAACAACAGAATGAAGAGACAACTTACAAAATGGGAGAAAATATTTGCAAACTATGCATCTGACAAGGGGGTTAATATCCAGAATATGGAAGGAACTCAATTCAATAGCCAAAAAAAACCCCATCTGATTAAAAAGTGGGTAAAAGGCCTGGATAGACATTTCTCAAAAGAAGACATACAAATCGCCAACAGGTATACGAAAAAATACTCAGCATCACTAATCATCAGGGAAATGCAAATCAAAACCAGTGAGATATCATCTCATACTAGTTAGAATGGCTGTTACTAAAAAGACAGAAGATAATAAGTGTTGGCAAGGATGTGGAGAAACGGGAACCCTTACATACTGTTGGTGAGAATGTAAATTAGTACAGTCATTATGGAAAACAGTATTGGAGGTTCCTCAAAAAATTAAAAATAGAACTACCATATGATCCAGCAATCCCACTACTGGTTATATATCCAAAGGACATGAAATTGGCATGTTGAAGAGTTATCTGTACTCCCATGTTTATTGCAGCAGTATTCATAATACCCAAGATATGGAGTCAACCTGTGTTCATCAGTGGATGAATGGATAAAGAAAATGTTGTATATATACATGATGGGGCCAGGCGTGGTGGCTCACACCTGTAATCTCAGCACTTTGGGAGGCTGAGGAGGGTGGATCACTTGAGGTCAGGAGTTCCAGACCAGCCTGGCCAACATGGTGAAACCCTGTCTTTACAAAAAAATATATATATATATTAGCTGGGCATGGTGGCGGGCACCTGTAATCCCAGCTACTCAGTAGGCTGAGGCAGGAGAATTGCTTGAAGCTGGGAGGCAACGGTTGCAGTGAGCTGAGATCGCACCACTGCACTCCAGCCTGGATGACAGAACAAGACTCTGTCTCAAATAAATAAAAATAAAATATATACAATGGAATACTATGGATAAAGAAAATATTGTATATATACATAATGGAATACTATTCAGCTGTAAAAAAGAATAAAGTTCTGTCATTTGCAACAACATGGATGAACCTAGAGGATATTATGTTAAATGAGCCAGGCACAGAAAGATAAATACTGCATGATCTCACTCATAGGCAGAATCTAAAAAAGTTGATCTCATAGAAGTAGACAGTAGTAGTGGTTACAAGAGGCTGGGGAGGGTGGGGAGATGGGGTATGGAAAGAGGTTGGTCAATGGGGACAAAGTTACAGTTAGATAGGAATAAGTTCTGGTGTTCTATGGCACAGTAGGGTGACTATAGTTAACAATATTTTGTATATTTCAAATTTCCTAGAAAAGAGGACTTTGAATGTTCTCACCACAAAGAAATGATAAATGTTTAAGGTGATGGATTTGCTAATTGCCCTGACTTGATCATTATACAATGTATATATGTATTCAAATATCACATTGTATCCCATAAATATGTACAGTTTTTGGTGTCAATTAATAAAATAAAGCTTAAAAAAATTAGTCCATGTTGCTAATGTGGCTCTAGGGCATCCATGTCAATACTGCTGTATAGTATTCCATCTTATAAACAGACCTTTTCTACCACCCAAACTCAGGACCCAGCCATGCACTCACTTCTTTTTCCCACCTCACACAGGATATTAGATTCTTAACTCACAGTCAGAGGAACACCCTTTTCTAAGGACCAAATTGTCCAGGTGCCTCACCTAAGCCCTCCTTCCTGAGCCCCAGGAGAAGCTGCCATTGGAAATGGCAGGCTGCCTGGTGAGTATGGATTCAGAACATGATCTGACCTTGACAGAGAGTTTGTCCTTGTCATGGGATAAGAACAGAAGAACTGCCTCCAGCCCCGGTGGATAGATGACTCACATCCCTGGAACTTCCTACCTCTTTTCCCTGGATGGGATCCAAGTCATGCTGTCAAAATAGAATTAATTCACTCTTTAAAAGGGAAAAAAATTCTCAAAATTTAGAATAACAGAATCATACAATGCAAGAGCTAGAAGAGTAACTTGTCCCTGCCTCCTTCCCCAACACCTTAATATAAGACAAGGGACATCTGGGCATCAGCCAAGCCAATTATCTGAGGATATTTCTAGACAGCAGTCACTTGGGGTTTTTCTAGAAGGGGCCGAAGGGTGAAGACCTGAAAAGGAGCAAAAGCAGAGTGTTGGAATGGCTGAGAAGCACCCTTCATGATTAATCAGTGACATTTAGAGCCATCTCTCAGCTCAGCTCAGCTCACCAGAGCAGGGAATCTCTTGGCAAAAGTCTCTGTCCCAGGATTTCTGGCACTTAGTTTGCTGGCCTGTATCAAGCATTCCTTGAAAACTATCTGGCCGGTCAATGCTGGTGCCTGCCATGCAGTATCTTTGAAGTAGGAAAAGGGCTCCTTTGAGTTCTAACCAACAGCTTTGACTGTGTGGAAGCTGTTAATTTACCACAGTTGGCTGCTTTCCCCATCACCCCTCTGATCTACAAGAAGGATCTGAAAAGGAAGCCCTGAAAGTTAGCGCTAACATGAACCCTAGAGATGTTCTAGCCCAACCCCTGATTTATCAAGTTATTAGTTTAACAAATAGGGGCCAAGTGCCTACAGTGTGCCAGACTCTTGGCTGGGCACTGCAAATACAGCGATGATCAAAACCAAACATGCCTCTGCCCTCTTGAAGATTACATTATAGTGGATAGGAGTAGGGGGTGACCAATATTAAAAGCAATCACACAAACAAATGTAAAATACATAATGCTATGAGGCAGATTTAGGGAGGTCAGGAAGGGTTACCTCAAAGAGGTAAGGCTTAGGCTGACATGTGAAGCAGGAGCAGGCATTAACACAGCAAAGAAGGGGGAGAGAGCTTTAGGGGAGAGGTAACAGTGAGTGGTAAGATGGAGCATAGCAAATTTGAAGGGCAGAAAGAGGCCATGTGGCCAAAGTAGAGATGGGGAGATGAAGCAGGGGAGCAGGGGCCATATCACTTAGAACCTTGAAGCCTATGTTAAATATTCTGGTCTTTATCCTAAAAGCAATGGGAAGCCATTGAGAAGCTTCAACTGAGGGATGGGACATAATCAAAACTGAATTTTCACAAAGATATCTTTGACCTCTGTGTGGCGAACAAACTGGAAAGGGGCCAATTGGGAGGATATTTTAAGTGAGAGATACTGGTGGCTTGGGCTGAGGTGGGGCTGGTGGTGGTGGAAAAAAGAAGAGAACAAATATGAGAGACATTTAGGAGGTTAAATTAATAGGACTTGGTGATGGCTTAAATATAGGGGTGACAGGGAGGTGGAAGTCAAGGACAGTTCACAGGTTTCTTCAATTGTTGGTACTATCAAGTGAAATAGGACCAGGTTTGTGACAGAAGATTGAGTGTTGAGTTTTGGGTGCTTTTGTGATATCCAAGAGGTGATATCAAGCAGATCACTGACTACATTTGGATCTGGGACTGAGAGAAGAGGTCTGAGCTGGAAATCTACATACAGTTGACCCTTGAACAACTTGGAGGTTAGGGACATCAATCCCCTATACAGTAGAAAATCCATGACTCCTGAAAAACTCAGCTACTCATAGCCTACTGTTGACCTGAAGCCTCACAAATAGCATAAACAGTCAATGAACACGTATTTTGTATGATATATATATATATATCTTTATATATATTATATGGTATTCTTACAATAAAGTAAGCTAGAGAAAAGAAAATATTAAAAAATTAAAGGGAAGAGAAATATATTTACTATTCATTAAGTAGAAGTGGATCATCATAAAAGTCTCTGTCTTTGTTGTCTTCACATTGAGTAGGGTGAGGAGAGGAGGAAGAGGAGAGGTTGGTCTTGCTGTCTCAAGGGTGACAGAGACAAGAAAATCTGTGTATAAATAGACCTGCGTTGTTCATTTCAAGCCTGAATTGTTCAAGGGTCAACTGTATACCCTTAAGACATCTGCAAATAGGCAGTGATTTAGTCAGGATCTCAAAAGAAAACAGATGGTACAATCAAATTAGGATAATTCAATTAGGATTAATAAAAGGAGTATATTAGGTTCCTGCTGCATAACAAACAGAACCATAACCTCAGTGGCTTAATAGAGCAAACATTTTATTTCTTGGCCACAAGTGTGTGGGTTGGTTGTGATTCAGCTGATTTAGGCTGGGTGCAGCTGGACCAGGCTGACTCCAGACTTCAAGTTCCATTCATGTCTGTTTCATGTGTCTGATCCCCTCTGGGAGTGGTGCCATATCAAAGACTCAGAGCTGGCCTCTGCTGCTGGCCAGTCAGACATCTAGCAGTGAGCTTTGTAAGGGAAGCCTATATTGTGGATGCTCTGACACTGAGTTTATAAGATCATCGAGGAAACACCAGGATAAGTGGGGGAAGAGTCTGACTGACATCCAAGGATGGATTCTCTAGTCCACCTAATTATTGACAGCCTCCTCTGCAGTAGATGCCCTCTACTCAGCATTTATATGGACATGGATATTTTCATATTTTGGGCTTAGTCCCAGAGGTCCATCCATATACCTGCCCCAATACCTCCTTACCACCAGTTTTCCAGTCTTGCTCTTTCCAAGTCCCTGACCAATTGGATAACCCATTAGCCATTGCTTATGAGGCAGTGTGGATCCAGTCATCTGGCTGTTCTCAGTCCCAACAAAATGAACAACCAAATGAATCACTGGAAGTTCTGCCTCCTGGGAGGATTTTCCTTCATCACCATTTTCAGGGCCACTTCAGAATATGGCTGTGGTATAATAGACGTCCACTTCTGGCTGATGCCAGCATAGCATGCTACTATGGTTTAAATGTTTGTCTCCTCTGAAACTCATCTTGATACCTAATTCCCAATGTGGCAATATCGAGAGGTGGGACCTTTAGGAGGTGATTGGATCAGGAGGGCTCTGCCCTGGATTAATAAATTAATGGGTTAGTGGATTTATGAGTTATGAGAGTAGGACTGATGGCTTTATAAAAAGAGGAGGAGAGACCTGAGCTGGCATGCTCAGCTGCTTCACCATGTAATGCCCTGCATTGCCTCAGGACTCTGCAGAGAGTCCCCACCAGCAAGAAGGCCCTCACCAGATACAGCCCCTTACCAGATACAGCCCCTTGACCCTGAACTTCTCCACCTCCATAACTGTAAGAAATAAATTCCTTTTAAAAATAACTTACCTAGTTTCAGGCGTTCTGTTATAAGCAACAGAAAAAAGGGACTAAGAAAATTGGTACCAAAAGTGGAGTTGTTGCTAATAACAAATACCTAAAAATGGGGAAGCATCTTTGGAACTGATAATGGGGAGAGGCTGGAAAAGTTTGGAGGAGCAAGCTAGAAAAAGCCTGTATTTCCGTGAACAGAGCATTAAGGGCAATTCTGGTGAGGGCTTAGAAAACAAGAAGACTAGGGAAAGTTGGGAACTCCTTAGGATTGGTTAAGTGGTCATGACCAGAATATTGATAAAGATATGGTCAGTAAAAGCCATTCTGATGAGGTTTCAGATGGAACTGAAAAACAAGGTATTGAAACCTGGAGTAAAGGCTGTTCTTGTTATAAATGAACAAAGAAGTTGGCTGAACTGTGTCTATCCCCAAGGGCTTTGTGGAAGGCTGAGCTGGAGAGTAATGATGTAGGGTATCTGGCAGAAGAAATACTGAAGCAGCAAAGCATTTAGGCTGCTGCATGGCTACTTTATTTTTTTTATTTTTATTTATTTATTTTTATTTTTATTTTTTTAGTATTTATTGATCATTCTTGGGTGTTTCTCAGAGAGGGGGATGTGGCAGGGTCATAGGATAATAGTGGAGAGAAGGTCAGCAGATAAACACGTGAACAAAGGTCTCTGGTTTTCCTAGGCAGAGGTCCCTGCAGCCTTCAGCAGTGTTTGTGTTCCTGGGTACTTGAGATTAGGGAGTGCTGATGACTCTTAACGAGCATGCTGCCTTCTAGCATCTGTTTAACAAAGCACATCTTGCACCGCCCTTAATCCATTTAACCCTGAGTTGACACAGCACATGTTTCAGAGAGCACGGGGTTGGGGGTAAGGTTATAGATTAACAGCATCCCAAGGCAGAAGAATTTTTCTTAGTACAGAACAAAATGGTGTCTCCTAGGTCAACTTCTTTCTACACAGACACAGTAACAATCTGATCTCTCTTTCTTTTCCCCACATTTCCCCCGTTTCTTTTCGACAAAACCCCCATCGTCATCATGGCCCGTTCTCGATGGTCGCTGTCTCTTTGGAGCTGTTGGGTACACTTCCCAGACGGGGCGGCCGGGCATAGGCGCTCCTCACTTCCCAGACGGGGCGGCCGGGCAGAGGCACTCCTCACTTCCCAGACGGGGCAGCCGGGCATAGGTGCTCCTCACTTCCCAGACAGGGCGGCCGGGCAGAGGCGCACCTCACTTCCCAGATGGGGTGGCGGCCGGGCAGAGGCGCTCCTCACCTCCCAGATGGGGTGGCGGCCGGGCAGAGGCGCACCTCACATCCCAGATGATGGGCGGCCGGGCAGAGGCACTCCCCACCTCCCAGACGGGGCCGCCGGGCAGAGGCGCTCCTCACCTCCCAGACGGGGCGGCCGGGCAGAGACGCCCCTCACCTCCCAGACGGGGCGGCCGGGAGAGGCGCCCACTTCCCAGACAGGGTGGCTGGGCAGAGGCGCTCCTCACCTCCCAGACGGGGCGGCCGGGCAGAGGCGCTCCTCACCTCCCAGACAGGGCGGCCGGGAAGAGGCGCTCCTCACCTCCCAGACGGGGCGGCCGGGAAGAGGCGCTCCTCACCTCCCAGACGGGGCGGCCGGGCAGAGGCGCTCCTCGCCTCCCAGACGGGGCGGCCGGGAAGAGGCGCTCCTCGCCTCCCAGACGGGGCGGCTGGGCAGAGGCGCTCCTTGCCTCCCAGACGGGGCGGCCGGGCAGAGGCGCTCCTCGCTTCCCAGACGGGGTGGCCGGGCAGAGGCGCTCCTCACATCCCAGAAGACGGGGTGGCAGCCGAGCAGAGGCACTCCTCACTTCCCAGACTGGGTGGCGGCCAGGCAGAGGCGCTCCTCACCTCCCAGACGGGGTGGCGGCCGGGCAGAGGCTCTCCTCACGTCCCAGACGGGGCGGCCGGGCATAGGCACTCCTCACATCCCAGACGGGGCAGCCGGGCAGAGGCACTCCTCACCTCCCAGACGGGGCGGCCGGGCAGAGGCACTCCTCACCTCCCAGATGGGGCGGCCGGGCAGAGGCGCTCCTCACATCCCAGACGATGGGCGGCCGGGCAGAGATGCTCTGGGGTGGCGGCCGGGCAGAGGCGCTCCTCACTTCCCAGACGGGGCGGCCGGGTAGAGGTGCTCCTCACTTCCCAGACGGGGTGGCGGGGCATGGGTGCTCCTCACATCCCAGACTGGGTGGCCGGGCAGAGGCGCTCCTCACATTCCAGACGATGGGCGGCATGGCTACTTTTAACTGCTTACATTAAGCTACAAGAGGGAAAAAATAACTTAAAGATGGAATTTATAATAAAAAGGAAAGCAAATTGAAAAGATTTGGAAAACTCTCAGCCTCGCCATGTAGTAGAGAATGGAAGAGTATTTTCAGCAGAGGAAACCAAGAGTGTAGCCCAGTGACTGTTTGCCAAAGAAATTAGCATAGCTAGAAGGGAGCCAGGTGCTATTCCTCAAGACAATGGAAGACCCCCAGAGGCATTTCAGAGGACTTTGAGGCTGCCCCTCCCATCACAGGCCCAGAAGCCTGCGAAGGAAGAATGGCTTCAGGGGATGGGCCTGAGGCACCCTCTACGGGCTTGCCGCCCAGGGCTGCCTCAAGACTCTTCTGCTCCCCACACTCTGGCACAGTGCTTCTTGGCCCCCCCAGCCATGGCTCAAGCAGCCCCAGGTGCAGATCGACCCACTACCCAAAAAGATACAAGTTTTAAGCCTTGGCAGCATCCACATGGTGCTAATTCTTCAGGCGTTCAGAAAGCAAGAGCTGCGGAGCCTTGGCAGCCTCCATGCAGATTTGAAAGAATGTCACTGAAAGCCTGGGGGCCCAGGCAATGACTTGTCAGAGGCAGAGCCACTGCACAGAACCCTCACTAGAGCAATGCTGAGCAGAAGTGTGGGGTCAGAGCTGCCACAGAGAGTCCTCATCAGAGCAATGTCTAGTGGAGCTGTGGAAGTGAGGCTACCACAGAGAGACCCCACTAGGGTCATGTCTGGTAGAGCCATGGGACTAGGACTCCCATGATGACCCCAGAACTGTGGAGTCACTGGCAGCATAAAATGTCCACCTGGGAATGCTTCAGGCACCAGACCTCAACCTGGAGCAGCCACAGGGGCTGTACCTAGCAAAGCAATAGGGGTGGGGTTGCCTGAGGCCCCACTGTGTCCAGGAGGTAACACGTGGAATCAAAAGAGTTTATTCCCCAGCTTTAAGATTTAATGTCTGCCCTGCTGGGTTTCAGAGTTGCTTGGGGCCCGTTACTTATTTCTTTTTGCCTATTCTCCCTTTTATGTCTGTACCATCAATGTGTCTTGAAAGTAGACAGCTTGTTTTGATTTCACAGGCTCATAGATGAGCCTCTAGACTTTGTATTTTTGAGTTGGCGATGGAATAAGTTAAGACTTTGGGGCCATGGGGATGGAAGAAATTTATTTATATGTGAGAAAGACATGAGTTTTGGGGGCCAGGAATAAAATGCTATGATTTGAATGACTATCCCCTCTAAAGCTCATGTTGAAACTTAATCTCCAATGTGGCAGTATTGAGAAGTGGGGACTTTAGGAGGTGATTAGGTCATGAGGGCTCTGCCCTCATAAATGGATTAATCCATTAATGGATTAATGGATTATCACAGGAGTGGGACTGTTGGCTTTTTTTTTTTCTTTTTCTTTTGGTGGGGGGAACTGATGGCTTTATAAGAAGAGGAAGAGAGACCTTCACTAGCATGCTTGGCCCCTTCAGCATATGATGCCTTGCACTGCCTTGGGACCCTGCAGAGAGTCCTCTCCAGCAGGAGCAGGAGTGTCTTCACCAGATGTGGCCCCTTGGCCTTGGACTTCTCAGCCCCATAACTGTAAGAAAAAAATTCCCTTTTTTCATAAATTACCCAGTTTCAGGTATTCTGTTATAAGCAACATAAAATGGACTAAGACATATACAGATCCATTAGGGAGGCAGACCCAGGCCTTTTCCTCCTCTGATAACAGGTCATAGGAAATGGAAGCCATGAAGTATGGACTGAAGGAGAGACACAACAGTGGTAAGAGCAGATACCATGGGAGTCTGAGCCACCTGCTAGTGTAGTTTTCTCTTGCTTTCCAAACATGCTTGGGATACACATAGGGAGCAAGATGGTGGAATAGAAGTCTCCATCAATTGTCCCCCCTTGCAAGGACACCAAATTAACAACTACACAAAAAGAGCACCTTCATGTGAACCAAAAATCAGATAAGCACTCACAGTATCTGTGAATCCTCATAGTTTTAATTTCATATCACTGAAAGAGGCACTAAAGACACACAAAAAAGTAAAGATATTCCATGTTCACAGATTGGAAGAATCGATATTGTTAAAATGTTTATACCACCCAAAGCAATCTACAGATTTAAAGCAATCCCCATCAAAATACCAATGACATTCTTCACAGAAATAGAAAAACAATCCTAAAACTTATATGGAACAACAAAAGACCCAGAATAGCCAAAGCTATTCTAAGCAAAAAGAACAAAACTGGATGAATCATATTACCTGACTTCAAATTATACTACAGAGCTGTAGTAACCAAAACAGTATGATACTGGCATTAAAACAGAAACATAGACCAATGAAGTAGAATAGAGAGCCCAGAAACGAATCCACACACCTACAAGGAACTCATTGACAAAGGTACCAAGAACATATACTGGAGGAAAAGACAGTGTCTTCAATAAATGGTGCTGGGAAAACTGGATATCCAGCTTAAATCATTTATATCCAAAAGACAAGCAATAACAAATGCTGATGAGGATGTGGAGAAAAGGGAACTCTTGTACACTGTTGGTGAGAATATAAATTAGTACAACCCCTATAGAGAACAGTTTGAAGGTTCCTCAGAAAACTAAAACTAGAGCTACCATATGATCCAGCAATCCCTCTGCTGGCTATATACCTAAAAGAAAGGAAATCAGTACATTGAAGTGATATCTCTGCACTCCCATGCTTGTTGCAGCACTTTTCACAATAGCTTAGATTTGGAAGCAACAGATGAATGGATAAAGAAAATGTAGTACTTATACACAGTGGAGTATTATTCAGCCATAAAAAATAATGAGATTGACTGGGCACAGTGGCTCACACCTGTAATCCCAGCACTCTGGGAGGCCGAGGCCGGTGGATCACCTGAGGTCGGGAGTTTGAGACCAGCCTGACCAACGTGGAGAAACCCCGTCTCTACTAAAAAAAAATACAAAAAAAATTGGCCAGGTGTGGTGGTGCATGCCTGTAATCCCAGCTACTCGGGCAGGAGAATTGCTTGAACCCGGGAGGTGGAGGTTGCGGTGAGCCGAGATTGCGCCATTGCACTCCAGCCTGGGCAACAAGAGTGAAACTCTCTCTCAAAAAAAAAAAAAAGAGATCCTGTCATTTGCAACAACATGGATGGAACGGGAGGTCATTATGCTAAGTAAAATAAGCCAGGCACAGAAAGACAAACATCACATGTTCTTACTTATTTGTGGGAGCTAAAAATCAGAACAATTGAACACATGTAAATAGAGAGTAGATACTCTTCCCAGAGGCTGGGAAGGGTAGTTGGGGGTTGGGGGAAGGTGAAGATGGTTAATGGGTATATAAAACATAGAAAGAATGAATAAGTCCTAGTATATGATAGCACTACAGGGTGACTATAGCCAATAATAATTTAATTGTACATTTAAAAATAACTAAAAATATATAGTTTGATTGTAACACAAAGGATAAATGCTAGAAGGGATAGATATCTCATTTTCCATAATGTGACTATTATGCATTGCATGCCTGTATCAAAACAACTATGTACTCCATAAATATATACACCTACTATGTACCCACAAAAATTAAACATTGAAAAACTCAATAAATATGCTTCTGCCTGGTTTCATATATTCCACTTCAGTTTTTTAATGAAAAAATGCTACGTATGTCCAAGCTTGTGGCTTGGTAGATCATTTAATACCCAGCTCATAATGGACCTTTACAAAAGCAGTAAGAGTAGATGCTAAATTTTATTGAATGCTGTTACATGATCTATAAAGATAAGCGTGTGATTTTTTTGCTCTATTAATATCACATCATAGTAATAAATTTCTGCACACTGAACTATCCTTCCATTCTTAGTATAAACCCCACTGGGCGACAGCAATTTATTTATTTATTTATTTATTTTTGAGACAGAGTCTTCTTGCTCTGTTACCTAGGCTGGAGTGCAGTGGCGCCATCTCGGCTCACTGCAACCTCCACCTCCTTGGTTCAAGTGATTCTTTTGCCTCAGCCTCCTGAGTAGCTAGCTAGGATTACAGGCACACGCCACCATGCCCGGCTAATTTTTGTTTTTAGTAGAGATGGGGTTTGGCCAGGCTGGTCTCGAACTCCTGACCTCAGGTGATCCACCTGCCTTGGCCTCCCAAAGTGCTGGGATTACAGGCGTGAGCCACCGGGGCTGGCCAAATAATTTTTTTTTTTAATATGCTGCTGAATTTTGTTTGCAAATATTTTATTTAGGATTTTTACATTGATATTAATGGGTGAGATTTGTTTGCAGTTTTATTTTGTGTACTTTTGCTAGATTTTATTTCAGTATTATAGCTTAATAGAATTCTATTTCCTTCTTTGTCTATGCTCTGGAACTCTAAAAGCATTAGAATTATCCATTCCTTAAATATTTGCTGGAACTGCTGTGTGAAACTTTACCATCACCTACCAGTTCTGCTGAGTCTCTCTGGGTCAACTCATGCCTTGAGCAGGAAAGCTTTTCTTAACAGACCAAACCACCAGCAGATATGCCCTTTAGTTCAGTGTTTCTCAGAGTGTGGCCTGGAATCACCTGGAATGCTAGTTTAAAAAGCCCTTTAACCTTTTAAATTATAATTTCTTGGTGGGGGGTCAAGTTTTCATTTTTCACGTGCTCTCCAGGTAATTCTCCTGTACACTCTAGTTTGAATCTTCCTTATTAGTAAGAAGCCTCCAATTTCTCCGTGTTAAAACAAAAAACTTGGCCAGCCATGGTGGCTCACCCCTGTAATCCCAGCACTTTGGGAGGCCGAGGCAGCCGGATCACTTGAGGTCAGGAGTCCAGCCTGGCCAACATTGAAAAACCCCGTGTCTACTAAAAATACAAAAATTAGCTGGGCTTGGTGGTGGGCGCCTGTAATCCCAGCTACTCGGGAGGCTGAGGCGCAAGAATCACTTGAACCCGGGAGGTGGAGGTTGCAGTGAGCTGAGATTGCGCCACTGCACTCCAGCCTGAGCGACAGAGCAAGACTCCATCTAAAAAAAAAAAAAAACCAAGACAAGAGACTTTCATAGTCCATTTGGGTTGTTATAACAGAATACCACAGACTAGGTGACTTATAATCAACAGAAATTTATTTCTCACAGTTTTGGAGGCTGGATGTCCAAGATCACAGTGCCAGCAGATCAATATGTGGGGAGGGCCTGCTTTCTGGTTCCTAGACAGCTGTCTGCTTGCTGTGTCCTCACATGGCATGAGTGGCAAGTGAACTCTCTGGGGTCTCTTTTATAAGGGTACTATTCCCATTCATGGGGGCAGAGTCCTCATAACCTAATCATCTCCCAAAGGTTCCACCTCTTAATACCATCACACTGGGTGTTAGGATTTCAACATATGAATTCTGAGGGGACACAAACATTTAGTCTAAACAAAGACTATTCTGTCCCCAGGTCTGCCCTATTTTGCATAGGTGTGTTAAATAAAATTTATGGGAAGCCATTGATTTGGACTGAGCTCCTGCACTAGGCTCCAACATATCAACTCAAAATGGAATCACTCATGCTAGGGTTCCACATCACCAAACTGAAACCTAAGCTGTTTACTTGTGTAAGATCTGACCTTCCAAAGAATCAGGAGAAAGATGATAGCCCAAACCCACTAAGCCAACATGATTCCCTATAAGGAAAGTAACTGAAATAACCAACTCTCTGTCCCTTGTTTCTGTTTTCTTCAACCTTTTCTGCCTATAAAGCCCACCCACTCTTCTCAGCTCATTAGAGCTTTTTTCTATTTTGTAGACTTGATGCTGCCCAGTTCATGAATCACTGATAAAAGCCAATTCATCTTTAAAAACTCAATTTGCTGAAATTTTGTTCTTTGACAGGTGCCTGTGAGCCAGGTAAAGCCTGTTTTCCTTCTCTTGCCCATCTATTGATGGCCTCAAGGAAAATTATATACCCAGTGATTCCCTTCTCTTTTCCTAGAATCATCCTCTGAGGTCCAATTTGCCCCCTTTACCAATGGTGTCTGTTTGGTGGGAAAAGCTTTATAACAGTGATCAGAACTTCACTGAGGGTCAGAGATGGATAGGGTAACCAACCATCCTGGTTTGCCCAGGACTTTCCTGATTTAGTAGAGAAAGCCCTGTGTCCCAGGAAACCCCTGGGTCCTAGGCAAAGTAGGACAGTTTGTCACCCTATATCCTGTGTCAGACCTGGTATAATCATGCAGTCCATCAATCTTTCACCACACTTAGCTGTCCAAGGTTATTTCTGGGAAATCTGGCTGGATGAGTTGGAAAGAACACCCTTCTACCACCAGCACCACCATCCTAAACTACATTTAACACTCTAAATTCTGGGCTTCATTCCAGACCTATTGTGTCTGAATCTTGTTAAAACAAGATTCAAATACACATTAAAATTTGAGAAGCACTGCCCCAGGGCATTTGTTCTCAACCTTGGCTGCACAGTGGAATCATCTGGGGAGTTTTTTAAAAAAATAATGATATCTAGGTCTTGCTTCCAGTGATTCTGATTCAGATGGTCTGGTTCAGCTTGGGTATCTGGATTTTTTTTAAAACTCGCCAAGTGATTCTAATATGCAGCCAAGGTTGAGAACCACTGCTCTAGACTAGAGACTAGAATAAAACTCCAGCCTGGGCAATGGAGCAAGACCCTGCCCCTGCCCCTAAAAAAAAGAGAATAGAGTACCTTCAGTCCAGATGCTAGGGTATGCTTGGATGACTGTCCAAATCTAACAGTCTTGCACAATATTGATTTCCTCCCATTCTACCAGCCCTCTTAACCTTACAAGAGGATAAAGGCTAGCACTGTGCTTGGCCAACCCTTCTTCCCTTCTTGTCTAATATGCTGTTATTGTATACTAAACTATACTATACTATACTGTACTGTACTGTACTATACTATACTGTTCTGTTATAGTCTACCAGCCACGAAGTCCTTCTTTTTTTTTTTTATGATTACAACAGTAATCATGCCCTGCCCAAGTCCTATTATATGTTAGCTTTTATTGTGCTCTAATTGTTTGGTCTTTTTTTTTTTTTCCTTTGAGACAGAGTCTCACTCTGTCACCCAGGCTGGAGTGCAATGGCACAATATCGACTCATTGCAACCTCTGCCTCCCGGGTTCAAGTGATTCTTGTGCCTCAGCCTCCCAAGTAGCTGGAATTACAGGCGTGTGCCACCACGCCCAGCTAATTTTTGTATTTTTAGTAGAGACAGGGTTTCGCCATGTTGGCCAGGCTGATCTGGAACTCCTGACCTCAAGTGATCCGCCCGCCTCGGGCTCCCAAAGTGCTGGGATTACAGGTGTGAGCCACAGCACTGGGCTTGTTTGATGTTTATTCATCAATGTTCTTTTGGTGACAGGTGACCAAAGCCTAACTTGATCTGGCTTAAATGGAAAGCCAATATATCAGCTCATATAAGAGAAAAGTGCAGGTGTACTGACTTCATTCAAGTATGGCTGGATCCAGGTACTCAGATGATGTCATCAGAAAGACACCTTTCTCTCCTTCACTTAATATTGATTTCCTCTGTGTAAGCTTCATTCTCAGGCAGGTTCTCTCCACTTGGTAGTGAAAATGGCCATTCTAAAGATGCGATAGGTTGAGAATTTTTAATTCTGTAGTACTTTGAAATCCTCACCAGATAATTATGTTTCACATTATGCCTGGGACCTCAGTCAGCCACATTTTAAATGCCACTTAAAATGTCAGCCACATGTTACAGAAACTGAGCCCCAGGAAGTGTAAAACCATAACAGAGAACAAAGACAACCCCTGGAAAGCAAAAATGATGGGACATAAAGACCTCACTCTGATCTTTTATTAATGGATCTTTTAGAAATAGATTGTTACAAGTCCCAAAGCATTTTCACTCATTTATCAGACATTTACTCACTACCTACTATGTATCAAGTATGGTGCTGGGGGTTCAGATGAGTAAGACTTGATCCCTCTTTTCACAATCTCAGAAGGTAGCAGACAAGATAGGCACACTACCAACCATATTGCAACATAATGAGGGCTACTGTGCAAGTGTGGGCTGGGCAGGTGCTTGGTGGTGCAATATTTAGGAAAAATTGTGTTAAATGTTTTCTAAAGTCCCTTTTAGTTTGAAATTTCTGCAGTTTATTTCTCTTTCTGAAGTCCTCCTTTCTACTGTAACAGGGGGATTTAGCTCTGTGGGGATGTGGGTGGACTCCAGCTAAACCTACTTACATATCACCTTAGAAGTTTTTTCTCACAGTAAAAGCCGTTTCCAGGGCCACTGTTTAAAATTACTTATGTATGCTCCAGAAGAAAATCACTTAGAATGACAGAAGCAAAGGCTCGTGACTTGTAGAGAGAATGGAAAGTAGGTGTGTTCAATGAAAATGTTAAAAGAGCTGCAGAAAGAGAAAGACCAACTGCACAAGAAGAATTTCATTTGAATAGCCCAAGCTAAAATTTACAATGCAAATAGATGCTAAGACAAGGAAAGGACCTTAATTTTATTTTGGTCTTTACGTGGAAACCCATGGAAGTTTTGTGCTAAGCCTTAGGTATTGTAACACATCAAAATTTGAAGTGTCTCTGTTTCTTAATCTCTTGTATGTGGCCTTTTCTGTTCTTCCCATTAGCTGTTAGAAAGCTATTAGTCCTGCAGAGAGGAGATCTCTGCATAATAGTGGCCACCATTCATGGAACGCTTAACATAGGCCACTGTGCCTTTCATCCTCACATTTAAAAATACTTGACTCATTTAATCCTCATTCTATGATTGGTAGGCAGGTAGTAACATTATTATGCCCATTTTTAAGGTGTAAAAAGAGGAACTCAGAGAAGTTGAATTTGCCCAAAGTCCCAGAGCTAACAAGAGGCACAGATAAAAATACAGAGATTTCTGACACTAGAGCCCATCAAAAGATTAGATAGTAGATAAAGTAGATATGTAGACAGATGGATGAACAAACAGATGCACAGACAGATAGATGATGTTCATGAGGAAGAGAGTCTCTACTCTTAGCTCTTAGTGGTTAATGAGAATCAGACTTATTTAGAGAGGTGGTCAAGTTGGTTACAAGTTGAAACCTGGAATTCTCACATGGTTGCCCTGGTTCCCAGAGCTCAGAGCTGCCACAAAGAAGCCCCATTAAAGCCCAGAGTTTAGCCTGGCTGGTGACCCTTCCTCTTTCAGCTTCTACTTCCCAGAGGAATTTCTAAGGCTCTTGAGGCAATGGATAATCCTATTTGCCAAACCTTTTGAATGATAATCACCTGAGGTAATTTTTAAAATTCAGAGTGCATGTTGAAATGATTACATGTTGAAATGATAATACTGTAGTTATACTGAGTTAAATAAAATATTAAAATTTAACCTGTTTCTTTTTACTTTTTGAAATGTGGCTGCCAGAAAACTGAAAACTACATATGTGGCTTGCATTATATTTTATTGGAAAGAGGTGCTCTATAGAATATGCTAACTTAGAAGGTTAGTTTTAAAGGTACTAAAAGTGTCACTGGGATAGGCAGGGAAAAGAGATGGGACGGGAGTTCAGTGTGAAGCTGTCTTCACAGGCAGAATTAAGAATAATTCAGGACAGAAATGTAGTTATAATTAAGCATTAATCAGGCTGCACTTTGGCCCATTTCCTTGCAACCGAAAGTCATGTAGCACTAGATACTGACCATTTTCATCTCCACTGTTCTTATAGATAGGATTTCTGACATTAGAATCATAAGGCTTTTGTTTAAGAATTACTTAAGGCCAGGCGCAATGGCTCGCGCCTGTAATCCCAGCACTTTGGGAGGCTGAGGCGGGCGGGTCACTTGAGGTCAGGAATTCGAGACTAGCCTGGCCAACATGGTAAAACCCCGTCTCTACAAAAAATATAAAAATTAGCCGGGTGTGGTGGTGCACGCCTGTAATTCCAGCTACTCGGGAGGCTGAGGGAGGAGAATTGCTTGAACCCGGGAGGCAGAGGTTGCAGTGAGCCGAGATTGCGCCCCACTGCACTCCAGCCTGGGTGACAGAGCGAGACTCTGTCTCAAAACAATAATAATAATAATAATAATTGCTTACTGTGTTTTTCAGATTCTGAATTCCATTAGGACAACTGATGCCAACCAGTTTGAAGACCCCCACAGAGGAACCGAATCAGCATGAGAATACAGCTGTTTCTTCTCCCTGTCCCATGACTTCACCCTGCACTCTTCAACCCATCAACAATTCAACACTTCGGCCTCCTCCAACACCCTTGAAATCCCTAGCCCCAAACTCCTCAAAGATATGAATTTGAGGTTCCTTTCCATCTCCTCATTTGGTGACCCTGCGATTAAACCTCTTTCTCTGCTGCAACCCAGTGTCACAGCCTATTGATTTGTCCCTCACATTGGGCAACAAACCTATTACGGTTACAAGTGAGGTTTCTTTTTCTTCCCCATCGTTTCCTACTCCTTCAACTTCCTTAAAGCAAAAAGGGCAATTTATTCCTGGGTGTTTCATAAAACACAAGGGCAGGATAAAGCGGGAAAGAAGTTAGGGCTAGAATGTTCTCTGTCCCTTGTTTCTGCCTCTTTCTTTTTCCATCTGCTCCATTTTTTTTTTTTTTTTTTTGAGACGGAGTCTCACTCTATTGCCCAGGCTGGAGTGCAATGGCACAATCTCGGCTCACTGCAACCTCTGCCTCCTAGGTTCAGGTGATTCTCCTGCCTCAGCCTCCCGAGTAGCTGAGATTACAGGCATGTGCTGCCACACCTGGCTAATTTTTTTTTTTTTTTAGTAGAGACGGGGTTTCATCATGTTGGCCAGGCTGGTCTCGAACTCCTGACCTCGACCCTCCCAAAGTGCTGGGATTACATGCATGAGCCACTGCATCCAGCCTGCTCCATTTTCTTTCTTACAGCAACCCTGTCATCCCTGTTTCCTAGTCTATATGACAGAAAATGGCCTCCACCAAAGGCCCACAAATTTAGATTTCCTTAGTTAGATAGAAGAGCTAAAGTGAGTTTAAGTGTTAAGAGTCTCTATAGACAATACCAAAAATGAAAAAAATAATAAAAGCCACAATTTCCAGAGAAGGATTGTGATTGGTACAGCTTGCCTCTAATCCCTTTCCTGGATTCATCAACTGTCCTCAGGGTGCCATGGGCACACTGTACTAAGTTAGTAGTTCTTAGGGTAATAACCTCATTACCAAAGTGGGAGGGGCAGGGGTGATTCCCAGAAAACCAGGGAGGGAGAAGGGAATAGGAACACACGAAGCAGATGAGCACATAATTGGCACCTATGCCCGCACATAGTGCTGGCTGTGGGAACCAGCACAGATGGTCCAAAGAAGCTCTGTCAGTGCTCTGTAACTGCAAGTGTTTGTTATGGATTGAATTGTGCCCCCACTCCCAAATTCATATGGTGAAGCCCTAATCCTCAATGTGACTGTATTTGGAGATAGGGCCTTTTAGGGAAGTAATTAAGGTTAAATGAGGTCATAAGGGTGGGGCCCTAATCCCACAGGACGTGTGCCTTATGTGAAAAGGAAGAGAAACCAGAGTGCTCTCTCTCACTCTCTCTGTCTCTCTCTCTGACTCTCTATCTCTCTCTTTGTCTCTCTCTTTCTCTTCATGCACACAGAGGAAAGGCCAGGTTGAGGACATTACAAGAAGGGCCGCTATCTACCAGCCAGAAAGAGAGGCATCACTAGAAACCAATCCTGATGGCACCTTGATCTTGAACTTGTAGCCTTCAGAACTGTGAGAAAATAAATTTCTGTTGTTTAAGCTACCCAGTCTGTGGTATTTTATTATGGCAACCCAAGCTGACTAATACAGTGTTGTTATTAAATTCGAGCTTACTGCCTGTCTTTCCCTAAGCTCTGGTGTGATTTCTCTGAAATTAGTAACAGGCTTTCATGAAGTGCCTTTTACAGAAAAAAAATAGGAGATGATCCTCTGGATCTAGAGCTAGGCAGAGTCTTAGACTTGATACCAAAAGCATAAGCTATAAAAGGAAACATTGATAAACTGCACCTCACTGAAATTAAAAAAACTTTTGTTCTGTGAAAGCCCAAGTGAAGAGAATAAAAAGACAAGTTACAGCCTGGGAGAAAATATTTGCGAACCACATATTTGACAAAGGACTACCATCTAGAACATCTTTTTTAACAACTCTCAAACCCAACAGTAAGAGAACAAACAATTCAACTGGAAAACAGGCAAAAGACATGAAGAGACACTTCACTGAAGAGGATATACAGATGGCAAACAGGCACATAAAAAGACGTTGAACATGATTAGCCATTAGAGAAATACAAATTAACACACACTGAGATATCACTACACATATATCTGACTGGATACAAATTAAAAAGACTGACAACACCAAATGCTGGGGAGGATGCGGAGAAAGTAGATCACTCATAGATTACTGGTGGGAATACAAAAATGATATAGCCACTTTGGAAAACAGTTTGTCAGTTTCTTTAAACACTAAATATACAACTGCCATACAACCCAGTAATTGTATTCCGGAACACTTATCCCAAAGAAATGAAGACTCATGTCCAAACAAAACTCACAAATGTTCTTAGAAGCATTATCTGTAACAGCCTAAAACTAGAATCAGCCCAGCTGTTCTTCAACAGATGAATGGTTAAACAAACAATGCCACACCATGGAATTCTATGCTGTGTAGTATTTTATTACTACTTAACAATAAAAAGGATCAAACTATCGATACTCACAACAACCTGGATCAATCTCCAGAGAATTATGCAGAATGAAAAGAAGCCAAACCCAAAAGGTTTGTGTGATCCCATTTATGTAACATTTTTTGAAATGACAACATTTTCAAAACATAGAACAGATTAGTGGTTGCAGGTGGTTGGGGAATGGGGGTGAGAGGGAGGTGGGTATAATTATAAAAGGGCAAGAGGAGGGATCATTATAGTGATGGAAATGGTCTGTATCTTGACTGTGAGGGATAATGATGTGGATACATGAGCCTACGCAAGTGATAAAATTGTTTAGGGCCAGGCGCAGTGGCTCACACCTGTAATCCCAGCACTTTGGGAGGCCAAGGCAGGTGGATCACCTGAGGTCAGGAGTTCGAGACCAGCCTGACCAACATGGTAAAACCCTGTCTCTACTAAAAATACAATATTAGCTGGGTGTGGTGGCACATGCCTGCAATCCCAGCTACTTGGGAGGCTGAGGAAGGAGAATCATTTGAATCCAGGAGGCAGAGGTTGCAGTGAGCTGAGATCACGCCATTGCACTCCAGCCTGGGCAACAAGAGCGAAACTCCATCTCAAACATAAATAAATAAATAAAATAAAAATAGTTTAGAACTTACACACACAACACACAAACATACATACACAGATACACATACATGAGTACAAGTAAAACTAGAGAAATCTGAAAAGGTTCAGGGTATTGTATCAATATCAATATCCTAATTGTTGTGCCAGGTGCAGTGGCTCATGCCTGTAATCCCAGCACTTTGGGCTGAGACAGGAGGATTGCTTGAGGCCAGGAGTTTGAGACTAGCTTGGGCAATATAGTGAGACCTCGTCTCTAAAAAAATTTTTTTTAAACTTAGCTGGGTATGGTGGTGCATACCTGTAGTCTCAGCTACTTGGGATGCTTGAGGCCAGGAGTTGGAGGCTGCAGTGAGCTATGATTGTACCACTGCACTCCAGCCTGGATAACAGAGCAAGGCCCTAACTCTTGGAAAAAGAAAATCCTAGTTGTGATATGACAGTATAGTTTGCCAAAATGTTAACATTGGAGGGAAACTGAACAAAATGTATAAGGATCGCTCTATATTATTTCTTACAACTGTTATTGGCAGCAAATCCGTATGGGTCTGCAGCAACCTCAATTCTTGCCTCCTCAGAAGAAAGAATTTGACTCAGGGACATAGGCAAAAGGAGAGACCAAGGCAAGTTTTAGAGCAGGAGTGAAAAAAGCTTTAGAGTAGGAACAAAAGGAAGGAAAGTACACTTGAAAAAGCTTTAGAGTAGGAACAAAAGGAAGGAAAGAACACTTGAAAGAGGACCAAGCGGATGACTTGAAAGACAAGTGCGTGCTTTGACCTTTTGACTTGGGGCTTTATATGTTGGCATACTTCCAGGGTCTTGCATCCCTTCTCCCCTGATTCTTCCCAGCACTTGGGAGAGGAGCATGCACCGTGTGTTTACTGGAGTTGTATGCATGCTCACTTGAGGCATTATTCCCTTACCAGCCAAATGTCCCTAGGAAGTCATATATACCAGTTAAACTCTGCCATTTTGTGTGCATGCTTGAGCCCATTCGCCCAGCTTCTGAGATCTTATTGGGACACTACTGATCACCAGTTTCAGGTTTTTCCTCTCTGTAGGGAGACTGCCTTTCCCTGGCACTGGCTGCAACCAATTATTATTTTAGAGAGACGGTTCACAACTGCCTGACCCTCACCTGATGGTTACCTGACATTCCTGGTTGGGAAGGCCCTCTCCTGCCTTGTTTATGTCTGACTAGCTAGCTACATAACACAACTACATGTGAATCCACAATTATCTCAATAAAAACATCAATTAAAAATGTGGATTACTTACTGTGGGATAAGGCAAAGGATCTGAAAGCTATTACAGTGCTGTGTAAGGAACTTTAAAGTCTCATTCCCCAAACAAAATTGTATTGTTTCTTCGTCTGTACTTCCACTATAGTGCTTATCACATTGTTTCCTTTCTTTCTTTCTTTTTTTTTTCTTTTTTCTGAGATGGAGTCTTGCTCTGTTGCCCAGGCTGGAGTGCAGTGGTGCAGTCTCTCTCGGCTCACTGCAACCTCTGCCTCCCAGGGGTTCAAGCGATTCTCCTGCCTCAGCCTCCCGAGTAGCTGGGATCACAAGCACCCACCACCATGCCCAGCTAATTTTTGTATTTTTAGTAGAGACGGGGTTTTGCCATGTTGGCCAGGCTGGTCTTAAACTCCTGACCTCAGGTGATCCACCTACCTCGGCCTCCCAAAGTGCTGGGATTACAGGCGTGAGCCACCGCGCCCGGCCTATCACATTTTCTAATTGTAGACTGTCTCTCTGACCACACTGAGCTAATTAAGGTAGGGGCCATGATTTATTCTTTATAGCCTTAGTGCCAGTTCCATGTGAGCCTCAGTATGCTTTGGCCAAATTAAATCTTTCTGCTCTATGTACATCATAGAGTTTGGCATATAATAAATCTTCAATAAATTTTGTTGGCTTGAACTAGATTGTAGCATAGTGTTGTCAGTGGCATGTGAACCAGAGCAACCCCATCTTAAATAGGGGCTGGGTAAAACGAGGCTGAGACCTACTGGGCCACATTCCCAGATGGGTAAGGCATTCTAAGTCTCAGGATGAGATAGGAGGTCAGCAAAAGATATGTGTCATCAAGACCTTGCTGATAAAACAAGTTGCAGTAAAGAAGCCAGCTAAAATCCACCAAAACCAAGATGGCAACGAGAGTGACCTCTGGTCGTCCTCACTGCTACACTCCCACCAGCACCATTCCAGTTTACAAATGCCATGGCAACATCAGGAAGTTACCCCATATTGTCTAAAAAGGGGAGGCATGAATAATCCACCCCTAGTTTAGCATATATCAAGAAATAACCATAAAAAATGGGCAACCAGCAGACCTTGCGGCTGCTCTACGGAGTAGCCATTCTTTTACTCCTCTCCTTTCTTAATAAACTCGCTTTCACTTTACTGTATGGATTCAGCCTGAATTCTTTCTTGCACGAGATTTAAGAACCCTCTCTTGGGATCTGGATCGGGACCCCTTTCCTGTAACAATTCGATCTCAGAAATGTTAAAAACTTAAAAACTTGAGGTCATTGTGCCCCTTTGACCCAAGGAATGACAGTAATGAAAGAAAGTGACATTGCAGTCTGAAAAGCTGCCTTTTTGTCCTGGGAGATGCTGACTAGTTTCCTGAATTGGCTATTGTATTGCCAAAAAAAAACACAAAAATTTCCTCAAGTATAGGGGGCAACTACTGGAGAAGGGGGCATGTCTGAAGTGAGTGAGTTACACCATGAGAACAAGAAAAATCTGGAGTATTTTCTTAGTTAACATTACCCACTAAAACCAAAGGGTGGGAGGATTATGCGTTCCTGCTGGCTGATGCTGCTGACAGCACACTGTTTGGACAGAATCCCAGGCACTGCTAGCAGAAGCAGAATTTCTCTCACACAAAAACATGGGGGGAAGGGGCAGAGATTCAACCACAGCATTTAGCTATGGAAAATGGAAAACGAAAAATGTCTCTTTAAATGCTAGTGCGGTCACTCCCATTGTCTTTCCAAATTCAGGCCTCCTTAGGGACTTTGCTCAAGTCTTCAAGATAGTTCTTGTCGCTAGTTATGACCAAAATAAAATCACCTCCTTCTATGGGATGATTTGGTAGTTGCTCCCTGAAACGGCCTCTGGCCCCTTCAAAAAAATTCACCTCAGTGACCAGCAGCAGATGCTTGAAATTCCTCTTTGGCAAAAGGAATTCCCCCTTTCAGACTTCACTTTTTTAAATGCAAATAATGTCAGAGTGGGGGTGCCACTTACTGTAATGTAAATCAGTTTGTCAGAGATTATCAATGGATTCTCACAGGAACAAATATAATACAAAATGGAAACTGTATGAATAAAGGACTGCATTAAGGACGGTGACCTCTATAGCCTATTGATAGAGAATAATTTCATTTGGACACGTACTTTCTGGCATTTGTGGAGCAACGCTGATGAAGTGCAATAATGTAAAGGTAAAGTACAATTCGGCACCTACCATGTTTCAGGCACTGAATGAGGTACTGGAGATACAAAGAAATGGTTTCTCACAATAAAGGGCAAGGGACAAAATACGTGAAGGACAATTACAATATGAATGCTAAGTGCTATGATAAAACTATGTATAAGGTGGGACATCTAATGGGGGCTGGGATAGACAGTCAGGGAAGGCTTCTTGGAAGACTGACTGGTAAGTCAGTCCTGAAAGATAAGTATGCATGTCTCGGGGGAAATAGACGGGGAGGTCAGGCATCTCAAATAGCAGAAACTGTGTTAGCAAAGACAAAGAAGTGGGAAAAATCACACTAGGTAGCCATGGAGGTGAACATGCTCCTAAGATCTCCCTTCAAGAAAACCTGCTATAGGAAGTGTAGTTGGTCAACAGCTTCCAGATACCTCACTTTCAGGATCTGCCACTGCATTCATGCTGAGGCCAAATTTTTTCTGCTTTACTCCCAGCCAATGACGTAGCATGGCAGGAGTGTCACTGGAAAAGGGGTCTTGCCCCAAACCCCATGAGGTCTTGGATCTCACACAGGAAAGAATTCAGGGTGAGTCGCAGAGTATAGTGAAGTTAAGATAGTTTATTAGAGATTACTCTGTTACAGAGTAGGGCATCCTCAGAAAGCAAGAGGAGAAACTCCCCCATCTTAAGCATGGTACTTGCTTATATAGGCTGTTAAGAATAGTGTACTTTATTACAAAAGCTTGCGATCAGCTTGTGCTAGGCTATTAGTATCATTATTTTCCTATGTCACTATTGATTTCAACAAGAATTTCCAAGTGTACTATTATCTTCAAAACAAAACCTATTCTTAAACTAAGAATGCTTTCTGTTCTTGTTTTTGAGACAGAGTCTCACTCTGTTGCCCAGGCTGGAGTGCAGTGGCCTGATCATGGCTCACTGCAACCTCTGCCTCTGGGTTCAAGCGATTCTCCTGCCTCAGCCTCCCAAGTAGCTGGGATTACAGGTGCCTGCCACCACACCCGGCTAATTTTTGTATTTTTAGTAGAGACAGGGTTTCGCCATGTTGGCCTGGATGGTCTCGAACTCCTGACCTCAGGTGATCCGCCCGCTCAGCTCCCCAAAGCGCTGGGATTACAGGCGTGAGCCACTGTGCCTGCCCGGCTGCTTTTTGTTCTTAAAATATTTGGACATTTGCATAAGCTCTGGTTCTTTATTTAGTCAGCATCATTAACTCATTCCCTTGACCATAAACATCTTGTGACCAAGAGTGTCCAATTCCCTGGGAATGTAGCCCAGCAGGTTTGGCTTTATCCCACCTGTTTTCAAGATGCAGTCACTCTGGTTAGGTTGCCTCTGACAGGAGTTCTAGAACTGAGCCATTTCTTGCTGATGAGGGATTCCCTAGTGGTCAATGTTTACCCTGGGGCTCTCAACCTGCCTGACAAAGACTTTCTCAGAGAGCTGTACTGCAACCTAAGCTCCTCCTATCCAGTTCTTCCTTCTATCCTTTTCTTCTTTCACAGGTGTTAGAACTCTATCACAGTTTGAAGGCTCTGTCTGTATATTCCTGCTCCCTCTGCCCTTTATCCTTTTGAGGTGTTTCCCTGAATAAACCTCATGTGCATCTACGTCTGTCATTGCCCCTGCTTTTCAGAGCCCTTGAATTGACACAGTGTTTAAGGAACTACCAGTAGTTTAGTGTTGTTGGAGGGTAAAGGGAAGAAGGGTGGGGCAGGAAGAGATGTTCATATCTAGTTTGGGACCCTAAAGGAACGACCTCATAAACTAAGCTGAAGAGAACAGACTTTATCACAGGCAGTGAGAAGCCACTGTAAGGTTTATGTGTAACCAACAACAGGTTCATCTTGCCCACTGCCCAGATAGAGCCAATTTATCAAGACAGAGGAACTGCAATAGAGAAAGAGTTTCATACATGTAGAGCTGGCTAAACAGAAGACTGGGTTTGTGTGTGTGTGTGTGTGTGTGTGTTTTTGTGTGTGTGTGTGTGTGCGTGTGTGTGTGTGTTTTGAGACAGAGTCTCACTTTGTTGCCCAGCCTGGAGTACAGTGGTGCAATCTCAGTTCACTGCAACCTCCGCCTTGACTAGGGTTTTATTATTACTCAAATCAGCCTCTCTGAACATTCAGAGGCTAGGGTTTTTTAAAGACAGTTTGGCAGGCAGGGGGTTAGGGAATGGGTACTGCTGATTGGTTGGAGGTGCAATCATAGAGGTATGGAAAATGGTCCTTGTGCACTGAGTCTGCTTCTGAGTGGGGGCCACAGGACCAGTTGAGTCTTGAGTCTCGGGTCTGAGTGGAGTCATCTGTTTGTCAGAAATGCAAAGGTCAGAAAAAATGTCTCAAAAGGCCAATCTTAGGTTCTATAATAGTGATGTTATTTATAGTAGTAATTGGGGGAGCTACAAATCTTATGAGCTCCAGAACAATGGCTGGTAATAGTTTAACCAGCCACAAGCTGATCACAAGCTAAGATGTAGATGCTATACCTACATCTTAGCAGAATTCAGGCCCCTCTCATAATCCTAAATTTGTGGCCTTTTATTAGTTTTATAAAGGCAGTTTAGTTTTGGGAAGGGCTATTATCATCTAAACTATAAATTTCTCCCAAAGTTAGCTTGGCCCATGCCCAAGAGTGACCAAGGGCAGTTTGGAGGTTAAAGGCAAGATGGAGTTGGTTAGGTTAGATGTCTTTCACTGACATAATTTTCTCATTGTTACAATTTTTGCAAAGGCAGTTTCATAAGCTGAAGAACAATAGGGTCATATTTGTATTTTACAAATATTCTGAGTATTGTGTGGCAGATGGTACAGAGGGACACAATGTTAGAAAAGTGAAGCTTTTATTAAAACTCTGAGGCCAGGTGCAGTGGCTCACACCTGTAATCCCAGCACTTTGGGAGGCTGAGGTGGATGGATCACGAGGTCAGGAGCTCAAGACCAGCCTGGCCAACATGGTGAAACCCTGTCTCTACTATAAATACAAAAATTAGCTGGGTGTGGTGGCGGGTGCCTGTAATCCCAGCTACTTGGGAGGCTGAGGCAGGAGAATTGCTTGAACTCAGGAGGCGGAGGTTGCAGTGAGCCAAGACTGCGCCACTGCACTCCAGACTGGGTAACAGAGCAAGACTCCATCTCGGAAAAAAAAAAAAAAAGAAAACTCTGAAGCACTCCACACTACAAACTGCAGATTGCCTCAATTGAAGAAGTAGCAATGGTATTGGAGGGAAGAAATTGATGGTGGAGGTATGTAGGCAATAATATGGCAAAAATTGGTGATGAATTGGTTGTAAAAACATGTCTTTTTTTGTTTGTTTGTTTGTTTGTGTTTGAGACTGAGTCTTGCTCTGTCACCCAGGCTGGAGTGCAGTGGCGCAATCTCAGCTCACTGCAACCTCCACCTCCCAGGTTCAAGTAATTCTCCTGCCTCAGCCTCCCAAGTAGCTGGGATTACAGGCACACACCACCATACCTTGCTAATTTTTGTATTTTTAGTAGAGACAGGGTTTTACCATGTTGGCCAGGCTGGTCTCAAACTCCTGACCTCAGGTGATCCACCCACCTTGGCCTCCCAAAGTGCTGAGATTACAGGCATGAGCCACCGTGCCTGGCCATAAAAACATGTTAAATTAAGTTTAAAGCTGCCTCCTAACATATTTTAAGTTCAGCCTAAACATTTCTCCATACACAGTGAACTGTAGCCTCACTGGATATATAAATATACTATAACCTACTCTGTGCCAATCACAGAGCTTTAGCCAATCACAGGCAGCCAACTGTTCAAACTGTGTTTAAATAAGGCAAACACTGAGCTGGAACCAATCCAGCTGTTTCTGTACCTTACTTCCATTTTCTGTACATTGCTTTCCTTTTTCTGTTCATAAATATTATCTGACAATGTGGTAGCTCCAGAGTCACACTGAACCTATTCTGGTTCTGGGGGCTGACTGATTCGTGAATTGTTCTTTGCTCAACTAAACTCTGTTACATTTCATTTGTCTAAAGTTTTTTTGTTTGTTCGTTTTGGTTTGAGACAGGGTCTCACTCTGTTGCCCAGACTGCAGTGCAGTGGCACGATCTCAGCTCACCACAACCTCTGCCTCCCAGGCTCAAGCAATTCTCCTGCCTTAGTCTCCTGAGTAGCTGGGATTACAGGCACATGCCACTACCGCCCGGCTAATTTTTGTATTTTTAGTGGAGACGGGGTTTCACCATACTGGCCAGATTGGTCTTGAACTCCTGACCTCAAATGATCCACCCACCTTGGTCTCCCAAAGTTTGGGATTACAGGTGTGAGCCACTGTGCCTGGCCTAAAGTTTTTTTTTTTTTTTTAAACACACATGAAGGGAGCGTATAAAAGGAACTAAATTGCCAGCATTATATAAAAAAGATAGGGTAAATTCCTCTGTCAACCATGATGGAGCAACAAGTACAAGACTTGCCTTTCTAATGTAAACAACTAGAAACTGGACAAAATACATGAAACAACTTGTTCTAGACATTGAACACCATGCAGCATGGAATTGCAATATCTGAAAGAAAGGAACCAAATGAAGAGATACCTACTGACTGGGGGCACTTTCCAGAATGCAGTGTGAGAGGGGAAATCCAAGCATAGCACAGAAGTCTTGCTGAGTTGAAGAGATGAAGATTGGAGTTCAGGAAAGCTGAGATAGCTGGAATTTGGGAAGAAGACTACCAGAGAAGAGTGAGCTATGCAGAGAGAGCTAAAATGATCGGCTGACTTCCTTTGGCTGACTATAAATTAATGCATACATAATAGGGTAAGACCCCACAAGATTAGGCAAAGGATAACT
The DNA here is from genome assembly GCF_000001405.40 of Homo sapiens. Lineage (NCBI taxonomy): Eukaryota > Metazoa > Chordata > Mammalia > Primates > Hominidae > Homo > Homo sapiens. The sequence goes on along the minus strand of NC_000023.11, from coordinate 40,840,338 downwards.
ACCACAGAAAGGAGTACCACCAAGGAGCTGTTAGCTGAACAATTCTCAGAGCTTTCATAGGACTGGGAGATGTTTGAGTTCTGACCACTCAGAGTGGAGAAACACCAGGGTATTCAGTAGAGCCCAGAAAGTTTAAGCCTCAATAATAGGTCTAAACTCGCCCTAGATGAAAGGCTATTCTAGACCTGCCATAAGAGAGCTAAAAAATAAGCCATGAAAAGATCAGCCTGAACTGTATGGAACTTAATTGTGTGTCAAAACAAAACTCAGCATGCCTTAAAGAAGACAATAAAATCCAGACCTCAACAATGTAACATTCATAATGTTCAGCATCCAGTCAAAATTACTAAACTTGCTAAAAGGCATAAAAATGTGACCCATATCAGGAGAAAAATCAGTCAATAGAAATAGACCCAGAGGCAACAGAGATGAGGGAATTAGCAGACAAGGACTTTAAACAGCTATTATAAGTATGTTAATATACTTAGAGGAAAACATAACATAAAGAGGAGAAAAATAGAAGACTTTTTATTTTTATTTATTTATTTATTTAGAGACAGAGTCCTGCTCTATCACCCAGGCTGGAGTGCAGTGGCGTGACCTTGGCTCACTGCAACCTCCACTTCCCAGGTTCAAGCAATTCTCCTTCCTCAGCCTCCCGAGTAGCTGGGATTACAGACATGCGCCACCACACCTGGGTAATTTTTGTATTTTTAGTAGAGATGAGATTTTGTCATGTTCACCAGGCTGGTCTTAAACTCCTGGCCTCAAGTGATCCACCTGCCTCAGCCTCACAGAGTGCTGGGATTACAGGTGTGAGCCACCATGCCCAGCCAGAAGACTTTTTAAAAAGAACCAAATGACAAATATTGTATGATTCCACTTATATGAAGCAGTTAGAATAGTCAAATTCACAGAGACAGAAAGTAAACTGGTAGTTGCCACGGGCTGGGAGGGAGGGAGAAATTGGGTGTTTTTGTTTAACGGATACAGAGTTTCAATTTGGGAATATGAAAAAGTTCTAGAGATGGATGGCAGTGATGGTTGCATAACAATGTGAACGTACTTAATGCCACTGAACTGGACACTTAAAAATGGTAATAATAGTAAATTTTATGTTCTGTATGTTGTACCACAATTTTTTTAAAAAAGCGCCAAATGGAACTTCTGGAGCTAAAAAATACAGTATTTGAAATGAAATATTCACTGGATGGACTTAGCAGTAGATTAGAACCTACAGAAGAAAAGGTCAATGAACTCTAAAAAATAGCAATAGAGACTGTCTAAACTGAAGTATAAGGAGAAAAAAAAGGCTAAAAATGAACCGAGCCTCAGTGGCCTGGGAGAAACAATATTAATGATCTAACAGATGTGTACTTGAAGTCTGCAAAGATGAGATTAATAGCAGATTAGATGCTGCAGAAGAAAAATTAGTGAACTTGAAGGCATAACAATAAAAACTATCCAAAATGCAGCAGACACAGAAAAAAAGACTGAAGAAAAAGAAGAAAGGAAAACAACCTCACTGACATGTGAGACAATATCAAGCAGTCTAGCATACTCAAAATTGACTTTCAGGAGAGGAGAGAAAGGGTAGTAGCAGAAAAAAATATTTGAAGAAATAATGGTCAAAATTTTTAAAACTGGGCAAGGCACAGTGGCTCACACCTGTAATCCCAGCACTTTGGGAAGCCGAGGTAGGCGGATCACTTGAGGTCGAGAGTTTTGACAAAACCCCGTCTCTACAAAAAATACAAAAATTAGCTGGGCATGGTGGCATGCACTTGTAATTCCAGCTACTCAGGAGGCTGAGGCACAAGAATCACTTGAACCAGGGAGGCGGAGGTTGCAGTGAGCCAAGATCGTGTCACTGTACTTTAGACTGGGTGACAGAGTGAGACTCTTTCTCAAAACTTTTTTTTTAAACTGGATGAAAATTATAAACATACAGATATGCAGCTATGAGAAGCTCAATGGTCCCAAATAGAATAAATATTAAGGAAATCATACCAAGGAAAATCATAATCAAATTCCTATGAAACAATGATAATGAGAAAATATTAAAAATAGCAAGAGGAATTGGCTTTGCAGAGGAGCAAAAAGAGAGAGAAATAGAAAGAAAATAAACTGCAGACTTCTCATCAGAAATTATGCAAACCAGAAGAATATGAAATGACATCTTTAAAACACTAAGGAAAAAATGTCAACCTAGAATTCTGTACACAAAGAAAATACAGGTGAAATATGAAGGTGAAATAAAGACTTTTCCAGATAAATAGCTGAGAGAATTTGTTGCCAGCAGACATGAACCACAAGAAATGTTCAAAGAAGTTATTCATGCTGAAGGAAAACAATACCAGATGGGAACTTGAATTTATACAAATGAATAAACAGCACAGCAATGATAAATATAAAATACCTTTTCCTGGCCGGGTGTGGTGGCTCATGCCCGTAATCCCAGCACTTTGGGAGGCTGAGGCAGGTGGATCACCTGAGGTCAGGAGTTCGAGACCAGCCTGGCCAACATGGCGAAACCCAACAACAAAATGCCCCAAATGAGGACAAAGGTTTTTCAGGAAGTGCCTATACTGGAAAGGCTAGATCGTAAAACATTAAATACAACTGTGTATCCAAGACCCAGTTTGGGTTAATATATGGGATAACCAGGTAGTTTTAACCTCTATGGCTAACTCCATTTCTCTATTTATATAAACAGAGCTAGTACTGCTATATTGACAACTACCAATATACTGCTTTGTCCTTTAAGATCTAACCACCACATAAGACTTAAACCCCTAAACCAAGGTTTTCCTTTTTTTTTTTTTTTTTTTGAGACAGAGTCTCGCTCTGTCACCCAGGCTGGAGTCCAGTGGCACAATCTCAGTTCATTGCAAGCTCCGCCTCCCAGGTTCACACCATTCTCCCGCCTCAGCCTCCAGAGTAGCTGGGACTACAGGCGCCCGCCACTACGCCCGGCTAATTTTTTGTATTTTTAGTAGAGACAGGGTTTCACCATTCACAGGATGGTCTCGATCTCCTGACCTTGTGATCCGCCCGCCTCAGCCTCCCAAAGTGCTGGGATTACAGGCGTGAGCCACCGCGCCCAGCCTTAAACCAAGGCTTTCTACCAAAGCCAAGAATACTGCATCTATGCAGGTTTGAGAAGCTTATCACACACCCACACTCACACACACCATGTCACCCCGTGGAGGTCAACTTCCAACTCTGCATTGATGTTATGCCTCTATATCTTTTATATGTATTCTTTCTCAATTTTCCTATCATGCAAAACAGTAGAAATCTGAACACATTCACGCTTGGCTCTGGTTACCCAGTAGTACTACTTGCATACAATTAAACGAGAGACCAAAACTACAGAACTAGTGCATGCGGTAGGGATTACAGGGGTAGGGAACAGATATAAAAACACAGATGTGCAGATTTAACCAGAAACCTCAAGGATCCGCGTCCCATGTCTGGAGCAGAAGGCTACTGGCCAGCTTAGGTCCCTTCACCCATCACTCCTATTATTGGACCCCAAAGCAGGGCCACTGCTTTTACTTTTGAACCTGGGGTCCTCAAAATTAGTGTGTGAAAAGTCCATAAACACAATCTGGTTGAAAACAGATGATGCAACACATCTAAACTAACTGTCCAACAGTTAAATTCGTGTTACAAAAAAACTAACTTTAAGGCCAGGCACAGTGGCTTATGCCTGTTACAAAAAACGAACTTTAAAGCCAGGCGCGGTGGCTCATGCCTGTTACAAAAAACTAACTTTAAGGCTGGGCATGGTGGCTGACGCCTGTAATCCCAGCACTTTGGAAGGTAGTGGCAGGTGGATCACCTGAGGTCAGGAGTTCGAGACCAGCCTGACCAATATGGTGAAACCCCGTTTCTACTAAAAATGAGAAAAATTAGCTGGGCATTGTAGCATGCACCTGTAGTCCCAGCAACTTGGGAGGCTGAGACAGGAGAATGGCTTGAACCCGGAAGACGGAGGTTGCAGTGAGCCAAGATTGCACCACTGCACTCCAGCCTGGGTGACAGAGTGGGACTCTGTCTCAATAAAACAAAAAACAAAAAAAACCTTTAACATTTATTTTTGTAACTTTTTCCAACAGGGAAAACAACACACTCCTTGGGGAAAGGTGAGGGGTTGACAAGACAGGCCCTGGGTACATATTCTTAACCGCAGCACCTGGAGTTGATAGGTCTGCCTAGGAGAGAACATAGGCACTGCCACACCACCACAGGGGACAGCTGCTATCTGGGGTCAGCAGACCAGCTCACACACTACGCAAGGTTTCTATAGATCTAAGACATAAAATTCTTCATCACAAAACAAGTCCCACTCATTTTCAGAGTCTGTCAGTTTGTCGTCCCCACCTGCAGCCTAAAGCATAAGCAACATCTCACCCAGCTCAAAGGTGACAGCCTCTTCTTCATCGTCAAAGGGGTTGCTGTTCGCTCCTTCCTCAAAGAATTCCCAGAAGTGGTTCCTTTGTTGGCCTGGGTTTCTGCTTGATGTTCCCACTTGCTGTCTCTGTGGCTCCTCTCTACGGCCATCAGGGTACATATGCTTGTAAAAACAGTTCTCTCCAAATGGGCAGCTCCCACGTCCTTCATCAAAATACTTGCATGCCTTGTTGCTCATTGCCTCCTTGTATTTCTGAATGAGTTTCTGCTTCTCTTCTTTCTCCTCCACCCAGTACTCACTTGGAATGACAAAGTTAGATGTGATTCGGCATTGTGGGCAGGACTTGACGATCCTGCTCTCAAATTCCTTAGCACTCCTCCACTTGCGAATGCACTTGAGACAGAAGGTGTGGTTGCAGTTGGAGAGGATCCCGAAGCGGTGCTCGTTGGGGTTGGCTTTCTCATAGACCACCTCCATGCAGATCCCACACACCTTGTCCTTGCTGCGCTGCACAGCAAATGAGAACTCCATGTCTTTCTCATGGGCTTCAATGCACGCTTGTATATGCTGTGATCTCTGGGCAGCATCCATCGGATGCAGGACCTGCAGCCCACACATGTCACATAAATCTCCGTGGAGATACACACAGTTCTCCCCATATCGGCACTGTCCCACTGCAGCATAGGGGCACAGCTGCTTCTTTGTTTCCACGGCGGTTTGCTCTTCCTCTGATTCTTCCTTGGTCACTGAGCCCTGCAGGGGTGCTTCAGTGCAGGAAGGCACAGTACGGCCACAGTAGGGTTGCCCAGGAACAAACTCAATGGCATTCGCCCAGTCCTCTGAACCTGCTACTACAGTTGCAAAATTTGAATTTCTTGACTCAGCTTCGTTTGTATTCATTTCAACAAGTGGTCCAACTATTGATGAGAGACTTGAGGAAGCAGCAAGGGATGACTTTGTAGTTAGCTCTGTAGCAGTTGCTTCTTCCTGTTTCAATGGCTTGCTATGTTCACATCTGCAGCGGTCTCCATAAACACAGCACCCTCGCTGAAAATACTTGCACACTACACCACACAGACGGTCAGAGAGGTCATGCGAGTAGCGACAGTTATCTCCTTCCTTACAAATCCCATACTTAAAATATCTACAAGTGACCTGTTTAGTCCAGCTGTCGCCGCTGCTGTCGCCGCTGCCATCGCACGCGTCGCTGCCGCCGCACGCACCGCTGCCGTCATACGCGCCACTGTCGCCCCTGCCGCCACTACCGTCGCTGCCGTCGCTGCCGCCGACCCCTCCGCCCGCCCTCGGGGACGGGGCGGTGACTGTGGGGATCGGAGTCGGGGAGACTGCTGCCGCCGTCTCCGCCGCCTCCGCCGCTGCTGCTCCTGCTCCCGATGTTGTGGCTGTTGTTCCGGGAGCTGCAGCCTCCGCCATTACTGCTTATCCCACGCTCCAAAGGCCCCAGAACGCCCCGGAACGCCCCGGAACTTCCGGAATCACAGAGGTCCAAAAGCCCCGGAACTTCCGGGATCATATAGGGCCAAAGGACCCGGAACTTCCGGGATCACATAGTTCCGGTCCGGCTGTGAGAAGAAGATGGCGAGGACAGGCGAGGGGAGGGGAAGGAGACTGAGGCACCCGCTCGGTCCCTGCCGGCTCTGCCTCTTTTTGTTTAAGAGAGTTTTTTCTCCTTCTGCATGTATCCTTTGTTGGGAGACAGTTCTTCATAGGTCTTGTGTGCTTGCACATCTTGCAAGTAAGGCACTGTACTGTCCTTTGTTCCGGACTATCTTTTCCAGGATATTTGTATACAGTGCATCCTTGAAAGACAGAGGTAGTGTCTCCCTCCAAAGAAAAGGGCAAGCATGCTTACTGTCCACTATAATAAAAATAGCCTCCCTCTGGAGTGAAGGGCAGGAATGATTACTGCCCATTATGAAAGGTTCAGATTCCCTAAGTCCAGGGTTTCTCTCCTATAATGTAATCCACTGCACGTGCAGGTGTTACCTGGTCCTCTTTAGAGTTGCCCTGTGAGAATGTGTTGAGCAGGCTTACAGATTTGGCTGGTAAGAGGACAACAAGCACTGATTAGATTCAGACAGTTTATTACTTACATAGACAGAAAAAGAAACAACAGCATGGTGTCAGCTCCCTGCATTCCTTGTCCCACAATAGGACACCCAAACAAAAGAGGCCAAATGACAAGAAACATGAGTGTTGGGGCACCCTGTTGCTGAGGAGTCATTTCATTTTTCTTTCTTTCTTTTTCTTTCTCTCTTTCTTTCTTTCTTTTTTTTTTTTTTTTTTTTGAGACAGTCTCGCTCTGTTGCCCAGGCTGCAGTGCAGTGGGGCATGATCTTGGCTCACTGTAACCTCCACCTCCCGGGTTCAAGTGATTCTCCTGCCTCAGCTTCCCGAGTAGCTGGGATTACAGGCACACATCACCACGCCAAGCTAATTTTTGTATTTTTAGTAGAGACAGGGTTTCACCATGTTGGCCAGGCTGGTCTGGAACTCCTGACCTCAAGTGATCCACCCGCTGCGGCCTCCCAAAGTGCTGGGATTATAGGCATGAGCCACCGCGCCAGAGGAGCCATTTCTATACTGCTGCTAAGTAGTTTTATAGCCTGCAGCTTAGCCTCCCTAAGGGAGAGGGGACAAGCTGGAAAGTCCCACACCTCATTGGAACCAAGAGGCGATGAGAAACTCCCTCAAGATAGAGAGCCGACAGGGTCCGGGCACCGAAGTTGCCGGCGGCCGTGCGGCCTCCCAGGCAGGCCCACAGTCACGTGCGGGGACCCGGGGTCGGACGGCCGGGAGGGGGCCCCGCGCGCAGCTGCAGAGCTCTGCGGCCTGTGCTACCAGGTCGGGTAGCGGCTGCGGCGCCTGCAGGACCAGCTGGCCGCCCGCGACTCCCTCATCGCGTGCCTCCACGCCAGGCTGGCCGCGCTGGAGGGGTACACTGCGCCGTCCCTGGTGGATGCGCTGCTGGAGCAGGTGGCGCACTTCCGGGAGCAGCTGCAGCGGCAGGAGAACGGCGCCGCGGAGGCCCAGATGCGCCAGGAAATTGAGAGGCTTACTGAGCGACTAGAAGCGAAAGAGAGGGAGATGCAGCAGCTGCTGAGCCAGCCACAGCACCAGCGAGAGAAGGAAGTCGTCCTGATGCGGAGGAGCATGGCGGAGGGCGAACCGGCCCACCCCGCCAGTGACGTTCTGTGCAGCTCCTTGGCCAATGAGACCCACCAGCTGCGGAGGACGCTGACCTCCACTGCCCACATGTGTCAGCATCTGGCCAAGTGTCTGGATGAACGACAGCATGCACAAAGGAACGTGGGGGAGAGAAGTCCTGAAAGTCAGAACATACAGGTAGGGACACCTCTGTCCAGAGTGTTACTGAGGAAGAAAATCGACTGTTAAAACAGAAGGTGACTCACGTTGAAGACCTCTATGCCAAGTGGCAGCTATACGATGTCAGCAGGGACGAATACATGAGGGGGCTCCATGCACAGCTCAGGGGGCTGCAGACCCCCCCCCCCCCATGAGCCCGAGCTGATGAGGAAGGAGATCTCCCGGCTCAACAGATAGTTGGAAGAGAAAATAAACGACTGTGCAGAATTGACGTAGAAGCTGGCAGCCTCGAGGACGGCACGGGATGCTGCACTGGAATGGGTGCAGATACTGGAATAGCAGATTCTCGCTTACAAGGATGACTTCATGTCAGAAAGGGCAGATCGGGAACAGGCTCAAGGTAGGATTCAGGAACTGGAGGAAAAGGTCACCTCTTTGCTGCACCAGGTGTCCTGGAGACAGGATTCTCAAGAGCCAGACGCCGGCTGGATTCACGCTGGGAGCAAAACTGCCAAGTACTTGGCCACCGATGCAGTGGAGCTTATCGTGCCTGGTGGCTGGAGGCCTGGGACTGGGTCCCAGGCGGTTGGAACCCCCTGCAGAGGGCGGGCATCCTGGCGCAGCCCAGAGAGGCCAGGGGGAACTTCAGTGCCCTCACTGCCTGCAGTGCTTCAGTGACGAACAAGGTGAAGAGCTCCTCAGGCACGTGGCTGAGTGCTGCCAGTGACCAAGATTCCACCCATGCCCTTGCGGCCCCCTGGCCCGGCACAGCTGCCCTCAGGGACAGGGTGGGTGCTCTCAGATGCCATGGATTAAGCTCTACTGAGATCCAAGTCCCCTAGAATAGGTGCGGGGCACTGTGATCGTTCACTTTGGTCTCCCTTTGGCTATGGAACAGGCTGGGTCACAGGGAACTCCCAGCGAGGCTAGAGGCTGGAGGTGGAGATGGGGTCAGGAACATCTGGCAGAGGGAGGTCCTAGTCTTGTGTCTCCATCAGGCTGAAGCCAGAGCAATCTGGGGCTGGTGTGCCAGCCCCTCCCCCAGCCTGCACCTGGGTATGCCACAGCTTGCCAGAAAGGCGTGGCTGCCTATGGGAGCCACTTGTATGGTCCCCAGGGTGGAAGCCCCATCCTGTTCTATAGAATAAGGTGTCTCCTCTCTGCCTTGAACCAGGAGGTTTGTCAAATGGAGTATTGTGGCTGCACATCACACTAGGGGGCCCATCCCCATCATTGCAGAGCCACATGTCTGCACTGAAAAACTGCATCACAATAGCATTTGTCATATATCCAGAAGTTAAAGCACACTTATTTTATCCACCTATTTTTATAATAAATGTTCTTGCTACTGTGAAAAAAAAATAGAAAGGCAAGTGAGAAATGGCGGTATGGCAGCTCCTCACAAGACTGCCTATCCTCTCATGCTTGGGGAGGATCACAGAGCCTTCTGCCACGGCATGGATCAGCTTGCAGTTGAGCTTTGCTTACATGGCCTATGAGGATATATGCACGGTTTTCAGGGCACCAGCACAGAGGAGTTCCCCTACATAATCGGGGCTCAAGAAACTGGTGCCAAAATGTTGATATCTGGTGACTGACCTTTCTACAGTAAAACACTGTCCATCTCTGAGTGTCATGTTTTCTACCAGATTCCATGAAACTGTAGTGGGCTGACTTGTTAGCTTGTTGAGTAGGACAAAATCTCAGACCTTTTATAGTTCTTGACAGCTTTAGTGAGGAGGGCGGGATACTGACAGAGACATGGCTTTCTAGAAGGAGAAGGATGAGGATATTGTGGGTAAATTTAATGAAATTTGAGGGCCGGGCGTGATGGCTCACACCTGTAATCCCAGCAATTTGTGAGGCCAAGGCAAGCAGATTTCTTGAGCTCAGGAGTTTGAGACCAGCCTGGGCAACGTGGCAAAACCTTGCCTCTACGAAAAATACAAAAATTAGCTGGGCATGGTGATGTGTGCCTGTGTTCCCAGCTGCTCGGGAGGCTGAGGTGGGAGAATCGCTCGAACCTGGGAAGTCGAGGCTGCAGTGAGCCAAGAGCGCGCCACTGCACTCCAGCCTGGGCAACAGAGCGAGACCCTGTTTCAAAAAAAAAAGAAAACAAATTTGAAGAAAGTCGCTGAAATATGTTGACCAAATTATCTGCTCAACTAGGCCATAAATAGTTCTTCACTTTATTGCCTGTTCATGATGGGGATTGAAGAGGTGGATGCAGGCTGAGTACCAGCAAGCAGATTCAAAGACCACTGCTCAAATGGTGCCCTGGTTCTTGCTAACTCTAATGCAGGTGTAGAACTTCCTGAACAATTTGGAGTTACCCTCAGGTCTGCCCCACTGTAACAACTAGTACTAGGTATTGTCTGGTGCACATAAAAGATTCTGCCCTCTTTTAGACAACAATTGCAGAGATGTGTGGAAGGAGGGAAATTCATGACCACTATGGGCAGAAACCAGGCACATCATTAGGAGTTTGGCTGGTTCACTTGGGAGATGAGGAAGTGCGGCTAGTAATGCTTGTCAAGGAAGAATGGCAACGTAAACTGGGTCTTATGGCTCAGCCCCTCCTGCGGTCCATCGTGTCTGCCTTAGATCCACTAGGAGAGAACAGTAGAAGGTCTTAGAGGTTTTTTTTGTTTGTTTTTTTTTTTTTTTGGTTTTTTTTTTTTGCAATAGATCCTGGCTGCAATAAGGGAGCTGTGGGCCTTTCAGGGAGATTTCCCTGAAACAGACAAACTCCTATGGGAAACCGTAGATGAGGCATTGAGTAGTATTCAGGCTCTCACTGCCTTGAATTTGGGTTTACAGTGCTGGCAAAGGTGACCCACTGGAGAATGAGAAGCTGACCCCATCAAACCTAGGTAGATGCTGCTGCCCTGGAAAACTTCGCTTGTGTTGAAACCAGGTGAGAACATAAGAGATGTTATCTTGGTGATGGGGCAGCAGAGGCCCTGAATTAAAGTGGAATTCTCAAAGAAGGTTGCTGCTGTGCAAGCCTGGGTCAAGTCAGCTAGGGGTCACAAACCCAATAGCTTCAGCTATAAAACATGCAGCTATGACTGAGTGAAGGGGTCTCCAAAGCTGAAATTGGTAGTGTCAACCATCAGGATCTCTATTCAGTCAGTATAAAGTGTGAGTAGGAAAAAACACTGAAAGATTTTTGGTTGCACCATAAGCTTCTGCCACACTCCCTAAATGCAAAGTTTTTTATTTAATAGCTTAGAGCCACTCTCTCCCTCCATGTCCCTGATCCCTCCCCACTCTTCTACCCCAAACTCAGCTACTTTAAAAAGAAAGATTATTAGAGGTGGGGCCAAGATTTTCCTGACCCTAAAGAAAATTGAAAACCATGTCTACTCATCCAAGGGGAATTTGGGGAAAGTGAGAAATTCAAACTGCTATGGCTCTGTTGAATACAGGTGCTCAAGTCACTATCCTACCCAGACCTGGGGAAGGCAAAAGCCCTCAGATCCAGCTAATGGTGCTTAGGCAGGGTTCACAGTGAAGAAGGAAATCTAACTTGTGGGTAGGGTCCATTGGGCCAGTTCAGTGCACTGTGGTTTTTACTTCTGCATCTGAATGTACAGTAGGAATTGATGTATTGTATCCCCATCCCATAAGTGCCAGGGTTGAGTGAGGGGAGATTTTCAGGATTCAGAGGAGTGGCATATAGAGAAATGTTTATGGGAGGTATACACTGCTTCTCAGCCCACCTCTCTGTCTCCTCCCTGATGGTCCAACAGAAGCTAAAGAACCCCAGGAAGAGAAAGGGAAATCATAGCCTTGATTAAGGACTTAAAGGCATCAGAGGTGGAAAATAAGGCATTATCTCAATATAATAACCCTGTATGGCCAGTGAAGCAGGTGGTGAAGGCTTACAGTAGATTATTGCTGACTGATCTGTTGTTGCTTTCAGAGCCATGGCTGTTCCAGATATTGCAACTACAAATTAATCCATTACACAGGCTGATAACACCTGGTTTGCTGTCTTAGACTTTTACCAGCACCTTCCCACTGACACTTGAGGATCAATATCAGTTCACATTCACGTAGCAAGGCCTCCAATATATGATTATAGGCATTCCCCTAGGGGTACCTAAGTTCTCCTGCCATTTGTCACCAGTGGGTGAGTCAGGATTTAGCATGAGTTCTTCTACCTTTTGATGTCCGAAGCTTTCACTATACAGATGGTGACTTGTTGGCTTACCAAGCAAAATTTCTTGGAACTATGTGGATGGATTTATAACACTCAGTCCCTGTGGTGGTCATGGAAAAACTGCTATCTCTTTGGTCCCCTAAATCAAAAAGGAAGTCCAGTACCTTATTGGACTCTTAGAGTATTAGAAACAGTATGTGCCTCACTCAGTCATGCTACTTGATCTTTATATCAGTGAACCTGCCAAATCAGCATCCTTTGAGTGGGGCTTAAACCAATAAATTGTGTTTGAAGCTGTCCTGCAAGTTGTGGCATGCTCTCTACCTTTAGGGTGCTATAAACTTAATGATCATGGCAGATGATTTTGCTGATTGAAGTCTCTGACAAAGGGAGGCAGCTTCCACCCAGAAATACCCCTTGGGGTTTGGGACTAGTCGTCTCCCTGATATGGTTACTAGAAACAACCCTTTTGAAAACCAGCTATTAGCTTGCTACGGCTCTTGTCAAAACTGAACACCTGCCTCATGGAGGCCTTGTGACTCTCCAGCCTTATATCCCCATTTTGGGGTGGGTTAACTCAAACTCAGTGACTAACAGGTCGGAATGGGCCCAATAAGCTTCCCTTGTCAAAAGGAAATGTATTCAAGAAAGCAGCTGACCTGGTCCAAGCAGCATCTTGACTTAGATGAAAAAGTAACAGTTATCCCCATTCAATTATCCCCCACTTGGTTGCCTGAAGCAAAACCACTGACTCCATGGGACCGTTGATTCACAGAAGTTTCTCTAATGCCTGGGCCTGGTTCACTGATGGTTCAACTAAACTGAAACCCAGTAGTGTCTACTGGAATGCTGCAGCTATTCGACCTCACCACCAGCTATGCAGAAGCAAAAATGAATGTGGCTCCACTTAATGGGCAGAGTCAAGGCCATTCTCATAGCTCCGACCAATACTTCCTTTGATGAACCTTGTTATGGTTTTACTGACTTCTTGACTATTGCCGATGGCCTATTTGTTTGGTTTGCCACATGGAAAATGATAGCCTGACAGTTTAAAGACATCTTTCTCTGGGGCCATGTACTGTGGAAACAAATGGCTGGCTGATCAAACCATCTGGGTCACTCATGTAGATGCCCATGGAAAGGCCTGTTCTCTGATGAGACCAAGCAAGCTGCTAATCAAACCTGCACTGCCCAGATTACCATCATTGCTGCCTGGACTAGACACGGCAAGACAGCCACCCTCATAAACTAGGCACAAAATGAAGGACTTTATGTTTCTGATGCCGAGGCTATCGTGGCATACCAGACTTGGGACTCCTGTCTCATAGCAAAGGAGCCCACATTGCACAGGGCACTGCTCCTGCAAGATTGACCGCACCACATTGGACCTTTGATCCCCTCTTGGGCCTATCAGCAGGGCCTCACTGCTGTTGACACTTTTTCAGGTTACTGTGTTGCTATTCCAGTCTGATCAGCAGAGTCCAAACAGATCACTGTGACCCTTGAAACTAATCTATGTCATGTGATCAGCTTCCCAGACCATTTGCAGGCCGACAATAATGCCCCTTTTATTGCAAAAGCCACACACAATGGGCTGATTGTCAAGGTATTCAATGGACCTTCCATGCTCCCTACCATCCAAAGGCATCTGGTATTGTTGAGTCTGATCAACCTCCTCCAAAATCTACTTTAAAAGATTTCTGGCCGGGCATGGTGACTCACGCCTGTAATCCCAGCACTTTGGGAAGCTGTGGCGGGTGGATCACGAGGTCAGGAGATCGAGACCATCCTGGCCAACATGGTGAAACCCCGTCTCTACTAAGAATACAAAAAAATTAGCTGGGTATGGTGGCACACGCCTATAATCTCGGCTACTCGGGAGGCCGAGGCAGGAGAATCGCTTGAACCTGGGAGGCAGAGATTGCAGTGAGCTGAGATCACGAGATCACGCCACTGCACTCCAGCCTGGCAACAGAGCGAGACTCCATCTCAAAAAAAAAAAAAAAAGGTTTCTGACTCTACTTCCCTCACCTCCTCCTGGTCTACATGCCTTAATAAGGCAATTTGTCATTGAATGCAGTTGTCCCCAGAAAAAAAAAAAACTGTCCCTTCTCAGCTATTGCCTAAGTAATGATCAGGACAAAGGGGTCAGGTTTATAGAGATCTATTTTGAAAATTCAATACTTTTGTAATCATTTCTAGGCATGCTGCTTCTTTCTTTCCCTTAAGGGAAACCCAAGCCAGCCTGGTTGGTTTACTCTCTGTATGGCAGCTCAGCTCAAAATGGACCTAGAGTATTGAAACTTAATTCTAGTTCAGCCATCTGGATTCTCTTGCTGGACTGCCATCATCTAGATCATAAGGATAATGACCACTTGGTTGAGTACACTGCTCACCGGCCCCCCACCCTACAATGACCCACATGGGAGGGCCAAAGTGGGGGAACATACTGGGTCTCTATAAGTTTTATTAAAATATCCTTGTCCCTCTTGCATCTGACCTTTGTGGACAAAAGGTCTGGATATGCGTAATGGATGACTGGGAAAGGGTGAAGTTATAACTGCTGGAATAGGCCACACCAATTTTATGGAGGTGGAGGGAGAACAACAATGCCAGTGCCTGGGGAGGAAACACCCCAGATGCCAAGGCGAACAGGGGAAGGAGGAACATTAATGATCTTTCATCTTTTAGAGACACCCCTGGAGCCTTCCTCTTGAAGGAAAAATTCCCTGGTGTGGCTCTCCATAACTGTTTTGCTTGTACACTTTAAATTAAACTGACTTCTATGTCTGCTGTCCTCTGCTAGACAGCTTTAACTACAATTTGGTCACCATTGTCCTTTGTCCTACTGAGAAGTCTATCAGAAACAGTGGAAGAGCTGACTTTAACACAAAGAGCTAACTTTCACACAAACCACCTGTCAGCATCTTCAGATGTCTTCCCCAATCCCATTCTTATAGCTGTCTCTCGGTCATTCCATGAGGTGACACATGCCCTCAAGCTGGTGGTGTGGACAAATAGAATAGGCTGGATTGACTGCCCTACAGTCAAGCTCTCCAAAAATGAGGACCAGACTCAATTATTCAGACAGAACCCAGAACTCTAAGGTGTATCACCTGCCCAGAAGGCCACATTGGAGACACTGTTCATCTGTGTTCCCCAACTGATGTAGGTTCTACTTGCAGGAGGAAGGGCAAAAATTGTCTAGCTTGTATTGACAAGTATCTTCATCATGTCCCTTGCTGGTGAGTAGAATAATAATTCATCCTTTCAGTGAGGGACCTTTTATCTCTCATCTCTGCGTTGCTTCTTGTTTGCTTTTACCCCAGGGCAGCCAAAATATGAATGCAAGTTTGCCAACTTGGTTTCAACTTTCTTTTTGTCCTGTCTCCCCTCACATTTAATTATTTCACCTCTGCTATGCATTTTAAGGGATATTTGTTATGTTTATCCAGAATTCCCATATATTTGTAGTTGAAGGTTTTTAAAAATAACTGGCTTGTGGCTGGGTGCGGAGGCTCACACCTGTAATCCCAGCACTTTGGGAGGCTGAGGCGGGCAGATCACCTGAGGTCAGGAGTTTGAGTCCAGCCTGGCCAACATGGCAAAACCCTGTATCTACTAAAAATACAAAAATTAGCCGGGTGTGTTGGCACATACCTGTAATCCCAGCTATTTGGGAGGCTGAGCCAGAAGAATCACTTGAATCTGGGAGGCAGAGGTTGCAGTGAGCCAAGATCCCACCACTACACTCCAGCCTGGGTGACAGAGCAAGACTCTGTCTCAAAACAAAACAAAACAAAACAAAAAACCCCAAAAATACTGAAAAATAAAAATAACTGGCATGAAACAGAATGCCTTCTCTGGTTTACTCCTTTCTTCTTTTCTGCATAGCTCTAACTCCTAGCTTTTGCCAATTCACAGTTTATGCTTCTTTGTAATCTGAGTTTGTTCTGACCCTTAATGGTCCCAGCAGTAATTCATGGCCTTTCTCTAAACATGTGCTCATCTTTAGCTTCCTTTGCCATCTGTTTCATGTTTTCCAGTTCAGATACCCAAGAGAGGTAATATGATAAAGCCAGTTTGGCTTTTGGGCCAGGCTACATCATAGGTTCCTGGTCTACCTATGGATTGACTATCACTCATTGGTCAGGTGCCCACCCTGGCCAAGTCTGCTATCATCATGGTTGGTGGTAGGGAAGGGGGCACACTAGGTCATATGGAACAAAATAGGAAGCTGTCTCAATAGGAGCTGAAGGTGGGGTAGGTTCCCTTAGAAGGGACTATGGGCAGAGAAGTCAATGGATATATCTAGAGGTTGCTCTGGGCAGAGCAAGTGATTGATATATCAACCTCTTTGGAATCTCCATCTTCTCTTTCTGGAGAGGGAGGGAGCAAGGTACAATAGGTTGGTGAGTGACTAGAAGGTGAAGAAGTATAGACAATCAAGTGTAAACTATTCTAGGAGTCTAAACTTTTTTCGTTTATGACTCCTTAAAAGAAAAAAGCGTTTTTAAACAAACTATTTACCTTTTCATACATTTGGAAGTTTTCTCATATTTTTCATTATAACTTTAAACAGTTGCTAATTATGTATGTTAGTTATGGTGAAAGGCTACATGTTATAACAAAGAGGTCCCCAACATTTAGTAGTTTAAAGAATAAAGAAGTTAATATAGTCCCAGGATGGGCCTAAGGAGTCTCTTTGAAATGCTTTTTCCCCGGTGCCATAAAGAAATAGCACTTGAACATAAATTTAATTTTCTCAGCAAGGCCATTTTTACTTCTTGCAGAAAGGGTACACTTGCCAGCAGTTTTGCCACGAGAGTACACCAAACATTTATAACCTGCCATGTCCACGCTACTGCTGTGTCCGGTTTCCATTGGCTGGAACGGGACCTTACACTCTGTATTTGTCCCGATTGGCTAGCAACTCAGAACTTTTTAAAAGAGGCAAAGGCAGAGGAGAACAAAGGAAGGAGGAAGTAACTTGTGGAATGCTGAGAAAAGTAAAAACACCTTCAAATAAGGAAGAGGAACAGGCTATGACCTAACGCTTGCTTGGACCAGTATAAGCATGCCAGGACAAATACTTAGGCTAAATTGTGGGAGCTAAGAACATAAAGTATATTGATTTCTTTACCATGGCTAGCAGATATTTAAGAATGTTAGCAGAGGTCTTTGAATAAATTTTGCTTCTAAGAGAAGTTACTATTTATTCCTAATTAAATGGGGAGGAAAGTCTTTGAAGAGGAACCTCTACTTCACTTTATACAGAGCCCAATAGGTTCTCCTTGTCCACTGGCTAGACACGGCCAATTTATCAAGACATGGGAATTGCAGGAAAGTTTAATTCATACAGAGCCAGCTGTATGGGAGATTGAAGTTTTGTTAGGACTCAAATCAGTAGGGATTAGGCTTTTTGTTGTTGTTTTTGAGACAGGGACAGGGTCTTACTCTGTCATCCAGGCTGGAGTGCAGTGGTGTGATCTCAGCTCACAGCAACCTCTACCTCCCAGGCTCAAGCTATCCTCCCGCCACAGCCTCCTGAATAGCTTGGACTACAGGTGTGCACCACTATGCCCGGCTAGTGTTCATATTTTTTGCAGAGACAGGGTTTCACCATGTTGCCCAGGCTGGTCTCGAACTCCTGGGCTCAAGAGATCTGCCTGCCTCAGCCTCCCAAAGTGCTGGGATTACAGAAATGAGCCACTGCACCTGGCTGGGGATCAGGGTTTTTAAGGACAATTTGGTAGGTAGGGGCCAGTGAGTTGGGAGTGCTGATTGGTTGGGTCAGAGATGAAATCTTAGGGAGTCAAAACTGTCCCCTTGCGCTGAGTCAGTTCCTGGGTGGGGGCTACAAGATCAGATGAGCCAGCTTATCAATCTGGGTGGTGCCAGCTGATCAATCAAGTGCAGGGTCTGCAAAATATCTGAAGCACTGATCTTAGGTTTTACAATAGTGATGTTAACCCCAGGAGCAATTTAGGGAGGGTCAGAATCTTGTAGCCTCCAGCTGCATGACTTCTAAACCATAATTTCTAATCTTGTGACTAATTTGTTAGTCCTATGAAGGCAGTCTAGTCCGCAGGTAGAAAGGTGGTTTGTTTTGGAAAAAGACTGTTACCATCTTTGTATCAAAGTTAAACTATAAGTTCCGCCCAAAGTTAGATTGGCCTACACACAGGAATGAGCAAGGACAGCTTGGAGGTTAGAAGCAAGATGGAGTTGGTTAGGTCAGATCTCTTTTATTGTAATAATTTTCTCAGTTATAATTTTGCAACAGCAGTTTCAATCTCTTATATAATGGTTTCAACTTTCAGACTGGTTCATCCTCAACATGTGACTTCTAAGATCACTCTAGTGGTTACTATTCTAGACAGCAGAAAGAAAGAGCAGAATCCCATGGCCAGGGAATTTCTCTTAAGCAAGGGAAGCTCAAGTTGCTATATCACTTCCGCTCACATTCCCTTGGAGAAATCTTTGTCACATGACCATGGCTTTCCTGCAACGGAGGCTGGGAATTATAGTTGCAGGCTGGGCAGCCACATCTGAGCTACAACTCTATTGTTATGGAAGAAGGGAGACTGGGTTTTAGTGAGTGTGGCTCTCCTCGTGGTCCGTAGATCTACAAACTTAAAGACTAGTTATTTGTTCCCTCCCTCCCCAATATCCAGTGGTGATGTGGGAGAGGATAACCATAAGGAAAGTCCTATTTGGAAAAAGAAGAATTAGAAACACTAGTAGTCATTGGTCCATAGTGATTGTTAAGCCCACTTAGCAGGAAATGCAAAGACTCCCAGCCCTGACAGTAGATTAAATTCCTTGACCAGATTATCTGACTGTCCTGGATTCTGCTGATGGAAAAAAAAATTATCTTGACCACTATCCTCTGGGGAGCCTGGCTTTGCTCTCTGGGATGTTCTTCTTTGTCCATTATTCCCCATCATTACATGTGAAGAAGGAGTTGAGGAAATAACCTTCATGGGAGCTGTATGATTTTCACAACTCGGTCCTTGCTGTTCCAAGTTTTCTCAAATATTACCATCCTCTGTGCCATGTAGAGTTGGCAGTGCTGAATTAATAATGTTCCACTATTGTCTCTGTGATTTCCCCAGCCATTGGTACTTACTTTGCAAGTTTTGATGCTGACACTTTTTTGATCCTACCGAGAAAATATGAACTGTTACTAATATAAAATTCATGCCTTGCTGTTCTGCACCTTTTTGCAAATACAGTACATTTTCATTTCAATGCCAAATGATGGTGTAATGTTTTTGAAAATATTTAAAATGGCAACTGAACATGTATTGTATCAACAGTACATATAATTTTTTTTTTTTTGAGACAGAGTCTCACTCTGGCGCCCAGGCTGGAGTGCAGTGATGCAGTCTTGGCTCACTGCAACCTCTGCCTCCCGGGTTCAAGTGATTCTCCTGCCTCAGCCTCCCGAGTAGCTGGGACTACAGGTTGTGTGCCACCACACCCAGTTAATTTTTGTATTTTTAGAAGAGATGGGGTTTCACCATGTGGGCCAGACTGGTCTCGAACTCCTGACCTCAAGTGATCCACACGCCTCGGCCTCCCAAAGTGCTGGGATTACAGGTGAGAGCCACTGTGCCCAGCCAACAGTACATATAATTCAACTTAAGTGATGACAATATGAATTGCTATGGCTAAATTCCTGTATGTTTCAACAAATACATCAGGACAGATGCTTGACGAACAGGGATTGTAATTCACCATCACTTGTAAAATACTCCTGTTTTCTAGAATGTTAAAATGTAAAAAAAGTGTGTCTTAAAATTGATGAAATATGAAAGTAGGTGTCCATTTAGTTTGCTTCCAGTCACTTTTATATGGCAGGATCCACAATCAAAGTAATTTCCTGGACATAATTCTTAGATCTGCTTTACTCTTTGCTTCCTTATTGTTTCCATGACTCTCATCTCTTATTAAAGGCAGCTAACTTGATGTGATATGAAACAATAGACTCTGTGGGGGGAGGGGTGATTATCATAATCTGATTCTTACCTCAGTGCTGGATCCATTGTTTGTCTTAAGCTTGACATGGAGGTTTCAATGAGTCTTGAAATATTAGGTTGATGCAAATTGTGGTTTCAGACCATGAATTTTAAATCATTATAACTAGGCTCAAACACATTTTTGTTCATCAAAATAAGAACCATTACAATCAACACCTTTTTGCCAACGAGAAAGAAGTTTGTTCTTTCCTGTAGCATAAAAATCCATGCTTCAGGATCTGACAAACTCTTGGAAAGTATTTTCTGCATCCTGCTGGTTGTGGAAGCATTTTCCCTGCCAAAAGTTGTTGAGATGCTTGAAGAAATAGCAGTCAGTTGGTGAGAGGTCAGGTGAATATGGCAGATGAGGCAAAACTTCATAGCCCAATTCATTCAACTTTTGAAGCATTGGTTGTGTGATGTGCAGTCGGGTGTTGTTGTGGAGAATTGGGCCCTTTCTGTTGACGAATGCCAGCTGCAGGCATTGCAGTTTTCAGTCCATCTCATCAATTTGCTGAGCATACTTCTCAGATGTAATCGTTTTGCCAGGATTCAGAAAGCTGTAGTGGATCAGACCAGCGGCAGACCACCAAACAGAGACCATGACCTTTTTTTGGTGCAAGTTTGGCTTTGGGAAGTGTTTTGAAGCTTCTTTTTGGTCCAACCACTGAGCTGTCATCACTGGTTGTCGTATAAAATCCACTTTTTGTCGCACATCACAATCGGGTCAAGAAATGGTTCATTGTTGCATAGAATAAGAGAAGATGACATTTCACAACGACGATTTTTTTTTCACTCAGCTCATGAGGCACCCACTTATTGAGCTTTTTCACCTTTCCAATTTGTTTCAAATGCCAAACGACCATAGAATGGTCGATGTTGAGTTCTTTGGCAACTTCTTGTGTAGTTTGTAAGAGGATCGGCTTCGATGATTGCTCTCAATTTGTTCTCAACTTCCAATAGCTGGTGACTATGTGCCTCATCTTCAAGGCTCTTGTCTCCTTTGCAAAACTTCTTGAACCACCACTGCACTATACATTCCTTAGCAGTTCCTAGGCCAAATGCGTTGTTGATGTGAGTTGTCTCCACTGCTTTATGACCCATTTGAATAAAATTGCTCGAATTTGCTTTTTGTCTAACATCATTTTCATAGTCTAAAATAAATATTAAATAAACAGCAATCAGTAAGTCATTACCAAAAAAAGCAAAAAAAAGTGCCTTAAAATGATGTGTAACATAACCACATTTATTTAAGAATGTATTCCAATATCAAATGGCAAATTTCAACAATGCAAAAACCGTGATTACGTTTGCACCAACCTAATGAACTTTGTTTTCTTTTTTTTCCCCATAAATATTTTGCTTACGTATTGAAATAAACTTTGAATAAGAGGCTTACCTCTTGGGTCCAGAAACAATTAGATTTTCCAATCCCGTCAGGCTTTTAATATAAAGATTCTCTGTATTCTCTTTCACTTCTGTTTGCAAACTGACCAATTCTTGCCTGAGCTTATCTCTTTCTTGTAATACCTTGCTAAACCACTACCAGTTAGCATTCAGGATCTTACCAGAGAGCTACTGGTAGGCATGTGGTCTGTCTTCTAAGTTATTAAATAATATAGGTAACAGTTTTACCAGTTATCTTGAGGTTCCCAGCTTTCTGGCTCACACTATTTCTTCATCACTCACTGCCTGAGAATTAAGCAAGTGCTATAAAATTTAGGTTTTTGTTATAGTAGTGCTCCACTTTCATGGTACTAACTGTCGTGGTAGTTAAGGCAGGCCTAGCTGCTGTAACAAAAAGGCTCTATCAAATTTAGAGGCTTAAAAAACAGAGAAGTCTGTTTCTCTCATGTCACATTGTAACCTGAGGCTTCTAGGTTTCCACATAGTCAGACAGTGATCCAGGCTTCTGACAGATCTGCCATGTTTAATATGAGAATTCCAAGGTCACTGTAGTCATTTTCATTCTAGCCAGTGGAACAGGAGAAGGAGGAATCATCCAGGGCCAGGAACTGTCTCTTAAGCAATAGACTTGTACTCATTATTTCTGCTCAAATTCTACTGATGAGAACTCAGACCTATGGTCACATTGTTGACCTAAAGAAATAAACTCAAGCAAAATTAATACAAGTAGAGAGTCTATTTGGGCCAAGGTTGGGGACTGCGGCCCAGGAAACACTGGGAAGTACTCTGTTTCGATTTTGTTACAAGTAGGATTTTAAAGGCAAAAGGAAACAAAGAGTGGGTTGATATAAAGTTGTTTGATAGGAATCTCATTGGTTTACAGAAATAACATTGATTAGTAATTAGCTATACATTGTTGAACTACAAGGTATGAGTTATGGTGTCCAGAATATGGCATTGTTAGGTTAATTTATGGCTACTTGGCATCCGTCAGTCTAGAACCCACATAGCAAGTGACTTCAAGAGGTGATTACTTATCTCAAACAGAGTGAGATGTGACTACTGTCATATTTCACTGCCTCTCTGGACTTGATAATTTAAAGGGGCTCATATTCCTCAGATAAAAAGTTTCTTTTCTTTTTCAACATCTAGTTTCAAGGTGAGGCAGGAGAATAGGGACTGGGGGCAGGGAATCTAAGGAATTCCTAGAACTAAATTAAATGGAAAAACTCCAACTCTCTAAGACTAAGTCAGCTACGACAGGAAATATCCTCTTTATTTACATAGGGGGCATACACGGAGTAAATGACTTTGTAACTTACTTCATCCTCTTCATTGACATAGGGCGTATACCAAGTAACCAGTGGAAACCTCTAGAGGGTATTTAAATCCCAGAGAATTCCGTAACTAGGCCCTTGAGCTGCTTGCTTAGACCCAGTCCCATCCTGTGAAGTGTGCTTTCATTTTCAATAAATCTCTGCTTTTGTTGCTTCATTCTTTCCTTGCTTTGTTTGTGTGTATTGTCCAATTCTTTGTTAAAAACGCCAAGAACCTGGACACCCTCCACTGGTACATATTTTAGTGAGCCAGCCAGGAGATAAGCCCAAAGTTTGGGATTTATTTTTCTCCTCTTTCTTTCTGCTCTGTACAAGGGAAACTCTCTCTCTCTCTTCCTTTCCAACTCAGGACCCTTGGTGGGCAGCGCCTAAACATGGAGGCAACTGCAGGTTTCTGGCTGGGGCCACTCTCCAGTGTTGCCTGAAGGCCAAGGAGTGAAACAGGGTAGTTGCCCTGCCCAGAAAGGGGAAGGACTCTTTTCTGACTTTTCCAGTTTTGGTCCCTGATCCCTACTTGTGGAGTCGCTCCCCCAGGGGGACCTCACACGCATTTCAGGTGACTTAAACCTTCTTTTCTTACGCTAAATTCTTCCCTTCGGCTACTCAGTTGGCTAAGGACAAAGGAAACTTACCCAGCCTCCAATTCCTGTCATTACAGTTCATGGCTATCACTCTAGTGAATGGGAAACACGGGAAAGTGTGGCCTTATCAAATTATAAGGATGCTAAAAGTCGGGATTACACCCAGGAACCAAAGGAAAGCTCATAGTAGGCCGTTGCCTCTGGAGGGAATGCATGCAAAGTGGCACCAGTGCCCACCCCACCTAAGGTTAGAGATTTCTGACACTAGAAAATTGGACCCCAAAGGGGGACACCCCAGGGGATCCTCCAGATCTCAACCTCCCCAAAGAGGATGCCCTCGGCAGAGATTCTGAGGCCTAGTACTAAGCCCTCCTTAGAATTTTCTCTCACAGTTGCAATATTGTTTGGCTCCCATATTGTTTAGAATCTGGAATTTGCTGTTGAATGGAAAGTGGGATGGAGTTGCATGTATCCAGGCTTTTGTGCTGCTGTTCTAAGCAGGGCCTGGTTTATGTGTGATGCTCTCCTTTGGTACTATTTGTCCCCAGTGTTCTTTGCAGTCTGGGGAGGTTTGGCCTTTACAAATGAAACTGCCATGGAAACTGCTTTACCCAAAATTTTGGTTCAGAGCCTTTATTGGATTATCTATTAGGGCAAACAAAGTAAAACTGTTAAGCCTGTATTGCTATCTCATGGCTAGAGTTCAAAGGTAAAAGCTATTGGATCTTCATTTGTGTGTGTGTGTATACATGTCTAGATGTGTTTAGTTGTATGTATACTTATTGTTATATATTGCATCTACCAAATTGGCTTATAAGTAAGAGTACTCATAAATTAAGTAAATAAGTCTAAGCAATTTTCAAGTTCATGTGACTTAAGTATAACTTTACTAAACAAGCTGGTTTTAAAATTATTGGTAAAATAAAAATAGAAATACCTACAGAATTGTCAGCATACATTTTTGTCTGGATTTTATGTTTGTCTTTGCTAGGTGTTTTGAGATGTCAATGTTGGGCATAGAAGGTTATAAAGCTACTAACCCAGTCAAAATGAAATTATCTTGGTTTGCATGCCCTTTTTTTTTTTTTTTGACAAATGAGAGTAATTTAATGTTAGCTAAATCTTCTGAGTTACTGGCAAAAATACCTATGTATTTAACTTTGAGACTCTTACTTAGGATTAGGTGAGCACCTGATGTTCAATGGCTATTAAAAACAATGATAGTGTCTAATATTTCAGTTTATAGAAGTAATCTAGATAAACTGTTAAAAATGAAAGAATTGAGTATGGTAAATGAGATAAATGTTTTAGGTAAACTTTTTGTGTAAGTTATAATCTTGAAACTATTTTTGATGCTCATTGAATATCTAGGTAATTTCCAATAAAAAAAGGGTTACGATATGGGGAAATATGTTTCTAAAATTATGGAAAAAGTTTAGATAATAAAATATTCCTTAAAACCTGATAGAGAATTGGAGACATTTGGCTAATTAACATTTTCATAGTTAAACCTCTTAGTCTTGATTAAAGTAAAACAAGAAATATTGTAAAGAAATGCATCATCAGTTTGGCAATTCTTTTTTTAATATAGTTAAGCATGAAGCCAGCTCCACTAAGTGTGGAGCCAAATTTCACATACATGCTTGCATTGCTTCACACTATGTTTACTGTTTTGCATGGATAGTGCTGGCACTGTAGTACTTATTGGTCATGTGCCTAGAGTGAATTTCTTGATTGCACAGGATGTATGGTGATAATGCTGGACTTAAGGATTAAGTATACTTTTGTAAATAGAAGTTGTGTCATATTTCTCTTTCTCTGCCTAATTTCTCCAAAATTTGTAAACTATTTGTGAATATTCTTAATTCATCTCAATATGTCATAATATGAAGTATTTTAAACATTTAACATATTTAATAGGCTTCCCAAAATCAAATTTCAGCTTCAAGATTGTATTTTCTGACCTCTAACTTTGAGATGCTACAGAGGGCCCCTGAAGCATCCAAAAGAGAGGTAAGCAGGATTATTTGACATGTTAAGTTACATGGGAAGCATTGTCAAAATAAAAAATAATATTTAATCTTCTTCAGGTTATATTTTAGCAAGTGATTCAAGTGAACATAAGTCCAATGTTAAGCATAGATTCATGGAGAACCAGGACAGCCACTGAAACTTTTGTTATTAAAGGTTCCAAATTAAATACATATTGGTGTGGTGACGTATAAGTTGCCAAAATAGTTTTTTGTTTTGGTTGGGGGGTGAAGTCTCACTGTGTTGCCAGGCTGGAGTGCAATGGCATGATCCCAGCTTAATGCAACCTCCACCTCCCAGGTTCAAGTGATTCTCCTGCCTCAGCCTCCTGAGTAGCTGAGATTACAGGCATGTGCCACCATACCCAGCTAATTTTTGTATTTTTAGTAGAGACAGCATTTCACCATGTTGGCCATGCTGGTCTCGAACTCCTGACCTCAAGTGATCCACTCACCTTGGCCTCCCAAAGTGCTGGGACTACAGGTGTGAGCCACCATACGCAGACTAAAATAGTTTATAACCAATGTTTGGTTTGTCAAATCCATATTCCTGGGAAGACAATCAAAGCTTCAGGTACATTTGGCTATCTGATGGGTGGGCCACTTAAACATTTACAAAGGGATTTCATTCAACTGTCATTTTCTGTTTTTTTTTTTCTTTTTTTTTTTTGTTTTTTTTTTTGAGATGGAGTCTCGCTCTGGCTGATGTTATAACAGTAGATTATTATGCTACTTTGTATTTTCACCAGGTAAACAAAGGTTTTTATGGTTCATGGAGGACAATCAACCCCTTCACAATCTCAAACCCAAAGAGTGGATCTTCTGAGAACATCTACCGTAAAGGCTATAGTTACACAACAGACTTTAAATTCTTTTGTGAAAGTTATGATAGAATTGGCTGAATAAAGAAGTATCTGTGCAGCTGCTGGCACTTGTGGCCTATGGAGAAATACATCAAATGAAAATGATAGAGATTCAGTGGTAGGGGATTAATGAAGAGATTGCTTAGTTAAGTGAGTAGACTCTTTATCTAGCTCGTTCTTTGATCTATTTGATTTTAGATGGTTTGGATTATGGGGACCCTGGGTAAGGATCAAACTCCAAACTCTTATTATTATCCTCCTGATAGTCATAATAATAGTCTACCTTGTTAGCTGTATTTTCTCAAAGGTTTTAAATGTTTGTATGCATTCTAGAGATGTCTAGAATGTCAAATTGGTCTTTCTTCAACTGGAATGACAAGAGCTGAAAGAAATGTGTGACCAGGAGGACGCTGTAACCTATGAATGACATGCTGAGTTGAGAAACCCAAAACGATGGTAACTGAGAGTGATGCTAAGGCCCTAAGTTTTGGTCACACTCTCACCCAAGTGAGAATCAGACCAAAAAGGGGCAATTTTTTTGAAACAAAATTCTGGGAGGCCATTGTTTTGTACTGAGCTCATGCATTAGGCCCCAACAAACCAAACCAAAGTGGAGTCACTTGTGCTAAGACTTTAAGGAAACACTTAGATCCTAGAACAGACCAGGTTGTTTTTCTCCTGCAAATCTCTATAACAAACATTCCTGACAGCATAGGTATCCAACCCCTGAAGTTCCCATTAAATCTTTTTTTTGTTTTGTTTTTCCTGAGACAGAGTTTCACTCTTGTTGCCCAGGCTGGAGTGCAGTGGCACAATCTTGGCTCACTGCAACCTCTACCTCCTGGGTTCAAGCAATTCTCCTGCCTCAGCCTCCTGAGTAGCTGGGGTTACAGGCGCCCGCCACCACGCCCAGCTAATTTTTTGTATTTTTAGTGGAGATGGGGTTTCATCATGTTGGTCAGGCTGGTCTCGAACTCCTGACCTCAGGTGATCCGCCTGCCTCGGCCTCCCAAAGTGCTGGGATTACAGGCATGAGCCACCGTGCCTGGCCCCCATTAAATCTTTTAACCAAATTGCTTTCCTCTTGCCTGGAGACCATCAAGCTTCAGATGATCACCAGTTCCAGGTGAAGACACCACCCCTGGCCATCAAGGAGCTACCCTATCTCCACTAGACAGAGCAGGGTGAGAGTTCCCTGATCCCCAGTAGGTAGGGACTACGCTCCAAACCAGCATGAAGCAGTTGCAGAAGAAAGACGATCGGTCCCTCTGCGTCCCATGAAGATTTATGGGGATCATGTCTCTCAGGGGGGAAATGAGGCAGGAGAATAGGGTCCGGGGTCAGGGAACCTAAGGACTTCCTAGAACTAAATTAAACGGAAAAACCCCAACTGTCTAAGACCAAGTCAGCTATGACAGGAACTATCCTCTTCATTTACATAGGTTGTACACCAAGTAAATGACATTGTAACTTTACTTCATCCTCTTCATTTACATAGTGTGTACACTCAGTAACCAATGGAAACCTCTAGAGGGTATTTAAACCCCAGAAAATTCTGTAACCAAGCCCTTGAGACGCTTGCTGAGGCCCATTCCCATCCTGTGGAGTGTGCTTTCATTTTCAAGAAATCTCTGCTTTTGTTGCTTCATTCTTTCCTTGCTTTGTTTGTGTATTTTGTCCAATTCTTTGTTCAAAATGCCAAGAACCTGGACGCCTTCCATTGGTAACAAAGGGAGACTAGGAAATTTAGTCCCTACTTGGGTAGCAGTATATCAGTTACTATAATGGAGAGAATAGATTTTGGGGGACAGCCAGAAATTTCCATCACAGGATACAATTTCCAACATTTTAAAATTGAAATTTTAAAATGAAATATACATTATTTTATCAAATGTATCCAATGGTTGCTAAATTCTGTAGTGATTAATATCCACCACTAAATTCTGTAGTGGTTTAATATCCACCATTGTCAATTTTTGTAAATACTCGAACAAGCTCTTCTTTAACAGCTGGATATGTTATATTATTCCTTTCTCTCCTAGAAGTCATAATTCTATTTCACCTCCTCCACGAAATGTTATGCTAATGTAATATATTTTAGGTTTAAAAACCTTTTATTAATCATCCTATCATACTTCTACGAAAGCAAAAATATGTGTTTACATATGTATGTGTACATAGGTATATACAAATATAGATATATTGAAAATTAAAATAAGTGTTTAATTTTCTGTGATCAAAAGGCTCCAAGTGTTAAATAATTGTTCTTCTAGATTAAGTTATCATTATAATAATTAGTCATACCCAGTTGATCAAAACTACATAAATTTATTACAGATTTTAAAAATTAAAACACATTGCTTATAAGTTGGATGGGCTTTTTTAATAGTCTATGTATCCATGGATGACTAGTATTTATTGCTAAAATGAGACACGTTGAACATCAATTATCCCTATTTTTCATTTTTGTAGATGAAAGTGTTGAGAAAAATTATCCACATAAATAAGTAAATAGTAATGAAAGAAGTTTTGTTATAACAACATTACCTAATTTTTTGAACTTCTTGTCTCAAGGAGTGCAAAGAAGAGATGACTATGATCAGGGCACACACAAAGTGGAACATTTAATAGGAAACCCTTCTTCTATAACACTGGGACCCTGCAGGCAGTACCACCATGTTGCCCAACAATAGAACAATAGAAAGCACCTCCATTCATACTGTAGTCTACAACATGTTCACTGAAAATGTGAATATGGTGCTTTCTGGAGTGAAACGATATGGAGCCCCCACCCAAAGAATTTATTCCTTTAACGTAAAGGTGAATAGGAAGTATACCTCAACTTCAGGGAACATTAAGGAAAATAGAATGTTTTGATTTTCTATGGAAAAAATTATAAAACTATTAGGAAATATTAAAGATCTAAATGAAATGAGAAATATACCATATTCATGGGTTAGAAGACTAATATTGTAAAGATGTCACTTCTTCCCCAAGTGATCTATAGATTCAATGCAAACCCAATCAAAACCCCAAGAAGCATTTTGTGGAATCTGAGAAGCTGCTTCTAAAATTTATAAGGAAATGCAAATGGACAAGAATATCAAAATTACTCCCAAAGGAAAACAAGGCAAGGAGAACTGCTCTACCAGATGAAAAGTCAATATAAAGGTATAGTAATTGAGACAGTATGGTATTGTACTACAGATAAAGAGATTAATGGAACAGAATAGAAAGCCTAGAAGTAGGCCTACACAATCACAAACACAATATACAGCAGAGGCGGTTATTTCAGATCAGTGAAAAGAGATGCATTTTTCAATAAATTGTCTGAGACAATTGGATCTCTGTGTGTAAAAGAAAAAGAAATAAACTGTATTCGTATCTCACACCACACACAAAAATCAATTCCACGTAGACTAAAGACACTGCCAAGGAAATTTACACATCTTTTTTTTTGAGACGGAGTCTCACTCTGTCGCCCAGGCTGGAGTGCAGTGGTGCGATCTCGGCTCACTGCAAGCTCCGCCTCCTGGGTTCATGCCATTCTCTTGCCTCAGCCTCTCAAGTTGCTGGGACTACAGGCACCTGCCACCACTCCTGGCTAATTTTTTGTATTTTTAGTAGAGACGGGGTTTCACCTTGTTAGCCAGGATGGTCTCGATCTCCTGAACCTGTGATCTGCCCGCCTCGGCCTCCCAAAGTGCTGGGATTACAGGCGTGAGCCACTGCACCTGGCCTACACATTTTTTTTCTCTCTTGACAGACCAGAGTAAAACATTTCTGGTTAAGGGAGGGGAATTCAAATCTCTTTTTATTCATTTATTTCAAAAATGGTGTATGCCAAAGACAAATAAGGGTGTCTTGGTCACATACTGCTCCAGGCTCTGTCATAATCTCTTTGGGCTCTGTAGCCTATGTTCAAGGCTTGGCAACAGGCAGACACAGAGAGGGAAAACTATCTCTGCTGTCAATGCCAGAGCAACCATACCTAGTTCTGCTTTCCCTGCCCCACTGTTGCAGAACTTTATTCCTTAGTTCAGCTAAAACCAGGTGGTTGTCCCACGATGAGGAAAATTTAGGCACGTGGACACATTGAAGGGTGAGTAGAGCAGGATTTTATTGGGTGAAAAGGGAAAAAATGAAAAAAAAAAAAAACCCAGTAAAGTGAGATGGAGTCCTGCTGACAGGCCCCCCACCTCACAGATTGAATCCCAGGCCACCACACAGGAACTGAAGAGGCCAGACTCCTCCCCACTGCAAACAGCGTAAACTTCCCCTGGCTCCACCCTGTTCTCCCAGGGCACAGGCCAGTCGCAGGTTCTCTGGGTACCCCTTCCCTTATCTTCCTCCTGCGTCTACCACTGCTTTAGCAAGAGACAATTGGTTCCACAAAGCCACATCCATATGAGTAGTGTCAAGGAAAGCAGTAATTGTTATCTCATGAGATAAAGCTATGTAGAGACAACCAGACTAGATAATTCCGCTCAATAAATATGGATGGGATCAGATCCGGCTTTTTCCTCTTCCCAGATTCACTCCATAAATGCCAACCTTCCCAATCTCAGAAACAGTAGAAAGGGGGCAAAGTAAAAGATCATTATGGTCTAAATTGCTAAATGGTTTGAACTTACATTTTCAGTAGGTTGGGATTACTGCACCTGCTGTGTTCCCATCTGCCACTTTTCTCTCTGCCTTTTAACTGAAGTGATGAACTTCTGAGGAAAGAGGTGATGACTCACCCTAGAGTCCCAGGCTCTCATGTGAGGAGGCATCAGTGACTGCTGATGGGACTAGGGAACTCTGCCTCCACTTGGCTCTGCTATTCCAAAGTGGTCAGGACTGACAGCTGCTAGGCAATTCCTGCCTCAGACCCCAAGATGGGACTGCAGCAAAGTTCTAATGTGGAGATCAGCTCTTCTCCTACATACCTCTTCCACTGCAGGGGGTTCAGTGGAATCAGCACTCACCTGATCATCTATCCCAGATGTCTGTTGTCCTTCAGCTCCATACTAACCTTCTGTGTTATACCACTAGGGCTGGAAGCCTACAGTACACATTTCCCAGACTCCCTTGGCAGCTGGGTTGCAGTTGGGTTCTGACAACAGGAGGCAGTCATGTTAGATTAGAAAGCAGTAAGAAGGCAGAAGCCATTCTATCTGTGGAGTTGCAGTGGCAGCAGTGGTCCAGGTAATATCAGCAGTAAGTATCTGCTCATGAGCTTCAGTTCCTGGGTGGCAGCAACTTCCTGATATTTGACCAACACCCTCTCCCCCTGGAATAGAAACAGTTTTTGTTTGTTTGTTTGTTTGTTTTTGAGACAGAGTCTTGCTCTGTTGCCCAGGCTGGAGTGCAGTGGCATGATCTCGGCTCACTGCAACCTCCGCCTCCCAGGTTCAAGCAATTCTCCTGCCTCAGCCTCCTGAGTAACTGGGACTACAGGCATACGCTGCCACACCTGGCTAATTTTTTTTTTTTTTTTTTGTATTTTAGTAGAGACAGGGTTTCACTGTGTTGCCCAGGATGGTCACGAACTCCTGAGTTCAGGCAATCCACCTACCTCAGCTTCCCAAAGTGCTGGGGTTACAGGTGTGAGCCACTGCACCCGGCCAATGGATGTTAATTGAGCACTTACTAAGTGCACAGCAGAGTATGGCCTGGGATATAAGGATGTTTGACTTGACCTTTGACAGTCTAGAAGAGATGATTAAAAACATCTACAGATAACTAATGCAAGTTTCAGAAAAATAAATGTCATAAAAGAGGATGTATTTCTGAAACCACCAGACCTTTTCTGAACAGTCTCAGTAGGCAATAGCAACGATAATAATAGCAAGGTGCTAAGTGTCCTAGATACTTATCTCCTGACCCACTATTATATCCACTGAGAAAAAAAAAAGAAAAAAATTATCTTATAAAAAATCACTGGAAAATGGAATATATATATAGTCATGCTCCTTGTAATGACATTTTGGTCAACAATGGACTGCATGTATGACAGCGGTGCCATAAGATTATAATGTAGCTGAAAAATTCCTATCATCTAGTGACATTGTAGCCATGGTAACATCAAAGCACAAGGCATTACCTTTTCTATGTTTAGATATGTTTAGATACACAAATATGTGCCATTGTGCTACAATTACACGCAGTATTCAATACAGCCACAGACTGTTCGGGTTTGTATCCTGGGAACCATAAGCTATACCTTATAACCTAGGTGTACAGTGGGCTATACATCTAGGTTTGTGTAAGTACCTCCATGATGTTCACACAAGGACAAAATAGCCTAATGACACATTTCTCAGAACATATACCTGTCCTTACGTGATGCATGACTATATTTATTTCATTTGCTCAGAGCGAGCCTGGAAAAAAGAAAGTTGGGGTGAATGAAATTCAGATAGACCTCAGCAAGAGTGGAAAGACACAGCTTAGCAGTATGGACCACAGTGGTAAATTTGGACATTAGAACAAAGCCCAAGGAGCTCTGTTCATTAGTTTCTTGGGGACTTGAGGTCCTTCCAACCCATGCTGCTGGCTTCCCTGAGGGTGGTGCTAGCTGGTCACAAGTCTGTAAGCTATGCCGAGTTGTCTATTCTCTGGGGTCGCTGGCTGGGAATGGTGGGAGAAAGGAGTCTTTGTACTTTAATCAAGCTGTTACCCTCTCAGTGGAACGTTCTGGGATTGAAACCACCATTGCAAAATTATAACTGAGACAGTGAAAGACCTAACTAACTCCTGACCTCCAAGCTGTCCTTGTTCATTCCTGGGCGTAGGCCAAACTAACTTTGGGAGGAAATTAGTTTATACTGTAGGCCAAACTAACTTTGGGAGGAAATTAGTTTATACTCTATTGTTTAAAACAAAGACGATAACAGCCCTTTCCCAAAACAAACCCCCTTCTTGCCTGGAACTAAACTGCCTTTGTAAGACTAACAAATTAGCCACAAGATTAGAAATTATGATTTAGGAGTCATGCAGCTGGAGGCTGCAATATTCTGACCCTCCCTAAATTGCTCCTGGGGATAACATCACTATTACAAAACCCAAGATCAATGCTTGAGGTATTTTGCTGACTCTGCACTAAAAAGATCAGCCGGCACCACCCTGATTGACAAACTGGCTCCTCTGATCTTGTGGCCCCCACCCAGGAACTGACTCAGCACAAGAGGACGGCTTTGACTCCCTACGATTTCATCTCTCACTCAACCAATCAGCACTCTTGTCTCACTGGCCCTCGCCACCCACCACATTATCCTTAAAAACTCTGATCCCCAAATGTGCGCAGGGAGACTGATTTGAGTAGTAATAAAACTCTGGTTTCCCGCACAGCCGGCTCTGCGTGAATTACTCTTTCTCTATTTCAATTCCTCTGTCTTGATAAATTGGCTCTGTCTAGGCAGTGGGCAAGGTGAACCCATTAGGTGGCTACAGGATGAAGGAAGAATGGAGTCTCTGTACTTTAGTCATGGTGTGACTCATCTATCTGAAACAAGTGAATTTTATTTTCAGTCCAGTGATCTATAATTTAGGGAGGGAAGGGAGAGGAAAATGGACACAGTGTAAATGTAGGAAGATTGTTGGGCTCTTATAAATTTTATCAAGAAATCAAAGTGATTAAGTACAGAGCTGAATCAAAGGGAAGCAGTAGGAGGATGCAGGGATGTCACTGGGCTCTTTTTCCAAGGCCTAGGAGGCTGCACTCAGCAGAATAGGGCATTAAACCTCCCGAGACACCTGAGAATCATCCAGGAAATCCCATTCTTGGTGAAGTTGGCATTTTCCCTCCATCCCGTAGCCTCCTCCATTTGCCATCTGATATCTGAGGTCTCCTTATGATATGGACAGGAGACAGGAAAATACTGGGTAGAAAAGGGCAGTTCCCCGACAAAGGTCCCATCCTCAAGCCTGAAGGCCTGCGGCCCTAAATGAGGACAGGCATTTCTGTTTTTGCTCCCAAAAAGTTGCCTTTTGGCCTGCCATGCCCCCCATCCTACCCTTATGTAAACCCAAGACCTTAGAGGGCACACACACAAGTGGCTGAATGTCGGGACCAGCAGACCAGCGATGGCGGAACACTGTGGCAGAGAGAGAAGAGGAGGGACATCTGGATGCCAAGAGGATTTCGGCTGGGGGTGGTAGGAGATGATTCTGGCCGCTGAGTGGCCAGACTCCAGGGGAAGACCACCTTCCCACTCAATCTGCCCCCTTCTGGCTCCCCATCCATCCCACTGAGAGCCACCTCCATCACTCAATAAAACCTTGTACTCATCCTTTGAGCCCATGTGTGATCCGATTCTTCCGGTACACTGGGCAAGGACTCGGGATACAGAAGGCTATCACACTGCCCCCCAGCCCTCGCAATAAGGCAGAGGGTTCATTGAGCTGATTAACACACAAGCCATCTGCAGATGGCAAAGCTGAAAGAGCTTGGTAACACATGCCCACTTGGGCTTTGGGAGTCACAGACACCCACCCCTAGATGCTGCCGTGGGCCGGAGCCCAAAAGCGCTCATACTTGCTTCTTTATCTGCCCGTCCACATGCTCTCCCTAGTGGTTTGAGCTGCGGGGTGACCAAGCAGGCCACACCCTTGTCGCATGCGTCCTGCAAGGGGAATCTGGGAACTCTCCCGTTTCAACTGGGGCCCCATCCGGGATATTCGTCAGAAGGTGAGTACAAATGCGAAACTGTCAGATATGCCTCTTCTCTCTCTTTCCCGTGGGCAAAAGGCTGTGTTTCCCTTCAGGGAGGTTTAACCACTGCATGGGACCTGAGTAAAGACCTGGGGCAACCAAAGGCATCCCTTGCTGAACTCTGTCCCCTACCGTTCTGACAGACACCGGTCAAGACCCCCAGACTTTGATTGGTGTCTTTTCACCCACGGTTTGAAATGGCTGTTATCTCTTCCTTTATAATGTTAAGAGTTTAGCTACAGGCTGCGGCTATCATATTAAATGGAGTGAGCGTTTGGCTCAGCTACCAAAGGTGCAAATCAGAACAATATGGTTTCTGTTTTTACTTCGAGGTGCGATCCCCGCCTCCACCTCTACAGCCACAGGTGCCCCCCTCCCCTCCCAGCTCGGGCACCTGGGCATGTCCACAGCATGCACCGGCCATGCCCAGTGGCCACAAGGGACAGGAGAAAATCACGGCCACTGCTGGGACCCTGCAGGGCTGGCTGGCCATCGTTTTCCATCTGCCACACCATTGTAACTCTACCTCCTCTGGCCAAGTAGTTCAGCCAGGCTTGAACTGGGAGAAAGATACAATGACTGAAGGAACCCATTTGCACTGAGCAAGGGGTTCTTCCTCCAGGACCTTCCCCTTTTGCCCCTTAAACTGTGTTTTTTCTTTTTTGTCTGTTCTTTTTTAAGTGAGAGGGTTTCCCCTCTTCTGCACTCTGCTGTTGATAGGGAAAATAACAGAGGAGCAGCTCCTGCTGGCAGGGCCCATTTGAGCCTTAATCTAAACAGATACATGCAGCCCCTTAAAATACCTTTTAGTCCCAAACTCAATTCCAAGCTTCAGGCTGAGGCCCTAGAAAGGAAAACCAGATCTGAGGGATCCAAAGCCAGGCAACAGGCACAATGTAAATGGACAGGTCCGATTCCTGCCAACTGAACACCCCACGCCCGTGGAAGGAGGCCATGCTCCATGGCATAAATGAGGCCCAGGGAACTCAAAGGCTGTCAACAGCAGGGGAAGACAGAGGCACAGGTCAGTGCAGATAATGCCTATTCTCTAGGCCTTCCCTGCTTCATGGGTGCATGTTGCATGGGCACTCCTGCGCAGCACCTGCCAAGGTCGCTGGGACTCGGGGATAAAAAGATGGAAGAGAAAAGGAGGATGCTCACTTTCTGTCTCCATCGCACCCCGAGTTTTTCACTGAAAGAAGGAAGAGAAGTCAGGGATACCTTTATTCCCTGTCTTTCAGAATGGGCAACCAGCTCTCTTCTCCATCCTCAGTTTATACTCCTCTGGAATGTATCCTGAACTGTTGGGACTGCTTTGATCCTCAGAATCTGGAGGAAAAACACCTCATAGCCCTCTGCACAAAGGTTTGACCAAATTATGAAGAACTGGGTTGGCCTCAGGAAGGAACCATTCATTTCTGTATCATCCAGCAGTTGGACCTTTTCTGTAGATGTGAGGACAGCTGGTCTAAGGTCCCATCTGTGCAGGCTTCCTATAACTTGCAAGGAAATCCAGACCTTTGCTGACAGTGTAGAATGGACCCAGCCCTCCTGTTTGCCATCTCAGGGAAGGCTGCAAGGGGCAAGCCCAGGGAACTAAAGATACGAATCCCAGAGGCACCTTCAGCAGAGGAGCCAGCTCCCTCCAGCCCTGTTCCTCCGGGTCCACCCCAACCTCCCTGTCCAGCTTCGGCCTCTCACTTGCCCCCTCCTAGAAATCCTTGCCTTAGACAAACCCGTCTCACTCTTGCCCCTCCAACAGGTGCCTAGTGAATTTGGGTCCAGTGAAGTCCAGGTCCCCTTCTCTCTACAGGACTTAAAGCAATGTAACGGGGATCTTGGTAAGTTTTCAGATAACCCTGCCAGATATATAGAGGCTTTCCACAATTTCACCCAAATATTTGAACTCTCCTGGGGAGATGTTATGTTACTTTTGAATCAAACCCTGACAGACGCTGAGAATCAGGCCACTCTGCAAGCAGCAGAGAGATTTGGGGATAAGCTTTGCATCACATATAGCATCAGGGAAGGGGGCAAACATTATCCAACTGGAAGAGAAGCAGTATCAAGGGATGACCCTAAATGGGATCCCAGTGACAAGACAGAAAACTGGAAGAGGAGACACTTTCAGGTGTGCATAATGGAGGGCTTACGTAGGACTAGAACCAAGCCTCTCAATTATACTAAGTTGTCCATGATCGACCATGGATTTGATGACAATACCACTGCCTTCCCGGAAATGTTAAGAGAGCCCTTGTTAAAGTACACCTCTTTATCTCCTGATCCACTCAATGGACAGATAATCCTAAAGGACAAATATATTACTCAGGGAGCCCCTGATATCAGGAAGAAGCTGCAAAAACAGGTTCTGGGACCAGATAGTGCTTTAGAGAACCTCCTGAAAGTAGCCACTTCAGTCTTTTATAATAGAGATAGGGAGGCCCAGGAGAGAGAGAGGAAATACAGAAAAGAGACAGAGGCTTTAATGGCCACCAGGCAAGCCCACAAATCCCAGAATTCCCAGGGTGCACCTAATTGCTACAGATGTGGCAAGCCAGGGTATTTCAAAAAGGATTACCCAGCTGGCATGAGAAAGCCACCTTGACCCTGTCCAATCTGCAGTGGGCACCACTGGGGGGTGGACTGTTCCCAGGAATGCTGATCACTGGGTCCAGAACCAATCATCCAAATAGTCCAGGAGCAGGACTGAGGGGTCCCAGGGCCCCTTTCCCCAGCTCCGGTGGTCCAGACCACCATTACCATCCAGGCGTCCCAGGTAATTCTGGAAATTGAAGGGAGGAAAGTGGACTTCCTTTTGGACACTGGGGCTAGTCTCAGTTCTCCTCTCCAATCTGGGCCTCCTCTCCTCTCTTAGCACAACTGTGAGGGGCATCGCTGAAAGATCTTTAACCTGATATTTCTCCCAACCACTTAGTTGTAGCTGGGGAGACCTTTTGTTCACCCATGCTTTTCTAATTATGCCTGAAAGCCCAATTCCTCTGCTGGGAAGGGATATCCTGGCCTGTATGGGGACCACCATCCTGAAGGCCCCTGGGCAAAGTCTTTGTCTCCCCCAGTGGAGACCAATATTAACCCAGAAATTTGGGCAACTCAAGGGAAGATTGGCGGAACCACCACTGCCATACCAGTCCAGGTCCATCTTAAGGATCCCACCTCCTTTCCTAACCAGAAACAATATGCCCTGAAACCAGAGGTTAGGAAAGGGCTAGAAGCCATCATAGATAACTTGAAGATGTAAGGCATCCTCAAACCCTGCAACAGCCCTTGTAATACCCCACTATTATGGGTACAAAAACCCAATGGGGAATGGAGACTAGTTCAGCACCTCTACCTTGTTAATGAGGCTGTGGTTCCAACACACCTGGTGGTTCCCAATCCCTATACCCTGCTAGCCCAAATACCTGAGGAGGGAACTAAATGGTTCACAGTCCTGGACCTAAAGGATGCCTTCTTTTGCATACTGTTACACCCTGACTCCCAGTATTTGTTTGCCTTTGTGGATCCCTTTAACCAAACCACCCAGTTAACCTGGATAGTGTTACCTCAGGGGTTCTGAGACAGTCCCCACTTGTTTGGGCGGGCATTATTAAGAAACCTCTCTGAGTTCCTTTATCCTCAGGTTAAAGTTTTGCAATATTTGGATGACCTTCTCCTCTGTGCTCCAACTGAGGAAATCTCTCAGGAGAGCAGTAAGGCTCTTCTTAATTTTCTGGCTAACAGTGGATATAAAGTTTCAAAATCTAAAGCTCAGCTCTGTCAGACTTCAGTGAAGTACCTAGGCTTGGTCTTGTCAGAGGGGACCAGAACATTGGGCGAAGAGAGGATTAAACCTATCTCCTCCTTTCCTTTCCCCAAAGCCCTCAAGCAACTAAGGGGATTCTTGGGCATTACAAGATTCTGCAGAGTATGGATACCTGGGGTACGGTGAAATGGCTCATCCCCTTTATCACATAATAAAGGAGACTCAGGCAGCTAAAACTCATTGTCTAACTTGGGAACTGGAGGCTAAAAAGGCCTTCAACCAATTAAAACAAGCCTTGCTTAAGGCACTAGCCCTTAGTCTCCCCATAGGGAAAATGTTTAGTCTTTATGTGTCAGAGAGAAAGGGAATGACACTTGGAGTCCTAACACAGGCCCAGGGTCTAGCCCAGCAGCCTGTAGGCTACCTGAGTGAGGAGCTCTATTTGGTAACCAAAGAATGGGTGGCTTGCCTCCGGGAAATCACACTAGCAGCCTTGCTGGTACCAGAGGCTACTAAGTTAACCATGGGGAATAACTTAATGTGGCAGGACTACTGTCTTCTAAGGGGAGTCTCTGGCTAACAGACAACTGCCTCCTGAGGTATCAAGCTCTGTTATTAGAAGGATCTGTGGTCCAATTAAGAACCTGTCCCTCCCTAAATCTAGCCACCTTCCTCCCAGAGGAAATTGGAGAACTTGAACATGACTGCAAACAAATAGTAGCACAAACCTATGTGGCCAGAGAGGACCTCAAGGAAACCCCCTTAGAGAACCCAGACTGGATTATGTCTTTTTAAAAAAATCATTTTATTTTTTCATAAGTTGTTGGGGTACAGGTGGTATTTGGTTACATGAGTAAATTCTTTAGTGGTGATTTGTGAGATCCTTGTGCACCCATCACCTAAGCAGTATACACTGCACCTTATTTGTAGTCTTTTATCTCTCGTCCCCCTCCCACCTTTCCCCCTAAGTCCCCAAAGTCCACTGTATCATTCTTATGCCTTTGCATTCTCATAGCTTAACTCCCACATATCGGTGAGAACATATGATGTTTGGTTTTGGTTTTCCATTCCTGAGTTACTTCACTTAGAATAACAGTCTCCAGTCTCATCCAGGTCATTGCAAATGCTGTTAATTCATTCCTTTTTATGGCTGAGTAGTATTTCATTGTATATATATATATACACCACAGTTTCTTTATTCACCCATTGATTGACGGGCATTTAGGTTGGTTCCATGATTTTCCAATTGTGAATTGTGCTGCTATAAACATGCGTGTGCAAGTATCTTTTTCATATAATGACTTCTTTACCTCTGGGTAGATACCCAGTAGTGGGATTGCTGGATCAAATGGTAGTTCTACTTTTAGTTCTTTAAGGAATCTCCACACTGTTTCCCATAGTGGCTGTACTAGTTTACATTCCCACCAGCAGTGTAGAAGTGTTCCCTGATCACTGCATCCATGCCAACATCTACTGTTTTTTAATTTTTTGATTATGGCCATTCTTGCAGGAGTAAGATGACATCACATTGTGGTTTTGATTTGCATTTCCCTGATTATTAGTGATGTTGAGCATTTTCTCATATGTTTGTTGGCCATTTGTTTATCTTCTTTTGAGAATTGTCTATTCATGTCCTTAGCCCAGTTTTTTATGGGATTGTTTTTTTCTTACTGATTTGTTTGAGTTCGTTGTAGATTCTGGAT
The DNA here is from genome assembly GCF_000001405.40 of Homo sapiens. Lineage (NCBI taxonomy): Eukaryota > Metazoa > Chordata > Mammalia > Primates > Hominidae > Homo > Homo sapiens. The sequence continues at coordinate 40,799,996 of NC_000023.11, read as the reverse complement.
ATTAGTCCTTTGTCAGATGTATAGATTGTGAAGATTTTTCTCCCACTCTGTGGGTTGTTTGTTTACTCTCCCGACTGTTCCTTTTGCCATGCGAAAGCTCTTCAGTTTAATTAGGTCCTAGCTATTTACCTTTGTTTTTACTGCATTTGCTTTTGGGTTCTTGGTCATAAAATCCTTGCCTAAGCCAGTGTCTAGAAAGGTTTTTCCAGTGTTATCTTCTAGACTCTTCACAGTTTCAGGTCTTAGGTTTAAGTCCTTAATCCATCTTGAGTTGATTTTTGTATAAGGTGAGAGATGAGGATCCAGTTTCATTCTCCTACGTGTAGCTAGCCAATTATCCCAGCACCATTTGTTGAAAAGGGTGTCCTTTCCCCACTTTATGTTTTTGTTTGCTTTGTTGAAGAGCAGTTGGCTGTAAGTATTTGGGTTTATTTCTGGGTTTTCTATTCTGTTCTATTGATCTATATGCCTGTTTTTATACCAGTACCATGTTTTGGTGACTATGGCCTTATAGTATAGTTTGAAATCAGGTAGTGTGATGCCTCCAGATTTGTTCTTTTTGCTTAGTCTTGCTTTGGCTATGTGGGCTCTTTTTTGGTTCCACATGAATTTTAGAATTGTTTTTTCTAACTCTGTGAAGAATGATGGCGGTATTTTGATGGGGATTGTATTGAATTTGTAAATTGCTTTTGGCAGTATGGTCGTTTTCACAATATTGATTCTACCCAATGGATGTGTTTCCATTTGTTTGTGCCATCTATGATTTCTTTCAGCAATGTTTTGTGGTTTTCCTTGTAGAGGTCTTTCGACTCTTTTGTTAGCTACATTCCTAAGTATTTTATTTTTTTGCAGCTATTGTAAAAGGGCTTGAGTTCTTGATTTGATTCTCCACTTGGTCTCTGTTGGTGTATAGAAGAACTACTGATTTGTGTACATTAGTCTTGTATCCGGAAACTTTGCTGAATTCTTTTATCTGTTCTATGAGCTTTCTGTTGGAGTCCTTACGGTTTTCAAGGTAAACGATCATATCGTCAGTAAACAGGGACAGTTTGACTTCCTCTTTAAAGATTTGGATGCCCATTATTTCTTTCTCTTGCCTGATTGCTCTGGCTAGGACTTCCAGTACTATGTGGAAGAGGAGTGGTGAGAGTGTGCATCCTTCTCTTGTTCCAGTTCTCAGAGGGAATGCTTTCAACTTTTCTCCATTTAGTATCATGTTGGCTGTGGGTTTGTCATAGATGGCTTTTATGACATTATGGTATGTTCCTTGTATGGTGATTTTGCTGAGGGTTTTAATCATGAAGTGATGCTGGATTTTGTCAAATACTTTTTCTGCATCTATTGAAATGATCGTGTGATTTTTGTTTTTAATTCTGTTTATGTGGTGTATCACATTTATTGACTTGTGTATGTTAAACCATCCCTGCATCCCTGGTATGAAACCCACTTAATCATGGTGGATTACCTTTTTGATATGTTGTTGGATTTAGTTAGCTAGTATGTTGTTAAGGATTTTAGCATCTATGTTCATCAAGGATATTGGTCTGTAGTTTTCTTTTTTTTTTTGAGACGGAGCCTTGCTCTGTCACCAGGCTGGAGTGCAGTGGCACAATCTCAGCTCACTGCAACCTCCAGCTCCTGGGTTCAAGTGGTGATTCCCCTGCCTCAACCTCCCAAGTAGCTGGGACTACAGGCACGCACCACCACGCCCGGCTAATTTTTTGTATTTTAGTGGAGACGGGGACTCACCATGTTGGCCAGGATGGTCTTGATCTCCTGACCTCGTGATCTGCCCACCTCAGCCTCCCAGTGTTGGGATTACAGGCGTGAGCCACCACACCTGGCCAGTTTTCTTTTTTGGTTGTGTCCTTTCCTGGTTTTGGTATTAGGGTGATGCTGGCTTCATAGAATGAATTAGGGAGGGTTCCTTCTTTCTCTATCTTATGGAATAGTGTCAAAAGGATTGATACCAATTCTTCTTTGAATGTCTGATAGAATTCTTCTGTGAATCCTTCTGTCCTGGACAGAAAAAGTCCTGGACATTTTTTGTTGGTAATTTTTAAATTACCATTTCAATCGCTCTGCTTGTTATTGGTCTGTTCAGGGTATCTAATTCTTCCTGATTTAAGCTAGAAAGGTTGTATTTTTCCAGGAATTTATCCATCTCTTTTAGGTTTTCTGGTTTATGTGTGTAAAGGTGTTCATAGTAGCCTTGAATGATCTTTTGTATTTCAGTAGTGTCAGTTGTAATATCTCCTGTTTTGTTTCTCAGCGAGGTTATTTGGATTTTCTCTCTTCTTTTCTTGGTTAATCTTGCTAATGGTCTATCAATTTTATTTATCTTTTCAAAGAACCAGCTTTTTGTTTCATTTATCTTTTGTATTAGTTTTTTTAAATTTCAACTTCATTTAGTTCTGCTCTGATCTTGGTCATTTCCTTTCTTCTGCTGGTTTGGGGTTTGGTTTGTTCTTCTTTCTCTAGTTCCTTGAGGTATGACCTTAGATTGTCTGTTTGTGCTCTTTCAGACTTTTTGATGTAGGTGTTTAGGACTATGAACTTTCCTCTTAGCACTGCCTTAGCTGTATCCCAGAGGTTTTGATAGGTTGTGTCATTATTGTCATTCAGTTTGAAGAGTTTTTAAATTTCCATCTTGAGTTGGTTTTTGACCTTTTGCTCATTCAAGAGCAGGTTATTTAATTCCATGTATTTGCGTGGTGGTTTTGAAGGTTCCTTTTGGAGTTGATTTCCAGTTTCATTCCACTGTGGTCTGAGAGAGTGTTTGATATAATTTCAATTTTCTTAAATTTATTGAGGCTCATTTCATGGTCTATCGTATGGTCTATCTTGGAGAAAGTTCCATGCACTGTCGAATAGAATGTGTATTCTGTGGTTGTTGGATGAAATGTTCTGTGTATGTCTGTTAAGTCCATTTGTTCCAAGGTATGGTTTAAATTCATTGTTTCTTTACTGACTTTCTGTCTTGATGACCTGTCTAGCGCTGTCAGTGGAGTATTGAAGTCCCCCACTATTATTGTATTGCTGTCTATCACATTTCTTAGGTCTATTAGTAATTGTTTTATAAATTTGGGAGCTCCAGTGTTACGTGCATGTATGTTTAGGATTGTGATATTTTCCTGTTGGACAAGGCCTTTTACCATCATATAATGTCCCGCTTTTTCTCTTTTAACTGCTATTGCTTTAAAGTTTGTTTTGTCTAATATAAGAATAGCTATCCCTGCTCACTTTTGGTGTCCATTTACATGAAATGCCTTTTTTCCACTCCTTTACTTTATGTGAGTCCTTATGTGTTAGGTGAGTCTCCTGAAGGCAGCAGATGGTTGGTGAGTTCTTTTTGTTTGTTCTGTTTTTGTTTTTTTGTTGTTGTTGTTGTTTTTGAGATGGAGTCTCGCTCTGTTGCCCAGGCTGGAGTGCAGTGGCATAATCTCGGCTCACTGCAAGCTCCGCCTCCCGGGTTCACGCCATTCTCCTGCCTCAGCCTCCTGAGTAGCTGGGACTACAGGTGCCCACCACCACACCCGGCTAATTTTTTGTATTTTTAGTAGAGACGGGATTTCACCTTGTTAGCCAGGATGGTCTCGATCTCCTGACCTTGTGATCCGTCCACCTCGGCCTCCCAAAGTGCTGGGATTACGGGAGAGAGCCACCGCACCCGGCCAGTTGGTGAGTTCTTATCCATTCTGCGGTTCTGTATCTTTTAAGTGGAGCATTTAGGCCATTTACATTCAGTTAGTATTGAAATGTGAGGTACCGTTGCATTCATCATGCTCTTTGTTGCCTGCATACTTTGTTTGTTTGTTTTGCTTTTTAACTTGTATTTTTGGTTTACAGGTCCTGTGTGATTTATGCTTTAAAGAGGTTCTGTTTTGATGTGTTTTCGGGATTTGTTTCAAGATTTAGAGCTCCTTTTAGCAGTTCTTGTAGTGGTGGCTTGGTAATGGCGAATTCTCTCAGCATTTGTTTGTCTGAAACGACTGTATCTTTCCTTCATATATGATGCCTAGTTTTGCCAGATGCAAAATTCTTGGCTGATAATTGTTTTGTTTGAGGAGGCTGAAGATAGGGCCCCAATCCCTTCTAGCTTGTAGGGTTTCTGCTGAGAAATCTGCTGTTAATCTGATAGGTTTTCCTTTACAGGTTACCTGGTGCTTCTGTCTCACAGCTCTTAAGATTCTTTCCTTTGTCTTAACTTTGGATAACCTGATGACAGTGCGCCTAGGCGATGATCTTTTTGTGATGAATTTCCCAGGTGTTCCTTGCGCTTCTTGTATTTGCATGTCTAGGTCTCTAGCATGGCTGGGGAAGTTTTCCTTGATTATTCCCCCAAATATATTTTCCAAGCATTTTGAATTGTTTTCTTCCTCAGAAACACTGATTATTCTTAGGTTTGGGTGTTTAACATAATCTCAGACTTCTTGGAGGCTTTGTTCATATTTTCTTAATCTTTTTTCTTTGTCTTTGTTGGATTGGGTTAATTCAAAGACCTTGTCTTCGAGCTCTGAGTTTCTTTCCTCTACTTGTTCAATTCTATTGCTGAGACTTTCCAGAGCATTTCGCATTTCTAAAAGTGTGTCCAAAGTTTTCTGAATTTTTGATTGTTTTTTCTTTAGGCTATCTATTTCCTTGAATATTTCTCCCTTCACTTCTTGCATCATTTCTTTGGATTTCCTTGCATTGGGCTTCGCCTTTCTCTGGTCCCTCCCTGATTAGCTTAATAACTAGCCTCCTGAATTCTTTTCCAGGTAAATAGGGGATTTCTTCTTGGTTTGGAGCCATTGCTGGTGAACCAGTGTAATTTTTGGGAGGTGTTGACAAGCCTTGTTTTCTTATATTACCAGGGCTGGTTTTCTGGTTCCTTCTCATTTGTGTAGCCTCTGTCAGAGGGAAGGTCTAGGGCTGAAGGCTGTTGTTCAGATTTTTTTGTCCCATGGGGTGTTCCCTTGATATAGTATTCTCCCCCTTTTCTGGGGATGTGGCTTCCTGTGAGCTGAACTCCAGTGATTGTTGTCTCTCTTCTGGGTCTAGCCACCCAGTGAGTCAATCCGGCTCCAGGCTGGTACTGGGGGTTGTCTGCACAGAGTCCTGTGATGTGAACCATCTGTGAGTCTTTCAGCCATGGATACCAGCACCTGTTCTGGTGGAGGTGGTGGAGGGTGCAATGGACTCCATGGGGGTCCTTAGCTTTGTTGGTTTAATGCTCTATTTTTGTGCTGGTTGGCTTCCTGCCAGGAGGTGGTGCTTTCCAGAAAGCATCAACTATAATAGTGTGGAGAGGGACTGGCAGTAGGCACGGCTGTAGAACTCCCAAGATTATATGTCCTTTGCCTTCTGCTACCAGGGTGGGTAGTGAAGGACCATCAGGTGGGAGCAGGGCTAGGCGTGCTCTCCTTGGCGGGTCTTGCTGCGGCTGCCATGGGGGATGGGGGTGAGATTCCCAGGTCACTGAAGTTGTGTTCCTAGGAGGATTATGGCTGCCTCTGCTGAGTCATGCAAGTTGTCAGGGAAGTGGGGGAAAGCCGGCAGTCACAGGCCCCACCCAGCTCCCACACAAACCAAAGAGCTGATCTCACTCCCACTGTGCCCCCTGCAACAGCCCCGAGTCTGTTTTACCCAGACTGGATTCTCTTTACGGACGGGAGTTCTTTTGTAGAACAAAGAACCCATAAAGCAGGGTATGCAACAGCTATATGAACGATATAGTTGAAAGTGCACCTCTCCTAGGGCACAAGTGTTCAACTAACCAAACTAATTGCCCTCAAGAGGGCGCTCAAGTTAAGCAAAGGAAAAACAGCATTTATACTGATTCTTTCTCTCTCTCTCTCTCTCTCTCTCTCTCTCTCTCTCTCTCTCTCTCTCTCTCTCTCTCTTTCTGACGGAGTTTCCTCTTCATTGCACTTCCAGGCTGGAGTGCAATGGCGCAATCTCAGCTCACTGCAACCTCTGCCTCCCAGGTTCAAGCGATTCTCCTGCCTCAGCCTCCCGGGTACCTGGGATTACAGGCATGCGCCACCATGCCCGGCTAATTTTGTATTTTCAGTAGAGACAGGGTTTCTCCATGTTGGTCAGGCTGGTCTTGAACTCCTGACCTCAGGTGATCCGCCTGCCTCGGCCTCCCAAAGTGCTGGGATTACAGGCGTGAATCACCGCGCCTGGCCCATTTATACTGATTCTAAGTATGCTTTCCTAGTCCTCCATGCCCATGCTACTATCTGGAAAGAGAAGAACTTCCTCACAGCTAATTAGTCTCCCATTGAATACCATCAGGAAATTAATAAGACTATTTTCCTTGGTTTTCCTCCCATGGGAGCTGGCAATAATACATTGTAAAGGCCATCAAAGAGTGATGGATGAGATAGCCGAGGGAAATAGGCTGGAGGACAAAGCAGCTAAATCAGCAGCAAGGGGGCCCAGGTCTCTGATCCACTTGAAGCCCTACTGATCTGGGAGGGCCGCATCAGAGAAATAAAACCTCAATACTCTCTTGCAGAAATAGAATGGGCCACCTCTTGGGGATACATCCTGCAGTCCTCAGGATGGCTACAATCGGAGGACAATAAGCTTCATCTACCAGCTGCCAACCAATGGAAAGTACTTAAAAGCCTTCACTAGGCCTTCCACCTAGGTAAGGATAAAACCTATCAACTGGCCCAGAGATTGTTCTCAGGTAAAAATCTAATACAAAGAGTTAAACAAGTTGTTAATGGTGGCAAGATCTGCCTTAAAAACAGTCTCCTTAATCGACAGCGTCTTTGGCCAGGAACTCAAAAGACAAGCGGCTACCTTGGGGAAGACTGGCAAATGGATTTCACCCATATGCCAAAGACAAGGGGCATCCAGTACCTCCTACTATAAATAGATACGTTCACTAACTGGGTAGAAGCATTTCCATGTCAGACAGAGAAAGCCTCTGAGGTGATAAAAGTACTAATCAATGAGATAATTCCCTGCTTTGGACTTCCTAAGTATCTCCAGAGCAATAATGGCCCCTCGTTCAAGGTGGCCGTCACCCAGGGGGTCTCAAAGGCACTTGGTTCTACAGTACTATCTTCATTATGCCTGGAGACCACAATCCCCGGGAAAGGTAGAAAAGACAAATGATATTATCAAAAGGCACCTCAGGAAACCGTCTCAGGAGACTCATCTCCCCTGGACTACCCTTCTCCCCATAGCCCTGCTACATGTCAGAAACACTCCTTCAAAGCTAGGTTTGAGTCCCTTTGAAATGATGTGTGGATAGCCTTTTCTCACCAGTTATCTCTTGCTAGACCAAGAAACCTCTAATTTAACTAAGCACATAACCTCTTTGGTCCATTTCCAACAGGAACTGAAACAATTGTTGGAGGCCCAATCCCGTGAACCAGGGCCACCTCTGTTCAACCCAAGGGACCTAGTGCTAGTAAAAGTGATATCCCTTCCCTTTCTCTCTCTATAGGCCCAGGTTGGGAGGGACCCTACACTGTACTCCTTTCTACTCCTGTGGCAGTGAAGGTCACTGGAATAGACTCTTGGATTCATTATACCCAAGTAAAGACTTGGGAAGCCAACAGAGTCACCTCCGTTGACCCAGAAGAACACCCAAAGTACCAATGTGAAGAGATTGGGGACCTCAAGCTAAAAATCACAAAAGATAAGTGTTAATAATTAGCCTTCCATGGGTATCCTCTTTATAGTCTTGCCTATGCTTGCTGTTCTTACCTTTGTTCTGTTCTATACCACAGAGCACAATAATGTTTTCAGAATAATTCGTATATTTCACTTCTTTCTTTTTTTTTTTTTTTTGAGATGGAGTCTCACTCTGTCACCCAGGCTGGAGTGCAGTGGTGTGATCTTGGCTCACTGCAACCTCCACCTCCAAGGTTCAAGCAATTCTCCTGCCTCAGCGTCCCAAGTAGCTGGGATTACAGGTGTGCGCCGCCACACCCGGCTAATTTTTGTATTTTTAGAGACGGGGTTTCACTATGTTGGCCAGGCTGGTCTTGAACTCTTGACTTTAGGTGATCCCTCTGCCTCGGCCTCCCAAAGTGCTGGGATTGCAGGGGTGAGCCACAGCACCCGGCCTCACTTCTTATCTCTGTAACCCTTGGCACTAGATTCTTTCCTTATATAATACACGTTTAACCCATGGATACTTAACCTTATAAAACTTGTTTTATTCTCTCACACCTAGAAACCATCAAACTCCAAATGGTCAGGCAACCAGAGCCTCAGACAATGGCTCCGCTTTGCTGGGGACCCTTAGATAGACCTCTGAGAGGAATCTGACTGCTATTTTCCCCAAAACAATGCTCCCTGTCAGCAGGAAGTAGCTAAGGTCAGTTGTCATACATATTCTAACAGCAGTTAGATGTACCTCTTCAGAGGGGGGAAATGAGATGGACAGGAGACGGGGAAATACTGGGTAGAAGAAGGTGGCTCCCCGGCAAAGACCCCACCCTCAAGCCTGAAGACCTGCGGCCCTAAATGAAGACAGGCTTTTCTGGTTTTGCACCCAAAAAGTTGCCTTTTGGACTGCCATGTCCCCCCCGCCTATCCTGCCCCTGTATAAACCCAAGACCTTAGTGGGCACACACACAAGTGGCTGAATGTTGGGACCAGCAGACCAGCGACAGTGGAACAACGCAGCAGAGAAAGAGAGAAGAGGAGTAACATCTGGATGCTGAGGGGAATTCAGCTAGGGGCGGTCAGAGAAGAATCTGGCCATTGGGTGGCCTGACTCCAGGGGAAGACCACCTTACCACTCCATCCACCCCCTTCTGACTCCCCATCCATCTCACTGAGAGCCACCTTCACCATTCAATAAAATCTTGCACTCATCTTTCGAGCCCACGTGTGATCCGATTCTTCTGGTACACTGGGCAATAACTCAGGATACAGAAGGCTGTTACACTGCCCCCCAGTCCTTGCAATAAGGCAGAGGGTCCATTGAGCTGCTTAACATACAAGCCACCTGCAGATGGCAAATCTGAAAGAGCTTGATAACACATGCCCACTTGGGCTTCGGGAGTTGCAGACACCCATCCCTAGAAGCTGTCTTGGGGCCGGAGCCCAAAAGTGCTCACAACGGCCTCTGCATCTGCCCAGCTGCATGCTCTCCCTAGGGGTTTGAGCTGCCAGCGACCAAGCAAGCGACACCCCATCACACATCCGCAAGGGGAATCAGGGAACTCTCCCGTTTCACTTAAATGAGGTGTTTAAATCTTTAGCTTTAAGACATTGATCCCAGTTCCAAGGATAACACAGCTGTTCCCAGCCATTTACTCTCTAGTGCAGATGAAGAGTTTACCATGGCAGACTTCACTGAGAATAAAAGAAGAGACCAAGACACATAAAGATGTGGACCCACTTTCTCCTTGGGGAAGGTAGAGACAGTCACCTTGGGGAAAGTTTGGAGAAGGGGAAGTTGGTAATCAAAGCCAATTCCATATTTTGGTCAGGACTGGCTCTGACAACTGGGTGTGGTAGAATGGTCAATAGACCAGAAGTGCCATGGAGTTAAGGTCCCCGGAGCAGCCCTAGTCGAAAAGGGATGGGAATTTGGTGATTAATACTGCATGTGCAGCATCCATATGGGCCATTCCCCATCACCCTGTGGAAATGTGGGGAACTGCCTGCTGTGCCATGAGTAATATATCCCTTTCCTCTAAACCAGGAGTCTCCTGTCTTCTGCCAGCATCTATGAATCTGTGGCTGGCTAACTTGTTAGCTTGCAAGTACGGTAAAATCTCAGAACCTTCACACTTCTTGACATTTATATCATATAATAATATACATCCATATAATCTGTATACATATATATCTTTTCTGGAATTTCTCCAGTAAGCATTTATTCTTTTTCAAATTTTAAATGAATACATGACCCTTTATAGTTCTGGACAATAACATACCTTCCTTCTCCTTAACATGGCTTCCTTCTCCTTCCTTTTTTACTTCCCCCTTTCCCCACTGTTGTTTTTGAGGTTCACCTCTCAAATGAACTATTGGCATTCAAATTCTTGATTCAGGGTCTTTGTATTAGTCCATTTTCATACTGCAATGAAGAAATACCCGAGACGGGGTAATTTATAAAGAAAAAGAGGTTTAATGGACTCACAGTTCCAAATGTCTGGGGAGGCCTCACAATCATGGCAGAAGACAAAGGAGGAGGAAAGGCACATCTTACATGGCAGCAGGCAAGAGAGCTTGTGCAGGGGAACTGCCCTTTATTAAACCATCAGATCTCATGAGACTTATTCATTGTCATGAGAACAGCATGGGAAAACCCACCACCACCATGATTCAATTACCTCCCACTGGGTCCCTCCTATGATACATGGGGATTATGGGAGCTACAATTCAAGTTGAGATTTGGAAGGGGACATAGCCAAACCATATCAGTCTTCTTGGATAACAAAACCTGAGACAACCAACATGTTTCACAAATTTTTGTTCAACCACCCTGCACACTCCCAATCTCAGTCTGAAAAAGAGATTAATGCAAGTTTCCACTAAATTAGAGGACTAGTGGGCAGAGTGGGGAGGTAGGGGAAAGGGAAAGGCTCAGGCTTTTTATGTACTTCCTGCTTGCAGTGGAGGGTGTGCTTTGAATAAGTCCCACCACTGCCTCCCTCACCTCCTCACCACCTTTGGATACCCTTTCCCTTTCTTTCCATTCATTTAATTCCCAAATAATATATTCATTTAATGACTCCGTAAAATGGTTTAGACCCCATGGAGAATGGAGTATAATGATGGATGTGGGATGTGGTACATTTTTCTGAACAATGAATTACAGTAATAAACAGTCATCAAATACTGAATAGGAAACACACAAAAAATTTTAATTTAAGAAAGCACTCTGGTAATAAGTGCAAATAAATAAAAGGCAGGGTCAAATTAAAATGCAAAGTAGCAGCTAGACAAAAATTATAAGGGATGAGGAAGCCAATGGGGGCCTTAAAGATAGGCAGCATGGAAGTTGATTCAAAATGTTTTTCTCTCATATGCGTAATAAAACATGCTATTCATATTCAAGTATTCTGCAAAATGTAATGACAGCAAATCAAATTTTAAATAATGATGCTTTATTTATTTATTTATTTATTTATTTATTTATTTATTTTTGAGACAGAGTTTCACTCTGTCACCTAGGCTAGAGTGCAGTGGCACAAACTCGGCTCACTGCCACCTCCAACTCCTGGGTTCAAGCGATTCTTGTGCCTCAGCCTCCCGAGTAGTTGGGATTACAGGCATGCGCCACCACACCTTGCTAATTTTTGTATTTTTAGTAGAGACGGGGTTTTGCCATGTTGACGAGGCTGGTCTCGAACTTCTGGCTTCAAGTGATCTGCCAGTCTTGGCCTCCCAAAGTGCTGGGATTACAAGTGTGAGCCACTATGCCCAGCTTGATTTTAAATAATGATGCTTTTAAAAGGCAGCTGGACAAAAAAAGCAATTGGAACTTTAAAAAAACACAAATTAAAATGAACTACTGTTTTGGCATGACCGTTTACATTTTAAAGATCTTTCCCCTCCTACCTAGAAAGTCCTCTTTTTCCTCCTCAATCCTCTGTCTATTCAAACCCTACAAAGCTTTCAAAGAATTGGCTTAAATGCCCCCCTCCTCCAGAGACCCCCTCATAGCATTTATTATCTTTACTACTTGTTTTAGCACTTAATGATAAGAGCTACCACTTAATGAGCTTTTAGTATGTGCCAAGTCCTAAACTAAATCTTCAGGGGCAATTATCTCACTAAACACAGCAATCCTTCAGGTAGCTTAGCATCATTATCCTCATTTACATAAAAGGCAATTGAGGCCCTGAGAGGCTGAGTAACTTGCCCATGATCACAGTTGCAGAGTTAGGACTCGAACTCGAACCTGAGTCTTTTTAATATAGGGACCCACTATACTATACTGTCCCTACTCTCCATCCTAGAGCCTTTGAATTATTCTGTGATTGGCTCATGCGGCACCCCTCCCCTGGGATTATAAACCTCCTGGAATAGACATTCTTGAACACACTTGTCTGTGAAGTTACTATGATCATGTGTTACATTAACAGATTTTCTTTTAGATAAATAATGTGACTCATTTTTTTACCACTTACAAATTTAGGAGTTGACACTTATGTTAAAAATGATAAAACAGGACCTCATGGATATTTCTTTAACATGATTATATATTTATATATTTCCCCCCAAAGTACAGCATCTTACTTAATAATCAAATAAGGGAGGTTTTCATGCCAAAGTCAGGACTGAGATAAGAAGGCCCATTGGATCCACTAGTTTTTTGTTTGTTTGTTTTGTTTTGAGACGGAGTCTCACTCTGTCACCCAGACTAAGTGCAGTAGTGCAATCTCAGCTCACTGCAACCTCCACCTCCCGGGTTCAAGCGATTCTTGTGCCTCAGCCTCCTGAGTAGCTGAGATTACAGGCATACACCACCATGCCCAGCTAATTTTTGTACTTTTAGTAGAGATGGGGTTTCACCATGTTGGTCAGGCTGGTCTCAAACTCCTGACCTCAAGTGATTTGCCCTCCTCGGCCTCCTAAAGTGCTGGAATTAGAGGCGTGAGCCACCGCGCCTGGTCCGGATCCACTAGTTTTAAGAATTGTATTGAAGGTATTAGCCAAAGCAATTAGAAAAAAAAATCAAGTAGAGGCATCATAAGGAGAAAGAAAGAAGTAAAATGTTATCTTTTTTGTTGCAGCTGATATTATTATATACCTGGAAAACCTAAAACAGTCAATGAACAAATTACTGCAAATAATAATCAAGAGACTGTTCATTCTCCATTGTGTGTTCTTGGCATCTTTGTCAAAAACTGACAAATAAATTGACTGTAAATGTGTGGATTTATTCTGGGCCCTATATTCTGTTCTGGTGATCTATGTGTGTTGTTTTTATGTCAGTACCATGCAGTTTTGATTACTATAGATTTGTAGTATATTTTGAAGTCAACTAGTATGATGCCTCTAGCTTTGCTATTTTTGCTCAAGATTGCTTTAGCTATTCAGGGTCTTTTGTGGTTCCATATGAATTTTAGGATTTTTTAAAAATTTATGTGAAGAAATGTCGTTAGAATTTTGATAGGGATTACATTGAATTTGTAGATCACTTTGGGCAGTATGGACATTTTAACAATATTTCTTCTAATCAATAACCAGTTAGAAGAAATAATGGAAGAGAAAACACCATTTACAAGAGCAAAATAAAATAAAGTGCCTTAGTAGAAACATAACAAGAAATGTGGAAAATCTTTATGAAAAAACTATAAAACACTCCTAAAATATTTGAATAAGTAGATTACCACGTTCTTTGATAGAAAAATTTAACAACATAAAAATGTCAATTCTTTGTAAGCTAATCTACAGATTTAACACTATCTCAATATAATTTCATCAGTCTTATTTTCTGGAGCCAGAAATGTTGATTATAAAGTTTATTTAGAAGAATAAACAAGTAAGAACAGACATTCCTTAGGAAATAAAAGTGATGAGGAGGGCTAGCTCCAAGAGATATGAAAACATATTTAAAAGTTTTATAATTAAATCACTATGATATTGACATATGAATTGACAAATGGAACAGAATATAAAGCAAGCAAGAAATACATCCACACACACATGGAAATATAGTATATGATAAAAGCTTATTTCAATCATGGGGAAAAGAAACACGGTTTTTTTTGTTTTTTTCTTTTTTTTTGAGGCGGAGTTTCACTCTCGTTGCCCAGGCTGGAGTGCAGTGGCACAATCTTGGCCCACTGCAACCTCTGCCTCCCAGGTTCAAGTGATTCTCCTGCCTCAGGCTCCCGAGTAGCTGGGATTACAGGCGTCCGCTACCACGCCTGGCTAATTTTTTGTATTTTTAGTAGAGACAGGGTTTCACCATGTTGGCTAGGCTGGTCTCGAACTCCTGACATCAGGTGATCCACCCGCCTCGGCCTCCCAAAGTGCTGGGATTACAGGTGTGAGCCACTGCGCCCAGCCCAAGAAACACTTTTTAAATAAGTGGCACTGGAACAACTTGATAGCCATACAGAAAAAGATAAGATCCAATTTATTCCTTACACTGGTAAATTCCAGATAGAGAAGAATTCTCAGTGTGAAAAATGAAACTACACAAATAATAAGAGAAAATAAGGGTGAATCCCTTGAAGTCTGGGAGAGGGAAAACATTCCTAACTATGATTCAAAGTCCAGAAGCAATAAGGAAAAAGATAAATTTGATCACATAAAAATAAAAACATTTTACATGTCAGAAAACATTATACAAAAGTGAGAAGACAAATGACCAATTGGAAAAAAATATTTGCAACTTATATCAATCAAGAAGTAAGCATCTTTAACATATAATGAACTTCTTAAATTGAGAAGAAAAGAAATAGAAAAAGTTGTAAGAGATATGTATAGACCATTCACAGAAAAAGAAATGAAAACAGCCTTTAAATATGTGAAAAGATATCCAACTTTACTTACAGTAAGAGAAATGCGAATTAAAATGATACAGAGATAATGTTTCTCACTTACAAGACTGGCAAAAATTCAAAAGTTTGACAACATATGCTGTTGGCTGGCTGATCTCCCAGAGCAATGGTCCATTTTGAGGGCTCAGCTTTGGTGTCTACTGCTGGAAGGTTGGGCATTTAGCAGAGACAGTAGTTAGATCAGCCATGATGAAAGGGAGTACATGTTGTTGGGCCCATATACAGCTTCCATCACTGCCACCATGACTACTCTGTTCACAGGAACCAGGGTGGCCGAGGAAAGAGGTTGGCTGACATACACAAGATGGATCATGCTGTGCACCTATGTGGATGCTCTCTGGTGGTCATTAATATGAAACACAAAAGTCCCCACGCTCTGTATCCTCTCCTATAGGTTCATCCATATTCCTGTTCCCCAGACCAGTGTGTGTATCTTTTGCAACCTTTTCCTCAGCTGGTGTTTACAGTTCTCTTACTCAAAGTTCATAGTTATGGACAACAGGTTCATTCTAGCTAGTTTAAGCAGAAAGAGATTGGATATGACTCAGCCAGAAATAATGCAGCCAGGAAAATGTAGTTAGTAAAAATACACCATCACCCCACGGGAAAGTTTCACCTGAAATACCACCAACATTAGAATAGGAGTTAAGTGAGCCATTTTACAGTATTTGCCTAACAGTCACGATTTCCTTTTTAGTACATTTAAAGAACATAATTAAGTATATACATCCCACTAAAGTTTCTAAATTAATGTATCATAGTTACCAACTACTCATATAAAAATTTTAATACTTATAATGTGATACCCACTACCTAGCATCATGCCTGGCACTTAATAAACAATGAATACTTGTTGAGTGACTGAATGCAGACCTTTTAAGAAAAAAAAAAAAAACCTGCCTAGGAATTTCTCCACTGAAACATAGAAGATGGGTGACACAGGTGGGACCAATTCCTAGCGAGCTATAAGTTCACACCTTGTCTCAGTGAGACAGAATGGCACTGTTCACAGAGTAACTGGATTTACTCTAACTCATACTTACGAAGGAAATCATTCACATATTTCAGTATTTTTAACATACTTCCTGACTGATCTTGACATCTCAGGGTAAAGTAGAAACCCCAGCCTAGGCAGAAGTTGTGAGTTCTGGCCTTTAGAGATATAAGGTAGTGTTGTAGTCAACCAAGTTTCCTTATGGCTGTCTTCATTTCGGCTCCCCCGAAAGCAGATCTTGAGACAAAGTTTTAGAAACAAGTAGTTTATTTAGGAGGTGATCCCAGGAAGTACAGTGACAGAGTGAGGAAGTGAGACAAGGAAAGGAGGGAAGCTAATAAAGGGTGTGTCAGTGGGCAAGTTATTACTTTGGGCAACTGAGGCTCAATTCCGGCAGGAGTCCTCTGAGACAGGGAGTACAAGATATCTCAGAACTGTGCCACTGGGGGTCAAAGAAGCTGGCTTACAGTAAGTCCTCCAATAACACTGTTTTATTCAACGCTGTTTTGTTATAAGGTTGATGAGAAAAAATAAAATTGATTCCTGGCTGGGGCCAGGCCAGGATCTGTGTGGAGTCTGTGTGGGTTTTTTCCAGGTACTCCAGTTTCCTCCCACATCCCAAAGCTGTGCGCATGAGGTGCAACTGACTTGCCTACATGGCCCCAGTCTGAGTGAGTATGGGTGTGTGAGTGCCGCCCATGATGAGATGGCTTCCTGGTCAGGGTGGGTTCCTACCTGGCGCCCTGAGCTGCTGTGATAGGCACTGGCCACCCGTGACCCTGAACTAGAATAAACAGGTTGGAAAACGAATGAATGAATGAATACAAATTATTGTCAAATAAAAATTCATAAAGTCCACAACAATCAATAAAAGATGCGGTAAAAAAGCGCTCAGTGAGCCTGCTCTCTTTATGATTGTTTGGTTTTGAACTGCGTGGTGGTATGAGATGCTCCTTACAATGTTTGCTTTGCAAACATTTATTCCTTGATTTAACCCACTACCACCACAACTGTCATCGCTCACTGATGTGCCAAAAATTGGGTAAATAATTATCTTACTGGTTTTTGTTAATCTTTGCTAAATTACAAGTGTTTTGGGTCTTTATTTAGAAGTTTTGTCATGTTTTGAAGACCAGAAATATGCTACAGGAACTTAACTCTTGTTTATATCAATTAGCCTATGGGAAAATTGGTTTTGTTATATGTTGCTTGCTTAAAGTGGCAGTTTCTAAGAACCTGTTGATGACATTAAGTGCGGATTTATGTATTTATTTATTCTTATCCCCCATAAGTGGAGGTCCTGAGTATTCTTCCCGAGGTTGTTAATTCCCAGACATTTTCAGCATGCTTAATCATCCAGAAGGCACAGAGAGATGCAGGAAGCCACCAGTATGCATGGGGAGTGTCCACAGTAATCTCTGGGCTGGTAAAAGGGATTAATTGTGAGACTGCAATATTATCTACTATAGTAGTCTAGTTGAAAAGGTTAACGAGGCCGGGTGCAGTGGCTCATGTCTGTAATTCCAGCACTTTGGGAGGCTGAGGTGATCAGATCACCTGAGGTCAGGAGTTTGAGACCAGCCTGGCCAACATGGTGAAACCCCATCTCTACTAAAAATAGAAAAATTAGCCGGGCATGGTGGCACATGTCTGTAATGCCAGCTCGGGATTACTCAGGAGGCTGAGGTGGGAGAATCGTTTGAACTCGGGAGGCGGAGGTTGCAGTGAGTGGAGATCGCACCACTGCACTCCACCCTGGGTGACAGAGCCAGACTCTGTCTCAAAAAAAAAAAAAACAAAAAAAAGAAAAGAAAAGAAAAGAAAAGGTTAACGAGATGGTGGGAGGTGGGGAAACTAAGAAGAGTACATTGGAAAAACGCCTCTTCCTGCTGGAGCTATACTTGGGACACTGTGCTTTGGAAATTTCTTTCTTTTCCTTCTTCAACCTTTGCAGCAAAAGGAAGAAGCTGTCAAGAGCCAGGGAGATTGAAGGCTCTCTTGCCCTCTCAATGATCAACTCTAACAACTCATCCAAGAGGAAAGAACTATTTGAGGCCGAAGAAGGAGACATAAGGCAGTTTTCACTCTGAGCGAAATGTGGAAGACAAACTTTAATATTTTAACATTTAAAAGAACAAACTTTTAACTCTCCTTTGGGGATTTGGAGTTAGTTAATAAAGGTAAAAAGCTTGACATTAGTGACAAAGTTGCCATATGAAACCTAGATGTTGAATGCTTTCATACCTTTATATAGAAAAAGCCTGGAAGCATATGAATCAAACTGATAATAGCTGTCACAGCTGAGGTATGGAGAATATATTATATATATTTAATATATTTAGTGGATGTATATAACATATACATGCTTGATATATTACTTTTATAATTTATATATTATATACATGTATTAGTCTGTTCTCACACTGCTAATAAAGACATACCCAAGACTGGGTAATATATAAAGGAAAGAGGTTTAATTGACTCACAGTTTCACATGGCTGGGGAGGCCTCACAATCATGGCAGAAGGCAAAGGAGAAGCAAAGTCACATCTTCCATGGCAGCAGGCAAAGAGAGCATGTGCTCTCATGAGACTTACTATCACGAGAACAGCATGGGAAAGATCCTCCCCCATGATTCAATTACCTCCCACTGGGTCCTTCCCATGACACGTGGGAATTATGGGAGCTACAATTCAAGATGAGATTTGGGTGGAGACACAGCCAAACCATAGCAATATACATAATATATACTTGATTTTTGGTAGATGCATATAAATGCATATATAGTTAGACAGCAGAAATGCTGTCTAAGAGCCAAGGCCTAGAATCAGGGACCCCAAGAGCCCATTTGGTGCTCTGGCCAAGCTGGTACCTCAGGTGTAAGACAAAGTCCTCTTTACACTTTCCTCTCTTTTTCTCAAGCAGAAGAAGTCTCTCCCTGTAGCCACCACAGCTGAGAATGTGCTGGGCCATACCTGAAGCCAGCATGTCTCTGAGTCTCACCCAAGGTCCACGGCAAGTACTGCCACTGCTGATTATTTAGGGCCCAAGCTAAACTTAAATAGTTTAGCTTAAAATGTTACTTATAGTGAATAGATATGAAAAACAAGGAGAGGCTGATTATAAGGAATGAGGTAGCAAACAAGCCCTGAATCTTAGTGGCCTGATACAGTACAACAAAAGTCTGTTTCAGTCACCCAGGTACCTATGCTGTCAGAGGCTTCAACACCTTGTATCTATACTGTCTGGAACATGCAGCCTCTTTAGTCCCCCAGCAGAGGAAGAGACAGAATCACAGGTGAACTTTTCACCACCTCAGTCCAGGAATGACTCCTCCCTTCACAGAACATTGGCCAGAACAAATCACATGGCTCTGCCTATCTACAAGGGGACGAGGTGATGTTGCCATGGAGACCCTGAAGTATAAAGATGGGATTTGCAATTGTTATTTATACTCTCTGATTACAAACATGCGGGTATCTCCATAGAAAGATACAGTTACATTTGACAGAGCTTGTTTAAAAACAGTGATCACAAATATAATAAAATCTTTCTTTTTCATAAGAAGGAAAACCCATTCCTTGGAAAGTGCCAGAAAGTCAAGCTTCCATAGGACATTTTCAAAACGCTTTTCAGAGGAGCAAGATGGCTGAATAGAAGGCTCCACTGATCATCTTCCCTGTAGGAGCACCAAATTGAACAACTATCCACAAACAACAGCACTTTCCTAAGAACCAAAAAGATGAGTGATCACAGTACCTGGCTTTAACTTCTTATCACTGAAAGAGGCACTGAAGAGGGTAGGAAAGACAGTCTTGAATTGCTGACACCACTTCTTCTCCATCCCCCAGAAGCAGCTGCATGGTGTGGAAGAAAGAATCTGTGGGCTTGGGAGAAGGAGAGCACAGTGATGGTGGGACTTTGCATTGGAACTCAGTGCTGCCCTGTCACAGTGGAAAGCAACACCAGGCAGAACTCAGCTGGTGCCCACAGACGGAGCATTTAGAGCAGCCCTAGCCAGAAGGGAATCACCCATCTCGGCAGTCAGAATCTGAGTTCTTTCAAGCCTCGCCACCATGCGTTAAAGTGCTCTGTGGTCCTACATAAATTTGAAAGGCAGTCTAGGCCACAAGAACTGCAATTCCTGGGCAAGTGTTGGTGCTGTGCTGGGCTTGGAGCCAGTACACTTGGGAGGCATGCGACCTAGTGAGACACCAGCCGGAGTAGCCAAGGGGATGCTTGTGCCACCCCTCCCCTAACCCCGGGCTGCACAGCTTGCAGCTCTGGGAGAGATCCCTTCCTTTTACTTAAGAAAGGACAGGGAAGAGTAAAGAGGACATTTATTGCCACTTGGATACCAGTTCAGCCACAGTAGGAGAGGCCATGAGGCAGAGTCCTGGGGCCTCCATTCAAGGCCCCAGCTCCTGGATGACATTTCTAGACACACGCTGAGCCAGAATGGAACCTGCTGCCTTGCAGAGAAGAACCCAGTCCTGGCAGGATTAATCACTTGCTGACTAAAAATCCCTTGGGCCCTAAATAATTAGCAGTGGCAGTACTTGCCGTGGACCTTGGGTGAGACTCAGAGACATGCTGGCTTCAGGTATGGCCCAGCACATTCTCAGCTGTGGTGGCTACAGGGAGAGACTTCTTCTGCTTGAGAAAAAGAGAGGAAAGAGTAAAGAGGACTTTGTCTTACACCTGAGGTACCAGCTTGGCCAGAGCACCAAATGGGCTCTTGGGGTCCCTGATTCTAGGCCTTGGCTCTTAGACAGCATTTCTGGACCTGCCCTGGGCCAGAGGGGAGCCCACTGACCTAAAGGGAGAGTCCTAGGCTTGGCAGCATTCACCACAAACTGACTGAAGAGACCTTGGCCCTTCAGTGAACATTGGCTTTAGCCAGGTAGTACCTGCCATGGTTCTGGGGTGATGGTGGCTACAGGGAGAGACTCCTCTGCTTGTGGAAAGTGGAGGGAAGAGTGGGAAGGACTTTGTCTTGTGGCTTGGATGCCACCTCAGCTGCAGTAGAATAGAGCACCAGGTAGATTTCTAAGGTTTCTGGCTCCAGGCCCTGGCTCCCAAACAGCATCTCTGGACCTGCCCAGGGCTGGTGGGAACATGCCACTCTGAAGAGAAGGACGGAAACCTGGCTGGCTCCACCAGCTGCTGATTGTAGAACCCTAGGTCTTTGAACAAACATAGGCAGTAGTTACAGCAGGCCTTCGGTGAGACCCAGTGCTGTTCTGGCTTTGGGTCTGACCCAGCACAGTCCCAATAGTAGTGGCCACAGGGGTGCTTGTGTCACCCCTCTCCCAGTTCCAGGCAGCTCAGCACAGAGAGAGAGGCTCCATTTGTTTGGGAAAAAATAAGGGAAGAGAACAAGAATCTTTGCCTGGTAATACAAGGAATTCTTCTGGATCTTATCCAAGAACAACAAGGTGACACCTCTATGAGTCTACAAGAGCCACAGTGTTACTGGACTTGAGTTACCCCGTAATGCTGGCTGCAGTGACCAAAAACTTAGATCATAACACTCAAGTCCTTTAAATACATGGTATATTAGTCCGTTTTCACACTGCTATAAAGATATTACCAGAGACTGGGTAATTTATGATAAAAGGAGGTTTCATTGACTCACAGTTCTGCATGGCTGGGGAAGTCTCAGGAAAATTACAATCATGGCAAAAGGCGAAGGGGAAGCAAGGCACATTTTATATGGCGGCAGGAGAGAGAGAAAGTGAAGGGGGAAGCAGCAGACACTTATCAAACGACCAGATCTCTTGCGAACTCACTATTATGAGAACATCATGAGGGAAACCGCCCCGTGATCCAATCACGTCACACCAGGTCCCTTCCTCAATACGTGGGGATTACAATTCAGATTAAAATTCACGATGAAACTTGGGTGGGGACAAAACCAAACCATATCATTTCACCCTGGCCCCTCCCAAATATCATGTCCTTTTCACATTTCAAAACTAATCATGCCTCCCCAACAGTACCCCAGAGTCTTCACTCATTTCAGCATTAACTCAAAAGTCCAAGTCCGAAGTCTCATTTGAGAAGAGGCAAATCCCTTCTGCCGATGAGCCTATAAAATAAAAAACAAATCAGTTACTTCCACGTGAATATATGTCACTATACATTTGTCCAAACCCATAGAATATACATTAGAGGCAGCTCTAAGGTAAACTCTGATCTGTGCATGATAATCATGTGTCAAGTGTAAGTTCATCAATTGTAGCAAATATACCACTCTGGTGGGGGATGTTGATAATGTGGGAGTCTGTGCATGTATGGGGGAAGGGAGTATGGGAAATATTTGTACCTCCCTTTACATTTGCTCTGAATCTAAAACTGCTTAAAAAAAAAAACCTCTGTTTTAAAAAGGGCAGGGGATACTAGAAGAAAAGAAATGAGATCTGGAAGGTGATAAAAGAGGGAGAAAAAGAAAACAGCTAGCTCTAAATGAGTTTTGGAGACAGGATGGAGGGTTTTGGACAGAGGATTTCTGCCACGTGCGTAAGATGTTGAAGTTAGGCATAGGAAGAGAGGGAGAAATGGTGGGGGAAAGAGTTATAAAAGTTTTCCCATGTAATATAAATAGAACCTCCCTTTGGAGTTTAAAAAATGTTTTACCAAAAATAAAATAAAATTAAGATGATTTATTAAAATTTAAATTACTTTTGAAATTGTTTCTCGAATATTGAACTGTTTTCTTTGAAAACAGCACTATATTATGACTGGGCCATGGTACAGCTCAGCTTTATGTGGGTTACATATACAATAATCATTTAAAAAATAATTTATGAAGATCCCTACTTTGCTCAGTTCTAGAGGAGTGGGCAGTATTGGATAGTTAATAGCCTGTGCCACACAGCTTCCCTGAGAATTAAGGAAATCCCTTTATAAACCTATAAACCTATGCTTTATGTCAATACTCATTCAGATGATAGATTCAACTACCAGAAATCCAGTGGTTTTCTCTAATTAAAGCACCTTGTGTTTCCTTTCTCTTTCTTCATTCGTCTTTTCTCCCCCTCTTCTCAAATAAAACCCCAAAATAGTTGTAAGTGTGAATAAGGTTTCAAACCTAGGCAGAAAATTTCACTATAAATAAATGTGGGGTTAAAATGTATGTTAAATCGAGCCAGGTGCAGTAGCTCACGCCTGTAATCCCAGCACTTTGGGAGGCCAAGGCAGGTGGATCACCTGAGGTCAGAAGTTCAAGACCAGCTTGGACAACATGGTGAAACTCCATCTCTACTAAAAATACAAAAATTAGCTGCGCGTGGTGGCATGCGCCTGTAATCCCAGCTACTGGGGAGGCTGAGGCAGGAGAATTGCTTGAACCTGGGAGGGGGAGGTTGCAGCAAGTTGAGATCGTGCTATTGCACTCCAGCCTGGGCAACAGAGCAGGACTTCATCTCAAAAAAAAAAAATTATGTTAAATGATGCAAATTACATTCTAGATTATATATGGAAAATGCATATTACCATGCTGATGAGAGCATGGCATGTTCAATATGGCTTTTTAATATGAGTGTCAATTTTGACATTACCAGGTGTCATGCACTTAGGTCATCTTACATAAATGAAAACCATTATCAGAAATATTACCTACCTTCTAAAATTCTTCTTATACTTTATACATTCTTGTCTAATTCAGCCTTACACAGCCCACCTGAAATGACTGTTCTCGATGGTATTTCTTTTCTGTTTAAAATATCTGTGGATAGGCCAGGTGGGGTGGCTCACGCCTGTAATCCCAGCACTTTGGGAGGCTGAGGCAGGCAGATCACCTGACATCGGGAGTTCGAGACCAGCCTGACCAACATGGAGAAACCCCATCTCTACTGAAAATACAAAATTAGTCGGGCGTGGTGGCACATGCCTGTAATCCCAGCTACTCGGGAGGCTGAGGCAGGAGAATCGCTTGATCCCAGGAGGCAGAGGTTGCAGTGAGCCGAGATCATGCCATAGCACTCCAGCCTGGGCAACAAGAGCAAAACTCCGTCTCAAAATAAAATAAAATAAAATAAAATAAAATAAAATAAAATAAAATAAAATAAAAATCTGTGGATAATACCTTGATAGCAATGAGCATATCTAGTGCCCAGATCTTAGTCTGTAGAAATTATTTCCCACTATACAGAACCAGGGCTTCTTGGAGAAATAGACGATTCTAGGCTGGAGTGGGGAAAGTATAAAGGGAACTTGGAATATCTTGTGGCACAAAATATGGAAGTGCAGTAAGTACTCACTTAACCTCACTGATACATTCTTGGAAACTGCAACTTCAAGTGAAATGGTGTACAGCAGGTCCTTGAATAACATTGTTTCATTATAACACTGATAAGGAAGGAATATGGGTTTTTTAATACTTTGTTTCACTTAAAGTCACAGTTTTCAAGAATCTATTGAAGGCCTTAAGTGAGGACTTACTGTACAAAAACAAAACTGATAAAGTCATGCCAGAAAGAAGGCAGAAGCCAGCTTAAAAGGACTCTCACTTGCTAAATATGGGACAGTTTTGAGTATTAAAATAACTAAGGACTGGAACAGATCATAACACATTAAATAAAGAATTCAAACCAACCCTATTCTTTAAAAAATTAAGAGGTAGGGAGGAGGAGACGGGAAAGTTGTTTACAGAAGAAGGCCAACTAATTAATGCAGGATTGTTAGAATTAAAAAACCAACATTGTGCAATCACCATTGTAATAATTGATTCAGGCAAGAATCATCAATAGATGTAAAATCGTTAAGTGAAATGTTAGAGAATAATATAGTCACAGTCTCAAAGTACCACTAGTTATAATTTTATAAAGGGGAAAGTTACCTCTATAATGGAGAGGTCTGGTGGACACCACTTAAACCAAATGATCAAATTTAATGTCACCAATAATGGGAAAAATTGACATCACGTGCCCTCTGATGTGATGCACTAAGGACACAGATCACACATTAAATATTCCTGCCCTCTCCTCCCAAAACAGATTCTATTCATTAGGAAATAATCAAACCAAATTCAGGAACATTATGCAAAACAGCTGACCTGGACTATTCAAAAATGTCGATGTCACAAAAGGTAAAAAAAAAAAAAAAAAAAAGCTCAGGGATAACCTTTAAAAGACAGGAAAGAGGGCCGGGCGTGGTGGCTCACCCTGTAATCCCAGCACTTTGGGAGGCCAAGGCGGGCAGATCACCTGAGGTCAGGAGTTTGAGACCAGCCTGGCTAACATGGTGAAATCCCATCTCTACTAAAAATATAAAAATTAGCCAGGTGTGGTGGCACACGCCTGTAATCCCAGCTACTTGGGAGAACTGCTTGAACCCAGGAGGCAGAGGTTGCAGTGAGCCGAGATGGTGCCACTGCACTCCAGCCTAGGCGACAGAGCAAGACTCTGTCTCAAAAAAAAAAAAAAAAAAAAAAAAAAGAAAGGAAAGAGATGTAACAACTAACTGTAATGTATGATTTCTAATTGGATCTGGATTTAAGAAAAACAATATAAAGGACACTATTGTTATTAGTTTTATTAGTTATTATTGTTCTTATTATTATAAGAAATAGGAATGTGGAATGCTTATAACAGTACAGTATCAATGTTTAATTTCCTGAGTGTGATAAATGTATTATAGTTATGTAGAGGAATGTCTTTCTCAGTATGTATGGGTAAAATGTCAAGATGTCTGAAACTTATGTTTAAGCCTCTCGGATCTTTCACAAAAAAGTATGCATTTACACAAAAACAGAAATACAGTTAAATAGAGAGAAAACAAATTTGACAAAATGTGAATAATTGGCAAATCTAGGTAAAGGGTATGTGGGTGTTCATTGTACTAGTTTTACACTTTTCTACAGGATTAAAAATTTTCAATATAAAGAAGTAGGATAAAGAAAATGACGTGAAAAATAAAAGTTTCTTAAAAGATGCTGAGCCAAAAATGTAAGAAGCAAAGTTGAAATGGGCAAAGTTAGAAGTAGAATATGGACAGGAAGTCCAAATCTATGAATTCTCACGGCCTTATTCCTGCCAGTTGACCCTGCTGTCTCTGAACATTCTATCATATGCCACATATTCTTCAAATCAGGAGCTAAACACTCTTCCATAACGTTAGGGTCAGAAGCTCCTGATCTTAGGTCGCAAGAAAAGATGTATGAGAAATTCATTGCTCTATAGTTTAAACTGTTTCATGTCTTCTTCCTTATAGACATGGTCTCCAGACATTTCTTGCTGAAGGGCTGACTGCATTTTATTTTCCTTGGCTGTAGGTCTGTCATAGGGATAACACAGTTCCCACAGTCTGAAAGGAGAGCTAGATGCCAGCCCCTCCAGGCATTTAAAAATGCATTTTTGAAAGTCAGAGACAAAATTTCCGATCTGGTTTGTAATGCTTCCTTCCTCTAATATTTATGTGAACCTTCCTCTTCCCCAGGCATATTCTGCGTGACTCCTCTCTCCTTCCTGGTGATTTTCCTCTATCCTGGTGACCCAGCCGAATGCCACTGCTGGTTCTTTATGTGTGTGACTCATGAGCATGTGTGTGTACTCCCTTCTCCTTCCTTTATTATTTATTCATCCATGGTAATTACTTATTTATGTAGGTCACTTTATTTTAAAATGATAGTTTTACAAATGCTGAAGCAGATGAGCATTTATACTCTAAAGGACAGGAGAGATGAACAAGAGACACAAAATATACCACAGAGAGCTGGATTAGGAAAGAAAAAGAAATGCAGGTCTGGAATCTCGTCTTTTATTTTTTGTTGTGTATATTTAAGATGTACAACATGTTTTGATATACATATACATATAGTGAAATGATGACTACAGTCACACAAATTTACATGTCCATTACCTTCCATAGTTACTTTTTGGTGTGTGGTGTTAAAAGAAAAACCTTAGACAAATTAAGTTTAACAGAGTTTAATTGATCAAAGAACTATTCACAGTTCAGGAAGCCAGAATAGGTTCAGAGAGTCTCCGGTGCTCCGAATGTGTGGAAGAAGAAGATTTACAGGCAGCAAAAAGAAAGCGAGGTACAGAAACAGCCAGATTGGTTACACACACGATTTGAACAGTTTGCTGCCTGTGATTAGCCAAAACTCGGTGGTTGGCACCAGAGTAGGTTATAGTTTGTTTACACATCCAGTTAGGTTACAGGTCACTCTGTGAGGAGATGCCGTTAGGCTGAACTTAAAATATATCAGGTGGCAGCTTTAGGCTAAACTTAATTTAACAGCAATAATTTCTTCTCTATCATCATCGCCTTTTCTGAGTTGTCTTAATCTGATGTTTTCATTGGCTCTTTATTAAATACCTTTGTGATGGTTTTGGACTCTACTACCTTCAAAGTGAAGTAAAGTTTGTTCACTGTGTTCAAGGAACCACAATGGCTATAGTCTTCGATTTAGCTAGCCTGGCCAAATTGAAGATTGGTGTGTGAGAGTTAGCATGGCTCAAGACTTAGCCAGGCTCATGAATGGTCAATCCATTTTAACCGAGCACCTACTATTTATCAGGCACTATGTTTGGAAGTGGAGGGAGAGATTGACTGAGACACAATGCCCTAACTCAGTGGTTCAAAATATTCCATGTAAGGTTCACACTAGCATCATCTGAAGAAGGGTATTGAAGATAAGATGATGCCACCACATGGATGTTAGTGAATGCTTTAGGAATTGTGTTCAGCTGCTAGCAATCGACACTAAATAAAGAGTGGCTTAAATAAATTGGGAGATTATTTTCTGTCTTTTGCAGGCAGAGGTAGGCAATCCACTAGTGGCATGTCAAGCCCATGAAGTCATCCAAGTCCCATGCTCCTTCTGTCTCGCTGCTTTGTCCTTCTTAGCACACATTTTCCACTCTAAAGTTTGCCTCATGGTTGCCAGATGACCACTGCAACTCCAGCCATCATGTCTGCATTTCAGGCTGAAGGAAAGAGGAAGAGAGAAAAGAGAAGAGGCAACAGGACGCTTGCCAGGTGAGTCAACCTCCTTTTAAAAGAGCTTTCCCAGAACCTCCACCCAAAACTTCTGCTTACATCCCATTAAGTAGCACTTAGTCATATGGCCATCCATAACTGTAAGAGAAGATCTCAACAAAATAAGAGCTTCACAAGTACTTAGTCATTTGCAAGTACAAGTTCAGGTACTCATTATATTAGCTTACCTGTCCTCTCATTTGGTCTCTGGTACTTTTTTTTTTTTTTTTTTTTGAGACGGAGTCTCTGGGCACTCTGTCGCCCAGGCTGGAGTGCAGTGGCGCAATCTCGGCTCACTGCAAGCTCTGCCTCCCGGGTTCGCGCCATTCTCCTGCCTCAGCCTCCCGAGTAGCTGGGACTTCAGGCGCCTGCTACCGTGTGCGGCTAATTTATTTTTTATTTTTTTAGTAGAGAAGGGGTTTCACCGTGTTGGCCAGGATGGTCTCGATTTCCTGACCTTGTGATCCGCCCGCCTCGGCCTCCCAAAGTGCTGGGATTACAAGCGTGAGCCACCACGCCCGGCCGGTCCCTGGTGCTTTTAAAGTTAACTTTACTGGTTTCTTTTTATCACCCAATTGTCTAAAACAATCATCATCTTACACTTAAAATGCATAATTGTTAAAATTCAGACCAAAGAAGAGGGATAGTTCAGCAGACACATCGAATAAGAGGAGTGAATGAATGCTAGGGCAAGGAGAAGAAAATCTCATAGACTTCTGCTGCCCCCACTCAATGGTACAAAAGACTCTTAGGTTTGTTTTTTGTTTTTTTTTAATTTTGATATAAATTAACAGATTGCTTTGCATAAATGTTACGTCAATGTATACTGCCACCAGCGCTGTATGAGTAATAGGCTTGGGTCATTTTAAAGAACTTTATGTTCAAAGCTCATTCAACACTTCATAAACTCACTATATTTTTTTTTTTTTTGCTTGTTTGTTTCTGTTTTTGTTTTTTTTGAGACAGAGTCTCACTCTGTCACCCAGGCTAGAGTGCAGTGGCACGATCTCGGCTCATGGCAACCTTTGCCTCCAAGGTTCAAGTGATTCTCCCACCTCAGCCTCCCGAGTAGCTGGGATTACAGGCTCCCACCACCATGCCCGGCTAATTTTTATATTTTTAATAGAGACGGGATTTCACCATGTTGGCCAGGCTGGTCTCAAACTCCTGACCTCAGGTGATCTGCCCGCCTCGGCCTCCCAAAGTACTGGGATTACAGGCGTGAGCCGCTGCGCTTGGCCCACTACATTGCTTTCTGAGCACCTCTTACTAATATTATTGCTCTACAATTGTCCAAAACTATTTACCTCTTGCTCAGTTATCCTAATTTTTGCTTGTTGCTGTGCTCTGTCATTGCTTGATTGCATAAACATTCTTCCTTCTTTTTAAAAAGTTTTGATTGATTGAGCCCAGGAGGTCAAGGCTGCAGTGAGCCATGATTGTGCCACTGCACTCCAGCCTCAGTGGCAGAGCAAGACCCTTTCCTCTCCCCTCCTCCCCCCCAGACATTTATAATGGCTTTATTGAAATATAATTAACATGCCATACAATTTCACCCATTTAAAGTGTACAATTTGATGGCTTTTAGTATATTAAAAGTTTCACAACCATCACCACAATTTTAGAACATTTTTATCACAGCAGAAAGAAACTGTACTAATTAGCAGTCACTCCTCATTTACCCTCCAAAACCACAAGCCCTAGGCGATCACTAATCTACTTTCTGTCTCTATAGATTTGCCTATTCAGGACATTTTATATAAATGGAATCAATACAGTATGTGATCTTCTGCAACTGGTTTCTTTCACTTGGCATAATCTTTTCAAGTTTCATCCATGTTGTAGCATGTATGAGTACTTCATTCCTTCTTTAACGCCTAATAACATTCCATTGTATGATATATTAATATTAATACCACATTGGCAATTCAATGCAGAAAGAATAGACTATTCAACAAATGGTATTAAAATAATTGTATATCCATATACAAAAAAAGTCAACTTGGGCCTAAACCTCATCTCTTTTCCAAAAATTAACTTGAAATTTTTTTCTTTTTTTTTCTTTTATTATTATTATACTTTAAGTTTTAGGGTACATGTGCACAATATGCAGGTTAGTTACATATGTATACATGTGCCATGCTGGTGTGCTGCACCCATCAACTCTTCATTTAGCATTAGGTATATCTCCTAAAGCTATCCCTCCCCCCTCCCCCCACCCCACAACAGTCCCCAGAGTGTGATGTTCCCCTTCCTGTGTCCATGTGTTCTCATTGTTCAATTCCTACCTATGAGTGAGAATATGTGGTGTTTGGTTTTTTGTTCTTGTGATAGTTTACTGAGAATGATGATTTCCAATTTCATCCACGTCCCTACAAAGGACATGAACTCATCATTTTTTATGGCTGCATAGTATTCCATGGTGTATATGTGCCACATTTTCTTAATCCAGTCTATCATTGTTGGACATTTGGGTTGGTTCCAAGTCTGCTATTGTGAATAGTGCTGCAATAAACATACGTGTGCATGTGTCTTTATAGCAGCATGATTTATAGTCCTTTGGGTATATACCCAGTAATGGGATGGCTGGGTCAAATGGTATTTCTAGTTCTAGATCCCTGAGGAATCGCCACACTGACTTCCATAAGGGTTGAACTAGTTTACAGTCCCACCAACAGTGTATTAACTTGAAATTGATTCCATATCTAAATGTAAAACATAAGACTGTAAACCTTTTAGGAAGAAGCACGGGAGAAAATCATCATCATCAGTGGTTAGGCAAAGATTTCTTAGACCCAACACCAAAAGTATGATCCATTTTTAAAAAAAGAACTTGTATGTCCAGTCCAGGGTATACGAAGAACCCTCAAAACCAAACAGTAAGAAAACAAACAGCCCAATTTTTAAAATGGGCAAAAACTAAAAATACAACCCAGCAATCACACTCCTGGGTATTTATCCCAGAGAAATAAAAATTTGTGTCCATACAAACCTGTACACAGATGGTCATAGCAATATTGTTTGCAATGTCCAAAACCTTGAAACAATCAAAATGTTCCTCTATAGTTGACTAAACATACTGTGGTACATCCATACCACAGATAACTCAGCAGTTAAAAAGCAATTAACTATTAATATATGCAACAATTTGGATGGTTCTCAAGGGTATTCTGCTGTATGCTAAGTCAAAAAAAGCCAACCTCAAAATGTCACATACTATATGATTCCGTTTATGTAATATTCTCAAAGTAACAAAAGAATAGAAATGGAGGCCAGGCACGGTGGCTCACGCTTGTAATCCCAGCACTTTGGGAGGCCGAGGTCGGCAGATTACTTGAGGCCAGGAGTTCGTGACCAGCCTGGCTAACATGGTGAAACCCTGTCTGTTTTAAAAATAAAAACAATTGCTGGGCACCACCACGCTTATGCCTGTAATCCCAGCACTTTGGGAGGCCGAGGCGGGCGGATCACAAGGTCAGGAGTTTGAGACCAGCCTGACCAACATGGTGAAACTCCGTCTCTACTAAAAAAAAAAAAAAAAAAAAAAAAAAATTTAGCCAGGCGTGGTGGTGCGTGCCTGTAATCCCAGCTAAACAGGAGGCTGAGTCAGGAAAACTGCTTCAACCCAGGAGGCGGAGGTTGCAGTGAGCCAAGATCGCGCCACTGCACTCCAGCCTGGGCGACAGAGTGAGACTCCATCTCAAAAAAAAAAAAAAAAATTAGCCTGGTGTGGTGGTGCGCACCTGTAATCCCAGCTACTCAGGAGGCTGAGGCAGGAGAACTGCTACAACCTAGGAGGCGGAGGTTGCAGTGAGCCGAGATCACGCCACTGCACTCCAGCCTGGGCGACAGAGTGAGACTACGTCTCAAAAAAAAAAAAAAAAAAATTTAGCTGGGCGTGGTGGCACATGCCTGTAATCCTAGCTACTCGGGAGGCTGAGGCAGGAGAATCAATTGAACCCAGGAGGTGGAGCTTGCGGTGAGCCAAGATCATGCCATTGCACTCCGGCCTGGGCAACAAGAGTAGTCCCAGCTACTTGGGAGGCTGAGGGACAAGAATCGCTTGAACCCTGGAGGCGGAGGTTGTAGTGAGCCGAGATCATGCCACTGCACTCCAGCCTGGGCGACAGAGTGAGACTCCGTCTCAAAAACAACAACAACTCAAAAGGCTACCTACTCTATGATTCTATTTATAAATGGAATATATATGCTATGTTTGAAAAGACAAAACTACAGTGACAGAAAACAGGTCAGTGATTTCCAAGGATTAGTAGTTGGGGGAAGGTGTGATCCTAAAGCAGGAGACAGCAAACTTTTCCTGTAGAGGGCCAGATAGTAAATAGTTTAGGCTTTGCGGGCCACATACGGTCTCTGTCACATATTCCTTACTTTTGTCTCTTGTTTTTGTTCTTTTTACAACACTTTAAAAATGTTAAAATGATTCTTAGCTTCTGGGCCCTAAGAAAACAGGCTATGGACCAGATTTGACTCAGGTGTAGTTTGCCAACTCCTGTGACAATGATAGAGTTTAAGGGAGTTGGCAGGGTGGGGAATGAGTGACGTAATTGTTCTGTATCTGACTGTGGCATGGTTACAGGAATGTATAAATGTGTTAAAATTCACAGAAGTGTATGCACACAAAAACGTCAATAATATTGTATGTTAATTAGAAAGAAAAACCCAGTAACCTATCAGATCAGTTCATCTCTGTCACAAGAGATATCAAAATTGCCTTTTCCCTAAGATTCAAGGATCAAGAAATCTTTTAAAAGATATGGCTTCTAACCAGATGTGGTGGTGCGTGCCTATAGTCCCAGCTACTCTGGAGGCTGAGGTGGGAGGATCACTTGAGGCCAGGACTTTGAGGCTGCAGTGGGGCATGATGAGACCTGTGAATACCCACTGCATTCCAACCTGAGCAACATAGTGATACCCCATTTCTAAAAAAATAAGTTCATAAAATAAATGGAAAATATGGCTTCTATCCATTCTATTTATAAAGTTGTTTACTGCAGTAATTCTTCCTTGTTTAAAATGGCAGGCTTGTGTGAATGCGATGATGAACTCAGCTGTAACTTATTCGGTTACGATGACGACAACCGTTTCTTTGAGGACAGGAAAAGCAAGTGTTATTCTCTATAACAAAGAGATAAGTGTATTTATCACTTACAATAATGTCCAGTTTATTTTCTGAGCAATGGTCACTTAAGCTCAAAGCAATATGTGAGTTTCAGCCTTGAAATAGCAATTTAATCTGTATTATTTTCAAATAAGGTACCTTTTAAGCATTAGAAATTATAGCTTGTGTTATAGAGAATATGCCCTTTCTTAAGTTTTGCAGACTACAGGAGAGACTCTGACATTTATTTTATGCTCCGGATAAGAGTGTCACTGTGTCACAGCAGCTTTACTTTCCCTTAGGCCTTGGTAACTGTCAGAGAGAATACTCAGCATATTGTATAAAAACATCGAGAGAACTGACTTTTGTTGTCTGGCCAAGTGAATATGTAATGCTTCCCTAAAAATATCCTTTAAGATATTCAAAATATTTCATCTTTTGTAGTGATTCTCAGTGATAAGTGTGTGTATTTCAGGAATAGGGATGCTTTAGGAGATTTACATGGCCTAACCCCAGAATCACTGACCTGGTGAGCTCTGTGAAAAACAGTGTAGAACCCTCCATCTAGGCAGCCTTTCAAACTGCTATATTTATCAAGCATATACTTCAGGTAAACACGTGACAGATGATGAAGCTCCTTCCCTACATTTTACTCTGGATACAAAGGGATTTCAAAAATAAGCAGAAAACATGAAGGATAAAAAGACAATGTATTTCTGTGTCCCCATGGAATGGTGGCTTGCCAATGGCTAGCTTGGCATTTCTCTCTGTATTTCTTTAGGCACCATCTCTTTTCATCATCCCCAAGTGCTGCTCCACACTCCAAACTAAGTGGTTGTACTTATATGACAGACTGTTTTTTCTCTTTATGCCCATAAAATATGTTTGTGCAGCAAAAATTTATTGAGCACCTGCTATGTGCTGGGTAACAGCCTGTGCGTGGGATAGATAAGCAAATGAAAAAAACAGAAGTCCCTGCCTTCATAGAGCTTGCATTCCAGTGGGGGCAGATAGACAATGAACAACGAATATGATAAATAAGTAAATTATATAGTATGTTAGATACATTTGGATTGCCTAATGTATTAGGCTGTTTTTGTGTCACTATAAAGACATACCTGATGCTGGATAATTTATAAAGAAAAGAGGTTTAATTGGCTCATGGTTCTGCAGCCTGTTCAAGGAACATGGTGCCAAGATCTGCTCTGGGTGAGGGCCTCAGGGAGCTTACAATTGTGGCAGAAGGTGAAGGGAGAGTCAGCATCATACGACAAGAGCAGGAGTGGTGGTGGGGAGGTGTCACACACTTTTAGATGACCAGATCTCACATGAACTGAGTGAGAACTCACTTACCACCAAGGGGATAGAGCTAAACCGTAAATAAGGGATCCACCCCCATGATCCAATCATCTCCTACCAGGCCCCACCTCCAACACTGGAAATTACATTTCAACATGAGATTTGGAAGGGACAAACATCCAAACCATGTCACCTAAGGTACTGGTTAGCTGTCTTTGCTAAATTGCTGATAAGTTATAAGTTATTACATATCCCGTCTCTCTTTCGCATCATCAGTTTTACCCTCTCTACTGGACTGTTCCATCAGTGTACCCACAAAGAAGCTATTATATCTCTAACCTTAAAAGGACGCCAATATGATTTGGCTGTGCCCCACCCAAATTTCATCTTCAATTGTAGTTCCCATAATCCCCACGTGTCTTGGGAAGGACCCGGTGGGAGGTAATTGAATCATGGGGATGGTTACCCTCATGCTGTTTTTGTGATAGCGAGTGAGTTCTCACGAGTTCTGATGGTTTTATAAGGGGCTTTTCCCCCTTTTGCTCGGCACTTCTCCTTCCTGCCACCATGTGAAGAAGGATGTTTTTGCTTCCCCTTCTGACATGATTGTAAGTTTTCTGAGGCCTCCCCAGCCATGCTGAACTGTGAGTCAATTAAATCTCTTTCCTTTATAAATTACCCAGTCTCAGGTATGTCTTTATTAGCAGCATGAGAACAGACTAATACAAACGCCCTCTCTTGATTCATTCTGTTCTCATCACAGCAGTAAGGGTGATCCTGTTAAAATCATAACTCAGATGATGATACTCCTCCAAACCTTCCCGTGTCTCTCCAGCCCACTCACAGTCAAGTTCTAAGACCTTGCAATGGGCTGGGCATGAGCTGCCCTCAAGTACCTGTCTGACCTCATCACTCCAGCCAACTGGCCTGCTTGTAATTCATCCAACACACTGGACAAGCCCCTGTCTCAAGATTTTGGCATTTACTCTTCCCGGAATGCTCTTTCTCCAGAATATCCTCACGTCCTTCAGCTACTACCTAATGTCACCTTTGTATTAATATCCGTACCACCACCACTGCCACTCCTGCCCAAACATCCTATTTCCCTTCCTGGCTTTATTGTTTTCTCTTTAGTACTTAACATTATTGACATAGCTCTTTTTATATCTATATCTGTATTCTATAACTTTACTTATTGATCCTGTTTCAATTGGCTTTTCCTACCAGAATATAATCTTATGCAGGCAGGAATTTTTACCTATTTTATTTAGTCTCAGTATTTAGAATCATCCCTGGCATATAGTAGATGCTAAGTAAGTATTTTAAATGAATCATGTTGCCTACTCTGATTGTGTTTGAACAGGGAGCTGTTGGCTGAATATTATGCTTTAAGGACTATACTGGTCACTGGGCAAATTTTGTTTTTGTTTTTCTTTTTATTTATTTATTTACTTATTTATTTTAAGTTCCGGGGTACATGTACAGGATGTGCAGGTTTGTTACATAGATAAATGTGTGCCATGGTGGTTTGCTGCACCTATCAACCCATCACCTAGGTATTAAGCTCAGCATGCATTAGCTATTTTTCCTAATGCTCTCCCTCCCCACAACCCACCCCTGACAGGCCCCCAGAGTATTGTTCCCCTCCCAGTGTCCATGTGTTCTCATTGTTCAGTTCCCAGTTATAAGTGACAACATGTAGTGTTTTGTTTTTGTTTTTGTTTTTTTTTTGAAATAGTCTCCCAGGCTGGAGTGTAGTGGCGCAATTTCGGCTTGTGGCAAACTCCACCTCCCACGTTCAAGCGATTCTCCTGCCTCAGCCTCCCAAGTAGCTGAGACTACAGGCGTATGCCATCACGCCTGGCTAATTTTTATATTTTTAGTAGAGACGGGGTTTCACCATGTTGGCCAGACTGGTCTCCAACTCCTGACCTTAAGGTGATCCACCCGCCTCAGCCTCCCAAAGTGCTGGTATTACAGGCATGGGACACTGTGCCTGGCCAGCAAATATTTTTGACAAGTTATTTCTTCCACATCCTTCAATCCCAGCCTTTGAACAGTATCAATGGGTATAACTCTAAACAATAAAATATAACATTGTCAGATCCTCATTCAATGTGTTTATAGGAGTTGTGAATGTGGGCTCCTCCTTCTTCAGACTGGAGAATTTGATAATGTTGGGTTTTGTATGTTTTGTTCTTAGGTATGTATTATTCT
The DNA here is from genome assembly GCF_000001405.40 of Homo sapiens. Lineage (NCBI taxonomy): Eukaryota > Metazoa > Chordata > Mammalia > Primates > Hominidae > Homo > Homo sapiens. The sequence goes on along the minus strand of NC_000023.11, from coordinate 40,763,890 downwards.
TTCTCCTGTCAGTAATTCCTTTGTGATCTGTTTCCTTTCTTGTTTCATTCCTCTCCTTCCCCGGTTCTCCACCCTAGAAATTTGAGAGACAGGCTGATATCCAGAAAAACAAATCTTTCACTGTAATCTCCTTTTCAGTGTTATCTCAATTTTGAATAGATTTAAATAAAATAAGCTAAGTATTTCTTAGATACAGATATTAGTAGGCATACAATTTTATTCATCAAACTCTGCTTACTATAAATCTCTCTCTGTTGACAACATGTACAAATTAAGTTGGAAGGATAAAGAAAGAAGCAGGGGAGGATTCTGGAACTAGCATCTGTGTTCCTCAAATATCAGAATTGCTTGATGGTGTTAATGAGGCACTTGCCTATTAATTTTAAGTCTGATTTTCAATTTATTTGGACATCATCACTCTGCAATGTATTTTTAATTTTCCTTATCAAAACTTTTAATTAGTCTTCCCCAAATTTTAAAGCAAAACCAGCTATTATGGCATTTAATTGGAATATTACAGATAGTCAGAAAGATATTTGAAACTAAGTTGATTCAAAAATTAAGATTTAGCTGGGAACAGTAGCTCATACCTGTAACCCCTCCCTGCTACTTAGGAGGCTGAGGTAGGAGGATCACTTGAGGCCAGGAGTTCAAGACCAGCCTGGGCAAAATAGTGAGACCCCATCTCTAATTTTTTCTTTTTTTATTAGCTAAGTGTGGTGCGATGTGCCTGTAGTCCCAGCTACTCAGGAGACTGGGGTGGGAGGATTGATTGAGCCCAGGAGTTCCAGGCTGCAGTGAGCTATGGTTGTGCCACTATGCCCCAGGCTGGGAAACATAGTGAGACCCTGTCCCTAAATAGATACATACATAAATAAAAATTAAGATTTGCTTTCTAATGCATTTACATTAAAATATTTGATAAGTATGTGAGTTTGCTTCTGTGGGTCCTAAATAAAATATAATGACTTGAGAAGTATATCTACTGCTTTTTATCATGGAAGCTCAGTAATCAACACAAATGCTTTCTGGTAATCCTTATTGTTTTAGTTGCTGTAATTTTTAAAAAGTTATTCTCAGCTAATGAATTGAAGTTACACTTCCACATTTGGACACCATTAAATTACTAAGAGTACTAGGACTTTTAAAAGGTTTAAAATGCATGATTTTAAACATTTGAGGATTTTAAGACAAAAATATAAAGTTACTTGTGGAGAAATTTAAGATGTTACATGATGGCTGAAATAAAAGTCTTGGGATAAGAATAGTGTGTGTGGAGGAGGGCTTGAAATATCCAAAAGACCAACATTTTACTTTTTAAAATGGAAATTTCCTGATTTAGTGACTGAGGATTCTAATCACATGGCATGCCAGATTTTAAAATATTTATTTTTAAAATCAATGACCGGGCATAGTGGCTCACGCCTATAATCCCAGCACTTTGGGAGGCCGAGGCAGGTGACTCACTTGAGGTCAGGAGTTTGAGACCAGCCTGGCCAACATAGTGAAACCCGTCTGTACTAAAAATACAAAAATTAGCCAGGCATGGTGGCACATGCCTGTAGTCCCAGCTACCCCGGAGGCTGAGGCAGGAGAATCGCTTGAACCTGGGAGGCGGAGGTTGCAGTGAGCCAAGATCGTACCACTGAACTCCAGTCTGGGCGACAGAGCAAGACTCCCTCTCAAAATAAAATAAAATAAAAAGTATCCACTGAGACCCTCTAGATGACTTTTACTGGTTTCAAATTTGTTGGACTTCATTAATTTTGTTGAGTAACACTTGTACTTAGGTCATGAACATTCACTTATTTTATTTGTCTACTGATGGCAGTTGTGAGTAAAATCCACTCTCAAGGTCTCCCTCCTTGAACAGAGAATCTACTATAATAACAGGTCTCATTATCTCACCATGATAAAAACGTCAAGCATTTTCTTTGAAGGACTCAAATTACATCTCTTGCAACACCAGTGCATCAGTTCATTAATCTCCTTTCTTCCCCACCCATAACTACCTGCATGCAATATGATTCCAGGTTCCCTAATGTAATGCAATTTTTTATTAAATTTAGAAAACACAAATTAGTAAGTTAAAGTAGTAGTTGAAGTAATAGAGGTGAAGTGTCACCTTTGTTGTTGTTGTTGTTGTTGTTGTTTGTTTACTCCTTTCCATTCCCAATTATTTCTGCCACCTGGTGCAAAGATGTGATCTAACAAAGGTGATTCCCCCTCCCCCGACACACTCCTATCATAGTCCCAGGGGTTGCCATACCTCACTTTTGTTCTTTGGTTTCCCATTTTCATGTTCAACTTATCCAGCTGTTAGCTTTCTTTTAAAGTAACAGTTATTTGTACAACGAAGCTAGACAATAAATTGTTTTCCTCAAAACACAAAATATGGGCCTGTTCCCTGTGCTGTGAGACTATCACTTCACCAGAGGGGTCAATTTGTGTGTACTTCGGGTGACAAGATTTGCGGTCACCCAGCCAAAAACTTCTTTGTCTCTTTGGATGACTTAAAAACTCTACCCCAAGATGTCTTTCGTGGGGATGCCCCAAAGTTTTATTTGTTTTACTGTAGGGTTGCCTGCCCAGCACCCCCAGTTTCTTTCTGAGAGTGGAAATGGCCAATTTGGGCCTGCAGTTGCTGAACTTTTCCGTGGCTCTGCTAGGCTGGGTGGGCCTTGTGGCCTGCACCGCCATCCCGCAGTGGCAGATGAGCTCATGTGTGGGCAACAGCATCATCACAGCCCAGGCCATGTACAAGGGACTGTGGATGGACTACATCATGCAGAGCATGGGCTTGATGAGCTGTGAAATGTATGACTTGGTGCTCACCCTGCCAGCAGCCATGCAGGACCTTTGAGCCCTAATGGTGGCATACCTGGTGCTGGGCTTCCTGACCATATGTGTGTGGCCACGATGGGCATGAAGTGCATGTGTTGTGGGGGAAATGACAAAGTGAAGAAGGCCTGTATAGCTCATATGGTTTGGCTCTGTGTCCCCACCCAAATCTCATCTCGAATTGTAATCCTCACATGTTGAGGGAGGGAAATGACTGGATTATGGGGGCAGTTTCCCCCACACTCTTCTCATGATAGTGAGTGAATTCTCACAAGATCTGATGGTTTTTTGTTTGTTTGTTTTTTGAGATGGAGTTTCGCTCTTGTTGCCCAGGTTGGAGTGCAATGGCATGGTCTCAGATCACTGCAACCTCCATCTCCCAGGTTCAAGCGATTCTCCTGCCTCTGCCTCCCAAGTAGCTGGGATTACAGGCATCCCCCATCACACTCAGCTAATTTTTGTATTTTTAGTAGACACGGGGTTTTACCATGTTGGCCAGGCTGGTCTGGAACTCCTGAACTCAGGTGATCCACCCACCTCAGCCTCCCAAAGTACTGGGATTACAGGCATAAGCCACTGTGCCTGGCCCTGATGGTTTTATAAATGGTAGTTTTTCCTGCTCTCTCACATGCTTCCTGTCTCCTGCCGCCATGTGAAGAAGGTCTTTGCTTCCCCTTCCACCATGATTGTAAGTTTCCTGAGGCCTCCACAGTCATGCTAAACTGTGAGTCAATTAAACCTCTCTCCTTTATAAATTACCTAGTCTTGGGTATTTCTTTATAGCAGTATAGGCATGATTAGAGGTGTCATTTTCATCATGGCAGGTCTTGCTGACTTGGTAGCTTTCTTCTGGTATGGCCATCAGATTGTCACGGACTTTTACAACCCCTTGATCCCCTTGAATATTAGGTATGAGTCTGGTCCTGCTATCTTTATTGGCTGGGCAGAGTCTTCTCTGACCCCCCTAGGAGGTGTACTATTCTCTTGCTCTTGTTCTGGGAATAAGAGCAAAACTGGGTACTGTGTACCTCACTCTTACTCTAAGTCCAACTCTGCCAAGGAGTACATGTGAGCTGGGACACCTTTGCCCCAGCCTGACAGGCTACGGGTGTATCTAAATGCCTGAAAAGACCTGGGGCAGAGCTTAGCCTGTGGGCAGGGTGCAGGATAAAAGCCTCCTGGTCACTCCATCCCTGCACACCATGTACTGTTCTCTGGGGGGTGGGGTGGGAGACACAAAAAGAGAGGAGAGTGCACATTTTGTATAGTAATAAAAAATAAGTTTTGGAGAGTAAAAAGATATATATGAGCAAGTAGGGATGGACCAGTGATAGCTACAATACCTATGGTATTGGCATCTGTACAGAAACATGCTTAGGGAAGCAACAGGGCATCTCACTGACCTGGGAACAACAAAATAACCAAAAGGTACTCACTGAAAGTTCAGAGAGCCAAAGTGAGAACAGGAACTAAAACTGTAGGGGTAAACCTCCATAGCAATGGTCTGCAATAAGATATAAGAGATCTAAAATAGTCTGGGTCATATAAGCTCTTAGAACTAACCAGCCAAAGCATCCTTTGAGGATAAAGATCCACACTGAGGAGACTTGCTGATCAATCTAAAGTGACAATAGAGACGAAAGAAAGAACAGGGCCAGAAAAAGTAGGGGAGGGGAACAGAGTCTGGAGATCTCAGAAATTAAGCCACCATATTTTTTGACATTTCACAAAAACAACAGGAGAGCTCTAGTCATAAAGTTATAAAATCTATATTTCCCTTGTAAAAGTTCAGGAAAATGAAATTCATGTGGAAATGAACATAATAGAATAAAGGGCAAAAGCCATGTGATCATCTCAATAGACACAGAAAAATACAAATTCATAACACAAATTCTCAACAAACTTAGAAGGGAACTTCTTCAACCTTCAACCTGATAAAGAGTATCCACAAAAACCACAAGTGTTTTGTTTTGTTTTTACAATATTTTTTTTTGTATTTAGCATCTCTCTCGACTTCGTAGAGAGAACAGGCAGAAGAACTAGAATTGAAGCTTGGAGAACAAACTTGGGATTCCAAAACGGGCTAGAGGCAGTATATGTTAGGATCTTGGCAGCAGCCAAAATGGACTATTTTTTGGCCAGGGAAGTCATTTGTAGGGACCTTAAGGTTGGGGTACAGAATGAGTTGGAACAAGGGTGTCCAAAGATTCATATACACCAGGCCGACAGGATGAACAGCATTGGGGAATCTGAGTACCGTGTGTGTATTTCTCAGGCCAGCACTAGTCTTGACTTCACCCTCTGGTATTGATGGTTGTTGAGTTTCTTGTTTTTGCTGAATATGCTCGCATTTTGCTTTCTTAAGTTTTGCTCTGTGGTTTTCGAACCAGACCTCCAGTACTGTTGGATGTATGTCAATTTTCGAAGCCCACTGCAGGCTGGGGTTTGGGTATAGGTTCTCATTAAAAAAGATGTTCAAGTCTTCCAGTAGCTTCTCAGTGAACATGGTTCATTTCCTGCGTGAATGCATCTGGTGCTTGCCTTTGGGAAGATCCTCTGAGTCTGACATCTTCTAATCCAGATGTGCTCCTGTATTCAGGTCCAGTGATAAGAACTAGCAGAGACTGAATCCGGACTTAAATAGCTTACTCCACAGCCACACCTGATTCCCACCCCCTTCCAACTGTTTCTGCCCTATCTGCCTCCAATCTGATCCCTGGATCCTCCAGAGCCCCCTGGATTTCTCCTAATTCTGTCTCACATCATACCTAATCATGAAAGACTGCATGTTTGCCTCCAAGACTAGGAAGAAGGCAAGAATACCCACTCTTGCCACTTCTATTCAACATTGTACTGGAGGTTCTAGTGTAATCAAGCAAAAAAATTAAAAATCATCGCTGGGCGCAGTGGCTCACGCCTGTAATCCCAGCACTTTGGGAGGCCAAGGCGGGTGGATCACAGGGTCAGGAGATCGAGACCATCCTGGCTAACATGGTGAAAACCCATCTCTATTAAAAATGCAAAAAATTAGCCAGGTGTGGTGGCGGGTGCCTGTAGTCCCAGCTACTCGGGAGGCTGAGGCAGTAGAATGGCATGAACCCGGGAGGCGGAGCTTGCAGTGAGCTGAGATCACGCCACTGCACTCCAGGCTGGGCAACAGAGCAAGACTCTGTCTCAAAAAAAAAAAAAAATTAAAAAGCATGTAGATTGTAAAAAAGTAAAACTGTCTTTATTTGCTAATGACATGATCATCATGTAGAAAATCCTAAGGAATTTATACACACACACACACACAACTATTAGAACTAATAAGTTCAGCAAAGTGATGAGATACTAAGTCAGTATACAAAAATCAATTGTATTACTATGAGCAATAAAAATTCCAAAAGTGAAATTAAAAAATAACTCCATTTATGATTGTATTAAAAAGAATAAAACACTTAAGAATAAATTTAACAAAATAAGTGTAAGACATGTACACTGAAAATTTAAAAATACTGATGAGGGAAATTAAAGAAGACCTAAATATGTGGAGAGACATCCCATGATCATAGATTGGAAAACTCAGTAATATGGCAATTCTCTCCAAATTGATTTGTAGATTAACACAATCTCTATCAAAATTCCAACAGATTTTTTTTGAGGAAATTGACAAATTGATTGCTGGGAGACAATTCTCCATGAATATTTCACAGCTCCACACAGTCCAGGTCTTCTGAACAAAGAGCATGTTTGAATGGCAAAGGCCTTGGAAGCTAGAGATTTCGAGCTGTGTATACCCAGTAGACATTTGCTTACATTTCAGGATAATAAACCTAGAGGCCTTCCACTCCCCTCTCCAGTGAAGATTTGTTTATATTCAAGAGAAAAGATAAAGTCATTATCTCTCCCTTCCTAAAGGGGAGGATGGGCAGATGTGCCAGCAAACCTTACATAACTTCAGAGCCTCCTAATTTGGGGATTTTTTTTCCTATGGTGAAACCCATTGTTTATGCAGGTAAACATCTGGCTCTCATTTGTGTTGCCCTGTGGAGAACTGGGGCGTGGGGAATTAGGCACTAGTGAGTTGGTACTCCGGATGCTGCTTTTGCCATGAGTTATAAACCATCTGTCCTTAACACAGGGGTCTGATATCTTCTGTCAGCATATATATGTGAAACTGTTCACAAACTAATTTGTTAGTTTGCAAGTAGGGTGAAATCTCAGACCCTTCACAGTTTCTGACTTCATACTGATCCTGAAATTAAATGAAATAGATCCAGTATATCCAAAACAATTTTGAAAATGAAGAACGAAGTTGGAGGACTTTTACCTCTCAATTTCAAAACTTATTACAAAGCTCAGTTATCAATACAGTGTTGTGCTGGCATAAAGACAGACATACAGATCAAAGGTACAGAATTGAGAATCTAGAACTAAACCTTTACATTTATGGTCAATTGGCTTTTGACAAAAGTGCAAGGCATTTCAATGGGGAAAGGACAGATAGTCTTTTCAACAAATAGTGCTGAGAAAATTGGATATCTACATGCATACCATACTCAAAAATTAACTCAAAATGGAATAGAGACCTAAATATAAAAGGTTAAGCTAAAAAACTTGTAACAGGAAACAGGAGAGAGCAATAATGGCAGAATAGGAGGTTCCCTCGCTCATATCCTCCCACAACAAGAATTCTGTACCCATCCACAGACAAAAGTGTCTTTGTGGGATCCCTGGGATACAGTTAGGAAGTTGTGAAACCCAGTGGAGCCCAAGACCTAGGAGGGTCATTTTGAGAGTGCAGACCCATACCTAGGTGGCAGACCAGCTGACTGCTATCCTGGCTTCATACCTGGAAATAGCCCTGTTCTTCTAAGGGTTTGGCTACAACACCATTTGGCCTTGAGCCTGCTACCAAAACCATTTGCCAAGGGTCTGGGAGGAATCAGGCACACTAGTGCCTCAACAGACAGGCCTGCCAAAATTGGTCTAGGTAGTATACCCAAAAGCTATCCTGTAACTGGGCCCCAGCCCTTCTCAATAGTGGTCCCAGATTAGTACTACTTGCACAAGGACCCAGAGGGAAATTTGCCCATATGTGCCACTGGGACAGGCTTGCTGGCCTCCATCCCATAGTAGATCCTGAAGGGGCCCTGTCTCAGCTCCAGCTCCTCTCTGCCACAGCCCAGGAGTATTTCCACCCACGCAGAGAACTGCTGGGAGACTAGCCTGTCTGAGCCACTGTGACAGGCTTGCCAGTTTCCTTCCCACAGCAGATCCTGAAGGGGCGCGGAAGCTTGACTCTAGCCCAGTCTGGGAACAAACCCAAAAGCACAGAGAACTGCTGCGAGACGTGACTGTCTATGTCACCAGGACAGGCTTGCCAGCCTACATCCCATAGCAGACCCTGAAAAGGCTCTGTCTCAGCTTCAGTCCAGAGCTATTCCACCTATGCAGGAAACTGCTGGGAGACACACTGGGACAGGCTTGCCAAACTCTGTCTCCTAGTGGTTCTTAAAGGAGCCCTGAATCTCAGCTCCAGCCCCTCTCAGCTGCAGTCCTGGAGCAATCCTTCCCACATAGGGAACTGTTGGGAGTCTTGCCTGATGGTGCCACCAGGTTGGGCTTGCCAATATCAGTCACACAGCAGTTTCTGAAATAGCACTGAAGCTCAGTTTCAGCCCCTCCCAGCTGTGGTCTGGGAACAGTTCTGCCCAGCTGGGATCCCGCCAGGAGACGTGCCCTTCTGAGTCCCTGGATCTTGGTCCTGGAGGGAGGCATGTCTCGCAGTGTCCCTGAAGGCTGATTCCTTGACCTCGATCTCATTGTGGATCTTGAAACAGCCCTATAAATAGACTCCAGCCCTTCTCAATTGCAGTCTGATGGCAGGTCTGCTCACCCAGAAGCCCACCGGGAGACACACCCACCCCTGACCCTGGAGACAGGACTGAAGATCTCGATCTCAGCTGCGGACCCTGAAACAATCCTGTGTCTCTGTTCTAGCCCCTCTCAGCCATGGACCAGAGCAATATGGCCAGCCTAGGGACTCATCCAGTGATCCAACAGCAGCTCTCTCAGAATCACAGAGGAAGCCACACCCATCAGTGCACCTGGTAACAGGCCTGCCATCTGTGAATCCTGAAGTGGATCCTCATCCTAGCACCAGCCCCACAGACCAAGATCCTGGAAATAGTCCACTCCACTAGGGAACCATATAGGACCCATGCCCACTAACTTTGGTCTCCACTGCAGACCCGGCACCAGCAACATGATCTAGATTCAACCCTACTCAACTGGGATCCTGGAGGCAATCTCATCAACCCAGATACCTGGTATGGTTTGGATTTGTACCCCCACCAAATCTCATGTCAAATTGTAATCCCCAGTGTTGGAGGTGGGGCCTGGTGGGAGGTGGTTGGATTATGGGTGTGCATTTCTCATGAATGGTTTAGCACATCCCCCTTTGTACCGTCCTCATGGTCTTGATAGAGTTCTCATGAGATCTGGTTGTTAAAAGTGTACAGCACCTCCTCCCTCTCTCTATTGCTCCTTGCTCCCACCATGTGAGACACCTCATACCCCCTTTGCCTTCTGCCATGATTGGAAGCTTCCTGAGGCCTCCCCAGAAGCAGAAGCCACTATGCTTCCTGTACAGCCTGCAGAACCGTGAGCCAACTATACCTCTTTTCTTTATAAATTACCCAGTCTCAGATATTTCTTTATAGCAACGTGAGAATGGACTAATACAATACCTAACAGGAGAACACTTTAACTTGCCAAAATGTATCTGTAAAGACTGAAAGAAGGGTTTGCTCCTTCAAATGCAAGGCTACACAGACATCACCAAAGGAAGTTGTAACAACAAATGCCTACATCAAAAAAAAAAAGAAATCTCAAATAAACAGCCTAACCTTATGCCTCAAGGAACTAGAAAAAGAAGAACGAACTAAGCCCAAAATCAGTAGAAGGAAAGAAATAATAAAGATCAGAGCAGAAATAAATGAAATAGTGGCTAAAAAGATGATAGAAAACATCAACCAAACTAAAAGTTGGTTCTTTGAAAATGTAAACAAAATTGACAAACCTTTAGCCAGACCAACTAAGAAAAAAAGAGAGAAGACTAAAATAAAGAAAATCAGAAATAAGAGAGGAGATATTACTGATGTCACAGAAATACAAAGGACCATAAGAGACTGTTATGTGCAGTTATATGCCAAAAATTTGGTTAACCTAGAAGAAATGGATAAATTCCTAGAAACATACACCTAACAAGACTGAATCAAGAAGAAACAGAAAATATGAACAAACCAATAATAAGCAATGAGATTGACTCAATAATAAGACATCTCCCATCAAAGAAAAGCCCAGGACCAGATGGCTTCACAGTCGAATTCTACCAAATATTTAAATAACTAATACAAATCCTCCTCACACTTTTTCCCAAAAAAATGAAGAAGAGGAAATACTTCCAGACTGATTCTATGAGGCCAGCATTACTGATGCCAAAGTCAGGCAATAGCACTACCAAAAAAGAAAATTCCAGGCCAATATCCCTGATGAACATAGATGCAAAAATCCTAAACAAAATATGAGCAAACCAAATTAAACAGCATATTAAAAGGATAATTCACCGTGATCAAATGAGATTTATCCCTGGGATTCAAGGATGGTTCAACATTTGCAAATCAATGAATGTGATAAACCATAATAACAGAATGAAGGACAAAAACTATACAATCACCTCAATAGATGCAGAAAGGAAAAACATTTGAGAAAATTCAACATCCTTTCATGATAAAAACTCTCAACAAATTAGGCATAGAAGGAACGTACCTAAACACAATAAAGGCCATATATGAAAAGCCCACAACTAACATACTCAACAGTGAAAAGTTGAAAGCTTTTCCTCTAAGATCAGGAACAAGACAAGGATGCCCACTCTCACCACTTCCATTCAACATAGTACTGGAAATCGTAGCTTGAGCAATGAGGCAAGAGAAAGAAATAAAATACAGCCAAATTGGAAAGGAAGAAGTTAAATTGCCCCTGTTTGCAGACAACATAATCTTACATAAAGAAAACCCAAAAAACTCATGCCAAAACTGTTAGAACTAATAAATGAATTCAGTAAAGTTGCAGTATACCAAATCAACATGCAAAAATCAGTAGCCTTTCCTTACACTAAAAATAAACTATATGAAAAAGAAATTAAGAAAATTTGATGCTATCCACAATAGCATCAAAAAATTGAATATTTAGGAGTAAATTTAACCAAGGAGGTGAAAGGTCTGTGCACTAAAGACTATAAAACATTGATGAAAGAAATAGAAAAGATACAAATAAATGAAAAAGTATCCCATGTTCATGTATGGAAGAATTAATATTGTTAAAAAATGTCCATACTACCCAAAGCAATCTATGGGTTCAGTTAAATCTCTATCAAAATTACAATGTCATTTTTCACAGAACTAGAAAAAGCAATCCTAAAATTTGTATGGAACCACAAAAGACCCTGCATAGCCAAAGCAATCTTGAGCAAAAAAACTGGAGCCCAAAGATCAAAAGCAAAAGCTGAAGGCATCATACTACCTGGCTTCAAAATCTATTACAAAGCTGTAGTAATCAAAACAGCATGGTACTGGCATTAAAAAAGATGCATTGACCAATAGAACAGAATAGAGCCCAAAAATAACCCCAAGCACTTACAATCAATTGATTTTTGACAAAGATGCCAAGAACACACAATGAGAAAGGACAATCTCTTCAATAAGGAGTGTTGGGAAAACTGGACATCCACATGCAAAATGAGCTTGGACTCTTATACCATGTACAAAAATCAACTCAAAGCGGATTAAAGACTTAAACATAAAGCTTGAAACTGTAAAACTACTGGAAGAACACATGGGGGAAAATGCTCCACAACATGGGGGAAATGCTCCACAATAGCCCCAAAAGCAAAGGCAACAAAAGCAAAAATAAACAAATGGGATTGGATCAAATTAAAAAGCTTCCACACAGCAAAGGAAACCATTAACAGGATGAAGAGACAACTCAAGGACTGGGAGAAAATATTTGCAAACCATACATCTGACAAGAAACTAATATCCAAAATAAGGAACTCAAACAACTCAATAGCAAGAAAAAAAAACAAACTAGTTAAAACACGGACCAATGACTTGACATTTCTCAAAAACAGATACACCAATGTTCAACAGATATATGAAAAACACTTATCATCCCTAATCATCAGGGAAATGTAAATTAAAAGCACAATGGAAATATCATCTTACACCCGAATGTGAGGTGATATGATAGAATATCATGAAATCTATAATAGAATAGGTGATAATAGAATTATTATCAGAAAAACAAAAGATAATAAGTGTTAACAAGGGTGTAGAGAAAAGGGAATGCTTGTACACTGTTGGTGGAAATATAAATTAATATAGCCATTATGAAAAATATTATGGAATTTCCTCAAAAAGCCCCACAATAAATAGAACTACCATATGATCCAGCAATCCCACTACTGGGATTAAAAGGAATCCAATCCTGGCTAACACAGTGAAACCCTGTCTCTACTAAAAATACAAAAAAATTAGCCAGGCGTGGTGGCGAGCGCCTGTAGTCCCAGCTACTCGGGAGGCTGAGGCAGGAGAATGGCGTGAACCCAGGAGGTGGAGCTTGCAGTGAGCCAGGATCGCGCCACTTCACTCCAGCCTGGGTGACAGAGAGAGACTCTGTCTCAAAAAAAAGGAATCCAAAGGAATTAAAATCAGTATGTCAAAGTGGATATCTGTACTCCCATGTTCATTGCAGCATTATTCACAGAGGGTAAGATTTGAAAGCAAGGTAAGTGTCCATCAATGGATGAATGGATTTTTTAAAATGTGGTATATATACACAATGGAATACTATTCAGCCTTTAAAAAGAATAAAATTCTGTCACATGTGACAACATGGATGAACATGGAGGACATTATGTTAAGTGAAATAAGCCAGGCACAGAAAGACAAATATCACACCATCTCACCTACATGTGAAATTTTAAAAAGTCAAATTCATACAAGTAGAGAGTACAATGGCAATTCCCAGAGGCTGGAGGAGAGGGGTAGACATGGAAAGCGGAGATGTTTAAGTAGTTGAGGTGGTGAATTTGTTAATTTGCTTGATTTAATCGTTCCACAATGTAAACATATATCAAACATCAAGGTCAGGCAAGGTGGCTCATGCCTGTAATCCCAACACTACGAGAGGCTGAGGCAAGAGGATCACTTGAGGCCAGGAGTTCGAGACCAGCCTGGTCAACACAGGGAGACTCCTGTTTCTACAGTTTTTTTTTTTTTTTAATTAGCCAGGTGTGTTGATGCATGCCTGTAGTCCCAGTACTCAGAAGGCTGAGGAGGGAGGATCACTTGAACCCAGGAGTTCGAGGTTGCAGTGAGCTATGATCACGCCACTGCACTCCAGTCTAGGCGACCCAGCAAGACCCTGTCTCAAAAGAAAAATAAAAAAATAAAAAGAACAATTCTGTTTACCACAGTCTGCCCTCTGGCCCCCAATGATTCATGTCTCTCCTAAATGCAAAATACATTCACCTTCTCCCAAATTTGCCAAGGGTGTCAATACCATTACAGCTTAAACTCAAAGTCCAAACTCTCATCTAAATCTCATGAATTCAAAAATCCAATATCTCATCATCAAATCACTTAGATTAGGTGTGGGTGAGACGCCTGGCACAATTTCTCTCCATCTGTGGACCTATGAAACTGTAGAAACAAGTTATCTATTGCCAACACATGATGATGGAACAGGCATAGGGTAAGAGTTACAGACATTCTAGTTCAAAAGGGAGGAAAATGGAAGGTAAAAAGGATCACCAGTCCAAAGCAGTTTTAAAAGCTGGGAAACTCCCTTGGGTTTCAAGACTTGGAAATAATTCCACGTGCCTTTCAGTTCTGCCCTCTGGCTCTCGCCTGTGCCCCCTGGGCTTTCAGTTCCTCTCTCTGAGCCGTCCTTTTTTCATGAAAGGTAGAATGTGTTTACAGCTGAGTAGTTTTATCAACCTCCTTTCTGCCAGAGGAATTCTGGGAGTTTGACAGCTTCCTTTCACTTCAAACTCTGTCACTTTCAGTCCAAGCTGGCAGTATTTCTGCTGATACAAATTTCTCAAGAACCTTGTCTGCTTTGAGTGGATGTCATAGGAATTCACTACATTGAACAGAAGCCATGTCCACAAATCTGGTAGAGATCATTCCTTCTCTAGCTTTGGCTGCTGCTGAGATGGCTCAGGGACACCCTTAAGCTTCCTAGAAGCCACTGATTTGAATGAGATCTGTGAGGCACAGCATAAACCTCTTGTGATCAAATACTCTAACCTTTTGTCTCTTAATTTTAGTGTCTTCGTCAATCTTGATATGCTGAGAATTACCCAATTCCTTTGTGTTTAACAGTCCTTTCCTCAATTTGTCACTCTCTTCTTGGGTTTTACTATAATCGGCAAGAAGAAACTAGATGGCACCTTCAACACTTTACTTGACCAATCCAGTGAGACCCCATCTCTATAAAAATAAAAATAAATTAGCCAGGTGTTGTGGCACGTGCCTGTAGTCCCAGTTACTCAGGAGGCTGAGGCAGGAGGATCATTTGAGCCCAGGAGTTTGAGGCTGCAGTGAGCCATAATTGCACCACTGCACTCCTGCCTGGGCAACAGAGGGAGACCCTGCCTCTAAAAAACAAAAAAAAACCAAAAAAAAAACAACAAGCAAAAACAACTTTACTTGGAAATCTTTTCAGCTAAATATGTGAGTTCATTGCTTTCAAATTCTACCTTCCAAATAACTGCAGGACACAAGTTTCAGTTTTGCTAAGCTTGCTGCCAATACATAACAAGGATCTCACTTCCTCCAGATTCTTATAACATGAGCCTCACTTCCTTCTGAGGCCTCACCAGCCGCCTTCCCATAGTCCATATTTCTACTAACATTCTGTTCAAGGCAACTTAGGCTGTTATCATGCTCCACAAAATCCTCTTCAAACTTGGTTCCAAAGACACTTCCACATTTTTAAGTATTTCTTATAGCAGCACCACACTTTCAGGTACTAAAATCCATATTCGTTTTCTATCGTTGCATAACAAACTAACATGAACTTACCATATCCTGACCTATATTCTATATTTTGGCATTTATCTTATCTGGCTTTCTCTTTCTAAGGGTTATTTTGTCCGTGCCTTATCCAAGTCCTCTATGCCCCACTATATTTTTTCATGGCATTTCTTTACGCCTCTTCTCCTCTGCACTCTGCACCCACAGGCGTGCAGCAGCAGGCAGATGGCAGGAGCTCTATTAGAATTTGGTTTATTTCTTTGCTTACAAGTAATTTAAACATCAGAATATTCTCTTTTACCAAATACTGATGAAGGAATAAGTCACTGTATTAGTCCATTTTCGTGATGCTGATAAAGACATACCTGAGACTGGGTAATTTATAAAGAAAAAGAGGTTTAATGGACTCAACAGTTCCATGTGGCTGGGGAGGCCTCACAATCATGGTGGAAGGTGAAAGGCACATCTTACATGGCAGCAGATGAGAGAGAACTTGTGCAGGGAAACTCCCCCTTACAAAACCATCAGATCTCGTGAGACTTATTCACTATCATGAGAACAGCACAAGAAAGACCCACCCCCATGATTCAATTACCTCCCACCAGGTCCCTCCCATGACACGTGGGAATTGTGGGAGCTACAATTCAAGATGAGATTTGGATGGGGACACAGCTAAACTATATCAGTCATATGTTGCTTTATTTCATGAGGTTTATTTGTGGAGAGAGGGGTGAGTAGGGAGATTCAGAATGAGGCAGTATTGCCACTGTCCTCCAAACCCAGAAGGCTAGTTTTTCACAATGGTATAGATTATCTATTCTGAAACGACTTTCTATGTATTCTAGGATTGAGCAAATAAGTATATTGAGCCAGATTGTTCACTGTCAGAAAAGGAAGTTACAAATATGGAAAGGGGGAAGACTAGAATGAACCTCTGGTGTTGGATTGAAATATGAGGTATCAGTATGAACTCATGGCTTTAATATATATATATATATATATATATAGAGAGAGAGAGAGAGAGAGAGAGAGAGAGAGAGAGAGAGAGAGACAGATGTGGAAACAAATATGTGTGTAAATGTACACGTGTGTACACATGCACATGCATGCCCATACACACATTTGCAAGAAGGAAAGAGTTAAAGGAACTGACCTGCAATTTATTTGGTCTCTTTACAAGGGGGATATCCCTAGTGCAAATAAAATAATGCATAGTTATAGTGATTACTGATATATTAGTATTTCTTTTTTTCTTAATTTATGCTATTTCCCATTCTTTTGCTTTATTTTTTCCTCCTCATTTCATGCCAATTATTGGATTCGCCATGCTTCATTTTTTCTCTTCTTTTTCCTCTTCTGGCTTGGAAGTCATATAACCCATTTGTGCTCTTGTAGTAGTTTCTCTTAAATTTGGCATACTTGGTTTGAAATCTAAAGTTAATCTATATTGGCCGGGCTTGGTGGCTCACACCTGTAATCCCGGCACTTTGGGAGGCTGGGGCCAGAGGATTGCTTGAGCCCAGGAATTTGAGAGACCAGCCTGGGCAACATAGTGAGACCCCCGTCTCTGCAAAAAATACAAAAAAATTAGTGGCATGTGCTGGTGCATGCCTGTAGTCCCAGCTACTTGAAAGGCTGAGGCAGGAGGATTGTTTGAGCCCCGGAGGTTGAGACTGCAGTGAGCCGTGATAGTGCCACTGCATTCCAGCCTGGGTGACACAGTGGGACCTTGACTCCAAAAAAAAAAAATAATAAAAATAAAATAAAGTTAATCTATATCTTTACTGTCCCCCTGACTAACGCATGGACCTTGAAATACTCTACCTCCAATTTCTCCTTCCAATTTTTCATGTTATTGCTAATATTTTAACTCCATCTTTTAAAAATATACTCAATCATTATTGCCATTTTTCTTGCTTTTTTCCATTTTCTTAGTTTTTTTTTAATAGTCAATGTCTATTTAGATTTATCTGCATATTTACTAACTTCTTTCCCACAGGTTTACCAATTTATTTGCTCACCATTGCTTCTTGCATCCTACACTGTCCTTCAGGATTCAAAACAGTTCTTTCTAAAGTGAATCCTTTAGAGGTTTTCAGGGTGACAGTCTGTGAATGATAAGCTCCTTTAATCTTTGTCTGAAAATGTCTTTATTTTGCCCTTCTTTGAATACAAAATGTAGTCCCATGGTGTGGCAGCTATGAAAATACGCCACTCAGATCTCTTGCTACAGGAAGCATAATTGACAGATGGCCTCAGCTGCTGCGCTACGAATCTACCGCCTGTTAACATGGAGACCACACTTCACACAGGCTGCTTTCAGTCAATGATTCCGCATGGCAGGGATAATAAGGTAGACCCATTCCTGTAAGACATGTGACTCCTCTGACAGGCTACTTTGGCTTCAGGATGCCTCATCAACTTGGCCGAACCTTTCTTAGAATCTCAATGCAGTCTTAGACTCTGCCTATGCAATGCTCCTTTCATTGGTATCAGACCTGCAGAGTGGCCTGAAGCCTCTTCCCACCTCTTGGGGATCCCTCCCTCCCCTTTTACCCTCAGAGGATTTCTCCAATCAATCCTTGCATGTCCAATCCCATGTTGGCTTCTGCTTCTCAGAGGACTCAGACATGGTTTGTGAATTAAACCAATATAAAATGTATACAGTAATGCAAGTCTCAGTCCCACCCTTGCCCAAATCTACTATTTCCCTCACCACAACCACATTCAAACAGATGTACTACTTGTGTATCCTCTGAATTTGTTATGGTAATATAATAATATATGAATACATATTATTTTCCTTTTTCTTACATCAAAGATAGCATTCCATAAACACTGCTCTGAACCTTACACGTTTTATCTTCTAGGTCTTTTTAACTTGTTTAATATTTTCAGTCTTTGGGTAACTCCGTGTCACAGCATTCTGAAAAATTTCCTTAAGTCTATTGTACAGTTTATTTCTTCTCTTTTTAGCTGTCTAATCTGCTTTCTAGCTTTTCACTAAATTGCTTTTCAGAAGCAATTCCGAATTTTTTAATCTTTACATTTCTATGGTTATTTTTCCCTAGTCTGTCTTTTCTTTTTGTCATATTGTCTTGTTCTTTTCTTAGCATTTCAATTATTCTTTTAGGTTTCTAATTGTCTAAAATATACTGATTTTATATTTTCTTTCAAATTTTAGCCTATTATCTCTGGTTTGGAGGGCTCTAATCTTTCCTCTTATTTTTCCTCCTATATTTTTTTAATGCAGACCTAAATGTTTTCACATTTCATTTATGCCTTTTGATAACATCCAAAGGAAGTAATTTTGGCATGTTTCATAAATATCAAAGCAAAACTAAAATTATAATCCATATTTTCTTCAGGAGCATTGTTTTCTCTCTAAGCTTTACTTTTATCCTAGAATTTGAAGTTTCCTTCCCTTTTGGCTCAATTCTATCTTCTTCAAAAATCACTAGAAATAATGGGCTAATTTTTCTGGAAGTAAAAATGAATTCTGTACAAATCTTTCTACTGGTTTACAGGTGAGGTAGTCCGCCATAGGTCTCAAAGATCTTTGCACAGTCTTGCTAAGTGTGCCACACTAAGGCCTAACCATCCCCTGATACTGAACTGTGTAGCTGACTTTATCTGTGTATTATTCCAGTCTAATGAATGGCTGGACAGATTTCTGTAACACTTTCTCACTCTGAGCTAGGTTGTACTTTCTTAGTCCTTTCTTTTGGCCAAGGGCTATAAAATTCGGACCACAGGACATTATTTTGTGAAATCCAGATCTGCGCCACTGTCTGAGTTCCATTGATAGGAAGGCTATTCGGATAGTTGGATTAAAGTCAATCCTTCATGTTTCTTTCACTGTAAGATGAACTTTTGAGTCAATTTATGTGACAGTGACTGAATAATATCATTTAAGACTCTGAAGATCACACATATGAACACTGTAACCCAGACAAATACTAACAGAAGATTTTATAATCAGACTTTGTAGTATACTTTTAGGAAACAAGTGTGTCCAAAATTAAACTAAGACTATAGGTCCTATCCCCAATCTTAAGGGTCTACAGAGCTAGCTATGAGAAGAGGGCCGCTGTTCTCCAGCCCCCAGGATGGTAGATCCACCAACAACTTGCACCATGCACCTGGAAAAGCCTCAGATACTCAATGCCAGCCCATGCAGGAGCTGCCCAAGGCTGTGGGAGCCCACCCCTTGCATGAGCGTGCTCTGGATGTGAGACATGGAGTCAAAAGAGATCATTTTGGAGCTTTAAGATTTAATGACTGCCACACCGGGTTTCGGATTTGCATGGGGCCTGTGGCCCCTTTGTTTTGGCCAATTTCTCCCATTTGGAATGGGAACATTTACTCAATGCCTGTACCCCCACTGTATCTTGGAAGTAACTAATTTGTTTTTTATTTTACAGGTTCATAGGCAGAAGGGAATTTCCTTGTCTCAAATGAGACTTGGACTTTTGCGTTAATGCTGAAATGAGTGAAGACTTTGGGGGACTGTTGGGAAGGCATGATTGGTTTTGAAATGTGAAAAGGACATGACATTTAGGAGGGGTCAGGGACAGAATAATACAGTTTGGCTCTGTGTCCCAACTCAAATTTCATCTCGAATTGTAATCCCCATAATCCTCACATGTCCAGGGAGGAACCCAGTTGGGGGTGATTGGATCATGGGGACAGTTTCCCCCATGCTGTTCTTGTGATAGTGAGTGAGTTTTCACAAGATCTGCTGGTTATGAGGGGCTCTTCCCCCTTCGCTCCTCACTGGATGTAACTACAGTAACAAAGGCTATTATTTAAACTTACTTGTCTCTATATTTTTAAGTGAAATAAATAGTTTATTAAATTTTTTCTTTCTCATAGACATGTGTGACAATTTACCTACACTAGATATTCCTAGAATATGCACATGACTGAAAGAGTTTTCTGATCAATTATATTCAAAATTTCCCATTGCCTAGGGAAGGCCAGGATGGAAGGGGTAGGAGGAATGGGAGACTGGTGCTATGTATCTATGATTGCATCCTGACAATCTTCAGCCACCCCTATTCTTTTTTTCCACTGGCCCTTAGTGCCTGGTAAGCCTGACTGGTTTCAGCCTAAGGTTAGGCAACAGGAGGAAGGTGACTGCAACCTTTTGCTTCTGCTATGACTTGGTTTCAGGTGTTGGATATGGAAGAGTGCTGGCCATGAGGATAATAGTTGGTGAAATTCATGGGCACTAGAGTATCCCTACAGTGGCCTGCTTGGGCAATGTTAGAGGACATCACAGGCTGTTGCAAGTTCTACCCATGGTGCCCAGTTCCCATGAGCCTTCGTCCATCTGGGTAGAGGTGGTGGATGGCTGGGCGAAAGGAGAAATAGTGGCTACTGATTTAAAACAAATGGACTATATGGAAAGAGCAATAAACCTGGGACCTGGGGAAGGAATACCTTAGTCTCCAGGAGGTGTGGGAAGGGGGGAAACATTTAATGCTTTCTTTGTCCCCTAGATGTAGCACTGCAGCATGGCAAAACAATCACATGGTCCACCTGAGTCAGGCGGCAGCTGCAATTGGCAACACAACGCTGCTGCTGGGTTTACCATCCCCATCCTCATGCTATAAAAACAGAACACTCATGTAGGTATGGCAGGATCTGAACTATTTCACTGTGCATGACACTCTCACAATAGCAGCACTGTTTAGCCATACCTGACACCCTCACAATAACATGACTATTTGGCTGTGCATGACACCTCAGCTCCTTCCTCATATGTGCACCAAGGCAACTTTGCTTCAATCTGACTGGTAAGAATTAACGCATGGAGCCCTCAGCCCTGGGTTCCATTAGCTATGGCACAACTCACTGTGCATATAGTCTCCATGCTCATCACAACACTCCGTGAGACTTGGAGGCACTGGAACCAGAGCTACCATGCTCATGCCCCTGCTATTTGCCCTGGTGTCTTACTCTGATTTCATTGTTTATTTTGAGCAGCTATGGATGGCAGGTTTACTCCTTGCCCCTTCCAGAGGTGAGGGGGCTCTTCTCCAACAAAGAGAACAAGGCAAGACAAGATTTTTATCTCTTAATGAAGAATATAATAATTCTAAATGGACTCCTTCCCTCCTCCTCGTTTCTATTTCTAGTAATGCCCTTCTTTTTCTTCTTCTTTTGTTCACCCATTAGAAAACATTTATTTAAAAGACACTGAATTTTAGCATAGCTAGAAAATTTTAAGATTATAAAATTGTATAAGTTTTTTTTAAGAGTTCCTCAGAAACATTCTTTTCAAGGCCTGAAACCAAAACTGTTAAAATATTTGACACTTTTATCTCTTTCATAGGCAATTATAATTGAAGTTTCCGTGTAGTTTTCTTTTTTATGTTAGACACTCTGTAAATTAGAAATTTTTAAATCTGAAAATGAATAGATATATATTAAAGGCTGTTCATTAGGAAAGAGAAAAGATCTGGGCCTTTAGTTGGCTCCCCATTTCCAGTCTTTTTTTTGAACTTTTATTATGTATATTCTGAAACACAGAAAAGAAGACTATAATGAACGCCCATGTATTCATCATCAGCTTTAACAACTGTCAACATTCTGCTAATCTTATTTCATGTAACTCCCCAACATTTTTTTCTGAAGCATTTTTAAAAAAATCCTGAGGCCAGGCATGGAGGCTCACACCTGTAATTCTAACACTTTGGGAGGCCAAGGTAGGAGGATTGCTTGAGGCCAGCTTGAGGCCAGGTGTTCAAGATCAGCTGGGGCAATATAGCAAGACCTCCTTTTTACAAAAAAAAAAAAAAATTAAAAATCAGCTGGGTGCAGTAATGTGTGCCTGTAGTCTCCGCTGAGGCAGGAAGATCACTTGAGCCCAGAAGATAGAGGTTGCAGTGAGCTATGATTGTGCCATGGCACTCCAGCCTAGGCAATAGAGTGAGACCCTGTCCCCTCTCCCCTCCACAAAAAAATCCTGACACTTTATTTCATGTAAATATATGTAAGTCAATGTTTGTTTGTTTGTTTGTTTGTTTAGACAGAGTCTTGCTCTTGTCACCCAGGCTGGGGTGCAATGGCACAATCTCGGCTCACTACAACCTCTGCCTCCTGGGTTCAGTCAATTCTCCTGCCTCAGCCTCCCAAGTAGCTGGGATTACAGGTGCCCACCACCACATCCGGCTAATTTTGTATTTTTTTTTAGTAGAGACGGGGTTTCTCCATGTTGGCCAGGCTGGTCTCGAACTCCTGACCTCCTGATCTGCCTGCCTTGACCTCCCAAAGTGCTGGAATTACAGGCGTGAGCCACTGCGCCCAGCCTGTAAGTCAATATTAATCCTACAAAAGTAAATGTAATACAAATAGAACTATAGCATATAAATGAAGAAATATTAGGTTGGTGCAAAAATATATTCATCCCATTCATTCATTAAAGCCAGGTAGCTAGGCACTATGGTAGGTGGGGAGATCAGAAAGATAGCCACATGAGGACAGAAGAAGAAAGTTCACAGGTTATTAGGTGAATAAGCAAATACAAGACTTACTGATCCTAAATGATGATGATCACTTACTGTTTGATCATCAAAGGATGAAGACCACTTACTATTTTAAGCCCTTTGCACATGTCAACTCATTAATTCTTCACAATCATCCTTTGAGGTAAGCAGTATTATTACAGATGAAGAAACTGAGATCACGCAAAGTAAAGTAACTTGCTGGAGAGCGTTCAGATAGTGTGTGGTAGAGCTAGGATTTGAATCTAAGCAGTCTGATTTCAGGGGCTGTGCTCTAAGGGGAAAAAAAGAGGAGACTACTTTAATATTGTGGTAAAAACAATGCTATCTGTTCATCATACTATTTCATTTCTTCCCTAAGCACACAAGAAGACCATATTTTCCAGGTCCCTAGCCTTTAAATGGGCTGTATGACTAATTCTGGCTAATGGAACATGGGTGGACACACACAAAAAAAATTCTCATATAGTGATGGCTTCCCAAGATGGAAGAAGCTTGGGTCTCCGAGTTACTACTTAGAGGACCATCCCCATCAGGTACATCTTTATTGAGATTCATGAGCATGAGAAATAAACTCTTACTCTGTTAAGTCACCAAGATTTTGGAGTTTGTAATGGTAGCTAGTGTAAATTATACTGATAGAAACATTTAAATTTAAATGTTTTAAAATTATGAAATATTTAAAAATATTGAAAAGTACAGAATATATTAACAATCAGATCTCTATCCCCTGATTTAATAGATATTAATATTGTCACATTTCCTTTATGTTTTTCTTCCAGAAATCCATTAGATAAAATAGCTAGTAACCAATAAAGCATCATCTTATCCTTTAGCCCTCCCTAGAAGTAACTACTATCCTGAAGGTGGTATATATCATCCCCATTTATATTTTTTACTTTTACTACACAATATACTAAATTATAGAGTATTATTTTGTGTGCTTTTCTTTTCTCTTTTTTTTTTTTTTGACATAAGGTCTTGCTCTATTGCCCAGGCTGGCATGCAGTGGTGTGATCTCAGCTCACTGCAACCTCTGCCTCCCAGGCTCCAGCAATCCTCCCACCTCAGCCTCCCGAGTAGCTGGGACCACAGGTGCATGCCATCACACCTAGCTAATTTCTTGCATTTTTTGTAGAGACAGAGTCTTGTTGTGTTGACCAGGCTGGTCTCGAACTCCTGGGCTCAGGTGATCTGCCCGCTTCGGCCTCCCAAAGTGCTGAGATTACAGGCATGAGCCACCGTGCCCGGCTTTTGTGTGCTTTTAAAATGGACACAAGTGGTATCAGAAAGATTGCTTTTCTTTATTCAGTATTGTTTTTAAGATGTATTCATGTCAGTTTACGTAGCTGTAATACATTTGAACAGTTACATAAAAATATATTTATTTATTTATTTATTTTTATTTTTGGGACAGAGTCTTGCTCTGTCACTCAGGCTGGAGTGCAGTGGCGGATCTCGGCTCACTGCAACTGCGCCTCCCGGGTTCAAGCAATTCTTGTGCCTCGGTCTCCCAAGCAGTTGGGATTACAGGCTTGCACCACCACGCTCAGCTAATTTGTTTTTGTTGTTGTTGTTGTTGTTGTTGTTTTTGTATTTTTAGTAGAGACGGAGTTTTCATCATGTTGGCCAGGCTGGTCTGGAACTCCTGGCCTCAAGCAATTAGCTGGCCTCAGCCTCCCAAAGTGCTGGGATTACAGGTATAAGCCACCATGCCTGGGCAAAAATATAGTTTACTTATCTATTCTCCTACTGAGAGACAGTTAAGATTGTTCATATTTTCTTGCTTCTACAAATAAAGCTGCAATGAAGTTCCTTGTACATGCCTAATGTAATATAGTCAGGAAAGCCTCTCTGAGGATTTTATCATTAAACTGATACTTGAAGGATGAGAAGCCAGCCAGGAAACAATATTTCAAGTATCTGCAACATAATGCAAGCTATCTTCAGTGGGAGGGAATGGCATGTACTATGTAGTGAAGTTACAGTGTAGTAAGGGAATAAGTGGCAGGAGATGGGGAGTTTATTGAAATTTCTGTGAGTTGAATAGGTATCTTTAAAAATGGAAAAGTACTATTTATCAAAAAGAATGTTCTAAAGAAAAATAAGGTGAAAATTCAGCAATAGGACTATGAAACTTACTGTGCTTGAATTATTGGAGACCAGAGAGGTAAAGTAAATGAAAGCTCCTGAGTGCAGTGATATCCCACCTCCCAACCAGATAGTGTTACCAAAATGCCAGGGGTTTGGTCTAGGTCCCATTGCTCCCTGCACAGAAAGCCAATCACTGAGACAACGACTGTTGCCAGGGAAGTAGTCATTCCATCTCTCTGACTGACTAAAATTGGGGGTTTATATAGTGGGAAAGGAATGTAACTACATGTGGGTAAACAGGAATTAGGGAGAGGTAAGGAAATCATGAAGGATGAGGGACCTGGCTTCTCATTGTCTAGATATGGTGACCTGGTTTCAGTTTCTTGAAACTATCTGGGAGGCATGAAGGTTATTTTCCCGAGGAAGGAACTCAGTTAAGACAAATATAAGTTTCAAGCTTTAAAACTGGAAGGGTCAATATCTATGTTTATTTTAGAAGACTGTAAACATCGGTTCTATGGGACAATTGGGCTGGTTTCAGTAACATAGCCACTTGGCAAACATAGGAAGGGCTAGTAAAATAAATTAATGGGGAAGGAAAGAAAATGTTAGCATGTTTGGCTGAGTTACTAAATAAATGACCCATATTCAAACCACTTTTGGAAAGTTTCCAATTTATCATTTTAAAGCTTACAGTACAATATTTGACACTATAGTATAGGTACATACTTCTTTCATTCACATTTTTCAGTTGTTCCCCTATTTGGTGATCACCTGATTCACACTTCAGATCGTTTCAGAACTAGCAGCATGATATTTTCTCAGCTCTTAAATTGACTTAAATGCTTCAGATGTTTCATGAGATTAATCTGATTTTAACAAAAGGAACAAAAAATATTGAAAACATGGAGAAAAAGGGGAATTTCCTTTAAAGCTCTTTTGATGGAAAAATGAAATTATGATACATATGGTTTCATTTAATGTACAGCTGCCCCTCAGACTCAAAAGGGTTGAAAAGGAATTGAAAAGTAATTTTTTTCATTATTTTGATAAGATTTGCAATCACTTCTATCCAAAAGCAAGAGCAGAAACTGCATTCATTCAACAGATGCGGCATTCATAGTGAAGTCGAGAGGAGGAACCATGGGCATGGTCTGACCAACCTAGAAAAAAATGAGAACATTGTAATGGCTTTGCATTTAGAATAAAACCCAAACTTCTTACTGTGGCCTCTAAAGCCATTAGCAGAGTAGCCTTTGCCTGCCTCTCTATGCAAATTAAAACCACACAATTAATTTGTGTAGGGAGCAAACAAATTTTGTTAGAATGTCTATAATCAAAAAGATGAAAGATAACAAGTGTTGGTGAAGGTGTGGAGAAAAAGGAACCCTTGTACACTATTGATGTGAATGTAAATTTGTAGTACACCCATTTTGGAAAACAGTATGGAGGTTCCTTAAGAAACTAAAAATAGAATTACTACAGGATGCAGCAATCTTACTTCTGGGTATATATCCAAAGGAACTGAAATCAGTATGTTGAAGAGATATCTGCACTCCCATGTTCATTGCACCATTATTCATAATAGCTAAGATGCGGAATCAAAGTGTCCATCAACCAATGAATGAATTAAAAAATGTGGTATAAATATACAACAGAATACTATTCAGCCTTAAAAAAGAATGAAATTCAGGCCGGGCATGGTGGCTCATGCCTGTAATCCCAGCACTTTGGGAGGCCAAGGTGGGTGGATCACCTGAGGTCAGGAGTTTGAGACCAGCCTGGCCAACATGGCGAAACCCCATCTCTACTAAAAATATAAAAATTTAAAAAAAATTAGCTGGGCGTGGTGGCACGTGCCTGTAATCCCAGCTACTCAGGAGGCTGAGGCAGGAGAATCGCTTGAACTTGGGACGCGAGGTTGTAGTGAGCCAAGATCGCGTCACTGCATTCCAGCCTGGGCGACAGAGCGAGACTCTGTCTCAAAAAAAAAAAAAAAAAAAAAAAGTAAAGAGTAGAATGGTGGTTACCACCAGAGGCCGGGTAGGACAGTGGGTGGAGAAAGGGGAAATATTAGTCAAAGGGTACAAAGTTTCAGTTAGATAGGCGGAATAAGTTCTGGTGATCTATTGCACAGCAATGTGACTACAATTAGCAATAACCTTTTGTATCTTCCAAAGTTGCTAAAAGTGGATTTTAAATGTTCTCACCAAAAGAAGTAAGTATGTATATCATTTGATAGATGTTAATAGCCTGATTTGCTCATTCCACAATGGTTACATGTTTCAAAACATCACATTGTATGCCATAAGTATATACTATCAATTAAAAATAAAAATAATATTTAAAAATAAGGTAGCTGCCTTCCAGCAACTGTATCTGTAAGGGGTATAAATAATCCCAATGCATTTTAATAACTAGCACAATGATATTCTGTTTCAATGTGCTTTAGGACCACCAAGGGAGGGAACAAGTGAGCTTACACCTTCAGAAGCAGATGAACCGCTTTCAACAATGATAAAGAATTACCCAAGTGATGACAGTAAGAATATTCTAACCTTAGGGAACATCATGAACATCTCTTACACCAAGAGGAGATGAAACTGCAAAAAGATGTTTGAAAGGGGTCGCAGCAACGAATGCTTCTAATAGTGAATCTCTACGTTAGGGCATGTTAGAATCACCTTAGGAAAGTTCAAAAATTCCCCAAGCCCAGACCTCAAGCCAGACCAATTAAATCTGAATCTACAGGGGTGGAACCCATATATCTAAGTATTTTTTTAAAAAACAGCTCCTCAGATAATTGCAAAGTGCAGCCAAGGTTGAGAATCGCTGTTTTAAAGCAGGTACAAAAAATTAAACGTGGACTTTGATGGGGGGGACGGGAGTGTCGGTAGGCATGGATGAACTGAAAAGCCCTTCAGAATAGAGCGGTGACTGCAAGAGCAAGGACAAAAACTATATGAGAGCCCGTGGCAGGGGATTTAAGGGCCGTTTTTGTGTGGGACTGACAGGATTTGGGGGATGGTGACGACCTCAGCATACACCCGACTCTATTAAAATTGAGTTACTCTGCCAGCGGCCCTGTCTCTACCCGCAATCATATTTTCTAGCACCTTTTCCCACAGTTTGGAAAAAAAAAAAAAGGGGCGAAAACGTTCTCCCACGTAACGCGCCGTGGACGTGTATGGGAGGAGCAAAGGCCTGAGAATCACAAGCGCGCGGCCGCTCCCATTTCTTCGCGATTCCAGAACCAGAATTCACGAACATTTAGAGGAGGCCTCCCCTGGCTGTGTTTGTGCCCCACTTAGGAAGCGATGGTGGATTTCTCTGGGCAAATTGTCGCCTTTACAACGCCAGGGGGCGGAGGCGGGAGGGAGAGCGGCGAGGGTAAGGGCGGGGCAACTGCTGACGTTCCCGGTGACGACTCCGGCTCAGCCCTCACCCTGGTTTCCGGCGGCGCGCGGCTCCCTTTTCCGCTCTCCCGCGCGCTCACAGGTACCGCCTCACTCCCACGCGCCCCCCAGCGCTGCGGTGCTAGACAGCTGAGAGAACAGACACAGACCTGTCGGAAGGTCCTCTGCAGGTCCCCCTTCCGCTCTGCCGATCGACTTCCGCCTCGGGCAGTCAACATGTACGTTGCGGCTGTCTGGCGAAGCTGCTTCTGAGCGTTTGCGGAGGCGCAGCTTCCCCTCTGCGGGGCCGCCCTGCTTCCCCCCCATCCCCGCCTCCCCCCGCCCCTCGCTCCTGTCCCTGGGGTCGGCGGACTTCTCGCTACATGGGGGCGGGCTTCCGCGGTCGGCGCACGGCTTCCTGTTCTGAGGCGGCCCGGCGGTAGGCGGTGGCGACTCTGCCCGCTCCCGTTTCGGCGCGGTGACCGAGCGCCCGGGAGGCTCGAGGACCGCATCGTGTGCCGTTGCGCCAAGCCCGGTCCTGCGCCGCCATGGCCCCAGTGCAGCTGGAGAACCACCAGCTGGTCCCGCCCGGAGGCGGCGGCGGGGGCAGCGGCGGACCCCCGTCAGCCCCAGCCCCTCCTCCCCCGGGAGCCGCCGTGGCGGCGGCCGCTGCAGCTGCGGCTAGCCCGGGCTACCGGCTGAGCACCCTCATTGAATTTCTGCTGCACCGGGCCTACTCGGAGCTTATGGTGTTGACGGACCTGTAAGTGCCCCGAAACCCCTGCCTGTTCCCCAGCCCCCCTTCCCGCCCAACCGGCTGAGACGTTTGCACCTCCCTCTCCCCGAGAGGCTGCTGTGTTCTCCGCTGGACTGCTTAGTCTAGAATTTTTGAACTCCTGGGGTTCAGCAGAGGTGGAGAAGAAGCTTTGTATCTGGGGTCTTCCTGGCAACGATGCAACAGAGACTTGTTAATTTTGCGTGTTGTTACACTTCCACTGAAAATTGTGTGAAATTTTTGTCCGAGTTCCCAACAGAACTCTCTTGATTTCTTGGCTGGAATACATAATATTCGAGCTTTTAGAAAAAACTCTATAGATGGGAAATTTGTATTACAGCCTCTTGACGATACGTTTTAAATGTAAGCTGTTATTGCTTCTAAGTTAATGCAGGAGCTACATACGTTGTGTATAAAATACAAATTTGAATTCAAAGTACTTTTTTTCTGGAACTTTTGAGTGTTTGAGGTCTTAATGAAGTTAGTGTGAGTAAAATTTTTTTGTAAGTAGTCTGTTATTTCTTGGAGTATGAAGGGGGTTTATAAATCACCTAGTTACCCATGAAATGCCTTGGGGCATGATTAAGTTGTTAATCCCTTCAGAATAGGATCAGAATATACTAACGAATTTCAGTGTGTGAAGAAAAGGCACCGTAACATTTTGGGACTCTGTTGTACATCTTATAACCCAGGTTCAGAAAAAGTTAATCAGAATTTTATTTTTTATCTATTGCAAGACTTCAGATCAGGGTTATCAATTGAGATACATTAGTATGCAGATATTAGGCTCTAAAGCGTCACAGTAATTTGTTTTTAGAGACTGATAACAGATACTTGTTTGCAGATGACTGAAAGAGTAGGCTCTACTTAACTCCTGTAAAACGTCATTCTCAGTTTTGATGTATTGTACTTTTTTGAATGGGACAGAAAAAAGTAGTGTTAAAGAAGCCTACCCATGGCTAATGAGAAATTTAAATCGCTGTCAGGTTTAGGGACTATTATAATGATATACCTCTCTGCACCATTTATTGTTGGATTTCATAAAAATCCAAGAATATCCATGAGAAAGTTTCATGTATGTGCCTATATAGAGCTGTGGGAAAAAAAATGTTGAAAACTGCTGCTATCGGTGGTGTAATTTGCTTTTCCATAGGGGATTTGTAGAAATTCCTTGAATTGTGGTTGTCTTTTTACTATTTTAGGACTTGGCTTATGAAGAGAGGAACATCTGTTTTATTGCCGTAGAATAAGTATGTAGTTATAGTCCCACACCCTTTATGTGATGGTTCCCATATTTGTATCTCCAGCACAGACCTCTCTGATGAACTCCAGACTCTATATCCAGATGCCTACATTTCAGTATCTTGATGGGCATTTCAACATAGCAACTCCAGCACCAAACTCCTGATTCCACTGTCCTCCCTCCTGCAGAACCTTCTTTGCTATCTCACTAGTCTCTCCATTCTTCCTGTTGTTGCTCAGGCCAAATATTTTGGAATAACTCCTGGCTCCTCTCTCTTCACATCCTACATACATCAGCAAGTCCTGTTATCTTTGACTTCAGAGTCTGACCATTTCTCAACACTTCCACCAAGTGCTGGTCCAAGCCACCTAATCCTTCACCTGTGTACTGCAATAGTCAGTTCACTGGTATCTCTGTAGTTCCCTTGCCCCTTCTATAGTTTCTTCTCCACAAAATAGCCAGGATGATTCTTTTAAAATTTCTCTGCTTAGAACCCTTCGATGGTTCCCCATCTCACTGAGATTAAAAAGTGTTGATAATTGCCAGGTGTGGTGGCTTATACCTGTAATCCCAGCACTTTGGGAGGCTGAGGCAGGGGAGGGGGTCACTTGAGCCCAGGAGTTCGAGACTCTGTCTCTACCAAAAATAGAAAATTAGCTGGGTGTGGTGGCCCAAGCCTGTAGTTCCAGCTACTTGGAAGGTGGAGGTGGGAGGATTGCTTGGGCCCAGGAGGTTCGCTTGAGCCCAGGAGGTTGAGGCTGCAGTGAGCATGTTCGCACCACTGCACTCCAGACTGGGTGACAGTGAGATCCTATCTCAAAAAAAAAAAAAAAAATATTGATAATCATCTGTATAGTGACCATAAAATTTATAGTCCAAACCGGGACACTTTTGAGCATAATGGGGCTGATGATAATAATGTCAGAACAAGAGGCATAAACCAGGACTGTCTTGGGCAAACCAGAAAACCAGAACATGTGGTCATCTTACCTTTAAGGCCTTACATGATGTGCCTTCTCTGTTCCTTAACCTTTTTTTTTTCTCCAACCTCTTAACCACTTTTGGTTTGTCCCTTACCTCTTTAACTGCATGTCCTGAAACTCTCCTCTTTGCTTATCCTGTTCCGACCACATTACCCTTCCTGATGTTTCTTTTTTATTTTTGAGACAGGGTCTCACTCTGTTGCCCAGGCTGGAGTGCAGTGTGGCACAGTCATGCTCACTGCAGCCTCTCGACATGGGCTCAACTGCTCCTCCTGCCTCAGCCTCCCAAATAGCTGGAACTACAGGCATGCGCCACCACGCCCAGCTAATTTTTTTATTTTTGGTAGAGACAAGAGTCTCACTATGTTGCCCAGGCTGATCTTGAACTCCTGGGCTTAAGCAGTCCTCCCACCTCTGCCTCCCAAACCTTTTTTTTTTTTTGAGACAGAGTCTCACGGTGTTGCCCAGGCTGGAGTGCAGTGGTGTGATCTCGGCTTGCTGCAGCCTCCGCCTCCCGGGTTCAAGTGATTCTTGTGCCTCAGCCTCCCGAGTAGCTGCGATTACAGGCATGCACCACCACACCTGGTTAATTTTTGTATTTTTAGTAGAAATGGGATTTCACCATGCTGACCAGGCTGGTCTCAAACTCCCAACTTCAGGTGATCTACCCGCCTTGGCCTTCCAAAATGCTGGGATTACAGGCGTGAGCCGCTGTGCCCAGCCTCCAAACCTTCTTGATGTTTCTTGTTAGTGCCTAGCACACTGCCATCTTAGAGCCTTTGCTTTTTCCCTAGAAATCTGTGTGAATTGCTTTCTCATTAGTCCTTTAGGTCCTTGTTTACATACAATTTATCAGAAAGATTTTCTCTGACCACCTATAAAATAGTACTCTGCCCCTTCACTCTGTCCTTCTTACTTGCTGCTTTATTTTTCTTTACAGCACTTATTGCCACCTGACATTATTAGTTTGTTGTCCATTCCCACCCCATGAGGACAGAGATTTTGATTTGTTTGTGACTTTCCCTGGTGCCTAGAACAATGCCTGGCACACAGGGCTTAACTAAGTATTTATTGATTTAATACATGAATGAATGAATGTTTAGAATTGTCATAAATCAATATATGGTTTGATAGAAGAAATAATAACTAGTGTTTGATAACTCAGTAGGGTGACTAGTTTGCAAGAATCTACTGTACATTTCAAAATAGCTAGATGAGAATAATTCAGATGTTTCCAGCATAAAGAAAAAACAAATATTTAAGATGATGGATATCACAAGTACACTGATTTGATCTTTACAAATTATATAAATGTATGAAATTATATGTACTGTGAAACTGTACATGCTTAATGCATCAATAAAAATATTGTTCAAAAAGAATTGTAAACCATGGGAAATTTAATAGGAAAAGTTATTTTTGTTCTTGATACACAGGTATACAACTTTTTTCACTTTTGATTGTGGTAATTATTAATTAATTAGTTTGGGAACTTACCATGGAAGTTCCTAAATAGTGTATTTTCCCTAAAAACTGTCAGGATTAATATGTTAATGTAGAGCCAGTGTTCGAGGTATACTTTATGAGTCTTTAGGGAAACAGTTACTTCAGTAATATGTGATGCTTGTGTGTGAACTATTGAAGGTAAAAAGGACAACCTTGGCAACTTAGGTGGTTTTGTTTTGGTCTCAGATTTCTGGGTTTTTTCCTTCTGCTTGTCCACCTCCCTTCCCCCTCAACATACATGCTCTCATCCTAGAGTTTACTCTCTGCCTTGACTTTTTAGAGACCTAGGTTCTACTCTTTATTTTTTTTTTTTGAGACAGGGTCTTGCTCTGTCACCCAGGCTGGAATGCAGTGGCACAATCATGGCTCACTGCAGCCTTGACTTCCAGGGCTCAGGTGATTCTCCCACTTCAGCCTTCCAAGTAGCTGGACTACTTGCCACCACACTTGGCTAATATGTATTATTTGTAGAGATGGGGTTGCCATGTGTGCCCAGGCTGGTCCCAAACTCCCGGACTCAAGCGATCTGCACCCCACCCCCCCGCCACCAAGCCTCCCAAAGTGCTGGGATTACAGGTGTGAGCCACCGTACCTGACCCCCCCGCCCCCTTTTTTTTAAACTTCTTTTAATTCAGAAAATGCCAGGATCTCAGTCATGTAATCTTGTCTTATTGTGCTTTGGTGTAAATAAGTTTCTATGCCTTACTTCCCAACATTTGCATTTTAGAACTTTTACTCTAAATGGTAGCTTTCTTATCCATAAAAGAATTTCAAATAGATTAGGAGGAATAGGGGAAAGGGGAGGCAGGCAGCAAAGCCTGTCTTTTGTCCCTGAACTGATACTACCGCTGACATGAGATGGTTCTTTTAGGGTCTCTGAGGCAGGTAGGAGGAGTGGGAACAATGATTCCTGTTCTTTCTACCCCCAGAAACTCTGCTCCCCTTCTCCCCTTATAGATACCCATCGTTCTCATTCTCCCCCTCCCTTGAGGTGAAAACAAGGGCTGTGGCTTCTCAAGGAGTGTTCTCAAGAGGTTTGGCTTGTAGAGGAACTTGCCAGTAGCTGCCTTTATTTGCAGTCTTCTAACAGGGCCTTAATTTCTGCTTCATCTCTCCGGTCTGCTGGCCCTTCCAGCCCCCACCTAGTTCCCTTTATCATTCTGACCATAACTTTAACTTCCATCTCACCGTCTACCCTAAGAGTAGGAGGTAACTATAAGCCAGAGATCATTTTAATATTTTCTCCTCCTTGTACTTTGAACCTCTGGAAGTAGTTTTAGTTTTTCTGTTCCTGTGGCACGTGGGTGGGAGACAATCTAAATGGCTGGGTGTGTGTACTTCAAGAACTGATTAGCTGTGGGAGAGGCATGAGAGTTGTTTAGGCCATTGAATCTTGGACTGTGGGATAGAGGTTAACAGAATGTGGCAATTCAGGAGGCATTAAGGATCTTTCTAGGCATCAGTGGATGTGAATGTTAAATGGTATAGCTTATCTGGGAAGAAGTTGACATTGGTTGCTGGCTATCAGTATTGGAGGACTAGCAAAAAGAAACTTAAAAATCCTGTTGGAGCTGTTTAAAAGCAATAAAAATTTTTCATCTAACCACCATGCAGCATAATTACTGTAAAACCCTTGACATACACTGGTCCTTTTGTATGCTTAGCTTCCAGTTTTGTCCACCATAACACAATGTGGAGGGATTATTGCTTGGAAACAGGTATCCATTGGATACAGGGAGGCTGGCAACCAAGTAGTAAGTTCTTCTGCATCTGTGACCATTTTGGTCTTAAAATAATCTTTTCTCTGACACCCTATGATATAGTGTGCTAATGTGGGACTTGGGCTTTTTAAATGTTTAAGGTTCATGCAATACATTTTGAAGTATTTTGAATGGAGAAAAATGTTCTTTTGTTGGTTTTTGCCTTATAACCATACTGCTGGAAACTCATAAATCTAAAAAAGAGTAGGTAGCTACATGAGCCTGTAGTAGCTGTTTACCCAGTTTTTCTGAAACATTAACGTATTTAATAGAGTCAAAGTAAAGACTATTATCACATTAGAATGAAGGTATGCATGTATCTAATCCGTTTTTTTTTTTTCTTCTTAGACTGCCAAGGAAATCTGATGTGGAAAGGTGAGTATGGAAAAAAAAAACCCTTAAAGTCTCTTTATTGATCAATCTATGAGTGTTGGTGTGTGGGTATGGGTGGTGTAGGGCTGTGGATTGGAAACCTAGGCCCAAAGAGTCTAGAATGATTTTTCACACCATGTATTTAGGGAGTCCTGGGAAATGTAATTTCCTCACCCTTAACAATACTTGTTGTGAGACCAGTTCTAAATCTTCTGTTCTACAAACCTTTATTGAGTGACTGACCTGGTCAAGTCCCTAAGGGTGATATTAAGATAAAGAAGGTATAGTCTGTAAAGGAAGATGCTGAGGAGCAGCAGACTGGCTTTAGAAAGTTGACTGCCACGGGCATAGTGGCGGGCGCCTGTAGTCCCAGCTACTCAGGAGGCTGAGGCAGAATAATTGTTTGAACCCAGGAGGTGGAAGTTGCAGTGAGCCGAGGTCACGCCACTGCACTCTAGCCTGGGCCACAGAGCAAAACTTTGTCTCAAAAAAAAAAAAGAAAGTTGGCTGCTAATTTATCACTTGCAACAATGATGCTATTAAGTATCTTTAGAGAGTTGACATTTGCCTACTGCTCCTACTGTTACATAGTTAACATTTTGGTTCAGTTGGAGCTTGGAGCTTAAGATTTAACTTAAGGCTAAAATGTTTCCAGAGGCCAAAGGAACAAGCGAAATTAAAGTTTCAAAGAAATCATTTGATGGAGATTTAAATTGTAACTAAAGTATATGGTACTTGACCGTATCTTTGGCACTACTTATGCTCCTTGGTTGATTTTTTTTTTTTTATACCAAATCACTTGGCAACTTTTTAGCATTTCTTAATGGCAACACTCCATTGCCAACCCCAACTTAACTTTTTGATCGAATTAGAGATCAAGAAGGTAGAAGTGAAAGAGACAACTAGGGCAACCTGTGTTATGGTTTGGCTGGTCAGTATTAAAGGAGGAAAACGTTAAGTCAAGGATTTGTTCTGTCCGCTCTGGGGTATGAAGGGAAACTGGGCCTTTGAAAAACTGACTCATGTTGCCTAGCACTTGAGACAACATGGTGTCAGAAAACCATGTTACTATAGTTTACAAAGGGGGACATCTCCATTGTAGTAGAGGACTGCATTTGGGAAACCGAATTAATGATAGACAAGTGTGTTTGCTCTGTGAGAGGAGCAGAGACCTTGCATCCTCTATAAGCCATTGCTGAGTTAGAGTGAAAGGTACTGAGGTTCCCAGCCCTGAGATCTGCTGGATCTTAATGTGTGTTTAACATTTCTGCTATGTCTCAGTCTTGTCTTATGATCCTTCGTAGACACTGGCAAAGAGTCATAATTATGCCCTTGATTCTTCTCTTTATAGTACCACTAATCATATTGCTGGCCGATTTTTAAGAGAGCCTTTTAGGGTGCTTGTGGGCTATGTGTGCTCTCAGTAGGAGCTAGCCTCTAGCCTTCAGTCAGGATTGTACTTCAGCAAGAACTTTTACTTTGGTGCATTGCGTCATGGTGGTGGTATTGGCAAGATGCAGAGATGTGGACTGGATCTGCAGGTCATTGAACAGCTGTACTAAGATTAATAGGTCAGAGTCTACTTGGAGGGAGGTTGGTGTCCTGCTGGGTCTGGTCATCGGTCCTGGCTTGTTGAATATTTTTTTCAGTGTTTTAAAGTAAACCATAAAAGATATGATTATCAGTTTTATAGCTGCTATGAAGTTGAGAGATCTAGCTAACACGTTGATTGACATTAGTAAAGCTTTTGGGATTTTAGGATGAGATAAAAGTACTGATGAGTATTAGGGGAAAAGTAATAATAGTGAGTATAGGATAAAACTAGATATGGACAGACCTTTTATTTTTAGTACTCAACATAATTTCTTTAGCTTTGCTTGGATATTTTTTAATGTATCCAAGTTTGTCATTGAAATTAGTTTGGTAAAGAGTTACATAGTTAAGTTCTTTAATTGCTCAATCTTTCATGCTGGTGCAGGATGGGAACTGGTGCCCTTTTGTAGAATGAATACAGTTTCAGGCTTTGGTAAAGATCAGTTTCAATTCCTTTCACTTACCAAAAGGGTTACTAATTACTTACTAATTAAATTACTCCTAATTTCAGTTATGAACTTATAATTCATAACTCCTCATTTAATCCCTTCTGTGAAGCAGTTTACTTCTACCACCATATACTGAATTTAGTATATTTTTGTAAACAACTTTTATTACAATATAAAATTAATTTTAAAATGTGACTTATTGCTAAAACATTCTATTGGGTTTATTGCTCTGAGGTGAAAAAGCATATGCAGATAATATACAAAATGTGACAATAGTTCATATTTAGATAAATATTTTAGGTGGCTCATTTTGTAGTGGTTGTAAGCAAAGGCTGATTTATTTATTTATTTATTTTTGCTTAGCTGAAATAAATTGTGAAATACTGTTTCTAATATGTTGGTTCATTAAGAGTTGTTTTATTTTATAGGAAAATAGAAATAGTGCAGTTTGCTAGCCGGACACGCCAACTCTTCGTTCGATTATTAGCTTTAGTGAAATGGGCTAATAATGCTGGCAAAGTGGAAAAATGTGCGGTGAGTTAAACTTTTTATTTTACTTTGTATAAAATAACTTTTCGAATGTTATGATAGACATAGTTTTACATTTTAGCTTTAACTTATCCCTGCTGATTTGAGTGACATGTGAATAATCATATTTCTGAATGATAATGTATATTTCTGCAGAAACTTAGTATTTGTTTATGGACACCTGATCAGAAAGAAGAGGAGATAGCTGGAGACATCATTACGTGAGGAGACTTTAAATATGAGACTGGAACTAAAGGGGGAAAATTGTTAGTTTATATTCGTGCTATTCCTTAGAATTTGCAAGGTTCTCCCTTAAATTTTGCTTATGAATTCTTGACATCCTGTGAGAATGGCAGAGTTGGTTTTTTTTTTTTTTTCCAGTTTTACAGATGACAAAATGATAAGGTTCCTAGAAGTTACATGGCTTCTTCAAGGTCACAGAGGCTGATAACAGCATTTTTCTGTTTGTTTATCTACTAATTCTCTAAACCTCTAATAAGCACAGGGTATAGGGCACAGAGGATGGAATCTTCAATAAGGAATAGTCCCTGCCTTCGAGAACCTCATGGTCTTTTGACTGTTGAATCACTCTTTGGAATGCAAAGTGACATGCAGTGCAGTGTACCAAAG
Source organism: Homo sapiens (assembly GCF_000001405.40). Taxonomy (NCBI): domain Eukaryota; kingdom Metazoa; phylum Chordata; class Mammalia; order Primates; family Hominidae; genus Homo; species Homo sapiens. The sequence continues at coordinate 40,726,121 of NC_000023.11, read as the reverse complement.
ATGCTAAAATCTACCAAAAATAAAGTTTTATGCTATGTTCAAGAAGCGTTAAGGAGTAAAAACTTGATTGTTTTTCAGATTGTTCACTATTGGCATATAGAAATACTACTGATGTTTTGTATGTTGATTTTGTATTCTGCAACTTTACTGAATTTATCAGTTCTAATAGTTTTTTGGTGGGGTCTTTAGGCTTTTCCAAATATAAGATCATATCATCTGCAAACAAGGATAATTTGACTTCTTCCTTTCCAATTTGGATGCCCTTTCTTTCTTTCTTTTGTCTGATTGCTCTAGCTAGGACTTCCAGTACTATGTTGAATAATAGTGGTGAAAATGGGCATCCTTGTCGTGTTCCAGATCTGAGAGGAAGGGCTTTCAGTTTTTCTCCATTCAGCATGATAATTAGCTGTGGGTCCGTCAAATATGGCTTTTATTATGTTGAGGCATGTTCCTTCTATACCCAGTTTTTTGAGGGTTTTTATCATGAAGGGATGTTGAATGCTATTACATGTGTTTTCAGCATCAGTTGAAATGATCACATGGTTTTTGTTTTTCATTCTATAGATATGATGTATCACAGTGATTGATTTGTATATTTTGAACCATCCTTGCATCCCTGGGATAAATCCCACTTGGTCATGATGAACGATCTTTTTAATGTTTTGTTCAATTTGGTTTGCTAGTATTTTGTTGAGAGGATTTTTGTATTAATATTCATCAGATGTATTGGCCTGTAATTTTCTTTTTTTGATGTGTCTTTGTCTGGTTTTGGTATCAGGGTAATACTGGCCTTGTAGAATGAGTTTGGAAGTTTTCCCTCTTCCACTATTTTTTGGAATAGTTTAAGTAGGATTGGTATTAGTTTGTCTTTAAATGTTTGGTAGAATTCAGTAGTGAAGCCATAAGGTCCTGGGCTTTTATTTGCTGGGAGACAAATTATAATTAATATAATGAATTATAGCTCCATTCTTGTTACTTGTTATTAGTCTATTCGGGTTTTGAATTTCTTCATGGTTCAGTCTTCACAGGTTGTATGTGTCTAGGAATTTATCCATTTCCTCTAGATTTTCCAATTTATTGTCATATAGTTGCTTACAGTAGCCACTAATGATCCTTTGAATTTCTGTGGTATTAGTTGTAATGTTTCCTTTTTCATCCCTGATTTTATTCATTTGGGTCTTCTCCCTTTTTTTCTTTGTGAGTCTGGGTAAAGGTTTGTCAATTTTGTTCATTTTTTCAGAAAACCAGCTTCTTGTTTCATTGATCTTTTGCATTGTTTTCTTCATTTCAAATTCATTTATTTCTGCCCTGATATTTATTATTTCTTCTAATTTTGGTTTCAGGTTTCTCTTGCTTTTATAGTCTTTAAGATGCATCATTAGGTTATTTATTTGAAGTTTTTCTTCTTTTTTGATGTAGGCACTTATAACTATAAATTTATCTCTTAGTGCTGCATCCCATAGGTTTTGGTGTGTTGTGTTTCCATTATCATTTATTACAATAAATTTTTAAATTTTCTTCTTAATTTGTTCATTGACTCACCGTTCATTTGGGAGTGTATTGTTTCCGTGTGTTTGTATGGTTTCCAAAATTCCTCTTGTTGTTTTCTAGTTTTATTCCATTGTGGTCAGAGAAGATGCTTGATATTATTTCAGTTTTTCTGAATGTTTTAAGACTTGCTTTGTGGCCTAACATATGGTCTGTCCTTGAGAATGATCTGTGTGCTGAGGAGAAGAATGTGTATCCTGCAGCCTTTGGATAAAATGTTCCATAAATATCTATTAGGTTTATTTGTTCCACAGTGCAGATTAAGTTCCATGTTTCTCTGTTGAGTTTCTGTCTGGGAGATCCGTCCAATGCTGAAAGCGGGGTGTTGAAGTCTCCAGCTATTATTGTATTGACATTTTGTTCTTTAATAATATTAGTATTTGGTTTATATATCTGGGTGTTCCAGTGTTGGATACATATATGTTTACAATCATATCCTTTTGCTGAATTGACTCCTTTATCATTAATGACCTTCTTTGTCTCTTTTCATAGTTTTTGTCTTGAAATCTATTTTGCCTAAGTATAGCTACTCCTACTCCTTTTTGGTTTCTGTTGACATATAAATCTTTTCCCATCCCTTTATTTTCAGTCTATGTATGTGTGTCTTTATAGGTGAAGTATGTTTCTTATAGGCAACGGATCATTGAGTCTTGTTTTTTAAAATCTATTCAGCCACTCTGTGCCTTTTTATTAGAGAGTTTTGTTCATTACATTCAGTGTTATTATTGATAAGTAGAGATTTACTCCTGCCATTTTGTTGTTTTCTCATTGTTTTGTGGTCTTCTCTTTTTTCCTTCCTTCTTGTCTTCTTTTAATGAAGGTGATTTTCTCTGGTGACATGATGTAATTTCTTGTTTTTTATTTTTTGTGTCCATTGTATTTTTTTTTTTTTTTTTTTTTTTTTTTCTGAGACGGAGTCTCACTCTGTTGCCCAGGCTGGAGTGCAGTGGCGCAGTCTTGGCCCACTGTAACCTCTGACTCCCAGATTCAAGCGATTCTACTGCCTCAGCCTCCTGAGTAGCTGGGATTACAGGTGCATGCCACCATGCCCAGCTAATTTTTGTATTTTTAGTAGAGATGGGGTTTCGCCGTGTTGGCCGGGCTGGTCTTGAACTTCGGACCTCAGGTGATCCACCTGCCTCGGCTTCTCAAAGTGCTGGGATTACAGGCGTGAGCCACCGCGCCCGGCCCATTGTATGGTTTTTGATTTGAGGTTACTATGAGGCTTGCAAATACTGTCTTTTAACCCATTATTTTAAACTGATGACAACTTGACACTGATTGCATAAACAAACACACAAAAAGAAAACTAATGAAAACTCTGCAGTTTAACTTTATCTCCCTCCTTTTTAACTTTTTTGTTTCTCTTTAGTTCTTATTGTCTTCAAAAGTTCTGTATCTTCAAAAGTTGTTGTAGTTACGATTTCCTGTTGGTTTACCATTTAGTCTTTCTACTGAAGATAGGAGTAGTTTACATAGTACAATTACAGTGTTATAATATTCTGTGTTTTTCTGTGTGCTCACTATTACCAGTGAGTTTGTACCTTCAGATGATTTCTTCTTGCTTATTGACATATTTTTCTTTCAGATTAAATAACTCCCTTTAGCATTTCTTGTAGGACAGGTCTGATGTTGATGAAATCTCTCATCTTGTTTGTCAGAGAAAGTCTTTATTTCTCCTTCATGCTTGAAGGATGTTTCCACCGGATATACTATCCTAGGGTAAAAGTTTTTTTCCTTCAGCACTTTAAATATGTCATGCCACTCTCTTCTGGCCTGTAAGGTTTTCACTGAAAAGTCTCCTACCAAACATATTAGAGAGCACCATTGTATGTTATTTGTTTCTTTTCTCTTGCTGCTTTTAGGATCCCATCTTTATCCTTGACCTTTGGGAGTTTGATTATTAGATGCCTTGAGTCGTCTTTGGGCTGAATCTGCTTGGTGTTCTATAATCTTCTTGTACTTTAATGTTGGTATCTTTCTCTAGGTTTGGGAAGTTTTCTGTTGTTATCCTTTTCAATAAACTTACTGCCCTTATCTCTCTTTTTCTGCCTCCTCTCTAAGGCCAGTAACTCTGAGATTTGTTCTTTTGAGGCTGTTTTCTAAATCTTGTAGGTGTGCTTCATTCTTTTTTGTTCTTTTGTCTTTTGTCTCTTCTGACTGTGTATTTTCAAATAGCCTGTCTTCAAGCTCACTAATTCTTTCTTCTGGTTGATCAACTCTGTTATTAAGAGATTCTGATGCATTCTTCAGTATGCCGATTGCATTTTTCAACTCTAGAATTTCTGCTTGATTTTTAAAAAAATTATTTCAATCTCTGTTAAATTTATCTGATAGGATTCTGAATTCATTGTCTGTGTTTTCTTGAATTTCTTTGAGTTTCCTCAAAACAGCTATTTTGAATTTTCTGTCTGAAAGGTCACATATCTCTGTTTCTCCTGGATTAGTTCCTGGTACCTTCTTTTGTTCGTTTGGTGAGGTCCTGTTTTCCTGGATGATCTTGATGCTTTTAGATCTGGGCCTCAAAGAGTTAGGTATTTATTGTAGTCTTTGCAGTCTGGGCCTGTTTATGTCTGTCCTTCTTGAGGAGGCTTTCTAGATATTCAAAGGTACTTAGGCCCCAAGCTCAATAATGCTGTGGTTTTTGCCGACTCATAGAGGTACTGCCTTGATGGTCTTGGATAAGATCTGGAAGATTTCTCTGGATTACCAACCAAAGGCTCTTGTTCTTTTTCCTTAGTTTCTTCCAAACAAACAAAGTCTTGCTCTTTGTGCTGAGCCACCTGGAACTGGGGGTATGGTGATGTAAGCACCCATATGGCCACCACCACTAGGACTGTACCAGCTCAGACCTGAAGTCAGCACAGCACTGGGTCTTGCCCAAGGCTCAGTGTAACCACTGGTTACACTGGTAACCTGGCTACCACTTACCTTCACTCCAGGCCCTAGGGCTCTATGATCAGCAGGTGGCGAAGCCAGTCAGGTTTGTGTTTTTTGGGATGGCAAGTTTCCCCAGGCTTTGGGTGAGCCCAGAGATGCTGTCTGGTGGCCAGGGATTAGAGTCAAAAACCTTAGTAATTTGCCTGATATTCTTTTCTTACTGCGGCTAAGCTGGCACTCAAACCACAATACGAATTCCTTCCTGCTTTTCTCTCCCCTTTCCACAGGCAGAGGAGCCTCCCCCTTTGGCCATCACCGGCTCATGGGAGGGGTTCTGCAAGGCCACCACTGATGCTCACTTAAAATCTAAGGGTTCTTCAGTCAGCTTGTGGTGAATACTGCCAGGCCTGGGACTCATCTTTCAGGGCAGTGGGCTTCCCTCTGGCTCTGGGGAGGTCCAAAAATGCAGTCCAAGAGCCTAGGCCTGGACTTGGGGACCCCAAGAGCCTGCTTGGTGCTCTACCGCACTTTGGCTGAGCTGGTACCTAAGGTGCAAAACAAAGTCCCCTTTACTTTTCCCCCTGCTTTTCTCTAACAGAAGGAGTCTTTCACCATAGCCACCACAGCTCGGAATGTGCTTGGTCACACCTGAAGTCAGCACATTTCAGAGCCCAAGGTCCACGGCATACTACCTGGGTATCGCCGCTGGTTATTCAGGGCCCAAGGGCTCTTTTATTCAGCAGGCGATGAATCCTGCCAGGGCTGGGTCCTTTCCTTCAAGGCAGCAGGTTCCCTTCTGGCCCAGGGTGTGTCTTTGTCATCTGTGAGCTAGAGCCTCGAATAGGGGCCTCACTACTCTGCCCGGTACCCTGTCCTACTGTGGCTGAGCTGGTATCCAAGATGCAAGACAAAGTCCTTTTTACTCTTTGCTCTCCTCTCCTCAAGCAGAAGGAAGGAGTCTCTTTTGTTGTCAAAAGCTGCGCTGCCTGGGGTTTGTGGAAGGGTGGTGGAAGCACTCCCTTAGGCCCCCCAGCGGGTGTATCCCTAGGTCATGTGCCACCTAGTCCTCTGGCTCTGAGTCCAGCCTAGCACTAGGAGTTGCCTAGGAATTGCAGTGCTTGTGTCCTAGACAGCCTTTCATGTTTACCTAGGACTCCAGAGTACTTTGGCCAACATTAGCAAGGCTTGCTGAGAAACTCAAGTTCCAACCGCTGCGATGGGCAATTCTCTAGCCAAGGCTGGTCCAAATGCTCCCTCTGGCCCAGCACAGCTTTGCTCTCCACTATGACAGGGCAGTACTGAGTTCAGTGTAAAGTCCCCCAGTCACTATTCTCTCCCTCCCTTAAGTGCAGGGCCTCTGTTGGGGTGGCAGGGGAGGGGTGGTGTCAGGGATTCAAGACTGCCTCTCCTGCCCTCCTCAATGCCTCTTTCAGTGATATGAAGTTAAAACCAAGTACTGTGATTGCTCACCTGATTTTTGGTTTTTGTAACAGTGCTTTTCTGTGTGCAGATAGTAAAAATTTCGTGTTCCTGGAGAGGGGGTGACTGGTGTTGGCTTGTATTCCACCATCTTGCTCTGACCCTCTCAGCATTTTTGTTTTCTGAATGTAGATACAGATGTGTTTATGTCAGGGATAAAGTCCATCAATGAGAATTAGAGGGATTGTTCATGTTTCAGCACTTCTGTTCTCAACCTAATGATTATTTAACTAGTTTGTTAGAGATTCTTGATAATGATCTTTAGCCATGCCAGATGTGTTATGAGTGTATAGATCCATAGTTTATGGAACTCTGACTAATGGTAAAACAACCTGGATAATGTTTTGCCTAAGAAAAAGATAAAATATCTCTCATTCTCCTAGATATTTTTTTCAGTAGCTTTACTGAGATATAATTTACATACCATACTATTCACCCACTTAAAGTATACAATTCAGTGGTTTTTGTTATATTCACAGATATGTGCAACCATCATCACAGTCAATTTTAGAACATTTTAATCACCTCAGAAAGAAAACCTGTGCCCTTTAGTTACCACCCCAGCTCTCCTCTAGCCCTAAGCAGCCACTAATGTACTTTGTTTCAATAGATGTGCCTATTCTGAACATTTCATATAAATGGAATCAAATGTGTTGTGTTGTGATTGGCTTCTTTAACTTAGCATTTTTTTTTTTAGTGTAGTATTTTCAAGATTGATTCATGTGGTAGCTTGTGTCACTACATTCCTTTTTATGGCTGAATTGCATGGATATACTACATTTTGTTTATCTGTTCATCAGTTAATAGGCATTTGGGTTGTTTCCAGTTTTGGATTATTATGACTAATGCTGTTGTAGATAGTCATGTCCAACTGTTGGGATGTATGCTTTTATTTCTCTTGACTGTATACCTAGGAGTGGGATGGCTAGGTCATATGGTAACTCTTTGTTGAACTTTTTGTGGAACTGCCAGACTATTTTACAAAGTGGCCACACCATTTTACATTTCCACCAGCAATGTATGGAAGTTTAGTTTCTCCACATCTATGCCAACACTGGTTGTTACCTGACTTTTTGAGTCTAGCCATCCTAGTAGGTATGAAGTGGCATCTCATTAAAGTTTTAATTTGTATTTTCCTGATGACCAGAGATGTTGAACCTGTTTTCATGTGCTTATTGGCCATTTGTGTATCTTGTTTAGAGAAACATTTATTTGGTGTTAAATTCTAAAGGAGATTATTATTAAACATATTCACAGCTGGTGTGTGAATACCTAAAAATAACATGGATTAGTTCTTTGTGAACTAAGACTATGTGAATGGATTCACTAATCAGTTACTCAAAACTCAAGTTTTATCTTTTATTTATTTATTTTAAGACATGAAGTCTCACTCTGTCACCCAGGCTGGAGTGCAGTGGTGTAATCACAGCTCACTGCAACCTCAAACTTCTGGGTTCAAGCAGCCCTCCCACCTCAGCCTCCCTGAGTACCTGAGACCACAGGCACTCACACTACTGTGCCCATCTAATTTTTAAAAAGTTTTTATAGAGATGGGGTCTTACTTGGTTGCCCAGGCTGGTTTCGAACTCCTGGCTTCAAGCAGTCTTCCCGCCTCTGCCTCCCAAACTGCTGGGGATTACAGGTGTGAGCCACCACACCCAGCCAAGTTTTATCTTTATTAATTGTATTTCTAAGTTCAAGGAATGTAGCTGAAGCTAGTGTATTTTGAGTTCAGTGAAGTAGTTTAGAGAGTGTTTCATTAATTGTTTATGTTTAAGTGGAGTGATAGGGGCTGGATAAACTGTGGCATCCCAGTAGGGTTGATGCATGTCTTTCTGCCGGGGAGGTCTTTGGTACTCTTTGAGCTTGACCTTGGTCTGATAAGCATTTTTACAGTGACCTGAGTTAAGGGAGATGTGAGATGGCCTAAATCTGAGTAAAAGCCAGTTAAAAAGTTGAGAATGTATTAGCAGTGTCATGACTGTTAATAAGAAGTTAGTGTTGGTGGCATTGATAGAAATTCATTGTACTAGTCATAGAAGGTAGCATTTTTACTGGACCATGCTGTATATTGGGTCTAACTAAGAATTAGAAGAAATATTTTTGTTGTTGTTGTTTCAGCTCTTCTGATTATTGACTTTCTTTGGGCAAGTGTCTTAACCTAAGCCTCAATTTTCTCATCTCTAAGATCATAGTAATTATCTGGTTGTACTTCCTAGAGTTGCAAAAATCAAATAAAATGTTTGAAAACACTGAGAAATTGTAGAGCACTGTGTTTGTGTGATGTTGGTATTAATTCTGGGTACTATGTTTTAAGTTGGCCACTGACAGCCTGTTTGAAGGACATGAGAGAGAAAACTTTAAGTGTTGTTCTAGAATAGAACTAGAAGATGGCCGGGTGCAGTGGCTCACGCCTGTAATCCCAGCACTTTGGGAGGCTGAGGCGGGTGGATCACCTGAGGTCAGGAGTTCGAGACTAGCCTGGCCAGCATGGTGAAACCCCGTCTTTACTAAAAATACAAAAATTAGCTGGGGGTGGTGGTGCACTCCTGTAATCCCAGCTACTCAAGAGGCTGAGCCAGGAGAATTGCTTGAACCCGGGAGGTGGAGGTCGCAGTGAGCAGAGATCATGCCACTGCACTCCAGCCTGGGCGACAGAGCAAGACTCTGTCTCAAAAACAAAACAAAATGAAACAACAACAACAAAAAAACCATGAACTAGAAGATAAAGGTTTTAGGGAGGTAGTTTTTAGCTCTGTGATGAGCTCTACTAGTTTAGGTATCCTTATGAAATGCATTGGGTAGAAAACTGATGGAAAGGATTTCTGTATTGGGCATGAAGTTGACCTGTATCTCATAATGGGTGTTTTGGAGTGTTTTCTATGTTCTTTCTAGGCACTGTTCTAAAGGTTTTTTATGTGTTAACTCTTTTTTTTTTCAATTGATATATCATAGTTGTACATATTTTGAGGGTACATGTGATATTTTGATACATGTACATAGTGATCAAAGCAGGATAATTGGGATATTAATTACCTCAGACATTTTTCTTTGTGTTGGGAATGTTACAGTTCTTCTCTTCTGGTCGTTTTGAATATACAATAAATTATTGTTAATTATAATTTCCCTACTCTACTATTAAATACTGGAACTTATTCCTTTTAACTATATTTTTGTACCAACTTTTCTTCATACCTCCTCCCCCCTTCCCAGCTTCTCCTAACCAGCATTCTACTCTCTACTTCCATGTTATCCACTTTTTTAACTCCCACATAGGAGAGAGAATGTGCAATACTTGTCTTTCTGTGCCTGGCTTATTTCACTTACCATAGTGACCTTCACTTCCATACGTGCTGTTGCAAACGGCAGGCTTTCATTCTTTTTTATGGCTGAATAGTATTCCATTGTGTATATGTACTGTATTTTCTTTATTCATCTGTTGATGGACACTTGGGTTGATTCTGTATCTTGGCTATTGTGAGTAGTGCTGCAGTAAACCTGGGAGTGCAGATATCTTTTTGGTATGCTGATTTCCTTTCTCTTGAATATATATATACTCAGCAGTGGAATTGCTGGATCATATGGTAATTATATTTTTAGTTGTTAGTGGTTTTTTTTTTTTTTTGAGACAGGGTCTCATTCTGTCACCCAGACTGGAGTGCAGTGGCACAGTCATGGCTCTTTGCAGCGTCAACCTCCTGGGCTCAAGTGATCCTCCCTAGTAGCTGTGAGACCACAGGCATACACCACTATGCCAGGCTAATTTTTTTGTTTTTTAATTTTTTGTAGAGACAGGGTCTCCCTATGTTGTCCAGGTTGGTCTGCAAGTCCTGGGCTCAAGCAATCCTCCTGCCTCTGTCTCCCCAAATGCTAGGATTACATATGTGAGCCACCACACACAGCCTATTTTTAGTTTTTTTTTGAGGAACCTCCATAGTGTTCTCTGTAGTGGCTGTAGTACTTCACATTCCCACCAACAGCGTGAGGGTTCCCCTTCTTCCACATCCTCACAAGCATCTGTTATTTTTTGTCTTTTTGATAATAGTCATTTTAACTGGGGTGAGATGATATCTCATTGTGGTTTTTATTTACATTTCCTTGATGATTAGTAATGTTGCATTTTTTCATAATACCTTTTGGCCATTTGTATGTCTTCTTTTGAGAAATGTCTATTCAGGTATTTTGCTCATTTTTTAAATGGAGTTATTTGGTTTTATTTTGCTATTGAGTTGAGTTCCTTATGTATTCTGGATATTAATCCCTTGTCAGATGGATATTTTGCAGACATTTTCTCCCATTCTGTGGGTGGTCTCTTCACACTGTTGATTATTTCTTTTGTTGTGCAGAAGCTTTTTAGCTTGATATAATCTCTTTTGTTTATTTTTGCTTTTGTTGTCTGTCCTTTTTTTTTTTTTTTTTTTTTTTTTTTGAGACGGAGTCTCGCTCTACCGCCCAGGCTGGAGTGCAGTGGCACGATCTTGGCTCACTGCAACCTCCGCCTTCCGGGTTCAAGCAATTCTCCTGCCTCAGCCTCCCGAGTAGCTGGGACTACAGGCTCGTGCCACCGCGCCCAGCTAATTTTTTGTATTTTTAGTAGAGACAGGGTTTCATCATGTTAGCCAGAATGGTCTCAATCTCCTGACCTCGTGACCTGCCCACCTTGGCCTCCCAAAGTGCTGGGATTACAGACCTGAGCCACCGCACCCAGCCCAGGCCAATGTCTTAGAGCATTTTTCCAATGCTTTCTTCTAGTAGTTTCATAGTCTCAGGTCTCATGCTTAAGCCTTTAATTCATTTTCAGTTCATTTTTGTATAGTGTGAGAGATGGGGGTCTAGTTTCATTCTTTTGCATATGATGGTTATCGAGTTTTCCCATCACCATTTATTAAAGAAACTGTCCTTTCCCCAGTGTATGTTCTTGGTGCTTTTTTGGAAAATGAGTTGGCTATGTGTGGATTTCTGTGTTCTCTATTTTGCATTATCTCTTAATACAGAGAACAACTTTATGAGATTGGGAATCATGATCACCTCCATTTTACAGTTGAAAAAAGCTGAGGCACAAAGAGGTTAAGTTACTTGCCCAAGGTTACAAGACTGGTAAGTAGCAGAGTTAAAATGGAGAACAAGGCAGTCTAGGTCTAGGAGTCCATGCTTTTAACTCCTTCATTACCAACCAACTCTGGAAGTCTGTAAGAGGAAAAAACCATTTTATTCTACTTATTTTTCCTAACTTTGATATTATGTGTGTGTAATGTTAAGGATGGAGAAATGAATTAGAAAGCTTTTACTTAAAGTGACAGAAAATTATTGCTCTTAATATCAAATACTAGTGTATTAAATATTTCTTCTTCAAGTTACTGGAGAATATTTGAAGAACTACTTTGAAATATGGAAAACTGATACTAATTCCCCTTGAAGTTTACTTTGGAATGATTTAACAATATTTAGTGTGAAAAGGAGATAGTTTTCAGGGATGCTTAATACATTTACCCTTTACTTTAAAGATGATTTCAAGCTTTTTAGATCAGCAAGCCATCCTGTTTGTGGACACTGCTGATCGCCTGGCCTCGTTAGCTAGAGATGCTCTGGTCCATGCACGCCTGCCTAGTTTTGCCATCCCATATGCCATTGATGTACTAACTACTGGATCTTACCCACGGCTGCCAACCTGCATTAGGGTAAGTTCTTTGCTTGCCCCCATGTTCCTAAAAACTAAAGGTTTTGGCACTGGATTGGATTGTATTATTAAGTAGCCCAGCAAAAAACATTGTTAAAACAAACAGTACATATAGTTTGCTTTTTTTCTCTGTAACTAAAGTTGTGCTTTTTTGAAATAAGTTGGGGCCAGATGTGAGTAGATATCAAAATGGGTGAAGGTTTTATTTTTTTTTCCCCCAGGGATGCGCGGATGTGCAGACATAACATCTATTTCAGATGTGAAAATGCTACATGCTAGTTGCTTTTTGAAAGTGTTTTAAACTTTTATTGTTTTGGTAGTTTACTGACTTGGTGCCATATTGTATTTTATACTTGTAAGAACTTGTGGAAGCTATCAAGTGATATTTAGTTGGTTTATAAATAGAGCATTAAGGGAGGTCATGTTGTATTATGATCTTAGCTAAATGACTAGAATCATTGTTGCTCTTATGCATGATAGTAATGGCCATTGTTTTTGTAAGTAGACTGCAGAAATGAGTGTTAAGATTCTCTTAGGTAAAGTACGCAACACTGTATAAAGACAGGAAAAGATTGAAAAAAAAAATCCCCGTTTGTACATTATTTAAAAATCACTTAAATTTTTTTGCAGGACAAAATTATTCCTCCAGACCCAATTACCAAAATTGAAAAACAAGCCACACTCCATCAGCTGAATCAGATTCTTAGACATCGGCTTGTAACCACAGATCTTCCTCCTCAGTTAGCAAATCTTACAGTTGGTATGTATCTGAAATTTATTTTTTTAAGAGTTGATGGCCAGGTGCGGTGGCTCATGCCTGTAATCTCAGCACTTTGGGAGACTGAGGCAGGCAGATCACTTGAGGTCAGGAGTTTGAGACCAGCCTGGCCAACATGGTGAAACCCCATCTCTACTAAAAATACAAAAATTAGCTGGGTGCGGTGGCCCGCACCTGTAATCCCAGCTATTCGGGTGGCTGAGGCATGAGAATTGCTTGAACCTGGGAGGCAGAGGTTGCAGTGAGCCAAGATTGCACCACTGTACTCCAGCCTGGGTGACAGAATTTGCATGTTAGAATATTTTCCTAAACAGCTTTTTGGGTTTTATTCAAGGAAAAATAGCATCATGAAGATTTGACTGACAGTTTTATGGTGTTTGATTCTACGACTTGCCAGCTGTATCATTTCTCTTTAGTACCTAGAAATACAGTGCTGGTATTTGCAGCTTGGGAGTGGGGCTGGAAAGAGAGAAGAGTCCCCAGAGTTGTGCCTCAAGAAAATATTGTTCATTTATGTTAGAAGAGTTGCCTTTCATTTCTTGACCTGGAAGCTGGCTACTTCTTATTCAGGAACCATTGAATTGTTGGAACCTTATGAAAGAACCTTCAATCTATTTAAAAATTTTTATAAGTAAGACTGAAAATTCTAGGTCAGGAGGAAGATTCTCATTTTCTAGCAAAGTACACTTCTTTTTCTTCATCTTTTTCTTCTAAAAGCAAATGGCCGGGTGAAGTTTCGTGTTGAAGGAGAATTTGAAGCCACCTTGACTGTGATGGGAGATGACCCTGATGTTCCATGGCGTCTTCTCAAGCTAGAAATTCTAGTTGAGGATAAGGAAACAGGAGGTAAATCATAAGTAGTGATTTAAATCATAAGTATTAGTTTAAATGTTTGATTTTTTATATTATTGAAATATTCCCGGCTGGGGATGATGGCTCATGCTTGTAATCCCACTACTTTGGGAGGCCAAGGCAGGTGGATCGCTTGAGCTCAGGAGTTTGAGACCAGCCTAGACAATATAGCAAGACCCTGTCTCTACAAAAAATTTAAAAATTAGCCGGGCGTGGTGGTGTGTTCCTGTAGTCCCAGCTACTTGGGAGGCTGGGGTTGGGAGGTGGGAGGATCACCTGAGCCCAGGGAGGTTGAGGCTGCAATGAGCCATGATCATGCCACTGCACTCTAGCCTGGGTGACAGAGCAAGATCCTGTCTCTCTATATATATATTCCTGCAAAATAATAAATGCATGCAGCAATTTATCCTGTAATTTGAAGCAAGTTTTATAATTGTAACTGCCTGTTGACCGTGGAAGTTTCAGTGTTTCTCAGAGTACAATGTCAAGTTTCTGTAGATAATTTCAGTGCTTTTTAAAAAAATTCATTGTTATTATGTGCTTCCTTAGTTGGTATAGTGACACACTTGTACACCTATTTAATTAACTGCTTTCTTTTCTTCTGCCAACGGAAGATGGGCGAGCTTTGGTTCATAGCATGCAAATCAGCTTCATCCATCAACTGGTGCAGTCTAGGCTCTTTGCTGATGAGAAACCTCTTCAGGATATGTACAACTGCCTACGTATCCTTCTGAAATTTGAGACATATATTTGTAAGGATTTTGTGGTACCTCTCCCACATTTTTCATTTGTCCTTAGTCTTGAACTGTAGCAGCCTACATTCCTTGCCCCCATCTCCCCCACCCTTTTTGAGGTGCAGATAGGGCTGGAGAATAGTGAAGAATAGTGATATGTTTGTAATAAACCAAATTTAAAATTTTACTGTTGACTTTGCAGGTAAAAGCAAAAAGTGATTAGTTAAAAATAGTCTTGTTTGAGGCTGGGCACGGTGGCTCATGCTTGTAATCCCAGCACTTTGGGAGGCTGAGGCGGGTGTATCACTTGAGGTCAGGAATTCAAGACCTGCCTGGCCACCATGGTGAAACCCTGTCTCTACTAAAAATCCAAAAAAAAAAAAAGAAGCCTGGTGTGGTGGCGGGCACCTGTAATCCCAGCTACTAGGGAGCCTGAGACAGGAGAATCGCTTGAACCCAGGAAGCAGAGGTTGCAGTGAGCCGAGATCATGCCACTGCACTCCAGCCTGGATGACAGAGCAAGACTCCGTCACACACACACACAAAATAATAATAATAAAAAAGTACTGTTTGGTGAAAAAAATAGTACTATTTGGTCAATCCATGTTCTCTAAACTATGATGAATTAAGACACAACCCAGACTTTATGGTTTTATATTGGTTTAAAATTAAATATAAAACCTTTTTCTGAAATTATGCTATAAATTATAATACTTTTTACGATGAGGCATTGGAGAAATAATCATTTCAGAAATTTTCTTCAGAAATTTTTCTCCAGGTTTTCAATAAGAGAACCTTCCTTAAATGAAGTTCTCCTGGACTTGATTGACTGTTGGTGTAATGTATTAATTTTACTTAACAACATCTATCAGATTCTTTCTGTTTATCACTTCAGTTAGAAGTGTTACATTCCCAAACTCTAATGTTAATCCGAGAACGGTGGGGAGACCTTGTGCAGGTGGAAAGGTATCATGCTGGAAAGTGCCTCTCCCTTTCAGTTTGGAAGTAAGTAAAATCAGTTCTGGTGGGTTCGTGCTATGACTGTAAATACTCTTTTTATTTCTCTTTTTCTCTCATACATCTGATTTAATATACAGTTGACCCTTGGACAACACAAGCTTGAATTGTGTGGGTCCACTTATATGCAGATCAATTTGCAAGATGTGAAACCTGCGTATAGGGCCAACCTTCCCTATACGTGGGTTCTGCTGGCTGACCGCAGGACTGACTGCAGGACGTGAGTTTGCGTGGATTTTGGTATTGGGACGGGAATCCTGGAGCCAGTCTCCCAAGTATACCAAGGAATGACTGTATACCAATAGCTATGCACCTCTAGTAACATGCTTTTGTGTAGTAAGGTCCCATAGTATTATGTAGACCACATAGGACATCCATAGTTGACACCTGTCTTAGAACATGTTTTAAATACATAGACATTTACCTGTTTGTACTAAGACTTACTATTCTTAAAAAGTTTGAGAGGTTAGTTTACTTTGGGTTTATACCAAATAGCTAAAAGACCGTTAGGTTAGAAAAGACCATTAGGTTAGATTGTTGGGTATCATTTTTTAAAACATGCATGCTTATCACAGTTTTCCACTTTGAATTGTGCCTGTTAAAAACTTTCTTTGGGAGAAAATTCCTATTGGACTGTTTGTAACTCTCAATTCCCTGTTTGAACTTTACTTGATTCCTGTTTTTCTCCCCACCCCGGCATCTTATTATCCCAAATGACCCCCATTTTCTGTAAAGGAGTCAGAGGTGAGTAGATACTACTTAGAAGACAGGTAGTTTTTGTTTTGGGGTTCTTTTTCATGTGTGCATATGTTTTATTTTTAAATTATATGTCTTTTTTAAATGCAATAAATCAAATATTGTATTGGATTACAGAATAGCTATCTTCCCATTATTATTCCCTCCACAAACACTGGGGGCCTGCCGTATTCCAGGCTGTGGCTAAACTGCACAATGGATTGTCTCTATTTTATTCTAGAAGTTAACAGACTGTGTTGAAAAAAATTCTTCATTTCATTTTTTTCTTTAGTCAACAGGTTCTTGGGAGAAAAACTGGAACAGCATCTGTTCACAAAGTTACAATTAAAATTGATGAGAATGATGTCTCCAAGCCTTTACAGATTTTTCACGATCCTCCTTTGCCAGCTTCTGATTCCAAATTAGTAGAAAGAGCCATGAAGGTAAAAGATCTCAATATATTTTCATATTGGTTTAAATGAATGTAACTTGCCATTTATCCTTAAACTCTTAGCACAAATTTTTAAAAATATCTAATTCTTCCTAAAACCTTTTATGAAACTTATTTTAAGTAAATGTTACACTTCTTACATTTGTTTTTTTAAAACATCTGATACTATAATATATAATTTTTAAGATATTCTTTCATATTTTATAATTTAGATCAGATACCATTTTAATTTTAAGGTCTGGCATTAGAGCACCATAACTGATTTGTAATATCTTCTCCTATTACTTACCAAAATGTTAACTATAGTTTTTAAGCTATCAATTGTAAGTTAATTTTTAACTCAATACCATATTAGTTAATTTTTAACTTTAAGTTTGCTTTCTATTAGGGTTAACACTTAATCAGTGTGATTCCAAAAGGAAATATTTTGAAGCACAGTAATCTACTCTTGGGCTTTTAAAGTAAAAATGTTTAAATTGCACATTTGAATTTGTTGTTCTTATTTATGCAGATCGACCACTTATCAATAGAAAAACTCCTGATTGACAGTGTCCATGCAAGAGCTCATCAGAAGCTCCAAGAACTGAAGGCCATTCTTAGAGGCTTCAATGCCAATGAAAACTGTAGGTTCTTTTAAATTGACATTTGTTTTTCTTTTGTTTAAACTAGAATCCAGTTTTATTTGATGAGAATCTTAATATGACTTTTTCTTGATATTTTGCTTTTATTGTGGAAGCTGGTATTTCTGCATTTTAACTTGTGATCTGCCAAACTTATGCTAATTTTTCCCTTGTTACTTATTTAGCTTGGCCTTATTTTTGAAATATTTGTGTATTGGATTTCCTTAAAACTTTATGAAATGGGGCTGGGCATGGTGGCTCACACCTGTAATACCAGCACTTTGGGAGGCCGAGATGTAAGGATCACTTGAGGCCAGGAGCTTTAGACAAGCCAGGGCAAAAAATGAGACCCCGTCTCTATTTATAAAATTTTTTAAATAAAAAAGAAAAACTTTATGAAACATGAGCTAACATTTTAATATGAACCTTATTTTTAAACTTTTTTCTAGTGATAAAACAGCATTCCAAATATTTATAATATACTTGTAAAATATGCCCCTTTGAGTGAAGCAGAATTCATCCCTTGTCTTTTTAAAAAATTTTTAAAAATTATTAACAGTTCAAATAAGGAATGCAGATACATGGACATAGTGAAAAATCTTCCAAGTTTAATTACCTAGTAAGTATATTCAGAGCTTTGAGGGACAGTCATTTAGAAAGTAAACCCTTTCATTCTGGGAATATAGGTTCGCAACATCATAATGGGCATATTTACTATCCCTGCCCCAATTGTTTTTGGCCATAATTACCTTGTGCCCACAGTGCACAGTCTTTAATTAAGTTAGATGACGTAAGTGAAGTGCCTTATAAGTAGGAAGTCTTAATAGTGCTAGTAACGAAGGTGCTGCCTTTTGTCATCACAGAGCTCAGCTCAATCCATTATACTTAAAGAAGCAGCTTCTTAGGTATGTACTAGTAACTCTGGATTAAAATCACTTTGACAGAAATAGATTTTAAAAAATTGCCTGAAGGAAAGACAGAAAGTTAGAAAAATAAGTGTGTATTTAGAATACATACTCATTCAAGGAAAGTGAAAAGATAGAGGTGAAAGAGGGGATCTAAGATAAACCAAAGCATTAGCTTATATTTTTAAAGAGACTAAGGAGAGGGGCAGCCTAACTTAACAAAAATGCAAATATGGGCCTTAAAAAAGAAATAAAGGATCTGCCAGAAATTTGGTGAATGTATTGGTTAGATGTGTCTTGGGGGTGCCTGTCCATTAGCCCTATCAGGGTTTAACATTAGCTTTATCAGTACTTCATTATCTTAATTTAATTAAAAGCTTCAGTAGAAGGCCCTCCCCTTTAATCCCTCAAGCAAAGATGTTAAATACAGACCTAAAAATTATGATTGGAAAGTATAATTGAAACTCTCACTGGAATTAGAAAGGCTACTAACCACCACTGCCTTTTCGTCTTTTTTTCTTAACAGCTTTATTGAGATATAATTCACATATAATTACCTCATTCAATGGTTTTTACTGAAAGAGTTGTGCAACTATCACCACAATTTGATTTTAGAACATTTTAATCATCCCAGAAAGAAACCGTGTACCCATTAGCAGTCACAACCCATTCACTCCTCTCCCTTCCTGCCTCCCTTTTGGCAATCATTAATCTACTTTCTAACTCTATAGATTTGCCTATTTGGACATTTCATATAAATGGAATCATAATGTGTGGTCTCTTACATACTGTTTTTAACACATTTTTTTTGAGGTTCACAGCATGTTTCAATACTTCATTCACTTTTATTGTCAAATAATCCATTGTATGGCTATACCATCTTTTGTTTATCCATTCATCATTGTTGAACATTGGGGTTGTTTTTCTTTTTTGGCTATTGTGGATAATGCTGCTATGAACATTCATGCCCAAGTTTTTATGTGGACGTAAGTTTTCATTTCTCTTGGCTGTACACCTAGGAGTGTAATGGCCGGGTCTTGTAACTGTTTAACCTTTTGACGTGTTTAACACCACTTTACAATCTAACCAGCAATGTGGGAAGGTTTCATTTTCTCCACATCCTCACCAATACTTGTTATTGTTTGCATTCTTTTACGTGAGGATATGCAGTTATCTCAGTAACATTTGTTGAAGACTATTTTCTCCTGTTTAATTGTCTTGTCACCCTTGTTGAAATTCCCCTTTTGTTCTTTTTTAAGAAATGGAGTCTCACTGTGTTGCCCAGGCTGGTCTCTATCTATCTATCTATCTATCTATCTATCTATCTATCTATCTATCCATCTATGTATCTATTTTAAGTCCATGGCCTGCTGAACAGGCTGGTCTTATGCTCCTGGGCTCAAGCAATCCTACCACATTGGCCTCCCAAAGTGCTGGGATTACAAGCATGAACCACCATGTCCAACTCTTTTGTTCTTAAAGAAGACTTTAAGTATTTTGCAATCTTAATTTTTCTAATTTTTCAAAACTTCGTTTGTTGAGATTCCAGAAAATAGGGAGTTTGTAATCTTTTGATAGGCTCTGGTTTACTTTAGTATCATCTGTAAGCAAGGCTTAGTAAGTTAAAAAACAGAACAAAAACTTAGTAAGTTAAAAAACAGAAACAAAAAACTATGATTGCCAAGGGATAGTTAAATTACTTTGAAAAATAAACTCAAAGCATACGTTTACATAGGAATGGTTTTGTGTGCTGTTCACCTAGGTTCTGAAGATTTCTAAAGAGAAATTTAGAGAAATCTTCAGAACCCAAGTGTAAAATTCCTTTTTGTAGAAATGTTAGAGATCTGAGTTCAGCTGTCTGCTCTTGAACAAGTCATTTACACTATTTGGGCCATTCTCCTCATCTGAAATTTGAGGATATTATAATAGTCCAGGCTCTTCCTAGATCTTAAACTCTAGTAGGAATGTGCTACACCAGTGGTTTTCAAGCCCTAGGTGTTTTGTAGAGTCCCAGGTGTTAGAG
The DNA here is from genome assembly GCF_000001405.40 of Homo sapiens. NCBI lineage: Eukaryota > Metazoa > Chordata > Mammalia > Primates > Hominidae > Homo > Homo sapiens. The sequence continues at coordinate 40,706,422 of NC_000023.11, read as the reverse complement.
AAGGGTGACTTAGGGACTATAATTTGGAAGGAAGGGAGAAGCTTGCATGCGGGGTTGATCTCCTCAGTTCTGCTTTAATCAGGACAGTTCTAGAAATGAGGACTGCTAGAGGAAAGGGTCTGCCGACCCACCATCTTAGGGCATGTGCTTTAACTTGTTCTTTAAATTCATGTGCATGCATTTATACTCTCCATGTAGTCTTACTTGATCCTTTTTTGTGATGGGCGAGCATGCTTTATTAAGATCCTTACTGGGATGAGGGACTACATAGTCTATTCTTAGAATCCCTTAGCGCAGTCACCCTTAAATCAGCTGGCTTTTCTTCTAACACCTAACTGGAATAACCCAAGGAAATGAGTAGCTCAGAGAGTGGAGCATTTCAAGGGAAGGCTAGGGGAAGGCATAGACTTCAGGTTTTGAGCAGCTCAGGCATGTGGTTTCGTGGGGGTAGAAATGGTTTAGGGGAGAGGAGGCAGGACTTTGGAGATAAGTTCCAAAAAAGCAGTGCAAGGTACTAAAGGTAACTTGAGATATGGCCCAGTTGGCAGCATTGCCTAACTCTTGAAAGCCAGGGTGCTGCTCCCTTATGTTGTACTCTACCCTTCAGCACTTATAATCAGGGCATCATGATCAGTTTGGAAGCTATGAACCACACACAGCCATTCCTAATTGAGCTTAGTTGCCGCTCTTCACTCTTCACACTTTATATTCTGTCTGTTATCCATTCTCATCTTGTTCTCAATAAATGATAGAAATAAAAGGAGATATATATATGTTCTGGCAGGACGAAATAGCAGCAAGTCCTGTCATCTTACACTGCTTTTAATTCCCTCTTCTTTATTTTCTTTGCAAGTTTCCCCATTTTTGTATACCTAAAACCTGTTGCCTTTAAATGCTTTAGGGCATTGTGTATTTTATTTTCTGTAAAGAAAAATATGGACATTGGTAGTCAAAAAATTGTACATCGATTTGTATCAGAGTATTTCTTGTCTTTTGAACTGTGTTATCTGTATTCTTCTCTGATGCCCTATTTTTCTAAGAATACTCAATTGTGGTAATTAGATTGAAATTATAATTGTTACCCCAATTCCCAGAACTAGTTTTACTCTGTTGCCACGCTTTAGAAATGGTTTTGCTTTAGAGAATTCACTCCTACCCTGTCAGGAATTGTGACACTATGGAAATGTTTCAAAAATCAGCAACTCTGTTTCACATTTGTAATAACTTTTTATTAACATAGTAAGTTCAGCAAAATGTCACTGATTTGAACTAATTTGTCACATTGGTCTGAATTATATGGTAAAAGAAATTTTTGTTTTTGCCCTTTTTGTTCTGTTTTTTTCAGGTCAGAGTTCTGCTGGATTTGCATGTTAAACATTTTGTATACAAATATGTATTAGATGTACAGGTTGAGTATCCCTTATCTGAAATGCTTGAGACCAGAAGTATTTCAGATCTCGGATTTTTTTTGGGTTTTGGAATATTTGCATTTGTACTTACTGGTTGGGCATCCCAAATCTGAAAATCCGAAATCCAAAATGCTTCATTAAGCATTTCCTTTGAGCATCATGTCAGCGCTCAAAAAATTTTGGATTTTGGAGCATTTCAAATTTTGGAGTTTAGGATGCTCACCCTATGTTTTAAAGCAATTTATTTCTCTCTAATTAAATATGTCTTCTGCAATCTTTTACTTTATTAATTTGTTTGATAATTTGTGTAGACAGTACCAATGGTAATGTCATCCATTTGAATTATTGAAAATTTATAGTAAAAGGTTTTGGTTTGTTTCTTTGATTCAAAAGGAATATAGATAATATACATTTGTCAAACACTTTGCTTTTTAAAGCACTTTTACAGCCTTGTCATTTCTTGCTCCTAACAACCTGTGGCATGGAGGGGAAGATGTTATTTTCCTTGTTTGACAAAAAAGCAGGCAGAAGCCACGCCTGGTGAAAGGCCTGCATCGCCACTCCCCTCTGCGCCTGCCACGTTACCTCTCCTTCCGAGCACCTGCATCACCATTCTCCTCTGTATCTGCCTTTTTTTTCTGTGCTGTAGCTTCAGAGGAACTTGGTAACAAGAAGAGCATATTCCTTTTACAACCCCTCAATCTGATCAGCACTTAGTGTGTTTTCAGTGTTTTGCTTGTTTACTGGATTTCATTATGTCACTTGCAGAATTAAGAGAAAAGTTAATTGGGCCTCGTGGAAATACTGTGAAACTCTAGATCAGGCATATTGTCAGCTTTGGGGATTTGTGTTTAGCAATTGCCTATGTTCTTAATTCATCTGTGACTTGAAATGGAGTATACAAATGACTTGAAAAAAATTTTTCTTCCTGGGTAATCAATAATATTTATTAGTTTAAACACATGGGCTCTAATTGCCAGAATACCTCTTTTTTATGAGGAATGGCATTGAAAATCATGAGGCCATAGAAGATATTTATTCTGTTTATAAACAACTAGTTTTCTTTCCATTATACAAAAGAGAAAATCCTTAAAAATTAATTAGCTTATTAGTAATTACCAAGTGAAAGTAAAACTAGAACTCAGCTCACTGATGAAGTTGAATTTTCACTAGCTATTTCAACCCTCTTTAAGAAACTTTGGATTTTTTTTGCTGTAGTATTTGAGACAGGCATGTTTGTTTCAAGTCACCTTGAAAATTACATTCTTTCCTTTTTGAGCTGCTAACTGACATAATAATACTATTGCAAATTTTGCAAAATCATGTTTTTCCTCTAACATTTAGGATCCTTCAATAGTTGGTTTGTTTGTACTCATTGATTGAGAAATAATTTTTCTGGAAAATATTCAGATAGAAAAATAATTTTTAATTCTTGATTGTTCAGCTTCCATAGAGACTGCACTCCCAGCTCTTGTTGTTCCCATCTTGGAGCCCTGTGGTAATTCAGAGTGTCTGCACATTTTTGTAGATTTACATTCTGGAATGTTTCAATTGATGCTTTATGGACTTGGTAAGTTACTAAATGATATAATCATTCAATGTAAGAAAAATTATTTTTAACAAAAACAAAATAAACATTTTCTGTCATTAGGTATTAGAAAGAATGGTATATGCAGTGTTGAAAGTGGGTATGGAAACCATAACTCTGACTGATGTCAGTTCCTCGGGGCCGTTTTAACTACTTTGGATTTTCTTGTAGCAGATGTTAAACTTCCCAGTATAACGCACATTCGTGTTTCCTTATGCAAAATTAATAATGTTGATGGCTGCTGTTTTTTAGGTTAACTTATCTATCCCAGTAGCTCAGTTTCTATTTTACCACTGGGTGACATGGAAATCACAATAAGGAATTCTAATGTCATTTGTGGCTGAAGAACATTTTTATGACAGTAGAAACATCTAAGATGACTTGAGGTACAGAATCCTGGAGGAAAGGATTTTTTTTTCTGGCCTAAACACAGTAGAAATTAAAGTTTGATTTCTTACTTGTTCTGTTACTGAGTCAGTGTTATGAAATGATGAAATAAGAATTTAGTGTTTTTGTATTGCTACTGGACAGTGTTCTTGAATATATTAGGACATCTGCTATTTGAAATTAATATTCAGCTAGAAAGGTTGAAAATAAAGGGCTTTCTGGTTATATTTTATAGCTATAGATTTTTTTTCTATGGGCTGCTCATGGAAAACTGAACTAATTACTTTGAATGACATCACATTTATGATGGCTAAATGACGCATTTATGAATTACTTTAACTGTGGGTTCCAAATAAGGCAAATGTTGTTTGTTCTTAAAAACTTATATTTAGGCCAGGCGTGGTGGCTCAAACGCCTGTAATCCCAGCACTTTGGGAGGCCGAAGTGGGCGAATCACAATGTCAGGAGATCGAGACCATCCTGGCTAACACGGTGAAACCCTGTCTCTACTAAAAACACAAAAAATTAGCCAGACGTGGTGGCGGGTGCCTGTAGTCCCAGCTACTCGGGAGGCTGAGGCAGGAGAATGGCGTGAACCTGGGAGGCGGAGATTGCAGTGAGCCGAGATCGCGCCACTGCACTCCAGCCTGGGCGGTAGAGCGAGACTCCGTCTCAAAAAAAAAAAAAAAAAACAAAACTTATATTTAACTGTTTTTCTGATTATTAACATAGTACATACTCATAAATAAAAAACTTAAACACACAAAAATTAGAAAAGCAACAGAAAATAGTCTTTTAGGGATGTATGCTTGTCTTAGCAGCTCAGGCTGCCGTTAACAAAATATCATAGACTAGGTGACTTAAACAACAGAAATTTATTTTGTCATAGTTCTGGAGGCCAGAAATTCAAGATCAAGGTGTCAGCATGGTTGATTTCTGATGAAGGCTCTCTTTCTAGCTTGTATATAGATTGTATATAGACAGCTGCCTTCTTGCTGTGTCTTCACATGGCTGAGAGAGCGACTTCTCTGGCATCCGTTCTTATAAGTCTGCTACTGATCCCTTCATGAAGTCCCTACCTTCATGACCTCATTTAAACCTAATTGCCTCCCAAAGACCCCTTCTCCAAATACCATCACACTGAGGATTAGGGGTACAACATATGGATCTTGGGGGGACATAGTTGACCCCATAGCAGTGCTTTTCTAATTTTTTCTATACTTTGTCCCCATTAATCAAAATCATTTTGTATCTTGCTTTTTTTTGCTCATTATTCTGTTTACTAGCATTTTCTAGTGTCATTAAAAATTCTGACTTAATTTGCAAGCTGATCTTCAGCCAGCAGCTGTTCCATATGCCAGAGATCATTTGTGTTTCATAAGTAAATATTTCAGTGGAGTTTTTTGTTTTTATGATTTTTAAGGTTCTAAGTCTAATAATACTATGAGTTTTAAATACTTATAATTTAAAAATACTGATTAAGTAGACTAGGAGTTTGGGGAATTAAAATATAGGCAAAGAATGGATTCATGTATTTGTTACTTGTTCTTTCTGCCAGTGTACATTTGCCATTAGTTGTCATATCTATAATGCTCCCTAAAAGTTAAAGAGGGAAAACAAATTAGGTTGGCTTATATCTAATGGTACATTTAGTTTAATTTTTCTCTGACTCAAAAACAACATGATTTTCTGCCTTAAACAATAATTTTCATTTGTTTTATTTGTTTTACACTACCTAGATAAAGATTTTGTTTCTCATATAAGCAATTAATTAATGAAGTGCTTTATTCTGTAGACCAGGCCACTCTGGATGACATGGAGAAGTCTGTGAATGATGATATGAAACGAATCATACCCTGGATTCAGCAACTTAAGTAAGCTTATTTATATAGCTCAAGACTAAAAATGGAAACTTATTTTGACAAGATATGTTTTCTTCTCCATCATTACTCTTGGTCATTCACTGTCCTTAAGGTTTATGACATGAAACTTAAGTGCCGTTTGGTACCTTAGAATCTAAATTCTCTTGGAATAGTTCCAAGATGTCAGTTTCTCATATCAAATTCTCCTCTAGAGCAAATATAGGTGTGAAGGGCATAACACTCAGCTTTCATCCCTTACCACATTTTCTTCTATACAAGCACTTTACAAATCACTTACACAATGAATTTTATTGTATCAAGTGTTCTCTGTAATAAAGTCCTATTTGTTCTTATCCAGGGTAATCGTCATGGTTGACTACCAACTGACACTTTCAAAATAGTCATTTCTGCTTCTCGAATACAGTCATTCAATTTGTCTCAAAATCCTTTAAATGCTTCACACTGTTAAACTAAATAAAATTGAAAATGGAGCTAGATATAATTCTGTGGAGTTTCATTACCACTCTGGTACACAAAGGTACCCTTATAGCAACTCTAACAAACTCTTTCTTAAAATTAATAGAATTCCAAAGGATAAAAAAAAAATTCAGAGACTAAAACCAAAACTGGCAAATGGAGAAGGCGGTGGGGGGGCGGTATCTAAAGAAAAGACTATAAAGTGGGATCTATTGTTTTTATAATCTTTTAGCCTCTGCCCTTCCCTTTAGCCAATATTTGAAAAATTCAATATAACCAAGTAATGTTTTCATTAGCAGGGCATGAATTTTTTTTTTTTTTTTTTTTTTTTTTTTTGAGACAGGGTTTTACTTTGTTGCCACCAAGGCTGGAGGGGAGTACAATAGCGTGATCTCAGCTCACTGCAACCTCTGCCTCCCAGGCTCAAGCGATTCTTCTACTTCAGCCTCCTAAGTAGCTGGGACCACAGGTGCATACTACCATGCCCAGCCAATTTTTGTATTCAGGGCATGATTTTTTGTTTTATTTTATTTATTTATTTATTTTTTATTGAGACAGAGTCTCACTCTCTTGCCCGGGCTGGAGTGCAGTGGCGTCATCTCGGCTCACTGCAACCTCTCCCTCCCGGGTTCAAGGGATTCTCCTGCCTCAGTCTTCCGAATGGCTGGGATTACAGGTGTGTGCCACCATGCCAAACTAATTTTTTGTATTTTTAGTAGAGACGGAGTTTCACCTTGTTTGCCAGACTGGTCCCAAACTCCTGACTTGAGGTGTGATGTGCCTGCCTTGGCCTCCCAAAGTACTGGGATTACAGGCGTGAGCCACCGTGCCCAGCGCAGGGCATGATTTTTAAAGCCAGTAGATAGATAATATTATGTGAGCCTTTTTTTTTGAGCAGCTATTTAGTGTATCTGTATGTGAAAAAAAATCAGTCATTAATCTGGGTAATGATTTCTAAAACTTTTAGTGTTTTAGCATCATTGTGCATTTTGGCTAAATAAGCAAGGTTTAAATATCCTAACATGCTTAATAATTCACATCTTGCATAACTTGAGGTTGTTTATCTGGCAGTTCTAGCTGCCCAAAATATAAACTAAAACCAGAAAGTTAAGTTCCAAAAGCCTTTAACTCACCAAATGTGTGCCTGTATGTAAACTTACATGATTTATTTATAAGAAAAGTCCCCTGATTGTCACTTATAATAGTGTTTCTCAGATGATTTGTGGTGAATGACCAGTTTATCACTAATCTATCATGGGACACTGATTTTTCAAAATAACTTTATTGAGGTATAATTTACATACCATAAAAATGCACCCATTTTAAGTATACAATTCAATGATTTGTAGTAAATTTACTGACTTTTGCAAGCATCACCACAATCCACTTTTAGAACGTGTAGGACATTTCCATCACCCCAAAGAAATGTCCATTTATAGTTAATAACCATTCCCAACCTCAGAAAACTATGAATCCACTTTCTATTTGCCTTTTCTGGTCATTTCATATAAAGTAGAATCAAAATATGCTGTCTTTTGTGACTGGCTTCTTTCACTTAGCATAATGTTTTCAAGGTTCATCCATATTGTAGCATGTATCAGTACTTCATTCCTTTTTATGACTGAATAATATTTCACTGTATGGATATACCACATTTGGTTTATCCATTCATCAATTGATGAACATTTGGGTTGTTTCCACTTTTTGGTTATTATGCATAATGATGCTGTGAACATTCATGTGTAAGTCTATATGTGGACTTATGTTTTCTTTTCTCTTGGAGTAGAACCAAGGAATGGAACTGCTAGGGCGTACAGTAATTTGTTTAGCTTTTAAAAGAAAATGCCAAACTGTTTTCCAGAGTGACTGTGCCATTTTACAACCTCATCAGTAATGTTGCGAGAATTTCCATTTCTCTACATCCTTGCCAACAATTGTTACTGTCTTTGAATATAGACATCCTAATAATGAGTATGAAGAAGTATCTCATTGTGATTTTCATTTATATTTCCCCAACAAATAATGATGTTGAGCATCTATTTGTTCATGTGATTACTTTTTTAAATAATGTGCAATAAAAATGAATTCTAGGAAAAAAGAAATGAAAGAACATGTATAAGATATAAGCCCCAATGTTTTTTATTAGAATCAACAGATAAAGTTATACTTCAGTAAATATAATCAGAACATAGGAAAAAAGAAAATTATAGAAACTGTGTACATTTTTCATTGAAAGTGTATACACAGGCAATTAATATAGAAAGTCACTTAGACTCAAGTTTTTTGTCCCTCAGAATCATAACAAATAATGAAGAGTGAAATAGCAATTCCAGATTGACTTTGAAAAGGCCACCTTGTATATCAGTATTTAGAATTTTTAATGTGACACATGAGCTTGTTTCTTGTTTGTAATAACTTGTCCACGTTGGATTGATGATAATGCTAATCATGAGAGATGTTTCTTATGTTTTCCTTTTAATAACATACATACTAGAGAAATCATTCTCACAAAGGTATGTTGATGGGAATCAAAGTAGAGATTTGAAATAAATTTTAGCAAGTTCAGGATATTCATTTTTAACTTTTATTCAAAATGAAGCAAGTGATGGTATATTTTCAAAATTTATCTTCATTCCTTCATCAGTAACCAGTTCTTGCATTTGATCCGTAGAGTTGTAGTTAAATTTGTCTTTCAATGAAAAAAACAAAATGGTTTCCAGAACAGTTGACAAACTACCCTTAAAATGTCATATATTATAACATGGTTTTACTGCACATAACTGGTATACAGTTTGTACCACATGCAACTTGCCACACAAATGTATCAGCACCCAACCTGGTCTTTGCCCTATTCATCAAGGCAAGTCTGCTGATCATGAGCTGGGATGTTGTGGCATCGTTATGCTGCTGTGAAAATTCTTATTTTCTGTAGTTTCATTATGCATCAGTGGAGTTTGTGAACCAGCCATTTTATCCCTTTTTTACATATTATATGATATCCTAGCTTCAAGGATAGATAATCAAATAAAAGGAATAAAAGGAGTACTATATTAAAAACGTCAGTGAAATCTGGCAGCTTACCTGAAAGGAACGTGGGAACAAAGGTAGTTAATACTACTGGGACCCGCTAGGTATACTACACACTTCACACATACACAATTTAAAAACTGGGGCTATATAAAGAATGTTGAGATTAGTTGGTGCTGTCTTTAAACCGTAGGAAATCTGTCACTCCTTAATAATAAACTAACATAGTATCTCATCCTTACAGTGAATTCTACCTTATAACTAAGATCATTCACATTGCAGTTTAAACTTCTTAAACTAAAACTAGAATTGACAGTAGTGCAAAACTATGAAAAAATGATTTGTCATTATGGCCATGTGTCCTTTTATTAGTTCAGTTAAATTTCAATTAATTGTTTTTTTAATGGTCTTTAATCATTTGTAAATCGATAGGGCACAGATAATCAGAAAAGTCTGAGATTTGATGTGGATTATCACTTTTAAATTCAGGTTTTGGCTTGGACAACAGCGTTGCAAGCAGTCTATAAAACATCTGCCTACGATAAGCAGTGAAACATTGCAGCTTTCCAATTACTCAACTCATCCTATTGGAAACCTTTCTAAGAATAAACTGTTCATTAAACTTACCCGCCTTCCACAATACTACATTGTAAGTATGCAAAGGAGTGATTTGGAGTGATCAAGTTTAGTAATTCTGTTAGTATCTTGAATGACTTATTGTTTAACTTGCCAATGAATTTTATTGAATATTTGACTTTGGTATAGTGAAACCCAGGGGTTTAGAATTGGGGAGAGAGGAATGTCACGTCTCAGTTGGGGAACATAAGGTATAACCCCATCCCTCACTCTAGGGTCTGTCCTGTGATGAGGCCTAGTCTTTGATTGGAATGAGACATCTCTGTAAGAATAAAAAATTTAAGACCAATTCCTATGAAGGTCTGGCGATGTTTTGATGTCAGATAAACTTGTTTCACTTGAAATATTAACTTGTATAGTGAAACCTTTCAAATATGGACTGGCTGAATTAGCTTTATTTTTTCATCCTTCTTTGATTGAAGGCATCTTTCATTTTATTGAGTATGTGTTCCTTTTAGTGCACAGTAAGGTCCTCTCTATTCCTTTTTCACTGTTTCTGTATGTTTTTTAGTTTCTTTATTTTTGAATTAGTTAAAATTTGCAATAATTTTAAATATGAACCCATCCTGAATATATTTTCTTGCTTGTTGAAATTTCTGGCCAGGCACGGTGGCTCACACCTGTAATCCTAGCACTTGGGAGGCTGAGGCGGGTGGATCACGAGGTCAGGAGATTGAGACCATCCTGGCTAACACAGTGAAATCCTGTTTCTACTAAAAATACAAAAACAAAACATTAGCCAGGCGTGGTGGCGGGCGCCTGTAGTCCTAGCTACTCGGGAGGCTGAGGCAGGAGAATGGTGTGAACCCGGGAGGCGGAGCTTGCAGTGAGCCGAGATCATGCCACTGCACTCCAGCTTGGGCGACAGAGTGAGACTCCATCTCAAAAAAAAAAAAAAAAAAATCTCTGTATATACCAAGTAGATATGTTGGCTAAGAATCTATGTTTTACAAATTTTAATTCAGGCCAGGTGTGATGGCTCATGCCTGTAAAACTAACACTTTGGGAGGCCGAGGCAGGAGGATCACTTGAGCCCAGAAGTTTGAGGTCAGCTTAAGCAATATAGTGAGACCTCGTCGCTTATAAAAATAAAATAAAAATTTTAATTCAAGATTGTTTGTTGAAAGTAATGGGAGTGAACTTTTTAAGGTTTTGACCTGTACTTTTAAAAGATACTATTTTAAAAGGACACCATTGTAGGCTGACATATCTTAAGCTCGGGATACTTATGTAGACTAGTGAGTCTGTCATTGATCTGAATTTTACTTTTTTCTGAATTTTAAAACAGCAGCTGTAGAACTAGATTTGGCCCACTACAAAAGACTATTGTTTCAGTTCTCAGTGAGCTTGCTTGGTCTACATGTGAAATGATAATACAGAATACATGCATCATAGCGAAACCCATGAACATACAAAGATCTCTTATAATCAGCCATGCACAAAATAAGACAAAAATGGTTATAATTTATTATTTTATGACATTTAACCACGCTTTAATGTCAGTGACCAGTGATCTATTATAAAGCAATAATTTGTTTCATATGGCTTAGACCAAAACTGAATGTAGATTATTCCTCGTCCTCTAGATTTATCACTTAGGGGTAATATGTTCATGGAAGTGGAAAGAACTACTAACATGGACATTAAGAAGAACAGAGGAAAGTCTTGCTGCAGTTGATATCCCCTTAAATGTCTTTCTGCCATTTTACCTTTCTTTTTTGGTTAGCTTTATTAAGATATAATTTACATAAAGTAAAAATACAGACTTTTTAGCATGAGTTCTGATAAATGCATACAGTTGTGTAGCCTCCATCTCAGGGCACAGAACAGATCCATTATCCCCCAAAATTGCCACATAATACCCCTTATAATCAGCCCCCTCCAACTAGTAATCACTGACTTGTTTTGTGTCTCTATAGGTTTGCCTTTTCCGTCCAGTTTCTTTGACTCAGCATAATACCTTTGACATTCATCTGTGTTGTTGTGTGTATAATAGTTCCTTCCTTTTGTTGCAGAGTAGCATTCCATGGTGTGGGAGTACCACAGTTTGTGTTTAATGAGTCACTCATTGAAGGACATTGGGGTTGTTTCCAGTTTGGGGTAATTTTGACTAAAGCTGTTAAACATTTGCATATAGATTTTTGTGTGTGTTCATAAGTTGTCATTTTTTATTTCATCTTGGATAAGTAACTAGGAGTGGGATTATTGGGTCATATGGTAAATGTGTGTTTAACTTTGTAGAAAACTGCCAACTGTTTTCCAAAGTGATGTACTATTTTGCATTCCAGCCAGCAATATATGAGAGTTCTCGTTGCTCCTCATGCTTGCCAACAGTTAGTCATTAGAATTTTTTAAAAATATTAACCATTCTGATAGGTATGTAGTGGTGTCTTATCGTAGGCCTAATTTACACTGCCCTAATGGCTGAAGATGTTGAGCATATTTTCGTGTGCTCATCCTGTCTTCTTTGGTGAAATGGCCATTTGACTTTTAACATTTCCTGAGGTACATCATCAGTGTGATGCTTTCCTGAAGAGTATGTGTGGGGAGGAGGGGGAGCAAGGGAGAAAGGAAGCAGGAAGAGAAATGGAAAAGAATGTGTGTTGGTCAGGAGCCTTTCCTAATGGCATATATTTTTGTCACTAAAGCATTTAGGGGACTTTTCTTAAATTTTAGCTAGACCTTGGAAACAGTAAGCAGGTATAGTAGGAAGAACAAGGCCTCTGGAGCCAAACTTCTGGAATCAAAGCATGAGTCTGTCACTTACTACGTGTGTGACCTTGGGCAAGTAACTTGCTTTTTTTGTGCCTCAGTTTCCTCATCACAAAAATAAAGATAGGCCAGTTGCGGTGGCTCATGCCTGTAATCCTAGTACTCTGGGAGGCCAAGGCAGGTGGATCACCCGAGGTCAGCAGTTCAAGACCAGCTTGGACAACATGGCAAAACCCCACCTCTAATAAAAATACAAAAAATTAGCCTAGTGTAGTGGCACACACCTGTAATCCCAGCTGCTTGGGAGGCTGAGGCACAAGAATCGCTTGAACCTGGGAGGCGGAGGTTGCAGTGAGCTGACATTGTGCCACTGCACTCCAGCTGGGTGACAGAGTGAGACTCTGTCTCAAAAAAACAAACAAACCTACTTCACAGGGTTATTAGGAAGATTAAATATGTTAGCATCTGTAAAGTATTAGGACAATACTTGGCACATATTAAGCTTTGTATCAGTGTTAACTGTCAATATTGTTACCCTCACAGTGACCATATTTTTCAGTTGAAAAATTAGGGTTTGTTTTTACATGTTTCCAAGTATGAGGGATGGTTGTCATTTTTCTCTGCCTTAATAATGGAATTTTTAAGATGTTTGAGTGGTTAAGGGAGGCAGCAGAGCAATTTAAAATAGATACCATTCTAGAAAATCTAGCAGACTGTATTAGTCTGTTTTGGCACTGCTGATAAAGAAATACCTGAGACTGGACAATTTACAAAAGAAAGAGGTTTAATTGGACTCACAGTTCCATGTGACTGGGGAGGCCTCAGAATCACAGTGGAAGGCAAGGAGGAGCAAGTCACAGCTTACGTGGATGGTGGGAGGCAAAGAGAGAGCTTGTGCAAAGAAACTCCCGTTTTTAAAACCATCAGATTTCGTGAGACCCATTCACTATTACAAGAACATCACAGGAAAGACCCGCCCCCATGATTCAGTCATCTCCTACCAGGTCCTTCCCACAACACATGGGAATTACGGGAGCTACAAGATGAGATTTGGGTGGGGACATAAAGCCAAACCATATCACAGACCTACTGGATTTAGGCAAATTTGTTTTTGTTTTTTTCAATTTATAAGCTGAGGTGTGAATATCAAGAACACTTAATACATAATAGTTTAAATGCCCCATTTGTTATAGTTTATGGTTGCTTTTGCTTTTATCATTCTTCTTTGGTCTCATCTACTTTTTGGAAAACAAATTATGTATTTGCTAGGAATGCTTTTTTTTGATACGATTGATTTAACCTTTTTTTTTTTTAAGACATCTACATTAGATTTATAATTCTGAGCCTTACTTGATGATGTACGGAGGAAAATATCTGACACTTCTTATTTCTCTAAGTCTTATTTCTTTTTGGGATTTTTAGGTTGTGGAGATGTTGGAGGTTCCCAATAAACCCACACAACTGTCGTACAAGTACTACTTTATGTCTGTGAATGCTGCAGATCGTGAAGACAGCCCTGCAATGGCATTGCTGCTGCAGCAGTTCAAGGAAAACATTCAGGACTTGGTTTTTCGTACAAAAACCGGGAAACAGACCAGAACCAATGCCAAGCGCAAGGTATGATTCCATATGAAAATGAGCACAGAATTTGTGTGTGTTAACTTGGTTGTGTTCTTTACTCATTTTTAATATGAGAAAGAACTAAGATACAGTTTTTAAGAGACGAGGCAGCAATAAGGCTTAAGTAACAATTGTCTACATTTTCTTGAAAATGCTTCTGTTTTAATTAAATAATTGTCCACCATTTTCCATGAGAGAACTTGTGAAACACAAAATATTTACTAATAAATTACCAGTGTTTAGGTCAGTATTTACTCAGTAAATACAATAACATTTGTTTTGGTTAACCCTGAGCTTTCTTCCAGTATTTTAACTATCTTAATGAATTGCATCACATGTACTTTTTTTTTTTTTTTTACCTGTTTGTGTTCTTTACTTAAATTCTAGTTGTCTGATGATCCATGTCCAGTAGAATCCAAGAAAACAAAACGAGCAGGAGAAATGTGTGCCTTCAATAAAGTTTTAGCCCACTTCGTCGCTATGTGTGATACAAATATGCCATTTGTAGGACTTCGGTTGGAGGTAAGTTTTTTGGAACAGTTCTGGATACCCCAAATGAAAGAGTAGTTTTTAAAATGTGTTGCTGAGGGTATATATAGATTCCATTAGGAAAAGCAGAATGTTTGTGATCCTGTTCATTTTGGGAGGAGTGGTAGGGTTACAATCATAGCATCTAATGGTATACATGTAAAACATGACTTGAATTATTTCATCTCTCTGATTCCAGATTCTGGGTCTTCTGCTCTTTATGGAAATTGAATGTAAAATTTTCCCAGTTAAAAAAAGTGGACAGGGCTGGGCACGGTGGCTCACACCTGTAATCCCAGCACTTTGGGAGGCCGAGGCGGGTGGATCACTTGAGGTCAGGAGTTTGAGTCCAGCCTGGCCAACATGGTAAAACTTTGTCTCTACTAAAAATACAAAAATTATCCGGGTGTGGTGGCACACGCCTGTAATCCCAGCTACTTGGGAGGCTGAAGCAGGAGAACTACTTGAACCCAGGAGGTATAGGTTGCAGTGAGTCAAGATTGCACCACTGCACTCCAGCCTGGGCAACAAAGCAAGACTCTGTCTCCAAAAAAAAAAAAAAAAAAAAAGATTAAAAGAAAAAGTGGACAGGCTGAGTGCAGTGACTGATGCCTGTAATCCCAGCACTTTGGGAGGCCAAGGTGGAAGGATTGCTTGAGCTTAGGAGTTCAAGACCAGCCTGGGCAACATAGCAAGACCTTGTCTCTTTTAAAAAAATTAAAGAAAAGCAAGTGGACAGTTTTTAAGAATTAACATTTTACTTTTATACCTCTTAGTAGGAGCATTGTTTAAGCCTATTAGAGATGGTTAGTTGATAGCCAGGTGGCTTATTTTTGAGTTGGTAAAGCCATGTATATTGATTAAGCCCTAGTAAAACCGGGATCCTTTCTAAGAAGCAGATCAGAAAGAATATTAAACTAAATTTTTACTTTTCTCACATGGGAGAAGCAATAGATTTATGCAGAATTAGTGCCTTGAAAGAATACGCAGTTGTGATATCCAATATAATCCTCAAACGTGAAAGGGAGGTAACAGACCTGCACTTTTTGTATTTCCAAAAAGGAGTTTGGCCAAGGATGGGTAGCCCCTCAAAAGTGATACACTAAAACCCCAGTTATTTCCCTGTAGGTTAAAGTTTTATGTTTTGTAAGAATCCCCTCCTCTGTAAGTTATTGTGAATGAAGGAGAGACCTGGAAATGTGAAAATGGACTTTTTCAGTTGGGCTGATGATGATGGCCTTGGGAAGATTTGTTGAAAATAGCTTTCATGCTTTAGAACAGGGATTGGGAAACTTTTTCTGTAAAGAGCCAAATATAAATATTTTAGACTTTGTCGGTCAAGTGGTCTCTGTTATAGCTACTCAAATCTGCTGTTGTAGTGTGAACCAGCCAGAGCTGATATTTAAACAAATGAGCATGGCTGTGTTACGGTAAAAAACTTCATTTACAAAAACAGGCAGTGGGCCGGGCACGGTGACTCATGCCTGTAGTCCCAGCACTTTGGGAGGCCGAGGTGGGCAGATCACCTGAGGTCAGGAATTTGAGACCAACCTGGCCAACATGGTGAAACCCCGTCTCTACTAAAAATACAAAACTTAGTCAGGCATGGTAGCGGGCGCCTGTAATCCCAGCTACTCGGGAGGCTGAGGCAGGAGAATTGCTTGAACCTGGGAGGCGGAGGTTGCAGTGAGCCAAGATCAAGCCACTCCAGCCTGGGTGACAGAGCGAGACTCCTTCTCAAAACAAACAAACAAAAAAACCAGGCAGTGGGCTGGATTTGGCTCATGAGCTGTTGTTTGCCAACTCCTGCTTTACAGGAATTTGGGATCTGTAGGCAGAGGATAAGGTGTGAAATTGTAAAGAGCCCAGAGAGAAACCCAAGCCTAGAAACAGGCACCTAAAATAAATACTCATGTCCTTGATGACCCAGCTCCTAGAACTGTGAGCCTGATGAATGTCCTCTTATCTGGATACTGGCCTTAGCTCCTAAACTGTGGAGTGTGTCCATGTTTCCTATGTAATTGACTGTGTTCTTGGACTCTTTTATTGTGTTATTTGGATTGATTATATGAATATCATTCAGTTACTACCTTTGCAGTGGGAAGGGAAGATGGATATGTGGTGCTGAGGCAAAGCAATGCATTTATATCCTCTCTTCCCCTACCCACAGGCCAGAATTGGCAAAAATGTGTGTCTTTGTAGGCCTACGTAGGTTAATGACTGTAGACATACGTCCTCTCTGTCCACCTTCTCTGTATTCCTATACCTGCTGCACATATGGGACACAGATGAACATTCTGTAGTTCTCTATTGAACTCAGTCAAGCTCTTAAAAACTTACCTACTTTTTATTCTCAGTGAACATTCTAGCTATGTTAAAGATAAAAGCAAGTATATTTTCTGCTTAAAGTAATTTAGGCTGAGATGTGAATAACTAAAACTAAATCTCATCTTATAAGGGATGTTTATATATCTTTTTTTTTTTTGAAATGGAGTTTCACTCTTGTCACCCAGGCTGGAGTGCAATGGCGCAATCTTGGCTTACTGCAACCTCCACCTCCCTGATTCAAGCGATTCTCCTGCCTCAGCCTCCCAAGTAGCTGAGATTACAGGCATACACCACCACACCCAGCTAATTTTTGTATTAGTAGAGACGGGGTTTTACCATGTTGGCTAGGCTCGTCTTGAACTCCTGACCTCAGGTGATCCAACTGCCTCGGCCTCCCAAAGTGCTGGGATTACAGGTGTGAGCCACCGCATCTGGCCGGATGTTTATATATCTGATTGATAGAATAGCAGCAACATTTTTGAGCTGGCCCACACTTCATTTCCTTTTGAATCTGAACCCCTACTTCCTATTTGGTAGCAGCTATTTTTCTAAACCTTTCCCTTTCCCAGGCCCAAAGAGCAGGGCTCACT
This sequence comes from Homo sapiens, assembly GCF_000001405.40. Taxonomy (NCBI): domain Eukaryota; kingdom Metazoa; phylum Chordata; class Mammalia; order Primates; family Hominidae; genus Homo; species Homo sapiens. The sequence goes on along the minus strand of NC_000023.11, from coordinate 40,689,258 downwards.
CAAATACCTGGAACTTCCTTAAATCCTTTCCAGAACATGGTAGATATAAATAGTCTGTCATGCAAGACCTGGGAATATCTGCCAAAGGCAAGCATTTCTTTAGATCAGATGACTTTCTGGCATACTGTAATTACTTGCAGTCCCATGGAAAGGGTTTCAGGCACTATCTCTGCATTTATCTTTTTAATTTGCTTTCTGAATCCTTTAATTGGGAAAGAGATGTCATTGGGTAAATGCACAAATTGGAAATCTTTTCTTGGGTTTCACATAGGAAGTAGTTTAATTCTTAAAAATGTATTTCAGAAATGTTGTAAACTAAAAAATATCATTTAGAAATAAGCTATGACAGTGACTCAAACATTGTTTTGAACAAACAGAAGAGAATTACACGAGAAACCATTCTTGTGGCCTCTTGAACTACTAAAATTGATTCTAGATTACTTTTGGCTCCCTGCAAAAATTAGACTAATCTCCTAAATTTTGAATATTTGCCACTTGTGGAGGTGTTTCTTAAACTAGATGCACTGGGACAGCTTTGAGTTCCACTGGACTTCATGTCGTTTCCCAGGGAATCTAATGATGGGGATAATACTCATGCCTAATATGTTGTAACTTGGGGAAAGGATGGTCCTAGAACAGGTGCCACAAGAATAGAGACCGTAGTACTTAGAAATGGTAGTTGTTTTTGTAAAATTGGTCGTCTGATATAATTGTTTTTCTCTTTCTAGTTGTCCAATCTGGAGATTCCACATCAAGGAGTGCAAGTGGAAGGTGATGGCTTCAGCCATGCAATTCGCTTATTAAAGTAAGCCCCTGTCATATGTTTCACTTGGTGCCACATGTTGCAGTCACACTCTGAAAGCTGCTTCTCTTTCATGAGACAACATAAAGCAGTGTTCAGAACCTGTGGGTGTTGTGGATTTCTGCATAGAGTTACTAGGGTCTGGGGGAAGATTCCTTTAATCTATGGAGTGGCAATCCAGCATCACTTGGTTTTGTTTTTTTTGTTGTTTGTTTGTTTGCTTGTTTTGAGACAGAGTCTCATTCTGTTGCTCAGGTTGACTGGAGTGCAGTGGCATGATCTTGGCTCACTGCAGCCTCCCAACCTCTGCCTCCTAGGTTCAAGCAATTCTCGTGCCTCAACCTCCCGAGTAGCTGGGACTACAGGCACACACCACGACGCCCAGCTAGTTTTTGTGTATTTTTAATAGAGACGGGGTTTCACCATGTTGACCAGGCTGGTCTCGAACTCCTGGCCTCAAGTGATCCACCCACCTCGGCCTCCCAAAGTGTTGGGATTACAGGCATAAGCCACTGCACCTGGCCTCACTTGGTATTTTTGGATGTCTTTTCTCTGCATTTCTTTGATTCGTTCAGCAGATATGCATTGAGTGTGACTGTGTGTCAGGCTTGAATTCTGACATCCCCTCAGAATGCTGTGGGTTCATAAAGCAGAGGAATATGGGCTAGTTCAGAAGTCAGGAAGGGTATCCCTGAGGAAGTACCAGTTATACTTGGACTGAAGGAGAGGTGAGAATTAGTCAGAGGAAAGTGGGGCAGAGGCAGTGGGAGGTCCTAACCAGAGGGATAACTGCTAATGTGAAGGCTTGGAGGGAAGAGAGAGCTTGGCATTTTTGTGCTGAAAGGAGTTCGGCATGGCAGGAGATGGGAGAAATGAGGCTGGAAATGTACGCAGGAAGGGGTCACATCCTTTAGGCCTATGTAAATGTCCTTCAACAATTTAGGCTTTATCCTAATGGCACTAAGAAGCTATCAGATGATTTTAAGCTAAAACTGACATCATTAGATAGGTGTTTTTGAAAGCTCAACCTGATAGCAATATGGAGAATAAATTGAATGGGAACAAGACTAAAGTAATGAAACCACTTGTTGAAGTGGTTCACATTAGAGTTGTTGGTAGCTCAGAGTAGGGTACGTTCCACAAGGAGTTAGGAGAGAAAATATTCACGAGTTATGATTAGATTGGTGTTGAAGGTGAGAAAGAGGGGAAAGTGGCAAAGATGATTCTTGGTTTTATCTTGGGCAAATGATGGATGGTGGCAGTGTTTTCTGAGATCAGGGACACCAAAGATGTGAGTTTGAATGGACTTTGCTAAGTTTAAGGTGCCTGAATACCCTTTGGGCAGGCAGAGATGTGTTTCAAGCTCAGGTAACAGATCTGGGAAGGAGAAGTAGATAAAGTCATCACCATGGTGATAGTAATTGAGCTGGGGTAGTAAATTAGATCACCAGGAAAGAGTATACAGAAGGAGATGGGCATAGGGCTTAAGTTCTAATGGACAAAGGACGAGGAGCCAAAAGATGCTTAGAAGTAAAGCTAATGTGGTACATGTGCTTTAAAAGTGACCCAGTATGGACTTGCAAAGCCAGAATACCATCTAAGAGATCAACCTTTTTGGTCCAGGAAACAGGTTTCTTTGCAAAGGAGGGGTACACTTTATTGTTTCCCAGATGTTGCTTAATGATATAAATTATATAAGCAATTTTTATTTATTGAATTCCTCTGTCTGCTAAGACATAGCAGCTCTGCAATTTGAGCAGTGGGGCTTTACCATTTGTTATCTAGGAATCTGTTTCCGTGGAAGGTAGATAGAGCTAGCAAATAGTGTCACATAACCCATGTGTCATTAGTGCTCACTTTAGATACTACAGAATTGAACTAGAATAGTTCCTCTTCCTGGCTATCTTAACAACATTTCCACAAAAACGTTTTCAGGAGAGAGAGAGCTAGTCTTAAAATGGAAATCAGTAGGAAAATGCAATACTTCCAATTGCATTTGGTTTTGAATTGCTTTGCCTTGAATATAGGTTTTTTTTTTCTTTTTACTCTTCTAGGCACCTGTAGATAAGTTGATAATGTTAACATTTGCATTCTATTCTCTTAGTTGTATTTTTCATGGTTTGTGAAATTTTAAAAATATCTTGTTCTCGGCATTTTTACAAGAGAAATTTCAGTCTCCTTTCTTCTTGAACTCAAGAGAATGCGTAAGAGTCCTACCTAGGAAGGAAGTACTTTATATTTTTTAGCTTCATTTTATAATAATTCTTAAAGTCTTTAATCTTGGCTTTTGTTTTCTTTATTTTAAAATGTAAAGGAAAATATACATAAACGGATATGTTAAAGATGACTGTTGGTCCAGTAAGTGCTGTCCATTATTGGGGTAGGGTATAGAAGTGAAGAAGAAAAAAATGTAAATAATAAATGTCTCAACATGATTTTATTAAAATCCTATATAGACCTAATGAGTATGGAATTGGACTCATGCATTTATTCTTTAGAAACTCTTGTAACAAGCTTTTAGTTCTGGATATATTAATATTGAATATGAATATGAGTTGATACTTCAAAGCTTTAAAATTGGCACACTTTCCTTCTCTTTGCCAAAAATACATTCTGTTCTTGTTCTACTTTATCCCCTTGAAAATTTGTTAAGCAGGCCTCCTTGATGCATCTCTGCAATCATAGTATCAAATGGATCATAGTAAATTTCTTTGATTGCTATGATTCATGGACCTGTTGCCTTGTGCAAATTCAAGAGCCTTGATCCTATAACCCAAATTAGGATTGGGACACAAGTTTTGAGAGAGCAGCATGCTCATGGTGCCTAGTTTTGAACGCTTCAGCAAACTTCCCACCTTCTCGTTGAACTCATGTCACAGTCATGTGCAGTAGTAAAGGTCCTCTGGCCACACCCACGAGGGTTTTTCATTTCCTCCATTTTGTTTCTTTGCCTCCTGTAGCTTATGCTGATAATGCACAGGCACAGCTCTTTTTTTGCAAGTTGTGCAGCCCAGCTTGTCCTTCATACACGTGTGCAATCTTTATAAAAACCTCTTCACTTTCCTTTTAGGCACACTCATGCTGCTTTTGCTAGCACTGTCAGTGATCTCCCTGGTTTTGCACTGCAGGGCCATAGTGGGGTTAATGATGTTTGTAAAAGCCCTCACAACAAAGCTGACACACATCTGCCAGACCTTAAAAGACCATAGCCTGGCTCCTCAATTTGTTTAGTACTGAGAAGTACAGGAGAAAAGTTGGTTAGGAGCAGCTGTGTAAATCAAACATTTTTGAATTGGTAAAAATTTTCAGATAGGTTAATCCATTGTCCAGAAAATACCTTCCTCGGTTCTTAATTTTTAGGTACTATAATAGTATTTTGCAGTATTTTAAGTTTGTAACAATTTTGTCAGGTTTCCTTTTGGGGAACCTGGTTTCGGGTTGTTGCTTTTTTCCCCTCACATGATCATGCTGGGAAGATAAAAGTTACAGTTTATTTTTATTCATTCTGTTCCATTCATAACCTTAAAAGCAAGTAACTATTTTACGAATTCCTTGAGGTAGAGCTCATTGTATCTGCATCACAGATTAAAGTGATATACAGTGCACTTTCAGGGTTCCGCTGTCCCTAAGAGCATAAATGGGAAAAGAGGCTTACACTGATGTTAGTTCTCACTTGAACACATGCTGGCTTCTGTGCTTTCCTTTTCTAACTAGATAGATTTTGTGAAAAACCTGTTTTATTTGAAAGGAAGATAATGTACTGCATTTATATTTTCAAACTTGAGATTTAAAAAATCTGTCTGAATTGGCTGCTTTATAACTCCTACGGAGAGGGCTATGTCGTGAGGGGTAAGGGCAGGCAAGTCCTCAGTATACCTGTCACGTTGAAGAACGGATAGGTAGTTTATGCAATTTCTGTAATAACTACCCAAAATACAGTTGCACAAAATCTTTCTGGCAGTGATAAAAAGTATGTAGTGTGAAAGATTAACTTTTGAAAAACTTCAAAAGCTGTATATTGAAGAGGAGCTGTGATAGAAGTTTTAATTAGCACATGCAATCTATTTTTTGCTCTCTTAAGTTGTTTATTCCAGGTCAGTGGTTCTCAACCCCAGGGCAGTTTTGCCCTGCAGGGGACTTCTGGCAATGTCTGCAGATGTTTTTGATCATTAACTGAGAAGAGGGAGTAGGAAGTGCTACTGGCACCTAGTAGGTAGAGGCCTGGGCTGCACAAGACAGCCCCCTCACCCCGCAACAAAGGATTTTCCAGCCCCAAATGCCAATCCTGCCAAGACTGAGAAACTTTGTTATATTCTGAATTAAGGGGTCTGAACCAAGATTCTCTAATTCCAATTATATTTGTTGTTTTTTTGCCTCAATATAAATATTTATTATACCAAATCTGAGAATTAACCACCTTCTGTATGAGTTAAAGGTTATATATAATTAAGTAATCTCATTATTTCATCTCACTGAAATAACTCATGAATAGCTAAAATATATTACCTCATCATGTTTTATGACCAATGAGATAGTTTGTAAAACGGTAGAAGGAAAATGGATAGGTAGGTATTTTAAGACACCAAGCTACTACATTCCTCTTGTATATGTGATGTATGTGTGACAATATGTATGTTAAATGAGTTAACACATGTAAAGCTCTATGAAAATAAGAGTTACCTCTACAGAGGAGGAGGTGGCAAAGTGGGGATAATGAACCTGGAATTTTATCATGGTTATTCAGTCAGTGACCAAGATTTGGTTTTACTGCAAGGGAGAATTAACATACATGGGGCCAGGCTTGGTGGTGTGCACCTGTAATTCTAGCTACTCGGGAGGCTGAGGTGGGAGGATCGCTCAGGAGTTCAAGGCTAGCCTGGGCAACACAGCAAGACAACATCTCTTAAAAAACAAAACATATGAATACTTGCTGTGTCAGCCACCATAAGCACTTTCATTTTCTTCGTCAATGACACATAAGGTAATTCTTCATCTCTATTTTGTAGCTGGGAAATTCAGAGACATTAAATGTGGCTGAGTCAGAGTTAGAATGTGGGTCTCTGACTCCAAGGCCCTTATTCTTTGTACTATATCATTCTGTCTTCAAAGAGTGGTTTTATAAGGATTTGGTCCCCTTAGCTTTTCCTTGAGGATGTTCTAGATAGATTTTGTAGAAAACCAGTATTCTTGATTTTCATTCTGTAGAATTGTAGTCTTTTTTAAAGAACAAAATTATGAATAAAGACAAGCATCACTGTTAAAATGAGAGTTCTAATCCATATTGATGTGAATGGAAATGGATTAAATACTATTAATTGCTGTGAATTGCTTCCTCCTTTTGCAGAAGGTATCTAGAAGTGGAGTTTGAACTGAAGCTGTAATGTCATACCTTGTCTGTCATTGTGTACATTGTGCTTTGTCTGTGTAAAGTATACTTCATATGCTGTCTTTTATCACCAGAATTCCTCCCTGTAAGGGTATAACTGAGGAAACCCAAAAGGCTCTGGACCGCTCTCTTCTTGATTGCACTTTCCGATTACAAGGTAGAAATAACCGCACTTGGGTAGCAGAGTTAGTGTTTGCAAATTGTCCACTTAATGGCACTTCTACTAGGGAGCAAGGTGAGATGTTTCACACATTTTGTCTTTGCATATTTCTGGATTTTTTTGGTATCGATTACTATTAATATTCTCTTTTAATCCTGTAGGACCATCCCGGCACGTTTACCTGACATATGAAAATCTGTTGTCTGAGCCTGTTGGTGGTAGAAAGGTGGTTGAAATGTTTCTTAATGACTGGAATAGCATTGCACGATTATATGAGTGTGTGTTGGAATTTGCACGTTCTCTACCAGGTACGTGTGGAGATAATCTCCTTTTTAAATAAATTAAAAAAAAAAAGCCCTCACCCTTTTTTTAACTGAAGTGAAACATGCACAGTGTTCCAAGCAAAAAAATCAAAGTATATCTAATAAAACTTAAGTATTCCTTTCACTTCAGACTTCAATTTCCTTCCCCTAAAGACAACCACTGTTAAGTTTCTTTTGTTTGCAAAAATTTTACACACAGGTATACCATATCATAATAATAGTGCTTATTTACTGTGTGGCATACAATATTATAAACAGTTTGCTTGTGTTAACAAATGAGTTTTCACAATCTTCACAATCACAATCATGAGGGTAGGTATTATTCCTCATTTTACAGAAGAAAACAAGTTGCAGAGACTAAGAACTTTGCATAAAGTCCCATAGCTAGTGAGTGGCAGAGTTGGAATTGGAACCCTCTAACCACTATGCTAGACTGCTTCAGTATATCTCACCTACCCTTGCCCCCTTTTGTAGAAACGGAAGCATATTATCTGTTTGTGCTGTTGCTTTTTTTAAAAAACTAAATTACTTAACTAGAGACCTGTCTGGGCATATAATATTGCCAAAATGCCCTGTTACTCAAATTTATATTTTAAAATTTTACATGTATAATATTAATCTCCTTTTTGTTTCCTTCTGTTTAGACATACCTGCTCATCTAAATATTTTCTCAGAAGTTCGTGTTTATAATTACCGAAAACTTATCTTGTGTTATGGAACCACCAAGGGAAGCTCAGTAAGTCTGATTAAAATGCTGAAGTTCCTGTCTTATGAATCTTAAAAATCAAGAATTAAAAAAACATGAAAATTACCTTAATATAAGTAAGAGCTCAAGTAAAAGTTAGGGATAAAATGGTAAATTTTAAATGCTTTGTGGCTATAAATATAGTATACTATAATGCTTAACTCTTTAAAATTGAAAACAAAAATAATACCCTATGATGGGGTATATAATCTTGAAGCAATTTGGACAAGGTAATGTACTGATGGTGTTTGTATTTTTTTCTTCACTGATTACAGATTTGCTTGGCAATGTGATTATTGTAAGGAAAATTGTGTATGAGTGGTTATAACAATATGGTATGTTTTTGCTTTTGGTCACATGAATGTTAACATTATTTCATCTTAACTTAATCTTGAAGTATTTCCTGTAATCTATAGTTCTTTATTTTTTTTCCCACCTCATATGTAAAGTCCTAGAAATGTAGTATAAAAATGCAGCCAGCTGGTTTCTCTCTAGACTTCTACGTCAAGTAATGTCAGGTTACTTGAGCTTTTTAAAATCTGTTAACCAAGTGTATCTGTGTCCAGAGTGGCGCCCTTCCCCTTTATGACAGTGCTCCTTAGTTGATGGTACCAAAAGTGTGACTCTTCTTCAGTTCAAGAGAAAAACGAAAAGAAACACTAATGATAATTTTCAAATAAAGTTTAATAAAGTTGTTTTAGCGCCTTTCTGTTTTATTTAGTAAAAGAGGACTAACACATGGTCAGGGAGTGTACTGTTCAATATTAACAGCACATCTGGAGTTCGAATCCAGTCTTATTTTATTGCTTGTTTTCCAAAAAAAAATTCCATTTAGATTTTTGGCGTTTTGCCTTACTTTTAACATTTTTTTTTTCTCCTACTTGAATCTGTTACTTTCTCAGTTTCTGAAACATGTAATCTTTTTTATTTAGATTAGTATCCAATGGAATTCGATCCATCAAAAATTCCACATTTCTTTGGGAACTGTTGGCCCAAACTCAGGTTGCAGTAACTGTCACAATACCATTCTCCATCAGCTTCAAGAAATGTTCAACAAAACACCAAATGTGGTTCAGTTATTACAGGTAATTAAGTTTATTTTCTGTCTAAAAATAAGACTTAGTATGCCAGCCGTGCTGGTTCACACCTGTAATCCCAACCCTTTGGGAGGCCGAGGCGGAAGGATTGCTTGTGCTCAGGAGTTCAAGACCAGCTTGGGCAATGTGGCAAAACCCTGTCTCTACAAAAATACAAAAATTAGTCAGTTGTGGCGATGCACGCCTGTAGTCCCAGCTACTTGGGAGGCTGAAGTGGGAGGATCACCTGAGCCTGGGGAGGTCAAGGCTGCAGTGAGCGGTGATTGTGCCACTGTACTCCAGCCTGGGTGTCGGAATGAGACCCTGTCTCAAAAAACAAACAAACAAAAAACAGCATTTAGTGTCTCAGGCAAAACTCTTCAAAAGATCATGGGGACTTGTCTTTAATGACTAAGGCTGATAATTTTGTCTTTTATATCTTGAACACTTCTTTGAGAATTTTCTTTGATTCAGTGTGGACCCAGTGATCTAGTTTGCATTCTCTTCAAGGGGAAGTTTTATGGAATGTGCCAGAAGGACGTTGTTTCATTTTTGACAGTTATACACTGAAAATTCTGAGGTTTTAACATTTGTACAGAAACTGGCTGCTCTCACTGTGTTTGTTCCTTATAGGTACTGTTTGATACTCAGGCTCCATTAAATGCCATCAACAAACTCCCCACTGTGCCGATGTTGGGCTTGACCCAGAGAACCAATACTGCCTACCAGTGCTTCTCCATTCTGCCACAGTCGTCCACCCACATCAGACTGGCCTTCAGGAACATGTATTGCATTGATATATACTGCCGGAGTCGAGGTGTTGTGGCAATACGGGATGGTGCCTATAGTCTTTTTGATAACAGCAAACTAGTTGAAGGTTTCTATCCTGCACCAGGACTAAAGGTAACAGACTTTAGTGTTATAACATGAGTAAACATAAAAATTATCTCTAAAATAGTTTCTTTGAGGGGGAAATAATGGGGAAAAGCAACAAATTCCTGTTTAAATTTAGTAAGTAGCAGTGTTAACTCATCATCTGTATAACGTCATTCTGAAGGAGCTAGAAGTTCTGATAAAGTGTTGTGCTTATGTGTATGAGATGATTAAAAGTATTTTTCTTTATATTCTTACCTTCTGATCAGTAGGGTGAAGATACTAAAAACAATTTGTGTTTGGTCTTTGGAACTTTAAAAGTAGTTTTTATCATTGATTTTTGAAAAGGTTTGGTCATCAATTCTACTGTGATGCTTATTTATTTATGAGACAGAGTCTCACTCTGTCACCCAGGCTGGAGTGCAGCGGCACAATCTTGGCTCACTGCAACTTCAGCCATGTGGGTTCAAGTGCCTCTCCTGCCTCAGCCTCCCCAGTAGCTGAGATTATAGGCATGCACCACCACACCTGGCTAATTTTTGTATTTTTAGTAGAGATGGGGTTTCACTATGTTGGCCTGGCTGGTCTTGAACTCCTGACCTCAGGTGATCCACCTGCCTCAGCCTCCCAAAGTGCTGGGATTACAGGCGTGATGTAATCTGTGCCTGGCCTGATGCATTTAAAAAATGTAAGGTCCTGGGACCCTCCCAAAGTGCTAGAATCACAGTAACCTGTGCCTGGCCTGATGCTTTTTAAAAATGTAAGGTCCTGGACCACAACTGCCAGAGTGGTTAACTGATGTGATAGCTCAGTTGTATGTGTTTTTAGTCTAGAGTCAAATAAATCTAAAAGGCTTGATTTGAAAAATAGTCTCCTGCAACCCACTCTTGTCATTTTCTTGCTCCCCAGATGCCTTGTTTTCAGTTCTTATGTAGCTGATTCTCTTGGTATTTATATCTTTATCTCTAAGTAGAATGCCTACATTGCTATTTGTTTACTTTTTGGTTGAGGGCATTATCTGATTCTCACAATGGAAGATGAGTATTCTTTTTTCTATTTTTTTTTTCTGTTTTTCTTTTCTTTTTTTGGAGACAGGGTCTCGTTCTGTCCTCCTGGCTGGAGTGCAGTGGCATGATCATGGCTCACTGCAGCCTCAACCACCAGGGCTAAATCCATCCTCCCACCTCAGCGTCCCCAGTAGTTGGGACCACACCCGGATAATTTTTGTATTTTTTGTAGAGATGGGGTTTCTTCTTGTTGCCCAGGCTTTAATTCTTATTAAATTTTTTTTTATGTGTGCTTTCCCCCTTCCAGGCTGCTCTCAGTGCATAAACACATTTGTCTTTCCTCCTATCTTTGTAACATGGTTAGGTAGCAATTTTGATTAGATTATTTTTCAGCATTTGTGCAGTTATGAATATGTAAGCGCTGCTGCAACCAAGCTTACTATGATTATTTTTCCTGTCTTGCTCAACATTTTATTTTATTGGGAATTATTAATTGGGTCTTTTTTGGTTTCGCTTTCTCTGTAGTACCTATCACTAATTAACCTTAAACTCTTCTCCTAGTTATGTAACTCCTTTTAGTATGTTCAAACATATCAAGATAACTTATTGATTTCATCTTGAAGAAATCTCTTCAATAGGCCTCTGACCTGCTCCAATTTGGACTGATAGCAGTCTGGGCTTTCTACACAGTGTTCACTTAAGAATCTGCAAAAGGATGAAAGGGGAGATTCCTTCATTTCTCTTTTATGTTGCACATTGCATGCCTTGTGTGGTGGGCGCCTTGTTTTTTTTCTTGGTTTACTTCATTGTTTTGATTACTGGGAGAAGGTACATGGGGGGTGGGGAATTAATTTGAAATCACATATGCCTGAAAGCATCTTTAGTTTACCCTCATCTAACTGAAGTGGCTAGATAAAGAACTCTAGGTTGCAATCATTGTCTGTAAAAATTTTGAAGGTACTACTTCATTGTCTCCTGGCTTCCATTGTGACTATTGAGATGTGTAATGAGTTCACACTGTTGAACATTATGTGACTTGAGTGGGCTCTTTCTGTCTGAAAACTTAATATCCTTTTGCTTTGGGAAATTTCCTTGCACTATTTCTTGGTTCATCTCCATTGTTTTCTCTGTTAGCTCGTTCGAGTACTCCTAATGTTCTGATGCTAGGCATTGTGGACTTGTCCTCCAATTTTCTTATTTCTTTTGTTTTTTTGTCTCTTTTTTCTGGGAGATACCTCACTTTTTTCCTCTAATCCCTCTATTTTTTATTTCTACCAATATTTTATTTTGGCCATTCTTTAAAAAATTTTTTCAAAAGGTTTTTTTTGTTTCTAAATGTTTATTTTAAACATTCTATTATATGGCAACATTACTTTTTCTTTTTATCCTACATAATCTCTATTTTATTCACCTTGCTTTTGTGTGTGGGGGGGTGTGGTATTGATTTCTTTTATATTAGTGTCTTTCCTCAAATGTTAAGCGATTCTTAACTCTCTGCTCTTATTTAAAGGTAAGACTTATTGACTGTGGTCTTCATTGCAGGATGATCTCCTTGGGCCATTTCTTTGGGAAACTCCCGATATCAGTAGCTTTAGGTCTTTTTGTTGGGCTGGTGTGAGTACCAAGACAGGAGTATCCAAATCTTCTGCATAGATGGTATGCATCTTGCTTTCAATATTGGGAAAGTCAAATGAAAAAACGAGTATTCTCAAATTTATGTAGACTTTGATCCCCATTTTTTATATAGTAGTCCTTCTCTGAGTTGGTCTTTGGCATCCCTCAAGTCAGAGATCCTCCTCCATGGTGGAAGAGATAACCGAGCTCAGTGAGAATAGCAGAGGATCTGGGAGGGTCTAAGTGTCTCTTAGACTTTCACTTAGTCCTTCTGTTATTAGTCCCACTTTTATCCCCACTTCCAAAGGTACCCATATTAGTCTGTTTTCACATTGCTGTAAAGATACTACCCAAGACTGGGTAATTTATAAAGGAAAGAGGTTTAATTGACTCACAGTTCCACGAGCTTAACAGAAAGAACGGCTAGGAGGCCTCAGGAAATTTACAATCGTGGTGGAAGGTAAAGGGGAAGCAAGCACGCCTTACATGGCTGCAGGGGAGAAGCGTGAGAGCAGGGGAAACTGCTACTTATAAAACCATCAGATCTGGTGAGAACTCACTATCACAACAGCATGGGGGGAACTGTCCCCATAATCCAATCAATCGGTCCCTCTCTCAACACGGGGATTACAATTCGATTACAATTCAAGATGAGATTCGGGTGGGGACACAGAGCCAAACCATATCAGTGCCTGATACTGCCAGTTCCAAAGTATCTCAGGGATCTGGATGGAAATAGCTTGCTTCTTGGCTTTTCCCACAGCTTACTTAGGATACAACTTTCTCACATTGGATGGTTCTAGTTGCTACTCAGCCATCTGCTTTGCAGCCTCCCGGATGTATTGCTGTTTCTTCTCTTCTCCTATTCTTTTTGTCTTTGTTACTTATTGCTTCAAAAAATTCTTTCCAGTAGTTTAGTGGGGAAAGAATGCAATGTGTGTTGTGAGCCCATCATCTTTAATTAAAAGTAGACTGTAGACTTCTTTTTTGAGACAGGGTCTCACTCTGTCGCCCAGGCTGGAGCGCAGTGGTGGGATCACGGCTCACTGCAGCCTCAACTTCCCGGGCTCAAGCAGTCCTCCCATCTTAGCCTCCCTAGTAGCTGGATCCACAGGTGTGCACCACCATGCCTGGCTGATTTTTCTATTTTTTGTAGAGATGAGGTTTTGCCATTATTGCCCAGGTTGGTCTCGCAAGGGATCCTCCCATCTTGGCCTCCCAAAGTGCTGCGATTATAGGCATGAGCCACCATGCTCAGCCCACTATGGACTATTAATAGCTCTCTAGTGATTCTGATAAGCTTATGATTCAAATATGTGTATATTCGAATACTGGGGATGTGAGGAGTGTTAAAGAGAATCTGTGCTTGAAACACAAACTCTGATAGCTTTGCTCAGTTTTGACAATATGTAAAACAAGGCTGTCCCACTCTTAATGGTTCAAGATTAAATTATATAATATAAAAAAGGAAAAAATTGGATCGTTTCTTACTCAGTTTTCCTTTCATATTTTCTAGTTTAAAAAGTGAGATGGCTCACTAGCTGGGAAATTTTCCAAGTCATTGAAGTTATGGCCAATATGCTTTTCATTTTTTACCCCCATTTCTGGATTAGAAGTTAATAAGAAAATATTATGATCTGATGGTAAGAGGTGCCAGGATGTACTTCTTTCTTCAACTTTTTGCTCACACAATATTTCTTAGTCAATATGACTTTTTTTAGATGCTGTTTTTGTTAACTGTTTTCCTCAGTTTCCCGCTTCAAAATTAACAATATTTCTTCTAGGTTGTCCTAGTAACGATCTTCAAGGATCAACATACTGTGTTTCTGTTTAAATATTCTAAATAATTTAAAATATTTTACTAATAATGTTAGGTAAAATAATCTAAATTTTACCTGTTTATATCCGTAGACGTTCCTGAATATGTTTGTTGACAGCAATCAGGATGCTCGAAGAAGGTCTGTAAATGAGGACGATAATCCCCCTTCTCCTATAGGAGGAGATATGATGGATTCTTTAATATCGCAGCTCCAGCCACCACCCCAGCAACAGGTAATATCTAGCCAGAATTCCAAGTGGTATCACATTTCTGTAACTTCACAGGTTCTATAGGTGTCAAGACTTCATTGAAAGACAAGGAGGTCCTTGGTGGGCCTGAGATGCCCAGGAAATACTTATGAAATAAAGAGTTACAGAAGGAGGCGAGGAGACTTCCAGTGACAAGAAATGAATAGTGTTGGAAACAGCATTAATCTCAGGTCATTCACACACTTAAAATGATGTTATATGATTCCAGAGATGGAAATACCATCCGCAGGATCTGAGATCTTTGAGAGAGTTTCCTTACCTTGTCTTGAAGGACAGATGCTATTAAAGTAGAGCACAGTAGACTAAATGTCTAGCGATGTTCAGTAGGGACTCCTACAGAGAACAGGTGGACAAATTTTCAGGGTTCTGTCCTCAAGACCATTTGGATAAGCCACATTATAGAACCATAAGAGCTTTCAGTTCTGTCCTGTCACCTTCACATGTCTGAGAGTTGAACAGGCCCCTAGGCTAGCCATTGTTCTCTCACTGACCCTCCTGAAATAGAAGGTGAACAGTGATTGTTTAGCCCTTCAACAGTCCTTTGTGACTCCCTAGTCTGGAAAATCCTCAATGGGGCTGTAGACTCTGGGCCGGAGTCTTCAGGGGCTTCATTTTTAGTTGTATATGAGCACACAGCCTGTAGGCAAGGCTCTTTGGCACATCCTTTAGTTTTGGTTTACGAAATAGCTCACTGCTTCTCATCCAGAAGCTTTCATGAATAACATTGCTTGAAACCAGCATTGTGCAGAGAATCCTCTTAGCTTATTTTATTGCTTAGCTTCTGGTCTGGCTACTTAGTGACTACAACTTTCCAGTGCTTAAATCTTTGAAAAAGTACTAGATTCTTACTAGAAGGAGGGTTTTGTGGAAGCTGTATTGTTCCTGGCAGCTATTTAGGGTTACTTGCCTTGTCACTGTTTCCCTTCTTGGCCTTCATGTAGAACAGGGAAGCTCAGTAAAGGCCTATGCGAATGTCTCTGTGTAGCCGAGGTGCGGGGCTCTTGTGACAGACATTGACTCAGATGAGATACTAGCCCTTTGAAGATGCTGGGCCACCATGGGAGAGAAGTACCTTGGCCCAGCGGATATCAGAGCAGCTTTTTTCTTGTGGAAGCCACTTTCTTGCATTTTCAATCTTTCCTGTACCTGATATGGAGCAGGGGATGAGCCACATCCTTTGGGGGAAAGAAGTAACTGAGTTGGGCTGGCTGATGACCATGGCCGTAGCAGGGCCAATGTTATAGGGGGAATGGAGGGAGAATGTGGTCCATTATTCTCTCCCTCTCCCAAAATAAGTTGTTCATTGGCCCCTCTATAATGATTTTTTTTTTTTTTTTTGAGATGGAGTTTCGCTCTTGTTGCCCAGGCTGGAGTGCAATGGCGTGATCTCAGCTCACCACAGCCTCCGCCTCCCAGGTTCAAGTGATTCTTCTGCCTCAGCCTCCTGAGTAGCTGGGACTACAGGCATGCATCACCATGCCTGGCTAATTTTGTATTTTTAGTAGAGAGGGGGTTTCTCCATGTTGGTCAGGCTGATCTCGAACTCCCGACCTCAGGTAATCTGCCCGCCTTGGCCTGCCAAAGTGCTTTTGTTACTGAAAAAAATCATAATTTGACACAGTGAGAGCCTGCAGCGCTAGTTTATTAGATATTCTGATTTGGCTAAGAGCAATATACACCCAGTAACATTTCATACTGAACATGAGATTTCTAAGTAGGAAAATAGTTGCAGGCTAAGGCAGAAGGATTAGAAGTGGGTAGATTGGCCAAAGGTTAGGATATTCTAGAAAAGTTAGAATGATTTGTCACTTTGGGAAAACTTGAGGAATTTTCTGCCTTTTCTTGCTCTCTATTCAACCTGTAGGTAGAGCTTTTTTGTTTGTTTGTTTTTAAGTTAAAAAGTTTGACACTTAATACCAAGTCAGAATCCTTTTAAAAGAATATTCATCTGCCATGGTTAAATGTCTTTAGTTGGTGGCTTTGGCTTTATGTACCTCCTAAAGATTGAGCCTTTGATTGAGCAGTTTCAGTTTTCAGTTTTTTTCTGTTTATCAGATATCTGTGCTATGCTTCTATTTGTAAACTATTTGTCTCCCTGATAAGACAGTTGTGAGAAAAAAATGTTCATAAAGGGATTCATGTACATTTTACTTGATGTTAGCAGGTAGCTTTTCTTCTTTTATATAAAATGCAGTTTTAGTGCATAAGCTAGTCTATGAGAAAGGAAAGGAAGAAAATAGAAAAGCTTATGAATATCATAGTTTTAATTAACAAGTTAGTATGGCTTACATCTCCAAACATAAAGGTACATTCTGCATTATTGGATAAAACAGTATGGGCAAATATATGATTTTGTACCTTATGAGTTAGCCTGAATTCTATAATTTCTTTAAGATAGCTTAGAAAGAATCAATAAAAAAAAAAAGTAGACAATCTGGTTTTAAAAGTAGGTAAAAGATTCAAGTCATTTCACATAATAGGATGTCCAAGTGGCCAATAAGCACCGAAAAGGTATTCAAACATTATTTGCCATCACAGAAATACAAATTAAAGCTACAATGAGATAACACTCCACACCCACAAAAATGGTTTTAAGAAAAAAATTGATAATTATTTCCAACATTTGATATTAGGAACAACTGAAACTCTCGTTTGCCACTAGAAAATATGTAAAATGTTACAACTACCTTGTGATAGTGATAAAGATGAGTAAAGGTCAGGCTGAGCTACCATATTTCATTGATACTAAATGCCACCAAATGTAAGATGCATCAGTTTTTATCTACCGCTCAGAAAGAAAAAACACTGCCAGTTAAACTAACATCCCATAAATGGAAAGACACACCCTGATTTTAGAGATATTAAAGTGTGGGGGGAAAATGTCTTAGAATCAATGAAATGGTAGATAAATAATAGAGATAAATCGGTTATATGCTAGATAGAAAATGAGCAAAAAACATCTTGAGGGATAGAAAGCATTGCAAGATCGGGAAAGAGGATGTTGCTATTTTAAAACATTTCGAAAGTCGGGGTTTATAAAGACTTGTGCTGGTGATGTGTATTTATTTTGCACACTTTTATATCTCATGTTTCCTATTTGGTAACCAGCAAAGTGTGTAAATATTAACACTGTAGCTATAATTAGTGAAAGCCACACTCTTATGCTCCGTGCGGTTGGCCATTTTACCAACATTTAATTTTCTTCTTTTCAGCCATTTCCAAAGCAGCCAGGAACATCAGGTGCTTATCCTCTTACTTCACCCCCTACATCTTATCATAGCACAGTCAATCAGTCTCCCTCAATGATGCACACACAGTCTCCAGGTAAGATATTACTTATTCTCTTGTCATGTTCAACTTTCAAATCCAAAATACACACACACACCCCACATTGAGAAGCACTGTGCATCTAGTCTCAGGCTTCAGAGAGAATTCCCTTTCTAGTCTATGGCTAGATAGTTGTCACTCATTTATTATGGAAGGTTTGTGAAATCTGTGTCCAGGCTTGGGAGCACTTTAAAAGGTTTAAATTAATGTCACCCAGAGCCAGACTCACAGCACAACTCCAGGGGGTGCTAATCACAACATGATCTATGTTACAGGTTGACAGACTCTAAGGCCTATGAGCCAAATCCTGCCTGTCACCTGTTTTTGTAAATAAAGTTTCATTGGAATGAAGCCACACTTGTTTATATAATGTCTATGGCTGCTTTCCCACTACGACAGCCCTTTACAGAAAAAGTTTGCTAAGCCACGGAATAGGTGAAGGGTGGCCTGCCCCCAAGCTCCAGAGTTAGGCAGTGCATAGTCTGCTTGTCCAGACATAATGGCTTTGTTGGCAGCCCTATGAAGTGCACCGTAAAAGTGCTTGAGAATGCCAAATTTTTGCTTTTAACTGAATGATTCAGTGGTATCTCTTGAGCACTTACTCTGTGCCAAATGCTGCCTGGTGCTGAAGATTTAGCAGTGAACCGGATACCAGCCCTGCTCTTGAGCTTATCATCTAGCGAGGAAGCTAGGTCATCAGATTTATTGGGGAGAATGACCCGTTGCCTACTAGGTCCTAGTAATATTTCCAGAGCATAATGATGTTTTTTTCAAAGAAAGTTTTAGCATAAAAGATGTGATATGTAATATAGGTTGTAAAATATAAGAAATTAAATGATTTTTAAAAGCATGTGTAATAAAACCTTTTATCTAGTGTAAATATATCAGTCCACTGAACTAAAGAATACATTAAGTAGTTTTGTACCAATTGAAGGCATTCGGGCTTATCAGAAAACAGGGCAAACAAAACTACGTTAATTTTTTAAGTAGCAAACCCAACAAATACATCTGCTTTTAAGTTTTCACTTTGAAAAGCAGAATTTGCAGTGCATACTGTTCTCCTTTATTTTTTTTATTTTTTTTTTTTTTTGAGACAGAGTCTCGCTCTGTCGCCCAGGCCGGACTGTGGACTGCAGTGGCGCAATCTCGGCTCACTGCAAGCTCCGCTTCCCGGGTTCACGCCATTCTCCTGCCTCAGCCTCCCGAGTAGCTGGGACTACAGGCGCCCGCTACCGCGCCCGGCTAATTTTTTGTATTTTTAGTAGAGACGGGGTTTCACCTTGTTAGCCAGGATGGTCTCGATCTCCTGACCTCATGATCCACCCGCCTCGGCCTCCCAAAGTGCTGGGATTACAGGCGTGAGCCACCGCGCCCGGCCTCTCCTTTATAAAATACAAAAATTCTTATAGATATGTATATGTGTGTCTATATATGAGAAATTTGTATTGACCAGAGAATCTGTTAATCTGCAGGTGGGAGATGTAGTGACATCACTTATTCAATAGCTAATTCCATTTGTAAAATGAGAATAATATAAAACCTTTTCCATAGAGATGTTGTGAGAATCGAATGAAATAGTTCACATAAAGTGTTTAGCCTGGGGCGTGGTACATGACAAATGCCTCTTTGACCAGTCCATTGTAATCTGTCTTGTTGCCCAGATTGGGCTGCTCGACATCCCACACTGCCTAGGCACTCACACCCTGGCAGATCCCACCCCCACCATGTCTCACACTTAGCCACTCATATTGCTCTTCACATTACTTCAGTGGTGTCGTTTTAAAAAAATAGATCCTCATTTTAAAAATCTTTAAATTCACTTTTATTTGGGGGGTGGGTTGTGCTTCCTCTGCTTAGATTCCTAGATAAACAGTCTTCATCTGTAATGCCAAGTATGATGAGTGTTACAAAAAGGGTCACTTGGGCTTCTGAAAGAGCATTCGATAAGGGGGGTTCGATTGTTTCTTTCTTGAGGATGCGTTGTTTGCCTCCCTCCTTTCGACACTGGTTAAGCTGAGACTTGAAAGGTCAAGAGTTACCCAGGTGCAGGGACATGGACAAGGAGGATATCTCAGGCAGACTGTGCAGGGTGTGTGGAGTCTGAACTTCCAGAAGATGGTAGACTCTTCCAAATGGCTGGTGTATGGAGAGACAGGGCGCTGTTAACAATTTTGGCCTTTATTGTATGGGTAAATAGGAAGCCATTGTTGGATTTTAGTCTGGGTTAAATTTGTACAACTGAAAGTGACGAGTGGTGGACGGGCAGATTTCACAGAGAAAGGAGGGGGGAGTTCTCTTGAACCTGTTGATTTTGCAAGTCCCCAGAGATTACTAAGTCAAGATGTCCAGTAGGCAGTTGGCTGTATGAGCCTATGGCTCATCAGAGATGGTTGGACCACAGATGAAGACTTGGAAGTTGTTGTTGTCATGTCTAGGGTCATTGAAGCCCAAGTGGGTGGTTGAGTCCACCCCTAGGAATACCAGTGGTCAGTGGGGAAGTAGCAGCTAGGGAGGAAGTAGACAAAACAGGAGAAACAGGATTGTAGAACCCCAGGGGAGTGTGTTTCTAGGATAGGAGTTGACATTGTTTTTATATAGTAGGAAGGGAAAAATATTTTGAAATAATTATAATAGTGGTAGACAAGCATATAGTGCTTACTATGTGCCAAGCCCTATTCTAAGCACTTTACCCGTTTAATCCTCACAGCAAACCTGTGGTGTAGGTCCTATTATTATTCACATTTTATGGAGGAAAACTGAGACATGGGGAAGTTAGGTCACTTGTCCAGATCATACAGCTAAATAAGTAAACATAAACACTTAAAGGTTAGTCAAGTTGATCAACATACTGATTGAAAGTAAGACAGTGCTTTAGGTATTACAGAACACAAAAATATGAAATTATCTCACATAGTACAGTCCCCCCTCTTATTGCTCTCCAAGGTTTTAGTTGGCCTGAGGTCAACTGAGGACCAAAAATGGGCAAGTATAGTACAATAAGATATTTAGAGACAGAGAGATACCATATTCACATAACTTTTATTACAATCTACTGCTAAGAGTGTTC
This sequence comes from Homo sapiens, assembly GCF_000001405.40. Taxonomy (NCBI): domain Eukaryota; kingdom Metazoa; phylum Chordata; class Mammalia; order Primates; family Hominidae; genus Homo; species Homo sapiens. The sequence continues at coordinate 40,668,790 of NC_000023.11, read as the reverse complement.
TATTTTACTGTTAATGTTAATTTTTTACTGTGCTTAATTTGTGAATTAAACTTTATCATATATGTGTATAGGAAAAAAACAGGTTTCAATACTATCTGAGGTTTCAGGCATCCACTGGGGGTCTTGGAACCTATCCCCTGTGGATAAGGCGGGGACTGCTATAGTAGAGAATTTGAAACATGCTGATATTAAAGGTAATTATGATAATGTAGCAAGTGCTTAAATGTTGCATTTATTCATAGTTTTGGTAGCCATAGTTCACACTTTCATAATCCTAAATTAAAACTAGTCCTGTGCCTTTAAATAAGTTAACGTTTCACTGTTTTTTATATCTCCAATCTCAGTCTCTCCATAAGTCTAGTATTGTATTTTCTTTTTTCTTTGATTTTTTTTTTTTTTTTTTTTTTGGAGACAGAGTCTTGCTCTGTCGTACAGGCTGGAGTGCCATGGCGTGATCTCAGCTTGCTGCAACCTCCGCCTTCTGGGTTCAAGTGATTCTCCTGCCTCAGCCTCCTGAGTAGCTGGGATTACAGGCACATGCCACTGTGCCTGGCTAATGTTTGTATTTTTAGTAGAGACGGGGTTTTGCCATGTTGGCCAGGCTAGTCTCAAACTCCTGACCTCAGGTGAACCGCCCACTTCGCCCTCCCAAAGTGCTGGGATTACAGGCGTGAGCCACCACACCCAGCCTTAGTATTGTATTTTCTAGCTGTCTATTCGGCATCATTTCCATGTAATGTCTGGTAGATATCTGCAACTCAGCATGGCCAAAACTAAACTCTGGATCTCTTCACTGCCCCAGTGCTCCTCTTCCCACAGACACCCCAGCTCAGTAAATGGCAGGCCCTTCCTTCCTGCTACTTGGGCCGAAGCTCTTCGAGTCATGCTGGACGTCTCTTTCATACCCATGTTCGGTCATTTACCAAATACTATCAGCTTGATTTTCAGAATTTACCCAGAATCCAACCACTTTTCACTACCATAGTCTGTCACCTTTACCAAGCCACTAGTCCTCTCTCACCTGAATTATTGCAGTTGTTTCTAACTGGTTTTCCTGTCCCTACCCCTACCCTTGCTCTATAGTCTGTCCCACAGCAGCTAGAATGATCCTTCTGGGACAGAAGTTCGTCCATGATTTCCGCTCCAAACTCTGCATTGGATTCCCACTCATTCAGGGTAAACCCTAAGTTCTTAGAGTGGCCCACAAGTCCCCATGTGATCTGGGACCCACCCCTCTTCCTCCAACCTCTCTGGTGTCCTCTCTTCCCACTGCCCCCCTCGTTCACTCTGTTCTTGCCACACCGGCTTCCTCCCTGATAACTGCTTCCACCTTTGGGGCATTTGCACTAGCTCTCTGTTTGGCTGGAATATCTCATCCCCTGGGTATCCTCATGCCTTATCCTTCACTTTCTTCACGTCTCAGCTCACATGCCCCCTTCCTTAGAGAGGTCTTTTCTGATTGCTGTATATAAGGAACAACACCCACCTCCTTCACTACACAATCTTGTCCCCTTACCCTGTTGTGTTTTTTTCCATAGCACTTACCTGACAGATACTTGTCTTTCTCATTCTATTAGAATATAAGCTTTGTGAGGGCAGGAATTTTTGTCTCTTTTGTTAACTGCTGCATCCCCAATGCCTGAAACAGTGCTTGGCATGAAGTTGGCATTCAGGCCTTCTTGTTGAATGAATGAGGAACTGAATAAAAAGTACACCGGATTTTTTTTTTTAATCAGTCAATATAAGAGCTAGAATTTGGGCGCATGGAATTGAATAGTCTCTTTCAATAATGAAATCGTGCCAGTTTTTCTCTGTGTTATATATATGGGAGCTATACTACTTGTTTCTTTAATTTATAGGGAGATTTTTAACTTGGGGTCCTTGGACAGGACATAAAATGTGTCCTGCAAGATTATCTATAATTATTTTCCTTTATTAGGAAATCTGCATGCTGCCAGCTCCCCCAGTGGGGCTTTGAGAGCCCCATCACCAGCGTCATTTGTTCCAACTCCTCCCCCATCCTCGCATGGAATCTCAATAGGACCAGGGGCCAGTTTTGCTAGTCCACATGGTGAGTCCATACATGGAAATCGATATAGCATAAGAGCTTGATGTGAAAATAATTTTTGTTGAGTAAATTTTTTCATTGCAAAATTAATACTTGTTTATTGAGGAAGTAGCAAAAATATTGCTCAAGCAAAAAGAAAATCAAATTTATCTAATCCCACCACACAGAGGTAACGACCAGTGAGTTTGTCTCTGCCTTGGACTCTCCCTTGCTGTCTCCGTTGCTCTGCCTTGCCCTTCCTGTCACACATGCCCTGCTTGCCTGCCCTCTCACGTTTCTGTTATTCTCACTTGCTGTCTACCAAGCTGCTTGTCTCCCCCCTCAAATACCTGCCCTTGCCCCCCAACAATGGGTACCCTAACATATGAATTGTTTTGAGACTTGAATTTTTTAACTTTTGAACTCAAAATTTTATTTTGAATTGATTCAACTAGATAAAAAATAGAACAAGTAGTCAATGAAAGGTTTCCTTTTTATTCCACTAACCACCTAGTTCCTCTTCCCAGAAACATGTAGATATTCTTGCAGAGCTGTTTTATGCATACACAAGCAAATACATGCAAGTGTTCTTTCCCCTCTCCTTTACACACACAACAGCATACTTTACAGTGTTCAGTGCCTTTTTTCACTTAATATATCATGAGTATGATACCATAGAACATAAACAGGTTCCTCAGTTTTTAAGCTGTGTAGCATCTGGGATTTTAGTTTTTACTATTAATATTTGTGGGAACATTTCCGTCATTAAAAACTCCACATCATCATACCATATGGTGTAATAATATCCGCTTGTCTGGGCATACCATGACTTAACTGCTCTCCTATTGTTACATGTTTAGAATGTTTCCATTTTTTCACAATTAAAAATGGTGCCATCTGTGCTCATATCCATGATTATTTCCTTAAGTAAGTTCCAGAAGTGGAATTGTTGTATCAAGGGATTTGACAAATTCTAAAGCTTTCGAAACATATAACTGCTCATCTGAAAGGCTGTACCATTTCCCATGCCATCATACAAGAATGTCTGTTATCCTGCATCATCGCCAGGGAGTATTACATATTTTAAAGACCTTGGACATTTTCATAGGTGAAAAATGGTATCTTACTGTTTAATGTATTTCTTTATTAGTGAAGAAAATTGAACCTTTTTTGGTTGGTCTTTGGTTTTTTTGTTTTGTTTTGTTTTTTTTGAGACAGAGTCTCACTCTGTTACCCAGGCTGGAGTGCAGTGGTGCAGTCTCAGTGCACTGCAACCTCGGCTTCTCAAGTTCAAGTGATCCTCCTGCCTCAACCTCCTCCCCAGCAAAGTAGCTGGGACTACAGATGTGCACAACCACGCCTGGCTAGTTTTTGTATTTTTTTGTAGAGATGGGGTTTTGCCGTGTTGCCCAGGCTGGTCTCGAACTCCTGGACTCAAGCAATCCACCCACCTCAGCCTTCCAAAGTGCTGGGATTACAAGTGTGAGCCACCGTGCCTAGCCGGTCTTTGGTGTTTCTTATTTTATACCTCCCAGTTATATATGCTTTGCCTATGTTCTTGTGTTTTTTCTTGCCCATTTGTAAGACCTAAGTAAAGACCATTTACTCTCTGACATATACATGGTAAAAGTATTTTTTCAGTTTGTCATTTGGTTACAGAGGGATATAAATAATATGTTGAAGGTATCTGGAGGATGAAATTTATTTATTTTTTATTTTTGAATATCTTCGTAGATACCAATGGAGGGTGAAATTTAAATATCAAATTGTTCAGGAAGTCACTGCTTTCAAAACTTGAGTCTTGGTTCATTTCTTAGTCAACGTAGTCTAAATAAAGAATATGGAAAATTTCCTTCTCCTCATTCTACTTAGAGTAGAATGAAAATATGGTTTGTCAAAGTTGGTTTAAAAATATAATATTTCTGCCTTTAAAGGAACTCTGAGATTGTTTGCTTAATATTTTAATGCATATAGTAGCATACATTGTTACATATTACATACATTGAAGCTTGTGTGAAGGTAAATTTTATCCTCTCTCAAGCTTTATATTTTTCTAATTTTTGTATCATGTTAAAAAGTACCTTACACAAAATAGAGATTCAGGCATGACATGTTAACACACATCAAGCTTCAGTGAAACATCTTATTGGAAGAAAAAATAAAATTATTACTGTGTAAAGATTTGAATGCTGTCAAATAATTTTCAGTTATTAAAATATAGGTTTTGAGAATCATTTGTTTACCTTTTTTATAGGAACTCTTGACCCTAGTTCCCCATACACTATGGTGTCACCAAGTGGACGAGCAGGGAACTGGCCAGGATCTCCTCAAGTGTCTGGCCCCTCACCAGCAGCACGCATGCCTGGAATGTCACCAGCCAACCCCTCACTACATTCTCCGGTTCCAGATGCTTCTCATTCCCCTCGAGCTGGAACAAGTAAGTATCATCAACATTTTTATGTTCTTTTTTAGTATAACCCAAAGTGACCTATCTTGTTGCATCCTCACATTTGAAAGTCATGACCTACTTTTTGAGAGAGGATACTTAAAGGATATTACAAAGGATGCAGATGAAGAGATGCATAAGGGGAGTGCAGTTTCCATGCCCTCTGTGAGCCTTCACATGTTTGCCTATCTGGAAGTTCTCCAAACTCTGTCCTTTTGGGTTTTTATGGAAGTTTCATCACGTAGGCATTATTGATTAAATCACTGGCCACTGGTGATCAACTTTGGGGGTGGGGCTGAAACTACCAACCCTCTAATTGTGCCGTGTCTTTCCTGTGATCAGCCCCCTTCCTGAAGCTACCTAGGGGCTGCCAGCCATCAGCCATCTCATTAGCATACAAAAGGACACTTAACCACTTTGAAGAGTCCAAAAATTTTAGGATTTGTATGCCAGGAGCTAGGACAAAGACCAAATATATATTTCACAATATCACACATAATAACAGAGAAGAGAATTGTACACATTTATTGGTTAGCTTTTGCTACATTTAGTGGCTTAAAACAATATATGATTGTTATATATTGGTTCACAATTCTGCAGGTTGGCAGTTTAGACTAAGCACAGCTGAGTGATTCTTTCAGACTCTGCTGGGCAGCTCACTCATGTGTCTGTAGTCAGCTGCTGGGTTGGTTTGGGACTAGATGGCCTCAGATGGCAAGGTTTCTCTCTGCTTTGTGTGGTTTCACACTTGATCTGAGGTTTGTTCACATGGTGGCTCAACAGGATTTTAAGGCAGGGAGTAGAAGCTGAGGCCTACAACTAGCCCAGTGTCACTTCCACCACATTCTGTTGGTCAGAAGCAAATACTAGGCCAGCCAGGTTTCAGGTGGAGAAATAGAGTCCACCCCTTAAAGGAGTTGCTGCAAAGTCACATTGCAAGGGGCCTGGATATAAGAAGGAGAAAAATAGTGGCCATTTTTGCTAACAGGTTGTTAATATATGATTGTTACACCACAAGGAGTAACTAAAACAGTACAGAATGATTTAGAACATCAAAGATTTATGATGAAAGCAAAACAGGAAGCAATGAGATAGTATGTATTTGTAAATGACATAACATGTTTTCCTTCCCAAAAGGTTCTCAAACAATGCCAACAAACATGCCTCCACCTCGTAAACTACCTCAGCGCTCTTGGGCGGCATCCATACCTACCATCCTCACTCACAGTGCCTTGAACATTTTACTGCTGCCCTCTCCAACTCCAGGCCTTGTGCCCGGCCTGGCAGGTAGTTACCTTTGTTCTCCACTTGAGAGATTCCTTGGATCAGTCATCATGAGACGACATCTTCAAAGAATTATTCAACAAGAAACGGTATGGGTACCTAATGACCTTCTAAGTGGTGATTGTTAAGGGTAAAATGCTAAATTGTCCTGCAGGATAGGATCTGAACTAACGTGACATTCCTTCACCTTCCCTCCTTTAACAAGCTTGTTAGAATTATGATTTTCACCCTAACCTGGCATTAAAAATGGACTCCATTATTTTCTTTTCCATTCTTATGTTAACATATTTCTGCATTATACAGTTTGCTGTGCTGTGGCTTCTATGTTATATGGCTAACATGGACCTGGAGATAGATTTCTGCAGCACACAGGAGCACTGCGCACAGGATCTGGCCTTGCAGAGAATAGCATACCAGTAATTATTTGCCTTCTGGAGTGCCCGTGCGGGGAGGCTGATTTTGACTCTGAGTCTTTATTGAAATAAAATAATTGGCTGGGTGTGGTGGCTTATACCTGTAATCCCAGCACTTTGGAAGGCTGAGGCAGGAGGATCACTGAGCCCAAGAGTTCCAGACCACCCTAGGCAATATAGCAAGACCCTCTCTCTACAAAAAATTTAAAAAATTAGCAGGCATGCACCTGTAGTCCTAGCTACTTGGGAGGTTGAGGCAGGAGGATTGCTTGAGACCAGGAGTTCCAGGTTACAGTGAGCTGTGATCATGCTGCTGCACTCTGTCCTGGGTGATCGAGTGAGACCCTGTCTCTAAAAAAATAAAAAGAGAAAAAAAATTTGAAGAAAATTATTTATGGTTACAAGGACAAAAGCTTCTTTTTAAATATGTGAACAGGACGGGCACGGTGGCTCACGCCTATAATCCCAGCACTTTGAGAGGCTGAGGTGGGCAGATCTCTTGAGGTCAGGAGTTCAAGACCAGCCTGGGCAACATGATGAAACCCCGTCGTCTACTAAAAAATACAAAAATTAGCCAGGCATGGTGGTGCGCACCTATAATCCCAGCTATATGGGAGGTTGAGGCAGGAGAATTGCTTGAACCTGGGAGGCAGAGGTTGCAGTGAGCCAAGATCGCGCCACTGCACTCCAGCCTGGGCAACAGAGTGAGACTGTGTTTCATAAATAAATAAATAAATGAACAATTGAATTTTTAAAAACTCTCGTAGAAAAAAGACTTCTAAAAAAAAAAGAAGAAAAGAGACTTCTAACTTATCCTATGCTGATAGCCTTAGGAGATAATTTATAATTGAGAGCACCAGTTCTACAGTCAGGCTGCCTGGGTTTGTAGCCAGCCATACTACCTGCTAATGTGTGCTTAGGCAAATTTCTTCAGATAATAGTATTTACCTAACTGATAACAGTTGTGTGAATTTGAGATAGTTCATGTAAAGCCCTTAATATACTGTCTAGGCATTTTCATTATTTATAATTACTGTTATTATTGGTAGATGCATGTGCTAATGAGGTAGTCAAAATGGTGAATGTTTAGGCCGGGCACAGTGGCTCATGCCTGTAATCCCAGCACTTTGGGAGACTGAGGCGGGCGGATCACTTGAGGTCAGGAGTTTGAGACCAGCCTGGCCAACATGGCGACACCCTATCTCTACTGAAAATACAAGGCCAGGCGTGGTGGCTCATGCCTGTAATCCCAGTACTTTGGGAGGCTGAGGCAGGCGGATCACTTGAGCCCAGGAGTTCGAGACCAGCCTGGCCAACATGGTGAAACCCCATCTCTACTGGAAACACAAAAATTAGCTGGGTGTGATGGTGCACGCCTGTAATCCCAGCTACTTAGGTGGCTGAAGCATGAGAATCATTTGAACCCGGGAGGCAGAGGTTGCAGTGAGCCGAGATCGTGCCACTGCACTCCAGCCTGAGCAGACAGAGCGAGACTCTCAAAACAAACAAAAAACAAAAATTATCTGGGTGTGGTGGCACATGCCTGTAATTCCAGCTACTCGGGAGACTGAGGCAGGAGAATCGCTTGAACCTGGGAGGTAGAGGTTGCAGTGAGCCGAGATGGTGACACTGCACTCCAGCCTGGGCAACAGAGCGAGACTCCGTCTCAAAAAATAAAAAAAGAATTAAAAATGGTGAATGTTTAAAATATTCACTCCATGTTTAGTGTAAAGCCATTTTGCAACCTTCATACTAAGATTTGGTGGGGAAACGTTTTTGAATAAATTAGCATTCAAAAGAAAGAAAAATAATAAAATAAACTAAAATTAGCACTCAAAATGGTAATCATCAGACCCGGGATCTAGCCTCAGCTATGCCACTTACCATCTATGTAAGCTTTCAGCTCTTTGGCCTCATTTTGCTCAGCTGCATAATCAACATACTCTGCTAAAACGGGTCAGTAAACTACGGCCCCTGGTGCTATGTCCTTACCACCTGTTTTTGTAAATAAAGTTTTATTGGAACACAGCCACACCTGTTCATTTATTTATTGTCTATAGCTGCTTTCAGCTGTGATGACAACATTGAATAATTGTGACAGAGACCATATAGTGCATAAAACCTGCAACTTTTTCTATATAACACTTTACAGAAAAAGTTTGTCGACCCCCGGGGCTAGAATAAGAGCCTAATCCAGATCTAACCTTTTGTAATTGTACTCTGTCTTCTTTTTTTCTAATGTGCCACTTTAAAAAAAGATATTGTGGAAAATGTTCAGCATATACAGAAGTAGAATGGTATAATGAACTTCTGTACTCTCATCACCCACCTCCAACAGTTAACTAATATCAGTATTGTTTCATCTAGAACTCCTCCCCCCAGATTTTCACAGCAAATCTCAGACATAATTTCTTGCATAAAAATTTTTGCATATGTCTCTAAAAAGTATAGACTCTTAAAACAAAACAAAACAAAAAACACAACCTGCACCATTCTCATACCTAAAAAAAATAATTTCTGTATCACATATCTAGTTGATACCCAGATTTCCCAGGTTGTCTCATTTTTTACACTTTGAATCAGAACCGAAATAAGTTTTTCTAAGTCCCCTTACAACTTTTGGTTCCCCCATCTAGTTCTCCTTCTTCATCCTTATGCAATTCGGAATCACTTAGTATTTTTTTGATCCCTATGTTTTCTATCACATTGGTCAGTCCTCTGGATCAAACTACTGCATGAATTCAGGCTCAAGTTTTTTTATGTTGTTTTGCAAGAATACTTCATAGGTAGAGTTATGTTCTTCCATCAAGAGGCACATAATGTCTGATCGCATCTCTTTTTGCAGTGTTGCCAGCAGCTGATGCTCAATGCTGTAGGTGCCTTTGTTTTGGAATAGGTATCAACTTAGTGGTTTTCCTTTTGGAACAATTCTCAGTAACATCTTCATTTTCTCTTTGACTTACATGTTAATTTGATGTGTCCTTGTTTTGTAGCTGCAGCTGATAAATTCTAATGAACCCGGAGTGATCATGTTTAAGACTGATGCACTGAAATGCAGAGTAGCTCTTAGTCCCAAAACCAACCAAACGCTTCAGCTAAAAGTGACACCTGAAAATGCAGGACAGTGGAAACCTGATGAACTTCAAGTTTTGGAGAAATTCTTTGAAACAAGAGTATGTGTTTAATAGTGCATAATTTGAATATAATTAATGAAACAGAAGCATTAATGTAGAATGAAGAGTAACTTGCTTTATTTATCCCTGTAGGTTGCAGGACCACCATTTAAAGCTAATACGTTAATAGCCTTCACCAAGCTATTAGGAGCTCCTACACACATCCTCAGGGATTGTGTGCACATTATGAAGCTGGAGCTGGTAAGTCACAGAGATATACATTTCTAGCAAGGTTTGTTTGAGGAGGTTAGAGTTGGTGGGAGCAGTGTTTATTGGTTTTCACCCATCTATGTAGTTTCTTCTATTTTTCTCTTAAATTCTTAATTTTTAACTTAAATTTTATTTATCTTTGAATAGGTAACACAATTCTGTTTTATCTTTTGAATTTAAAACAAGATAATATAGTGAGAAATTTCCCATCAGTTCCTGTCTAGCTATCCCTGTCCCCTCTATCCCTGTCCAACTGTCTTCTGGCCAACCAGAGTTACCATGGCTTGCCTCTCCTTCCAGAGATGGTCCATTCATAAAAGCAAATAACATTGCTCTCATAAACTTTTGATTGATTGAGACACGGTCTCACTCCGATACCCAGGCTGGAGTGCAGTGATGAGATCTCAGTTCACTGCACCCTCGACCTCTGGGGCTCAGGTGATTCTCCCACCTCAGCCTCCTGAGTAGTTGGGACTACAGGTGCACGCCACCGCGCCTGGCTTTTTTTTTTTTTTTTTTTTTTTTTTTTGGTAGAGACGGAGTTTCACCGTGTTGCTCAGGCTGGTCTCAGACTTCAGGTCTCAAGTGATCCACCCACCTTGGCCTCCCAAAGTGCTGGGATTACAGGTGTGAGCCACTGTGCGTGGCCTTCTTATAAATATTTTAAATGAAATGATATTTACACATCCTGTTTTGTACTTTTTTCCATTTTTATTATGAGATGGTTTATGTATAAATTTATAACATATAATTTTTAAAAATCTGACTCCTCAGCTTTGTTGGTCCTAGACTTTGTGTCCTGAATAGCTATTAAAACTGAAGTGCAGGCCGGGTGCGGTGGCTCATACCTGTAATCCTAGTACTTTGGGGGGCTGAGGCAGGCAGATTGCCTGAGCTCAGGAGCTCGAGACCAGCCTGGGCAATGTGGTGAAACCCTGTCTCTACTAAAAATACTAAAAAATTAGCTAGGCATGGCGGCACAGCCTGTAGTCCCAGCTACTCGGGAGGCTGAGGCAGAAAAATCGCTTGAACCCGGGAGGCGGAGGTTGCAGTGAGCCGAGATCATGCCACTGCACTCCAGCTTGGGTGATGGAGTGAGACTGTCTCACACACACACAAAAAAAGGCCGTGCACGGTGGCTCACACCTGTAATCCTAGCACTTTGGAAGGCTGAGGCGGGCCGATTGCCTGAGCTCAGGAGTTCCAGACCAGCTTGGGCAACATGGTGAAACCTCGTCTCTACTAAAAATACAAAAAAATTAGCCAGGCATGGTGGCACATGCCTGTAGTCCCAACTACTTGGGAGGCTGAGGCAGGAGAACTGCTTGAACCCAGGAGGCAGAGGTTGCAGTGAGCCGAGATCATGCCACTGCACTCCAACCTGGACGACCGAGTGAGACTACATCTCCAAAAAAATCAATCAGTCAGTCAATCTGAAGTGCAAAGTAAGAGACAGCAAGATGCTCCGTGGGCAGCAGCTGCCTTCAGAGCACTGAATATCTGTTCTTGGTTTGTTGTTGGCCCTTGGGGGATTTCCCTTAGTTTCTGCATAGCTCAGTCTGCATTCGTGTTCGTTTTTTAGGGCTGCCACAACAAATTATGGCAAGCTGAGTGGCTTAAAACAATAGGAGTTTATTCTCTCACGGTTCTGGAGACCAGAAATCCTAAATCAAGGGGTCAGTGGGGCCATGCTCTCTGAAGACCCTAGGGTTGAATCTATTCCATGCGTTTCTCTTAGCTTCAGGTGGTTCCAGCGGTCTTTGGTATTCCTTAGCTACTGCAACCTCTGCCTCTGTCGTCACATGGTGTTCTCTCTGTGTGTGTCTCTGCCTGTGTCTCTTCTCTTCTTATAAAGGACAACAGTCATATTGGATTAGGGACCATTCTAATGACCTCCTCTTAATTTGATTACGTCTCCAAAGACCTGGTTTTCAGATAAGATCATATTCATGGGTGCTGGGGGTTAGGACTTCATGTCTTCTTCAGGTGCGCAATTCAATGCATAATAGCATTTAAAAAGATGGCTTTTGGCTGGGCATGGGGGCTCATGCCTGTAATCCCAGCACTTTAGGAGGCCAAGGCAGGTGGATCACGTGAGGTTGGGAGTTTGAGACCATCCTGGCCAACATGGTGAAACTCCATCTCTACTAAAAATACAAAGAATTAGCCAGGTGTGGTGATGGGCACCTGTAATCCCAGCTGCACAGGAGGCTGAGGCAGGAGAATCGCTCGAACCCAGAAGGCAAAGGCTGCAGTGAGCCGAGATCACACCATTGCACTCCAGCCTGGCTGACAGAGCAAGACTCCGTCTCAAAAAATAAAAAATAAAAAGATGCCTTTCCACCCCCAGTATTTTTAGTGTTTGTGGTGGATGTGATTTCCAGGATATCTAACCTGGCATATTGCTCGAAATGGAGGAGCATCTTGCTTTATTCACTGAACAAATCTTGGAGATGTTTCCATATAAGTATATAAAGGATGTCTTTGTTTTGTGTTGTTTAACAAAGCTTAGTATTTCATTAGATGAATGTATTAAAATTGCTGAGTAGTCCCAACTTGTTGGCCATTTTGGTTTCTTCTGATATTTTGCTGTTACAAACAGTGCCACAATAAAGAGCCTTTTTATGGATGTGCCAGTATACCTGTAGAATTGCTGGGTCGGAGGATATATGTAATTGTAATTTTGGTAGATTTTGCCAAATTGTTCTCCATAGAGGTTATGCCAGTTTATATTCCCACCAGCAATGAGAGTACTGGCTTTTTCCCACATCCTTGTCAACAGTTTTATCAGCGTTTAGACTTTGGGTCTTTCTAATTTGTAGATTTTTAGGTCTTTTGATTTGTAGGAATTGGGTATGTACATTAGCGAAGTTAGCCCCTTGGGATATTCATTGTAAATATTTTTTCCGCGTTTTTCATTTGTGTTTTGACTTGACTTTTGGTAGGTTTAGCTATGCAAAATTTTCTTTTAAATAGTGAAATGTATCAATATTGGTTTTTAAGTTTTCCTGATTTTGTATCATTGTTAGATTCTTCTCACTCCCAGATTTTGAAATAATCCTCCCAAAGTTTTTTTTCTAATACCATTTGGATTCCTTTTTTTAATTATTTAAAATTTTAAATATATTTTTATTTATTTATTTTGAGACAGGGTCTCACTTTGTTTTGGTGTCAAATATGAGGAGGTATGGATCCAACTTTTTCAGATGCTCATTTATCATATAATCAATCTTCTCTGTATGGGGAGATATATACTGTGAAAGTATGTAGTTATATAGATGGAATCCAGATGGCAGCTGATGTATTTTTTTCAGTCTTACGGTGATCTTTTCATTTTAATGTTTCTAGTGTTGATTTGAGTAACTTCAATTACCTCACTCTTTTTTTAGTTAGCGTTTTACTATAAATATTGGGGCAACAGTGTTCTTTTGCTAATAGTCTCAACATTTGGCTTCTGATCTAATAGGCTGTAGGAAACATTATTTATGTCAAAAAGAAATCCATTTGAATTTTTAAAGGAGTAAATATTTATGTGGCTAAAAAAGCACCAATGGATATAATTTAAAAATCTTTCACACAGTTTGACTAGTTTGTTTAGGCAAAGAGTTGGAAACAGGACTGGGAAGTCTAGATTGGCACAGTTAAGAAGGGCCTTGAATGCTAGGTGTTGGTCCTCAGTTGTGGGTGGTAGGGGGATAGCATGTGTCACTAAATGTCACTGAACATTTGTGAGCTTGACTGGAACCATGTTGTAGGACCTATATCTGATGGTGGTATGAGGATGGACTGGAAGAGGCAGCCACTGGAAAGAGCTGTTAGGGGAGCACAGGAGAAGTAATAAAGCCCTGCACATGGTGGCCTCAATGAATATAGAGAGGAGGGAACAGATGTCAGAGACCCTGCAGAAGCCGAATCCATAGGCCTTAGGAATTAACGAAGTGGGAGGGAAGGAAGGGGAAAATCTTACATAAGTCCACAGTTGACTTTTCAGTTAGCAACTTCATGTATGTATTTGTTTTGAAAAAGTGCAGTTATTAACTTTATGTTCTGTTAATAATTGGGTATGAAACAAAATTCTAACCTCTCAGACTTTCCTACCTAGAATATGATTTTAAATGTTTATATGCCTTTATCTTGATTTTTCCCCCTCAAAATAGTTCCCTGACCAAGCAACACAGCTAAAATGGAATGTTCAGTTTTGCCTGACGATCCCTCCCAGCGCGCCGCCGATTGCACCTCCTGGGACGCCTGCTGTGGTGCTGAAATCCAAAATGCTATTTTTTGTAAGTACCACCCAGCATGTGTGCATGTACAGAGCTTCTGAGGGAAATGCCACATGATAATAGAGCAACTTTTGGATAACTGCATAAATTATCTCTTGTTGCCAAATAGAGGCCAGGATTCCTTAATTGTCAGCGTAGATGTCATGACATCCTGGTTCCTTTAGTAATAAAACAGAAATTTATTGAACCAGGTAATTGTGTAGCACAGTTGCATCTTAACCATAATATTCAGTTGTTTGTCACTTTTCTTGTCATGTGTAATTTTCTTTTGCTTGCTTATCTTAATCTGAAAGTACAGTAAATGATAGTACCTTTGATACATTTAGACAGATGTTTTATGATGTTTTTATTCTCTTTGTGTGTGTTGTGTGTATACAGCTTCAACTAACTCAGAAAACATCGGTCCCTCCCCAAGAACCTGTTAGTATTATAGTTCCAATCATTTATGACATGGCTTCAGGTACAACCCAGCAGGCAGACATTCCCAGACAGCAGAACTCTTCTGTTGCTGCTCCCATGATGGTCAGCAACATTCTGAAGAGGTTTGCAGAGATGAATCCACCACGACAAGGTACATGACCAGTAGACAATATTTTATTGCATATATGTTATAAAAGTTCTTTTGAGAGACACCCCTTTCTCCTCTTCTCTTCTCCCTCCTTACCTACTCTACCACCCAATCATAGCAATAGAGGTCTGGTTGCCGTGGCCCTCTTAATGTCTGCCTGTCGCTTTCTTCCTTTCTCACTGGTTCTTCATTTTTGTCCATTTCTCTGCTGCCTGGACTTTTTGTTAGTGATTTACTATTGGGACTGACCCAGTTGCTAATGCCAGAAGCTTGTATTTATAGCACACATTGCCACAAAGACCTAGGTTAGGATGATAGAATTTTCCACGGCTGTGAATTCCTGCCCTACCATCAATACCTGCCACTCTGTACATCACAAAGTTGAAATGCATGTTGGTTTCTCATATTTCATGGTTCAATCACGAATAGAAGAATATTATTAAAAGTTCTGTATCTTCTAAATGTTTTGTGAAGAATAAAAGCTGATACAAATGGCATTACTGCTTTTTTGGGCTTCTTATATAAGTGTCAGGTGGGTGCAAGTGAACCTTTTCACCATGTGCACAATGAAGCTCTCAAACTGAACATTTCCGAGGAAACCAGAATGTTTCTGGAAAGATAAACAAGGTCCCTGCAATACTGGAGTAGACTTCACTTAACACGTAACTCCTGGCAGTGCTAAATTTGGGGTTGCAAAATACAAAGCTCAGCAAAGAGAACTTTTCTTCCATTTTGCTCATTTCTAATATTAAGGAAATTTAAAATTTGCTTATTTCTAATATTAAGGAAGTTCTCTGTATCTCTCTCTGTTTAGAATAGTTAAATAACAATTATGTTTTTAAATGAGGGAAAGTTGTTCTCTGAAACATTTTTAGGTACTACAGTGTCCAAAGTTTTCTAGAACTAGGAATCAGGAGAGAAATGATATATTTAGCTATTTGTTTCCCCACATTGGATATGCAGGCGAGTTCTCACTTTAATGTATAAGGAATACACTGGGCAGTAGAGAAGGGTGTGCTTCTTTTGTTGTAATACTTCTTCTACTTCTTACAATTTTCTGCTTTCATCCTTTGACTTCTCTCTTCTTTCAGCTAAAAATAGGTCCTCAAGAATCAAAGTTTAAAGCTATCAGAATTCTCAAAGTAACAGTCCAGTAGAACCTTGATAATAAACACCATTCCTTCACAAGCAGATGGCTGTCATTATCTTATGTGTTTTTATGTATTATGTCTTGTGGAATTTAAAATTAAAAGGAAAATGTTTTGATCCTATTGGGATCAAGCAAGTTTTCTTGCCTATCAATAATGAAAATGTGTTTTTTAAAAAACAATACTTCTCCTTTTCAGAAATTGTTGAGATATTTTGGAAGTGTTTTCATTTTTTTCCCCCCTTGGACTGGGCAGACCTTTGGATTTCCTTTTTCTTTCTGTACCTTCTCATGTGCACAGGATCACTGCACATCCTGCCCTTTGCTGAAAGGCCATGGTTCACATGAGGTCTTCAGTTCTCCCACTTTCAGCCACTGTATACAGTGTTAGACCATGCTGTAGAGGAAGGGATCCAGCTTTTGGTTTATAATATTTAAATACTTGTAATAATTACAAGAAGCAGAGTATTTGGTTTCTTTGAGCAAAGGAGAAGTTGACAGGATGAATCGCCAGCACCCTCCCCACCCACAAATCCTGTTTTTGGATTGTTGGTGTACCATACTTCAGTCTCCCACCCCACCTCCCACACCCATCACTTCTCTTCTGATGAAGTGCTTTTAAGAAAATCATTTTTGTATTTAATTGATTTTAATGTTGAACTCTGGAAGTTGACCATTTCCTTGAATTTTGGGAGAAAACTCCAATAGATGTCAGAGACATGCACTGTCCAGTATAACTGCCACTAGCCAGCATGTGGCTATTTAAATTTAAGTTAATGAAAATTAAATAAAACTTTAAATTCAGTTCCTCAGTCACACTAGCTATATTACAAGTGCTTAATAGCCATGGCACACTTATACAACATTTCCATCATCACAAAAAGTTCTATTGGACAGCGCTGTCCTAAACATTTTTATCTGGCCTTTAATGCAACGTTTGAAAGATACCACCAAAGTTGTAACTAATGCATAAATATAAACTAGATGTTTTTATGATATCCAAAATGCCCTTATAAGCACTCAGTAGCCTTAAAGCCCAACTTCAAAGGCTTATCTAATGCTACAGTGTTTCTAAACAGAAACTCTAGACATATCTTCCTAAATACAAACCTAACTGGGACTTGCTTGAAGTTTCCTCCTGAGAAAAAAAATCCAAACCAAATATAATCTGATACTTAACACCACAGCTTAATCCCCAATAATCTGGGCAGTTAAAATTGTCTTTTATTTTGATCTTTAAAGTTCTCACTAATTTTAGATTTAATTACCCCTTCCCTTACCGGTGTGTTAACATCTTTCCTGTGTTGTGAATAGCTAATGACCATTTTTCTCTGTTGCAGGTGAATGCACAATATTTGCAGCTGTTCGTGATTTAATGGCTAATCTTACACTGCCCCCTGGTGGGCGTCCATAGACACTATTGTTTTTAAACCAGGAAGGCTGACAGATGAGACAACAAAAAAAATCTGAATTCAGCCTTCAGTTTAAAAAAGGAAAAGGACTTTTTTTTTAAACTTTAAGAGCTAAATATTCTAAACTGGCAAAAATTTTCAGGGTGCACTTCTTTCATCAAAATGATCATCCATCTTTTGTATAATGAACTTGTATAGTGTGTTTAAATGGGACACATTTCAAAGGAAATAAATCAGTGTCCGTTTGCCAGTAATAAATTTAATATTCTGTTTTATACTATAAAGTTATGAAAATGCCAAACTTGTTTATTTAATTGTTTTCTTATGTTTTGGGTGTAATAGTCCTTTTTTGGTTTTTGTTTTGTTTTTTAAGGCAGGTCTGTCATTTTTGAATACTGTAAAACTGTGATAAACTTTATATTGAAGCTGTATTTTAATATGACCGCTTTGAATCCTTACATGAAATGTTCTGGGAGTTGTTATAAACACACCCCAAGGAAGCAATATTTAATAAAACTAGGTCAAAAACAAAACAAAACAGTGACACTCACTTGTGTGTATATAAACTCTAGAGACATCTTAGGCCCTCCCTTCATCTTTAACCTGGTGGATGGAGCCAGTTATTAATTTATAATAATACATGTCTGAAATTTGACCAAAAACATCTTCTTTATGTCAAGGTTAATATATTTTCTTCAGACATTCCTAACTTGACTAGTGGTTAACATTTAGCACCTTGGTTGTCTTTCAATATATAGGATTTGGGTGAAAAATAAGGAACTTAGTCTTTGAGAAGGGACAGTATGTGGTTCGTATTGATCAAGGATCCCAAATAATGCAATCATTCTCATCTGTTGAGGATGTGGGAACTTTTCTGTCAGGAAAATTTAGTTTACAGAATACTTCTGCATACAACATTAATTAGGAAACAAAGAACTTTAATGCTGTACCTCTGCATGAAGTTTCTGTGAGCTTTCTTTATCTTGCTTAACTTATCCTCCTTTCCTTCCCCACCAAAATTGGGATTGTTCTAAACAATTTCAATTTAATTCATTGTCAACAAAACGATAGAATGTTTTGCTTGGAAGAAACCTGGTCCATTCCCCTCATTGTGAAGAATCCCGAATCCTGGGCCTGTCCAGGGTCAAATGGAGTTTTTGGTATTAATACATCTCTGCAGGGTTTCTTTTTGGAGCACTGTGCTGTCTTTCCTAGTCAGTCAGGGACTTTTTTAAGCTTCAAAGAACATGGTCTGATGCAAAGGTCTTCTACCGACTTCATGGTATTTAGGAAAAATTTTTAAGTGATAATACCATGCCGAGTTACCTGGTCACTGTAATACTGGTTCTCCATTAAAATGTAGATGCTTTGTCTAATTCCACTTCAAGATGATTTAATTGAGCTTCTATAACTATCAACTATCAAATTCTAGTTTCAAGTATCTCACTGTACCTATATCATATCTGTTCTCAACTTTGTTTGATTCTCCACTCATTTTCAATCAGAGTTGAAGCCTTCTTTGCCTTTCTTCTTTGTCTTATTTCTGCCTTCATCTCCCACTTCTCACCCAACTCTGCCACTGTTCAGGAGCAGTTGACTAAACTTTTATCCTTCCTTTAACTTAATCTTTTTATCCTTCTGTTTTTAGTTCTTACAGTGGTAATCACATCAGTTTGGCAATCTAAGATGTCTTTATCAAGGGTCAGCCCTTTTCTATTTGGAGCTGAATCTTTTCTTTCATGTAGAAATCTACATGTATATACAAGAAATGTATTTTTATCTGCAGGATAATATTGTTTCAAATAATTTTATTAAGAGTTAACTTTTTAGGTATTTTCCCTTTTAATGTGGTTTTGAAATGTTAATTGCATTTTTACACATGATGCATTCAGTGGACACTCTTTTTTCCTAATTATAACTCATCTCTGAATGCATTGTGCCAATCAAGAGTAAGATAGGATTCAGTGCGCAAAATTTGCTTTTGATGCTTATTAAGAGTAAACCCATGAATTTGAATTTTTATATTATGCTTGGTACTTGGAATTGATATATACCTTATTAAAGCTTGAAAACATTTAGCATTTGAATAGTAAGTTTCATCACAAATCATGTCTTTTGCCTCTTTTGTTACCCAGGTTCGATCAAGGGGACTGGATGCCCAAGTGATTTTCTCTAATAATCGGGTTGGGACTTAACTTTAAGGTGTTTTCAATGTGATTTTAGTATTTACAGTAATAAATAAAATTTATACAAAGTTTCAGAGAACTACCAACTCTCTAGTTAATTTTGATGAAGATGTTTTCATTAATAGTCTGGTTTAGTATTAATTTAACCTTGAAATAAGAAATTGGTCCTGATTTGCCACCTTCATTTTTCCATCTGCTGAAATGCCATTTCAGAATGTATAAAAGTACTTTCAGAATTAGAAGAAAAGTGAGAGCTTCAGCAGAACGTGTCAAGTCGCTAATAACAGGAGTCGAACCTTATGTTTGAAAATTAACTGAGTGAGTTAAGTGCAAGCATAAACTAAAATTTATATGACTTTGAATTTAAGAACCACTAATAACTGTGTTC
The DNA here is from genome assembly GCF_000001405.40 of Homo sapiens. Lineage (NCBI taxonomy): Eukaryota > Metazoa > Chordata > Mammalia > Primates > Hominidae > Homo > Homo sapiens. Next base: position 40,649,233 of record NC_000023.11, on the reverse strand, counting down.
TAATTAACACAGTAATCTGTTCAGCCAAAGGATACTAACAGCCATTCTTTGGACTGTGGTTAATTTGATAACTTCAAGAAGTTATAACTTTGCTACCCTGGATTCTGATGCAATTTCAATATAAAAAGTTGTTCCTTTCATAGTTTTTCCCCCCAAAAGAAGTGCCTATTACATTTTACCTTAATGTTTATTTATCATCCAAGTGTTCTTGATATAAAATCAGTATACAGAAAATTTTAAGAGAACTTACATTCAAGGGACATAGAGGGAAAATGTTAATGTGTATTTCATTGTTTCTTGTGGAATTTTTTTTTCATTCGGTTTGAGAATGGACAGTGTGTCTAAGGATGTGATTTAAATTTACTTAGGATGGATTTAGCATTGAGGTTATTAAGACAAAGTTAGCAGAGGCCAGCCAGCACTGTGCTGCACAACTCCAGGAACTCCATGGTATGCTCACAATTTTCTGCAAGTTGCCTCCACTTCCAAGTGGCCAGTGATTTGTTAAAATACCTTGCCCAAGAATATAACTGATTGATGAAAGGGCATATTTAGGTCAATATAAAATAATAGCAAGTATTTACTGAGAGCTTACTGTGTGCTAGGCATTTTCTTAATATTTCAATGTGTATTTAATCCTCACAACAACCCAATGTGGTAGGTTATTGATATCCTCTTCTTAAAAATGAGTAAATGGAGGCCCAGAGAAATGTAATTTGCCTGAGATCAAATTAAGGTTGCTTAAGATCAAACTGCTAAGAAGGGGCAGTTTGAGTCTGAGCTAGTGCTCCTAAACACTGGACATTTTTGCTGTGAACCACAGTCGGGAAGGTTTAATGTTTAGACTCTTTCCTCAGAGGCTTTTAACTACACACAATTTTGACATGTTTTCCAAGCTCAGAAAGCTCATTAAAAACAACTAAAACTGACCTGACTTGTCACTTGGAGTTGACAATCCCAGTGCCTTCTGACCTTTGTGGCACTTCTTTGGAACTTAAATCAGACTTCCATGTGCAAGGAGCACTAATTATCATATAATCAAGAATACTAGATAATTATCGTCTAACCTTTGCTAGGTGCTTCAGGATGCCCTTATCTGGCTCAGGTGTGCAGCCTTCTAGAATCCAAGTGATGTGTTGCCCTAAACAGGCAAACGCCCCCTTCTGGGTGGTCCAGTGGCGGGGGATTTTGAGTTTTGGGTTAGCTTGGCACACCGCAGGCAGCCAGCGGTCACGTTTCACTAATACCTCAATTTGCTACAGCTGGTCTGTGGGCTTAGGAACCAGTAACTCTAGAATTGTATAATGCAAAGAACATACACGATTCAAGCAATGTGCCCTGAGCACCTTGTACATCTGGACAATAAAAAAAAGTTAAAACAGAAGTGCCCTACATTAGGAGAGGGAGTCGAATCGGATGCTGACAGGGTCTCTGTTTGGGGGACGAAGAGGGCCTAAGGGTTTCAAATAGTTAACTGCTTCCCCAAGCACCAAAGTTGTTAGACGTCAGACGTCAGACGTCACCCAAGTGGGGTGGAGCCGACGTGCCCCGGAAGTCAAGATGCCCCGCCCCGGGATCGGTGGCACCGCGCCGCGCAGGCGCAGGCGTCGCTGCCGCCGGCGCAGGCGCCGCTGCCTCGGGTACTTCCCAGGCTCCGCGCCTGCGCACTGCCGTCCGCCACGCCCCGCAACCTCCTGGTTCCAAGTGGGAGACATGGTGCTGTCGGAGCTAGCGGCGCGCCTCAACTGCGCCGAGTACAAGAACTGGGTGAAGGCGGGCCACTGCCTGTTACTGCTGCGCAGCTGCCTGCAGGGTTTCGTCGGCCGCGAGGTGCTCTCCTTCCACCGCGGCCTACTCGCCGCAGCCCCCGGCCTGGGGCCCCGCGCCGTCTGCCGCGGCGGCTCACGGTGCAGCCCTCGCGCCCGCCAGGTGAGCACCTGGCTCGGGGCCTTGACCACCGCCCCCACCCCACCCCTCCTCATCCCCGTTCCTGTCCCAGACCCAGAGCGCAAGTGTCCTGTTCCCTCCGCGATGCGGGGCCCACCGCGACGTCCCTCCCTCCTGGGCCCCTCCTCACCGCCGCCCCCTGTAGTTTCAGCCTCAGTGTCAGGTGTGCGCTGAATGGAAAAGGGAGATTTTGAGACATCATGTCAACAGAAATGGAGATGTGCACTGGGGAAACTGCCGGCCGGGCCGCTGGCCCGTGGACGCCTGGGAGGTGGCCAAGGTAAGCGCCTGAGGCGGGGACGGAAGGAGGAAGCGGCGGGTCACCCAGCACTCGGGGTGGCTATCTGGTCTTGTGGTCGCCGGGGCCTCATAAACAGATGCAGAGAGAGAGATTGATCAAGGGTCTAGGCGGTTCAGGGGTGGTATGCGGGACCCAACCCAGCTTAGTGAAGTAGAAGCTTTCTTCTACCCGTCTGCTTCCTGAGGGCATTTGAGTTTGTTACCCCTGCTTGGAAAGTTACAGGAAAGAGTTCTACAAGAGATACTGGGGCAAGATGCAGAGCGAGCATCATGAGCACAGGCAGGGAGGGAGGGAGACTCTTGTGTGGCCTGTTTGAGGGTAAGGCTCGCTGAACAGCTCATCAGCTCTTTTTTGGCTATAGGATGCCGTAAGGATGACAGAGTAAGCCAAGGGAAGTTAGGGCTAAAATAGCACCTTAAGTGCCCAGTTAAAGGCACTTTGGGTAGCTGGGAATGGGGTAGGCAGCCGGATCTGTCTTCAGATCTTGGCAATGTCACTTACTAAGTAGATCGAGTAGGAAATTTTTTTGCCCAGTAAGGGACGGAGAGGGACAGCCAGAAGTGGCTTCCTAACACAAATTGACTTTAGCAGTCAGTCTACATGCCAGTAGTTATCAGCAGGCACAGGGTGGGCACTGGAAAGGAGCAGTGCCTGGGAAGCAGATGATCTGAGTCCTGGATCAGCTGCCGTGGTGTGACACTGGGCCAGCTTGTGCTCCCCAATCTCAAAAATGAAAGGACGGCCGGGCGCAGTGGCTCACGCCTGTAATCCCAGCACTTTGGGAGGCCGAGGCGGGCGGATCATGAGGTCAGGAGATCGAGACCACGGTGAAACCCCGTCTCTACTAAAAATACAAAAAAATTAGCCGGGCGCAGTGGCGGGCGCCTGTAGTCCCAGCTACTCGGGAGGCTGAGGCAGGAGAATGGCGTGAACCCGGGAGGCGGAGCTTGCAGTGAGCGGAGATCGCGCCACTGCACTCCCGCCTGGGCGACAGAACGAGACTCCGTCTCAAAAAAAAAAAAAAAAAAAAAAAAAAAAAAAAAAAAAAAAAAAAATGAAAGGAATTGGGGCCGGGCGCGGTGGCTCATGCCTGTAATCCCAGCACTTTGGGAGGCCAAGGTGGGAGGATGGCTTGAGCTCAGGAGTTCAAGACCACCCTGGATAACATGGCAAAACCCCGTCTCTACAAAAAAATACAAAAATTAGCTGGGTGTGGTGGTGCATGCCTGTAGTCCCAGCTACTCAGGAGGCTGAGGTGAGAGGATCACTGGAGCCTGGGAAGTCGAGGCTGCAGTGAGCCGTGATCACACCACTGCATTCCAGCCTGGGTGACAGAGCAAGACCCTGTCTTAAAAAATTGAACTGTATCAGGGGTCCCCAGACTTTTGGGTATCACGAGCCGGTAAACCCACCACACCTACACCATCTTCCCCATTTTTTTCCACTGCAGCCATAGAGTTGCTGACTTCTACTTCTACCTAGAAAAGAGAAAAAAAACAGAAAGAAAGAAAACTCTGCCCTTTACAATGCCTGTCCCTCATCTGTTTGGTCTGCGTTGCTGCTTTCACACCATTGGAATCCTCTTGTAGCCTGTACTACCTCCTTATACCACTCTTTGCTCCTCTTGGTTGCTGTCACCTACAGACCTTCTAGTCCAACCCCATCCTCTCAGTTTCTGGGCTCCTGATTCCAGCATCCTCTGCTTCACTCCCCCTCAGCCTCCGGCTTGCATGCCCACACCCTGGACCTTGGCACAGAAAGTCTCAGTGTCTAACATCCTGCTGGCCTTTGGCACACTTATTCATGCACCCCTGCCCCCAACCCTGTGCCCCATACTACTTCCGCCTCTTTGAGGCTTCCACTGCTTCCTGAATACCCAGCACCCTCTGTCCTCCTGCCTGCCTTTGTCACCTCAGCTAGCCCAGATTCCATGGCCCATCATTATAATCCGTCCCTTGCTGTTATCTCAGCTTTTTTTTTCTCCTTTCTCTGAACTTGCCTGGCCCAACTCCAGTCCTGATGACATTTTCTGCTTCTGATTAGTGGGAAAGAATCTCACAAGGGAACTGACTGGTTTCACTTTCATTCTTGATCATGAGCCCCAGCGGTCTGGCCACATCTCTCTCTAGGCTTCAGTTTCTGGAGACTACTACTTTTCCCTGGCAAATCCCTGCTCCCGTTCCTCCGCCCTTGCTCATGCTTCACGGAATTGATGGAGGCCCTTGGACATACATAGTTGTCTCTCCTTATCCATGGGGTATTGCTTCCAAGACCCCCAAGGATACCAAAATCCACAGATGCTCAAGTCCCTGATATAAAATGATGTATGTGGTATTTGCATATTACTTACATACATTCTCCTATGTACTTTAAATCATCTCTAGATTACTTATAATACTTGATAGAATGTAAGTGCTATGTAAATAGTCGTTATGCTATATTTTTAAAAAATTTCGATTACTTTTTACTGTTGTATTATTTTTCTGAGAATTTTTCATCCACAGTTGGTTGATTCTATGAATGCGGAACTCGTGGATATGGAGGGCTGACTATACTTCCTCTTCTTTTTGCCAACACCAACTAATCTCCATGTGCACCATCTATTTCCTTCTGCTACAGAGGAGGAAGGGTGTCTCTCCTCTTATTGCCTCATACCTCCACTCGTGTGTTGGATCTTATCCCTTTTCTCTTGCTCAAGGCCTTTGAGGCTTCAGCTGTCCACTCTCTCTCTTGCAGCTCATTCCCATCTCCATAGAAAAAGCTTTAATATAGCCATGGTTTATTTAAATTTTTTTAAAAGAAACAATTAAACAGTTACCACATGACCCAGCAATTCCCCTCCTAAGTATATTCCCAGGAGAAATGAAACCATACATTCATACAAAAAAATGTACGCAGATGTTCATAGCAGCTCCATTCACTATAGCCAAAAGGTAGAAACAACCCAAATACCCATCAGCTGATGAATGGAATTTTTAAAATGCAGTATCTCTGTACAATGGGATATTGTTTTGCTGTAACAATGTAACAAAGGAATTAAGTACTAATACAAGTTACAATGTGGATAAATCTTGAAAACAGTATGCTGAGTGAAAGAAGCTAGTCACATATTATATTTATATGAAATGTCCATTTTATATAAATTCCATTTAGACTCCATTTGTAAGAAATGTCCAGGCGGGGCACGGTGGCTCAAGCCTGTAATCCCAGCACTTTGGGAGGCCAAGGTGGGCAGATCACCTGAGGTCAGGAGTTCAAGACCAACCTGACCAGCAAGGAGAAACCCTGTCTCTACTAAAAATACAAAAAATTAGCCAGGCATGGTGGCGCATGCCTGTAATCCCAGCTACTCGCGAGGCTGAGGCAGTAGAATCACTTGAACCTGGGAAGTGGAGGTTGCGGTGAGCTGAGATTGTGCTATTGCACTCCAGCCTGGGCAACAAGAGGGAAACTCCATCTCAAAAAAAAAAGAAAAGAAAGAAAAGAAAAGAAATATCCAGAATAGGCAGATCTATAGAAGCAGAAGTAGATTAGTGGTTGCCAGGGCTTTGGGGAATGAGGGATGATAGCTAATGGGTATGGGGTTTCTTTTTGAGGCAATGAAAATGTTCTAAAATGGACTGTAGTGGTGGTTGCACACCTCTTTAAATATGCTGGAAACCACTGAATTATAATGTGTAGATGGGTGAATTATATCTCAAGAAAGCTGTTTTTTTTAAAAACACTTGAATAAATAATTGGAAAATAAGATTTTAAGAGGCCGGATGTGGTGGCTCATGCCTGTTATCACAGCACTTTGGGAGGCAGAGGTGAGAAGACTGCTTGAGCTCAGGAGTTCGAGACCAGCCTGGGCAACATGGCGAAACCCCATAACTGTCTCCACAAAAAAATACAAAAATTAGCCGGGCGTGGCTGGGCGCGGTGGTTCATCCCTGTAATCCCAGCACTTTGGGAGGCCGAGACGAGTGGATCACTTGAGGTCAGGAGTTCAAGACCAGCCTGGCCAGCATGGTGAAACCCCGTCTCTACCAAAAATACAAAAAAAAATTAGGCAGCTATGGTGGTGTGTGCCTGTAATCCCAGCTACTTGGGAGGCTGAGATGGGTGGATTGCTTGAGCCCGGCAGGTCAAGGCTGCAGTGAACTGTGGTGGCACCATTGTACTCCAGCCTGGGCAACAGAGTAAGACCCTGTCTCAGAAAAAAAAGAGAAAAAAATGTCCCTTGATCCATTCTCTCCTGCTATCTCCCCATTTCTCTATCTGCCTCCCATACACAAATCCAGCAGAGCATCTCAAAAAAGAGGTTTCATACCTGTTATCTTCTCCTCTGCTCCCACTTCCTCTTCAACCAACTCCGCCTCGGCTTCTGCCCCTGCCACTCCACTGCATCTGTGACCTCGTCTCTCTTACCTCCCAGAGCCATTTGGCATTACTGGCTGCTCTTGAAACCCTCTTGGCTTTCCTCCCATCTCCCTGGCTCTTCCTGCTCAGCCTCCTTCTGAATGTCTTTTGGCCTTCCTCAGGACTCAGGGCCAGGCCTCTTCTGTTCCCTTCTTCTCTGGTGACATTGTCCAGGCCTGTGGAGTTAAATGCTAACTGGCTCCCAAATTGATGGCTCTAGCCCTGCCCTCTCTTCTGAGTTCTAGACGCACACATCCAACTGCTTACTTGCCCCCTCCACTCCATCGCCTGTGGAGCACATTTTATTTAGTTCTAAAGTAGAACAGTTTGTCTTTGCCCCCCACCCTATGCCCGTTCCCCATTACCAACTTTCTAGAGTCACTCTTGTTTCAGCTCTTTCCCTCTCAGTACCCCCTCTCTCCTTGTTTGTACCTGCAAAATACTTTTGGAATCTTCTTTTCCATCTCCACATCACAACTCTCACCCTCTCCTACCAGGCCTCTGCTGCTCTGAGCATCTGTGGTCGGTCCTTCACACAGCAGCATGTGCAGTCTTCAAATGGGAATTAGATCGTTCTATAACCCTTGCCTAAAACCCTTGGATGGCTTCCTGATGGCCTTAGAATAAACCCCACACCTTTCCAGAGCCAATAAGGCCCTGCACAATTGGGCCTCTGTTTATTTTCCAGCCCCATCTCCTACTCAGCGAAGAGACAGTGGAGGATAGAGAGAGGCAATAACATGTTTCTCACTGCTGTGCGTTTGGCATGTGGAACACGGTGGTATGCAATACAATTTTAAGACACTGCTTTCACTGTAAGGATGCAGCAGAGCCTCCCTGTTGGCTTCCAGTTCTGAAGAAAGGGAATAATTACTAAAATAAACTTGTAGCAAGGACAGGCACGGTGGCTCATGCCTGTAATCCCAGCACTTTGGGAGGCCGAAGCAGGCGGATCACTTGACTCCAGGAGTTTAAGACCAGCCTGGGCAACATGGCGAAACCCCATGTCTACAAAAAATACAAAAAATTAGCCAAGCATGGTGATGCATGCCTGTAATCCTCACAGGTACTTGGGAGGCTGAGTTGGGAGGATCATTTGAGCCTGGGAGTTTGAGGCTGCAGTGAGCTGTGATTGTGCCACTGTATTCCAGTCTGGGCAACAGAGCAAGACCCTGTCTCTCAAAAACAAAACAAAAACTTTAACATGGAAGAGATTGGCTTATATTGGTGAGAAAATGCCAGACAGGACCTACCTTATAATGGAAAAGAAAACTACTGCACCTGATTCGGAGGTGACTAAGGCCCCACTAACTTTGCATTTTCCTCCCAGCAACAGCTGAATTCAGCAGTTTCTTTTTTTTCCTTTTTGAGACAGGGTCTTGCACTGTCACCCAGGCTTGAGTGCAGTTACACAATCTTGATTCACTGCAACCTCCACCTCCTGGGCTCAAGTGATCTTCCCATTTCAGCCTCCGAAGTAGCTGGTACTACAGGCGTGTGCGACTATGCCTGACTAATTTTTTTTTGTATTTTTCAGAGCTTCTTTTCTTCAGTTTCATGGCATTAGTTTGCCTGTGATAAGTTAGTTAGCTTCTTTGTTAACCTTTGTAGCATCCATAATAGACTTTTTTTTTTTTTTTTTTTTGAGACAGAGTCTCACTCTGTTGCCCAGGCTAGAGAGTAGTGGAGCAATCTTGGCTCACTGCAACCTCCGCCTCCTGGGTTCAAGTGATTCTCCTGCCTTAGCTTCCCAAGTAGCTGGGATTACAGGCGCGTGCCACCACGCCTGGCTGGTTTTTGTATTTTTAGTAGAGATGGGGTTTCACCATGTTGGCCAGGCTGGTCTTGAACTCCTGACCTCAGGTGATCTGCCCGCCTTGGCCTCCCAAAGTGCTGGGATTATAGGTGTGCGCCCGGCCCAAAATAGACTTCTTTCAGAGGGTCGGCCTGTCTGTGGCTATTAAGGCACAGAAAGATAGTGATGATACTGGCTATTGTACCTGTTGACGGGCCAGCCAGGGTTTACAAAATTCTGAATTATGTGGGGCTCAGGTGTATGATTTCACCACCATCAGGAGCATAGCCCTGACTCTCCTGGGCATACATGAGCACTTACCCCAGCCTTTTCAGAATGCTTTCATGAGCAGCCCTGTAGGAGGCATTGTAGTTGCTTGCCTATTGATATGTGTTTTCAATGGAACAGGTCTCTTAAATAAAAGAGGTTTTTTTTGTTGTTTTTTGTTTTCGTTTTTGTTTTGAAACAGGGTCTTGATCTGTTATCCAGACTGGAGTGCAGTGGTGAATCAGAGCTTATTGCAACCTTGAACTCCTGGGCTCAAGCAATCCTCCTGCCTCAGCCTCTTGAGTACCTGGGACTATAGCACACACCACAATGCATGGCTAATTTTTTTTTTTAATAGAGATGGGAGTCTTGCTTTGTTGCCCAGGCTGGGCTCAAACGATCCTCCTGCTTTTGCCTCCCGAAGTGCTGGGATTACAGGAATGAGCCACTGTACCCAGCCTATTTAGAGTTCTTATTGCGAGTAACTTTTTGTTCTAGTCCCTTGGCAGGAGTGTACCCTTGTGATTCTTAGCCTAGTAAAGTTGTTGCATCCCAGTATAAGTTGAGAAATATTTCAGGAAAGAAATACGCCCAAGCTTTCCCATAACACCATTTTGGGGGTCTGTGCCATAAAATTCCTACTAAAGGCAAGATCCTGCTAGCTTGAGGCCCTTCTGGCATATCTAGTATCTCCCATCCCCGGATTCCATCTGTAACTCCTATGTGGGTCCTACTCGCCTTGCACCATCTACATAATAATTGCCAACATTGATGTCCTGGTTACTAGCACGTGCCTAGCACTGTGCTAGTGCTATACCTGCATTCTCTTATTTCATTCTCACAATATCCTTTGAAGTAGATAAGGACAGTTATCCCCCATTTACTGATAAGGAATCTGAGGGTAACTTGACCAAGGTCACAGCTGGCAAATGGCAGAGCTGGCATTTGAACCCAGTTTGCACTCCAAAGCCCAGACTCTTAATATAATACTTCCATACGGAACTTCCTCAAGTCATTTAGAAAGTGTCCACTTTTATTTTATTTTTAAATCTTCTTATTTAACAACTCAACCACTGAAATTTCAGTAAGGAAAAGAAAAAAGATGCCTTCTAGTTATGCTTTCTGTTTATATGCCATTAAGACAGAATGGAAAGCCTGTTATATCATATGTATCTAATAGCAGGGATAATACAGCCCTTCAGTTATTGCCCTTGGCCAAGGTTTAGCTGTGACAGTTTCCCTACTTGCATTTTGGGCTCATGAGGCTTTAAGTTGAAACCTCAGTGCATAAGAGAACTTCAGTCATCATTTGGAAAATAGACAAGTAACCATTGCCTTTCCATCTCCTAGAGTTGGAAGAGACTCAGGTCCCCCTCCTCCCTCCCTTGCTATAGGCCTTCATGCCCCGAGGACTAGCAGACAAACAAGGACCTGAGGAATGTGATGCAGTTGCTCTTTTAAGTCTCATCAACTCCTGCGATCACTTCGTGGTTGATCGAAAGAAAGTCACAGAGGTAAGAGCTGTCAGATTCAAAAGCATACCCTGAGTCAGTTGGGTCTGTGCTGTGAGAGCCAGTCATGAGCTACACCTGTGATGCTAAGCCAACCATGCAGGTATAGCACGTAGTAGCTCCCCGGAACAGTGGTGTACAAAGAAAGTTAGACTTGGGTTCGAAGTTGGCATCGCTAAGCAAACTAGTGTGGCTCATATCATGTCTTCTGTGATGTCCAAGAACCCCAGTGCAAATGCAATCAAGAGTAGTTCTCCTGAATTAGTTTCCTAACAACTCATTGTGCCGTTTGCCACTGAAGTAGATGAACCTAAAAGTCTCTTCCCTGTTCTGCCATAAACAGAACCAAAGTAATTTTCCTTATTAAAAAAAATACAGAACATTGCATCATTCTGCCTGTTGTATGCCAGCATTTGAATCCTACCCTTCTGAATCTCATTGGCTAAGCAGCTGCAAGGCCAAATGGTATGGAACTGAAGAAAATGTGAACACTGATGGATAACAGTGTCAGAATAGATCACTGTGCTTGTTAGATTTCCTCTGGGAAATTTAGATTTTTCTCTAGTTCACCAGAGAACAACTCATACATTTATTACCCTGAAGGTCATTGGAAAGAGTATATAGCTATACCTGGACTGGTTATAATAGGTAGAGAAAATGCATGTATCTTTTGTCTGCATACCAGCAACTACCAGGATTGAGACTCCTTTATGATATCGGCAGAAACAAAGAACTGTCATAGTAGTTGACCCCTTTGATATCTTTTAACCAAACTGTGGAAGACTCTATATGAATTATATATTAATACATGATTAGACGACCATTTTTCTAAAGATAGAGGCCAAAGTTTATTTTCTTTTCATCATGGTTTCCACATCAGGAAACTCCCTGGACCCAGCTTCCTGGTGCTCCAACAGTATTTAAAAGACTTTTGTATTGTCTGCTTCATCCTTTGGGTATACCAAGAGCTGATGCGCTTGCTCTTTGGCAGGTTGTTTTAAGTTAAGGGATTTTGGGGGAATGTGGAATACCCAGCTGGCCACAAGACTTCAAGGGCTAAGAATAGTTGTAGGCTTATTTGTATTTCTTACCCTGACTAATGTATTATTCATGTGGCTGGGGATTGAACACCCCCTCAAGCCTCAACGGCACTGACAGGTACCTACAGGTTATGTTAGGAATTTCTGGATTGCTTGGAAATCTGCTCCAGAGACTCAAGGAGGGAGAAAAGGCCGAATTGTTGCCCAGGAGCCATCTTTTTATTCCTAGAATCCTGTGGCCATAATCTGGCTTATTGTCATGTCTTATTTGTCCTGCATGATTTTTTAAAATTTCAAATTAGTTGTCATAAAAATCTAAATTTCCAGTTTCTCATGAAAAATCAGAAGATCTGGGAACACAGGGCTCATGTAACTCCCATGGCAACAAGCCACGTGTTAAGTAGAGGCTGCCCCTTGAGATAGGGCCTCTGCTCCCCAGTTTGCCCTGAACCAGTCTTTTAGTAGGGAGATGACTCCTTACCATTACACATGGCCAGCTTCCCTCAGGCTACCTGCCTGACCTTTGAAGGCAAAAGGAGACCTTCACTTCTTGGTGTCTGCCCTCTAGACAGGATGAAACTAAATGTGGATCCAACTTGCGGGGCTGGAGGGCTGAAGTGTCCTCCACTCTGATACAGGTACATGCCAGATTATGCCCATGATCCCAAGAAAGTTCCAGTCCTTCTCATCTGAAGACTGCTCTTGTTGATTTTATAATTAACAAAGCCTCTCTATGATTTTTTCTTTGGAGTGAAAGATCTCAGTTTACCCCATTGTTTGATTTTGAAGCCTTTTATCTTTTTGTCTTTCTGCAGGTAATTAAATGTCGTAATGAGATCATGCACTCTTCAGAGATGAAAGTATCTTCTACGTGGCTTCGAGATTTTCAGATGAAGATCCAAAATTTTCTGAATGAATTCAAGAACATCCCAGAGATTGTGGCAGTATACTCCAGAATAGAACAGGTAAAAATCATGTTTAATAGTTCTGGCATACAGAATGAAGAGAGAGAAAACAACAACAGCCACACATTTAGAATTTGAAGTTTATTAGATTTAACCTAAGTGTTAGAATGTAAGCAGGGGAAAGAATGCCAATATGAAATCTGTAATTATGCTGGGCTGAGAAGCTTTTCTGTGGTCACAGTGCACTATTAATATGGATCCAGTTCATTGTGTTTAATTATAAATTATTTGAGTAATTCAGTGGAATGCCTTCTTCATGAAATCAGTTCATATATTTGTGTGGCAATCCCTCAGCTGTTGACGTCTGACTGGGCTGTTCACATCCCCGAGGAAGATCAGCGAGATGGGTGTGAATGTGAAATGGGAACTTACCTGAGTGAGAGCCAAGTCAATGAAATAGAAATGCAGTTACTAAAGGAGAAACTTCAAGAGATATATCTTCAAGCAGAAGAACAAGAGGTGTTGCCTGAAGAGGTAAAAGAAAAGTGTTATAGGCTCTGTGTGAGTTAACAACACAAAGAAAGATTCTGGGGAGGAAGAGTAGCTCATCTTAACAAATAATTAATTGTGTTTTTGATTTATAAGTTAAATAATTTCCAGAAGTGTGAATATGCTTTTGGCACAGAGTAATATTACCTCTTAACAAATATTTTCACTTTCACATCAGCAAACATTTGAATGCCTAATCTGTGCCACAAAGTGGAAAAATGTGATAAAGGCTACAATAGAATTCTGAAAAAAATGCTCTAGACATTCTCTGCTGGTCAGGTGGATTGCCAAAAAAGATTTTGCCAAGAAGATGCTGTTGAGCTGTGGCTCACAGAATCAAATAAGAGTCTGACAAATTGGCAAGAGAAAAAGATTCTTCTTGGCAGAGGGCACAGTACTTGCAAAAGCAGGAAAGGATAGTCTGAGCCTGGGCAAGAACAGGTGAGCACACGAGCTATGGCCAGGTTTGTGGATGGTAAAGTGGGCTGGAGCCACATGCCAAAAGGTTTTCTAGGCCATGCCACGGGGTTTGGGCTTCATTCCCAAAAAGCAGTCAAGAAAGGGAGATAGGATCAGATATAGCTTTTAGAAAGTTAACTCTTGTGGTAGTTGGAGGTTGGATGAGTGGCTAGCAATTACCCAGAAGGCTCTTGCAGTCGTGTGAAGGTGAGAGAGAACAGAAACTAGGGGCTGTGGAGGAACTGGATTCTGGAGGCAGTGCCTGAGCAGAACCGATGGATATTGGTGGCCAGGGAGATTACTTGGAGCATGGCATGGGGCTGGAAAAGGGTGGAGAAGGTGGGGAGAGGAATGTTTAAAGGATTATCAATGTTTCTAGTTTAGGACCTGCAGACTAATGATGGTCTAAACTCCCAAGTACAGGAGAAACAAATCTCCTTTGTCACATGCAAGGTATAAAAGAAATTAACAGTAGTAGAATTATATTCCAGTAAGGTTCAGAAATATTTCAGCACTGGCTGGATTAGACTTCTAGATCACCAGGAGATATTGGAAAAATCATTTCACCTCTCCATTCCTCCTTGTCCAAGGAAAGTAGTTTTGCTGGTTACCTCATTAAACATAGGGAGAGTTTATTAAATGCAAATTCACGGAGCTGTGCTCCTTGCAGATAACTATGCCTGTATTAACCATTCCAGCTTTGATCCAGGTGCTTTATTCAGCATGGTGAGCCCCTTTAGCACAAGGGCTTGGTACCCCTGGTTTTTTGGGTGTGCCCACCATGGTACACCATAGGTATTTAAAATGATGTATTAGAATGTTTATCTTCTCTTTTCTAAATCCATGTGTTTGAGTTCCTCTGTCTTTATTTTATAATGCCATTAGAGCCCCAGTTTTCTTTCTGCTGCTGTTTTCAGAAGCTAGAGCCAGGATTTTGTGTCAGTTGAGAGCTGGAAGGGAACCTGGCAGTCATCTTATATCCCCTGCTTTGCATGTGAGGCAAGGGCCCCAAGGAGCTTGCACTGGGTCTGAGGGCTGGCCCGCAGGTCTCCCCCTTCTGATCCTGTGGCTTCCCGCCTGCTGTGCTGCAGATCTTATATAATGAGGAGCTGGCAGCTGTACGTTTTGAACCCCCATTATCTGTTTTACAGAAAGGAAATAGGGATTAATTGGCTTGTCTTCTGGGTGGAGTCTCTAGGTGGAGTTGATAAATTCTCATTTTTCATGCTTTCTCTTCAGCAGACCATGGCATTTCTCATAATATTTCAGTTGGTCAAAATGTGAGGATTGATTGGCATGTTACCTCAAAAAAGTTGGAGGTCAGGTTTCCACATATATGAAATTTGACGTCTTCAGAAAGTTCAGTACCCTATATGATTTTCCATCTTCTTTAGGGTTAGTTGCCAAAGTCAGAGGATTTGTTAGGACCAGATTTCAATGAATGTAAAATGCTGTCAATTGTAAAACATACCATTATTTCAGTTACTTCTAAGAAAGAAAAAATAATGCTGCCAGTTTATTACAAGACACTATCAATGGTAAGATGCATTCTCATTTGAGACGTTACAATAGGAAAAAGTGTGCATCCCGGGATCAGGAAATACAGTGATTATATTATGACCCCAGGACTTTTGTTATAAATGTTATCAAGACCTGTTTCTTGTTTTTGTTAAAACAGTAGGGGTGAAGGCGAGGTGCAGTGGCTCTTGCCTGTAATCCCGGCACTTTCAGAGGCCAAGGTGAGAGGATCACTTGAGCCCAGGAGTTTGGGACCAGCCTGGGCAATGTAGGGAGACCCCATCTCTTAAACAGACCAACCAGCCAAAAAATGTAGGGGTAGGGTTAGAAAGCTAAGTTGAGAAAAATGATTGATGGTGGTAATTCAGTGTGACAGCTCCTGCAAACACATCATGGAGTGCCACAGAGAGCTCACCATCTCCACAATTTTCTATTCGTTTGGTGACCCTTAAAGGTATAGCACATTAGAAAAAGTGGGCTCACATTAAAATACACTGTGCATGTATTGCTGTGACTGTGAGATTTTTTTTTCTGCTTTGGAGCCAAATGGGAGTAGCAGCTGCTTGGCCCCCTTGTAACACATGTGGAGTTTGTGTCGGCCATGGGCTCATCTGCCCCAGAATTCGGCTGCCACCTAAGTGCCCTTCACATAGTCCTGCCAGCCCTCATTGCTCTGTTAGGATCTGGGAGTTAAAAAAAAATCCAACTAAAGAACATTGAGCACAGTTAGTGGCTAAAAAACTTGAAAATAATTTTCACAGACTTTAAAATCATGACTGATTTCTTAAATCCTGGTGAGGGAGCCACCTTCACAGAGACCTGTGGGGAAGCTTAGGGACAAGGGACGATGACAGTGTGTACTCAAGGCCATTGGGGAAAGGATAGAAAATGGCACTTCATTCGTTATATTCTAGAAATTTTTATTGAGCACCTACTGTGTGCCAGGCACAGTTCTAGAAGCTTGGTATGCATCAGTGAATGAAACAGACAGATACTGTTTAGTATCTGGGAGACAGATACTAAACAGTAAACATAATAAGGTAATGATGTGGGGCAGTAGAAGGAGAAATCCAGTGTAGAGCAGAGGGAGGGCGATCAGGATTGGCAGAGTGGGGACGAATGTCAGGTTGCAGTAGGGTAGTTAGGGTGGCCTCTTTGAGAAGGTGAGACTTAACAGTACCTTGAAGGAGGTGAGGATTAGCCATGCGTGTATCTAGGGGAAGAGGACTTGAAAGAATAGTGGGTGAAGAGGTCAGAGAAATGGAGGGAGAGGAAGCAGTTCCTACTGGGCCTTGTGAGCCATTGGGATGACAAAAGGAGCCACTGGCTAAAGTGGTGAGGGTACTACGGGGTACTGGAGGGGAGGGGCCGAGATAGAAGCAGGTAGACTGGTAGGAGGCTACTGCAGTGGACCAGGTAAAAGATGGTGGTAGCCAGGCTGAAGGTAGAAGTGTAGAGGTGATGTGAAGGTGGGCAGATGTGGCATGTGAGAGAAAGAAAGAGATCAAAGCAAGGCCAAGAGTTTTGGCTTAGGTGACTGGAAGAGTGAAGTTGCCGAGCGTCTTTTACCTCCAACAGTAGACCAGCATGTAGTAGACTGTCAGTAAATTGGACATTTATTGAATGAATGTAGTTAAAAAGGAGGGAATGGACCAGAGATGCTGCTAAGTGCTTTTAGTAGCTTATTTCTGATCCTCATAAGAATCCTAGGTGGTGTTGTTATCATCATCCTTAATTTGTATACCTAAAAGTAAGCTCAGAGAGGTCAGATGTCTTGGCCAAAGTCACACAGCTAGTTAAGTGACAAAGCTGGGCTTCAGTGTCCAAGTCTGAATTTTCTACATTCCAAATTTTTCTAGTACTTTCAGTTTTTCCATCTCTACTTTCTCTTCCCCCTTTACCTATAAACATGCAAAACCTTCCCTGTTCTTAATACTTTTTTTTTTAAAGCCTCCTTTTGATTCGTCCTCCCAACCCCAAGCTAAAATAATCACCCCAGCCAGAACACCTCTTAAGCACATTTCAAGAGTAAATGCATTTGTTGCATTTCACAAAGGAGAAAACAAGTTTCAAGAAATGTCAGCTATGGGACACTCCTGTTGAAGATAATGGGAAAGAAAGGCAATTTGGGGTGGAAAAGAGAACTGAAACCATGAGCAAAAGAAAAGAAACTAAGTGGAACAGAGCACATCAGTCCTGAGAGTCTGCAGGGGGGGTCAGGAGGTAGCAGCACAAGGACCACCGTTCCTGGGTTATCATGTGAGAAAGTCTCCGCTCAAGTGGAGGGGCACCCCACTGAGGGCAAAAGTCCATCTGTGATCATGCGTGTGGTGCCCAGGCCCTGCTGGTGCCATCACGGACATCTGATTAGAGCCTCAGGAAGACCCTGAGGTGTGTCTAGGGCACCGGGCACGGTCACTGAGAGCTAACGATGCAGTGCCCACAGTTCCTAACGCTTGCTGTGAACAGTGTCATCCATGTGATCTTCATTTCACATGTCTCTGGTTTCCAGATTTATTATTTAAAGCCCAAGCATCTTGCAGGAGCTCTAGGCTAGTTTCCAGCTGTGTATTAACCAGCTCCTGAAGGGCACATTCCCGGTCTACTTACTGACCAATCTGAAACCCTTTGATCATCTGCAGCTCCTCCCTGTCCCTCCCCGCTCCCCGTGCGTCCTGGCCACAGCTGTCCACCTCCCTCCCATCCCCAGCAGCCATGATCTGGCATCTGGCTCTTTCATTTGCTTACTTCACGATAACGTGAGTATTTGCTGGGGTTCCACCCCAGACCTACTGCATGGGAATCAGTGATGTACGCTCTGCAGTTTAAGAACTACTGCTCTCTTAGGGCAGGGTGCTCCGTTATTTTTCTTCATTAGATTTATATAACCCTGACTTAACTTGCAGTTGAGGGTTCCCCATTTAAAAGCATTCATCGCTGGGCACAGTGGCTCACACCTGTAATCCCAGCACTTTGGGAGGCCGAGGCGGGCGAATCACCTGAGGTCAGGGGTTTGAGACCAGCCTGGCCAACATGGCAAAACCCCGTCTCTACTAAAAACAAAAATTAGCCGGGCGTGGTGGCATGTGCCTGTAATCCCAGTTACTCAGGAGGCTGAGGCATGAGAATCGCTTGAACCCAGGAGGCGGAAGTTGCAGTGAGCCGAGATCACACCATTGCACTCCAGCCTGGGTGACAGAGCAAGACACTGTCTCAAAAAAACAAAAAATATACACACACACACATACACGTGTGTGTGTGTGTGTGTGTGTGTGTGTGTGTGTGTATATATATATACATACACACATATATATACACATGTATATATATATGTACACACGTATATATGAACATATGTATATATCCATCTATATAATAATTCAGGTACAGAATTCAAAAGAAAAGGGCATTTTATTTATTTGTACACACACACGGGTGTGTATGTATAAAATGAAGCCCTTTCATGTAAAGGCAGGAAGTTTTAAAGCAAAAAAATGGAAGGAGACAAGCAAATATTCCCTTGTGTACCCCCAGAACCAGTTATCCTGGGTCACTTTTTTATTTTTTGAGTGGAGGATGCTTTGTTTTAAAGGATTTGTTTTGTTTTTCAAACTTTAACCTGTCTGTGGACAGATGCCTGTAGCCAAGATTTCTGTCTCTTGGGCACGTGAGTAGGAGCCAGTCTAGAAGCTAGTAGGTTTTTCATTTGAATTACAAATCTGCTATAAAATCGTCTAAGCTGTACATTGCATGGTTTCCTCTTGCAGCTCTCAAATCGACTGGAAGTGGTGAAGGAATTTCTGAGAAACAATGAGGATCTTAGAAATGGCCTTACAGAAGATATGCAGAAGCTAGACAGCCTCTGTCTACATCAAAAACTGGATTCACAGGAACCTGGGAGACAAACACCTGACAGGAAGGCCTGAGGTGAGTTCAGGCAGATGATGGTGTTAAAGAAGGACAGAATCACCTCATCTCTTTCATGTCTATTCTCTCATGTGAGGCCATCATGAACACACAACAATCTAATCTGAAGTTTGCCTTTGTCCTTATTGTTTCAAAGAAAGGACACTGAGGTTTGTGTTCTTCACTTAATGATTCTTACGTCTGTGAAGTAATTCAGCATCAACTCCCTGTTTAGCCAAATACACCTGAAGTCATTGGTCTAGAATTAAATGAATCAGCTTTATAACATAATCAAAAAGCATTTCTGCCTTAAAATGACACCATTGATGCCTAGCTCTTACCATGGCATTAATAGCAATTGACTAGTCAATTTCCATAAGGAGAACTTCTTAAAATGAGTAACTGTCTTCAGCATTTTACTTTTTCCCCCCTCAAATAAAAAAAATAAATAAAACATTCTCTTTCATTTTAGGTTGCCCGTCAACAAAAATCAGGCATGTTCTGTGAAAGTCAGCATGGCTTCCATCTCAGACATCCTTTTCTGTGCAAAAGGAAAAAGTTACCAGAGTATTGTACCCAAACAAAAAGGAATTTTTGTTGTTTTGTCCTGGACTTTCCTCTAACTCTTTGGAACTATTTTAATATTTATAAACTTGGGGTTGTATAATCTATTGCAATAAAAAATATTAGATACTCTATGCCAAAACTTGCTACCAGGCCAGGTGTGATGGCTCACACCTGTAATCCCCAGCACTTTGGGAGGCCAAGGCGGGCGGATCACCTGAGGTCAGGAGTTCGAGACCAGCCTGGCCAACATGGCGAAACCCCATCTCTACTTAAAAAAAAATACAAATATTAGCCGGGCGTGGTGGCATGTGCCTGTAATCCCAGCTACTCGGGAGGCTGAGGCAGGAGAATCGCTTGAACCTGGGAGGCAGAGGTTGCAGTGAGCTGAGACCATGCCACTGTACTCCAGCCTGGGCAATAGAGCGAGATTCTGTCTCCCAAAAAAACAAAAAACAACAACAAAACTTGCTACCACCCAGGGATTTTCTGCTATTTAAAAGGTGAATTTCTTTTCTGGTACTAAACTGTAGCTGCTTAACTTAGTAAAGGCTGTGTTTGGCCAGGCCTGTGCCAGAGGCTCACCTGGAGTGCTCCACCCACTGGCAGGCAAGTCCTATTCCTATTCACCCAGGATCCCCAAGGCTGGGCTGGGATATAAATGTTGGGATAGGAAAGAAATATTTCCTTTTTAGAGGAAAGCAAGAAGAAACATTGCCTGAAAGGTGATTTTCTAGTCATTTCCAATTAGTACAGAAATGTTACTGCCTCTGGGTGCAGTGGTTCACGCCTGTAATCCCAGCACTGTGGGCGGATCACTTGAGCCCAGGAGTTTGAGACCAACCTGGGCAAGATGGCGAGACCCCATCTCTACAAAAAAATTTAAAAATTACCTGGGCATGGTGGCACACACCTTTATTCTCAGCTACTCAGGTGGCTGAGGTGGGAGGATCCCTTGAGCCCAGGTGGTCAAGGCTGTGGTGAGCTATGATCATGCCACTGCACTCCAGCCTGGGTAGCAGAACAAGACCCTGTCTCAAAAAAAAAAAAACCCCAAAAACTGTTACTACTAGGTTGGAGTAGCCTAAGGCAGTAGGGCAAGGAGGTGGGCCCAGGCTGGTCTGTGGGGAGCTGGAGAATGGTGACTCGAGTGACCAGTGGACAGGCAGGACCCAGGCCAGCATTACAAGCGGGGATGTCAGGCAGGAGCAGGGGAGCTTCTCGCTTGGCAGCTGGTTTATGGTACACTTTTGAAAAGTAAGCTCCCAGGGCCTGGCCCTCACATGCTCAGTGAATATTTGACTGAAGGGTCCCCTCATAGCTTGGGAGTATTCACAGGCCTAAATGTTAGTTATACTATTAGCTAAGCCTGGTCCTTTGTTACGAAATTTAAAAATGAAATTGCAACATTCTTGTGGAAATTCAAAGACATCATTTTCTTTCAACAAATTCACACATTCGTTCATGCTTCTTCTATACCTTTTACCCCTAAAGTCATCCACTCCTGAGTTCCTCCTGCTGGTTTCCCAAACTGCGCAATGACTGCCCCATCATAGGCAGTGGTCCGTGGAGTCGGCCTCACTTTCGCCTTTCCCCGCATCTACTTGTTTCCAAGGCCAGTGGTACTTAACTGGGTCAAGTTGCCTGTGGACCTTCAGGAACAGAATTGCCATGTTCCTCACTGCCTGCAGGAAAGGCTCCATTCCAAGCCCAGTGAAGATGTGTGCCTATCCAGCCGCCCACCAAGGATGTCATCTGTAGAATGGGTGGAGGGCAGGGGTTTATTTGGTGTATATTTTTACATTAAAATGCACTTAATATCACTTTGTAAAGCCCAGATGAGTGCAAATGTGCCTGTAACTTCCTCCTTTAATCTGTCCAGGTAGTATTTAGTCTTTAGTCTTACATTTTCTTTCTCCCTTTATTTCATGAAATTCCTTGAGAAAACTTCAACAGTAAAGAAAGAAATTTCATTCATCTCACAACTCTTCCAAACGAGGAAACTTAGTGAAATATTTCAGAGCTTCTAGATGTGAGGTACAAAACTTGGGATCAAATGGAATCTTGATTCACTAACCAATTTAAGATCTGACTTCTAATTTTAGGAACTTTGGGTTATGAACGCTTCCATTTTATACCTGTGTCTAGTTAGTTTCTGCCTATCTATCCAAGAAGCTTTTATCAAGGGTCCACCATGTGCCAGCCACTGAAGTAGATATAAATACAAGGATGTGTAAGGTATGGATGATGGTATACGAACTGTCATCTTACTGGATTTGTCCGCTCTGTTAAAGATACGGTTCCGAAAACTTTTTAAAGCCCTAGAGAGGGCTTTAAGGCAATGTAGCATCATATATAGAGGCATCAACCTGTTCATATCTTTCTATTTAACAGAACTGTGCACCTGGGCACAAGGGTGTGCACAACAGGATGTGTACAGCAGCACTGTTAAAGTGTAGCACATCCATACTACAGGATCTTATGCAACTGTTGGAAAGAATGAAGCGATGCTGCACTGTGGTCATGCAGTGATCTCTAAGACATATTAACTAGAAAGCAAAAGGTTTAACAATGTATAGCAGCTGGGCGCAGTGACTCGCGCCTGTAATCCCAGCACTTTGGGAGGCTGAGTAGGGCGGATCACCTGAGGTCAGGAGTTTGAGACCAACCTGGCCAATGTGGCGAAACGCTGTCTCTACTAAAACTACAAAAATTAGCTGGGCGTGGTGGCGCGTGCCTGTAATCCCAGCTACTCGGCAGGCTGAGGCAGGAGAATCGCTTGAACTGGGGAGGTGGAGGTTGCAGTGAGCCGAGATCACACCACTGCATTCCAGCCTGGGTGACAGAGGGAGACTCCGTCTCTAAAAAACAACCCCCCCCCCCCAAAAAAAAAAATGCATAGCAAGCTGTAATGCTCTTTGTGTTTTAGAATAGTAGAGGTCTGGAAAGTTGTTTGCTTTTCCCCAGTTTTTTTTTGCTGTGTTACCTCTGAAGGGAATTGAGGTAGAGGGGAGAGTTAGAAGGAATATTCGGCTTTTCTATTTTATATCCTCCTAGGTGAAATTTTTACAACAAACATGTACTGGTGTATTTTGAAATGTTTTTAAATTTTTGTATTTCAAAATAATAAAATATAAATTCAAACTGCAAGCTGGCTGTGTCGCATTTCCTGGACTATGTTGTAGCCTCCATTCCTCCATTTTGTAGCTCCACCTCCAGGGTCACCTGCAAATTGTCAGGGTCGTGGGAAGAAGCCCAGCAAGTGGATCACTTTCTACATAGGGCTGTCTGTTTCATCGTGAAGAGGCTTGTCTTCGTCCAGCAATATGATTTGTTCTCAGCCTCTCCCTGGGACACAATATGTGGCTCATAGTTTTGAAAGAATTAGAGGAAAAAAATGGTATTAGCATTATAGTTGCAAAGATAAAGCAGTTCTTTGGATTTAGCCTATTCTTCACCAGGGAGCTCAGAGTACCTAAGGAGGAAGACATTACATATTCAACTCAGAGTAAAACACCTGATTCTGGGAAATGACTAAAGTGTGTTGGTGACAAAAACTGGAAAACTAGCTCTGCCAATTCAGAAAATGTTACTGGTTTTATAAAGTTGTGGAGATCTGTAGACAGTTTAAATTGCCAAGGTTAGGATTACGTTTGAGAGTTTGGGAAGATTATGAAATGATTGTTACCCTAATGATTTAAAAAGTTCATTTTTATTAAAGTATGAATTACTTACTTGGCTTTAAACACTAATATCCTAGACAACAAAGGGTCTAAGTGAACCCAGCTAACTTAGTTGGGTGGGCATATTATGAATTAGATGCTGTAAGTGGAGCATTGCATTATTGTGGAGGTGTTGCAATCTTTTGGATATTTCCTCGAATCGTTTTGACCTCTAAATTGTAAGTATAGAGTAATAGGAAATTAGCAGCAGAGATTACCTCCTTTTCCCTCACCAGGTTAATTAGAAACCTACCGGCTCTGAAATGTCTTCAACAGACAATGGCCTTTTATTGAAATAGACTCAAATTACAAAATGCATATTGTAAGACAACCTAAAAATATATTAATTTCTACTCATGAAATCATTAGTGAAGTGGATATAAAGTTACTCATTTCATAACTTTAAGCACTGGTTTTTAATACTGCATTGTAGTCTGAATTATCTAAAACATTAAGACCCACTGTTATCTTCCAGAGATTTCTGCTTCTCAAACCCATGCTCTATGATATATGCATGTTAGCAATGACCACAAAACTGTAAACTGAGC
The DNA here is from genome assembly GCF_000001405.40 of Homo sapiens. Taxonomy (NCBI): domain Eukaryota; kingdom Metazoa; phylum Chordata; class Mammalia; order Primates; family Hominidae; genus Homo; species Homo sapiens. The sequence continues at coordinate 40,625,800 of NC_000023.11, read as the reverse complement.
ATTTTGTGACCTCTCTTTGGGAAGGTAAGCAACAAATTTACATGCTTTACTTTCCTACTGACTACTAGAAAGGCGTGAGAATTCTTATTTTAGCACCACGTGTGGTAGCCAGCATCCAGGATGGCCCCTAACAACGCCTGCTTCCCATCCTCATATTGTCCTCCCACAGTGTACCAGAGTTGTTTTGTGTGAACACAGCAGAAGTGATGGTATGTGACTTCCAAGATGAAGCTGTAAAAGGCTAGAACTTCCATCTTGGGCTATCTCTTGGAACACCACTCTGGGGGAAGCCACGTCACAAGCAGCCATATGGAGAGGCCCAGATGACAAGGAACTGAAGCCTCCTACAAACAACTATGAGCTTGGAAGCGGATCTTCCAGCTCCAGTCAAATCTTCAGAGACTGCAGCCCCAGCTGACAGCTGAGAGTCCCTGAGCCAGAAGTCCCCCACTAAATCACTTCCAGATTCCTGACCTTCAGAAATTACGTCAGATAACTGTTTTAAACTAAGTGTTGGGGTGATTACACGGCCATAGATAATACACTACCCCCATAGTTCGTTTCCCACCCCCTTACCCCCCACTCCCCCGCTAACCCCGTCCCCACATGCAGAATTTCGTGAAACTGTGACACAGACTGCCCACAAAGAGGACTTCTGCTTTAATGCCAGAGAAGATAAAGGGGAATCTTCTAGAATTCCACTAATGTGCCTGTTTTGTCCAAGAACTAACGTCTTCAGAATCTTTGATAGTGCTTTTAAATTTCTTTGCATTTGAAACCTCTATCTAAAGCAGGGTTCAAACACTTCTAAACACCTACTTTGGGGTTCACCAGTAAACACTCTGGAACTTTCCGCATCCTTCAGAGGCAGGGACAGGGGAAATTTTTGGGTCAAATCGTAGAGGGCAGCCTCTGCTATGTAGGTAATGGCCTTAGCCTACTGCCCCACCACCCCACCCTTCTCGTTTCCCTTTTCTCGGCTCTGTGGTTTAAGAATCCGTAGGAACCCCCAAGATTCCTAGGGGAATACTCTGAGCTGCCGCTGTTGACCACTGACCCCTCACCCCCAGCTCTAGCTAGCATTCAACAGAGTTGATAGGTAACCAGTTTTGCAAACTGCCATTTCCCCCGTTTTTAAGGATAACTAAAGGAGGAAAGAACGATTTTGTCGTTTTACCTATTTACCTAGAATCCAGGGTTGATGGCAATTGTCCTCAGAATTGTTTATCCTGTCTCCATGGCAGATTCTATAATTGCTCTCCGTCGCCAAGAGATCCTAGGTTCTCTTGAGGCTGCACTGTACCTCACGACATTCATTTAAAACCCACTTCGAAACATTTCCCTCAGTAGAAAGAGCCCCCAGACTTTTTTTGATATACAGATTTGTGACTGCACCAAGCTGTGAGTCATGTGTGATACTAAGCAACCCTGTTCGCTCTGGACATCCAAAACAAGTAACAGAAATACGTTCCCAAGAGAGCTTTAAAAAAAAAACAAAAAAGCTACGAGTTAGTGAATACTGTGAAGTGCTTTTCATTCAAAGTCTTCCTCCCCCATATAAACTATCTTGAGTTGCAGGTCCTGTGAAGAGAAAGACCAGCTAATCCACCCTCCCCTTCTAAAAAACATTTTCAGTTTACAAAAAAGGCAACACTCAACTTCGGTTCAATGTTACTTTGTATTTCTTTATTAATCAAACTGCAGGTTTAAGTCAGATTCGCACTGTTTTAGAGTCAAAACCGAGGTCTTCATTGGTCTTTTTTCAGGAGGAATGGCAGTTCAGTGCTTGTGACCTGCAGAGATGAGATCAGGCCCTCTCAGTTCTTAAGAAGCTTGTTTCGGGGGCTGGGAACCCGGGCTGGTGGCAGCGGCGGCGGTAGCCGGAGGGTCGCGGGCTTTAGCCTCGGCGCCGCCGCCGCCGTAGTAGTAGAGTAGGTAGCGACTGGCCTGCACACTCTGCGCCATCACGTTGGTACAGTGGCACGCCATCAGCAGCAGGTTTCGAGGCTGTACGCGGTAGGCGAAGCGCATGAAGATCGCCGAGTACAAGATGAGCGCTGTTGTCATGCGGCCACTGATGATCTCCGGCGACGCCTTCATGTCTTTAAAGGCAGCCAGCGGAAGGCCCCAGCTGAACGCGGGACCCCAGAAGTGAGTGCTGCTCACGTATTCCCGGAACTCCTTGCTCTGGAAGTTATCTCTCATCTTCCGCCACAGTACCGCCATCCTCGCCATGATGGAATAGCCGTAGGCGTGCCTACGGATCAACAGCCAGACCACAACGAAATAGAGCGCAAAGCCGAGTACCCGCAGCCGACCCTGACTGGGCACACGCTCGCGACCTCGAGCCTTCGCGTGGCTGCCACAAAGTGCGCCGACAGCACGTGCCGCTGTTCTGTCGGAATGAAAGGGCGTGGTTTCACCCTGGCGCCTTCGCGTTGACTACCGTAAAGTGCTCCAGACGGCACGTGCCGCTGTGCTATTGGGGCGAAAGGCAGTGGTCTCACCCGCGGGCCTTTGCCTGAATGCCGTTAAAGTGCTGCAGACAGCACGTGCTCCTGTTCTGCGGGCGTGCGAGGCCGTGGCTTTGCCCTCGCGCCTCATGTAACCGCTGTAAAGTGCTCCAGACTACATGCCAATGTTCTGCGGGAATGAAAGGGCGTAGCTTCGCCCTTGCGCCTCTGCATGACTGCTGTGAAGTGCTCCACAAGCACGTGCAGCGGTTCTGAGAGAGTGAAGGGGCCTGGCCTCATCCTTGCACCTTTGCCTGACTGCCGTAAAATGCTCCAGACAGCAGCTGCCGCTGTTCTGTGGGGGTGAAAGGGCGTGGGTTTGCCCTTGTGCAGACGTGACTGCTGTAAAGTGCTCCAGACAGCACGTGCTGCTGTCGTATGTTCCTGTGGGGGTTAGGGGAGGGGCGCAGCCTCACCCTTGCACTTTTGCGCTTTCCGTGGACTGCCATAAAGTGCATACAGCATGCGTGCATGTGTGTGTCCTCTGGCAGAAGTGGAACCACAGCCTCAGCCTGCGTTCCCCACAGGCCTGCAGCTGCTTTTAAGTGCTGAGGGTTACTCGTGCCACCCGGAGAGGAGAGGGTCAGGCTGCCTGCTTCTCAGCCATGCAAAGGGAAACTGCTTGTTCTGCCTAGTCCCTGGACAGTGTTGACTAGATGTTGATACAAAATTCCTCAACCGGGTTCAGAATTTTAGCCCTTAACACAATTTGCCTGAGTGTTACTTGCAGACATAGTGACATTTCACCTTAACATTTTAGCATCTGTCTCTTAAAAACAAGGATGGACCCCTACTTAACCACAATGCAATAATCCACACTGTAATATGCAGAGCATATTTAAATTTTATAGCTTTACGGCTGTATTTTTTTTTCCTTCTTGTTGGAGGGGGAAGTCAGGATTCAATCAAAATTCAAGTTTAGTTAACTCCTTTGATTAATATTTAATCTAGAAGCGTTCCCTGGCTTTTTGTCTTTCATGACATGGACATTTTTGAAGAGTCCAAGCTCGTCGCTTTTCAGAATGTCTGTAAGTTGGATTTGTCTGTTTTCTCGTTAGATTTAGGTTAAACATTTTTTGATAAAACAACTTCACAAGAGATGTTGTATTCTTAGTTGCATCACAATGCAAGGCACATGATGTCACTTTGTTCCAGCATTGGTGGTACTAAGTTCGGCCACTTGGTTAAGAAGTTATCCGCGGAGAAGCTGCGAGGATGGTGGAGTGAGGCGTGCGGCTGTAAATTGGCCTCTGGGCCGGGGGCGGGCTAGCTCCCGGGAGGCCGAGCGCATCTGTTGGACTGTGCGAAGAGAAGAAAAAAAGAGATCGGCCAGAGGAAAGGAACTAACCGAACATTCTTCCTCCCTACCTTGCAGAGGGGAGTGGTCATCTACACTAAAGCAAAGGTTCCTTATCACAGGAAGAAAATTTTCCTTGACCATTAGGTGCTTTTATATTCATCTCAAAAACAAAATTCTGAACTCAGGACTTGGCAAATTCAATACAGAGGAGCTCCTAGGATTCCAGTTATCCTGCCAACTTCTCCAGGAAGAAAGAAACAACTTGCATGGGTCTTCTGCTGTTTGCTTAATTATAAAGACATCATTTTGCAAGCTGAAGGCTGAGTTTCATTTTAAACAGGTGCTTAGGTGGTGGTATTCGTGAATACTTTTCATTCCAAGCAAGAAGACTAAATAAGTAGCAAGTATGGATGACTTCAGGGTTTAAAAAAAAATGTCTTCCAGTTTCAGCCACTACCATGATAAGCACAGTAGAGACTGCAGCAGTAAATTCCAAATATGTGTTTCTAATTTGACGTGAAAGATACTAAAAAATTATATATTTAAATCCTGGCTCATCCTGTGACATAGATTTACTGAATAAGAACAAAGGCCCAATTTTAAACAAAAACCTAGGTCGGGTGCGGTGGCTCACGTCTATAATCCCAGCACTTTGGGAGGCCGAGGTGGGCGGATCACCTGAGGTCGGGAGTTTGAGACCAGCCTGACCAACATGGAGAAACCCCGTCTCTACTAAAAATGCAAAATTAGCCGGGTATGGTGGTGCGTGCCTGCAATCCCAGCTACTTGGGAGGCTGAGGCAGGAGAATCGCTTGAATGCCAAGGGGGCGGAGGTTGCAGTGAACCAAGATTGCACCACTGCACTCCAGCCCGGGCGACAGAGTGAGACTCCCTCTCAGGGGGGAGAAAAAAAAAACTTTGGACATAGAGGAGTCGGCGGCAGAGAGAGGAGGATGAGAGAATTTTCCGTAGAACTCCTTTTCCCTAAGAAAAACAAGCAAAAATGCCTCGTGCAGTGCCATCTGACTTTATGGTGTTTCACATTATATAGTTACATTTTTTGTAAATGCATAATATTAACTATTTTCCTGCAACCCAAGGTGGATACTTGGATGTTTTATTTTATTTTATTTTATTTTATTTTATTTTATTTATTTATTTTTGAGGTGGAATCTCACTGTGTTGCCCAGGCTGGAGTGACTGGTGCGATCTCTGCTCACTGCAATCTCTGCCACCTGGGTTCAGGCGATTCTCCTGCCTCAGCCTCCCAAGTGGCTGGGATTACAGGTGCGTACCACCACACCTAGCCTGATTTCTTACTTTAGATATTAGGTGTAATGTTAGGCTGAAAAGGCTGGGACTCAGGTACTTTCCCCAGGTGGGACTGAACTTTCTCATCAGAGAATGGGCCTCAGAAGCAATGTTCCCAAACTTGTGGTTGGGTCATTGTAGATTCAGGGTGTGGAAAAGAAACCTCAAACAAGAAAAATAATTACAATAAGAAATGGATTTTCTTTTTTTCCCACAACAGTTATAGGTTATAAAGAACAGACTATCGTAGAAAACTGTCCTTGCTTCCACATCAGCAGAGGACCATTGTATGTTTTGTCAGGTCTTTACATAAGAGTGAAACCTTTATTTATGCTTCTTTGTGAGTAGAGAATAAATTTTAAAACTAATTAGATGAAATTAAGAACAGAGAGTATTGGAACATCTCTGTGTTTTCCGGAATGTCTACTCAGATCCACGAATGCTGTGATGCTGGGAACTTAGGGCAGATTCACCAAAATTTGAGAGTGATAGAAATGGCCCAAAATGGGAAATGTTGAGCACTCTTACTGATTAGTGAGATTGGTCAATCAACCCATTGGAAATGGGTAAAAAATACTTTTAGTAAAATACATATTATATATAAAATATTTCTTTTTTTGAGGGCAGCTACTGAGTCAGTGATAAAGCATAGTAGAAATAACTTTGGTTAAAAGTAACTCAAAGTTTTCTCTAAGTAATCTATCTACTTCCTGATGTTTTTCTTTAATATTTTGGAATTGTTCAAGACAGAATGGAGCCTACATATATGGGTTCCACTAGTATGTTGAAAATGTCATATCATGGAGAATTTGTACCTTCCAGGTGTCTGTTACCCATCTCCTCTGTGTGCTTCTGGCATCTTTTTTGGTAGGATCATTTGGCAGGGGGTAGAGTACCTGTACTTTTGGCACCATTGAAACCAGCTCTGGCCCACTTGTTTGAGTAGCTGTCAGACTCAGTGTCTCCATATGCTTTATATTTTTTCAGTCCACAGTTGAAAGAACCAGTGTTAAATGCTCTTCGAAACTGTTTCTGTATCTTCCATGGTTCAGACCAGATGCATTTAACAAAATGAATATATTAAAAAAAAAAAAAAGTTATTCGCCTGGTTTCTCCATTGGACAGTTACCTTTTCCCTTCAAATAATCCAGGGGGAGCCGCCTTGAGAGTGTATGGATATTCTATTCTCCAACAGTTTCCTTTTTTTTTTTTTTTTTTTTTTTTTGAGACAGAGTCTCGCTCTGTTGCCCAGGCTGGAGTGCAGTGGCATGATCTTGGCTCACTGCAACCTCCACCTCCCGGGTTCAAGCAATTCTCCTGCCTCAGCCTCGCTAGTAGCTGGGATTACAGGTGTGTGCCACTATTCCCGGCTAATTTTTGTATTTTTCATAGAGACGGCGTTTTGCCATGTTGGCCAGGCTGGTCTCGAACTCCTGACCTCAGGTGATCCGCCTGCCTCGGCCTCCCAAAGTGCTGGGATTATAGGCATGAGCCACCTCTCCTGGCCTCTCCTTCACCTAATAGTTTTGATATCTGTGGATGCAAATTCCTTAATGACAAAACTGGTGATTATTTTTCCAGTGCTTTCTGTTTTTTTCCAATAAAAACAGCAACTGTTGGCCAGGTGCAGTGGCTCATGCCTGTAACCCCAGCAGTTTGGGATGCTGAGGTGGGAGGATCACCTGAGGTCAGGAGTTCGAGACCAGTCTGGCCAATATGGTAAAACCCCATCTCTACTAAAAATATAAAAATTAGCCAGGTGTGGTGGTGCGTGCCTGTAGTCCCTGCTACTCGGGAGGCTGAAGCAGAAGAATCACTTGAACCCCAGAGGCAGAGGTTGCAATGAGCTGAGATTGTGCCACTGCACTCCAGCCTGGGAGACACAGCAAGATTCCGTCTCAAAAATAAATGAATAAATAAAACAAAAACCAAAAACAAAAACAGCAACTGTTGAGAAGTGATTGAACATGCATTGAAATACTAATGCTTTATGTAGTGATTTACATACAAGCCTATTGTACCTTTAAAATGAATATTCATTATCTGTGTTCATTTACACCCCAAACATTTTACAAATATGGCTTAAAAATATATAGTATAGCCATTCCTCCAAAGGAAAGTGGCATAATTTTTAGATAACCCTTTTAAAATGCGGAGCTTCCAAATATGGATGACTGGTATACTGTTGTAAATCAGGTCAGTATAAGTTTGAACTAATAAATCAGCAAGCATGTATTGAATGACATTTTAGGCCTACGCTGCCAGATGCTCCAATGTCCTAAAAGAAATAGAAGCTACCGCTCCTTTTCCACAGAAGCTTTCAGTACTTACAGACTGTCTCACGTAAGTTACTTGGTTTTGATCACCTATTGCTGTATAACAAATCACCCCCAAACTTAGTGGCTTAGAACAACAATCTTTTCTTTTACTCCCAAATTTACCATTTGGGCAGGACTTAATAGGGACAGCTCATCTGTCCCATGCATCACCAGTGGGGATATTTCAGCCTAGGGCTTGGAGGATCCACTTTGAAAATGGCTCACTCACATAGCACGTTGATGCTGGTTATTGGCTGGGAGCTCAACTGGGGCTGTTAAGGGGCCAGTTTCTCTCCATGTGGATCATTCCACAGGGTGCTCAGGCTTCCTCGCAGTATGGTGGCTGAGTTCCAGGAGTAAACAAGAGTAATCAAGAGTAAACAAGAGAATCAAGCAGAAGCTATCGGGTAGGCAGAATTCTAAGATGGCCCCAATGACCCTCACCCTTGTATAATCTTCCCTTGAGTGTGAGTGGAACCTATGAATATCATTAGACATTATTCCCATGATTACATGACAAAAGAGATTTTGCAGATGTAATTGAGGTTTTGAGTCAGTAGATCTTACGATAGAGAGATTCACAAAGTGAGCCTCCCGTAACCACAGGAACCATTTAAATCTGGGTCTAGAGGTCAGAGACCGGAATTCAGAGATTCAAAACATGAGAGGGATTTGACGTGAAGGATATTCTCCATAGCCGGCTTTGAAGATGGATGGCAAAAAATGCAGGCAGCCCCCAGCTGACCAAAGAAACAGAGATCTTAGTCGTATGACCATAAAGAACTGAATTCAACCAACAATGTAATGAGCTTGGAAGCGGGTCCTCACCTCAACTCTGCTCCTCCAAGAACTCAGTCCAGCTAACACCTTCATTTCAGCTGTGTGACACCCTGTGCAGAGAACCAAGTCATGCTGTGCCCAGAATTCTGACCTACAAAACCATGAGCTAATAAATAGGTATTGTTTTAAGCCTCTAAGTTTGGGGTAATTTGTTGCATAGCAATAGAAAACTAACATAAGCTATATTGGTTTTTATGGACTTAGCCTCAGAAGTCAACATGACATCACTTTTTCCATAGCCACAAGGCCACCCAAATTCAATGGAGGGTAGATAGACCCACTTCTCAAAGTTATACTTCAAGAAGAGCATAGGAGCTGGGTGCAGTGGCACACACCTATAGTTCCAGCTACTCGGGAGGCTGAGGTAAGAGGATTGCCTGAGCCCAGGAGTTTGAGACCAGCCTGGGCGACAGAGCGAGATCCCATCTCTAAAAATACTTTATTGATTGTTTGAGATCTGGTCTCACTCTGTCGCCCAGGCTGGAGTGGAGTGGCACAATCACAGCTCACTGCAGCCTCGACTTCCCAGGCTCAAGGGATCCTCCCACCTCAGCCTCCCAAAGCATTGGGATTACAGGTGTGAGCCACTGTGCCCAGCCACACACACAATATATATATATATATATATATATACACACACCTATATATGTATACATATACACACACACGTATATATGTATACACACACACACGTATCTATGTATACACACACACACACGTATCTATGTATACACACACACACGTATCTGTATACACACACACACGTATCTATACATACACACACGTATCTATGTATACATACACACACACACGTATCTATGTATACATACACACACGTATCTATGTATACATACACACGTATCTATGTATACATACACACACGTATCTATGTATACATACACACACGTATCTATGTATACATATACACACACACGTATATATGTATACACACACACGTATATATGTATACACATACACACGTATATATGTATACACATACACACACACGTATATATGTATACATACACACACACGTATATATGTATACATACACACACGTATACATGTATACATACACACACGTATATATGTATACATACACACACACGTGTATATGTATACATACACACACACGTGTATATGTATATACATATGTGTATATGTGCATATACATGTGTCACACATATGCATATGTGTGCATATATGCACGCACATATGTGCGTGTGCATACATGCATGCATATATGTGCGCATATATGTGCACATATGTATGCGCACATATATGCACATGTATGTGCACATATATGTATGCACGTATGTGCCCATATATGCGCGCATGTGTGTACATATATGCACGCATGTGTGTACATATATGTATGCATGTGCACATATATGTATACATGTGTGTGCGTGTGTGCTTGCATGTATGTATAGATGTATGTGTATATATATGTATGTATACATATATGTATAGATGTATGTGTACATATGTATGTGTGTACATATATGTATACATGTATGTGTGTGCATATATGTATATGTATGTGTGTGTCTATATATAGAGAGAGCATATAAGATGGGAAATGTTGTGTCCACCTTTGAAAAATGCAATCTACCATATTACTTAACTTGAAGTCACATAATTATAGAAATTTGGAGTTGAAAGGATCTCATGGATTATCTGTAAAATGAGGATGATAGTGGTACCTACCTCACAGCAGTGTTGCAAGGTTTCAGCATGTTAATCCACAGTAAGTGCTTACTATAGGCCTTGATATATAGTAAGTGCTCAGTGTATTTTAGCTGTTGTCATTATTATCACCCAGTTCATCCATCTCATTTTACAAAGGAGGCATGAGGCCTTGAGATCATGTCATCTGTCATGGTGACACAACGAATTCATGGGAAACCAGGAGTAAGGTTTCCTATTTCTCACCTCACTCCTCTACACAAATTACTGTAACTTCTGATATGTTTACGTCTTTCTAACTATGTAGTTAAATTCCTTTAGGCCAGGGAAGAAATCACCAAATGAAATATTCCTTCTCCCTCCAAACCTTTCTAACATGTTGACTGGGTGTGACCCAAATTGAACAAGACAAGGCCTGCCCACCCAGAGGGGCATTTTACAGAAAATTTAGAAAAATGGAGGTACAGACGATGTGTATGTAACTTTCCTGGTAGACGCTTGGCTGTGCCTTTGTATAACATATGTGTCTAGTAGACATTTGTTGATTGTTATAATCATGACAAATGTGCCAGACCTACACTAGAAATAGAGGGTAAGATATTATCTTGGAACTTGGCCAGCAGTTGAAGGGATACTTAGAGGTAAAAGGGTCTCCAAGGTGGATTGAGAAGATACAGGGCTAGGATTCAGCAAAACTGCAGAGGATTTTACGTGTCTGAAGCAAAGGTAGTGACGAAACAGCTTTAGGATTAGAGAACATCAGTAATGTTGTCCAGCGATTACCTCTCCTCACAGGTAAATTAGTTCTGCTGTACAGTTCACTGTGCTTAATAGATGAGACTGAACAGCTAAAGATTTATCATTATTTCAAATAATATTTATTTGCCATTAATGCTTTTGGCATTTCTACTCTCAGCGCTGCCTCACAAACGTGAAGCTGTCAGGTCCTATGTGACTCAATCACGAGACATGGCTGGCAAGTTTACTGTTATCTTTCAAAAGAAAATGCCGGGAGAAGACAAGTAAATACAACGATGGCTTCATCCCTTTTCCCAGTTGTGAAAAATGTGCATCGCACTCTTTCTTCTAACCAAGATTCTTGGTCACAGTTCCTACGAAATCCTGCTTGATGGGAACGACCCTGGACCTACACAAATCTTCAGTGAAGTCCAGTGCAGCAGACCATAGAGGTGGCATTATTTAATTTTAATTGTTCTTTTTAACTTTTCATTTTGAAATAATTTCAAGCTGAGAAAACTTAGAAAAGTCTAAAACAGGTATAACAGAGAAAGAAATGCTCAAAAGAGCTCCCATATACCCTTCACCTAGATTTACCAACTGTTAACATTTTGCCATATTCGCTTTACTCTTCTCTCTAGCCAAAGGGTATTGGTGTTTTTGTTTTTGTTTTTTAATTCGAGACAGGGTCTCTCTGTATCACCCAAGCTGGAGTGCAGTGATGCAATCATGGCTTACAGCAGATTCAACTTCCTAGGCACAAGTGATCCTCCCATCTCAGCCTCCCAAGTAGCTGGGACTACATGTGTGCCACCATGCCCGGCTAATTTTTGTATTTTTTGTAGAGACGGGTTTTGCCATGTTGCTCAGGCTGGTCTTGAACTCCTGGGCTCAAGCCATCTGCCTGCTTCAGCAAAGTGCTGGGATTACAGGTGTGAACCAGCACCCCTGGCCCTTAACAGTATTTCTTAAGAGCATCAGTGTGTATTTTCTTTTTTCTTTTCTTTTCTTTTTCTTTCTTTTTTTTTTTTTTTTTTTTTTTTTTTTGAGACGGAGTCTGTCTCTGTCACCCAGGCTGGAGTGCAATGGCGCGATCTCGGCTCACTGCAACCTCCACCTCCTAGGTTCAAGGTGATTCTCCTGCCTTGGCCTCCCAAATCTCCAGCTGGGATTACAGGTGCCTGCCACCATGCCCGACTAATTTTTGTATTTTTAGTAGAGATGGGGTTTCGCCATGTTGGCCAGGCTGGTCTCGAACTCCGACTTCAGGTGGTCCGCCCTCCTCAGCCTCCCAAAGTGCTGGGATTACAGGCGTGAGCCACCATGCCTGTCCTCAGTGTGTATTTTCTAAGCATATAGATTTTTGTAAACTTTCTTTTACATTATCACAATACACCCATCAAAATCAAGACATTTAACATTGATATAATACTATAATCTACAATCAGTATTCTTATATGACCAATAGTCTCAATAATGTCCAATATAACAATTTTGTTTTTCTAGTCTAGGATCCAGACTAGGATTACACATGGCATTTAACTGTAATGTCACTTTAGTCTCCTTTAATCTAGACCAGGTCCTCTACCTTACTTCGGCATTCATGACCTTGACATTTGTTTTATTTTTTTGATACAGAGTCTCGCTCTGTTGCCAAGGCTGGAATGCAGTGATGCGAATGCAGTGATGCAATGTCAGCTCACTGCAACCTCCACCTCCCAGATTCAAGTGATTCTCCTGAGTAGCTGGGATTACAGGCGTGTGCCACCACGCCCAGCTAATTTTTGTATTTTTAGTAGAGATGGGGTTTCACCATGTTGGCCAGGCTGGTCTCGAACTCCTGACTTCAGGTGATCCGCCCGCCTTGGCCTCCCAAAGTGCTGGGATTACAGGCGTGAGCCACGGCGCCCAGCCGACCTTGACATTTTAGAAGAGTTCAAGCCCGCAATTTGGTAGTATGTCCCTCAATTGGGGTTCAATGTTTCCTCATGACTACTTCTATGATCTGAGTGTTTATGCCTTCCCCCAAAATTCGTAGGTTGGAACTTAACCAACCGCCAAGGTGATATTAAGAGGTGGGGCCTTTGGGGAAGTGATTAAGTCATGAGGGCACCACCCTCATGGATGGAATTAGTGCCCTTATAAAAGAGCCGGAAGGAGCTTGTTCATCCCTTCTGCCATGTGACGACACAGAGAGAAGGAGACATCTATGAAGCAGACAGTGAGCCCTCACCAGACACTAAATCTGCCGGCACCTTGATCTTGGACTTCCTGGTCTCTGGAACCGTGAGTAGTACCTTTCTGTTGTTTATAAATTACCCAGTCTAAGGTATTTTGTAATTGCAGCCCAAATGGACTAGGACAGCTACCTTCAGGGTGTTCATTTTTGGCACAAACACTACAGCAACGACATGTCCCCAGTGCCTTACATTGGGAGGCATGTGATATCTGGTTATTAGTGATGTTAAGGTAGTGTTCACCAGGTTTCTCTACTGCTAAGTTAGTATTTTTCCCTTTATAATTAATAAGTAATTTGTGCAGAGATACTTTGAGACTATGTAAATATCTATTTCCTCATTAAATATTTAACCTGCTAGTTTTAGCGTACATCGACGATTCTTGTCTGAGTCAGTATCACTCTAATGATTGCAACATTATATTTTTTAAGTGATTTTCTGTCTTGTGGTTTAAAACAATAAAAATAAGAAATGTAGTTCATTAAATTTGCCATGGAACACTGGCCAACATTTACAAAAACATACCTGCTTTTGAATTATGGCTGTGAAACAAAACACTTAGGATTTGAGTATTTTATGAAATTTTTTTTTTTTTTTGCCATGTCCTGTACTGACTTCCTGGAATATTTGCTGTTAAATTCTACCAAAGGGAATAAATAGCACTGTGGCTCAAGAGAAGCTGAATGAATAAAACAATAGGCAGATATATTGGCTTGCTATTTTCAGTTACTGCTGAAAGTAATTTTAGAGCCATCTGTGGCCCTGATTCTAATATTTTGCCTTTTTCATTGTTTTCCTCATGTGAATACAATGGCTGAAGGCTGTATGGTTATCCAGCATCTTCCAGTAGCTACAAGAACGTTAGTTAAGTGTATTGTGTATCTCAGTTTCTCTAGCTATAAAATGCCCCTTGTCATTGTAGTCTGGTCTCCGTCCCCCAGTACAATGAACAGGCAGGAGGGAATGGGTTGTGTTCAGCCCCCATTGAACCATGGTTTCCTCCAATCTTTTGTTTTGTTTCTCTGTCTTATTCCAGATTAAAGGGGACTACCGGCTGGACGCGGTGGCCCAGGCCTGTAATCCCAGCATTTTGGGAGGCTGTGCGGGGAGGATTGGTTGAGCCCAGGGGTTCAAGACCAGCCTGGGTAACAAACCGTGACCCCATCTCTACAAAAAATATAAAAATTAGGGCCAGGCGTGGTGGCTTACTCCTGTAATCTCAGTACTTTGGGGGGCTGAGGCAAGTGGATTACGTGAGCTCAGGAGTTTGAGACTAGCCTGGGCAACATGGCAAAAACCCTGTCTCTACCAAAAATACAAAAAAATTAGCTGGGCATGGTGGCATGGGCCTGTGGTCCCAGCTACTGGGAGGCTGAGGTTGGAGGATCGCTTGAGCCTGGGAGGTGGAGGCTGCAGTAAGCTGAGGTCATGCTACTGCACTCCAGCCTGGGTGACAGAGCAAGAACCCGTTTTGAAAAAAATAAATAAAATAATAAAATAAATAAATTTTTTTTTTAAAAAAACAACAAAAATTAGCTAGGCATGGTGGCACACACCTATAGTCCCAGGTACCTGGGAGGCTGAGGTGGGAGGATCACTTGAGCCTGGGAGGTGGAGGCTGCAGTGAGCCATGATTGTGTCACTGCACTCCAGCCTGGGTAACAGAGCAAGACCCTGTCTCAAAAAAAAAAAAAAAAAAGACTATTTAAATAGCCTGCTCTTTATCAGACTCTCTCCCCCATAGATTTAGCATTCATCAGTGATTCTTGTCCAAATCAATATTTACTGTCCAATCAATATTTACATATACATATATGTACATATTTATATACATATATGTACATATGTATATAAACATACGTACATATATACATATATACGTATACATATACGTGTACATATACACATATATACATATGTATATATGTATATGCGCATGTACATAGATGTATATATGTATATGTGAATATATACATATACATATATGTATATATAAACAAATGTATTTGTGTATACATATGTATACACATATACATATATACATATATCAGTCAGCATTCTAATATAAGGAATACCCTCCCTTCTCTCCCCATTAAGTTGCTTATCTACTTATTATCAATATGGTCATTTTATTCACTGGGTTGTAATCTATTCATTTTATTTCACTTTATTCAGTGGGTTATAATCTATTACTGTCCTCTTAAGTTTGATGTTGAAATTGGCCCAACTTTGGACAGTGGGAGCCCCTTGAAGCTGTCTCCTTTGACCTTCTGGCATTAAAACTACACAAAATGGTCTACTCGTTGTAGTAGTGCTGTTTCCTCCCTTATTTATTCCATTCTGTCTACTCCTACATCTTATAATTAGCTTTATTGTTTTCTGGCTTATATTTCCTATGTTTCTCGTTACAAAAGTAAGAAGATACAGGTTGAGCATCCCAAATCTAAAGGCTGAAATCCAAAATGCTCCAAAATCCAAAACTTTTTGAGACATGACACATGAAGGAAATGCTTACTGAAGCATTTCCAATTGTGGAATTTTAGATTGGGGATGCTCAACCAGATTCCAAAGTCCAAGAAAACCTGAAATCTGGAACACATCTGGTCCCGAGCATTTCAGATAAGGGGTAGTCAACCTGTATATGCATGTTTCCTTATTTCCCCTGTCTTACACAAACAGTAACTACAGAATAATACTACTTTTTTCTTTTTCTTTTTTTTCTCTTTTTTTTTTGAGACAGAGTCTCACTCCAGACAGGGTTGCCCAGGCTGGAGTGCAGTGGCGTGATCTTGGCTCACTGCAGCCTCAACCTCCCGGGATCAAGTGATCCTCCCACCTCAGTCTCCCAGGTAGCTGGGACCACAGGCATGAGCCACCACGCCCGGCTAATTTTTGTATTTTTTGTAGAGACAGGGTCTCCCAATGTTGTTCAGGCTAGTCTTGAACTCCTGGACTCAAGTGGTCCTCCTACCTCAGCCTCCCAGGCATGAGCCACCGCGCCCAGCCAGTGGTATTCTTTCTAAAAATGTATAACCTGAATTTAATCATTAGCAAACATCAAACAAACCAAAACCGAGGGACGTCCTATAAAATAACCGGCCAATACTCTTCAAAGGTGGACTGTGTCAGATGAAAGGAGACTAAGAAAACATGGTATCACAATGCGTGCTCCTGGACTGGACCCTGGTCTAGTAAAAGGGCATTAGCAGGACAACTAGCAAAATTTAAACAAGGTTTGTTCCTGTTGCTTGCAAGAAACTGGCTAGCACTATCAATGGCACAATGCTGGGTCCAAGCAGAGTTCCTTGAGTTTAGTGCTAAGATTGTAGCTTATATTTATTAAGCATTCACAAACTTTGTGTTCTCCTACTGAATGCTAACTTTTATAGACCTGGGGTATTACTACCCCCATTATATAGATTAAAAATGCTGATTCAGAGAGATTAAGGGGTTTGCCCAAGATTGTTCAACTTGTAAGTGGTAACGCAGTGAACTGAATTCACCTGTATGACTCTTGATGCATTTTACTCACAATGCTTTTTACTGATGGCCTTCCCCAACGACTGTATTTTCCGAAGAAAACACAGAATAGTCAGTCATTCTGTCATGAAAAGGCTAGAAAAAAACCACCTGTGCCCAAAGTTAGAAGGCTTAATGCCACTGTATGACTCAGTCGGCATGATCATTGACCCTGGTTCCTACATGGAAAATTGTTGGTTTGATCGTCCGTTAAAAAGTTAAATTTAGGCCGGGCGCGGTGGCTCATGCCTGTAATCCCAGCACTTTGGGAAGCTGAGGCGGGCAGATCACTTGAGGTCAGGAGTTCAAGACCAGCCTAGCCAACAGGGCAAAACCCTGTCTCTATCAAAAAATACAAAAATTAGCCAGGCGTGGTGACACACGCCTGTAGTCCCAGCTACTCGGGAGGCTGAGGCACGAGAATCACTTGAGCCCGGGAGGCGGAGGCTGTAGTGAGCCAGGATCGTGCCACTGCACTCCAGCCTGAATGACAGAACAAGACTGTGTCTCAAAAATAATAAAATAAAATAAAATAAAAAGTTAAGTTTAGAGTGGGGCACAGTGGCTCACACCTGTAATCCCAGCACTTTGGGAGGCTGAGGCGGGCAGATCACTTGAGACCAGGAGTTCGAGACCAGCCTGGCCAACATGGTGAAACCCTGTCTCTACCAAAAATACAAAAATTAGCTAGGCATCGTGGCAGGTTCCTGTAATCCCAGCTACTTGGGAGGCTGAGGCAGGAGAATCACTTGAACCTGGGAGGCAGAGGTTGCAGTGAGCCGAGATTGTGCCACTGCACTCCAGCCTGGCTGACAGAGCAAGACTCCGTCCCCCTAACAAAGTTAAGTTTAGGCTGGGCGCGCAGTGGCTCGTGCCTGTAATCCCAACACTTTGGGAGGCTGACGCTGGAGGATTGCTTGAGCCCAGGAGTTCAAGACTAGCCTGGGCAACATAGAGAGACCCCATCTCTACAAGAAATAAGCCAGGCGTGGTGGTACATGCCTGTGGTCCCATCTACTTGGGAGGCTGAGGTGGGTGGATAGTTTGAGCCCAGGAGGTTGATGCTGTAGAGCTGTGATTGCACTACTGCACTCCAGCCGGGGAAACAGAGTGAGATACAGTCTCAAAAAAAAAAAAAAAGTAAGTTTACAGTTTCCATATTACTTGGTATCAATGAAAATGGATTCAGATTATTCCTTCAAAAAAACACATAACCAAAGAAAATAAAAATCAATTCTATATTATTCCTAATAGAATTAGGCCATAAGCAATATCTACATATGCAGAATCTCAGATATTTTATAAACCTAGAATAGTCCACCAATGAGATGTAAAGTGATTGGGTTTTCTCTTTGTCAGTGGAATCGTCTGCCATGAGTCTGCCTTTTCTGCCTCTCACACAAATCGACACTGTGATTTATGTTCCTGAGCAAATTAGACTTAATTTAAGAGCAAATCATCAGCAACAGGTATAATAATCTTGGCAGAACATTTATTTTAATGAATTGCTCTCTGCCTAACATAGATAGAAGGATGCTGATGCCATTTACCCTATATGGATTAGTGCTGTCATGTAATTAATTTTTTTTTCTTCCCCTAGAACTTAAAGTCTCATCAGTTTTAAATTAAAAAGGCATTGGTTTATTTCATATTTAATCATAACAATCTAACTTCTCCGGCAATGTTTATATAAGAAAGTTGTGAAAGACAAATGGATTCTAACCACCCTGACGCATGATAGGTTCCTGCTCCCTACACTTAGGCAGTGTTGCGTTCCATGGGGTCAGAGTGGGAACTGTTTTGGTGATAAACAGCTGAAAACCCTCACCCCCATCACTCTGGCAGGAAGTAGGGATGGAAGAGTGATTTTAGAACAATGTAGTTTTTCTTCCCTGTGAAGCTGAGTATCAGTTTCCCTATTATTTATACTTCAATGAGAGGCAAAAAGAAAACCAACATTTCCTTCACTCTATGGGGGTTTGAAACTGTAATTGTCAAGGGCATCTTGCAGTAATTGACAACTAAATAAACCCTACCTTCTCAAACCTGCCAAACTCAATGCTATGTATAAATAATTTGATGATCTTTGCAAAGAAGATGCAGAAACAGCTAATACTAAATACAAGGAAGGATCCCAGGGTCAGGGCTACAATGCTCATACTAAAATAATCTTGCTATATAATAATGAAGTTAAAGATCCTGTTTTTTGAAAAAGAAAACAAATTGTTACCTTAAACCTTTACCTGAGACAGTCCTTCATATTCTAACCAATTAGTTGCTTATTCATCTTTAAAAATGCTACAGGGCCGGGTGCAGTGGTGCACACCTGTAATCCCAGCTACTGGGGAGGCTGAGGTAGGAGGATCACTGGAGGCCAGGAGTTCAGCCTGGCAACCTAGCAAGACTGGTCTCTAAAATGTTTTTAATTTAAAAAAAAAAAAGCTATAGAAAAATGTAACCCTTTCCTACATAAAGTATGCATTTCTCATATATCCTATATAAATTCAGTAACAAGAATGGTAATTAAAATGCCTTCCTTACATTAGTACTAAATCTCAGGAGGCAGCGAGAATAAACAAGTGTAAAAGAAACACCATGAAATTATCTGTACAACAAAACAGCCAATCCTGATGAAAGAAAAGCCTGTTTTGTTAGGTTTTTACAATATAAAATAGATTTAGTACTGCAATGACACAAATTTGGAATCATCATTAACTTTATTTGTCACTCTTGATAGACATTGGTCCACTCCAACATAAAAAGTAGAATTCACCCACTTCCACTTAATATTCTATAGAATGAAGTTGTACCACAAACCATAGTAACTTACACAGGGGGAAAAGTTACTGAAATAAAAATGTTTTATATTCATGCCTCAAAATGTCCCTCAGGGATTTTTGTGTGTATAATGAAAAGCATCTATATACTCCACAAGGCTAGTTTCTTCTTAGATCAATGTAGTATTTTTAGTATCCATATTAGCCCATGTAGGTCAACAAACTTGCAGAAGAGGGTTAAAAAACAGCTGTCCTCTGTTACTCAGATACAGTTCCAAAACTAAGCGATTATATAAGCACATCCATATTTTAGGGCTACTCTAAGTTAAAAACCTTTTCTCTTGTTTCAGAGTTATTTACATCAAATTAAGACATTTACAAATTGTTCATAGTATACAATAGCCCAAATATGATTTTCACCTATGCTGTGTAAAGAAGTTAAGCATTCGTAAGTTTGTCTAATAAATTCAGTGCACTTTTTTCCATAACACGAGCTATTCTAAATGTTTTACATTTCTTTCAGTGCATATTTCCAAATTCATTAAACAGAATGAAATCAATGTTATTAAATGGCTATATCATAATATTCAAGCATATTATGGAATCTATACCACAGTGGGATTCACGTCAATACTATAATTCACTCTAGAAAAACATCACAGGCACACACAAAATAAAGAACAAAATTTGATTTTTTTTTATAAATGTAAAGTATACTATCTACTTTAAAGCACACTAAAAGATATATTTTAACAAAACAGCCAATTTCCAACCCCCTTTTCTAATTCTGGCACAGGTAACATTCAATCCATTCGAATCTTCTGGTTTGTCATCCTATAAATGATGCTATCATATCCAGGATCCATGTTCCAAATATTGTAAGAGGTGATAATCACAGCCAAGGCCAAGGCGATCATTATCCAAAGTACCATGTTGAAAACCACGGAATATTCAAAATTATACTTATATGCAAGGTTATAGGGACTTGCTGGGTTCTTCTACAATATAGAAAAGAAAGAAAAATCAAGAGGGAAGAATTTTAAAATAGGAAATTATCCCAGTCTAGTGACTGTGATTCATTTGTCTAACAAACATTTCTTCATAAGTGGCATAACAGCTACTTATACTAGGAGGAAGCAAGAAGGAGCGCCTTTGTGGAGACGACACTTGCACTGATGGTGGAAGTATAAACCAGTCCAAATGCTTGGGAAAACTGGACAATACCTAATAAAGTTGAAGGTGTGCATATCCTGTGATCCAGTAAGTCCATACGCTAGGGAAAATTTCTATATGTGTACCAAGAGACATGTATAAGAATATCAGCAGCAAGGCTGGGCACAGTGGCTCATGCCTGTAATCTCAGCACTTCGGGAGGCCAAGGCGGGCAGATCACCTGAGGTCAGGAGTTCCAGAGCAGCCTGGCCAACATGGTGAAACCCCGTCTCTACTAAAAATACGAAATTAGCCAGGCGTGGCAGGTGCCTGTAATCCCAGCTACTCGGGAGGCTGAGGCAGGAGAACTGCTTGAACCCAGCAGGTGGAGGTTGCAGTGAGCCAAGACTGTGCCATTGCACTCCAGCCTGAGCAACAAGAGCAAAACTCCGTCTCAAAAAAAAAAAAAAAAAAATCATCAACAGAATGGAATTGTGGTATATCCCTACAAGCAGAATATGTAACAGTAAAATGACTAAACTACAGCTACATTTGTCAGCCTGAGTGAATCTTAAAAAGAATACTGAACAAAGAACACAGAAAAATACATGTAGTATGATTCAATTTATATAAAATTCAAATACAGGCAAAACCAAACAACACTGTTTAAGAACAAATACATATGCAGTCAATCTGTAAAGAAAAGCAAGGGATTAACATGATATCCAGGACAGCAGTTACCTCTGGATGAGGGAGGGTAGAGGGAGAAAATAGGGAGCTTCAAAGAAGCAAGCATTCTCTTAAGCTATTGATATGGTTTGGCTCTGTGTCCCCACCCAAATCTCATCTCGATTTGTAATCCCCACGTGTCGAGAGAGGGACCTGGTGGGAGGTGATTGGATCATGGGGGCAGTTTCCCCCATACTGTTCTCATGATACTGAGTTCTCATGAGCTCTGATGGTTTAAAAGTGTGCCACTTTCTCTCTCTTTTGCCACCTTGTGAAGAAGGTGCCTGCCTCCCCTTCCCCTTCCTCCATGATTGTAAGTTTCCTAAGGCCTCCCCAGCCATGTGGAACTGTGAATCAATCAAACCTGTTTCCTTTATAAATTACCCAGTGTCAGGTAGCTCTTTATAGCCATATGAAAACGGAGCTATACAGTGTTATTATTTTTATTATTTAAATAACTAGTATTAAATATGTTATATACTTATGTATGTATGATCCACTTAACACTTTTTTTTAAAATACAGAGCTGTGTAAAAACATTGTTTGGGAAACTGAATTCATTCTGACAAAGGCACTGTTTGGGAAATATCATTCATTCTGGCTAGAGAATTTTAAAAGTAGGAACACAGCAGGAGATGAAGCTAGAAGCAGGGAAGCTACAGAAAATCTGACATGAGCCTCTGGGCAATAAGGAGCCATTGACAAGCTTTAGGCAGAAAGTGAGTGACATGATCAGGTTTGTCTTAAAAAGATAACATTAAAATTAAAAATTAGCTGAGTGTGGTGGCTCAAGCCTATAGAACTGGCTACTCAGGAGGCTCAGACAGGTGGATCACCTGAGCCCAGGAGTTTGAGGCTACAGTGAGCTATGATTGCGCCACTGCACTCCGGCCTGGGACAGGGCGAGACCCTGTCTCAAAAAAAGAAAAGAAAAAAGATAACTTTGATGACAATGTGTAGGATGGATTTGGGAGGAGCCAGCTGGGAAGCAGAGAGACAGATGAGTTCAGACAAGTTAGGAGGCGGCAGTCAAATGAGGTGGGAGAAATGGGGGCAGGGTGCCTGGCAGTGAGGATGAGAACGAAAATGTAACCGAGATCTATTTGTCCCTACAGCCCCAGCACCTGGAATGTTGTGAGTACTCAGTAAATGTTCCTTAAACTCCTGTCTCCTTAAACTAATGGAAGAGAGTGATTTCAAATGTAGGAGAGAATGGGTACACAGGCATGCATATTTACCTGCGGGGAGCTCAGAGCTGAGGCAAACGTTAAAGGATTTCACGCCCATGAAGACCTCTTTGTTTCTTTCCTTTTTTTTTTTTTGATAAACATGTTCTTTTTCCTACCCATTTTAAGTGTACAAGTCAAGGAATTTTAGTGGTTTCATAGTTATCACCACAATCTAATTCTAGAACATTTCTATCACCCTAAAAAGAAATCTCATAGGCCGGGCATGGTAGCTTACACCTGTAATCCCAGCACTTTGGGAGGCTGAGGTGAGCAAATCACTTGAGGCCAGGAGTTCAAGACCAGCCTGGCCAACATGGTAAAACCCCATCTCTACTAAAAGTACAAAAATTAGCCGGGTGTGGTGGTGCATGCCTGTGATTCCAGCTACTCAGGAGGCTGAGGCAGGAGAATCACTTGAATCTGGGAGGTGGAGGCTGCAGTGAGTTGAGATTGTGCCACTGCACTCCAGTCTGGGTGACAGAGTAAGATCCTATCTCCAAAAAATCCAAAAAAAAAAAAAAAAAAAAAAAAAAAAGAATTCTCTGGGAGGCATCCCCACTCTCAACACATGTGCTGACCACCCAGAGCCCAGGTGCCTTTCTGTTTCCCTGTGCTGGTGGGCAAAAATTTCCAGTCTACCCTCTCACTGAGGGCACAGCTCTCTCGGGGTCCCCAGCTTTATCTGGAGTTGTCCATTCCCATCCCCCACACACAAGGCACCAAAGGACTCTTGGTGACCCAGCTGGCAAATATCCTTAGGGCGGCCTGCTTACCACATTCGGTTTTTTTTTTTTTTTTTGAGATGGAGTCTCACTGTGTCACCCAGGCTGGAGTACAGTGGCACAATCTCAGCTCACTGCAACCTCCGCCTCCCGGGTTCAAGCGATTTGTCTGCCTCAGACTCCTAAGTAGCTGGGACTACAGGCGTGCGCCACCACGCCCGGCTGATTTTTTGTGTTTTTAGTAGAGACGGAGTTTCACCATGTTGGCCAGGCTGGTCTCGAACTCCTAACCTTGTGATCCACCCACCTCGGCCTCCCAAAGTGCTGGGATTACAGGTGTGAGCCACCGCACCCGGCCTCCTCTTCTTTATTTACTCTGTAAGAGAATTTCCCTTTCTTGCGAGCTGAACTATGTATTTTTATTTTTGTAATTTTTTTTTTATTTGAGACGGAGTCTTGCTGTGTCTCCCAGGCTAGAGTGCAGTGGTGCAATCTTGGCTCACTGCAACCTCTGCCTCCCGGGTACAAGCAATTCTCCTGCCTCAGCCTTCCAAGTAGCTGGGATTACAGGTGCCCGCTACCACACCAGGCTAATTTTTGTATTTTTAGTAGAGACGGGGTTTCACCATGTTGCCCAGGCTGGTCTAGAACTCCTGGCCTCAGGTGTTCCGCCCGCCTCAACCTCCCAAAGTGCTGGGATTACAGGCGTGAGCCACCACACCCAGCCCAAACTATGTACTTTTTAAAAGATCTTTATTTTTATCTAGCATTTCTAGACGTTTTATGGTGGGAAATCTTGGGTGGTTGTCTAGACTGACATGCTGTCTGAAACAAAGGTCCTTCCATCCCCAATTTAATTTAGAAAGAAACAATCTCAAACCAGTAATCGCTAGACTATCTCAAACAGGCACTGGCTTCGACCTTCCGACTCCAAGTCCCACACTGACTTCAGTAAAACTGAGCAGGGTGAGGGCTGCAAATGGGTCTGAAGCGGAGGTGTATGTAATTGAGTGGATATCTATCTGCTGCAAGTGATACAGCCAGCCCTAAGCAATGTTCTCAGACGTAGGATGTTAGGGAGCATCTACACTACTCTTTCCCATCACCCTCCCTAGGTTCTGCTGCAGCTGTAAGTATATATGTATGTATGTAAATGTGCACGTACATACACATAAACAGATATGTATTTTACCATGGCCAGCAACCATGGTAATGCTTAACCCTGACCCTCTAAATGCTTAAAATCAAAGCAAGATCCATACCCAAAAAAACTGTTAAGTAAATCAAAATCATAAAGAGGTGCACACAGAGGATCTCAGTAAGTGAGGGACTACGCCACAAAGACAATGTGCCTGCTAGAAAAGCAGAGCCCATAGGATGTGGGCACCACACCACTCCCGCACACATTCACTTCTTTTTGTTTTCAAAACAGGGTCTTGCTATGTTTCCTCAGACTGGCCTCAAACTCCTCCTGAGCTAAAGCAATCCTCCTGCCTTGGCCTCCTGAGAAGCTGCAATTACAGATGCACGCCACTGCACCTGGCGCCACATTAACTTCTGATATCTCCTTGTGTGTACTGATATTTGAATTATAATCTTGGACAGATTTACTTTTATCCCTAATTCAAATTCTTGCATTATCTGATTATAACCCTAAAGAACTGATCATCACTGGCAAAGCACACATATGTATGTGAACAAGAAGCTTACGTTTTAACTGAAATTGTTTTTCAGATTTACTGACTGCTCATTCATGTCACCCTTAGGTGATATAGGACTTGGTTTTTTTTTTTTTATAAGAAGTTAATTTTACAGTTTTAAAGCAGGATCTCAAAATATACTCACCGCTTGTTTTGCCTCAAGGATAGTCCTTGTCTTCCTAATGAGGGAGGTGTCAAATGACTTGACAGTGACTAACTCTACCACTGCATTCCCACCATAAAGACTGTACATGTCATCTGCAAACTGAAAGTTAGTTATTAACATTATTGGGAATCTCAACTATGTACTTTTTTCATTTTTAATTAACAAATTAAAATCATATATATTTATCACATCAACATATTGTTTTGAAATATGTACACATTGTGGAATGGCTTAAGTCCACATTGGCTAATTAACATATGCATTACCTCCTACTTATCATTTTATGCAGTGAGTCAAATACATACTTATTAAAATTATTTTTAAAGCTTTTGTGCAGCTACAAGAACAATGTACACTTACCTCCTGGCTCATGAAATATACTACATCTTACAATAAGCAAGTCTTAAAGGTTTTGATTTTGCTCAACTATACAGAAAAGTGTTAAGCTTTAACATATATTCAAATGTTTAGACTAAAATTACTTTAAGAAGAGACTGAATTTGTCAGCATATAAATTGGAGGAAGGGAAGTTGGAAAGAGAAATGAAATCTTCCTAAGTGGTCTCTGGTTAATCACAAACATCTATAAAGATTAAAATATGAAGCCTCACTGAAAGGATGCAGGTGAAGAACTTCAAGGGCAGAGGGGAACTAGCATTTATTATGCATCTACTGTCTGGTACTGTGCTGGGTGTTCTACTTCAGTTATCTCATAGTGTTTAAGGAGTACAGAGTTTCAGTTGGGGAAGAAGAAAAAGTTCTAGAAATAGAAGATGGTGATGGTTGTACAACATGTGAACGTACTTGCACTTAATACCACTGAACTGTACAATTAAAAATGGTTAAAGTGGTAATTTTATGTTATATATATTTTACCACAATAATTTTGTAAAGCTTTGTGTGAGATAACTTTTCCTAATGCTGTTCTTTCTAGCATTAGGAAGAAATATATCAATATACATTTTTGACCCTACTCCATCCTTGGCCAGTATAATTAGAGGAGCCCCAAAGAAGGCAAATAAGAGTTCAATCAACAGTGTTTGAAACAGCAGATTTTTCTATTAAGAGGCTAAAAGTGAAATGGTCATACTCCAACCTCTCATGTCGCATTGATATTTACCTTTTGCAGAGCGTCAACAAGGATCTTAGAAGCATCTCTGAATTGTTCAGAGTCTTCCCCATAACGCTTCCCAATTTCATCCAAACCTGCCAGCTCCAGTGAATATAAATCAGGAGAATGATCCTTGGCTAGATGCTTATGACGAGACAGCTTAGGAGAACAAACAAACAAAAAAAGGTAGCGGATAAAGTAAGATGAAAGACGTCAAACACAGCCAGTTAAAGTTTTATGCCTAACTAAACTAGGCTAAACTAAACCATACCAGTGTACCACAACATGCAAATAGTCTAAAATGGTGGCAAAAGAAACTGGTTTGAATAAGCGTTTCTGATAAATCCAACACGAATCTCATGTTTAGGAGCAGTACAAGACTCCTTGGATATTTAATAAAAGCTTTCAACAAAATTCCTCAGTTTTAAAAACTCAGGTATGGGCCAACGTATGAAAGAACAGATGGCTGGACCAGTTTGATCCCAGGAATGCACTACACTTCCAGACTCCCCGAACCAACACCTGTTGAAAAAGTTTGGAAAACAACTTCAGAAGGTAGCAAACAGATAAGAATTTCTATTTCAGTAACAAGGATGATTTTTAAAAAATCATTCACCAAAAAAATACCCTTCAGACGGATTTCGTCCCTTCTTGACTTGACTGACAGCATTATTAGTCCAAACTATTATTTCTATTTTAGGCCCAAAGATATAGATAGGAATTAAGTCTCACAAGAAATCAACAGCCAAGTTAGGACTATGGCCAGGGTGTTCTTACGCCCAGGCTTGTGTTCTTGGAAGATATGTTGTCTCTCCCTAAAAAGCAGAAATGCAAAATAATTTGACTATAACATGGATGTGTTCAAAATTCCCAATATTGCCACTAATTTTTCAATTTTCATGGGATCATAAATCTAGGGCATACTTAATCAAACTTTTCAACTGCCTTTACTATTATTCAAGGATTCTCTAGAAACCAAAATAAATGGAATTAAAAAATTAGAGCAGCCTACTTACCAAGCTTGAAATATCATGTAGCACTTGCAGTTCAGAAAGAAAGAGCAGGTCAACCTTCAGAGAGCCCAAAAAAAAAGAGCATTCTTTTAAATGTGCACCAGAGATCTTTATTTGCCATTTACCAAGCAAGGCACAGGATATTACAAATGTTGATCATATAAGTGAATTTATATAATTATCTTCCATTTGGTATGTTTGCTTCAATTGAAAATGCATATAAAACATTATTTCCTAACAAAAAGGTGATGGCCATTCCCTAGCACAGTGACTGCCACTCAATAGCTATATTTTTGGCAAAACCATGATAAAGCATCCAAGTTCTCCAGTGGTTTTCCTTCAAAGCATCAGGATATCCTGGCACTCTGCAATGACATCCTACCATTGGCCCAGTTTGCTCACTTCCCTTGAATAGTTTCCACATCAGAGAATAAAGGATGATGGCCCTGGTCATCCACAGCAAATAAAAAGGGGAGGCCACCACGAAAGTGGCATGCCACATGGTTAAGAGGGCGCATGAGCAGATGGAGAAACTGAAGGACAGGAGTCAAAAGTAGAGGTGGCTCCCTCCACTGCAATGTCCAGAATGAATGAGAAAAATGTGGCAACAAATCAGCAGAGGCAGTGAACAATGGCTTCCAAGTTACCAGATCCACACAGCTCCACCAGTCACCAAGTAGATCTATGACCTCTGGCTTGTTTGAATTAATAGGTGGCAACCCTCGTGCTAAAATGTGATGTTATTTACCACAGCTCAACTCACAAAAAGGATCAGTTTATTCATGAGAGTCATAAGAAAATTACACTAAAGAAGAATCTACCCCAGCAGTAAATGTGCACAATCTTTCATTTTCTAAAATAGCAAAATTTCCAAAATTTCAAGTAGTATAAGGAATGGGAGGCCAGATGCAGTGGCTCAAGCCTGTGATCCCAGCACTTTGGGAGGCCAAGACAGGATTGCTTGAGGCCAGGAGTTCAAGACCAGCCTGGACAACAGAGTGAGACCCTGTCTCTATTTTTTAAAAAGACGGAAATTAATGATATTCATGTATTCATTGAATAACTGCACTTACTTCATTGTTCCTACTCAGAGAATTGAGGGGGAGTGAACTGAGAACAGAGTTTTCTTGAAACAGGCGATTACGGAGCTGGCGCAAGGTGACTGAAAGGTCTTCAAACACTGAGTTTGCCTTCCCTACCATATACACTCTCTGTAAGAAGAATAGAAAATTTTAAGTTGCTCAAATTCTACAGATTAGTTCCAATACCCAGAGGTATGACAACATTGTTCATAAATTAGTTTTATATTTTCATAATAAAATTACATTTCATAATTTTCAAATAATAAAAGCTTATTTTTTAAAATGTCTTGAATAAAACCCTTATCACTTACTTCCTCACTGGGAGCCAACTGCAAAACAACAGGAGTTTCCTCAGAAAATAAGGAGTGAATGGAATTTGCAACACTGTCAAGACTAAAAGGAACTGCCTGAAATTTAAGAGTAAGAACGCAATTATTATGTGAACCAAAGTGGGAAGAAAAATCATTCAGATGGTATTTAAAAAGAAGCCTTAAACTTTTTTCCAGCACTTTCTATGGAAATTTAGAAGCCCGAAATCATTTCCAAACAAGCCCTTTTGAGGGCACAGAAGATTAAACAGCCCCCTGGTAAGCCAAGTCTGTATCTCCCATCATGCCTCAGTGGAAAATAACTTAAACCTGATGGACACAACACTATATCTAGCACAAACCATTTTCTGGTGGTCATTCATGTATTTGAAGCAGCAATACATTTGGTTTCAATATTGACTAAATGTGCCACGATGAATGCATATTCCACAATAAAGTATTTAATTTGCATTTAAGAGGTTAGAGGAATCTGAGTATTGAATTTAATTGAAATAAAAATGGAATTCATCTTTCATTTCAAAATTTTAAAAATGTTTAATGAGATTTAACATTTGTCTTCAGATAGCCTAAAGACTCTTAGATAAGGTGTTAAGTATGTCACAAGGTTTTTGAAGCCTTTATCTTAGGACATGTTGATATTATTAGATTGAAATAACCAATGGTGATAAGACCTACTTTTTTCCTTCAATTTTTTTATTAAAGTGCAAAATACATATAATATAGTATACAAATCTTGGGGTAACAGCTCAACAAATGTTTACACATGCATGCACTCAGGTAGCCCAGCCAGATCGACACAGAACACTATCAGCGCCCTCGAAGTACTACCTCCACCCTCAAGGGTAACAAAAATTCTGACTTCTATCCCCATAGATTTGTTTTGCAGTACATGATTTAAAAAAATAAATTACAGTTATTTTTCCCCTAAAAAAATTATTTCATTCCCAGTATTACTGTATTAAAACAAGCAGTACAGTCATGTTTTTGTTTTAATGGAGATTTCTTACATTGATCTTTCATTCAGTAGTTCCCTTACTACTTAAAGATTCATGTTTACAAGTAGCAAAGTAACGCTAATATGATACAGGCAGAAATCAATGTGATTATGTCTTACTGATAAAATCCCAGCATCACATTTTTTTTTTTTTGAGACAGAGCCTCACTCTGTTGCCCAGGCTGGAGTACAGTGGCGCGATCTCGGCTCAGTGCAGCCTCCACCTCCCAGGTACAAGTGATTCTCCTGCCTCAGCCTCCTGAATAGCTGGGATTACAGGCACGCACCACCACGCCTGGCTAATTTTTGTATTTTTAGTAGAGACGGGGTTTCATCAAGTTGGCCATGCTAGTCTCAAACTCCTGGCCTGATGTGATCTGCCTGCCTTGGCCTCTCAAAGTGCTGGGATTACAGGCGTGAGCCACCATGCCCAGGCCCAGCATCAATATTAAGTGATCAATTTTATGATTCTGTGAAATGAAATAATTTTTTTCTCTTACTCAAGATGCTTATTAACTCTTCCCCAAATTCTCTCAAAATGAGTTAATGAGTAAGTGAAGAGGGGGAAGAGAGTTCAAAGTTGCAAAAGCATACTGCTAGCAGCCGCCCTGAATCATCTATAGGTGCTTTCCTTTAGCGATCATAGAGTTTACCTCCTCAGGCTGTGAGGGGAATACATGAGCAAATGATGCAAACTTTCCAGCCTCACTTCACTTAGTGAAATGGCGCTCGGTTCAGGAAAGTTGAAGATTAGGAACCATGTCCATAGCGATCAAATTGAAGCAGCTCATGAATCAAATGAACACCAATGAAGGAAAAGAAATAATTATATAGGCAGCTAAGCTCAAAAAGTAAAAAGCTTGGCTGCTTAATATCGAATGATGGTTTTTCTCTCACTGTATTGTAAGGGAGATGCATATCTGTCCTCAAATTTCTGTACCTGTATGACTTGAAATTCTAACTAAAACAGCTAGCTAATCAAATGGAAGCTTCGTTAAATGGAATTCTAAGATACTCTGATTTTTATGTTTTGTGGGGTTTGCCCCTGAATCTTTTATCTCATTTACCATCTTCTGCTAGGAAAAGCATTGAGCAGCCAACCAGGGCCAAGCAATAAAATGAGCTCCTCACACAGCACAGCTTCTTCTCATGTAAAATGAGGCTAGTCTGTTTTTAAATCTTTATTTTTGGATTACATGCTAATAAAAATCTCAAAATGGCATTTTGGATTTTTATAATTTTAAAGAAAATCTTCTGCAATGATTTTCACAGAAATCACATAAAAAATGACTTAAATGCTCCCTGTGAAATAATCTGCCTTTTGATCTGTATTGTTCCCTTCCTTCTACTTTATGTGTATTTACTCTGAAGTTCTTCCGCTTTCTTTAGCTCATTAATTTCCATTCTTAGACAACCTAAATTGTCTAAAACATGCATTTAAGGCTATAAATTTCCCTTTTCTTACCACGTTAGCTGCACCTCCCAATTTTGTAAATAAATGCTACATTCATTGTTACTCAGTTCCAAATAATTTAAAAAGTTCCACAGTGATTTCCTCCTCAACCCATGAATTATTTAGGAGTGCATCTATTCCAACTATCTTTTCTTGTTGACTTTTTTTGCTTTTAACATCTCTAAATAAGACACTTAAATTACATCTCCTGATTTTTCAATTTTAGGTCTTGTCTATTTACTATCCATTATAGAAAATGAGGCTTTAGCTCTCTCACATCACCAACCACTGCCCCATCCATGCGCTGAGCCATCCATGCGCTCTGCTTCTGTTTCTATCTCCCCACTCTTACCCAATAGTTATATCAAAATTTTCACTTGATCAGCATCATTTCATTATTATGACAATGCAAATAATACTCAGCCTAGCTCATACTACACAATCACTACATTTTCCTTGCTTTCCTTCTACTCTCATTCCTTTGTAATGACAGTGTCTTTTCTCCCTCACAGCTTTTAAGATTTTCCATTTCCTTGATGACTCTTCAATTTCACCGTATGTAGGTGTGGATCTGGCTTTTGCCTACTGGGTGTTCCATATGCTTTAAATCTGAGGAGTTGTTATCTTCTGTTTGTTACTATTTCCAAATACTTTTTATTTTATTTTTAACTGACAAATAGTAACTGTATATATTTATGGGGTACAATGTTATGTTTTGTTATAAGTTTACAAAGTAGACTGATTAAATCAGGCTAATGAACAAATCCATCACCTCACATACTTATATTTTTTTTGTGGTAAAAGTATCTAAAATCTACTCCTTTAGCAATTTTGAAATACACAATGCATTATTATTTAATATAGTCACCATTTTGTGCAATAGATCACTAAAGCATGATCCAGCAAGCCCACTTCTGGGTATATATATCCAAAGCAATTGAAGTCAGTATGCTGAAGAGATATCTGCACTCCCATGTTCACTGCAGCACTATTTACAATTTCTAAGATATGGATGGAAGCAACCTCGGTGTCCATAATCAAACGAATGGATAAAGATAATGTGCAGCTGGGTGCAGTGGCTCACACCTGTAATCCCAGCACTGAGATCCACTGGGAGGCTGAGGTGGGTGGATCACCTGAGCTCAGGAGTTCGAGACCAGCCTGGCCAACATGATGAAACCTCATCTCTACTAAAAATACAAAAAATTAGCTGGGCGTGGTGGCATGCACCTGTAATCCCAGCTACTCAGGAGGCTGAGACACCAGAATCCCTTGAACCCAGGAGGCAGAAGTTGCAGTGAGATGACATTGCGCCACTGCACTCCAACCTGGGCGACAGAGCAAGATTCTGTCTCAAAAAAAAAAGAAAAAAGCAGAAAGAAAATGTGGTATATAAACATAATGGAATACTATACAGCCTTTAAAGCGCGGGAAACTGTCATTTGCAACATGGATAAACCTGGAGGACATTATGTTAAGTGAAGTAAGCCAGGCATAGAAGGACAAATACTACATGACCTCACTTGTAAGTTGAACTCATAGAAGTAGAGTAGAATGATGGTTAGAAGACGCTGGGGGAGACGGGTGGATGGGGAAAGGAGAAATGTTGATCCAAATACCTTTTTTTTTTTCCCAGATGGAGTCTCGCTCTGTCACCCAGGCTGGAGTGCAGTGGCGCAATCCCAGCTCACTGCAACCTCCACCTCCCAGTTTCAAGTAATTCTCGTGCCTCAGCCACTGAGTAGCTGGGACTACAGATGCGTGCCACCACGCCTGGCTAATTTTTGTATTTTCAGTAGAGACAGGGTTTAGCCATGTTGGCCAGGCTGGTCTCGGACTCCTCGCCTCAAGTGATTCACCCGCCTTGGCCTCTCAAAGTGTTGGGATTACAGGCGTGAGCCATGGTGCCGGGCTCCAAATACCCTTTTAAGATATCATTTTATTATTATTTTCAGATTTAACTGCATTGTGGTCAGAGAAGTTAGTTTATATGACACTGATTCTTTATTGTTTGTTGAGATTTGCCTTGTGGACTACTGCACAGTAATTTTTTCTAAGTATGCCATGTGTACTTGGAAATAATCTATACTCGACCACAGGAAAGTCTGAAAAAAAAAAAAATCCCAAAACTTCAGCATCACATAGACCACAGTATTACAATGCAGTGAACTTAGAAATTTAAAAATTAGAAATTACTTTTTTAAAACCCATGCATTTGGAAAAAATACTTCTACATAACTCATGGGTTAAAGAATCACAATATAAATTATGAAATATTTTGAAGTATCAGCTAAAGCACCATGTATCAAAAATGTCTTATAACTCCCTCATAGTTTCTGTTCCTTCCTTTTTTTCACAAATTTTTTCTCTTTCTTTCTTTTTTTTTCCCCCTAGAGATAGGGTCTTGCTATGTTGACCAAGCTGGTCTCAAACTCCTGGCCTCAAGCAATCCTCCCATCTTGGCCTCCCAAAGCTGGGATTACAGGCGTGAGCCACCATGCCTGGCCCTTTTTTTCACAATTTTAATGTATGTATTTTTAGATCTCTTGGAAATTGGCCTATTCTCCGTAGTTCTAAGGAGATGAATTCTGTTTGTTGCACCTGTTTCTCATGGCATTTTTTTTCCTTCAGGTGCTTTGTAAATTCCACTCATCTTCCGTATTTGACCAAAGGAGCCCTTGGCTATGGAGATGTCCCTATGGGGCAGGTCATGTGAATTTGCAAAGAACCACTCTGCACAGCATAAGCCTATAATTCTAATTCTAATTTATCTCAGGGGACTCTTTGGGTCCAACAGCCAAGGGCAGCAAGCCAGCTTTACTAGTTTTACTAGTCTGCTTTTCAAGAACAAGTTGACAGCATTTCTAGTCCCTGGCTTTCTGCAGGAAACACAGTTTCAGCGTCAGCTTCTGCTCACCACTATGGCTTCTGAGTTTTCCATCCATATGTAACACCTGTGTATATCACCCCCTCTTGCATTCAAATTTAGTTATGCTAGTAAAAATGTTTTTTGTGACATTCTTTCAAGCACTTCTATATGCTTATAATGGAAGGAGGGCCTCTTAGATCAGCACAGTCACCCACATTGCCTGAATAGCCAGTGAAGGAGTAAGTGAGCCAGCAAGCAGCCTCCAGTGTCCTTACACACGAAAAGAGGTAAAATCCTGCAGGGAAGATGACAAGACAATGGCCAAAAAAACAGTAGCAGGATACAACCCCAACTGGTTTCTCCTTTAGTGGCTCTCTTTTTCAAGCCTCTGGCTATTCTGAGTGGGGCAATTTCTCTATCTCTTATCTTAAACAGTACTCTCATCCACAGAGAACAGCCAAGCCTCAGTTAATTACAATCATCATGTAATTTTCTTAAAAAGAAATTGTGTTTGTCAAAGAATTTCAAAAGAAACTGTGCATCAAAAACAGATAAGAGAAGTATGTTTAGAATGCAATTCATAATGACAGCTGACAAGGGAAAATGTAAAATGCATCCCTTTAATTTTTTATAATAAATACTCACATTCTCCAAAGGGTACGAAATGACACTGCCTGGGGGTAGAGCCAGTTTGTTCACTCCCTTCACCATCACCATGACGGTAGCCCGAGGACGATGAAACAGGTTACCCACTGCGAGTCCTGGCCAAGAAAGGTCCTAAACATTGAAAAGCACAAAGCGGTGCTTAATTATCAACTCAGGAACCCACCTCCCCAATAACATCTAATAAGCAGAGTTAAGGGGTTCTGAGATGACACTGACAAGGAAAATTCACAGGGAAAGTAAACATTTTATTTGTGGCAGTCGTTGCAATCCCCTAATCAAGAATGCTGATTTCTACCCTCTTCATTTTCTTAAAATTTTACAGATTTGAAATAAAGTCCAATAGTAAGTCATCTGACACCTTTTGTGGAAAAAAGCAAGCAAGTAAACAAAACATAGGTACCTTTCAAATTTCAGATCACAAAATATTTTCTTCATGTAGCCATGGAAATTTTCTTCCCCCACATCATTTTTTGCCCTCATATACAGCATCACTTTTATCTTTCACAGAGACATAGCAAGATGGTCATTAAAACATCCTCTTTAGACTAAGATCTTTATAAATAAAACAATTCCTACTAAAAGTAACTATCATTAGTTTACTAATAATTATTTCTCAGTTATTTTAATAGCCATCAGTAGTCAAGTTTAAGGTTGTAAAGAACTAGATGGTCAGGTGTGGTGTTCACGCCTGTCATCTCAGCACTTTGGGAGGCTGAAGCAGGTAGATTCCTTGTGTCCAGGAGTTCAAGACCAGCCTGAGCAACATGGCAAAATCCTGTCTCTACAAAAAATATAAAAATGATCTGGGCATGGTGTTGTACGCCTGTGGTCCCAGCTACCGGGGAGGCTGAGGTGGGAGAATCTCTTGAACCTGGGAGGTGGAGGTTGCAGTAAGCCGAGATCAGGCCACTGCACTCTAGCTTGGGTGATAGAGCGGGACCCTGTAGCAAAAAACAAAACAAAACAAAACAAAAAAAGAATTAGGTACAGGCTGGGTGTGGTGGCTCGTGCCTGTAATCCCAGCACTTTGGGAGGCTGACGCAGAAAGGATTGCTTGAGGCCAGGAGTTAAAGACCTACCAGCCTGGACAACATAGCGAGACCCTGTCTCTACAAAAAATTAAAAAATCAGCTAGGCGTGATGGCATGCATCTGTAGTCCTAGCTACTCAGAAGGCTGAGGCAGGAGGCTGAGGCAGGAAGATCACTTGGGCCCTGGAGTTTGAGGCTGCAGTGAGTCATGCAGACTCAAACTCAGCTTGGGTGACACAGCCAGACCCTGTCTCTAAAAAAATAACTAGGTACAAATTTCATCCTTAAATGTAAACAACCAATCCTGTTCACTTTGGTTGCCCAAAGACTACAAAAAGCTCAGGGGCTCTGCCCTTAGGCCTGGCAGTGAAGCAGTTCCCAGGTAGAGTTTCTGTTTTCAAGGGTGCTCAGGATTTGGAGAAAAGTTCCTTTCAGTGACTGATGATATATATCTAGAGACCACATCAAAAGCACCAGACTTACAAAGAGAAGGAGATGATAGCACCGAGCAAGCTGTATTTCCTTTCTTCTGAGCCCTTACCTTTCGATCTCTCACATTGACTGGATCTAGACCCTCCCGCCCCCTACAATCACATAAGCAGCCAATTACTACAACAGGTCATAGCTCCATTCTAGGAAACCAAGGTCCTTGGCTGCCCCATGGCTACTGACCACATTATTTTCCTAACCTCAGGCATAATGCATATATATTTTATCATTCATAGTGAATCTATCGCCTATACTAAAAAAAAAAAACCAGAAAGTAGATATCCTATTAAGAGTAGGACAGATGCATTCTCTAATATACAAAGAATTTCACTACTATGAATAAATAATTATATAGTTAATGATTTCTAATGATTTGTTTCAGAAGCCAAGCTTGAAGCACTCATCCAAAATCTTCCCAACTACAAATGGGTTTTTAAAAAATTAATTCATTTATTTTTGAGATGGGAGTCTCACTATGTTGCCCAGGTTGGTCTCAAATTCCTGGGTTCAACTGAGCCTCCCACCTCGGCCTCCCAGAGTGCCGGGATTACAGGCGTGAGCCACTGTGCCTGGTCCAGATGAGCTTTTTAACTTTTGTAATCTGTACCAAACGTACCTACGTTCGTTTGATGCTTTTTTGGGCTATTAGCAGAAATCAGTAAAAATGTTCTTAAAAGCAGCTCCAAACATTTAAAAAATATATACATACTTCTTTCACAGAGAAGCCCATGGACAATGCAGCCACGTCTGGGATCCGCTCTCCTGGTATAGGCCAATTTCCATTTCGGAAAACAACAGACCCTGGTGATTTTAATATACTAAACTCGTTCCCCAAAACACCTGAAAAGAAAACAGATCAGTAAATGAATTATCAACATCATAAATCATTTACCTTGACAATTATTAAATATAATACATGTTTCCCCATTCACCACTGACTT
This sequence comes from Homo sapiens, assembly GCF_000001405.40. Taxonomy (NCBI): domain Eukaryota; kingdom Metazoa; phylum Chordata; class Mammalia; order Primates; family Hominidae; genus Homo; species Homo sapiens. Next base: position 40,588,884 of record NC_000023.11, on the reverse strand, counting down.
AGCGTATTAAATTATGACTGGTCAAAATGCTGAGTCCTAAACAATAACAAATTCTTTTTCAAAGTATCACTCTAAGAATTTAAGTCCACACATTCTGCTGGAACAAAAGTACAACTATCAGAGCCTCTCTGAACCTATTCTGGTTCAGGGTCTGCCTGATAAGAACAAGAAACAAACAAAAGTCTCAAAAAGAGATCAACAAAGGTACAACTACAAAACAGGGTTTCCTAATGATATAGACACCTTCCTACTGATGGCTCTTAAAGAGGCATGTGGCAATTTGGCAGGAATTAGAAATCAGTGGCATATCTCCAAAATTTAAAAAACAAAAAACAAAGCCCAGGCACAGACTAAAAAGGAAGAAGCTTGAAATCTCTAAATTATTTCTACCATCAATCCTTTCTACACAATGCAAATTCATAAAGTTCCTATTATTTCACTATAAGATTTTACCAGGTTACTATGTCTTAGGATAGGTAACATCTTTCCTTATGTCCCATAGGCAACCCTAGTGAAATAAGGACTGTCAAATGTTGGGGGGGGGGGGGGGCATACATGTCACAAGTAGAAACATAAAAACACTTCAGACTTTAGAAACAAAGTCCAGGAAACAGTATTTGTAGTTGACATGTCAAGAGGGTAAGAAAAGGTATTCTGTAATGATAAAGTCAACTAGTCTAAGGATTCAGGATTAAAAGATAAAGATGAGAATAAAGGGACTATTTTATAAGCTCTCCACAGCTAAGGATGAGGTATTTGGCCTCTTCATCCATTATCTATTAACCTCGTGATGTCTAGCTTACACAGGGACAAGTAGCTAATTTCAGTTACTGAAAGGAACTTTTCTCCAAATCCTGAGCACCCTTGAAAACAGAAACTCTGCCTGGGAACTGCTTCACTGCCAGGCCTAAGGGCAGAGCCCCTGAGCTTTTTGTAGTCTTTGGGCAACCAAAGTGAACACGATTGGTTGTTTACATTTAAGGATGAAATTTGTACCTAGTTATTTTTTTAGAGACAGGGTCTGGCTATGTCACCCAAGCTGAGTTTGAGTCTGCATGACTCACTGCAGCCTCAAACTCCAGGGCCCAAGTGATCTTCCTGCCTCAGCCTCCTGCCTCAGCCTTCTGAGTAGCTAGGACTACAGATGCATGCCATCATGCCTGGCTGATTTTTTAATTTGGGGTTCCTATTAAAAAAATGGGCTCCAAGTCTAGAACAAATGTTAGCCACACCTAGTATGGGAAAATTAGACTTTAGTAAAGAATCAGTGTTATTCTCTTGACCTAAGGAAAGTACCACTAACAGGGGATGGAAATAAAGTTGGAAGCAACAGTAAATGTTTTGGTGTTGCAGTATTGACAGTAAATAAAAGGCTTCAGGTTGGTGCTGATACACGGGAGTTACAAATTTCAATCCGGCACAGCTGTCAGAACAGGAATGTCCAAACTGCTCTAGCTGAAGACAGACCAAAAAAATTAGCAGAATGGAATGGTCTTTTGTAACTGATAGATATCTTGGTTCACTAAAGTAGTAGTACTGCAAACACTAAGAAAAATGGGGAACCAAGAGACCTATGCTTCCCAAGAACCATACACATATTTTGTTTGTTTGTTTTGAGACAGAGTCTCACACTGTCGCCTAGGCTGGAGTGCAGTGGCACAATATTGGCTCACTGCAACCTCTGCCTGCCAGGTTCAAGCAATTCTCCTGCCTCAGCCTCCCAAGTAGCTGGGATTACAGGTGTGTGCCACCATGCCTGGCTAAATTTTGTATTTTCAGTAGAGACAGGGTGACACCATGTTAGCCAAGCTGGTCTCAAACTCCTGACCTCAAGTGATCGGCCCGCCTCAGCCTCCCTATGTGCTGGGATTACAGGCGTGAGCCACCGCGCCCAGCCCCAGGTACCATACACATTTAAAAAACCATATTTTGATTTGGAGATACCCTTGTTTTGAGACACGGCCCTACTCATTCAATTCTGGCAAACCTATACCAAATAACTTTGCCCCAGCTTCGTAGTTTCAACTTCCATGCCTGTACAACAGTCCTTCAGAAGCCCAGAGCTTTAGAAAACCTTAGAGTCAGGGACTCCTATACAGAGGAAGGTCATTTGTCCAAACTTCTGCTTATTATAAGTATAAGCATGTCTCAGGGATACCTGGCAGAAAGTCACCCCTCCTCTATTTCAATACTACCAGTGATGGGGACACCACCTCAATATACGAACTACATTTGCCAGCAACTGGCTCCATTTTCCTAACATTCTAGTCCTTTGAAAAGTTTTTCCTTGTACTGAACTGAAATGGGCTTCCTAACTTTCAACTTCCTATGCTATCACTCCCCAACTCAGTCTCACCAGATAACCTCATCTCCAGCTTCACAGAGAAAACAGAGGAATTTCTTGAGCTACCTGCTTCCTCTCCCCACCACAAATTTATCTGCATAAGCCCCTATCTGTAACTCCTCTCCCTCCAGACATGAGGGCAGGGATGTCCCTCCTCCAGACTAAGACAATCCTGTGTTCAGTCTTTTTAGGGACCTTTGTTCCTTCACTGTTTGTTAAGGAAGCCACTCTTCTAGGACAGACAACACATCAGGAGTGAGGTGGCTATATGGTAATAGCCATCAAAAGATGGCCCTATAGAATACAAGCTCCATGAAGGCGGGGATTTCAGTGCGTCTTGTTCACACACTATCCCCAGGGCTGAGAACAGAGCCCGACACATTGGTGCTCAATAAGTACTTGTTGAGTTAATGAATGAATGAAGTCACACTTCAAACCACCAGTTTTTTCCCTCTCCACTGGCCCTTTCACTTCAGCATAAAAATACGCTCAAGGCACTCCCATTCTATAACTAAAACCATAAAAAACCTCCTTTGGTCCTACCAGTCTCCACCAGCTACCAGCCTTGCTCCCCTTCAGAGGAAGAATCCAGGAAGAGCAGTCAACCACCGTTTGCTTCTATACTTCATTTTAAGTTTACTACTTAACCCACAAAATTTTAAAAATTTTTTTTATTTTTATTTTTTGAGACAGGGTCTTGCTGTCACCCAGGTTGGAGTGCAGTGGTAAGGATCTCAGCTCACCGCAACCTCCACCTCCCAGGTTCAAGAGATTCTCCTGCCTCAGACTCCTGAGTGGCTGGGACTACAGGCACGCACCACCACGTCTGGCTAACTTGTGTATTTTTTTGGTAGAGACAGGGTTTCACTACGTTGGCCAGACTGGTCTCGAACTCCTGACCTCAAACAATCCGCCTGCCTCGGCCTCCCAAAGTGCTGGGATTACAGGCGTGAGCCACCCCACCTGGCCGCCCACACCTTCCAAGCCCACCATGCCACTGAAACGACTCCCCAAACTCAAAAGGCAATTTCCATCCCTTAATTTTATCTAACTTCCCAAAGCATTTGATACTGGCAACTCCCTCCTTGAAAAGCCCCTGCTTTGGTCTTCATGCAGCCACGGCTCCTGGTTTTCCTTGCAATCCCTTTGGCTGCTTCTCCTCTGTTTCTTTCCCTTCCTGTCCTTTAAAGCAGTGGTAGCCAAACTTTTTAGATTTCAACCCTGTCAGCCCAAAATTGGAAAGTAGCCCTTCTTTCTTCTCTCTGTCCCTCTCATCCTCTCCATGTAAAGTATATACTTCTACTATAGTAATAGATTATGTATTTGATTTGTGCTATATTACAAAGCATACAAAAATAAAAGTTTTTAAAAGGATGAGATACCTGTGTAGTATTTTTCCCAATCTAATAATGAGAAAACATCAGATAAACCCAAATTGAGGGACAGTCTACAAAATACCTGACCATTATTATTCAAAAAGAGATAAGATAAAAATAGGCCAGGCATGATGGCTCACACCTGTAATCCCAGCACTTTGGGAGGCCAAGACAGGCGGATCACTTGAGGCCAAGAGTTCAAGACCAGCCTGGCCATAATGGCGAAACCTCATCTCTACTAAAAATACAAAAATGAGGCCAGGTGTGGTGGCTCATGCCTGTAATCCCAGCACTTTCAGAGGCTGAGGCAGGCAGATCATTTGAGGTCAGGAGTTTGAGACCAGTCTGGTGAACATAGTGAAACCCCGTCTCTACCAAAAAAATACACAAGTTAGACAGATGTGGTGGTGCATGCCTGTAGTCCCAGCTACTCAAGAGGCAGAGCACCTGAGGTTGGGAGTTCAAGACCAGCCTGACCAACATGGAGAAACCCCGTCTCCACTAAAAAAATACAAAATTAGCCAGGCATGGTGGTGCATGCCTGTAATCCTAGCTACTCGGGAGACTGAGGCAGGAGAATCACTTGAACCCGGAAGGTGGAGCTTGCAGTGAGCCAAGATCATGCCATTGCATTCCAGCCTGGGCAACAAGAGTAGTCCCAGCTACTTGGGAGGCTGAGGGACAAGAATCACTTGAACCCCAGAGGCGGAGGTTGTAGTGAGCCGAGATCGTGCCACTGCACTTCAGCCTGGGTGACAGAGCAAGACTCTGTCTCAAAAAAGGAAAAAAAAAAAAAAAAAGATAGAGGCTGGGTGCGATGGCTCACACCTGCGTGTAATCCCAGCACTTTGGGAGGCTGAGGAGGAGGATCACTTGAGCCCAAGAGTTTGAGACCTCATCTCTACAAAAACAAACAAAAAATTAGCTGGGTATGGTGGCATGCGCCTGTGGTCCCAGCTACTAGGGAGGCTGAGGTGGGAGAATCGCTTGAGCCTGGGTGGTCGAGGCTGCAGTGAGCTGTGATCACACCAGTGCACTCCAGCCTGGGTGACGGAGTGAGACCCTGTCTCAAAAACAAAAACAAAAAGGATATAAATGGAATTTCTAGTACATTCATCTGGCATCCAAATGGATCACCTAGCATACTCCACTTTGGAGATCTGAGGGCTCCATTCTTGACTCTTACTGCTTTCCTATTCTACATCTCTCCCAGGCTGAGCCCAACTACTCCTAAGGCTGCAAACACCAAAAACACACCCAATTCACCATCTTTCCACACACTTCTCCTGTATTCTATCTTGAAGGATGATACCACCTTCCTTCCACCCAGTGGCTGGAATCAGTCGTCTTTAAATCTTCCTCAGCAACACAGCTAATTAGCCACTGAATTTCATCTTTTTTTCTTATCTCACAAATCCTTTCCCCTCTATGTCCAGGGCACACTCTTCAGGCCCTCTCCAGGTTTGCTAGAATTGGGTGCCTTATGACCCTTGTCATGCCACTCTCTAATCCAGCCTTTCCCATAACTGCTTCAAAATACAGATCTGATCATTCACCCTTCTGCTTAAATGCCTTCTCTCACTGCCCAGAGACTCTGAGGCAAAACCCAAAGCATTAACACCCAAGAAACCTCATCAGCCTTATTTCTGGTATCTCCCCAACTTAATCCTGTACATTTCAGCCCCACCAAACTACTTGCCCCTTTGCTCTCACATCGCCATGCTTTTACACATGCTGTTCTGTTTCAAATACCTTTTCTTCCCACCCCAACTTTTCAACACATTAGCCCTGGGAGGCACCTCCCATGGGAAATTTTCCTCAGCCTCCCCAGTCTGGGCTAAGTGTCCTTCCCTCTAGGAACTCCACTATACTGTGCTATTATCGTCTACGAATGGTGGATGGAATCAATAATAATAAAAAAATGGATCCTATCTCCCTCTTCTACATGACATCACTTCAAATTCCATGTGTTCACCCTTGGCCTTTCTTCTCCAGGCTAAATATCTGAATTTTATCAAATACGCCTCATGATATGGTATTCAAAATCCTAGTTCCCTTCCTCTCTCTCTAGGTCCCTAGTTCTCCCTCTAGTTTGGCAACACTGTTTTAAAGGATTTCTATTTTTGTTTCTGCCTGGAATAGAGAAGTCAGAGCTCTTAAAGATGTTTTCCACTACATCACATTTAGTCATTGTGGAAAATAATAACTGAACCTCATCTGACAAGACTGAGCAATTCAGAAGCTGACAGGATCAGGTTCTTGTTCTGTATGAACTCGGCTATGCTAGTAAGGAAAACATGTTCAAACCATGTGCAGAAGCAATTATTTTATCTCAGACCCAAAACAAAAAAGCCTATACCTCACTGAATCAAAATAATATCAGTCAAAATATTAAAACATGGAATCTCAATAGATGTTCAGTTAAACCACAGGATCAAAGGGAATATTTTTAAAATTTCAAAAACTGAATTAAAATTAATTCCCTCAAAGTATCTCAGTAGATCAGAAAGACCTTTCCAGAGCCAGAAACAGAAGAAAGAAACAAAGAACTCGAAAACGTTTGGGGCATGGATACAACGTAACTATCATTAACACACAAAACCCCCGCACCTCTAGGGACAGAGATCTGCAGATTTCAAGAGCATACTGGTGCAGAATTAAATCGCCATTCCACAAGCAGGACCTCCCAACACCTCACATAGGTTTTTGGTTTGTTTGTATGTTTGTTTTTGCTTCTGAGACAAGGTCTGGCTCTATCGCCCAGGCTGGAGTGCAATGGCGCGATCTCGGCTCACTGCAACCTCCGCCTCCCGGGCTCAAGCGATTCTCGTACCTCAGCCTCCTGAGTAGCTGGGATTACAGGTGTGCCCCAACACACCCGGCTAATTTTTATATTTGCAGTAGAGATGGCGTTTTGCCTTGTTGGCCAGGCTGGTCTCAAACTCCTGACCTCAGGTGATCTGCCTGCTTCGGCCTCCCAAAGTGCCGGGATTACAGGCGTGAACCACCGCGCCCGGCCTCCCATAGGTTTTAAACTGACACACTGAGATCAGAGCACCCATTCCTCCAAGCCGTTCTCAACTTGGCCTCTTGTTCACTACTGTCTGTGCCTCCAGTCTCAGTCCCCATCACTCCCACATTCTCACACAGTAATAGCGTTACTTGTGCAACACAACATATATAATGGAAAAGGCCGATGCGCTGGCACCACCTCATCTGAAATCAAATCCAGCACCCAACCTGTTTAGTGTTGGGTAATTTATTTAGGTTGATCACCCTGCAAAACAAAGATGATGCCCTCTAAGGACTGCTGTCAAATGAAATACATTACCACATGATATGCAGTAAGAGGCCACGTATTAGCTGATTTCTTCACCTCTTGCTGAATGCTTAGGAATCTAGGTTCTACTCAGAAAGCTACCATTTATTGACATGTGACCCTAAAAATGCGACTCACATCCTGTTTCCAAATCCTTAAAATTTGGAACTCTGACAAACTATTGAGAGGTGCTTTGTATTCGCCTTAAGAAATATAAGTCATATAAAAATAATGACTCCATCTCAACTTTTGCATCCGGAAATATACATAAGGGAAGGGAGGGGCAGGGATTTCAGCAATTACTGATGACAACCACTAGAAATGAAGGCACCATACAAATGCAAAAACATCGTGGCAGCCAGTGGCAGCTAAAAAGTCTGCCTTCTCTTCTTCGCAGCGGGCTGCGACTCAATCCCAGTTCACTGAGAAATGCATCTCCGTACTCTGAAGGGCCTTTTCAGGCGCAAGAAGCCGGCCGGACGCGCCGCCCTCAAAGTGGAGGGTGGAGGCAGGCTCAGGGGCCCCCTACGCAGCCCAGCCCCGGCCCCGGCGGCCCGTGAGGCCGCGCCGCCACGGCCGATCCAGAGAAGATGCTGACGGGGACGCGGCTGAGGCGAGGCCGCCGCTGACGGACCGCACTGCGGCACCTGCCTCGCAGCTACTCGCCCGCGGCCGCCCCCGACCCCCAAGCCCCGCGGCGCAGGACCTCCCCAGGCACGTCCTGCCGGCCCCCGGCTCCTCACCCGCCACCAACGCCAGGAGCACGACAAACACAGCCATGGTGCCGCGGCGGCCGCAGCACTGCGGGGCGACACGGAACGGGCCGGCGGGACACGGGCGACAGCCGCAGCGTGAGGAGGTGACGCGCTCGGACTCGTCCAGGCTCCCGGGTCCCGTCCCTTCGTCGCTTCCGCTGGGACAGCTGCCGCTTTCTCCACCAATCACCAGTTACGCCGCGGCCTACGGAAGGGACGTAACCTGGGAAGCGACAGCCTGATAGGCGGGACTTAAAGTAACGGATGGAGAGTTCTACCAATGGTAGGCAGCGATTGAAAAGTCGGGCAGTCCCGCCCCCCGGTCGGTGATGACGGGTCAAGAGGTGGAGCGTAGGGCGGGTAGTCGGAATGGGTGATGGAGCTAGTCGAGGGGTCCCGGAGCCCACGGGGTGAGGGTGCCTCCCGAGTGCAGATCTTTCTGCCAGTCTCGAGCGACGGTCTCCAACCAGGGTGTCTGTCTTTCCTGGTCGTGTGCCTCCGCCCGGCTACGGACGCCAGCTGTGAAAGGCGGGGCTGGTTGGGGTTTCGCTCTAACAAGTATACAGACGCCGAGCACCTACTGGGAAGAAGCCAGGCGCAACGGGGAACCCCTGCCTTCCACATAGTGGTGCCAGATAAAATACAGGGCGCCCAGTTAAATTTGAATTTCATGTAAACAACGATTATTTGTTATTATGTCGCAATTAATTTATGGGACATACTTGTATTAAAAGAAGTATTACTGGTTATCTGAAATTCAAATATAACTGGGTATCCTATATTTTGATTCGCTAAGTCTGGCAACTCTACCTCCAAAGACTTTCCAATCTACAAGGAGTCATGGGACAGAAAGTTAATTAATTACTTAATTTGTCCATTCACTCAGTTTCCAATCTGGGCAAGGTGTTCTATGAGGATGTATGAAGGCTAGACATAGTAATTAGACCAGGCTCCTCCCCTCCCGCAGTTCATAGTCTTTTGCCTATGATGTGAGGCAAGAAGGGACACACTATAGCGTCTGTAGGTAGAAAATGACGCCCCAGCTGATGACCTTGAAAGGTGGAAATGATTTCATATCCAAGGATAGGAGATGGGGAGATTGTTCCAGTGAAAACTGTAGTTAAGGTGGGGAGAAAGCCCCGTCAGGTTAAGCATCAGTAATCAAATAAGAGATTATATGAGAGAGGAGGCACAGAGCTAAAACTTTCAGTTAGGCACATTTATTGAGGATTTTAAATTGTACATAAGAGACCTACACTAAGCCATTGAAGGCGTTTGAGCATGATTTACTGCACAAATGTAAGACAGACTTATTGGCGGGGGGGAGGGGGGGAATGCCTTACTGTTTCTTCAGTTTCCAGTCCCATTTTCTTCTTGGAGTTTCCTGAGGATGAAAAAATGAGAGCGAGTTAAAAACAGTGACCCCAGGAGTTCCCCAGGTAGCAGACCCACCCTAGGAAAACCTTGCCCAACTGAAAACTGAATCAGAAAGACACTCTCGAGGCCAGGTGTGGTGGCTCACACCTGTAATCCCAGCGCTTTGAGAGGCCGAGGTGGGAAGATCCTTTGACACCAGGAGTTGAAAACCAGCCTGGATAACATAGTGAGGCCCTGTCTTTTTATTATTAGAAAATAAAGAAAGCAAAAAAAGAGAAACACTCACTAAATAGTTTGAACTTTCTAGAACACACTATGCTTACCAAAGCCACTCTCAAATTTAGGGAACAGAGTCGATTTCCTCACCTAACGTCAAGAAACAGGAAACTCTCAAACTTGCTTTTCCTCTAGAGGAGAATTTGTACAAATGGGACTTTAGAGAACTCTGAAAGGGAGAAGAGAGATTTTTCCATCAGGCATGTGAAATTATTAGAACCAAAATGTCTAAAGCACCCCTCCAAAACATCCACTCTAATGTGACTGACTCGAAAAAAATTAATCACTTTTTTTGTTGTTGTTGAGACGAAGTTTCCCTCTTGTTGCCCAGGCTGGAGTGCAGTGGTGCGATCTCAGCTCACTGCAACCTCCAACTCCCGAGTTCAAGCAATTCTCCTGCCTCAGCTTCCCAAGTAGTTGGGATTACAGGCGCCAACCACCACGCCCGGCTAATTTTTGTATTTTTAGTAGAGACGGGGTTTCACCATGTTGGCCAGGCTGGTCTCGAACTCCTGACCTCAGGCGATCCACCCACTAAAGCCTCCCAAAGTGCTGAGATTACAGGCGTGAGCCACTGCTCCCGGCGGAAAAAAATTAATCATTTTTAAAAATTCATTTTTAAGCATGATAAATTCACAATCTTTTCACACCAACTAAAATTCTTTGTCCATCTCCCTGCATGTCTTAGAACAGGTTTTGAATCACAGGCCCTGCAAGAACTTATCTAAACCTTATTTAGGGACATAATCAGCTAAAAGTGGAGCAGACCTCCTGCCATTTCATCCAGCTTAAGGAAACAGGGAAAGGAGTGAATGTTTCTGTTCTTAAGACTTCTAGTACATTCTTATTTCTTTGAATTTGAGGAAGATGAAAAAATTTGTAAATAGACTGGAATATAAAATAAGTCCCCACCCCCCCATTCCCCCAGAAAACCTCACAATCTTTCACAATCCATTTATGTCTTGAGAAATAACATCCCCTTTTGAGCTAACAGCGAATAGTGTATTCTTTACACCTAAGGGCCCTTTTCACCTGAGGTTGCAAAGGGGCATTGTTGTTCTCTACAACCTTGGAATTTAGCAAGATAAACATTGTCGGAAGCCCTCTCCTTGTTTCATAGATTGAGAGATTGAAGCCTAGGGAAGGGCATATGTACTCAAGGTCATATTCTGAATCGTCAGCAGTTCTGCTTCGTGAATGCAGCCCTGCTGATTCAATCTTTAGCGCTCAGTAAACAACTGGTGATGTGCGGTTAACTTTTCCACTGAAGCATTTAGAGATGGATATGTGTGTAGCAGGGTAATACAATATTTGAAGTTATGACCCCATTTGTTAGCCTAAAAGAAGCCTTTCTCCACCCTCCCCACAGGCCAAATAGGCAAGACTGCAGCCATCCGTTGCCCTGAGGGGAGGACTCTCAGGAGAACCTGAAAACAAATGTCAAATTCTTGGCTCTTGAGTTTCAAAACTAGAGGTCCAGATGCAAGATTTGAAAGAATACATAATTCCATTTGCTTCCTTAAGTCTCGCCCTCGTCCCCCAATTAAGTCCAGCAGTGAGTTCTGAGTGATCCCGGAGTGAGCGCGATAACATGAGCTGATCCCTGCAAATGAGACATCCCATCCAGGAGCCCTGTGGAGGCGAAGATCATGCCCCTCTCCCAGACCATGCAGTTAAAATTAAGAATTTATGTTCTTCAAAAGGTACTATATACACTATGGAAAGGTGTGGGGGAGGGGAGAGCAGCTTTGCAGTGCAAAAACCCAACAAATACTATCTAGGCGATGTGATCAAGGTCAACACCAACAGTGATCGGTCATGTTGACAGTGTGTGCCCTTGATGTGATACAATGATAATGGCAGGCACTTCACCTCTATGATCTTCCTCCCCCATACCCATAACCCCAGTGTAATCATGAGAAAAACATCAGATAAATGCCAATAGAGGGGCATTCTACAAAATATCTGACTGCTGCTCCTCAGAAGTCATCAAAAACAAGGAAAGTCTGGGCTGGGCGCGGTGGCTCACACCTGTAATCCCAGCAGTTTGGGAGGCCTAGGCGAGTGGATCACTTGAGGTCAGGAGTTCAAGACCAGCCTAGTCAACATGGTGAAACCCCATCACTACCAAAAAATACAAAAATTAGCCAGGTATGGTGGTACGTGCCTGTAGTCCTAGCTACTCGGGAGGCCAAGGCGGGAGAATCGCTTGAACCTGGGAGGCGGAGGTTGCAGTGAGTCAAGCTTGTGCCACTGCAATTTAGCCTGGGCGACAAAGTGAGACCCTGTTTCAAAAGAAAAAAAAATTAGCCAGGCATGGTAGCGCATACCTGTAGTCCCAGCTACTGGGGAGGCTGAGACAGGAGGATCACTTGAACCCAGGAGGTTGAGACTGCAGTAAGTCAAGATCTCATCATTGCACTCCAGCCTGGGTGACAGAGGGCAACGCTATCTCCAAAAAAAAAAAAAAAAAAAAAAAAAACCCAGAAACTATATTTTTAAAGAATCCAGCATAGATGACAAAAGTTTAAAGAAAAGCAAGGAAATGGTTACCATAAAAAATTAGAACAGTGATTACCTCCAGGGTGGAGGGGAGAAAGATATGTCTGAAAGAGACATGGAGAAGTATTTAGGGGTGCTGGTCATTTCTGAATGGTGGTGGTGGTTGTCACACTAGTGTTCATTTTGTGATTATCCATATTCTGAGCATTGATATTGTATGTTCACTTGTGTGCTGTATTTTCCAGTAGAAAGGTTTTAAAAATCTAGTTTGCTTTTTTTGAGTCTTGAGAAGGAGCACTTCTTTTTGACTTGGTAGAAATTATTTGTATGTGGTTTCAAATTATGTTTGCAAAATCTTGTGTTTACAAAACATGTCTTCAGTGAGTGTGGAAGTTTCCAAAGAAAGGCCAGTGTTGTGGTTGGCATGCTAATGGCTGTCTTCCGAGAGATAGTAGAGATGCTATCTCCTGTGGGAATTCACTATGAGGCAAAAGCCAGGCTTTGGCCTTCCAGCCTGAGAATCCCAGTTCTATCAGCATCCGAGAGTTAATCCAACTGGGTGACATCAACCCAAAATAATAAACTCATAAGATCTTAATGTTGCGAACAGCAGTTTGTTCATTTACAGTGAGATATATAAGTATGTAGTAGTCTGCATATTCATGTCAACCTGGCTAGTGTTTTCTCTCCAAAAATGCAAGTGACATAGGACTCTTTGAATTAGTCAGAATAGACTTGGTGAGTATACAATCAGAGCAAATATTTAATGCATTAAGCTCTGTTGTATCCATGTCCACATCTGGAACGTACACACGAAGCAGACTGAATATTTGTTTCAGACTGACAGGGCACTGTAATAAACCATATATTGGGGATGACTACAAGGACCACACCTTGCCATTTATGATAGCTTCCCACCGTTTCCATGACCTCTACGGTCCTGTCTGTACCTTTTTTTTTTTTTTTTTTTTTTGAGGCGGACTCTTGCTCTGTTGCCCAGGCTGGAGTACAGTGGCGCAATCTCAGCTCACTGCAACCTCCGCCTCCCGGGTTCAAGCGATTCTCCTGCCCCAGCCTCCTGAGTAGCTAGGATTACAGGCACATGCCACCACACCCAGCTAATTTTTGTACTTTTGGTAGAGATGGGGTTTCACCATGTTGGCCAGGATGGTCTTGAACTCCTGGCCTCAAGTGATCCACTCGCCTTGGCCTCCCAAAGTGCTGGGATTAAAGGCATGAGCCACTGTGCCCGGCCCTGTCTGTACTTTATGAGTCCACATCCCTGGCAGACTAAAGCAGGAGTGGTCACATGACCCAGACTGGGCCAATGGGCTTCTCTATCCTAGAATTCTGGGATTGAGGCCAAAAGATGCTAGTGATTCTTGTATAACAGTTGAACAGGGAGACCTATGAATTACCATCTTTTGCCACATACTCAGAGGTGGAGAAGCTGGGCTGCAGAAAGAGAGGAGCAAAGCAAACATCCAGAGACAAGTAGACAGGAAAGACCAAATGTGCCTGCAATTCCTGCCAGCTCTAAAATTATTTTCTCATCCGTGGGGAGACTCAGCTGCATCCCCTGATTTAGAACTATGTGTGATGGCCCAGAATTCTTATAACTCAACCTCCTCTTCTTTAAAAATTATTGTTATTATTATTATTATTATTATTATTATTATTATTATTATTATATTTTGAGACGGAGTTTCGCTCTGTTGCCCAGGCTGGAGTGCAATGGCGCAATCTCAGCTCACTGCAACATCTGCCTCCCGGGTTCAAACGATTCTCCTGCCTCAACCTCCCGAGTAGCTGGGATTATAGGCATGCGCCACCATGCCTGACTAATTTTTGTATTTTTAGTAGAGACGGGGTTTCGCCATGTTGGCCAGGCTGGTCTCGAATTCCTGACCCCAGGTGATCCACCACCTCCGTAAAAATTATTTTTAATTGTAATAAAATACAGGTAACATAAAATTGACCATCTTCACCATTTTAACTGTACAGTTCAGTGGCATTAAGTACATTCACATTGTTGTGCAGCCATCACCACAGTCCATCCCCAGAACTCTTTCATCTTGCAAATCTGAAACTCTCTACCCATTAAACAATAATTCCCCATTCCCCCATTATGCCAGACCCTGGCAACCACTGATCTACTTTCTGTCTCTATGAATTTGACTACTCTAGACACTTTGTCTAAGTGGAATCATACAGTATTTATCTTTGTGTGACTGGCTTATTCCACTTAGCATAATGTCCTCAAGGTTCATTCATGTTGTGGCATGTGTCAGAATCGTCTTCCTTCTTCAGACTGAATAGTATTCTGTTGTAGGGATACAACACATTTTGTTTATCCGTTCATCCATGGATGGACACCCTCCACCTTTTTGCTATTGTGAATAATGCTGCTATGAACATGGGTGTTCGAATATCTCTTTGAGGCTGGGCGTGGTGGCTTACACCTGTAATCCCAGCACTTTGAAAAGCCGAGGTGGGCAGATCACTTGGACCCAGGAGCTCGAGACCAGCCTGGGCAACATGGTAAAACCCTGTTTCTACCAAAAATACAAAAAAAAAAAAAAATTAGCTGGGCATGGTGGCGGGCACCTGTAGTCTCAGCTACTTGGGAGGCTGAGGTAGGAGAATCGTTTGAACCTGGGAGGCGGAGGTTGCAGTGAGCCGAGATTGCACCATTGCACTCCAGCCTGGGTGACAGAGCGAGATCCTGTCTCCAAAAAAAAAAAAAAAAGAAATCTCTTTGAGCTCCTGCTTCAATTATTTTGAGTATATACCCAGGAGTGGAATTGCTGGGTCATATGGTGTCTGGAGCTGCCATTTTGTGTTGCTATAATAGAATACCACCAACTGGGTAATTTATGAAGAAAAGTATTTCTTTCTTACAGTGCTGGAGGCTGGGAAGTCCAATATCAAGGTGCTGCCATCTGGCGAGGGCCTTTTTGCTGTGCTATCCCATGGCAGAAGGCAAGAGGGAGACAGAGAGCAAGAGAGCAAAAGAGGTCCAAACTCGCTTTTTAAAACAAGCCCACTCTTGAAATAATTAACTCACTCTCTCAATAACAACATTAATCCATTCATGAAGGCAGAGTTCTCATGACCTAATCACCTCTTAAAGGTCCCAGCTCTCAACACTGTTGCATTGGGGATTAAGTTTCCAAGGCATCAACTTTAGGGGACGCATTTAAACCATAGCATGTGGTAAGTCTGTTTTTAATTGTTTGAGGAACTGCCATATTATTTTCCTTAGAGGCTGCACCATTTTACAATCCCATCAGCAGTGCACAAGGGTTTTCATTTTGTCACATCCTCAGCAACACTTGCTATTTTCTGAGTTTTTTTTTCTTTTCTTTTCTTTCCTTTTTTTTTTTTTTTTTTTTTGATAGTAGCCATCCTAATGGATGTGATGTCAACCTTCTCTTTTGCATCAGCTGGTTTGATTGGGTGTCTGGGGACTTGTAACCAAAATATTTTTGGCTAAAATGAGCATGTTGTCATCTGGACACTGCTTGCTTATTCTTATTCTTATTCTTATTCTTATTCTTATCCTTATTCTTTTCTCAGGCTCCCTATATACTTCCACTGACAAACCTCACCTTCTGATGAGTACATCCTTTTCTTAAGATCTGTCAGCATTTTTTTTTTTTTTGTGACAGAGGCTCGCTCTGTCACCCAGGCTGGTGTGCAGTGGCATGATCCCGGCTCACTGCAGCCTCCGCCTCCCCAGTAGCTGGGATTACAGGTGTGTGCCACCATGCCCAGCTAATTTTTGTATGTTTTAGTAGAGACAGGGTTTCTGCCATGTTGGCCAGGCTGGTCTGAAACTCTTGGCCTCAAGTGGTCTACCTGCCTTGGCTTCCCAAAGTGCTGGGATTACAGGTGTTAGCCACTGCGCCTGGCTTGATTTTTTTTTTTTTTAAGACAGAGTTTCACTCTTGTTGCCCAGGCTGAAGTGCAATGGTGCGATCTCGGCTCACTACAACCTCCACCTCCCAGGTTCAAGCGATTCTCCTGCCTCAGCTGACGGGCTAATTTTTGTATTTTTAGTAGAGGCGGGGTTTCACCATGTTGATCAGGCTGGTCTTGAACTTCTGACCTCAGGTGATCCACCTGCCTCAGCCTCCCAAAGTGCTGGGATTACAGGTGTGAGCCACCGCGCCTGGCCTGAGATTTTTTTTTAAATTAGAGATGGGGGGTCTCACTTTGTTGCCCAGGCTGGTCTCAAACTCTCGGGCTCTAGCAATCCACCCTCCTTGGCCTCCTAAAGTGCTGGTATTACAGGTGTGAGCCACCGAGCCTGGCCTTACTTGATATATCTTGTTTTCCTGACTAAACCCCGACTGAGGCAGAGGACAAACCTATTTCCAAGTTTTAGTGGGCACTTCATCTCATTGAGACACTGGATACTGACTTCAGTGACTTTGGGATAGTTCTTCCCAACTCCCCTGAAAAAACCTAATCAAATGCAGAGTGTCTTCTGAATCTATGGTAATAGAAGTCAGAATATTAATTATCTCTGAAGGTGAGGGAGGCTGACTTGAAGGGCATAAGGGAACTGTCTGGGGTTCCGGTAATGTTCTGTGTCTTGATCTAGGTGGTGGTTACATGAGGGATATACATAGGTGAAAATGCAATAAGTTGTCCACTTAAGACTCATGCAAGTTAGAGTTCGTAGCTGTGTGAAAGGGAGAAAAAAGATGTAAGCATGTAACCATATCAAATTGTATCTAAAAACTTTCAAAAGTAGGGTATTCTCAGTTTGCACCTAGTGGATGAGTATATTTAAACTCACATGAATAGGAAACATTATTTGTGAATTTGTTCATTCACTATTCATTCATCCCTTTATTTAATATTGTGTGTTTATAATGCACTGTGTGAACACTGGGCCCTGATAACTTCAGAGCTAAATCTTAGGGAAATAAACTGAGAATTTATGTCCCATCTGAAGGGGTAAAGAAGAAAAAGCTTATTTCCACGTGGTTCAGCTCCAAGTTAGCAGTGCCCAATGTGCACAGAGCACATTGTAAGCACACAGCAATGGATGAAGGAATGAATGAATGAATGAGTGAATGAATAAATTAACAAATGATGGTTTCTATTATCCATAAGTATGAAATGGAGGGAATTTTCTGGGAGTAAAAGGATCACAGTAAGTTCAATTTCCAGATGTCAGAGGCATTTGAACCAGAGTGACTCCATCTTGAATGGGGCTGGGTGAAATGAGCCTGAGACCTACTGGGCTGCCTTCCCAGAGGACTAGGCATTCTCAGTTACAGGATGAGATAGGAGGTCCGCACAAGATACGGGTCATAAAGACCTTGCTGATAAAGCATGCGGTAAAGAAGGCTGCCAAAACCAAGATGGCCATGAAAGTGAACTCTGGTCGTCCTCACTGTTCATCACATGTTAATTATAATGCATTAGCATGCTAAAAGACACCCCCACCAGCACCATGACAGTTTACAGATGCCATGGCAATGTCAGGAAGTTACCCTATATGGTCTAAAAGGGGGAGGAACCCTCAGTTCCAGGAATTGCCCACCTCTTTCCCGGAAAACTCATGAATAATCCACCCCTTGTTTAGCATATAATCAAGAAATAACTATAAGTACTATCAGTTGGGCACCCTAAGCTGCTGCTCTGCCTATGGAGTAGCCATTCTTTATTTCTTTACTTTCTTAACAAACTCGCTTTCACTTTATGGACTCGCCCCAAAGTCTTTCTTGCTCGAGATCTAAGAACTCCCTCTTGGGGTCTGGATCTGGACCCCTTTCCGGTAGCACAGATAATTACAAAAGCAAAGACAGGGCAAGATTTCATCTCTGCTACAACTCTTTTTAAGACAGAATCTCTGGAGCTGACAGGAGCTGGTTGAGGTGCTTGATGTCGTGAGCAGGTCCTCTATTTCCTCCCACCAGCTCCGCTTCTGTCTCTTCTGCCTTCCCCGTTCCGCTTTTAACCCATGATTCAAAAAACCACAGCCTGATTCCCTTTCCTCCCAGCATGTGGCTGCCCACCTTCTTTTTCTATAATGGGCTGCTGATTGCTGCTGTGGAAATTCCCCTACCCCTGGGAAGTGGCTGTCATGTGGGCCCTCAAACCTGCCTGACCACCCTTTCTCCTGCCCCACTCACTGCTTCCTCCCTTCCTCCCCATCCCTGCAGCTGTTTAAAGCTTCCAGCAGTCTTCAAGCCCCTCCCTCCTCTAGGGAGATCACACTCCAGCTTCCCCCAGTTATGGAGCATCGTCCTGCTGACCATAGGGGAAAGAGTCTAGACTCGGGAGTGTGAATTGGTCATTAAGGATCCATTACCAGCCTCAGGAAAACAACTGTGCTCCCTCTTCTCTCATCACCTCTGGTAGCTACTTCCCCTTTATGAATGCGATGACTTATTAATGAAAAATCTTCAGTCTCTAGATACCCTTCCTCATCCCCAGCAGGGCCATTCCAGGAAACCTGCACCTAGCGGCCTGCGGGAGCACCTTGCACTGACCCGCTCTTGGGTATTAGGGAGAGCCTACAGAGGAGCATGGAAGCCTGGCTTTGCATTGTCATTGTCCTCACCCATTTCTTCTGCACAGAAGTTGAGTTCTGTTTGCACTAGGTGTGGCACTGGGGATGGGGAGAGAAGGGTGCCTCAGACTGAGACTTCACCCTGGAGGAGCTTACAGCCCCATGTTCCTAACTCTCGTGGTGTTCAGACTTCTCGTGCGGCATTTGCTCTCTCCTTCATCCACAGTTCAGCTTTCCACTTGGTGCCCGGTTCAACTTTCCAGTTAGAATTTGTTTGAATGAGCTTTTTATTTTAGAATAGGTCTCAATTTATAGACAAGCTACAAAGATAGTGCAGAGAATTCTCATATACTCTACATCCAACTTTCCCCTATTGTTACCATGATACATTAGTGTGGTATATTTGTCAGAACCAATATTAATGTATTAATAATAAAGTCCATACTTTATTTATTTATTTTATTGGGATGGAGTCTCGCTCTGTCTCCCAGGCTAGAGTGCAGTGGCCCGATCTTGGCTCACTGCAACCTCCACCTCCTGGGTTCCAGAGATCCTCCCACCTCAGCCTCCTGAGTAGCTGGGATTACAAGTGCCTGTCACCATGCCCAGCTGATTTTTGTATTTTTAGTAGAGGCAGGATCACGTCTCTGTGATCAGGAATTTGGGAGCAGCTTGGCTGGGTGGCATCTGGCTTGGGGTCTCTCAGTGCCACTGCAGTCAGACAGTGGCTGGAGGTGGTGTCATCTTTAAGGTTTCTTCACTCACATGCCTGGCACCTGTGCTGGAAAGACTCAAACATCTGGGGGCTGGAAGTGTTGGGGCATATTGGGCAACTCTCTCTCTATTTCTACATGACCTCTCCACACATGGACATTCTAGGAGGTGGCTTCAGGGTAACCAGATGGATTCCATGGAAACTCTGGATTCCAAAGGCTAAGGTGTGTGTCCCCAAAAGGAGAAAACCAGGTGGAAGCCATAGCACCTTTTATGAACTAGCTTTAGAAAGTCACTGAGCATCACTTCCTCTCTATTCTACTGGTCAAGGCAGATATAAGGGGCTGCCCAGGTTCAAGAGGAGGGAACATGGACCCTCCACCCATCAGTAGAGGCTTGTCAAAGTCAAAGTCACATTGTAAGAAGAGCCTGTGGATTCGGATATTTATTGGTGTGGCCATCTTTGGAAAATACAATCTGCCATACGGGTTTGCATATAGGTAAGGAGACAATGGCTGTCATAGCTAATGGAATACCATTTTACCCAACAATATATTATCAGCATCTCATCACATAATTATTATGCAACATCACTTTATAAAAAGTTTAATTTTTAAAATTTATGTTACCAAAGTAATGCATACTTGTGAAAAAAAACCTCAAAATACAGAAATGCATAAAGTAAAACATGGGCCAGGTGCAGTGGTTCATGCCTGTAATCCCAGAACTTTGGGAGCCCAAGGTGGGCGGCTCTCTTGAGGTCAGGAGTTCAAGAACAGCCTGGCCAACATGGTGAAACCCTGTCTCTACTAAGAATACAAAAATTAGCCAGGCGTGGTGGTAAGCGCTTGTAATCCCACCTACTCAGGAGGCTGAGGCAGGAGAATTGCTTGAACCTGGGAGGTGGGCAGAGGTGGCAGTGAGCCGAGATCATGCCACTGCACTCCAGCCTGGGTGGCAGAGCAAGACTCCATCTCAAAAAAAAAAAAAGAAAGAAAGAAAGAAAAAAGAAAAACATGGAGGGATTCTGTCATCTCTTCCCTCTCTAGAGGTAAAAATAAGTTCTATATTGGTCTAGACTTTCTGCTATACCTATTCAATCATATATATAATTTTTAATTTTTTCTTAGAAAAATATCACATTACACATTCTTGCTTATTTTACTTTAAAATGTCTCAGCAACTGGGTAAGGTGGCTCATGCCTGTAATCCCAGCACTTCGGGAGGCTAGGGCAGGAAGATTGCTTGAGGCCAGGAGTTCAAGACCACCCTGGACAACATAGTGAGCTCTTGTCTCTCTCTAAAAAAAAAGATAAAATATCTCAGCTACCATGCCATTTCAGGAAGTATATAGGTGCATAGTATTCTATTGTCTGTGTTATGGTGTCTGTAATATACAGATAGTGTGTTAGCAATGTGTGTTACTGTAGTTACCTTAAGCTACCCTCTTGGAACAGTCCGTTGCCCTTTACAGGTGTTGCCAGATATGTTGCTAATGAGCATAATGAGTGTTCAAGTCAATCTGCACAATGGCTATTAGAAATAGGCTCTTATTGTTGAATTAAGAAGTATTCAAGGTATACGGATTGGCTGTGAGCTATGCTAGAGATCCTCCTCACCCTTACACAACCAAGGTGATTGAATCTAGATGGGCATGTGGCCCATGCTCAGTAGCACCTAAGGCTAGATGTCCAATAAGCCCTTTGTCCAGCCATGAATTTGAACATTCTTGTTGCCTGATTCCACCTACAAGGCTAAAGGAATCCTGTTTTCAGGACACTGTAGCCTTTGCAGCAAATGAACCTTGCACGAACGACCAAGAGCTGGGTTTGAGTCCATCGAAGAGGTTATACAATTGTTGTGCCTGCTTGTTAATATATTTGGCCAATTTGGACCTGAGACCTGCTTTTGTTCTAACCCAGTAGCAAGGTGGGGAATAAGTAGGCTCCACTTACTTTGGACTAATGGTGGCTACAGAGAGCTTCCATGTGTGCCTGACCAAATTGGCCTAAGTCACTTCACAACATAATCAGCGTATCATAACTTATTTTTCCAAACCCATTCCAACAGACATTTAAATTGCTTCCAGTGTTTTGTCTTTACATAAAATGCTGCAGTACCATCTGTTTCACAAAATGTCTGCAAAAATCTTTTTAATAATTGCAAAATATTTTTGTATTTTTATTTATTTATTTATTTATTTTTTTGGAATGGAGTCTCACTCTGTCACCAGGCTGGAGTGCAGTGGCACAATCTCGGCTCACTGCAACCTCTGCCTCCCAGGTTCAACTGATTCTCCTGCCTCAGCCTCTCGAGTAGCTGGGACTACAGGTGCCTGCCACCACGCCCGGCTGATTTTTGTATTTTTAGTAGAGGCAGGAGTTCCCCATATTTGCCAGACTGGTCTCGAACTCCTGACCTCAAATGATCCACCCACCTCTGCCTCCCAAAGTGCTGGGATTACAGGCATGAGCCACTGCACCTGGCCGTATTTTAGATTTTGGCTGAATGTAGATTTGAACTCAGATCTGATTGATGTCTTTCCCAATACTTCTAGACAGAATTTTCTGGAAGATTGAACCTGGGGGTGCCAGGAGTTAATTATGGATGTTCCTATTTGGGGATTCTATCCCAGACCTCAACTGACTTTTCACCTCTCTGGGTCAGCTTAAAATGATTTCCCACCCTTGTTACAAGAATGTTTTTCTGAACAAACACACAAGAAATCTTGTTACAAATTAATTTTCAAACCCAGGAAGGTAGAAAGCTTAGATTGTTCAGTACATGGAGTTAAATATAACCTCATGCACTGAGCAATACATATAACGCCCTAATTAATAATTCAGAGCGTCAAGTGCATTGTGGGAAGATGTCATGTCTGCAGTGCCTGTTTGTGGGAAAATTTGCTACCTTAACTGCATTACACTCACCTTCTACCCACCAACCAAAAAGAAACCAGAGACATTTGCCAAGAAGTGGCAAGCATATATTAATGACAAAAGGCAAGAATAGTATTATTCTAATTTACCAGTTATAGTGTCACTGAATAGAGAAGGGCTTCTTTAAATCCAATCTTCCGAGACAAAGGAGATTTTGATGTGGATTTTTGCCTCCATTACGGTGTTTTATAGTCTGTGTTCCTAAGAACTGGGTCAGATTTTGCAGTAGGTCTGTGATTTATTTGAACAGCCTGATACTTACATTCCTAGGCAAGCAGTATATAAAATGCCGTTTTAATATTGGAGTTTTTAAGTTAGAGTTTTTTTTTAATTGAGCTAACAACTCAATTAAATGCACCCCCCAATACCGTGCATTCTATACATAGTTCAATGTAACTGAATTTTTTTCTAAATGAATCCATCTGTGATTTCCCCTCTTGCAGACTCAGTCTTTTTCTTTTCTTTTCTTTTTTGTTTTGAGACAGAGTTTCGCTCTTGTTGCCCAGGCTGAAGTGCCATGGCGCAATCTTGGCTCACTGCAACCTCTGCCTCCTGGGTTCAAGTAATTCTCCTGCCTCAGCCTCCCTAGCAGCCAGGATTACAGGCATCCACCACCAAGCCCAGCTAATGTTTTGTATTTTAAGTAGAGAAGGGGTTTTACCATGTTGGCCAGGCTGGTCTTGAACTCCTGACCTCAGGTGATCCACCTGCCTCGGCCTCCCAAAGTGCTGGGATTACAGGTGTGAGCCACCGAGCCCGGCCAGACTCAGTCTTTTCACTCCACACATATCGTCTCCCTCGTCCCGAGCCAGCCAAAAGTAAGTTGTATCTTTTCTGATCCTCTGGGATATTTTATCATTCTTTATCTTACACAGCAGGATGCCTCCTTTAGTTGGAATTTTAATTTATTTCTAAGCAAAAGAATTTACTTGTTAAAAGCTGTCTGGGTCCTGTTTATAAGTTTATTCAGTACAGTTACAGTTATGCACCATATAATGATGTTTTAATCAACAGTCCAGACCGCATATATGAAGCTGGTCCCATAAAATCATACCATTTACTGTGTCTTTTCTATGTTTAAATACACAAATACTTACCATTGTGTTACAATTGCCTACAATATTCAGGACAGTCACAAGCTGTATAGGTTAGTAGCCTCGAAGCAATAGGCTACACCATACAGTCTAGGTCTGTAGTAGGCTATCTAGGTTTGTGTAAGCACACTCCGTGATTTCGCACAATGATAAAATCGCCTAACCATGCATTTCTCAGAAAGTATCCCTGTTGTTATGTGAGGCATGACTGTATTTGTAAGTGGCATGTAAACCAACCAGAGTCCACCAGCAAAATACTTTCAGTTAAATAGCTTAGAATACATTTATACTTCAGAATACACTGTACTCTGAAGCTGTAATAAGAACAGAAAGCTCTATGGATCAATTGTAGATATATTGTTAAGTGAAAAAAAAAGGTAGCAGAACATTTTGTGTTGCATACCACCATTTATGTAAAAAGGAGTGGAATATATAGAGATATATGTATATTTGCTAGTATATACATAAAATAACTCTGAAGGAAACACACAAAAAACTGATCAAATTGGTTGCTTTTGGGGAGAAGATATGGGTGGCTGAGGGCAGGAGTGGGGAGACTATATATCTTTTGTTACGTTGTGAATTTTGAACCATGCAAATGTACTACCAGTTCAAAAAATAAAGGAACATGGCTGGGCGCGGTGGCTCACGCCTGTAATCCCAGCACTTTGGGAGGCCAAGGTGGGTGGATCACTCGAGGCCAGGAGTTTGAGACCAGCCTGGGCAACATGGTGAAATCCTGTCTCTACCAAAAATACAAAAATTAGTTGGGCATGGTGGCATGTACCTGTAGTCCCAGCTATTCTGGAGGCTGAGGCAGGAGAATCGCTTGAACCCGGGAGGCAGAGGTTATAGTGAGCCGAGATTGTGCCACTGCACTCTAGCCTGGGCAATAGAGTGAGACTAAGTAGCAAACAAAAGGAAGGCAAAACAACAACACAGTCTGTCTAGGAGGAGGTAACAGATCACCTTGGAGCTGACCTTGGTCCACCCCTCTTACTGCTATAAATCTTATTGGCAACAGATAACCACTGGCCCCAGGGACGGGTAGAGCAAGATCTTTCTTTGTGTCTCAATATAACCTGTTTCTCCCAGTAACCCTTGGTACACAAAGACTATCCCAGAGCAAGTTTTTGTGAGGGGTCAAAGAGATTCCTGAGATTAGAGAATTCAGGGTCTGTCCCTGTCTGATGGGTGGAGAGAGCTCTTGGTGGGCTCAGCTGCCAGACGGGGGACGTGGGAACCCTTGGGGAACTCATCAAGCAGAAAGAAGCTGGATGAAGCTCAACATCGGGGTACGGATTGTTGTTGGGAAAAGCAGATTTTTTTGAGACAGAGTTTCGCTCTTGTCACCCAGGCTGGAGTGGAGTGCAATGGTGCGATCTCAGCTCATTGCAACCTCCACCTCCCGGGTTCAGGCGATTCTCCTGCCTCAGCCTCCCCAGTAGCTGGGACTACAGACATACGCCACCATGCCTGGCTAATTTTGTATTTTTAGTGGAGACGGGGTTTCACGTTGTTGGCCAGGGTGGTCTCAAACTTCTGTCCTCAGATGATCCACCCACCTCGGCCTCCCAAAGTGTTGGTATCACAGGCGTGAGCCACTGCGCCCGGCCAGGAAAGGCAGATTCTTATCGAGGGTGCGGTTGGGGCTGCTGCTGCAACACCTCAGACGTGTTGTGGAAACAAGAGCTGAGTGTTTCAGGGAAAAGCAAGGAGCCATACACTTGGGATCCCAGCTGTTGGTGCCTCATCCCAGGGGTCCCACGAGGGAGGGGTCAGCCTTCCTTGGAGAGCCTTTGGGGCTTGGACAGGGGCTGGGCTGCAGTGAATTAGGATGGTTGGACAGAAAAAGACTACTGGTTTTTATCAATACCAACAAAACTCAGGGGCAGTCCAGGTGCTGTGGCTCAGGCCTGTAATCCCAGCACTTTGGGAGGCCAAGGCAGGAGGATTGCTTGAGGTCAGGAGTTCAAGACCAGCCTGGGCAACATAGCGAGACCTTGTCTCTACAAAAAATAAAAAAATTAACTGGGCATAATAGCATGGCTGTAGTCCCAGCTACTCAGGAGGCTGAGGTGGGTGGATCCCTTGAGCCCAGAAAGTTGAGGTTGCAGTGAGCTTTGATGGTGCCACTGCACTCCAACCTGGGCAACAGAGTGAGACTCTGTCTCAAAAAAAAAAAAATGCGACTGGGTGAGGTGGCTCACGCTTGTAATCCCAGCACTTTGGGAGGCCAAGGCAGGTGGATGATCACTTGAAGCCAGGAGTTTGAGACCAGCCTGGGTAACATGGCAAAACCCCATCTCTACTAAAAATACAAAAAAATAGGCAGGCATGATGGCACACACCTGTAATCCTAGCCACTTGGGAGGCCGAGGCACGAGAATAACTTGAACCCAGGAGGCGGAGGTTGCAGTGAGCCGAGATCGCACCACTGCACTCCAGCTTGGGTGACAGAGCAAGATTAAAAAAAAAAAAAAAGTGTCGCCTCTAATAGAACACAGTGGAAGTGAGGCCGTGTGATTTTCAAGGCTAGGCCACAAAAGGCATTACAAACAATATGACTTCTGCCTGGCACTATCCCTTTTGGAATGTCTTCAGAGCTTTGAGCCACAATATAAGAAGTCTGGTTTCCCTGATGCCACCATGCAGAGAAACCACAGAGGGATAGCAGAAACTGGAGGAGCCCCAGCTATATCAGCTCCCAGCTGTGCCGAGTCTTCCCAGCCCAGGCACTACACATAAAGGGAGTAAGCCTTCGAGATGACTCCAGGCCCAGAATTCAGTGGAAATATATAAAACGCTGTGCTTTACAGAGAATACATATTCTATTCAGTTGTGGAAAATTTATAAAAGTTAACCAAGTCTTAGCCTTCAAAGAAACTCTGAATATATTCCAAAAGAGGTATCATATAAGCCAATTATCAGACCTTAATACAACAAAATTAGAGTGTAACAAGAATGAATAACCCAAATAACTCTATCCTTTTGGAAATTTGAAAATATCCTTTCCCTCATACAAATCAACAAGAATAAGGCTGGGCACAGTGGCTGTAATCCCAGTACTTTAGGAGGTCAAGGCAGGTGGATCACTTGAGCCCAGGAGTTGGAGACCAGCCAGGACAACAGAGCAAGACCCTGTCTCTATTATATAAATAAAACATTTTAAAAAACACAACAAGAATAAACAATGTTTTATCTAGGAAAGGGAGAATGAAAGATTAATGATGACCAAAGAGGCCGAGCGCGCTGGCTCACGCCTGTAATCCCAGCACTTTGGGAGGCTGAGGTGGGTGGGCCATTTGAGGTCAGGAGTTCGAGACCAGCCTGGCTAGCATGGTGAAACACCATCTCTACTAAAAATACAAAATTAGCTGGGCATGGGGGAGCACACCTGTAATCCCAGCTACTCGGGAGGCTGAGGCAGGAGAATCACTTGAACCCAGGAGGTGGAGGTTGCAGTGAGCCGAGATTGTGCCACTGCACTCCAGTCTGGGTGACAGGGCGAGACTCTGAAAAAAGAAAAAGAAAGAAAGAAAGAAAGAAAGAAAGAAAGAAAAGAAAAACAAAATTCTTCACTTGGGCCAGGTGTGGTGGCTCACGAGTGTGATGCCAGCACTTTGGGAGACCAGAAGGATCACTACAAAAAACAAAAATTAGCCAGGCATGGTAGTGCTCACCTGTAGTCCCAGCTACTTGGAAGGCTGATGTGGGAGGGCCGCTTGAGCCCAGGAGGTTGAGGCTGCGGTGACTGCACCACTGCATTCCAGCCTGGGCAACAGAGTGAGACCCTGTTTAAAAAAACAAAAAACAAACAAAAAAAACCCAACCAAAATACAAAAAGAAAATACTTCAGTCTGAATGAACAAAACTTTCTCAAATATTAAATAACATTGATCTAACAAGTTAACCTTTTAAATCCAGTGAACTTAAAGTTCTCCTGAATATTCTGGTACAATTCAATAGTACAAATTAAACTTTAAATCCTAAAACTACAATCAGTCACATATTTGACGTTTAGAGTCACATGGCTGTTTCTCCAACTGGCTAAATTTGTTAAACATTACAAGTACATATCATGCCCAATTTGCTGAGAATAATTTTCTTCTTTGTTTTTGTATTTTTTTTCTTTTTTCTTTTTTTTTTGAGACGGAGTTTCACTCTTGTTGCCCAGGCTGGAGTGCAATGGCACGATCTCAGCTCACTGCAACCTTCACCTCCTGGGTTCAAGACATTCTCCTGCCTCAGCTTCCCGAGTAGCTGGAATTACAGGCATCCACCACAATGCCCAGCTAATTTTTTGTGTTTTTAGTAGAGACGGGGTTTCACCATGTTGGCCAGGCTGGTCTCCAACTCCTGACCTCAGGTGATCCACCCACCTCGGCCTCCCAGAGTGCTAGGATTACAGGCATGAGCCACCATGCCTGGCCTTTTTTTTTTCTTTTAAACACAAAGTCTCACTCTGTCACCCAAGCTGGAGTGCAGTGGCACAATCATGGCTCACTGCACCCTCGATCTCCCGGACTCAAGCAATCCTCCTGCCTCAGCCTCCCAAAGCGCTGGGACTACAGGCATGAGCCGCAGTGCCCAGCCACCTCAGATTCTTTATAAGAAAATATAGGCCACTCTAAAACATCTCTAAACTTAATTAGAAATCTTACCTGGGTTGAAAGATGTTACCCACTAAGGAACATGGTTATCACTCCAGGGAAATGAAGTTACTTTTGACCAGAAATTTTGGCCACAGATAAGCTCTGGAACTAGAGAGAGCTGGGCGGGGGAATTCCTCTCCTGCCCACGAGGAAACTAATGGTTTATCAGCATGCTTGAAGTGGCAAAAAGAATACATTGACATTGAAAGTTGCTAAATCAATGATTCTATAACTCCAAGGGGTGTTCAAAGCCCACATTAACTACCTCTTTAGTCTCCTCACTTAAATCTATAAGCCCCACCTAGGCTGAGCACTTCAACAGATTTTGCATTTCTTTGACTCTTAAAAAGTGTATACATAGGCTGGGCATGGTGGCTTATGCCTGTAATCCCAGCACTTTGGGAGGCCGAGGCGGGCATATCACCTGAGGTCAGGAGTTCGAGACCAGCCTGGCCAACATGGTGAAAGCCCATCTCTACTAAAAATACAAAAATTAGCCGGGTGTAGTGGTGTGCACCTGTAGTCCCAGCTACTCTGGAAGCTGAGGCAGGAGAATCGCTTGAACCCAGGAGGCAGAGGTTGCAGTGAGCCGAGATTGCACCACTGCACTCCAGACTGGGTGACAGAGCGAGACTCCGTCTCAAAATAAATAAATAAAATAAAATTTTAAAAAGTGTGTACGTATCTTCCTGCCTAGGTCTAAAGACCTTTGAAGCCACCGGGCACCTTGGCTCACGCCTGTAATCCCAGCACTTTGGGAGGCCAAGGCGGGCTGATCACTTGTGGCCAGGAGTTCGATACTCCTGCCAATCTGGAACCCCATCTCTACAAGAAATAAAATTAGCTGGGCGTGGTGGTGCATGCCTGTAATCCCAGTTACTCAGGAGGCTGAGGCAGGAGAATCGCTTGAACCGGGGAGGTGGAGGGTTGCAATGAGCCGAGATCGCACAACTGCACTCCAGCCTGGGTGACAGAGTGAGTGAGAAAATAGTTTGGAAAAGTAACTGAATACGTTTATGAGCAATTAGAGTAGATGTGGTGTTGTTTTGTTTTGATTTGTTTTTTAGACGGAGTTTCACTCTTGTTGCCCGGGCTGCAGTGCAGTGGTGCAATCTCAGGCTCATCACAACCTCTGCCTTCCAGGTTTGCCTGTGCGCCACCACACCCGGATAATTTTGTATTTTTAGTGGAGACGGGGTTTCTCCATGTTGGTCAGGCTGGTCTCGAACTCCGACCTCAGGTGATTTACCCACCTTGGCCTTGCAAAGTGCTGGGATTACAGGCATGAGCCACCATGCCCGGCAGAGACCTTGTCTCTTATAAATAAAATAAGAAGCACAATGGCAGCTTGGAGAAAGGAGAGAGGCCCACTCTTCCATGGTGATGCATGATGCAAGATCTCTAAGCCAGGACTGCTTAGATATGGACAAGTTCTGTGTTTTTGTTTTTGTTTTTTGTTTTTTTGTGTGTGTTTTGTTTTTTGTTTTTTGAGACAGACTCTCATTCTGTCACCCAGGCTGGAGTGCAGCGGCGTGATCTCAGCTCACTGCAACCTCGGCCTCACGGGTTCAAATGATTCTCCTGCCTCAGTCTCCTGAGTAGGTGGGATTACAGGTGTGTGCCACCACACCCAGCTAACTTTTGTATTTTTAGTAGAGACAGAGTTTCACCATGTTGGCCAGGCTGGTCTCGAACTCCTGACCACAGGTGATCCACCTGCCTTGGCCTCCCAAAGTGCTGGGATTACAGGCATGAGCCACTGCACCTGGCCTGATATGGACAAATTCTTACTCTTTGGCTCCCCTATTCCTAAATTTGTCCTTTCTAATAATGATAAATATGTGTATAGAATATTCCTACATATTCTCACATATGTGATCCTTGTAAGAATGCGCTGAGAGAAATATCACTGTTGTTATTACATTTTATAGATGAGAAAACTGCAACATGGAAAACTGAATCAGCCAGTTAGTGAGGAGGTTGGGGTTCCAACTTCAAAGCCACGCTGTTTCCCCAGCCATAGTAACCCTGGACTTCTAACAATCCAGGCATGTAATTGTAGAGGACTTCCCTAAGAGCAAACACTGGGAGCAGACTGAGCCTGGGTCAATTTTCAGAAACAGGCCTAGTCTCCTTCCCCATCCACACATTAGAAGTATTTAAATAATTGAAGAACCTAGAGGGGCTGAGAGAGAGTTTGATTGGCCAGCTTGGGTCACGTGCCCATCCATATAATGGGAAGATGGGGTCATGTTATTGGCAGCAGTATGGAAAGAAAAGATTCATTCTAAATTTGTTTCTTGTTTTTTGTTTTTGTTTTTCCTTTTTGTTGAAGAACGGAGTCTTACTATGTTGCCCAGGCAAGCCTCAAGCTCCTGAGTGTAAAGTATCCTCCCGCCCTTACCGCCTTCTGTTGGGATTACAGGGGTGAGCCACTGTGCCCAGCCTGAAGGATTCATTCTAAAGGAAGAGGAGTGCTGTTACCAGAAGAAGATAGCCAGGCATGCGGTGTAGACAAAAGCCAGGGACACCCACACTCTAAGTTTGGAATCAGTAGGTGTTAGGGGTTGAACTGTGTCCCTCCTCCCACCAAAATATATTAGGTTGGTGCAAAGGTGCAAAATTAATCGCGGTTTTTGCCATTACTTTCAGTGGCAAAAACCACAATTACTTTTGCACCAACCTACTGTGTTAGCACTCTAATCCCCAGTACCCCCGAATGTGACTGGTGTCCTTATAAGAAGGAGAAATGTGGACACAGGCATGCATATAGGGACAATGCCATGAGAAGGTGCAGGTAGAGATGGGGTGATGCTTCTGCAAGGTGAGGAACCCCCAAGATTGCCAGCAAACCACCAGAAGCTGAGGGAGAGGCATGGAACAGATTCCCCTCATAGCCCTCAGGAGGAACCAACCCTGCCAACACCTGGAGCTTGACTCCCAGCCTCCGGAACTGAGATAATACACTTCTGATGGTGAACCCAGACAGTGTGTGGTCCTTTGTTCCAACGGACTAATACACTTGGCTGGA
Organism: Homo sapiens; assembly: GCF_000001405.40. Taxonomy (NCBI): domain Eukaryota; kingdom Metazoa; phylum Chordata; class Mammalia; order Primates; family Hominidae; genus Homo; species Homo sapiens. The sequence goes on along the minus strand of NC_000023.11, from coordinate 40,557,970 downwards.
CAAGTGGGATTCTGACAAAGGCTGCTACCGTCCCTGTCCATCACTAACCCATTTCTGCCTCTTCTCCTGTTTCCTTTGTCCCTCAGCTCCTACATCAATGCCCTTCCCCCAACCCACTCATTTCTGTCCAATCTCCAGCCAGCAAGACCACTGTTCCCAAGCCACTGCTGTGTGCATTTAGATCCCAGAATCCTACTCTCTCCAAATGAAATAACAGTCCTCAGGGCCGGGCACAGTGGCTCACACCTGTAATCCCAGCACTTTGGGAGGCTGAGGCGGGTGGATCACCTGAAGTCAGGAGTTCGAAACCAGCCTGGCCAACATGGTGAAACCCTGTGTCTACTAAAAATACAAAAAGTAGTTGGGCATGGTGGCACATGCCCGTAGTCCCAGCTACTTGGGAGTCTGAGGCAGGAGAATGGCTTGACCCCGGGAGGTGGAGGTTGCAGTGAGCCGAGATCACAGCGCCATTGCACTGGAGCCTGGGTAACAAGAGTGAAACTCCATCGAAAGAAAGAAAGAAAGAAAGAAAGAAAGAAAGAAAGAAAGAAAGAAAGAAAGAAAGAAAGAAAGAAAGAAAGAAAGAAAGAAAGAAAGAAAGAAAGAAAGAAAGAAAGAAGGAAGGAAGGAAGGAAGGAAGGAAGGAAGGAAGGAAGGAAGGAAGGAAGGAAGGAAGGAAGGAAGGAAGGAAGGGAGAGAAAGAAAGAGAAAGAAGGGAGAGAGGGAGGGAGGGAGGGAAAGAAAGGAAGGAAGGAAGGAAGGAAGGAAGGAAGGAAGGAAGGAAGGAAGGAAAGAAAGAAAAGAAAGGAAGAAAGAACCCTCCCCTAAGGAAGGGTGAGGGGTATGATTTGGCCTGCTGTTTGCCTGTGTGGGTTGTCTTCCTTGTCACTCATCTCTGGATGGGCTACAAGAATGAGTGGCCCACTAACTCCTGCCCTGTGTGGCTGGTGGGGGGTGAAGAGGGGGCATAAAAACCCGAGAAGTGCAGCCTGGGCAACATGGTAAAACTCTGTCTATACAAAAAATGCAAAAATTACCTGGGTGTGGCCTGGGTGTGGTGGTGCATGCCTATAGTCCCTGCTACTGGGGGGCTGAAGTGGGAGGATCACTTGAGCCCAGGAGGTCAAGGCTGCAATGAGCTGTGATTGTGCCACTGCACTGCAGCCTGGGTGACAGAGTGAGACCCTGCCTTAAAACACACACACACACACACACACACACACACACCTGAGAAGTGAAAAGGGTCATCTCAGCTGGGTGCGGTGGCTCACGCCTATAATACCAACACTTTGGGAGGCTGAGGTGGGAGGATCACTTGAGCCCAGGAGTTTGAGACCAGCCTGGGCAACATAGTGAGACCCCCATCTCTACAAAATATATTTTTTAAAAAGTTAGCTGGGTGTGGTGGCACACACCTGTAATCCCAGCTGTTTGAGATGCTGAGGTCTATAGTCCCAGCTACCGGGAGACTGAAGTGGGAGGATCCCTTGAGCCCAGGAGGTGGAGGCTGCAGTAAGCCATAACTGGGCCACTGCAATCCAGCTTGGGTGACAGAGTGAGACCTTGTCTCACACACACACACACACACACACACACACACACACACACGCAAAAAAAAAAAGAAAGAAGAAAGAAAAAGAAAGAGAGAGAGAGAAAGGAAGAAAAAGAAAAAAAAGAAAGAAAGAAAGAGAAAGAAAGAAAAGAAGAAAGAGAAAAGGGAGCCAGGCACGGTGGCTCACGCCTGTAATCCCAGCACTTTGGGAGGCCAAGGCACGTGGATCACTTGGAGGTCAGGAGTTCGAGACCATCCTGGCCAATGTGGTGAAACCCCCATATCTACTAAAAATACAAAAATTAGCCAGGCATGGTGGTGGGTGCCTGTAGTCCCAACTACTCAGGAGGCTGAGACATGAGAATCGCTTGAACCCAGGAGGCAGAGGTTACAGTGAGCTGAGATCACGCCACTGCACTCCAGCCTAGGTGACAGAGGGAGACTCATTCTCAAAAAAATTAAAAATTAAAAATTAAAAAAAAAAGAAAAGAAAAAGAAAAAGGGCACCTCTGAATCAGGATTTTGATTCAGCTCACTGATGCCTGGTAAGCTAACACAGGATGAGAAAACTATACTTAGGAATTGCCACTATGCACTGCCAATGTTCTTTGTTTCCCTTGTGAATTTCCTTAGGTTTTGGTAAAACTCCTTCAGATAATTACAGCCTTTTTTTTTTCTTTCCAACTTTTATTTTAGGTTCAGGGGGTGCATGTGTAGGTTTGTTAGAAGGGTAAATTGTTTCTCATGGGGATTTGGTGTACAGATTATCTTGTCACCCAGGTAATGAGCATTAGCACCCGTAAGTAGTTTTTCAATCCTCTCCCTCCTCTCACCCTCCACCCTCGAGTAGGCCCTGGTGTCTATTGTCCCCTTCTTTGTGACCATGTGTACTCAATGTTTAGCTCCCATTTATAAGTGACAACATGCGGTACTTGGCTTTCTGTTCCTTTGTTGATTCACTTAGGAGCAGCCTTTCTTTTTTTTTTTTTTTTTTTTTTTTGTTGAGACAGAGTCTCCATCTGGTATGATTTCGGCTCACTGAAACCTCTGCCTTCCGGGGTTCATGCAATTCTCCTGCCTCGGCCTCCCAAGTAGCTGGGATTACAGGTGCCTGCCATCAATGCCCAGTTAATTTTTGTATTTTTACTAGAGACAGGGTTTTGCCATGTTGGCCTGGCTGGTCTCGAACTCCTGACCTCAGGTGATCCACCTGCCTCAGCCTCCCAAAGTGCTGAGATTACAGGCACGAGCCACCACCCCTGGCTAGTATTTGCCTTTCTGTTCCTGCGCTGATTCACTTAGGAACAGCCTTTCTTAAAACTGCTAAAGAATGAGGTGGGGCTGAAGGAGGTTGTAGAGGTGATGGCGGTGATGGGGGCTGGGGGGCAGAATGGCTCACCCTTGGGCTAAAGAGGAAGAAGTTGCCATGTTTGGCTTAACTGGGGCAAAAGTAAAAGACCCCAAAGCCTCAGAAACTAGAATAGCTGGTCAGGGAACTCCTGAGACTTGGCCCAGGTTGCATGCAGCTGGAACGGCATTGTTATCTAGATTCCAAAAGGGGCTAGCTCTTTTCTAGAAGGTCTGAGAGAGAGGACCCAGTCTAGGTGGAGGGCCAGAGCTGCTGTGAAAATTGGAGCTCAGAGGAGGCAGCTTAACTCAGTAGCAGAGCAGAAAGCACTGATAAGTTGCTTGCTCTCAATGGCGGCTCTGTCACTCATTAGTTGGGTGACCTTGGTGTGGTGGTCACGGTGATCCCCTTCAAGGAAGGATCCGTTGCTCCCTCTGCTATCGGCAGGGCTGTTGCGGACACCCTCAGCCCTTAGCAGCTCCAGAAAGTGCCTCATCAAGGTCATCGCTTTTTGGGGAAATCCCCATTTGTTGACCAGCTAGAGCTTAAAAATCCAACCATGTGTTGGCCCAACTCAGGACAACTCTGAAAAGCCAGTCTTGCTCCACAGCTTCCCGTGGGGATGGCTGAGGCTGTCTCAGAGCCTGCATCACAGCTCACTCCACCATCCACCCTCCCTCCCTTCTGCTCCCCCAATTCTTTCTCCTTCTTTCCAAGAGTACTTAACATCCTACAGGCTCAACTCTGCCTCAGGAGTCTCCTTCCCAGGGAGTGCACCTTGAGACACTTAAGTGAGTTCATTTGTCTCCCGGAGCCTGGCTTCCTTCACCTGTTGAGTAGGAGTGATGACGGCCCGCTGGAGGCTCGTTCTGCACATTCAGTGAGATGCTGTATGCTCCAGGTGAGCCGTGGGTACCTGGGAGTGATGCTTATTAGCACGTTCAGAGGCGGGAGCTTGCTGACTGGAAATGGCAGCAAGTTGCTGCAAGAGATTGTTTCACGCTTTCAACCTGCACCTAACTGAGTGTTTTGAGGCTCTGCTCGTTCCTCTGAAAGGTGTCCTGTGTTTACCGAAGTCTATCCTGCTGTGTAGTTCACCTGTAGTTCAGCTGCGCTAGCTCCCTGTGTGGCATGGCAATCAATGGGATGGTGACAGAAGCCCTCAGGGGAAGGGATGAGGTAGCTGGGTCCCCAGAATGGGGAGCCATCCCTGCAAGAGATGTTTCTCATATTTTTGAACCCCAGGGGCAGTGGCATCGTGTTAGGGCAGGGGAGCTGCTGTCTTCAGGGGGCCACAGCAGGACCGCAGTTTCTGAAAGCACCAGCACCATCTCTAATGCCTCCCAAGTCCCTTTGGCTGTGGTGGCAAATAGAATGTACCCTGGGCTTGAAGGAGAGAACACACCATTTTCCCTTTTTAGGAGGCCCTGGGGGATCCAGATGAACTTCTAACTCTTCTGGCCTTGGTGGGCTACTTTGTGGTGGGTAAGCACTGACTTAAAACAATTATTTTTATATTCCAGAAGTAATACAAAATTCACTCTCAGGCTGTTCATTGGAGAAAAATGTAAAAATACAGATAAATGCACATGAAAACAAAAAGGTAAAAGAAAAAATAATTCGTTAAAAAACATAATGTTTGGGGGCATACCTTTCCATCTGTTTTCTTTATAGTCACATGTCAATATGCAGCAGAGTCACATCATCTGACCCTTTAAAATATGTCAATTGCACTGTATACACTTTGCAGAGCAAGAGAAAACAGCTGAAATGATAGGGGTGATTTTGCCCACCAGTTCACTCAAGGAATGAACATGACATGGAAGCCACAAGTCTTCTATTTCCTCCGCTGCTTTCAATTCAAATGTCTCTCTCCAATCTTGCCAGGAGATACTAGTGTCTAGGGTACATATTTCTCACACAGTATGGCCCCTACATGTGAGCAAATTACTGCATCTGGGACTCACTCTGAGAAACAGTGACCTTGCTGTGTAGAATTTAGTGTTGAGTCTCTGCTATGTCGCTGTCCTGTGTTATTTTCAGAGGCAGTTTTGACTACTGGTGATTTCAATCTCTGATCACTTGTCTTTAGAAGGCACCCCCTCCAGAGGGTGCAGTTTCACTGCACATCGGTTTATGACACTTAGGATGTTTTCAATGTTCCAGTAGGAACTAAGATGCTGAGGTGAGCATCCTTTTTCATAACATACTGGCTTCTCTTGTTGAGTCATTTCTTTTTCTTTTCTTTTCTTTTTTAGAGATGAGGTCTCGCTATATTGCCCAGGCTGGTCTCGAACACGGCTCAAGTGATCTGCTCACATCAGCCTCCCAAAGTGCTGGAATTACAGGCATGAGCCACTGTGCCCAGCTGATTCCTGTCTTTAGACTACGTTTCTAGACATAGAATTGTGCCAATTCCCCCTCCAGAATGATGGGATCGGCATACATTCTTGCCAAGAGTGTAGGACCGTGCCTATTTTCCTATTCCTTGCCAACACTGAATATATCATTCAAAAAAAATCAGGGTGTGTGTGTTTTTTTAATATGCAACCCATATACTTGGCACATAATTCAAGCGCTATAAAAGCCTTTATGGTTAAAAGTAACCTTGTCATCTCTTCTCCCCTAGTCTCTCTTAATTTTCTTCCTGAGAGGCAATCCCTGTTAAAACTGTTTCTTGAGTCCCCTTCCAAAAAAACCCCAGGCACATGCTGTCCAATAGAGCAGCCACTAGCCACATGTGGCTATCAAGCTTTCAGCTCTTCCAAATTGAGATGTCCTGTAAGTATAAAATACACACTGGATTTCAAAGACTTAGTACAAAAACCAGAATGTAAAATGTTTCATTAATAACAGTTCATATGGATTACATGTTCAAATGATAATATTTTGGATGTACTGAGTTAAATAAAATATGTTATTAAAATTATTTTCACCGTTCCTTTTTACTTTAAAAAACTACGCCAGGCATGGTGGCTCACGCCTGTAATTCCAGCACTTTGGAAGGCCTAGGCGGGGAGGATCGCTTGAGCCCAGGAATTCAAGACCAGCCTGGACAACATAGTGAAACCCTGTCTCTACAAAAAATATTAAAACTAGTCAGCCATGGTGGCATGAGCCTGTAGTTCCAGCTACTTGGGAGGCTGAGGTGGGAGGGTTGCTTGAACCTGGGGGGTCGAGGCTGCAGTGAGCCTTGATCACTGCACTCCAGTCTGGGTGACAGAGAGAGACCCTGTATCCAAAAAAAAAAGGCTACTAGAAAATTTTGAATCACACCTGTGGCTTGCAGTATATTTCTATTGGCCAGAGCTAGTCTGTGCATATTGAAGTATTTGCTCCTAGGTCTTCCCCACCAACACCCCCCGCCACCTTTTTTTGAGACAAAGTCTCATTCTGTTGCCCAGGCTGGAGTGCAGTGGTGTGATCTCAGCTCACTGCAACCTCTGCCTCCCGGGTTCAAGTGATTTTCCTGCCTCAGCCTCCTGAGCAACTGGGATTACAGGTGTGCACCACCACGCCCAGCTAATTTTTGTATTTTTATTAAAGATGGGGTTTCACCATGTTGGCCAGGCTGGTACTGACCTCAGGTGATCTGCCTCCCTCGGCCTCCCAAAGTGCTGGGATTACAGGTGTGAGCCACCGTGCCCAGATCTTCCTCCCCTTTTATTTACTCTAACGCTGGCATCTCGGGCACACAGCAGAAGGAGCGCCCAACCAAGGCTGTGATTTGCACATTGTTAGGTGCTGCTGGGCAGCCTCGCTAGCCAAAGCTAAACCTGCATGAAGCTGGGTTGCAGGCAGAGATCAGCCGGCCCAGGCACCAGGGAAATTGCCCTGCTCTCCCCGGGCCAGGTCACCAGAGCTACTTGTCTCTTCCCAAGCTGGAGCCTCAGGGCGGCCGTGCTGTTTTGCCTTTGGAACATCTGTAACATCTGAAAACATCATGCCTTTTCTTTTTCTTTTTCTTTTTTTGCGATGGAGTTTCACTCTTGTTGTCCAGGCTGGAGTATAATGGTGCAATCTGGGCTCACTGCAACCTCCACCTCTCGGGTTCAAGTGATTCTCCTGCCTCAGCCTCCCGAGCAGCTGGGATTACAGGCATGCGCCACCACACCTGGTTAATTTCTTGTATTTTTAGTAGAGACGGGGTTTCTCCATGTTGGTCGGGCTGATCTCGAACTCTCGACCTCAGGTAATCCGCCCACCTCAGCCTTTGAAAGTGCTGGGATTACAGGCGTGAGCCACTGCGCCCAGCTCCATGCCTTTTCTTTAAAAACAAAACTTTTCAATCCATATTGTTCTCTGGGCCACTGCAAAGGAAAGGATGAGCCTTCCTATTTCTCTCTCACCCTGAAAGGTTTTGTTAGGCCGAGTCTCCTGCCTCCAGGGAGGTGAAGGTCGGTTTGGTCTAGGGATGTGAGGTGAGCTGTATGTGGAGACCTATGAAATGGAAAAACAAATGATTTTTTCATAATTGTCTTTGCTTTGCTGTGAGGTTACATTTTGTCCTCAAAAATACAAGCTATTGATTTTTCCCTCTGTATATACAAATCCATTTATAATCCTACTATTGCAGAAAAGTTAAAACTTTAAAAAAAAGGAAGAAAGAAAAACAATTTGGCTACCGGGGAAAACATACAGGAAACTAGAACATGTGAGGATTCCATTAAGTTCCAGGATTAAGCTGGGCTGGTTTGGAGTGTTAATGCAGAAAAGACTAGCAAGGAAAGATCAATGGAAACCATCTGCTTCTGCGAGAGGGCCAGGTGCCACCCTGACAGACGGGCCTGAGTGTGGGCCTGGCGCGGGGCCAACTGATGCACGGCCGAATGGCAGAGAGCAGAATCTCTCCCCAGCATGTGTGGCAGCCGCCCAAACACAGCCAAGTCATGGCTACTGAGGCCTGCAACTCCTGACCTCCTGCTTTCTGAGGCTGAATTCTGCAGGGTGCTTAGGGCGTTAAGTGGAGGCCACTCAAAGGAGGCAGGCAGGAGGAGGGCTAGTGTTGTTTAGGAAGGGGTTCACTTGAAAAGCATTCTTGGTCAGGCATGGTGGCTCACACCTATAATCCTAGCACTTTGGGAGGCTGAGGCAAGCGGATCACTTGAAGCCAGGAGTTTGAGACCAACCTGGGCAACACAGTGAGACTCCTGTCTCTACAAATCTTTTTTTTTTTTTGAGACGGAGTCTTGCTCTGTTGCTCAGGCTGGAGTGCAGTGGTGTGATCTTGGCTCACTGCAACCTCCACCTCCCAGGTTCAAGTGATTCTCCTGCCTCAGCCTCCTGAGTAGCTGGGATTACAGGTACGTGCCACCATGCCTGGCTAATTTTTGTATTTTTAGTAGAGACGGGGTTTCGCCATGTTAGCCAGAATGGTCTCGAACTTCTGACCTCAGGCGATCTACCCGCCTCAGCCTCCCAAAGTGCTGGGATTACAGGCATGAGCCACTGTGCCCGGCCACTAATAGACATCTTTTAAGTGTTTTCACAAAAAAGGGTAAATATGTGAGGTGATGAATAGGGCTTGATTAGGAGGATGATTTCACAATGTATACTTACATCAAAACATCATGTTGGCTGGGCGCAGTGGCTCACACCTGTAATCCGAGAACTTTGGGAGGTCAGGAGATCGAGACCATCCTGGCTAACACGGTGAAACCCTGTCTCTACTAAAAATACAAAAAAGTAGCCGGGTGTGGTGGCGGGTGCCTGTAGTCCCAGCTACTCGGGAGGCTGAGGCAGGATAATGGCGTGATCCTGGGAGGCGGAGCTTGCAGCAAGCCGAGATCACGCCACTGCACTCCAGCCTGGGTGACAGAGCAAGACTCTGTCTCAAAGAAAAAAAAAAAAAAAAAAGAAACAAAAAAACCCCATCATGTTGTACACCTTAAATAAATACAAGGTTTATTTGTCAATCATACTTTGATAAAGCTGGGGGAATATTTCCCTTGATCTTTGGCCTATTAACTGTTTTGAGAGGTGAGGGCAGAAAGTAGTGGCTTGGCATTAGCTTGGTGTTTCCAGTGAACATTTTCTCTCAGTCAAAATGGATGCATATGTCAATAATGCATCTTCCTTTTCAAGAAAATGATTTTTTTTTTTTTTGAGACGGGGTCTCACTCTGTCACCCAGGCTAGAGTGCAGTCGCACAACCATGGCTCACTCACCCTCGACGTCCCAAGAGCAGTGATCCTCCTGCTTCAGCCTCCCCAGTAGCTGGGACTACAGGCACGCAACACCATGACTGGCTAATTTTTGTAATTTTTTGTAGAGACGGGGGTTTTGCTGTGTTGCCCAGGCTGGTCTTGAACTCCTGGACTCAAACAGTCTACCCATTCTCTTCTTCCAAAATGCTGGGATTACAGGCGTGAGCCACTGTGCCTGGTGAAAATGATTCTAATCCATCCCGACCCATGGCAGTACGTGTGGATGGCCACGAGTCTCACCCCTCCTTTCATCCGTGCCCTTTGTCATGTGACTCTGCAGTGCCTTCCCATAGCAGGTACGTTGATCTAACCCTGCTCTGGACATTGTCTCAGGCACGTGTTTTGCTTTGGCCAATGGGCTATTAGCAGGCATGACCCAGAGGCTCGAAGTGGCTCATGCATTGGAGCTTGCTCTCTCTTAGGCCTCTGCCATCTCCATGATATTTTTAAATTTTTTATCTATTGATTTAAAGAGACAGGATCTTGCTCTGTCTCCCAGGGCTGGAGTGCAGTGGCACAATCACAGCTCACTGCAGCCTCAACATCCTGGCCTCAAGGATCCTCCTGCCTCAGCTTCTGGAGTAGGTGGGACTACAGGCGTGCACCACCATACCAGGCTCCATCTCCATGAGAGTATGTCCTGGCTAGCCTGCTGGATGATGAGAAACATTTAGGGCAAAGCTGAGTTGAAGCTTGATCAGCCATCATCCAGCTGCCTCCCAAACATGTGAGCAAGTTCAGGTGAGATCAGCAGAGTCACCTAACCAACCATCCAGATCCACCAACACTCACTGTTGTATGCTCTGAGCTGAGTTGTAGCAGAAGCTAATTGATACATCCAACAGGCTAGAGGCCCTGAATTCGCCTTGGGTATACATGGGAAGGAGAAATTGGCTTTTCACATGCTTTCCAGCCAATGCTGCCCCACTGATAATATGTGTAGAGGAATTGGTACAAATTTGTCTCCCATTGCAGGAGGCCCAACAGCAGAATCCTGGAGATTTCAGGGACCCAGGGCCACAGATTATGCCATTTTGGAACTATGTATGACTTTATAATATGATCACCTACAAAACCTTAAGGGCCCCTTTATAAAAATGTTCAAAAATCACATGTGGGCAAAAAGCTCCGTATATGTAACTAGAGCCAGCTAATGTTTGTTTTAGAAACTTTCCTATTTCCTGACTTGCAAAAGTTCGCCCTTGCAGACTCAGCAGGGTAATAACACTGGTATCTGCATTAATGTCCTATGTCTATAACTAGAATCTCTTGTATCCACATAGAAGTAATTGTAGTAGTTCTCACAGCAGGGTCATAATTCTTAAATACTTAAAATATTATGTATGTTGTCTCTCCTGATGAATGGAACATTTTTTCATCTCGCTGTTAACAAACTTAGATTCTCTCAAGTGATTGAAAAGCACTTTGCAAGCCTAAAGTTCTATAAAAACTCTAAGTGATAGCAACAATAAAACCTTATTAGCCATTTCGGGCTCTGAATCAAGATTTTCAATTCTTGGCATCTAATTAAACGTTTTACATTCTAAAGGAACACGTAGCATTATACCTCACTCCAAACGCTTCCTTTCCTGATTGGGATTAGAAAATTGGTCAAGACTTTGTAAGAGGCACACAAATGCAACTCTAAATAAACATGTCTTTGGTATTGCTTTCAAACATTACAAGCCTCAGTCCTGGCTAATGTTGCTAGCTGCTGGTAGGCCTTGGGGTTGGGGGAAGTCAGTTCGAAAGCCATTGTTTTGGGATAATCTATGATGTCATTGTTGCTTTAGGGGCATTATCTTGTTAGAGGCTCACACCTATATTATGAGGCAGGTAGAATATTATCCTTACATTATCCATTTTTTTTTTTTTTTGAGATAGGGTCTTGCTCTGTTGCCTAGGCTGGAGTGCAGTAGCACAATCACAACTCTGCAGCCTTGACCTCTTGGGCTCAAGCGATCCTCCCACCTCAGCCTCCCTAGCAGCTGGGACTACAGGCATGCACCACCACACTTGGCTAATTTTTGAATTTTTTGTAGAGACGGGGTTTTGCCAGGTTGCCCAGGCTGGTCTCGAACTCCTGGGCTCAAGTGATCTGCCTGCCTTGGCCTCCCAAAGTGCTGGGATTACAGGGCTGAGTCACTGAGCCTGGCCTATCCTTAATTTATGGAAAAATGAGATACAAGGGCCAGCAAAAACCTACGAGTTGAGGCTTCAAACTCATCGGCCTTAGAAACCGAAGCGCTCTGCTACAAAATCCTAGATTCTCATATGCCTTGTTCTGCAACTCTCTTGATGTATAATCTATGCCAGCTCTGTCCAATACGGTTGCCTAAACTGTATTGTGATTAGTCCAATAGAATGGGCAATGGGGCTAGTCCAATCTGAGATGTACTATGTCAGATACACCAGATGTTAAAGACAGTATGAACAAAAAGAATTTAAAATACCTTATTTTCATGCTGATCACATATTGAAATGATCCTATTTTGGACACATTGGGTTAAGTAAAGTATATTGTTTTGGTCAATTTCACCTGTTTCTTTTTTACTTTTGTGTATATAGCTGTTAGTATTGGAGATTACATATGTGGCTTGAATTCTATGCCTATTGGGCAGGGCTGCTCTATAGGAAGAGAGGTAGAAAAGGTCAATGGTGGGATAAAGCAGTCCAGTGGACAACCTTCCAGGCCTGTCTCCAGGTTGAAGGAACTGAGTGGGGAAATTATTCCTTAGAATTAAGCAGCAAATGGGCTTGAAAACCAAATACAGCCATGCTCTTTGGATTGGAGTCGAGAGCTATAGACCGTGTCCCAGCACCGCCTGCTAGCCTGCCATGGTGAGCAGCCACTTCCAGCATGAATACATCTTTGTGACTGGGTTCTTGGGCCTTTTTGGGTTCCTTGGTGGGTCTAGTTGCCAAGAGCTGGTGGAATCTATAGTGAGCAGCTGAGAGAAAATGACCACAAAGAGAGGTAGCACAAAACACAGTTCTGTGGCTCTCGGACAACCTCCTGACAGTTCAGAAAAGGTACTGAACTTTCTCAGGGTCCCTGTTGCATGCTGGGCTTTCCGGGAAGTAGGACTCTGAAGTGGACTTTAGTGTGCGGGAGGTTTATTAGGGAGAGCCTGTGGGATCCATGACTGAGGAAGGGAAGAGAAGAAAGCAAGAGTGGGCAGAAGGAGAAGTCGAGCTATGATGCAGTCTTTAGGGAAGTCTTAGCCCACTCTATAAGGAGGTTGAAAGATTGAATGACCCTTGGAGCTGTCCCAAGATGGAATAAGAGGGCCGAGCCTTAATTCCCCCTTGTCAATCAGTCATCAGATGTGGGCTATCCTGGGAAAAGATGCGGCCCTGGCCATAGCTAAGGGCCTGATGGGGATGGGGGAAGGGTGTCTGCTGGTGGCATTCTTTGAAGCTAGGGGAAGAAGTCCTTCATTCCAAAAAAAGGGACACAGCTGGCGTCTGAATCTGGGTCCCCTAACTCCTTGTCCAGCACTGATTCTCCCATTCTGCCCAACCAGAGGATCCAAGCTGTTGTTCAGAGCAGGACATTTATACAAGGCCAAACCAGAATAATCAGGATCTGGAGCGAGAAAGGCACTTTGCAGAGGAAACAGACTGAGATTTCTAATTCTGCTCCTCTTTGCAAAAGTGCCCATTGTCTCACGGGACGTGTCAATCCTGGAGCAGTCAAGGATCATGGGAGGCTTACTAAGGATGCAGCCAAGATCTGCTGTGAGTGTGGGCCAGTGAACTTTGCTGTGTCCTCTTACACAGATGGCTCTCTAACCTCAGCCAGCAGTGTCATCAATCTAAGAAGGCAAACACGACTCATCAAAATAAACATGGTCATCTCAACTGCTGGAGAGGCAGGAGCTCCTGTACCTGTACACTCAGGAGAGCAGCGTGGTTGCTCTTGAGCTGTGTCCTTTGCCTCTCATTTTTGGCATGGTTTCCCAGCAAGAGGCCCCCGCTCATATACCAAGTACATGTTCAGGTCAAGGGCCCTCAGTGATGGCAAAACTCTCAAAAGGGGTTAGGAAGGTGATCAGTTGTTGTGGCTGCCCCGTGCTTTCTGGGGGGTGTGTTCTGAGCAAATAGTGTTGGCCTACAGGGCTGTCAAAATCTTGGGAGGCAGGTAGGAGAGAAGGGGGCAATGGTGTCCAAAACCAGCTTGGAAAATGAAGGATTGGATCCAGCAAGGCTGACTCTTCTATTTCTGTCATTGTTTTTCTTAGGCAAGTTGCCCATTTTTGTTATGGTTAACATAGGAGTAATTCAGCCTTCGCAGGGCCCCAGCAAAACCAGATGGAACCATATCTCTCCTGGACAGACGGGGGTCGAAGCTGGTTTTTCAGATAAAACTCTGTACAGAGCCCTGAGGGAGGGGGTATGGAGAAACACACGCGAAATAGAAGCCGAGTAATGAAAGCTCCAAGCAGAGCAGCACGTAATCAGACAATTATTGAACTAAGACTATAGCTTTAAGTCCTGAAACTTCTGGGTCAGAAAATTCTTCTAATAATAGTTAATAAGAACATAATCCTTAACTATAAGAAGCAGGGAAAGTTGTCTAGAAGACGAACTGCAGGTTACAGCTGAGTTAACAAACAAAAACGCAGATTTGTGATGACTTTAACCAAAAAGAATGGAACAATAGTAAACGCACTGAGGCTTGGAAAAGGGGAGAAAGCACTGGCAGGAAACAGGAAAAACCCGCTTTGCTTTGATTAGCTCTTAATGAGTTTTTGACTGAATGTAGAGCACACTCTTTTACCACCATCTTGTGGCCAAATACAGAACTGCAACCTACTTAGAAGGGTCTTTATCTCCCCTTCGTCTTTTTCTTTTCTTTTCTTTTTTTTTTTTAAAGAGACCATGGATACTGCTAACCCCCTCCTCTTTTTCTATTTGCCATTCTTGTGCCTCAGTCCCCAAAGTGGAAGCCGAGTGATTGGATTTGCCCCACCGTTTCACCTCTGTGGATTCCAAGTCCCAGCTCTATTACATGATAGAACCATAGCCTTTTTTACCTCCATCAAGGCCCTTGGCCCTTTCTTCCCCCCACCAAGAGATACACCTCCCAGCATGACCGCCTGTGGAAATGTGTGTGCTGTGTGGTGTGTACCACACATGTCAGGGGTGACACTTGATGAGGACCCAGGCAAAGTGGGGCCAGGAACTTACACAATTTTGAAATTCCACTTTAAGTAACAGTATATAGGATTCCAGGTACACACTTTAGTATGAAAAGAAATCACAAGAAATTCTGAATTTTGAACAGTTGACAAGTACCCTAAACCTCACAAAATTCAGACAATATGACAACATGTTTTTATTAATTAACTGCCTAACACACCTCTATAGCAGTTTTTAATCTTGCCATTTTTGGCTGCATACTGGTTGATCAATCTTCAGTGGGATCAATGATTCCAAAAATGTGTGTGTGTGTGTATATATGTATATATACACACACATTTAATACATTTAATATATATATTATATAGTTCATCTGAAATTAGGGCATATAAGGGCAATTCAAATGCCTTCTTAAATTTCCTCTACATTGTGCAGGGCTACGTAATTATGTAATCGAATTACTCTTATGGGATAAAAATTGACTCGTTGATAAATATGTTTCTTTAGGGCATTTTGCTGTGTCAGTGGCAATTTGGCCTGCCGTTTCATCTGGAACTGCCAGACTTCATCAGGACAAGGGACATCAGGTACTCCAAGATGCAGTCCAATTCACTGGGCTGGATAAAACATGTGACTTCACACACAGACCTGCTTTCTGTTTTTTGTACTGATGTAGGTTTGTGCCCTATAAACCAGGAATTCTGATCCATTCTATTTCACATACATTCCATCAGAAAAGAAAAATATATGGTACGTTCATAATTGTATACATTGCATCACCGAATATATTTCAGACAGGGGAGTATTTCCGTTTTGTCTAGGCTTGGATGGCAACTGAATCCTCTGCTTACAAGTTTTCATGCCTGAATTTTCCACAGAGTAGTTTCTGACTCCATACTTTTCAAACCTTGTTTCTCTTCCACTATACTTCTGGTTCTGGACACCATAAGATGGATTTACACTGAGATCTAACCTCTGGGCCTGAACCAACTGGAAAGTCGATCCAGTGGGTGGTGAGAGTTTCCCAGAAGCCATGCTGACACTGGGATAGCTAGTAATGTCTTAAAAGTACACATAAAAGGCCAGGCACGGTGGCTCACACTTGTAATCCCAGCACTTTGGGAGGCTGAGGCAGGCGGATCACCTGAGGCCGGGAGTTCGACACCAGCCTGGCCAACACGTTGGAACCCTGTCGCTACTAACAATATAAAAATTAGCCCGGTGTGGTGGCACAAGCCTGTAATCCCAGCTACTCGGGAAGCTGAAGCAGGAGAATTGCTTGAACATGGGAGGCGGAGGTTGCAGTGAGCCCAGATGGCGCCATTGCACTCTACTGTGGGTGCCAGAGCGAGAATCTGCCTCAAAACAACAACAACAACAACAACAAAACAGTACACACAAAATATTCCACTAAACCTAACTTAAATATATCCTCAACTCAACTTCCCCTTAGCTGGATATGTATTAAAAAAATCCCCCAGTCACTCCAATGCAACCTGATCTGAGGGTGAGTATGGCCACCAGGAAGTAGGAGTAAAAGGCAACAGTGGTCACAGACAGATAGACATCTAGATAGACAGATAGATGATAGATGAATGGGTAGATAAATAGATAGGTAGCTAGATAGATAAGCTACCTTCTTCCTTCAAGAATCTTGCAGACATGGCTGGGCATGGTGGCTTGCACCTGTAATCTCAGCACTTTGGGAAGCTGAGGGAGGAGGATCAGTTGAGCCCAGGAGTTCAAGACCAGCCTGGGCGACATAGGGAGACCCTGCCTCTATTACAAAATTAAAAAAAAAAAAATTAGCCAGGTGTGGCGATGTGTTCCTATGGTTCCAGCTACTCAGGAGGCTGAGTCAGGAGGATTGCTTGAGCCTGGGAGGTCGAGGCTACAGTGAACCGTGATCACACCACTGCACTCCAGCCTGAACAGCAGAGTGAGACCCTGTCTCAAAGAAAAAAAAAGAAAAGAAAAAAGAAAGGAAAAAGAAAGAAGTTTGCAGACCAGTTGAGCATTTAAAGATGGCATGTAAATACCTATGGTACAAGACAGAAAGTGAGGAGAGCCTTAGAAAGGATAAAGATAAACAAAAGCAGAAACAATAATGAAAAACTACCAATCATTGAATGCTTACTGTTGTGGTCTGAATGTGTCCCCCAGAATTCATTTGTTAGAAGTTTAATCCCTATGCAAGAGTGTTGGGAGGTGGGGCCTTTGGTGAAATATTTAGGTCATGAGGGTTCTGCCTTCGTGAGTGAATTAATGCCACTATAAAAAGGGTTAGTGGGAGTGGGTTCACTCTCTTCTGCTCTTCTGCCACATGAGGACACAGAGTTCCACAGAGTTCATTCTTTTTTGTCTTTCCACTTTCTGCCATGTGAAGACACAGTATTCCTCCTCTCTGGAAGACACAGCAACATGGCACCATCTTGGACCAGAGACCAAACCTGCCAGCACCTTGATCTCGGATGTCCCAGCCTCCAGAACTGCAAGAAATCAATGTCTGTTCCTCATAAATTACCCAGTCTGTGACATTCTTTTATAGCAGCACAAAGGGGACTAAGACACTTACTGTGTGCCATATCATTTTCTAAGCATTTTACACCTATAGTTTCTTTTAAACCTCAGAGCAACTCTACCGAGTAGGTACTATTATTTTTTATGTTTCCGAGAAGGAGTCTCGCTTTGTTGCCCAGGCTGGAGTGCAGTGGCACAATCTTAGCTCACTGCAACCTCCACCTCTTAGGTTCAAATGATTCTCTTGCCTCAGCCTCCCGAGTAGCTGGGATTGCAGGTGCTCGCCACCATGCCCGGCTAATTTTTGTATTTTAATAGAGACAGGGTTTCACCATGTTGGCCAGGCTGGTCTCGAACTCCTAACTTCAAGTGATCCACCTGCCTTGGCCTCTCAAAGTGCTGGAGTTATAGGCATGAGCCCCTCGCCCAGCCTGGTACTATTATTAACAGACCATTTTACAGATGCAGAAACTGAGGCTGAGAGAGGTTTCATGAGTTATTCAAGGTTATGTGGCTAGCGGATGGCACAGCCTGGGATCAGGGAGACTTACTTGTAGGAGGCTGGGTGACTCTCAGAATAGCTGGCTTTAGGGACAGTGATGCCATTTGCTGAGATGGGGAATGTAGGAGAATACAGAAAGGAGTATAGCAGGAGAAGCTGGCTTAGGAAAATGGTGAGGAGCTCAGTCCTGCCATGATGATTTGAAGTGTCTGTGGGACATTCACACAGAGATGGTGGGAGATAGTTGGATATATGAGTCCAGAGTTCAACACAGAGATAGAGAGAGAGATCTGGATGGGAAATGGACAGTGTGGGTCATTCCTGTGTAGTGGCAGTCAGCTCCAGAGGAATGACAGGTCTTCTCAGCTGTGTTGGCTGCAAGAACAAGCCAGGCTGTCAACCCTGGAAGTGGGCAGGGGAAGAAGGAATGGCCAGAGGGGAAGCAGAAAAGTGTTTCAGGGAGTTGAGGGAGGAAAGTGTTTCAAAAAGCGCTCATGGTCACAGTGGTACACTGTGCAGATAAAGTTTGGGTCATCTGGATTTAACAGCAAGAAAGTCCTGGTGTCTGAGTCTGAGTTGTTCCAGAAGCAGATCTCAAGAGAAGGGCTTGAGAGCAAACAGATTTAGATTTTAGGAGATTCAGAGAATATGGGCTTGGGAATGGGGGTGTGAGACAGGAGAGAGAAGCCAGCAATAAAGGGAGTGTCACCAAGCCAGTTCCCACTGCAGGCAACTGGCGCTCAGTCCCAAGGGGGACCTCTGAGAGACAGTGTGGAACACAGAGCTCAGTTCTGTCACAGGCTAGGTTCTCAACAGGCAGAAACTGAAATGGAGTTTGGCATGCAAGATTGTCATTAGGAACGTCTGTAGGAGGAGGAGGAAGTGGGGTTGGGCAGAGGGAGGGTTGAATTGCAAAACTGGCCTGTTGAAGCCTGGAGTCATCGTGGGGAACGCTGAAGTGCGTCTGGCCTGCCAGTGCTGTCTTGGAGTGGGATGAAATGACTAGTCATTGGCTGTGGGCTACCCCGGGGGGAGGAAGTGCCTATGGGTGAGATGGTTCTTGGCAGCTGGATGGAGACTGTCTGCTCAACTGGGGCAACGAATACCTCCTTGGAGGGGAACCTGGCGGGCTCATCTCTGTGCCCACCGCATTAGCCTACTTCGGAGGTTGAGGAAGCTGCGGTATTTATACACCTGAGAATCATCAGTTGAAGTTGGCCCTGCTGCTCTGTTGTACACACAAGCAGTAGCGCTCCACGGCTTCACGCAGATAGCAGCAATCGGAAGCAGCAGGGGCACACGAAGAGGTCAGGCCTGAGCCGTGTGGGTGGGGCGCCCCCAGGTGGATGAGAGTAGTTTCAGTGAAGCACTGCTGGTAGGGAGGAAGCCAGCTGTGGTTTTGTCTCTGCTGTGCGACTTTCACTCCTGTGGCCATGGCTGATTGATCCATGAGAAGACACCGGACCCACAGTGGGCCAATCAGAACCCTTCCCTGGGATTTTCAAACTGCAACTAATGAAGGCAAACAAGTTGAACCTTCCCTGGGGGTGGGAGCCACAAGATAGAAGGCTCTGGAGAAGCTAGGAGTCGCATGGAGGAAAGAATGCCATCACTCCAAACAGAGAAGCTCGGAGAAGAGAGAGTGTGGGGGCCACAAGAAAAGAGTCTCAGGGGATCCTGGTGGCCCAGCTGCACCTCTTCCCGTCTTCTCTTCCCACAGCCCTGAGGTATTCCCAGCATCCTGCCAATAAAACCCCTCATTGTGCTAAGCAAAGCTGGGCTGAGTTTCTGGTTCTTGGAGAGGTGAGTTGGCCGGTAGAGTTAAGGAATCAGTGGGATGGAAGAAAATATTGCGAGTTCAGATGACTTCTAAAGAGCTGACAATGAAGAGGGCAGAGAGAGAGAGGGGCAGGGAGAGAGGGAGAGAATGCAGAAACTAGATGAGAACACAGGGTCAAGGAAGGGTTTTTTATTTTATTTTATTTTTTTAAGATGTGGAAAACTTAAACATGTTTATGTGCTGAGGGTAAAGAGCCAGTAAAAGCAGCATAAATCATAACAACAGAATGTACTAAAGCGAGGCAGAGAGACAAAGCTATAAAAGCTTTAAAGATAAAGAAAATACGCCCTCAATAAAAATGAGGAGAAAAAGCAGAAGGGACACAGCCCTCTCAGTGGAAGGCAGGCGTTGATTGTGGCCTGAGCACCCATAGTGAACACACATGGTCCCGGCAACCGCTTACTCTGGAGACAGAGGACAGTTCAAAACCCTTAGACTCTTGCTTCTTTCATCTCCTAGAGGCTTATCCAGGGCACTCGAAAGGGGCCCTTTAGAAGCAGTTATCCAGTGATGAGGAGGTGACATGTTCATTCAATCCTGTACACATAGCCTGGGGTGCTGACTCAAGACCACAGTTGAGAAGATGCTGCTGGAGAATCTGAGATGGAAGATGTGGGAGAGAAAGGAGCTGACTGCTGGGCTGATGTCCCTACATCATGGAGGAGGTGGCATCCAGAGCAAAGGAGATTAACCACAGATCAGAGGCTTGCCATGAGACAAGAGGGAAGGGAGAAAGCTTGTGTGTTGGTGGGGTGGAGGACAGGAAAGGGACTCCATTTTCTTTGTAGAGTCAAAAGCAAGGGCATCTGGAGAGTTATCAGGAATGGGTTAGATGTATTATTTAGGAGGGATTTTGACTTCAGGTAACCAAACACCCAACTAACAGTGGCTTAAATCTCTACTGCTTAGCTAGCAAGAAGTCTGGAGGTAGACAGTTCCAGGGCTTGTCCACAGTTCATTGGTTGCATTGAGGCGTCAGCTCTGTCAGCCACTTTGCTGTGCCGTCCTTAGCTATTTCTGCCTATGCTTGCCAACTCGTGGTGTCAAGATGGCTGCTGCTGCTCTAGGCATCAAGTGCCTGTTTAGGATAGGAAGCCATGGACAGTCAGGTGGTGAAAAAACTTCTCCTCACTGCTTTTTATTTTTCCTTTTTATTATAAAGGAAGAAAAATTCTCTTCAGGAGACTCCCAGGAGACTTCCCCTTATTAGCCAGAACTGGGTCACAATCCCATCACAGAGAGTATTACCTGAAGTTAAAAGATTTTTGCCTAATACCCAAACAAAACTGGATTCTGTTAGCTGAAAAGAGGTGGAGGTATATCTTGAGCAGACAGCCCTAGGGTCTGCTACAATGAGATAGGGAGCTTGAGCAGAGGGAAATCATTTTCAAATAGTCATGGAAGAGAAAGGAGAGAAAGAGATCATTGCCCAACGATAGTAAAGTCCGGCTGGGGGGGTGAGGCCCCGTGTAAGGGGTGCAGCACAGCCCTGGAAAAAGTCAGCAATGCCGATCTCTATCAGATGCCCCCAAAACCCTGCAATATTGAATGATCAAATTGCAAATAGAGTCTCATCATATATGACCAACACTCGGGGTCCAGGTGCAGGGAAAAGAAATCACTCCAGTTATTTTAAGCAGAAAGGGATTTAATTCTGGTGATCGTGTTTTAGTCCGTTCAGGCTGCTATAACAAAACACCATAAACAAGTTACCTTATAAACAATAGAAATTGATTTCTCACACTTCCAGAGGCCGGGAAGTCCAAGATCAAGGCTCCTGCAGAATCAGTGTCTGGTGAGGGCCCACTTCCTGGTTCATAGATGGTGTCTTCTCACTTTGTCCTCACATGGCAGAAAGGGCAAGGTAGCCCTCTGGGGTCCCTTTTATAGGGGCACAAATCCCATTCATGAGGGTTTCACCCTCATGACCTAGTTACCTCTCAAAGGCCCTATCTCCTAATACAATCATCTTGGGGGCTAGGATTTCAACACCAGAATTTTGAGGGACAAAAACGTTCAGTCTGTTGCAACTGAGTATTTGCAAAATTGGTGTATAGAAGGGAAGATGAGGCTTTGGGATGGCCCCCTAATAATGACTATCAGAGTGACAGCACACACTACTTGCCTGCTAGGGGAGCGACTCTACCTCTACCTCAATCAGGAAGGTGGGAATTAGAAGGCTCTATGGGGACTGGTGACTTCAAGAGCATGCTGCTTTAGCGGGGACCTAGGGATCAGGAAGACACTCATGCTGTTGCTGCAACTGCCAGTTGACACTCATTAGGCTAGTGTTGGACACTGGAAGATTGCTGCAGAAACTCACTGGCCCTACAATCATGCTTGTCAATGGGACATGGCCTCCGCCTTGCCCCACCTTCCAAATCATCTGAAAGAGCATCTAGTTGATAGACTTGAATTCACAACCAGAACCCTAGCTCCAAGAGGGTCTGGTAAGTGCAGATTTTAGCTCTCCAGGCTCTGCAGTAGAGGAAAGTGTAGAGAAAGAGTGGGGGGATGGATGTCAAGAGAGCAAACCCACCACATCTGCTACAACTCTACTAACTATTCCTGGTCCTGAGGCTGCTCTGAAGAGCACTTTCATACTTCAGATCACATAAAGCTTTCATGAATGTTTCTTTTCCTTTTTTTCCCTCCCCCTGCCCCCACCTCCACCTTTTTTTGAGACAGGGTCTTGCTCTGTCACCCCGGCGGGGGCGCAGTGGTTCAAACTCAGCTCACTGCAACCTCTGCCTCCCAGGCTTAAGCAATCCTCTCACCTTAGCCTCCCGAGTAGTTGGGACCAGGAGCATGCACCACCATACCTGGCTAATTTTTTTTGTATTTTTAATAGAGACAGGGTTTCACATGTTGCCCAGGCTGGTTTCAAATTCCTGGACTCAAGCAATCCACCTGCTCAGCCTCCCAAAATGTTAAGATTACAGGTGTGAGCCACTATGTCCAGCCCCTTTTTATTTTTAACTGTGCTGAAGAAAACCCACATAACATAATATTTACTACCTTAAACATTGTTAAGTGTATAATTTAGTAGTGTTAAGTATATTTACGTTGTCATGAAATAGGATCTCCAAAACTTTTTCATCTTGCAAAACTGAAACTCTATACCCCTTAAACAACAACTCCCCACTTCCCAACCAACTCCTGACAAACAACATTCTACATTTTGTTTCTGTGAATTTGACTACTCTACATATCTTATATAAGTGGAATCATACAGTCCTGTTTTTTTGGTGACTGGTTTCTCTTTGGTAATTGATTCTTTAAAAAGAATCAGGCTAGCATTACAGTTCTTTTAGGATTTGCCTAGCAGGTTTTTCGGTTTTTACTGGAAAGCCCCATCTCCCCCTAAATCAGGCTATCAAAATTTGCAATGAACAAATAGGACCCAGCTTATATTACAAATCTTTGCTGTGATGAGCTGAAACAGGAATATTCTACAATGTCAATAACATAGCTACAATGCAGCAGCCCAAAGGCACCCCTTTAAGCAGATTTTATAATAATGTACATATTTTTTGTAACCAAGAATGAGCATGAAGTTCTCAAAATGAGTGGTCCGGGAATCCCTTGCTATAGACGGGAGAATGCTACAGTCTCAGTGAATAGCATGTCTAGCATGGGGTCAGCATACACTGTGTGGTAGGTGGAATTCTGAGATGGCCCCCAAGATTCCCACCCCCAGAAGCACACGCCCTATAGATTCCCCTCCGCTTGGGTATGGGTGGGACTCATGAATACGATGGCACATCACTTCTGTGATTAGGTTATGCCTTATTGCCAGGTTGACTTTTTTTTTTTTTGAGACGGAGTCTCTTTCTATCACACAGGCTGGAGTGCAGTGGCACAATCTTGGCTCACTGCAACCCCCATTTCCTGGGTTCAAGAGATTCTCCTGCCTCAGCCTCCCAAGTAGCTGGGATTACAGGCACATGCCGCCATACCTGGCTAATCTTTTATTAGTAGTAGAGACGGGGTTTTACCATGTTGACCACGCTGGTCTCGAATTCCTGACCTCAGGTGATCCACCCGCCTCGGCCTCCCAAAGTGCTGGGATTACAGGTGTGAGCCACCACACCTGGCCAGCTTGACTTTAGGAAAGGGAGATTATGGCCAGGCTCTGTGATGCACACCTGTACATCCAGCACTTTGGGAATCTGAGGTGGCAGACCAGCCTGGGCAATGTGGCAAAAGCCCATCTCTACAAAAAATACAAAAATTAGCTGGGCCTGGTGGTGTGCACCTGTAGTCCCAGCTACTTGGGGGGCTGAGGTGGGAGGATCGCTTGAGCCTGGGAGGCAGAGGCTGCAGTGAACTCTGATCATGCCACTGCACTCCAGCCTGGGCAACAGTGAGACCCTGTCAAGAAAAAGAAGGAAAGAGAGAGAAAGAGAGAAGGAAGGAAGGAAGGAAGGAAGGAAGGAAGGAAGGAAGGAAGGAAGGAAGGAAGGGAAAGAAAGAAGAGAGAGAAAGAAAGAAAGGGAGGAAGAAAGAAAGGAAGGGAGAAAGAAAGAAAGATTGGTTACCCTGGGTAGTTCTGACCTAATCAGGCTAATCCTTAAAAGAAGTTGGGCTCCTCCTAAAGTGAGGGATTCAACAGTTGAGAGACATTTGATGTCAAGGAGATTCTGTTAATGGCATTGAATGTGCTGGACCTACCTGAAAGAGGCCTCGAGAAGCTGAGAGTGACCCCTGACTGACTGCCAGAAAGAAAATGGGCACTACAATCCTACACCTGCAAGAAACTGAATTCTGCCAGAAACTTTTTTTTTTTTTTGAGATGGAATCTCGCTCCTTCACCCAGGTTGGAGTGCAGTGGTGCAATCAGCTCACTGTAGCCTCTGCCTCCCGGATTCAAGTGATTCTCCTGCCTCAGCCTCCTGAGTAGCTGGGACTACAGGTGCACGCCACCAGGCCCAGATAATTTTTGTATTTTTAGTAGAGGTGGGGTTTCACCACGTTGGCCAGGCTGGTCTCAAAGTCCTGACCTCAAGGGATCCACCCACCTTGGCCTCCCAAAGTGCTGGGATTACAGGCATGAGCCACTGCGCCCGGCCTATTTTATCTAATATTGATAATATTAGAACATATTTCTAATATTAGATATTTCTAATATTAGATAATATTAGAACATAATTCTTTTTTTAGGAAAATATTTTACTATTAATTAATTTATTTAGTTTTGTTTCAATAGTTTTTTGGGGTACAGGTGGTTTTTGTTTACATGGATAATTTCTTTAGTGGTGATTTCTGAGATTTTGGTGCAACCATCACCCAAGCAGTGTACCCTGTACCCAGTATGTAGTCTTTTATCCCCACCCCCCTCCCGTCCTTCCCCTCGAGTCCCCAAAGTCCATTATATCATTCTACGGCTTTGCATCCTCGTAGCTTAGCTCCCACTTATAAGTGAGAACATACGATATTTGGTTTTCCATTTTTGTGTTACTTCACTTAGAATGGCCTCCAGCTGCATCCAAGTTGCTGCAAAAGCCATTATTTTGTTCCTTTTTATGGCTGAGTAGTATTCTGTGGTGTATATATACCACATTTTCTTTATCCACTTGTTGGTTGATGGGCATTTAGGCTGGTTCCATATTTTTGCAATTTCGAATTGTGCTGCTATAAACGTGTGCGTGTGTCTTTTTCACATAATGATTTCTTTTCCTTTGGGTAGATACCCAGTACTGGGATTGCTGGATCAAATAGTAGTTCTACTTTTAGTTCTTTAAGAAATCTCCAGCTGCGCTCGGTGGCTCCTGCCTGTAATCCCAGCACTTTGGGAGGCTGAAGCAGGCAGATCACGAGGTCAGGAGACTGAGACCATCCTGGCTAACACAGTGAAACTCCGTCTCTACCAAAAATACAAAAAATTAGCCAGGCATGGTGGCGGGTGCCTGTAGTCCCAGCTACTCGGGAGGCTGAGGCAGAATAATGGCCTGAATCTGGGAGGCAGAGCTTGCAGTGAGCCGAGATCATGCCACTGTACTCCAGCCTGGGTGACAGACCGAAACTCCTTCTCAAAAAAAAAAAAGAAATCTCCGCACTGTTTTCCACATTGGTTGTACTAGGTTACATTCCCACCAGCAGTGTAGAAGTGTTCCCTTTCCACCACAACCACATCAACATCTATTATTTTTTTGATTTTTTAAAATTATGGCCATTCTAGCAGGAGTAAGGTGATATCTCATTATCTCATTGTGGTTTTAATTTGAGTTTCCCTGATAATTAATGATGTTGTGATTTTTTTCATATGTTTCTTGGCTGTTTGTATATCTTCTTTTGAGAGTTGTCTATTTAGAACATAATTCTTAATCCACTAATTCATTCTTTTTTTTTTTTTTTTTTTGAGACAGAGTCTTGCTCTGTTGCCCAGGCTAGACTGCAGTGGCTCACTGCAACCTCTGCCTCACAGGTTCAAACAATTCTCCCACCTTAGCCTCCAGAGTAACTGGGACTACAGGCGTGTGCCACCATGCCAGGCTAATTTTTTGTATTTTTAGTAGTGACAGGGTTTCACCATGTTGGCCAGGCTGGTCTTGAACTCCTGATTTCAAGTGATCCACCTGCCTCGGCTTCCCAAAGTGCTGGGATTACAGGCATGAGCCACCGCACCCGGCCTGAATTACTTTTCATATACAAAAAAACCTAGGTGACCATCACTCAGTTCAAGATATGGAACATTTCTAACACCCCCTAGAAAGTTCTCTCATACTCCTTTCCAGTCAATACCCATCCCCCTTTTGCCACCCAGAGGTAACCACCATTGTGACTTTTACTACCATGAATTAAATGTTGCCTCTTTTTAAGCTTCGTACAAATGGAAGTGGATAGTATTGACTCTCACATGCCTGGCTTCCTTCTTTCAGTAGAATGTATGTGTGACTAGTCCATGTGGCTGCCTCTATCCACACTTTATTCTGTTATATCCCATCATAATTATATCCATTCTGTTGATGGACATTTGGGTGATTTGAAGCCTGTGCTGTTAACCACTGAGCTATGTATGAAATAAGTATAATATTAACCTCCCGCTGATTGGCTTTGCTTGGACTTCACTTTCCCAAGGCTGGTAGAATTGCTGGAGTGGATTCAGCATCCAGGAGCAGGCAAGGGCGTCTGAGGCCTCTCAGGGATCAGGGCCCTGGCAGAGGCTGGCGAGGGCAAGAGACAAAACACCCTAAGGACAGCCCAGCCGTATCCCAATCCTGGCTCACCATTCAGGGCAGCGAACGCCCAAGGTGAATTGTTTTAAAATCTCCGTGGTGACCCAACCCCCTTCCCCTTCCTCCAGCAGTTCCCGGGCAGTCCCTGAATTCCCACTGATGCAGTATTCAGGGTTAGGAGGGGTTGTCTGGCCTCAAAAGCCATTTGTAAAGCTAACAAACAAATCACAAGGCAAATTGAGGCCAGTCAGTTTCTGGGTGAACCCGGCAACAGTTCCACTGCGGGTGTAAGGGTGGTATTGCTGATGCGCGGGCCTGTGGGGTCACCCACACAAAGCCTGGAGAAGTTTTATGGGCCCTTGGTGGACTTGCACGCCTGCTACAGTGAACATGCTCAACAAAGGGCCCCTTTAAAGAAGAGAAGTTTTATGGCCTTCACAGCAAGCTGGGGCTTGTTCTCCAGCTTCAGGGAGGAGGCAAGGGAGAGGGTGATTTACAGCCGCTAGGGAACCTCCCTCCTGTGAACTTCTCCGGGTTAAACCTGCATCTGGTGGTCTCCAGGAGCCCGCAGGCTGAGCTACAATGAGCAGCTGGGGGTGACAGCTTACAGCTGCAAAGCTGATTGAATGCCTGGAAAACAGGACTGATGGGCAATCTCAAAAAGAACGGGGATTATTGAGCCTGGAGACATAAACATGAATACCTACACTCAAATATATAAAAATATATAAGGGGGTCTTTCCCTGAAGTTGGTGGCCAGCTATTCTCCAGCTCTAGGAAAAAGAGGAAAAAAAAATCATCAAGTGAGGAAGTGGTTTTAAATTCCAGCAGGAGGGATTAAGGATGGAAAACAACAAAAAAAGCAAAGGTCCGACAGTGAGAATTGGACTGTAGACTGGGTTCCCACAGAGGCTGCTGGAATCTTCTCTGCAGAGATGTGCAAACAGACTAGACTCTCCACTGTCTGGATGTCTGGAGGCTGGAAGTGCCCAAAGGTCAAGAAAACACAGGATGGCTTCTCAGGTCGCTTTATTACTGCACTGTTGTCTTAGTGTGACCTGCCCCAGAAGCAGACCCTGAGATGAGAGTGTGGGTACAAGTGGCTCACTTGGGAAAAGATCCCAAGAAGCACAGTGGCTGCCTGGGGAAGTGAAACAGGGCAGGGAGGGATGCCAACAAGGGGTGACCTAAACAGCGAGTTACTTCTTTCTTTTTCTTTCTTTCTTTCTTTCTTTCTTCTTTTTTTTTTTTTTTTTTTTTTTGAGACAGGATCTCACTCTGTCACCCAGGCTGGAGTGCAGTGGCACAATCTCAGCTCACTGCAGCTTGCACCTCCCGGGTTCAAGTGATTCTCCTGCTTCAGCCTCCTGAGTAGCTGGGATTACAGGCACCCACCACCACACCCAGCTAATTTTTGTATTTTTACTAAAGACGGGGATTCACCATGTTGGCCAGGCTGGTCTTGAACTCCTCACCTCAAGTGATCCACACGCCTTGGCCTCCCAAAGTGCTGGGATTACAGGCATGGGCCACAGCACCTAATCACTTCTTTCTTTTTCTTCTTACTTCTTTACAAAGGCTTTATTTTTGATCTCATACCTTTTTAAAATTTTAATTGACACATCATAATTGTACATATTTATGGGGTACAGTGCGATGTTTTGATATATGAACATAATGTGTAATGATCAAATCAGGGTAATTAGCATATCTAGCACCTCAAACCTTTATCATTTCTTTGTGTTGGGAATATTCAAAATCCTCTCATCTAGCGATGTGAAAATATGCAATACAGGCTGAGTGCAGTGGCTCATGCCTGTAATCCCAGCACTTTGGGAAGCTGAGATGGGTGGACCGCTTGAGCTCAGGAGTTTGAGACCAGCCTAGGCAACATGGCAAAATCCCATTCCCTAAAGAAAGTACAAAAATTAGTCGGGCGTGGTGGTATGTGCCTGTAGTCCCAGCTACACGGGAGGCTGAGGCAGGAGGATCACTTGAGCCTGGGAAGTCAAGGCTGCAGTGAGCCATGATCACGCCACTCCAGCCTGGGTGGCAGAGTGAAATCCTGTCTCAAAAAAAGAAAAAAAGGAAAATATACTATACGTTATTGTTAACTGTAGTCACTCTACAATGCTATAGAACAGTGGTCCCCAACCTTTTTGGCACCAGGGACCGGTTTCATGGAAGACAGTTTTTCCACGGATGGTGGAGGTGGTGGGGGATGGTTTTGGGATGAAACTCCTCCGCCTCAGATCATCAGGCATTAGTTAGATTCTCAAAAGGAGCACGCAACTTAGATCCCTTGCATGCACAGTTCACAGTAGGGTTCGCACTCCTATGAGAATCTAATGCCGCCACTGATCTGACAGGAGGCAGAGCTCAGACGGTAATGCTCACTCGCCCGCCACTGCCACTCACCTCCTGCTGTGTGGCTCAATTCCTAACAGGCTATAGACTAGTACCGATCCGTGGCCTGGGGGTTGGGGACCCCTGCTATACAACGCCAGAACTTATTTCTCCTATTTAGCTGTAATTTTGTATTTATTAACCAGCCTTTCCCTATCCCATCTCCCCTCTACCCTTTCCAGCCTCTGGTCATCACTATTCTATTCTCTGCTTCATGAGATCAACCTTCTTAGCTCCCACATATGAGGGAGATCATGTGGTATTTACTTTTCTGTGCCTGGCTTATTTCACTTAACATAATGTCCTCCAGGCTCATCCACGTTGCTGCAAATTAAAGGATTTCATTTTTTTTAATGGCAGAATAGTGTTCCATTGTGTATATGTAATATATACCACATTCTCTTTATCCATTCATCTTAAACAGTGGGGTTCTTCTGTGGGAAACTGAGGCGCAATTCCACTAGGGACTCTCTGGGAGACAGTGTGGAGGAGAACTGTTCTAGATGAGTATGGGAGCTGAGTACTTATCCATCAACTTATTGGTTGAGGCTCATTCCTTTTCCAAAGAGTCCTATTGTCAATGACTTGGGTAAAGAACATTGAAAAAAAGAGACTGCCCAGACCTTTCAAGGACGGTTGGTATGAACGTTGATGCCAGGGACACAAAACTCCAACATGGGGCCCCTAGTGGAATGGGAAGCACATGCAGGCCAGGTAATAAATAGAGTCCTGGCCCAGGTTTGACTGGCAGTGGTTCCATGGGATTCATGAACCTACCCAGTGGTCATTTCTCTGGTCCCTGGAATGGACATACTTAGTGGTTAGGTTAGCAGAACCTTCATCCATATTGGTTTCTTGGCCTATGGAGTAAGGAGTAAGGATGACCACAGAGGGAAAGACACAGTGGAAGCCTCTGAAATGCCGCTTTGTACACCAAACCAAGATAGTAAATCATCAACAATATCATACCCTGGGAGGATAGCAGAGATAAGGGCCATACTCAATGACATAAAGAATGCAGGGTTTGGCCAGGCGCGGTGGCTCACGCCTGTAGTCCAGCACTTTGGGTGGCTGAGGTGGGCGGATCACGAGGTCAGGAGATCAAGACCATCCTGGCCAACATTGTGAAACCCCGTCTCTACTAAAAATACAAAAAAATTAGCTGGGTGTGGTGGCACATGCCTGGAATCCCACCTACTCAGGAGGCTGAGGCAGGATAATCACTTGAACCTGGGAGGTGGAGATTGCAATGAGCCAAGATCGCACCACTGCACTCCAGCCTGGGAGACAGAGGGAGACTCTGTCTCAACAAACAAAAAAAAAGAGAGAATGCAGGGTTTGTGGTCTCCAACATATCCTCATTTAATTCACCAGCTGGCCCCTAAAACAACTGGATGGATCAAGGTAGATGTGAGTGAACCACTTACTCAAGAAGTAATACCAATTGCAACTGCTTTGCCTGACATGGTATCTTTGTTCCGGCATATGGTTATATGTCCATGGTATGTGTCCATGGTATGTGTCCATGGATGGTATATGTCCATGGTATATGGTGTGTGTCCATGGATCTGGCAAATGCATTGTTTTCTATCTGTAGTGGCTTTCATTCATGTGGAATGGACAGCGGTAGACATGGATGGTCTTGCTCCAGAGCTATGTTATCTTTGCCAACCTCTCTTATAGTATAATCCGAAGGGCTCAGGACTATCTAAGCATTCTGCAAAATACCACATGGATGCACCATGTTGATGGCATCACATTAATCGAACCAGATGAGCAAGAAGTGGAAAGTACTTTGGAAATCTTGATAAAACACATGAGCTCCAGAGAGTGGGAGATAGATCCTATGAAAATTAGAGACCTATCAGATCAGTGAAGGTTTGGGGGACCCGGTGGACTAGGGCATGCTGGGCTATCCCCTGCAAAGTAAAGGACAACGACTTATTGCATTTCACACATCCCATCACCAAGAAAGGAGCACCATGTTTGGTAAGCCTCCTCAGAGTCTTAAGGTAGCATTTTTTTTTCCTAATTTTATTTTTATTGAGACAGGGTCTTGCTCTGTCGCCCAGGCTGGAGTGCAGTGGTGTGATCATGGCTCACTGCAGCCTTGACCTCTGGGCTCAAGCAATCCTCCCACTTCAGCCTTCTGGGCAGCTGGGACCACAGGTACATGCCACCACACCTGGCTAATTTTTTGATTTTTTGCAGAGACGAGGTCTCACTTTGTTGCCTAGGCTGGTCTCAAACTCCTGGGCTGGATCCTTTCACCTCAGCCTCCCAAAGTGCTGGGATTATAGGCATAAGCCACTGCACTCAGCCTAGGCAGCATGTTCTGCACTTGGGAGTGAGTACCCATTGACTAGGTGAAAGAGAAGGCTGCCAGTTTTGAGTGGAGCCCCAAATGGGAAAGAGCTTTGCAGCATGTCCAGGCTGCAATGCAAGGAACCCTGTGGCTTGGGCTATGTGGCCTGGCACTCAAGATAAGTATTGTGGGAAAAGAAGCTGGATGGAGTTTATGGCAAGCACCAATAGAAGAATCAAAATGTAGACGCTTAGGGTCCTGGAATAAGAACATGCCATTTCAGAAAGCAACTCCTTGCGTATTACTGAACCCTGGCAGAGAGGGAGCATCTAAATATAGAATATCAAGTGACCATGTGATCAGAACTGCCCATCATGAGCTGGGACTGTAAGACTTACCAAATCATAAGTTCAAACAGGCCCAGCAGCAATCCCTTGTATGATGAGAATGGTACTCCTGGATTGTGTACATGTAGGATCAGAAGGCACAAGTAAGTTACACAAACAGGTACTGTAGGTGCCCATGCCATCTACCACTGTTACACCAGCATCTGTCCCTAGCTGACCTCATCTAGCCACGTTTGGGAAGTTCTTTATGACCAGCTGATGTATAAGGGAAATAGCTTAATTCACAGATGGGTCAACTTGGTATGCTGGTGCAAGCCAAAAATAGACAACTGCCATGCTATACCCTACTCAAGGATGGCCCTGAAAGACAGAAGTGAAGAAACATCCCTCAGTGGGCACATAATATGGTTTGGCTCTGTGTCCCCACCCAAATCTCATCTTGAATTGTAATAATCCCCATGTGTCGTGGGAGGGAGCCAGTGGGAGGTAATTGAATCATGAGGGTGGGTTTTTCCTGTGCTGTTCTCATGATAGTGAATAAGTCTCACAAGACCTGATGGTTTTATAATCATCAAAGGAGGAGTTCCCCTGCACAAGCTCTCTTGTCTGTCTCCATGTTAGATGTGCCTTTGTTCCTCCTTCACCTTCTGCCATGATTGTGAGGCCTCCCCAGCCATGTGGAACTGTGAGTCCATTAAACTTCTTTCCTTTCTAAATTACCCAGTCTTGGGTATGTCTTTATTAGCAGTGTGAGAACAGACTAATACAGCATAGATCTGGGTGATGCACCTGGTCATATACCTAGTGCAGAAAGAGAATGGGTCTGAAGTAAGAAAATACACAGACTCATGGGCAGTGACAAGTGGCCAGGCTGATTGGTCAGGATCCTGGAAGGAGAAAGATTAGAAGATTAGAGAAAGGAGTTCTGGGGAAGAGGCATGTGGGGGAACCTATGAAGGTGGAAACAAAGTGTGAACATCTTTGTATCACACATAAATATTCACCAGAGAGCATCTATTTTAGAAGAGGCACTAAACAATTAAGTGGACAAAATGACCCTGCCAGTTGACATCAGCCATTATCTATCATTGACCACCTCAGTGATGGCACAATGCCATAATAAGCACATGAATGAAGTAGCCATGGGGACAGTGACAGGGGTTATTCATGGACCCAGTGGCATGGGCTCTCTGTCACTAAGGCTGATCTAACTATTGGCACTGTTGAATGTCCAACCTGCCATTAACAGAGATCAGTGCTAAACTCCCAATATGGCGCCATTCCTCAAGTAGACCAATCATCCACTTGGTAGCAAGTTGATCTCCACTCTGGAAAGGGCAATGATTCATTTTGACTGAGATCAGTACATAGTTACAATACAGGTTTTTCTTTCCTGCCCACTGAGGCTCAGCTAGCACTACTGCCTGAGTGGGGGCTTATAGAGAGTTCGATCCAGTAATTTAGAATCTCACATAATGTCACCTCAGACAGAGGGACCCTCTTTACAGCAAATGAGACACAACAGTGGGCACATGACCACTGTCTATTTGGTTTATCATATGCTGTACCACCGAGAAGCTGTTGGCATGATAGAGAAAAGAAATGGTTTGTTAATGATGTAGCTGATACACCAATGTGGAGGTAAGATTCTGTGAGGGTGGGATGCTATCCTCCAGAGGATTGTACTTATTCTGCATCAACAATGATTATATGGTGCTATAGCCCCAACAGGTGTGATATATGGATTCAGGAACTAAGAGGTAGAAGTAGGAGTGGCCCCACTTACTATCAATCCCTTTGATCCACTTGGGAGATTTGTGCTTCTGGCCCCCATAATGGATCTACAGGTCTTGGTTCTCAGAAGAGGAATGCTCATATTAGGGCAAACAGTAGGATTTTCACTAAACTTTAAGAATCTGTGGCCTCCCAGTCTCTTTGGGCTCTTTAGGCCAAGTACCCAGCAAACCAGGAAAGGAGTCACCATCTCTGATCACTAGGAGGAGACAGAGCTGCTGCCACACAGTTGGGACTGTGAGGAATAAGGCTCCCAAATGATCCACTGATGGATCTCTTGGTACTCTTATGCCTGATGTTAATGGTAAATGGACAAGTTCAGCAGTCACAGCCCAGTAAGGCCACGGTAACCCAGAGTTCAGCCCTTTCAGGTCTTTATCACTTCACCAGGAAAGGCAACTAGATATCAGGGGTGCTAGTTAAGGGGAATCTATAAAAGGTGGAGGAGGAGGAGGATCTATTATGGCTTCAAAACCTACAGCAGCAGCAGCAGCAGGAGAGGCTACAGTTCTGCCATTAACCCTTTTCTTTGAAGTTTCCCAGAAAACAAGACTCCAGAATCTTGGACAAGCTCTTCCCAAATGGGGTAAACTCATCATAAGAAGCAAGTGGCTGAAGTGGCGCAAGGGTGGACTATAGCAGATACTGTTGTGCTCTATCCAGATCTCTCTTCCGGGCTAAGGAGACCAATTGTCCACTTGATAGCAGGGCCAACCTACCCAGCCCCCAGCTGCTGAGGGCTCATAGCCATGTCCCCAATGTGGGAACTGTCCTCAGCTACAGTGAACTTCCTTGCCCAAGGTCATGCTTTTTCGCTGCTGCCAATGACTGGCTGGGTGCTGCAGGAATACAAAGACCAAGGACCTCCTGCCTCAAATTGGACTCTGAAGAGCCATCTCAGCTCCAGAGCTCCCTATAGGATTGTCTGAGGTCTCAGTTGCAACCAATCTGCAAGTCAGCTTCTCCTTTGTTTCAGTTCTGCCTTCTTCATTCCCTTATAGATACAATTCCCAAGACGCTCCCTAATCAACTTTGTTCATGCAACTTTATCTCAAAGTCTGTTTTCTGGGAATCCACCATAAGGTGGGATAAAAGCCTAGTTTGTGAAGACAAAGGTTAAGGAAGGTCTCAGGTCCAAGAATGCCTTTCTCTGCACTCTTTACTTCTTGTTATTACTATTGCTAACCATGAGAGTAAGAACGGAGGGGATGTTGCAGCCAGAAGAAGGTCACAGGGTCAGGCCTGAAGGCCACAGACCTAACCTATTTGTCCTGGAAAATTTGGTGAGCAAACTTAGCAGGCAGGGTCACCTACATTTGTGGGGCTCATTGCAAAGTGAAAATGTGGGGACCTTTGCTTAAAAAGCAGGAAAAAGTGCTCTTACAAGCATTAAAATATAAAGCTTTTTCTTTTAAAAATGTTTCACTACTTATAAAACATAATAGAAGTAATAGTGATATGTAAATAACAACATAAACTGATAAATTACAAAACAATATTTTGGGTGTCATAATTTTATGTAATACAATAAATAATACTTTATTAATGTGATATCTTGATTGATCATAATATTTTTCTGGCTCACTTTTCTGAAAATTCATTTACTATGTCATCAAAATTTATACTTTTAGCAACTTCATCTTCAATCGATATAAATTGAAAGCGACATCAGTCACTCTTGGCAAATGCGAGATTGCAGATAACTGATAATTTTTAATTTTGAAAAAGATCTTTCTGCTGATGCAACTGTTATTAAAGCTGTTAAGAGAATTTTTATAGGCTGTGACAACATTGGGATAAATTTCTGCTAAATTATTTCAAAATATATATTTCAGTACATCTAGAGCTGGTAATTCTCATGAAACAATTTTTCTAAAAAAATTTAACTCTTTATACAAATCAACTTTGTGCAAGTCTGAATTTAATTTTAAATGTAAATTTATACAATGGCATTTGAATATTTTATCTGACATTTCCTGTAACTTGTGGAGGTCATAGAAGAAATCGAAACTGGCTTCATGATTTATATATAATTCAAAATGCCTGTTGGTGCATTCTATCACTGTATATTCAATTACAAGGAAAAATTAATTTAAAAGTTGTCTTTGTTAATAATCAGTTCATCTGAAGCTTCCTAGGAAAATAGTGTTCTTTTCTGTCCAAGTTGGCAATCTTTAAATTTAATTTTTATTTCTAAACCTTTGGATATTTTTCATATAATATTGCAGTGGCTTTTAAAACCTGAGATTCTAAACTCTGAAAAATTCTAACAACTCTCTGATATGCTTTATTGCAACAACCATGTGCATGCTTTTATTTTTTAATAATTTACTGACAAAATCTACTGTTTGAACTCTGTCAATTTCTGTCCTGGTGCTCAGGCTGGAGAGTTAACATTTGTGCAGACACCACAGGGATCGGCTCCAGGGATTGAGGGACAAGCTGGCTTCCCACCCCATGCAGAGCCCCTCCTCTCTGCTGTACCACAGCTGCCACTTCTGCTGCAGCCATTGCCACTGCCAATCTGGGCCATGGACTGCCCGACACCCTGAACTGCCCCAAGGCATGCATGTGTGTCCTGGGCTCCCAGGGCAATCTCTTGGCCGTGCTGTCGGCTGTGCCTGCCGCGCCACCCAATGTATCTGTGCTGCTCACGCACGTGCTCCATCGACCCATCAGATGTTACTGAGGAAACACAGGTTCAAAGATAACGTTATCAAGGATTTCAAGATCGTTGGCAGTAGAGCATTAAGCCAAGTACAGGGCCCTTCTGAGAGGGGATCCTGTGCTATTTATTGCACAGGCTGCACACCCACAAAGCTGACCTTGTGGGCAGGCTTCAGGCTGTGCTTCCTGGCCAGTTCACTGGTCAGCTGATGCAAAATTGTCTTTGTTTGAGTCCCCCCAAAACAGACAGGCCCTGAGACAAGGATGTAGGTGCAAGTTGTTATTTGAAAGGCAGTCCCAGGAAGTCCTGTGAGGGGGTGGGGAATTAAGACAGGGAAGTGGGGAAAGCCAATAAAGGATTGTTAATGAGTGGATTATCCTTAGGAGCAACTGGGGTGCAATCCTGTTGAGGACGTTCTTAGGGACTGTGTAGAGCATACCCCAGAATTGTACCACTGAGAGGCCAGGAAGTTGGGCTATTTGTCCTCCAACTCCAATTCCTCATGCTCTTGCGCTCCTGGGACATTAACAGCCTATCCCCCCTCCCACCTCCCAACTCCCCAACCCAAGCATGGCCTTTGGCCTTCTGGAAGGGAAACACAGGAAGCCGTGGGCTACGAGGGGGCTGTCTGCAGATGACCCACCTCCTGGGTGGAGTTTGGGGAGACGGCTGCATTTACACTGGCCTCAGGACCCATGAGGGACTATAAACCTGGTGCTTTCCCCTCACCTCTCCCACCCTTGCTCCCTGCACACACATGCACACAAACCATGTGGGCCTTTCATTTATCCTTAACGCTGTAATTACCGCTTAATTTCCTCCTTACATTAGTATTGCAAATGCCTCCAACAACTTTATTTTCTTGCTTTATTTATACGAGTGAAAAGGCACTTAGAAGCAAATTACTCTTGCCTCCATATATCTCTCTACCTGTTTATCTCTGTGTTTATGGGGTGCCTATCATCATGGTATCTGGGCATTTAGACAGTCCCATTAGATCAAATTCATTACCTAAGAGAGGAAGAAAAACATACTCCATCTCCAGCCCTCTGCAGAAGCTGCTTGGTAGCACACCGAGGGCTCAGGCTCAGGGACACCTACCAACCCAGATGCTCTTGTTTTCCAACCCAGGAGAGGAACATTTTTAGCAAAGAAGCGAATCTCCTCCTGAAGTGAGGCATGGGGAGCTTTCAAACTAATTTGGAGGATCTATCGGAGGGCGGGTCCCAATATGTTGGGCATTTAAAATCTGAAATGATTTCAGTTTCATTGCTCTCCAAATAGCAAATCGAGCCCATTTTTCACAAATGTGGCTTTGTGTTCTGAACAGCTTCCCTCCACTGGAAGATTCCGGATGTTAACTTCTTTTTCGTACTCTGGAGTTACAGAGAATGCCAAGTTCAAATATCACTGAGCATCTCTTTGTGCCCAGGCCTGCGTGGCTGTTTTAAGGTGCCAGCTCCCCAGGCCGCCTGGGCACAACAATGGAGACCTCTGGCCTCTCGGTGAAGACAATCACAGCCCGAGGTGCCCTGCCCTGCCCCTTCCCTGAATGGTTTTGATTCCTTCCATCCCCTGCCTTCTGCCCTTGGGCCTCCCTCTGTGTTTATTGGCCTGGCCTTGCCCCTCAGACAATGGTGACTACAATGACCCTCCTTCACTACAACTGGGATTCTGTCTCATGGCTCCTGTGGGCCGCCCTGACCAGACACTCTGTCAAGCCAGTGCTCTCAGGATTCTATATGGTGGTGTTTCTCCCAGTGAACCTCATGTAGGCCCAAATAAAAGAGTCTAAGTTCCATTATGGGTGAGAAAATATGAGCAAAGAAACCCTCGCTTTTATGTATGTATGTTTGTATGTATGTATGTATGCTTGTATTTATGTATGTATGTATGTTTAGAGACAGGATCTCACTCTATTGCCCAGGCTGGAGTGCAGTGACGTGATCATACCTCACTGCAGCCTCGACTTTCCAGGCTCAAACAATCCTCCCAGCTCAGCCTCCCAAGTAGCTGGGATTACAGGTGCACGCCACAGCACCACTTTTTAATTTTTTTTTTTTTTTTGTAGAGATGGGGTCACCCTGTGTTGTCCAGGCTCATCTTGAACTCCTGGGCTTGAGTGATCCCCCTCCTCCTGCCTTGACCCTTGCCTTTTAAAATTACGAAAGCGGTACATGTTAACTATATTTCTTTTCTTTTCTCGCTCTGTTGCCCAGGCTGGGGTGCAGTGGTGCGATCTTGGTTCACTGCAACCTCCACCTCCCAGACTCAAGTGATCCTCCCACCTCAGCCTTGAGAGTAAGCTGGGACCACAGGCGCGTGCCACCACACCTGGCTAATTTTTTTGTATTTTTTGTAGAGACAAAGTTTTCACCATGTTTGCCCAGGCTGGTCTTGAACTCCGGGGTTCAAACGATGCACCTGCCTTGGCTTCCCAAAGTGCTGGGACTACGGCATGAGCCACCATGCCCAGTCAACTATATTTCTTTAAATGGAAAAAAACCCCACCCCAACTCAACAACAGTGATAAGCAAGATAGTGATAATTGAAACCATTGAAAGTTCTACCTACTGAGAGTTAACCATCCTTGCCACGTGTTGGTATACATCTGATCAGATTTTCACCTATGCAGATATATACATATCAACATATTTATTTAAACAAAATTAGAAATGTCATGTGAACTAATTCAGAAACTGCTTCATTCACTTAACAATGACTTGTATTTTTCTAAATAAAATTCGATCCACATGAATCTGTGACTGGCTGCCCAGTGTTCTGTTGTATGCATATACTGTAACTTATTAAATGTACCCCCTATGGTTCATTTAGGGAAGGTGCTCAGTATTATGCAAACAACACTGTGATGAACTCACCTGTGTCAGCTATTTCATTACAATGACTTTCTACAATTGCTGGGTCACCTTGGAAGCCTTTGACTCGTGGCTGAATTGCTCTCCAGGAAGCTTGTGCAGATCGATTGTTCCACTAAAGTAAAGAAGAACCTGGGCCCTGGGCATGTTCTCAGCCCTCCTCTCCCTCCTCCAGTCAGTACATCTCCTTCCTGAATACCTCCATGGCTGGCCCCCTGCAAACCAGACCAGCTCCAGGTGAAATGGAGCTGCCTATCCGGGGTGCTCTCTGCCTCCTGACACCCAGCCCTGCCACTTGCCTGTTGAGCTGCTGGCCTGTGAAGGGTCCTCGCTGCCATGGTGAAGCGTGGCCAGGGCTTTCAGGGGTGGGAAGCCAGGATTGCGGGCAGTGCTCACAAGGCTCCCCTCCCCACCCTATTCCACCAGACACATGGAAGGTCACCTGGAGGTCACCTGGGACAGTCCCTCCTGGGGCTCTGCAAATCTATTCCCACTTTAGCCTCCATTCCTGTGATACCCTCCCAGAATCCCCATCCTGTCCTCTTCATGCCCTCAGTGTGAATGCCACTTCCTCCACGGAGCCTTCCCTGATTCCAGACAGAAGGAGTCCCTCCCACCTGTAGCTTTGGAATCCTTTTATGGAGACATTGGTGTGGTTGTCTTATTCCTGCTTGTTCGTGAAAGGGTCATATATGCAAAGTGGCCCTCAAATGCCAAAGGAGCCAAGAAACCAAAGAATGAGGCAGACAAATCCAGTTTGTCAGTAAAGGATGTTTTATTGTGGGAACTAACAGAGAGAAGCATGGTCTTGGGCAGCGGGAAGACAGGTAGATCTCCACACGGTTCCCCCCTAGACCCAGATTGTACACCACAGGGAAAGGGTATAAGTGCTCTGTGCAAGACGATGAGAGGCAGCCCTCCAGAGCAGGCGAGACTGCTATGTGCGTCAGAGCCTATAATTTGTGTGATAGCATCAAGGTTGACATGTTCTTACAACAGGGACAGTAAATAAAGTAGGAATCAAAGGCACTTATGGGACTAGAGCCAATCAAAAGTCAACATGGCGAATTGGCATCCAAGGTGGAGTCACTTTTGTCTCCACACTGCTTATTGGCCAAGATTTTTTTTTTTTTTTTTTTTTTGAGACAGAGTCTCGCTCTGTCACCCAGGCTGGAGTGCAGTGGCACAATCTCTGCTCACTGCAATCTCCACCTCCCAGTTTCAAGTGATTCTCCTGCCTCAGTCTCCCAAGTAGCTGGAATTATAGGTGTGAGCTACCACGCCCAACTAATCTTTTGTATTTTTAGTAGAGATGGGGATTTTGCCATGTTGGCCAGGCTGGTCTCCAACTCCTGACCTCAAGTGACCCACTCACCTCGGCCTCCCAACGTGCTGAAATTACAGGTGTGAGCCACCGCGCCTGGCCCCAAAATATCTCTTGAGACGACAACTGCATTTCATTTACCAAAGGCAAGAATTGCTGTGTAGTTTCCAAGCCCAACTCTCCAAGGGTTTCCCATCTGAGACTCCTTGGGCAGGGAGGAGGTGAGTGTCTGACCAGAGAAGGAAGGAGAAGAGAGAAGGAGCAGTTCACAAGTCCATCTTGGACCTTCTATATCCCCTTATACTACACACAGGGCTGAGGCAGGGTTTCTAGGACTCTAGGGAGCCCAGACTTTTCAGTCAGCATGGCTGCCATTCTCAGTGACTTTGGGGCCGTGAGGAGGGCTTCTGAGATGGGAGGCTGAGCATCCACCAGCACATGGAAGCTCAAGGCAGGGGCACTGGTGATGGCAGAGCTATGACCATAGCAATTATTACTAGTAGTATTACCAGTACTACTGCTATAGCAACTCCTTCTTTCCCTCCCTCCCTCCCTCTCTCCCTCTCTCCCTTCCTTTCTTCCTTCCTTCCTTTTTTTTTTTTTTTTTTTTTTACAAAGACAAGGTCTTGCTCTGTGGCCCAGGCCGGAGTGCAGTGGCACAATCACAGGTCACTGCAGCCTCAAACTCCTGGGCTCAAGTGATCCTCCTGCCTCAGCCTCCCAAGTAGCTGGGACCACAGGCATGCGCCACCATGCCTGGCTAATTTTTTGTATTTTTAGTAGAGACGGGGTTTCACCATGTTGGCCAGGCTGGTCTTTAACTCCTGACCTCAGGTGATTGCCTGCCTCAGCCTCCCAAAGTGCTGGGATTACAGGCGTGGGCCACTGCGCCTGGCCCCATCCTTTACATCTTCCAGCTCCTAGAGGATGCCGGTATTTCTTGCTTCGTGGCTGCATTACTTCAACCTCTGCTTCTGAGGTCATGTGATCTCCCACTACTCTGATCTCCTACCTTCCTCTTAAAAGGATCCTTGTAATAATATTGGGCCCATGTGGATAAGGCAGGAGGGTCTCTCCATCTCAAAATCTTTTGCTTAATTACATCTGCAAAGTCTCTCTTGCCATGTAAAATAACACTCACAGGTTCTGAGAATTAGGATGTGGATGTCTTTGGGCCTATTATTTGGGCTATTGCAGCCACTCTCTGTGCTGCCTCCTTTATAAATAGTGATTGGTTGGGTTAATGAAGGATGAGTGGTATGGAGCAGTGGGCCCTTAATTTGGGTTCTCCCGAAAGCAGACAATAACTTGGGACTGGGCGCGGTGTAATCCCAGCACTTTGGGGGGAAGAGGCGGGATAATCGCTTGAGTCCAGGAGTTTGAGACCAGCCTGGGCAACATAGGGAGATGCCCATCTCTACAAAAAGTAAAAATTATCTGGGCATGGTGGTGCATAACTGTAGTCCCAGCAGCTCAAGAGGCTGAGGTGGGAGGATCGCTTGAGCCCAGGAGTTTGAGGTTGCAGCAAGCCAAGACTGTGCCACTGCACTCCAGCCTGGGTGACAGGGCGAGACCCTGTCTCAAAACAAAACAAAACAAAACAAAACAAAATCCCAAGAACTTGGGTTCAGGTGGTTTACTTGAGGTGATCTTAGGAAATCCCAGTAGGACCATAGGGAAGCGAGACAGGGAAGGGAGAAAAGCTCATCAAGGTTGTATAAACGAGCTCGTTGTCCCTGTGGGCAACTGGGGGCTCTATCCCATTGGGGACCCCCTGAGGAACTATTTTAAGCATCCCTCCAAATCATCCCACTGAGGAATGCTGTAACAAAGTGTCACCAACTGGGGGCTTTACAACAACAGAAATGTATTGCCGGACAGTTCTGGAGTCCAGGAGTCTGACATCGAGGTGTTGGCAGTGTCGGTTCCTTTCGGAGACTCTGAGGAAGAATCCATTCCACGCCCAGCTCTCAGCTTCCGGCGATTGTCAGCCATCCTTGGTGTTCCTGGTAGATGCATCACTCCAATCTTGGCTTCCGTTTTCACATGACCTTCTCCTATGTGTCTTCTCCCCTTCTCTTCTCTCTCTCTTTTTTATTCTTTATTTTTTTGGGACGGAGTTTTGCTCTTGTCGCCCGGGGTTAGAGTGCAGTGGTGCGATCTGGGCTCACTGCAACCTCCTCCTCCCAGGTTCATGGGATTCTCCCGCCACAGCCTCCTGAGTAGCTGGGATTACAGGCACCTGCCATCATGCCCAACTAATTTTTGTATTATAGTAGAGACGGGGTTTCACCATGTTGGCCAGGCTGGTCTTGAACTCCTGACCTCAGGTGTTCTGCCCGCCTCGGCCTCCCAAAGTGCTGGGATTACAGGTGTGAGCCACCATGCCCGGCCTCTTTTTTATTTTTTATTTTTTTTAAAACTGGCAATCAATTTATTAAAATAGTTTACTTAAGCATCTGCAATGGTGACTTCAACCTCAACTCCTGGCTCAATACTGATAGAAGTAATTTGCTCAACAATCTCAGAAAGACTGTGCAAACCAATGAGTCGCTTGTGGATTCTCATCTCGAAGGGACCCCAGGTAATATAGTTTGGCTCTGTGTCCCCACCCAAATCTCATGTTGAATTGTAATCCTCAATGTTGGAAGATGGGCCTGGTGGGAGGTGAGTGGATCATGGGGTCATATTACCCCCTTGCTGTCCTCATGATATTGAGTGAGTTCTCATGAGATCTGGCTGTTTAACAGTGTGTGGCACCTCCCCCTTTTTTCTCTTCCTCCTGCTCTGGCAACATAAGACATGCCTGCTTCCTATTTGCCTTCCATCATGATTGAAAGTTTCCTGAGGCCTCCTCAGCCATGCTTCCTGTACAGCCTGCAGAACCTGAGCCAATTAAAACTCTTTTTTTTATAAATTACCCAGTCTCAGGTATTTCTTTATGCAGTGCAAGAACGGACTAATACGCCATGTCTTACAACTTTTACCACAAGGAGTTTTTCTTGTAGTGATTCTCAAAGTCTTATTTTTTTTTTTAATTTTTAAAAAATTTTTAAATTTTTTTTTGAGATAGAGTCTCACTCTGTTACCCATGCTGGAGTGCAGTGGTGCGATCTCAGCTCACTGCAACCTCCGCCTTCTGGGTTCGAGCAATTCTTGTGTCTCAGCCTCCTGAGTAGCTGGGATTACAAGCTTGCTCCACCATGCCCTGCTAATTTTTGTATTTTTAGTAGAGACGGGGTTTCGCCATGTTGACCAGGC
The DNA here is from genome assembly GCF_000001405.40 of Homo sapiens. Classification (NCBI taxonomy): domain Eukaryota; kingdom Metazoa; phylum Chordata; class Mammalia; order Primates; family Hominidae; genus Homo; species Homo sapiens. The sequence continues at coordinate 40,514,698 of NC_000023.11, read as the reverse complement.
TGGTCTCGAACTCCTGACCTCACGTGATCCTCCTGCCTTGGCCTCTCAAAATGCAGGGATAACAGGCATGAGCCACCGTGCCTGGCCTGGTATCTTTATAAGCCATCACTGCAGCTTGGCTTCCTGACCGACTTGTTCTTCTGCAAGAGTAAACAGCAGTGAGTCAGGAGCAGGAGCGGGCGGACCACAGCTCCACACCACCTACAACTGCACCTTCCTCCTTTTCTCTTCTAAGGACACTTCCCATTGGCTTTAGGACCTCCTTGGACAATCCAGGATGATTTCTTCTTGAGATACTTGATTATGTCTGCAAAGACTCTTTTTCCAAATAAGATCACATTCGCAGCTTCCACGTGGACATATCTTTTGGAGGCCACCATTCAACCCACTACAGATGTGAAGCTGAAGTGTTTATCCATGGACTTCTGTCCCTCACTGGCTGAGGTTGCCCCCAGGAGTGTCAAACTCTAGCTCAAGAACTGTCCCCTGCTGCTGCAGGTGAACTCAGAGGCAGGCCGAGGAAACATGGTGTGGGGCACTGCACAAGGATGTGTAGAGTTTGCCTCAGAGAGATTGGTGACAGGGAACCTGACTGCATCGTAATATTCCCATCCCCTCCCTCCTTCACTCCACCCTGAGGTACCCTGGCCTTGCCTTAGCCCCCGGAAGAGATGAATCAGCAGAAAAAAGTGTCTTGTCTGCCCAGAAAGCCGGAGAAATCTTGAGGTCTGGGGTGCTTCATTGCCCGTCCTCCACAAGCGGGCTGGGGAGTTTGGCTTCAAAGCAGCCCAGCTGATGAGGCTGTACATTTTTCTGAGCAGGCCAAGCAGAAAGAGGGGCGGGGGTGGGGCTGGGGGTGTGAGAAGAAGTAATTAGTTTGATGAATCTTCTTTTTAAGTAGTTCTCTACATGGGGCTTTCGCGGCGTTATAGGCTCAGTGATGCATTCCCTGAGTTTTATGAATCCTTAAACATGGGCCATTTTTCAAGAGAGAGGTGAAAGTAATCATGTGTTGGCACAAGCCCTAGGTGTCCCTAGTCTGGGACAAGGACACCCACTGAGGACCGCAGGCCACAGAGGGTTCTGGAGAGTCAGAATGAGGCTTCAGTCCTTTTGCTGCTCACCTTGCAGTCGGCAGTGACATGCTGGGACACCATATCGCATTCAATATCCATCCAGACCCTCCGCAAGCCTCTTTGACAAGCCCACCCAATGCTTGATCTGGGGCAGGGGATATGAGTCTAGCACAGGCCCCTCCTGCATAAGCCCACAGCCTGGTTAGAGTCGTGGCTCACAGCCTGCATTTCCCCCCAGGAAGAGTGTCAGTAGCTCTTCCTCGCTAGGCTGAGTGATGCCAGCCCACACTGCCTGTGAAGGTTGCAAAATTGGCTCCAATTCTTCCCCAGTCTTTGGTCATGCCCTCCCGCGCTGACCTTGGACCTAGTCATTGACTTGCTTTGGCCAGCTGCAAATGTGAGGTAAGCAGAGGGTTCCAAAGAGCTCACACAGTGATAGATGTTTGTCCACTTGCTGCTCTTGGAATCTTTGGCCACCATGCAAACAAATTCAGGCTGGCCTGCTGGAGGATGAGGGCCCAGTTAACCCTTCGCTCCCATCAGCAGAAGCAGAGCCTCCTGGCCCACCACGGCCCTTGGGCCAGGGATGGGAAGGCAGTCAACAAAGTTATTGAGCCAGCTCCCATTGTGGACTGTGGGCCATGCTTCTGCCCGTCACTAGACGGTGGGCACTTGCACCAAGAGTTACCCCATCTGAGGGATGCAGGATCTAGATAGGTAGCCCCCAACTCCCTCAGCCCTTGATTTCAACCCTAGCATTTGGCCAGCAAAATTAAACTCACTTTCCACTCCCTTTGGGCAGCGGTCCCCAACCTTTTGGTCACCAGGGACCAGTTTCATGGAAGACAGCTTTTCCACAGACGGGGTTGGGCGGGGGGATGGGAACAGTTTCGGGGTGAAACTGTTCCATCTCATATCATCAAGCATTAGTTAGATTCTCATGAGGAGCGTGCAACCTAGATCCCTGGCATGTGCGGTTCACAGTAGCGTTTGCTCTGCTAAGAGAATCTAATGCCTAGGCTGATCTGAGACGACCCGCACAGGCGGTAATGCTCGTTCACCAGCCACTCACCTACTGCTGTGCAGCATGATTCCTAACAGGCCACAGACCAGCACCAGTTTGTAGCCCTGGGGTTGGGAACCCCTGCCTTTGAGTACCTTTTTTTTTTTTTTTTGACTTGGGGTCTCACTCTGTCACCCAGGCTGGAGTGCAGTGGTATGATCATGGCTCACTGCAGCCTTGACCTTCTGGGCTCAAGTGATCCTCCCACCTCAGCCTCCTGAGTAGCTAGGACCACAGGCATGAGCCACCAGGCTCAGCTATCCTGTAACGGGTTTTTGATGATGAGACTAACGAAAGGAACTTAAAAAGCTTTGATCTTCTTGTTTTTAATTTGAGGTCAGCTCTTAGATTGTAAGTTTCTTTGAATGGATAGGGAGGCATCCCCTGGGGGTAGAGTTTAATTCAAGCAGCTAGAGCAACCCCCTTCCCTGGGAGGCATCCAAGCACTGGGATCAGTGCACAGGCTGGGCAGCTTCCTCTTTTGCCAGGCTGATGGACATTATCTTGGAGGTGCCCAATTTGGCACATTCTAGATTCCACCTCTACTTTCTGCCCACTGCAGCCATCCCATAGAAGTAAACCTAGAACAGTTGGATTAAGAAAAAAACGACCTCTTCTATACTCATTTAAGATGGGACACCAGGCCAGACACGGTGGCTCACGCCTGTAATCTTAACACTTTGAGAAGCTGAAGTGGGTGGATCACCTGAGGTCAGGAGTTCAAGACCAGGCTGGCCAACATGTCGAAACCCAGTCTCTACTAAAAATACAAAAAATTAGCCAGGTGTGGTGACGGGCGCCTGTAATCCCAGCTACTCAGGAGGCTGAGGCAGGAGAATTGCTTGAACCTGGGAGGCAGAGGTTGCAGCAAGCCAAGATCGTGCCACTTTACTCCAGCATGGGTGAAAGAGTGAAACTTTGTTTCGATAAATAAATAAATAAATATAAGATGGGACACCAGCATTTGTGGTCCTAAAAGCCACAGTTCCTTTGCCTCCCTCTCTCTTTATGACCAGGCTCTGTCCCTCTCCCTTTGACCCTTGGCCGTCAGCAGAATTGCCAGCCCTCAGAATGCCCATTTCTTGGCTGAAGCCAAATTGGCAACAAGAGGCTGCAGGTCCTTTCTGAGCAAGGCTGACCGGCCCATTGGATGAGGCAGGCTATGTTCAGAGGCCCCGCACCATTTGCCGGTGTTGAGGCCACTACCATGGTCCAGTAACAGGTTCGGGACAGTGCCCCAGGCAGACACATTTACCTCTTATTTTCCTACGAGAAGTGTAGACCTGGTTAGTAAGAATTGGCCTGGAGCCTGGAGCACCAGCCCTGCCCACGAGACGCCTGGCCGTGAGTCTTGTTCTCACCTCTCCCTCGCACAGGGAGAGCCCCTGAGCCAGGGAGGAGGGTTGCCCCAACCGCTAGGCCCCTAGGTCATGTTCCAGGCCCTCACTTGGGAGGCATCCTGTATTAGTCCGTTTTCACACTGCTAATAAAGACATACCCAAGACTGGGTAATTTATAAAGAAAAAGAGGTTTAATGAACTCACAGTTCCATGGGGCTGGGGAGGCCTCACAATCATAGTAGAAGGCAAAAGGAACATCTTACATGGCGGCAGGCAAGAGAGAGAATGAGAGAGCCAAGTGAAAAGGAAAACCCCTTATAAAATCAACAGATCTCATGACATTTATTCACTACCATGAGAGCAATATGGGGGAAACTGCTCCTATGATTCAATTATCTCCCACCGGGTCCCTCCCACAACACATGGGAGTTATGGGAGCTACAAATCAAGACAAGATTTGGGTGGGAACACAATCAAACCATATCACATCCCAAGCTGTGCTCATGATTGTGGGAGAAATAGCCAAAGTCATGGAGGGACTATCTCCTGACTAGTTATTGGCTTGGGGTGGGTGGGTGATGAGGGCAAGAGGCACGAGTAGAAGGAAGGGTATGAACCCTCATATGGACAGAGGCCTGATTCCTGTTGAAGAGATCACATCCCTAGGACTGCCCTTTAAGGCCCTAAGTGCCTGGTTGGATCCCAGTAGCCAACAGAATAAAGCATGAAAGCATGTGTGGGAGAGCATATGTGTTCATGTTTGTGTGAGGATGTGTGTGAGTGTGCATATGCATGCCAGCATGCTGTGTATGTGTGGATGTGGGTAATTTGTGTGTGTCGTGTGCAGATGTATTTATACACATACGTGTGTGAGAGTGTTGTGTGTGAACATGGACATTCATGTGTCTGCATTTGTGTATACTTGTGTGTATGTGTGTGTGCCCATCTATGATGTCTCCAATGTCAAGGGAAGATCTATTTTGGGCCATGGTCAGACACCTGAAGGCCTAGGAGCTAGAGGTGAAATCTGGAGTGTGGCATCCCTGAGAGTCATTTAGTATCTCTAGTCCCCCCTCAGTCACAAGCAGGGGGTCCTTCCTTCCGATCACCTCACCTTTTTCCTTCCTGTCCTCATCTTTACTGTCACCGTTGGTTGGAGGTTGGGGAAGCTCCAATGTCAGCATCGCCACTGCCATTAATATCACCTCTCTCCACCCTCATCCCCTAAGGGTGGCAGGGTGGACAAATCCTGCGGTCACCTGTACCTACCTGCAGAGTGAGGAATGAGCGAGAATTATCCTTTCCTGAGCATCTATTGCATGCCAGGCTCTGTGACTCTTGGCCTGAGGGCTTTCTCTGGCTTCTGGAGCCTGCTCCGCCCTCCCTGGGTTAGGCTAGTGGAGAGGTGACTGCTCCCCAGGAGCAGTCCTCAATCAAGGGCTGAAGGGGGTTAGGAGATAACTAGCTGGCTCCTGCACCCCTTGAATGGGATAACTCTAGATGCGAGGTCTTTGGTGTCTCCTAAATGTGCCTGCAGGATTGAGCTCCCGCTGCCCACAGTCGAACCTTGCTCAATACGTTTCCTTTATTGACTGCCTATCCCTATAGGCTCTCCCCGTGTTTCCTGAGGTCTCTCCCAAACACCCCACTTCTACTCACATCCTCCTCTCAGGAGCTATTTTGGAGGGACCCAAACAAAGAGAGTAACTTATCTGATTGATGAGTTGGGGAAAAGAATCCAGGCCCAGGAAACTCAAGCTTTTCTAGGTCCCCTTTGGGAGGCAGCCCACCCAGAAAAGCACAACTTCTCAGCTCCCTGTGGTCTTCATTCCTGCTTGTAGCTGAGTGGGTTAGATCAACTCCGGCATTGAGTGTCGGCAAGACAATTGTTGTGACAGATCTCAAGCCACATCTGCCAATATAGCCTTTTCTGCAACAAAGGACATTCATTTTGAGCCCCATCTTTTGGACTTCCATATCCCTTTCTTGATTGCTCAGAGAAGGGGAGAAAGTAATATTATTAATTGACTCTCCTAAAACCCTGACATTTATCACTATATCCCCAGAACCTCAAAGTACCAGGACAGAATAGGGGACTCATGAATATTTGTTGAATGCAAACATGTGACAGCAAGATTCAAACCCAGGTCTGTCTTCCTCTCAGGCCGTGCCACTTTCTCTAGATCTGTTGAAGATAGGAGGGCTGGAGAGAGACTGCAGTGGCCTGGAGAGCAGTGGAGAAGCCCTCGATGCTGTCCACCTGGCTCTTCTGCCCTTTGGCAAAGAGAACGTTTTCTGTGGGCCACAGCCCAGGGGCAAGGTCAAGGTCAGCAAGTTCTGCCCTGGGGAAGAAAGGGCTTGGCCCGAGAGGTGCAAATCCTTGCACATTATCCTGTCAGCATCATCTAATCACACTGTGTGTTTTGACTGAGCAATTCTACCCGCCTCTCGGGATTGATGTGAAGATTAATGCCTGTTTAGCAAATTACAGCTTCCCCAGCACCTCTTGCTCCTGGGAGAGAAGAAGCCGTGGCAACGGAAAATAAAAACAAACCTCACCACTCGTGGCAAGGCTTGGCCACAACAATGACAGCCAGGCTCAACTCAACAAAACGTGGAGGCTTAGCAAGCTAGGTGAGGTCTGCAGCCTGCCAAAAAGAAGGCTGAGGGGAAGCCAAGCCCACTCTCCCACCCGGGGACAAGCAGGGACTGAGTGGGGAGGCAGCAAGAGTAAAAGACAGCAAGGGGCAGCTTGTGGCCTGGCCTTCTCCTCTCCGGGCCAGGCACAGGGAAGAGAGGAGTATTTATTTATTTATTTATTTTTGAGATAGAGTCTTGCTCTGTTGCCCAGGCTGGAGTGCAGTGGCACAATCTCGGCTTACTGCAACCTCCACCTCCCGGGTTCAAGCGAGCGCCACCACGCCCAGCTAATTTTTGTATTTTTAGTAGAGATGGGGTTTCGGCATGTTGGCCAGGCTGGTCTCAAACTCCTGACCTCAAGTGATCTACCCGCCTCAGCCTCTGAAAGTGCTGGGATTACAAGTGTGAGCCACCACACCCAACAGAAAGAGGAGTCTTATCTGTTAGTTACACAGAGGAGGGAGCAATCTGGCTGTCTCCAAGGCTGTTTTCACTGTTCTCCAAGGCAGATTGACGGCTCCCATTCCTTTTCCACAGCTCAGACAAGATCTAGGGCATTATGGTTACTTTTGCCCAGTTTGAGGTCTTGCAGTTGTCCCAACTGAATGCTCAGCTGATCATGTGTGAATCAAGAGCCGAGAGACAGGTTTGAAGAGAGAGAACTTGCAGCAGGCACAGGCATGGCCCTGCACAGATGTCCCCCATGCTCACTGTTTCCATGTGTACTTGGGTGACCGCTGGAGGGCTTGCTCGAGGGCTGCAGGCTCTGGGAGGAGTCCCCGGACAGATCAGACAGGAGCTAGAAGATATCACCTCAGCTCCCTCGCCCCCAGGAGGGATTAAGCCCCAGTGGCCCACAGCGGAGTGACTTTCTTGAGAAGCCCCTTGTGTGGCATCCTTCTCCTCCCCATCTCACCTCCTCCACTCCACTCCGTTTCCTCCCAAATAAACCAGTTCTGCTCAAATTTAGGTCTCAGAGGCTGCTTCTGAGGGAGCCCAAACGAGGTCAGAGTTGAAAGGAGGGATTTGGGGAAGCAAGGAAAAAGGAAGCATGGAAAACACTCTGAGGGGCGGAAACCAGCCTCATGGCTACTGCTTCCGCAGAAGAAAGGTATTCTGCTGGCATCCATCAAAATCTCTGGCTTATTTATTTATTTATTTAGAGACAGGGTCTCACTCTGTCCCCCAGGCTGGAGTGCAATGGTGTGATCTCAGCTCACTGCAACCTCCACCTCCCGAGTTCAAGTGATTCTCCTGCCTCAGCCTCCCGAGTAGCTGGGACTACAGGTGTGCGCCACCACGCCTGGGTCATTTTTGTATTTTTAGTACAGATGGGGTTTCACCATGTTGGCCAGGCTGGTCTTGAACTCCTGACCTCAAGTGATCTGCCTGCCTCGGCATCCCAAAGTGTTGGGAATACAGGTGTGAGCCACCATGCCTGGTCGCTGTCTTCTTTTTTAAACTCCCAAATCCACCCTCTCTCTCTAATGAACCCTCTGTTTTTCCAGAACAGCAACAATGTGGGACCCACTCACCCAACTCTGCCCAGCCCTACCCAGCCAAGCTCAGCAAGTGTCTCTGGCTGCCTTGTGTGGCTGCCCTCCTGCCCCCACACTCCCCTCTCCCCAGGGTGGGCCTGGGACAGGGTAGGCACCCAGCAGGCAGCAGAGACAGAGCTTTCTCTATGTATGGTTCAGGCCCTTCTTTTCTCCCTCCACCCCCTCCATGAAGTCAGGGATCTGGAATCCTCAGATTCCTTATGCAAGAGGGGCCCTCCCCCGATGCGTGGTCCTTGGCCATCTGGAGGACAGATTTTAAGGGACCACCACCGGGGTTGGCTGTAGTCAGTTTGGAGGACTCGTGTTTGCTTTCCTTTATTTCTTGTCCTAGCCCCACGTGACAGCTCTGTTTCAGAGGTTGCCCAGGGAAGGAATGGAAAACCCTAAGCCCAAAACATAACCTATTGATTCTGTAAAGATGAGGCCTGCACCCCACAGCGCTCTCTTGATAAGAGGGCACTTTGAGGGAACTGATGTGGGCTAGGGAATGAGCAAGGGGAGGCTCTGGAACCCAGGGGAGCACTCAGAAGAGTGTGGTCTGGGGCAACTCAGCTTCATTCTTGATGTTCCAGAGAAGCATTGTCATCCTGCCTCCCCACCAAAGTCCAGGAAGTAAGGAAGGGTGTGAGAAGGAGCCCAGGAAGATGATGCTTCCTGGCTGGAGTCCTGTGTGGTGAGGTGAGGTGAGGTGGAAAGGGCCACAGAATGGGAGGGAGGGTATGGGGACGAAGGTGGCTCTGTGTGTTCCAGAGCTGTCCTGTATGCCATCTCATGGAACCCTCACATTAACCCTGTTGTTCCTGTTTCACAGATGAGGAAACTGAGTCTCTTCATCAAAACCAGCAAAGCCAAGAGCAGAAGAAGCCCCCTCTTGAGCCCAGGTCTTTCTGGTTTCTGAGTCCACACCAAGCTTTTTGCACAAAACCTTGCACCTCCCCTCTAGGACTCAAGAGCTGGATGCCTGGTCCTGCGGCTGTGGGCTGCAAATTGCCCTGCATTTCAAGAGCTCAGTGCCCTTGTCTGGAAAAGAAGACTAGTAGGATTCTCCCAGATCTTCCACTCCCAACCCTGGATGTCCAGAGAGTTCTATGGGGTAGCCGATAAATGGCCCATTGTGGGCCAGAAGGTGCAAGCCCCAAGTGTGGGCTTGATTACTCCCAGGGACTTGTGGTCCCCCACCCCCAGTTCCCAGAAGCATCTATATCAGTTGTCTGGGAAGCTGATTCTATCAAGCCAGTTCTGGGTGCTATGGCTGATCCAGTTACTATTTCTGCATATCAAACTACTCTAATCCCAGGTGGCTAAAAAGAACAATAATTTCATTATATTTTACAATTTTTTAGGTCAAGAATTCGAGCAAGGTTTGACTACACAACTCTTCTGCTTCGAAAGGCATTGAGGGAGGTCTCTCGGTGGTATTCAGCTAGTGAATGGCTTGTTCTGGAGGCTTCACTTACATATCTAGAACCTAGGCAGGGATGGCTGGCAGGCTAGGCTAATCTAGTGTCGTCTACCAGAGTGATCTTTCCAGCATATAGTTCTCAGAGTAGCTGGAATTCTCACACCATGACCTGGGGCTCCAGCCAACCAGGAGGAAGCTGCATTGGCGTTTATGATTCAGCCTTGGAGGTTACATTGAGGCACTTTGGCCATCCTCTATTAGTTGAAGCAGTCACAAGCCCACCCAGATTCAAGGGAGAGGATATAGACCCCACCTCCAATTGGAAGGAGTGTCAGAGAATTGAGGCCTTGTTTTAAAGGCGTCATAATGGCTCAGCTGCCCAAGTTTGCCCACAGCCCTCCAGGCCCCCACCCCTTCCTTTCTCTACTCCTTCCCCCCTGCCTGCAGCCACACTCCTACCAGGGAGGCAGCCAAGGGCTCACCTCCTCTCTCAGAAACCGATCTGAAACACTTATTCATTGAAAGTGTCAGGGTCTCCATGTGTTAGTCCCCTGAGGAGCATTTTCACTTTAAAATTGTGGCTCAAATGGTGGGGCATAACCAAAGGAATGCATTGCTAATGGTGGAATTTCAGGCATTTACCACAGACCAGTAGGGGATATATTTTTTGGCCAAGGGACTTTCCTGCTGCAGACAGCTGGCTGTTCAGTCTACCCTGAACCCATAAACACTAAACTGTGGCCACTGGGGCTCTACAAGCTGCTTGGACAGCAGCTTCTGCACCGTGGTTCCCCAACCACCACTGAAAATCTGTACCCAGACGACGCAGGAGGGGAGGGAATGATGTTTCTGGGCCATGCTGGTGGCCAGCTCAGAGCTGCGCAGATTTACTGCTCCACAGTGTAAAAGCATGAGATTAAAGAGAGCCGCGTGTGCAGAACTCAAGTTTGTTTGAAACTTAAAATATTTATGTAGCATAGGCCCCCTTCGAGCAGCCTACCTTCTTTTCCTCATTATTGTATTTCTCAGCACTAACAAAACTGTGTGTGAGAAACAAGGAACATGTCAAAAATAAATAAAAGATTATGGGATAACAACCTGATCTAGAATAATGCTAATTTCAAGCAAGGGGGAAAAAACTCCCACAACTGTGTCACACACACACACACACACACACACACGTGCGCAACATTGTTTATCTTATTAGTTTTCTTGGTTTGGTTCAACCTGATGTCAGGATGAAGTGGGAAGTGGGTATGGCCAGTAAATCTGTTTTTTGGATAAATTTCAGAAATTTCTGCACATATTCCTTTTAATGTTCCTCCACCCCTGACACCAACCTTTTTAAACCAAGACTTGTAGTACTTAGTTTCAAGGGAAGAGGTGGAGAGACTTCTGGGAGGTTCTGAAGGGAGGCACCAAAGACATTATGGGTAACTTTTTTTTTTTTTTTTTTTTTTGAGACAAGGTCTCGCTCTGTCACCCAGGCTGGAGTGCAGTGGTGCCATCACAGCTCACTACAGCCTCAACTTCCCAGGCTCAAGTGATCCTCCTGCGTCAGCCTCCCGAGTAGTTGGGACTACAGCTGTGCACCACTACCCCCAGCTAATTTTTGTATTTTTTAAGAGATGAAATTGGGCTGGGTTCGGTAGCTCACACCTGTAATCCCAGTACTTTGGGAGGCCAAGGCGGGTGGATCACCTGAGGTTGGGAGTTGAGACCAACCTGGCCAACATGGCAAAACCACGTCTCTACTAAAAATGCAAAAATTAGCCAGGCGTGGTGGTGTGCACCTGTAATCCCAGCTACTCAGGAGGCTGAGGCAGGAGAATCTCTTGAAGCTGGGAGGTGGAGGTTGCCGTGAGCCAAGATCGCACAATTGCACTCAAGCCTGGGTGACAGAGTGAGACTCCATCTCAAAAAATAAATAAATAAATAAAAGAGAGATGAAGTCTCATCACTGTGTTGCCCAGGCTGGTCTCAAACTCCTGGCCTCAAGCAATCCTCCTGCCTCAGACTCCTGAGTCTCTGGGATTACAGGCATGAGACACTGTGCCAGGCTCCATTATGGGTAAGTTTAATTGAGTGCTTACTATATGCAGGCACTGTTCCAAGTGCTTTCCATGTATTGACTCCATTTCACTGTCAAAACAATCTGGAGGCAGGTACCAGTTACTCCTATCTGAGAGTTGAGGGGTCTGAGGCACAGAAAAGTTAAGTAAACAGCCCAAAGACATGGAGTTGGGAGGTGGGAAAGGTGAGCGTTTAACCCAGGCAGTCTGGTTCCAGGGCTTGTTAGTCCCTTTTTAGGCTACATATTGATTCTGGTCCTCTGCATTTGGCCTGTACTTCTGGGATAAGTCCAGATCCAATTCAGGCCAAGGCTGATCTCAAATAGGTGAGGGCCCTTCTGCTGTCTGGTGAGGAAGCACTAAGAAAGCTGGCTGATGCGTATGGTCAAGGGTGGTCCTGCTTTTGAAGGATGAGGGGCTGCTTGGAAAACAAAACTAAAGGCACTGTCGCAAAATTCAGGAGAGGTGTTTTCCTGGACAGTGACAACAGTGAGCTTGGTTCAGGACTCTCCAGACCCTGTAGGCACAAGGAGGGTTCTGTGGGCCTCTTTTTCTAGACAAAATGCTTCTAGGAGTGATGTTCTCAAGCCACATAAAAGTGGCCTGTGTCATTCTGCCTGGGCTTTGCTCTGCAAAGACTGCCCATATTTGGTTGGAAGTTATTTATGGGTCTTTGCATGGCAAAGTGCAAAGGACATTGCTAGGAGCCAGGAAGCCTAGGGGCTGGCCTTGGCTCTGCTGTAACTTGCTGTGGGATCTTGGGCATGTCACTTTTCTCTCTCTGGGTTTCTGTGTCTTCATTGAGAAACTAAGGGGCTGGATTATTTGATGTCCAATGTCCCACCAGACCTGAAATCTTGTGATTCTTAGATGAATCAGAAAGGTGAGTCGACAAAACCTGTAAACCCCAGGAGCAAAAGCTGGAAAGAGTAAGACAACACAGAGAGAAGAAGTCAACCTAAGCTAGACCATTTGGAAACAGGAGAAGTGGATGAAGTTGTGAGATTCACAGTCTGCGAGCAGCATACCCGCTCCCATGCCTCTCTGCCTTATGAGATTACAAGTTGAAATCCCTCTAATGGGGAAAAATCTATCATTGCAGAATGATTTGCATCCAGAGAGATTTCAGTGCAAATCCTCCTGGGAGAGAGAATTATTTCATTGACGCAAATTCATACTAACATGTAAATGACTGACACGAGATTTATTCCAAATAGTAGACTTTGAAGGATGGGGGCCTGGATCTGGGAGCCTGAAGACAGAGAGAAGAAACAGCACCTCAAAGGGAAGAGTCTATAAAAGAGTCCAATAACACGATTAGTCTACAGCCAGTGTTGCTTTACCCACTACTGTCCCCAACTCCAAGGAAGGATCCATGTCGGTAAGAATTCTGATTTTTTTTTTTTTTGAGACAGGGTCTCACTCTGTCATCCAGGCTGGAGTGCAGTGATGTGACCAAGGCTCACTGCAACCTCAACCTCCCAGGTGCAAGCAATCCTCCCACCTCAGCCTCACAAATAGCTGGGACTACAGGCATGTACCACCATGTCTGGCTAATTGTTTTATTTTATTTTTTTTTAGAGACAGGGTCCCATTGTATTGGCCAGGCTGGTCCTGAACTTCTGGGCTCAAGTAATCCTCCCACCTCAGCCTCCCAAAGTGCTGAGATTACAAGTGTGAGCCACCGGGCCCGGCATAGATTTCTGATTTTGAGAACCCCGAGAGAAGAGGTCAAACTGAGGTGATTGGGAGGTGATTGGGAAGTGCCTGGAGGAGTGTATCTGCCAAGCCTGCTTTGTGCCCAGGTAACCAGCCAGAAAGACGCCCTTGTTTCCTTAAGGGCTGGGGAGGGAGACACCATGCCCAGCTGGCCTGGAGCCTGAGGCAGAGGGGCGCGTGGAGGGAGGCCAGGTTGTGCTGAGCTGGCAAGCTGGGCACTGCCCGTGTGCAGCTCTGCATACATTTTGTGCCTCCAATGTCCTCACCTTGTAGGAAAGTAGTAGCTTTTGTTCTAACCAGCTGTCCCTGAGTGTGATGTTTCACATGATTTACTAAAGGAGGAGAACATTTGTTTCTCAACGCAGACACTGCAAGAGAACCTCCATGATGGATGGAAGAGATGACAGCACAGAGGCTGCTGGGACCCTGGCCCTGACTGCGACCATGATGCTCTGAGCTGCAAGGAGGGAGGGAGGGAGGACAGGGCTGGAGCACAGGTGCCACTAAGGGGAGACAGAGCTGAGGGCGGAGGAGGGATGGACCCATTCGTGCTTGTCTGTTAGTTGAAACTCAGGAACAAGGCAAATGGCAAATCTGGTCAGTGGTCTGAGAAATCTGTAGCAGGACCTGGTTAGCACGTGAAGGCCAAGGACATAGAGGGTGCACTTGGGAATCAGACTGCATTTCCTCACTGTGGGCAAGCCACTCAAGCTGTCATTTCTCAGTTTCCTCCCTTAAAAGGCAGGGATCATTTGGGTTGTGACGACGCCTGATGCAAATAAGTATTGAGCGCTTGGCCCACAGTGCACGCTGCTCTCCTGCAGGAGGTGAGGTTGTTGAAGGTGCTCTGGTTGTCCTCCTCCCACCTTCCTCAGCCCCGCTCTGCCCCTTGACTTCTATTCCTTTCCTCTCACTCCTCTGAATCAACTTGGAAATGCTGCCTTTGGTGCAGTCCTCTGGCTGAGCCCAGGGTCATGGCGCTCACTCAGCCCCAGGCGATGCTCCGCATGGTGGAGACTGGTCTTCCAGCTAACACCGCCATTTTGGGAGCACTTATGGCTGACGGGCAGGAGTCTGAAGGGGTTGGAAAGCTGAGGTTTGATATGAACCTTCTGCCAAGGCAGCTGCCGGAATAAGGGCTGGGGAATATCCAGATGGGGAGGTGAGCATGGCAGGCCCCAAGCTCCAGACCGCTTCCAGCAGCCGCTGCAGCAGTGAGTACCGGAGTGATCAGCAGGGCAGGTGTCAGGGGCTGGATGTGGCCTGGCTGTTGGAGGGATGTACCACTGGGGGTGGGAGAGGGCGGGCCACAGCAGGAGCAGGTCCCCAGGCCTGATGGGGGCAATTCAGAGTCAGGATTCTGAAGGCACGAGGGGATCCAGGTGGCCCTCCTGTCCCTTTGGAACTAGCCAGGGAATTAAGCACAAAAGCGGGATCCCCTTCAGGAGCCTACGCCCAAGGTCAGGGGTTGGTCATGAAGACCAAGTGACAACCCATTTCCTGCAACCTGGGCCCAAAGTGGGAGGGACCAGAGCTGACCTGAGCCACCAGTGGCTTCATGGCTCCTTGGCCACCACCTTGCCCTCCAGGAAATCGAAGGGGCCCAAACCCTGGGAGAGGGCAGTGCCCTCTGTTGGGAGGTGAGAGTGCTGGCCAGGGTCCTGGTGGGAAAAAGATGCCACTTTCCAGCCAGGAGATATGAGGAGAGTTTAATGAAAGGACTATTTACAGAGGTGAGAGCCGGTGGGGGAAAGCCCAGAATGGGGAGTGAAGCCAGCGGAGACCAGCGATGGCAGGAAGCCACTATCACCCCGCCCCTGAAGGAATAAGGAGAAGGGTTGAATTCCAGAATCCAGAGAGAGTAATTACAGGGTAGGAGAAGGGTAGCCCCACAGGAGCGGTAGCCTTTGGCAGCAGAACGCAGGGGCCTGAGCGGGAGGAGTTTGGGGAGACAAATCCTCCTGCTCTTAGGGCTTCTGCCTGGGTCTCCTGAAGCTGGAGGACAGATCAGCCTCCTGGGGTGCAGAACCTGCATAGGACGGTGGGCAGAGATGTGGAGGGGCCAAGAGGAGCCACCGACACAGTGGCTGACCCCAGGGTGAGCTCTGGAGGAGTGGTGAGGGTGGAAAGCCTGGTCACTCTTTATGCCAGCAGTGTCTGGGAGAGAGGTGTGTGATTTTTTTGTTTTTTTTTTTTTTTTTTTGAGACGGAGTCTCGCTCTGTCGCCCAGGCTGGAGTGCAGTGGCGGGATCTCGGCTCACTGCAAGCTCCGCCTCCCGGGTTCACGCCATTCTCCTGCCTCAGCCTCCCAAGTAGCTGGGACTACAGGCGCCCGCCACTACGCCCGGCTAATTTTTTGTATTTTTAGTAGAGACGGGGTTTCACCGTTTTAGCCGGGATGGTCTCGATCTCCTGACCTCGTGATCCGCCCGCCTCGGCCTCCCAGAGTGCTGGGATAGGTGTGTGATTTTCAGATTGGGCTGGGGAGGGAATTGAGGAGAAAGAACCTTTCTTTCTTTTCTTTTTTTTTTTTTTCTTTTTGAGATGGAGTCTCGCTCTGTCACCCAGGCTACAGTGCAGTGGCATGATCTCGGCTCACTACAACCTCCACCTCCCAGGTTCAGATGATTCTGCCTCAGCCTCCCGAGTAGCTGGGATTACAGATGCAGGCCACCACGTCCAGCTAATTTTTGTATTTTTAGTAGAGACAGAGTTTCACCATGTTGGCCAGGCTAGTCTCGAACTCCTGACATTAGATGATCCACCTGTCTTGGCCTCCCAGAGTTCTCGGATTACAGGTGTGAGCCACTGTGCCCAGCCAAGAGCCCTTCCTTCATGTTGCAAGTGGCACTATGTGGCTCACAATGGGATGAGTCTGCCCCAAGTAAGCAGAGTTGCCACCTCCTCTCTATACAAGGCGGCTGCTGCCTGATCCTGGCCTGAGCTGAGGCACCTCCTTTGATCATGGAGAGCTCTAAGGGCTCCTGCTAATCCCTACTTATTCCTTCAGACATCCCATCAGCGCTACTTCTTCTGGGAAGATTCCCCCGATTACACTCCCTCCTCCAAGGCTAGGGTAAAGGCCTCATGTCATTGCACTCAATGTCGCCCAGCTCTATGCTGGTTCATATCATTCTTTGCATTGATGGCACCATATCAGATCATCAAGAGCCCCGGAGGTCCCAACTGGGGCCCAGCTCCTCTCAGGAAAGTCAGTGCCTGGAATAGCTCCCGATGCAGAATGTGTCCTTAACACATAACCATCAACACGGGCACCACAGGGGATTTATTGGGAAGCACTGAGGTGACCTCAACTTTAGTAGCAGAGAATTCTATGGTTTCTAGTTTGATTCCGAAGACAAAGCCCATGAGGTACTATAGTGCCCTGGCTTAGAAATTCCATGGATAAAGCCAATCCCACCTGAGTTTCCACGGAGCAGAATTCTCTGTCCTGGTTTAAGCAGTTATGCTTGCAGAATGAAGAAAGGATTCTTCCACGGTAATATAATTTCAACAGCACAGTGGTAAGAGCAGCAAGAGGCGATCTCCAGCCTCCTATTTATGAAAACAATAGCTCAAGTTTATGGTATTAACAGTAACCACAGCCACTTCACTTCCTCTCCTGCCACTCTCTCTCCACAGCCACTAGATGCACACATCCAGACACCAGACACAAAGGCAAACTCCCAGAAAGGCACATACACACACAGGAACAGGTACATGGGCTCAGAGACACCCACGGACACACAAGTTCATGGACACTCAGGCACACATACCACTGCATTTCCTTGAACATATAGAGCCCTGGTTTGGGAAAAGGATGAAGACCAAGACAAGCTGCCCTCTAGGAAGTGATGACACTGGTATCGGAATAAAGACTCAATCATGTTCTGGTGCTTTCCAGCTCTTTATCGGGCTCCAAGGGGTAAAGAAAAGAGAGATGGGCATCATAAAGGCCCCGCCTGGCTCTGTGTTCTCGGACTGAGGAGGCAGTGGGACTCTTGGCAGAAGCGAGCCGGGGTGCTGGCTGCAGAGTGATTTAAAGTAAAAATAAATGGTTGCTGCCACAGTAGCAGTAAAAAGACTATCAAGACCAATGCTTCTGCTGAACCGGGAGAAGTGCATCTGCCTGTGAGGCTGACAGCAGAGGGAGGGATGGTACCATTTTATGAGCCTCAAATCTGAGTCTGTCCAGCCTCGGCCCCAGTTCCTACTCACAAAATGTATTCTGGCTTGCCTAGTCCTGCATTTCCAGAATGGGAAGGGAGTTGTACCGCTCAGGGTTTAGTGCAAGAAATAGAAACTGCTCCAGACATTTTAAGCAGAAAGGGATTTAAAACAAGGAAATCATTGCTTACAGAATCATTGGAAGGTGTATTAGTCTCCCGAGGCCGCAAATGACCATTAACTGGATGGCTTAAAAACAACTCGATTCCCTTACAGTTCTAGAGGCCAGCAGTCCAAAATCAAAATGTCAGCAAGGCCACACTCCATCTGGAGGCTCTAGGGGAGAATCCTTCCTTGCCTCTTCCGGCTTCTGGGGGCTACTGGCCTTCCTTGTGGCAGCATCACTTCAATTTCTGCCTCTCATCTTTACAAGGCCTTCTCCTCTCTGTGTTTTCCCCTTTTCTGCCTGTTATAAGGATTTAGAGCCCACCTGGGTAATCCAAGCTGGTCTAATCTCAAGATACTTAATTACATTACAAAGACTCTTTTGTCGAATAGGGCCACATGCACAGGTTTTGGAGGTTAGGACAGGGACATAGCTTTGGAGAGGCCCCCATGGTAACCCACTACAGAGGGCTGTTATGAAAACTCTAGGCTGGGTTTCCAAGGACTCTCAGAACCTGCAGGATTGACCCACTAGGGGAGCTGCTATCTTTGCTACATGCAGGAAGGCCCGGAGCCAGGAAACCATCAATAGAAACAGCTGTGCTTAAAAACCCACTGCCGGAGCTGTGAGCTCCAAATCAGGGTACAGCCGCTGCTGCCACAGCAACTGTCTGGATACTGACAAAACTGATGAGTGGACACCAGAATGCTGCTGCAGAAAATTCCATGTCTTCTTGAGCCCATCAGTTGCCAGGCAGGGTTGACTACACAGAGGAGGTGATTGTGGTGGACTCTTGTTTGTTGCCTATCATCTAGCACATTTAATGTGCCGCTATCACAAAATACCACAGACTGGGTAATTTATAAATAGCAAAAATGTATTACTCACAGTTCTGGAGGCTGGGAAATTGAAGATCAAGGTGTCGGCAGGTTCAGTGTCTGGTGAGGGCTGCTCTCTGCTTCGTGGATGGCACCTTGTTGCTGCATCCTCTGGAGGGGAGGGACGCCTGTGTCCTCACATGGTGGGAGGGACAGAAGGGGCAAACTCGCTCCCTCAAGCCCTTTTTTTTTTTTTTTGAGACAGAGTCTTGCTCTGTCGCCCAGTCTGGAGTGCTGTGGTGCGATCTTGGCTCACTGCAACCTCTGCCTCCAGGGTTCAAGCAATTCTCTGCCTCAACCTCCTGAGTAGCTGGGATTATAGGCGCCCACCACCATACCTGGCTAATTTTTGTATTTTTAGTAGAGACAGGGTTTCACCATCTTGGCAAGGCTGGTCTTGAACTCCTGACCTCATGATCCACCCACCTCAGCCTCCCAAAGTGCTGGGATTACAGGTGTGAGCCACCACGCCCGGCCCCCCTTAAGCCCTTTTATAAGACACTAATCCCTTCCATGAGGGCAGAGTCCCCAGGGACTAATGACCTCCTAAAAGGCCCCACCTGTTAATACTGTTGCATTGGAATTAAGGTTCAACATTAATTTTGAAGGGGAGGCAAACATTCAAACCATAGCAGGGAACCACCTTGTATCAGCTATCTATAACTATGGAACAAATGAACCCACAACTTGGTGACTTCAAACAATCACAATTCATTGTTTCTCATGGTTCTGTGAGTTGACCAGGCTCAGCTGGGTGATTCTTCTGCTCCATGTGGTGTCTGCTGGTGCTGCTGGCATCTGAAGGTTCAGCTGCTTTTGACTGCTCAAGATGGCCCCACCTACAAGGCTGACAGATAGTCCTGGATGCTGCTGGCTGGAAGATCAGCTGGGGAAATTGGCCGGGCACCTCAATTCTCCCTCACATGGGCCTCCCCACATGGCTGCTTGGGCTTCCTCACAGTGTTCCATGATGCTGTGTTCTAACCATGGGAAAGTGAAATCCATAGATTTCTTAAGGCCCAGCTTTGAAATGTACAGTGTCATTTCTGCCATGTTTTATTGTCCAAAACAAGACACAGGGCTGGCCTTTATTAAAGGGGAAGGGAAACGGATTCTTATCTCTCAATGGAACTAGTGTCAAAGATTTTGTGGCCAGCTTTAATCCACTGCTCATCCCTAACTACTCTCAAGCCATGTGGTTTTGGTGGAGCTGACACCCCTATCTGAAGTGGCATGTGACCCACCAGAATATCTTTTCTCCAGCAATAGTGATTGGACCAGGGACAGTCACACAATCCAAGTCAGGCTTTGGGGACTTTTGTAAGAGATTTCAGGAAAATACGCTGTTTACTTTCTATGCCAAACTTGAACCAGAGCAAATATGAGGAGATGTTGCCTCTTAGCATCACCAGAAGAGTCCAAGAATGAAGCCAGCAATGGAAGAGAGCCAGACCCAGGAGGAGAGAGAGGGAGAAACTGAGTCTGGATGAAACAGTTTATTCCCTGAATACAGCAAAGCCTCATCAGATGTGGATGACCCATAGGCATCCCCAAGGCAATTCTGTCACCTCAGTAATTGCCAGGAACATAGGTAGGGGCTCTACCTGTCCTTCCCTACCACTCACTGCCAGGTGGTGAATTAGAATGAAAGCAACCCTCAGATGGAATTTGACCAGCCATATGATTATTAGGAAGCAGATACAAGGATGATGATATAATGTGTTCCTGTAGGCTGGGAAATGTCCCCACTCTGTCCTCAGGGCCTCTGATAGACACTTTGCATGCAGGATTTACTCTGAGGCAGATGCGATGGTATTCTCTTGACTGTCAGCCAAACTTCTGGGTGGATGAGGCACCACAATCCTCTGAAAATAGGGAGATGATAGAGGACCAAATGGATCTCCAGATTAAAGTGTTGCTCTGAAGGTGCCAGGTGGCTGCTCTAGCCTCATTCCTACCAGGGCACGGAGCCCACAGTCTTAAGCCATATATCCTAATACTTCTAAGATCTCTATGCCAATTAAGGAACCCTCTGGTGTAGATTTAGATATGGATATTTGAAGCACTGAGTAATTACTTCTGGAGTTTAGATTCCTATTAGGGTCTTTCAAATGCTAACGAACCACCCCTAGGGTAAGTATAATCACACACACACACACACACACACACACACACACACACGCACCACTCTGCATATATAGAGGTGTTTTAGAGTAAATTGTCACACAGATAATATAATACCATTCTGGGCTTGATGAGGTGCTACATGTGGCCTTTTAAGAAGTTCTCCCTTTCCTTGATTTCACTGGGAGGGAAAAGAGGTAACTAACAAAACTTTGAGCCAATCAGGGGAAGCCCTGTGGTGCATAGGGAGGTAAGGATCTCAGAGGACCATGGAGAGGCCCCGTGCTATCAAGGAGTCCTCTGACTCATAAGGAAAATTAGTTGTGTCAATGCATATGTGCATTTGGGGTGTGAAGGTAGGGAGAGTGTGGTAGCTTTTCTCAGATTCTCAAAAGGGTCCGGAGACCCAAGAGCATTTAAAAGTCTCTGAACTAGGCATGGTTGGGGAAAGAAGATAAAAAGAAACATCTTGCTTGGAGATAGCCTTGGGAAGGTTTAGCAACTTCCCGGTAGAGTCAGATATACTGGTCCAGGATTTGTGTTCTACTAGGGAAATTTCAAGATAATTATGGGGCCGGGCATGGTAGCTCACACCTGTAATACCAGCAGTTTGGAAGGCCGTGGTGGGAAGATTGCTTGAGCCCGGGTGTTCAGTACCAACCTGGGCAATATAGTGAGGCCCTGTCTGTACAAAAAAATAAAAAAAATTAGCAGGGTGTAGTGGTGCACACCTGTAGTTTGCCGACATTTTGCCACTGCACTCCAGCCTGGGCTATAGAGTGAGACCCTGTCTCAAAAAAAAAAAAAAAGAAAAATCATGGAAGGTCAGAGTGTGTTAAGTTGAGCAATTCAGAAGCAATAGTATTTTAAAAATTATTTTAAAATTTTTAAAATTATTATAAAAACCATAAAATTTATTATCTTAGTCATTTTCTTTTTTCTTCCTTTCTTTTTTTTTTTTTTTTTTGAGATGGAGTCTTACTTTGTCACCCAGGCTGGAGTGCAGTGGCGTGATCTGGGCTCACTGCAACCTCTGCCTCCCGGGTTCAAGCGATTCTCCTGCCTCAGCCTCCCAAGTAGCTGGGACTACAGACACGTGCCACCACGCCCGGCTAATTTTTTTGTATTTTTAGTAGAGACGGGGTTTCACCATGTTATTCCTGACCTCGTGATTCGCCTGCCTTGGCCTCCCAAAGAGCTGGGATTACAGGCATGAGCCACCATGCCCAGCCTATCTTAGCCATATTCATGTCGTGTTAAGTATATTCACATTGTTGTGAAATAGATCTCCAGAACTGTTTCATCTTACAAAAATGAAAGTCTACCCATTAAACAACAGCTACCCATTTCCCTTCCCCCCAAGCCTCTAGAAACTAGAATTCCACTTTCTGTTTCTATGAATTATTTGAATACTTTATATCCCTCGTATAAGTGGAATCATGCAGTATCTGTGTTTCTGTGCCTGGCTTATTTCACTAGCATAATGTTCTCAGGGTTCATCCATGTTGTTGCATATGACAGGATTTCCTTTGTTTCTATTTATTTTTTATGTTTAGCTAGTCAAGTGAAGCAGTGAGAGTGGAGACAGAACAAAGGAATCTGTAACTGGTTGTGATCGATTAGTTGTAAACACCACCACACTCAGGACTGTGGATTTCCTTTGTTTTTAGGGCTCAACAAGATTCCATTCTACGTATATGCCACATTTTGTTTATCCATTCATCTACTGATGGACCTTTTGGTTGCTTTTGCCTCTTGACTATTGTGAATACCGTTGCCGTGAATATGGGTGTGCAAATATCTTGTTGAGATCTTGCTTTCAATTCCTTTGAGTATATAGCCAGAAATGGGATTGCTGGATCATTATTTTAAATGTTTTAAGGATCCTCCATGCTGTTTTCCACAGCGTTAGAAGCAGCTGTATTTTCTGCTGAACCTGGAGCAGGGTCACTTATAGAGTAAGGTACAGACACTCTGGTCTCCTTTAAAATAGCTTTGTTGGCCAGGCGTGGTGGCTCATGCCTCTAATCCCAGCACTTTGGGAGGCTGAGGCAGGTGGATTGCTTGAACCCAGGAGTTTGAGACCAGCCTGGGCAACATGGCAAAACCTCATCTCTACTAAAAATACAAAAAATTAGCTAAGTGTGGTGGTGCATGCCTGTATTCCCAGCTACTCGGGAGGCTGAGGCACGAGAATCGCTTGAACCTGAGAGGTGGATGTTGCAGTGAGCTGAGATAGTGCACTCCAGCCTGGGTGACACAGTGAGACTCTGTCTCAAAAACAAAACAAAACAAAACAAAACAAAACAAAACAAAAAGCTTTGTTGTATATGAAGGCAGTATGGAATAGTGGTTTGGAGAAGTTAGACAGAGCTGTGTTCAAATCACAGCTCCACCATTAAGTGGCTTTGTGCTTATCTATTTAGGCCATTATCTACTCAGCTGTGAAATGGGTAACAATAGTACCTACCCTAACAGGGCTGTCATAAGGGCAAGGAAGTCGTACAATCATTTTAATTTAACAAATATGTATTCAGTGCTTACTACATGCTAGGCAGGCACTGTTAGAATCACTTCCCAAATATTGGCCCTCATAACAACCAAATGAAGTAGATGCTATTCTTTCTGATGAGGAAACTGAGGCACAGGGCAATTAAGTAACTTGTCCAAGCTCCCAGAACTGGTAGCAGTAGTGCTGGGATTCCAGACTAGACCATCTGACTGCAAGTCCCCATTCACAACCATCTGCTCTGCTGCTTCTCAGGGTAAGGCGGGAGCATGAAGGATGGGCAGGAAGTACTGAGGGGTGGGAGGCAATAGGAGCCGGGCAAGGGAGGTGATTTGCAGCTACCTGGAGACTGTGCATGTCTGAGAATCCTTAGACACATCCTATGGGCACAAAGGCCTTATTTGGATATTGCAGAAGAGAACTTGGGGCTGTTTGATGACACGGGCCTGCCATGGGGTAAGTGCTGGATGAATAAGAACTCTGGACAGCCTTATCCTCTCCTAACCCGTTCTGACTGCATCCTTCCCTTGAATTGCACACCTTTTGCAACAAGGTCAAAATTAGACTTCCGGCTGGGTGTGGTGGCTCACGCCTGTAATCCTAGCACTTTGGGAGGCTGAGGTGGGCAGATCACGAGGTCAGGAGTTCGAGACCAGCCTGACCAACATGGTGAAACCCCGTCTCTACTAAAAATACAAAAATTAGCCGGGCGTAGTGGGGCATGCCTGTAATCCCAGCTACTCAGGAGGCTGAGGCAGGAGAATGGCTTGAACCCGGGAGGTGGAGGTTGCAGTGAGCTGAGATCGCACCACTGCACTCCAGCCTGGGCGACAGAGTGAGACTCTGTCTCAAAAAAAAAAAAAATTCAACTTCCTGCTTCTGCTGGGTGCCTGGGAGGACCAGCTCCTTTCCCCAAGTCTCCCTCCAGATCCCACAACTCACACCTCTAAGAGTGGGATTGTTCCCGTACAGCCCAAGGGCAGGTGAGACCTGGGGCCTCCCCTAGGGCAGGGAGGGCAGTCCTCTCCCCAGAGCAACCCCCCATCATCATAACACCCAAGGGGGCCTTAGGGTTTGAGTCAGGTGGGGTGTGGACATCAGAGAATCCCACCAGGGCTCAGATCTCAAACTGGGGCTCTGTGTGCGTGCGTGCGTGCGTGTGTGTGTGTGTGTGTGTGTGTGTAGGTATGTGTATGTAGGTGTGGCACCCACACCTCACCTGCACAGAAAACAAAGTCAACAAAATGGTCATTCTTCTCTTTTGAAACTTCACAGATCTCTCTCCTTCTGGAAAGTTTTACTGAGGACACATGTGGCGTTTCTGCCTCTGCTCCCCACCCCCAATGACAAGCGAAAACAAAGAAGATAAAAAGGGAAAGCAAGAGAAAGAGGAAAAAAAAGGAAAGACAGCGAAAGAAGAATCCCTTCCCTACTCTCTGCCAGTAACATTGACTTTCTGGGTGGTTGTCGCCATTGCTGCTTCTAGACCTTTTCTTCTCATTGCTCTGATATTTCAATCCCCCAGAGCAAGGTCTGGGGCATCTTTCTCTGCATCTTAAGGCAAGATCCAGTAGACAGCCAGTGAGCAGAAAATAACTTGAGAACAAAAAAGTATGCTTTTAAAATTTGTTTTCTGAGCAGACTGATGATCAGGTAAACACTGTAAGCGTTCATGAGTGGGCAGAGAAACCAAATTAGAGAAAACACTCCCTGCGCTCACCATGGATCTGTTCCCAACCTCCTCACCAATTCCTCCCACCCTCAAAATTAATTTCTTCTCAACAGTCAGCCCAAAGGAAGAGCCTGAAGATCTCAGGAATGCGTGCTCTCAAAACAAGTTGTTTTTCATCTGCGAACTGGGGACTTTTGCTTGAAAAACAACCATCTACGGCATAAACATAGCAATAGGACACGAGCATGTTGGATGGGCCCATGAGGAGCTCTTCTTGAAGACAGCTACCTGGGGGTAAGGTCCTTCTGCTATAGTCAGTCTGAGCACACAGAGATCCCCCCACACCCCCAAAAATGTCCAGGGACCTCTGGAGAGAATCTCAGAGGATTTTCAGGTATGCCAGCCCCTCACTGCAAAAAGGATCTCCTGGCTTGAGCCACTCACCCAGGCTTGTCCTCTGTTCTACTTTGGTCACCTCCACACTGAGCTCCAGAGCCCTTCACCTTGGTCCTGGTCAAAATAGGGATGGGATCTCACTATGTTACTCAGTCTGGTCTCAAACTCCCGAGCTCAAGCAATCCTCCCGCCTTGGCCTCCCGAAGTGCTAGGATTACAGGTGTGAGCCACCGCACCTGGCCTCTCTTAACTTTTGACCCAGTAATTCTTCTAGAAAGGTACTCTTCTGATATACTTGCCCATATGCAGCAAGATCCATGCACAAGCCTGCCCATTACCACCTTGTTCATAAGAGCAAAAAATTGAGAGCAACCTACATGCCCATCAGAAGAGGACTGGCTAAGTTAATTTGGCACACCCAGATTATAATAAACAGTCCTTCAATATGTGCTGATAGGAAAAGATCTGTGAGCCATACTGCCAGCTGAAAAAAAGACGCAGAGAAGTGTGTGACTGTATTGTCCCTATCTTAGTTGGGTTTCCCCCAAAGCAGACCTTGAGACAAGGATTTCAGTGCAAGTCATTATTTGGGAGGTGATTCAGGAAGCACAGTGAGGGAGTGGGGAAGTGACAGCACAGGGAGGAAAGCCAATAAGGCTGGGAAAAATGAGCCGGTTACCACTGTGGGCAACTGGGGCTCCATCCCATGGGGCAGAACAAACCTCAGAATCATGTCGCCAAGAGACAAGGAAGCTGGGATATTTATCCACCAACTCCTGCCCCTCAGTGGTTGAGGGGCATCCATTCCCCGGCATTTCCAGCCAGCCCCAAGTGCAAGCGATCATGCTCCTTGGCCAGAGAGCATCCTCCTGCAGAGAGAGATACAGGAAGAGGTAGGCTTTGAGTGAAATGTCTGCAGGCGCCTCTGGAGGAGGGTGGGGGTGATCCAGGGGATATGAATGGAGCACTACACCGTCTGCAGTGATCCCATTTCTGTATCTGAAAAGTTTTTTAAAAATACATAGATATTATACATATGTTTGGAAAAATTCTAGGGGTGTGGGCCTAGAGGACTGGGGGATAGTGAGGAGAGGTGCTTTTCACCTTGAACCCTTCTACTGTGTTTGCATTTTTAAAAAAAAAAAAACTATACCCAGGCCGTGCAACATAGCGAGACCTCATCTCTACCAAAAAAAAAAAAAAAAAAAAAAAAAAATTAGCCGGGCACTGTGGTGCATGCCTGTAGTCCCAGCTACTCAGGAGGCTGAGGCAAGAGGATTGCTTTAGCTCAAGAGTTCAAGGTTTCAGTGAGCTATGATTGCACCTTTACGCTCCAGCCTAGGTGACAGAATGAGACTCTGTCTCTAAAAAAAGAAAAAAAAATCCATATATGATGTAAATAATTAAAAAACTGTTTAGTCAGCTTAAAAGCTGCTCTCTCTACAGCTACTAAAGCTCCAACTTAATGGTTCTGTCCACCTTGAGTCTCTCCCAGGACCAAACAGTAATTCCTTGCATGTATCACGTTCTGTCTGAGCACCGGGTACAGCCCTATCCACTTTATTTATTTATTTATTTATTTATTGAGATGGAATCTCACTCTGTTGGCCAGGCTAGATAGAGTGCAGTGGTGCCATCCTGGCTCACTGCAACCTCTCTCTCCCAGGTTCAAGCAATTCTCATGCCTCAGCCTCCCAAGTAGCTGGGACTACAGGCGTGTGTCACCACACCCAGCTAAGTTTTGTATTTTTAGTAGCAACAGGGTTTTGCCAAGTTGGCCAGGCTAGTCTCGAACTCTTGACCTCAAGTGATCCACCTTTCTTGGCCTCCCAAAGCGCTGGGATTACAGGCATAAGCCAACCATCCCTGGCCCCTATCCAGTTTATATGCTCTGTCAAAGCCGAGCTCCATGACAGCCCTGCCAGGTGGAAACTAGAGTCCCAACTTTAGAGATGATAGGAAACTGACACTTAGAGAACATAATGTAACATGCTCTATGTCATATAATGGGAGTGTGGGTCCACGAGTGGAGCCAGAATTTGAACGAAACCTATCTGTCTCCTGAGCTTGTGCCTGCAGCCATGATGATCTGTTTCCACAGCTTCTCCCCATTCTACCTTGGGGAAACCTTGAAGTCTTCCTCAGGCTGATTTCCCCTTCCCATATGGAAATGGGTACTAAATGTGTTTTAGGAGCCTCTGGTCCCTTGTCAGCCTTTTCCAACCTATGTGCCCCAGACACAGTGGAGGAACAGTGCTGGGAGTGGAGCTGATTTGGCTTGGCTGTGTCCCTATCCAAGTCTCATCTTGAATTATAGCTCCCATAATTCCCATGTGTCGTGGGGGGGACCCAGTGGGAGGTAATTGAATCATGAGGGCGGGTCTTTCCCTTGCTATTCTGGTGATAGTGAATAAGTCTCACGAGATCTGATGGTTTTATTAAGGGGAGACAATCTCTTGCCTGCTGTCATGTAAGATGTGACTTGGCTCCTCATTCGCCTTTCACCATAATTGTGAGGCCTCCCCAGCCATGTGGAACTGTGAGTCCATTAAACCTCTTTTCTTTATAAATTACCCAGTCTCAGGCCTGTCTTTATTAGCAGTGTGAGAACAGACTAATACAGGAGTCATTCACCTCTCTTATGGGCTGAACTTTGTCTCCCCCCAAAAAAACTGTGTTGAAGTCCTAATCCCCAGGACCTCAGAATGTGGCCTTATTTAGAAGGAGAGGCTTAATTACCTCTGTAATCAAGTTAAAATGAGGTCATTAGGGTGGTCCTGAATCCAGTGTGACTGGTGTCCTTAGAAAAAGGGGACAATTGGACAGAGAGACAGACATGTCCTGAGGGAGAATGCTACATGAAGATGCAGGCAGAGATCAGGGTGATGCTTCTACAAGCCAAGGAATGCCAAAGATTGCCAGGAAACTACCAGAAACTGGGAGAGAAACAGGGAACAGATTCTCCTCACAGCCCTTAGAAGAAACCAACCCTGCCAACACCTTGACCTTGGACTTCCAGCCTCCAGAAAACTGTGAGACAATACATTTCTGATGTTTATGCCACCCAGTTTATTGTATGTTGTCACTGCAGCCAGAGCAGACTAATACACTCTTTTTCAAGGCTGCCACTACCTTGTCGCTTTCCACTCTAGCAGATATTAGCCCTCATTCAACGCATCTAGGGAAAAAGGGAGGGGAAGCAGTTTTTACAGAAGTGGTTGTTCCCACCTTCACCTCCGACTTTTACCCCAGATGGACTGAAAAGTCTTGTTGCTGATAAGAGGACAACTAGAAACAGAACATCTAGCTCTGGCCAAAGGCTTCCAGAATCACATAGTAATTCTTCCTGTCTTTCATGGTTGAATGAATGAATAAATGAATAAATGAGTGAATGAATGAAGCCATGTATCCCTAGTGCCTTTGGCCTTACTCTAAATAGAAGCTTCTCTGCTTATGAAATTTTGGGCCACAGACTTTGATAGAAAGCTAAACACTGGCTGGGTGTGGTGTGTTCACACCTGTAGTACCAGCTATTCAGGAGGCTGAGGCAGGAGGATCGCTTGAACATAGGATTTCAAGACCAGCCTGGGTAACATAGCAAGACCTTCATCTCTGAAGAAAAAGAGGAAAGAAGGAAGGAAGGAAGAAAGGAAGGAAGGAAGAAAGGAAGGAAGGAAGGAAAGGAAAGGAAAGGAAGGGGAAAGGGAAAGGGAAGGAAGGAGGAAGGAAGGAAGGAAGGAAGGAAGGAAGGAAGGAAGGAAGGAAGGAAGGAAAAGAAAGCAAGCTAAGCACCAGAAAAAAAAATGTATACTAACTCTGCTGCCACCAATAGGAGGAGGGAGTGATGGTCCCTTTGGGCAAATGAACAAGTGAATTCAAAGACAGTCACTACAATCCAACTTGTTTACAATTAGAAGCATGTCTGTATTCCCTTTACTCTCCTCTTCCTGTTCCTCCCATCCTCACTGCAAACCTCTTTTGAAGTACAACATATAGACAGTAAAGTGTGTAAACCATGAGGGTGCAGCTTGATACATTTTTACAAAGTCAACTCACCCGTTAGCCACCACTGAGATCAAGATCTAGCCCATCATCAGCACCCCAGATAATGCCTGCATGCTTCCCAGTTGATAGGCAACTGCTTTTCTGATTTCTGCCACCACAGATTACTTTAGCCCTGTCTTGGACTTCACATAAATGAAATTTCACAGAATGCACTCCTTCGTGTCTGCCTTCTTTCCTCCCCATTATGTATATGAAAGTTGTCTACGTTGTTCTATGAAGCTGTACTTTGTCCTTTTTCATTGCTGTATAATATTCTGCAGAAGAAACACACCACAATCTATTTACCCATTCCATTTCCAAGAGACATTTGGGTGGGTTGTCTCCAATCTGGGCTAATGTGAATAGTGCTGTGATGAGCACCATTTCACAGGTCTCTGGGGGAATATATGTGCTTATCTGTGGGCATTTACCTAGGAGTAGAACTGCTGGGTCATGGAGCAAGCCGTTCAGCTTCGGAGGTTACTGAACAATTCTCCACTGTGGCTCTGCCAAGTTACACACCCATCAGTAGGCTATGAAGTTCCTGTTACTCCACATCCTTACCAATACTTATATTACCAGTTATTTGTTTTGTTGTGCTGTCTTAGTCATGCTGGTGGGGTAGTGTCATTTCGTGGTGGTTTGAATTTCCATTTCCCAGATGACCAATGTTGTTGAGCACGCTTTCTTGTCCTTACTGACTTTTTTGGATAGTTACCCCATTCCTCCCTCCCTTACCTCTCTCTCTCTTTCTTTCTTTGTTTTTGTTTTGTTTTGACCAAGATCTCTCTCTTTCTTAAAGCCCCTCCCTTTCCTATTTAAAAGCCAGTGGCCCAAGCACAGAGAGAGGGGCCTCCTTGGAGCTCAGCAAAGGCAATTGTGTCCCACTTCGTCTGGGTCTGTACTCTCTTATCATCTCAAAGTGCTGTGAATGTCGCACCCCAACGCAGATGGGCCCCAGCAGGGTTGCTGCGCATGTGTGTAAGGAATGCGGTTTCTGTATTCTGGCCTTGCCTGGTCTGCCTACCTTGCAGAACTATTTTCCATTACATAAGACTCTGCAAAAGGCCTTGAGTTGCTGAGAGGAAAGGCACTGCATAAAATGCAAACTAACAAAAGCATTGATATCAAGTAATGGGGGAAATCCATCATGCCCTTGTCACTGGAAGAGCCCGATTATCTGATGGCTGCTGGCAGACTCATCCAGGTAGAAAAGGCAAGATCTGCAGGCTATAAACAGCCTCCTGGCCCCCAGCCTGGCTGAATACTCAATAATTTGCCTATCAATTAAGCCAAAGGAGAGGTGGGTGTGAGTAAGAGGGAGGGAGAAAGGCAGGCAGCTGAGTAGGATCTGCTTGTCTGTCACAAGGCCTCCTCGATTAACCATATCCTAGGCTCTCCCAAATGACTCATTTAACAGCATTCAGTTTGTCCATCCGTGAAATGGGCCTAACCAAACCAAATGGTCGTCATTTCGTACTTTGCAGAGATTATAAGGATAAATTTCATAAAAAGCATAAAGCAGTTACAGTTGCAAAAAGAAGCAAGGGAGCAAAAACGAGATGCCCATGCCAGGTTTTGCAGTGGATCTGAATCCAGCATAAGGAGCCTGTGATTTTGGAGGGGCCGGTGGTATAACCCTGTGAAGCAGATGGGATTGATGGCCTCCTCAACCTCCACACTGCTAAAGGAACCCGAATCGAATTCAGATGTCCAGCCTCAAGAAGGGGGATGCCATCCCAATTCAGAGGCAGAGCTTTACCCTTCTAGCCCAATCAATGGTAATCTCCCAGAAACTGGTTTTGGGAGTGGGGTCATGTGATCCAGTGTTGGCCAATGAGCTGTGAGTTAATTCGGTTGAGGGGCCTTATTTTACTTAGGAAGGCAACCCTGGAAACATTCGTGATATTCAGCTGGCCTGTACCAGTACAGCTAGAGTTTTTTCTTACTGGTCGGTTATGACCTACTGTACAGGTTGTTGAATGTTTTGAATATCACTCCTGGCTGGAAAGAGAACAGTTCCTTGCCACTGGAGGTTGTGTGTCTGCATGTGATGCCTGGAACTGCAGTAGCCTTTTTGGGACCAGTTGGAGGCTGAAACTCACACATACACCAAGGAGGGCAGAGAGAATCACAGAAGAGCAGCCTTGAAGTGCGCATCTCAGGGCACTTCCTGCCTTGGGGTTTCTAGTTAAGTGAAAGTAAACTCCCTTAACATTTTGAGTTGAGGGTTTCTGTTACTTGCAACCGAAAGCATCCTCCTTAGGATGCAGCCTACAGATCATTCTGGAAACAGAACAGCTGAAAGGCCCCCTAAATAAGGGCAATTGGAGCAGTAAGGCCAGCCTGTGTCAACACATGACAACCCATCTGATATGGTTTGGATTTGTGTCCCTGCTCAAATCTCAATTTGAATTGTAATTGCCATTGTTGGAGGTGGGGCCTGGTGGGAGATGATTGGATCATGGGACAGAGTTCCCACGAATAGTTTAGCACCATCACCCCTTAGTACTGTATAGTGAGTGAGTTCTCAACAGATCTGGTTGTTTAAAAGTGTGTGGCACCTCCCCACCCTTCCTCCTCCTGCTCTGGCCATGTGAGATGTCTCACTCCCCCTTTGCCTTCCATTGTGATTGGAAGTTTCTTGAGGCCTCCCCAGAAACAGAAGCTGCTATGCTTCCTGTACGGCCTGCAGAATTGTGAGGCAATTAAACCTCTTTTCTTATAAATTACCCAGTCTCAAAAAAAAAGGAAAAAATAAAAAATAAAGAAAATACCCAGTCTCAGGTATTTCAGTGTGATATGGTTTGGCTGTGTTCCCACTCAAATCTCAACTTGAATTATATCTCCCAGAATTCCCATGTGTTGTGGGAGGGATCCAGGGGGAGGTAACTGAATCACGGGGCTCGTCTTTCCCATGCTATTCTTGTGATAGTGAATAAGTCTTACGAGATCTGATGGGTTTATCAGGGATTTCCACTTTTGCTTCCTCCACATTTTCTCTTGCCACCGCCATATAAGAGGCCTTTCACCTTCCACCATGATTCTGAGGCCTCCCCAGCCATGTGGAACTGTAAGTCCAATTAAACCTCTTTTTCTTCCCAATCTCAGGTATGTCTTTATCAATAGCCTGAAAATGGACTAATAGACAGTGCAAGAACGGACTAATGCATCATCAGAGCCTAAGCAGAAAAGAGTGTGGGCATGAACTAGTGAGTCGAGTCCCTGTGTTGTATCCACTCCTGGCCTGAGGCCTCTCAGTGCTTATCGGTGAGGCTAAGGATCTGGGGGTATCCTCCCCAACCCTATCAAGAAGAGAACACTGGAGAAGCAGAGGCTCTCCACTTGAATTTTACGGAGTAACCAAGGACACTGAGTTGTTGCTAGGGGTGTGTGAGGCAGCGTGAGAGTGCGTGGAGTAGGGAGGCTCCTATGTAAAGAGAATACAATACTACCCCCTTGTCCATGGTTTCGTTTTCTGTACTTTCACTTACCTGCAGTCAACCTTAGTCCGAAAAGATTACATGGAAAATTCTGGAAATAAACTTAAATTGTGCACCATTCTGAGTAATGTGATGCAATCTTGCATTGTCCTGTTCCATTCTGCCCAGAACGTGTATCATCCCTTTGTCTAGAGGACCCACACTATCTATGCTACCCATCCATTAGGCAGTAGTCATCTTGGTTATCGGATCAACTGTCACGGTATCAAAGTGTTTGTGTTTAAGTAACCCTTATTTTACTTAATAATGGCCCCAAAGTGCAAGAGTAGTGCTGCTGGCAATTCCGATATACCAAAGAGAAGCCATAAAGTGCTTCCTTTTAACTGAAAATTTGACCTTGGCATTCCTTGATTAGGCTCGGTACTATCTGTGGTTTCAGGCATCCACTGGGGGTCTTGGAACATATCCCCTGCGATAGAGGGGGACCAACACTAAATGAGACGGAGACTGTTTCTCACAGAGCGCTCTGCATTGCCAGAGCGGTCATAATCATGTGAAGCTTTCAGTTGCATAGTAGTTTTATTATAACTCCTCAATGTTTACTGATAGGCATCTCTCTCATTCTTCATAGAATCACAAAATCACAGACTGCCAGAGTCCAAGAGGCCTGAGAGATAATCTTAGATGAGGGAACGGAAACTCAGAGGTGTCAAGTGATTTCCTTCAGGTCACACAAATAAGGAATGTCAGGGAAAGTCTCCAAACTGGGCTGCAGAACTTCACAGGCAGTACCCTTTGTGCTACCCACATGGCTGGAGAGCAGAGGCGGGGAGCGCCAGGGTGGACAAGATAGGTCCGCTTAGGGGCTGGCTGACAAAATGGAGCCACGAAGGGTGAATGAACTTGCTAATTTGATCTGTTCTCAGTGAACTCCTGTGTTTCTGAAGTCTTAGAAGACACAAGACAAAGTCCCCAAGGCTGGTCTCATGGTTCTGAAGGTGCTCTCTTTCTCTTATTCCCAGACTCTCTCTGTTGCAAGAAGACAGATAAGGGGACCACATGTACTAGTTGTCCCTGCCTAAGTGTTTTAGCTCAGAGCTGACCTTAGCTTAGGACTCAGCATTCTTCACACACCCCAAAGAGAATCTGCTCATTCCTAAAGCATTCATGGGCCATGCAGGTTGTAATGAAGAATTTGTGGGAAGATGGAGGAAGGAGTTACATCCAAATATCCAGGCTGCTGAGTTTTACGTTGCCAGGGGGTAACTCTCACTTAAGATACAGCGTGACAATCGCCCCTGGAGGTGTGCAAGGCAGAGACCCTGTGTATATCTCACTGTAAAGGGAATAAAGAGTTTCATCAGGGCACTGCCCAAGCTCCCTTCGCCAATGCTGGAGGCCACCAAAACAGACACAATGACTGTTTCCTGGGATGGTCACTGTGGCAGAGTAGGTCACTGGTGCTGGGGGGTTAACATCCTAAGAACAACTCTTGATCACAGATGGAGGGGAGTTGATGCATAAACAGCCTAGTTCCGGGCTCTTCAGTCAACAACCCCAGGGTATGGGGCATGTTCCACACAGGGGGCCCTAGCAGGATTGAGCCCTGTTGCCTACCTGTTCCTTAGCACACCCTTGATTGGTTTCTCTCCCTTCCCTGTCTCACTTCCCCAGCCCCTCATCATGCCTCCCGGGATCACCTCCCCAACAAACTACCTGCTCTCAAATCTTTGTTTTAGGGTCTGCTTGTAGGGGGAACCCAGACTAAGGCATCCTCAAGGTAATTCCCTCCCCTGACAACTGCCAACAGAGCTTTCCTCTCTGCCTCCACCTACCTAGCCTGGCCCCAGTCTTGTACGCTGCAGTTTCTTTTCTCCTGGATCTTAACCCCCACCCAATATTATCTCTTGAGAGCAACTCTGCCCTGATCAGTTTCTATCTCCTACTCCACCCCCAACCACCCTCTGACCCACTTGGCCAACACACACACACACACACTCATTGCAATGTCAAAGTTTTTCCTGTAGCTTAGGGAAAGTTTACCCCCAGATATGGACTGAACCCAGCAGAAATAAAAAGGGAACAAAATGGCAGTGTTCATGTTATTTTATTTTTAATTCCACAGCATTTCTCCCAATTCCCAGCAGAAAGGAGATGTGGCGGATTAAAGATGGCCACCAATGCTTTCACACTCCTGGAAGTCTAGATCTCTTCCTTTAAATCTGGGTGGGTTCTGTGACTTCTTTGACAAACAGAATATGGCAGAAGTGATGCTGTGCCAATTTTGGTGCCCAGGCCTTAAGACCCTGGCAGCTTACGCTTCCTGTTTCTTGGAACACTCACTCTTAGAACTGCCACATAAGATGTCTGACTCACCTACTAGAGACATCACATGGAGAGGCCCTGAGATCATATGATATGGGAGAGTGGCCCAGCGAGCCCAGCCTTTTAACCTTTCTGGCCGAGGCACTAGACACAGCCCATCTTGGACCCTCTAGACCAACCAGGCTGCTAGCAAATACTGCTGAGTGTTCTCAGCAGATACCATATAAGGAACAAAAGAACCGCCCAGCCGAGCCCTGCCTGAATTCTGACACCCCGCAAAGTTGTGAGATGTAATAAAATGGTTTTCCTTTGAAGTTACTAAATTTAGGGATCATTTATCATGCAGCAATAGATAACTGGAACAGCAGGCATCAAAGAAATGTTCATTGAATAAAAGAGCAAAGGAAGGAGGGGAGAAAAGAAGGGAGAGGGAGGAAAGCACTGCAGAGAGGGAGGAAAGGAGGGCAGTCCCCACTTGCTCTCAGGCAGCTGCAATGGGGCTGATTAAATGGTAAGCACTTGCAATGCTCATCATTCCATTTTGAGGAGACAGGTTCCTTTTGCATAAGTTGCCACCTGTGTTATATGTCATTTAACTCTGTTACCTGATTACCCTGTTACCTTTGATTGGATCGGGTATCTGCACCCTGGGCATGAGGTGTCCTGGCTTGAGAACTCTGAGGAGCCCCAGCAAGGCTGGTGCATCTGCACGGTGTGGTGAGGAGCGCACTTGATGAGATCCACTCTGGGGGAAAGTGTCTAATTCTGGACACCTTGAGAGGGAGCAGTAGAAGCCAAAAGAAGCTGGTTCTCAAGAATGGAGGTGGCTCTGGAGTCTGGAGCAGCTGAGGACAAGACCAGATGACAAGTCTGGCTGTGGCTGCTGCCATTTCCAGAAGCAAGGCAGGAGCTCTTGCTCATGCTTGGCCCTCCAGGGGCTTCTATAGACCCCGGCACCTGTGCTAACCTCATTGTGTCTCTGTGCTTTATAACCTGAGAGAGCCTAATAGGATGAAAAATAAAGTGAGTGGTGTGTCTGAATGTATATGCTTCAAAAGTGCATTTGTGTATGTGTTTGTAGGTTGCATGTGTGCGCACATGAGTGAGCAGTTTGTTAGGATCTCTGGGCTTTAACCTAGGAAATAAAAATACTACTCACTCTCTGTTTCCTCTTAAAAAAGACATTTTCTTTGCAATTTTTTCCCCTGTGGTGGGGCATAGAGCCGCTGTTGGTGATTAAAGGGCAAGTGGTAAGACTGTGGCTTAAAATATTTTTAAACCTTGTAGTCCTTTGTTTCAAACAGAATGTTAGTGAGAAGACAGTAAGGTAAATCAGATAAAAGCCCCCACTGCTCTGATTTGGGTGGGGAAAGGGAGGCAGGAACACAGAGCTCAACCACTGGCACCCCTCCCCCAACCCTGAGGAGGCCCCAGGGATCCCCTAAGACTGTAGAGTTCAGAGGCAGAGGAGAGAGTTAGTAGCAGCCCCTCTCTGCTACTAACTCTATGACTCAACTTCTCTGAACCTTCTGAACCTTAGCTTTTTCAACTATTAAATCAGGATTATACCCATTAGGACACTCTCAGCAGAGTATCTAACAAAAAAAAATTTTTTTAAACAATGACAGTATATTAACGTCTTATATAACAAGAAGTCCAAAGCCAGGCATGGTGGCTTGTGCCTGTAATCCCAGCACTTTGTGGGGCTGAGGCAGGAGGATCGCTTGAGACCAGGAGTTTGAGATCAGCCTGGTCAACAGAGTGAGACCCCGTATCTAAAAAAAATTAAAAAATAAAAGTTAGCCGGGTGTGGTGGCACATGCCTATGGTCCCAGCTACTCAAGAGGCTGAGGTGAGAGGTTTGCTTGAGCCCAGGAGTTCAAGGCTGCAGTGAGCTATGATTGGGCCACTGCACTCCAGCCTGGGTGACAGAGTAAGACCCTGTCTCTTAAAAAAAAAAAAAAGAAAAAGAAAAAAAATCTAGAGGCAGGTGGTCTTACATTGAGTGGCAAAAGAGGTCATGAAAGACCCAAGCTCTTTCTACATTTTTGTTTTGTCATCCCCTCACAATCAAAAAATGGCTGCTGCTGCTCCTACATCTAATATCCTTACGATGGCATTCAAAGGCTGGAAGAAGGTGGATGGGTGACAGTGGCAGCAGTCTCCTTAGCATTGCTCTTTTTCAGGGAGAAAAATATTTCTGAGAAATTACCCACCAGGATCATCCTAGGTTTTATTGATCAGTTCAGGGACGTCCCTATACTAAATCATCAAAAAATTGGTTTTTGCATGATGATTGGCCTAGGGTAATTGAGTCATCTCCTGGGATTGAGCCCACCTTCCATGAACGCCTGTGGTCCCAACTACTCAGTAGGCTGAGGCAGGAGAATCGCTTGAACCCAGGAGATGGAGGCTGCAGTGAGCCGACATCATGCCACTGCACTCCAGCCTGGGCAACAGAGCGAGACTCTGTCTCAAACAACAACAACAACAAGAACAACAACAAACTGGGCACTTATCAGCAAGCAACAGGGGGTAGCTATCGGTAAGCCCAAAGAGATGTAGCTATCCACCCTGCATCTCTCACACTTGGAATCAGCTGTAATGGTCTAACTGGGTAATGACAGTGAAAATGCTTTGTCAACTAAAAGGGCCCACAGACACTCAAAACTAATGCTGTGCTCTAAGGTCTTGAGCACTGGGTTTATCTCACACAGGTGAGCATGTTACTGCTGCCTGAGAACCATCCATTTCACCATTGACCTTGACTCCACCCTTCAGGGCCAGGCTGTATGGAGAGAAGATTTAACTCAAGTTTAGAATATAATCCACAGCCCTGGTTTTCTGTAGGCAATCAGCATTTTGAGCCATCAGATGTATGTATCTAATCTTACCTCCTTGTCGACGTGTTTTGCATTGATTATCTGATTTCGTGCAGGATGTGTGTGGTTGGTGGCTGCCCCTAATCTGGCTTCACGTGGTGTCGTCCAGCCTGAGCTGTAAACACAGATACACTAGGGACCATGCCAGTGCAGTTCGCTCAAGTGCCATGCCCGTCCCACTGCCCATGCCCACTAGCCCTTAATAAATGCTTCCTTGCTGTGACATGGACAAGAAAATCTGTGGACACTTCTGGCAGCTGTTTTTTTTTTTTTAAATCTTCCTCCTCCCACCAAGATGTCAGTCTCCAATTTGCGAACCCAACTTGTTTTGGAAGCGTTTAAGAAAACAATACTTACAGTCCTTACAGCTTCTTACGACAGAGGACCAAGTATTAGATTCCTGCTATACCCATGAGAAAACACCGAGGCATACAGTGGTTATTGGTGTGGGGAGGTAGAGATTCACAGCTGATTAAGGTTTTATAGAGGATCTGGGGTGGGGTTTTAGGCTGCTGCAAATTGACCTAAGCCAATTTGGTCATGCAAAACTATTAGGCTCTTTTTGGGAAACTTCTGTAGCCTCCAGTAATTAGAGATGGGTGAGGGGGGTAAGTACCCTTCCTACACTGGGCCACCAGGTCACTTTCAAGGAAGTCTTGCTCATCAGTCTTCTGAGCAAGCTGTGCAAAGCAGTCATACAACTTGTTCTGTTAAGTTCAGTGAAGTTCAGCTCTCTGTCCTTTGAAATGCTCCAACAGCGCCTTGCAGGAAAGTTTGCCCGAGGCGAGCAGTGGGATTCTCTAACCTTCTAGTCTGACTGAGGGGTGCAAAGTCCACCAAATCAGCATTTGGATGTACGCAGGACCATGCAGGAATCAAGCCCAGGGTGCCATTCATACAAGTACAAACCATGGAGCATGCCAGATTTTCCTACTCTGTGCCTGCAAGAGCTGGAATGGGGGTGGGGGTGGGGCACATGGGAAAGTACCCAGTTTGGCCAGGAAGCAGAGGGAGAGGAGGAAATGGTGGGCACTTGCCTTTACTATGGTTTCCGTGGGGAGGAATAGGTGAGACAGGATGAGCAGGCTTAGAATTGGCTAATTTGAATAATTTCAGTGGAGAAGGGGTGGGAAGAGGGCTGGGAGGAGATGCAACAGGAAAGGAGGCCAGGCTGGCCTCTACAGGGAGGCAGGACTCCTGCTCCCTGCTCAGAGAGGCCAGGGCCACTCTAGGAGAGGAACACCTCTGTTGTGATTTGGAGACCCTCATTCATGGTCCTCCAGGAGGCAGGTGCGGGGCAGGGTGGGGGTGGGGTCTGCTGTGCTCCCCCTTCAGGAAGGAAGAACTTACTTTCTTCTGCTGAGAGCACTGCCTGCAGCCAGCCCCTCCCCAAGGCGGAAGAAACTGCCCTGCCAAGGGTTATGCCAGCCTTCTAGGGAAGCCCATGTCCAGGAGCTGATCAATGGGAGGCTATAGAGGCTGGCCTTCCACCCCAAATCTGAAGGCTCCACCCAGCTCCAGAGTGTTGTGCCGGACCCTTATTGACTCCTGTAATGATGGCACTGCATCCAAGAGGCCGAAGAAGAGACCCAGAGATAGAGAACAAGACATAGGGTTTACCGGGGGGACTTCCACACGGGGATAGTCCAGTGATGGCGGGCTGGACAGGACAATTGCTACAATTTGTAATAAGCATGCCGTTTATATGGCATTTTCACTTAGTACTTGCCACCTAGCACCCTCCATCTAGCAACCTCCATCCAACCCCAAACAAAGGGCCTTGATCCCCTGTATGGCCTGCATTCCAAGGGATGGGCTGGGGGTTCAGATGTCCTTCATAGATATGGAGTGAATCTCCAGGTTAGCCACTCCGGGATTACTTAGCTTGGGACTTGGAATACACACTCTTCTTAGACCACATGGTCATTCTCAGGGTCATTCTTCAGTTATTGCTGTCAGGCGCATCTGCCATATACAGAGCCCTCCGCCAAACACAGAGCCCTCCGTGAGGCCAGCTGAGGCGACTGTCGGGCTTGCATTATAGTCTAGTCCCCACTCCCTTCCCCAGGTGCTGATCCTAACAGCGCTCCCTAGCAAAGGTCCTGCCTGCTACTCTCAGTCTCAGCATCTCCTTCCCCAGGAAACTTGACCTGCAACAGCACAGGTGGGTCACTCTGTCCACTTGTGGTCGCCAGGCTGGACAGAGCAGGCTGGTACTAGAGCCGGGCACCCCCCGAGGGGAGATGAAGAGGCAAGAACCGGCTTTAATGACCAGCTCATTTGCAGACCTTTCCTTGACCTCCGCCCTGGCTGCCTTCTCCCTCTTCCTGCCCCTGTAGGCCCTCTGTGAGGGCACTCATTAGACCTGGGTTTCAGATTGTGTGCATTGTGGAATCTTACTGTCTGTCCCCTCTGAGCAGTCTCCTACATCCTGTGAGTGTGCCTGCTCAAAACCTGCCAAGGCAGGAGAACAGAAAAATGTGGACACAGAGGGGAGGGGAAGATAAGGAAAAGAGTGTTCCTGCCTCGAAAACATAAAGAGAGCCCCCCTCTGCCCGCCCCCCCCGCCCGCTTACATGCAAAAATGTGACAATTGACCCCCTCAGACGGCTCCCTCCTGCCCTGAAAGTGTTAATCCACCTCGCTGGGGGTAGGCCGGCCTCCCCACAGGCTATTTCCCTGGGCCTGCCTGGCTGGGGATCAGGCCCATTGTTAATAAGTAATGACAGCCAGCTCCTCCATGCATTCCCCTGGGGTTTTGTGTCAGAAACGTCTTCCCTCGCTGCCGCTCGAGCTGACAGGCTCCAGCTCCCGGCAGGCGGCTGTGAACACAAGCCAGCCTCCGCCAGGATGCCCCACGTCATCGGGCCC
This sequence comes from Homo sapiens, assembly GCF_000001405.40. NCBI lineage: Eukaryota > Metazoa > Chordata > Mammalia > Primates > Hominidae > Homo > Homo sapiens. The sequence continues at coordinate 40,474,350 of NC_000023.11, read as the reverse complement.
AGAGCCCCAGGGCAGCAGAGAGGGCAGTAATCCCATCCCTCCTCCCTTCTCAGGTGAGGATGATGTCAGCGGTCTGTAGGGACCGTGGGCCCTGTAGGGAACCTCATAGCCTCCTTCAGCAAGGGGTGGGGCTATGCTCTGATGAGTGGCAGATTCCTTAAAGCCTTAAGCCAGCAGGAGCCTGGCTGCATGGCCTCAGTCCCTGCCTCTGCTCTGTGGGAAATCAGCTCACTAGGGTTGGTATTGCTGATGACACCATTTTAAGGATGCCCCAGGAACTGGGTAGTGCAGGTGGCCTTGCTGACTAGCAGGAAGTTCCTTCTTCAGTCTGACCTAAGTCACACATCATGTTTCGCACTTACATTTGCCCAGAAAGGGTTCACAAACAAAAGCATTCTGGAACCTTCCGGAGAAAAAGACAATGTTTTTCCCTTGCCAATGCTCCATCCTGTTTTAACCTATATGCTTTACTGTTATTCAAGTATGGTGAGGCCAGCCATTATGGATGACCATTGCCATTAAAATGGAGACCATTGCCATTGAAAAGGCAGTTTGCTATACTCACAGATCCCAACAGGAGGGGGCATGCCACTCCATGGGTTGGGGAGGGGAGACCACGAGGAAGTGCTCAGTTTGATCAGGAAGCAGAGGTCGAGGAGGAAATGGTGGGCACGTACCTTTGTTGTGGTTTCTGCGGCAAGGAATGGGCCAGGCAGCATGAGCAAGTTTATGATTGGCTAGTTTGAATAATTTCAGTGGGCTCTGGGGTGTAGGGGCTGTCCCAGGCTGTCTAGTGGCTGGCCCTGGGGTAATTAGGGCTAGGAGTACGCTGTTAGGATAGCGGCCACTATTAGGATAGTGGCTTGGAGTGTGAGAGGCAGGAGCTGCTTCCTCTATTTAGGAATTGGCTAACTCTAAGAGGGGACAGTGCCTCCAAGGTCAGCAAGGCCCCGGTTGTCAGAGCATCAGAAAAGAAGAGACATGGTCGAGACCAGCCTGGCCAATATGGTGAAACCCTGTCTCTACTAAAAATACAAAAGTTATCCCGGCGCGGTGGCGCGTGCCTGTAGTCCCAGCTACTCGAGAGGCTGAGGCATAAGAATCGCTTGAACCTGGGAGGTGGAGGTTGTAGTGAGCCGAGATCGCACCACTGCACTCCAGCCTGGGTGACAGAGTGAGACTCCGTCTCAAAAAAAAAGAAGAAGAAGAAGAAGAGACATGGTTAATACATGTCCTGTTTCATTGTGCGTGGTTTATACTGATTGGAATAAGGTTCAGCTTATTATTGTGATTTGAAACCCACTGATAGCATGTTTTCAGCAGTACTATTAATTATAACAGAAAAGGGAAACAACCCAAATGTCCATCAGTATAAGAATGGTTAAATAATGGGCTAGCCATACTGTGGAATACTCTACAGCAAATACAAAAAAGACATACCTATGTGCACCGATACTGACTGCTCATGAAGATGTGTTAAATTTTAAAAGTTGTAGAGCCATTCACACCGTATAATCCCATTTATGTAAAAACAAAATGAGTAATAACAAACCTTTTGGTGGCATACGTACCTACATGTATATAAATACAAAGAAAAGACTATCTGGAAGAACGTACACCCACGATGAACAGTTTTGACCTCTGGGGAGGGTGTGACAGGTTGATTTCTCATGGAAGCAGGTGCTGAGGTGGAGTAAGGAGGGCCAAGGGTTTGTTGGAAGTAGCACCGCGGAAGGAGGAGGGGAGGAAGAAGGACGGGGCAGGGAGAGCCATCAGGTGGCAGTGCAGATCTGAAAAGTCTCTGCTAGCCCAGCGGGAGTTCCGAGCAAAGGTGCTCATCAGAGGAACCCTGTCTAATTCAGAAAGGGCTGGCCCTGAGTACCACCCGCCTTGCTCAGCCGCTTGCCGGGGAACACGTGGGAAAGGTTGAGGTGGGCCCTGAGGCTGTCTGCTCACAACACTCGGAGAAGTTGCACAGCAGATGTGCTCCTGAAGGGGATCGGAGCAGCTCAACCCCACGTCTGCCACAGAAGGCTTGGGGTGTGGGGAGGAGGAGGGGCCGGGGAAATGTGTACTTTCCTGGCATTTGACTTTGCGCCTGGAGACTACTGATGTATGCAAGTTGTAAACAGAGGGAAAGACAGAGAATCTAATTGGCTCCTGCCTGTGACTCCTCCTCCTTCTCGCAAGTCCTCACATGCTCTCAGCAGCTGCAGGGGCCCAGGAATCCACCCAGCTGCAGCATTTACTGTTTCTTGTCGTCTGGCTTTAGCTCAGAAGACCATATGCTCACATCCACTCTCTCCTCCTCTGACTACACCATACTAGCATAGTTAACATTCCTTTCTAGGAACAGTTCAGTGGCACTGTGCAGGCTCAGGATGCCAGGTGTGATACGAATGCTGGGGAGAGAGAAGCAATAGCTTAGGTCCTCGCAGGGGAGATGGAGAGTCACACATTTGCAGCTTCACACTTTTCAGGGCAGTATGTGCTCTGTGCTGAAGGAGAAGTTCAAGGAAGGGTCATTAGCAGGCATGACTCTGACCACCCCGAGCATGGTTCAGGTCAAGGCACGCTTCTTCAATGGGTGGCATTTGGACTTGGCCTCAAAGGATAGAGAAGGAAGGAAAGAACATTCCAGTAAAAGGGAACAACATGAATATAGACAGAGAAGGGGCCGGGTGCAGTGGCTCACGCCTGTAATCCCAGCACTTTGAGAGGCCGAGGCAGGCAGATCACCTGAGGTCAGGAGATCAAGACTAGCCTAGCCAACATGGTGAAACTCCGTCTCTACTAAAAATACAAAAATTAGCTGGGCGTGGTTGCAGGTGCCTGTAATCCCAGCTACTCGGGAGGCTGAGGCAGGGGAATTGCTTGAACCCAGGGGGCGGAGGTTGCAGTGAGCCGAGATCATGCCATTGCACTCCAGCCTGGGCGACAAGAGCGAAACTCCGTCTCAGAAAAAAAGAAAAAAAAGACAGAGAAGGGGAATATGCAACAGATGTATAGACTCCAATCTAATTCAAAAGTCCAGAGATCATACTGCCTTCAGACAAGTCCCAACCCAATATCTCTCAGGGTTGGGCTTCTCTTCATCTTGCCATATAGCAATCCTGTGGTGTTGGATTCGTCCCCAAATTTCAAACACCGCCTCCCCCGCCGCTCCAGACTGCTTACAAAACGACTGCCATGGTTCCGCACCTCACATCTCCACACCACACAGGCCAAAGGAAAAGAGAACAACTCCCTCCAACAGCTACCGAGGAAGATACCTTTAGCATCACTTTTCCATAAGGCCCCAGCAACAGTCTCCTGACATCTCATTGGTGCTAGTCAGGCTATGTGCCTATCCCTGGACCAATCACTGAGGCTAAGTGGATTTCTAGGTCCTGGAAGGGAGACATTGGTTGGAGATGGCTTCGGCTTAAAGATAATGCCAATTCCTATGGGGCAAACAAGCTTCAGAACTTACCAGTTACTCCTAAATCTAGAACAGGAGTTGAGATATGAATGTAGCAAAAACCTTCAAAAGCATCATTAGAGGAAAAGACAGGACAACGTAGAGATCTATAATTTTTTTCCCTGCTACACTTTAATTGCCCTTCTCTGGCATGCACTGCATAAATTAAGAGCTAGTTAATGCTGTAATGCGTAAAACAATTTCATGCATCTTAAATATTGTACTTGTACTTTAATTCCACATTAAGTGGTCCCCTGAAATTTTTAAATTTACAAAGTCACTGCTGTGCTACATGAAAAAGGTGCTAATTAAGTGTTAATCAGTAGCCAGATAACCTTCCCTAAACCCTGCCCAAGGTCTCCAAAATGACCCATTGCCAGAGAACTCGATGTGATGGCCACAGAACAGAGAGTGCAGAGCAGACACAAAATGGTTTTTCAGCCACATCCCAGCCAATTAAGGCAGATTTGCTTATTATGCAGTTCTAATTAAATGGCATCCACTTTAGTGGACACAAGACTAATAATAATAATAGTATTTAATACCAGCAGAGCTTTCCAAATTCAAAACACTGGGAAAACACTAGCTGATTAACAAGTGGGCATCCCTTTCTGGGCAAGAAGAGGGCTTTTTGGGTGGGCTTGCTAAGAAACAGGAGGCATGCACAAGGACAGATAAAATGAAAAGATATGGTTCCCTCTCTTTAAGGGGCTCACCCTCTTATAGACCAGCAGTGCTACTCGCTACTCAAAGTGTGGCCCGTGAACCAGCTCTGGATCACAATGATATAAACATGGAAAATGACAGTAAACCATTGAGAAGCCTTGAAAGCAACTTGACCTTGCTGTGATGTCCAAGTGTGTGATCAGTGAACTCTTGTTGAATAGGAAATAAATCAATTCCATCTTCCATGGTAAGTCACACATGGCATGAACTCTATAATAGTCATATGCAGTAGGGTCACATATCAGTCTATGATGTACTAGAAATTATATATATATATATATATATATATTCTGGTCCTTTATCACAGATGGTTTGAGAAACACTCCTGTAGACATATCAATCGTATAGAATAAGGGGATATGGGTTTAGTTATATCCCCACAAATCAAGGCAAGGAGTTGGAGAGGAGACTCAGCGATGTGCCGTTTCACACCTCTATATTTTTCCTCATGCTATTTCTCTGCTTGGAATGTTCTGTGTGTCCTCAGCAGCCCCACTTCCCGCCCAACCTCTTTACACACGTGAAGTCATCTCAGTTCCTGGAAATGTGGCTTCCTTCAGGAAAGATTCATGACTCCTCCCCACACCTTGCTGCAGAACTGGCTCTTCTTCCTTGGTGCTATTTCAGTCGCGTGTGCACTCTGCCATTGTTGCACTTTTCACACAGGGCTGGGTACATTTATGTCACTTTGCCCAATGGGACTGACAGATCCTTGAAGGTGGGGCTGATGATTTATGGTTTTAAATGCCCAGTACAGAGCACAGAGTAGATGCTCATTAAATGTTTGCTGAATTCAGTTTTTTAAAAATTGTGTAAAATATATATAGCAGAGTTGGGTGTGGTGGCTCACGCCTATAATCCTAGAACTTTGGGAGCCCGAGACCAGAGGATTACTTGAGGTCAGGAGTTCAAGACCAGCCTGGGCAACATGGTGAAACCCCGTCTCTACTAAAAATACAAAAACTAGCTGGGTGTGGTCATGCACACCTGTAATCCCAGCTACTTGGGAGGCTGAGGCAGGAGGATTGCTTGAGCCTGGGAAGCAGAGGTTGCAGTGAGCTGTGATTGCACCACTGTACTCTAGCCTGGGCAACAGAGTGAGACTGTCTCAGAAAAAAAAAAAAAGAAACATATATATATATATAGTAAAATTTACTATTTTAACCATTTCTAAGTGTACAGTTCAGTGTCATTAAATACACTCACGTTGTTTTGTAATCATCAGCACCATCCATCTCCAGAACTTTTCTCATCTTGCAAAACTGAAACTCTGTACCCATTAAACAATAACTTCTGCTTCTCCTCTTTTCTGCCCGCCCCCTAGCCCCTGGCAGCTACCATTCTACTTTCTGTCTCTATGAATTTCATGACTCTAGGTACATGATATGAGTGGAATCATACAGGATTTGTCCTTTTGTGACCAGCTAATTTCACTTAACATAATGTCTTCAATCACATGTGTCAGAATTTCCTTCCTTTTTAAATGACTTCAATTTAAAATATTCAAGATTATTATATAGTTGTGCAATGAGTAGGAAGGGCATTCCCCCCGCCACCCCAGCTCAGCCTGTATTTGAAGCAGAGAACAGAGGACAAAAGGGTGTTGATGATCCAGGAGGTGGCAGCAGAAAACAAAGGGCCACTGTGTTCTGCAGGGCTCCTCCTCTCTTCCTGCCCTGTTTGCTCTTGTTCCTGCTCAGCTGTTTAGTTTAGCCTCTTGAAAGGAGGAGGTTCCGATCTGGACAGCCTGCCCAGTAAGGAACAGGCCTGAGAGGTGTTCTGGCAGGAGGGCAGCAGAGCACAAGTGGTGACAGTGGAAATGGACTCAAAGTCCCAGTGGTGGCTCCACCAACACTCACTGGCTGACCAACCACTTAACCTCTCTAAGCCTGGTCTATAAGATTGGGATGACAATATCGTGTACCTTACAGGGCTGTTGAGGGGATCCGATGAGGTAATGCATATAAACCACTTGGTCGGCTTGGAAGCACTGCATATGCCAGTTATTGTGTTTTTATTACTACTGTGAATGAAGAAGAAAGTACAGCTCATTATTTACACTTCCTGAGAAGAAAGTGAAACAGCTCCAGCATCATTCAGCCTTCATCTTTGGGGCATTTCTGGTTCCTTTCTCTTTTTCTTCTTCCACCCTCCAAACTTTCACCTTAGGAAGTGTTTCTAGACCAAGTGCAGTGGCGCACACTTGTAATCCCAGCACTTTGGGAGGCTGAGGCAAGCAGATCTCTTGAGCCCAGGAGTTTGAGACCAGACCGAGCAACATGGCGAAACCCTGTCTCTACTAAAAAAATCCAAAGCGAAACCCTGTCTCTACTAAAAAAATCCAAAAAAAATTAGCCGGGTATGGTAGTGTGCATCCCAGCTACTCGAGAGTCTGAGGTTAGAGGATCACTTGAGCCCAGGAGGTGGAGGTTGTAGTGAGCTGAGATTCGTGCCACTGCACTCCAGCCTGGGCGATACAGCCAGACCCTGTCTCAGAAAAAAAAGAAAAAAGGAAGTGTTTCGGTTCCATTCTGTCGAAATGTCATTAACTGCCACTACACTGCCAATGAGAGAAACAAAGAGGCACGACGGAATTCATTCAGGGTGTCAGCAAACACGATTGGAAGCATGAGCCGTACGCTAGGTTGTGTACTGGGAACAAAAAGAACAAGGAGCCAAATAGCTTGACCTAGAGGAGTCCACACCGTAGAGTGCGACCCAATATGGAAGTAGATGTTCACGACATCTTCCATCTTCCCCTCCAGGCCCACCCTCCACCCCCTCCTCCCTGCCCTGTGCCCCAGGAAGCTGACCCTTATGCATTCATTGCACTCATCTCAAAGGGCCCCCCACCCTTTGGCTCCCGTTGGCCAGTTCCAGCCAATAGGGAAGCCCCACCAAGAGATCAGAGGGCAGAGGAGAATGAGGGGACGCATTTAGTCTATCTTCCTCCCTGTGAAGTCTACTTGGGCTGACTGATCCTTCCACTGAAGGCCCCCATTTCTTTTAAGGTGGCCTCCTGTACTCAACTCTGTCCCCTTCTAAGTTTGGGGTAGCCACGACCTCCCCTATTCCCTTTGGCTCTAGGGTGATAACAGCTCCTGCTTCTTGTACTATCCCTGTGGTTCTCCTACCCCCACATCTTTGTTGATGGCCCCTTTGTAAATGAATACTTCTCAAACCATCTTAACTGCTTCCTGTTGGGACCCAACCTGATCTAAGTGCCACGTGGTAAGTAAGGGTCATTCCAAGCAGGGAGGAAGCCTTGCTCCCACCTCCCCGGCAGTCCCTCCAATCCAGCCCTTCTTGTCCTCTTCTCATTTCAGGCTTTAGTTGAAGAAAATGAAGTCAGGCTATCTCCAAGAAGATGAGATTTGAGGCTGGGGATATCTGGACGTTTTGAGAGGCTTTAAGGAGCTCTTCAGGTAGTATCCCTGGGTTTGAGGGTGCGGGGTGTAGTGGCGGGGGTGGGGTGGAGAGAGGGAGGCACGGGGAAAGTTTCATCTTCGGAAATGCTGCGCATCTGTGGGTGCACATACCTCACCTCTCTCGGTCTCCATGAGAGCTGTTTGTTTCATTAAAGCAGAACCTGACCTCATGAACCTCTTTATGTGCCAGGAGGGACCAGGAGCCTGCAGTTGTCTGGAACATCAGGTTATGACAGCCACCAAGTTCTCTTCTTCATGAGCCTACTTGGGGCCCCTTTCCAAAGATCCTGCCCCCTGGCCTCCACTGAAGGGGCTGGAGGCACAAGACCTTCCCCATGGCCACAGCCGATTGGATAAGGGATGGGCACCTGACCTGGCTGGACCAATCAGATGCTGTCCCAGGAATGTGGCCATAGGGCATCTTTGCATTTCTAGGCACACCTTGTGGGCTGCTTGAACTAAGAGGACACTTTGTGCCAGGCACAGCTCTGGGCACAAGGAAGACACAGGTGAACAGACCAGGGAGGGCCATCAGAGACAGCCATTTTCTACCATGTGCATACAGTAGCAGAAAAGGCTCTGAGATAAAAAAAAAGAAGCAAGCTCAGAGAAAGGCAGGAAGCAGAGACTTCAAAGCACCAGAAAGAGAGAGGAGTGAAGGAAAGTACATAGCTGCCAAAGTTCCTGCTGGCTCCCCAGTTGCTGGTGCCAGTCCCCAGAGGCCGGCTACACTTCCTGTCCTTGAATCTCTGATATTGCCTCATGTTATTCCCATAAATTCTCCCTTTTTACTTAAGCTTGTGCAAGTGGGTTTCTGTTTTGCACTGCTAGACCATCCCTGCCCGAGGTGCACCACGTGGTACAATTAGCTCACAGTCCCTAAGGGGCAGTTTATCCTTTTTTCAGACTCTCTGCCATAAATTTTGAATCTCCACCTGGCTTCCCCTTGCCAACTAGTGAGTGTCCTTCTGCGTTAACTTTTGTTCTTGCAGGCCACCAAGGAGCTCGTGTCACCAGATCTGATGGCCTTTTCATACCACATGCTCCTTGTCCTCTCATTGCCCCACGTGGCTGACCACTCCTTTCTTCCTCACTCTCCCCCCATATGGCTGCCATGTCACCCCTCTCTCCTTCTCTTCCTCCCTGTCCTCCAGCTCTTCATTTGTCAGCTTGTCTAGCTTTCCTGGTGACTCAAGCTCCCCACTATGTTCACTACTTAAGCTTCTCTGTAGCATTCTTTCTGGTTCTCTCAGCAACCTCCTCCCGCACTGTGGCTTCCATCATCACCTCTCTCCAGACACAAGCTTGCACCTCGGTTTGGACCTCCCAGGTCCCCATTCCCATCTAGCTGCTGGAAGCATCTATGTGGGTGCCCCCTGATCCCTCAAGCTTTGTGCATCCCAAAGTGTGCCCTCCCAAGCCTGAGCCTCCTTCTAGATTGGTTAATGAGGCAAAAAATTTCTGTGCCCTTCATCCATGGCTCTCAGAGCTGGGGAATTCTGGCAGGGAATTTTGGCCGTGCTCCTCATCCCTCTGCCAGGAAATACCCACCTTGGACCTCACTCAAATCGTGATTCCAATTTCCTTGACTTTCTCCTTGCTGCTCATATTAGAATGAGTCACATGAGATCTTTGATGCTAACGTGCTCCCTGTCTATCATGGTGAGCCTCACTGGTCAAACCCAAGGATGTTGAAGGAAGCCCCATGTGACCTGTGTGCCATCCATGGAAAGGCTGGAAGCCTTCAGCTCCTTAGACAGGTTGTTCTGAGGGTCTTTTCTCCCTTAGAGGGATTTCATTCTCTCATGGGCATCAGTTAGAGACTTTCCATTCAGCAACCAAGGGGAACAAGGGGAGCAAGTGCCAGGCTGTCAGGATGCAGCTACAGGGCGCACAGGCTACAGGACTGTGAAAGAGCAGGAAGGTCCCACCCAGATGCAGTCACCTATCAAGTTAGCACAGGTGGAGCATCACTGCCTTCACCTTGTTGTTAGAGATCTTAGCTAGCAACTGATGAGACCATCCCCCCAACTGCACTGCCAAAGTACAGGACAAGGACCCATTCAGAAGGAAGTGTTTTTCCTGGGGGTATAGTAGTTAGGGAAACGCTGGCTGCTATAACAGATAAACCTCCAAGACTCAGTGGCTTACCACAACAAAAGATTATTTATCACTGACATAAAATCCAGAGTGGGTGTTCCCAAAGGACAGGAGGCTCTTCTCTCTGGGAGTGATTCAGAGTCTCAGGTTCCTTCCATCTTGTAGCTTGCTGGACTCATCTGTATCAAGGTGTGGAAAGGGGGAGAGCACATGGGAGGCTCTACGGGCCAGACCCGGAAGTTCCATCCATCTTTTCTATTCACATGCCACTAGCCAGAACAAGATCACGTGGCCACACCTAATTGCAAGGAAGGCTGAGAAATGTAGTCCAGCAAAATGGCTTTGGGAAGCAGCTTACTCATTTCTTTTTCAGGGGCTAACACATTGATTACAGTGAACCACTGGGTGAAAACTCATCATCTGCTGCTGCAGAGAGAGATTCTGAGGGACTAGGGCACAGAACAAGACTATCTTGGGCCGGGTGTGGTAGCTCACACTTGTAACTCCAGCACTTTGTGAGGCCAAGGTGGATGGATTGCTTGAGCTCGGGAGTTCAAAACCAGCCTGGGTAACATGGCAAAACCCTGTCTCTACAAAAAAATACAAAAATCATCCGGGTGTGATGGTGCACATCTGTAGTCTCAGCTACTTGGGTGGGAGGCTGAGGCAGGAGGATTGCTTGAGCCTGGGTTGTGGAGGTTGCAGTGAGCCGAGATTGGAGATATGCTGCCCCAACCTAGAAACTACCAGAAGCTAGGAGACAGGCCTGGAACAAATTCCTCCTTAGCACCTTCAGAGGAAGCATGCCCCTGCTGACACCTTGATCTTGGACTTTTAACCTCCAGAACTGTGAGAAAATACATTTCTGTTGTTTAAGCCACTCAGTTTGTGGTACTTTGTTGTGGCAGCCTTACAAAACTAATCTGCTGTTGTTTTTTGTTTTTTACTTGAAAATCAAATTTAGACCCTCCACCACCTGCACACCTACACTGTCTCTTGCTCACGTTATCCTAATAAAATTGTATCACAATTTTTTGTTACAACAATATTCAGTGTTCCTAAGTCTGTAAATGTATTCACTGCCATTTCATGTAGTCTGCTTTAAATACATGTCATCTACTATATACATTAGAGTTAATAATTTATTTCTTGCCCTTCCCCACCTTTTTTTTTGAGACAAAGTCTGGCTCTGTCGCCCAGGATGGAGTGCAGTGGCGCACTGCAACCTTGGCCTCCTGGGTTCAAGAGATTCTCGTGCCTCAGCCTCCTGAGTAGCTGGAATTAGAGGCATGCACCACCACATCTGGCTAATTTATTTTGTATTTTTTGTAGAGACGGGGTTTTGCCATGTTGGCCAGGCTGGTCTCAAACTCCTGGCCTCAAATGATCTGCCCACCTTGGCCTCCCAAAATGTTGGGATTACAGGCATGAGCCACCATGCCCAGCCTTGCCCCCTTTTTGTTTAGCTTTCTGTATATCTATTCTGAATTTACCACCAAAGGAGTATATGTATGTCTCTTCTGGATACATTCAAAGAAGCCCCTCCACTTCTTTGTATTCTGTTTCTTTGAGTCCCCGGCCTGGAATCCTGCATGCTCCAGCTCCTGCTGTGTCTGCCTGGGATCCATTCTGGGCTGCTGTCCAGCGGGCTGCCTGGGATCTCCCCTCGTCATCAAAGTGAGAATTCTCCTTGCCTCTCTCCAAGATGTGTACTCTCCAGTTTCCTGAATCCCAGGCTTTCCATGTCCATAGTTTACTTTCTTTATTAATCTTCTGCCATGTAGCAAATTACTCCAAAACTTAGCTGCTTAAAATGATGATAACGATTCATTAATTTTGTTTCCAGTAGGTACCTCCTGTTTCCTGTACAGCACCTTTATGGTCAACTGAGTATGGTGTCTTGAGTCTAGAGTCTTTCAAGTCAGATTTCTCCAGAAAGTGAACCCCATGCTCTGATGAGGTCAGGGGACAAGGGTACAGTGACTTACCTGGGAGAGGTGGCAGAATCTAACTGCCTCTTAGACATGCCAACAGTCTTGTCTTCAGCCCACGTGCACCTTCTGCGGTACCTGGTGCCTCCAGTCCCTCAGCCTTTTTGGGGTTGTGCTGCCTGAATTGACTTGCTTCTTACAGCTTCTACCCCCACAGGCACTTAGCTTCCAACATTCTCTGGTTGTCAGTCTGCTAAGTCAGTTACCTTTTGTCCATTTGCTTTCTGGCTTCAAAAATGTTAATGCCATCTTTCAACGGCTGCATTTTCTTCTCTCTCTCTCTCTCCTTTGTCCTTATGGATTTAGATTTTTTAAATATCCCATAACCGTTATTTTAGTGGGGGCTTTGGGAGAAACATCAGAGGCCTGGGAGTGTGCTCAATATTCCATGGCTAATTGGAAGTCATCTATCCATTTCTTCCGTTCAATAAATGTTGAGGTGCTCCAGCAGTAGGAACTATAGTCTGTATTTCTTAGGTATTGCCCCACAATAGATACTTACAGATTTGCACTGAATCCCACACTGGTGGGATCACAGTGGTGAGATGGCTACAGGATGGTCAACTTGGAGGAGATATTTGAGGAGGACCGTCAGTCTCCACCATACTCCCCGAGGATGCCTAAGCGCTGATGTCTGTTGCCCTTGCAAATGTAAAGCCAGTTCAGAAAAAGTTCCCTGCTTCCTAGTTCTGCCTTAGCTTACAGGGCCAGTGTGAGGGACACTTACTGAGTCACTCATTCACCCCTGCCTTCATTTCTAGTCTTTCATTCCTGTTGGCTTCAAGATACAAAGAAGCACTGAGACCTCCCCAAGCTGCTTGGTAACAGGTCTGCCTGGAGTCCCCTTTGGAAAAGCATTTGTGTGTTTGCTTGTAGGTCTGTGTGTGGTTGTGGTGGGTGGATTACATACTGGGGAAGTAATTCAAGTGGGAGAAGGGAGGAGCAGAGAGACAGATGGATAGGCCAGAGAAAGCTGAGAGATTCAACCAAAACAGCAAATATGATCAAGAGCCCAAATAGGCAAAAGTTAGGAACTCCATGGGGAAGGCTATGGTCGTGTAGCCATAGCCAGCTTTTTGCTGCGAGAAGGAAGTGGTGGACAAAATACCTAGCAAAAGTGATTCCATAGAGTGTGCAGAGAGCAAAGGCCACTGGCCCCTACTCATGTGAGTTTAGGTGCCATCCAGAGGGTGGGAAAGGATGCCTGTGTCCTCCAAAAATTCATGTTGAAATCCTAACCCCTAGTGTGATGGTATTAGAAAGTGGAGCCTTTGGAAAATCATTAGGTCAAGAGGATGGAGCCCTCATGAATGGCTTCAGTGCCCTTATAAAAGGGACCCCAGAGGGCTCTCTCTCCCTCTTTCTGCCATGTGAGGGCACAAGGAGAAGTCAGCTGTCTGCAGTCGGAAGCAGGACCTCCCCAGATCCCAACCCTGTGGGCACTGTGATCTTAGACATCCCAGCCTCCAGAACTGTGAGAAATACATTTCTGTGGTTTATCAGCCACACAGTCTATGATACTTTGTTATAACAGCCTGTGTGGACTAAAATAGTAATTGGTCCGAGGGCTTTCTGGCTTCTGTGGTCAATGGCAGTTCCTGCCTGAACGCTCTGTGCAGGACAAAGGAATTGAGGGACAGGTGTCAGCAAAAGACTCGTTTTGAGAATGCGGCTTGAACTCCTCAATTAGTACAGCTGGAATCTGGCTCCCTGAACAGCCCCTACATAAACAGAGTTCTCCCTGGATGGGTCATTTTTTCTTTTCATTCTCTCTCTCTCTCTTTTAAAATGGGGATTTGCCCAGGTTGGACTAACAACCCCTGGGCTCACATGATCCTCCCAGCTCAGCCTCCCAAGTAGCTGAGACTCTAAGGGCATGTCACCATGCCGGGAGTGGAGCACACAGATCTGAAATGTACAGCTAGATGAATTTGTGCATATGTATAGATGTGTGTAACCATCAACCAGATGGAGATACAGAATAACTTGAGCACCTACCCCAGAAGGTTCCCCTGTGCCCCCTCCTAGTCATGCCCCCATAAGCAGCCACATTCTGACCTTCAGCATAATTGATTGGCATCACCTGTTCTTGAACTTCATACAAATGGAATCCAATAGTTACTCTTTTGTGTCTGGCTTCTTTCACTCAACCTGATGTCCATAAGATTCATTTCTGTTACAGAGGTTTCAGTGGTTTGTTCTTTTTATTGCTGTGTAGTATTCCATTGTGTGATTACACTGCAATTTATCTACCCTCCTCCTGTTTTGGGGGATATGCAGTTTTGGAGCATTAATGCACAATTCCTGGAGAGTCTAGGAGTGAAGGCTCCTCAGTCCCCCAGCAGTGTCATTGCATGGCAAGATCATTCCCTCAAAACCCTATCAGACCTGCCATACAAGAGTTGTCTACAAGATGAGCAGTTTGTCTCTTGCCCCAAATAGTGGGGATCTAAAATACACATTGAGGAGCTCCATGGAGCCCATAATTCTGGGAGTCTGAAAGCCCAGAGACTGCACACCTCCCTTGTTTTGGCCCTACTTCTCCCACACCACTCCGGGCTCACTACTACATTGTAACCTTGGCCAAATCCAGCCTAGCCATCCTCCACCTGAATTTCTTCTTCAATTAACTGCAAAGAGGCCCAAATCAAATCACATATCAGGCCTATGATCAGGAATAACAAAAGCAGGAAAAGCCTCAGGGATGAGATTCTGGGCAGCTGATGCCGGGCTTTAACCTCCTCACCCTGCCATTGTGAGGACAACTCACACTACCCTGTCCTTAGCCCCTGCCAGCAGTTTGAGGCCCTTTATGAGATCTGCCCTGGGAGTAGGGGCCCAGACAAAGGCCGGGACTCTGCTGAGCTTATTGAAAGGAGAAAGGGCCCATTGATATGCATGGGAGGCCCGCCTCCCCTCCTTCCCTCCCTCCCTTTTCCTGGCCAGGAGTGGAGGCCAGCTGGGCCCAAGGCAGGCTTTGGGCAGGGCTGGACCAACTCTGAGGCAGCTTCTGCTGACCCCTCCCAGGGCCGACTTGCCTGGAGCACTGGATTTGACCCATGTCCCCCACCCTCCACCGACCCTCGACAGGTTAGCTATGATGGGGCAAGCAAAAGGTCCTGGCACTTCATTATCAATAAATGAAGTTTCCTGGGCCGGGTGAGGTGGCTCATGCCTGTAATCCCAGCAATTTGGGAGGATGAGGCAGGAGGATAGTTTGAGCCCAGGAGTTCAAGACCAGCCTGGCCAACATGATGAAACTCTGTCGCTACAAAAAAAAAAAAAAAAAAAATTCGCAGGGCATGAACTACAGGTGGCACAAACCTGTAGTACCGACTACTTGAGAGGCTGAGGTGGGAGGATCACCTGAGCCCAGGAGGATCAAACTTCAGTGAGCCCTGATGGTGTCACTGTGCTCCAGCCTGGGCGACAGAGCAAAATCTTGTCTCAAAGGAAGAAGAAGAAGGAAAAAAAAAAGGCCAAGGCAGGAGGATCAATTCAGCCCAGAAGTTCAAGACTAACCTGGGCCTTGTTTCCACAAAAAATTAAAAAAATAGCTGGGTGTGGTGATGCACACCTGTAGTCCCAGCTACTCGAGAGGCTGAGGTGGGAGGATCACTTGAGCCTGGGAGGCTGAGGCTGCAGTGAGCCGTGATTGCTCCACTGCACTCCAGCCTGGGTGACAGAGCAAGACCCTGTCGCAAAAAACGAAAGAAATACAATGAAGTTTCCTATCCCTGCCTCAGGCCATGGGGCCACCTCCACCAGACCCCTTGGAAGTCTTTGCTACCTTCCAGCTGCTGCCATCCTTCAGAGACCCCTGTCCAAGTCTGTCCTTGGGCAGAGCCTTGAGCTTGCTGTACCTTCTGCTGAGATTCCCTTTCCCCTGCTCTTTGCTCCTCTGCCTCTTCCCATCATTCACATCTTAACTCAAATAGCACCACCTCAGAGGGGCCTTCCCTGACCAACCAAGTTCATACGGTACCTCCGAAACACATCACTCTGTTTTATTTTCCCCTTGTTTGGTTATGTGATTATGAATGGTCTCCCCTGTTTGGAATGTAAACTTGCCATGAACTGAATGGTTGTATTCCTCCAACACTGGTATGTTGAAAGCCTATCAATATGATGGTGTTAGCAGGTAGGGCCTTTGGGAGGTGATTAGGTCATGAGCTCTCATGAATTGGATGAGTGCCCTTATCAAAGAGGCCCCAGAGAGATTCCTTGCCCTTTCTGCCACGTGAAGACACAGCTGGAAGGCACTATCCATGAATCAGAAAGCCAGCCCTCGCCAGACACCAAATCTGCTGGCACCTTGATCTTGGACTTCCCAGCCTCCAGAACAGTGGGAAGTAAGTTTCTGCTGTTTAAGCCACCCAGTCTACATATTTTGCTAAAGTCCTAGCTGACTAATATAAAACATCATTAGACGATGTCCATCTTACTCACCAGTGTATCCCTTGGGCCTCCAACCAGGCCTGATGTTGGTAACAAATCACCCCGAAAACTTACTGGCCTAGAGCGTTAGCAATTTTTAAAAAATCCTTCAAGGTTTCCATGTGTCATGAATTTGGACAAGGCATAGCAGGGGCAGCTTGTTTCCACTCCAGAATGTCTGGTGCTGGAATCGTCTGAAGGCTTGCGCACTCACCTGTCTGGGGGTTGATGCTGGCTGTCAGCTGGGCCGCAGCTGGACTGTCAGCTAGAAACCTACATGTGGCCTTTCCAGGTGCTCTCTCCATATGGGCTAGTTTGGGCTGCCTTGCAGTGTGGCTGCTGACTTCCAAGTGTGAAGATCTCAAGTGGGGTAGGCAAAAGTGGTGTCACCTTTTAAGACCTAGGCTTGGAAATCAAATAGTGTCACTTCTGCTGTAATCACACACCCACTCAGATTCAAGGGGAGGAAGCACAAACCCCATCTCTTGATGGGAAAGTTCTCAGTGTCACATTCTAAGAAGAGCATGTGGATTGGGATATGTTGTGGTGACCATCTTTGGAAAACACAATCTGCCACATCACTCATCAATCTTTGTTGATTGAATGACTGCTTTATGCTCTCAACTTCTTTCTCCACCTCCCTGTTTCACCACTTACCAACTATATGACTTGGGAAAAACACTTTCTGTATCAGTCAGAGTTCTACAGAGAAGCAGAACTAGTAGGATATGTGTGTGTGTGTGAGTGTGTGTGTGTTTATTGTAGGGGAAGAAAAAACATCTTTTCCTCTACATCCTCCTAGTTTCTCTGGCTGCGGCCCTGTTAATTAGACTAAAAAAAAGACAGATTAACAAGAGAAAAGCATACAAACTTATTTAATGGAAGCTTCACCTGACACAGGAGCCTTCAGAGGAAATGAAGTTAAGCTTCAGCATTTTAATACTAGGTTTGATGAAGAGTGGAGAGTAGTGAAAAAATGTGATAGAAAGGACCAAGGGGTATGCCCTAAGTGGAGTAAACTGAGGGAGACTTAGCAAGGCCTGTTAGTTCAGATTCCTATTGGTGTCCCTCTGTCTTCAGATATAAGGATGATCTTTTCTTCCAGGTCTAGAGAGGCCACCTCTCACATGAGGATCTTTCAATTTGTTTCAGAGGAGAAAGGGGAGTGAGAGGGTCTTTCCTGCAACTGCCATTTCTCAAATTCCTTCAACCTAAAATATTCTATATGCCAAGGCATTATATCTTGGGATAGTGTGTGTTGAACCCCTTCAGTGGATGGATAGATAGATAGATGGATAGATAGATATAGATATTTAAAGGAATTGGTACATGCAACTGTGAGGGCTGGCAAGTTTGGAATTTTTTTTTTTTTTTTTGAGACAAGGTCTCATTCTGTTGCCCAGGCTAGAGTGCAGTGGCATGATCTTGGCTCACTGCAACCTCTGCCTCCCAGGCTCAAGCAATCCTTCCACCTCAGCCTCCCAAGTAGCTGGGACTATAGGCACATGCCACCCACCACACCCAGGTACTTTTTTTTTTTTTTTGTATTTTCAGTAGAGATGGGGTTTCATCATATTGACCAGTCTGGTCTCGAATTCCTGAGCTCAAGTGATCCGCCTGCCTTGGCCTCCCAAAGTGCTGGGATTACAGGCATAAGCCACCATGCCTGGCCCGAGTTTGAAATTTGTAGGGCAAGCTGGTAGGCTAGAAACTCAGGCAAGATTTGATGTTGCAGTTTTGAGCCTGAAATTCACAGGACAGGCCAGCAGGCTGGAAACTCAGGATTTCTATGTTACGGTCTCAAGGCAGAATTCTTTCTTCTTTGGGAAACCTCAGTTTTGCTCTTAAAGTCTTCAACTGATTGGATGAAGCCCACGCAGATTATTGAGGGTAATCTCCTTTACTTAAAATCAACTGACTGTAGATGTTAATCACATCTGTAAGATACCTTCACAGCAACATCTGGAGTAGTGTTCAATCAAACAATTGGACTCCACAGCTTAGCCAAATTGACACGTAAAATGTAACCACCACACTTACCCTCTCTGAACCAGCTTTTCCCCCTTTGAAATAAAGATAAAAGTTCTTTACAAAGCTGTTGGGAGAATAAAATGAGAATCCCTATGTGGTACGCAGCCTCTACAATGGCCCCCATGATCTCTGCCTCCTGGTGTTCATGCCCTTTTGTAATCCCCTCCTCTGGAATGTGGGCTGGACTTATTGACTCAATTTTGCTGAAAAGAAATAGAGTAAGGCAGAAATGATGGGATGTCACTTCTGAAATTAGGCTATAAGAGGTTTTGGTTTGTATCTTGCCCACTCTATCTTGCTGTGTCACTCAGTGGCTCTGAAGGAAGCCAGCCGCCATCTTGTGAGCTGCCCTATGGGAAGGCCCACCTGGCAAGTGATATGATTTAGATATGTGTTCCTTCCAAATCTCATGTTGAAATGTGATCCCCAGAGCTGGAGGTTGGCCTGGTGGGAGGTGTTTGGGTCATAGGAATAGATACTTCCTGAAAGGCTTGGTACCCTCCCCATGATAAGTGAGTTGTCACTCTGTTAGTTCATGAGAGAACTGGTTGTTTAAAACAGCCAGGCCGCCCCTCCTCTCTCCCTTGCTCCCACTCTCACCATGTGAGTGCATCTGCTCCCCTTTCGCCTTCCACCATGACTGGAAGCTTCCTGAGACCCTCACCAGGAGCAGATGCTGGAGCCATACTTCCTGTACAGCCTGCAGAACTGTGAGCCAAAATAAACCTCTTTTCTTTATAAATTACCCAGCCTCAGATATTCCTTTATAGCAACACAAAACGGACTAACAGAGCATGGAACCGATGTCTCCAGCCAGCAGCCAATGAGGCCCTGAGGCCTGCTGATAGCAACTGCATGAGTGAGCTGGGAAGTGGATCTTCTCCCATGTCATGATTACAGCCTTGCAAGAGACCCTGAGCCAGAGGACCCAACTAGGCCACACCTGCATTCCGGACCCCCAGAAACTGGAAGATAATAGTTTGTTGTTTTAAGCCTCTAAGTTTCAGGGTAATTTGTTCCACAACAATAGGTAACTAATATGCCACATCAGTGGTAACTGCCTTGCACAGTCCCTGGCACACAGTAGGTGCTTGATAGATGTGACGGGAATATGATTCTAACTGAGCTATGGGTCCATGTGAAAGTCTTCCCAGAGAGATTTGTATTTTACCTTGTCATTGATAAGCAAGTTAGTAACCTGGAGAAATGTTAGACAAATAAGGAAGAATGTGTGTGAACATAGAAAGAGATGGATAAAGCAAGAAAGTCTTGGCCGGGCGGCGCGGTGGCTCAGGCCTGTAATCCCAGCACTTTGGAAAGCCTAAGTGGGTGGATCGCCTGAGGCCGGGAGTTCGAGACCAGCCTGGCCAACATGGCAAAACCCTGTCACTACCAAAAATACAAAAATTAGCTGGGTGTGGTGGCACATACCTGTATTCCCAGCTACTCAGGAGGCTGAGGCAGGAGAATGGCTTGAATCCAGGAGGCAGAGGTTGCAGTAAGCCGAGGTCACACCACTGCACTCCAGGCTGAGCAACAGAGCAAGACTCCGTCTCAAAAAAAAAAAAAAAACAAACAAAAGTCCTAATATTCGTGAGGTCCTAAAAGGTACGATTTTGTCACAGTGGAATTTTCCCACAGAATAATAGGAGAAATAGTACTTCTGAGACGACTTGAGGTCACACTACACAAGTGGCCATCAGTTTTGATTCCAGGAAAGGCAAGCCTTTGAGAGAGGAACTAGCTGGAGATGTTCCTGAGGCAGGGGCTCCGGTGATGCCTCAGAAAAAGAATCTATATTGACAACAATAAATACTTATGGAGAGGGCACTGTAGATACAGTGGGGAGCAAAAGCCCTGATCTCAGAGCATCCACAGGTATAGTACAGAGGTTAGCAGTAAACATTTTCACCAATGCAAATATAATTATAGGTTGACACTGCTGTTCTATAAGGAAGGGATTTATTAGGTTGATGCAAAAGTAATTGCGGTTTTTGCCATGGCTTTTGCACCAACCCAATATAAACTAGAAAACCGACTGACACTAGAGGGATCAGAAAAGTAGAAGGAACACAAATGCTGAAATATGGGATAAATGGGCATTAACAAGGTGAGGAAGGAAGGGCAAAGCATCACAGACAGAACAGCATGTGCAAATACCGTAAATACCATGTGATGGGAGGTAACACAGCATATTTGGGAACTGATAGAACATCAGTGTGTAGCTGGAAGACAGCCAGGGGGATGGTGGTGAGAGAGAGACAGAGGTGGTCAGCTGCGGACAGACCATGTGGCCTGGTAGGAAGTTGTAAGCTCTAGTGAGAGTTTGGATCTTTATTCAAAGAGCAATGGGAGCCAGGCACGGTGGCTCAAGACTGTAATCCCAGCATTTTGGGAGGCCAAGGCGGGTGGATCACTTGAGGTCGGGAGTTCGAAACTAGCCTGGCCAACATGGTGAAACCCCATCTCTACTAAAAATACAAAAATTAGCTATGTGTGGTGACGCACGCCTGTAGTCCCAACTACTTGGGAGGCAGAGGCTGGAGAATCACTTGAGCCCAAGAGGCGGAGGTTGCAGTGAGCGGACATCATACCACTGCACTCCAGCCTGGGTGACAGAGTGCAGAGTGAGACTCTGTCAAAAAAAAAAAAAAAAAGAGCAATGGGAAATCACTGGATGGCTTAAGTGAGGGTGTGATGGAATTAGATTTGTGTTGTTAAGCATCCTCTCTGGAAACCATGTGTAGACTGACTTCATGGGTGGGAGAGGCAGAGTTGGATACTATAATAGTCCAGGCAAATGGTACTAGTCAGCTTGGACCAGAGCAGAAGCTGCAGAGGTAAAAAGATGAGCAGCACCAAGCTGATGTGGAACATCACCCACCTCCCAGTGGAGACCAAAGCTCAAAAGCACGAGGTAATGGAGAGAACATAAAACAGATCCCAGTTCAAATTCTGGCTCTGCTTCTTATCAGCTGTGTGACCTGTGGCAAGTTTCTAACCCTCTCTGTTTCAGTGTGCTTATACGTAAAGCTGGGATAACGAGGCCCACCTTGCTGAGTAGTTATGCAGATTACATGAGATACCCCTGAAAGTGTAGAGCAGTGGACTGAGGCACCTGAGGTCCAGTGAACCCTCATAGACATGTGATAAATCCTGACCGAGAACAGGCCGTTTAGTTTTGGCTGCAGCTGACGTAATGTATATTTGTTATAGCGTTTGAAAATGTTCCATTCTGGCCGGTGAATGCCCAGTGTTCCATTCTGGCACGGTGGCTCTCGCCTGTAATTCCAGCACTTTGGGAGGCTGAGGCAGGAGGATCACCGGAGTCCAGGAGTTCGAGATCAGCCTGGGCAACATAGGGAGACCCTGTTTCTACAAAAAATAAAAAAATTAGCTGAGCATGGTGGTCCATGCCTGTAGTCCCAGCTACTCGGGAGGGTAAGGTGGGAGGATCACTTGGGCCCAGGAGTTCGAGGCTATAGTGAGCTGACATCATGCTGCTGCACTGCAGCCTGGGCAACAGAGTGAGACCCTGTCTCAATTGAAAAGGGAGAGAGAGACAGAATGTTCTATTCTGCCACAGAAGCCAAGAAAATAAGTCGGATGGATGAACTTTGTGACTGATAAGTAAGTTAGTAACCTGGAGAAATGTTAGACAGATAAGGAAGAGCATAGAAAGAGATGGAACATAGAAAGAGATGGAAGGAGCAAGAAAGTCCTAATATTCATGAGGTCCTAAATATACAAGAGACACAAAATATTCATGAGGCTCTAAATATATTTAAGGTACCTGAGGCACTAAATATTCATGATAACCTAAATATACATGAAGCATACGAGGCACTCAATATTCAGCCACCCATTGGTGACACTCATTCTAGCGCCATGTGTCCTCTGCCCAAGAAATGCAAATACCATGCATGGCTGCTCCTCAGGCTAATTGGAGAAGTACAGCTGTGGCCAAGTGTCTTTGTCTCTGCATATCTTCAATGGAGCCAAGTATGCGCTGCTGGCTTCAGGCACCTTCTAGACGTCTGCGGACTTCAAACCTCAGCACAGATCTCAGAAGCACCCTCAGCAGGCAAGGTGGGTGGATGCAGCACCTCCACTCTCCCTCGGTTCAGGCAGTGTTGTCCTTCCATCCACTTGTACCCCATCCTAAGTGTGTGAACCCACCCCACCCCACCTCTCTTTCCTGCTTCTCGCTGTGTGTTTTCAATGGATTTCATACGCTGGGTGATTTAAGCTTTTCATCTTGTCTGAGAGCCTCTCTCCTTGTGATCTCTTGGATATCTTGTCTGGACATGTACTCAGAGGCCACTGCTGCATGGAGGTGAGTTCCCGCGTGACAACTGAGTAACCATGGAGAATGAGATTCTGCTGGCTCCGTGTGAGATGGAACATTGTTCTAAGCATGTCAGGAGCTGATGTTGGGAGCATGAGAAAGAGGTGAGGGGTCCATCAAGCCAGTTCTGAGAGAATCGTGATTCTCTGAAATGGGTGAACGCTTCTTCCAGGGGAACATTAGAAAGGAAGGTGACAGGAATCAAACAGTTGGTTAAAGCAGTTGTCCCCAACCTTTTTGGCACCAGGAACTGGTTTCATAGAAGACAATTTTTTTCCATGGACAGGGGCGAGGGGAGATGGTTTTGGAATGAAACTGTTCCACCTCAGATCATCAGGCATTAGATTATCATAAGGAGTATGCAACCTAGATCCTTCGCATGCACAGTTCACAGTAGGGTTTGTGCTCCTATGAAAACGTATTGCCACCGCTGATCTGACAGGAGGTGGAGCTCAGGCGGTAATGCTCACTTAGCCACCACTCACCTCCTGCTGTGTGGTCTGGTTCTTAACAGGCCATGGACTAGTACGGTTCCTCGGCCTGGGGGTTGAGGACCCTGGATTAAAGGGTACAAAAATAGAGTTCGAGAGAAAGAATAAGTTTTAGGGTTGCATAGTACAGTAGGGAAATTACAGTTAACAATAATTTATTGTATATTTCAAAATAGCTAGAAGAGAAAAATTCTAATGTTCCCAGCTCAAAGAAAAATGTTTGAGGTGATGGATATCCTGGTTACTCTGATTTGATCATTACACCTAGTATCAAAATATCTCATGTATCCCCCAAAATATGTACAACTATGGTATTTCAACTTAAAATGTTCTTGGAAAAAAAGACCAAGGCAAATCGTGCACAGAATTGAAGACCGATAGCTGCGGAAGATGATAAAGATACTGAAAAACTGCAGTAGGGAATGATTTGGGCCCAAGTCATTGTTTAGTGTTGTATGAGATTTCTAATCCCTTCAAGCGGGTTGAAAAGAATTCCCAAATTGGAAAATCGCCCCAAACACCAAGAGTTTAGAACCCCTGTGGCAAATGCTAGGCTATGCTGCAGTCGTAAATTGTCTCCTACTTCTCAGTAACTTAACACAGCACATTTATTTCTTACACACACAATACACCCATTTGGAGTTGGCTGGGTGTTGCGCTTTATCTGGCCTTCACTGCAAGACACAGGCTGATGGGCCACTGTTTAGAGTATTGCCATCCGTTCCAGCAAAAGGAAGCAAGCTCTGGAGGGCTTCACTCCAGCAATTAAATGTCCTGGTCCAGAAGTGAAACACATCACTTCCCACTTGTAACTCACTGGTCATGACTGGTCACATGGCCTCACTCAATTATAAGGGGCCAGGAAGTGCAATTCCGCCATGTGCCTGGAAGGCAGAGAGCCAGAAATATTTGGTGGACATCCCTGATTTGACTTCCACAGCACTCTCACTTGTATGCACAAAAACTCAAGGACACAGGATGATTTGGAGGTGACAGTGTCCAGCTGTAAGACCCAGACCCCCGACACCACCTTTAGAAGACACTCTGGGGTTTCCTGATACCACAAACATCCTGGCAGACTCTGATCTGCCAAGACCTAGAGAGCCCAGCTTCATTTATGTATCTGTGTCATCTTACGTAAACATCCCCTGCTCTCACATTATTCTGGGCACGGTGCAGGAGGTGGCTGATGACCATCAAGAAAAGCAAGGTCTCTGTCTCTGACAGGCAGGAGACCCATTAGAGTGACAGTGCAGTGGCCAGAGGGGAAGAAAGGTCCGGAAAGAAAGACAATGAATGGAACACATCAGAGCAGCCAAGTGACCTCTGCATGACCTTTCCAACTTAACCGGGGAATAGGGAAACACTTTTGGCTTTTTAAATAGCATTTACTTTAAGTAGCCCTGTTAATTAGTATTAATTAACAGCTGGTAGTTTCTGTTACCTCCTAACTGGTGGTTTGCAAGTCAAGAAGTTTAGGTAGAGAGTGAGGTAAAGGTGAGAGGAGAGAGGGGCTCCTAGCTTTCTAGAATGAGCAATTAGTACTCATTCATTTGAAAGCAGGGCACCTTCAAGGTTGAGAAATGCCCCTGAGTAGTCACCCCTGGCTAGATATATACTCCCTATTCTGCTTGACAAAACACACACCCAGCTTTCTTTCACAGGTGGCTTCTGTGGCTTGAGGCCAACAGCACTTTACCTCCAGCACTCTCTGAGCCCTGGACCAGTGATCCTTTACAAACCCGTTTCAGGGGCATTGCCCACTTGCCAGAGCCTGTTCCGGCACGTCCTCTTTCATCTTCATCTGCAGCCTCGCTAAAGAACTTGCCAGGGTAGAAATTGCCAGATCTTTGGGAGTGTCCCAGGTTTCTGCTCCCTGAGGGAAGGAGACGT
The DNA here is from genome assembly GCF_000001405.40 of Homo sapiens. Classification (NCBI taxonomy): domain Eukaryota; kingdom Metazoa; phylum Chordata; class Mammalia; order Primates; family Hominidae; genus Homo; species Homo sapiens. Next base: position 40,449,445 of record NC_000023.11, on the reverse strand, counting down.
GTCAGCTCAGGGAGCCGGCTCCAGGCGGATGGAGGGAGAGAGTCAGTTTCTACAAGAAATCACCGAAATGTTCGCCCCTGGACTTTGGAATCAATGAAACCTGGGTGCAAGTTCCAGCTCCTCCACTTGCTAGCTGTGAGACTGTGGGCTCATTCTACATAACCCCTCTGACCCTATTAATAAGAGAACCTTCTCCACGTACACTTGTGAGAGTAAATGCAATCATGTGTGCTAAGCATTTAGCACTTTGCCCAGTATATAGGCCTCTATTATTATAAACAAATATTAGAATAATTAGATAAACATTTAGCCCCATTGAGGCCTTCGGCACAAACCTAAATTTGAAGCTAGACTCTCGGCATCTGCCACCGGGAGCCCTCAGCCTCCTGTGAGAACTTAGAATCCGGCTGGCTTTGATAGATGTTATCTAGCTCCCTGGGGGAACCTGGAACCAGGCAGATAGTCTGTCACTAACGACTTCAACAACCTGTGGGTTGAAAGAGCTTGAAAACAGCTAGCAGGCTTCTTCTGGTGTGTTTCTAGGCCTGGGAGGGATTTCTGGCCTCAACTCTTTCTGGGCCCGTGCAGTAGGGGGATCCTGGTGGTTCCAAATCAGCCCTTGGCCTTAGGTACCAAATCATCTGGGGATTTTCCCTCATGGCATTTGCCATTGTACCAATTAAATTCAAAAACAACAGCAAGTAGCTGAGACCCAAAGTCACAGCAGCCTACAAGATAGTTTATTTCTTTCAAACACAGAATTCCAGAAGAATAAAGCCTAGGGCTGGTATCATGGCTCTGTTCCACCAAGTTCTCAGAGGTCCAGGTATGTCTGACAAGATCCTACTGTCTTGTCACTCAACTGTGCCTGGGCTCCATTCCCAAGGTCGCCCCTTGGCCCAATATGTGCTGTGGCTCCAGCTTTCATGTCCACATTCCAGCCAGAAGAATGGAGGACAGGTAGGAAGAGGGGCAAAGGACACATGCCAACTGTCTTTGAAGGAAGGTTCCCAGAAATTTGTCACATGACCTTTCCCCTTACTTCTCAGTTTAGTGACATGGCCACAGCTGGCTGCAAGGTGGTATGGAGGAAAGATGGTTGGTTTGCAAGACAGGGAAAGATAAAGAGATCACATAGAGAAAGTAAGAGTTGAGAGGTATTTCTGTGCCTACTCAGAAAGTCTCACTGGGGGCTTAAGTTAGCTACAGTTTGTAACTTGCAGTCAAAACAACAGCGAAGAAAATCGTGATTAGGATAGTTTTCTTAGTCCTGCACCAGTGGTGTTGCATACTTTGATATGCCTAAGAATCATGTGGAGGTGTCTGTTTAAAACATCAATTTTTCTGATTCCATCCCCAGAAATTCTGATTCCTTGAGCCTGGAGTGGGGCCAGGACCTGTGTCTTTAACAGCGTCTTCCCCCATTCTGCTATAGGCAGGCCAAGGACTACAGTTTGAGACATACAACTTTACAGTCAGTTCAGAGATCTATCAGTTACTGTTGCTATGTAACAAATATCCCCAGGCTTACTGGCTTAAAGCAATGACTATTTTATGTTGTTCACAGATTCTGTGGGTCAGGAATCTGGAAAGGGCACAACAGGGGCAACTTGTTTCTGCTCTATGATGTCTGTGGCTTCAGTTAGGAAGAGTCAAAGGCTGGGGGTGTCTCAAAGGCTGGGAGCTGGCATCCTCTGAAAGCTCCTTTAGTCCCACATTCAGTGGTTGATGGTGGCTATTGTCTAGAACCTCAACTGGGGCAATCAGCTGGAATACCTACACATGGGCCACTTCCCATGTCATGGGCTTCTTTGCAGCATGGTCACTGGATTCTAGCAGTGAAAATCCTAACAGAGAACCTGGAGGAAACTTGATGGCCTCTAATGGCCTAGTCTCAGAAGTCAAATAGTGTCACTTCTGCCATAATCACAGGCCACTGGATTCAGGAGGGAGGGCACATAGATTCCACTCGATAGTACATTGTAAGAAGAGCATCCACATGCTGTGGGATGGATGGGAGCTCTGGTTGCAGCCATCTTGGGAAAATATCATCTTCTACTAGGATGAAAACTGGTGTCTGCAGAGGGAACTTAGGAAGTGCCAGGTGGCCAGGTCTCTGGCCCTCATCCTGATGGAACCAAATCCCTACCCCGCATGTTGTATGTGCTGACTTTTTTCATCAGCCAAGATTCTGCCTTTCCCTCAAGTCCTGATGTGGAGCTCAATACTCTGAGGGCAGGGGAACGGAGCCAGCCTCTTTGCATTTCCTCCCAAGCCTCAGGAGTATGCCAGTGGTGTATTGGTTCGCTCAGGAGTGAGTGTAGAGGAAACCTTTGGCCAGGATTCCACGTGGGGTGTGTCAAGGAACTGCACTCAGTATTTTTAAAACCATCTGTCACGTGGCTCTTTAGCCAGCTTAGAATAATTGCCAAGTTTTTTCCTCCTGAAGTTGCACTGCGGATGCAGAAGAATTCTTTGATTTTTTTTCCTTTTTAATATCAACTTTAATAGTTCCCTGGGATAGGATTTTCTTTTTTTCTTAACAAAGGAAATACACCCATGGGATTCTTAGTGACTCTGTCCACTGGCTGAGAATGGGACCTCAGACATGCCGGAGTTTGAGGGCACAGACTCAGCTTGTACTTGGCTTGTTTCCTGCCTAGGCCCATGCTGGTGGGCTTGGCAAAGCCCTGCTGAACTGGATGCATTTCCCTTGGTTAAAATTATGGAGTGCTGGCCCCAGGACTAACCTCAGAGACATTTATCCAACCCTCTCACTTTCCAGTTGAGGAGACAGAGGCCAGAAAGCCGAGCGACCTGTCCAAAGCCATGTGGTTCTCCAATCCTTAATCCTGAACAATTTCTGACCCCTCCTAGGGCTATCTTATTAAGAGGGGCCTAGGGAGGGGAGAACAAGCCCTCCCATCTTACTAATTGGTGAAATGCCTCTCACCCTCTTTTTTTTCCTAAGCGCCCCTTCCCTCCACTATTTGCACTAACCTGTGAATTTGCTGTTACCACCAACACATGTGACAGAAGGTGTATTTGAGCTGAGGTGCTTTAAGCTCTTTCTGGAAAGATCTTACTGCTGGTGGCTGCCCTGGTTCAAGCTGTCATTCAAATAATGTGCAACTCTTAGATTTAGGCTTTTCCCATAATAAATCCATCAATGGCATTATTAGGAACCCTTAGGTTTCTTTTTTAATATAGCCATGACAAAAGCCTGCAGTGTATTACAGAGGGGCGGGACTACCCCATAGACATCGTCTGGAGCAGTTTTAAACAAGTCTGCAAATTATTTGACACTCATCCCATAGAGAGGTGTCATCTGTGTCCTCTCCCCTGGAATCTGAGATGGCCTACTGACCCACTTGTAACCAATAGAACGCAGTGCAAGGGACAGTGAATGACTTCTTGAGCTAAGTCAGCCAAAACCACCTGGGTCTCTCTATGGAGACAGTCTCTCTGTTGCTGTCACTCTCATTCTCTTGCTCTGTGACTGTGCTCTGCCTCCTCTTTCCTGTTGTCTAACAGGGGCTCAGCTCCACGGCTCTCCACTGTCATAGATTCCACACAAAGCCTACTTCTCTTTTATTGACTTTCACTGCTTTTGTGGTTCATAAGTGTTGCGAGAGCCCTTTCTGGAATCCTCTATGGGGACCCAAAATTGAAGAGCAGTCCCCAGCAGGGTGTACACTCCAGGCCCAGCATGCTTCTGTCACCAGCCCCTGTGCCATCCCACCCACACTCCTGTCCCTGCAGTAGGGAGGGGCAGCAGGAGATGGGTGGGGTCAAAGGAGGCCGTGTGGGGCCTGATCGGTCTAGAAAGGGTGTCACTGGCCTTTCCCACACTGAGCTGTGTCACAGAAATTGCTGCCGACAGGGGTCAGGTGGCCTAATACTGAATTTGGGGGGCGGGGATCAGTGTGAATGGCGCCTTGCACTGGAAAGGGGCCCAGAAGACCCCCAGGGCTAATGAAGGCGGCCAGGCATTGTGAAAGGCCTGCAGGACACTCCTAGGGCATGGTGGGGAGGCTGGGAGAGGTCTTAGCCCCGAGGGGAAGAATGCCCATGTCAGGGAAGGCAGGCATTAACTCCATCAGGCAGGGCCGAGGGGCCCCCGCATTAACTCCTCAAAGGCGGCTGAGCAGGGCCTGTGATTGACAGGTGGACTCTGTCAATCAGGACAAGCTGGCGGTGAAAGAGTGGGCCACCAGATACAAAAGGAGAGATGTTTGATGAGCTCCGGGGGCTGGGCTGGAATGGGGGGAGGATGAGCCAGAGTCACAGGGAGCCCGCGACTTCATGTGAGAGATGAGATTGGAGAGACCAGGGTTTTAACTGGGGACCTTTGAGGCCCAGGCATTCATTTGTTATAGAGTGCCTGTCTTGGCAAAAGTGCCAAAAGGAAGCTGACTTGTCAATGATGTCTGTGCCAGATCCTTGAGCTTGCCTCAGGTATTCGGTGAGGCACTTAGTCACAAATGCAGCACACAGACGATGGTGTATGTGTGTATTGCGGGGAGAGAGACTGGGGAGGCTTTGCTATGGGGGGAGAGGGGAGAGGTTGGCAGTGATGGTTTTATTATGCAAAGGATTCTGAGGACCATGATAGGTGCTGAATAAATATTTGATCATTTACACATATAGCACCGGTGCTCCAAATTGTATTTTTAAAAGCAAGTTCCAACGTTCTATTTTTCTAAGTTTAAAGATTAATTTAAATTAGATGTATGCACTCATTCTAGAAAATATTTGGAAATATATAGATTAAAGTACGGAACAGTGGGGGGAGGCTCCTCCTCCCACTGAAAGTCAGTCATTGCCAGCATGACGGTGTATTTAGCTCCAGTCTTTTCACTATACATCTTTTAAAATATAATTGTGATCAACTGTACATGCAATTTGGTAATTTGCTCTTTTCTTGCTCAATGTGGTGATACAAGCATTTTCCATGCTATTACAAATTCCTGGTAAACATCATTTTTAATGGCTATGTAATATGGATTGTATTTTCAATTTTCATTAAATTTCTCTTTTATCTTCAGCCTGGTTGCTTTGAGGGGCCTAATTTCTGCCAGTCCTAATCTGCTTATCTGTTTATCAGGAGCCGCATTTCCACCACCACTATCTCCTTTTCTGAGGGAACAGGGAGGGCATGACAGAGAGGGTTTCAAATGGGACAGACACAGCAGCTACACGAGGTCACTGGCAAGTCAGAGACACTGTTAGGGCAGGACCACCAAGGGCCCTTGCTGTCCTGTGGCCAGTCTCAAGTTCAAAGATTTTGTCCAGCTGTGTGCATAAGTTTATTAATTCTTACAGAGACCATGTGGCCCACTTAGGATTCAAGAATACCGTTCCTATAGTTATGGGCACATTGTGCTAGAAGAGAAAGTTTCAGACTGGGTAAAATGGTGGCAAAAAGGGATTGTTGCATCCAGATGGGGCAGTGGTAGGGAAGTTCTTTGCAGAATATTGAACCTCCAATTTCTACAGGTGATAAATGTGTCTGTCCGACGCCTGTATCAAATCTTCCTTCTTAAAAGAGGAATGAAGTCATGCTTTTTTTGAATAGACAAATGGTATTGGGTGTTTAATTCATTAAGGGGCACCCCTTCCAACTTGTGTGCGCGCGCACAGGTGTGTATGTGTGTGTGTGTGTGTGTGTGAAATGCCTCTCGCCCTCTTTATTTCCTAAGAACCTCTTCCTTCCTCTATTTGCACTAACCTGTGAATTTGCTGTTCTATGACTTTTCACACAGGTATAGATTTTTGTAACCACTACCACAATCAGGGTACAGAACCATTTCATTAATCCCCAGGACTCATTTGTGCTACCCTTTTGCAGTCAAGCCCCTCTCACCCTTAGTGTCTGGCCAACACTGATCCAGGCCCCATCACTCATGTGTTTATTAACGGAATCATGCAGCATGTGAGCTGTTGAAGACTGGTTTCCCTCTCTCAACATAATGCTTTTGCAATTCATCCAAGTTGTATGTATCAGTAGTTTGTTTCTTTTCGCGGCTGAGTAGTTTTCCATTGTGTGGATATAACACCATTTGTTTAACTCTTCACCCACTGAAGGATGTTTAGGGTGCTTCCAGCTTTTGGCAATTATGATTAGAGCTGCTATGAACATTTGTGAACAGATTTTTGTGTGAACATGAATTTTTATTTCCCTTGGGTAAATAACCTAGGAGTCAGATTGCTAGGTCTTATTGAAACTGCTTGTCTAACTTTATAAAAAACTACCAAACAATTTTTCAGAGTGGCCATACCACTTTACATTCTCACCAGCGACATATGAGACTTCCAGTTGTTCCACATCCTTGTCAGCACTTGATATGGTCAGTGGGTTTTTTATTTTTTTATTTTAGCCATTCTGATAGGGGTGTGGTATATATCTCACCATGGTTTTAATTTGCATTTCCTTAATGGCTGATGATGTGGAACATCTTTTTCTGTTTATTTGCCATCTGTTTATCTGTTTGAGGATAACCAAAGAGGTTATCTTTTTGACCATTTTTAATTGGGCTGTTAGTTTTCTTTTCTTTTTCTTTTTCTTTTTCTTTCTTTTTTTTTTTTTTTGAGACAGAGCCTCTGTCGCTCAGGCTGGAGTGCAGTGGCATGATCTCGGCTCACTGCTTGATCCGCCTCCCAGGTTCAAGTGATTCTTCTGCCTCAGCCTCCCATGTAGCTGGGACTACAGGCGCGTGCCACCATGCCTGGCTAATTTTTGTATTTTTTTAGTGGAGACGGGGTTTCACCATATTGGCCAGGCTGGTCTCAAACTCCTGACCTCGTGATCTGCCCACCTCAGCCTCCAAAAGTGTTGGAATTACAGGCGTGAGCTACCACGCCTGGCCCTAGTTTTCTTACTGTTGAGTTTTGAACATTCTTTATATATTCTGTATATAAGTCTTTTGTTGGATATATGATTTACAAATGTTTTTCTTCAGTCCATAGGTTGCTTTTTAATTGTCTTAATGATGTCTTTCACAGAACAAAAGTTTTTAATTTTTAAATTTTGCTGAAGTCCAAGTCATAAATTTTTCTTTATGGATCACATATTTGGTCTCATGTTTAAGAATTCTGCCTAATCCTAGGTCATGAAAATTTTTCCCTGTGTTTTCTCCTAAGAGTTTTATAGTTTTATATTTTACATTTAGACCTATGATCCATTTTTCAGTTAATTTTTGTATAAGGTGTGAAGTTTAAGTTCAGGTTCATTTTGTTTTTCGTATGGATATCCAATTGTTCCAACACCGTTTGTCAAAAAGACTATTCTTTCTCTATTGAATTGCCTTTGCACTTTTGTCAAAAATCAGTTGCCTATGTCTGGACTCTATTCTATTTCATTGATCTATGTATCTCTCCACCAATACCACATCATCTTGATTATTGTAGCTTCGTAATAAGTCTTAAAATTAGGTAATGTGATTCCTCCAATTTCATTTGTTTTCTTCAAAATTGTTTTGGCTATTCTAGCCTCTTTGTCATTCCATATACATTGTAGAATCAGTCTGTCTTTATCTACAAGAAATTGTGATGGGATTTTGATTGAAATTATGGTAAATATGTAGATTGACTTGGGAGAGAATTGGCATCCTTGCCATGTTGAGTCTCCCAGTCCATTAACCTGGTATGTCTCTTCTCCACCTTGTTTTATTTGTTTGTTTGATTTAATAATTTTCTTCCCCCTCTGAGAAAAGGCATAGCTCAAAATGTTTGGCTTCAGAATGAAGAGAGCACCATCTGGTACAGATTCTTTCCTTTTACCCAGCCATGTCTTTTTTCCTTCAAGCCCATTAGAAATGACTTGTTTTTTGCTGGCAGTTTACACTTTGGGGGCAGGGTAGGAAGAGAGTTTTTTGTCTTTGTTTTGTTTTCTGAGACAGGGTCTCACTCTGTCACTCAGGCTAGAGTGCAGTTGTACAATCATAACTCACTGTAACCTTGAACTCCTGGCCTCAAGCCATCCTCCTGCCTCAGCTTTCCAAAGTGCTGGGATTACAGGTATGAGCCACCCTGCCTGGCCTGGAAGAGGTTTTATCAGAACCATCTGTGCATGTGCTAGAGAATCATGTTTTGGTGTTAGTGCATACATGGGTGTCAGCTTGTACATGTACTTGGGCGTCCATGTGTACACATATGTGAATGTTCTTGTATACACATACATATACACATGTGGGTCTCCTCATGTACACAGTACATGTGTGGGTGTCCTCATGTATATACACACATATATAGATTCCCATATATACACACACACATATGCGGTGTCCACGTGTACATGCACACATGGCCCCACTGAAGCAGACTCTGCCCTCCTCCCTGCTTCAAGCAGCCATGTGACATCCAGCTGAGATGAAGGGAAGGCATTTGCTTTACACGCAGAAAGCTGGCCAAACTTGACCTTCAAAGAATCAGCACAAATGCCCATACAGAGAGCTTCTTAGCAACTGCTTGTTGAATAAGAGAAAAGAATCAGGGAAAGGAGTCAGAAAACAAGGAAGAAGGGAAGAAAATCAAGACAGAAAGCAAGCCTGACCCTTTAAGAACCTAGCTGGTTCCAATAGTGCTCTCAAGGCTTTCTCGGGCTTCTGAAAAGAAAAGGGGAAAGAAATGAATAATACTTTTAGTCCTCCAGCTGGGAGAATGAGCCATGTTGACATCAATTGAGTCAAGAAGGGAAGGAAACACTGCAGACTGTGTAGCCACTTATATTAGCACAGTGCCTGTGTTACCTCCTTAAAATATCTCAGAAATTCCAAAAGTTGGTATCATTATTCTCATTTTACAGAAACAGAATCAGAGAAATTCAGGAATTTGCCCAAAGTCTCACAGTAAAGAGAAGAGCCTGGATTTAAACTTTTATTTTCACCCTCTAAATTCATTCCTGATATGGTTTGGATATTTGTCCCCTCCAAATCTTATGTTGGGCGTGGTGGTAGGCTCCTATAATCCCAGCTACTTGGGAGGCTGAGACAGGAGAACTGCTTGAACCCGGGAGGCAGAGGTTGCAGTAAGCCGAGATCACACCATTGCACTCCAGTTTGGGCTACAAGAGCAAAACTCCATCTAATATATAAATAAATAAATAAATAAATAAATAAATAAATAAATAAATAAACAGAGCCTGGCATCTTCCTTGCTTCCCCTCTTGCCACGTGACACCCCAGCTCCCCTTGCCTTCTGCCATGAGTGGAAGCTTCCTGAGGCCTCACCAGAAGCAGACGCTGGTGCCATGCTTCTTGTACACTCTTCAGAATTGTGAGCCAAATAAACTTTTCTTTATAAATTACCCAGCCTCAGGGATTCTTTTACAGCAATGCAAAACAGACTGACACGCTTTCTCTGCAACTGGGTACATATACCGTGAAGCACTCAGATTATGCAATGGTTGACTTGCTTACTTCAGGCTGCTCAATAATCTGAAGGCCACAGCCCTTTCAAATCACAGGATTTAGGAGCAACAGAGATTAATCACGCCTACACTTCTCCTTTCACAGCTGATGAAACTATGGTGCAGAGAGATGGCTACACAGCAAGTCAATGGGCAGGTAGAAATAGAAGCTGGTTCTCCTACCTCCTGCTTCCACTACATCACCTTCTTCTCAGGGTGACTGAGGTTTTCCAACCCAGGATGTGGCAAGCCAGCCCTCAGCAGTTCTCATTAATCCTTCCATGATGTGGCCCAAGGCGGTTTAGATGGGGAAGTTAGTGGCAGCCCAGGACCCAGGATTCTCAGGCTTCTCAGGCTTCTCAGCTCATTTGCCCATGCTGAATCTTCCCAGGAATTATTTGAATATGCAGAAGCTAAGGAGCCAGAGGGCAAGAGAACTAGTGGTCTAGGCAGGAGGGCCTTGGAGTCACACTGCCTGGGTGCAAATCCTAACTTCCTAAGTAAGACCTTGTGCCTCAGTGTCCCTATCTGTTAAGTGTGGATATGTGTTATTCAAGGTTCTCCAGAGAAACAACCAGTAGAATAGTATAAAATTTTGACAGTATACTGGGGTTCTTCCTCAAGGGAACCCTGACTTCCCTACACTTAAGGAGTTCTGAGTCTGCAACCTGGCTCAAGTCTGGCAATAGATTGAGGGGCTATGACTATCTGTTTATATAATTCGGATTAGACTTTTGTTCACTTGACCTAGAACTTTTGCTGCTTCTTGTGGGATATGATGAGGTTTCTCTTGAAATAATCTGATCAATCTTTTATTCTTTAATTCATAGTACCCTCCCTTTTTTTCTCCTTTTTTCTCCTTTTTTTTCCTTTTTGCCTTTGTTAGATGCCCAGGCATGCCACAGTACCAACTGTTATCAGTACCAGCTCACATTCCTTTCCTTATTTGGAAAGAGGACTAACTTTCTAGCTTATTAAGGACACCCCTTTCCCTCCCTCTCCACTTTCTTTTATGCGCCCACCCTATCTTAAAAAAAAAAATCAAATGTTTAGCCAACCGGGATTAGTTTAGATTGTACGACCCGACCCAAGCCAATGGGGAAAGGGTACAGGGGCAGGACTTGCGTCAGGAATAAAGGCTCTCGTGCCCCTTTGTTCAGGTGTGCTTTCATGGCAACTGGCCAAGGAGGCACCCCTCTACACAGAAGTAAAATTGCTTTGCTAAAAATCCTCTGTTCGAGTGTTCAATTTCCTCAGGATTTTGAGCGCTATTCCTAACATTCTACAGATCAAGTAAGAATCTAGTAGGCTTCCTATCTATTTCATTTCTAGGAACACTATGATCATCTAGCGAACGCCATAGGTATGCATGAGCCAGACTATTCTTACTGCTACTTTGGCTCTGCTATCCATTATGGTAACAATTCCCACCTTGCCTTTGGCAGTCAAGTGCCTGCCACTTGGCCCCTGCCACCCTGGGATTCAATTAGCCCCATTGAGTTTAGTGCAATTCAGTGACTGTAGTTCCTACTGTAAGATCTGGCCTACAAAGAAGAGCAATCCCAGAGCTCTTCAAGGATGCCAGGGCTCCCCTCACAAATCTATTTCTCACAGTGTTGGTGAAAGTTATGTCTTTTGGACCCTTCCAGGGTGGGTGAGTAGGTCTCAAATGACAAATCCACTCTAACATTCCAATCTCCCTAAGCCTTTGAATTTTATCCTCTACATTAAACTAAGGCAGATCAACTCACTTACTGTGAGTGAGTCACCTTTCGGTCTGTGGGCCACCTTTTGGTCCATGTTTCAGCTAACCAGCCAACCCAACTGTTGGAGTCCTTTCCAACTCCTTAAGCTGCAATATTAATGTAAAATCTCTGCTTAGTGGGCCCATATCAATGAATTCGGCCTGATCCAACTTTGTGTTCCCTCCACCATTATCCCACATACTTAGTATCCATTCCCACACATGTTCCCTAGATTCTGTCTGTATAAATTAGAAAGCTCAAGTAGTTTGTTGGAGTGCAGTGCACCTCCTCATGGGTCATACTTCATACCTCACCTTTAGAGGCCTGTTGGAACTTGAGTCTAGGTATAGGTCTAGAAGCAAAGAAGCATGGTGGGGTGGTTTCTGAGGAGACTCAGCATTGTCTTGCACAGCAACTGCCTCAGGAGAAGCCATTGCAGTTTCCTCAGGCAATGCATGACTAATCTCCTCAGATGGGGATAGAGAAGCTGCTCCCACTGGAGGTGAGGATGCTGCTCCCACTGGGCTTGGGGAGACTTCTTCCATTGGCAAAGAAGATTAACGAGAATTTAGGGGCTCAATGACCCCAGCTTCATCAGGGCCTTTCCCACACAGCCCCATTCCAACTTTCAGGATCCCATTCCTTCCCAATCAATGCCCCCACTCCATTAGTAGACAAACGACGAGGCTAGAAGTTCAACTTGCATTGTAATTCAGCCAGTTACAGGATGAGATTCTGGATCTGATTTTCGGCAATCTGAGCCCTGTGGCTACAGGAGATAAGGGTCTCTTTCATGAGACACATGGAAGCTTTCAGATCATTTATGTGGTACTTGAGCTAGGAATTTGAATCCCTGAGCTCATCCTTTTCTTTCTTCATTTTGTACAGCAACATTAAAAGCAACCAGCCAATCTCATATTCATTAATTTGAAAAAAATTGCTCACAAATATTATATTCACAGTCACCCAGCTCCTTGCTTCTTATAGGTTGATTAGGAACATCCAGTGGTGATATTTTGTGTAACTTTATTGCCAGATCACACCGTAGATTATCAGTGCTCTTGTTACTACTAGAAATAGAGTCATTAATGTTTTTAAATCTAATCAGATTAGACAGCCAATTCCAGAAACCCTAGAACCAATTCAGAAACCTCATCCTTAAAATTCTGTTCCTCTAGAACCACTCTTTGTTCCAAAATGTGTATTAGCCAGGATTCTCCAGAGACACAGAACCAATGGAAGTAGAAGATGATAGGATAGATAGATAGATAGATAGATAGACAGACAGACAGACAGACAGACACAGATAGATAGATAGATAGATAGATAGACATAAATAGATATAAGGAATTGGCTCACATGATTATGGAGGCTGAGAAGTCCCATATTTTGCCATCTGCAAGCTAGAGACCCAGGGGAGCCAGTGGTATAGTTCCAGTCCAAGTCTGAAAGCCAGAGAACTGGGAGATGTAAGTCCAGTCCAAGGACAGGAGAAGACTGATGTTCCAGTTCAAACAGTCAGGCAGGCAAAGTACCCCCTTACTCAGCCTTTTTGTTCTATTCAGGTCTTCAACCAATTGTACAAGGCCCACCCACATTAGGGAGGGCTATCTACTTTGCTATCTCTACCAATTCAAATGTCCTTCTCATGCAGAAACACCCACAGAGACATACCCAGATAATGTTTGACCAAATGTCTGGGTACCCTGTGGCCCAGTCAAATTGACATAAAATTAACCATGATAGGATGCTAACAGTATTGCCAAAGGATTGTCTTGGGGAATAAATGAAGTATATAAAGCACCTTGAATAATGGCTGGCATATACTAGGCACTTAATAAACATGGGGGAGGAGACATTGATGATGCTGACAATGACCGTGATGAAGGTGGTAAAGGATGTCAGGCCCAGGGGTTCAAACTTCAAAGGGGCAACTTAGAAAGGGGCTTAGAAAGGTTACTGTTCAATGGATGATATCAAGAGTCCATTACAGGCGGGGCACAGTGGCTCACACCTGTAATCCCAGCACTTTGGGAGGCCGAGGCTAGTGGATCACTTGAGTCCAGGAGTTCAAGACCAGCCTGGGCAACATGGTGAAACCCCATTTCTACTAAAAATACAAAAATTAGCTGGATGTGGTGGCGTGCACCTGTAGTCCCACCTACTCAGGAGGCTGAGGCAGGAGGATCGCTTGAGCCCGGGAGGTGGAAGTTGCAGTGAGCCAAGATCGCACCATTGCACTCCAGCCTGGGAGACAGAGTGAGACCCCGTTTAGAAAAAAAAAAAAAGGGGTCCATTACAGAAGCTAGAAACCATCTTTTGGGGAAAAATAGATAGGTAAAACAACCACTCCTCTTCACAGCAGCCAAAAAACTGTCATGGTCTCTCTTTGACTCCTTCAGGAAGATTGGGCTGGGGCTACCTTACCCCTAAGGACACAACATAGCTTCTTTCATCATCCTGGTGCAGTAGATACAAAAATATATCCCAACTCCAGGATAGACAGAGCTGTATATTAGAGCAATCCCATGAAAGCATCCCATCAAAATGTCCATGAGAAATGCTTGAATGCTGATGCAGAAGGGCATCTTGTTCACGTCCCAAATGCACACACGCATTCCCGTAATGCCCGCCCACAGCTGCACCCTCAGCATCAGGCCCATTTTCCGCTGCCATCATCAGAGAAGCGAGTTCAGACATCAGAGGCAAAACGGCTCAGCCCCTCTTGCCTCCCTTCTCATTTGTTTCCCCAGAAGTTCTTAACTCAAAACAGCTAAGCAGACTAAGCCCTAAACTCCTGCACTTCTTCCCATTCCTCCGTTTCGACCCCTCATGTGAGAAAAAAAAAAAAAAAAGATCTTGGAGGATCCCCGTAAGTAAATATTTTCGCCTGAGAGGAGAAATTCTCCAATAGAAACTGGCAGCAACCAGTGAAGCTGGAGAGGCCTGCAAATGTTTTCCTCTCTCTCGCACACAACCCCCATCTGGTGCTGTGTACGTGATGTGTAAAGTGTGCACACAACACGCACATGCACATGCACGCACGTGTTGGATGGGCCCCTATTCCCCATCACTCACTCTCGCCAGGCCTGCAGAGCTCACTATAAATCACCTCAGCCAAGAGAGAGGCCGGGAATATGCTGAATCATCTAATTGGCCAAGAAAGACAGTGATAGAACGGTTCCCTTCCCCCTCAGACGCAGAGCAGAAGCCGCCAGCTGCCCGAGGACGCTGAACTGGCTTCTGTTTTCATGTTAATCAGGATCTCCATGCTCCAGCCAAGGACAGGACTGAGACCTGGAGGCCAGCCCGCAATCCTGGTGGCGCATAGCCCCCCACCCACTTCCTTGGACAGGGCCTCTTGCGTCTCAACCCCTGCACCCTGCGAGGCAGTGACTCAGGGGACCTCTCTATAAAATGAAACCTTGCCCCCGTGTAGCACGTTGAGAGCCTGCAATGGGGGCCACTTTCCGTATCAACCTGCAATTAAGTGGAATTACAGGATCCCTACCTTGTTATGTATTTGTCCCAATTTTGCTCTACAGCAGCCTTTGTCCTACCCGAAAGTCACATTTCTGAAGTTTAGACAGGAGCTAAAGAACCATTTCGAGGCTTGTGCTCTGTACACAGTGGCTTCTCTCCTGAGCTCTCGGTTTTCGTTTTCCTTGGCAGGGTGTGGTCCCTGACAGCAACCAGCAAACCTAAGCAGGAAAGCTGGCCAAAAATCCTATGGAGGGCCGGGTGCAGTTGTTCACCCCTGTAACCCCAGCACTTTGGGAGGCCAAGGCAGACTGATCACCTGAGGTCAGGAGTTTGAGATCAGCCTGGCCAACATGGGGAAACCCTGTCTCTGCTAAAAATACAAAAATTAGCCGGGTGTGGTGGCAGGCGCCTGTAGTCCTAGCTACTCAGGAGGTTGAGGCAGGAGGATCGCTTGAACTCAGGAGGCGGAGGTTGCAGTGAGCCAAGATTATGCCACTGCCCTCCAGCCTGGGCAACAGAGTGAGCCTCTGTCAAAAAAAAAAAAAAAGAATCCTATGGAGAAGGCTGCCTGTTTGCGCCTCCAACACTCACCCCCCTGTTGTGGGCAGCTTGGATGGGAAGAAGCCACCATCTAGAGGCTCGTCCCAACTTCCTTCACCCCACCTGCTGCTACAGAAGAACGACCACAACCTTCAGGACAGCCTGTTTACTGGAGGGGTAGGGGTGGAGTGGGGTTAGGGGCTTCAAGTCATCTGGGTACAAGGCTGGGGTTCATGGGTGGAGAGGAAGGTCTTGGCAGGGTTTCTGTGAGCAGGGTAAATTCAAGCCATTAAAGAAAATTAAGTACTTAGCACAGTGCTTGGCCCGTGGTCATGTTAATGAAGATTCGTTGAAAGGACAGAAGGGTGGGCCAGAGGGAAACCGAGATCCCGAACACCAGTAGCACCTGCGAGAAGCTTCTCTGGTCAGGATCAGGAAAAGCCTTCGTTGACCAGTGGCCTCACAGTTTTGGCCTCATTCCATGCCCCCCATCCCCAGCAGGGGAGGTCTGCTGGAGAGAAATGATATCTTGTGGCGAAAAACTTGCTCCTCTATCCAACTCACCCCCCTCCGCCCATTTTGTAGGAAAACAGAAAACAACCTAGGGAGAAGTGTCTGGCCCAAGAAGCATGGAGTGACTGCTGAGCTGAGGGACAGCTTTCTGCTTTCCCCTCAGGCCATCAGTTCTCCCACAGTTATCCATCCTCCAGAAGTGCTCAAGTGGGGACCAGGAATCTCTCCTCTGACTCACTAAAGCCACCACAAAACTAGGAAGGTGGGTCTGGTGTTTTGCCCCTGGAGCTGATGTTTGCCTGGACTCTGGGCTCAGTGACCTCCGGAGGACTCTGTTTTCTGGAAGCGCTGTGACCTCTGTGGACCCATGTCTGCCACAGGCCTATGTCACTTGAGCCTTTGCTATAGTTCCTGTGAGTGCCTTGGGCTTGTGTCTGCCATGGGCCTCCAGCTACTGTGGACTCTGGACCTTCCATGGCAATCCACAGAGGCCTACAGGGAGGCAGGTGGAAGGAATGACTAGGAGGGTGGTATTGCTTTCCTAAAGGCAGAAATGAGTTTTAAAAACTTTGGGAAAAGTATGAAAGCTGTACCATTATAAAATGTTTCAGCAAGAAAAGAGAAGGACACATATTTCTACACTTTTTTTTTTTTAGAGATGGAGTCTCACTGTGTTGCCCAGGCTAGAGTGCAGTAGCTATTGTCAGGCACAATTGTGGCTCACTGCAGCCTCAAACCCCTGGGCTCAAGTGATCCTTCTGCCTCAGCCTCCCAAATGGCTGGGATTACAGCCATGCAACATGGCGTCTGGTGGGACTCATTTTATCTCTTGGGAAGTTGGTTCTTTGAGGACCTTTTAAAGGAATAAGGTTAACTGGTTGTTATGGACTGAGTTTTGTCTTCCAAACATTCATCTGCTAAAGCCCTAACCCCTAGTACATTGGAATGTAACTATATTTGGAGATAGTGCCTTTAAAGAGGTGATCAAGGAAAAATGAAGCCATGGGGCCGATGGGGGTAGTCCAAAATGGTTAGTGTCTTCATAAGAGGAGATTAGGCCAGGCACAGTGATGTTTGCTTGCAGTCCCAGCTATGCAGGAGGCTGAGGCAGAAAGATTGCTTGAACCCAGGAGTTTGACTCCAGCCAGGGTATATTAGTCCGTTTTCATGCTGCTGATAAAGACATACCTGAAACTGGGAACAAAAAGAGGTTTAATTGGACTTACAGTTCTACATGGCTAGGGAGGCCTCAGAATCATGACGGGAGGCAAAAGGCACTTCTTACATGGTGGCAGCAAGAGAAAAATGAGGAAGAAGCAAAAGCAGAAATCCCCGATAAACCCATCAGCTCTCAGACCAGCCCCCATGATTCCACTACCTCCTGCTGGGTCCCTCCCACAACATGTGGGAATTCTGGGAGATACAATTCAAGTTGAGATTTGGATGGGGACACAGCCAAACCATATAATTCCACCCCTGGCCCCTTCAAATCTCATGTCCTCCCATTTCAAAACCAATCATGCCTTCCCAACAGTCCCCCAAAGTCTAAACTCATTTCAGCAGTAACTCAAAAGTCCACAGTCCCAAGTCTCATCTGAGACAAGGCAAGTCCCTTCTGCCTACGAGCCTGCAAAATCAGAAGCAAGCTAGTTACTTCCTAGATACAATGGGGGTATAGGTATTGGGTAAATACAGCCATTCCAAATGGGAGAAATTGGCCCAAAAAAGGGGTTACAGGGCCCATGCAAGTCCGAAATCCAGTGGGGCAGTCAAATTTTTAAGCTCCAAAATGATCTCCTTTGGCTCCAGGTCTCACATCCAAGTCACATTGATGTAAGAGGTGGGTTCCCATGGTCTTGGGCAGCTCCGCCCTTGTGGCTTTGCATGGTACAGCCTCCCTCTTGGCTGCTTTCACAGGCTGGCATCAAGTGTCTGTGGCTTTTCCAGGTGCATGGTGCAAGCTGTCAGTGGATCTACCATTTTGGGGTCTGGAGGATGGTGGCCCTCTTCTCACAGCTCCACTAGGCAGTGCCCCAGTAGGGACTCTGTGTGGGAGCTCCAACCCCACATTTCCCTTCCACACTGCCCTAATAGAGGTTCTCCATGAGGGCCCTGCCTCTGCAGCAAACTTTCGCCTGAACATCCAGGCATTTCCATACATCTTCTGAAATCCAGGCAGAGCTTTCCAACCTCAATTCTTGACTTCTCTGTAACTGCAGGCTCAACACCACGTGGAAGCTGCCAAGGCTTGGGGTTTCCACCTCTGAAGCCACAGCCCAAGCTCTACATTGGCTCCTTTCAGTCACTGCTGGAGTGGCTGGGACACAGGGCCCCAAGTCCCTAGGTTGCACACAGCACGAGGACCCTGGGCTCAGCCCAGGAAACCACTTTTTCCTCCTGGGCCTCTGGGCCTGTGATGGGGAGGGGCTGCTGTGAAGGTATCTGACATGGCCTGGAGACATTTTCCCCATGGTCTTGGGGATTAACATTAGGTCCTTGCTACTTATGCAAATTTCTGCAGCCAGCTTGAATTTCTCCTCAAAAAAAAAAAAATGTTATTTTCTTTTTACTACATTGTCAGGCTGCAAATTTTCTGAACTTTTATGTTCTGTTTCCCTTTTGAAATGGAATGCCTTTAACAGCACCCAAGTTACCTTTTGAATGCTTTGCTGCTTAGAAATTTCTTCTGCCAGATACCCTGAATCATCAAGTTCAAAGTTCCACAAATCTCTAGGGCAGGGGCAAAATGTCCCCAGTCTCTTTGCTAAAACATAACAAGAGACACCTTCACTCCAGTTCTCAGCAAGTTCCTCATCTCCATCTGAGACCACCTCAGCCTGGACCTTATTGTTCATATCACTATAAGCATTTTTGTCAAAGCCATTCAACAAGTCTCTAGGAGGTTCCAAACTTTCCCATATTTTCCTGTCTTCTTCTGAGCCCTCCAAACTGTTCCAACCTCTGCCTGTTGCCCAGTTCCAAAGTCACTTGAACATTTTCAGGTATCTTTTCAGCAATGCCCCACTCTACTGGTACCAACTTACTGTATTAATCCGTTTTGATGCTGCTGATAAAGACATATCCGAAACTGGGAACAAAAAGTGGTTTAATTGGACTTACAGTTCCACATGGCTGGGGAGGCCTCAGAATCATGGCAGGAGGCAAAAGGCACTTCTTACATGGTAGTGGCAGGAGAAAAATGAGGAAGAAGCAAAAGCAGAAACCCCTGATAAACCCATCAAATCTCATGAGACTTATTCACTATCACAAGAATAGCACAGGTAAGATCAGCACCCATGATTCAATTACCTCCCCCTGGGTCCTTCCCACAACACATGGGAATTCTGGGAGACACAATTCAAGTTGAGATTTGGGTGGGGACACAGCAAAACCATATCACTGGGCAACATAAAAAAATAATATTAAGAAGAGATTAGGACACAGACATGCACAGAGGGAAGACCATGTGAAGACACAGAGAGAAGACAGCCGCCAACCAACCAAGGACAGAGGCCTCACAAGAAACCAACTTTGACAACATGTTGACCTTGAACTTCTAGACTCCAAAACTGTGAGAAAATAAATTTCTGTTGTTTAAGCCTGCAGTCTGTGGTATTTTGTTATGGCAATGTGAGCAGACTAACACACTAGGCTATAGTGGATGAAAGAAGATTGGGCCTGCTTTGTTTATTGCTTCGTTTTCCTAGCACCTGTCATGAAGCTTTTTTTTTTTTTTTTTTTTTTTGAGACAGGGTCTGGCTCTGTTGCCCAGGCTGGAGTGCAGTGGTGCGATCTTGGCTCACTGCAACCTCCACTTCCCAAGTTCAAGCGATTCTCGTGCCTCAGCCTCCTGAGTAGTTGGGCCTACAAGCATGCGCCACCACAGCCAGCTAATTTTTGTATTTTTTTTTTTTAAATATGGACGAAATTTCACCATGTTAGCCAGGCTGATCCCAAACTCCTGGCCACAAATGATCTGCCTGCCTTAGCCCCGCAAAGTGCTGGGATTACAGGCATGAGCCACTGCACCTGGCCATCGTGGAGCTTTCAATAAGAAAAAGTAAACCATAGTTGCATAGCAAACTATTCTAAAATCTAGTGGGTTAAAAACCCCAACAAATCATTAATTTTACTCGCAATTCTGTAATTAGAATGGAGCTCAGTGGGGACATCTTGTCTCTCCTTCATGCAGCATCAGCTGGGCTGCCTTGACTAGGGAATAGAAGGTTGTATTAGTTATCAGTTTCTGCGTAACAAATTACTCCAACATTTAGTGGCTTAATGTAAGAAACTTTTATTATCTCACATAGCTTCTGTGGGTCAGAAATGCAGGTGTGGTTTAGCTGGGTGCCTCTTATCTAGCCGTCTCTGGCTTGAGGTGTCTCATGAAGTTGCAGTCCAGTTGTCAGCTGGAGTTGTGTTCTCATCTGAAGGTGCAACTGGTGGAAGAATCTGCTTCCAAGCTCCCTCATGTAGTTGATGGCAGGTCTCAGTCTCTTACCATAAGGGACCCTCTATAGGGCTGCCTCACAATATGGCAACTGGCTTCCCCCAGGTAAGCCATGCAAGAGAGAGAGAACATGTAAGAGAGTATCCAAAATGGAAGCTAGTCTTTTCTCCCCCAGCTTTATTGAGATACGATTGATGCCACATCAGTTTTATAATATAATCTTGGATACCACTTATGCTATATTCTATTTGTTAGAAGCTAGGTACTCAGTGCCATCTACATTTGGGGGAGACCAGACATCTCTCCTCTGACTCACTGCAGCTGGATGTCTAGAAAAAGAAGTAAATTCTCATAATTCAGGATATGATACTCCTGAGACCTCCATCCCTGGTTCTTTCTCTGGTGTAGTTCATCCTTTATCACGAACATACTCTTCAGAATACATCAGTGTTTGGGCGAGGTGATTACACAAGGGCAGGAATCCTATCATTGGGGGCCATCTGAGATGCTGCCTACCATGAGGTTTGACTTTCAAGATGGCTCTCTCATACAACTGGCAAATTGGTACTGGCTATTGGCTGGAAGCATAGATGAGGCTGTGGGCTGGGAGCTTTGGTTCCTCTCCATGAGTTGCTTGGGCTTCCTCACAGCATGGTTGCTGGATTCCAAGAGCAAGTGTCTCAATAGAGTATTAAGGCAAGTGTACATTACATATTTAATGACCTAGCCTCAGAAATCACATAGCATCACTTCCACCACACTCTATTGGTCAAAGGCCACACAGGTTTAAAGATAAGGATCATAAATTTTACCTGTTGATGCAAGAGTGGCAAGGTTCAAGAAAAGCCTGTGGGACACAAAATATTATTGCAGTTATCTTTGGAAAATACCTTCTGCTACATTGGAGCTTAGTAGTATTCAGAGAAGGGGCTGAGTCTATAGCTGAGGAAACTAGACCCAACGTGGATGTCTAGGAAGAGAAGTCAGTTCTCACAATTCAGGATATGAGACTCCTGAGACCCCTGTCCCTGACTCTGTTTCTCTGGTATAGATCATCCTTCATGACTGAACATACTCTTCAGAGTATATCAGTGTTGCTATGGTTTGGAGTCTACAAAGATGGGCCCCCGACTCTATCGGTTAGGATGTTTGGTTGCAAACCAAAGCCCCAGTAGGAGGGCTGAGGCTTGAAGGTGAAAAAGTCTTTTAAACTCAAACTGGAGGAGTGAATTCCTAATGGCAGAATGTCAGGCACCAGGCCTGGAGAGCAATTTGTGGATGATGACTTCAAAGCCACGCCATTAACTCACAAGGCCCACCCTGCTAATTTTCAATATGCATATTCACCTGTGTCCTCAGCTCTCCCAGTCTGTTCTGCCAGAGTCTTGCTGCTCAAAAATCAGAGAAGTTGGCCGGACGCGGTGGCTCACACCTGTAATCCCAGCACTTTGGGAGGCCAAGGCAGGCAGATCACGAGGTCAGGAGATCGAGACCATCCTGGCCAACACGGTGAAACCCCTTCTACTAAAAACACAAAAAATTAGCTGGGCATGGTGGCGGGAGCCTTTAGTCCTAGCTACTCGGGAGGCTGAGGCAGGAGAATGGCATGAACCCGGGAGGCAGAGCTTGCAGTGAGCCGAGATTGCGCCACCGCACTCCAGCCTGGGTGGCAGAGCAAGACTCCGTCTCAAAAAAAAAATCAGAGAAGTTATGGGGCCCTGTAAGCAGAATTATCTCCTCCCCATAGAAGAGCCTGGTATCTAAGTAGGAGATTTCCAGGGGTTGAAAGGCTGGCCTTTCCAGAATGGAAGCTGCCAAAGTCCCAGGGAACCATGTATCAGTGAGAGGACTAACAGGATTTCTCATTCATTCATTCAGCAAATATTTATTGAATACTGCATAGCACAGTATAAATTTCATTAGTTTGGTGGACATTTCCTTTCCCCTTCCTAACAGCAATAAGATTTTCCTCTAAGAATGCCCCCTCCCCCCGAAATTATGTAGCAACCATGCAGTTTACCCCATTTTTACCTCCATAGCCTAAGCTAATCAGATCAATTCCATTTCCTTTGTCACAGTGGCAGGGATGGTTCACTCAAAGAGATGCTCAGGACTTTTGTGGGAAGGAGTATGCTCTCTTTCTTTCCCTGGATGTGAATGAAAAAGCTCGAAGACTCAGTTTCTGTTGGCAGCCATCTTGCCACCACGAGGGAAGTCCACCTGAGCAAAGAACCAGTGCAGAAGAGAAATGGAGCCAGAGCCTTGATAAAACCATGCATGCCTGAAGCCCACTGGATATTTTAATTGTGTGAGCCAATAAATCTTCCTTATTATTCAAGTCAGTTTTTTGGGTTTTCTTGAGACAGAGTCTCACTCTGTTTCCCAGGCTGGAGGCTGGAGTGGGGTGGCACGATCTTGGCTCACTGCAACCTCTGCCTCCCAAGTTCAAGTAATTCTCCTGCCTCAACCTCCCGAGTAGCTGGAACTACAGGCACATGCCACCATGCCTGGCTAATTTTTGTATTTTTAGTAGAAACAGGGTTTAGCCATGTTGGCCAGGCTGTTCTCGAACTCCTGAGCTCAAGTGATCTATCCACCTCGGCCTCCCAAAGTGCTGGGATTACAGGCGCGAGCCACCATGCCCAATTCCCCTCAAGTCAGTTTGAATGGGCTCTTCTACAATTTACAAGTTCTTTAACGGATGCAAATTCAGCAAAGTTGCAGGATACAAGGTCAACACATGCAGGTTAGTGGTATTTCTGTACACAGGCAATGAATAATCTGAAAATGAAATTAAGAGAATGAGAAGACAAGACAGAAAAAATTTGCAAAAGACATATCTCATAAAGGACTGCTATTCAAAATATAAGAACTCTTAAAACTCAACAATGAGGAAATGAACAACCCAATTAAAAATATTGGTAAAAGATCTGGAAAGCCACCTCACCAACGAAGATATGCAGATGGAAAATAAGCATGTGAAAAGATGCTCAACATCATATGTCATTAGGAAATTGCAAATTAAAACAACAATGAACTATCACTACAGACCTATTAGAATGGCCAAATCCAAGACACTGACAACACCAAATGCTGGTGAGGATGTGGAGCAACAGGAACTCTCATTTGTTGCTGGTGGGAATGCGAAATAGTGTAGCAGTTTGGCAGTTTCTTACAAAATTAAATATATTCTTACCCTATGATCCAGCAATCTCACTCCTTGATATTTACCCAAATTAGTTTAAAACATACATCCACATAGAAACGTGCTGCACATGGATGTTTATAATAGGTTTATTGACAATTTCCAAAACTTAGATGCAGCCAAGATATTCTTCAGTGGATGAATGGATAAATAAACTGTAATATTCCAGACAATGGAATATTATTCAACACTAAAAAATGAGCTACTAAGCCATGAAAAGACATGGAGGAACCATAAATGCATGTTACTAAGTGAAAGAAGCCAAACTGAAGAGGCTACCTACTACTGATTTCAACTGTATGACATTCTGGAAAAGGCAAAACTATGGAGATGACAGTAGAAAAGTTAATAGTTGCTAGGGTTAGGAAGGGAGGGTGGGATGAATAGGCAGCGCATAAAGATTTTTAGGGCAGTGAAACTATTTTGTATGATACTATAATGGTGGATACATGTCATTGTATATTTGTCAAAACCTATCAAATGTACATCATCAAGCCAGGCACGGTAGCTCATGCCTGTAATCCCAGCACTTTGAGAGGCTGAGGTGGGTGGATCACTTGAGCCCAGGAGTTCGAGATCAGCCTGTGCAACAACATGGTGAGATCCTGTCTTTAAAAAAACAAAAAGAAAAGAAAGAGAGAAAAAAAAGAACGTACAACATCAAGAGCAAACACTAATGTAAACTATGGACTCTGGGTGACAATGATATGTCAATGTAGTTTCATCAGTTGTAATAAATATACCACTCTGGTACAGGATGTTATGGTGGGGGAGGCTGTGCATATGTGGGGTACTGGCATAAGGAATAAGGATAGACACATAGATCAATAGAATAGAATTTAGAGTCCAGAAATAAACCCATGCACTTACGATCAACTGATTTTTGGCAAGGGTGCCAAGGCCATGCAGTGGGGAAAGAATAGCCTTTTAAACAAATGGTGCTGGAACAACAGGATATCCACATGTAACAGAATAAAGTTGGACTCCTAGTTCACATTGTGCACAAAAATTAACTCAAAATGAATCAAAGACCTAAATGTAAGAGCTAAAACTGTGAAGCTCTTACAAGAAAATATAGGGGTAAATCTTCATGACCTTGAATTTGGTAATCAATTCTTAGATATGACACCAAAAGCATGAGCAACAAAAGAAAAAATAGATGAACTGGACTTCATCAAAATTTTAAAAACTTTTACGCATCAAGGAATGCAATCAATAAAGTGAAATGACAGAATGGGAGGAAAGTATTTGCAAATTACTTATCTGATGAGGGTCTAGTATCCACAATATAGAAAGAACTCTTACAACTCAACCACAAAAAGACAAACAGCCTAATTTAAAAATGAGCAAAGGACTTGGATAGACATTTCTCCAAGGAAGATATACAAATGGCCAATAAGCACATGAAAATATGTTCAATCTAATTAGTCATTAGGGAAATGCAAATCAGAAACATGATGAGACACTATTTCATATGCAATAGGGTGGCTATAATTCAAAAAAAAAGAAAATAAGTGTTGGTGAGGATGTAGAGAAATTGGAACCCACGTACATTAATGGTGGGAATGTAACATGGTGCAGCTACTATGGAAAACAGTTTGGCAGTTCCTCAAAAAGTTGAACACAGAATTACTATATGACTCAGCAATTCCTCTATTTACGTATAAACCCAAAGGAATTGAAAATAGCTATTCAAACAAATATTTGTACACAAATGTTCGTTGCAGTTCTATTCCCAATAGGCAAAAGGTAGAAACAAATCAAATGTTCATCAGTGGAGGAATGGATAAAGTGTGGTATATCCATAAAGGAATACCATTCAGCCATAAAAAGGAATAAAGTGCTGATACCTGCTACAATATGAATAAACCTTGAAAACCTCAGGCTGAGTGAAAGAAGTCAGACACAAAAAGACAAATATTGTCGGATTCTATTTATGTGAAAAATCCGGAATAGGTAGATTCAGAAAGCAGATTAGTAGTTACCAGGGGATTCGGGAGGGGGAAATAGGGACTGACTGCTTATGGATCAATGGTTTCCTTTTGGGGTGATGAGAACGTTTTAGAACTAGACAAAGATGATGGTTGCATAACATTGTGACTGTACTAATTCAACTGAATCGTGCCCTTTAAAGTGGCTAATGTTATGTTATGTGAATTTCACCTCAATAAAAGCAAACATGCTGTGAATGAATGAATGTGTGCATATGTGAATGGCTGCCATGGAAAGGAGCATTTCCTGGGTCATCTACACCAATATTTCAAGGCGCAGTCTTTGCTTTCCTTTACTGACTCCTTATCCTGGCTGTCTGCCCTTTAAATTTCCCTGGCAGGCAGACATTTGGAAAGCCAGTATTCAACAGGTCCGGTGCCCCAACTCCCCCAATGTCTTAAGGCATTATCATCATTGTTCAAAAATATTTTACAAACCCAGTCTTGGAAAAAAGGTTTTATTAAGAACCTCATTATTATATCCGTTGCCCTAATTCCACATCAGATTATTAACAAAGGCTTTGTGGACTGAGGCTCTGGGCAACTGGCCATCTTCTCAGCAGGACTGTGCTGATTCTTACTCTGCTAATCCACAAACCTGTTAAACCTCACCAAGTCAAAAGAAAAGATTTCTGGGGAGAGGCACTTAAAAAGAGGCTTGGGCTCTAGGAGCTTTTTTCCATTGCACAACTCCCAGCAGGGCCTTTCTCAGAATGTGCTGAGTGAGATCATCAATATTTAAAACGAAACTGCTCACATCCAAGTAAGTGAACAACAGCACCAAGGGCATGGCTCGGTCTCTGCTCCTGCTCCTCATTTTGTTCACTTGAAAGATGTGGCACTAACTTGTCCCATAATCAGGACCTTCAACATTTAATTTAGGCAGTGGGCACAAGGGGCAGAAAGTGGGCAAAGGAAACTGCGTATCTACATGCCATCTCACCCCATAGCCAAAAATGAACTCAAAATGAGAAAAGCTACATGAGGCCAAAGATACCCTCATAGCAGAGTGGCCACCAAGACCCCCATTGTCCATCACGTGTCAAATGTCCCAGGCCCACACAACCACCTGAGGCCTGCCAGAGGGAGCTGGGTAAAAAGCCTTTTCCTCCCCAACAAGGAAGGAAAAAGCTCTCCAGCTCCGTCTCCTGCCGAGCCACATGGACCTGTCTGCAAACTCCCCATCCATTTCCACACTACCTGGCCTTTGGTCTTGCTCTTCTCTCTGCTAGGATGCCATCCCCAAATTCAGGCCCAAGTTAAAATTTTTACCTCTTCTTCGGTGAATCTGATCAGGATTCCCTCATTAGAAATTCTTGCTCCTTCCTCAGGGCTCACATGGCATTTTCCTTTTGGCTCTGGCATTGCTGCATAGCTATCATTTGTCCTGCGTTTTCTGGGCTAGCCTTAAGTTCAAAAATGTCACACTATCTCCCTACCTCCCTGTACATGTCCTAGTAATTCCAGTATTTCAATATCAAAACAACATCTTCCAGATTATTTCTCCCAATTGGAAGCAACCCCATAATCCTGTACTTAGGCTACCTGTCCTCAGTCTTGGTTTATAAATTGTGATCACTGTGATTAGGCCACTTATTTCACTCTGCTTTGATCATAATTATGGACTTTGCTCCAGTAGATTGTGAGCTCCTTGGGGGATAGGGACTCTATCAGTTAGGATTCGGTTTGGCTAGGAGCTAGAGACTCAAAATTGCAATGTGGCTTAAACGTGAGAGCAGTTTCTCGTGTGTTAAAGTTTAGAGATAAACAGTTCAGCATGGAAATGGCTGTTGTTCTAAGAAGATCTCAGAGACCCAGGCTCCTTTCAGCCTACCATTCCAGATCCCAACATTGATGAAGGTGAAGCCCTTGTTCTCATGGTTCATGATAGTGGCTAGAGCTCCAGCCATCACATCTACATTCCAGGCAGCAAAAGATGAAAACTAAAGGAGGCAATGGTCAAATATCAGCCATCTCTTAAGGAAGGTTCTTGGAAGCAGCCACATTGTCACTTCCACTTGTAATCCAATAGCCTGAACTTAATTACATGTCTATGCCTACCTGCAAAGGAGGCTGGGAAATGTAATCTTTCTTCTAAGTGGCCATGTGCCCACCTGAAAATCAGGGTTTGAGTATTATGTTAGAAGGGGATGTAGTATACTGGGGAACAGTCTCTGTCATAGATAGGCTTATGCATCTCAATATCCTAAGCAACTCTAGTGGAGCTTGACACACAGCATCAAGGAATGAGAGGTAAGATAGCAGAATGGGTGAAAGCACAGATTCTGGAACCATCTGCCTGAATTTGAATTCCAGCTCTGCCACTTAACTAGCTGTGTGACCTTCGGCAAGTCATTTAAACTCTCTGAGCCTCAGTTTTCCTATCTGTAAAACGAGGATAATAATAGCGGACAGGGTTATTGTGAAGGTTAAATAAGTTTATCAATGTAAAGCCTTTAGAACAGGAACTGGTACATAGCATGTGCTATATAAGTAGTAGCTACGGTTATTATTGTGGTGGTGTTGGATGAACAAATGGTCAAACTGAGATGTTACCTGTTAAGGAGCAGCTGGGTCTGAGGTTTCTGATGGCACAATGCCTTTATCTAAGCCTAGAAGCTGTGGTTGGTGTGGAAGTCCCCAAATATGGCCGCCCATAACTCCCATCAAGAGGTAGAGACTTATTTCCCTTCCCCTTGAATCTGGACCAGCCTTGTGACTTGCTCTGATGAATAGAATGCGATGGAAGTGACCTCGTGCCAATTCCAGGTCTCAGCCTTAACAGGCCTGGCAGCTTGTGCCTTTGTTCTCTTGGCAGCCCACTGCCATATAAAGAGGTCTGGCTGCCGTGCTGGAGCATGAGGCCATGTGGAGGGAGAAAGGCCCTGGGGGATGGAGACTACGAAGGGAGAGAAAGTGAGACCCAGCCAGCCTTTAGCCATTTCAGTCCCAGCTACTAGGGTGCCAGACATGTGAGGGAGGCCGGTTGGATGTTCTGGCCCCAGTCAAGCTCCCAGCTGACTGCAGCTGCATGAGTGACCCCAGCCAATACCATGTGGAGCAGAAGAACTGCCCAGTCAACCCACAGAATTGAAAGGAACAATGACTCATTGTTTCAAGCCATTCAAGCCATTAAGTTTTGAGGTGGGTTGTGGAATAGCAACAGAAGCATACCAGGGCTCAATGCCTGATCTTATCCTGCTCTCAGGGCCCACACCTTCCTGTGTCAATTTTCTGTCTCCAGTTCCTGCAAGACTAGGGCAGAATCTGGGGGTTCTAGAACAGCCTTTGCCCTTGAGTCTTAGGAAGACAGAGGCAAAAGCTTTGCCCCTTATTTCCTCTCTCTAACAAAAATAAGGCAAGAATATTTGCAACCTGGTGACCCTTCTGAAATCTTCTGAGGCCAGATGAGATGAATTTTGAGTTTGAGGAGCTGAACTCTGAAATTTCATCTTCAGAATACTCTGAATTCCAGCATGCACGTCTCTTTGGCCCATTTTTCATTAACACATTAAAATAAAATCCATTAAGACATATCACTTCAGTTGGAAACTTGACCAGAACTGAAGTTGACTAGAGTCATCATCTCCCCTATTTGCAGAACTCATTAGAATATCCAAAGTAATTTTCACCTGCATCATCTTACTTGATTTCTACAATGAGAAAAGGCTTCTCTAACCAAACCACTATGGTAAATATGATCACAGTGGAAAGAAGGTTTTTAAAAGTATGCAAATAGGACCACTAATTACAAATGAATCTTTAGCTCATCAGCAAGATACACTCCTCAGCTGATGACAACATCTGAACATAAAACTCAAAACAGGGCTAGGGGCAGTGGCTCATGACTGTAATCCCAGCGCTTTGGGAAGTTGAGGCAGGAGGAAAGCCTGAGGCCAGGAGTTCCAGACCGGCCTGAGCAACATAGTGAGACCCTGTTTCTACAAAGAATAAAATAAATTATCCAGGCATAGTGGCACATGCCTCAAGTTCTAGCTACTCAGAAGGCTGAGGCAGGAGGATTGTTTGAGCCCAGGAGTTCAAGGTTACAGTGAGCTATGATTGCACCACTGCACTCTAGCCTAGGCAACAGAGTGAGACCCTATCTCTAAAAATAAAACAATAGGTAATTAATTAATTGAAAACACTCAAAGAAAAGCTTTTAGTTAACCCTATCTTTTATTAAACTGGCCATCCTCTAAATTCATCAAAACGAGTGAGGTTCACAGTATTGAATATCAAAATTTCTACTGCTCATACATTTCCGCAATTTTCAAGGCACCCAGAGTTTTTTGAGTACCCATTTCTCACTGGTATGAGGAACTTGGTACCTATGGCCATTTTAAAACATGGCCCCTAAATTCTTTGATACTACTCCCATCAACAAACTAGGTTCTATCTCCCCTGCCCTTGAATCTGAGTGGGCTCATAACTGCTTCAACCCATAGACTATGACATGTGATATCATGTGATTTCTGAGGTTGGGCCAGAAAGGTACATGCAATTTCCACCTGATTCTCTTAGGACAGTTGCTATGGGGGAAGCCAGTTGTCGCATAAGAAATCCAACCTTCCCAAGACTGCTGTGCTGATGAGGCCAAATGTCGATGCTCTGGGTGACAGCTTCTCCCTGCAGAGGCACCAGACATATGAGTGGAGCCATGTTGGATCCTCCAGACCCAGCCCACTCACCACTGGGTGGTCTCAGCAGATGCCACGAGGAGCAAAAAACCATCCAGCTGCACCCTGCCTAAATTCCTGACCAGCAGATCCTTGCGCACAATAAGATAGGTATGGTTTTGTGCTACTAAGTTGGAGTGATTTGTTATGCAGCAATAGTGACTGGAAGAGTACCACAAATAAAGCTGTCTGTGATGAAATCAGAGACCCACTGAGCGGGCTTCAACCTAACAGAAGCTACAAACCACCTTCATCCAAACCCAAGATGGGCTCTTCATGCCCTTCCCAGCCCCTCTTACACCGGTAAAGGCAGGCAGCCCAGTTAAGTGGGAACATAGCACTCAGAGACAGAAAGACTTGAGTTTAAATCCTTGCTCTGCCCTAGTAAAGCCTTGGGCAAATTGCTTAATCTCTCTGAACCCCAGTCCCCAAAGTGGCCACATTACCACATCCTTCCTAGTGTGGGTGCCAGAAGTCAGTGAGCTAACCCAGCAAAGCACCTAACACACTGTAGGTGCTCCATAAGGTTAATTCCATGTATTGCTTGGGGTCATGTGTTCTGGGTCTTCAGTGAATTTCGAATATTCATGAGTCTTCATTTTGGTCCAGAAAACACGCTATTTGGCTTACTCCAGGATGGCTCCCATTCAAGTGGTAGAATTAGACTGGCAGGCCACAGCAGCTATTGAATGAGATTGGATCATTTGATTCATTGCAGTCTCTCCTCATAGCCTCCCGACCCCCTAATCCCCGGGCTGGAAGGCTGCCTTCGCTGAGCCATGATGAACATCAGTGGTGGCAAACCCTGGGCTGTGTGGTTCAGTCCTGGGCTAGTAAACACAAGTCTTGCCAAACCTGAAACTCAAGTCATGGATGAGTGGTGAGCTCTGGACTGAGGTTTGGCCTTCCTCATCCAACCACTATAATCACATAGGTTATTAAGAAGTAGATTTTTTTTTTTGAGGCAACTTTGGAATTGGCTGAACCAGCAGAATAATTTACTGTAATGTACTTTCCTCTCCCTATTCCCCATCCCCTTCCCCGCCCCCACCCCAGACAAAACCCACCACTGCAGAGGCTACAAAGGACCTTGTTGCTTAGCAACAGGAGTGAAACTAATCAACACAGCTCTGAATAATAATATTTTTTCAAAACACGACTTATCCTGAAATTGTGCGGCAAATGTGAGGCCTTCCTTTCAATATAAACAGTCATTTTTAAAACATCCATAATTAATTTCGTGATGTGTGCTCATTCCCTTCACTGGTGGATTAGCCTTGTTAAATAATAACAGTAACACCGACAACACTAATACCATGTAGCCTTTGTCCAGCACATGCATTTGACATTTTGTAATTCTGTCGGCCTTAGAAAGTCATATTGAGGTGGAAGGGGCCAGTATTTAAACTCATTCTCGAGCTGGAGATATGGACATGAAGAGGTTAAGTGTAGTAGAGCCCAAATTACCAGACAGGCTTTCTGAAGCCAAATCCATGTAGTTTTCCCCCAAACCATGTAGTTTTCCTATTCTTTGACCAGCCTGTAACTTATGATAGAATCACTCTGAACCTCAGTTTCCTCCTCTACGAGATAGGGATGGTGAGTGGGTTGGACTGGATCAACTCCATTGTCCCTCCAGCTGTAATATTTCTAGCCCAGTCCAGGAGCTATCCAGGATGAATCAACAGGCCCTCCGTGGTTTAGAGAGTCTGTGGGCCTTATAAGTGAGCACAAAGAGAATGGTGAGGAAGAGAATGAACAGAAAGCTGTGGCAGAGAAGACTCACTTAGAAGGCAAACAAGACGGCTGGGTGTGTTGGCTCGTGCCTGTAATCCCAGAACTCTGGGAGGCCGAGACGGGAAGATTGCTTGATGCCAGGAGTTGGAGATACGCCTGGGCAACATATCGAGATCCCATCTCTACAAAAAAACTAAAAAATTTAGCTAGGCATGGTGGTGCATGCCTATAGTTCCATCTACTCAGGGTGCTGAGGCGGGAAGATGGCTTGAGCCCAGGAGTTAGAGGCTGCAGTGAGCTATGATTGCACCACTGCACTTCAGCCTGGGTGACAGAGTGAGACCCCCGTCTCTTAAAAAAAAAAAAAGGCAAAGAAGGTCTTCTAGAGAAACAAGAGTTGGACCTGAGGGGAGGAAGAGCAGAAGAACCCCTGTGAGGGGAGGGGAAGCAAAGGGGCCCTCAGCCACTGCCAGCAGGGGACATGGACATGGCAGAGGTGAAGATCATATCACAGAGGTGGCACCTCAGAGTCATACCCAGGAGCCCCAGGGTGCCTGAGAGGCCAGTTGAGCTGCTCTGGGCCAGGGAACCTCTGTTTGCTCAGCAATTAAATGGAGGTGTCGCAGGAGCAACCCTCTCTTTGAATTTAGTCAGGTTTGGTTCCTGTGGGCCTGAAGGGATGTTGCCCCACAGATTTGGCAAGAACTCTGAGCCAGTTGTGAGTTCCCAACTCAAACTGCATGGGCTCAAAAGGGACTCTATTGGCTCCTATATTCTCAAAGTTCAAGGGATGAAGCTGATCAAGCAAAGTCTTGAGGCATCTTTTTTCTCTCTCAGCTCTACTTCCTTCTGTGTGAACTCCGTTGTCAGACAGGCACCTCCCTGGGGGAGGCCTCCCATGACTGTAAGATTTCCTTCATCCTGACAGCTTGTGAGGTTTCAGTTCTGGCAACACCAACAAAAGTCAAAGTGTGTGTTTGGGGGACAGGGTTTCCCTGGGTCACATGCTCAATCCAGAACTAGCCACTGATACCCAGAGCATGGAGTATTCTGCTTGGCCATGCATTTGTCATAAGCCCTCCCATATAGGGGTACCAGATAATATACAGGATACATTAGAATTTTAGATAAACAAGAAGTAATTTCTAAGTGTAAGTTATGTTCCAAATACTGCATGGGATATACTTTTTTTTTTTTTTTGAGATGGAGTCTCACTCTGTCGCCCAGGCTGGAGTGCAGTGGCACCATCTTTGCTCACTGCAACCTCCACCTCTTGGGTTCAAGTGATTCTCCTGCCTAGCCTCCCGAGTAGCTGGGATCACTGGTGTATGCCACCATGCCCGGCTAATTTTTGTATTTTTAGTAGAGACAGGATTTTGCCATGTTAGCCAGGCTGGTCTCGATCTCCTGACCTCAGGTGATCGGCCCGCCTCGGCCTCCCATAGTGCTGGATTACAGGTGTGAGCCACCACACCTGGCCAGGATATACTTATACTAACAAAATTAATTGCTGTTTATCTGAGGTTCAAATATAGCTGTATTTTTATTTGCTAAATCTGGCAGCCCTCCTCCCACATGGCCCGGGGAGGGGTGTGGGACAAGGGGGCAGGTTATCCCCACCTGACCCTTCTGCATATCCCTGATGCAAAGAGAATTGCAGTTGCTTAAGGCTTACAGGTTCCAGAGATGCCAGTAGAGGCCAGGCCTCCCTGGCAGAGCTAAGTAGCATGGCTCAGGGAGGCCCTGGGACCCTTGCCAGCTCCACAGACCCTGGCTGGAAACTGTCTGCTTTGCCGAACACAGATAAACATGCCGGAGGCACCTGTCTCCCATTGGGTGGAAAGCGACCAACTTCCAATGCTGAGGACTGGGTGGTTCTTTGAATAGGGTGACTCAGTCTGTTTGGGCAGTGCCTGTCCCATCCATGCACCCCACTGTAGCCAGGCAAATCTCCTCATAGGCCCTAAACAGGCCGGGAGTGTTTCTTCCTTGGCACTGCTGCTTTTGCCTACAACACCTTCTGTTTTTCTCTTTTGTGTAACGCCTACCTATTCTTCAAAACCCAGCTCAAATCACCCTTCCTTCAAGAAGCCTTCGTTGATTTCTCCCTAAGCCAATCAATGTACACCATTCATTCAGCATTTATATGCTGCTTTATGTTATAAATTACCTTTTTATGTCTACAGATCTCACCCCCAGTTAGACTATGAGCTCTTTTGAGGTAGGGACTATGTTTATATTTACAATAAATCCCCACGATACCTTGCACAAGGTAGACAATCAATATTTGTTGATTGATTTATTGATCAACAGATGGAAAGCCAGCCATGCATGCACATAAGCTATTTCCAGGGAGTTTTTTGCCCTTGATGCACAACAAGCAAACACATTTCCTTTTGATGGTATAGAATAGTAGTTCTCAACAACTGTGTCCGCATCAGCTAAGTTGCCTCCCCCAAAATTTGTTATGATCAATAAAATACAAAAATCTCAATTTATTTGCCTAAATAAATTAGAATACATTCAAAGTTATCCCTATCATAACATGGCTCACACTCGTTTGCCTTCTGATGCACTTTCTTGAGTGGAAGAGAAAGTTGTAGAAATACAGTCATCAAGCCAGGAGTTGGGCAGAATCCTGGGCCCACTTTCTGGAGGAGGCTGTACATGTCAACATCATCTATTTGTGTCTTTTACCGGGAACAAGAACAATGCTCTCTGAATTGTGGATGAAATGAATGGCACACATCACAGATTTCCAGTTGTCCTTAGCATCCCTCCTTACCCACTGCCTTCTTCGCAGTAACAGTCACTAACTCCTCTTTGGCTTTTGGGGCGAGGGGATCTTCCCCTTTAGTGGGAGGGTAAGAAGACACGAGAAGGAAAATAAATGCACAGAAAACTCCCCTAGGGGAACACTATTTCAACTTGCGAATTGTTCAAGAAGCAGTTGAGCCACCAGTGAAGGCAGATGAATATCACAGTTGGTTGCGGACAGGGGCACTCAGGAGCCTCCCTTAAGGCAGTATGGCAGATGCCTGCTGTAGAGACACTGTCTCCATCCTGTCTGGATCCCTGGGGGCCTTCCGCACCAGCCAAACCTACAAATGCCAGAATCTGCATCTCTTTTGCCTGAGGACTTTTGGGGAGGGGGTGCTGGAGCCTGCTCTGCCCTGCAGGGAAGGCTGAAAGTGACAGTGACAGAGAATTAAGAACCCCACCTCCCTAGAATGTAAATACCGCAGCTCCCTCACCCTGCAGGTGAGATCACTGTGAGGCATGTTCTGTTCTGTCTCCTAGAGATTCCCAATGAGATTAAGCTCCTATTGCCTACAGAGGTAACTTGCTGGATAATGTGCCGTCTATTTTCTGCCTTCCCTTCCGTGTCTCATTTCCCCCAACCCTTCCAGCATTTCCTTCGCCTTCTAAATAAACCTTTTTGTACTCAAATCCTTGACTCAGGATCTGCTTCTGGGGGAAGGAACCCAAATCAAGACACCTGCTGTGGGGTCTAGGAATAGACATTTTATTGTAAATCCTCCCAGACCATTGGGTATTCACTCCAGAATCCAACTACTGTGGCAATGTTGATAAAACCAAGAGAAAACCCCATATTTCGCTGTCCCTAAAGAAGAGGTGAGTTTGTGTGTCAACTCCACCAGTGGTCAGTTGCTAATAATCTTGGGCAAATGACCTTACAGAGCCTCTTTTTCCTCACCTGAAAACTGTGGGCCCCAAAGCATGTGGAACTCCCTGGACCACCTAGGAGTAAATGGAACGTTGTGGGCGAAAGTGCTTTGCAAACTGAAAAGGGCTGTCAAGGGACCGGTTCTCTTCCTAGGAAGCTGAGAGCAATGTTGTTCCTGGTTAAAACCAACAATCGTGAAATGCTAGTGTGGAAAACGCTTCATTTGGTGTCAGGAAGGAGACAGGCTGCCATCTCCCCATTTTCCTCCTGTGCTATACGGTTTGGCTTTTGGTCACCTCATTTTACTCCTCCACTCCCCATTACCCTACGTCACCCCTGGTCTTTTAATTACTGAGCACGTTGCAAACGATCAGCACTCTGGGCCTGTTAGCATGATGAATGAGCAATTAAAACTACATAAGCAATTACACCAGCTCCAAATTTTCCACGTTCAGCCCTGGCAGTGTGTTCTGCGGTGGGTCAGTCAGCTCTTTAGCCAGAGGGATGGGGGCCCCTCTGTCAGAGAAAGAAGCTCTCTCTCAACCTCCACCCTCAGGTAATCACTGGGTCCCCAGAACTGCACACACTCTGGGTGAAGCGGCAGAGGAAATCTCTCCAAGGTCACTCAGTCCTGTCTGACAGACTGCCCTGATCCTTTAGAAAAAAACCATCACTTTTATTAGCTCCAGCCCATTGGCTGAACTGTCTAGAAAAAATAAACTACAAGAAAGCAAGGGGGAGTGGTGTATCACAACAAAGTTTTATAAGAAACTCTCTTCACAAGGGGTACAATACAGGGCAATAAACACTTAAGTCCAAGAAATGCTTTCATTCAGGGTGCATATCTGTATATAGTGGAAGGAAGGGACAAGCCCTATTTTCAAGGCACAGTGGCTCATGCTTGTAATCCCAGAGCTTTGGGAGGCTGAGGCGGGAGGATCAGCTAAGCCCTGGAGTTCAAAACCAGCTTGGACAATAAAATGAGACCCCATCTCTACAAAAAATTTTAAAAGATTGGCTGGGCATAGTGGTGTGCGCTGCTAGTCCCAGCTACTTTAGAGGATGAGGTGGGAGGATAGCTTGAGCCAGGGAGATGAAGGCTGCAGTGAACCGTGATAGTGCCACTCACTGCACTCCAGCCTGGGTGACAAAGCAAAACCCCATCTCTAAAAGAAGAGAAAAAACAAGAAAAGATCTCTGACCTCAGGATTCCTGAGACAGATGTGAATAGGCATGGTTACTTGCAAGAGGGCTACTGGGAGCCCACTGCCCATTATTACATGAGGGAAGTCAATGAAGTGATGGGGTCAGGTGGGGAGAGAGATGCTGAGACAGAATAAAGGAGGCTTATTTGATTTGAAAGTTTTCAAACATGTTCCTCTCATGGCTGAGTCACTCCTTGATACAGGACATGTTGAGGGAAAAGGTTTAAAAATAAAATGCAAACCTAGGCCAGCCACCCTTCCCAATAGACTGACTCCACACAGCTTTGCTCTTACCCTCCCCAGAGAGCTTGCCTCCTCAGCAAGCCTCACTTTGACCTTGAAGATAAAACCCAACCTGGAAACTGAGGCTCCGCCTACACTCTCAGAATCCATGTTCTCCTGGCAGGGAGCAGAGGGACTCTGTTGGGTCCAGTCAAATCCTGGGCTTCCTTCCAGCCTGGGGTCCTCAAGGCAAATGGAGTTGTACCCAGCAGTTGTCACCATCAAGGCAGAGTTGCATGTCAGTTCTATTCCAAGGAGAATAAAAGCAAAGGAAGATCCGATCATGTTTCCCGTGTATGTAAATAGAGGTACAAATGCCTTGGGCATTTGTTTCTTTCATTTGGGCTTAGCTGAGGGCAGTCCTGTCTTAGTTTGGGTTCTTGCAGAAGCAGACCCTGAGAGATTCAAGTGTAGGTAGTTCACTTGGGAGGGAGCACAGAAGGGTACCACCACCAACACAAGGTCATTAATATCAAGTCATTTACCACTGTTGGCAACTGGGGCTTGGTCCCACGGGGAGAACTCTAGGACCCAGTGAAGCTGTCTCAGAGTGACCCCAGTCAAGCGAGCCGCCTTATCAGTTTGTTGATTGGGGGAGGCTGCTAGGAGGAGGCTCTTTAACTCACCAAATTGCCCAAGTCTGGGGGCAGGGATGCTCCCTGGGCCAGAAAAAAAGCCCTCAGGCAAACAGTTGCAGGTGCTCACAGTAAACACCCTTCAGAAGTTCTGTGTTGTCCAATAGGTAGCCACTAGCACATGTGGCTATTTGAATTTAAATTAATTTAAATTAAATAAAATTTAAAATTCAGTTCCTCACTCTACTGGCCGCATCTCAAGCACTCAATACCCACATGTGGCTAGTGGCTACCATATTTGACAGCACAGACACAAAACACTTTCATCATCACAGAAAATGCTATTGGACAGCACAGCTGTCAGAGTATAGAGATGAGCGCTGGAGGCGGTGTTGGTAGGTGGGTTACCAACAGCGCCTGCTAGAGGAAGATAGAAGGGGAGCAATGAGTCACAAGTGGCCACAAAAGCTTATGAAATCCTTTGGTTCAGTAGAACCCCAAGAGATTATAGAGTTCAGTTTTCTACTGCCAGGACATGAGACTTTAATCATCCTACCCAGACAGCTTTCCTGTCCCAGCGCTATGTGGCTCCTCATCCTCACCATGAACAGACTGTGTAGATGTGGCTGAGCAGTGTTTCCTCTGATAGAGCTATGTCCCTTACAGAGATGAAGAGAAACCAATCAACATTTTTTGTTTTATATACACAATGAGATGGTTAACTACTCTCCCCACAATTCCTCCACATTATAAAGTAGAATTCCTTTTAATGGTTCTTACAGGATTTGTGTTTTCTATCCCTTTTCAATCTTGTTTCTGAACCATTCTAGACCTCTTTCAAAAGGCTGTAGCAAATATTTCTATGGCTTGGATAGAATGGTGTAGTGGTTAAAAGCATGGGCTCTGGAGCCAGACAGCTGGGGTTCAAATCCTAGCTCCACCACTTACCATTGTATGATGTGGGGCAAGTTATTTAATCCTACGTTACATTGGTACATTGGTGTTCCTAACACATGTGGGTCAGTTCTACTTTTCCTTCACTCATACAAGTACTCCGCACCCCAGACACTAAGACTATAGAGACATAGTAACAAAGTGCAGTGTGTGAACCTTGATTGCCACACCCCGACAAAACTAAAAATCTCCCCCAAACCTCCAAGACACTTTTGGAGATAATTGGGGAAATCTGAATGTGAATTAGATGTTAGATGATGTATTAGCTATTGAATTGCTACCTATTACTAAGTAACTAGTTACCCCAATACTCAGTGGCTGAAAACAACAACAATTTATTAAATCATCCAGTTTCCATGGATCAGGAACCCAGGAGCAGATTGACTGGGTGGTTCTGGCTTAGGGTCTTCCATAAGGTTGCAGTTAAGATGTAGGCTGGGGCTGCAGCCATCCAAAAGCTCAACTGGGGCTGGAGGATCTGCTTCCAGATGGCTCTCTCACATGACTGGCAAGTTGGTTCTGACTGTTGGCAGGAGGCCTCAGTTTTTTATTGCCACATGGGCCTCTTTATAGGCTACTTGAGTACCCTCACAATATGGCAGCTGGCTTTCCCAGAGTGAGAGAGCCAAGAAAGCAAGGAAGAAACCACAATGTCTCTTATGGCCTAGCCTCAGGAATCACACTCCATCACTTTCCTTAGTATCCTATTAGTTACCCAGCTCAGCCTTATTCACTGTAGGAATGGAATCCACAAGGGTATGAATACCAAGAGGCGAGGACCACTGGGAGCCACCTTGGAGACTGGCTACCACATGTATGAGGTAGTATTAACTTTCTTAATGTGAAAATGGTATTGTGGTTTTGCAGGAAAATATTCCTCTTCTTAGTAGGTGTATGTAGAAGTATTTAGGGGTGGAGTATAGCGATAGCGGCAACTTTCAAGTGATTTGGCAAAAACAAAGTATTTATATGTTAGGTTAATCCATGTGAAATTTCTGATATTCAAACATTTTTGACAAACAAAAAAGGCAATTCATCTGACTCAACCTAATACAAAGAGATAGGGCAAATGTGGCAAAATGTTAGCAGTTGTTGAATATGGAGTAGGATGGTATCTTAGTCTATTTTGTGCTTCTATAACATAATACCACAAACTGAGTAATTTATAAACAATTTAAATGTATTTCTCACAGTTCTGGAGGCTGGGAAGTCCAAGATCAAGGCACTGTCAGGTTTAGTGTCTGGGAAGGGTCCTGTCTCCGTTTCCAAGGTGACACCATGAACACTGCATCCTCCAAAGGAGAGGGGAGGAACATTGTTCCTCATGTGGCAGAAGAGTGGAAGAGCAAAGGGTAGGCAAGAGAGAGCCTGAACATGGCACCAATCTCAACCATGACAGTGAAGCCCTCATGGCCTAATTACCTCTTAAGTGTCTCACCTCTTAATACTATTACAAAGGCAATTAAATTTCAACATGAGTGTTGGAAGAGACAAACATGCAAACCATAGTAGGTGGGGAAGGTGATCAGGTTTCCTTGCACTATTCTTTCAACTTTCTTCTATGTTTTAAAATTTAATTTTTTTAAAAAAAAGTTCTCTCACATCCCAAAGTAGAATGAACTACTGCTTCCTCTACCCAGTTAAATTGTAATATAATTACACTTGGTTTTTAAACCCAGTGATCATGGTGAGCCCCCATTGGCCTTCTTGCTGGAAGAAGCATCCCCATTTCCCACATCCCCCAATTGTTTCTAGACTTCCCTATGGTACTGCCTTACCTGTGTCCTGGAACCAATCTCTATGGTCCCTCTGCTCTGCCCTGTCTAGTCACCATGCAGCTCTCTGTTTGCTACTGACCCTGGGAGGTCTACACTCCACTGGGCATGGCCATATTCTGCTGATGACTATTCCTGTCTGTTTCCCCAGTCTCCCAAATGAGAACATTGACCCAGGTCAATAAATACTCCACAGATGAATAAAAAGTTACCACCCTCCTTAATCCCCACAGCACAACTGGGAACAGGCTATAAATTTTAAGATTTGGCTAACTCAGGATAGAGCCTCTCAGCAAACTAGAAATGAAAGAGAACTTTTTCAATATGATAAAAGGTATCTACCAAAAAACCTACAGCTTATATCATAAAAGACTGCTTTCACTCTAAGATTAGGAATAAGACAAAGATCTCCATTCTCATCACTTCTATTCAGCATTGTACTAGAGGTCTTTGCCAGTGCAATAAAACAAGAAAAAGAAACAAACAAAAATTGGAAAGAAAGAAATAAAACTGTCATTGTCCTCAGCTGATACAATCATATATATTAAGAATTCAAGGAAATCTACAAACAAACCACTGGAACTGATGGATGAATTTAGCAAAGTAATGGGATACATGGTGAATATACAAAAACCAATTGCATTTTTTATATATTAGCAACAGAAAAAATTGGAAAATAAAAACACATCATTGTATAATAGTATTTAAAAAACCATCACATGCATAGGAATAAATCATCTCTCATCATTGCTATACACCCTCTGCTCAAGCCCCCTCTTGTGCACCACCCCAATGTCCTGTCAATCTCTGACTTTGTTCATGCTACTCCCCCAAATGTCCTCTCTACATCTCTCTGCCCAGATAAATTGGCCCCACCTTCTGTGTTTGAGGTTATTCCTTCTCTGTGGAAATGTCTCTGACTCCCAACTGTATGCCTTCCTGCTTTTTCCACTCTGGCTTCCCATGACATCTCTTGGACCTTTTCTAGATTATAACTCTATAGCGTTAACCAGAGTGAAAGGCATATGGACAGGGAAACAGCAAGTCTTTGCTTCAAATCCCAATTCTGCTAACTATTAACTGTGGACTTGGGGCAACTCACAGCCCTCAGTTCTCTCTTGTTAAAAAGGAGAATAATAATGCTCATCTCCTCAAGATTGTTTTGAGGCTTGAACATATAATGTAGGGGGAAAATGCCTAGCAGGGTGACTGATTCTCAAAGAATTGGAGTGGTGGTTAACATTATTATTGTTACTTGGTTTTTCTTCTCAGCAGGACTTAAAGCTCTTCAAAGATAAGACTAGAATCTAGCTCTGCGTCTTATACCCAAAAGGCCCTCAGTAAATGTTTGTTAATTATCCATGATTTTACCCGAAGAGGCCACATTAGTCCTCCAGAAGAGGAAATACATCCTTACTAGGTGAAATGTTAAGGCGATACTCAAATTTCAAATGAGTGGAGGGCCACTTCTTAGACTCTACCTCAAGGCCTGTTTGCCCAACCCACAGTGCTCCAGGGCTCCTCCCTCATGTGACACTAACATCTCCAGTGTCTTTGGTTATTTTGTCCAAATTAAAAGCATTTCTTAGCTTTTTGAGGCAGTCAGACTCCCAAGATTGAGGAATGCATCTTGGTCTTCATCACAGCTCCATTCAGTGCCTCGCCTCAGTTTGCATCTCTACAAAATGGACATAACATTTGTGCCTGGTCAGGTGTGGTGGCTCACGCCTGTAATTCCAGCACTTTGGGAGGCTGAGGTGGGAGGATCCCTTGAGCCCAGGAGTTCGAGACCAGCCTGGGCAACACAGTGAGACACCCTCCCAGCCCCGATCTCTACAAAAAATTTAAAAATTAGCTAGGCAATTCTGTGGTCCCAGCTACTTGGGAGGCTGAGGCGGGAGGATCACCTTGAGCCCGGGAGTTCTATGACTGTGCCACTCCCTCCAGCCTGGGTGACGGAGCAAGACACCATCTCTTAAAAAAACAAAAGGAAAAGATTTGTGCCTGGAGTGTTGTTGTAAGTATAACATCCATAATGAATTTGCATATCCTTTGTACAATTAAGATAATACACAAATAGTTATTGGTTTTAAAATCAAGTGCCCAATAAATACATGCCAAATGTATTGGATTATTCATGATTTAACAGAAACCTATATTGGGCTTCTCTTTTCTCATCTGTAGAATAGGGATAAGAATAATACCTACCCAGAGGGTCATAATCTAAAAACATATGACTGTTCATGTAAAGAGCTTAGCTCAGGACATAGCACTTGTAAGCATTCAGTAAATATTGGCTACAGAAGTGGATTTACTGCGAACCTAATAAAGCTTAAGCTTCAGGTCCCTTACTTACACTGGCCCCTTCCAAGCTTGGCTCAGGGGTAGTAAGGTTTTGTACAGACCACCATCTGTTTCCAGTTTAACTTCCCCTCTAACACACCTCCCATTGGGTCAGATGGTGCAAGAGCAGCTGCAGGCATATTTGGGTTCTGGCTAAGGGGAAATGAAAGTGAGGATACAATTAGTTTTTGTTTAGGGGTTTGCAACCACTTCCATGTAAAATTGATGCTAACCATCACACATTGCAGTGCAGAAATAGCCTTCAGGAATTCTCCTACTGCCTCTGGGCTGACTTGCCCACTATTGTGACTTGAAGGTGCGTGCCAAAGGTTGTTTCATAACATAAATGTGTCTGTCCTGCGTATCTCTTGCGACATAGCAAGTCATTCTAGAACTCAGTGGCTTCAAATGACAACAGTCATTTGTTTTGTTCACAAATCTGTAATAGGCAGGGCTTTGCAGGGACAGCTTCTCATGGTTTCACATGGCATCATCTGGGGTGGCTCAAAGGCTGGGGGCTGGAATCATCTGAAGGCTCCGAGTTCATGTATCTGGTGGTTGATGCTGGCTGTGAGCTGAGACCTCAGCTAGCTGGCTGTGGCCTTTCCGTGGGGCCTGGGCATGGCGGCTGGGTTCTAAGGGTGATTGTCCCAAGAGGGCCAAGTGGAAGCTGTCTTGCCTTTTATGACCACCTTGGAAGTCACATAGTGTCACTTCTGAGGTAATCACAGACCCACTCAGATAAGGGGAAGGAAGACAGGCCCCACTCCTCAATGAGAGGGATACCAATATCCCACTATAAGAAGAGCATGTGAGATGGAAGGTCTGATCGTGACCATTTTGGAAAATACAGTCTTCCATGGTGTCTTATGGCACCCAGCCCCTAAAAATATGTAGGTAGCAGAAGAAACAAAGCCTGAAATGTACGGAGCCAGGAGCTAATCTGTGGAAAATCTTCCTAGTCAAAATGGAAATTTGCTTCTGTCAGGAATAGACTCAATAATGCAGTGTATGCAATTAATAACACACCATATATTTTTATTTCTTTTCTGATGGGACTTGCACAAAAAAGGATTTATCAAAATTCATGTGTTTCATAGGGCACGAAACTGTAACAGTCCTACAAACACAAGTGGCATCTGTTTGAAAAGTGGCAAGTTTTATCCATCCAGTGTTTCAGATCGCATTTTAGCATATCTGACGCATCTTGTCCTGACAGAGTCCAGTGAATCCAGAAGGAAAAAGGGAATGCAAAATTGCTAATGTTGCTGCAAAACAGCCTGAAGAAACAAGTGCTCTAGTGTCAAAACTACACAGGCTTATCAACACATCAATGCATGTAGCATAAGAGTAATTTTTATTTTATTATTCAATTATGCAGCACTGCAGCACAATATATGCACCTTAATTTCATGCTAATTTCACACACACACACACACACACACACACACACATAAGAATTACTCATCATACCAAAATTCAAATAGGATAGGAAGGTAGAAGTATCTCAGTAGTAGTCAAAAATGTAAAGTAGAAGGAGACCCACAGTTACTTCAAAATGTCACTCTCTTAATACATCACAATGGAAGCTAATTACCAATGACAACTAGTGAATCTGAAAGAAACTTTACAACACTATCAATAATTTTATAAAAAGGAGATCAAGCACACTGGAGGAAAGACTGATCTTTCTATTGTCTCTATAGAAAACAATGTTTTAAAATTGTTATCACATGAAAAGGCGATCAAAGCGGCACAGCCCACCAGAGTAGAAAAAGGAATCACAAAAGTGTTTCAGACAATTAATTAGTAAAAACACTAGATATTTTTCTGGATTTTGTGAAGTTTGAAGTCTTTGTGAGCTTTTAAATTTCATAATTGTCATTTCTTTTCTCATTTAAACGTTCACCTTCATAGCAGGTTTTGTATTTGTAATTTTGTATTCATTTTTAAAAAGAGAGTCCCCCAAAATGTTTAGTCTTCAGATGCTGTTGTAACCATAATAAGTTCATTGCCCGATGCACACAGCAAGTCAGTGCTCTGAAACACCGGGTTGCAACAGCGAAAGAGGCTTAATTGTAGGGTTGCTGAATGAGGAGATGGAAGGGAAGCTCAAATCCATCTCCCTGTGGAATTGGGGGTTAGAATTCTTAAGGGTTTTGGAGTGGGCCAAA
Organism: Homo sapiens; assembly: GCF_000001405.40. Lineage (NCBI taxonomy): Eukaryota > Metazoa > Chordata > Mammalia > Primates > Hominidae > Homo > Homo sapiens. The sequence goes on along the minus strand of NC_000023.11, from coordinate 40,404,697 downwards.
GTGTGGAGACGGTTGATTGGTGGAAGAGTGCAGAGTGAAGTCATGGGACCAGAAGGTGAAGAAACTCTGTTCTCGTGCTGATCTTGTTCCTCTGTGGGGGTCTTCAAACTGGTTGCGGGAATTCAAGGTCTGAAAACCATCGTAAGTCATCCTTAAACAAAAACCTTATGATTCTAATGTCAGAGATCCTGTCTGTAGGAATGATGGGAATGCAAATCAACTCTTAAACAGTCAGAAATCCTATCTACAGGACAAATGGTCAGTATCTAGTGCTGCAGGACTTTTAGCAACAAGGAAGTGGGCCAGAGTGCAGTCTAACTGATGCTTAATGATAACTATATTTCTGTCCAGAACCCGGCATGCAATTTTTGTCAACCTTGTGAGGACAGTTTCACCACTATTAGCCACAATCGGCTCCTGTGGTCTATTATAAATATATCCTGATCATAATAGATACCAGGCATATAGCAGTTTATAGGTGTGAGAAGACAGATCAGTGCCAATCACTTCAAACTAGTATCCTCTCCTTCATCTTCTTCTTTTTTCAGGGTCAAAGCACAGAACGGAGTTGTAAAAGCCTGTATTAGACTATGAGGGCTGCTGCAACGAGGTACCACACACTGGGAAGCTTAAACAACAGAAATTTATCTTCTCACAGTTCTTATGGCTGGAAATCCTAGATTGAGGTGTCACAGGGTTGGTTCCTTCTGAGGCCTCTGACCTTGGCCTGCATGTGGCCTTCTTATCATTGTGTCTTCACATGGTCTTTCCTTTGTGTACGTCTGTGTCCTCATCTCCTCTTTCTTTTGTTTTTGTTTTCGCTTTAGTTTTTGTTTTGTTTTTTAAGACTGCAGTCTCCAACTCCCTGCCTCAGCCTTCCGAGTAGCTGGGACTCTAGAAGCACACGATCATGCCCGGCTAATTTTTAAATTTTTTGTAGAGACAAGATCTTGCTATGTTGCCCAGACTGGTCTTGAACTCCTGGCCTCAAGCAATCCTGCAGCCTCAGCCTCCGAAAGTGGTGGGATTACAGGCGTGAGCCACCGTGCCTGGCCTCCTATTCTTATAAGGACACCAGACATAGTGGATCAGGGTCCAGTATAAAGACCTCATTTTAATTTAATCACATCTTTAAGGGTCCTGTCTCCAAATACAGTCACATTCTGAGATCCCAGGGCATAGGACTTGAACATCTGAATTGTGGTGGGGGACATGATTTAGCCAATAACAGGGCCCAAACCATAGATCTTCAGAAGGCAGAAGACAGCCCCAGCTTGCCCTGAACAATCTGCTCAGTTAGCGCTTCCAAGCTGCGTTCAGTTCTGAGTCATCAGGCAGTGTCATCAAAGGCCCCAAGCCTCCTTCAGATCAGCCAGTAATGCTAAGCAGTCCTGGCAAGGGGAACCCGAATCATGGCAGGAGAATTACAACCTTCAGCGGGAGAGGGAAAAGCCCTCAGCTCCTTAGCGCTGGCAGCAGAAACCCTTTTGGCTCTATTTTAAGAAACCTTCAAGCACGTGGGGCTTCCTCCCCAGAGAGGACACCCTGGCCTTGCATGGAGGCGTTTCTTGGCTCAGGGCAGGCTCAGGGTACCACCTCCGGTGCCACCTAAGCTATAGCCCCTCAAGCTCTGAGCCGCACTTCATCTGCATGGTCTCAACACCCGCCAGCCCTGCTCTGATTAAAGCGTTGCCAGCATTTCCACTCTACGATTTTGTTAATGTTTAACATCCACTGAGGTGGCCTCTATCCATGCTGAGCTGCCTGCCTGGGTGGTCCAAGTTATCTCCACCAGGACCAATTAGTTTGCTACCTTAGAGGTCTGGATATGATCTGGATCATTACTGGTCACCATTGGTGGTTGCAAGCAGGGGAAGTAGGGGGAGAGGGAGAGAGGAGGGAGCTCTTGGCCCTGGGTAAAGCTTGAGCAGCATCCTGGTCGCCCATAGAAAGCTGAGACGTATCAGCCAGCATTGTGACTCAGCTGTCATTTTGAGGAGTGAGTAGTATGTGCGCCCATCTCTGTGCTAGGAACTTGACATATGACCCCAATCTTCACAGCATCGTTGAGAGGTGAATATTATTATCCTCATTTTATACATAAAGCAAATGGAGCTCAGGGATGTTAAGTGACTTATCTAAGGTCACAGGGCTTGTTATGGCAGAGCCAGGATTCAAACTCCAGGCTTTACAGTAACAAAACCGACTTCAAGTGTTTTTTGTTTGTTTGTTTGTTTTTTGAGACGGAGTTTCACTCTTCTCGCCCAGGCTGGAGTGCATTGGTGTGACCTCGGCTCACTGCAACCTCTGCCTCACGGGTGCAGGCGATTCTCCTGCCTCAGCCTCCTGAGTAGCTGGGACTACAGGCGCCTGCCGCCACGCCCGGCTAATTTTGTATTTTTAGTAGAGATGGGGTTTTGCCATGTTGGCCAGGCCGGTTTCAAACTCCTGACCTCAGGTGATCCGCCCGCCTTGGCCTCCCAAAGTGCTAGGATTACAGGCATGAGCCACCACGCCCGGCCTCAGGTGTTTTTTCCATTAGCTCATGCAGCTTCTCACCAGTCCACTCCCACACAATGTCATCCGGAAAGGAATTGAGAAACTATTGAGTCTAATTCCTTTATTTTGCAGAAGAACATTATGGCACACACTGGAATGGCCACCCCTAAACCATTCACAGTCCTCTTTTCCTTTGTCTTCTACCATAGAAACTGGAAAGTTAAAATGCTCCTCTTCCTAGACTCCCATGCAGCTGGGCAGAGGACACATGTGTCTCAGTTCTGGTCAATGATCTATAAACGAAACTCACAAGTTTGGGGCTTCCAGGTAAAAGAGAACATTTCTCTTTTAAAATACCCTTTGTCCGCAGGGTGCCGTGGCTCACGCCTGTAATCCCAGCACTTTGAGAGGTCGAGGTGGGTGGATCACCTGAGGTCAGGAGTTCAAGACCAGCCTGGCCAACATGGCAAAACCCCATCTCTACTAAAAATACAAAAATTAGCCGGGCGTAGTGGCATATGCCTGTAGTGCCAGCTACTCAGGAGGCTGAGACAGTAGAACTGCTTGAACCTGGGAGGCGGAGGTTGCAGTGAGTTGAGATCATGCCACTGCACTGCAGCCTGAGTGACAGAGTGAGACTCTGTCTCAAAAAACAAACAAGCAAATAAACACCACCCTTTGTCTTCTGCACTCCTCTGTCTTCCTTCCTGAAATGCAGTTGCAATGCCTAGAAGTGCAGCAGCTTTCTTGCAGCCATGAGGATAAAAGCCCCATGTTGAGGATGGAAGATCAAGGAAATAGAAGGAGTCTGGGTCTTTAATGACAAGGCTAAATTGACACCAACCTGAATTTCTTGTTGGTTAGGTTTTCTGTTACTTGTGGCCAAATTTGATCTTAACTTATATGAGCATCCAGATAGCTTTCCCTGGGCCTGTGCTTTTACTGCAAGGCTTAGAATCCCAAAGACTAAAGAAGCCTTGAAAGAGCATCCTAGATGTCAAAGACATCATCCCAGGGTTGTCTCTTCTGGTCCTGCCCCCTCTATGCATTTTGCAGAGGATTTAGAGTGGGAGCGGAGACCTTGCTCCTGTGAATAGTCTCTGCATTCACTGCACATAAGTCCCTCTTGCTGAAAGGGTTGAAGGTTGAGTACCCTGCTGCTTAGTCTTCAGGAAGACTCCTCTCTTCTTAGCTAGTGTGTCCTAGTGTGGAAGCTACAAATCACTGGGACGATGTCCAGAAGGAGATGTCCAGGACTGGTTGGCGGAATATGGAACATTTAGCCTGGAGAAGAAATGGCTCAGGGAACAGAAAGGTCATCTTCAAACATCTGAAGGGCTGCTTTGAGAGGAGTGAAGAGAAGAGCAGATGCTTTCTGCTCTGAGAGGTACTAAAAGACACGGTGAGGACCAATGGTCAGAGAGGCCAGGGAAGCTGGTTTGGGACCAGTCACAGAAAGATCTTTGTTAACAGCTGGAGCTGCTTCCAAATGGGCTGGCCTACAAGATGTTTGAGAAAGGCAATGGGCATTAGTCTAGTAGGTTTTAGAGCTAATTCAGGCATCCAACCAGCAGATGACAGGAGAACTCCCAAAGTCCTTCCCAGTGACAAAATTCTATACTTCTGTGAATCAAATTATACATAAGAAATGCCACATGAAGGCTAAGGTGGGCAGCTCACGAGGTCAGGAGATTGAGACCATCCTGGCTAGCATGGTGAAACCCCATCTCTACTAAAAATACAAAAAATTAGCCGGGCGTGGTGGCGGGCGCCTGTAGTCCCAGCTACTCAGGAGGCTGAGGCAGGAGAATGGTGTGAACCCGGGAGGTGGAGCTTGCAGTGAGCCAAGATGGCGCCACTCCACTCCAGCCTGGGCGACAGAGAGAGACTCCGTCTCAAAAAAAAAAAAAAAAAGAAAAAAGAAATGCCACATGACACACATGACATGGAGGGTAAAGAAGGGAGGATTTGGAGTCAGAAAAACTAGATTTAGGCTGGGTGCGGTGGCTCACGCCTATAGTCTCAGCACTTTGGGAGGCTGAGGCAGGAGGATTGGTTGACGCCAGTTCAAGACCAGCCTGGGCAACATAGTGAGACCCTGTCTCTATAAAAAAAAAAAAAAAAGAAGAGAAAAGAAAGAAAAGATAAACTAGATTTAAAAGCTGATTCCTCCCTCGATGGCAAAATCACTGTAGCAGAAATGACTAGTTTTTCCCAATATATGGTGTCCCTCTTTTCACAGAAATGGAGCCTCGAATTTTTACTTGGGCACATGATCATCTGGAATAAAGACCATATTTCCTAGCCTTCCTTGCAATTAGGTGTGGCCATGTGACTAAATTCTGGAGGCAGGGTAGAAATGGTGAGTGCAACTTTCAGCAAGTGTCCTTAAAGGGAAAGGGCAGGCTTTTCTTCCCTCTTTTTATCATCCACCCATTCTTTCATTATGCTGCCTGGAATGAAAATGTGATGGCTGGAGTTCTAGCTGCTATCTTGGATCATGAAGGCAAGGACCACATCCTAGTAATGGCAGAGCAATGGATGGATCCTTGGTCCCTATAACTTTGTGGAGCAGAGCTTACCCCCAGTCTCCAATGGGAAAGAAAAATAAACTCTTATGTTGTTTTAACCACAGCTATTTTGAGTGTCTGTGCATAATCCTAACTGAAACATGCATCGACTCTGGAGCAAAGTCTTTTAAGCTCTCTGAGCCTTGGTGGGTAACCTCATCTGTATAATGGGACTCATAATGCCCACTGCACAGACCTCACAATGTGCTTGGGGAGGGGAATGAGATGATGTTTGTGAAAGCACTGCAAAAACTATTCCTCACTGTGATAATGTTACACCTTTGTTGCTGGGCACCAGGAAAGGCATGATGAGTGGGGGAAGGATTGGGGAAGGAGGGTTGTACAAAAGGATCAGAAATATTTTCCCCCTTCCACAGTGCTTCCTAAAAATTCTGCCTTTCCTATATAACCAATTGTGCCACTGGAGCTCCAAAATTCTGCCTTTCCTATATCCATAGGTCTTGATCTCCCTGGTCTGATTCTTGGTGGTAGAGTAAGACTACGTTAGAGGATTTCTAAGTCTCTGAGAACTTTCATAGTCTGTGATCATCTGACTTTATTAATTCTATACTAGTCAGATTTTTGTGGCAAGGCAATTCAGGATTTTTTATTTTACAACCAATAAAGGCTGGCTCCTTTCTGAATTGTTTACCTGTGGGCAAAGCACTTCTCTTAGCATCAGTGGTAGGACCAGCATGAGTTCACATGGTAGAGGTAGATGGCAGCCAACTTCTGCTTCACCACAGACAGAGGAAAGACAGGGATGTGTTCTTGCTAGCCATTTTGCAAAAGGCACGGGGGATATGCAGTATGTAACAACATTAAAGCTGCTGGGCAGAAGCCACATGCTGACCAGAGCTGGGGGACAACACACCAGTGCCTGCAGATTGGGAAACAACCTAAAATTCTTGGCAACCTTCAGGGAGACTGTACACTCCCCTCACTACCTTGGTAAATAGTGTACTTGTCACAAAGTCCTCCTGTAGACAATCCTCACTGACCCGAAGCTTCACGTCAAGCTAGTTCATGGCTCCCACAGGTTGAGCCAATTCATCTTTGGTTGGAGCCCAACTCTTGTCTTTCAGAAACCCAGTACATTCTCCAGCCATTAGGATTCTCTGAGGATTGGCCTTGACAGGTCAAAAACCAAAGAAAGAAGATGTGTCACTAACAGAGATGATTGGTACAGAAGTGGCCTCCAGGCAAGTGTCATGGGCTTGGTTGGACTTCTCTCTAATCCTTCCATGCTTGGTAGTGTCCTCGACTCACGGAAAGTTCTTTGGCAGCTGTTGACTTGAATTTAACTTCCAAGGAGTCTGGAAATGGGTGGGAATCTGAGAAGAATGGAGTAGAAAAGTTAATAACTTGAGATTAAGCCAAGGGAGGCTGCCCCAACCCCCCTCCTGCCAATTCACCCTTCTCTATCCTTAATCCATTTGGCAGAAGATTTAGAGTGAATAGAGCTGATTATAGTCTAGGAAGGGCAAGTCTCCTCTAAATTCAGAGTAAGAAGGCTCAGGCACAGAATCCAGAGGTCCTTTTCCCAACAGATGATGGGGCTGAGTGGAAAAGTAGGCCCCAGGAGAGAAGAGGATTGGAGCCCTGAGTGAGCAGAAGATGACAGGAGTGCCTACCAATGTCCAGGGAGGATGTCAGATCCTGACCGAGCAATCAGAAGCAGACAGAAGAGGGTAAGCAGGGAATGGGAGCACAGACCCTTGCAAATGCCTCTTGAGCACTAAGGCCCTGGACCAATAGGCCACAGTCTGAGCTTATATCAAGGAAGAGTGAGATGGGCTCTGCTCTCCCTGGAGTGAGCTTGCCTGGTTCTGTGGCTCATGGTTGGCTGGGGTGGCCCAGTTAGCTAAAGTCAGCAAACGTTTCAGAAGCCCTGACTGGGCTGAGTCCCAGCATCTCTAAAGAATTGCACTCTCAGCTCAGCACCAAGGAAACCCACAAAGGACCCCTGCTAGACTGGATGTTTATGTCCCCCCAAAATTCATCTGTTGAAATCCTGACCCTCAATGTGATGGTATTAGCAGGTGGGGCCTTTGGGCGCTGATCAGGTCACAATAGTGGAGCCCTCATGAGTGGGATTAGTGCCCTCATAAAAGAGATCCTAGGGAGCTCCTCACCCCTTCTGCCTTGTAAAGACACAGAGAGAAGGCAGCCATCTATGAACTAGGAAGCAGGCCCTCACCAAACACCAAACCTGCTGACACCTTGATCTTGGACTTCCCAGCCTCCAGAACCATAAGAAATAAATTTCTGCTGTTTTTAGCTTCCAAATTCATTGTATCCTGTTATAGCAGCCTAAACAAACTAAGATAAACCCACACTCCCAAAGGACTTTGAGCTTCCAGAGACCATGACCCAATCTGCCCTGTTCACCACTACACCCCAACCCAATACCTGGTAACAGGGAAGCTATGCAATACATTGAATTGAATTGACTTGAAACTGATCCCAGGAACCCTTCCACTTGCCCATCAGAATATTCTCTCTCATGGTTGCACTTCCCCTACCATAGCTCTCTATTTATTCATATACTTACGCATTCATAAGTCCATACCAATATGCTGAGCAGCTACTATACGAGAGGCACTAAGCTAGGGCCCTCCCCTCTCATGGCAGGTCCAGCTCTCCTCTGTGTCTCTTTACCTATCTTTTGGGGATGCCCATCCATTCTTGGTCGATTGGTAATTGACACTTATTTGCATTTTTTTTTCTTTTTGAGACAGAGTCTCGCTCTGTTGCCCAGGCTGGAGTGCAGTGGTGTGATCTCAGCTCACTGCAACCTCCACCTCCCAGGTTCAAGCGATTGTCATGCCTCAGCCTCCCAAGTAGCTGAGATTACAGGTGCATGCCACCATGCCCAGATAATTTTTTGTATTTTTAGTAGAGACGGGGTTTCACCCTGTTGGCTGGTGTTGAACTCTTGACTTCAGGTGATCAGCCCACCTCAGCCTCCCAAAGTGCTGGGATTACAAGTGTGAACCACTGTGCCCAGCCAACTATTTGCATTTTAAAATAGTCCACTGAAGGTAGAAAATTTATCCAAAGAAATGACTTTCTAATGATGAATGGACAATGGCAGTTGTTGACATTTTGAAGAAGGGTGAAGAGGCCCTAAAATCATGCCTCTTAAATGGAGTAATCTTCTCTGCCTGACATCCATGGGCAGTGGGTCCGGCATTCAGACCCCCATCCCCAGCACCAACACACACATACATTGGACTTGGTTTTCCATGCTTAGGAAAACCAAGCCTGTGCATGCTTAGGACCACAAGCATGTGCACAAATGCCTTTATAAAGAATCATATAAGCAAAGACACCCACCTGAGCACAAATGCTTTCATGAGCCTGCTGTGTGCATGCACCAGAGTGGTCTCTTCTCCTCTCCACCCCTGACCAGTGCTGGGTCTGGTTCCCACTGTAAATGCAGATGCTATGTGATTGACAGCCCAGCCAGGAGCTCACATTCAGTTGGAATCTGAGATACCATTACCATGGCGACCATAGTCCCTTGCAGCTCCGTCATCTTCCATGCTCTGGGGAGTTGAGTGTTATACCTGGGAGACTTTCCTTCTGGAAGCCACACCTTCCTCCAGGAGTGGCTTTTAATTTTCCCCCAAGCTCTTTGGAGAGGTAAAGACTCCTCCCTATGGCTCTCTCTCTGCTAATGATGAGGGCTGTTTTAAGGAGAGTTGTTAGGCTTTAATCAAGCTCTTGGTCTCCCAGAACCTTCCAGCTACTCTCCCGGGGTGTCTGATGCCATGTCTAGCCAAAGAGAGTAAGAAATTCACCCCTTTCTCTACAGATAGCCCTACAGCTGAAGCTATAACTACAGAGTCTTTGAAGCAAAAGGGTACAGTCCCGCTGAAGTTCATTGCTCAGATCCCCTTTGCTATGAACTGAATATTTGTGTCTCCCAAAATTTATATGTTGAAATTCTAACCTCCAATGTGATGGTATTAGGAGGTGGGGCCTTTGGGAGATGAGTAGGTTCTGAGAGTGGAGCCCTCATGAATGATATTACTGGCCTTATAAAAGAGGCCCCTGAGCGCACTGTCATCCCTCTGCCGTGTGAGGTCACAGTGAGAAGATGGCTCTCTATCAACCAGGAAGTGGGCCCTCACCAGATACTGAATCTGACAGTGCCTTGATCTTGGGCTTTCCAGCCCCTGGAACTTTGAAAACTAAATTTCTGTTGTCTATGAGCTGCCCAGTTTATGGTATTTTGCCACAAGACAAAATACCAGAAAACACCCCTCTTCAAGACTGAGGAACTTCTTCCTTCAGCTGCCTGGGTGTTGGCTGCTGACAGCTCTCAGCTGTGTCTCTCTCCAGGAATTGCCTGCAGTCCAGGAAAGCTGCCTCACACAAGGTCACAGCCCCTCCCTGGGGGCAGACCACATTCAATGATTGACCTATTGGGGGTACAAAGAACCGGCCCCCTTGCCTCAACTGGGGACATCTCTGGTTCAACGGTTCCCAGGGAATCATGGGAGACCTTCTGTTATGACTGCATCACAGCTCAACTCCTTCTCTGCCCAACCTTGCTTCTCTCATTGTCTTATAGGTGTTGACCTAAAGGCACACCCCCAGAAACCACTCGCTCAGAAATCTCCATCTCAGAGCCTGTTTTCAGACAATCTAAGGCAAGACAAGGGGTCTGAAGCTCATCTAACACAGCCCTTTTCTTGACAGATGAGGAAACTGAGGTCCATGAGGGGCTAGAGACCCTTGAGATCACTCTGGGAGTTGATGTGAGATTTGGTTCTCAGATCCAGACTCTCAGCATTGGAATAGATCTTCAGGGTCCCCTGATCTAAGCAGGAAAAATATATATACTTAAGAGGATACTGGGTAAATTTCATAGCATTGATGGCAGAAGTAATGGAGTTAAATAACCAGAAATGGACCCTAGTGGCCATTGCCACAATGTGCTGCCCTGGGAACTCCGTCTTGCTGATGCTACCACCACCAATGAGAAGATCCCATGTGGCCCCTACTTCTGGGTGTCAAGAGCTCCTGATGCAAAGTTGCCATGGGAGCCTGGATTGGTGCCCATATCCCAGCACAAAGAAGGCCGGGGAAGGTAGGAACCTGGAAGGACCAGTTGAGTCAGCCAGACTGTAGATCAGTGGCTCTCAACTCTGCCGGTGCATTTAAAGTACCTGGGAGCTATAAGAGATCACATTGCCCAGGCCACACGGCAGACCAATTAAATCGGAACTTCTGAAGGTGGGACCCAGGCATAGTATTTTCTTTCTTTCTTTCTCTCTCTCTTCTCTCTCTTTCTTTCTCTCTCTTTCCTTCCTTCCTTCTTTTTTTTTTGAGGTGGAGTCTCGCTTTGTTGCCCAGGCTGGAGTGCAGTGGTGCAATCTCGGCTCACTGCAACCTCCACCTCCCAGGTTCACGCCATTCTCCTGCCTCAGCTTCCTGAGTAGCTGGGACTACAGGCGCCCGCCACCACGCCTGGCTAATTTTTTGTATTTTTAGTAGAGATGGAGTTTCACCGTGTTAGCCAGGAGGGTCTCGATCTCCTGACCTCGTGATCCGCCCCCTTCAGCCTCCCAAAGTGCTGGGATTACAGGCGTGAGCCACCGCGCCTGGCCTCCAGGCATAGTATTTTCTTTAAAGCTCCCTGGGTGGTTCTGATGAAAGGCTGAGAACCTCTGCTTCAGGAGAAACCAATGATGAAAGGACTGGGGTCTCTCTCCCCTTTGCTCCTTGTGGTATTAGATAGGGTTTGATCAGGGAAGAAGGACCACTGTGAGGGATGCAGAATAAGGGATTTATTGTGGAATTGGGCCTGACACAATTGTGGGAGCTGGTGAAGCCACCTATGTAAGAATGCTAACCTGTGTCTGATGGTGGACTTGAAGCAGGAACAGCAGTTGAGATGAAAGGATGGACACAGTTGTAGCTACCTACTGCTGTGTAACAAATTACCCCCAAATTTTTCAACTTGACACAATGAACATTTATTATCTCACATAGCATCTGTGGGTCAGGAATCCAGGAGCAACCTGGCTGGATGGTTCTGACTCAGGCTTTCTCATGAGGTTCCAGTCAAAGTGCCAGCTGGGGCCTGTGGTTATCTGCAGGTTTGACTGGGGCGGGAGGGTCTGCTTCCAAGATGGCTTCCTCACATAGCTATTGACAGGAGGTTTCAGTTCCTTGCTGGCTATTGGCCAAAGGCCTCAGTTTCTCACCACATGGGCCTTTCCATAGGGCTCCTCCTGATATAGGAGCTGGTTTTCCCCACATCAAGTGATCTCAGAGAAAAGAGAGAGGGAGAGAATGAGACCAAGACAGAAACCACAGTGTCTTTTTTTTTTTTAAGATGAGACGGGGTTTTACTCTGTCACCCAGGCCGGAGTGCAGTGGTATGATCATGGCTCACTGCAGCCTCAGCCACCTGGGCCGCCTACCATGAACGTATGTAGACAGGTGCAAAGACAAACTGGAACCCATGTGACAGCTGGAATCCACATTTGACCATCTCCAACCTTGATGGTATGGGTAACCTGCAAGAAAAGCTGGCATCCTTTGCAATTACTGCACATGCACCCAGAATCTGGAGATGCTGAAGAAGATCCAAAAAGAGCTGTTGCAGCTACAGGCCTGGCTGATGCTACAGGCCTGGCTGATTCCCCAGGCCAAAAAGGAGAGCCAGGAGATCAGCAACAACACATCTGAGCTGCAACAGCGCCTGGCTCACACAGAGCTGCAGAGTGTGACAGTGGCCGCTGCTTCACCTCTGCCTTCCAAATCTCACACAAATGTCTCCTGTGGCCAACTCTAACTTGGAACCATGCAGAGAACTGAATTCTGGGAAATGTAGTTCTAGCTTAACTAGTGGCCACAGCACACAGGCATCACAGGGCTGGAGTATGTGTTAGGGGATGAGTGCAGCAAATGAAAGAGGTGGTCATAATAAGCTCTCTGTTCTTTCTCCTTGGACTAGGGACAGGAAGAGCAAAGACAGCCATGGATGAGCCAGAGTCTGACAGTGAGAAACTCAAGAGACTCCAGTCTTCTCAGAACCTCAGGGAAAACTCCAACTCCCTCTCCAGGCCCATGACAAACCCACTCTGGATTAAGCTTCTTTCATCTGTAGTGGGGAGGGAGGGAGTAAAGGCTGGGAGATGGACGATTTGAAAGCTGATTTCCTGGAGTAGACAATAATTTATCCCCACTTCACATCAATACCTCTAGACAGCCAGATGAAAATCATGCTGTAATGTTCTGGTCGTATCTAATAGCATGGCCACTCATACTGTTAGTTTGATATCTCTTGACTCCAAAGTGTCTCACACAAATGGTCCCCAGGCAGTGGCAAAATGGCACAAACGATGACACATAGGACCTGCCCAGTCAGTCATTTCAGGAATACCCAAATATTTTCCCTATTTGTCTGCTCCTGCCTAAAATTCTGTCACTGCATTAACCTGCTAGCCAAAACCTTGCATTTGCTTTTGCATGCAACTATCTCTAAGGGTCACGTTTTAGATTATTATCAGTCATTTATATTCCTTAGTGCAAATGAAGTCTGAAGAGGTCTGCTGATGTAGGGGATAAGTGAGGGCGCATTAGGCACTTGACAGGGACAGATGAACGAGAATGGAGAGCTTTGAAAAGGGTGTGTGAAAGAAATAACCTGTGTGTTCACCAAATCCTGTTTCATTTTCTTCTTTCTGGGGGTCACAGAAAGACTACCTTTCCCGGCCTCCCTTGGAGTTAGACTGAGGTCATGTGATTGGATTCTGGCCAATGGGAAGTAAGTTGAAATAATATAAAGCACTCCTCCCAGGCCTTGCCATTAAAAACATCTTGTGCAACCTTCCCACTGTACTGTCACCTTCAGCAGCAACCATAGAGGCTATGTATTAAGATGGTAAGATAGATGCACCTGGGATCCCAGATTCACCTAGTGGCTGAGTGCTGCCCTGAGGAGTGGCCCAACTCATCAGTGGGGGCTAATTTGTTTCTGCAGCATAGTCTATCCTACCCAGGCTAATACAAAAATTGCTGCCAGATGGCCAGGCACAGTAACTCACGCCTGTAATCCCAGCACTTTGGGAGACCGAGGTGGGCAGATCATTTGAGGCCAGGAGTTTGAGACCAGCCTGACCAACATGGTGAAAGCCTGTCTCTACTTAAAAAAAAAAAAAAAAAAATTGCAGGGTGTGGTGGCGGGAGCCTCTAGTCTCAGCTACTAGGGAGGCTGAGGCAGGAGAATCGCTTGAACTCGGGAGGCAGAGGTTGCAGTGAGCGGAGATCATGCCACTGCACCCCAACCTGGGCAACGACAGAGGGAGACTCCATCTCAAAAAAAGAAAAAAAAAAGGTTGGTAAAATAGTGATCCATGTTACACAGTGACAAAAATTCAGTCAAGCTTCCACTTGCAAATAGTAAGTGATGGGAAAACCTTTGAGTGGCAAAAATGACTTAAGGTAAAGATTAGACTAAGGGTATGGCCTTCCCCCAAATTTCCAGAAGCCTAAAGGTAACTTTGATTAAATGCAGGGGGCAAGGTATACGGATGAGAAAGCAAAGACATATAGCAGATATGAAAACTATATCTTGAAAAGAACTTTGGATGTGGTCTTTGGCATGTGGAAGTGACTATAAGCAAATACATCAATGGCCCATTACATTTTTAGGGGAATTGTATAGCCAAAGAAACCTTGAGCCTAGACCTCAAAAAAAAGTCTTTCTTGAGTCAGCTATGAAGATAAAATAATCCTTGGGCTCCCACCATGTTCAAAAAGTAGACTAAGAAAGTTCTATGACCCTCAAGGAGGGATTTCCTCAGTATCCATTTAGATATAGCCAAAAAATATTATAGGAAAAAAGAACTAGAGGGCAGAGCCATGACTTGGGGAGAAAATGAACAAAGAAACTCCTCCAGGAGAAAACTTGGGGTCTAATAAGGAAATCTTAGCTGGGTGTGGTGGCTTACGCCTGTAATCTCAGCATTTTGGGATGCCGAGGTAAGTGGATTGCTTGAGCCTAGGAGTTCAAGACCAGCCTGGGTAACATAGCAAGACCTTCTCTCTACTTAAAAAAAAAAAAAAATTAGCCAGGTTTGGTAACACGTGACTGTGGTTCCAGCTTCTTGGGAGGCTAAGGTAAGAGGATCACTTGAGCCCAGGAGATGAAGGCTGCAGTGAGCTATGATAGTGCCACTGCACTCCAGCCTGGGCAACAGAGCTAGATCCTGTCTCAAAAAAATAAAAAGAAAAAAGAAATCTTCTTCACCGTCAGGGCATGAGGCCTTCACAGTAGGATCTGAGAATGACTATGGACTAGTGACTGCTGTATGTCTCCCATCCCTCCCCTTTCAGAACGCTAGCGTTTGCTGTGGTATCCTGCCCCTGCTCCACCATTGGATTGAGGCTGAAGGTGTAGGGTGCTGATAACTTGTTTTGTTTGGTTCATAGGTTGCCAGACTAGAAGAAGCAACATCTAGACCTGAAGGTAGGACTATTATGCATCATCCAATGTTTAAGGGTCTATAGGGGGTAAGAAAATGCCCTAAAACTTAGCTTAGACAACAAAGATTTATAATTTCTCACAATTCCCTGGGTCAGGAATTCAAGCAGGGCTTAGCTGAGTGGATCTTCTGCTCTACCTGCCATCGGCTGGAATCATTTGCGCAGCCACATTTAGCTAGTGACTAGGCCAGGAAAACTTCACTCACATGTCTGATCCTCTTCCACATGGCTTCTGTCTCCACATGGCAGGTCATCCTTCAGTAGCCTAAGCTTAGTTTCCTTATGGCATGCCCTGGCTTCTCAGAGTACAAAGGCCGAAACTCCAGCCCTTCTTAAGGTCTAGGCCTAGAACTGACATGGCATCACTTCTGCAATATACTACTGGCCAAAGTGAGTCAGAAGGCCAGCCTGGATTCAAGGGGAGAGGAAATAGACTTCACCTCTGGCCGGGTGGAGTAGCACACATGCACAAAGGTAAAAGAAATTGTTGAAAGCCCTATGTGGATACTACAATGCCCAGAGATCCTGACCTTTGAGCTGGGATGTAGTTGCTGGATAAGACTTTGGGTTAAATTTCTTGGGAATGGGATGAGCATGTTATTTTAGGGGAAAGAAGAATAAAAAAAAATGAACCAAATATTTGTAAGCCAGAGGACTGATGGTGGTAGTTTATTATAAAAATACCCACCCATTGTGGCAGATTTTATTTTCCTAAATGCTTCAACACTATCTCCCATCTCATGTATTCTTCATATAATATGACCTTGACACTCCCCAATCAACATATAGAGTTTATGTCATCACTCCAGGAACCTGGATGCAACTTTGTGACTGCCTCAATTAATGAAGTATGGCAGAAGTGACTCTGTGTGATTCCCAAGGTCAGGCCATAAAAGGAGACACAGCTTCAATCTGGCTCTCTCTCAGGACACAGGCTTTTTTGGGAGCCCTGAGCCTGGCTTCCCCGAAAGCTCCATGCTGAAGAGACCACACAGAGTGACTACATAGAGGTAAATGCCTGAAGGGCTCCAGTTGTACCATCCTCCAGCCTCCAGCCACTTGGGTCTTCCCAGGCCAGGAGGTAGATATGTGAGTGAGCTAGCCTTGGATGATTTCAACCTCCAGCCTTTGAGATGCCCCAGTTGACGCCAAGTGGAGCAGAGATGAGCTGACCCTGCTGAGCCCTGTGCAATTGTAGAGCCCCGAAAAAAATATATGTTGGTGTTTTAAGCCACTAAGTATTGGCATGGCTTATACTACAGCAATAGATAACTAATATATAGTAAGTCCTCATAGTCATGTGTTTGATATTTGCAAATTCTACTTACTAAAATTTATATGTAACCCCAAACTGATTACTTAAGACGCTTTTGTGGTCATTTGTGGACACATGCAGAGTGGCAACAAGTTTAAGTCACCCAATGTGCATATTCCCAGCTGAGGTCTATAGGTAAACAGCCTGTGGCATGGCAGGTGTGGCACCATCTTGAAGCAAAACCGTCATGTTGACAGATGTTGACTCCTGCATACCAAGGTGTTTCCGTAGCATAGATAACATCCCATAAAGATGCGTATATAACCCAGTAGTCACAAGTCTCACAAGAAAGTCTGAGGTGTGACCAGCTACACATTTTGCCATAAAAGCTTGCTAAATACAGGATATTTTCCGGAGGGTGGGTGCGGCGATCTACTGTCTCATGACCACCTGAGACATCACTTCTGTTTGTAAGTCCCTATTAAATGTTTCTTTCTGAGAAACTGGATTTGTCAGCCTCTTTTTTCGGTCTCTCAGCTCCCCTGGCCTTTGGGGATAGATTTGCATATACCTGCTCACCGAGGAACACGGTCAAACAAGGTGACACTCTGCTTTCTTGTTTCAGCTCTTGTATTTTTTTCTAATTTGGTCTTAAGGTCTGTCTCATGAGAGTGGCTATAAACTCTCAGTCTGCCTTAACAGGGTTCCAGGGAATTTGGTCGTGGATGTTTACAGTGTGCTTTTCACAGGACACTTCTTTATCTTGGCAGACAGCCTAATTCTTAAGTGTCCAAACCATGACCAGGTGTCCCTCTCACAGGAAAGTTGTTTATAGTCGCAGGCGCCCTTGTGGCTCTTGTCTGACCTGTGTCGAGTCTATTCCTGCCAAGAGAGCCACTCTCTAGGAGAACGCCAACCGGGAAAGAAGTTAGGTCCGGGTGTGTGGGTGGGGTGAGACACAGAGAGGCAGCTCCACAGAACGCGCAAAATACCAGAGGCAGCATCTTCTTTACAGATTCCTCTCAGGGCCAGCAAGAAGGAAGGAACCCTCTGGGCCATCCATGCTTAGCCAGCAGGTGGGGAGCAAGATAGAGAGTGAGGGACCTGTGGGCCTAGGCCTTTATCGGGGTCCAGGCATTCCCAGGCCGCTTTCCCGTGGGGAGTTCTCATCAGTGGGTTGAAAGCCAGCAGGCAGGAGTTCCATGGAGGCACGCTGTGACTGAGAAGGGGTCGCTGTGGCAGATCCGTGCGGCCCATGTAGAGTGTGGGGTGTCAGTGGGGCCAGTCAAGTAGGTTGTATCTAGCTGTCCCGTAGGGAGGTGGTCACCAGCAGGTGACTGTATAAGGTAGATATCTGGATCGACCACATTGAGGAACAGGAAGGAGATGGAGAACAGGAAACTGTGTCAAGGGTGACTAAGCCCTGCTTCTGGTATGAGAAAGTCCAATATATTCAAAATGATGCTGAGACAACATATTATAAAAATTCACTACAACTCCCATACCATAAACATGGCCTTTTTGAGACCTACCTAATGCCCCCTTTTTCACATTTTTGTCCTATTTCCTGGTGATTTCACTGTTTAAAATGGCCCCCAAGTGTAGTATTGAAGGGCTGTCTAGTGTTCCTAGGTGCAACGGGACTGTGATATGCCTTACAGAGAAAATACATGATATATACATGTAATTCATTAAGGCATGAGTTATAGTGCTGTTATGTTCAATGTTAATGAACCATCTATGTATTAATTAAGATGTCTTTAAACAGAAACACACATAAAACAAGATTATGTATTGATTGGCTGATTATAATGTGATCAGAGGCTTGTAGGAACTTAACCCTATACAGCCCTTAGGAGCAATGGTTCCATATTAGTTAATTCAGTATTCACTGAGACTTTATGGACCATAACTACCGTGAATAATGTGAATTGACTGTGCCTATATTCAGCTCTCTTTTTTTCTGAGTACATGAGAACGCCACACTTTCCAGGACTCTTGCAGGTAGGTGAGACCATATGACTGGCTCTATCCAATGAAATGTGAGTAGCAGGCCAAAGCATTTAAGAACCAGTGTACTAAGCAGAGATTGCACCACAGCACTCCAGCCTGGCAACAGAGCGAGACTACATCTCACACACACAAAAAAATAAATAAATAAAAAGAACCAGTGTACTGTCTTCAATCTTTTGCTATCCCTAAAGTGGCAAACATGAAGGGCTTGCATTAAAATGATGGCATCCTCAACTGAAGGGAGCCTGGATCCTTGAGTTACTGGAAAGAGAAGAGCCCTAGCAACCTGCATCACACTTTATGAGCAAGAAATCAGTTATTATTGTGTTCAGCCACTAAGATGTTAAGGGTTTATTTGTTGTTGCAGCCTAGCCTGCAAACAACCTCAAAACCTGTCTAAAATAGGGTTTGAGAAGCCCAAAAGTGTGCTGAATAGGATCTTCTAGTCAGCTAAATTGTATGCATATGTGCATGCCTGTGTGCACATGTAGCTCTTAACTATCAGTATGCTCTAGCAAGTGGTAATCTATTTGATGATAGGGCCACAAGTGCTAACATGCAAAAGTTAGCTTTCCTTTCCACTCCCATCTCTCCTCAAAAAAAAAAAAAAAAAAAGAGAGAGAGAGAAGTGGTAGGTGGCTTAGATCTATTTATTCATTGGTTTAAAAGAAAATAGGCCAGATGAGGTGGCTCACACCTGTAATCCCAGTACTTTGGGAGGTTGAGGCGGGCAGATCGCTGAGTTCAAGAGTTGGAGAAGGCCTGGGCAACATGGTGAAAATCCGTCTTTAAAAAAAAAATACAAAAAGTTAGCTGAGTATGGCTAATAAACCATAAAGAGTTGATTTGCTCTAAAGGAAGTCCAGAGGGGAACCAGTAAGTTAAACTCTTCATCATTCACTCCAATCAGCATCACATCTGAAGCACCAGTCTAGTAAATACGTTTCACAAATGTGTCTACTCATGTGATGAAGTATGCCCTATACACACATTGACTCACTTATATTGGGTATTACAGCCTTTTGCCTATTTTCCTGTCAATGAGGAAATTACCAAACACACAGTGGTAACAAGGGAAGAAACGTTCCAGAACACTGGGTATGAAAAGTAGCAATAGTTTCATCTAAGTTGGAGAAGATGAAGAAAGGAACCAGAAATGGGTTTGTGAAAAGAGATAATGCCAATGAAAAGGGGCTCGCGACAGAGCTGCTGGGACCTCCCTGGCATCTGGGTCGGCCGCATCTACACTCAGGGCCTGCAGTCAGGTCGCGTTAGCACGTGGCTAAGGGATTCTCCCAGAGAGAGGCAAAAGGCCAGAAACCCCTGCACGGGGAATATGGTTGATCTGGCCAAGACGTGGAAATGTGCTTGTTCATCTGCATACCAAGTGATTCCTTGTGCAACTTCCTCTGTTTCCGTAGAAAGAATATGGGCTCTAGAGTCAGGCAGCCCTGTTTAAGTCCAGCTTCTTCTCTTACCCACTGTGTTTCCTTAAGCAAGTCACTTCACCTCTCTGGGTCTCACACTGGTGAGTGGAAATAACAATACCTGCTCACAGGGTTCTGGAATAATTAAATGAGATCACAAGCATCTGGCACAGAGCAGCCGGTTGCCTCCCCCTCTCATGCATATCCAGAAAGAGTCTCCCACTGTTTGAAATATTTTGTGCCACAGTAGCTGTGGGAGGCTGAGTAGTGCCCCTCTCCCTGTTACGCCTGCAAAAACGAAACAGAACCCCAATCTCCCCCCAGAAAAATCAATGATGTCCATGTGCTAATGCCTGGAACGTGTGATACCTTATATGACAAAATAAAAAAGACTTTGCAGATGTGATTAAGTTAAAGGTCTTGAGATGAGGGCATTATCCTGGATTATTTGGGTAGACTCTAAATGCCATCACAAGTGCCCTCATAAGAGAAAGGCAGAGGGAGAGTATAGAGAGGAGAAAAGAAGGCCATGTATGTGACCACAGAGGCAGAGAAGGGAGTGCTGCAGCCATAAACCAAGGAAGGCTGGCAGTCACCAGGAGCTGGAGGAGGCAAGGAACGGATTCTCCCCTAGAGCCTCCTGAAGTAGCTTGGCCCTATGGCCACCTTGATTTCAGCTCAGTGACAATGATTTGGGGCTTCCGGCTTCCAAAACTGTGAGCCGTCAAGTTTGTGGTAATTTGTGGCAGCAGCCACAAGAAACAAATGCAGTGGCTGACTGAGTCTGTGACCCCAACAAGAGAGTTAAGAAAGGAAAGATCTGTGTTCCAAGGCCACCCTCGGAAAAGAAAGCCCTTTGGTCCCTTGGGTAGAGGCTGCAGAAACACCAAGTCCTTCCAGCTAGGGTTGCCCTGGGTGGTCTTGTCAACTCACACTCACACTAACTCCTTGAACTTTGATCCTCACAGGAGGTGTCCAGGCAAGGATACGAGGAAAATTAGTATCATTTGCTTCTCCACTTCCGGCACAAACGCTCCCTCACCTGGGAAGGCAGGAACAGCCTGGACCAACTGTCTGAGGCCCTAGAATCAAGCACCTGAAAACGATCTCCCAGAGCTGCTCTCGGGCTGCATCAAGGGTACCTAGGGGAGGACAGATCCTGTGCAAGGAAGCATGGGGCATTCCCCCAGCCTGGGGTTAACAGCCCTCACCAACTTCTCAGGGATGCTATGAGAGTTAATGATTGTGAAGTGCACTCACTGCCACAGAAACGCTCAGCTGTGTGAAATGACTCACCCACGATCTTGGCCTGGAAAAAGTAGACCTATTGAAGACTAATGACATTGCTACATTTTCATTGTGGGTGCCAGAATGCATTGGAGTGGCTTCCCAGGCCACAAGTTTTCAATTTGCAGCACAAGCAGACCCTCCAATGTGGCACTTCTCTGCTCTCCTTGCATGTGACTTGGTTCGCTTTTAGTTGGTCTCTGTGGCTGCCAGTTGTCACCTCCACAATGCCCCATCCCCAACCTTCCCAGAAGCCCAGAGTGTTCAAGGCTGTCTGTTGGCAGAGGCCTAGGACACGTGGACACCCAGAGCTGAACACCATTGACTGCTAGGCAAATGAGACTTCAGTTTCAAAAGAGATCATATTCCAGTGGACGAATATCCCAGACATATTCCCGTGGACAAAGACGTCCATCTCATCTAAGGACACATGTCAAAGAAGATATTATTAATTCCCCTCCATTAGAGAGATCGCTGGTTCGTCACCCAATCCATTTCCCCTTCCTTTTTGGCACAGAGCTAGACTACGTTTCCCAGTCTCCCTTGCAGCCAAGTGTGGCCATGAGACTGCATTCTGGCCAATAGAAGGCAGGCAGATATGATGAGTGGCCTGGCCTATAGACCCTCTCCTCACCCCATCATGCTATTCTCCGCTCTCTTTCTTCCCCTCCCCACCAGTTGGCTGTCAATCTTTAGGGCAACCTTGGAAATAGGTGACCAACTGTACCAACTTGCCAGGAACTGTCCCAATTTTAACACTGAAAGTCTGCCCTCTGGGAAACCCCTCAGTCTGAGACAAATTTGAAAGGCACCTGTGACAGATGGCAGAGCCTCCCTCAGCCCAGGTCCTTGAATGGATGCCTGGAGCAGGGCACTCCCCACTTCCCCAGCCAACCCCACCCCACCGCCCACCCCCCACCCCCACCAATCACCAATACACCTATTTTGAACTTTATGTGGTTGAGAAATAAACTGAGATTTGCTACTATATGTGGTACCACAGCTAGTGTAACCTTAACTGATCCACCATCTAATATTTTTGGAGAAACACAAAAATATTCTATGTTCCCCAGCTACTATTTTAAGAAGATGGATCCCAGTTATAAATAGGCAGACTATCTGGGATAGTCCTGGTTCATACTTGTTGTCTAGCATTATTATTATTATTATTACTATTATTATTATTTGAGATGGAGTCTCACTCTGTCATCCAGGCTGGAGTGCAGTGGCACAAGCTCAGCTCGCTGCAACCTCTGCTTTCCAGGTCCAAGCGATTCTCGTGCTTCAGCCTCCCGAGTGGCTGGGATTATAGGCATGTGCCACCACACCCAGCTAATTTTTGTATTTTTAGTAGAGACGGGGTTTCATCATGTTGGCCAGGCTGGTCTCAAACTCTTGACCTCAAGTGATCTGCTCGCATTGGCCACCCAAAGTGCTGGGACTACAGGTGTGAGCCACTGCGCCTGGCCTGTCTGGCATAATTATTAATAGCATCTCCCTTTTACTCTCAAAACCCTCCCTCTTTGCGCAACATCTAGCATGGTTATAGATAATTTGCAGTGTGAATGCATCCCTAAAATGTTGTAAAAAATTGTTAATTGAATTCTATTTTAAATGCAATTATGTAGGAAAGAACTTTTCTGTAATAAAAGTAATCACCTCTAAACTCAACTATCAGAATATTGGATTTTCTTTGTGTTAGATACACTGTATCCATTACTTAGAACTGTCCTGAAATCTAGATTTCTTACAGACTTTGTGTTTAGAGAATTGTTGTTCATCTAGTAATTTAGGTCTTTTCAACCAATCGATCAATCAAAAATTCTATCTGTTGAGTGATCCATCCAGACAGTGGAATATTATTATACAATAAAAATAAATTAGCTATCAAGCCACAAAAAGATATCACTGAGTGAAAGAAGTCAGTCTGAAAAGGCTACATGCTGCATGATTCCAACTACATGACATTCTGGACAAGTCAAAATTAGGGGCTGGGCACGGTGGCTCATGCCTGTAATCCCAGCACTTTGGGAGGCCAAGGTGGGTGGATTACCTAAGGTCAGGAGTTCGAGACCAGCCTGGCCAACGTGGTGAAACCCTGTCTCTACTAAAAATACAAAAAATTAGCTGGACTTGGTGGCAGGCGCCTGTAATGCCAGCTATACAGGAGTTTGAGGCAGGAGAATTGCTTGAACCCGAGAGGCGGAGGTTGTAGTGAACCGAGATCACGCCATTGCACTCCAGCCTGGGCGACAAGAGAGAAACTCCATCTCTAAACAAAGCAAACAAACAAACTAGGGAGACAGCAAAAAGATCAGTGGTTGCCATGGGTTCAGTGGGGAGGGAGGTAGGGAGATGAATAGGTGGATCACAGGGGATATTTAGGGCAGTGAAACTATTATGTATGATAGTATAGTGCATTTGGAAAAACCATAGAACATACAACACCCAGAGTAGATCTTAATGTAAACTGTGGCCTTTAGTAAACAACAATGTCACTCATGCAATATATTAATAATAGGAGAAACTGAGGTAGGGGACACAGGAACTCCCTGTACTTTCTGTACCATTTTTCTATAAACTGAAAACTTCTTTAAAAATAATTTTTTAAAAAACCTGAAAATTAAGGGAAAAAAAAAGCCTACATTTGTTGAGCTCCCACAAAAGATACATAGGATATGGCTACAGTCCCAGGGGACAGACGTTCGGCTGCCGGAAGGTGCAGCCCTGCAATGGAGGACAGGCTGTCTCCCAGGGTGGACGGACAGACACGTGAAGTGTGAAGGTGCCAGGGCAGATGGCCAAGGGAAATGTCCTCGGTGCAGTGGGGATTAGGGCCTGGAGCACCGCCTCGAAGGGGAACTGGTGAGGTGGATTTGGGGTTGAGGTCTAAGAACAAAGCCCTCCTCAGGGCCAGGGTATGGGAGAGGTGGAGGGAGGAGGGCCCAGGCATACCCGGGAGGCTGGACCCTCCCCCACCCCCAACCCCTCCCCACCTCAGGGAGTCAGGCCACACGCGAACAATCCAAACAGGAGGCTGCGGGGGCCCCAGCTGGACGCTGCTTCGCACAGTTAAGGGAGAACACATCCAAAGCAAATACTTGCAATATTCAGAGCTTTCAGATGGCCATGTTTTATTCATACACATTAGCATGGGGTCTGCAGGCCCCTGAAGTCTGAAAGAAATTAGAAAATCACACTGTCAGGGCTAGAAGAGGCCTGGGGAGTGAGCTAATCCAGGCCTTCTTTTTGCAGAAGAGGAAATTGAGGTCCACAGAAGGAAGCGACCTGAGGCTGCATACAGAAAAAGAGAACCAGGCGGGGCCTGGGGTTCCCCCACATGCCAGCTTCTGCCCCTTTCCTTCTTCCTTTCCTCTCTCCCTCCCTTCCTCCTTCTTTTCCTTCCTTCCTTCCTCTTTTCCTTCCTTCCTCCCTCCCTCCCTCCCTTCCTCCCTTCCTTTTCTGCCTGCCACTGGTCTCCCTTCCGGCTGGTAACTTGTGTGGGTGCGTACTTTGTGCTACTTTCTGGGCAAGGCCAGGGGCTCCTGCTGCCTGTCCTCAAACCCTCTGGAGGTTGAGAACAATCTGAAGCCACAAAGTCTGCCCAGGCCTTGGAAAATCCAAGGCCTGCTCCTGGGTTGTTAGAGGACCTCAAAGCCCAGAGGGCAGGTGAATTTTTAAAACCACACTATGGACTCACAAGAATTTCCGTGAAAACCAGCCATGGAGTGAGTCCACAGCGACAGTGCTGCCTTTCTTCCGGGGCTCTCCCTCCAGATGCGGCAGCAGCCCTCCCCATGCCCACCTTGCCTCCCCTCCAGCTGGGAGGTTCTTGGACATAGCTCTCCTTCACTTCACTCCATCATCGCCAGCTCTGGGCATGATCTGAGCTTTCCAGATAGTGAGTATTGCGGCCGACTGGGGTGAGTGGTTTGAGCACAGGAGCTGAGTTGACTTTGGATCCTCAGTGACTCTAGGAAAGTGGTGTACAGGGCCGGCACCTGAGGGACAGCAGGTGGAGATGATTGGCAGACAGCTGAGCAAACAGGTGGGCAGCACAGGAGGGAGGTGGGGCCTGAAAGTAAACATCTGGAGGTTTCCAGCAGCAGATGGGCTTGCACGGGATAGCGGGGGCCCAGAGAAGGTGCCTGGGAGCCAGGCAGAGAAGCTGCAGGAGGAGGAAGAGGGAGGAGGAAGGCTCACTGAAGGAGCCCTGGGGGCTTAAGCAAGCTACTCCAGATCGGCTCCCTCACACTCTCACTCCCTTCTAGCCAGCCAGTCCCTGCTACAGGCTCTGGAAAGCTAAAACCTTGCCTTCTCAGACTTCCTTGCAGCCAGGAGCAGCCATGGGACAGAGCTCTGACCAGTGAGACATTAGTAGAAGCCAGCTTGTAATGGGACCTCTTCTGCCCTCTCCTTCCGCTCTCAGCCTTAACTACGGAAGTGATGGCTCCACCTGCAGAAGCCGTCGTGGGATCATGAGGGAAAAGCTGAGAGAATTGCTGTGACATCTTTGAGCTGCTTGAAATGACTCCAACACTAGCAACCAATTCCCCTCAGGATTCTCATTACAAGGAGAAAAAACAAATAAACAAACAAACAAAAAACCTCTAACACATTTAAGCCACAATTACTTGGGTTTTCCATTACTCATGCAGAAGGCAGTCAATAGTATCAAACACTATAAAGATGTGTCAGTGAGGGCCCTTTATGGAACAGAAAAGACAACTCATGTTAGCATAAGCCTTGAAGAGATTGGTTGGCTCATGTAACTAGAAAGTGCATAATCAGAAGAGGCTTCAGGACAAGTTTGATCCAGAAGTTTAATGCTATCACCAAAGACCTGGTATCTTTTCATCTTTCCCCACCCATCCTTGAACCAAACACTTGCAGTAAAAGAGATAGGATCATGCTGACTGGCTTTGGCCAATTGAACCCATCATGGAGGGCAGTGTGGGAGGCAAGAATCAAAGTCTCCCAAATCACATGGTTGCTGGACAATGGGGAAAAAGCATCTGCAAAGGACACTCTAGGTGCTGTGATGAAAGGCAAATGGAAGCTAGGTGAGCAAGTAATGAGTGTTGGCCACAGCAATCTATTCTGGAAGGGTGAAGAGTGCATGGGGACTATTAGACATGGTCATCAGAAGGAGGCCATGCTGGCTGCAGTGAGCTATGCAGTAAGTGGGCAGGAGGAGGTGAGTGCTACTCTCTCAAGAAATTTCACACTGCTAAGAAACAAGAAACGACACTATCTGGGTTGAGCAAGAAGAGTTAAAGGAACACTGCTTCAGAACAGGGAGACTTGTATATAGTTGCAGGATGGGAGGAATGATCTGTTGGAAAATAAGAATTTGAGGAAGGAGGGAGCAATGAAAATTCAGTAGGCTGGGCGTGGTGGCTCATGCCTGTAATCCCAGCACTTTGGGAGGCTGAGGCGGGCAGATCACCTGAGCTCAGGAGTTCAAGACCAGCCTGGACAACATAGCAAAACCCTGTCTCTACTAAAAACACAAAAAAATTAGCTGAGCGTGGTGGCACACACCTGTAATCCCAGCTTCTTGGGAGGCTGAGATACAAGAATTGCTTGAACCGAGAAGGCAGAGGTTGCAGTGAGCTGAGACCATGCCACTGCACTCCAGCCTGGGTAACAGAATGAGACTCTGTCTCAAAAAAAAAAAAAAAAAAAAAAAGAAAGAAAAAGAAAGAAAAGAAAAAGAAAATTCTCTGAGTGCCTATTGTGAAACTCTGATGGAGGAAATGGGACAGAAAAAGTGGAGGTGCTGGTAGGATGCTGGTAGGTGGTACACAAAGACAGCCTGGAGTCTCTCAAAATACACCACAGCTGCCTTCCTTTTCTATTGCTATGTAATACATTACCACAATTTAGCAGCTTAAAACAACACACATTTATGCTTCTGTAGGTCAAAGTCCAAGCCAGGCAGAACTAGGTTTTCTGCCTAGGGTCTCAAAAAGCTGCAATCACAGTGTCTGCCCACTGTCTTCCTTTTGGGAGCTTGGAGTCTTCTCCCAAGCTCACTGGTTGCTGGCAGAATTCAGTTTCTTGGGGTTGTAGGACTGCTAGCTGTTCGCTGGGGACCTCTCTCTACTTCTAGAGGCCACCCTCAGGTCCTTGTTCTGTGGCCTCCTCCATAGGCAGTTCACATGTGGCTGTTTACTTTCTTCCTCAAGGCCAGCAAGATAGTCTTGCTGATGCTCTACCTTTTTGACTTTAAGGACTCACCTGATTAGGTCAGGCCCACCCAGGATAATCTCCCTTTTGATTCACTCAAAGTCAACTGATTGGGGACATTAATTACATTGGCAAAATCCCTTCTGCCATGTAACATAATCATGGGAGTGATATCCCATGATGTTCTCAAATCCCACTCACAATCAAGAAGAGGGGATGATTCAGGCTGTGTACATCAGGGGATGGGAATCCTTGGGGCCTTCTTAGAACTCCACCTACCATGACAGCTACATTCTCAAGGTTTTCAGGGGAAATCATAAACTATTGAAATTATTTTCTTTGCTTCCCTACTTGGTCTGCTTGAAGGCAGATGACCCAAACTGGCCTCCCTGCCAGCTGCCACTGAATCATTTCACCCAAAAAAAGTGCAAAAGTGCAAGACTCACTGTTCCCAGATTATCTGCAGGGTTTTTTCTCTCTCTCTTTCGTAGATCCTATTTTTGCCTGGGTTCCTTGAGAGCAGTCTATCGACTGTTCTCCCTCATATGAGTAAATAACTGTGTATTCAGTGAACTAGAGGCTTTTTTTTTTTTTGAGATGGAGTCTCACTCTTGTCACCCAGGCTGGAGTGCAATGGCACAATCACGGCTCACTGCAGCCTCCACCTCCTGGATTCAAGCGATTCTTGTGCCTCAGGCGCCCACTGCAACACCTGGATAATTTTTATATTTTTAGTAGAGACGGGATTTCACCATGTTGGCCAGGCTGGTCTCGAACTCCTGACCTCAGGCGATCTGCCCGCCTCAGCCTCCCAAAGTGCTGGGATTACAGGCGTGAGCCACCGTGCCCGGCCTCAGTGAACTAGAGGCTTCTGAAACAGTCTTGGATGGCTTATTTCTGGAGATTCCACTGAGATATTGTCCACCTTAGTCCTACACTCAGAGCCAATGGAAACACATTGCCAGAAAGGGCACCTTGTGAGTACTGGGAACCATTGAGGGCCTGGCTCCCCTTCCCCTAGCTCCTTTGTCCAGTAACTAGGCCAAGTTCTTTTTATATACCATTTCCACTGAACTCTTACAACTATTATACTAGGAAAATATTTGTATAACCCCTTCCAAAGAAGGGCAGGTTAAGATTCAGAGAAGCAAAGTCACTATCCCAACTCACTAACAAAAGGCTGAGCTTCTTCTTTCTCCTACAATCTGCTTCCCCCTTAGAGGCCACACCCCTATGACCTTTAGTCCAAGGAGGACTTGCCCTTGACTTACCCTTGTTATAGGTCTACCTGAAAGGTAGAATGAGCAGAGGTCACCAAAAACCCCTCAGCTTTGACACTTCCTTTACCCCTCCATGAAACTACATAGGGTGTCTACAAACCCCAGTGCTGAACAGAGGTTCCCAAACAGCCTGCCCTGCCCTAAGCCATGGGTCAGCGAAAGGCCAGGCAAGGTTAGCCCTTCCTAAAGGCTCATATGGGAAAAGTTATCTGTGCATCGAAGCCCCTGAAATGAGCAAGGTGTTGGGGGCAGTAGCCACCAGTGTAGGTGTGAGCTGAGCAATGCCTGCTTCCTTCCCAAGGGTCTCTGGAGGCAGCAGCTGCTCCTCCTACAACCTGGGGTTTGCTTGCCTACTTGCTGAACCCGCAGTGCTGGCCTGGTTATCTATTAATACTCCCTGATTTGCATCCCCATGTGCTACCTGGCCACCCTTCAAAAGTAGGGCTCCAAGATTTAGCATATAAATATACAGGGTGCCAGTTCAATTTGAATTTCAGATAAACAATGAGTAATTTTTTAGTACAAGTATACCCCCAAATACTGCACAGGATATACTTATACTGATGTTAAGTACATCAGTATGTGAAAATATTATTTGTTGTTTCACTGAAGTTCCAGCTGAACTGAGCATCCTGCATTTTATCTGGCAACTCTATCCAGAAGTTTTAGCCAGCAGGCAGAAAACTTGAGAAGAAAAATGCCCTTTGGATGAAAGATCCATCTGTAAAATCCTTTTAAATAGTCTGCACACAGGTAGCACACACTTTTCCACCACAAATACACACTCTGTGTCTGTCTCTCTCTGTCCCACACACATGCGTGTACACACACACACACACACACACACACACACTGCTATAGTTATCTATTGCTGCCTACTGTGTGCTTACTCTGTGACTTGTGTGCTGAAGCAACATGTCTCCTTTGTGGGCACCCCCTCCACTTGCTGCACCTGGATATCCTCATCTGTGAAGTGAAGGGATAGGGTTAGATGATGGGTGACGTCTCTTGAGTCTTCATGCGTGCGTGTGTGTCTGTGTGCGTGCGCGCGCACAGACACACACACATACACGGAGTTCTGCTCCCCACTTGGGTTAGAGTGAACCTTGAGTCTCTTCACTAAACCCCCCTTGCCCTAGGCCCAATCCCAACCCCAATCCTGCATCTGGCCCTCACAGCATTCACTGTGCACCCACTGATCTACCTGCCATCCTAGTGGGTCCTGGGAGTGTCACTGAATAGGACAATTAGTGGGGCAGGATGTGTAACAGATTGGGCTCACTGGTGATTTACAAGTGGTTTTAGAATAAAGTACCCAGATCACCCTTCAACACATGTCCCTTTCTCCAGGCAAGAGCCTGGGGTGCCCACCCCTATTAGTAAGTAGACAGTAGCCTTTGAGGAGTGGAATTCATTTGCAAGGCTGCTAGGAAATGAATTGTACCTCCCACAAAAAGTCATATGTTGAAGCCCTAACCCTCAGTGTCACTGTATTTGAAGACAGGACCTATAAGGAAGTAATTAAGGTTAGAAAGGGTTGCAAAGGTGGACTCCTATTTAAAGGGATTCGTGACATTGTAAGAAGAGACACCAGAGAGCTTGCTGTCTCTCTCTCCCCATCATGTGATGATACAACAAGAAGGTATTCATCTACAAGCCAGGAAGACAGCCCTCATCAAAACCTGACCTGCTGGCACCTTGATCTTGAACTTCCAGCTTCAGAACTGTGAGAAATGAATTTTCTGTTGTTTAAGCCACCCAGCCTGTGGTATTTTCTTATGGCTGTCCTAGTAGACTAAGACAGAGGGTATCTGGGCCCCCTGGATGTCCAAAGAGAATGCCCTTCCATGCCTTCAAAAGCAGGAGGAAAGTCACCGTGCAACCAGGGTGCAGGGAACAGCAGAGCCTCCTGCTGAGATCTGGGCCTAGCAGGTTGGGCAGAACACAAGGCTCCAACTGTCTCCAGGCTCTGGAGTCTGAGGGCCAAGCTGGCAGGTGACATAGCAAAACAGATGGCTCAAACAGGATGACCAGCTTCTCAGTTTGACCAGGGAAGCTCCAGTTCTAAGGCCCCAAGAAACTGTGATTTGAGGCAAGGTCTTGGGTCTCATCCTGGTACACTAGGTACGAGGCTTCTCTCCCACCCTAGGGCATGGACCCTGGAGCCATCCTAGACTCTGGCAGGAAGCCAGCAGTATTAGTTAGGGTTCTTCACAGAGACAGAACCAATAGGATGTGTCTAGATAGAGAAAGAGATTCATGCCTGGGTGCGGTGGCTCACACCTATAATCCCAGCACTTTGGGAGGCCAAGGTGGGTGGATCATTTGAGGTCAGGAGTTCAAGACCAGCCTGCCCAACATGGTGAAACCCCGTCTCTACTAAAAATACAAAAATTATCCAGGCGTAGTGCCAGGCGCCTGTAATCCCAGCTACTCATGAGGCTGAGGCACGAGAATTGCTTGAACCTTGGAGGAGAAGGTTGCAGTGAGCCAAGATTGCACGGCTGCACTCCAGCCTGGGTGACAGACTGAGACTCTGTCTCAAAAAAAATAAAATAAAATAAAATAAAATAAAAAGGGAGAGAAAGATATTTATGATAAGGAATTGGCTTATGGGATTATGAAAGCTGGCAAGTCCAAAATCTGCAGGGTGGGCTAGCAGGTGGAGACCCAGGAAGAGCCAATGCTGCAGTTCCAATCTCATGACATTTGCTGCAGGGCCAGGAAGAGCTAATGTTTCAGATGAAGCCCAAAGGTAGTCTGGTGGAGAATTCTCTCTTGCTTGGGAGAGGCCAGGTTTTTTGTTCAATTCAGGTCTTCAACTGATTGGATGAGGCCCACCCACATGAGGGAGAG
This sequence comes from Homo sapiens, assembly GCF_000001405.40. Lineage (NCBI taxonomy): Eukaryota > Metazoa > Chordata > Mammalia > Primates > Hominidae > Homo > Homo sapiens. The sequence continues at coordinate 40,373,808 of NC_000023.11, read as the reverse complement.
CCATCTGCTTTACTTAAAGTGGATCAATTTAAATGTTAATCCCATCCTAAAACACCCCCACAGAAACACCAAGAATAATGTTTGTTCAAATATCTTGGTGCCCCATGGCCCAGCCAAGTTGACACATGCAATTGACCATCACAGAGGCCCTGTCCCTCTAGCTCCTAGATACACAGGCTCCCCCCACGTCTCCTTCAAGGACCCAGCTTTCCTAGCCCAGAGCACTTGGGGGGGCCTCCCTCTCCTGTCTGCCTCTCCTTGGTGCTTCACTCCCGCACTGGCTTATTTGGAAACTTCTCTCCAGGAACTGAGAGAATGTCTTTAATCACCTTAAGTTTGGGGAAACAAACTCTTAGTCATGATCCTCAAAGTCCATGAAGTAGTGAAGGGAAGGAAGGGGAAGGGGGAAAACTCTTAGAAGGAAATACGCACACATACACACACAAACACACACACACATATACATCTACATACCTATATACACGCACATACACACATGTACAAATACACATGTGTACACACACATGCACATACACATATACCCATACACACCTATACACATGCACATACACACATGTATAAATACACATGCATACACACACACATGCACACATGCACACACACATACCCATACACACCTCTACACATGTAAAAATACACGTGTACACACACATACACACACCACACATGCACATACACACATATAAATATACACACGTACACACACACATATGCACACATACAAACATATACACACACAAACATGAATACACATACACAGATATACATATATATACACATGCACATCGACACATACACAGATACGCACATGCACACAAATATACATATGCACATATACACATATGCATATACACATGCACACATATACACACCTACACACAAATATGCAGGCATACATACAAATATACACCTACACAAATGTACACACGTACACATCCATACCTAAACACATACATACACATTTCAAAATCCACCAAATGTCACCCACCTACACTGGCAAATGCTACCCATCCAAGGGCTATTGCCACCCATTGACAAAGGCTACCATGGGGACTGTTGAGAGCACTTTCTAGTGAGTCTCTGGAGAGGTGAGGTTATTTAACAGGGCCCTGGTGGGCCCCCTTTGTCTATCTGACCCTGAGCAATTAACTCTCTAAGCTTCTGTTTCTTCATCAGTAAAACAGTAATGGTAATCCCCACTCCTGAAAGTTCTTGTACAGGAAAAATCTGCCCATTCATCAGATATTTACTGGACATCTGCTGCATGCCAGGCACTGTGCTGGGACTCAGCAGTGAAAAGGGTCTAGGTGGCTTATTGCCATCAGATGATAGTGAAGGAGAAGAGGCCGGCAGTTATCGCAACTGGAAGCCATGTGCCAGGAAGTTGCACAAAGGGGCTGAAGGTACATAATGGGATTTTAAGCTAGTCAGGAACAGCATCCAAGACAACACAGGTGAGGGGAGGTCAGGAAAGCTTTTCCTGTGTGGTGGAGACTTTGGCAAGGCCATGTCCCAACGTGGGAAGTGAGTGCAGGGGGTGGGAGCTGGGGTGGCTACAGCAAATGTCACTACACACGGGAGGGTGGGGCCAGGAAAGGTAAGTCTGGAAATGTGGGGTAGCTGGATTGGACAAGGCCTTTTACAGGGTCTCGCTCTGTCGCCCAGGCTGGAGTACAGTGGCGTGATCTCAGCTCACTGCAGCCCCAACCTCTCTGGCTCAAGCCATCCTCCTGTCTCCCAAATAACTGGGACCACAGGCACACACCACCACACCAGGCTAATTTTTGTATTTTTTTGTACAGATGGGATCTCACCACATTGCCCAGGCTGGTCTGGAACTCCTGGGCTCAAGTGATTCCCCTGCGACAGCCTCCCAAAGTGCCACCATGCCTGGCCCGGACAAGGCCTTAAATGGAAGGCAAAGCCTTTTGACCATTTCTGTTCACAAAGGACTTTTTGTGTGACAGGAACACAGCCCGGTTGTAGAAGGGCCACTTTAGGATAGTTGGAATAGGGAAAGAACTTCTCCAAGAGGCAAGACGGCTGAGTCAGTGTGGAGGTGCTGGGTCTCAGAGCTTCAGTCACTACCTCAGACACTCCCACAATAGCCGGGAAGCCAGCCCCTGAGGTGGGAAGGAGGGCTTCCTGCCAGCCCCTTCCCATAAGGCAAACAGCTTTGCCCATGCCCTGAGCAGCAGCGCCCAGCTCCCTCCTTCATGCCACACCCTCCAGGCTCACCTGAGGCACAGTGGTTGGGACGGGCCTGGGTTTCACCTGTTTTGGCTGCAGGTTCCATTTGTCAGCCTGGATATCCCTTGTTCACAGGGCTATCACCTCTCATTGTGATTAAAGTAACGAGTTCCATTGATTCATCAAGATGGGAGTACAAGAGTTCCCAGCTAGGCAGCGTGGCAGGCCACCCTGGTTCACGGATTCCCTGCCCTGGATCTCCCCTGGAAGATGACAATCCAAAAAGACAAGGAAATTATCTTCTGGCCGGGCACAGTGGCTCACACCTGTAATCCCAGCACTTTTGGGAGGCGGAGGCGAGTGGATCAATTGAGGTCAGGTGTCTGAGACCAGCCTGGCCAACTTGGTGAAACTCTGTCTCTACTAAAAATACAAAAATTAGCTGGGCGTGGTGGCATGCGTCTGTAGTCCTAGCTACTCGGGAGGCTGAGGCAGGAGAATTGCTTGAACCCAGGAGGCAGAAGTTGCAGTGAGCTGAGATCATGCCACTGCACTCCAGCCTGTGTGACAGAATGAGACCCTGTCTCAAAAAAAAAAAAAGAAAAGAAAAGAAAAAGAAATTATCTTCCTCTTAGGAAGATTCATTCAGTTACTTTAACAACAAGGAGCAAAGCTACCCCAGCGGGAGCCCCTCACCTCCAAACCCTGTGAGCACACTCCAGAATCTCTTCTTCCATCTCGGTAGTGGCCCAGGATGCAAAGAAGTTTTTTTAGAGCTGGAAGGGACCTTAAATATGAACCTTAGACATGAAAGCAGAGCCCCCATTTTCAGATGAGAAGGTTGAGGTCCAGAGAGGAAGTGACTTGCCCAAGGTCACATAGCAGGAGGCAGGGCCAGGCCCCCCGGCAAGTCCACCTTCCTGCTTCTGGTTGCTCCTGCCAGTTGGGGGCCCCCAGGCCCTTTGAGCAGAAGGGCCTTCTTGGAAGGCTCTGCTGAGAGCAGCACAGGGGATCTGGCAACTGAGGTCCAGGGCTCCAGGGCTCCATCCTTGGGCAAACTGGGGTTACAGGCAGCTCCCTGAAGGCCTGCCTCCCCCAAGGGTGCTGCCCAGGATAAGAAAGCGCCTCACTCTTGCCTTTTAAGCACTGCCTTCTGGGGCAGGGGACGGGGAGAGGCCCCACAGCCACCAAGGAGGGGGAAAGGGGATGTGGAGTGGAGCCCAAATTCCCCAAAGCGGGAGTGGAGAACCAAGGTAACATGGAAAGGACATGGCAGGAGGCGTTTCCAGGGCCAGGTGGGAGTCAGCCCCATCTCCAGTTACCAACTTTGCTTGAACTACACTTCGGATTCCTCATCTGTAAAGTGGGTTAATACCAGCACTTCCCTCGTGGGGTTATTCTGAGGATCCAGTGAGATGCCCATGGGACAAGGTTAGCAGAGAATAGGTCCATTCATTGTGGTGCCATCCCCTAGTGCAATCCAAACAGCAGCAAAAACACATGTGGTAGAGACCCACATGCCCACAGAGGAGTCTCACAAGCAGATACACTGCAAAGCTAAGAGAGCAGCAGAAGAAATTCGGCGAGATCAACAGGGAGGTCAAGATGCCTAAACACACACACCACTACGTTTTACACAGTGATGCACAGCTATGTCATGAAAATGGGAAGACATGTATAGAAATTAGGAACAGCAGATTTCATCCAGTGGTTACCTCTGAAGTAGGGAAGGAGGATGTGATCAGGAAGGCAGGACAACCGGGAGCTTAATTTACACAGGTAGTGCTTGATTTCATCCAGAACACGAGCAAGTCCATTGCACTGCACACAGCAGTGTCTGAGGCTCAGCCTGGAGCATCTTTCTCCCGTCCTTTCCTGGCTGCCTCGTGCTCATCTTCCAAGCCTTGGCTGAAACACACTCCCACTGGGAACCCTTTCCTGGCCCCCTCCCCACTCCCCTGCCCCAAGCCTGGGATGGGGCCACTGACAAACGGTCCTAGACCCCTGGCTGTGATCAGGCCTGTCACAGGGGCTGTCGTTGAGGATTTAGTGTCTTTCTCCCCTGGCTCTTGATGGCAGGGGCTGAATCTTCCTTGCCCAATGGAAGGAGTAGCCCATAACTGGTCCTCTGTCACTGAGCAAATATTTATTGAACACCTACTATATGCCAGGCACCAGGCATATAGCAGCAAACAAAACAGACAAAACTCTCTGTGCCCCTAGAGCTGGCATGAATGTTTGTTGAATGAAATGAATGTTGAATGAATGAATGAATTCAGAGCAACTGAAAACCTCATAGAAGGTTGCATGTGGTGGCTCATGCCTGCAATCCTAGCACTTTGGGAGGCTGAGGTGGGAGGATCATTTGAGGCCAGGAGTTCAAGACCAGCCTGGGCAACACAGACCCTACCTGTATAAAAACAAAACCAAAAAACTTAAAAATAAAAGAAAACCCCACAGAAAATATCCCCTATCTCCTGGTTCCCTCTCCCCCTCCACACTAGGGGAGATTGGGATCCAGAGGAAGTGAAATAAAATCATAAAAGAAAGCATCTTCTAGGAAAACACTGGCAAGGCGGCCAGGGCCAGGGCCGGGGTGGCGGTGAGGGATCCCCAAGGTTGTCCCACACGCCACCCAAGGGATCCTAATCCAGGTGGCTCCCCTTGATTTATTTTCCTGGGGAAGATAATCCCTGCTCTCTCTGAGGGAGGTCCATGCCACCACTTAGCTTCTCCACAAATGTCAAATGATCTCATCCCTCCTGTGCAGGCAGAGAGTAATAAAAACAATGAATGTGTAAGCAAAGTTCACACCCAGTTATCCCATGCTTAATTCAAGGCGGAGAGAGAAGGGTAGGTGGAGGAAGCAGTGGTTTCTCCCCAACCTCCTCACTCCCACACACCTCCTTTCTGATCAAATCCCCCTACAACAGTGGTTCTCACAGTGTGGTCCACAGACCGGGCTCAGCATCATCTGGGAGCTTGTTAGAAATGCACATTCTTGGGCCCCACCCCAGACCTGCAGAATCAGCTGCTCCAGGCTGGGCCCTGGTACTCTTTGCTTTAACAAGCCCTCCAGGGAGCTCCAATGCAAGAGGCTGGGGAATCACCTGGGAACCTTGAAAAACTACTGATGTCTGCATCCCTCCCCATCTCCCAGGATTCTGAAATAATTGGTCTGGGAAGAGACCTGGGCTTCCGGAGATTTTGAAGCTCCCTAGGTGACTCTGCTGTGCACCCGGAGAGCAGTCCTGGGACCCAGTCCCCTAATTCTGTCATCAGGGCAGAGAAAAAGAATTTCTCACTTACAAAGGGTTTGTTACTATGCTGACATAGCACAATGTTTCTCAAACTTCAGCAAGCATCAGAATCCCCTAGAGTGCTTGTTAAAGCCCCGGTTCTCTGATTCAGCAAGTCTGAGGTGGGGCCTGAGAATTTGTATTTCTAATGAGTTCGCAGGTGATGCTGCTCATCGTCTGAAGACCACACTGAGAACCACTGACAAAGATTTTTTGTTGGACCAAATGTTAGTTAGGCTCCCCAACCTTCTTCTAGGTCCATCTGTGCCCATCCTTGTAAAAACTCATATTAGTAAGAACCCCCTACTCTCAATATCTGATCAGTTCCTCACCCTCCACCATCCCAGAGTGATATCTGATCACCCTGGCCAGCCTTCAGCAAGAGTCCTGTCAGGTTGGTTTAGGCAGAATGGGTACCACGATGTTCTTTCTTAGTAATTTTCCATCCACTGACCTCACCCTGCCCCTTAACTGTAAATTCTCACTTGCCCATGCTGTATTTGGGGATGAGCCCAATCTCTTTCCTCTACTGCAAAATCCCATTGTAGTGTTCCCTATACCTATCTCGATGATCCTGAATAAAGTCTGGCTTAGCGTGCTTTAACAAGGTGTCATTAAATTTGTTTTATGTATTTTTTTAATTGGCAGATAATATGTTTTCATCATGTACAACATGATGTCTTGAAGAATACATACGTTGTAGAATGGCCAAATCAAGTCAATTAACAAATGCATTACTTTGCAGTTACCACTTTCTGGTAACAGCCCGTAATATTCACTCTCTTTACATTTTTCAAGAACAGTACAGACGGTCCTGACTTACAATGGTTCGATTTACAACTTTTTGACTTTACAGTGGAGTGAAAGTGATACACAGTCATTACACTCCTCAACTTACTACTCAACTTATACTGGGGTTATGTCCCAATGAAAATGTCACAAGTCAAAAGCACGCAAGAAGCATCTGTACATCGTCATTAACTATAGTCACTTTACTGTATGATAGATCTTTTGACATTTCTTCCTCTTAACTGTTAAGTATATATCCTCTGACCAACCTCTCCCCATCCCTGCTAAGCACCCCACCCTCTGATAACCACCATTATACTCTCTACTTTTATGATCAATCTTTTTAGATTAGGTATTTTTTTCCTTTAACATCACTTAGCCTAGATGATCCTTAGAAAAACCCTCTGAGATCAGCATCATTACCTCATTTAAGGAGTGGGGAAAGTGGGACACAGAGGAGCTAAGTGACTTGCTCAAGGTAGCACAGTTGGTGACGGAGCTGGATTTGAAGCCAATAGGTCAGCTCCAGAGCCCCTGTTCTTTCCCGGGTGCAGTTTGTTCAGTGTAGGGATCAGGATTTGTTCTGAGGGACATCCTGCATTCTTTCCCCTGCCAGCACTTTCCTCCCAGCCCTGCCTCCTCCAGGGCCAGGAAAGCAGTGCAACAAGGGTGGCTGTGGGTGGCTTTGTTTGTGCCTGACATTCCTCCAGGGTTTCTCTCCCCAGCTGCTCAATGCCTTCTGTTGTCTCCTAATTATTCAGGACCACATGCAGGCCTGGGTCCCCTAAAGTCCCCTGATATAATTTGAATCTGTATCCCCACCCAAATCTCAACTTCAGTTGTAACCCGCAATGTTGGAGGTGGGGCCTGGTGGGAGATGGTTGGATCATGGGGGTGGATTTCTCATGAATGGTTTAGCACCATCCCCCTTGGTGCCGTTCTCGTTCTCGTGGTAGTCAGGGAGTTCTCAGGAGATCTGATTGTTTAAAAGTGTGAGCATCTCCCCTATCCACTTTCTCCTGCTCTGGCTCTGTGAGACGTCTCGCTCCCCCTTTGCCTTCCACCATGATTGGAAGCTTCCTGAGGCCTCCCCAGAAGCAGAAGCCACTATGCTTCCTGTACAGCCTGCAGAACCATGAGAAAATTACACCTCTTTTCTTTATAAATTACCCAGTCTCAGGCATTTCTTTATAGCAATGTGAGAACGGCCTAATATATCCCCTTTGCTTTGGCATTCCATTGCAGCCCCTTGAAGACCCAAACTCTTCCATCAGCTGTCAATTTTGCACTAAGCACAGTTGGCCACTATTCCTCTCAGTGATACCTGCCTTCAACATGGGAAGCCTTTATCAAAGTTAGTGGACCTCTCAGGATGGAACTTAAGGCATTAACATCACTTATTTATCTATTCATGCCCTCATTCAAACAGCCATTCTGTCGACCTTTATTGAACATCTATGTAACAGATCCCATGCAAGGTGCTGGGAATTGAAATACAGGGAAGACTTGATCACCTATCTCAAGATGTTTCCTCAAGGAGACAGAAGGACCAGGGAATGTAAGTCCCATGATGGCAAGGATTCTATCTGGCTTACTCACTGCTGCCTAGAAAAGAATCTAGAGCATCATTGGCCCTCAATAAGTATTGAAGGAAGGAAGGAAGGAAAGAAGGAATTGAAGGGGAACCTGCTTGAGGAATTGTCCTTTTCTTTCTCCCCAGGTGTCAGTCAAGTCCAGAATATCCTCACTGTTTATGTGAATAATGTGTCCACTTGGGAATGATGTTCAGGTCAACTATGAGCACCCAAAGTACTAAGCCCTGTTCAAGAAATGCCCTGTTCCATCACATTACTCAACTTCAAACTACACTACAAGGCTACAGTAACCAAAACAGTATGGTACTGGTACATAGACACATAGGCCAATGAAACTGAATAGATAACCTAGAAATAAAACCACACACCTAAAACCAACTATCTTTGACAAAGTCAACAAAAATAAGCAATGGAGAAAGGACTCCCTATTCAATAAATGGCGCTGGGATTACTGGCTAGCTATATGCAGAAGATTAAAACTGAATCCCTACCTATCACCATATACAAAAATTAACTCAAGATGGATTAAAGACTTAAATGTAAAACCTTAAACTATAAAAATCCTAGAAGAAAATCTAGGCAATACCCTTTTGGACATCGGCCTTGGAAAAGAATTTATAACTAAGCCCTCAAAAGCAATTGCAACAAAAGCAAAAATTGACAAGTGAGACCTAATTAAATTACAAAGCTTCTGCACGGCAAAATAAACTATCAACAGAGTAAACAGACAAGCTACAAAATGGGAGAAAATATTTGCAAACTATGCATCTGACAGGTCTAATATCCAGAATTTATAAGGAACTTAAACAATTCAACAAGCAAAAAACAAAACTCCATTTTAAAAAAGTGGGCAAAGAACATGAGCAGATACTTCTCAAAAGAAGACATACAAGTAACCAACAAACATATGAAAAAATGCTCCACATCACTAAGCATCAGAGAAATACAAATCAAAACCACAATTAGTATCATCTCACACCAGTCAGAATGGCTATTATTAAAAAGTCAAAAAGTCAAAAAATAACAGATATTGGTGAGGCTGTGGAGAAAAGAGAATGTTTATACACTGTTGGTGGGAATGTAAATTAGTTCGACCACTGTGGAAAGCAGTTTGGAGATTTCTCAAAGATCTAAAAATAGAATTACCATTCAACCCAGAAATCTTATTACTGGGTATATATTCAAAGGAAAATAAATCATTCTACCAAAAAGACACATACACTTGTATATTCATCACAGTACTATCTATAATAGTAAAGACATGGAATCAACCTAGGTGCCCATCAATGGTGGACTAGATAAAGAAAATGTGGTAAATATACACCATGGAATATTATGCAGCCATAAAAAAGAATGAAATCATGTCCTTTGCAGCAACCTGGATGCATCTGGAGGCCATTATCCTAAGTGAATTAACGCAGAAAGAGAAAACTAAATACTACATGTTCTCACTTATAAGTGGAAGCTAAGCATTGGGTACACATGGACATAAAGAAGAGAACGATAGACATCAGGGCAGAAGGGAGGAAGAGAGAAAAGGACTGAAAAACTACCCATTGAGTACTATGCTCACCACCCTGAGTGATAGGATCAATCATGCCCCAAACCTCAACATCCTGCAATATATTCATGTAACAAACCTGCACATGTACCCCTTGAATCTAAAACAGGAGTTAATTTTTTTTTTTTTTTTAGATGGAGTCTCGCTCTGTCGCCCAGGCTGGAGTGCAGTGGCACAATCTCGGCTCAGTACAGCCTCTGCCTCCCAGGTTCAAGCAATTCTCCCACCTCAGTCTCACAAGTAGCTGGGATTACAGGCACCCACCACCACGCCTGGCTAATTTTTGCATTTTTAGTAGAGATGGGATTTCACCATGTTGGCCAGGCTGGTCTCGAACTACTGACCTCAGGCGATCCACCCACCTCTGCCTCCCAAAGGCTGAGATTACAGGCGTGAGCCACCGTGCCAGCCCCAAAATTTTTTTTAAAAAAGAAATGCCCTTCCCAAACTCTTGCTGCAACTTCTAGTCTGTTCCAACCAGGGTGCTGGGTTCCCAGAAGGTACCCAGGAAGTATTCGTGGCCCCCAAGGAGGCAGTGGAGGTAAAAGAAATGCCATGCCTGAAATGAGAAGCAAAAACACTGAAAGGCTGGGGGCGGTGGCTCACGCCTGTAATCCCAGCACTTTGAGAGGCTGAGGTGGGTGGATCACTTGAGGCCAGGAGTTCGAGACCTGCCTGGCCAACATAGCAAAATCCCATCTCTACTAAAAATACAAAAATTACCAGGGCGTGGTGGCAGGTGCCTATAGTCCCAGTTACTTGGGAGGCAGAGACAAGGAGAACTGCTTGAACACAGGCGGTGGAGGTTGTAGTAAACTGAGATGGCGCCACTGCACTCCAGCCTGGCCGACAGAGCGAGTCTGTCACCTGTCTCAAAAACAAACAAACAAACAAAAACACTGAAGAAGAAGGGAAAGAGGGAGAGAGAGGGGAGCAACTCAGGCGTAAGCTGCAGCTAGGGAGACGAAATGGTCTTTTGTCTGGTATGGTCTCAACTTTAGCATCGAAAGTCTCTAGTCCCAGGAAACCCATCAGTCCTGGGCAAACTTGGCCTTTTGGTTACCTTAGCTTAGCTAAAGGGAAAGGAAGAGGGTGGGGTCTGGGAGAGGGTGGGGTCTGCATTTATCAAAAGTAGAAAGAGGACTGGGGAGACCAGGGCAAAAGAATAAATGTGCAAAGTGCAGTTCAATAATCTGTTTGTATGCCTGAGGTCTGGGACTGGATCTGGATTTTATATTCAGGTCATCCACCAGGTCTTAAGGGTTTAGATTCTGGAATTTATAAACAAGGGTTTAAATCTTCTGAGACTCCATTTTCTCATCTGTAAAATGGGTCAATTAATAGTACTTTGCTCATGGAGTTATTAAAAGGGTTAAACTAGACAATAAATGTAAAGTACTCAGCATCGTGCATATGGTAAGTAAATAGTAGGTATTAGTGCTATTACCTGGCTTCTAGTGGTTGCCCAGTAAATGTTTAATCCTTAATGGCCCCTCTTGATCCCTGATGAAAGGGGTCAGGTAGAAGGCTTGGGGCGGGGGTGTGATTTTTGTCCCAGGCTCGCAGCCCCCTCTTGACTCCTGCTAGGAGAGGGCAAAGTACTGAGGACTTGCCATTTACCTTTGTTGATGCAGTTAAGGGCTTCTGGGGAAGCGGGAATTAATCCAAGAGGGAGCCGGGTCTATCCATGGGTAAATGAATCTGACCAGGACCTTCATTTGCACCCTAAATGCCATCCAGCCATCATCTTACATATCCCCAGTCCATTCCCCCTTCCACTCTCCTAGGTGACAACTTCCCACCTCCTCCGTGCGCTGCCACCTACAAGAGCTCCTCCTCCCTTGCAACCAATGGCCTTGTTCCTGGCTTGTCCAGCAAACTGAAACCATCGAAAAAGGACTTTGCCGGGAGCGGTGGCTCACGCCTGTAATACCAGCACTTTGGGAGGCCGAGGCGGGCTGATCACAAGGTCAGGAAATCGAGACCATCCTGGCTAACACGGTGAAACCCAGTCTCTACTAAAAATACAAAAAATTAGGTGGGCGTGGTGGCGGGCGCCTGTAGTCCCAGCTACTCTGGAGGCTGAGGCAGGAGAATGGCGTGAACCCGGGAGGCGGAGCTTGCAGTGAGCCGAGATGCGCCGCTGCACTCCAGCCTGGGCAACAGAGCGAGACTCCGTCTCAAAAAAAAAAAAAAAAGAAGAAAGAAAAGAAAAGAAAAAGGACTTTGGCAGCCTCTGCCACCATATGTACCCACCAATCTGCCTTCCCACTTGCCACTTGGGATGAACTGTCCCCTGCTCTTAGCTCAAACCAACACCATCCCCTCTCATCCACGCAAGGACAGCTCCCTCAATTCTCTCCTTTCCTGCGCTGTTAAATATTCCCTCTTCACTACATCACTCTCATTAGCATAAGAACGTTTCTGATTTCTCCTGTCTTAAAAAACTTTCCCTTGAGCCCACTTCCTCCTGCAGCCACTGCCCACTTCTCTGCTTCCCATAGAAACAAAATATTCAAAAGAGGCCAGGCGGGTGGCATGCGTCTGTAGTCCCAGCTACTTGAGAGGCTGAGGCAGGTGGATTGCTTGAGCCCAGGAATTCAGGTCCGGCCCTGTCTCTTAAAAAAAAAAAAATTCAAAAGAATTGTCTATATCTGCTGTCTCCTTTTCCTCTTCTCACCTCCCTCTCTCTTTTTTTCATTGTGAAATGTAAAGCTTGTAGAAAAATGCTGAAAACATTAATATACTCATAGGACCCAGCAATCCCACTCCTGGGTATATGCCCAAAGGAATGAAAAGCAAGGATTCAAAGAGAGTATGCCAACATTGTATGCCAATATTCACAGCAGCACTATTCACAATCGCCAAAAGGTGGAAACAACCCAAGTGTCTATCAGCAGATGAACGGATAGACAAAACATAATACAGTCATTCCTCAGTATCCATGAGTGGACTGGTTCCAGGACCCCAGCAGATACCAAAATCTTGGGATGCTCAAGTCCCTTAAATAAAATGGTGTAGTACTTGCATATAACATATACTTTAAATCATCTCTAGATTACTTATATCATACCTAATACAATGTAAATGCTATGTAAACAGTTGTTATAGCATATTGTTTTTTATTTGTATTATTTTTATTGGGCTTTTTTTGGGTAATATTTTCTTTTTTTTTTTTAGAGATGGGAGATCTCACTACGTTACCCAGACTGGTCTCAAGCTCCTGAGCTCTAAGGATCCTCCCGCATTACTCTCAAGTAGCTGAGACTACAGACATGGGCCACTACGTATAGTCTTTCAATATTTTCAATCTGAGGTTGATTGAATCTGAGAATGCCAAACCCACAATACGAGAGCCAACTGTGTATCCCTATCATAGAACAGTATTTAGTTACACGAAGGAACGAAATTCTGATACATGCTACAACATGGATGAATCTTAAAAATGCTATGCTAAGTGAAAGAAGCCAGACACAAAAGGACAAATGCTGTATGACTCCACTTATACGAAATATCTAGAATAAGCCCCTGGCCCGCCCTACCTGTGGCGTGGCGTCAGCAGCGGCTGCGTTAGAGGCGGGTGGCGGCGCGGGTGTTTACGTCAGGTCGCAGGGTGTCGCTGGCAGCATGGCGGACTACCTCATCAGCGGCGGCACCCGCTACCAGCCCGAGGATGGGCTCACCGCACAGCAGCTCTTTGCCAGCGCTGACGACCTCACCTACAACGATTTCCTGATTCTCCCAGGATTCATAGACTTCCTAGCTGGTGAGGTGGACCTGACCTCAGCCCTGACCCGGAAGATCACGCTGAAGACGCCACTGATCTCCTTTCCCACGGACACTGTGATAGAGGCCGACATGGCCATCGCGATGGCTCTGATGGGAGGTATTGGTTTCATTCACCACAACTGCACCCCAGAGTTCCAGGCCAACAAGGTGCAGAAGGTCAAGAAGTTTGAACAGGGCTTCATCACAGACCCTGTGGTACTGAGCCCCTTGCACACTGTGGGTGATGTGCTGGAGGCCAAGATGCGGCATGGCTTCTCTGGCATCCCCATTACTGAGACCGGCACCATCGGCAGCAAGCTGGTGGGCATCCTCACCTCCCGAGACATCGACTTCCTTGCTGAGAAGGACCACACACCCTCCTCAGTGAGGTGATGACGCCAAGGATGGAGCTAGTGGTGGCTCCAGCAGGCGTGACGTTCAAAGAGGCAAATGAGATCCTGCAGCGTAGCAAGAAAGGGAAGCTGCCTGTTGTCAATGATCATGATGAGCTGGTGGCCATCATCGCCCGCACGGACCTGAAGAAGAACCGAGACTACCCTCTGGCCTCCAAGGATTCCCACAAGCAGCTGCTGTGCGGGGCAGTTGTGGGCACCTGTGAAGATGACAAATTCCGCCTGGGCCTGCTCACCCAGGCGGGCGTCGATGTCATAGTCTTGGACTCGTCCCAAGGGAACTCGGTGTATCAGATTGCCATGGTGCGTTACATCAAACAGAAGTACCCCCACCTCCAGGTGATTGGGAGGAATGTGGTGACAGCAGCCCAGGCCAAGAACCTGATTGACGCTGGTGTGGATGGGCTGCACGTGGGCATGGGCTGCGGCTCCATCTGCATCACCCTGGAAATGATGGCCTGTGGTCGGACCCACGGCACTGCTGTGTACAAGGTGGCCGAGTATGCCTGGCGTTTTGGTGTGCCCATCATAGCTGATGGTGGCATCCAGACCGTGGGGCACGTGGTCAAGGCCCTGGCCCTTGGAGCCTCCACAGTGATGATGGGCTCCCTGCTGGCCACCACCACGGAGGCCTCCGGTGAATACTTCTTCTCAGACGGGGTGCCGCTCAAGAAGTATCAGGGCATGGGCTCTGTGGATGCCATGGAGAAGAGCAGTAGCAGCCAGAAACGATACTTCAGCGAGGCGGATAAGGTGAAGTTCTCGCAGGGTATCTTGGGCTCCATCCAGGACAAAGGGTCCATTCAGAAGTTCGTGCCCTACCTCATAGCGGGCATCCAGCACAGTTGCCAGGATATCGGGGCCCGAAGCCTGGCTGTCCTTCGGTCCATGATGTACTCAGGAGAGCTCAAGTTTGAGAAGGGGACCGTGTCGGCCCAGATCGAGGGTGGCGTTCATGGCCTGCACTCTTACGAGAGGTGGCTGTACTGAGGAGAGTGGTGGAGGCCGAGGTGGTTGAAGGGGCGTGCCCCGCTTTCCCCCTTTGGGCACAGCCTCCCTCCTTAACTGAGTGATCCACAGATTTACACTATGGGTTCCCCAGCTCCTTTCCAGGGAGAGAGGACGGGAGGCCCTGAGGGTACTGTTGCCCCTCGCTGGGCATCTCCCACAAAGTCAGGACCGCTCCCTGGGCCAGGCTGCCCTGGGAAGCCCAGCCCAGCCAGCCAGGCTCTCAGGCCCTGCGCCTGCCTCAGGTCTTTCTTGCTGCAGCCTGCTCCAGCCCGGCCCCCACCCCAGGGGCAGGCCGCCCCTCCTGGCTTCTCCTGTAGGACACCTCCCTGCCCCCCAGCTCCCCAAGAAATGGCACTCTCCTGGCCCTGCCTCTGGCCCTTCCCAGGCTGCTGCCCCCTCAGCCATGTGGCACTTCTGAGCTCCTGACCTAGGCCAGCGGGAGGTCTCTGCCCGCTTCTCCGGCACTGGGCTCCAATTGAGTCCTGCTCCTCAGGCCACTCCCCTGTCCCTGGCCCTGGGGAGGACACTGCCCTGGTCATGGCCACCTGCCCATCGTTCCTGACTCACCACCGTCCCCAGGTGTGCCATTCCTGCCCTCTCCTCAGCTGCAGTTTAAGGCTTTAACTTTGCACACTTTGGGATCACAGTTGCGACATTGTGGGTATTAAATAATTGGAATAAATCAAGCAGATCTCAACGCCTCCAAAAAAAAAAAATCTAGAATAGGCAAATTCATAGAGACAAAGCCAAATAGAAGTTACTAAAGAGACAAAGCCGAATAAAACTTACCAAAGGCTAGGGAGAGGGGAGAATGGGGAGTTAATGCTTAATGGGTACCGAGTTTCTGTTTGGGTTTATGAAGTTTTGGAAGCAGGTAGTGTGAAGGTTGCACAACATTGTGAATGTACTTAATGCAATTGAATTGTATGCTGAAAATGGTTAAAATGGCAAATTTTCTGTGGTATATATGTTTTACTACAATTTCAAAAAATTAATAATTTAATATACCAAATGCCAGAGACTTGTACCGTTTAAATGGGTGAATTATACCTTAATAAAGCTGTTAAAAATAAAATTGTAAAACATAATTGTACAGTTTAGTGAGTTATCATGAAGCAAACACTTGTGTAATGACCACTCTATAATCAAGAACCAGAAAAATTTTGAGACTACTCTGGCCAACATAGTGAGACCCCATCTCTAATTTTTCTTTAAAAACTTATTTTTGAAAAAGTAAAAAAAAAAGAACCATAACATTGCCAGCACCACCAAAGCACCCCCCTGTATCCCACCCATTCCCACTCTTCTCCCCACTAACCTAACTTCTTGGTAGTAATTTCTTAGCATTCTCTTATACTTTTACAGCCTAGTTAGGCATCCCTAAACATACTAGTTCAGTTTTGCCTGTTTTTGAATTTTATATAAATGAGATAACATAGAAAGTGTTCTTTTGTGTCTGGTTTCATTTGCTCATCATTATGTTTCCGAGATTCAACTATGTTGTTGGATATAAGCTACAGGTGGTTCATTTGCATTGCTGTACACTAGTGTTCCATTGCATTATTTTTTCTTTTGAGATGGAGTCTCTCTCTATTGCCCAGGCTGGAGTGCAGTAGCACAATCTCGGCTCCCTGCCACTTCTGCCTCCCGGGTTCAAGAGATTCTCGTGCCTCAGCCTCCCAGGTAGTTGGATTACAGGTGCCCACCACCTTGCCGGTTAATTTTGTATTTTCAGCAGACAGGGTTTCACCATATTGGCCAGGCTGGTCTCGAACTCCTGACCTCAGGGGATCCGCCATCCTCGGCCTCCCAAAGTGCTGGGATTACAGGTATGAGCCACCACGCCCGGCCGCATTTGTATATTAAAATGTACTTACCCATTCTATTGTTAATGAGTATTTGCTGCTATGAGCAGTTTATGCGTGTACATGCATTTCTGACTGATATAAACCTTGGAGTGGAATTTTTGGTTCTCAGCGTTATGCATATCCTCCACTTTGGTAGATAATGCTCAATTATTTTTGAAAATGTTCTATTTCACACTCCCACTAGCAGTGTGAAAGTTCCTGTTGTTCCATATCCTTGCAAAGACTTAGTATTGTCACTCTTAAACTTTAGCCATTCTAGTGGGAGTATAATGGTATCTCCTTGTGGTTTTCATTTCCATTTCCTTTCTCACTAATAAGATTGAGCCCCTTTTTGTCATTTATTTGCACTCTTTTCCTAAATGCTTGTTCAAATCTCTTGCCCACTTTTCTACTGTGTTTGTCCGTCTTTTGCTTAATGATTTGTAGGAGTGTTTGTTTGTTTGTTTGTTTGAGACGGAGTTTCACTCTTGTTGCCCAGGCTGGAGTGCAGTGGCACGATCCCGGCTCACTGCAACCTCTGCCTCCCGGTTTCAAGTGATTCACCCACCTTAGCCTCCTGAGTAGCTGGAATTACAGGCACGCATCATGACACCCTGCTAATTTTTGTATTTTTAACACAGACGGGCTTTCACCCTGTTGGCCAGGCTGGTCTCCAACTCCTGACCTCAGGTCAGCCAAGTTTCATTTTTGCAAATACAGGTATCCCTTTATCCCTGTACCATTTATTGAAAAGATCATTCTTTTTCCACTGTCTTACAAGGTTACCTTTGTTGTAAATCAAATTTCCATATACGCAAAGATTTGTTTCTGGACCCTCTATTATGCCATGCTGGTTTATTTTTATTTCAATTATTTTCAGTTGTATATACTGTCAGTTTATAAGTCTTAATACAGAGTAGAGCAAGTCTCAATCTTCAAGCATGTCACAGTTCTTGGGACTTTGAATTCCACAAACTTTCAGTATGGAATTTCCATAAACTTTTAATTTGTCAAGTTCCACAAACAGACAAATAAAAACACCTTTTCAGATTTTGATTATGATTGCATTGAATCTGAAGATCAATTTGGGAAGTATTTATATCTCTATAGTATTGAACCTTCCAATTCTGGAACATGGTATATTTCTCTCTCTCTCTTTTTTTTTTTTTGTTTATTTTTGAATATTTCTCTCAGTAATGTTTAATAGTTTTCTGCAGGACAGCTTGTGCTTTTTTTAAAAAAAGTCATTCCTGAGTAGTTGATATTTTTTGGTGCCGTGGTAAATAGCACTGAATTTCAGTTTCTGTTGGTTATTCTATTCTATGTACCCAGTAACATTATCTACAAATAATTCATTTTACTTTGTCTTGTCTACTTCTTTTACTTTTACTTTCTTTTTCTTTTTCTTGTTTTGCTGGAATAGCTGGCACCATTGTAGGGATCTTTCTCTTTCTCCTGATCTCAAAGAAAAGGTTTCTATATTTCACCATTTCTATATTTCACCACTAAGTATAATTTTTGCTGTAAGTTTTTTGCAGATAACTTCCATCAGAATAGAGAAGTTTGCCAAGAGTTCGTATCTATAAATGAATGTTACTTTTATAAAACATTTTTTCTGGCTGGGCGCGGTAGCTCACGCCTGTAATCCCAGCACTTTGGGAGGCCGAGGCAGGCGGATCACGAGGTCAGGAGCTCGAGACCAGCCTGGCCAATATGGTGAAACCCCGTCTCTACTAAAAATACAAAAATTAGCCAGGCATGGTGGCACACGCCTATAGTCCCAGCTACTCGGGAAGCTGAGGCAGAAGAATTGCTTGAACCCGGGAGGCGGAGGTTGCAGTGAGCCGAGAACGCGCCACTGCACTCCAGCCTGGGCGACAGAGCAAGACTCTGTTTCAAAAAAAAAAAAAAAAAAAAACCAAACACCAAAAAAACACACACTTTTTCTGCATTTTTAAGGAGGATTGTATATTTCTTGCCTTTCCTGTTAATGTGGCAAATTCTATTGGTTGATTTTCTACTATCAAAATAACTGTATTTCTGAAAAAAATCTTACATGGTAAAAGTATATTATCTTTTTATTTTTCCCCATGTTCTATTGCTAGGTTCGGTCTGCTAATAATTTGTTAGTGTAGTTTGTATCTATGTTCTTGAGACAGACAGGCCAGTAATTTTTCTTATTCATAATGCTCTTGTTGTGTTTCCTTATCTAGGTAATGTGGGCTTTACCAGAGGAGTGCAAGGAGTGGTCCCTCATTTTTACTGTCTAGAAGAGTTTTATAATATTGGTAATATTTTGCCTCTAAATGTTTGGTAGAATTCTTAGGGGAAATTATCTAGAACTAGAGCTTCTGTGGTGTGATGGGTGACGCACTGGGAGAGATGTGGGGGAGTTTTAAAAGATTCAGTTTATTCAGTATTTCTAGAACTATTCAGATTTTCTATTTCTTCTTGCATCTTTTTTAAAATTTTTGTGGAGATGGGGCCTCGCTATGTTTCCCAGGTTGGTCTTGAACTCCTAGGCTCAAGCAATCTGACCACCTCAGCCTCCCAAAGTGCTGGGATTATAAATGTGAGCCACCATGCCTGGCCGCATCTTTTTGATATGTTTTATTTTTCTAAAACTTTGCTCATTTCATCTAATTTTAAAGTTTATTGCAATAAAACTGATCAAAATATCATTTTAGTATCTTTGTCACATCAGAAGGATCTATAGTGATATCTTTTTTAAAATTCCTGACACTAATAAGTTTGTGTCTTCTCTCATTTTTTCTCTATCAGCGTTGACATGGATTTATCAATTTCATCAATCTTTTTAGAGAACCAACTTTTGGTTTTGTTGAACTTCTCTATTACATCTTTGTTTTTTATTTCATGATTTCTACTCTTTGGTATTTCATTCCTTCTACTTCCTTTGGTTTAAGTTTGCTGTTCTTTTTCTAGCTTCTTGATATGGATGCTTAGCTCATTAATTTTTTTTGAGACAGAGTCTCGCTCTGTTACCCGGGCTATAGTGCAGTGGTGTGATCTCGGCTCACTGCAAGCTCCGCCTCCCGGGTTCACGCCTTTCTTCTGCCTCAGCCTCCGAGTAGCTGGGACTACAGGCGCGTGCCACCACGCCCGGCTAATTTTTTGTATTTTTAGTAGAGACGGGGTTTCACCATGTTAGCCAGGATGGTCTCAATCTCCTGACCTCGTGATCCACCCTCCTCGGCCTCCCAAAGTGCTGGGATTACAGGCATAAGCCACCGTGCCCGGCCTCAGGCTTTCTCCTTTTTCCAATACATACATTTAAGGGTATAAATTTCTTAACGAATGCTGCTTTATCTGTGTCCCACAAGTTTTGGTATATAGAATTTTCATTGTCATTCAGTTCAAAATATTGTCTTATTTTCACTATTCACAATAGCAAAGACATGGAATTGGCCTAGGTGCCCATCAATGGTGGACTGGATAAATGAAATATGGTACATATACACCATGAAATACTATGCAGCCACAAAAAAAGAATAAAATCAATGTCCTTTGCAGCAACATGGATGCAGCTGGAGATCATAATAACAGGAATGGAATATCAAATACTGCATGTTTTCACTTATGGGAACAATAGACACTGTGGACTACTGGGGAAAGATGGGGATGTGGGTGTGGGTTGAATAACTACCTATTTGGTACTATGCTTACTACCTGAGTGAGGGAATCTGTACCCCAAACCTCAGCCCCATGCAATATACCCGCATAACAAACCTGCACATGTGCCCCCTGAATCTAAAATAAAAGTTGAAATTATTATTATTAGTTATTTTTAAAGCCAAACACAAAGAGACTTTTACATTATCTTTTTAGTATTGATTTTTAGCTTATTGGCATTGAGGTAGAGACCATGCACCATTTTTTGAAATTTGTTGAAACTTGCTTTATGGCCCAATCTACAGTTAATCTTTTGTAACTATCTTATTGGAATTGATAAAGAAGTTATTTTCTATACTTGTTGGCTACATTATTCTTTCTATGCCTATTAGGTCATGTTTGTTAGTTGAGTTGTACAAATGTTCTATATCCTTACTGATACCTTTGTCTGTTTGTACTATCAGTTACTGAGCAAGGTTTGTCAAAATCTCCCCTATGGGCTGGGTATGGCAGTTCATGCCTATATCCCAGTGTTTTGGGAGGCTAAGTGGGGAGGGTGGCTTGAGGCCAGGAATTCAAGGTTACAGTGAGCTATTATCACACCACTACACTCCAGCCTGAGTGACAGAGTGAGACCTTGTCTGTTAAATAAATAAATAAACCAACAAATAAATAAGTAAAATCTCTACCGTGATCAAGGACTGGGCTTTCCTTTTGTAATTAAATTTTTGCTTTATTTTGGGGCCTTCTTATTAGAAGCATACACATTTAGAACTGGTATATCTTCCTGGTGAATCGAACATTTTTTAATCATGATAACATCTTCTTTATCTGTAGTAATGCTTTTGTCCATAATGCTCATTTTTGTCTGAAAATATAGTCACATTGGCTTCCTTTCTTTCTTTGGTGTATTCTTTGTATACATATCTAACCAGTTACTTTACACATAATATAATTACAATATACTTAATTTTAAGCTAATCATCTTGATGAATGCTTGCTATTTGTCATGCTATCATTTGGATCAATTTAGTGTTTTTCAATATTATTTCATTTATTAGTATTTTTAAGGAGACTCTATGGCTTTTATTCTTAGCATTTAATTAGTGATATCACCTTCAATTTTCATTATTTTTTTCCAATGCATTGGATGCTTCCAGAAACATCCCTCCAATTCCATAATCTTTTGTTCAATGTGTTTTTTAAAAAATTATTATCAATATTATTTTTGATTGACAAATCATAATTATCTACATTTATGGGGTACAATGTGATGTGTTGATATATGAATACAATGTGGCCTGATTAAATCAAGCAAATTAACATATTCATCACCTCAATTACCTATCATTTTTTATGATTAGACATTTGAAATGTACTCTCTTAGTATTATATATTTCAAAAATTCAATAGTCTTTATAATTACTATTTCCCTTGTACCTCTTAAATGCCTGAGACATTGCACCAGGCCAGTGAATTTCTTGCCAGCAGTATCCCATGCCAGCTGCATTAAAAGAGACCCTTATCTACTGTAGCCAGTGGACAGAAAAAGCTGAGAGTCAGGCCTAGGAGTTAATTATAAGAGCATCAGAGCTCCAGAGAAAGTGAAATTTTCAACTCCAGTGAGTCCGCTCTACCAAGATCAGGGCCCTGATTGGGAAGGAGTGGCGCCTTGAGATATGGAACACGACATCTGGATCAATGCTATCAAAAAAATCTTAACTCACCATATACCCCAAACCCTCTGGGCCTGCAGAAGTGGCCCACTCCACCTTGTTTAAGGCTAGTGCCTAGCAAAAATGGTGGAATAAGAAATGCCAAAAGTTCATCCCTCCATAAATGCAATGAAAAAACAGGCAAAAATGGTTGGAATCAACTTTTTCAGAACTCTGGAAATTAACTCAAAGCTTGCAGCAACCAGGAGACTACTTAAGAAAAACAGGCTGAACCTCAGTAGGAATGATGAGCTTTGTGGCATTTTAACTTACTCTGAAAACATTTATAGGTAATTGTGTTAGTCACTGCTATCTGAGGCAATGGATAATAGTTGGGACAGGCAATAGACTAACCAAAAATCTTGGGAGAAAAATCTGAATAATGAGGTGATTTGGGAATAAGAGCTTTGAAAAGTTCTGGCATATTCCTGGGAATCCAAAAGGCCGCATGCATGCCCAGGACTATGTGCAGGCTCAGAAAAGACCTGAGAAGACCCTAAGTTCCCACCTCTGGCTGCCCTTCAGGCTCCATACAAGCAGGAAGTGAAGGCTAAGGCAGAGTTTTAAACTGCCTGGCTGAGTGTTGAAGGTGTGCCCCAACATGCAAACACACAGAAATTTAAGGAAATCTCTACAATTTTTAGCTGACCACTAAGCAAATGGAACAGAGGAAAAAGAAATTCTTCTTTAAAATAACTAATTTAAATAATTGATTTTTATAATGAAAGAGAAATTAAGACATGCCCAGATAAACAAAAACAGAGGGAGTTCGTCACTAGTACACCTACCCTATGAGAAATGCTAAAGGGAGTCCTTCAGGCTGAAATGAAAGGACACTGGACAGTAATTCAAACCCACATAAAGAAATAAAGGACACCAGTAAAGGTAAGTACATAGACAAATATAGAAGTCTGTATTGGCCAGGCATGGTAGCTCACACTCTGTAATCCCAGCATTCTGGGAGGCCGAGGTGGGTGGATCACCTAATGTCAGGAGTTCAAGACCAGCCTGGTCTACATGGTGAAACCCTGTCTCTACTAAAAATACAAAAATTAGCTGGGCGTGGTGGCAGGTGCCTGTAATCCCAGTTATTCAGGAGGCTGAGGCAGGAGAATCGCTTGAACCCAGAAGACGGAGGTTGCAGTGAACCAAGATTACACCACTGCGTTCCAGCCTGGGTGACAGAGTGAGACTCTGTCTAAAAAATAATAATAATAATAAAAAACTTTGTTAGAAAGTATTTTTGGTTTGTAGCTCCTTGTTTCCTATCTTATTTAAAAGACATCTATAAGAAACAATAATTATAAATCTATGTTAATGGGCACATAATGTATAAACATACAATTGTGACAATAACAACATGGGAAGGGGGACAGAGCTATATGGAGGAACAATTTTGTATACTATTGAAATTAAGGCCAGGCATAGTGGCTCACACCTATGGTCTCAGCACTTTGGGAGGCTGAGGTGGGAGGATCACTTGAGCCCAGGAGTTCAGGACCAACCTAGGCAATATAGTGAGACCTGGTTTCTACAAAAAGTTTTAAAATTAGCCAGACATGGTGGCATGTGCCTGTAATTCCACCTATTTGGGAGACTGAAGCAGGAGGATCACTTGAGCCCAGGAGTTCGAGGCTGCAGTGAGCTATGATTATGCCACTGCACCCTCACTGCACTGGGTGACAGAGTAAGACCCTGTCTCTGAAGAAAAGAAAAAGAAAAGGAATTAAGTTGGCATTGATATGAACTGGGTTGTTGTAAATGTAAGATGTTAATTATAATCGCCAGGGCAGCCACTAAGAAAATAACCCAAAAATGTATAGTAAAAAGAAATGGCAAGAGAACTCAAGTGTTACACTAGAAAATATCCAATTGATATGAAAGAAGGCAGTAATGGAGGAACTGAGGAACAAAAAAAGTAAGACATACAGGGAATGAATAACAAAATAGCAGAAGTAAGTCCTTTCTTATCAGTAATTACGTTAAATGTAAATAGGTGTAACTCTCCAATACAGAGATTAGCAGAATGAATAAAATACATGATCCAACTATATGCTATCTACAAGAGATTTACTTTAGATTCAAAAACGCAAATAGATTGAAAGTAAATGAATGAAAAAATATATTCCATGCAAACAGTAACCAAAAAGAGAGGTGGAGTGACTATACTTAAGGCTAGTGATAGCCTTTTGTTTGAAGACGGTGCAGAGGCCTCTACCCTGCAAGATAACACATAGCCCACCCCCTACTGGGATCTACCCCAACCATTTCTCCTGGTTGCTAGGTCAATAACTAGGGTTCAGTCATAACATTACCCAGCCACTAAAGTGCCGGGCCTGCTAAGAGAGGAGAGTGGCTATATTTCAAAAGACTGTAAGAGCAAACCATGTAATGGCAGAAGCCCAGAGAGTATGGATGAGATTCTGAGGATTCTGTATCAAGGGAGGGGTTATGACTAAAACTGTCTCCCGTAAGAGCTATTTTGAAGTCCAAACCTCCAGTACCCCAGAATGTGACCTTATTTGGAAAAAGGACTCTTGCAGACTTAACCAAGTTAAGATGAGGTCATCTAGAAGGGCCCTACATCAAAACAACTGGTGTCCTTTAAAAAGAAAAAATTTGAACACAGACACACACAAAGGGAAGATGATGTGAAGATGCACAGGGGAATGCCATGTGAAGATGGGGCAGAGGCTAAATGCAGCTGTAAGCCAAGGAGCACCAAGCATTGGCAGCACCACCAGAAACTAGAAAGAGGCAAGGAAGGATTCTACCCAGAGTCTCAGAGGGAGCATGGCCCTGCCAACATCTTGACTTCAGACTTCCCGCTTCTAGAACCATGAGACAATAAATTTCTGTTGTTGGAAGCCACTCAGTTTGCGGTATTTTGTTCTGGTAGCCCGAGTAAACTAATTCAGGAGGTAAGCCATAAAGTTGGCTAAGGGAGAGTTTATTGATAGATGCCCACTCATCTATGATATGAGATTTTAAACCTTGGCAGGACCCTTGGGAGATGGTGTTACACACATTGTTGGAAGCTTGGAGAAACCAATGGGCACCACTGAATGAGGTAGAAATGGGAGAACTGCCATGGCAGGCTGTGGAAGGAAGACCAAAAAGCACAGAAAAATAGGCATGCTAGGGGATTGTTATGGACTGAATTGTGCCCTCCTAAAATTCATATGTTGTAGCCTTACTCTCCAATGTGACTGTATTTGGAGATAGGGAGCATAGGGGGGTAATTAAGGTTAAATGAAGTCACAAGGGTGGGACTGTAATGCTGCAGGACTGGTATCTTTATAAGGAGAGAAAGAGACTTCAGAGAGATCTTGCTCTCCATGCAAGTACAGAGAAGAGGCCATGTGAGACACAGTAAGAAGTAAGAAGATGGCTGTCTGCAAGCCAGGAAGAGAGGTCTCACCAGAAACCAACCCTGATGACACCTTGATCTTGTACTTCCAGCCTCCAAAACTGTGAGAGAACAAATGTCTGTTGTTTAAGCCACCCAGCCTGTGGTATTTTGGTACTGCAGCCTGAGCAACTAATATAGGGGTTGTATTATATAAAGTCCTCACTGGAGGACCCCCAAGTACACACTTTATCAAAGCAATAAACAATGCATGGGTAACAGGAGAGCCAGCATCAATGAGAAACTCAGTGGCCATCCATCAGGATGGTTGGGAATGATGGTAGGATATGCTGTTACAGAACGGAGCTCACTGATAGCAATGAGGATGATGGAATCCCAAAATGACAGATGGTAGGTGGTGACACTCGACTCTCAGAGGAAGGTGGGTGGCAGGTAGAGACAAGTGCCTGACCAAGGGGAATCAAGTGATCACACAGCCAGAACTAACCATCATGACCTGGGTTCTGTCAGACCCACCAAGTCATAGGTTTAGGAAGGCCAAAAAGCAGTCCTTCAGAAGATGGAGGTGGAACATGTAGATCATTTACAAGCAAAGCCAGAGAGCACAAGCAAGTGGCTAAGCAAGAGACGCAGACCCCTCAACCATCTACCACTGTTCCATCTGTGCCTCTGCCCCAGCTCACACTTAGGGCTTCATGGGGTATTCTTTGTGACCAGCTAATTAATGGAAGAGGGAAAAAGCCAAGCTTGGTTCATGGATGAGAAAGCTCAGAATGTTCACACAAACTAAAAATTGATGGCAGCAGAGAGAAAGGAAGTAGAGAATAGAAAAACAATAGAAAGAAACAACAAACCAAAAGTTGGTTCTTTGAAGATATCAGCAAAATTTACAAACCTTTAGCTAGGATGACTAAGAAAAAGAGAGAAAACAAAGATAACTAAAATCAGAAATTTTTTTATGGTTTTGACACTTTATTCTATTAATATGGTATGTTATGTTAATTGATTTTAGGATGTTAAACCACCTTTGCATTCCTGGGATGAATGCCAGTTGGCCGGAGTATATAATCCCTTTCTTTTTTAGTTTTTTATTTCCATAGGTTTCTGGGGAACAGGTGGTATTTGATTACATGAGTAAGTCCTTTAGTGGTGATTTGTGAGATTTTGGTGTACCCATCTCCCCAGCAGTATACATTGAACCCAATTTTTTGGTAGTCATTTATCCCTCACCCCCTTCCCACCCTTTCCCCCCGAGTCCCCAGAGTCCATTGTGTCATTCTTATGCCTTTGGGTCCTCATAGCTTAGCTCCCACTTATGAGTGAGAACATACGATGTTTGGTTTTCTATTCCTGAGTTACTTCACTTACAATAATAGTCTTTAGTCCCATCCAGGTCGCTGCAAATGCCATTAATTCATTCCTTTTTATGGCTTAGTAGTATTCCATTGTGTTTGTGTGGAGATATATATATCACAGTTTTTTTAACCACATGTTGATTATTGATGGACATTTGAGTTGGCTCCACATTTTTGCAATTGTGAATTGTGCTGCTATAAACATGTGTGAGCAAGTATCTTTTTCATATAATGACTTCTTTTCCTCTGGGTAGGTACCCAGTAGTGGGATTGCTGGATCAAATGGTAGTTCTACTTTTAGTTCTTTAAGGAATCTCCACACTGTTTTCCATAGTGGTTGTACTAGTTTACATTCCCAACAGCAGTGTAGAAGTGTTCCCTTTTCATTGCATCCACACCAACATCTATTTTTTTTTAATTTTTTGTAAAATCAGAAATTTTAAAAACAACTTTATAGAAATTAAAAGGATTATGGATACTGTGAACAACTGTATGCAACAAATCAGATAATCTAGATGAAGTGGACAAATTCCCAGGAACACACAAACAATCACAATTGAGTGAAGAAAAAAATATAAAATCTCAACAAATCTTTAACAAGTAAAGAGATTGAATCAGTAATCAAAAACCTCCCAGCAAAGAAAAGTCTAGGATCAGATGACGTCACTAGTGAATTCTACCAAACATTTAAAGAACAATTAACAGCAATGCTACCTCAAATTCTCCCAAAAAATGGAAGAGAAAGGAATACTTCCCAGCATATTCTATAAGGCTTGCATGACCCTGATACCAAAGACACAAGGATGCCACAAACAAAAAAATACTACTGACCAATATCCTTTATGAACAGACAGAAAAATCCTCAGCAAAATACTAGCAAACTGAATTCAATGGAACATAAAAATGATTATATACCGTAACCAAGTGGGATATATCCCACGAATGCAAGGGTGGTTCTACATAAGAAAATAGATCAATATAACACACCACATTAAAAGAACAAAGGGAAAAAAACCATATGATCATCTCAGTAGTTGCAAAAAAAAAAAGCATTTGACAAAACTCAACAGTCTTTCATGAAAAAAACACCCAGCAAACTAAGAATAAAAAGGAATTCCTTATGAAAAACCTATAGCTAACCTCATACTCAACAGTAAAAGATAGAAAGCTCTTCCCCTAAGATCAGGAACAAGGCAAGGATGCCTGCTTTCACCACTGCTATTGAACATTGTACTGGAAATCCTAGCTACAGCAATTAGGCAAGAAAAAGAAATAACAGGCATCCAACTTGGAAAGGAAAAAGTAAAACTATTTCTGTTTGCAGATGACATCATCCTACATATAGAAAATCCTACAGAAGGCCGGGCACAGTGGTTCATGCCTATAATCCCAGCACTTTGGGAGACCAAGGCGGGCGGATCACGAGGTCAGGAGATTGAGACTATCCTCGCCAACACGGTGAAACTCTGTCTCTACTAAAAGTACAAAAAATTAGCCAGGCATGGTGGCACGCACCTGTAATCCCAGCTACTCAGGAGGCTGAGGCAGGAGAATCACTTGAACCCCGGAGGCGGAGGTTTCAGTGAGCCGAGATTGTGCCACTGCACTCCAGCCTGGGTGACAGAGTGAGACTCTGTCTCAAAAAATAAAATAAAATATAATAAAATAAAAAGAAAATCCCATAGAATACACACAAAAAACTACTAGTGCTAATAAAGAAGTTCAGCAAATTTGTAGGGTACAAGATCTACATACAAAAATCAGTTGTGGTTGCACAACAATCTGAATGTACTCAATGCCACCAAGCTATTCACTTTAAAAATGGTTAAAATGGTAAATTTTAAGTTATATATATATTACCACAATTTTTCTTAAAGAGGCAGGAGGGTCAGAGATAAAGGAGATATGATGGTAGAAACAGAATCGGAGGAATCAGAATCAGGATCAGAACAAGATTTTTTTTTGAGACAGGGTCTCACTCTGTTGCTCAGGCTGGAGTACAGTGGCACAGTCATGGCTCACTACAGCCTTGAACTACTGGGCTCAAGTGATTCTCCTGCCTCAGCCTCCCAGTAGCTGGGACTACAGGTGCATGCCACCATACCTAATTTTTTAAAAAAAAAAGAGAGACAGGGGTCTCACTTTGTTGCCTAGGCTGGTCTTGAACTCCTGGCTTCAAGCAGTCCTCCCACCTCAGCCTCCCAAAGTGCTGGGATTACAGGCCTGAGCCACTGTGCCCAGTCCAGAGCAAGATTTGAAGATGCTACGCTGGTGAGTTTGAGGATGAATGGCCACAAGTCAAGGAATGCAGGCACCCTCTGGAAGCTGGAAAAGGCAAGGAAATTGATTCTCCCCTAGAGCCTCCAGGAGGAATGTAGCTCTGCTCACAACTTAATTTTAGCTCTACAAAACTCATTTTGGACTGCTGACCTTCAGAACCCTGAGATGATACAGTTGTGGTGTTTAAAACACACACACTAAAGTAAGGACCAGATAAAAAGCTGAAAGTAGGACCAGGCAGAGTGGCTCATGCCTGTAATCCCAGCACTTTAGGAGGCTGAAGTGGGAGGATCACTTGAGCCCAAAAGTTCGAGACCAGCCTGGGCAACATAGCAAGACCCCATCTTTACAAAAATTTAAAAAATTAGCTGGGTGTGATGGCCTGTGCCTATGGTCCCAGCTACTCAAGAGGCTGACACAGGGGGATCCTTTGAGCCCAAAAGGTCAAGACTGCAGAGAGCTATTGTTACAGGATATCTGGGGTGTTGATTTTCCTGGCTGGAAACCTTTGTGGTCATGGCACCTTTGCCCACGTCCTTGTCCTGCATCCAGGAAGAATGAGGTATGCAGACAAGTGAAGGGTGAAGAAGAGTTTTATTTAGTGTTAGAACAGCTCAGAGGAGTGGGTAGCTCCTCAGTGTAGGCAGGTCATCCTATGGAATATTCAGCTCATAGCAGAGAGGAGGCTCTGGAGAGGATAGCTCCTCTCTGCAGGCAGGTCGTTTGGACATTTCTGCAGGTCTCTGAAGCTCTCAGTGGGAGAGGATAGCTTCTCTCTGCTGGCAGGTCATCTCTGCAGCTCTCAGCATAAAGGGTACTCCTCTCTGCAGCTGATCCTCCTGCCATCTCTCTGCCTTCTTTGTCCTCTGGCCATCTTCTACCCTGCTCTGGCTGAGTCCAGGGCTTTTATGAACCTCAGAGGGGAAGAAGTGAATGTAGATTGGTCTGTGGGCGGCCGTGGGTGGGCCTGGAAGAGGCACCACGAGTCCTCACTCTGGCAGCCCAGCCCCCAGCCTTCAGGCCCTCCCTGGTTTGAGAGTGGGGCCTTACTGAGGATCCCACCCCCTTCTGCCCAGGACTCTGTCTGCCTCCTGCTGCCATTCATGGCCCCTGGGCTTGGCTCCAACCCCACTCTGAGATCGGAGCCAGTGCTGGGAGTGGAGAGAGGCCAGGCAGTGGGAGGAGATACCCCTGAGACTGCAGAGATGGGGGCTCCTTCCTGGGGCGCCCAAGGGTGCAGGCTACAGAGATGCCCAGGTCCTGTGCCTGGGAGGGCAGCCTCAGCTGCACCCAGGAGCTCCCACCCCACCAACCCTGAATAGGCAGGGCTCCTGCTTGTCCCTGGCTCCTGCCTGCTTCTTGGAGTGGGAGGCCCTGCAGTAGCAGGTCGGGTGGTTACGGCTGCACCAGGGAGTGCAGAGCCTGCCTGTTCCCGGCTCCCCCAAGAGCACAGGGAGGCTCGGATCCACAGCTGCAGTTTGGGCGGCGGTGGTGCCCAAGAGGGCGGGGCTCTGCCTGCTCCGTAGAGCAGGAGGCCTGGGTCTGCAGCTGCGGTTTGGGCGGCTGCAGCCGCACAGGGAGCTCCAGTCCCAACTCAGAAGGGGCAGGGCTCCCACCGGCTCCATGGAGTGTACAGCTCCAGCCACACCTCCCTGCTGCAGTTGGCATGATGGCAGCAGCCCCTGCCATCACTATGATCGCATCACTGCACTCGTCTCAGTCTGGGTGACAGAATGAGACCATGTCTCAAAAAAAAAAAAAAAAAAAAAAATTAAAGTATTACTTATAATAGCAAGCACAGGAAAGCTTTAAAAAAAAATCACTTTTGTTTCTATATGCCAGCAATGGACAATCCAAAACAGAAACTAAAAAAAAATTTACATTTACAATACCTCCAAAAGAATAAAATGCCAAGGAACAAATTTAACCAAGGAGTTGAAAGACTTGTACACTGAAAACTATGAAATACTGCTGAAAGAAATTAAAGAAGACTTAAATAAATAGAAAGACATTCCATGTTCATAGTTTGGAAGATTTAATATTGTTAAGATAGCAATACCCCCTCCCCAAAAGACTTACAGATTTAACACAATCCCTATCAAAAGGACCTGCAATGACAGAAATGGAAAAGCTGGCTCTGATGCTCATATGGAACTGCATGGACTCTGAATAGCCACAACAACATTGTAAATGAAAAACGAAGTTTGTGGACTTACACCTCCTGATTTTAAAACTGACTACAATGCTACAGTAATCAAAACAGTGTGGTACTGGCATAAGGCTAGATGTAGAAATAAATGAATAGAATTTGGAGTCCAGAAATAAACTCAAACATCTACGGCCAATTGATTTTTTAACATGGATGTCAAAACTATTCAATGGGTAAAACTAGTTTCTTCAACAAATGGTGCTTGAACAACTCTATAACCATAAAATGAAGTTGGAATCCTACCTTACTCTATAAACAAAAATTAACTCAAGATGGGTCAGCAACCTAAATTTAAGAGGTAATGCTATGAAACTATTAGGAGAAAACCTAGGGTTAAATCTTCATCGGATTTGGCAGTAGGTTCTTAGATTTGACACCAAAAGCATAAGCAACTAAAGAAAACAAAAAGATAAATTGGACTTCATCAAAATTGGCATGCATCAACCATATTGCTGTCATTCCAATATTCACATCTATTCTCATCTTTTCCTGTGAACAGTTCCCTGATCTATGTACTGTGGCCAAGGTAACAATCTGGCTACCTCTCTGGAATACTTACAACTTTAATGAGACTGTATTGTGACAGATATAGTTACCAATTATCGATGCATTGAAAATGGAGATGAGGCTGGGCATGGTGGCTCACACCTGTAATCCCAGCACTTTGGGAGACCGAGGCGGGCAGATCACCTGAGGTCAGGAATTTGAGACCAGCCTTGCCAAAATGGTGAAACCCCGTCTCCACTAAAAATACAAAGTTATCCAGGTGTGGTGGCACACATCTGTAATCCCAGCTACTCAGGAGGCTGAGTGAGGAGTATTGCTTGAACCCAGGATGCGGAAGTTGCAATGAGCCAAGATGGCGCCACTGCACTCCAGCCTGGGCAACAGAGCGAGACTCCATCTCAAAAAAAAAAAAAAAGAGAGAGAGAAAATGGAGTTGACCTCCAGCTTGCTTGCTCAGTTTTTATTGAAATTTGTGCTTATTGGCCGGGCGCGGTGGCTCACGCCTGTAATCCCAGCACTTTGGGAGGCCGAGGCGGGCGGATCACAAGGTCAGGAGATCGAGACCATCCTGGCTAACAAGGTGAAACTACATCTCTACTAAAAATACAAAAAAAAAAAAAAAATTAGCCGGGCATGGTGGCAGGCGCCTGCAGTCCCAGCTACTCGGGAGGCTGAGGCAGGAGGATGGCGTGAACCCAGGAGGCGGAGCTTGCAGTGAGCCAAGATTGCGCCACTGCACTCCAGCCTGGGCGACAGAGCGAGACTCTGTCTCAAAACAAACAAACAAAATAAGAAATTTGTGCTTATTGAATTTGTGCTTCTTGTCCTGCAACTCTCAGCTCTGCAGGTTTGGAGTTTCTGGTTCCTAGAGAGGTAACTCTTCCACTAGGGGCTCAGAAAAAGTCCTACTAAAATTTAAACTATTGCTTCTACCCAGTCACTTTAGGTTTCACACACTAACAGACAAGCAGGCAATAAGAGGAGTCACTATCCTGGCAGGTCTAACCATGATCTTCAGGAGGAGGTAGGGCTCTGTTATACAAGGGAGACAGGAAGGATTATATTCGACCTTCAGTTGATATCCTTGGGTACCTCTTGATACTTCCTTGCTCGGTTTTGATAGGAAATGGACAAATATAGCAACCTTGGTCTGAAAAGAGGATGGTGACCAGGGCTCAGACCCTTCAAGGATGAGAATCTGTATTGTGTCAGCAGGTAAGCCACCTATGCTGACAGTTGTTCTTGAATGGTGAAGAGAATCTAGAATGGGTAGTAGAGAAGGGAGACACTGAATATCATTTGAGGCCTCAAGACC
The DNA here is from genome assembly GCF_000001405.40 of Homo sapiens. Taxonomy (NCBI): domain Eukaryota; kingdom Metazoa; phylum Chordata; class Mammalia; order Primates; family Hominidae; genus Homo; species Homo sapiens. The sequence continues at coordinate 40,340,933 of NC_000023.11, read as the reverse complement.
AGTTGGAGTAGCTGGGTCTGTAGTTTGTCTCACTGACCCTCCTCTTGTAAGTTATTCCAGGAAATGAAGATCACCTGAAACCTGGAGGAGCTGTGCTCCAAGTTTACTCTATGAAGCAAGTGAGTGTGAGCGGCACAAGGGGTGACGACTGTGATGGGTGCTGTGGTGCACTGTGCAAATGTCCCACTGAAGCACTCATTCTCCCTGCTGCAGGGAGTGTTGACAGCTGGCAGCTGGCCGCTGAATCCCTACATGGGGATTGCCTTCAGCTGAAGATGCCTGCCTCACCCAAGATCATGTCCCCTTCCCAGGGGGCAGCCCATATCCAGAGACTGGCCAATGTGGGAGAACAAAGGCTTTGGCCCCTCCTCTCAATTGCAGACAATTCTAAAGGATCATCCCAGCTCCAGAACTCCCCATGGGGTCAAATGGGCCTTGGGTGCAACCTCATCACAGTTCAGGTTCTTTCTCTGCCCAATCCTGCAGCCCTCATGCCCTCTCAGGTGTAGATCCTGAGATCACACCTCAATAAGCTTCCTGCATGCAAATCTCTATCTCAGAGTCTGTTTCCCAGGAAACCTGGCCTGTGACAAACTGTTTTACAGTGGTACTCTTGGGCACTACCCAGGTGAAATACTGGGTGTAGCTGCAGTGCCTGAGGAGTTATTGCTTCCTTCCTTGCAGCTTTGAGGAATCCTCATGAGTCTGAAAAATCAACACCAGTGACTCTGAAGGAGGCATTTCTATTGGTCTGTCTTCCTCTAGTTACCCTGGGAGGGAGATTTTGCCAGTGATCAATTAGACAATGTTACACGGACCCAGTGTGCTCAGAGGGTCCCGGTATTCATTATTCTAGCAGCAGATCCCACCCTTGGCTTAACCCCACCAGACTAACTCATAGGGTAAAATAAGTGAAAGATAGTTACAGACAGAATGGCATTCAGACATCATTCTTATTTATCTATGTGGAGACAGCTGAGACCATTCTTGATGGATGGCCTCACGGTAATTCAGCAGGACTGGCTGTAAAAATTGAATAGTGTGTGACATTTTGAGCAGCCAGAAACCTGGCATGTCTTATGGCTCATCTTTCCAACAATCTCCTTCAGAGCATCCTTGGCACACTGTTCCAGCCTTTTCATCTGGCCATTTATCTGGGGCAACGGGGGAGGATGGCAACGTTGGGATAAGGCTCCTGTCCATAAATCCTCTACACTCAACTGAGGCACAGGCAGACACATTAGCAGAGATAAGTGAGTTGCCATACCCACGCTAGAAATCACCCATTGAAGACCTAAGCACATGAGAGCAGGGGTCTGAGATGGAACAATGAGCATCGAAAGCAATGTCTCTGATTGGTCCTGCAAAATTCCCAGCCAGGATTTCACGGCCCTTCCTAAAGAGAAGAAGGTACATTTGCTGAATAGACTGTGAGTGCTGGCGTGTCAACCATATTGCTATCATTCCAATATTTGCATCTATTCTCATGATTTCCTGTGAACAGTTCCTTTATCTATGTACTGTGGCCAAGGTAACAAGCTGGCCACTTCTCTGGAATAATTACAGCTTTGGTGAGACTACATTGTGACAGATACAGTTACCAATTATGGATACATTGAAAGTAGAGTTGACCTCTAGTTTGCATGCTCAGTTGTTATTGAAAACAACTGCAAATGCTTGGCTCAGTCCTGGCACAACTCTATGAAACAGAACAGCAACAAAAACTGTGAGAATTATTTTAAAAGTCAAAAACTGGTTCCATGAAAAGATGTTTTTAAAGACAGACCTCTGGCAAGAGTGATCAAGAATAAAAAAGAGAAGATATGGGCCGGGTGCGGTGGCTCACGCCTGTAATCCCAGCACTTTGGGAGGTTGAGGCGGGTGGATCACAAGGTCAGGAGATTGAGACCATCCTGGCTAATACGGTGAAACCCCGTCTCTATTAAAAATACAAAAAATTAGCCGGGCGTGGTGGCGGGTGCCTGTAGTCCCAGCTACCCGGGAGGCTGAGGCAGGAGAATGGTGTGAATCCAGGAGGCGGAGTTTGCAGTGAGCCGAGATGTGCCACCGCACTCCAGCCTGGGCGACAGAGCAAGACTCCGTCTCAAAAAAAAAAAAAAGAGAGGATGTGAATAAATAAAATACAAAAAGAAAAGGAAGAAATAACCACAGGCACTAAAGTGATTATTTAAAAAAGAAAAAAGCATTATGAATAACTCTGCACTACTAAAATTGAAAAAAAAATGAAATAGGGGCTGGGCGTGGTGGCTCACACCTGTAATGCCAGCACTTTGGGAGGCCGAGGCAGGCGGATCACGAGGTCAGGAGATCGAGACCAGCCTGGCTAACATGGTGAAACCCCGTCTCAACTAAAAATACAAAAATTAGACGGGTGTGGTGGTGGGCGCCTGTAGTCCCAGCTACTCGGAAGGCTGAGGCAGGAGAATGGCGTGAATCCGGGAGGCGGAGCTTGCAGTGAGCCGAGATCACACCACTGCACTCCAGCCTGGGTGACAGCGAGACTCCGTCTCAAAAAAAAAATGAAATAAAGTTCTAGAAATATATAAAATGCAACAGTTTGATCAAGAAGATGACTAATTCCAGGCCAAGCACGAAAAGATTGAAATGGTAGTCAAAGACATCCTCTCCCCCAAAACTTTAGGCCCTTTTAGTTTGTTTTTTAAAATATATTATTTTAAGTTCCAGGATACATGTGCAGGATGTGCAGGTTTGTTACATAGGTATACGTGTGCCATGGTGGTTTGCTGCATCTATCAACCCATCATCTAGGTGTTAAGCCCCGCATGCATTAGGTATTTGTCCTGATGCTTTCCCTCCCCTTGCCCTCCACCCCCCGACAGGCCCCAGTGTGTGTTGTTCTCCTCCCTGTGTCCATGTGTTCTCATGGTTCAACTCCCACTTATGAGTGAGAACATGCGGTGTTTGGTTTTCTGTTCCTGTGTTAGTTTGCTGAGGATGATGGTTTCCAGCTTCATCCATGTCCTCGCAAAGGACGTGATCTCATTCTTTTTTATGGCTGCATATATTCCATGGTGTATATGTGCCACATTTTCTTTATCCAGTCTATCACTGATGGCCCTTTTAGTTTTATAGGCGAATTCTATGAAATTTTTAAGAAATGCTTAATTCCGGCCAGGTGTGGTGGCTCACGCCTGTAATCCCAGCACTTTGGGAGGCCAAAGCAGGCAGATCACTTGAGATCAGGAGTTCAAGACCAGCCTGGCCAACACAGTGAAACCCTGTCTCTACAAAAAATACAAAATTAGCCGGGAGGCTGTAATTCCAGGAAGCTGAAGCAGGAGGATAGCTTGAGCCTGGGAGGCAGAGGTTGCAGTGAGCCGAGATCATGCCACTGCACTCCAGCAGGTGCAACAGGGTGAGACTCTATCTCAAAAAAAAAAAATAAATTGTTTTAAAAAAGAAAGAAATGCTTAATTCCTATTTTACCCAGATTGTTTCAGAGTTTAGAAAAAGAGTGAATGCCATCCAGCTCATTTTGAAGCCAAGGCAATCTTAATTCCAAAACCAGTTAGTGACAATTTTTAAAAAGTACTTATGGCCGGGCGCAGTGGCTCATGCCTGTAATCCTAGCACTTTGGGAGGTCGAGGCGGGTGGATCACAAGGTCAGGAGATCGAGGCCATCCTGGCTAACACGGTGAAACCCCGTCTCTACTAAAAAAACAAAAAATTAGCTGGGCGTGGTGGTGGGCACCTGTAGTCCCAGCTACTTGGGAGGCTGAGGCAGAAGAATGGCATGAACCCGGGGGGCAGAGCTTGCAGTGAGCCGAGATCATGCCACTGCACTCCAGCCTGGGTGACAGAGTGAGACTCCGTCTCAAAAAAAAAAAATTAAAATTAAAATTTTAAAAAATGTACTTACAGGGCTTTTTCATTTATGAAAACAGATGTATAAATCCCAAACAAAAGATTTACTGACAGAACTCAACAGGATTTAAATATATATATATATATCCATCATGATGAAGGTTTTATCCCAGAAATTCGACAATGGTTCAACATCAGTAAACTTAGCAAACTAGGAACATAAAGAAATTTTCTTAACTTGATAAAGGTTATGTATCAAATCCTACGGAAGGCTGGGTGTAGTGGCTCACACTTGTAATCCCAGCACATTGAGAGTCCGAGGCAGGCAGATCACTTGAGATCAGGAGTTCCAGACCAGCCTGGCCAACATGGCAAAACCCTGTCTCTACTAAAAATACAAAAATTAGCTGGGTGTGGTGGCAGGCACCTGTAATCTCAGTTACTCAGGAGGCTGAGGCACGAGAATCACTTGAACCCAGGAAGCAGCAGTTGCAGTGAGCCGAGACTACAGCACTGCACTCCAGCCTGGGTGATGGAGTGAGACTCTGCCTCGGAAACAACAACAAAAAACCTACAGCAAATATACTTAATGGAGAAACTTTAGACACATTCCCTTTAAGATTATAAATAAGACAAATGTGTCCTCAACCTTTACTGTGTAATATGGCATGAAAGTCCTGGCCATTGTTAGAAAATGAAAATAATTAAGAGGTTGTATTAGTCAGGCTTCTCCAGAGAAAGAGAAGCAATAGGATGTATGCAGACAGTGAAAAAGAGTGTAAGGGGAGGAGAGAGAGAAAGAGAGAGGGAGGGAGGAAGATTTACTTTAAGGAATTAGCTCACGTGATTGTGTGGACTGACAAGTCAGAAATCTGCAGAGTGGACTAGCAGGCTGGAGACCCAGGGAAGAACTGATGTTGCAGCTTAAGTCCAAAGGCATTCTAGAGGCAGAATTGTCTCTCCCTCCAAGAATGTTCATCTTTTTTCTTAAGGCCTTCAACTGACTGGACAAGGCCTACCCACATTATGGAGGGTAATCTGCTTTACTCAAAGTCCATTGAGTTAAATGTTAATCTCATCTAAAAAATACCTTCGTGGCAACACCTAGACTGTAGACTGTTGTGTGACAAAATAACTGGGCACAAGAGACTAGCCAAATTGACATATAAAATTAATCATCATGGAGATATACTTTTGGGAAGGAAAAAGATAAAATTGCTATTTGCAAGTGATATGACCATCTATCTAGAAATAAAAATGTAATCCATAAACTCAACTCTAAGTGGGGATATACATAAAGTTTCTAACTAGAAAATCAACCTACAGAAATCAGTAGCTGCTTTTTACTACAGAAATAACTAGAAACTATAAAATGTAATAAAAATAAAATCATTTACAATAGCTACAAAATTATAAAGTGTCTAAAATTAGCATAAGACTACACAAGCCCTCTCTGAGGAATACAGTGATGTACTACACAAGGATAGATAAACTGACCAATGGAAAATAATCAAGAATCCAGAGCAGACACACATTTAGTTTACCTGGTTTATTACAGTATGACACTGATGTATAGTGGAAAAAAGATAATCTTTTAAATAAATGGCACTGGGTTAATTTTGTATCTAAATGGGGAGAAATAAATCTGGATCCCTATCTCACACCATACATGTAAATCAATTTCAGAAGAATTGTAGATCTAAATAGGAAAGATAAAATAATAAAGCTTTTAGAGGAAAACATTTTCATGAATTGGTGTGGGCAATATTTTTTTTTTTTTTGAGACAGTCTCACTCTGTTGCCCAGGCTGGAGTGCAGTGGCATGATCTCGGCTCACTGCAACCTCCACCTCCTGGGTTCAAGCGATTCTCCTGCCTCAGCCTCCTGAGTAGCTGGGATTACAGGTGCATGCCACCATACCTGGCTAATTTTTGTATTTTTAGTAAAGATGGGGTTTCACCATGTTGGTCAGGCTGGTCTCGAGCTCCTGATCTCATGATCTGCCCACCTTAGCCTCCCAAAGTGCTGGGATTACAGGCATGAGCCACCACGCCCGGCCAGAGCCAAGATTTTAAAGATCCTCTGCATGGAGTTAAAACAAAACTGGGCCAGGCGAGGTGGCTCACGCCTGTAATCCCAGCACTTTGGGAGGCCAAGGTGGGCGGATCACGAGGTCAGGAGATCGAGACCCTCTTGGCTAACATAGTGAAACCCCATCTCTACTAAAAATACAAAAGATTAGCCAGGTGTGGTGGCGGGTGCCTGTAGTCCCAGCTACTCGGGAGGCTGAGGCAGGAGAATGGCGTGAACCCAGGAGGCGGAGCTTGCAGTGAGCTGAGATTGCGCCACTGCACTCCAGCCTGGGCAACAGAGCGAGACTCCGTCTGAAAAAAAAAAAAAACAAAAACTGGTGCACCAAATGGAAAAAATTAAAACTGTATCCCAAGCTAACACCACCAATAAACTGGGGAGTCTGTAGACTGAAGAACTAAAAGTGAAAGTGAAAACTATAAAGTTAATAGGAGAAACTGTAAAAGAATATCTTTGTGATCTCTATTGGCAGAGAAAGACTACTTAAATAAAACTTCAAAGGCAAAGACCATTAGGTGAAAAGGGAAATGTATTTACTTCAAAATTAAGGATTTCTGTTTATTGAAGCACACCACAGACAAAGGGAATAGATGTATGCCCAAAATGGAAGAAAATGTTTTCAATCTCTAAAACAAGAAATGAGCATGTCAAATATGTGAGAAACACCTGCAAATCAACATGAAGCAAAACAGCATCCCCGGTAGAAAACTGGGCAAAGAATATGAACAGGCAGTTTAGAGAGAGACACCCACCTGCAAAGGTGCTCAAACTTATTTGCAATCAGGGAGATGCAAATTAAAACAAAAATGAGATATCACTTTTTTATATTAGACTGCAAAAGTTAGCTGTATAATGCCAAGTGCTGGGGAGCTATAGGGCTATAAAAAGCCCTCTGGCATTGCAGGTAGGAGTGTAGACTAGTGCAGCCATTCTGGAGAAGAAGCTGACATCTCTGACATTAATTAAGTAAACATGTAGTAAATGACCCAGCAATTCACCTCCTGGGTATATATCCCATGAAAATTCAGAGGTCCATGAGGTACATGTAAAAGGTGCTCAGTGCAGTATTTTTTTGTGTGGTGGGTAGCAAAGTGGCATCCATCACTGAGGGGGTGATTAGATAAAACCTGGGGACTGCCCATGATGGAGTAATATGAAGCATTTAGTAGCAATGAGTTAGATATACAAATAGCTACATGAGTGAGTCTTAAAGCTATGCTTAGTGAAAAATCTAAAACCCAGAATGAGATATATAACAGAATATACATAAATTTAAAATATACCAAAGAGTATGGATAAACAAATTGTGGTATATTCATACAACAGAATACTACACAGCAATTTTTTTAATCCCCAAATATTGACACATGCAATAACATGGATGATCTCAAAAGCATTCTATTGAACAAAAGCCAGACACAATAAAGTGTGCGTTATATGACTCTATGTCTATAAAATTCCGGAACAGGCAAAACTAATCTACAGTGGGAAAAGCAGATTAGTGTTGCTTAGAGCTAGGGTGGAGAGAAGGGATTGACTGCAAAAGAATACAAGGGAAATCTTGTATTCTTGGTGATGGATCCAAGATCCATCATGGATGAAAATGACCTATATCTTGACTGGTGTGTGGTTAAACGGGTATGTATATTTCTCCAAACTCATCAAACTGTACACTTAAAATGGGTACATGTTATTGTATGTAAATTATACATCAATAATGTTGATTTTAAAAATTAAAAAACATACATGTACACAAAGCAGTACATGTTTACTAAGAGATTTTACATGGGAAAACTGCTAATAAGAGACATTGTGTAGTCACTCTATGTATTAGTCAGCTCAGGCTGCTATAACAAAATACCACAGGCTGGGGGCTTAAGGAACTTACATTTATTTCTCATAGTTCTGGAGGCTGGGAAGTCCAAGGTCAAAGTGCCAGGCAGTTCAGTTCCCTGGTGAGTGCTCTATTCCTGGTTTGCAGACAGCCATCTTCTTGCTGTGTACTCACATGGCAGAGACAGTGTGCTCTGGTCTTCCTCTTCTCATAAGAACATTAATCCCATCATGGGGGGGTCCCATCCTCAAGATGTCATCTAAACCTAATCACCTCCCAAAGGCCCCACCTCGTAATAACATCTCAATGGAGACTGGGGCTTCAATATATGAATTTTGAAGGGACAGAAACATTTAGTACATAATATTCTAGAACTAGAACACAGCTAGTAAAGAAAAACTTTACCTTCACACCTGGCTAGCCATGAAACCTGTGTTTATTTAACTCCTGCCCTCCCCAACTGCCCCGCCCTGCCATCAGTTTCTGGCCCCAGCCTGGTGGATTTGAGGATTGTGATGCCTCAGGAGGATCAGAAACCTGCCCTCCATCCCCTTGAAGCTTCCACATGAGTGTAGGCATTGCCTGGAGACAAGGGTAGAATAATAGGACTGGTTTTGCAGAGGTTGAGTGGGACCCACACCTTCCCTGAGTTCCCACCAGCAGGATCTCCTGCCTTTGACCCAAAAAGCTGCTCCTTTAATTGTTGTGCCTCCTGGGGCTGTGACATCACTAATGAGACCTAGCCTTGGCTCGCCCTGCATGCCCAGAGTTCAAGTTTATCAAGAGGTTCTGTCAGGTCAACCTGCAGGAGTTGCTGAACGTGCTTGCATAGCTCCTAAGCATCAAAGCCCTCTCCAAACTGCTAACCCCATCTGGGATGTTTCCATTTCTGAACAAGGCCAAAGTCTTCTGACTCCAAGCCCAGCATCCTTTACTTTACCCAACAGAAACCTCCCTGTATCGAGGAAGACAATTTCCAGGATACAGACTGACACTGAACAGCAGAACAGCTTCAAGCACAAGCCTTGAAGCTAGAGGTGAGATGAAATTTCAGCTGGCCAGGCTTCGGCAAGTTTCTTAATCTCTCTGAGTGTTAAGAGAAAAATGAAATCATCCATTAATGGAGAAAAAAATGAAGACTATGAGCAAACGAATCCCATTCAGGGAACCTGTTTAGAAGAAGGAAGCAAAACTGCTTTGTCATTATGGAACCTCAAACCTAATCAGCTATTTGGGGGTCTGTATTAGGGTTCTCCAGAGAAACAGAACCAAAAGGATGTACACACACACACACAAACACACACACGTGTGTGCGTGTATATATGTATAAATACATGGATATATCTATACACATATACTATATATATATACACGCATATATATATACACATATACCTATGTATACACACACACATAGAGCAAGAGAGAGAGATTATAAGGGATTGGTTCACATGATTATGGAGGCCAGCAAGTCCAAAATCTGCAGTGTGGGCTGGTAGGCAGAGACTGGGGAGAGCTGAAGCTGCAGATGAAGTCTGAAGGCAGTGTATTCTGGAGAATTCCTCTTGCTCAGGGAGGCTGGTCTTTTTGCTCCTTTCTGGCCTTCAACTGATTGAACGAGGCCCACCCACACTATGGATCTGTTCATCAATTTCAATGTTAATCGGTTCATCAATTTCAACGTTAATTTTATCCCAAAACACCCTCCAAGTTGACACATAAAATTAACCATCACGGCATCTGCATAAGAAAGAATGTGCTGGCAGAGGGGTCTGTTTAAGAAGAATGTGCGTGGCATTTATAAAAGGAAATCAGAGAGACCACGTGTGTCTTGGCCAGCACTGCTCAGGGAAGCCGACCCCCTGACCTCTAAAATACTTGGGCTTGTCTGGGGAGGCAGATGGAAATAGATAACTCAGGCATTGAACCTAAAGCTATCTCATCCTCCTGCCTTGACTAATCTCACACTCACTGAGCTGACTTCTGCCCTGTTTGGCTTTCCTTATAGCTTTGCCTAGAAATAGAATTGCCAGATTTAGCAAATAAAATATAGCACTTATGCTAAAAAAAAAAAAAAGTATTCATTGTTTATCTGAAATGCAAATTGAACTGGATAGCCTGTATTTTATCTGGCAACTCAACCTACAGGGAAGGTTTGCTGACAACCGAGTGGCAGAATTTGGTCCTCCTGATGTTTTCAGAAAAGTACCCAGTACCAACCGGCCGACCCCTATAGGTACACTCTGCACATATTGCAGTCACCTGTTTACTGTTCATCTCCCAGGCTGTGAGCCACTTGAGAGCAAAGACTGTGCCTTGTTTACCACTGAATCACAGTGGCACCTGGTATAAACAGTACTTGTTACAGTCTCTGCAGTTTTTTTTTGTTTTTTGTTTTTGTTTGTTTTTGTTCTTGTTGTTTGTTTGGTTGGTTGGTTTTTTTTTGTTTTTTTTGTTTTTTTGTTGTTTTTTTTTTTTGAGGAGGACTCTCGCTCTGTCACCGAGGCTGGAGTGCAGTGGCGTGATCTCGGCTCACCGCAACCTCTGCCTCCCAGGTTCAAGCAATTCTCTTGCCTCACCCTTCCAAGTAGCTGGGATTACTGGCATGTGCCACCACATCCAGCTAATTTTTGTATTTTTAGTAGAAACAGGGTTTTGCCATGTTGGCCAGGCTGGTCTTGAACTCCTGACCTCAGGTGATCCACCCACCTCAGCCTCCCAAAGTGCTGGGATTACAGGCGTGAGCCACCACGCCCGACCTCTGCATTTGATTTTTGAAGTAATTCCACCTGAACAGTGTGATATCATGTCTGTGTCAGCTAAAACTCCAATTCCAGGGGCAGTCAGTCATTTGCCTTCACCAAAAATCCCCTCTCCAGCTAGTCAGCTGGCTTTATATCAGAAAGACCATATCCAAATACAAGATCACAAAGGCTCCATCAATACCCGAGGCTTTGCTAATTAGCAAAGTGAAAGTCAAAAATGGGTTTTCATTGATGAAATTGGTGGCTTGTTAATTAGCATGACGAATGTTAGAAATAGACTCTTGTTGGTGAAGTTAGAGGTATTCAGGGTCTATGGGTTTACTTGAATATATTGGAGATGCTACTCTCCACCTTTAGATAAAGAGATTATCAGAATCTAGCAAGGTCTGTGCCCTGCACCTTAGAGATGGCACCTGAGGCTTGATTCAACCTTTAGTTTTAGAGGATTTCTGGTTCTCTGATGCTTCTGGAATGTTGCATCCACCTTCAGTGACCTTTCATGCAAGGGTAAGCTGAGAGCTGGGACTTCCTCAAGCCTAGAGAAAAGGTTGCATCAATTGCGTTTGTGCCAGATTGCTAACGAATGCTTGCTTAATAAATGTGGTAGAGTTTGGTCAGATATTTGCTTTTGTGTGAGCTGGTGGTGAGGTTTCTGGGGGTGGTTAGCTAATCCTCACTCACCTCAAGACTCTTTGGAGATGTATCAGTTATTAAGAGATTTTTTCTTTTCTTTTCTTTTCTTTTCTTTTCTTTTTTTTTTTTTTTTTGAGACTCAGTTTCACTGTCTCTCAGGCTGGAGTACTGTGGCGTGATCTCGCTCACTGCAACCTCTGCCTCCTGGGTTCAGGTGATTCTCATGCCTTAGCCTCCCAAGTAGCTGGGATTTCAGGCCTGCACCACCACGCCCGGCTAATTTTTGTATTATTAATAGAGACGGGATTTCACCATATTGGCCAGGCTGGTCTCGAACTCCTAACCTCAAGTGATCCGCCGGCCTTGGCCTCCCAAAGTGCTGGGATTACAGGCGTGAGCCACCGCGCCCAGCCAATTATTAAGAGATCATCTCTCAGCTCCAAACCCACCCTTCTTTATGATGCTAGGGCTGGGACTTAAACCACCTTTCTGCTTTGCCAGCTGCTCCCTCTTGTGCTCTGCCTGTAGGAAGCGCTAGAGAGAGACTCAAGGCTAGAGGAGGGAGAAGGGAGTTGTTTTTTTCCTTTGGGCTTCTGCTGGCTTCCCAGTGGCTTCTTCCCTTAGCTTTCTAATCCTGTGAGTGGCATCCCTCACACCATGCTTCTTCACTATGGCAGCAGCAGTCCCTTCCTGTAGCAGCAGCTGAATCCGGTTTGCAATGCCCACAGAACCAACCTCATCATCTCCTACCCCACAGATGCCAGCTGGCCAGCTCATCCTCCTTAGAGGTCTGGATTCCACCTCCGTGGGGCCCCTCCTCTGAGCTCAGAGACACCAGCACTAGCCAGCAGGTGCCCCTTCCTCAGGCTTCTGAGTTTCAGCCCCATGCGATCACTCCTCCAAGCTTCTAGGTTTTAATAATTCCAACTTTTCCCCCTTTGTCCCTCAGAGGTGGTAGCTGCTTCCAGAAATTGCTACCTTCATGATACCACAGAGTTCTCTTTTTTGCTTTTTGAGTTCTTCGATAACTAGTTAATGATTCCTTATACTTAGCTAACCATTCTCTATATTAAATTCTCTCTGTTAAAACAACCACTGTGGTTTTTGTCTCCTGCCTCATACAGGAGGCTATATTACCTTCTAGAAAGAACTTTAGGGTTATGCATGACCAATTTGGCTTAGGTCAGCAATCAATAAATATTTATGGGATAAATAAATGAATAAACGACTGAATTTCTTGCTGTAAGTTAATAATGACTTCCTGAGTTTTTAATACCAGTCTCGTGATTTTAATTAACGTGAGTCAGTCCCCAGAGTGTCCTTGTTTCTTTTTTTTTTCTTTTTGTGGAGGTGGTCCTGCTATGTTGCCCAGGCTGGGTTCAAGCCATCCTCTAGCCTCTGCCACCCTAAGTGTTGCAATTACAGGTGTGAGCTACCACCCCCGCCCTCTTGTTTCTGAAAGAGAGTAACAATCAGGCCTAGAAAGAATAAGATACAGAAAGTTGAAAGGGGAATAATAAGTATCCAACCCCGGCCACAGCAGGGGTAAACGCACCCACTAGAGTCCTCCTCCAGCTATTTTCAGAGTTAAATCAGCTCTGCCCTGGAGACTTCTCGCTTAACCTAAAAGTCCACTTCCACTTCCCTCTGACCCAGACATCTCACTCTTCAAACCACCTGGGCTTTCCTGGGGGAGGTGAGGCACCTTTGTTTCTTAACCCTCCACTCTATCCATGCACAAATAGTTAACAGCTACAGATATTTAACATCCCCAGAAAGCATCACTCATTCAAAGGGAGAGGCTAGCAGATAATGGAGAAACTGCAGAACAGCCCCAGGTTCAAAACCATGACTCCAAAGCCAACTAAGGCCCCAGTCCAGGCTCTACACCTCTGCCTTGTTCCCAGAGAGCCCTGTTTCAGTCTTGGCTCTGTGCATTCGTTTACACTCTTGGACAAAACATTCCATCTTCCACCCCTTTGGCAACAGTTATTTGGGCATGGACACCAGGCCTTCTGCTGACTGCTGGGACTACAAAGTTACACAGTCTCTGCTCCCATGGAGCTCACGGCAAAAACAAAGAGAGAAGAGGTGCATTGATCACACACTGAAAAAGCCAGAGGTCCCCATAATTTCTTGTTGTCTGTGTTACACCTGCATTCCCCTGGCTATTTCTGTGCTGTTTTTGACCACCCCTGGCTTCAGTGTGCCTTTGTTTCCAAAACCTGTAACTTATTTGGAGGCCTGCCCATGCCTACTGGAGCAACTTTATTGAGGAGAGCTGAAAATGTCTGGAAATGTATGCTTCCCCAGGACAAAGCAGTCCTTAGCCAATGGCTGGTGGATGGAGGAGTATGAAAGCCCAGCTCCCTTGCCTATGCATGGGACCCCTCTGACCTGTAACTCACACTCCAGAGCTCCTCCACTCCCAAGTCAGGCTGAGGCTACCCCCTGCGAGACTATCTGAGATGGAATGCTTGCTTGGGTGCTTCCCCAGCCTAGGCCACCCATTCATCTGTCTCAAGTCTGGAGCACCTGGGTGGAGGATTACCAGCTGACTTCCACAGGGACCCTCCTCTGTGTCAACTGAGGGAGGAACTGTCAAATTCCAGATGGGAATCCCCCAACCCCCTCTGGCTGGTGTATTTATATACCAACTCCCAGGCAGCTCTGAGAGCAAAAGAAGAGATTGCTGGTGTGCCCACAGCTCAAAGTCATGACAGATTCCCCTCCTCCCATTCAGTGCCCACGATCATCCATAAGCACTGAGGGGCCTCCACCAGCAACTCTCCCAAGCCCTCAGTCCTGGACCTCTCTGCCTTCTCCTACAACTGTTTCACCCCCATAGGTGACTCCAGAACAAATCACGTATTAGTTCAGCTTAAGGGACTAGGGGCCATTACGGTTCCCAGGAAAATTCAACAGGGAGCTTTCAGTGTGTGAATCCAAAGGAATTAGATAGGTGATTTACCTCCCACCTGCTAAGCAAATACCGCAGATAGTTCCTGTAGCAGACAGTATTGTTGGGCCCATATCTCCAAGGCCCACCCAGAGGGAGGAAAGTTACCTGCGGACATTCCTGTACTTGCCAATGACTTCTGAGTTCCAGTTTCCACTTAGAAACTGGGGACCTTGGGAAAATCCCTATATTTATCTAAATTTCAGTCTCCACAGCAGAAAAATGGGAATAAGAACGCCCACCTTGCAGGGCTATTGTTGAGGAGTAAATCTGATGTCATATGGAGAAATACTTAGACTATGAAGCATTGTCCAGATATTATTACATGGCAGAGAGGAGTGGACAGTGGGATAAACAATGGAGTGCAGTCAGAAAAGCACAAAGTCTGTTGAGGTGACAGTGAATCAGGGAATCAGGATGACAAAGCATGGAATCTATGAGTGATGATTAATTTTATGTGTCAGCTTGACCGGACTAAGGGGATGTTCACATAGCTAATAAGATATTGTTTCTGGGTGCGTCTGTGAGAGTTTCTGGAAGAGATTACCATTTGAATCAGCAGGCTGAGTAAAAATCACCCTCACCAATGTCGGTGGGTGATAGAGTTTGGATGAGTGTACCTGCTCAAATCTCACATTGAAATGTAATCCACAATGTTGGAGGTGGGGCCTGGTGGGAGGTAAACCATCCCCCTTGGTACTGTCCTCCTGACAGAAGATCTGGTCATTTAAAAGTGTGTGGTACCCCCTCTCCCCTCTCTTGCTCCTGCTCTAGGCATGTGACATGCCTGCTCCCCCTTTGCCTTCTACCACGATTGGAACTTTCCTGAGGCCTCCCTAGAAGCCAAGCAGATAGCAGCATCATGCTTCCTGTACAGCCTGCAGAACCGTGAGCCAATTAAACCTCTTTTCTTTATAAATTACCCAGTCACAGGTATTTCTTTATAGCAATACAAGAATACTCTAATACAGTGGGTATCATCCAGTCCATTGAGAGCCTGAATAGAACAAAAAGGAGGAGGAAGAGCGAATTAACTCTCTCTGTCCTTGAGCTGGGACATCCCTCTTCTCCTGCCCTTGAACATCAGCACTTCATCTCCATAAATGTATCTCCTATTGGATCTGCTTTTCTGGAAAATCCTGATTAATACACCATGGAAGATTCTGCAAGTTAGACTCTCCAGAAGCAGATGATGGGATGGCTTTTGAGATGCAAGATGTTTATTAGAGATCAAATTCTGTGAGGAAAAAAAGAAATGGGAGAAGGCAAGATAGGGCTGACTGAGAAGCTGAACTGTAATGCAAACCCGCATAGCTTCGGCCAACCCAGTGGAGAGCTCTGGAGCAGGGATCGGCCACCAGAGGTTTCCTGCAATTGGCTGAAATGGCCAGACTCTTACACCCTTTTATGATTTCTGCTAAAGCAGTCGCCAGGTGTGGGTTGCCCTGAGGAGGCCGTGGCCTGGAGTGAGGTGGCTCTCTGCAGCTGAGGCAGACCGGTATTGCTGGCAGCTGGGAGCTATCTGCTCTCTGCACACTCCATGAATGGACAACAAAAACTTTCTTGGAATCTCGCTCTGTTGCCCAGGCTGGAGTACAGTGGCACGATCTCGGGTCACTGCAACCTCCGCTACCCGGGTTCAAGAAATTCTCCTGCCTCAGCCTCCTGAGTAACTGGGATTACAGGCATGCACCACCATGCCTGGCTAAGTTTTGTATTTTTTTTTTTTAGTAGAGGCGGGGTTTCACCATGTTGGCCAGGCTGGTCTCGAACTCCTGACCTCAAGTGATCCGCCCACCTCAGCTTCCCAAAGTGAACTTTATTGAATGCAGATTTGGTGACACATCTCTGTGTCTACCACAAGAGGGATAAGGGATAATACCAGAAAAATTGTCATCATAACCATTAATTAATTCAGTTATTCACTCAAAAAGACAGACACAGCCAGACAACAAACTATCATCAAAGACTTACTTTGTGTCAGGGATTAAACTCAGTGCTGTGGAAAGATGCAAAGACAGTAAGACAGGTACCTCCATGGTTTGGATTTCCCCAGAGCAGATCCTGTGATAAGAGGATGAGTGCTGGCGGCCAGGCACAGTGGCTCACGCCTGTAATCCCAGCACTTTGGGAGGCCGAGACGGGTGGATCATGAGGTCAGGAGATCAAGACCATCCTGGCTAACACGGTGGAACCCCATCTTTACTAAAAATACAAAAAATTAGCCGGGCGTGGTGGTGGGCACCTGTAGTCCCAGCTACTTGGGAGGCTGAGGCAGGAGAATGGCGTGAACCCAGGTGGCAGAGCTTGCAGTGAGCCGAGATTGCGCCACTGCACTCCAGTCTGGGCAACAGAGCGAGACTCCTTCTCAAAAAAAAAAAAAAAAGAAGAAGGATGAGTGCTGGCTTATGGTTTATTTGGGAGGGATAAGAAATACCAGAAGAGAAGTAGGGAAGTGAGACAAGGAAAGGAAGTCAGGCAATAAACGGTGGGCTTTACTGACTACCACTGTGGGCAGTTGGAGCTCATTTCCACAGGTGAACTCTGTGTAATGGCCAAGAGCACATGCCTCAGTGTTACCCACTCAAGGGCAAGGGAGCTGGGGTAGTTATACGCCAACTCCCATCAGTCATTGGTTGAGAGCTGCTCTCAGAAGGCATTAAGCCCCTGGCACTTTCATCCTGCCCCGTGCTGCTAGGTGCAGAAATGGTGAGTGCTGGAAGGATCTGGGGCACTGGCAGTGGGTGCTGCACTCACATTAAGCACTTGACAGCTTTAGGGGGAGACTGATCGTCAGAAAAACAGCCTGACAAATGTAATGACGAGAGGCATGCTTGAAACACAAAGAAGGCCCTAATCTGAGGTACCTTCTCAAAGGGGTGGCTGAACACCTGAGCTGAATCTTTTTTTTTTTTTTTTGAGACGGAGTCTTGCTCCGTTGCCCAAGCTGGAGTGCAGTGGCATGATCTCGGCTCACTGCAACCTCCACCTCCCCGGTTCAAGCAATTCTCCTGCCTCAGCCTCCTGAGTAGCTGGGATTACAGGCACCTGCCACCACGTCTGGCTAATTTTTGTATTTTTAGTAGAGACAGGGTTTCACCATGTTGGCCAGGCTGGTCTTGAACTCCTGACCTCAGGTGATCGGCCCACCTCGGCCTCCCAAAGTGCTGGGATTACAGACTTGAGCCATCGCGCCTGGCCATGATCTGAATCTTAAAAGGCAAGAAAGAATTGTCTTAGAAGAAGGGGCCAGGAAAGAGGCTCTAAGGATTTGATAGCTGGGGTGCTTCAGGAGTTTTCGAGTCATCCAAGGTGGCTGGACATGTCATCTAGCATGTGAAAGAGGAGGAATGGAAGGATAAGGGAAGGAAAAAAGGTGGTGCTAGATCACACAGAGCCCGAGCGCGGCTTTCTTCTTCCTATGGAAGGATTGAGGAGACTTGCTGGGATTGTAAGCACAGGTATGTCATGAATCTGATATACTCTCTAGAGAAATTACTTTAGGTGCAGAGTGAGGAATGGATTCGAGGTGACATCATGAGGACAGGGAGCCCCAGAGAGAAATTGTGAAGGCTGAACACAGGGAAGTGGCCATAGAGAGAAAGAGAACGTGACAGAATCAAGAGAGATGAAGAATGCACAAAGCCTAATGCTAACAGGAAGAGGAGCCCTAGGAAGGCATCTATGCTAGTCTTGGCTTCCCTTGCAGTGTTTTAACCAAACCTCTCAACTTTCTACCACACCTGGAAGGACTATTTACCTGGGTCCAGGATATGGCAAGGAGATTTCCGTAAGTTCTACTACAGCAAGATCACAGCCATCTGTGGGTAATTACCCACAGCCATCTGTGGGTAATTAAGGTGCAAGTACCAGACCTGTGTTATTACCCTGAGAACATTCTATGCCCAGAGTCAAAAGGCCTAATGTCTTCATTTAAATTCATTTTCAATGAGAAGATTCACCACCACTTATTTTTCAAGGTACTCAAAATGTTAGAAACTGTTAGTGGGTTAAAGATAGTCTTTTCAGTTGGTGCTCACTGTATCATTTTTAGCTCCTTTTTTTCTCCATTGACCTTTTGATCCTCATGGCCTGTCTACACTACAGTGTTTGGGTTGCTGTTGCTCTTGTTTTTTTCCTAACAGACTCCAAAGCAACCCATATCTCATTTGGGTAGGGTAGGAAGGAAAGATGGTCATGGTATTCTTATCTTTCCAGTGCTAGACTCTGATATATTGGTAAGATAAAGGCCTCCAAAATAAATACTACGCTGGAAGTTGCATATACCCATTCTTACTTGCATCTCATTGACTGGAACTTAGTCATATGGCTATATCTAGTGGCAAGGAAAGTTGAGAAATGTAATTTTTATTTTAGGTGGCCATTTAACCAGCTAGAAAACTCAGCCTTTCTTTTAAAGAGGAAAAGGGGGAGAAGGGATATTGTGGAGCAACTACAAGTGTCTGCTGTTAGCTATTGCTTCCTAACAAACCACCCCAAAACTTAGTAGCATAAAACAACTACCTTTTTACATCTCACAGTTCTGTGGTTCAGGAATTTGGGGCTGCAATATCTTGACTGGAGCTGGAAAACCCAAAATGGCCACACTGACATGTCTGATGGCTCAGTTGGGGTGGTTCGCATGGCTGGGGCTAACTGGGGTGGCTGGGCCTCTCTCTTTTCATGGGGTCAGCCGGGTTCACTAATATATCTGGGAGCTTGGCTCTCCTCCTAAGTGGCTTCTGTCTCCAGCAGGTTAATCTGAGCTTCTTCACATGGTGGCTGGAAACCCCCCAGGCAAAAGTGGAAGCTACCAGAACTCCTAAGCCCTGGACTTAAATGCCCCCCATCTTCACCCAGGCACAAACACACATGTCACTTCAGCCATATTCTGTTGATCAAAACAGCAGATTCAAACGCTGGAGAAGTAACTCCACCTCATGATGGAAAGAGCTGCAAAGAAACATTGCAAAGGATGTGAACACTGGGAGACATGATTCATTGGGGGCTGTTTTTAAGAACCTACCACACCTGCAACTAGGGGTAACATATTACATTTGATCTGTCATTTTATACCACTTACCACTGTTTCTAAGCCATTCCCACAGAGACTGAGCTTTTCCTCTTGAATTCCACAGTAAATACTGGTGCCTTGATTTGGTTATATGTGCATAGCATGAGGATCTGAAAGAAACCAGGAATTAGGCACAAAATTAAGTCTTGTACTTTTTCTACAGAAACATCTGTCTCTGAATAGCAGCAGTCTGCTTCTAATGTAGGAGGCTGGTAAAAGCATTGTGCCCACCCTTACAGCAACAACAAAAAAGGAAAGACAATCTGCAAATCACAACTTACCTTGAACTTATCAGACAGCCGAAGTCACAGGGCAACCAACTAACCCAAACTCTAAGTAAGAAAAGACAGGTGCCTCCAAGGAGAGTTGGGAATAAACACTTACGGACAACATGGAAGATCAGATGGGTAATTTTAGCAGAGAGAATAAACCTATAAGAAAGAATCAAATGGAAATGCAAGAAATGAAAAACACTAATGTTCCTTGGATGGGCTCATCAAGAGACTGATACAGCTGAGGAAAGAATCAGCAAATTTGAAGATAAGTCAGTGGAAATTATTCAAACTGAAACACAAAGATAAATGAATGGAGGGAAAAAACAGAACAGAGCATCAAAGAGCTGTGGGAAATTATCAAACAGTCTGAAGTACATGTAACTGAAATCCCAGAAGGAGAAGAGCAAACAAGGCAGGAGAAATATTTGAGGGAATAATGGCTAAGAGTTTTCCAAAACTAAATGGCAGACACCAAACCACAGATCCATGAAGCACAGAAAAGACCAAGCAGGGTAAAACAAAAACCAAAAGCAAAACCAAACAAACAAAAATCTGGGTATATCATATTTAAACTGCTGAAAACCAAGAAAGAGAACAATTATAAAGGCAGCCAGAGAAAAAAGGCATATTACATAAAGTAGAACAAAGAATCACGGCATACTTCTCATCAGAAAACATACAAGTCAAAAGACAATAAAGTAACATCTTCAAAATGTTAAACAACAACAAAAGAACACGTCAACCCCAAATTCTATACCCGGCAAAAAATATATTTCAAAAGTGAAAGAGAAATACTCTCTCAAACAAAAATAGAGAATTAATTGCTGGCAGAACTGCTCTATAAGAAATGTTATAGGTAGGAGGAATATGATATGATACAGATACTTGGATCTACACAAATAAATGAAAAGGGCTGGAAATGGAACAAATAAAGGTAAATAAAAATTCCTTTTAAAATGTTTAAATTGCTCTAAAAGATGACTGTCTAAAGTCAGCACAGCAGCAATGCATTGTGTGTTTATAGGATATGTAAATGTACTGTGGGATGGGAGGGAGGAATTAGAAGTACACTCTTACAATGTTTTTATACTACATATGAAATAGTATATTATTATTTGAAGGTAGATATTGATTAATGAAATACGTATATTGTAAACCCTAGAGCAACCCTTTAAAAAGTTTTGAAAGCATTACATAATTTAACATACTGCTCTGGATTGTCTGTGAAAAACTTAGCACCATTTTTTCCTTCTATGATCTTCCATATATCACAGCATCTGGAAGCTGGGGAACTACATTTTCCAGCATTCCTTCCCAAATAGGTTACTAGTTAGATTCTATCAATGAGAAGTATCATTGATTCTCATTATTCACAGTAGTTATGATCTATTCAGTTTTCAAACGTTGAATTAGCAAATACTGAACAATTGCTCCTAGGAGAGATAGGCAGTTAGGTTCCTGCAAGCCTCTGGTCACAATATTTTTGTGAACCAGTCAATATGTAACTTTGTCTTTTGTGTGTTTCTGTTTAAAGACACCTTATTTAATATATATAGTTGGTGCATTAACATTGAACTCACAGCCAACAGCGCTATAACTCATGCTTGAAAAAATCTTTCCTTTTTTTTTTTTTTTTTTTCCTGAGATGGAGTCTTGCTCTGTCACCCAGGCTGGAGTGTGGAGTGCAGTGGCGTGATCTTGGCTTCCTGCAACC
Organism: Homo sapiens; assembly: GCF_000001405.40. Lineage (NCBI taxonomy): Eukaryota > Metazoa > Chordata > Mammalia > Primates > Hominidae > Homo > Homo sapiens. The sequence goes on along the minus strand of NC_000023.11, from coordinate 40,319,741 downwards.
TCCACCTCCCAGGTTCAAACGATTCTCGTGCCTCAGCCTCCTGAGTAGCTGGGACTACAGGTGCCTGCCACCACGCCTGGCTAATGTTTGTGTTTCTAGTAGAGATGGGGTTTCACCATGTTGGCCAGGCTGGTCTCGAACTTCTGTCCTCAAGTGATCCACCCGCCTCAGCTTCCCAAAGTGCTGGGATTACAGGCACGAGCTACCACGCCTGGCCAGAACAAAGCTTTTTTTTAACACACAGTTTCTCCATAAGGCACATCATTGCCTTCTCTTATTTAGGAACGCTGAACAGCACTGTAGCACTACACTTGGGGTCCATTTTAAACAGTGAAATCACCAACAAAAAGCACAAAAATGTGAAAAACATGGCAGTAGCCAGACGGCCAAAATAACACTTGTTTACAGTACGAGAGCTCAAACTACCAGGCAGAGAGGTCCCTTATTCAGCTCAGCCGGGAACGTGGGCTTTAGGTGACTCAAGTTTTTTGCAGCTCTTTCCGAGAGTGACTACGAATGGACTGTGAGTATTGATTTTGGGGTTACAAATCAATGTTAGTGAGCAGGTGAATTTGCAAATATGGAACCCACAAATAATGAGGATTGACTGTAGTGGCACAAGACCTGGAAGGCCAGAGAAGCAGAAGCCATGATTATTATTGCTTCTCCTGCAACAGCAGACAGACACAAGGGGCACAGGAAGTACAGCTTTCGCAGCCACCTCCAGGCACTTCCCCGAGAATCAGCTATCTTGGTCCCACAGGCTGGCGGGCTCTTTCTTCACTGTACTTTCTGATGCTCTGGGAGTTGGGAGGAAATCTGAGAGACTTTTGCTCTTCCAGCTCTCCCAACTGGTTTGTAAGTACCTAACCTTCCGTGTTAAATCCCTATTTGAAATTCCAAGTGCCATCTGTTTTCCTGACCAAATCCTGACTAATACACATTCTCTTAGAAAACATACGGCTTGGAGAAGATTGAAATAAATATTAAATGTCCAACTAAGTAGAAGTTGTCACAGCTCAGGATTTGCCCCATAAGGCTGGGTGTGACCTGATTCAAACTCAAGGGCTTTGCCAGTCACTTTAGCCTCTTCATCACAGAGGGGTATGCAGCAACTGAAGAGCTTTGTCTTCAAAAGTGCTGGCCCACTTCCTATTTATATTTTCCAGGGTAAACCCTTATCTGAGCCTGCTAAGACACTGAGACCAGGATTTGTGTGCACATGATTTATGAAGGAAGTGCTTCCAGGACAGACCAGTAAAGAAGTCAAGAAAACAAGACAGGGAAGAGAAGAAGCCAAGCCAGGGCACACACTCAGGGGAGTCCCAGCCTCAGCCTGATCTTGCAGATGGGCTCTGGGGTGTAAATTACACTTACGTGTTCGTCCTGACCCCAGCCAAGGGAGCTGGGTTTTTGTGCTCCCACAGAGTAAGTCACTTGCTAAGGGCCATCCAAATTCCCAGGTGTAGGCAACATGACTCCGTGAGCCCAAGGGCAGGGTTCTGAAGCATTTCACATGGGCAGGCTGTTAGCAGCAAACACAAGGAGGAATCAGGGAAGAGGCACGCAGAAATCGTCAAAAGGAACCAAAGAAGTCTGTGTGAAATACACACGTGTCTTCTCTACCCTTTCTTTCATGAAATAGAGAAAAGGCAGAACAGCAGGGTGATTAAGCCTCAAGACTCGAAAGCTGTGACAGAAACTAAGTTGACCCCTGATACCCATTTTTCTTAATATAGAAGCCCTGATTGGTGGCTGAGTTTGTGGCTGCCCAGAATAGAAACCATATTTCCCAGCCTCCCTAAAACCAATGTGTTGCCAATGTGAGTTGAGAAATTGATTTGGGTATGACTCCCATGAGGTGTGTTCAAAGGAAGGGAGGCCCTTCTTTAATCCCCTTTCCTCCTGCTGCCTGAAGTATGGTCGTCCTGAAGGCTGGAGCATAAGCAGCCATCTTGAACCATGAGGCAGAGATAGGATTGCCAGGTTTAGCAAATAAAAATATTTAATTTTTTAATATTTTACAATTTTAATACTTCATTTAATTTTAAGATTTCATGTTCGGGACCAGCCTGGACAGCATGGTGAAACCCTGTCTCTACTAAAAATACATAAAATTAGCCAGGCATAGTAGGGTGCACCTGCAGTCCCAGCCACTTAGGAGGCTGAGGCGGGAGGATCACCTAAGCCAGGAGGTCAAGGCTGTGGTGAGCCGCAATTATGCCACTACACTCCAGCTCGAGTGATAGAGTGAGACCCCATCTCAAACAAGAACAAAACAATGTCATTTGATTATTTAATATTGCATGGGACACATACTAAAAAAATTATTTGTTATTTATCTGAAATTCACATTCAACTGGCTGTCCTGTATTTTATCTGGCAACCCAAGGCAGAGATCATGTGTTGAAGATGGTAGAGGAACAAGAAAGAAGAACTTGGGTGGCAGATGGTTATGGAGCTGCTGTAATGGAATTAGACTGTATACCTCAAAACATCGTAGGTTTGGGGGCTTTTTTAGAGACAGAGTCTCACTCTGTTAACCAGGCTGGAGTGCAGTGGCACAATCATAGCTCACTGAAGCCTCCAACTCCTGGTCTAAAGTGATCCTCCCTCCTCAGCCTGCCAAGTAGCTGGGACTACAGGCACACACCACAACTGGCTACTTTTTAAATTTTGTAGAGACAGGGTCTCATTATGTTGAGATCACTGGCCTCAAGTGATCCTCCCACCTTGGCCTCCCAAAGTGCTGGGATAATAGGCATGAGCCACCGCACCTGGCCCTGAATCTTTGTTTTTGTAAGAAAGGATGTCTATCTTGTTTATGCCTTACTCAGATTTTTTCTCCTGTCTCTGATAGCTGAACCCAATCTAATAAACACTAGCTCTGCCATGAACTTGTTGGGTGACCCTGGTGATGTGGTTTAGATGGTTTTTGTCCCCTCCAAATCTTATGTTGCAATGTGACCTCTGATGTTGGAGGCGGGCCTGGTGGGAGGTGTTTGGGTCATGGGGAAGGATCCCTCGTGAATGGCTTGGTGCTGTCCTTGCCGTGATGAGTGAGTTCTCACTCTATGAGTTCACACAAGATCTGGTTGTTTAAGAGAGCCTGGCACCTTCCCCCATCTCTCTCTTGCTCCCTCTCTTGCCATGTGATACACCAGCTCCCCCTTTGCTCTCCGCCATGATTGGAAGCTTCCCGAGTCCTCAACAGGAGCAGACACCAGTGCCATGCTTTTCATACAGCCTGCAGAAACGTACTTTTTTTGATAAATTAGCCAGCCTCAGGTATTCCTTTATAGCAATGCAAAACTGACTAACACACTCCAGGAAGTTACCTAACCTCCAAGTTAACATCCATTAAATGGGGGTGATCATAATCCACACCTCAGACGGCTGCTGTGAAAATTAAATGCTGCAAGCACTTCAAGTGGTCAGACATGGCTGGCAGGCCTTGGTAAGTGTTTCCTGTGATTGATTCAGTAGGAGTCCTCCCTCACTTGCAGATATGATCCCCAGCTCACCTCCACTCCTAGCAGCATTACTGGACAGCATCCTGGCTTGCATCTTTGCCCTTGAAAACCACACTCTATCTTCTCCAATGGTCAAACACTTCCTGATTTACTGAACTACCTCTTGGCATCAAGCACTGCCTCCTTAGGAAGTGGCTCCTGAATCTATTTCTTCTCAGTTAGTCTCGTGGGGGTTAAAGAAACACACACACACACACACAAAGAAACTGTGACTGAATGTGCTACATGAAGTCTTTGACGGTCTTTCTGTCTTTGCTTAGAATTAGACATGAGAAAAACCACTAGTGCATTCTCGCCTTCCCTCTAAATTTAGAAATCCGAAAACACTGTTCATTATGTCAGATATTTGGTGCCTTCCTTGTGGGCCTGGAGGTTGAGAATTAAATCTCGACACTTCCTTGCATGAGAAGAGTGTATGGAACATTAGACAGCAATCCCCAGGGACATGAGTACTTATAGGACAAGATTTTTCCTGCAAAGGGGAACCAACCAAACCAGTGTACCATCGCAGGCTTTGCAGCCACTTGCTCTGTCCCCCTCGCTGCCTGCAGGCGTCTGTTTCCAATATTTGTACCAGTTCTATGCATAAGCCCATTCAAAGTCACACAAATTCTGTCCAAAAAGCAAGGAGAGAACCCACCCAGGTCTGACAACTTGTAGCTTTCCTCCTGTCCATGTATTCTAATGGCCTGATTAGCAATTCTATTGTATTTAATTTGCACCCCGGGTAATTCACTGTCAGCCAGAAGAGCCATCATCTTGAAAAATGGCACCAAAATTAAAAACCAATAGTCAAATTTCAGTTGGAATGAGCTCTCCTGGCATAATGATGAAGCTGGATTAACTAGAGTCCAGCCCGCTAAGTGCAAACATTTTAGTTACTAATATGCTGCTGGGGAGTTTGAGCCCTGGCCTTTCTGCAGTGTGGGAAACAAGCAGCCAAGTTAGAAAATTGAGAATGAAAATTGTGTTGGTCCAGTCAAACCGTCAAGTGAAGTGGCTGTTCACCATCTCCTAGCCACTGTAGTGGTTTACTTTATTTTTTTTCTCTCTCTCTCTCTGTTTTGTTTTTGTTTTTGTTTTTTTGAGAGATGGAGGTCCCTCTATGTTGCCCAGGCTGGTCTCGAACTGCCTGGGCTCAAGCAATCCTCTTGCCTCAGCCTCCCAAAGTGCTGGGATTACAGGTGTGAGCCACTGCCCAGCTCACTGTGATGGTTTTAAACATGTCCACGAATTCTGTGGCAGTCCTCTCATCAAAGGGTGGAGGAGTCTAATCCCCTGCCCCTCCCCAAAAGCTGGCCTTCCTGACTCACATGGAATGAATAGAATACAGTGGAAGTGATGCTGCTTCCACTCTATCACTTGGAAGTGATTTCCAAGACTAGGTCATAAAAGGTGATACAGCTTTTGTCTGGTTTTGTTTTTTTTTTGTTTGTTTGTTTGTTTTTGAGATGAAGTTTCGCTCTTGTTGCCCAGGCTGGAGCACAATGGTGCGATCTCGGCTCACTGCAACCTCCACCTCCCGGGTTCAAGCGATTCTCCTGCCTTAGCCTCCTGAGTAGCTGGGATTACAGGTGCCTGCCACCATGCCTGGCTAATTTTTGTATATTTAGTAGAGACGGGGTTTCACCATGTTGACCAGGTTGGTCTTGAACTTCTGACCTCAGGTGATCCACCCTCCTCAGCTTCCCAAAGTGCTGGAATTACAGACATGAGCCACTGCGCCCGGCTGTCTGGTTCTCTTTCTTGGAAGCCGTGAGCTGATATGTAAGAAGCTCAATTGTCCTGAGCTGCCATCTTGGAAAGGCCGTGTGGCAAGACCACACAGAGAGAAGGAGGCCCAAAGAGTCCCCATCTGGTTCCACTCTGGCAGTTTGAGTCTTCCCAGCTCAGGAGGCAGACAAGTGAGTGAGATGACTCCAGCTCTAGCCACCAGGCCATTGCAACCCTAGCGACCCCTAGTGAGAACTGCCTGGCTGAGCCCAGTCAATGCCCAGATTAGTAAGCAACGTAAGTGACTGCTATGGTTTTAAGCCACTATTTTGGAGTGGTTTGTTGTGCAGTAGTAGATAAGACCACCCAGCATCCCTCAGTCTTCCTGCTTCTGCCCCTTGGTGGCAAATGAGGCCCACAGGGATCCCCGGTCAAGGGAACCCACCCCACACCCAGCCAAACCTCAGATCTACCCATTGTCTCCACTAGCCTGACCTGAAACTGAGCAAATGAGCCAGGAGTCACAGGAACAAATCCTCGCCCTACTCCTCCCTCCCTTCTGGAATTTTCCCCCACCCACGTGACAAAGACAAGTGTCTATCCCATTTGGGAGGCATGCCCTGGTTTGGGTAATAGAGGGGAAACACATGTTCTGATCCCCCTTAGAGAAGCTCATGGCCAAGCTCCTCTCCCTAAACCCCCCATTCCCAGCAGCTAAGATCTCCATCCCCACTAACACTGAACATCATAAAGAAGCAGGGACAATGTCACCATGGTGGCAACCTCCAGGGTCCAGAGTAGTGACAGTGTCCTACAGATACTATGCTAAAAAGTCCCCTCCCCCCATGTACTCCTCCACCCGAGTGTTCTTGGCTGTGAGTCCTGTTACCTTCCCTCAGGTCTGTGAACACAGTCTTCCAGAAATCCCTTTCCTATCGAAGTCAGCTATTGTTGGTTTCGGCTGCTTGAAACCAAGAAACCTAACTGAAAGCACCCTCATCTTAGCTGTGCCCAGTACACAAGTCTAAAATTAGCAAGAGGCAGTGAACTGCTCTAGGCCTCACTAGCGAAACCAGCAAAGTTACTGGGGTCCAAGACCACAGTGAACCCTAGTACATGTTCCCTTGAATTCACCAGCTTTGGCATGGAAACTAACCAGAGGTAACCTTTGCAAATAACATTTATTATAGGGTTATACAACATTACACAGGATCATCCAATAGAAACGTCTGTATTCTATCTAGACAAAATCTCCCTAGTAATAGACACACCGCACACATGCATATTCCTTCGGGTTAGAGGTAAAAGTCTACAGCACCTTACCCTCTGGGCGGGTACCTAAGACAGTCCATCACTGTTTCATAGGTCTGTGTAGCAGATGCCATCATCATTGCCTCTTACAAATCCCCTTGCTCTTAACTTCTGAGTGCATTCAGGCTCAGCTTCCCAGTGGCCATCCCTGCATTTCTTCATCTGGGGGCTTCCACCGGTTGCCAAACCACTTTGCCTGCCCCTGCGGCAGGCTGTAAGTGTGGGAGTTAATGCCCCCTGAGAACAACCCCCAGGAAATGGCTGATACAAATTGGTGGATAAACACCCTAGCCTCCTTACCTCTCAGGTGGGATAACTCAGAAGCCTGTGTTTTACACTGTCTCCCCCAAAGGAAAGGGGTCGTATTCACTGTCTTAGTCTGCGAGGGCCAGCATAACAAAGCACCACACAACTGGGGTCTTTAACAACATAAATGTATTTTCCCACAGCTCTGGAGATTGGAAGTTCAAGATCAAGGTGTCAGCAGGGTTGGTTCCTTCTGAGGCCTCTCTTCTTGGCTTGTAGATGGCTGTCTTTTCCTTGCGTCTTCACATGGTCTTCTCTCTGTGCATGTCTGTGTCCTAATCTCTTCTTAAAAGGACACCAGTCACATTGGATTAGGGCCCAACCTAACGACTTCATTTTAACTTAATTACCTGCTTAAGGACCCTGTTCCCAAATAAGATGACATTCTGAGGTCCTGGCATTTAGGACTTCAACACATGAATTTGGGAGGGGGACAGAATTCAGCCATAGCAGTTTCGCACAGGAGTACCTGGCTTGATCGTGCACCCTTCGTTAGCTGTCCTGCCTTACACCTGCACGCCCTTGCTGGCGTTTCTTTCTCCAAGGCTTGATTCTGTGAGAACCCAAATGAAGACAGTATGGACACTCCCTCCCTTGCACCAGCCCCCGCCTAGGGTGTCACTGTCACTGTGGACCTGATCTACTGCCGAATTCTCATCAGAGCAAGTCTGGAGTTCCCATTCAGCCTATACTCTGTGGTGGGAACAAGTGCCATAAAGCTCTAGGAGCTCAGGGGTCTTACACTCTGCAGTGAAGAATTCCCTGTATGTGATTGGTTCTCTTGGCAGTTTTGCTCTTTACACTTTTGCTGTGATTGGCTGCATGTAAATTTGCTAAGCCTAATGCATTGATCCTAGTTATGATTAGTGCACATGCCAGTTCTGCACCACACACCCACCCAGCTGGCTGTAGGTTTGATATGGATATGCAGATTAAGCAACTCTAATTTGTTAGTGCTAATAAGATTCCGGACACAGACAGCCCTCCTGTGTGGTGTTGTTAAGGTGCTGAGACCAGAACCCAATTTATACACTCACATACTCCCATAGAGACCATCCCAGCACACTCAGGAGCCAGACCCATTGGGTTGAGAAACAGTGACAGAGTCAAGACATCTGGGGGCCTGGTGGCATTTCCTACCTTTATATTGGTTGATTGGGTATCACATCTCCCCAGCCTGCCAGTGTGACCCTGCTGTTATGACCAAGAGACCTTGTTCTACAGCACCACCACCACCTCACAACTGTGCCACGTGATACAGTTTACAGAGTGTCTCCTCCTGCCTCAGCTTCTTTGCGACAAGTCTGCAAACTGATGGAACAGAAATTGTCCTCATCACATCATCATCCTTGATATATTTCTATTTTACTCCTGAGGGCTCAGAAACGCTCTCTGCCCCACTGCTCAAGGGCTACGTTACTGAAACTAGAGTTGTAGCCTCTGGTCTCTACACCTGCTGGGGCTCAGGACACACCACCCCAAAACATGACTGTAGGAAACCAGAAAATGCCACCCCAAAATATACCTCTTTGGCATATTGATTATTTCAAGCTGGTTAGTTTGAGAAACTGCAGACACAGCAATAGCTCTGAAAAACTCCCATTTTGTAAAGGACATTTTCATTAGTAAAAGTATCAGTAGCGGGAAGAGAGCTGCTCAACTTTTATCACCTGAGAGACTTTTATCTGCATAACAAGGCAACCTTTATTCTCCGGACATTTCTTCTTCTCACCCGCCCAAAATTTCTCTCCAGCACTCCCCAAAAGCCTGGAACCCCTATTCTTTTCTGTAGCTCATGATACGATGCAAGCTTCCATCATCTGGCCCTTCTTTGGGTCTCATGGCTTTATGGGACTCCCATACGAATGTGTATAATTAAAATGTGTATAATAAAAATTTTTCTCCTGCTAATCTGTTTCATGTCAATTTAATTCATAACCCAGCTAAAGAATCTAGGTGGGTGCAGGGAAGCATTTTTCCCTCCCCAACAATGCCTTGCACCCTGCTTCGACAAACACGCGGCTGGCAATGCTGAGGCAGCCCCAGTCTCCGCTCCCTCTGCTCCATGCCCTGGGGAGTAGCCTTGGCAAGGTGGGTGGGGTGGGGCCCCGGACTCTCGAAGGTTCTGCAGCCTCACTCACACACCGGCCTGATTCCATCTCTCCCCAACCCCAGTGTGGTTTTCAGTTGGGGCTTTTCCCAAATCCTGACCTTGGCCTCTCCTAGAGGCCCAGCTGTTTCCAATTGCAGGAGCTGAGGTGGGGGTGGGCAGGAAAGGTCCTATTCCCACCAAGTCTCAACGTAGCAAGGAAATGGCAGGCCCTGACAGAGCTGTGCTCAGAGCACTTTGGTGCCTCAGATGGATTTATTCAAAGTTCATAATTACCCTGAAATCTCCTAAAATGAAAACATGATTGAAGAATTAAACCTGGTAAACAAATTAGTCAGAAAGAAAACCTCCACATAGCAAATGACAAAATCCAAAAAATCCAATCCAGCAAATGAATGGGCTTGTGCTGTAATTGGTGGCCGGCACTGCACACAAGCCTGGGCCCTGGCAGACAGGACTGGGGAGCAGCTGGCCCCCTGCTGCAGGGGAGCCTGGACCTTGGGGATGGTGTGGTCAGTCAGGTGGCCAAGACCTGGGGAGGAATGTGGCTGGAGCCTCTAGTCCACCGCAGCTGCGTGGGAAGTTGTGACTGCAGCTGGGCTCCACCGAAGCCCACGTTCAGGGGCTGCGAGCCTCTCTCCGGCTGGGGCTGGAGGGAAGACAGCTGTGGAAGGCCTGAGGGATGCTTTCTCATGCTGAGAGGGGCTGCTTCCATTTTCTGTGGCCCCCTCCCCACCTCACCTCATCTCTCAGAACCACCGGGAATTGGGGTGAGGGGAGGGTTTGCGCACAAGAGATCTTCTCTTTTTTTTGTTTTTTTGTTTTGTTTTGTTTGGAGATTTGTTTTTGTCTCTCAATCTGATCTATTTCTCAGGAACTGCTAACCCCCAATTTGAGGCTTTCTCTCTCCCAGTAAGGAGAGGTGTCCTGGTTACTGTTGCTGTGTGACAAGCTACCCCCAAACTAAGTGGCAGAAAACAACCATTTGATTAGACTCACAGATTCCGAGGGTCAGGAATTCAGCCAGGGGACAGCAGGGACTGCTTATCTCTGCTCCATGATGTCTGGCGTCTCAGCTGGGAAGACTCCATGGCTGGGGGCGGGGCTGGAATATGTGGAGGTCTCTTCACTCACAGGCCTGGGGGACGATGCTGGCTGTCAATGGGATCCCAGCTAGACTGCAGATCAGAACATCTAAAGGTAAACTATCTGGGCAGTGGTGGGCACCTGTAGTCCCAGCTACTCAGGAGGCTGAGGCAGGAGAATCGCTTGAACCCGGGAGGCAGAGGTTGCAGTGAGCCAAGATCACGCCATAGCACTTCAGCCTGAGCAACAGAACAAGACTCCATCTCAAAAAAAAAAAAAAAAAAAGAAAAGAAAGAAAGAACACCTACAGGTGACCTCTCCATGTGACCTGGGTTTCCTCCCAGCGTGGTTGTTGCAGGGCAGTCAGACGGCTCATATGGTAGCTCAGAGCTCCAAAGGTAAATGTTTCTTCGAAAAAGGCAGTCACTGCATCATAGTTTCTGACCCACCATTGGAAGTCACGTGGCATCCCTTCGCCACGTTCTTTGGGTTACAAGTGAGTCACAAGCCCACCCAGATTCAACGGGCATGGCAGAGATGCCACATTTTGGTGGGAGGAGTGTTAAAGAATTTGTGGACAGGTTTTAAAACCACCACAAGGGATTCCTACTGGTGCAGCCCTTCTCAACAAGATCCTATCACACTGAAGTGACAACTATCCTTTTTCTTGGGTTCTGACCCCTGTTCTGCCTCATGAGACCCGTAGTGGGTTGAATGGTGGCCCCACAAAACCTATGACCGTGTCCTAATCCCCAGAACCTGTGCGTGTGACCTTATTTGGAAAAAGGGTTTTTGCAGATGCAATTAAGGATCTTGAGATGAGATGATCCTGGATTATTCAGGTGGACCTTAAATCCAATGACAGGGGTCCTTATAAGAGACACATAGAGGAAAAACACATGGAGAGAAGGTGGCAAGAAGACGAAGGCAGAGATTGGAGTGATGCAGCCACAGCCACGTAACACCTGGAACCCCCAGAAGCTGGTCAAGGCAGGGAAGGATCCTCCCCGAGAGCCTCCAGAGAGGGTGTGACCCCGCCGGCACCTTAATTTCAGACTGCTGGCCTCCAGAACAGCGAGAGAATCCATGCCTGTTGTCAGCCACCTAATCTGGGGTACTTTGTTCCAGCAGCCCCAGGAAATGAATGCGCCATCCATGGAACCCTGGCCAAGTGGCCTTCCTTCACTGAGTCTCAGTGAAATAGGGATAAATGAAATGGAGATAAAAATAGTATCTGCCTCCTCCGGCGGTTGGGAGGATTAGGGAGATAAGCTGTGGGAAGTGCTTAGCCTAGTACCTGGCAGTATTCTAGCATGGTTGCTATTAACAGAGTCCGGAGAAACAGATGGAGGGCCATTAAAATGAAACAAAAACAGATTGGAAAGACAATGGAATGAAAAACAAAAGCGGGTGATGCTGTATCTACTCTCTCTAAGGGCTCTATGCCCCCTGCCTCAGACTCAGGTGTGCCCAGGACCACAGGAGCCACTCCTTCACAATGACATGGCCCACCCTGCCGGCTCTCTCCTTTGCTGCCTGTCCACAAGGATGGTTCTCTGCTCCCCTGGCCTGACAGTCCTGGCTGGCGTGGTCGCTGCTGCCGGGCATTCTTGGCCCTTGAGGTGTCTGCAACATCTTCACTCCTCAGCTAGACCGTCGTCATCTCCGGGGCAGGAGCTCTGCTTCTCCCTTTAAGCTACTAATACCATTGCTGGCCGGGCGCAGTGGCTCACCCCTGTAATCCCAGCACTTTTGAAGGCCGAGGCGGACGGATCACCTGAGGATGGGAGTTCGAGACCAGCCTGACCAACAATGGAGAAACCCCGTCTCTACTAAAAATACAAAAAAAATTAGCCAGGCGTGGTGGTGCGTGCCTGTAATCCCAGCTACTTGGGAGGCTGAGGCAGGAGAATTGCTTGAACCTGGGAGGCGAAGGTTGCCGTGAGCCGAGATCACACCATTGCACTCCAGGCTGGGTAACAAGAGTGAAACTCCGTCTCAAAAAATAAAAATAAAAAAATAAAGATACCATTGCCATATAGAGCAAACACGATTGTTTGTCAAAGCTGGGTGATGGGATCATGGGAGATCAGTACATTATTCTGGCTACTTTTGTATATGTTCGAACTTTTCCACAATAAAGCATTAAAAAAAAATTGCCAACTGTCTCAGGGTGGGTTCCTCATGAAGCAGACTCAAGAGATGCAGTTTAAGGAGCAGGGGGTTTATTAGGGAGATCCTGTGGCACCATGACCTGGGGAAGGGAGGGGAAGAGAGCAGGATTGGACAGAGGGAGCTGACAGCCTCTGCTGACCGCCAGACCCTGGGGAGCCCTGCAGCTAGGATAGCCCTTCAGTGTTGGAGAGCTGGACTCCTTTCCTACGGCTGCAGAACCAATGACCACTTACTTACGGGCTTACAACACATTTATTCTCTTACAGTTCTGGAGATCAGAAGCTAAAAATCAAGGTGTCAGCTGGGCTGATTCCTTCAGGAGGCTCTGGGGAGAATCCATTTCCTTGCCCTTTCCAACTTCTAGAAGTCACCTGCATCCCTTGGCTTGTGGCCCCTTCTTGCACGTCCAAAGCCGGCCATCACATTCACTCTGACCTCTGCTTGTGTTGTCATGTCTTCTTTTCTGACTCTGATCTTCCTACCTTTCCCTTATAAGGACCCTTGTGATGACATGGGGCCAGCCAGGGTAATGCCAGACAATTTCCTCATCTCTGGATCCTTAACTTAATCACACCTGCAAAGTCCCTTTTGCCCTGTAAGGTAACGAACACATTCACAGGTTCTGGAAACTAGGACACGGCCGTCTTGGCGGGAAGGAGGAGAAATTATTCAGCCCACCATAGAGTTGTCCAGATATGTCCAGAGGTGACTAAGCCTTTATTCCCCCATATTAAAAGGTCATTGGAAGAGTGTGACTTTGAGCAAGGCACTCTCTGTAGCTGAGGCAGACCCTGAAGGTGCCAACAGCTGGAGGGGGCCCCTGAAAGCACCCCCGCAAAGTGGGACAGCAAGTCCTTCCTTGAAGGGGGTCTGGGTGACATCTCACAGCCCCTACTGCAGCACTCCAGCCTCAAATCCTAGCACAGTAATCGATACCACATAGGCTCTTAACCTTGGGCTTTAGGTGCATAAGTTGTCACCAAGAGGCTTGCCCTCAGAGGACTCCCCAGGAATAGATCATAATGACAATGGCACCCCCTGACTGAGCACATGCCACCTACCAGGACCTGCACTAAGCCCTGTACTTGCACTACTTCACTGAGTGCCCACCCCAACCCTGTTACTCTTCTGATTTATTTGTACAGAGAAGGAAACCAAGGCTCAGGAAGATGAAGTCCTTTGCCTGAGGTCACACAGCCACAGTAAAGGCAGGACTCAAACCCATGTCCTTCTCGCTGTTCAACACTGTGACATAATCCAACCAAAGTGATGCAGCTATGCATGGAATGAACAGGAAACTCAAAGACCAAAAGGGTCCCTTCCACTGTCACTAGGCCTTGCATTGTCAATCTGGGTGTGTCCTCAAGTGACTCTGCCAAAATCTCTCCAGGTAGAGGGTGGTCCTCATCCTGTCCCCGCCTCACCAGCTGGCATAGAGAGCTGCACCATTGTCTTTAAGAGATTCTCATGTATTTCTTCTAGTGGGAATGAGAAAAGGTGCAGCCACTGTGGAAAATGGCGTGGCAGTTCCTCAAAAAGTTAAACATAGAATTACCATATGATCCAGCAATGCCACTTCTGGGCATATATCCCAAAGAACTGAAAGCAGGGATTCCAACAGATATTTGTACACTCTTGTTCATAGCAGCCTTATTCATAATAGCCAAAAGGTGGAAGCAACCCAAATGTCCATAAACAAACAAAATGTGGTATACTCATACAATGGGCTATTAACCTTAAAAAGGAAGAAAATTCTGATACATGCTACAACATGGATGAACCTTCAAGACAGTATGCTAAGTGAAAGAAGCCATGGGCTGGGCGCCGTGGCTCACGCCTGTAATCCCAGCACTTTGGGAGGCTGAGGCAGGCAGATCACCTGAGGTAAGGAGCTGGAGACCAGCCTGGCCAACATCGCGAAACCCTGTCTTTACCAAAAAAATACAAAAATTACCCGGACATGGTGATGCGTGCCTGTAGTCCCAGCTACTCAGGAGGCAGAGGCAAGAGAATCACTTGAACCTGGGAGGGAGGTGCAGGTTGCAGTAAGCCAAGATTGCACCACTGCACTCCAGCCTGGGCACCACAGAGAGAGACTCCATCTCAAAAAAATGAAAGAAAGAAGCCAGACATGAAAGGACAAATACTGTATGATTCCACTTATATGAAATACCTAAGTAGTCAAGTAGACACGGAAAGTAGACTGGAGGCTACCAGAGCCTGGGGTAAGGGGGCAGCAGGGAGCTTCTGTTCAAAGGGTCCTGAGTTTCTGTTTGGGAAGATGACAAAGTCCTGGAAATGGATGGCGCTAATGGTTATAGAACAATGTGAATGTTTATGTTATATATATTTAACCAAGATTTAAAAATAGAGTTTTTTTATTGACACAGAGTCTTGCTCCGTCACTGAGGCTGGAGTGCAGTGGAGCAATCTTGGCTCACTGCAACCTCCGCCGCCTGGGTTCAAGCGATTCTTGTGCCTCAGCCTCCTGAGTAGCTGGGAACACAGGCACCCACCACCACACCCAGCTAATTTTTAAATATTTTTAGTAGAGATGGGGTTTCACCATGTTGCCCAGGCTGGTCTCGAACTCCTGACCTCGGGTGATCTGACCGCCTCGGCCTCCCAAAGTGCTACAATTACAGGTGTGAGCCACCACGCCCAGCCTAAAAGAAAGAGATTTTTTACTCTTCTACTACAACTAACACCAGAACCAATGTCCCAGCCAGCCCTTTCCTCATCCCTCTCTCCCTTTTCCTCTGAGCCTATGTCACGTGGACTGCAGCAAGATGGAGCCCCCAACGCCCGAGGGTGGGATTCAATTGGTCTCCCTTTGACTCTACTCATATCAGCGTCCTCCTTGGCCACAGGTGGGCCCAAGGCCCCTCTGGCACAGTGGTGTATACCTAGTGGGTCCTTGGAAAAATTGTGACAGACGTGGTAGGTGCCTAAGCATACACCCTAGGTACTCACTTTCATATCTCCAGCTGTTTGCATGGGGGTGGCCCTGGCTGCAGGGCAGGCTGGGAGGGCCAAGGAATCATCAACCCCAGGCAACAGCCCTTAACTCATGAGTGATGGGACAGGAGGATAAATGCCCCAGCCCCTCAAGTGAGACGACTCTGGGGCAAATTCCTTGCTGGTTCCCAGGGGACCCTGGCAGGATTAAGGCTGTTTCCCACCTGCCATTCACTCGCCCTCTACAGCTCTGCTTCCCTTCCTTATCTCTGTCCCCTGTGCCCCTGCTGGTGTCTCTGGGGATCATCCCTCAAATAAACTCCTTGCACTCAGGGTCTGCTTCTGGGGGAACCCACACTAGGAAGAAATACATCACAGAGAACATACCAGACTTGATCTGGTGAAATATCAGAAACCAGATACATGGTTGTTGACATGTGAAGCCTAGTGTATTAGTCCGTTTTCACACTGCTATAAAGGACTACCTGAGACTGAGTTAAACTTATGAAGAAGAGAGGTTTAATTGACTCACAGTTCTGCAGGCTTAACAGGAAGCATGCCTGGGAGGCCCCAGGAAACTTACAATCATGCCAGAAGGTGAAGGGGAAGTAAGCACATCTTACCATGGAGGAGCAGGAGAGAGAGAGAGAGAAAAGGGGGAAGTGCCACACACTTTCAAACAACCAGATCTCATGAGAACTCACCCACTATCATGAGAACAGCAAGGGGGAAGTCCGTCCCCATGATTCATGCACCTCTCACCAAGCCCCTTCCCTGACACGTGGGGATTACAATTCGACATGGGATTTGTATGGGGACACAGAGCCAAACCATATTACCTGGGCAGAGACTGCATCTTCAACTGCCATGGAAAAGGAGATGGGCATTTCTTCTCTTTCACTCTTTCTGTCTCTCACTCTCCTTTATCTCTTCAACTTCATCTCTGCCACCCCCTCCAGCACATTCCACAATACAATGTCCACTCATTCTCTGAATTACTTACAGTTCTCTGCTCTTTCAAGTCTCCATTCCTTTCCACAGGTAGTTTTCTCTGCTGAAATGACCTTTCCCCCTTTGTCCACCTGGAAAACTCCTATTCAGCCTTCAAAACCCAGGTCAGATATCCCTTCAGGAAGCCTTCCTTGACTCTTCCCATCCCAGGAAGCAATTTACTCCCTTCACCTGTCACCTCTGTGCTTCTTCACTTAGTGTTGTAATTGAATTTGTTTCCTGTCTCCAACACGACATCCTCCCCACAAACAACACAGTGAGTTCCTTGAATGAAGAGCCTGCTATATTTCTAGCATCTGGAACACACAATGCTTAGCACATATTAGAAACTCAGTGTTGAAATTTAATAATGCTTATTCCCTTTTTATTCTGCATGAGAAATTTGAAAAATGTGTATTAGAAAGGTAGTCCTTTTACATGCCTGTAATCCCAGCACTTTGGGAGGCTAAGGCAGGAGGATCACTTGAGGTCAGGAGTTCGAGACCAGCCTGGCCAACATGGTGAAATCCTGTCTCTACTAAAAATACCCAAAAAAAAAAAAAAAAAAAAAAATTAGCCTGGCATGGTGGCCGGTGCCTGTAATCCCAGCTACTCGGGAGGCTGAGACAAGAGAATCGCTTGAACCCAGGAGGCGGAGGTTGCAGTGAGCTGAGATCGCCCCACTGCACTCCAGCCTGGGCGACAGAGCAAGATTCTGTCTCAAAAAAAAAAAGAAAAGAAAAGAGAGAAAGAAAGGAAGGAAGGAAGGAAGGAAGGAAGGAAGGAAGGAAGGAAGGAAGGAAAGAAAGAAAGAAAGAAAGAAAGAAAGAAAAAAGAAAGAAAGAAAGAAAGAAAGAAAGAAAGAAAGAAAGAAAGAAAGAAAAGTAATCTTTTTAAGACCTAAGTTGAATCATGTCACCCCTTTGCTCAACACCCTGCATTGGCTCCCCATTTTACTCTAAGTAAAAGCCAGAGTCCTGCCAATGGCCATCAAGATGGTACGATCATCTGCCCCAGCCCTCACCTCTGGGCCTGCATTTCCCATTTTCCTTCTCCCTCTGCCCCAGCCAAGATCTCCTTGCTATTTCTGAGGCGTTCCAGACAATCCTGCCTTAGGGCCTTTGCACCCTCAGTTCCCCTGCCTGAACCACTATTACTCCAGATAATTAGCCTGGTCTAATTTCTCACCTCCTTCAAGCCTTTGCGCCAATGTCACCTTCTTCATCTTCTTCTACTTTTTTTTTTTTTTTTTTTTTTTGAGACAGAGTCTCACTCTGTCGCCCAGGCTGGAGTGCAGTGGCGAGATCTTAGCTCACCGCAACCTCCGCCTCCCGGGTTCATGCCATTCTCCTGCCTCAGCCTCCCGAGTAGGTGGGACTACAGGCGCCCGCCACCATGCCCGGCTAATTTTTTTTATTTTTAGTAGAGATAGGGGTTCACTGTGTTAGCCAGGATGGTCTCAATCTCCTGACCTCGTGATCCGCCCACCTCAGACTCCCAAAGTGCTGGGGTTACAGGTGTGA
The DNA here is from genome assembly GCF_000001405.40 of Homo sapiens. NCBI lineage: Eukaryota > Metazoa > Chordata > Mammalia > Primates > Hominidae > Homo > Homo sapiens. The sequence continues at coordinate 40,302,036 of NC_000023.11, read as the reverse complement.
GCCACCACGCCTGGCCCTTCATCTTCTTTTAATTTTATTTTATTTTATTTTTTGAGACAGAGCCTCGCTCTGTTGCCCAGGCTGGAGTGCAGTGGCACAATTGCTGTTCACTGCAACCTCCACCTCCCGGGTTCAAGCAATTCTCCTGCCTCAGTCTCCCGAGTAGCTAGGACTACAGGCACATGCCACCACGCCCAGCTAATTTTTGTATTTTTAGTAGAGACAGGGTTTCACCATGCTGGCCAGGCTGGTCTTGAACTCCTGACCTCAAGTGATCCACCCTCCTCAGCCTCCCAAAGTGCTGGGATTACAGGCGTGAGCCACCACGCCCAGCTGATGTCGCCTTCTTGATAAGACCTCTCTGACCGCCCTATCAATACAGCCACCACCCCCGGCTCACTTGCCCAATCCCCCGCTTCCCCTTCCATCCTTTTACTTTTGTCCATAGCACATCTCTCCTTTTTTAGCAGATGAGAAAATTTACTCAGTGATTACATTTCCTGTTCCCACTCCATGAGAGATGAAATCTTGTATCCATCTTGTTCACTGATATATCCCCAGTGCCTGGACCAGCTCCTAGCACATGATAGGCACTCACTAAATGTTTGTTCAACGAATGAACCTAGGTTATCCATCCCTCTTGGATTAGGAAAAACAGTTTCCCCAAGGCCTGTCATTCTGGAGATGAAAGTATAAAAGCAGCCAGAGCTCCCCATTTGTCTGCCCCCATCCCGAGGGAATCTCAGAGCAGGGGTGTCCCTCCCCGCTAGAGTTTCTCTCCTGAAACGGTCCTCCATCTCCCAGACAACTGTGTTCTTACAAGGAAATTCTCCCCTCGCAGACACACAGTTGCCCTGCACATTGTCAACTCCCTGAGCAGGGCCCAGAGAACTATGGTGTTAAGACAGAGGGACGACAGCCCCAGGGACAGGCCAGCCAACACCCCCATGGCCTGTATTGATGGCAAGGAGGTGTCCTGTCCTGTAATGTGCCCAGTAATAAACATACATCCCTTCTAGTTTCGGGCTTAGCTGCCTGCCTGCACAGCCTGAACAGGAGCCCATCAATGGCAGAGGGTACATTCTGAGCAATTAAGGAAAATTCCACAGGTTCTCCGCAATAAGCACTTACACGGGAATGCCTACTCTTTTCAAAGGAAAAAGAAAGAATGCTCGTAATGATCCCTCTCTTTACTGGGTGAAGTTCTAGGCGACCGGGCAGGACCTGTATCTAATTAGATACCCAGAGAGCGTGATTCACCGCCCATCATTTACAAGCATATCAAGATTTCAGGTTTTGCAACTGAGGCTCAAAATGAAACCATTTGGGTTTCGCAGACCTGCTGCAGCGTGCTGGCTTCGGCTTCGAACTGGTGATTTAGTAAACAACCTGGAGGGGGGAAACCCAGCTACCCTTCACCAGGCAAGGCTTGCCTGGCCCAGCTTGGGGAGCAGAGGCGGCAGCTGGAGAGCAGGGAAGGGTTTCTGAGCAGAGAGGACACAGGGGTGGTGGGGGTGATGTGGGTGGCAGTGAAGGGATGGCTGGCCGATCAAAGGGCCCCCTCAGGCCAAACCCATGGAAAAGGCTTTGATCTCCTAATCACATCTATTTATCTTGGGTCCAGCCTGAGACAAAAGAACCGCCCTGAAGGGCCGGCCTTTGAGGGCAAGCCTCGCTCCTGAGCTTCTCTGTGGGTTACTGAGACCTTGGGCAACCAAGAAGGCAAATCTGGGACCCCTGAGGCCCAGGCGGACCCTGGCCGGCTGGCAACGGGGAGAGGGGGATCGAATGCACTGGAACCAGGCCTGGAAAACCAAACATGATGGCCAGATCTGAAGTGACAGCCAGATGCAGAGAAGACAGCAGCACCATCAACGGGGTTTACTTGTCATCCAAGTTCTCTGACTGGGGTATTGGAGACTGGGGACTGAGAGGAAAAGAGAAGCAGAGTTCCGTGATCTTTCATTCACATCTCATAATATCAGCAGCAAGAACAGTAATAGCATTTACTTCATGCCTGGCACTGTTCTTAATACTTCCCCTTTATTAACCCAGAGCTATGCTATCATCGTGCCCATTTTACAGATGAAGAGACCGAGGCACGGAGCGGTTACGTGACTCATGCGCGGTTACACAGCTGACATATGCTGGAGCAGGAGACTTCACCTTCCGTTTCCTCCTTTCCTGCCTCCTGACCTCTGAAATGGAGGGGCAGAAACAGGACCTAATGGACCCAGGCTCTTCCTCTAATGCTCTCTGGGTCTCTGCTTGCTCATTTCTTTTGTCAAATGTGATAACAAACCTCCTCCCCAAAGCCCCCGACAGGGGTGTTTTGAAGCTTGAAAGGTACAGTAAATGTGAAAGTGTTAATATCAACCAAACCAAAGTGCTAGGCAAAGTGAGAGTCTCCTGTTTTTTCTTTCCTCTTCGGACTCCTCTTGGCTTCCTGCAAATCAAAGTTATGAGAGGGGTGCGGTGGGAGTAGCTTAAGGAGCAGAGCTGGCTGGCAAGAGGGGGTTGAGGTGTGGGAAAAAGCCGCTGGGGTCTTTTCCTGGCTGGAAAGGGGCTGGGAAGCGACTCTCCTTTTAGGACCTAGCAGGGGAACCATTCGTCTTATAACTCCAGGAGGCGCCATTCACATAGGATACAATGCTAATGGTGACCCCTGGAGTCATTCCACATGCCCATCGGGCTGGGTGCTAGAAAATTCTAGAAAGGACACTTCTGCCTAGGGAACAGCCCCAGCCCTGACCGCGGTCCCTGGCCGTGGAGAGCAGGAGCTGAAAGGCCTGAGGTGTTGGAGCTGGGGGCCGTGGTAGGGAAAGGGCAGAGGCTAAGGGAGGGATCGGGGAGGCCAGGGCTGGCAAAGTGGGGTGGGGGCAGGCGTTAGAGAAAAGCTCAGGGAAGCTCCCTCCCCCACCCGCGCCCCGCCCCCGCCCGGGCTGTGGGAGGGAGACCCTGACCACATCAGGGGTGTGTGGCGAGGAAATGAGGCCTCCTCAGGAACGAGCTGCAAATGAGAACCGTATGGAGTTTCGGGATCCCCGAAGGAACACAGGGAAAGGATACAGTTGCGTCCATGGGAAAGTTATTATCATCTCCGCTGAAGTTAAACATTCGGGAGGGTCTGCTTTCCATCTCCTCCGCCTGAGAGCCTGTGAAGGGGGAGGCGCGTCGGGGGCTTGTCCGGAGGGCCTGGCCGGTCACATTTTCCGAGGGGAGTCAGGGACAGGGAGAGGCTGTTAGAGGCAGCCAGGGCCCTGAGGAGGTCCTCTGAGCCTCCAGCCTGTGCTCCTGCCCTGCGTCTGCCTCGCTCTTTCTCCAGTGCTGAGAAATCCATTGCTCCTCTCTCCTGCTCGGGGCTGCGCTCTGCAGGGGTGTCAGGGCTGCGCTCTGCAGGGGTGTCGGGGCTGGGCTTCACCTCTGCAAGTTCCTGGGCAGATGGAGAGGGGGAGGAAAGAGAGGCCCTGGCCCCTGAACAGGAAAGCTGGAAATGTGGAACTCAGGGAGATCTAAAGGAAGAATTCGGGCTTCTGGAAAATTCTCCCTCTCCTCAAAATGTACTAGAAATGGAAGTGAGTCAGGCAGAGCGGCGGGAGGACCTGTCTTCCAGGAGCTGGGCTCACCGGTGCTTACTAGTGACCTTTGAGATAATAAATCTGCCCCAGAAAATTATCTTCCTGCTGCAGCTGCCCTTAGAGGTCAGGGAGAAGGTGGACTTTCAGGTTTCACGGGGAACAAGTGTTCCAGGCCGAGGACACCGCAGCCTCCAAGCCTTCAAAGCCTGAACACCTTCTCAGGCCCCTCAGAGGCCCCTGCCTCAGAGATGGGTCCCTTCCTCCTCCTCCTCTGCCGAGGGATTTGTGATTCTCTGAGCACAAAGGGCAGAAGACTGCCTGCCTGCCTGCCTCACAGCTCCTCCCTACCCTCTGGCCCCTATCCTCATTGAAGTTTTCTGGAGTTTTCTCTCATGAGTAAGAATGAGGAAAGACAGGAGATTTATAAAGGCTCTTTTCTGACACTCATCTCCCCTAATTTTCTGGACAGACAGAAGTCCACTTGGGTGCCAATGAGGATCAGTCCAAGCCAACAATGCCCAGCCTCAGAGGGTCACCCAGGGCACTCCTCCAGGGACACGAAGGGGACCTCAGTTGTGGTGGAGCAGGTTGCTCCTTCCTCCCCACTGTCAAGCCATGTAACCTCTCAGACCAGTTTTCTCACCTGTCAAACTGAGGAGAGCAACACTGATGGCCAGAATGGTTTTCAGGATTAGCTGACAAAACACATCGAGCCCATGGAAGGTGCTCACCAAATGAAGCTTCCTTTTCCATCTGCATCCCTGACTCTGGACCAGCCCTGAGGAGACATGGGCATTGAGGACTGGCATGGAAATGAATTAGCACTTGAGTTCAGGTGCTAATAACAGAGACCTAACTACAGAGGCTTACACAAATCTGAGGGGGGTTTTGTTTTGTTTTGTTTTGTTTTGTTTTTTTGAGAAGGAGTCTTGCTCTGTCACCCAGGCTGGAGTGCAGTGGCGCAGTCTCGGCTCACTGCAACCTCCACCTCCCAGGTTCAAGCGATTCTCCTGCCTCAGCCTCTCGAGTAGCTGGGACTACAGGCATGCGCTACCATGCCTAGCTAATTTTTTTAATTATTATTATTTTTAGTAGACACGGGGTTTCACCATGTTGACCAGGCTGGTCTCGAACTCCTGACCTCAAGCAATCCACCCGCCTCGGCCTCCCAAAGTGCTGGGAATACAGGCGTGAGCCACCACACCCAGCCAAATCTGAGGTTTAATGTCTGATAAAATGAAGTCCAGAGGTGGGCAGTTTGGGGTTGGTATGGTAGTCACCAGGGACCCAGCCTCCTTGGATATTTCTGTTTTGCTTTCATTAGCATGGAGCTTCCATCTCCAAGATGACAAGATGGCTACTAGAGCTCCAACCATCATCATTCCAGGCAGACAGGTTTAGGAAGAAGAACCGCAAAGGGCAAAAGGGATCCTCCCAGCTCAAGGAGCCTCTTTGAAGGTTTGCCCTTATATGTCGTCAGCCACCTCTAAGCTTCAAGTGAAGCTGGGGGTATAGTCTTTTAGCTAAACACAGTGCTGCCCCTAATAAAACCCAAGGAGGATGCAGAGAATGCAGAGCTGACATTCACAGGTACAGTGGAATAGTTGTTAAAATATTGAAATATTTTTACTGATAATAAATGGCTCCTTCCCCAAGCCTCTCCTTCAATATCTCTCCTTGTGGCTCGGGCCCCTCCTCTATCTCCCCATGACCCAGCAACAGAAGGATCAATGCCTGGCGCAGCAGAGGGTTCGGCACTAAGTAGGCATCTGCTCTGATGGGCCACTGCCTATCCTATACAGTGGCGAAAATATTTGAAACATCACCCTTGGAAGAATGGGTTCCAGGCAAGTGAATAGCTCAAACAAGGGTTTCTAGCAGCTGCTCAGGAAAAAAGGGAAAGGAAATGAGTGATAGCTCAAAGGACACAGCACTTCTACTGAGCAAGGCCTAGTCTGCTCTCTAGGACAAGAGCAACCTTAGAACTGGGTCCCATGCTGCAGAGGCCCCTGCTCTGGCCACCCCGGTGGGCACGTAGTCTACAGGACGAAAGGGACACCCGCCTGGAGCCCGTTTTCCCCTTCTGGAAACACTCTGGGATCCTAAGACCCAGAATTCCCTACCTGAAAGCCCTAAGCTCACTATCAGGGGATTCCCAGGCCTCCCCATGTCCCAAGGGGGCATGTCACTGTCTGTTCACACCCTATCTTAGTCCTGTTCTGCTGCTATAACACAAGATACCTGAGACAAGGTAACTGATAAAGAATGGAATTTTATTTTCTCACAGTTCTGGAGGCTGGGAAATCAAAGATCTGGGCACCCACAGATTCAGTGTCTGATGAGGGCTGCTCTCTGCTTCCCAGATGGCACCTCTTGCTTTGGCCTCCCATAACAGAAGGGACAAACAGCTCCCTCACACCTCTTTGATAAGGTCACAGTCCCATTCATGTAGGCTCTGCCCTCATGACTTAATCACCTCCTAAAGGCCCCACATCTTAACACCATCCCATTGATGATTAAGTTTCAACATACGAATTTGAGAGGGACACATTCAAACCACAGCCCTCCCTTAAGTCGGAGTGGTAGCCAAGACATGACTGTTTAGAGGGGAGGTGTTTGGGGTAGAGGGAGGGAATCAGACAGAGCAGAGACATTTGGGCCAGTGGGGGAGATGCATGTATGCACACAAGGCCTCTCCCAGTGGGAGACAGAGCCTCAGAGGTAGGACAAGAAAAGGGAACAGACGGGCCAGGAGCCGGCTCTCCCCACGCTGCTGTGCTCCCATGCAGAACCATGGGGGAATCCAAGCAGTCTAAATTCAAACCTAGCCTTTCCTATCACTGTGAAGTTATATTCATCAACAGATTGGACATAATGGTTTGGAAGCTTTATTTTAGTCTTTAAACATTTACAGCATTCTTTGGGGGAGGGAGTCCCGAATTTTCATGTGTCTCCCTGCAAACACTCAGTGATCTCTGGTTTCTTGTGGGTAAATGCTTTTTAATGTACGTATATCCAACTGCCATTTTCAATGAAAAATTTCTTTTTGCTAACTTTTAAAAGCGTATTATAGACCGGGCATAGTGTCTCACGCCTGTAATCCCAGCACTTTGGTAGGCTGAGGCGGGTGAATTACCTGAGGTCAGGAGTTCAGGACCAGCCTGGCCAACATGGTGAAACCCCGTCTCTACTAAAAAAATACAAAAATTAGCCAGGCGTGGTGGCGGGTGCCTGTAATCCCAGCTACTTGGGAGGCTGAGAGAGGAGAATCACTTGAACCCAGGAGGCGGACGTTGCAGTGAGCCAAGATCGTGCCATTGCACTCAGCCTGGGCGACAAGAGTGAAACTCCTTCTAAAAAAATAAAATAAAATATTTACAGATATGGTATGTGGGCTTCTGGGTGCACTCTTGGACCGGATCCCAACAAAGTTAAGGGTGACCCTGTCTGAGATGATCATCCATTAGTAAGTCTGGTCTTCATGTCTTTGGGGAGGAAATCATCAGAGTAGGGAGCCCCCTGGATGGAGTGAGCCAGAAGTGAGCCCAAGCAGCACCATCAAGGCAGCCAGCCATGGCTTAAAGCCCCCCACTCATATTTTCCTATCTATTGCAAGAGCCCTGGGTGTTCCTCATAGCATCGGGAAGCAGGACTGCAGCTTTAAAAGTCTGGCTTCGGCTGGGCATGGTGGCTCATGCCTGCAATCCCAGCACTTTGGGAGGCCGAGGCAGGCGGATCACGAGGTCAGGAGATCGAGACCATCCTGACTAACATGGTGAAACCCCGTCTCTACTAAAAATACAAAAAATTAGCCAGGCATGGTGGCGGGCACCTGTAGTCCCAGCTACTCGGGAGGCTGAGGCAGGAGAATGGCGTGAACCCAGGAGGTGGAGCTTGCAGTGAGCCGAGATCGTGCCACTGTACTGCAGCCTGGGCGACAGAGCGAGACTGTCTCATAAAAAAAAAAAAAAAAAAAAAAAGTCTGGCTTCGTGTTTGAGAAACATCTCTGCAAGCAACCTATAGGGAGCACCTTCTAGGTGTCAGGCTATGGGGATGCAGCCGGCATCAACAGCCACCATTGCCACTCCTAGAAGAGGTGGAATAACCAACCATCAATGTTCACTATCAAGTCTGCGTTTGCAATGCAATTGGAAGAGTGCTGTGTGTGAGGTTACTGTGGGTTGACCAGACAGATAGCACCACAGGCAGGAGGGCCCTGTGAAGAGAGAAGTCAGATGTGAAGACCTCAGGCCCATCTCCATGGGAAGCCTCTTTCGCTGGTGAAACAGAAATCAAGAGCCTCAGGAATGGTCTCAGACCTGCGCCTTTCCCCACAGGAACTGCTGCAAGTAGCGATCTCCCTCCATCTTTCTATGCAGTGACTGACAGACTCAGGGCATGACACAGTGGCTATGAGGAGGACCTGACTTGCTCCTTGGGCTTGTCCCCATTCTGCAACTCAGTCCTCCCTCCCCTGGGAGTCTGAGGTGCAGCACCCCCCCCATCCCCCTGCATCCTTTTCTTTTTTTAAATTTGAGACAGAATCTCACTCTATTGCCCAGGCTGGAGTGCAGTGGCGTGATCTCGTCTCACGGCAACCTCCACCTCCTGGGTTCAAGCGACTGTCCTGCCTCAGCCTCCCGAGTAGCTAAGACTACAGGCGTGTGCCACCACGCCTGGCAAATCTTTGTATTTTTAGTAGAGATGGGTTTTCGCCATGTTGGCCCGGCTGGTCTTGAACTCCTGACCTCAAGTGATTCACCTGCCTTGGCCTCCCAAAGTGCTGGGATTACAGGCATGAGCCACAGCGCCTGGCCCCGCCTGCATCCTTTAACACCGACCCCCTTCTCTTTTCCTGGAGCCAATTCCACTGTGCTTGCTTTCTGGAAACAGGTCACAGCTGAGACCAGCCACACATAACCTATAACCTGCAGTCCCTGGCTCCCAGGGACTAAGAGTCATTCCCCTAAAACTCTATGGCACACTCAGCGCACTGGCACAGCTGACCATTTTTTGGGGGAGGGAGTCCCGAATTTTCATGTGTCTCCCCGCAAACACTCAGTGATCTCTGGTTTCTTGTGGGTAAATGCTTTTTTTTTTTTTTTTTTTGAGATGGAGTCTCGCTCTGTCACCCAGGCTGGAGTGCAGTGGCATGATCTCGGCTCACTGCAAGCTCTGCCTCCTGGGTTCACGCCATTCTCCTGTCTCAGCCTCCCGAGTAGCTGGGACTACAGGCGCCCGGCACCACGCCCGGCTAATTTTTTGTATTTTGTTTAGTAGAGACGGGGTTTCACCATGTTAGCCAGGCTGGTCTCGATCTCCTGACCTCGTGATCCGACCGTCTCAGCCTCCCAACGTGCTGGGATTACAGGCGTGAGCCACCGCATCCAGCCGGGTAAATGCTTTTTAATGTACGCATATCCAACTGCCATTCTCAATGAAAGATTTCTTTTTGCTAACTTTTAAAAGTGTATTATAGACCAAGCATGGTGTCTCATGCCTGTAATCCCAGCACTGTGAGAGGCCGAGGCGGGTGGATCACTTGAGGTCAGGAGTTCGAGACCAGCCTGACCAACATGGTGAAAACCCGTCTCTACTAAAAATACAAAAAGTAGCCGGGCGTAGTGGTGTGTGCCTGTAGTCCCAGATACTCAGGAGGCTGAGGCAGGAGAATCACTTGAACCCAGGAGGCAGAGGTTGCAGTGAGCTGAGATCATGCCACTGCACTCCAGCCTGGGCGACACAGTGAGACTCTTATCACAAAAAAAAAAAAAAAAAAAAAAAAAAAAAAAAAAGTGTACTATGAAACATTTCATTGCTTTAAAGAAGTAAGTAAGTTTAGGAAAGCTAAGGGATAAATGGGGAGAGAGAGAGTGTGCAAGAACCGGGGTGGGAGGGATGAGAGAGAGAGAGAGAGAGAGAGAGGAGAGAGAGAGAGAAATATCGCTTCCTAAGAGATGCTTCACTAACACCCCAAACAAAATCCAGACCCTCTATTATCCTGTCTCTTGGCATCCAATGTTTTTCCTTCAGAGCATTTTCTCAATTTGTAATTATATATTTACTTATAAGGTAATTTGTTTTATGTCTAAGGTTAAGAACTGTGCCTGTTTTATTTAAATCAAGCATATACCCATTGTCTAGCACAGTTTAGGCACCCACGAAATATGTGTTAAGTCAAGTAATGAATTATTTAAGGGGGTGGGTCAAAAAGCAAGGTTTTAAGAATTTGCAGAGGGGTGAGACCAACTTCCACAGGCTCTCCAACCAAATGCAATTATCGATTGGGATTCTATCCTAACAGAGAAGATCCAAGAGGAGGCTGATATTGCTCTGAGCCCCAACTATTCACCCAAACTCCTCCTGCCCTTCTCCCTAGCTGTCCCGGTTATAATAGCCGTGTAACAAATTTTCCCAAGACTTTGTGGCAAAAGGATAAAAATAATTATGGCCACCAATTCACAGAGGGAATGGCAGAGACAGCTTGTTTCTGTTCTATGAGACCTGGAGCCTCAGATGGAAGACATGGAGGCTGGTTGCTGAAGGATTATGTTGATTATCATCTGGAGCCTCAGTTTCTCTCCTGGTGACACCCTACCTTTCCACGTGCACTATCTGCTGGGCTGATCTGGACTTGCTCACAGCATGGTGGCTGAATTCTAAGGGAGAGCATCCCAAAAGCAAGAGAGAGCCAGGTGGAAGCTGAATCACCTTTTATGACTCAGCCTCAGGAGTCACAGAGCTACACTTCTGCCCCACTCTATTCATCCTGGCAATAGCAAAGTCCTACCCAGGATGAAGGATGGGGATTCAGACTCCACCTGTTGATATGTGATATAGTTGGGATATTTGTCCCCACCCAAATCTCATGTTGAATTGTAATCATATTTCGTGGGTGCCTAAACTGTGCTAGACAATGGGTATATGCTTGATTTAAATAAAACAGGCACAGTTCTTAACCTTAGACATAAAACAAATTACCTTATAAGTAAATATATAATTACAAATTGAGAAAATGCTCTGAAGGAAAAACATTGGATGCCAAGAGACAGGATAATGTGCTGGAGGTGGGGCCCAGTGGGAGGTTTTTGGATCATGGGGGCAGATCCCTCATGGCTTGGTGCTGTCTTTGTGATAGTGAGTTCTGGTTGTTTAAAAGTGTGTGGTGTGACATCTAACCCCTGCTCTCTCTCTCTCTTTTGCTCCTGCTCTGGCTATGTGATGCACCTGCTTCCCCTTTGCCTTCTGCCATAATTGGAAGCTTCTTGAGGCTCCCCCAGAAGCAGATGCTGCTATGCTTCCTGTACATCCTGCAGAACCACAAGCCAATTAACCCTTTTTTCTTTGTAAATCCAGTCTCGGGTATTTCTTTATAACAATTCAATAATGGCCTGACACGGTAGAAGACTGTCATGGTTCTAAATGAACATGTAGGGCTGGAAATATTGTTTGGTCATTTTGGAAAAATAAGATCTGCCACACGCCCAACACCAACATGCCAGTCCTGGGCCTCGTGCCCTCAGATGCCCCCTCCCTGCTCTTCCCCTTCTCTGTTTTGTCTACATGTTTCCTGGCATCTAGCTGCATTCAACAGTCAAAGGCACTAGAAGGAGACTGGAGGACAGGAGGGAGGGAAAAGCCAGGGTATTTCTTCTCTTTGGCTTTCGGCCTCAGCAGCTGGAGCTCCTCTGTGGCCCCAGATCCCAGTGGACAGGCTCACAGCATCTCTAGCTTCTGCCGGCTGACCCCAGCTGCTGGGGTCCAGTGACCTGGCTCTTCGCGAAATCCTTCCAGCTTTAGGGCGATTGAAGCTTCCTGCAGTTACTTATCTCTGGGTTGTCTCACGGTCTCCTATTTGCCTTTTCGGCTTCTCTGTTATATGTGTAAATAATTTTTTGCATTAAATCCCATCTGTTCAAAATACCTAGAGTAGTTTCTGTTTTCTGGACTGGACTTTGACCAATATAATTAGCAAGGACCAATGAGTGCTTGCAGGAGAGCGGAGGAGATCATAGAATTTGTATCGGAAACGCTGGGATCAAGCCTTGGCCCCATCTGTCACTCAGATTGATTCACTTGGAAAAATGTGTCTCTCCTCTTGGATCAAAAACAGCAAAATTAAGAGTCTTTGGGGCCCATATGTTCATAGCCAGAATTTTCAATTTCCTCTTCAGACATTTAGAGTAGTTATCTGATAGCTCTTCATGTTCTTGAGTGTACTTTGGACCCACAGCTAAGAATCACAGAGTCAAGAATGTTGGCCTGACAATGCATGTGATGGCATGTGATAGCCCATCTCCAGGATGGCCACTGATCCCCACCTCCTGTTATTCATGCCTTTGTGTATTCCTTCCCTGACCAATAGGATGTTGTTGTGAGTATGACTTCTGAGGCCGAATTTTCAAAGACTTTTTGGCTTTGGCCCTGTTCTCTCATGGATCAACCTATCTGGGAGAAGCCAGCTGCCATATTGTGAGGATGCTCAAGTAGCCCCAGGGAGAGGCCCATGTGGTAAGGAACTGAGACCTCTTGCCAAGAGCAGTGGAAGTGAACTATCTTGGAGGTGAATCCTTTGGCCACAGTCAAGCCTTCAGATGATAGCAGCCCCAGCCAACATCCTGACTGTAATATCATGAGAGACCCTGAGCTAGTACTACCCAGTTAAATTGCTCCTGAATTCTTAACCCACAGAAACTATGAGGTAATAAATGTTTGTTTTGTTTTAAGCCATTAAATTTTGATATAATATGTCATACAGCAATAAACAACAAGTGGAGTACAGTAACATTACAATCAGCTCCAAGGACAGAAACATTGTTGTTGATCCCTGGAAGGTTGGCATCCCTACATCCAATAGTGTATTCCAGACAGATGAAGGAGCCAAACATTAGAAACCTCAAAAAGTACTAGAGAAAAATATAAAATAATTTTTTACACTATTGGGGTGAGAAAAGCCTTCCTAGGCAAGCCATGAAATCCAGAAGTCATGGAAAAGACTGACAGATTTAACTATATAAAAGCAAAACCTTAAGCTGGGTGTGGTGGCATGTGCCTGTAATCCCAGCTACTTGGGAGGCTGAGGCAGGAGAATTGCTTGAGCCCAGGAGTTTGAGGCCAGCCTGAGCAACATAGTGAGACCTTGTCTTTTTAAAAAAAAAAAAAGTAAAACCTTGTGTATGAAAAAAGAAGCATAAACAATGTCTACAATAAATGACAGATTGGAAGAAACTGCCTGGAGAAGATAAAGGTAAATGCCACTATGTATAAGGAGCAGGTTTTATTGGGGAAGTTTTCAAGTAAACACTCGGCAGCATGAAGCACAGCCCATTGTGATCCAGGGAAGTGGCCCATGCCTCCCCACCCTGGTTCACCATCTTTTAATTGTGTAAGCTTGGAGTGGCTTTGCATACAGGGAATAAACAGTCAGGATATGGGAGCAAACATGCTGGAAAAAGGAGAGCCCTCAGTCCAGAACAATTTGGGTTTGTCACAGCCACTTCAACTAGGGGGAAGGAGGGACTCTCATCTCAAGCAGGCAACATGAGAAAGGTTCTGGAGTCATCACTGGACCATTCTGCTTGTCACTCTACAAAATGTTTGCAACATACATCACAGACAAAATGTTACTATCACCAATAAGCATAGAGTTTCTATAAATTAATTAGAAAAATAGTCTAATAAGAAATAAGCAAAATATAGGAACACAAATCACAGATGAAGAAGTATAAAAGACCCATAGACATACAAAAAGATGCTTGATTTTGCCCAATGATAAGGAGAATGCAAAATTAAAACCACAATGAAATACTATTTTTAACTTGTTTGATTGGCAGAAAAATGTAAACAATTTACAATAACCAGTGTTGGTGGGAGAGTAAGTTGGTTCAGCATTTTTTGAAAAGCAAGCAATTTGACAGTATCTCTCACAATTATAAGTACATAAATCCTCTGTGCACAATACCCCTTAGAGAAATCAATATTTCAGAAAAACACAGAAGCTCAGAGACATGAACCCATTCATTCCAAAAATATTTATTACATGCTATTCCAGGGGCTAGGGATGTAACAGTGAAAAAAATCCCTGCTGACATCCTAGTTGGGTAGGCAGTTAAAAACCTGTGGGCAAATGAGATGCCATTAGACTCACCAAGGATGCCACAAGTAAAAAGACCGATTATGTCAAGTGTTGATAAAAATATGGAGTAACTGGAACTCTCATACTTTGCTGGTATGTAAAAAATTTGTCAGTTTCTTATGAAGTTAAATATACACATCATATAACCCAGTGATATGGTTAAGCTTTGTGTCCCCACCCAAATCTCATCATGAATTGTAATCCCCATTATCCCCATAATCCCCATATGTCAAGGGAGAGACCAGGCAGAGTAATTGAATCATGGGGGCAGTTTCCCCCATGCTGTTCTCATGATAGTGAGTGAGTTCTCAAGAGATCTGATGGTTTTATAAGGGGATCTTTCCCCTTCAGTTGGCACTTCTCCTTCCTGCCACCTTGCGAAGAAGATGCCTTGCTTCCCCTTCACCTTCTGCCATGATTATAAGTTTCCTGAGGCCTCCCCAGCCGTACTGAACTGTGAGTCAATTAAACCTCTTTCCTTTATAAATTACCCAGTCTCGGGAAGTTCTTTATAGCAGTATGAAAATGGACTAATATACCCAGTAATAGCACTCTTAGATATTTACCGAAAAGAAATAAAAACGTATGTCCACAAAATCTTGTACATAAACATCCATAGCAGTTTTATTCATAGTAGCCCCAAACAATAAACAGTCCAAATGTCCAGCAACGGGAGAATGAATAAACAAATTGTGATACATCATACAGTGGTATACAATTCAGTGAGAAAAAGAAATTAACTATAGATATACACAACAACATGGAAGAACTTCAAAAATATTATGCTAAAATAGTGTGTAGTCACATAAAAATCTATCCTATATGATTCCATTCATATGAAATACCAGAAAAGACAAAAATTGATTGATAGTGGCAAAGCAAATCAATGCTTGCCAGGGGCTGGGGGGTGAGAGGAGGGAACTGGCTGCACAGGGGGCACATCTCTGGGGTGATTAAAATGTTCTATAGGCCGGGCGCAGTGGCTCATGCCTGTAATCCCAGCACTTTGGGAGGCCGAGGAGGGGGGATCACCTGAGGTCAGGAGCTCGAGACCAGCCTGGCCAGCATGGTGAAACCCTGTCTCTACTAAAAATACAAAAATTAGCTGGGCGTGGTGGCAGGTGCCTGTAATCCCAGCTACTCAGGAGGCTGAGGCAGGAGAATCGCTTGAACCTGGGAGGCGGAAGTTTCAGTGAGCCGGGATCATGCCATTGCACTCCAGCCTGGGTGACAAGAGAGAGACTTCGTCTCAAAAAAAAAAAAAAAAAAAGTTCTATACTTCGATTATGGTGGTGGTTTCGTGGGCTACATTCGTCAAAGCTCATCAAACTGTATACTTAAAATAGGTACATATTATTGTACGTATGTAAATTACACATCCACAAAAGATGCCAGGCATGGTGGCTCATGCTTGTAATCCCGGAACTTTGGAAGGCTGAGGCACTAGGATCGCTTGAGCCCAGGAGTTTGAGACCAGCCTTGACAACATAGTGAGACCCTGTCTCTACAAAAAAAAAAAAAAAAACAACTTTTTAAATTAGCCAGGAGTGGTGGTGTGTGCCTGTGGTCCCAGCTACTCAGGTGGCTGAAGTGGGAGGATTGCTTAAGCCCAGGAGGTCAAGGCTGCAGTGAGCCATGATCACTCCACTGCACTCCAGCCTGGGCAAGAGAGTGAGACCCTATCTCAAAAAATGAATAAATTACATAAATAAAAAGTAATAAGAAAAAAGTATATATGTAAATTATACATCCATAAAGGTGATTAAAAGAAAACGTGTGGGTGGATTTTTGCCCATATATGGCACAGTCCAACCCATGAAACTCTCTGAAGACAACAGCATGGGTTCTTACCTCAGGACCTGCAAATATGGCACCAAGTATCATACTAGAATGTGTGAGAGACACTGAGCTCCACAGTCACACAGATGGGGACACAAAGGGACACCTGTCAGTAAATACACACATTTGCTCTCTCTCTCTCTCTCTCTGGAAGTGCAAGAGAGTGTTTTGATCAGAGGCAGCAGATGTGAACTGAAATAGTGCCTCTCTATGTTAGGGACACATTGCCCTAAAGCTGAATCCAAGTTTTTAAAAATATACCTAATTATGTGTCATCCCATGGCTCATGTGTCTAACCAAAGTTGCTACTGTCTTGGTTACCTATTATTGCATGGTGCCCCAATCCTAGTGGCTTAGTACCACAACTTATTATTATCTCTCACAGTTCTATGAGTTGACTGGGCTCAGCTGGTGGATTTTCATTCCTGGTTTCTCATGTGGTTGCAGTCAGGTGTCAGCTGGGGCTGGAGTCATCTGAAGGTTTAACCAAGCTGGATGTCCAAGATAGCTCACTCACAAGACTGGTAGTTGATGTTGGCTGCCGGCTGGGAACTTAACTGTGGCTGTTGACTACGATGCCTTATATGTGGTGTCTGCATGTAGATTGGGCTTCTTACAGCATGGTGGCTGGGTTCCAAGAAGGAGTATCCCAAGAGCAAGTGTTCTTCACAGGCCAGGTGGAAGTTGCAAGGCTTTCTGTGACCTCACCTTTCAGGTCACACAGTCTGTCTTCCACATCATTCTATCAGTCAAAACAGTCACAGAACTCACTCAGATTCAAAGGAGGGGAGAAATTGTCTCCTCTACTTGATGGAGAAGTGGCAGATTATACAGCAGAAAAGTGTGTGGGATATTGTTGCAGCCACCTTTTGAAAATGCAATCAGTCCCAGCTCTATAATGAAACCTCTTTTTCCCTTAGTCTTCAATGTAGAATTTTTCATTGGGCTCCAACAACTTTAGGGAAAAAGGTTTGGGAAAAGCAGGATTACATTGGTGGTCAGCCAACTATATCTGCATTGTTATATATACACTGGGCCTTGCTATATTTACACTAGTATTAGTACGCAGTGCAGAAGTTGGTGTCCCCAAATAGCTGTTTACTTTTCCTCTGCAGCCCCTAAAGTGCTTAGTCATTTCTTTTGTACTCTACGACTCCCTCTGCTATTAGCCCTCACTATTTCCTTGGGATCTGCCTAATCCAAAATATATTTCTCTGGGCCATACCTGACTCTACCTTCTCAGCTCCCAGCATTTCACTCTCCACTCACCATTTTTTTTTTTCACATCAGATGGATAATGTGCTGACATCATAACAAGGTTTGAGGGAGGTACATCTCACACAATAGCATGAAAACATAATCAACATACTTATGAACCATAAAAGGATCTACACCACTCACTGCTACCCAGAAATTTACAATGTCTTGTAGAGCTGGGCTGCAATGGCTCATTTAACCAATAGGTGGTAATGTAACATTTGACTTGGGCCTGTATATTAGGGAGAGTGGGGTGGGATGATGTTGAGGAGAAAGGAGGGTGGCAGGAGAAGTATCTAACGTACTCCTGTGTCCCAGCTGGACATTTTCAAGTTTAAAATTATAATTGTTTTAAAATATCCTTTTTGTTGGGTTTTAGAGTTTGACAATACTGGCTTCCTTGCAAACAAAGGACATCAATGACAGCTGTACTGAATGTACTAGAAAGAGTCTTGATAATGTAAGATTTCATCCAATATTTCCAATCGTTTTGGCGTCAGTCAACAAACCATAAAGGATAACCCTGCCAAGGGCACTCTATCAGGCCCTCAAAGTGGGTCATGATAAGGAATAAATGAAATCCCTACTTTCAAGCTGCCAACATGGTAACTTTCAAGGAACCTACAAGACTGATCATGTATAATCAACTTAAATATGCCAACTGCAGGGCTAAGGTGTGGGGCAGTTGATGACCATAATTGCCCTAGCAGAGGAGAAAAGGGGAGGGAATAATGAGGAGGGGGGCAGAGTCAGAAAGCCAAGGGGAAACTGGTTGTTGATGCCTGTGAGATACAGTGGGCAAAATGTCAGAGGAAAATGGTGGGGGTTGGCAGGGGAGGGAAACAAAGAGTGCAAAGAGTGTTGTAGGAAAAGACAGGCTTGGCTTGAATGGAGAGTGCAGACCCTGATTTTGAATTATAAGATGTTAGTACTGACAGGAATCCCAGAGACCATCCAGCCCAAAACTAGGGCCACCATCAGTGAGAGGTGCACCCGCAACAGAATGCACTGCCCTGACTTCCACATTAGAATTCTCTCCAAGTGTTCGGCCAGGATGATGTAACACAGGCAAAGAAAACAGTTATTAGTCAAAATTTCCAAGAGGCAATAACCTCTTTTCTTTTTTCATTGAATCCAATTAAGTTTGCCAATTCCCTGAGTGACCTTGGGGAGGTTGCTCCTCCTCTCTGAGCCTCATTTCTTTATCTTATCAAGGGCTTACTGTATGCCTTGCAGGTTCTTGGTGCTTTACATGTGTTAACTCATTTAGTCCCCCACTAGAGTCCCATGATGCAACGACAATTATTGCCATCCCCACCTTACAGATGAGGAAACTGAGGCAGAGGTTAGTAACTTGTCCAAGGTCATACTGCTAGTAAGCGGTGGAGTCAGTTTCAAACTGGGGCTATGTGGCTTCAAGTCTGTGCTCCCAACCACCAGGTAATCCTGCTTCTCAGCTGGCAAGGTTGGACTAGATGCCCTCCAAGGTCCCTTCTGTCCCACTTCTGGCACAGAAGTGTTAAAGGTCTACCCATTTACTTCCTCTGGAATTAGTCAGGGAGAACCCAGAGTTAAATTCTCTTATGTAGGTACAACAAGAATGACAGAATGTACCCAGTGCCAAAGACACAGGCCAGCCACAGTCCTCTCATCTACTGAAATTTTGAGGTCAATTTCTTCAAGTCCCTAAGAAAATCCTCTCTGAATAGCGGTGTATCCTTCTGCTTTCTGGCACATTTTGCAACTCCAGACATCACGGAAGCAGCCAACAGGCACCATCAGAATCCTGAAAAGAGAGAAAAGTATGTGGCGGGGCGGGGGGGTGGCGATGATAGAACTTGCCGTTTTTAATCCATCCATCTCTGTTGCTGTTTCTCTCAGTGTCTGTTCTTTTGCATAAAGGGTCTACTTTTCCAAATGTGATTTTAAACTGCAGCAGAGAGAAAACAAAATAAACACAGAATGGTCGGCTGAGGGCCCGCACTTTCTATTCCCTGGTTACAAAGTAAAATTAGCTAGCTGGTGGCCAGGGCCTGGAGATTTATTTTGGTCTGAAGTCAACCCACAGATTAACAATATTGGCAAGAACTACATAGGAGGGGAAAATATTTTGGACAAGGCTGCATATGTTTGCAGATACATCATCTCCCTCTGCGCAACGGCCAAGGTTACAGAGAATAGGAGTCAGGAGCAGGCTGCCTTGTGTCCCTCCTGTGAGCCATCATTCCCCTCTGCATGATGCCAACTCATGCCCTCTGGGAGCAGTTGCACTGTGCTTTGAAGGACTCAGCGAAGGTAGACGGGTAAGGACACTCCAGATCTGGTAGAAGAGGGGTTCTTTCATCTTTTCTTTCCCCCTTTCTTCCAAGGCCCACATTCCATTCCAAGGGTAATTCTCAAGCAACAGCTATTTCCGGATTCTCAAGGACTAGCAGAGGGTAGTGTCAGAAAAAATTAACCCAAATTGGAAATAGGCAAAAGAGATTATTGGGTGTTCTTGCAGTGCAAAGCTGGGCTTGCACTCTTGATTGCCCCTGCAGGGGCAGAGGTTAACTTTTACATTTTTGTCCGATAGAAATGCAAATAATTTCCAACCCAGCCATCTCATCCTAACATTCTTCTATTAAATTGCCTATAAATACTAGTTACTCCCATTTTCATGGGTATAAGTTTTAACATCTTGCAGGTTTCTTCATTAATTAATGAGCTAAATCAAATCTTTGACGTGATCATTTTATATTTGCATGAGAGTCAAGCTTTTTAAACTTTTGAAAATTCTATTTTAACAAAAAAATGTTTGTCTCTGTTGACATGACGTTTTTCTCCTGCCTTCTTGTTATCCCAACTCAAGCCGATAGGCCAATATCCCAAACTCCTCCTGGTGAACTCCAGATACAGACAGCCGGCAGGCATCCCTGCCCGCTTCCTGGATATGTGCCTGCAGATGAAACCCTAGTCTCTTTGCCCACTCATCTCTGCCTTTCACTGGAGTGTGCTGAGCCTTCAAGGAAGAACCACGGGTAGAGAGAAGTTTCCAGGACACACAGGAGTTACAAACCCTCTTCTCTCTTCTAGATGTTCATGGGATTGGGGAAAGTATGTCATCAATTCTTTGAGGAAATTTTTGCATCCTCAAATTGGGAGCAGTCATTTCCACATTGCATATCTCACAGGGGGTTTCTAAAGTGCTTCTCAAACTTTAATGTGCATATGAGTCACTGGGGGATCTTCTTAAAACGCAGATTTGGATTCAGCAGGTCTAGAGTGGGCCTTTCTAACAGCCCCCTGGGTGATGGTGAAGCTGCTGCTGCTGGTCTGCAGGCCCTACTTTGAGTAGCAAAGCTCTGAGGCTGATGTGAGAGCCTGCCCTTCAAAACCACAGGGGACAGCATAAATATACTGAGACACCCTTGGGAATTATAATTTACACTTAGACTCCACTCTCACAAAGCATGGGGCCCAAAGGTCTGAAGAAATACCAGGAACCAACATCTCCTAAGCCTATTGTGTGCCTGGCAGGGTGCCCTAAGCCCATTACATACATGCCTGATCTCACTTCATCTTCACCACCAGCCCATGAGGAAAGAAACGATCAGAAGTGTGATTTTACCAAAAAGGAAACTGAGGCCCAGAGAGGTGGAGTAAACAGCCCAGCACTAGTCACATAGCAACGCCGACTTTTGGAGCCAGTTCTAGCTGAGCTCTAACCACATTACCACACAGCTTCCTCCTTCCACCACAACCTTGCAGGGCTAGGCTCCTTGGTCAAATCTGTAGGGGATTTTGAAAGGGAAAAGGGAGAACTTACCTCCTTTCCATGTGGTCTCCATTCTCCTAGTGATTCCCTGGATAATTCCTTCACTGTCTTTCACTGCAGCTGCCAGACAGAGGGAGGGAGGAACTTTCTACTAATTTCAGAGTAGACAAATGCTCTTAGAGAAACTACTATTTGCCTAGCTTTGTTACCCGAAAGGGGTCCCGATCTAGACCCCAAGAGAGGGTTCTTGCATTTCACGCTAGAAAGAATTCGAGGCGAGTCCACAGAGCAAAGTGAAAGCAAGTTTATTAAGAAAGTAGAGGAATAAAAGAATGGCTACCCCATATATACCCCATATAGCCTTGGGGCTGCTGGTTGCCCATTTTTATGGTTATTTCTTGATGATATGCTAAACAAGGGGTGGATTATTCATGCCTCCTCTTTTTAGACCATATAGGGTAACTTCCTGATGTTGCCATGGCGTTTGTAAACTGTCACGGTGCTGGTGGGAGTGTATCAGTGAGGAGGACCAGAGTTCACTCTGGTGGCCATCTTGGTTTTGGTGGGTTTCAGCTGGCTTCTTTGCTGCAACCTGTTTTATCAGCAAGTCTTCATGACCTGTATCTTGTGTTGACCTCCTATCGCATCCTGTGACTTAGAATGCCTAACCGTCTGGGAGGCCAGGCGCGGTGGCTCACGCCTGTAATCCCAGCCCTTTGGGAGGCCTAGGCGGGTGGATCACGAGGTCAGGAGATCGAGACCATCCTGGCTAACACGGTGAAACCCCGTCTCTACTAAAAATACAAAAAATTAGCCGGGCATGGTGGCGGGCGCCTGTAGTTCTAGCTACTCGGGAGGCTGAGGCAGGAGAATGGCTTGAACCAGGGAGGCAGAGGTTGCAGTGAGCCGAGATTGCACCACTGCACTCCAGCCTGGGCGACAGAGCAAGACTCCGTCTCAAAAAAAAAAAAAAAAAAAAAAAAAGAATGCCTAACCGTCTGGGAATGCAGCCTAGTAGGTTTTCAGCCTTATTTTACCGAGCCCCTATTCAACGTCGAGTTGCTCTGCTTCAAACACCTCTGACAGCTTGATCATTGGTCTTGGAGGAGAATGTGGAAAAATTCAAAGAACCAAAATAGATTCCTGCCCTCAAGGAATTTATACTCCAAAGGAGAGCTATCATACACATGCATTATTGCAATGCAAATTCAGATCGGTCCTGCCAGGACTTTTGTGTAGGGAATACCTCTCTCCTCTCTGCAGGGCCCCTGCAGAACTTTTGGTCTGTAAAGGTAACCCTTCAGAACTTTCTTTTACTGGACTGGGGGTGGGGGGAGGACAAAGCAGATGGCGGATGGGGGCGGGGCTGAGGGGGTGAAGGGAGAGCAATGAATGGCAATTAGCGTCTGTTTCAGTTGATGGTGTGTGCTCCCAGGGACCCAGGGACTGGGTGCTCCTTTGCCAAATGTAAATATCAAACCAATAAATGCTAATGTAGCATGAAAAAGTGCTGATTTGGGAGAAAGTTCCAATCATTTAGAGAGCTTGTCACAGAAAGTGCTTAGGTGTTCCGGAGGCAAAGGGAGCTGAGGAAGGAAATAAGAGGCTGGAATTAATAGCTCCTCTCTGGGTCCTGGTACTACCCTGGCCACCTATTCCTGGAAGAGGGAATGGACAAAGAAGGGCGTGGTAGGGGGAGGGGAGGTCCTTGCAGTGCGGTGGGGACAATAAACAAAACAAAACCAGAATGGTGAGGTCAAGTTCATGAACATCTGGCACCAGAAGAGGGAGATAGCAGAGAGGCCTGTTATCAAGTTATCTGTGAACTTGACACTTGCCTTGATGGGCCTTTGCCCATGATCCTTGTCGTCCTGATGGTCTGCCTTCAGGGACCTGTTTCTGATTGATGATTCTGATCTTGGTGACCCTCCCCTCCACTTTCAGCCCATCATACTACTCACACTCTTAACACACTTCTCTCAGGGTCCCCCACCCAAAAACCCAGAGATGCCTGCAACTTCACCTGAAGCCTGCCACACCTGCCCACCTCACAGAGGAGCTCTGCAAATACTTGTGAACTGGATTCAATAGAAATAGCTCTTAAGGGAGCTATGAGACTAGAACGCAGGAAAGTGTGTTGGAGAGAAGACTTGGCTAGGGATTAGGACCACTGGGTTCCAGGCCTGGCTCTGCCATCTCCTTGGCCTGAGAGAAGATACCCTACCTCTCTGAGCCTTGAGGCCTCAGTGGCTTCATCTGTAGAATGGGGATAATTCCCACTGGGACAATTAAATGAGACAAAGATATATGTGCAACTGCTTGGTAACCTGCAAATCTAGAGAGTCATTACTGCGTGTTTCTCAGCAGAGTCGGTTGCCTAGGAGACAAGCCGCAGTGGGGACCTCACCCCAGACAGGCTGCAGCCAGACTCCCTGTGTGAATGACATCATGGCCCAAACTCTGCCGGGCCCCAGGCTTTCTGGAGTCTCTTTCTGGTCCCAGGACACTGAGTAAACACCTTAAGCCTCCTTAAACACAGCTGCCTCTAAACATTCAGAGGGAAAACCACTCACCCACCCGTCCCACCTCCTCCCCTCTAATCTAATCTGGACATCTAGTCTGGTCAGATTTACATCTAAATATCTCTCCCCGGTGCGTCTTTCCTTCCCTTACATCATCGCTTTCTCAGGGCTGTGGCTTTGGTTCAGCTCTCTGCTTCATTTTCTTCACCCCAGCCCCATTTTCCTTCTTGTGGCTGCCTCAGTTATCACCGTCCTTTGATTCGGCTTTAAAATACCATAAACTGGGTGGCTTATAAACAACAGAAATTTATTGCTCACAGTTCTGGAGGCTGTTCCGGTCTCACCTGTCCCTATCCTCACAGCCCATCCCTGCTGTTCAGCAGCCCCAGAACCTGTTCCTTATCTGCCCACCCCAGGGCCTTTGCACATGCTACTTAACCAGAACAGCAACTTTGACCAGTCCTTCTTGGCCCAGCTGGAACACTGGGCTCCTCAGCTATCCTTTGCAGGATGTGAGCTCCTTCCTATATGCTCTCTCCTTTCTCGTAGGGCCCACACAACCCTCTGCCTTGTGGAACAGTTATTTGGGTTTCTATGAGTGTGGACTCTATTAGAATGTACTCAGAAGCCCAAGGCTGAGCTCTAGAAGGAAAGTCTCTGGCAAGGAGGGGCAGCGGGGCCTGAGACTTGGCAGGCCTGAATTTTCTCTTTCCCCCAAGGTTCTCCCAATCAGAGGTGTGTGGATCTTCTTTAAAACCGGAGTTCACTGCCAACATAGGCAGAGACACCAAAAGACCTTGCAGAAGAATGTAAAGAACTAGGACAGAATACTTAAGGCAGCTCTCAGTCTTTGGAACCTCACAGAATGCTCTGGGCCAGGCATCAGGCTGAGCTCTGGAGATCTAGCAGGACTAAGACAGACGCAGATTCTGCCATCATGGAGAAGCCCTGCTCTAGGGGATGCCAGCCATCATGCCTAGAGGACACTTACACAGCCCTGCAGAGGGCCCGTGTGAAGAGAACTGAGGCTCCCAGCCAACAGCCACATGAGTGAACCACCTCTGAAGCTAAGCCTTCAGAGAATTGCACCCGAGCCAATTTCTGAAGCCAACCTCTTGAGAGATCCTAAGCCACCCTGCCCAGCCAAGCTCTGGATTCTGAGTCACAGGAACAAGGGCAGTTGTTTTTGTTTGTTTGTTTGTTTGTTTTAAAAAAGACTTTCATTATTTTAAGCCACTAAATTTTGGGGTGATTTGTTACCCAGACACATCTAATACTATGCCACAGATCATTGGACTCTGATTGGATAAGGGGTGGGGAAGTCATCATGATATCATGATGGCAGCTACCATCCCTTGAATGCCCACTCTGTGCCAGCCACTCTACTATAACTTGACCCACTGTACGTAACCTCCTCCTTACAAAGATCCTGGCAGGGCACGGTGGCTCACACCTGTAATCTCAGCACTTTGGGAGGCCAAGGTGGGTGGATCACGAGGTCAGGAGATCGAGACCATCCTGGCTAACACAGTGAAACCCCGTTTCTACTAAAAATATAAAAAATTAGCTGAGCGTGGTGGCAGGTGCCCGTAGTCCCAGCTCTTCAGGAGGCTGAGGCAGGAGAATGGCGTGAACCCGGAAGGTGGAGCTTGCAGTGAGCCAAGATCGAGCCACTGTACTCCAGCCTGGGCAATGGAGCGAGACTCCACCTCAAAAAAAAAAAAAAAATCCTGAGACAGGGCTTATCATTCCCAATTTAGACGTAAGGCACACAAGTGTCAAGCCACTTGTCCAAGCCACACAGTCAGTAAGTGGCAGAGCTCTCTCTGGCACCATCCTCTGGGACACTGTCCCATGGGCCTGTGTGAAGAACCACCTTTCCTAGATTCATCTCTTCCTCCTTGTGTGTCCCCGTCAGCTTGGGCTTGGGCCAGTGTCTTAGTCTGTTCAGGTTGCCATAAAAAAATACCATAAACTGGGTGGCTTATAAACAACAGAAATTTATTGCTCACAGTTCTGGAGGCTGGAAAGTCCAAGATCGAGGCACCAGCAGATTCAGTGTCTAGTGAGGGTCCTCTGTGTCATAGATGGCACCTTCTATGTGTGAGGACATGGTGGAAGGGACAAATAAGCTCCCTTGGGCCTCTTTTATAAGGGCACTAATCCCATGAGGGCAGAGCCCTCATGAACTGATCATTTCCCAAAGGCCCATCCTCTGGGCCTTTGGTATTAGTATTTCTTAATACTATTGCACTGGGGATTAGTATTAACAAATGAATTTTAGGGGGACACAAATGTTTATACCATTGCAGCCAGCAAGCTATGATTAGGGCAGAACAAGCATTGTCTAACAAAGATAGCTCTGTAGGATGCCCTGGGCCCTAATTCCTCCCACCCCCACTGCTCCCACCCATCAAAGACAAAAGCTTTAGGAAATTGTCATGCATGGCAGACTGTATTTCCCAAGAAGGGCTGCAACAATATCATCCACCTCATGTGCTCTTTAACAATGTGACATTGACATTCTCCACTGACATTGAGAAATGAGGTCTGTGTCCCATTCCCTTGAATCCAGGCAGGCTTGTGACTCGTTCAATCAACACCATGGAAGTTCCCAAGACTGGGTCATAAGAGCCCATGCAGCTTCCGCTGCGTTTCTTGGAACAATCACACTTGAAGCCCTGAGTTGCCATGTAAGAAGTCCCACTATGCTAAGGCTGCCATGCTGTGAGGAAGCCCAAGCTACATGGAGAGGTCACCTGAAAACTCTTCAATCCACAGTCCAAGTGTTTGAGTCCTCCTAGTCCAGGCACCAGACATGTAAATGCTGGAACCTTCAGATGACCCCAGCTCCTAAGCATCACATCATCTCTGATCTTTGAGTCTTTCCAGCTGAGCCCTCAGATATCGCAGGGCACAGTCAAGCCATCCCCTATTGTGCCCTGCACAAATTCCTGACCCAGAGAGTCCATAAGCATAATGAAATGTTTGTTTGAAGTCACTAAATTTTGGAGTAACTTGTTATGTAGCAACAATAACTGGAACAATATACCATAAGAAGTGGGTGGAAGGTTGGGTCAGTCAGTGGGTCCCCGCAACCTACACGTTCAGATTCGCCACCACTGCTTCTCAGCTCTGAAAACCAGAAACCTCCATCCCCCTTATACTACTATCCCCACTTACCACTGAGAACTGAAACCACATTATTCCTTCTCCCTGGGATTCTCACCCCCTGATATTAACTCATTGTGCAGTCACCTCCCACATTAAATGAGGCCAAGCTATATAACCAATAAGATAGTGTATAAATGATAAACTGAGACTTCAAGGTTAGGTGATAAAAGACATTGTGGGCTCAGTCTGGCTCTCTTTTGAGTCACTTGCTCTCAGGGAAGCCAGCTACCATGCCATAAGGGCACTCAAGCAGTCCCATTGGACAGGCCCACATGGCAAGAAACCGAGCCCTCCTGCCAACAGCCAACAACATTGCACCATCTATGTGAGCGAGCCACCTTGAAAGTGGGTATACTTCAGCCCCAGGAAAGCTTTCAGATGACTGTTGGAAGTGCCGGCCAACACCCTGGCTGCAACCTCATGAGACACCCCAAGCCAGGACCACCCAGCTAAGCCACTCTCAAATTCCTAACTCTCAGAAACTATGAGATAATAAATGTTTATTGTTTTAAGTCACAAAGTTTTGGGGTAATTTGTTATTCCCTGTCCCTATGTTAAACAATACTGGGACCAGGCATATGCTCATGTCCCCATGTTTAAATAATACTGAAAACAAGCAAAAATAACTTAGCTACTTGCCCTAAGAAATACTTGCTTCTGAAAGATAAGATGGAACCAACTAAAATAACTTGTTGTCAAGACCAACAGCTAGCTAGCCAATCAAGGGTTACTACAGCACTTTGGCCTTGCTGTGTTCAAGAGCCGAAAGCTATTTCTTCATAAACTCTCCCCAGTCCAAATTTCTTGCCTTGAAAGACCCAATTTGCAAATCACCTAGTCTGGGCTCTAAAACACTATAAATACATGTCCCCAGTTTCCCCACTTTGAGACGCTAGTAACATTCTGTCAAGGGGGCTCTTTCTTATTGAAGCAGGTCTAATAAACTTAGCACTGCTTGATTTTTTCTGATGGTCTTTTTTGGGGAGTTGATAGTCAACATTATATACCCTGCAAACTGGGACTTCCACTCCTGGGTGTTTTGTTTGTTTGTTTGTTTGTTTTGAGATGGAGTCTCGCTCTGTTGCCCAGGCTGGAGTACAGTGGCCTGATCTCGGCTCACTGCAAGCTCCACCTCCTGGGTTCACGCCATTCTCCTGCCTCAGCCTCCCAAGCAGCTGGGACTACAGGCGCCCACCACCACGCTTGGCTAATTTTTTTGTATTTTCAGTAGAGACAGGGTTTCACCGTGTTAGCCAGGATGGTCTCGATCTCCTGACCTCTTGATCCGCCCGCCTCAGCCTCCCAAAGTGCTGGGATTACAGGCGTGAGCCACTGCGTCCAGCCTGTTTGTTTGTTTTTATAGATAGGGTCTTGCTCTGTCCCCCAGGCTGGAGTACAGTGGGTCGATCATAGCTCACTGCAGTCTCAACCTCCTGGGCTCAAGCAATCCTCCTGCCTCAGCCTCCCAAGCAACTGTGTCTAAAGGTGTGCGACACCACACCCAGCTACTTCTTAAAAATTTTTGGTAGAGATGAGGTCTCGAACTCCTGGCCTTAAGCAATCCTCCTGCCTCAGCCTCCCAAGCAACTGTGTCTAAAGGTGTGCGACACCACACCCAGCTACTTCTTAAAAATTTTTGGTAGAGATGAGGTCTCGAACTCCTGGCCTTAAGCAATCCTCACGCCTCAGCCTCCCAAAGTGCTGGGATTACAGAAGTCAGCCACCGTGCCCGGCCTTCTTATGGGTTTTATTTGTTCATCTGTCTTTGTGCCGTCCCACTTGCCCACTAGCCACATGTGGCTACTTCAATTAAAGTCAAAGAAAATATAAAATTCACTTCCTCAGTCACACCAGCCACATCTCAAGTGCTCAGTAACCACATGTGGCTGGTGGCTCCCCTGTTGGACAGCACAGATAGAAAACCTTTCCATGCTCACAGAGGGTTCTGTCGGACAGCGCTGCTCTGGGGGAAAGTGGGTCATTTGCTTCAGAGGATGGCTGCCCCCAAGGAAGCTCTCCGCAGACAAGTTGGGGGGCGGCTGCAAACTGGGTGCTGGCCGCTTCCCAGAGCAAAATGGACTGCCAAGCTGGCCCCTCCTAGGCTCGACACGTGTCTGCAGGCATGACTCCACCAGGCAGGCCCTTCCTCCTCTGGCTTGCAGGAAACCATCAAGCTTTAGACTCATGGTGCACACAGGCATGCTTATTTCTGGGAGTGCACGTGATTTCCGCAGAGCAGCCCTGGCTCAGCTGGGAAGGAAGATAGATGGTCTGCAATCAACACACCGCCTCCCTCACCAACCCAAGGGCCTGCAGCTGCGCTTGTTTTCTGATTTCAGGTCTGATAAGTGGCCTGCTGGCCGTCAGAATCTCCTAGCCAAGTCTCCAGGGTCTTTGTCATCCCCCAGCTTGGAGACCTGGGGAGAAGTTGGGGAGGAAACCATGGCTTCCCTATGTGGCACCCTTAGATACAGGACTGGACCAAAGTGTGAATTAGAAATTAATCAAATCATCGGACATTTTTCCTTTTCTTTTTTTTTTTTTTGGCTTTGAGAATTTTTATTTCTTCCATGGTAACTCTTCCTGGTTGGAGAATGTCATTTAAAATAATTCTGTCTTTAAAACTGTGGGATGAGGGGAAGGAAAATGTCACCTCCAACCAGGTCCTCACCATGCAAATCAAGGACATTTCAAAATGCTGGCAATCTGCTAGAGGACTTCAAAGGTGTCCAGGTCCAATTACACTTCATTTGGGGTGTGAATTGAGGAACTCTGGGGGAGGTGGCCGGGGTGGAACGTGTCAGGGTCGATACTGTGGTAATGAACCTAGGCCTTTGTTCCTGGGAGCCCAGCTGCTGACAAGTGGGCTGTTTCCTGAAGGGCGGAGGTGTTTCTGTGTCCCCCACCAGGTGCGGGAAACAGGGTAGAGACTGTCGCTGCCATTAAAAAAAAAAAATCATTTTAGGGTGGTCTTTTCTTTCTCTTTGCTTTTAAAGACCAAAGGTTGATCACAACTTAAAATTAAAGGGGGTGGAGGGAGCCTGCAGCCTAGGTCAACATCTAAATCTTTTCAAGTCCTAGAGTTACCCACACTATGGGTCTCACACAATTTGTTTGAATTGGGGTCTGGGGAATTACTCTTCTCTAACTTATGACTTGGGTGCTGCTGCAATTTCTGTGGCAGAATATGTTTGGATGGACATGGGAAGAGGCCTGAGGAAAGAGGTCCTTAGCATTCATTCTGGAATGCTTTAAAAATAACGTTCTTTTAAAAACGATTTTGGTTTTGCTGGCTAGTTAGAATGGAACTGACTGGCCGTTTGGGAAACTCAGCCCTGTGTGGGCAAGGCTGATGGCTTAAGGGCATTCAAGAATGATTCATGCAAGTTCTTCTAGTCCAAAACACCCCTCGAAAAGACACAACATATTCAGAAATCTCAGATAAGGCTGGGTAGGAGCAGGTCTGCCGGGTAGATTTCAGCAGGGTGCGTAAGAGCAATCAATCTACTGCAAGTGCGAATCGGGATCAAAAGCCGGCCTCTCCCACTTGCTGGGATGCTTATGCAATTCATTATTTTATGTCCTTGGTTTCTTTTTTCAAATGCAGATACCCCAGAAAGGTAACACATTCAGTTACGCACACTTTAGTGCAAATGCATTCATCAGAAACTTTTTTTTTTTTTGAGACGGAGTTTCGCTCTTTCACCCAGGCTGGAGCACAGTGGCGTGACCTCGCCTCACTCCAACGTCCGCCTCCCGGGTTCAAGCGATTCTCTTGCCTCAGCCTCCTGAGTAGCTGGGATTACAGGCGCCCACCATCACACCCGGCTAATTTTTGTATTTTTAATAGAGATGGGGTTTCATCATGTTGGCCAGGCTGGTCTCAAACTCCTGACCTTGTGATCCGCCTGCCTCGGCCTCCCAAAGTGCTGGGATTACAGGTGTGAGCCAGCGTGCCCGGCCAAGAAACATTTTAAATGGCAGTGGAACCTGGGTGAAGCTGCCTGTGAGCAGGGAAGAAAAAAGTACGGATGCTGGAGCCACCCCCTGCAGATGCCATTTCCTAGGGTGAAGCCCTAGCGTCAATATTATTTTTTAAAGCTCCCCAGCTGGTGTCAATATGCAGCCAAGTTGAGAACCCCAGGAGAGAGAATCGAGGCTGAAAGAGGATGGATGGATGGACGGGAAGAATCAAAAGAAAAAACAGCTTCTCTTTTTTTTTTTCTTTTTTTAGAGATGGGGGTCTTGCTGTGTTGGCCAGGCTGCTCTCAAACATCTGGCCTCAAGAGATCCTCCCTCCTCGGTCTCCCAAAGTGCTGGGATTACAGGCATGAGCCACCACGCTCGGCCCACATAATTCCTCCAATGAAAGACCCAGGTTTGAGTCCTGGCACTCCACTTGATGGCAGCTTGATCCTGGTAGAGTTACTTATCCCCCTCTGAACTGCATTTTCTTCATCTGTTAAATAGGGATAATACACTTAATAAACAGTGATTCTCAAACTTGAATGGGCGTCAGAATCACCTGGAGGGCTTCTTAAAACACAGATCCCCGGGCCTCAGCCCATCTCCAAAGAGTATGACTCAGCCAGTCTGGTGTGAGCCCCCAACATCTGTGTTTCTAACAAGCTTCCCAGTGATGCTGCTGGGCCAGGACCATGCTTCGAGAACCACTGATATCAGGGGCAGTTGAACTGGTTATTATTAGCTCACAAATTTAATCCACAGATGAGACCTGAAACCAATGGCAACACCCCGTTCTCTCTTAAAAGGGGTCAAGAGCCAAATAGGGCTTGAACTTGCATACAAATATTCACCAGGTTTTAGCATTTTGCTGTGATGTAGCCCACCTTCAAACCTGAGGCTGAAGCCACCAATGGACCATTATGGTGAAGACTGCTCTGGAAGCAGAATTGTGCCTGGTCCGCAAAGACCCACCCACCCTAGAAAAAAGCACCTCTGCCCCCTGTCATTCCAAAGAGGCCTGGCCTGGTCTTTCTGGAGCCTGCTGTGCCCTGGGACCTGGTCACTAAAAGCAGGTGTAACAGATTAAAGCTGCTGTGTCCCCTGAGGGGGTGAGCCCTGCCTTCTGAAGCACAATTTACACTGTGAAACCACGAGTTGAGGGGAGCGGGAGGGGGCACATTTCCTCTTTAAAAATGCTCAAAGTCTTTCAGCTGATGCTCAGAGCAGGGCTGGCCTAGGCAAGGGTTTGAAGTAGGAAAGGTCACTATTTGTCTTTTTTTTTTTTCTCCTTGAGACAGAGTTTCGCTCTGTCGCCCAAGCTGGAGTGCAATGGGGTGATCTCGGCTCACTGCAGCCTCCACCTCCTGAATTCAAGCAAGTCTCCTGCCTCAGCCTCCCAAGTAGCTGGGATCACAGGTGTGGGCGTGCACCACCACACCTGGCTAATTTTTGTATTTTTAGTACACCATGTTGGCCAGGCTGGTCTTGAACTCCTGACCTCAAGTGATCCACCCGCCTTGGCCTCCCAAAGTGCTGGGATTACAGGTTTGAGCCACTGCGCTCAGCCACTACTTGTCATTTATGCTCTATTCCCATCCCAGCCACCCACCCCTGCTTCTCCTGTCCCACAGCCTGGCCTCCTTGTGTCTCCAGCCTGGGATCGCTGCCTGTCTCTGCCCCAGACTATCCCTTACTCCTCCTATCAAAATGCTATCAGGTGGAGAGCAGTGGTTCATGCCTGTAATCCCAATACTTTGGGAGGCCGAGATGGGAGGATCACTTGAGCTCAGGAGTTTGAGACCACCTTGGGTCTCTACAAAAAAAAAAAATTATTTTAATTATCCAGGCATGGTGGAATGCACCTGTAGTCCCAGTTATTCTGCCCATATGGGTTGCATCTTCCATTTGAGAGCCTCTCACCCTAAGTCTCACAGTCACCAGTACCCTGGCTTCCAGGACAAACCTGGATGATTTCCCCCCAGGCTTAAAGGAAGACTAGAGACTTAAAGGAAGCTGGACTTTTATGAAAAACTCATTGTGGGTGGGGGGCCCAGAGACTTAAAGGAAGCTGGACTTTTATGAAAAACTCATTGTGGGTGGGGGGCCAAAAATTAACTAGGCATGAAGAACCTGGGAGATACCAGATTATTCTGGCTCACTAGGGCTTTACACTTATCTGGCCACAGCTGGGACATA
Source organism: Homo sapiens (assembly GCF_000001405.40). NCBI lineage: Eukaryota > Metazoa > Chordata > Mammalia > Primates > Hominidae > Homo > Homo sapiens. The sequence goes on along the minus strand of NC_000023.11, from coordinate 40,269,611 downwards.
CTCCCTTCTCCCTGGACCGTGCAGTCTGGGCCCACCTCACCCCCAGTGTGGGCCACCTATTATGATGCCCCCCAAAATGGTGTCAATTCAAGAGTACCTGCTTCTCTAGGGTCTAGGCTTTGGGGGCCCAACTTATCACAACTTGAAGTTACTGTTTTAAAATTTATCTTATTTATTTGTTAATTGTGTCATCTGTTAACATGTTATAGCTCCATAGGACAATCACTGGCGGTCTTATTTACTGTTAAAGCACCAGCCCTAGCCCAGTAGTTGGAATATTTTGATTGCATGTATGGGTGGATAGCTGAGATGGATGCAAGGATGGAGGGATGGATGGATGGATGAACGGATGGGTGGATGGGTGGATGGGTGGATGGGTGGGTGGATGGATTGGCCCCCACATAGTACCAAGGTACTTCTCCTGTAAATACCACAAACCTAGACCAGCAGTTCTCAAACCTTTAGGTCTTGGGACTCCTTGACTTTTTTATTTATTATTGAGGACTCCAAAATGCTTTTGGTTATATTGGTCTTGTCAGTATTTCCCACATTAAAAATGAAAAAAGGAACATTTTTAATATTTATATATTAATTGATCTAAAAATAACAATTATGAATATATTACATGTGTGGTGGGCAGCCTCTAAGATGGTGCCCAGTAATTCCCACCTTCTGTCACCCACACCCTTGAGTAATTCCCTCCCCTTGAACGCTAGCTGGACTTACAGACTCACTCCTAATAGATCTATTGTCCTATAGGGATGTGGCTTCCAAAATTGGATTACAAAAAGACTGTGCCTTCTGTCTTGGGTGCCCTCTTTTCTCTCTCTAGGAGGAGCCAGCTGCCTTGTCACGAGGCAGCCCTGTGGAGAGGGCCTCGTGGCAAGAAACCCAGGCCTGCCAGCAGCCACATGAGTGAGTCTGGAGGTGGATCTTTCCCCGGCTGAGCTTTGAGATGCTCCTACCCCTGGAACACACCCTGATTAGTCTCCTAAGAGACCCTGAGCCAGAACCACCCAGCTAAGCTGCTCCCAGATTCCTGACCCACAGAAACTGTGTGAGATAATAAATGTCTGTTGTTTTCAGCCACTAAGTTTTGGGGGTAACTTGTTACACAGCAATGGATAAAATACATGGTAACATCGATAGCACAATTTTATTAAAAAATAACCGTATTTTCCAAAACAAACAAAAAAGTTTAGGGAGAAAAGTGGCATCGTTTTTACATTTTTGCAAACCTCTTTAATATCTGGCTTAATTGAAAACAGCTGCTTCCTCATAGGGGCTTGGGCATCCAATGCGTTGTGATACATTGTTTTGGTTGAAGAAAATCCAGCCTAATGGAGCTTTGCAGTTAGAAAAGGACAGTCTGAAAAGGGCTCAGGGAACCACAGGGATCCTCAGACCACACTTTGGGAACTGCTGACCTAGACAATCATAGACCCCAAAAGATTCTAATTCTAGGGCCCTCACTTCCCAATCTTGGTTTCCTGTTTGGGACCTTTGCCATTTCTCCAGGTGCCCAAGTGACTTAGTGGTGATGGAGGCCACCCAGGAGGTCTGGTCCCCTGCCAAAAAGGATAAGTCCTCTGAGGCCTAAAAGCAGAAGACACTGATGAACTAACCCTCAGTCTTGGCTGTGTCATGCCCAAGATGTCACACAGAGGGGAAAGGATGCCTCTGACATCCAAGGTGAAGGTTGAGGCATCTGGAGTCGGGGAGGGCAGGGGAGCTTGTTCTCTGCGCATTGACAGCTTCCGGGACACTGGGGTTTGCCAGATCCATGGGGATTTCCCCCTCTCCTTCCCTTTCCTGCGCGTGTCCCACTACCCCCAACCCCCGTGAAGTTTAGGGCCTGTTTTCAGCCGGAGCCGGTCTAATTTTCGCTGCCTAGTTGGTCAGAGAAACGCACGCAGCTGTAGCAAAGCATAAAAATAGCTTCCTCCGTGACCAATTTCTTCCCACTTCCCTTTCTCTCTCTCCATGCTCGCCTCCCCGTCCCCACCTTCTGTGGAAGCAGGAAGGTCCCTGGAGGGTGCCAGCACTATTGAGACATGCCATGCGCCCCAGCTTCCCTCCCAAACAACACATGTTCCTGATTCTATTTTGCCCTGGTCCCCCGCAGGCTCGCACAGGCTTCCCTGGGGACCGGGCGTTGTCAGATGGGTCCCCGCGGGCCCAGTGTCCGTCCACCTCGTTGGGCAGACTTCCTCTCCCGCGCACAGCCCCCCAGACATCTGCACGCCGAGTGCTCGCCAGCGGCACTGGGATCTGGGGTCCCAGCCTAGCCCGGAGCCAGCCAAAGGCCTGCCCGCGAGGGATCCGGATCTTCTGGCACCTTAGAGGTTAAATGGGAAGCCTCCAGCTGGAAGGAAAAAACGCCCCGGTGCTATGCGCGGAGGCTCCAGGCGGTGTCCCCAGCGTCCCGGGCTTCCTCTGCGCCGGGCGGCTGCGCGTCCCGGATGCGTCCGCGGCAGAAGATGGAATCCGAAAGTGGGCATTCGTCTTTCTAGTTTGGAAGCAGGGGAAGACAATCAAACCTGCAGCAGCTCAGCTCCCCAACGCGAAGGTCTAGCCAGCCTTGGGCAGGGGAGCGTTTCTAGAAATGTCTACACCCGGAGCCACCGGCGGGAACCAGGAGGGCGGGGTATGGCCCGCACCTGCCCTGCCTCTCTTCCCTGAGCCTTTGGGACCATGCGGGAGAGAGGACAGGCCACCTATCGTATTTCAGGAGTGGCTTGTAGGGTCCAAGGGCCGTTTGCCTCCCTCTACTGCAGTTTGGAAACAGAATAAACCGCCCCAGCAAAACCCGGCGAACTTGTCCAAACCACACAAAAGTTCAAACCACACAAACTCCAACTGGGCACCGACGCAGGACTGGCTTTATCTGTCCGCAGAGGGCTTTGCTCTGCCTCGCAATTGATTAGGGCTCCTGAAAACCACTGAAACAGTTTATCTCACCCACCCAGCCTCAAGCCCCCTGATGGGCTGGAGTGGAGCCTGGATTGTTCTGGCAGCCAACCCCAGACCAGCTTCCACCCAGCTTGGCGGCCCCCTGGGCCACCTGCCTGGTTCCTCACTCCACAGAGGGTCCCCATTTTGTGGCAGAAAATCGAATGACAGCAAGAGGGTGAGATGGGAAGATGAGGGAGTTGGATCTATGAGGGGAGAGAAGCATTCTGTCCACTGAACAGGGTGGGGGGGGCTTTCCAAGATCCCCCCTTTACTTTCACACCCTTTCTCCAGTTCTGTTCCTCTCCTTTCACGGCACCCAGCGCCCTTCTGCACGGGTGGCCCAGTCCTCCAAGCCCAGCCTTGTCTTTTGAACTTCTCCCCAAGCAACCTGTCCCTGTACAATTTACATCCTCTCAGTTGTTTTCTCTCGAAACTCTTAACTCAGGCGGCCAATGCCATGGCCATGAGAACATTCTTCACCACAGAAAGCAAGATCCTTTGTCAGCCTGTTCTTCATGGGAGGGGAAGGGAAGGTTTTGTAAATATCAAGTGGAGATTAACTGGGGGAGGAGTCAGGAATTAAACAACGTGCTTTTTTTTTTTTTTTTTTGAGACAGAGTCTTGCTTTGTCACCCAGGCTGGAGTGCAGTGGCACCATCTCTGCTCACTGCAACTTCCGCTTCCCGAGTTTAAGCGATTCTCCTGCCTCAGCCTCCCAAGTAGCTGAGATTAGAGGTGCACGCCACCACGCCCAGCTAAATTTTTTTGGGGGGGGCGGGGACGGAGTCTCGCTCTGTTGCCCAGGCTGGAGTACAGTGGCGCAATCCCTGCAACCTCCGCCTGCCGGGTTCAAGCAATTCTCTTGCCTCAGCCTTCTGAGTAGCTGGGACTACAGGCGCATGACACCACCCCTGCTAATTTTTGTATTTTTAGTATAGACAGGGTTTCACCATGTTGGCCAGGCTGGTCTCGAACTCTTGGCCTCAAGTAATCTGCCTGCCTCTGCCTCCTAAAGTGCTGGGATTATAGGTGTGAGCCATCGCACCCAGCTAATTTTTGTATTTTTAGTAGAGACGGGGTTTCACCATGTTGGCCAGGCTGGTCTGGAACTCCTGACCTCAAGTGATCCACCCACCTCGGCCTCCCAAAGTACTGGGATTACAGGCATGAGCTACCACGCCCAGCCTAAACAGTGCACTTCAACACGAACTAGTAACGATCATGGTGGAGCACAGTCACAGACGGGGGAGGATCTCTGGCAGCTGACCTTCTGGGCTCACACCAGGAAGCCTGTCACCTTTCCCAGCTGCCTGTGCCATGCCTGTGGTGCCAGTCATTGCTCTAATGGTAGGCAGGGAGGCAGAACTCCCCCTGAATAAGTACAAGGACCTGATGAGCCTTTGAAAGCAGGCGACCCACTCAATCTGAATTCTTTCAGGTTGTTTCCTGCCCCAACAACTGTATGTAAAACAACTGGCTGAGAGCTTGTACAAATTAGGGTGGCTTGTCACAGGGTTTCTATCACATTTAGTCACCTCTGAAAAAAGAGACCCGTTTTTGTAAAACACCTAGCAGACCGGGCGCCGTGGCTCACGCCTGTAATCCCAGCACTTTGGGAGGCCGAGGCGGGCAGATCACGAGGTCAGGAGATTGAGACCATCCTGGCTAGTACAGTGAAACCCAGTCTCTACTAAAAATACAAAAAATTAGCCGGGCGTGGTGGTGGGCGCTTGTAGTCCCAGCTACTCGGGAGGCTGAGGCAGGAGAATGGCCTAAACCCAGGAGGTGGAGCTTGCAGTGAGCCGAGATAGTGCCACTGCACTCCAGCCTGGGCGACAGAGCGAGACTCCGCCTCAAAAAGAAAAAAGAAAAAGAAAAACACCTAGCATACATAAAGGGCTTTACCATCTCATTTCATTCCATCAATGAGCAAATGGGGGTTACCCTGACAGCAGTTGGAGTTCAATTGCAGGGAAGAGAGAACCTCTCCAGCTATTTTAAGCAAGAAGAGATTTAACACAGGAAATTAGGTGCTGACAAAATTATTGGAAGGGTGCAGGAGGAGCAGTCTCTGGACTCCCAAAACAACACCACTGAACTGGTCTGCCAAGACTACTGCCATCTCTGCCACCATCAGGAAGGTGAGGCGTGAGGGAGCCTGCCTCTAGAAATGTAGATTTCCAGAGTGCACTACCATAGCTGCGATCCAAGGATCAGGAAGCCACTGCCACCACAACCCCTCTCAACACCCACAAAGCCGGTAACTGAGCAAACACTAGAATGTTGTTACACACACACACACACACACACACACACACACACACACACCTCTAGCAGGTACAGCCAGACTTCACACGATTGCATCTAACTGGTGAAACTGAATTCTCATCCACAGTCCCAGCTGCAAAGGTGTCTGGGAAATCCAGTTTTTAGCCTTCCAGTCTCTGCAGACCATGGGGGCACCATAGGACGAGGTTGGAAGGGAGGCTGTGTGCCTGCCACCATGCCTACATTTTGCAGATAAGGAAACTAAGGTTCAGAGAGGTTAAAGAACACATCCAAGGGCACATGGCTGGTAAACCCCAATCTCCCTGACTCCAAAACCCATACTTTCAATCATTATATTGAGCAAACAGCCCCATTCCATTTGGGGCTTTGGCAGTCTTGGGGCATCTTTCGGCCAGAGGGCCCACACGACAGCAGAAGCTAGCACACACCTTCTGCATGCTCAAAGGCTGGACAGTGGGCACTGAGGCACAACTGAGGCCCCGGGGTTGTGAATAGCTTATCTCAGGTTGACAGACAGAGGAGACTCATAATCGAACCCAGGGTTCCTAACTCCACGTATACTTCCTGACCTCACCTCCCTGCCCCCCGACATCGACATCTGGAGGAGGGGGAATACACACGCAGGCTGTCTCTGGAGACATGTTTCTTCAACACTCAGCTGCCCTGCATTTTTCTAGGTGAGGTATCTAGCCTCCAGCCTCTCCTCCCACGTTTGGAGAATCCTTCATCTTCCTAGTTGCCTCCCACCAGAAAAGCTAAAAATCCCAGATAGGGGCACTTTCCCAGCCGCCATTGCAGTTGGTATAGGCTCTTACCTTAGGCTCAATCCATCAGATGCCCCCATCAAAGGCTTGGAGTTGGGAACTAATAATACAGAGATGCAAGGAGCACAGAAGTCCATTCTGGTGGATGGTGGCAGTCGCCAAGTCAATGGCATTCCAGTTCCTGGGGCGACAGGGACCATATCCACGTCCCAAGGTGGCAGTGTATGCCAGGGAGTCCTGGATTTGGCAGCGAGGTCATCCCTGGATTGCCTGACTTTGGCTGTGGTCCTGACTGCTGTGCAGCCTCCTTGGTCGACTCACCAACTGTATTCTTCAGCCCTCTTGGTTATTTTGTGAGTTCCCCAAGATCCTTTTGATAAAGTCCTTTTCTGCTTAAATAAGCCAGAATTGTTTCCTGTTGCTTGGGAGCCAAGAGCTCCGGCTGTTACAGCTGAGCCGCTAGATTTTGCCTGGCTTCCCTCAGCGAGACCACACAGGACACTGCTAATTCTTGGATCCCTCAGGCATCCCAGTCCACTTCCTGGGAGCTCCCATATCCCAGGACCTTGGCCTGCTGATCTTACATTAAGAGAACTGGCCTGGTCTGACAGAGGGTCCCACATCCATCCTGGACAGCTTCATGGTGATGTTCCTGGGTCCCATCTCAGACTCTCCCCATCAAAGGCTTTCTCATTGACCATGACCTTTCCCTAGGCACAAGTGAGAGCTCCTCCCTCCCCGCTGCCCCACACCTCCCCACAGTCACCAGTTTGGCATCCAGAAAACATTTCCTCCTTCTCCAGAGACCTTGCTCTTTGTCAGCCTTCACTCCTAGCTGAAGCAAAACAGCTGTGGGCCCTGCTCAGACTCCAAAAATGCAGGCTGGGAGCTCTGGGGCCTCTGCAAGAATAATGGCTGAAAGCAGTGCCCCAGGTTCAAGGCCCCGGCTTTGCTGTCAAGATAGGGTGTGAATAAATGGCTTACTCTCTTGGGGCCTTGAAAAGAGAGGAGAGTGAGGGCCTAGCCATAGCAAAGCGAGCACTGCTCACTGTCAACACTGAACTGGAAGCAGGGAAGGACTGTGAGGAGGGCGTTCCTCACCTAGGTTTGGGGCCTGGGGTCAAAACAGTGGGCGGAATTGCCCGGGGCGTCATCCAGCCAGAGGCAGATAGGAGCAGGAAGGGCTTGGGTTCCCACAGGCAGCACTGTGGGACCAGCTCAAATCAGCTTCTGGCTGAGTGTAGACAGGGGTCAGGGGAGGGGGCCCATCTCAGGGGACGGCCCAGCTGGTAGGCAGACCGGAAGTCCACTGGGATGACGACAGCGTGCTGTAAACTTGGGCTTATCTCAAGGATGTTGCCTTTGTTCTCGTGATCCCTCGCTTTCCCAATAAAAGTACCCTTGAAAATTGAGCTGAGGCCCAGAAGGGCATGTGGGTCATGAGGCCCACAGAGCCAGGCTGCTGCTGCTGCAGGAGGGGTCAGAAGGGATGGGGCCACCACCGACCTGGCTGGGACTCTGGAGGAAGCAGGAGTAGCTCTCTGCAGTCAACATGGAGGAGTAAAGGGCAGGGGGAGCCCAGCAGAAGAAGGGTGCTTCTCTCCCCTCTGTTGGGAGCAGGAGAGGTACGATGAGAACATCACAGAGAGTACCAGGGACACGGGTGGGCTGGAGACAAGATGGAAAATCGCCTAACCACTAGGCTCAGGCAGTGGAACCACAAACGCCAGCCTCAACCAATACTTGAGGAAGGAGCGTGGATCTGGAGTCGGACAGGCTTGGGTTCAAATCCCAGCTATACCAGTCAATGGCTGTGGCATCCGAGGCAAGCCTTTGTGGCTGGACTGTTACACAGGCAGCCCTCAAGGAGCCGTACCTCCCACATCCCATGTATTGACTCTGAGTTTGGCCATGTGACTTTCTTTGGCTAATGGAATATTAATGAGCATGACGAAAAGCAGAGGAAGGATAATTGCTCACATATTGAGGCTTGTCCTCTTGGAACACTCCCTCCTGAAGCCCAGCTGCCATACTTGAAGATGCCCAAGCCAGCCAGATGAAAAGGTCGTGAAGAAGAGAGCTCAGGCCACCCAGCCAACAGCCAGCACCAAGGCCCTAGTCATGTGAGAGGCCTTCTTTGACCTTCCAGCCCAATCTAGCTGCCAATTGATTGTATCCCCATGAGAGATCCAGCTGACACCATATGGAACCCAAGAACCACCCAATCAATCTACAGAATTATGAGAAATTATCATTAATTGTCATTTTAAGCCACTAAGATTTGGGGTGGTTTTTGCACAGCAAAAAGGAACTGAAACACTGGTGAACCTTTCTGAACCTCTGTGGCCCCCTCCACAAAATGGGGTGATAATATTTGCTGCCAAAAGTTAGGAGTAAATTTAAGACACAATAATGATCATTTATGGAGTGCCTGCTGTGTTTCAGGTACTGTGGGAGATGCGGAATGTATGCCATTTAAAGCAGAACTCAGAGGTGTTAAGTAACTTGTCCAAGGTGGCCCAGCCAGGGTCAGAGCTGGGACTCTAACCCAGTTCTCTTGGATTTTAACAACTGTGATCTAGCAGGGCATCCTCTATCGGCACCGGTGAATGGATCACCTTCCAGGAAAGCACCAAACTGTCACACCTTTCTTTCCTTTTTTTTTTTTTTTTTTTGAGATGGAGTCTCACTTTGTCGCCCAGGCTGGAGTGCAGTGGCGCGATCTCGGCTCACTGCAAGCTCCGCCTCCTAGGTTCACACCATTCTCCTGCCTCAGCCTCCCGAGTAGCTGGGACTACAGGCGCCCGCCACCATGCCTGGCTAATTTTTTTTTTGTATTTTTAGTAGAGACGGGGTTTCACCGTGTTAGCCAGGATGGTCTGGATCTCCTGACCTTGTGATCCTCCCACCTCGGCCTCCCAAAGTTCTGGGATTACCGGCGTAAGCCACCGCACCCAGCCACTGTCACACCTTTCTAGAGCTTTGTCATTGTCAGGTGGTTAGAGGAAGGAGCCAGGGAGCATGCTCACACGGCTGGCATCAAGCCCAGGTCCCCTTGAGAGTAGATTAACATGGCTCCATTGGGTGTTGAGTCCTGTGCTCTTGGCCCTGCCTCTGTGAGCCCTGGGTCACAAGAGATGACAGAACTCAGAGCAAATCCATTTTCACTTCTAGGAAAACAGCTAATGGGGATCAGTAGCTCTATGGTCACGGCCAAAAGGCAGCTTGTTTCTCAAGAGACAGGAAATGCCTTGGCCAAGGGTGCCCTGCCCCCGCCACTAGAGTGCCTCAAGGATCCAGAAGCCAGCCCATTTGTCCCTGTGTGACATAGCTCCCTCAACACACACGCACATACACACACACACACACACACACAGAGGAGGCGGGGCGGGGGAGGGGATGACTGCGCAGGGCGAGGGGGCGCCTGGCTTACAATGGGGTGGGGGTGAGACATGACCAGAGGTCCCTACCTCAAAGGCAGGTGAATGTTACAGGGAGGCTCCCCACCTCCCTGGAACTGGTGAGTGAACAGGGTGGCAGAGGGTTCTCCCCTCACCCTCACCCTCATCCCAAGCTGATGGCATCACTCTCCACTCTCCACCCCAGGCAGAGGTCCAGGGTGAAGGTGAGGTGAGGGTTCCCCAGCTGATCAAACCTCCACATCCTCTCCTTTCCTTGATTCTACCCATCTGACTCAGGAAGAATTTTTTTTTTTTTTGAGAGACAGAGTCTCTCTCTCTTGCCTAGGCAGGCATGTAGCAGTGGTACAATCTTAGCTCACTGCAGCCTTGAAGTCCTAAGCTTAAGTGATCCTCCTACTTCAGCTTTCCGAGTAGCTGGGCCCACAGGCATGCACCTTTATGCCCAGCTAATTTTTTGTATTTTTATTTTGTAGAGACAGTGTCTCGCCGAGGCTGGTCTCAAACTTCTGGACTTTAGGGTTCCTCCCACTTCAGCCTCCCGAAGTGCTGAGATTCAGGTGTGAACCACCACATCTGGCCCCCAAAAGACTTTTACCTTCAAGGAGTCCCTTTCAGAAGTGCTCGCACACGATGCAATTTGTGGGAAGAGCTAATCCGAAAGTATATTGCTAGAATGATCTCAATTTTGCTTAAAATTATATATTTATATATAAATATATGAAAATGACTGGCAAGAACCACCTGAAAATATTAACGATAATTACCTCCAAGTGGTAGGATGTGGTTTTTCCTTCTTTATATCTTTCTGTATCCTTGACTTCTCTATGAAGGCCATGAATTGCTTTCATAATCAGGACATAAACTGTTATTGTCTGTGCTGCTTTTTACAAATCCAAGAGGCTTGGAAAAGTCACACCTTAAAACCCTTCCCATCCAGCACCTTCATTATTGGTTCACACCTGGATTATCAGCGAGTGGCTCAAGACACGTTAGTCCTCAACAAGGGGAGAGATGGGCAGGGAGCAACAGCAACCAGGAAGGCAAAAGGGGTGGGGCCGGCGAGGATGGAGCCTGCGCAGTGAGCAACTAGGGCTGCTTCCCACCCTCCTCCGGACTAGAGAGATGGGACCAGGGCCCTGCAAGGCCCTGCTGGAGAGGTTGCTGGAATGGAGGGCCACTCCTGCCTGCCTGGGGTGGGGAGGACAGGAAGCCCTGGGCTGGAATTAGCATTGAGAGGCCAGGCTCATGCATGCTTCCTGGTTTACACTGGGCCCTATCACATATATAGTAGCAGCCTTACCTCGAAAGCTGGGTGTGGATTAAAGGAGTTGAGGTGGTGCATATCCAGTGCTTAGTACAGCTTCTGGGACACACTAGGTGCTCAATAAATGCAATTATAATCATTAGGAATAAATGCATGCCCATCAGCACCAACTCTCTTGGGTGAGCCCAGTACCTCTCTCATCCTGTGCCAGAAAAAGGAATGAGCCCTGCCCCATCCCCAGCCAGTGATCTCCTGTCTTGCCCCTCATCAGATCCTACCTTCTACACAGCCGAATAACCCTTGGAGGAATTTCTAGGATGGGCTGCTTTGGCCAAAGCAAGCTGTGCATTATGATGGGTGACAAATGCCCAGATGATGCCACCAAAGGCCATAAAACAGCCCCAGATGGTTGGGGGTGTTTGTTTTGCTTCCCATCCACTCTGCTTGGAGCTATGCCAGCACCAATCCAGAGTGGAAGCCAAGTGTTGCAGGGAGGGCCTCGCATAATTGGGAATGGGGAAGTTCCCCCAGGCAGAGGAGTGGGGCTCAAGTTGAACTCCTCTGCCCTCCTGCACTTTCAGGCTTACAGTGCCCAGTTGCTCTCTCCCTGCTCTAACTCACACATGTACTCCCAAGAAAGAGTTTGAGGTAAGTCATTTACGCTTTAGTATGAATTTAAGTGTCCCAGGGCCTCTGGTTTCATCGTGGAATGAGAAGCTTTATTATTTCCCCCTGAAATGTCACCATGTCAGGGGTCTTTGGCCTTAAATAAGAAAATGGAAGATCAGGCATGGTAGCTCACGCCTGTAATCCCAACACTTTGAGAGGCTGAGATGGGTGGATTGCTTGAACTCAGGAGTTTGAGATCACCCTGGGCAATATGGTGAAACCGTGTCTCTACTTAAAAAAAAAAAATACAGGCCGGGTGCAGTGGCTCACACCTGAAATCCCGGCACTTTGGGAGGCCAAGGCAGGCGGATCACTTGAGGTCAGGAGTTCAAGACTAGCCTGGTGAATGGTGAAACTCCGTCTCTACTAAAAATACAAAAAATTAGCCGGGTGTGGTGGTGGGCGCCTGTAATCCCAGCTACTCGGGAGGCTGAAGCAGGAGAATTGCTTGAACCCAAGAGGCAAAAGTTGCAGTGAGCTGAGATTGCACCATTGCACTCCAGCCTGGGTGACAGAGCGAGACTCCATCTCAAAAAAAAAAAAAAAGAAAGAAAGAAAGAAAAAAAAATACAAAAACACTAGCCAGGCATGGTGGCATGTGCCTGTAGCCCCAGCTACTTCAGAGGCTTCGGCGGGAGAATCACTTGAGTCTGGGAGGCAGAAATTGCAGTGAGCCGAGATCGTGCCACTGTACTCCAGCCTGGACAACAGTGTGAGACCCTGTCTCAAAAAAAAAAGAAAGAAAATAAATAAATAAAATGGAGGCCGGGCAAGGTGGCTCATGCCTGTAATCCCATTATTTCGGGAGGCTGAGATGGGAGGATCACTAGAGGCCAGGAGTTTGAGACCAGCCTAGGCAACAAAGAAAGATCCTCCATCTCTACAAAAAAAAAAAACTTAAAAAAAAAATTAACTGGGTATGGTGATGCATGCCTATAGTCCCAGCTACTATAGTCCCAGCTACTCAGGAGGCTGAGGTGGGAGGATCATTTGAACCCAGGAGTGCCAGGTTGCAGTGAGCTATGATCAGCCTGGGTGACAGAGGGAGATCCTGTCTCAAAAAAGAAAAAAAAAAAAAGGAAAAGAAAATGGGGAGCTGATGAGAGTTCTAATACTGGTGTTTCAGCCATACCAAGGCCTAGCCACCCAAGTCCCCAAGGTCAGGACTTGCCCTACCCTCCAAGCCCAGTAATGTATGCACTTTCTTTTATTTCTCATTAAGGACACATGAATAAAAAGCATGAAAGCTTCTGTATGTATCCTTAAAATAGAAGGATTTAAAGAGTTTTGTTTTTTTTTTTAATGCTAAAATGGTAGAAAGGGCCAGGCGTAGTGGCTCACGCCTGTAATCCTAGCACTTTGGGAGACCAAGGCCGGCCGATTACTTGAAGTCAAGAGTTCAAAACCAGTCTGACCAACATGGTGAAACCCGTCTCTACTAAAAATACAAAAAATTAGCCGGGCGTGGTGGCATGCACTCCTAGTCCCAGCTACTCAGGAGGCTGAGGCAGGAGAATTGCTTGAACCCGGGAGGCAGAGGTTGCAGTGAGCCAAGATTGTGCCATTGCACTACAGTCTGGGCAAAAGAGCAAGACTCTATCTCAAAAAAAAAAAAAAAAAAAAAGAATGGTAGAAAGAGAAAAAGAATAACACAGGGCTCCAAAGTCATAAAGGAAAAGATGGACAGATGTGACAACACAAAACTTTGCAACCAAGTGTGGTGACTCATGCCTGTAATCACAAGACATTGGGAGGCTGAGGTGGGAGGATCACTTGAGGCCAGGAGTTCGAGACCAGCCTGGACAATATAGCAAGAACACTCTTTAAAAAAACAAAACAAACAAAAAACTCCTGTGCAACAAAAATACATCATCAACCAGAGGTTGCAAACTGCTGTCCTGCAAATGCAACCCAGCCCAAACAGGTGGTGTCTTTTATAGTGCTTACAAATTTTTGAACGAGTTGCCAGGGTTTTTAAATTGGAATTTTTGGCTGGGCATGGCGGCTTACGCCTGTAACCCCAGCACTCTGGGAGGCCAAGACAGGCAGATCGCCTGAGGTCAGGAGTTTGAGACCAGCCTGGCCAACATGGTGAAAACCCATCTCTACTAAAAATACAAAATTAGCCAGGCGTTATGGCGGGTGCCGGTAATCCCAGCTACTCCGGAGACTGAGGCAGGGGAATTGCTTGAACCGGGAGGCAGAGGTTGCAGTGAGCCGAGATCACACCACTGCAATCCAGCCTGGTTGTCAGAGCGAGACTCCATCTCAAAAAAAAAAAATTGGAAATTTTCCTGTAAAAACCCGTATATACGGCATCTCCTGAAAAATCAGAAGATTTGGCACACAGGTTTCCACCTTCCCACCCAGCAGTGGTTGGCTGGAGCCCAGGAGGGGCTGCCAATCCTAGACAGTTGCCCTCCACACCTGCTTCACTTATTTGTGCTGCTTGCCCAAGATTTGCCATAAACAAAAGGAATAAACAAAAGATACTTCAGGAGACTACATTTGCTACACATCCTACAAAAAGTGAATATCCATTATATATAAACAAGAAACAGGCAAACAGTTCAATAGAAACATGGGGAAGGGGAGACTATAAACAGGTAAGTCATAGAAAAAGAAATGCAAATGCGCAATAAACATGAGAGATGCTCAACTGACGGGTGACCAGAAAAATGCCAATGAAATTGAGAGGATCCTTTTCTTTAAAAAAAAAAAAAAAAAAAAAAGCCATCAAACTGGCACAAAATCAAAAAGCTTTCCAGCATCCGCTGTTGGCAAAGATGTGGGAAAAGATAACTTGTGTGTGTTATTGGTGAGCGTGAAAACTGGTGCAATCTTTTTTGGAGGGTGATTTGGCAGTTCCAGTCATTATTTTAATTATATATACCTTTAAAGAAATGTAAGTAAACTTTTTTTTTTTTTTTTTTTTTTTTTTTTGAGACGGAGTCTCGCTCTGTCGCCCAGGCTGGAGTGCAGTGGCGGGATCTCGGCTCACTGCAACCTCTGCCTCCTGGGTTCAAGCAGTTCTCCTGCCTCAGCCTCCCTAGTAGCTGGGATTACAGGCACCAACCACCACGCCTGGCTAATTTTTGCATTTTTAGTAAAGACGAGGTTTCACCACATTGGCCAGGTTGGTCTCGAACTCCTGACCTCAGGAGATCTTCCCGCCTCAGCCTCCCAGGTAAATAAACTTCTTATTGAAGTACAGCGTGCATATAGAAAAGTATACAAATCGTAAGTGTGTGTGGCTCAGAAACTGGACACATTCATGTAATCATCGTATAGCTCAAGACAGAGAACAATATGAGTTCTAGCTGGGCTCGGTGGCTCACGCCTGTAATCCCAGCACTTTGGGAGTCTGAGGTGGGTGGATCACTTGAGGCCAGGAGTTCAAGACCAGCCTGGGCAACATGGCAAGACCTCATCTCTACAAAAAATAAATATAAAAAATAAAAAATTAGCCAAATGTGGTGGCGAGAAGCTGTAGTCCCAACTATTCAGGAGGCTGAGGTGAGAGGATCACCTGAGCCAGGGAAGTTGAGGTTGTAGTGTGCCGTGATTGCACCACTGCACTCCAGCCTTGGGCAACAGAGCAAGGCCCTGTCTAAAAAATAATAATAATAAATTTAAAAATATAAAAAATATTTTTAAAAAAACATTATAAGGCTAGGCGAGGTGGCTCACACCTGTAATCCCAGCACTTTGGGAGGCCAAGGAGGTTGGATCACATGAGGTCAAGAGTTCAAAACCAGCCGGGCCAGCATGGTGAAACCTCGTCTCTACTTTAAAAAATACAAAAATTAGGGCCAGGTGTGGTGGTTCACGCCTGTAATCCCAGCACTGTGGGAGGCCAAGGTGGGTGGATCACCTGAGGTCAGGAGTTGGAGACCAGCCTGGGCAACAGAGTGAGACCCCGTCTCCACACAAAATAAATTAGCTGGGTGTGGTGGTGCACACCTGTAGTCCCAAGTATGTGGGAGGCTGAGACGGAAGGATTACTTGAGCCTGAGAGGTGGAGGCTGCAGTGAGCCGTGATCACACCACTGCACTCAGCCTGGGCGACCAAATGAGATTCTGTCTCAAAAAGAAAAACAAAAACAAGTTAAAATAATATGAGTGAATACACGTGTGCATTGAAATATTTGCCAGATAGCACAACATCTCTCACTATCCACAAAGCTAGTGACAGCTGGGGGAAGGGCTCTACCATAGCACCCCAGTTACCTTGCACATATCCACATAGCCCATGCGGGCAAAGGCTTGAACTGCAACTTATCTGCTCTTGGCAGAACACGAGAAGACAGGAGGCCTGTGAGGAATTGCTCAGAGGCCATCTTCCACTCGCCTCCTAGAGCAGTCCGCTTGGGTTCCCATGACAAAGTACCATGCACTGTGTAGCCTCAACAAAATATATTTATTGTCTCACAGTTCTGGAGGCTGGAAGTCTGAGATCAAGGTGTTGGCAGGGTTGGTTCTTTGTGAAGGCTGTGAGGGAAGGATCTGTCCTAGGCTTCTGTCCTTGGCTTCTCGCTGTGTCTTTACGTGGTCTTCCCTGCGTGTGTGTCTGCGTCGTAATTTCCTCTTCTCATAAGGACACCAGTCAAATTGGATTAAGGCTCACCCTCACGACCTCATTTTTAATTTAATCACCTCCGTAAAAAGCCTGTCTCCAAATACAGTTATATTCTGAGATCCTGCGAGTTAGGACTTCAACATATGAATGAATGGGGGTGGGGGCACAGTTTAGCTCACAACGCCTCCCTATCTCTCTTTAGAGACTGTCAGGAGACAGTTTCTCTTCACCTGGGTTCTGAGGAGGTCTGAGGCTTCCTGCCCCACCCCCTGTTAGTACAGCAGGCCTATCAAGTTGGCCAGTTGGATACAGCCAGTCTAGAATGAACCCTTAGGCAATGGGGCAGCCCTCAACTTCTGTTGCAGTCATTCTGTCCCTTTTGTTTCAGGGTCATTCTTTTTGGTGTGGGACAAGGACCCAGGAGAGCTGGCACCTTTCGCTAATCTTCCTTTCACTGTTTTTGTTTGTTTGTTTTTGTTTTTTTGAGACGGAGTCTCACTCTGTCACCCAGGCTGGAGTGCAGTGGTGTCATCTCAGCTCACTGCAAACTCCACCTCCTGGGTTCAAGCAATTCTTGTGCCTCAGCCTCCCAAGTAGCTGGGATTACAAGCACCTGCCACCACGCCCAGCTAATTTTTGTATTTTTAGTAGAGATGGGGTTTTGCCATGTTGCCCAGGCTGATTTTGAACTCCTGACCTCAGGCGATCTTCCCACCTTGGTCTCCCAAGGTGCTGGGATTATAGGCGTGAGCCACCGCACCCGGCCTCCTTTCACTGTTTATGTGAGTAATGAACTGTTCGAGTCTAAAAATGGCTACTGCATCTTTAGCAGCTGGATCCACCAGGCCTTGGCCTCAGCTTTGCCTTGTCTTATGTGTGCTTGACAATAGACACTGGAACGAGCTGCAAAAACAAAAAAATCTTGCTACCAGAAGTGGGAGAAAAAGGAAAACATGAAGAATGGCTCCCAATTCTGTGGCCCTCTGGTCACCCCCATTCCCCAACTGCCATACCCCTACCAGTACCCACCCAGCCCTCTTCTGCTGGGGTGGCACAGTCCTTGCCCCAACTCTGGCTTTGGGGCCCCTGTATTTTGGACTTGCTTGCCATTTTACAAATGAATTAACAAAAGATAAGGCACAACTATATGCGAATATATGTGTGCATTTAACTATTTAGAAGAACATTTTACACATGGACAAATAGGATCCATAACTTTTGGGGAAGAAGAGTGCAGTGCAGGGAAGGGTAGGGAAGGGACGTTAACATTTTCTCCATATTTTAAACGACAGGCCCCACAGGTGAACTGTCAAAGGTGGGAAGGCTAGCCTCTAACAAGCAGAGTTGAGTTCACTCACAGTTCATATCTTGTATAGGCAACAGGACTCCCAACCCTTTCCCCAACAAATAAAGAGATAAAGAGTTTAGCCCTGGAGAAGTGGCCCCCGCCTGTAATCCCAGCACTTTGGGAGGCCAAGGTGGGTAGATCACGAGGGCAGGATACCAAGACCATCCTGGCTAACACGGTGAAACCCCGTCTGTACTAAAAATACAAAAAATTAGCCGGGTGTGGTAACACTCGCCTATAGTCCCAGCTACTTGGGAGGTTGAGGCAGGAGAATCATTTGAACCCGGGAGGCGGAGGCTGCAGTGAGCCAAGATCCGAGATTGTGCCACTGCACTCCAGCCTGGGCAAGAGAGTGAGACTCGATCTCAAAAAAAAAAAAAAAAAAAAAAAAGGCCAGGCGCGGTGGCTCACACCTGTAATCCCAGCACTTTGGGAGGCCAAGGCGGGCAGATCATGAGGTCAGGAGATCGAGACCATCCTGGCTAACACGGTGAAACCCCGTCTCTACTAAAAAGTACAAAAATTTAGCTGGGTGTGGTGGCGGGCCCCTGTAGTCCCAGCTACTCGGGAGGCTGAGGCAGGAGAATGGCATGAACCCGGGAGGCACAGCTTGCAGTGAGCCGAGATCTCGCCACTGCACTCCAGCCTGGGCGACAGAGCGAGACTCCATCTCAAAAACAAAAAAGAAAGTTAAGAAAGCCCCAAGACAAGCGTTGCCTTCCTCAAAGCCCATGTCCGTCCTCTGCCTCGCTCTGTCACCCAGGTTGGAGTGCAGTGATGCGATCTCTGCTCACTGCAACTTCTGCCTCCTGGGTTCAAGCAATTCTCCTGCCTCAGCCTCCCGAGTAGCTGGGATTACAGGGGCACGCCACCAAGCCTGGCTAATTTTTTGTATTTTTAATACAGATGGGGTTTCACCGTGTTAGTCAGGATGGTCTCGATCTCCTGACCTCGTGATCCACCTGCCTCAGCCTCTCAAAGTGCTTAGATTACAGGCCTGAGCCACCGTGCCCAGTCACCCCTCCTTCCTTCTAAGTGTCACAGCGGTTCTTCATTCACGTGTGTCTTCTGATGTGTCTGCCTTACTGTTTCATGTTAATGACATTGCATGGGTGCATGTCTTCTCTCCTTGACTAGAAGTTCCTCGAAGGTAGAAACCAATTTTTAGCCTCCTCTGAATCTCTTTAGCTCTGACATCAATGTCTAGTACATAGCAAGGGGTATATACATCCAGACAATGGAATCTTATTCGGGGCCAAAAAGAAATGAGCCATCAAGCCATGAAAAGACATGGAGGAAACTTAAATGCCACTTACTAAGTGAAAGAAGCCAACCTGGAGAGGCCATATGCTGCGTGATTCCAACTCTATAACATTCTGCAAATTGAAAAACCATAGAGATAGTCAAAGGATCAGTGGTTGCCAGGGGTTATGGAGCAGGGCAGGAGGGATGAACTCATGAAGGAGAGGGGTTTGCTTGTTTGTTTTTTTTTGTTTTGTTTTGTTTTTTGAGATGGAGTCTCGCTCTGTCGCCAGGCTGGAGTGCAGTGGTGCAATCTTGGCTCACTGCAACCTCCCACTCCCTGGTTCAAGCAATTCTCCTGCCTCAGCCTCCCGAGTAGCTGGGATTACAGGTACGTGCCACTACGCCAAGCTAATTTTTGTATTTTTAGTAGAGACGGGGTTTCACCATGTTGGCCAGGATGGTCTTGATCTCCTGACCTCATGATCTGCCCACCTCAGCCTCTCAAAGTGCTGGCATTACCGGCATGAGCCACCAAGCCCGGCCGCAGAGGAGATTTTTAGGACAGTGAAGCTATTCTGTGTGATACTGCAATGGTGATTATGCATTTGTGGAAAATTGTAGAATGTATAACACAAAGAGTGAACCCTGATGTAAACTGTGGACATTAGTTAAGAAGTGACAGCAATTAGTTAATAATCAGTACCGATAGTGGTTCATCAATATTGAATCAATATTCTAATGCAAGATATTCATAATAGCAGAAACTGGGGGGCACTATATGGGAACTCTAAACTTTCTGCCCAGTTTTCCTGTAAACCTAAACCTGCTTTAGAAAATAAAACCTATTAATGGTATATGTATGTATGTGGAAGTACATGTGTGTGTGTGTGTGTGTGTGTATATATATATATATATAGAGAGAGAGAGAGAGAGACAGAGAGAGAGAGAAAACAGTAAATGATGTTGGATCATCCTCATGGACACACCCAGTTATGAAAGAGTTTGGAAGATTTGCCCAGGACTGATGGTTTTCAAACTTCAGTAAAACTTAGCTGAGAGTAAATTAAAGGTTCTCCTTCAGCCTGGGCAACATAGCGAGACCCTGTGTCTACAAAAAATTTTTTAAATCAGCCAGCCATAGTGGTATGTGCCTGTGCTCCCAGCTACTTGGGAAGCTGAGGAGGGAGGGTCACTTGAGCCCTGGAGGTCAAAGCTGCAGTGAGCCGTGATCGCACCACTGTGTTACAGCGTGACAGAATGAGACCTTGTCTCTTAAAAAAAAAAAAAAAGGACGAGTAAGCATTTATTTGTGAAATAAAATTTATACAGAAAGTTGCTAGAATTGCCCCTAGGTGTTTGTGTTTCTTGATGTTTCCCCCTAATGTATCATGTTTTGTATTTAAATCATAAATAATTTTTAGATAACCAAAAAGTGTCCTTAATATGATATCTGCTGTCCCCTTTCTAGGCCATGTCAGTTACCCTATTGCTGTAAATATGGCTGTGAGTCCCCTACCCACTGGCAAACCCTGACCTCCAAAGGAAAGGAATAGGTCACGTATCACTTGGCTTCTTTCGGAGAATTAGGAAAGGTAAAAGGGAAATGTCCACCATTACAGCAGTATTAGCTCCCTAGAAAACAGTTTCTGGGCTGGGATGGGTGGCTCACACCTATAATCCCAGCACTTTTGGAGGCCGAGGTGGGCGGATCACTTGAGGTCAGGAGTTCGAGAACAACCTGGCCAACATGGTGAAACCTCATCTCTACTAAAAATACAAAAACTAGCCCGGAGTGGTGGTGGGCGCCTGTAATCCGAGCTACTCAGGAGGTTGAGGCAGGAGAATCACTTGAACCCAGAAGGGGGAGGTTGCAGTGAGCCGAGATCACACCACTGTACTCCAGCTTGGGCAACAGAGTGAGACTCCATCTTAAAAAAAAAGAAAACAGTTTCTGGAGAGATACTGTTCAGGGAACTGCACTGCAGAGAGAAAGACAAAGGCTCTGATGTCAACAGATATTTATCGAGAAAGTGTTGGACCAAAAGGCAGTGGGGCGGGACAGCCGTTCCTGGCAACTGCTTTGTTTCTGTGATACTGTGATAGACCAGGGCAGACACACCTCCCTGGCCTGCGTGCACTCAGCGCCTTCCTGCCCCTCCAAATCTACGATGCACGACATGAACCGGTTGAATAGTCTCTTCTGTATTTCCCACATATCCAACCTTCTCTCTGTTGGCTTTAATGTATCTGCAGCAAGCAGAACTAACTAATGTTATTTTCTTGGTATTAAGTCTCCTGACCTCAGGGTGTAAATGTGCAGAAAGGAGACGCAAATTAGTGTCTTCAGCCGGTGGTCCTGACATTGCGGTTTGAGTAGGAGCTTCCCGCTGCTCCTGGCTCCCAGGTGACTGTGCTGCTCAGCTCCACGCGGCACCACCACCCCCTATTTCATTTATCATCCTCTCCCTCTGATGCCAGCTTCTGATTAGAGGGTTAGAAAATAAGCCCTGAGAGGGAACTAATTACTTAAGTGGGGACGGAGAGGCCAAGGAATGGCTTGGTAACAGTCTCCATGCATTGCGAGGGTTATTACTGCAGGCCGTGGTGACCAGTGGTATCTTAGGTCAGGTTCCCTGGAAGCAGAGAGCCTTAGACAGGGATTCTTGTGCAAATGAAAGATGGAGGAGGGAGGGCTCTCGGGAGATAAAGGTAAGGATGGAGAGAAGCAGAGTGGGGGTGGGGAAGGCAAGCAAAGATTGGGATTTGGCCAAAGTCTAGCGTCAGACTGAGGGTGGGGTGGGGGTTCTGGATTATGAATGGCATCATAGCGACACTCCTCCCCATACTTGACACAAGGCAGCCAGGCTTTTCTGTCCCCAAATCAGTCATTGGTTGACTGCAGGCCACCCCCATGAGGGCAAAAGGAGGGCATAAGCCCAAATGGTCATCCCTGGGTGAGGCTGATAGCAATTCCCCAGAGAAGGCTGACTCCGCAAGCCATCTGTCTGGGGATGTACGCACCGGCCAGTACAGGGAATCTGGCTGGACGCCAACGGCACCCACGAAGGGCTGGCCTCTCAAAAGACAGTAGGAGAGAAGTAGGATAGACATAAGAAAAAGCTCTGGAGGCCACTGGATGCTCTGAAGCTCCTTCCAGCTGCCTGTCACTGGAAGGGATTGGACAGGGAATGGCCTCCACTCACGTGGGTCTTTCCAGGCAGTCACAAGCAGGATGTTTGAGCTCAAAAAAGACCCAATCTGAGAATGTCACTGAGAACTACAATTTGTGATCCTACTGTCAAATGATGGCCTGAGAGACCTAAGGGGCTCCCCAGAAAGCTTCCAGATTAGTTGAGCTCTAATAACAGCAGCAAAGGGTACAGCTGCTACTTGGCCAGGTATGATTCTAAATGCCTTATGTCCATTAACCTAATTTAATCCTCACAGCAACCTTGTGGGTAAGGTGTTATTATTTACCATCCCCATTTTACAGATGGGGAGAATGAGGCCCAGAGAGGTTAATTAATTTACTGGAGTTACACAGTTGGAAGTAGAAGAGCCAGGATCTGAATCCAGATGGTGTGATTCATGTGGGCAACACCATCACTCTACTGCCTCTGGCTGTCCCTCTAGCAGGTGGGGGTGGGATGGGGCAGTGTAGACAGGTGCTAGAAGGCAGGAGACCGCCCTGGATGCTTTTAGAGCAGTATTTTCATAAACCTTTGCATACACTGGAATCACCTGTAAGGGACTGTTACAATACAGGCAGTCCAGAGGCAACTCTGTAAGCCCCACAATGATTCAGATGCGAGTGCAAAGGCCAGGTTCAAATCCTGGCTCTTCCACTTACTACCTGTGTGACCTTGGAAATAAATGTTCATTAACCTCTCGACTCAATTTTTCTCAACTCTAAAATGAAAGTAGACTGAGTGCGGGGGCTCACGCTTGTAATCCCAGCACTTTGGGAGGCCAAGGCAGGTGTATTGCTTGAGCCCAGGAGTTTGAGACCAGCCAGAGCAACATAGTGAGATCCCCATCTCTATTTATTTTTTAAAATAAAATATTTAAAGATAAATAAATAATAATAATAATACTTTTTAAGATGTTGTGAAGTTTAAACTGTGAATCACAGTTGTATATATTAGGCAAAAGTCTGGTAGGCCAAACTATTAACAGTGGGTTCTCTGGGGAGGGAAATTAAGGTGGGGGCATAAAGAAGGTGGGGGCAGAATGGGAGAAACGTTTACTTTTTTTTTTTTTTTTTTTTTGAGACGGAGTCTCACTCTGTTACCCAGGCTAGAGTGCAGTGGCGCGATCTCGACTCACTGCAACCTCCGCCTCCCGGGTTCAAGAGATTCTTCTGCCTCAGCCTCCCGAGTAGCTGGGATTACAGGCATGTGCCACCACACCTGGCTAATTTTTGTATTTTTAGTAGAGACAGAGTTTTGCCATGTTGGCCAGGCTGGTCTTGAACTCCTGATCTCAGGCGATCCACCCACCTCAGCCTCCCAAAGTGTTGAGATTACAGGCGTGAGCCACTGTGCCCAGCCGAAGCGTTCACTTTTTACCCTATGCATTAAATTTTAATTCTTTGTAAGGAGAACATATTAAAGCATCAAGTATGTAAAATTTACTTAATCAAAAACAAAAAGGGCCAGGCACAGTGGCTCACGCCTGTAATTCCAGCACTTTGGGAGGTCGACGTGGTGGATCACTTGAGGTCAGTAGTTCAAGATCAGCCTGGTCAACATGGCAAAACCCTGTCTCTACTAAAAATACAAAAATTAGCCAGGTGTGGTGGCAGGTGCCTGTAGTGCCAGCTACTTGGGAGCCTGAAGCAGGAGAATCGCTTGAACCCGGGAGGCAGAGGTTGCAGTGAGCTGAGATTGCACCACTGCACTCCAGCCTGGGAAGCAGAGCAAGACTCTGTCTCAAAAACAAACAAAAAGATGAAATAGAATTATCTATAGAGAATGCGTGGCACACAATAGGTGTTCAATCAACAGTAGCTGCTAGTAGCAGTATCATCAACCACAAACATTTGTTGAATGCCTATTATGTGCAAGTCATCATATTTAGTCTCCATCAGGAGGCAGAGAAGCACAAGGCAACGTCCCTGCTCTTACACGTACAAAAAAACACCCCAAACACCCAATGGTAGTGTTTACTTTGGATCTAAGAAGTGCTATAGAGAATAAGGGCTTCGAGGAGCTGAAATGAGAGAGAGATCATTTCCAGCTGGCCTCTTCAAGGGAGGTGGGGCTTGAGTGGGCTTTGAGAAAAGGGGAAGATTTCAATAGACAGAAAAAGGGGGAAAGAACATTCCGATGGCAGAAAAGAGCTTGGTTCAAAGGGCAAAGGGACTTGCTAGGCATGCGCAGAAGATGCTGAGTGGACATTTGGCTTGGCTTGGCGCGGCCGGTCTGCGGGATGCAATCATGCTGGATCCGAGGCAGGCAGCGGGGGGCCTGCTGTAGCTGACCTGCCCTCCCTCAAGTGAAAGAACACAATCACTGGCTCCAACACTTCCGGTGGCTAGAATGGACTGAGGCCAAGATGGACTTTCTTAACAATTCTTGACCCCTGTGGACCGAGCCTAGAATAGAAAGCAAAGTAGCCACAAAGATTAAAAAAAAAAAAAAGTCAATCCTCTCCCCAAACTGCTCTGTTGCCCAAATATGCAACAGCCTGCACAATGAATTGTGGGTGCAGAATGGAGGGTGTGTGTGTCTGGGTGCAATATGTGCATGTGCATATGCCACGATGTGTGTTGTGCAGGGGGACTGCCTCAGAAGCATGCACGTTGTAATGACACGCGGTATTTCCTGTGATTGTGTGATATACTGGATTGAGTTATGAGTGCTGTGTATGCTAACCACATCACTGAAAGCTAATCTTTCTGAGCGACTGGGAAGACAGCAGAGGAAAGCAGGCAGCCAGCAAAATCTGCATCCATAGAGTGCGCCATCTGCCTCCGGTGGTCAGTACCAGGTGCCACGGGGGAGTGTGGAGTGGCCCGGGCTGGCGGTATGAATATGAGGCCAGTTGTTCAGGCAGGGCATTGAGGTGGTCGAGAATAAAGCTGGCAGCATTTAAATTTCCAACTGTCCAGCGTTTTTCCTTTATCAGCAAAGTCCCACACCATGAGTGTGCATTTGGCAGCCTGAAAAATGCACCCTGGCATCTTCCTAGATCTGGTCCCTGTGTGTATATATACACAATGTGTATAGAGAAAGCCCAGAGATAAACACTTTTTTAAAAAGTTAAAGCTTGATTAGCTGAACACCAAGAGGCCCCAGGAAATTGAGTTTAAGAAAAATTTGGATAATTGGAACAGCGTATAATATCAAGAATGTTAAATACACAAGTCAGCTGAGCACGCGGCGTTTATGGCAAGCTCTGATTAAAACGAAGTTTCTGATAATCAAAGTTTTAATGGCAGAGGCTCATTTGAATTTCTTCTGTATAAAAAGGAGATTAGATATCGTGTGCACGGAATATCTTGTGATACTTTCCATTCTTCCCAACTCCGGCTGGGTCACATAAATGCTTTTTAGATATTTATTTCATAAAAAGTACGCTGTCCTTTGGTGTGCCCCAAACTAGCCAAAACAGGACTTGCAGCAGATGTGTTTATCAGATTGAGCTGCGAATTTGAGGAGAGGAAAAGTCTGCCTATCGTCTAAGTAATTTCAAAATCAAAGCCATCCCAGGCACACCAGAAGCCTAAAGCAGCCAAAGAGATAGGCCAAGTTTATAAACTTCCATAATATGTTTATTGCAAGGATGGCAATTACCCAATCTTCCTGCCCTCCTGGGTCTTAGATCAGAATATTTCCACAAAAAGAAATCTGTGTTTGACTGCATTTAACCAGTCATAATTCCAGATGTCTGTAATATTCTAACCCCAGGCGTGGGGGTGAGGAGGACGACTATGAAGCCTCCGATAATTCTGTTACATTCTTGTCCTACTCCGCTGTGGTAGTGGCGTGTCTAGTACGGCTGTTTGTCCCTCCCCCTCTCTCCCTAATGATCAAGTGGCACAGGAGCAGTCATTGTATTCAGGGGAAAAGGCCGCCCCCAGCCACAGGCAGGCTTTTCTGTCCACCTCTGGAAACCTGACACGTCACATCAGAGACATAATTTCTTAATGAAATGGCTGGAGTGTAACTAATTTACGCCAGGACGGAAAACGCTGACAGGGCACAAAGGCCACTTGTTTCTGCTGTCGCAGGGAACACATGTGGGCCACATCAGTCAGGAATGAATCAGACCAGCATTACAGGGCAGTCTGCTAAGAGAATTGCCTCCTTTTGCTCTCCTATAAAGTGTTAAAGATATTTACTGCGTGCGTACATGCGGCCCTGCTCGTTGGAACATGAACTTGTGTTGAATTCAGTCATTTGTCCCAGACCCCTTCCTGAGCATGAATAAGAAAAGCAGGATTGTTCTACAGAATCATCATTGGGATTTACTCTACCCTTTTCTCTGGGGCTCTTCTGGCAAACATTAAATATCACAACACCCCATTAAAGGGAGTCAAACTACTAATTTCACACAAGGTAAGAGGCACATGCAAGTCTTGCCTTGGTGACACCTTATAGCCAACAGAACAGGTTTCTTTTCCCCTAGCAAAGCGAGTGTGAGCCACATTGGTGAACTCAACCTAAGGCTTGGGTATGGTGTGGTCAAAGAGGTGAGGGCTTCTCCTGATCCATCTTGGGGCTGTGGGTGGGGTCTTTAAGTCTGGTGCCTTTGTCCTCTGCTCAAACCTGGGCTGAGAGGCATCAGTCATGACCAGCAGAAGAGAAAGTGAGAGGCAAGAGAAGTTTCTGCACTGGTCACTATGCCAGAAGGTCCCCAGGGTCGGGGAACGCACATGCAAAGTGGTATGCAAGACAACCCTTGGAGTGGTACTGTTAGGGGCTGCCTTGGTGTCTCCCTTAAATTCCTAGGTTGAAGTCCTAAACCCAATACCTCAGAATGTCACCTTATTTGGAGATAGGGTCTTTAAGGAGGTAACTGAGTTAAAATGAGGTAGCCGGGCGTGGTGGCTCACACCTGTAATCCCTGCACTTTGGGAGACCAAAGCAAGTGGATCATCTGAGGTCAGGAGTTCAAGCCTAGCTTGGCCAACTTGGTGAAACCCCTTTTCTACTAAAAATACAAAAACTTAGCTGGGCGTGGTGGCACAAGCCTGTAATCCCAGCTACTCAGGAGGCTGAAGCAGGAGAATCGCTTGAACCCGGGAGGTGGAGGTTGCAGTGAGCCGAGATCGTGCCACTGCACTCCAGCCTGGGCAACAAGAGCGAAACCCTGTCTCAAAATAAATAAATAAATTAATTAATTAATTTTAAAAATGAGGTCATTAGGGTGGAGCCCAATCCAATATTGACTGGTGTCCTTATAAAAAGGGAAAATCAGTCAAGGTCACAGACACACATAAAGAGAAGATAATGTGGACTGGGCATGGTGGCTCACGCCTGTAATCCCAGCACTTTGGGAGGCCAAGGCGGGTGGATCACCTGAGGTCAGGAGTTCAAGACCAGCCATAGTGAAACCCTGTCTCTTCTAAAAATACAAAAATTAGCGGGGCGTGGTGGCACATGCCTGTAATCCCAGCTACTAGGGAGGCTGAGGCAAGAGAGTCGCTTGAACCCAGAAAGTGGAGGATGCAGTGAGCTGAGATCGCACCATTGCACTCCAGACTGGGCAACAAGAGCGAAACTCCATCTCAAAAGAAAAAAAAAAAGAACAAACAAACAAAAAACGTAATGACAAAAACCGCAATTACTTTTGCACCAGCCTACACCTTGTCCCTTAAACTCTTGCTATGTACTTTCTCCTGTACAAGGCTGAATCCATTTTGTCTTCAAGTATCCTTACTTAAAGTGAAAAGTGTGTGTATCTTAGCTCAAGGATGGCCAGGCCTCAGGGAGGGGAGAACCAGTGTCCTACAGTCCTGCGAGGGTAGAACCTACTGAGGGAATGGGGTGCACGTGTATGATCGTTTTCCCCAGGTTTTTCCTGGGACTACTGCAAGTGTAAGGTGATTGTGTGCAAAAAAAAAAAAAAGGGGAAAAAGGGCTGGGGCGTGGTGACTCATGCCTGTAATCCCAGCTCCAGAACTTTGGGAGGCTGAGGTGGGAGGATCACTTGAGCCCAGGAGTTCAACATCAGCCTGGGTAACACAGTGAGACCCCTATCTCTACAAAACATTAAAAATTACCTGGACATGGTGGCATGCATCTATAGTCCCAGCTACTTGGGAGGCTGAGGCGGGAGAATCCCTTGGCCCCAAGAGGTCGAGGCTGCAGTGAGCCATGATCATACCACTGCATCCCAGCCTGGGCAACAGAGCAAGACCCTGTCTCAAAAACAAACGAACAAATCAAAAGGTGGTTTTGCGGTTTGCAGGTGGAGGGGGGACAGTGGTTGCCCCTGAGGTCTCCATTATGAATAATTCTCAAATTCATGGGAAGCCACCCATACCTGGGCATTTCTGTGAAGAGACTGAGGCAGAGAGGATGAGGAGAGTTATACCAGTCAGGGTCCAAGCAGGGAAACAGATTCTATGAGTATTATGCTGTAAGGGCTTCGAGTAGGAGTTAAGACTTTACCTCTACACAATTCTGGGAGAGTGTGGGAGAGGAAGGGTCTGAAAGGAGAAGTTGGAGGATCAGAAAATATTAATTAGCCAGCCCTCTCGAAGCCAGGGATGTCCAACTGCCTGAGTGGGGCTCAAGGAGAAAGAAGCCCATAGAGACTGCGGCTCTACGTCTGGTGGTGGCCCACAGTGGCTGTGGCTCAGCAGCGCTGGTAGTTGGGAAAAAGAGCTGGATGCAGAGCAGGAGAGAATAAGGACATGCTAGTACCTTCCAGCACCTTCTGTCTTTCACTGCATCTAACCAGATGACTAGAAAGGAGTGACAGCTGCTTCTCCTCCACCTTCCAAATGTTGTGTAAGTTTGTCTTCTGACCAACTCTAATCTGGAGCCATAAAAGGAAGTGGATTCTGGGAAACACTGCTGCAGATTAGGCAAGGTGACACAATACAAAACTGTGACAGAAGTCAAGGTTTAAACTGATCAACACAGTGTCCCCTGTGGCCCTGTGACACAGCTAGTTTAGAAAGGAAGACTGTGCTGCTAGTCCTCAAATATTTCTTGGTCCCAGGCTTGGCAGGTAGACTTGGCTCAGGAAGAAAAAGACCTTTACAGAGTGACATCTTCCAAAGCTCACCTACAGGTCAAACTCAACACTATCCTTTTGACCTGCTTATCACTCAAAAAGGATGATTTCAGCTTGAAAGACCCAAAGAGAGGAACACAGCTCAGGGCTTGTAGCAAATTGCATTTTCCAAAGATGGCCACTGTTATGAACTAAATTGTGTCCCCCTCAAAATTCATAGGTTGAAACCTTAACCCCAATATGGCTATATTTGGAGACAGGGCCTTTAGGGAGGTAATTAAGATTAAGTGAGGTCGTGAGAGTGGGGCCCTAGTACAATAGAACTGGTGTCCCTGTAAGAAGAGACACCAGAAATCTCTCTCTCCATGCACACAAACAGGAAAGGCCATGTGAGGATACAATGAGAAGGCGGCTGTCTACAAGCCAGAGAGGCCTCACAGGCACCAACCCTGCTGACACCTTGATCTTGGACTTCTACCCTTCAGGACTGAGAAATGCATGTTGGTCGCTTAAGCCACTCCATCTATGCTATTTTGTTATGGCAGCCTAAGCAAACTAAGACAGCTATCACAATCTCCCATCCCACAGACTCTTCTTACAATGCGACAATGACACCCCAATAGCAATGGCCCTTCCAGTGGTGGGGTCTACACCTGCTCCCCTTGAACCTAATCAGGACTTCATGACTGCCTGGACCACTAGAACATGTTAGAAGTGAAGCTATGTGACTTCTGAAACTAGGCCATGGGAATGCCATGCACTTCTACCTTGTGGCCTTGGGACACTCATGATTAGAACCCAGCCTCCATGCTATGAGGAAGCCAAGAAGCCACAGAGAGAGGCCACACAGACAGCCTACAGTCAACAACCCCAGCTGCGTCCCATTGGACAGCCAGCATCGACACCAGACTTGTGAGAGATTAGATCACAGAGCCTTTGGCTGATTCTGGCCCCCAGCCATCGAGCACTCCCCATCCTTTAAGCCACCCCAGAGAATGCTCCATGGAGCAAAGACAAACTGGTCCCACCGACTCTGCCCAGATCACAAATTTGGGAGCAATCTGTTACCAAAACACCAGGGGTTCTGTCTAGGTCCTGCTGTTCCTGCACGGGAAGCCAATCACTGAAACAAGTATTGCCAAGGAAGAAGTCTTTAATTGGGTACTGCAGCGTACTGCAGCCAAAGAGATGGGAGATCAGTGTCAAATCCATCTCCTCTGTAATTCCAGCACTTTGGCGGGCCAAGGGAGGCAGTTTGCCTGAGGTCAGGATTTGGAGACCAGCCTGGTCAACATGGCAAAACCCAGTCTCTACTAAAAATACAAAAATTAGCTGTGCGTAGTGGCAGGCGTCTATAATCCCAGCTACGTGGGAGGCTGAGGAATAAGAATCGCTTGAACCCAGGAAGCAGAGGTTGCAATGACCAAGATCGCGCCATTGCACTCCAGCCTGGGCAACAAGAGTAAAACTCCATCTCAAAAAAAAAAAAAAATTCCATCTCCTCGACCTACTAAAATTAAGGTTTATTTAGCAAGGAAGAAATGTAACTATACGTGAGAAAACAGGAACTCAGGAGGGGTAAGGAAGCAATCATGATGAATGAGCAGCCTGGCATCTCTTTGTCTGGATGTGATGATCTGGTGAATTTCAGTTCTTTGATACTTTTTGAGAGGGCTGGAGGTCCTTTCCTGAGGAAGGAACTCGGATAAAACAAATAAAGGTTTCTGCTTTAAGACCAGAAGGGTCAATTTCTATGTTTACCAAAAAAAAAAAAAACCTGTCGTCTGGGAGTAGTGGTTCACACCTGTTATCCCAGCATTTTGGGAGGCTGAGGTGGGCGGATCACTTGAGGTCAGGAGTTCGAGACTAGCCTGGACAACATGGCAAAACCCTGTCTCTACCTAAAATGCAAAATTAGCTGGGTGTGGTGGTGTGTGCCTGTAATCCCAGCTACTCGGGAGGCTGAGGCAGTATTGCTTGAACCGGGGAGGCAGAGGCTGCAGTGAGCCAAGATCATGCCATTTGCACTACAGCCTGGGTAATAGAGTGAGACTCTGTCTCAAAAAAAAAAAAAAAAAAAAAAAAAAAGGAAAGAAAACTGTCTATGGGACTATGGGTTTGGTTTCAAAACTAAATGATTGGTGTTTCAAGACACTAATTTTGGGGTGGTTTATTATGCAGCAATAAATAACCAGAACAGTGGTCATCAGAACAAATGCATCCAGGAGACTACCTGGGGGAAAATGGAGCCAAGTCAGTATATATCTGCTTTACCTCCTTTGCATGGGATTGTGGTGATTTCAGGCCACCAAACTGAGCCAAACCTCCAACATCAATACGGCGCCACAGGCTGCCAGATGAGTGTTTCTCCAAAGATCGCACCCACTTTGACAATTTCTGTTCCTCTTCAGACAGCTCTGAAAGTCTTCCCAAGGAGATTTTTTTTACTATTATTAATGTTGATCAAACTCTGGACAGAGCTTAAAGAGGACATATGTGCAGAAAGAAAATGGTAGAATCAGGAGGTTGAGCTGGAGGCTACAATAATTAAAGGTTAAACTCCAGGTATGCATTTGGTATTTATAGAATTTTCCATGCTTGATGTGAGGGTTTTAAAACCAGACTGAGCAGGGAAGCTCTTTCAGCTCTGAAAGGAAGGAAAGGATTTTAGCACAAGGAAAGGAGCCTGCCTAGTTCAAAGTTTTATAAAGGCAGCATAATTAAGCTACATTGTTGCTTCAAGTGATACTGTAGAGGTGAATGGGGCTGGGAGAGAAGGCTGTGCAGAACAAAACAAAGCCAAACAAAACACTTTATTTCCTTACCAGGCACCCTGGGCTGTCAGCAGGGGTCCCTGGGTTCTCTAAAGCTGTTGTATGCCTCTGTTGCTCCCTGCTACCTGAAGGATCCTGAGTCTTGCTTCTACCACTTGACATGAGCGGAGGCAAGTCCGGGAGGTCGGCGTTCCCGCTGCGTTACGGGTGCTACCCACGGATGCGCACGAAGGGCGCAGGTGAAGGCAGAAATAGCGAGGGCCTGGCACCCAGCTCGCCTCCCTGGCAAGCCTTGCGGCTACTCACTGAAGCTGAATGCAAACTCATTGGAATTCACTTCTGCTTTTCTTAAAGTTTTTTCTTGTCTCCTTTTTTTCTCCCCTCTTATTTTCAGCATTGAACTTCAGAGAAACTCCTCTCTGTTGTTCAGCTTGTTATCTGTTTTGTCTCCTTTCGCTTTTCTGGAGCTTTGATGGGAATGGGGCTGGGGGAGGATCAGAGGAAGAGAGCTCTGCAAGGGGTGTCTGTGCTATGGGCTCAAACTTCTCCTAGGGAGACATTTTCAAATATGCCCCACTTTTAGCCAGGCATGGTGGAACACACCTGTAATCCCACCTACTCGGGAGGCTGAGGCAGAAGGATCACTTGAGGCCAGGAGTTCAAGACCAGCCTAGGCAACATAGCGAGACACCTCTCTCTCAAAAAAATAATTAAAATCTCACACAATATGTCCCACTCTAAACCTTTTTGAATGGATGCAAAGGTCTGTAAGAGTTGTCTAAACTGGCCCTTCATTTCTTTCTGGAAATTGAGTTGCCAAAAAAAAAAAAAGGCTGGGCGTGGTAGCTCACTCCTGTAATCCCAGCACTTTGGGAGGCCAAGGCGGGTGGATCACTTGAGGTCAGGAGTTTGAGACCACCCTGGCCAATCTGGAGAAACCCCAACAACTAAAAATACAAAAATTAGTTGGGCGTGGTATTGCATGCCTGTAAACCCGGCTACTCAGGAGGCTGAGGCAGGAGAATTGCTTGAACTTGGGAGGTGGAGGCTGCAGTGAGCTGAGATCGTGCCAATGCACTCCAGCCTGGGCAACAGAGCGAGACTCCGTCAAAAAAAAAAAAAAAAAAAGAGGCTGGGAGTGGTGGCTCATGCCTGTAATCCCAGCACTTTGGGAGGCTGAGGCGGGCAGATCACGAGGTCAGGAGATCGAGACCATCCTGGCTAAAACAGTGAAACCCCGTCTCTACTAAAAATATAAAAAATTAGCTGGGTGTGGTGGCGGGCACCTGTAGTCCCAGCTACTCGGGAGGCTGAGGCAGGAGAATGGCGTGAACCCGGGAGGCAGAGCTTGCAGTGAGCCGAGATCGCGCCACTGCACTCCAGCCTGGGCGACAGAGCAAGACTCAGTCTCAAAAAAAAAAAAAAAAAAATGAGTTACTCAAATGGACTATCATGCAGCTATGGAGAAGGATGACTGTAGAGACCACATGGCAAATTGGAAAAAGGCGTAAGTGCTATAACATTAAATGAAATATCAGAACTCCAAATTGTCCAAGGTACCATCACAGCTATGTCAAAGGTATACTAGCAGCAGAGACTCAAGCATACAGCACTATTCACAACTGCAAAAAGGTGAAAGCAACCCAAGTATTCACCAGTGGATGAATGGATAAACAAGAAATGGTGTAACCATACAATGGAATATTACTCGACCTTCAAAAAGAAGTTCTGACACATGCTACAACATGATGGAACTTTGAGGATACTGTGCTAAGTGAAATAAGCCAGACACAAAAGGGCAACTGCTGTATGGCTCCACTTACACGAGGTACCTAGAATAGGCAAATTTATAGAGACAAAAAATAGAATGGTGGTTGCCAGGGGCTGAGGAAGGGGGCATTGGAGAGTTAGTGTTCAATGGGGATAGGGTTTCTGCTTGAGAAGTTGTAGAGTTCTGGAGATGGATAATGGTGATGGTTGCACAACTTTGTGAATGTACTTTAAGGCCACAAATCTGCACTTCAAATGGTTAGGATAGTAAATTTTATGTTACGTATCCTTTACAATCAGAAACTACTTTTTTAAGTGGATCAGGCAGATTGGTGATTGCCAGGGGCTGAGGGAGAGTGAATAGGGAATAACAGCTTAATGGGTACAGGGTTTAAACTTAGGGATGGTGAAAATGCTTTGGCACTAGAAAGAGCTGATGGTTGCACAACATTCTTGATGTACTAAATGCCATGATTGTTCACTTTTAAATGCTAAATTTTGTGTTATGTGAATTTTGCCTCAGTTTTGTGTTGTGTTTTAGAGACAGAGTCTCACTCTGTCACCTAGGCTGGAGTGCAGTGGTGTGATCATAGCTCACTATAACCTCAAGCTCCTGAGCTCAAGCCATCCTCCTACCTCAGCTTCCCAAGTAGCTGGGAGTACAGGCACGTGCCACCACACCTGGCTAATTTTTTAATTATTTGTGGAGATGGGTTCTCACTATGTTGCCCAGTCTGGTCTCAAACTCCCGGGCTCAAGTAATCCTCCCACTTTGGCCTCCCCAGAGTGCTGGGATTACAGGTGTGAGCCGCTGTACCCGGCTTGTCTCAGTTTTTTTGAACAGTGGATTAGAAGGAGATTGAAAGGAAACATGGAAAAATGAAAGCTGTTTAATGTGTTATAATGGGACTATTAGTGAATTCATTTTGGTTTCTGAAAAACTTGTTCAAACACAGTTTGTACAATGTATTCCTTTATGCGTTTAAGAAAAACCTGTCAGGTAGAAATTCTATTATAAAAAAGAGACTGTTAACTAGTCTTAAGACTTCTGGGGCAAGATTGTACCAAGAGAATAAGTATAAGAGGGCTGGGCATGGTGGCTCATTCCTGTAATCCTAGAACTTTGGGAGGCCAAGGTGGGCAGATTACTTGAGGCCATGAGTTCAAGACCAGCCTGGGCAACATGGCGAAACCCCATCTCTACAAGAAATACAAAAATTAACCAGGAGTTGTGTCATGAACCTATAGTCCCAGCTGCTCAGGAGGCTGAGACAGGAGAATTGTTTGAGCCCAGGAGACAGCAGTTGCCACTTCACTCCAGCCTGGGTGACACAGTGAAATGTGTCTCAAAAAAAAAAAAAAAGAAGAAAATATGAGGAAAGAGAAATTGACGATACTGCTTGTCACTTTAAAAATACATATTGTGTAGCTGGGCATGGTGGCGTATGCCTGTAATCCCAGCTACTTGGGAGGCTGAGGCAGGAGGATCACTTGCAGCCAGGAGGCGGAGGTTGCGGTGAGCCAAGATCGCCCCACTGCACTCCAGGCTGGGTGACAGAGTGAGACTCCGTCTCAAAAAAAAAAAAAGAAAAATGAGGCAGGGCATAGTGGCTCACGCCTGTAATCCCAGCACTTTGGGAGGCCAAGGTGGGTGGATCATGAGGTCAGGAGATTGAGACCATCCTGGTCAACATGGTGAAACCCCGGCTCTACTAAAAATACAAAAGTTATCTGGGCATGGTGACGTGTGCCTGTAGTCGCAGCTACTCGGGAGGCTGAGGCAGGAGAATCGCTTGAACCCGGAAGGTGGAGGTTGCAGTGAGCTGAGATCGTGTCATTGCACTCCAGCCTGGTGATAGAGCAAGACTCCATCTCAAAAGAAAGAAAGAAAGAAAAAAGAATGCTTCTAAAATACATATTATGTGTCATATATTAATACATCATTAATAATGGATATATATTGATAATCAAGAATATAAGAGATGGCCGGGTTCAGTGGCTCACACCTGTAATCCTGGCACTTTGGGAGGCCAAGGCGGGTGGATCACTTGAGGCTAGGAGTTCGAGACCAACCTGGGCAACATGGCAGAACCCCGTCTCTACTAAAAAGAAAACTACAAAGATTAGCTGGGGCGTGGTGGTACAAGCCTATAGTCCCAGCTACTCTGGAGGCTGAGACAGGAGAATTGCTTGAGCCTGGGAGGCAGAGGTTGCAATAATGTATGAGATTATTACAGTATGTCCTCACCGATCAATGAAAAAAATATTTTTAGTCTCCATGGTGTTCCTAGCATGATGTTGGGCCCAGAAGAAAGGTCAGAGATGGCTCTTGTTTTCGTGGAGTGATGCTGTAGGGCTAAG
Source organism: Homo sapiens (assembly GCF_000001405.40). Lineage (NCBI taxonomy): Eukaryota > Metazoa > Chordata > Mammalia > Primates > Hominidae > Homo > Homo sapiens. Next base: position 40,233,980 of record NC_000023.11, on the reverse strand, counting down.
TTATGTGATGCTGACTACGAGTTCATGAAGTCAGAGAGAAGCCAAAGCACACATAGAGAATGAGCGGTGCCTCATCTGGACTTTTTTTTTTTTTTTTTTTGAGACGGAGTCTCGCTCTGTCTTCCAGGCTGGAGTGCAGTGACGCGATCTTAGCTCACTGCAAGCTCCGCCTCCCAGGTTCACGCCAACCATTCTCCTGCCTCAGCCTCCCCAGTAGCTAGGACTACAGGCGCCAGCCACCACGCCTGGCTAATTTTTTTTTTTTTTTTTTTTTTTTTGGCATTTTTAGTAGAGACGGAGTTTCACCATGTTAGCAAGGATGGTCTCGATCTCTTGACCTCGTGATCCGCCCGCATCGGCCTACCAAAGTGCTGGGATTACAGGCGTGAGCCACCGCGCCCGGCCAACCTCATCTGGACTTTAAGGATTGGTCAGGGTTTGGGCAGGCAAAGGGGAGAGAGGGGCCCTTCTAGGTGTGAGGGAACAGGCAGGGGCAGGAGCACCAGTGCTTTTGGTCCGGAGAAGGGAGGTGAGAGCGGGGAGGTGTATGGAGGGGCTTGGGGGTGCAAGGGGCAACGCTCGGCCTCTGAGCAAGTGATGAGAGCCTTATATTCAGAAGTGTCCTCTGCCAAAATGACAGTAGGCCCTAGATCCTTTGCCCTTGTACCCAGGAGGCCCAGATAGGCCACAGTACAGCCAGAGCCCCCAGCCCCGATTACAGTAGCAGCAGCACGGAGCAACTTTGGAAACCCTGTTCTCTCATTGATGGTTTATAGTTCCCAGGCCCCAAAGAGAATAACGATATGTCTAGTTAAAGATGGAGGATTGAACCCATGCATTCATTCCTCTGCTTCATTCCAAAGCTTCATTAAAATAATAGTAAAGGAATTTTTTTTTTGGAGTCGAAGTCTCCCTTTATTGCCCAGGCTGGAGTGCAGTGGCGCAATCTCTGCTCACTGCAAACTCCGCCTCCCGGGTTCATGCCATTCTCCTGCCTCAGTCTCCTGAGTAGCTGGGACTACAGGCGCCCGCCACCACGTCCGCCTAATTTTTTTGTATTTTTAGTAGAGGCAGGGTTTCACCTTGTTAGCCAGTATGGTCTGGATCTCCTGACCTCGTGACCCGCCCGCCTCGGCCTCCCAAAGTGCTGGGGATTACAGGCGTGAGCCACCTCGCCCGTCCAGTAAAGGGATTTTTAAAGGGCATTCACCTGTAAATATAAGGAGGACAGAAAAAGAGAAAACAGACCAGAGTGTTGGAAACTGGAGAGCAGAAAGTTGCAGGGTAACTAACTTATAGCGGGGCTGAGGAAGCTGACTCAATGTGGTATTGGGGATAGGTGAGAAGCTGTTCGAATCCCCTCTCCCCTCCCAAAGACTCAGAAGTGGCAACACCAGGTGCTTCTGGAAGTAAAGGTGAAACCAGGACCCAAAACAGGAGGATCCATTGAAAGTCCATTTAAGCAGCAGTCAGATATTCGGATGCCATTCCCTGCTCTGTGTACCCGAGGGACTGTTCCTTCACCCCCACCCCCTGCCCTGGACAGGACTTTTATTATGTGGACGGTTTTTTTTTTAAAGGGGGGTGGGGGAGTGTCTTCAGATAGAGAGACTAGGCATAGTTAAGGATAGGATGCCCAATTGGAAACAGGGAGATTAGGTGTAAGTTGTCATACTGAATATTGTGCCCCCAGCCAAGTTCTCCTGCCCTCTCAGCTCCTAGGAACTTGACATTCAGGCTTAGACCCTCTCAGAAGGAGACTGATACTGACATCAGAGATTTCCCAAGGAAAAGGCTTGTCCAGATCACCACAGAGCAGGGGATCTTAAATGTGAGGCTGCATTCGAATCCCCTGGAGGGTTTGTTAAAACACAGACTGCCAGGCCCTGCCCCCAGGATTTCTAATCCAGTAAATCTGGGGTAGAGCCTGAGAATGTGCATCTCTTAGCTGTTCCCAGTTGCGGTTGATGCTGCCCATCCCGGGAACACACTTTGAAAAGCACTGCTCTAGAGTGAAGTCTGCAATTGGCAAGGCTTATCTACACACATACGCTTCCCCTCAGTTTTTAAGTGCCCTGCTGTAAAATGTGGACCAGTAACTGGGGGTCACCAGGCATCTAATCTAAGGAAAGCCTCTAACATACATGATCAAGACCCAAACAAGCAGATAAAAGCAAGCTGGAGGAAATAGAGACTATGCTGAGAAATGTAACCTTCACACACACACACACACACACACACACACACACCGCTATCAATAAGGTCCCAGAAGAGGCATTATTTTAATAGCAGTAAAAAGCAGCATTCAGGGAATATAAAGGAACGTTCAGAGAATAAAATTTGAGTTATTAGAAATTTAAAATATGACAGCAGAGATGAAAAATTAAGTAGAAGCATTGGAAGGTGAAGTTGGGAACATTTCCCAAAAAATAGAGAAAAGAAAATGAGATGAGAAATAGAAAAGTTTTTAAAAAAATAATTAGTCCAGGTCGGGCACGGTGGCTCACGCCTATAATCCCAGCACTTTGGGGGGCCGAGGTGGGCAGGTCACTTGAGCCCAGGAGTTCGAGACCAGCCTGGGTAACATGGCAAGACCCTATCTCTACCCGAAATACAAAAATCAGTCCGGTGTGGTGGCAAATGCCTGTGGTCCCAGCTACTTAGGAGGTTGAAGTGAGAGTACCACTTGTGCCTGGGAGGCAGATGTTGCAGTGAGCCGAGATCACACCAGTGCACTCCAGCCTGGGTGACGGAGTGAGACTCTGTCTCAAAAAAAAAAAAAAAAAGATTATTCCAAAAGTCCAAATGAAAGTTTTAGGGAGAACAGAGAAACAAAGAGGAAGAAAACATCGAAGAAATAGTTCAAGAAAATTTCCCATACCTAAAGGACATGATTTTATAGATTGAAAGGATCATTGAATACCTAATACAATGGAAAAATAGACCCACATAAATGTATATCATTGGCTGGGTACAGTAGCAGCTCAAGCCTGTAATACCAGCACTTTGTGGGGCTGAAGTGAGAGGATCACTTGAGCCCAGGAGTTTGAGACCAGCCTGGACAACACAGTAAGACCCCATCTCTACAAAAAATTAAAAAATTAGCCAAGCACGGTGGTACGTGCAAGTGGTCCCAGCCACATGGAAGACTAAGGCAGAAGGCTCATTTGAGCTTAGGAAATTGAGGCTGCAGTGAGCCATGTTTGTACCACTGCATTCCAACCTGGGCAACAGAGCAAGACCCTTGTCTCAACAAAAATGTATATCATCATGAACTTTCAGGACATTGGGAACAAAGATCTTAGAAGTGTCTAAAGAAAAAACTATATATACAGAGGCTCAAGAATCAGAATGACTTTGGACTTCTCAACAGCAACACGAATTTGGGAGAAAATGGAAAAATGCCTTCACAATTCTAAGGGAAAATGACTCAACTTAGAATTCTATATTCAGCCAAACTATCAGTTGAGTATAGAAAAATATTTCTCTGATACACAAGGTCTCAGAAACCTGCTGCTCACGCATTCTTTCTCAGGAAGCTACTGGAAAAGATGATCTGCCAAAATGTTAGGAAAAATCAAGAAAAAGGAAAATGTGAGATCCAGAAAATTGGGCATCCCCTGGAAGATGGAGTCAGAGGGAATCGCCACAATGAGGAAGAGAGGCCCCAGAATGACAGTTATGCCCCAATCACAAGAAGCAACCAGGCCCAGTGTGGTGGCTCAAGCCTGTAATCCCAGCACTTTGGGAGGCCCAGGCGGGCGAATCACTTGAGGTCAGTAGTTCGAGACCAGCCTGGTCAACATGGTGAAAACCCGTCTCTATTTTTAAAAAATACAAAAAATTAGGTGCCTGTAATCCCAGCTACTCAGGAGGCTGAGGCAGGAGAATCACTTGAACCTTGGGGGCAGAGGTTGCAGTGAGCTGAGATCATACCACTGCACTCCAGCCTGGGCGACAATGCGAGACTCTGTCTCAACAAGAAAAAAAAAAAAAGCAACCAGTCTCGATTGGAGCTACTCAGAAGCCTTCTGGCAAGGCATCCCCAAGAACAAGAACAGGTGTGTTGAGACACAGTGAGATGAGACCTGGTACATTGGGAAAGCGTTTGCATTGCAGCAATCTTCTCTAACCTAGCGGCAGATAGAAGGTGAGAGTAGGCTGGGCATAGTCGCTCACGCCTGTAATCCCAGCACTTTGGGAGGACGAGGAGGGCAGATCACGAGGTCAAGAGATCGAGACCCTCCTGGCCAACATGCTGAAACTCCGTCTCTACTAAAAATACAAGAATTAGTTGGGCGTGGTGGCGTGCGCCTGTAGTCCCAGCTACTCGGGAGGCTGAGGCAGGAGAGTCGCTTGAACCTGGGAGGTGGAGGTTGTAGTGAGCCAAGATCGCATCACTGCACTCCAGCCTGGCGACAGAGCGAGACTCCGTCTCAAAAAAAAAAAAAAAAAAAGAAGAAGATGAGAGTAAAGCTCAGTGACCACAACCTGGCTGGAATTCCAATTGTCCATGCAAAGATGAAAAGGCCGGGCTCCCGCCTCTGCCTTCCGCCACCAGCAGCCACATCCTTGTGCATATTTGGGAAGACAAAAATACCTGGGCCAATTTTACCATACTAAAACGGGAAAAGAAACATCAACTTTTCAACTCCCTATCATTATTTCAAATGGTGTCAGAGTCTCCCAAGTGGGAAATTCCAAATGTCCAAATCTGGACACTGTCGTGTAGAAGAGAAACTGGTCATTGGCAATGGTCATTGCTTTATTGAACAAGAACTTGCTGGAGGAAAATTAGATGCCACAGATTCCTTTTTCTTCTTCTTCTTCTTCTTCTTTTTTTTTTTTTGAGACAGAGTCTCGCTCTTGTCGCCCAGGCTGGAGTGCAATGGAGCAATCTCAGCTCACTGCAACCTCTGCCTCCCCAGGTTCAAGTGATTCTCCTGCCTCAGCCTCCCGAGTAACTAAGATTACAGGCACCAGCCACCACACCGGCTAATTTTTGTATTTTTAGTAGAGATGGGGTTTCACTACGTTGGCCAGGATGGTCTTGAACTCCTGACCTCAGGTGATCCGCCCACCTTGGCCTCCCAAAGTGCTGGGATTACAGGCATAAGCCACCGTGCCTGGCCTTTCATTGTTTTCATAGGGAAGGTTTTTGCTGTTATACCATAGCGTGGCAGAATGTATTTTCTGGCCAGGGATTTTTCACTCCCTCAGCGATTTATTTGAAATTGAAATAACACCAAAATGGAGAGAAAGTGGTTCAACTGTTCTCTCCCTATCACTACCCAGAGCCGAAGCGCAGGTAAGCGTCTGTCACCTTACACATTTCCCTTCAGTAGAATTTGTTGCCTTTAGTGATTTGCATTAGGTAGCACAATCCTAATCAATCACTTTCATGGTGTAACATGTAGGACCAATCAGGATGGATAGAAAACTATCTCAACAGGTCAAAATAAATGACAAGTTCTGTCTGTGATCCAAAAAAACTATATTCTGCACTAAAAAATCTATCCCATCACTCCATGGCAGGGGTCTCTAACCACCGGGCTGAGGACCGCTACTGGTCCGTGGCCTGTTAGGAACTGGGCTGCCCAGCAGGAGGTGAGTGGTGGCCAAATAAGCATTATAGCCTGAGCTCCGCCTCCTTTCAGATCAGTGGTGCCATTAGATTCTCATAGGAGCATGAACTCTATTGTGAACTGTGCATGTGAGGGATCTTGGTTGCGCACTCCTTATGAGAATCTAATGCCTGGTGATCTGAGGTGGAACGGTTTCATCCTGAAACCATCCCCCCACCACCCCACCTCCCTGTCTGTGGAAAAATTGTCTTCCATGAAACCGGTCCCTGGTGCCAAAAAGGTTGGGGACCACTGCTGTATGGTATATTTGAGTCCTCCAAAGGAGAATACAGCTTTGTATTCCAGGCTTTGGCCCCACCCTGCTTCCTGCCACTCACCATGCACCCAGCAGCCATAATGAGCAACTGCCCCAACATCCCACTGTGAGTTCCTTCTGTGAGTCTGGAAGATTGTCTCCAGCTTCCTAGCCCACTCCCAATGCATCCCCTCTATCCAGACAAGGGGTCACTTCCTAGCCCCCTGCCCCCATACCCACCTATGTGGGCACCCTCCTCCCAGTGTTCCAGGACTGGTCACTGCTCATCTTCTCCTAGACCGTGGCCAAGGGAAGGTGGAGAATATAGATTATTCATCTTGGAATCTGAGCAGCTAGCAAAGAAGCCAGCATGGAAGAGTGACAAATAAATACTTGATGAATGAATGCATAAGTGAATGAATAAATAAAATAAATGCATGAGTGAATATTACCTAGGGGCTTTTGTAAATGCCACATGAAGTTATTGTGTCATGTGATTGCCAAAAAAATGCTAATACCAAAGGCTTATGCTGTCCATTGAGGTGTGTGAACAACCTTACAACTCTAATTTCTTAGTGTTTAGTATAAGAACTATACATAAAGTTGTAATGAAAGTATTGAGATTAATTCCTTTTTAATTTGTAGATTCAAATCCATGTGAATAGCTTCCATTTATGCTTGCCATTGCAGATTGCCACTCGTGAATGCCCTTATCTGGCCCATAAACCGTGAGTCGTGGTCACAGGTGGCACCTGCGTGACTGTAACAGAAGAGCTGGAAGCCTGCTTCCTCCTCCACTGTCAGCATACTGTGACGCACTGCAGCTTACAGGTGCCTAGTGATGAGGATTTACTGATCATATGACCTAGTTTTAACTTAACTCCCAAATGAGCCATGGAGCTTAAAAGGATTCCTGTGAAGAAACTGTATGTTAAAATACTAATGGCCAGGCCTGGTGGTGCACACCTGTAATCTCAGCACTTTGGGAGGCTGAGGTGGGCAGATCACGAGGTCAAGAGATAGAGACCATCCTGGTCAACATGGTGAAACCCCATCTCCACTAAAAATTAAAAAATTAGCCGGGCATGGTGGCCGGCGCCTGTAGTCCCAGCTACTCGAGAGGCTGAGGCAGGAGAATCACTTGAACCCGGGAGGCGGAGGTTGCAGTGAGCCGAGATCGCGCCACTGCATTCCAGCCTGGTGACGGAGCGAGACTCTGTCTCAAATAACAATAATAATAATAATAATAATAATAATAATAATAATAATAATACAAGCACACCCGAACAAGATGGAGGCAGAGCAGATGTTTTGCCTAGTGTGAGCTTTGTCAGCCACATTATGAGGCAAAAGCAACCATAATCTAATAAGTTCTGAGATGAAACCGGCCCTCAAATTGAAAAAAATCAAAAGACAGTTTGAAACATGAGCTTCCAATCCCACCATTTTAATCAGCCTGGCCTTGAGTGTACGTCATATGTTGGGGCTATCTGATGAACAGCAGAAGCCTCCAGAATCCAGTCCTTATCCATAAATAAATATATCGGATTACAAAGGAAACCGGTGACATTGAAAGCATTATCAAATTATTAAAACAAAGTTGTGAGGCCGGGCGCAGTGGCTCACGCCTCTAATCCCAGCACTTTGGGAGGCCGAGGCAGGTGGATCACGAGGTCAGGAGATCGAGACCATCCTGGCTAACACGGTGAAACCCTGTCTCTACTAAAAAAATACAAAAAAATAAATTAGCCAGACGTGGTGGCGGGCGCCTGTAGTCCCAGCTACTCGGGAGGCTGAGGCAGGAGAATGGCATGAACCCGGGAGGCAGAGCTTACAGTGAGCCGAGATCTTGCCACTGCACTCCAGCCTGGGTGACAGAGTGAGACTCCATCTCAAAAAAAAAAAGTTGTGATATATTAGAAAGATAGGTGCTGTTTTATTAAATCGTTCAATAACAAAATCCTATAGCTGGTCTAATAACTACAGTCATTTCATAGTGTTGATGAGCATAAATGATATTTCTTTTTTTTTTTTTTTTTGAGACGGAGTCTTGCTCTGTCGCCCAGGCTGGAGTGCAGTGGTGAGATCTTGGCTCACTGCAACCTCTGCCTCCCAGGTTCAAGCGATTATCCTGCCTCAGTCTCCCAAGTAGCTAGGATTATAAGTGCACCACCACGCCCAGCTAATTTTTTTTGTATTTTTAGTAGAGACAGGGTTTCACCAGTTTGCCAGGCTGGTCTCGAACTCCTGATCTCAAGTGATCCACTCGCCTCGACCTCCCTTAGTGCTGGGGTTACAGACGTGAGCCCCCACACCTGGCCAGGAATATGATTTTGATCAGGGACAAATTCACAGGTACTGCTAATACTACTGTGGTTTGTTGCCTACACTTGTAATAGAAGGAAATGCCAAATTTCACTTAGAGGCTAGTAAAAATGAAGATGTCATTTTGCCCCATGAATTCTATCCTTGAACCTCAGGTTAAGAGCCCCTGGTCTAGAGCAAGGTAAGGGCTATTTGTCCTGTCCTTCACAACCTCACTGCCAGGTGTTATGTTAAAAATCATTTTTCAAAAGATCATAACCAAGGCTGGGCATGGTGGCTCACGCCTGTAGTCCCAGCACTTTGGGAGGCCAAGGTGGGCGGATCACTTAAGTCCAGGGGTTTGAGACCAGCCTGGGCAACATGGCGAAACCCCATCTCTACGAAAAAATACAAAAATTATAATAAAAAAATTACCCGGGTGTGGTAGCATGTGCCTACAGTCCCAGCTACTCGGGAAGCTGAAATGGGAGAATCACTTGAGCTGGGGAGATTGACGCTGCAGTGAGCCATGATTGCACCACTGCATTCCAGCCTGAGCTACAGAGTGAGACCCTGTCTCAAAAAAAAAAAAAAAAGCTGTATGTGGTGGCATGCATCTGTGGTCCCACCTACTTGGGAGGCTGAGGCAGGAGGATTGTTTGAGCACAGGAAGTTGAGGCTGCAGTGAACTATGATCACGCCTACACAACAGAGTGAGACCTTGTCTCTAAAAAAAAAAAAAGTTAAAAATAAAAAAAAAAAATTATAGCCAGCCTCCAACAGCATTAGCAGTCACACGTAATAACATTTCTTACAAACTGGCACAAAAACAGTCATGCAATATGCTCTTGTAACTTAGTGAAGTGCCAAGTCTCTGCCCTTAGGCATGCCAACAAGTACCTTGCATGAAAGGTACACTGGGCATAGATGTGACAATATTTAAGTAGCAGGATTCAACTAACCCTCCAGTTAGAACAGGTTCAATGTCTTCTGTTGGATGGCAGGCCAAAGGAGTAAACAAAATCTGTGGCCTGGAACATGACTCCTGAGAGTGTTTGGTGTGCTAGATTCATAGATCTGCTTCTGATAATTGCAGACGTGGTAGTACAGTATTTTAAGTCAATCCCCATGTCTTGAATGCCACTTGTTTTATCAATGAATATTTATTTCTAACATTCTTTTTTTTTTTTTTTTTTTGGAGACAGAGTCTCGCTCTGTTGCCGGGCTGGAGTGCAGTGGTATAATCTCGGCTCACTGCAACCTCCGTCTCCCAGGTTCAAGCAATTCTCCTGCCTCAGCCTCCTGAGTAGCTGGGACTACAGGCACGTGCCACCACATCCGGCTAATTTTTTGTATTTTTTTTTTAGTAGAGAGAGGTTTTCACCGTGTTAGCCAGGATGGTCTCTATCTCCCAACCTCGTGATCCACCCGCTTTGACCTCCCAAAGTGCTGGGATTACAGACGTGAGCCTCCGCACCCAGCCTATTTCTAACATTCTTTATGCTATTTGGTGAACCTACTGGCATAGATTTATCTATTTGTGTATTTGAGAGATGGGGTCTTGCTATGTTGCCCAGGCTGGTCTTGAACTCTTGGCCTCAAGAGACCCCCCTGCCTCTCAGCCTCCTGAGTAGCTAGGATTATTGGCATGAGCTGCCATGCCTGGCAACCCTATGGTATAGATTTAGGTAGCTAATGTGCTTCTGGTAGCTGTCTTTGAAGTGTGGATTTCTGATTTGAGCTTTTCAGATGCTAACTAAGCATTCTTCATTAGGATATTTTAGTGTTAACTCACCTCTTCTACAGTATACATTAAAACAACAAAAATATACATACATATCGCACAATCTACACTGAAGTACTTCATTATGGACTGAACTATGTCACTCCAAAATTCAGAGGTTAAAACCCTAACCCCAATGTGACTGCATTTGGAGACAGGGCCTTTAGGGAAGTAATTGAGATGAAATGAGGCTGGCCGGGCGTGGTGGCTCACGCCCGTAATCCCAACACTTTGAGAGGCCAAAGCAGGCAGATCACAAGGTCAGGAGTTCAAGACCAGCCTGGCCAATATAGTGAAACCCTGTCTCTACTAAAAATACAAAAATTAGCTGGGCTTGGTGGCAGGCGCCTGTAATCCCAGCTACTCGGGAGGCTGAGGCAGGAGAATCATTTGAACCCAGGAGGCGGAGGTTGCAGTGAGCTGAGGTGGTGCCATTGCACTCCAGCCTGGGCGACAGGGCAAGACTCCGTCTCAAAAAAAAAAAAAAAAAAAAAAAAGATGAAATGAGGTTATGAGTGGGGCCCTAATCCAAAAGGACTGGTGTCCTTAAGAAGAGGAAGAGGCACTACAGAGCTGTCTCTCTCCAAACTCACAGACAGGAAAGGCCATGTGAGGATACATAAAGAAGGAAGCCGTTTACAAACCAGGAAGAGAGGCCTCACAGACACCAACCCTGCCAGGACATAGATCTTATATGTTCAGCCCCAGAACTATGAGAAAACATATATCTGTTGCTTAACTACCCAGTCTGTGGTATTTTGTTATGGCAGCCCAAGCCTACTAATCCATAAAGTACAGACAACGTAATAATCGACTCACATAACAAAAATAGCCACAGAGTCTTGCCCTCTGTATTAGTTATCTGTTGCTGTGTAACAATATGGCCACAAACTTAACAGCTTAGAACAACCTACATTTCTGTGGTTAAGGGATCTGGGCACAGCTCAGATGAGGCCTCTGCCTAGAGTCTCACAAAGCTGCAGTTAAGATGTTGGCTGGGGCTGTGTTTTCATCTGAGGCTTGACTGGGGAAGGATCTGCTTCCAAGATCATTGGTTGTTGGCAGATTTCAGTTCCTCATGGTTGTAGGGCTTGCTTTCTTTCCTTCTTTCTTTCTTTTTCTTTCTTTCTTTTTCTTTCTCTCTTTCTTTTCCTTTCTCTCTTTCTTTTTCTTTCTCTCTTTCTCTCTCCCTCTCTCTCTCTTTCTCTCTCTCCCTCTCTTCCCCTCCTCTCTCTTTTCCTTCCTTCCTTCCTTCCTTCTTTCCTTCTTTCCTTCTTTCCTTCCTTCCTTCCTTCCTTCCTTCCTTCCTTCCTTCCTTCCTTCCTTCCTTCCTTCCTTCCTTCTTTCCTTCCTTCTCAGGGTCTCACTCTGTCATCCAGGCTGGACTGCAGTGGGCCTCCTAGGCCCAAGTGATCCTCACACCTCAGCTTCCTCCGTAGCTGGAAGTACAGGTGTGCACAACCACACCTGGCTAATTTTTAAACTTTTTGTAGAGGCGGGGTCTCCTTATGTTGCCAAAGCTGCTCTCAAACTCCTGGGCTGAAGTGATCTCCCCTCCTGCCTTGGCCTCCCAAAGTGCTGAGTTTATAGGCATGAGCCACGGTGCCCAGCCAGACTTCAGTTTCTTGCAGCTGTTGTCTGGAGGCTGCCCTGAAGCTCCTTGAGGCCACATGGAATTTACCAACATGGCTGCTTGCTTTCTCAAAACCTGCAAAGGAGTGAGAGACTGCACCAAGATGGTGCTACACTTTTTTATAATGTAGCCACATAATCACCTACATCCCATCACCTTTGCCGTATTCTATTGCTTAGAAGCAAGTCACAGGTTGTGTCCACACTGAAGGAGAGAAGTTTATGTATGGGCATGAATTCCAGGAGGGGAATCATGGAGCACTCTAAACATCTGTCTATCAAATCCTCCACCACCACCCTTTAAATCTGTGTGGGCCATGAGACTTCCTTTGGTAAACAAAGTATTAATAAAGTGACCAAAGTAGAGCCTTGAAAAGTGCTTGTGCATAGGGGCTTGCGCACTTGCCATTCTTGGAACACTACTAATGTGTGAATATGCCAGAGCTAGCCTGCTGGAAGATGAGAGACGCATGGCATAGTCACCCCAGCTGCTAGCCAACCAACCTCCAGATATGTGAGTGAGGCCATCTGGGACTAGCCAGTCCCAACCAACCTGCCAATTACACAGAGCCACATGAATAAGACCAGCTGAGATCTACCCAGCCTGGTGCAGTCCAAGCAGAACCATGAGCTAAATAAATGGTGGTTGTTTTAGGCCAGTGAGTTTTGGGAGTGATCTCTTATGCTGCAATAGGCAACTGATACACTATTTAAACTAACTGGAATTGTGTCTGTTGTGGGCAACTGAACCAATCAAGGTCACATACCCATCTCAGAAACTATCACTGTGGCCATGGGAATGTGATACTTTAATTGACCAACCAGGATACATAGCTCACTCTGAGAGGTAGAATAGAAATAAGCTCTGATCAAAGCATGTGGATTGAAGGGGGGAAGGATGGTTTCCTAGAGGAAAATTAAGGGACCACGACAGTTGTAAAATACGGCCCAAATTCTTTAACACCTCTGCCATCAAGAGGTCAGGTCTATGGCCCCTGCTGCTATGGACTGATTTGCACAACTCCCTCAAATTTATATGTTGAAGCCCTAACTCCCAGTGTGGTTATATTTGGAGATAGGGCCTTTAAGGAGATAATTTAAGGTTAAATGAGGTCATAGGATGGGGCCCTAATCCAATAAGACTGGTGTCCTTATGAGAAGAGGAGGACACCAGAGAGATCTCTCTCTGCATGCACACAGGAAAGGCCGTGTGGCGACACAGGAAAGGCCGTATGGCGACACAGTGAGAAGGCGGCCATCTATAAGCCAGGAAGAGAGGCCTCATCAGAAACCAATCCTGACAGCGCCTTGACCTTGGACTTCTAGCTTCCAGAACTGTGACAAAATTACTATCTGTTGCTTAAGCCACCCAGCCTGTGGTATTGTGTTACGGCAGCAGGAGCAAGCTAGGACACCTGCCCCTGATGGATGGAATTCTGACTGCTTCCACCAACAGCAGAGCTCCAAAGCTGGGTAAGAAAAGGCCATACAGATTCTGCCTTGTTTGGAGGGACACTTACTCTCTTGCAGTCCTAAGTAAGAACTCCTTTGTTATGGGTTGAATTGTGCCCTACTAAAAGATATAGTGAGGTCTTAATCCTCAGAATGTGAACTCACTTAGAAATAGAGTGGGTAGGCCAGGCTCACTGGCTCACATCTGTAACCCCAGCACTTTGGGAGACCCAGGTGGGCCTATCACCTGAGGTCAGGAGTCCGAGACCAGCCCGGACCTCATGGCAGAACACTGTCTTTACTAGAAATACAAAAATTAGCCGGGCATGGTGGCACGTGCCTGTAGTCCCAGCTACTCGAGAGGCTGAGGCAGGAGAAGTGCTTGAACCTGGGAGGCAGAGGTTGCAGTGAACTGAGATCGTGCTACTGCACTCTAGCCTGGGTGACAGAGCAGACTCTGTCTCAAAAAAAAAAAAAAAAGAAAAGAAAAGAAAAAGAAAGAAAGAAAAAGAAACAGTGGGTACAGGTACAGCTGGGACCAGCTAAGACCAGGTTACACTGGCGTAAGGTGGGCCGTTAATCCAATATGACTAGTGTCCTCATAAGAACAGGGCAATTTGCATGCAGACACACACACACACACAGAGAGACAGAGAGAGAGAGAATGTCATGTGCTGCAGAGAGAATGCCATCCAAAGATGAAAGCAGAGAATGGAGTGATGCTGCCACAAGCCAAGGAATGCCTGGGACTACCAGAAGCAGAAAGAGGTAAAGAAAGATCCTCCCTTAGAGGCTTTGGAGGGAGTATGGCCCCGCTGACACCTTGATTTCGGACTTCAAGCTGCCAGAACTGTGAGGGAATCAATTTTTGTTGTTTGAAGCCACCCAGTTTGTGGTACTTTGTTACAGCAGCCCTGGGAAACGAATATGTCCTTCTAGCCCTCCTGATGAAGACCTGATGAGACTGCCCTCCTGACGAAGGCACATGCAGGTGCTCTGGTCAGTGGTCACAGCTGAGGCTAGGCGCTGTGGCTCACGCCTGTAATCCCAGCACTTTGGGAGGCTGAGGCAGGTGGATTGCTTGAGCCCAGGAGTTTGAGACCAGCCTGGGCAACATGAAGAGACCACCCCCTCCCCCATCTCTACAAAAAATACAAAAACTTAGCTGGGTGCAGTGGCGGACACCTGTAATCCCAGCTACTCAGGAAGTTGAAGTGGGAGGATTGCTTGAACCTGGGAGGTGGAGGTTGCAGTGAGCTGTGATCACACCACTGTACTCCAGCCTGAGTGATAGAGTGAGATTCTGTCTCAAAAAAAAAAAAAAAAAAAGTCACAGCTGAGTCGGACCTTTAGCCAGGAAGGAAGACACCATCTTGGAAGCAGATCCTGCAGGCCCAGCTGTTCGACTTCTCTCAGCTGAAGTCCCAGACATCATGGGAAAGAACCAAACTCTCCCCTCCAAGCCTTTGCCAAATTCCTGACCGTCAGAATTCATCAGTTGGTATTTTGGTTATTATATGCCACTAAGTTTTAGAGTATTTGTTGTGCAGTGATGAAGAAAGGGAAGAGGTACTGTTACCAAAGGGAGGGGGAATGGAAGCTGCATAGGCAAAAACAATAGCAGTGAGTGTATTTTCCCTTTGTTTCCACAGAAGGTGCTCTGCAAGATGTGGCCTGTAGCCACGTGCTACTGCCACAGTGATCTTAGTTCCTTTCTCCTTCCTGGCTGGAATGACAGGGCCAACTACGTGGGTGCATAAGCCACACAGGGCACCACACTCAAAAGGTCCCTGTGTTTGGTTGAAAGCTCTGCTACTGTACTGAAATTCTTTTTTTTTTTTTTTTGAGACAGAGTTTCGCTCTGTTGCCCAGGCTGGAATGCAGTGGCACGATCTCGGCTCACTGCAAGCTCTGCCTCCCGGGTTCATGCCATTCTCCTGCCTCAGCCTCCCGAGTAGCTGGGACTACAGGCACCCGCCACCATGCCTGGCTAATTTTTTTTGTACTTTTAGTAAACACGGGATTTCACCGTGTTAGCCAGGATGGTCTCGATCTCCTGACCTCGTGATCTGCCCGCCTCAGCCTCCCAAAGTGCTGGGATTACAGGTGTGAGCCACCGCACCCAGCCTGAAATTCTTAATGATTTTTTTTTTTTTGAGACAGTCTCACTCTCTCGCCCAGGCTGGAGTGCAATGGCGCGATCTTGGCTCACTGCAACCTCTGCCTCCTGGGTTCAAGTGATTCTCCTGCCTCAGCCCCCGGAGTAGCTGGGATTACAGGCATGTACCACCATGCCCGGCTATTTTTTGTATTTTTAGTAGAGAGGGGGGGTTTCACCATGTTGGCCAGGCTGGTCTTGAACTCCTGACCTCGGGTAACCCACCCACCTCGGCCTCCCAAAGTGCTGGGATTACAGGCATGAGCCACCTCGCCCGGCTTTAATAATCTTTTAAACAAGGGGCTCTGCATTTTCATTCTGCACCAGGCCCCACAATTTATGTAGCAAGTCCTGGCTGGAGCCTGAGCAGCATGTTTAACCACTGAACCATAGGATGACCTTAGGAATGGAGGACACGCACCACAGATTCCTAGAAGGATGTAGAAAATGTCTGAATCTGGAAGCATTGCATAAAGAAGAGCTACCATATCAGTCTTGGATTGCCTTCCTCAGACTTTTATGTGACTAGATTTCTATCTCGTTTAAGCCATTGTTATTTAGGGTTTTCAATCATGCACAGTTGAAACTAATCCCTACTGATATAATGTGGGAGTATGAACTCCGAGTCCCCCAGTATCCATTCTAGAAACATAGCTGTCGACCGGGCGTGGGGGCTTGTGTCTATAATCCCAGCAGTTTGGGAGGCCAAAGTGGGAGGATCGCTTGAGCCCAGGAGTTCGAGACCAGCCTGGGCAACAAAATGAGACCCCATCTCTACAAAAAAATTTTAAAAAGTAGCACGATGTGGTGGCACATGCCTGTGTCCCAGCTACACAGGAGGCTGAGGTGGGAGAATCACCTGAGCCCAAGAAGTTGAGGCTGCAGCGAGCTGAGATCATGTCCCTGCACTCCAGTCTGGGCGACAAAGCTCAGAAAAGAAAAGAAGGAAGAAAGAAAGCTGTTGAAGCAAAGACTATACTTCCCCACGTCCCTTGCATCCTTGGGAGAGATGGAGTCTCTCTCTCCTTAGCTGGCTTTGAGGTAGCAAGCAGCCATGTGGGGAAATCCCACGTGGCCTCAAGGAGCTAAGGACAGCCTCCAGCCAATAGCCTAGTGAGACTCTAAATGCCAGGGTGTGGCCATGAGACTAAATTCTGGCCAATGGGATGCAAGCAAAAACTTCAGGTGCAATTTCCAGAAAGTGTCCTTAAATGAAGATCCTGTGCATCCTTTTTTATCCCTTCCTCCTTCATGCTGGCTGGAATGCAAGTGCAATAACTGGAGTTCTGCAACCATCTTGGGTCATGAGCTACAGCCCCTGCTGAGAATGTCAGAGCCACGTGACTGAAGGAGTTTGAGTCTCTGACAACTTTTTGAAGCCACCCTACCAGCTTTGGGCTGCCTACTCTGGACTTCTCTTTAGAAAGAAAGAAATAAACTCTCTTTCTAAAGCCCTGTTATTCGGAGTTTCCAGTCCCTTGTATCCCAAACTAATCCTAACTGATACAAATACAAATCTAGGGCTTTGGTCTCCTGAGGCTACAACTTAATTACAAATTAGTTCTCAAGTATCTTTAGGTTTTCTTATTTAGACAATCACTTTTTTTTTTTTTTTAGACAAAGTCTCACTCTGCTGCCCAGGCCGGAGTGCAGTGGCGCAATCATGGCTCACTACAGCCCCGGACTCCTGGGCTTCAGTGATCCTCTGCCTCAGTCTCCCAAGTAGCTGGGAATACAGGCACATGCCACCATGCCCAACTAATTTTTTCATTTTTTTTCTTTTGTAGAGACAGGGTCTCACTATGTTGCCAAGGCTGTAGACAATATCTTAAAATCTTGTGTAATACTTAGATTTTTAAAAGTAAGCTTAAGTAACATGGTAATGGGAACTTATTCAAGGGAAATAGATTATTCTTTTTTTGTTGTTTTGTTTTGTTTGAGATGGATTCTCGCTCTGTCACCCAGGCTAGAGTGCAGTGGCGCGATCTTAGCTCACCGCAACCTCCGCCTCCCAGGTTCAAGCAATTCTCCTGCCTCAGCTTCCCGAGTAGCTGGGACTACAGATGCCCACCACCACGCCCGGCTAATTTTTGTATTTTTAGTACAGATGGGGTTTCACTATGTTGGCCATGCTGGTCTCAAACTCCTGATCTCCAGTGATCCACTCACCTCGGTCTCCCAAAGTGCTGGGATTACAGGTGTGACCCACCGCCCGGCCAGATGATTCTTTAGTGACTTCTTCTGTCTGCCTGGAGGCTGTGAGACATGTGCCCTCTAGGCTTGCCACTAACTTCTGTGAACACACTCAGCTGTGACAACTCTGACAGAACTCACCCACCCCCATATTAGTTATCTAATGCTGCATAACAAGTTGCCCAAAAATGTAGTGGCATAAACCAACAGTAACAATGTATTCTATCTCTTTATTTCTGTAGGTCAGGAATTCAGATAAGGTACAGCAGGGATGGATTGTCTCTGCTCACAATGTTTGGGGCTTCAGCTGGAGGAGTTGAAGCTGAGATGCTGGATGATACATTTCTGTGGTGGCTCACTCACTTGGCTGGGTGTGAGGGAGGAAAAATGCAGTGATTAGAAGAGACTGAAGAGGGCCAGGCATGGTGGCTGATGCCTGTAATCACAGCACTTTGGGAGACTGAGGAGGGTGGATCGCCTGAGGTCAGGAGTTCAAGACCAGCCTGGCCAACATGGTGAAACCCCCCTCTCTACTAAAAATACAAGAACTAACTAGGTGTGATGGCATGCACCTGTAGTCCCAGCTACTAGGGAGGCTGAGGCAGGAGGATAACCTGAACCCAGGAGATGGAGGTTGCAGTGAGCCAAGATGACACCACTGCACTCCAGACTGGGTGACAGAATGAGACTCTGTCTCAAAAAAAAAAAAAAAAAAAAAAAAAGAGGCCGGGCGCCGTGGTTCACGCCTGTAATCCCAGCACTTTCAGGAGATTGAGACCATCCTGGCTAACATGGTGAAACCCCGTCTACTAAAAATACAAAAAATTAGCCAGGCACGGTGGCGGGCACCTGTAGTCCCAGCTACTCGGGAGGCTGAGGCAGGAGAAAGGCGTGAACCCGGGAGGTGGAGCTCGCAGTGAGCCGAGATCACGCCACTGCACTCCAGCCTGGGCGACAGAGCGAGACTCTGTCACAAAAAAAAAGAAAAGAAAAGAAAAAGAGAGACTGAAGAGACATATATATCAACCAATTACAATGTATAAACTTTTTTTTTTTTTTGAGATGGAGTCTCACTCTGTCGCCCAGGCTGGAGTGCAGTGGCGCTATCTCGGCTCACTGCGAGCTCCACCTCCCGGGTTCGCGCCATTCTCCTGCCTCAGCCTCCTGAATAGCTGGGACTACAGGCAACTGCCACCATGCCCGGCTAATTTTTTGTATTTTTAGTAGAGACGGGGTTTCACCGTGTTAGCCAGGATGGTCTCGATATCCTGACCTCGTGATCCACCCGCCTCGGCCGCCCAAATTGCTAGGATTACAGGCGTGAGCCACCGCGCCCAGCCTAAACATTTTTTTTAAGAGCTGGGGTCTCACTCTGTCAACAGCCCAGGCTGGAGTGCAGTGGTGCAATCATAGCTCACTGCAGCCTTGAACTCCTGGGCCCCAGTGATCCTACTGCCCCAGTCTCCCGAGTAGCATGAGTAGCAGGGACCACAGGCGCACGCCACTATGCCCAGCTAATTTTTTTTTTTTTTCTGGTAAGTTGGTTCTTCTCCCTTGTGGGCCTTTCCACAGGACTGCTTGAGTGCCCTAACAACATGGCAGCTGGCTTCCCCCAGAGCAAGCAATCCAAGAACAAAGTGAAAGCTTCAATGCTTTTTATAACTTACCACAAAAGTCACACACCAGCACATCTGCAGGAGTCTGTTGGTCACAATAGATTCAGTATAGCTTCTTGATTCAGAGTCAAAAGGGATTGCACAAGGACAGGAGACAAGACTCACTGGGGTCATCTTGGAGACTGACTACCACACCCCCATCATCGCTATAAGTATACAATGATGCATAATAATAACAAAGGTAGTAGGTCAGACAGATTATGGACTCTCCTACCCATGGCTTTTGAGAAAGATGCCAACCAAGAACCAACATCTAAAACAATTCAGTGATTCAGCTAAGGAGAACATGCACTTTGGAGACAAATGGTCTCAGGTTCAAATTCTGCCACTTAGTAATGTTGTGACTGGGAACTCCCTGATCATTGTGTCTTATGTGAAGATTAAACAGCATATGACAGGTAGGTAATAATAATGATGGTAGTAACGATGATCATGTTTAGAGCAGGTACCATTAAATGAGTGCTTATTCTATTAAGTGATCTCACCAATCACTATACTGAGTGATCTCACCCAATTTTTACAACAACCAAGTAGATGGGCACTACTAACAAATGTACGCTTAATCAAAAATAAATAAAATAATAAAAAGATTCAGGATATGTCTTTCCTTCCCATATTCATTCACTATGGATCTGGTCTTATCATCACCACCATAAGAATATCCATCATCAGCTGGGTACAGTGGCTGACTCCTGCAATCCCAGCACTTTGGGAGGCTGAGGCAGGAGGATCACTTGAGCCCGGGAGTTTGAGGCCAGCCTGGGCAACAAAGTGAGACCTTGTCTCTCCAAATAATAAAAATAAAAAATTAGCCAGGTATGGTGGTGCACACTTATGGTCCCAGCTACACGGGAGGCTGAGGAGGGAGGATCAATTGAGCCCAGGAGGTCAAGGTTGCAGTGAGCTATGATTGCCCCACTGCACTCCAGCCTGGGTGACAGAATGAGACCCTGTCTCCAAAAAATTTAAAATTTAAAAAAAAAATTTAAAAACCTGTGTAAAGTGTTCTACAAACATTATCTCTTTTAGTCTTGTCAAAATCTTAGAAAAGAAGGTAGGGTTAGCTCCATTTTACTAATGAAGAAAGTGAGATTCAAAAGGTTAAGCAATATCATAAGTAGTTAGTGATAAAACCAGAATTCAAATACAGGGCTCCCTGGGTCTTTGCTCTTTGCCACACTGCCTTCCTGTCTGTGTTAGTACGGGTTCTCAGAAGAACCAATTTGAGATATATACATACATACAGAGAGAGAGATGGAGATTATAAGGAATTGACTCACGCAACTGTAGAATCTAAGAAGTCCTATGATCTGCCAACTGCAAGCTGGAGACCTAAGAAAGCCAGTAGTGCAGTTCCAGTCTGAGTCTGAAGGCCTGACAACCAGAAGAGCTCATGGTGTAGTGGGAGGGTAGGAGAAGGCTGATGTCTTTGCTCAGGCGGTCAGGCCGGTGAAGCTCCCTCTTAGACACCCTTTGTGTTCTATTCAGGTCTTGAGTTGACTCAATGAGGTCCACCCACATTGGGGGGGGCCATATGCTTGACTCAGTTTACCCATTCAAATGTATCATCCAGAAACATACACTCACAGACCTCCCCCCTAGCTATGGTTTCACCAAATATCTGGGCACCCCATGGCCCAGTCAAGTTGACATACAATTCACCATCACACTGTCCTCCTTGTACTCAACTTGATTTATTCTCAGATGTTCTTAGCTTGGAGTACCAGTGTGTCTCTTGCTCGTCCTAAATTTGATGTTTTAATGATTCCTGGCCTCACCCATACATAACTTACATGTTTTTATAATTTTATTGATGTTGACAGCATCTCCCCTTAAACCTGATGGGAGAAAATAAGTAGAAGAAAAAACAAAGGAATGTTATGGTGTCCTTGTTCTCAATACTTTTTCTTAATAGATTTTGGGAGAAAATTATTGAAAAAATACCTTAATGGGAAAATAATAGTCTAGTGCAGGCTGGGCACTGTGGGAGGCCGAGGTGGGACGATCACTTGATCTCAGGAGTTTGAGACCAGCCTGGGCAACATAATGAGACTCTGTCCAACAAAAAAAAATTTTTTTTTTTTGAGACAAAGTTTCACTCTTGTCACCCAGGCTGGAGTGCAATGGCGTGATCTTGGCTCACTGCAACCTCCACCTTCAGGGTTAAAGCGATTCACTTGTCTCAGCCTCCTGAGTAGCTGGGACTACAGGCACCCGCCACCCACGCCTGGCTAATTTTTGTATTTTTTACTAGAGACAGGGTTTCACCACGTTGGCCAGGCTGGTCCTAAACTCCTAACCTCAGGTGATCCACCCGCCTCAGCCTCCCAAGGTGCTGGGATTACAGGTGTGAGCCATCGCGTCCAGCCTCAAAAATTTTTAAAAATTAGCCCAGCATGGTGGCATATACCTGTGGTCCCAGCTACTCAGGAGGCTGAGACAGGAGGATCACTTAAGCCTGCAACTTTGAGGTTACAGTGAGCTGTGATGACAGCACTGCTCTCCAGCCTGGGTGACAGAGGGAGACCCTGTCTCAAAAAAAAAAAAAAAATTCTAAGGCGATGGTTCTTAAACTGTAAAGTGCATCAGAATCACCATGGGCTTGTTAAAACATAAATGTCTAGGCCACATTTCTAGAGGTTCTGATTCAGTAGGTCTGGGTTAGGGCCTGAGCATTCACCTGATACTCAAGGACCCAGGTTTCTTCTCTGTGGGTATTTGACCATTCTGTGCCACCTCAGAATTCAAGATGGCTGCCTGAGGCTGGATGCGGTGGCTCACGCCTGTAATCCCAGCACTTTGGGAGGCCAAGGTGGGCAGATCACCTGAGGTCAGGAGTTCAAGACCAGCCTGGCCAACGTGGTGAAACCCCGTCTCTACTGGGAAAAAAAAAAAAAAAAGAAAAAGAAAAAGTTAGCCAGACATGGTAGCACACCTGTAGTCCCAGCTACTCGGGAGGCTGAGGCACGAAAATGGCTTGAACCCGGGAGGTGGAGGTTGTGGTGAGCTGAGACCACACCATTGCACTCCAGCCTGGGTGACAGAGCAAGAATCTGTCTCAAAAAAATAAATAAATCCTCTCCCTCTCCCCCTCCCCCTCTCCCTCTCCCTCGTCTCCCTCTCCCTCTCCCCAGTCTCCCTCTGATGCCACCAAAGTTGTGAAAGCCAAGGCTGGACTGTACTGCTGCCATCTCCACTCACTGCAACCTCCCTGCCTGATTCTCCTGCCTCAGCCTGCAGAGTGCCTGGGATTGCAGGCGCACGCCGCCACACCTGACTGGTTTTTGCAGTTTTTGGTGGAGACGGGGTTTTGCCGTGTTGGCCGGGCTGGTCTCCAACTCCTGACTGCGAGTGATCTGCCTGCCTCGGCCTCCCGAGGTGCCAGGATTGCAGACGGAGTCTCGTTCACTCAGTGCTCAATGGTGCCCAGGCTGGAGTGCAGTGGCGTGATCTCGGCTGGCTACAACCTCCACCTCCCAGCCGCCTGCCTTGGCCTCCCAAAGTGCTGAGATTGCAGCCTCTGCCCGGCCGCCACCCCGTCTGGGAAGTGAGGAGCGTCTCTGCCTGGCCGCCCATCGTCTGGGATGTGAGGAGCCCCTCTGACCGGCCGCCCAGTCTGGGAAGTGAGGAGCACCTCTTCCCGGCTGCCATCCCGTCTAGGAAGTGAGGAGTGTCTCTGCCCGGCCGCCCATCGTCTGGGATGTGGGGAGCGCCTCTGCCCGGCGGCGACCCCGTCTGGGAACTGAGGAGTGTCTCTGCCCGACCGCCGCCCCATCTGGGAGGTGAGGAGCGCCTCTGCCTGGCCACCCCGTCTTGGAAGTAAGGAGCCCCTCTGCCCAGCCGCCACCCCGTCTGGGAGGTGTACCCAACAGCTCATTGAGAACAGGCCATGATGACGATGGCAGTTTTGTCGAATAGAAAAGGGGGAAATGTGGGGAAAAGAAAGAGAGATCAGATTGTTACTGTGTCTGTGTAGAAAGAAGTAGACATGGGAGACTCCATTTTGTTCTGTACTAAGAAAAATTCTTCTGCCTTGGGATGCTGTTAATCTATAACCTTACCCCCAACCCCGTGCTCTCTGAAACATGTGCTGTGTCCACTCAGGGTTAAATGGATTAAGGGCGGTGCAAGATGTGCTTTGTTAAACAGATGCTTGAAGGCAGCATGCTCGTTAAGAGTCATCACCACTCCCTAATCTCAAGTACCCAGGGACACAAACACTGCGGAAGGCCACAGGGTCCTCTGTCTAGGAAAACCAGAGACCCTTGTTCACATGTTTATCTGCTGACCTTCCCTCCACTATTGTCCTATGATCCTGCCAAATCCCCCTCTCCGAGAAACACCCAAGAATGATCAATAAATACTAAAAAAAATAAAAAATAATAATAAATAAATAAACAAACAAAATAAAACAAAAAAAGGATACTTCCCACTCCTCTGAAGTCGGATGCAAGACTTCCACTTACATTCTATTGGCCAGAATTTCATCACATGGCCACACCTAGCTTGCAAAGGAGGGTGGGAAATATAGGGGTTTTTTTTTTTTCTCTCTCTCTCTAGGAGGCCATGTGCCTGGCTAAAATTCTATTATAAATGTGGCGGGTAGGGAGGTAGTTATTTAGGGACAGCTAATGACCTCTGCCATGGGGGTCTTCCAGCTTGTTTGGAACAAGGAACAATTCATTCTCTATGTCAGTGTGTAACCAGGGCCTACCTACCCTTCTGAGTCAGAGGCATAGTCCACACAGCTTAATAAATAGGATTCAGAGCCTTGAAAAGCCTGGTGACTAAGTAATTACTGGCCCGGCCTAAATCACATGTATCCCTTACTAATGGTAGGCTGGAAAGATGAAGATGAAACTCAAAAGCCAGGCCTGGGCACTTTTGTGTTCCCTCTCACTGGTTTGGTTCATTGATTAGCCCATTAACTGGCAGAGGTCTAGGTTTCCTCTGGCTCCTGTCCCTCCTGAAATCCAGTAAGGACCAGACGTCCCCTCAAGAGGGGACGTCCTCTTGAGGAAATACCTGGAACTCTAGCAATGCACATAATTATACTTGTTCAATTTTAGAGAGGAGGTAGAATAAATAAACTTTTAACAATCTCCATAACTGTGCCAGACTACTGAGGTTTTCTCGCCCACCAGCCCTGGGCTTTAAGGTGGAGGATGGGCCTTCACAGACTCCGCTGCTGAAAGGAAAAGGAGGAGAACGTTGGACAGGCTTTTGTGGGAAGCAAAATGCTGCCAGGAGTTTAAGCCCAAATAGACATTTTCTTCAAATGCTTGACTCAGTGGTTTAATTTTTTTGTTTTTGTAGAGACGGAATCTTGCTCTGTCACCCAGGCTGGAGTGCTGGAATGCAGTGGCGTGATCTCGGTTCACTACAACCTCTGCCTCCTGAGTTTAAGCAATTATTTTGCCTCAGCCTCCCCAGTAGCTGGGACTACAGGTGCAAGCCACCATGCCCGGCTAATTTCTTTTGTATTTTAGTAGAGAGACAGGGTTTCACCATGTTGCCCAGGCTGGTCTCGAACTCCTGGGCTCAGGCAATCTGCCCGCCTCGGCCTCCCAAAGTGCTAGGATTACAGGCATGAGCCACCAAGCCCGGCCAGTTTAATTTTTAAATACAGCTGTAGTTGGTAGAACTGAGATGCAAAGAGAAATTGCCATTCCCTGATTAACCCTTCTAGCCACTGGGTGCCACTATTGATTTGTTTGGTTAACCAAAATGCAAAAATGCTTTACTATGGGGCGTTGGGTGGGTGGGGTTTGACAGCCTCAACATAGAGTACTTTGGGCCTGGCATGGTGGCTCACGCCTGTAATCCCAGCACTTTGGGAGGCCGAGGCAGGTGGATCACTTGAGGTCAGGAGTTCAAGACCAGCCTGATCAACATGAAGAAACCCCATCTCTACTAAAAATATAAAAATTAGCCAGGCATGGTGGCGGGTGCTTGTAATCCTAGCTACTCGGGAGGCTGAGGCAGGGGAATTGCTTGAACCCGCGAGGCGGAGGTTGTAGTGAGCCGAGATCACGCCACTGCACTCCAGCCTGGGCGACAGAGTGAGACTCTGTCTCAAAAAAAAAAAAAAAAAAAAATAGAGTACTTTGGTAAAGCAGGAAGTGAAAGTCCGACAAAAAAAAAAGTCTGTGTATATATATATATTCCCTTAGATGTATGTTGGTTATTGTTATTTCTCCTGACTTCCTCTCACCATCCTTGATCTTTCTCTCTTAATGAATTTCAGAGTAACCCTTTAAGTACTGCTTCAAAAAATTATAATCTTATGTTTCCTAGAGTCCTTGATAGCTCTCAAAAAAAGAGAAATATGCACAAACTCTATTGCTCCGTGATGTTTGCAATAATTTATATATCATGTCATCATCATCAATACAAATGTTTATAAAGTGCCTACTATGTGCCTGGGAAATATAAAAATAAACAGGCTTCGAGCCAGCAAGGGTTTTATATTTTCTCTGTTAGTGGAAACATGGCATATGATCAAAAATAAAAAGATGGCCAGGCGCGGTGGCTCATGCCTGTAATCCCAGCACTTTGGGAAGCCAAGGCAGGAGGATTGCCTGAGGTCAGGAGTTCGAGACCAGCCTGGCCAACATGGCGAAACTCCATCTCTACTAAAAATACAAAAATTAGCCGGGTGTGGTGGCACACACCTGTAATCCCAGCTACTAGGGAGGCTGAGGCAGGAGAATTGCTTGAACCCAGGAGGCAGAGGTTGCAATGAACTGAGATCACACCACTGCACTCCACCTTGGATGACAGAGCAAGACTCCGTCTCAAACAAATAAAAATAAATAAATGAAATAAAAATAAAAAGGTAAGTAGGTAGGTAGGTAGGCAGGTAACTAACTGTTGTCAAAACTATGGGTTGCCTATTTCATGGTCAATTCTCTTCTAGGCCTGTAACCCCACCCCCCTCCTTCTTCCCCAGTAGCTAAGGCCAAATTTTGTTCTGGGGTTCACCTTCCAATGTGGTCAGGGAAGGCGACCTCCTCTCGAGTCATAGCGGGGTGAATCATGCTTGGTCTAAGCCAACCACGGTGGCCTCATCTCCCTTACCAAAGATGGGTGGAGCATGGCCATGTGACCTAGTCCTAGACAATGGGACCTGAAATAAAATCCACTAATACAATACTCACAGAGAAGGCAATGCCAATCTCTTTCAATCTCTCTCATGCTGAACATATGGTGCCTGGAACTGCTTCAGTTGTGTTTAGACCATGAAGAGTCACCTCCAATTAGCCAAGGCTAGCAGAGCAGAGATGGAAAGCCCCTTAATTGCTAGAAGCCCCTGGAAACCATCCTGCCTCAGGAATTCTTTTCTGAGATAATAGTCTCCTTTTGGCTGGGCACAGTAGCTCATGCCTGTAATCCCAGCACTTTGGGAGGCTGAGGAGGGTGTCTTGAGTCCAGGAGTTCAAGACCAGCCTGGGCAACATTGTGAAACTCCACCTCTACTAAAACCTTTTTTAAAAATTAGTCAGGTGTGGCGGTGTGAGTAGTCCCAACTACTCAGGAAGCTGAGGTGGGAGAACAACCAGAGCCCCTGGGCTCCTGAGGTGGAGGTTACAGTGAGCCATGATTGCACCACTGCACTCTAGCCTGGGCGACAGAGATCCTGAATCAAAAACAAAACAAAATAAGTCTCCTTTTCTTTTTTTCTTTTTTTTTTTGAGACGGAGTCTCATTCTGTTGCCCAGGCTGGAGTGCAGTGGCGGCAGTCTCGGCTCACTGCAACCTCCACCTCCCGGGTTCAAGCAATTCTCCTGCCTCAGCCTCCCGAGCAGCCAGGACTACAAGCAGGCACCACCATGCCCTGCTAATTTTTGTATTTTAAGTAGAGATGGGGTTTCACTATATTGTCCAGGCTGGTCTCGAACTCCTGACCTTGTGATCCACCCACCTCAGCCTCCCAAACTGCTGGGGTTACAGGTGTGAGCCACTGTGCCCGGCCAAAGTCTCATTTTCTTTTTCTTTTTTTCTTTCTTTTTTTCTCCAGACGGCGTCTCACTCTGTCGCCCTGGTTGGAATGCAGTGGCGTGATCTCAGCTCACTGCAACCTCTGCCTCCCGGGTTCAAGTGATTCTCCTGCCTCAGCCTCCCGAGTAGCTGGGACTACAGGCGCCCACCACCATGCCCGGCTAATTTTTTGTATTTTTAGTAGAGACAGGGTTTCACCGTGTTAGCCAGGATGGTCTCCATCTCCTGACCTCATGATCCACCCACCTCGGCCTCCCAGAGTGCTGGGATTACAGGCATGAGCCACCGTGCCCAGCCAAGTCTCCTTTTCTTTAAGCCACTTACTTTGAGTTCGATCTGCTATGCCTTGCAGCTGAAGGCAGCCCATCTGATGCCCTTGCTGAACGTATTAATTGCTTTAGAGATGTTAGCCAATGGCATGATCTCAGCTCACTGCAATCTCCGCCTCCTGGATTCAAGCGATTCTCCTGTCTCAGCCTCCTGAGTAGCTAGGATTACAGGTACACACCACCACGCCGGGCTAATTTTTGTATTTTTAGTAGAGACTCCTGGCCTCAAATGATCTGCCTGCCTCTGCCTCCCAAAGTGCTGGGATTACAGGCATGAGCCACCGCGCCTGGCCGAGGAAGGCATTCTTAAGCCCATTTGAGGGATGAAGCAATGGAGCCTCAGAGGTCAATACAATACTTGACCATCCAAGGTCACAGTGGTGGAGCCATATTTTAAACACAATCAGTGCACCACAAATATGTGATGGGAGAATGGCCACCTAAGCACGGGGTGCGGCTGAGTTGCTGAAGGGCACAGCCCATCTTGGGGCCCAGAAACACAATCCTGTGTGAGGCACACCCTGTCCCAATCCTCAGAAAATCCCTTCGATGCCCAGCCTAAGCATCTTCAAATGCATCCCCAACAACGTTTTGTGTGTGTTTCACGGAAAATCCTCTAATCAAAATCCAGATTGAAGACTACCCTTCCAGCCAGGAAGTCCTTCCTAAGCTCTAACCTCAGCTTCCCCTCTTGGAGTGCGGTTTGGTCGCTGACCCCAGCACAGGACAGCTCTTCCCTCTTGCTCCTTTTTAGCAGGAGGAGGAAACAGTTCTCTTGCACTCAGCACTCTGCCCTCCAGGCAGAGCCTCACCTATGAAAAGCAATCTCATCCGAGACAAAGGCTGCCCGGCGCGGCTCCGCGTGGCCGTCTGCGCTGAGAGGCAGGGAGCTCCGTTTCAGGCGTCCTTCACGCTCCCCAGCCAAATAGAAAGCACACGCAGCAAAGTTGTGTTCGGCGTCCATTGCATTATGGCACTGACTGTTCAGCAGGCACATTTCTCTCTGGCTGGCGACGCAGCTTGGAACCCGGGACTCGCTCGGCGCCGCCAGGCAGTCGATCCCCGCCAGCTTCCCGAGGGCGGTGTTCTAGGTGAGGAAAATTGCTCCCGAGATTGCTTAAGGCCCCTGGGGAAATGACAAGGAGAAATTAATCTTCCATTGCTAATCTCCCCACGTGGCTGTTGTCTGCAGGAGGTGGTCGCCAGACTCCTGCGGGGGGTACCTAGATCCCTTCACACTGCCTCTGGTACAAACAAAATACTCACAGGTAGGTGTTGAATGAGGGAAACCAGCCCCTCAGTTTTAGGATGCACAGAGCACGTGTGGAGACGAAGAACGAACACGTAACTTCCATCATCATCACCATAGCTAGTTTAATTAATCTGCACCAATGGCCCCAAGGACTCGATATGATTATTCTCTCCATTTTACAGAGGAGAAAAATGAGACATAAAAAGGTTAAGTAACTTGTTCAATCCAGGCTGATTTGTTTGCAAATATATGCTCATAGTCCCAAAGCAATAATGCCTCTCTAAGGCCAGGCTCTCTTGGATGGCTTCGGTGTGGCTCCCCAACTAAACTGTATGCCATTTTAGGGCAGGACAGGTCATCTCTTTCCTTGGTATTTCCCCAAGCTCAGAGTCATCTGGGTTTTCAGTAAGCACCAGTTAACAACTGTACACAACTCAGTCTAAGAAAGCCGGAAGCCTACTTTTCATGGGCTTGCATTCTAAGCCAAAATAAGACAGAAAGTAAAGAAGAAATATTACTCACAGGGGAATCAGGGTATAGCCCCCAAAATATGGATAGATCATTTTCATTTTCCTTCAGGGCTTGCTCTCTTTGTAAATCTAAGTGAAAAAGAAGGAAATTGAGGCTGGAAAGTGAGTGAAGCAGGCCTTAGTCCAAAGACTTGCTAGTGGTCTGAAGCTGCCTGCATTCCTCACACTTGAAGTTCCAGAAGGCAGGAGGCGGACTGCAGCTTCTCCAGCCCTGCCAGTCACCCAGAGGCAGCGTCTCCAGGGGGCTTGTGCATCCTGCTAGCGAAATAGAATTCTTTTTTTTTTGAGACGGAGTCTCACTCTGTCGCCCAGGAGGGAGTGCAGTGGCGCTATCTAGGCTCACTGCAAGCTCCACCTTCCGGGTTCACGCCATTCTCCTGCCTCAGCATCCCGAGTAGCTGGGACTACAGGCGCCCGCCACCAGGCCTGGCTAATTTTTTGTATTTTTAGTAGAGACGAGGTTTCACCGTGTTAGCCAGGATGGTCTTGATCTCCTGACCTCGTGATCTGCCCACCTCGGCCTCCCAAAGTGCTGGGATTACAGGCGTGAGCCACTGTCCCCGGCTGCGAAATGGAATTCTGAGAGGGGAAAGAGGAGAACTGGGACTCTGCAGCCGAGGGGAGGCTGTGCTGTTCCAACATTTGCTGGCCTGTTACAGAGAAGCCTGACTCACTGGCTCGGTGACTAGGAAATCTACGAACAGCTTCCACTAACTCTGGCACCCTGAGCAACTGTATCAGTTAAGAATGCATGGCCCAGGCCGGGTGTGGTGGCACACACCTGTAATCCCAGCTACTCGGGAGGCTGAGGCAGGGGAACTGCTTGAACCCGGGAGGCAGAGGTTGCATGGTGCCATTGCACTCCAGCCTGGGCAACAAGAGCAAAACTCCATCTCAAAAAAAAAAAAAGAATGTGTGGCCAGGCGCGGTGGCTCATGCCCGTAATCCCAACACTTTGGGAGGCCGAGGTGGGCAGGTTGCTTGAGCTCTGGAGTTCAAGACCAGCCTGGGCAACATAGTGAAACCCCATCTCTACCAAAAATACAAAAAATTAGCCAGGCATGATGGCGTATACCTGTGGTCCCCGCTATTCAGGAGGCTGAGGTGGGAGGATGGCTTGAGCCCACGTGGAAGAGGTTGCAGTGAGCCGAGATCACACCACTGCACTCCAGTCTGGATGACAGAGTGAGACCTCCCATCTCAAAAAAACAAACAAACAAAAAAACAAAGAATGTGTTAGGGTGCAAGGAACCGAGAACTCTGTGAACAGCATTCTGAACATGCATCAGAGTTATTTTTCTTACAAAAGAAGTCCAAAATGAGATTCAACAGATGTGAGTTCAGTGACTTAAAACATCAAGATCAGCATTTCTGTGATTATTTTGGCCTCTCCTTTAGGCCCCAAGATGGCTGCTGTAGCTCTTGCACAGTGTGGTGTTATGATATATATTGGTTTTCATCCGCAGATCCTGGCTTATAACTCCATCGCCCTTGCTCCAGTCTTTTGTTATAACGTTGGGTGTACTGGGCCTCAGGGGCAGGGTTCTGCCCTTCTGGCTTCCTTCCATCCTAATCTTTTCCTACCTTTCTGATTGTGGGTCTTAAGACTCTGCCATGACAGAGTGCCCCCCTATACCCTGGGGGAAGGGATGCTGATGTCATGAAGCTTTCATAAAAACCCATGAGGACAGGGTCCAGCGAGCTTCCAGATAGCTGCACACATGGAGGTTCCTGGAGGGTGGCTCGCCTAGGGGAGGCATGGAAGCTCCACGTATCTTCTCCCATATCTCGCCTGCGTGTCTCTTCATCTGTATCCTTTGCAATATCCTTTCTAATAAACCGGTAAACATAAGTGTTTCTCTGAGTTCTGTGAGCCGCTCCAGCAAATTAATCAAACCCAAAGAGGGGGTCATGGGAACTTTAACTTGAAGCCAGTCAGTCAGAAGTTTCAGAGGCCTGGGTTTGCAACAGGTGTGTGTGGGGTGGGGGGGCAGTCTTGGGGACTGAGCCCTCAACCTGTGGGATCTGACATTATCCGCGGGTAGACAGTGTCAAAACTGAATTCAAGGACACCTAGCTGGTGCCCGCTGCTTGGTGTGTGGGGAAGCCCCTCCCACATTTGGTCACAGAAGTCTTCTGTGTTGACAGTTGTTGTGGTGTGAGAGTAGAGGAAGAACATGGTTAGAGACAGTTTCCTCAACACAACACGGTCAAGGCAGGAAGGGGGACGAAGAGATGGGGCAGCAGCACCAAAAATATCTGTCTTTTTTTTTTTTTTTTTGAGATGGAGTTTCACTCTTGTTGCCCAGGCTGGAGTGCAATGGCATGATCTCAGCTCATTGCAACCTCCGCCTCCCGGGTTCAAGCAGTTCCCTGCCTCAGCCTCCCCAGTAGCTGGGATTACAGGTGCTTGCCACCATGCCTGGCTAATTTTTGTATTTTTAATAGAGATGGGGTTTCACCATCTTTGCCAGGCTGGTCTTGAACTCCTGACCTCGTGATCCACCCGCCACAGCCTCCCAAAGTGCTGGGACTACAGGCGTGAGCCACCACGCCTGGCCGCCTCTTTTCTGCCCATAGGATCACTTGAGGTCAGGAGTTCAAGACCAGCCTGGCCAACATGGCAAAACCCTGTCTCTACTAAAAATACAAAAATTAGGTGGGTATGGTGGCACATTCCTGTAATTCCAGCTACTCAAGAGGCTGAGGCAGGAGAATTGCTTGAACCAGGACCCAGGAGGCGGAGGTTGCAGTGAACCAAGATGGTGCCATTGCACTTCAGCCTGGGTGACAGAGCAAGACTCCGTCTCGGACAAAAAAAAAAGAACTCTGCAAATTTTCCCTGTCCTCAAGATGGGCACAGACATGGCTTTAAGGCTGGAACACCAAGAGGCCTCTGGGTAGCAGTGCAGAAACCCTAGTGGGTTGAATGAACTGAACCGGCTGAATGAACTAAACCAGAGACCATAACAGATCTAAAAAGGTCAGTGGTAAGAATGCACTGAGAAGAGAGGTTGTAGCAGATTGTATTCTGAAAGTGGCCTTGCCACTGTATATGACCTCACATCCTCCTCCAGAACCTTGCCACTCCCTCCTCAAGAGGTGGGGCTTATTTCTCTCACCCCTTGAAACTGGGCAGGCCTTTGTGACTGCCTTGACAAACAAATGTGACAAAAGTGACACCACATGATTTCTGAGGACTGGGTCATGAAAGGCAAATTGGTTTCTGCCTGGCTGTCTCCATTCTGTCTCTGTCCACTGACCCTTAGAACTCAGCTGCCATGCTATGAGGAAGCCCAGGCCACAAGCAGAGGCCATGTGTCCCAGCTGACAGCCCCAGAGGAGGTCACAGATGACAGTAGCATCAATTGTCAGAGCCCTCAGATGATCCCAGCACCCACCCTTCGAACCACCCCAGCTGACACTACGTGGAGCAGAGATAGCTGTCCCCACCAAGCCCTGCTCAAATGACAGATTGTATGAGAAAAATCACTGTTGTGTTCGTTTTAAGCTGCTAAGTTTTGGGGTGGTTTGGGATGCAGCTGGAGATAGATACTTGGGCAGGCAGAAGTCAGTGAGTACCGGTGGGGGCAGGTGAGTCCCTTCCTCATGCCAGAACCAGGGCTCAGCTTTTGATTGCCCCAGGGGAGAAGGGAAGGAGGAGGTGGAGGACAAGTGAGAATCCCATTTACTCTGGAAGGGACTGCCTTTAAACTGGCAGTACTTGAGTTGGTTAGAATTGGCACGCTTACCTCTTCCATCATCAGTGGAAATGGGGACTCAAGAGCCAAGTTTAGTTTCAGGAAAATAGAGAGCATTGCTCTTTGCACACCAGAGTTTGTGACCAAGCAAAAATTCCTAGCCACTTTACAACTTGAGACTGGGGTACTTGGAAACACAGCTCTGATTCGAGCCCCTGTGCAAACACTAAATTGGGGCACACCAGGCTAGCTCTGCATGGGCATTTTCAGTTGGAAACTGTGATTTAGTGGTCAAAAGTCACAGGCCTGGCCGGGCACGGTGGCTCACACCTGTAATCCCAGCACTCTGGGAGGCCAAGGTGGGTGGATCACGAGGTCAGGAGTTCAAGACCAGGCTGGCAAAAATGGTGAAACCCCATCTCTATTAAAAATACATAAATTAGGCCGGGCGCGGTGGCTCACGCCTGTAATCCCAGCACTTTGGGAGGCCGAGGTGGACAGATCATGAGGTCAGGAGATCGAGACCATCCTGGCTAACACGATGAAACCCCGTCTCTACTAAAAATACAAAAAATTAGCCAGGCGTGGTGGCGGGCGCCTATAGTCCCAGCTACTCAGGAGGCTGAGGCAGGAGAATGGCGTGAACCCCGGAGGCGGAGCTTGCAGTGAGCCAAGATCGTGCCACTGCACTCCCTCCTGGGCGACAGAGCGAGACTCCGTCTCAAAAAAAAAAAATTAGCCAGGTGTGGTGGCAAGCACCTGCAATCCCAGCTACTGGGGAGGCTGAGGCAGAGAACTGCTTGAATCTGGGAGGCGGAGGTTGCAGTGAGCCGAAATCTCGCCACTGCACTCCAGCCTAGGCGACAGAGTAAGACTCGCTCTCAAAAAAAAAAAAAAAAAAAGTCATAGGCCCAGGAACCAAGTGAGCATCTAAGTTAATTCCTCTACTACCCCTAGCCCACTGAGGCTTCTCAGGGGAAGGATTAGTGTTGGGCCAAGACTCGATCTCCATGAAGAGCCCCCATCCTCATGCCATTCCCAGGGTGCGCACTGCTAGGGCCAGGGCTGCAGGAAATCTCTGGTTGCAACAGATCGGAAGAAGGTGCAGGGGGCCGGGGGCTGGACTGGACCTCTTCTGCACAGTCTTGCTGCAGCTCCACCTGTTTATGTGTCCTCTTCTTGGCAGCTGCTCAGAGGGTCACATGCCAGCCTCGTCGCTTTGTGGACAATCCAGGCAGAAGGCGGCAGGATGGGCCAGCTGTGCCTCCAGGCATTTCCAGCCTTCCAACCCTGAGACACATGTTTTATGACTCAAGAGTTTTGGGAAGACAATCTTGCCTCAAATATTCCTGTTGCAATCTACATCTCAAATGTTCATAAAACCTATTTTTTACTTTGAGATACCTGAAACAGCGAATCTGTCCCCAAATGTCTTTGGCACTTTCTGGCTTACTCTGTGTCCAAGTTAAGCAGTGCTGTATTTTTCTTCTTTTTCTTAAATAAATTAGATGCATATTCTCAGGAATAACACATGGTTGCCATTAAGGCTTGTGATGTTTGGGGTTTGGTGCAAACCCACATTTTATCCATTGAACTATTTCTTTTTTCCAAAATAGTGAAAAGAGCTATACAACACAAAAGCAATTACATGACTTAACTTTCCATCTCCGTCGAGCAGTGATTAAAAGTGGAAAATAATACAAGCACTTAGGCTTTTTTCTGGAAAGCCAAACAGGAAAGGAAATTTGTTGGGATGGGTTTTTTTGTTTTTGTTTTTGTTTTTCACCATAAACTACCAGGAGGAGAAATGGTGAGAATGCTGGGGGTTCCAGAAAGTGCAAGAAGCCAAAACAAAAAGCCTTTTTCATGAGGGATAAGGGTTTGGTGACCACTAAAATCCTCAAAAAATATAAGATTTTCACCACCCGGAAGCTTGGTGTCATTGTTTAGCTTCTGATGGCTCACTCACCACCAGTAGAATCTAAGAGACTCCCCAATGGTCTACATCAGTGAGGGAAAGAAGTTGGTGGCTTAGCACTTTCTGTTCTTAAGGATTCACCAGTCAAACCTATATGATCTTCCCTGAATTCCCCGAAAAGTTTTTTTAAAAATAAGTCTGAGGCCAGGCACGGTGGCTCACGCCTGTAATCCCAGCACTTTGGGAGGCTGAGGCGGGTGGATCACCTGGGGCCAGGAGTTCGAGACCAGCCTGACCAACATGGTGAAACCCTGTCTCTACTAAAAATTTAAAAAATTAGCTGGGCATGGTGGTACACACCTGCAATCCCAACTACATGGGAGGCTGAGACACAAGAATTCCTTGAACCTGGGAGGCGGAGGTTGCAGTGAGCCGAGCTCCAGCATGGGCAACAAGAGCGAAACTCCATCTCAAAAAAAAAAAAAAAAAAAGAAGTTTGGCTGGGCATGATGGCATACACCTGTAGTCCCAGCTACTCGAGAGGCTGAGACGTAGGAGGATCGCTTGAGCCCAGGAAGGAATTCAAGGTTACAGTGAGCTATGTTCACATCACTGCACTGGGCAACAAGAGCAAAACCTGTCTCTCAAAAAAACAAAAAAGAAGTATTTCTCAGCTCCTCTATATGTAATCGGAAATTTCTTTCACACCCTTGCCCCATCAAACAACAAAATGAATTCAACTTAAAGGGCCAGGTGCGGTGGCTCACGCTTGTAATCCTAACACTTTGGGAGGCCAAGGCGGGAGGATCCCTTGAGTCCAGGAGTTCAAGACCAGCCTGGGCAACAGAGTGAGACCCTGTCTTTAAAAAAAAAAAAAAAAATTAGCCACACTTGGTGGCACAAACCTGTAATCCCAGCTACTGGGGAGGCTGAGGTGGGAGAATCACTTGAGCCTGGGAGGTTGAGGCTGTAGCTGTAGTGAGCCCAGACTGAGCCACTGCACTCCAGTCTGAGTGACAGAGTGAGAGCCTGTCTCAAAAAAAAAAAAAAAAAAAAAAAAAGGTCAGGCACGGTGGCTCCCAACTATAATCCCAGCACTTTGGGAGGCCAAGCTAGGTGGATCACTTGAGTGCAGGTGTTGGAGACCAGCCTGGGCAACATGGCAAAACCCCATGTCTACAATGTATACAAAAATTAGCCAGGCATGGTGGTGTGTGTCTGTAATCCCAGCTATTTGGGAGGCTGGAGGTAGGAGGATCGTTTGAGTCTGGTAGCTCAAGGCTGCACTGAGCCAAGATCGCCCCACTGCACTCCAGCCTGGGTGACAGAGCAAATCCCCGTCTCAAAAGCAAACAAACAAAAAACAAAAACCAGGCCCAGTAGCGCAGCTCACGCCTGTAATCTCAGTACTTGCGGAGGCCAAGGTAGGAGGATTGCTCGAGCTCAGGAGTTTGAGACCAGCCTGGGCAAAAAAGCAAGACCTCATTTCCACTAAAAATATAAAAAATCAGCCAGGCATGGTGGTGCATGCCTGTAGTCCCAGCTACTCAGGAGGCTGAGGCAGGAGGATCACTTGAGCCTGGGAGATTGAGGTTGCAGTGAGCCATGATTGCCCCACTGCACTGCAGCATGGGCAACAGAGCAAGACCCTGTGTCAGAAAAAACAAACAAAAAACAAAAAGCCACCCTGACTTGCACATGGTAGTCTGGTTACTGGAAGGCTCAGCGTGTTGGCTGAAGCAAAATGTAAACAGAGTCCACACCATCAATGCAAAAGAGACTGGAGTTAAGTGTGGTAGGATGGCTCCCTAAACATTCGTTTCAACTATTCTCTCACTGAAGGTCCTCTAGGGCAAGATTCTAAAGCTAATAACCCACTTTCCCAGACATCTGTGCAGCAGGAGTGACCACGTGACTCTTTTCTAGCCAATGGGACACAGGCAGAAATCAGCTGGCACCGCCTCTTCTGTCACTTTCTCCTCTTGCTGGAGCAAGGGCCTGGGGCTGGAAATACGGCAGCCACTGCTAAGGCTGGAGGAAGGGAAAGACAGAAAGACCCTGGCTCCTTCTTGGCCTTCGTGGACCACCATTCCAGACCTGGACTGTATTAGCCTGACTTCTCATTGCCTGAGACTATATGATTAAGTCCAGTTAAGCCACCACAGTTGTTGGGTTTCATGTACAGGCAACTGAGTGTCATCCTGTGTAATTCAGAATTATGTAAGTCTTCCTTTACCCACACGACAAAATGCCACCTTCCCAAGGAGCATGGGAGAGAGGGAAACCTCAGAGGACTTGAACAGTGGGCTGGGCTACAGATCCAAGTCAGGGTGGATGAAAGTGGTTTTAGGACAGCTAAATGACTGTGGGAGGACTGCTCCAACCTTATTTTAATTTTTTTAATTTTTAAAATATTGATTTACTTATTAGAGATGGGATATTGCTCTGTCACCCAGGCTGGAATGTAGTGATGCAGTCATAGCTCACTGTAACCTCAAACTCCTGGGCTCAAGCGATCCTCTTACCTCAGCCTCCCGAGTAGCGGGGACTGCAGGTGTGTGTCACCATGCCCAGATAATTAAAAAAAAATTTTTTAGAGACGGGATCTCACGATGTTGCCCAAGCTGGTTTCAAACTCCTGGCCTCAAGGTATCCTCCCACCTCAGCCTTGAGAGTAGCTGGGATTAGAGGTGCAAACCACTGCACCAGGCTCAAGAAATACTTTAAATGAGAATATCGATATCTCTGCCAATCTTAATTCTCATAGTGAAGATATTCAGCATCCAAAGAATTATCAAGATAATTAACCTGTTTAATTCCTGGAACAGTAAAAACTGCTTTCTGTTACAAGACACAGAAACCTCCACTGAATTGGCTTAATTTTTTTTTTTTTTGAGATGGGGGGTCTTGCTCTGAAGCCATCCTCCCACTTCAGCCTTCCAAGTAGCTGGAACTATAGGCACGTGCCACCACACCTGGCTAATTTTTGTAATTTTTGTAAAGCTGGAGTTTCGTCATGTCGGCCAGGCTGGTCTTAAACTCCTGAGCTCAAGCCATCCTCCAGCCTCGACCCCGCAAAGTGCTGGGATTACAGGTGTGAGCCACTGCACCCGGCCCCTGGCTTAAATATTGATTGGAGGATGGACTGGTTCACATGACCGAAAAGTCCAGAGGTATATCTCACTTCGGGCAAGCCTTGATCCAGCGACATCATAAAATCCCCAATGCCCTCATACCTCCTCATTTCACTGCTCTACCTTCCAAGGCTCAGGCTTCATTCTCAGGTTTGCTACCTGAGGCAGATACTATTGATGCCCTGTCCCTTATGCCCTTGGCCTACTTGAGTCTGCCTGCAGCTGTGATGGACAATTTGCTGTACTCTGACAACTTGCTGCCTCAAGCACCTACCTCTCTCTGATGCTCTGCCTGGTTGCTTTCTTCTGTACTAGGGGAGGTGGTTCTACTGAATGCAGGGGAATGATGCTGGGGAGACATCTCCTCTCCCTGCAGCTACAAAAGTGGCTTGCATTATATTTCTGTTGGACAGCACCGCTGTAGATTCTATAGCAATCTACAGCCTGTGTGCCAGATCTGGCCAGCTGCCTGTTTTTGTAAATAAAGTTTTATTGAAAAATAGCCCCACTCATTATTTTATATATTATCTGTGGCTGCCCTACAGCAGCAGAGTTGAATAGTTGCCACAGAAACCATATGGCCTGCAAAGCCTAAAATAGTTATTCTCTGAACCTTTGCAGAAAAAGTTTGCCAATACCTGGTAGAAAATATTGGCCTGAAAAATATCTCTAGGCCAGCCAGGCAGGGTGGCTCACGCCTGTAATCCCAGCACTTTGAGAGGCCAAAGAAGGCAAATCACTTGAGGCCATGAGTTTGAGACCAGGCTGGCCAACATGGCAAAATCCTGTCTCTACTAAAAATACAAAAAACTAGCCAGGTATGGTGGTGCGCATTTGTAGTCTCAGCTACTTGGGAGGCTGAGGCACAAGAATCCCTTGAACCCAGGAGGCAGAGGTTGCAATGAGCCGAGATCAAGCCACTGCACTCCAGCCTGGGCAACAGAGAGACTCTGTCTCATAAAAAAATAAAAATAAAAAAAAATTTTTTTTTAAAGGCCAGGTGTGGGCCAGGTGCGGTGGTTCACGCCTGTAATCCCAGCACTTTGGGAGGCTGAGGTGGGCGGATCACCTGAGGTCAGGAGTTCAAAACCAGCCTGGCCAGCATGGTGAAATCCCGTCTCTACCAAAAAATACAAAAATTAGCCGGACGCTGTGGCACGCACCTGTAATCCCAGCTACTCAGGAGGCTGAGGCAGGAGAATCGCTTGAACCCAGGAGGCAGAGGTTGCAGTGAGCTGAGATCGCGCCATTGCACTCCAGGCCTGGATGACAGAGCTAGGCTCCGTCTCAAAACAAAAAACAAAAAACAAAAAACAAAAAACAAAAACAAAAACAAAAAAACAAAAAGGCCAGGTGTGGTGGCTCACTCCTGTAATCCCAGCACTTTGGGAGGCCAAGGCGGGTGGATCACCTGAGGTCAGGAGTTTTCAGGAGTTCAAAACCAACCTGGCCAACATGGTGAAACCCCATCTCTACTAAAAATACAAAAATTAGCTGGGTATGGTGGCGCGTTCCTGTAATCCCACCTACTCAGGAGGCTGAGACAGGAGAATTGCTTGAACCAGGACCCGGGAGGCAGAGGTTGCAGTGAGCCAAGATCGTGCCACTGCACTCCAGCCTGGGCTACAGAGCAAGACTCCGTCTCAAAAAAATAAAATAAATAAATGAAATAAAAAGAATAAAAAATCTCTAGGTTGCAATGGCTTTCAGAAAAGAAGAAAGTTTGGGGGTTTTGGAGGAATATATGAAAATATATTTAATAATTGCATGTGCACATATGTGACTAATGTGTATGCCTGTGTATTTGGGGTGGAAAAGGGAAGATGGCAGCCATGTGGAAATTAATGCATACAGCAATGTGGACACTTCAGTAGGACTTTGAAGTCCCTGCTTCCAAGTGGTGGCTGATGCAATGTGATTTTTTTCTTTTTCAACTTTTATTTTAGATTCAGGGGGTACACGTGCAGGCTTGTTACCTGGGTATACTGCACGATGCTGAGGTTTGGGGTATGAATGATCCCATCATCCAGGGAGTGAGCATAGTACCCAACAGTTAGTTAGTTTTTCAACTCTTGTGCCTCTCCCTCCCTCCCCGCGCTAGTAGTCCCCAGTGTCTATTGTTGCCTTCATGTCCATGAATACCCGATATTTAGCTCCCACTTATAAGTGAGAACATGCAGTATTTGTTTTTGTGTTCCTGCGTTAATTCACTTAGGACAATGTGATTTTCAACTAAAATAAAAAGTGTTTCTAACGAGCTCTTAACAACTTGCCAAACAGGTATAAAAAATATCGTTATTGGGCTAGGGATGGCAAAGTAACTTTTCCAAAGTGACACGGCTTGTGGGTAATGGAACCTGGTCTCCAGTCTTCTTTTACAGAAAACCATCTTAAACCTCCAAATAAACAATTGAAAACGTTACCAAATAAAGTAGAGGTGATAGACTGTAGCTATTATTTTAGCCTGCACAGAATATCATACCCCTTCTTTTGATACCACCTCCATCGCCCTTGGGGAGTAAGTCCAGCCATGGGGCTCTGGTGTGGCTGGCAGTAATGACATCCCCATCTAACCCCTCATGAATTAACACATCACCTAAGCTACAGTTATCCTCCTTCCTGGACAGAGCTATTGTCTCAAGGGGTAGGCCTGTCATCCAAGATTGGCCAACTGAAGAACTGTCCCAGAATTTTCTTTTTTTCTTTTTTTTTTTTTTTTTTTTGAGACTGAGTCTCGCTCTGTCACCCAGGCGGGAGTGCAGTGGCGCGATCTTGGCTCACTGCAACCTCTGCCTCCCGGGTTCAAGCGATTCTCCTGCCTCAGCCTCCCGAGTAGTTGGGACTACAGGTGCCTGTCACCACGCCCAGCTAATTTTTGTATTTTTAGTAAAGACAGGGTTTCACCATATTGGCCAGGCTGGTCTTGAACTCCTGACCTTGTGATCCGCCCACCTTGGCCTCCCAAAGTGCTGCTGGGATTACAGGCATGAGCGACTGTGCCTGGCCGATATCCCAGAATTTTCTAAAGAGGAAGTGGAGGAGTAGCTATGAGGACAACGTCCTGGGTTCTTTTTGTTGTTGTTGTTGTTGTTGTTGAGACAGGGTCTCCCAGGCTGGAGTGCAGTGGCGTGCTCATAGCTCATTGCATCCCCAAACTCCTAGGCTTGTGATCCTCCCACCTCAGCCTCACAAGTAACTGGGTCTATAGGCACATGCCACCATGCCCGGCTAATTTTTTTTTTTCTTTTTCTTTTTCTTTTTCTTTTTTGTAGAGACAGGGGTCTCATTATTTTGTCCAGGTTGGTCTCGAACTCTTCGGCTCAAAAGATCCTCCCATCTTGGCCTCCGAACATCCTGGGCTCTTTATTCCACTTACCATTGTCATGTAACAAATTATGTCAAAGCACAGCAGCATCAAACA
Organism: Homo sapiens; assembly: GCF_000001405.40. Taxonomy (NCBI): domain Eukaryota; kingdom Metazoa; phylum Chordata; class Mammalia; order Primates; family Hominidae; genus Homo; species Homo sapiens. Next base: position 40,192,616 of record NC_000023.11, on the reverse strand, counting down.
ACCATTTTGTCATGCTCCCAGATTCTGTAAGGGTCAGGAAGCCTTACAGGGCACACAAGGAAGGCTTGTGTCTGCTCCCTAATATCTGGGGCCTCTGCAGGGAGGAGTTGAAGGCCAAGAGTGATTGGCTGACCAAGGGCTGGAATCATCTAGAGGCTTCTTCACTCACATGTGGTGGTTGATGCTGGCTGCTAGCTGGGGCCTCAGCTGGGGCTCTGGGCCAGAACACTTTCATGTGGCCTCTCCATGTGGCCTGGGATTCCTCACAGCATGGCAACCTCAGATTTGGCAGCCAGGATGCCAAAGGCAACACTCCAGCAGACAAAGCAGAAGCTGTTTCATCCTTTATCACTTAGCCTTGAAAGTCACATGGTGTCACTTCCACTGTAGTCACGGGCCCACCCAGTTTCAAGGGCAGAGAACACAGACCCCACAATGTGACTTGGAGTGTCCAAGTCACATTGTAAGATGAGCATCTGGGATATGGGGGAGCCTCTTGCTGTCATCTTTGGAAAATGCAATCTGCCATTCTCTTGGTAGCCACGTCCTCTGCAAGAACAAGGCCAACTGCCTCAGGGAGAGGGTATGGAGAGAGGATCTGGCAGGTGTGTGGTCCCCTGTGCCAATACCTGAGGCCCCGGCTCCCAGACTCATTCCTCAGATTTTAGAAGCTACCCCAGAACATTCCCAATCATCTGACCCAAAAGATTTGTTTTTTGCTTAAACAAGCTTAGGTGGGTTTCTAACACTTGCAATCATGAGTTCTGACTGAAAAAATAATTGTTGATTTTGAAACTGAGAAGATTTAATTCATTCATTCATTCAACAAATAGAAAGGAAATATATAACAAGGTAATGTGCTAAGAACTGGGGAAGGAGACAGCGCAATGAGTAAGATACAGCCCTAACCCACAGGGGGTTTGCAGGCTGTGTTAGTCTGCTTGGGCTGCCATAAGAAAATACCAGGCCAGACATGGTGGCTCACTCCTGTAATCCCAGCACTTTGGGAGGCCGAGGCCACTGGATCACTGGAGGACAGGAGTTCGAGACCAGCCTGGCCAACATGGTGAAACCTTGTCTCTACATACAAAAATTAGCCAGGCATGGTGGAATGTGCCTGTGTTCCCAGCTACTTGGGAGGCTGAGGCAGGAGAATCGCTTGAACCCAGGAGGCAGAGGTTGCAGTGAGCCGAGAGTGCACCACTGCTTGGATGACAGAGTGATACTCCATCTCAAAAAAGAAGAAAGAAAATGCCAGCCTCAGGGGCTTAAACAACAGACATTTATTTTCTCACGGTTCTGAAGGCTGGAAGTCCAAGATCAAGGTGTCAACAGAGTTGGTTTCACCTGAGGCCTCTCTCCTTGGCTTGCGGATGGCCACCTTCTCAGTGTATCTTCACATGGTCTTTCCTCTGTGCAGGCACCCCTCTGGCATCTCTCCTGTTTCCAAATTTTTTCCTCTTATAACGACACTAATCATATTGGATTAGGTCCAGCATTAACAGTCTCATTTTGACTTAATCACCTCTTTAAAGTCCCTGTCTCCAAATACAGTCACATTCTGAGGTTAGGGCCTTAACATATGATGTTTGGGGAGACCCAATACAGGGTTCAAACACTGGTAGCAGCATATAGCCATTCTTATTTCTCTGATAACCAGCCAGGAGCCACAGGCTATTAGGGATGATAATTACAGGTGACTGGAGTATCGTTCAACAAATATTCACTCCTCCTCCCCTCCCTCTTGGTGTGTCTCCCTGACCCATTGACTTTGGGCTTGACTGAGTGACTTGCTCTACCCGATGGAACATGAGTAGGTGCATTACCAGCACAGGCTATACATATGCTTGCACAGTTTGGCCTCCTTTTTGCTTTCCATTGATCTTCCAGAAGAAAAGAATGGTCCAGGAAGCTGCTGATCCAAGGCGAAGGATGGAACACGTGGAGAAGATGTGGACTCAAGCCACAGAGTGCAGCCAAACTCAGCTGAGAGCAACGGAACCCCAGCTGACCTTCACATCAAGGAGCATGAAATCCAAGCTTGAAGTCACTGAGTTTTGGTGTGTTTAAAACTTTTGTTATGCAGCATTATTGCAGTAATAGCTAACTAATTTAATAAGTAATAAAATAAATGACGAGGACCGGGCGCAGTGGCTCACGTGTGTAATCCCAGCACTTTGGGAGGCCGAGGCGGACAGATCACTTGATGTCAGGAATTCGAGACCAGCCTGGGCAACATGGTGAAACCCCGTCTCTACTAAAAATACAAAAATTAGCCGGGCGTGGTGGCGCACGCCTATAATCCCAGCTACTCGGGTGGCTGAGGCAGGAGAATAGCTTGAACCCAGAAGGCGGAGGTTGCAATGAGCCAAGATCGTGCCACTACACTCCAGCCTGGGCAACAGAGACAGACTCTCTCTCAAAAAAATAAAAATAAAAATAAAGGGAAAAATAACCATACCATATAGGCAAAAAGCTTTTTTCTACATGCGGAATTGTATTTTACCAAAGATTTTAAATAGATAGAATTCCTTTTTTTCTAATGGTTTAACAGACGAGCCATAAATTATTTTGATTCTCTAACATATTTGACAGGGAAGGGAAGTTTTTCCCAAGCACATTGCATATGTTTTTACTCTCAAGAGGATTATTACTATTCCTAAATCAGCAGCATCATGCTAAGTGCTGACCTGGGATCCCAGGAAGTGCAGTTCATGCCCAGAAACCTTAATACTAGAGTCACCCGAGGACCATCAGGCACATGAGGTCATGCGCTAAGAATTTTTTAAATATGTGAAACAATCTGGACTAATGGTGTGATTATGCTGGTGATTAAAAGCCCCGGTTCACATATCGTCAATCTCAGGTATGAGTCCATACATATTTCCAAACTGAAATTTCTCAAAACTTGTGTAGCTCTGGGATGTCCAGTTTCTCATTTCTAATCCCATGAATCTGCTCCCCAAATCAGAGGTGTGTCTTACACCCAACAGGGTTCAAACACTGGTAGCGGCATTTAGCCATTCTTATTTTTCTGATAACCTGCCAGGATCTAAGATTTATAATCAACTGCATGGTATTTTGAACATTAGTTGAAATTACACTTTATATGGTCTCTAGATCATCTATTTTATTTCATTTGGGTTCACCCGTTTCCATTGCATCTATAAGCAAAGGTCACGACCTCTTTTGAAAAGGCCTCATTGGAAGAGAAAATAGCAAGTCTACGTGTTGAAGTAAAAGAATTTGGTTCATAAAATAAAACTAAGGCGACAGAAGGCAAAGGGAGTTTCCGCTGTTTGAAAAGGGGCTTTCTCAGCACAAGCTTGGAAAAAAATGTTGATGATTTATGCAAATTAGAGAGGAAATGTGCCCCGAGGGATCTTGGCACAGAAGCTCAAGTTGGAATTCTGGATTCGAGGCTGCCTGTGTCTCTGATTCACTCTGTGACTGGGGCTGAGCCATTTAACCTCTCTGTTTCTAAATACCCTCATCTATAAATGCAGGCTAACAATGCTGTTCTTCCTGCCCCTGAAGGGGAGGCAGTAAAAATGAACGAAATGTCGGGGAATTACTTCTAAGAGCCATCGATTAGTAAGAGAGCATATGGTCTTAATGAGAGCTTGTTTCTACCACAAATTTTTCCCTGCTCCGTATGATCACTACAGCTAGAGAGCTGCAGAAATCAACCTCTCTCTTCAGCTCTCTTCACATGCCGCTCTTAAAATCACAGAGGTCTTTAAAACAGAACTCCTGCCTGCTCTGGGTGTGTATTACGAGGCCGTGGCTCCTGGCTCTCTTCTACACAGAGCCACGCAGCCCAGATTTGTCGAGACGGTGGGGATTTAAAATATTCTGTCCCATTGTCAGACCATGTGTTGGAACATGTGTCAGATCACGTGTCTTGATCATTGCTTCAGAAAATATGGTCGCTCACACCTTCATGAGAAGGGAAGCACCTGCTTGCTGCCTAAAGTCCTCTTTGGAAATGGATGGGAATAAGCAATAAAGCTGTAGCGAGACCAGTTGATGGATTGAGAAGCAGATCTGTAAATGCGGAGTGGGGAGGAAGAATGCTCATTTGACTCAACCATTACTGTGTGCCATGGTGGGGTGGGGCCGCTTATCTACTTATTAAGTAGCTACACTGGGTTAAACACCGAGGATACAGAAGATTATAGGACAAGGTTCCTGGTACAGAAAGTAATAGACATTATCCCTGGCCTCAGCAGCTTGCAATCTAGTGGAAGAGAAAGATGGGTAACAGCTGACAAGCTGAGAGCATGATTTTGTGCTGTAATGAGAGAAAGGACAAGCAGGAACTCCAGGAGGGCTTCACAGAGGTGATGACACTGTAACTGAGGATCAAAGGATAAGCAGGAGATCGGCAAGGGGATTAAGAAGGAGTAGGCGGCCAGGCTCGGTGGCACACACCTGTGATCCTAGCACTTTGGGAAGCTGAAGCGGGCGGATCACTTGAGCCCAGGAGTTTGAGACCAGCCTGGACAACATGATGAAACCCGGTTTCTACAAAAAAAAAAAAAAAAAAAAATAGCCAGGCATGATGCTGTGCGCCTGTAGTCCTAGCTACTCTGGAGGATGAGGTGGGAGGGTCGCTTGAACTTGGGAGGTTGAGGCTGCAGTGAGCCGAGATTGCGCCACTGCACTCCAGCCTGGGTGACAGAGCGAGACCCTGTCTAAAAAAAATAAAAAATAAAGGAGTAGGTTGCTGGGCACGGTGCCTCACTCCTGTAATGCCAGCACTTTGGGTGTTTGGGGGACCGAGGTGGAAGGATTGCTTGAGCCCAGGAGTTGGAGAGCAGCCTGGGTAACACAGCAAAACCCCGTCTTTACAAAAAATTTTAAAAAATTGGCCAGGCATGTTGGTGTGAGCCTATAGTCCCACCTACTCAGGAGGTTGAGATGGGAGGATTGCTTGAGCCAGGGAGTTCAAGGCTGCAGTGGGCCATCATCATGCCAATGAACTCCAGCTTGGGTGACAGGGCAAGATCCTGTCTCAAAAAAAGAAAAAAAAAAAAAAAGGAGCAGGCATTCCAAGCAGAGTGAATAGCCTGTGCAAAGCCCTTGAAGCGATCCATGGTGCCCACCCATTTCCCTCCATCCACTCTGGAAGCCACTTGGAAAGACTTCCCAAGTACAATGAGGACTTCCTGCCACTCCACCTGAGGATGTTCTCTTGGCTCAGAAGCATGCTCAGCTAGACACTGTGTGTGGGGGCAGATCCTAAGTGCTCAGCTTCCCAGAGATAACCCTTAACTCATGAGGAATGAGGGCAGTGGTGTGCTGGGGCAGCAGTACTAGCTCTGGAGAGCCGGATTGTTAAATATTTGGAAAATTTGCCAGCCAACTGCTAAAACTGAGAGCCTGGAATCAGCCCTAGTAGGAATATTTATACCATGACAATCGGCAAACACTACAAATTGGGACTTTTTAAATTCTACCAGAAAGCTGGTTTACTAGCACACCCCTGTGTGGGAGTTGGTGGATAAATACTCCTGCTTCCTCACCCCTTGCTGGGACAGTCCTAAAGGATGTGCTACACAGGACCCCAGAAGGTCACCGGCAGGATTGAACCCCAATTGCCCATATAGGTAACCTGTTCACGAATGCACCCTTTACTGGCCTTCCTCCCTGCCCTGTCTCAATTCCCATGCCCTCACTGTGATTCCTGGGATCATCTTACTTATGCTCAAAAACCCTTGGCTCAGAATCAGCTTGTAGAGGTACCCAAATTAAGACAGGCATGGGGCCGGGCACGGTGGCTCACGCCTGTAATCCCAGCACTTTGGGAGGCCGAGGCAGGCAGATCATGAGGTCAGGAGATGGAGACCAACCTGGCTAACATGGTGAAACCCCATCTCTACTAAGAATACAAAAAATTAACCAGGCGTGGTGGTGGATGCCTATAGTCCCAGCTACTCAGGAGGCTGAGGCAAGAGAATGGCGTGAACCCAGGAGGTGGAGCTTGCAGTGAGCCGAGATCGCGCCACTGCACTCCAGCCTGGACGACAGAGCAAGACTCCATCTCAAAAAAAAAAAAAAAAAAAGACAGGCATGGAAGTGAGAACATGGCACATTAGCAGCGAGCAGCAGACTGATCACGGGGGCTATAAGACCACTGCACAGGCTGGGTGCGGTGGCTCACACCTGCAATCCCAGCACTTTGGGAGGCCGAGGTGGGCAGATCACGAGGTCAGGAGATCGAGACCATCCTGGATAACATGGTGAAACCCCGTCTCTACTAAAAATACAAAAAATTAGCTGGGCGTGGTGGCGGGCACCTGTAGTCCCAGCTACTCAGGAGGCTGAGGCAGGAGAATGACGTGAACCCGGGAGGCGGAGCTTGCAGTGAGCCAAGATCGTGCCACTGCACTCCAGCCTGGGTGACAGAGCAAGACTCCGTCTCAAAAAAAAGCCAGGTGCGGTGGCTCACACCTGTAATCCCAACACTTTGGGAGGCCGAGGCGGGCAGATCACTAGGTCAGGAAATCGAGACCATCCTGGCTATCACGGTGGAACCTCGTCTCTACTAAAAATAAAAAAATTAGCCGGGCGTGGTGGCTGGTGCCTGTAGTCCCAGCTATTCGGGAGGCTGAGGCAGGAAAATGGTGTGAACCCAGGAGGCGGAGCTTGCAGTGAGCCGAGATTGCACCACTGCACTCCAGCGTGGGCGACAGAGCAAGACTCTGTCTCAAAAAAAAAAAAAAAACCACCGCACAGAGGATGCTAAACTTAGTCAAGGTGTCTCAAGGTCTTGAAAGAATTTAAACAGGGAAAGGATGGCAAGATCAGCTGTGCATTTTAGGAAGCTCACCCTGGGGGCTGTGTGACAGATGGATGCAAAGGGAACAAGACTGGAGGTAGGAGAGCTGAAGACTAGGTCAGTGAGAGTCCAAGGAAGAAATGATGAAGGTGTCAGACAACCACAGGAGGTGCTATCCACACAGAACATGATGGAGCTGTGCTTGACACAGCACTGCTTGTGGACCGAACCCTAAGCATGCCTGACACTGTGGGAGCAGACACCTGAACAGGAGACTGGGAAAGGAATCTGGAGGGTGATGAGGACAGGACACAAGGAGAATAGTGTCAAGGAAGCCAGAGAAAAGAGGATGTCAGGGAAGAAGTGTGACCAGTATCACAGGCCAAAGAGAGGTGGTTGTGAGGAGCAAGTAGGTAAGGGTTTAGTATCTGATATAAATTTCTCATTGAATCCTCACAATAGATCCTCTACATTAAATTCAGTGACATTGATGAATTCATAAATGATTTTTCCTGACAAAAATGCTATTCAGAATGAATTCATTTATTCTAATAGTTGAATTGTAGGTTCTTTGGTATTTTCTGTGTGCACAACCATGCCATCTGCAAATAATGACGCTTTCATATCTTCCTTTCCAATCTGGAGGCCTTTTATTTCTTTTTCTTGCTTTATTGCAGTGGCTATGACCGCTAGTATAATCATGAATAGAAGTAGTGATAGCAAGCATTCTTGTCTAGTTCCTGATCTCAGGGGGAAATTTTTCAATATTTTACCATTAAATATACTGTTTGTTGCAAGTTTTGCTTATACATACTCCTATCAGACGTAGGAATTTCCATTCCCTTCTAAGTTTGCTAAGCGCTTTTACCATGACCTCAGAAAAGTTACTTAAACTGTAAACCGTAAAATGTCCACTGCTTTGGTGTTAAAATATCTGGTTTCAAATTCCAGCTGTACCATCTTCTAGCTGTGACTCTGGGCAATTTAATTAAGCTTCCTCTTATAGAAAACAGGGATAATTATAGTAACTCCCTCATAGGAATCTGAGACTTTTCATAAGTTCAAGAGCCCAAGAGGCTGGTTTTGAACCAGGACTAAGGTTTAACATCCAAAGCCCAGGCGCTTAGCTCTCAGATACTCTGCAGAGGCTGATGTTCCCCAGAGTCTTTCCATCTCCTGGTCCTCACTCAGGATTTGTTGGAACCCTTACGATGATGAATGGGAATGGATCCAAACTCTCCCATCCACAGTCACACTTTGCCACCCAGGACTAAGGGTACAGATTTTATGAATGATCAGTCCACTGTGATAGCCAGTCTCCAAAGATGCCCCTTCACCAAAGACCCATGCCTGTTGGTATTCACACCCTTGTATAATGCCTTGATTTTAAATCTGGGTGGGCTTGTGACTCTTTTGTAACTAATTGAATCAACAGAAGTAATACTGCATGATGTGTAAGGCTAGCTTCTGTCTTGGTCTTTTGGTTCGCTCTGCAAAATTGGGCCACCATGGAAGATGTGCTGCTACCCTAAGATCACCATGCTGGAGAAGCTACGGAAGGGCACCACATTCTACAGTTCCAGCTGGGCCCAGACTTCCAGCCTTCCCCACCAAAGCAGCACACATGTACATGAGGCTGATTTGGCCCCGTCCAGACCACATTCACCACCTGAGTACCACTGAGTGACTCCAGTTTACCCCATGTGGAACAGAAGAATCATCCATCTTTGTCCTGATGCAATTCCTGACCCATAAGACCATGAGATATATTGACATAGTTGCTACTGTAAACCACCAAGTTTTGGGATTGTTCGTTGGACAGCAATAGATAATTGGAATATCCACCTTATAGGTTTAGTCCTTAGTCTAGAAATGCACTAAGCAAGCCTGTCCAGTGTTCAAACCTGACACCCATCTTATGCAGCCCTATTCTACCTACTAGAGTTAACCAGATTCAAATAAACAGTATTTAAGTATGGAGAAAACAGTGCGAGAAGGAAGTCATTTCACTCTAAATGTCCTGCATGTTTTTGTGCCTTCAATCCTTCTATTAACAAGAAGGGCCTGGGTGCGGTGGCTCACGCTTGTAATCCCAGCACTTTGGGAGGCCGAGGAGGGCAAATCACTTGAGGTCAGGAGTTCGAGACCAGGCTGGCCAACATGGTGAAACCCCATCTCTACTAAAAACACAAAAATTATCCGGGCATGGTGCCTGTAATCCCAGCTACTCGGGAGGCTGAGACAGAAGAATCACTTGAACCCGGGAGGCAGAGGTTGCAGTGAGCAGAGATCGTGCCACTGCACTCCAGCCTGGCAATACAGTGAGACTCTGTCTCAAAAAAATAAAACAAACAAAACAAAACAGATAATCCTCATCGCAATTGATAGCACTGGTACTATCATGTCCAGTAGTTTTTTAAGGCTGAGGAAACAAAGGCTCAGAGAGAATAACTAACTTGCCCAATGTCACATAGCTAGTTAAATGGCAAAGTTAGGGCTGGAACTGCAAGCCAAGCTCTTTCTTTTTTATTTTGGTCTTGGTTAGGAAACTTTTAGTTGGCAATCAGGGAAATCCATTCATGGTAGTGCAAGGAAGAGAATGGAACTGACTGGAAGAACACAGGAGCAAAAGTGCAGCCAGGCCTCCCAGGGCCAGGACCCAGGCACTGAAATCGTGTCAGGAGCCTATGTTTGCCCTCTCTCTGGAGCCACATGTTTCTGAAGGAGCTCTATTGCACTTCGGCTTAATTTTTCCCTGCTTTTCTGCAGACTGGCTTTCCCTGGCCTGGCATACACAGACTCAAACACAATGGCTCTGTGGTCAGAACAGACTACATAATCTGCAGAGCCCAGAAAAAAATTAAAATGCAGGACCAGCCAGACACTGTGGCTCTCGTGCCTGTAATCTAGCACTTTGGGAAGCCAAGGCAGGAGGGTCACTTGAAACCAGGAGCTAGAGACCAGCCTGGGCAACACAGTGAGACTCTTGTCTCTACAAAAATAAATAAATAAATAAATAAATAAATAAATAAATAAATATTAATTAGCCAGGCATGACGGCATGTACATGTAGTGCCAGATACTCAGGAGGCTGAGGTGGGAAGATCACTTGAGCCCAGGAGTTCAAGGTTGCAGTGGGCTATGATAGCACCACTGCACTCTAGCCTAGGAGACAGAGCAAGACCCTGTCTCAAAAAAATAAAACAAAATAAAATAAGCGGGGCCCCAGGCAAAGAAATCAATCTCCCCTTCTTCCAGGCCCACTGCCCCAATCTATGGCAGTCAGGCAGCCTCCAAGAAATCACAACCTTCGTGCTGGGACACTGTGCACCTGGTGCACAGGTTGGGGAGAGGCCCCTGCCAAATGTGTGTGGCCTTGCCAGCCTGGGGAGGGAAGGCTACCACCTTGTCCCACCCCAAGATGCCATGAAACATATCTGACCACGACCCTGATCTTCCCAATTTTAGCACCGAGGCCCCTGCCAGGGACAGAGGGCAGTAGCAGTCCCAAGGCTAGGGTGGCGTGCGGGAGTCTGGGCAGGGCCCAGGGCTCTCCAGGGACTGGGGAGTGGGCATCTGTGGACCCATCTCAGGGAGGTGAGCCAGGAAGCAGCAGGAGGTAGGTCCCTGCATGAGCAGAAACAGCAAGATTCTGGTGTATGCCTTGTTGTCTCATCATACTTTACTCATAAAACATAGACATTGGCCGGGCGCAGTGGCTCACGCCTGTAATCCCAGCACTTTGGGAGGCTGAGGCGGGCAGATCACGAGGTCAGGAGATCGAGACCATCCTGGCTAACACGGTGAAACCCCATCTCTACCAAAAATACAAAAAATTAGCCAGGTGTGGTGGCGGGCGCCTGTAGTCCCAGCTACTCGGGAGGCTGAGGCAGGAGAATGGTGTGAAACTGGGAGATGGAGCTTGCAGTAAGCCGAGATCTTGCCACTGCACCCCAGCCTGGGTGACAGAGCAAGACTCTGTCTAAAAAAAAAAAAAAAAAAAAAGACATGGACATCATCATTTTACCCAGAATTTCTTTTCTTTTCTTTTTCTTTTCTTTCTTTCTTTTTTTTTTTTTTTTGAGACGGAGTCTCACTCTCGTTGCCCAGGCTGGAGTGCAGTGGCGTGATCTTGGCTCACTGCAACCTCCGCCTCCCGAGTTCAAGTGATTCTCCTGCCTCAGCCTCCCGAGTAGCTGGGATTACAGGCGTGTGCCACCATGCCCAGCTAATTTTTGTATTTTTAGTAGAGATGGGGTTTCACCATGTTGACCAGGCTGGTCTCGAACTCCTGACCTCAGGTGATCCACCTGCCTTGGCTTCCCAAAGTGCTGAAATTACAGGCGTGAGCCACCGCGCCTGGACTTTTTTCCCAGAATTTCAAGATGGTAGCTACAGAGCAATAACCCCAAGCATGGGGCCCATGTGACTGCACGGGTCGCTTGCCCATGGAGCCAGCCCTGTCCTGACTAACCAGCCTTCTCTCTCCCAATCCACTGCTCCCAGGAGAAAAAAATTGAACTAGCTTATCTGGTGGTAGCTACAGCTACATAGAAGCTGTTGGCATCCCGACCCCCAGCGACAGGGGTGTGAACCAGGACTAGACCCCAAAAGGTCTCTACTGAATCTTCTCCACCCACATGCTTAATGTTCTCATACTCTCTATGAGACTAGGAGCAGAGGTGGCCAGTTGCCTACACCAATATTCATCCCCTGCTCTTCCTTCGTAATTTGAGATAACAATGTACCCAAGCTAAAAGATGACATTTCTCAGTGCCATGGACTGAATATTCATGTCCCTCCCAAATTCGTATGTTGAAATCCTAACCCCAATGTGATGGTATTAGGACATGGGGCCACTGGGAGATAATTAGGTCATGAATGGTATTAGTGTCCTTATAAAAAAGACAGGAGAGCGTTTGCTTCCTCTCTCTGCTCTCTACCATGAGAGGGTGCGATGAGAAGACGGCTCCAGCAGGCCCTCAACAGACACCAGATCTGCCAGCACCTTGATTTTTCTTTTTTCTTTCTTTTTTTTTTTTTTTTTTTTTTTGAGACAGAGTCTCACTCCATCGCCCAGGCTGGAATGCAGTGGTGAGATCTCGGCTCACTGCAACCTCTGCCTCCTGGGTTCAAGCGATTCTCAGCACCTTGATCGTAATCTTGGACTTGCAGAACTGTGAGAATTGCTTTTTTCTTTGTTTAAACCACCCAAATTGGTAATTTGTTATAACAGCCTGAACTTACTGAGACATGCAGCTTCCTTCTTGCAGCAAGAGGTGGCCAGGCTGGGCACAGTGGCTCATACCTGTAAATCCCAGCACGTTGGGAGGCTGGGGAGGAGGACTGCTTGAGCCCAGGAGCTCGAGGCTAGCTAGAACAACATAGTGAGACCCCCGTCTCTATAAAAAATAAAAAATTAGCTAGGCATGGTGGTCCCAGCTACTTGAGAGGCTGAGGTGGGAGGATCACTTGAGCCCAGGAGGTCAAAGCTGCTGTGCGCTGTGATTGCACCACTGCACTCCAGCCTGGGTGACAGAGCAAAACCTTGTCTCAAAGAAAATAAAAAAAAGAGAAACAAAGAGGTGACCAATGAGATGTCAGTGGAAACCATTGGGTGGGACTTCTGGGAAATCTTTATAAAAGAGGCTGATGCAGCTGGGAGCGCCCCTTTCCCTCTCCTTGCTGCTAGGACTTAAAGCAGTGGGTGGAATGATCAGATGGAGGAGATGAGTTTGGGGAGGGGTGGGGCCCAACTGTTTATTGAAGGGTCCAAAAAGATCTGAAGGGTAGTTGGATGAGGAAGAGGACAGGATAGATATTAAGGAGAAAGACACTGCAGGATTTGATGGTAGGGGCTGTATCCTCTACCCTGTTTGCTTGTGTGCCAAGAAAAGTAGAATGTAAGCTCCATGAGGGCAGGGACCATGTCTCTTGCTTACCATTGCGTGCCTAGTACAGTGCCTGGCACAAAGTGGGCAATCAATAAATGTCTAATCAGTGAAGAATGAAAGAAACATGCTCCATACATCCCTTGGGGGCTTTACTCCTAATGGGAAGCAGGTTCAAGGGGTCAAGAACATCTATATCTTGGGGGCCCCTTGTATCCGGGGAATAATTCCTAAGTATGGTTTCTCTTGCATTGTGTGCACCCATCATCCCCACGCTTAGGCCCAGGCTGGAGTTTCTCAGGGCCTAAATGAACCACAGGAGTGTCTGCCTGCACCGAGCTTTTCCCAACTCTGGCTCCTGTGTGGTTCGAAGGCCAAGTTAATGCCACTGTTTCCACAACATCACTTCCTCTGCAGCGTGAGAAAAGAGGAAGAACACTTGCTATGTGACTCTCCTCTTCCCCCAGGGAAAGCACAAAGCTGTTGGAAACAATAAAAGCAGCCCTGTGTAAAGGGGAGACTTTTGTCTGTGCAGTCAGGGGTTGCTGCGCCTGCGACTTCCTGCAGGGATATTCGGCAGCTTTGCAGATAAATAAATGCTCACATTCAGAATGACCAGCCTAGAACACTTTTATGAGCCTTTTCTCCTCCCCAGGCTGTACACAGATAATAAATCAAATTAGCATCCCAAACCTCTGGTTCAGCATCACTTGTCACCAGCCCCCTCGGCATGAGGGGTGAGTTTTGGCAAGGTTGTTCTCAACTACAACCCAGCAATGTGGGATTGAGGCCTGTGACCTCCTTGGGAATCATCAGATGCTTCCAACCTGGGCTTGCCACAAGTTGAGGTCATGAGGTCTTGCTGGTCACTCCGGACCAGACTGTAAAAGAGGTGGCAGAGGCTGGGCGCGGTGGCTCATGCCTGTAATCCCAGCACTTTGGGAGGCCGAGGCAGGTGGATCACCTGAGGTCAGGAGTTCAAGACCAGCCTGGCCAACATGGTGAAACACCGTTTCTACTAAAAATGCAAAAATTAGCCAGGTATGGTGGTGCGCACCTGTAATCCCAGCTACTTGGGAGGCTGAGGCAGGAGAATCGCTTGAACCCAGGAGGCAGAGGTTGCAGTGAGCCGAGATTGCGCCATTGCACTCCAGCTTCAGTGACAAGAGCGAAACTCTGTCCCCCCACCCCCAAAAAAGAGGTGGCAGAAACCCCAGCCTTATAATCAAGATAGGGTCGTAACTTGGAGAATATATACATTTTCATTTCTCCATTAATAATCATAGGAACATGAGCAAAAATAGATAACTATGAGGGTAGGGAAAGAAAAAAGGAAGGAGTGAGGGAGGGAAGGATAGTAGTCAATAGATATTGGATGGATCAAATTGGAAAGGAGAAAGTTCACACTCAGGTAACATGAAGTGGAATTTGGCCTCATTTCAGGTTGCCCAACTAGTAACACAGGATAACTGGTAAGGTTTAGAAAATGAAGTAGGGACAGGGGAGATTTTCTAAACTTTACCCTACTTACTCCCACTATATGGTATGAACATCTATTCTACTGAGCTATCTAAATATAAGTGTTTTTAATGCATCCTTTCTTGGGCCACGAGAAGCAGTAGGACAGTACAGAGCACCAGTGGCAGCTCTTCAAATCACAGATGTGGTCCCACTGACTGGGATCGCGGAGCTGTCGGTTAAAGTAGATGACTGCCTACACTTCGAGATGCAACCTCACAGCTGGTGAGGGTTGAAGCCAGTTGCACAGGGTGGTCCGTGAATTCAAAAATAACCACAGAGATATAAGCCACGTTCCCCCGAGCCCCCACCAGCGGGTAGAAGGGAAGCCAACGAACCACGTTTGGCGGGTGTACCCTCCTCCTCTGCTGCTTATGTGTTCAGAATCACATCAATTGCAGTTCCAGGCTGCCTGACCCTGAGCAGAATCCTACAGAACAGGAACAGGGTTGGGAAAAAATGGCCGAGACCAAGTAGAAGCTGCTTTGGCTATGTGCCCCAGCAAGTTCAAATGACTACCAGGGTGGTTGGCTAGGGGATAGGGGTAGGAGATTAATATATTTTTGAATAAGAGTTTCCTGTTACCTGCGAACACTCAAAAAACAGCTAGAGGTTTTTATTTCTCTTAGGAAGAACAATGGTTAGGACTGTTTTCTCTCATCACTTGTCATCAATGATTCTGTCAATCATTTATTCTGACACCCATTCATTCCACAAATATTTATTGAGTGCCTACTATATGCCAGCCACAATGTTACACGCCAAATATACAGCTCTCAAGCAAACACTGGGTTTTGTAGACAGGTTTGTACTGTGGATACCAAGGTATGCACTGTAACATACTTACAGCATGTTTAACCACCCTGAACTCAGAGACCTGGGTTCAAATCCTCACTAAGTCACTTACTTAGCTGAGTAACTGAGCTTTACCCAGTTTTACACGACTGACCTTTCCCTATGCCTCAGTTTCTCACTCTGTAAAGTTGGAAGGCTTGTGAAGAACTTAGCACAGACCACGTGAGTAGGAGCTACCATTATTATTTAGCACAGTCCTCCACCCCAGCTCTGCCTGGTGCCACAGTCCACCGCTTGGTGGTATTTCCGAAGCTGGCCAGGCCCTCTGCTGCTGACCCTGGAAATCGGGTCACACTAGACAAGGCTGCATGTGCGGGGAGAAGGCGGGGGGGCTCCTTTGCACGCGGCTGCTCGCGTTTCCCCAAGGCCTCCAAATAGTCTAAAAACTCACCTCGGAGGAGGAGAAAGAGCGTGAAGTGGCTCTTTCGATCTGAGACACCCCCTCCCGGAGAACTCGCCCCCTCCCCCCCAGCCCAGAGCGGAGTGAAATCTTAGAAGCCGTGGCTGCTGGGTTTGAACGGAATGCTGGAGTCAGTGGAAGACGGAGCTGGTCGGCCCGAAGGTCAGCGAGTTGTTTTGAGTTCTCCTACCCGGAAGGTAGGGGGTGGGGTGGGGTGGGGAGCAGGGAGTAGAGGACGCCAGGGCCCCCGAGAGACCCCGCGTCAGAGCAAAAATTGTTTGTGCCCCGGAACAGGCAGCTCAGCGGAAGCCGCGACGGGGGCGGGTCACGTGCGGCGGTGGCGGCGCAGCTGGCGGGGGAGCCGGGCTGGGACAAGGGCCGGGCCGGGCGGGGGTGGCGCGGGGCGGCGGCTCTCGCAGCCGAAGGTGGAACCGGCTGACTCTGGGCGCTGGGAGCGAGCGGCTCCCCGAGCCCGGAGCGAGGGAGGAGCGCGAGTTATGGAGGGACCGGTGTGGGAGCCAGGGCGCGCGGAGCTCCGCGTGGTGCGGCACGGGCCGGACGAGGAATCGTTGGGGGGCGGGGGCAGGGACACGGAAGCGGGCTCCCGGGGCGAGAGCGGAACCGACGCGGAGGCTGCGAGGGCGTCTGAACCCCAAGAATGGAGTCGCCGCTCTTGTAGTCGCCGGCCTTGTTTTCTTCTTGCACGCAAATCCCGGAACGACCGGAACCGCCATCCCCGCCTGCGTCCCAGGGGCGCCCCATTACGCATGGCGGGGGGGCCCGCGGGGCTACTCCGGGAGGGGATCCGTGAGGCCGAGGCCGGGGAGGGCTGCGAGGTGGCTCGCGGGGGTGCAAGCCGGAGCGGGGCTACACACCACACAAACAGCCTCCCTTTCCCCCGGAAGAGCGGGCGAGGGAAGACGCGGGCTAGCTCTGGGGGCTCCCCAGGACTGTGGGAGCCAGGCGAGGACCGCAAGGCGGAAGGGAGTGCTGCAGACAAACCATCGGCCCCACCTGGAAGACATTGGTGGCCTCGTGGCCGGTGGTGAACGGTCTCACGCTTCCCCAAAGTGGCGTGCGCTACTCTAGCGTGGGAGGGAAAGGACACAAACTTGGCCATCTGCCAGAACCCTTGAAGACGCCTGTCTTTGGTGTCCCTCCGCCCCCCGCAGTGGCCCGAAATGTACTCTCCCTCCCGTAGTCCACGAGGTTCAGGTCCGAAACCTGGAAAAGTAGGGTAGCGTGGTCTGGCCTCGGACGGGAAACCCACCCACGTTCTTCTGAGGTGCCACGCGGGGAAGGCGCGGAACAGTCTTCTTGCAAAGTTTCCCGCCCCTCACCCCAGTCGAGTAAGGGCGGCTCTTCCGGAGGTGGGGGCGGGGAACGGTCTCGTAGCGGGGAGTGGTGCTAGTTCCTCTTCCCTGCGACCGCTCGGGCCGCCTGCGCGTTCGCGTCCCCAGACGCTGCACCCCAGTTTGCTGCAACGTCTGCTTGGAGTCGCGGTAGCGGGTGCTGCGCGGAGTCTAGGACGACGCGAGACGCCATTTGCATCCCCCCTCCCTCCTGCAGGTTGGCGAGGGCGGCGGTGTCGCCCGCCGCGGAAGCGTATTCCTGGCAGTGACACTGATTAGATGCTGTGTCGATACGTGCACAGAATCGGGGTGGGCCTTCACCTCTCGTGTGCGCACACACTTTCTGTTGGAAAAGTTGCGATATTTTTTCTCCCCCTCTCGCCGCACAGCTGCTGTCTCCCGGGCGGAATTAGGCGACCACGTTTGCTCAACCCGAAGGAGAGAGGATCGCGCGGGCGCTGGGCGGCCGCCGGGCCCGGGCCGCGAAAATCCAGCCCTGGCTTTGCGTCGAGCTGCTGAGTGCCGCGCTTACGCGCGCGGGGCCAGCCGGGGCCTGGTTTCCATCTGCCCCTTTTGCCTCCGTGTTAAGTTCGCCGGGGAAAACCCAACGATCCGTGCTGAGCCCCTCGGAGGAGAGCCCCCGCCCCACCCCACCCCCAGCCCGATCCCGACCGATGGAAAAAATGACAGTATAGGTCAGAACAGGCTGCCCGCGAGTATTAATATGGACGGCCTCCGTTCCTGGTGCTTGGGGAGGATGGGCGCTTCGCCAGGAAACCGCCGAAGGAGGCGCCATGAGGGCCGCCTGCCCCTTCTCGGGCTAGAAAACGTGGATTCTCAGAGGGACCAGACAAATGTGGTCAGATAGCTGCAGGAACTTACCCCATCTAAATACAGGTTGCCCGTGTATATTCCAACCAAGATCATTTTTGTTTCAATCTAATACACGTTGAATCAATTAGAAATACTGTGAGAAACTGTGGTCAAACGGTAGATAGGAAACTTGCTCTTTGCCTAACATTAAATGTATGCTCAGGAGGTGCGGGGCTGAGCACTATCGGCGCAGCCAGTCTGTGTCCTAAGAAGACAGGGTCCCCTTTGCGTTCCACCTTCCAGGACCTTAATAGAACGCGAAGAGAGGAATTATTTTAGTTGTAGTTTCTATTAGAGGGTTGCTTACTCCTTGCAAACTCCCGCCTGGGGTTGTCGGTAGTTAGTAGTAGATGGTTCTGCGTTTTGGCTTTTACAGTCCACGTTTTTCTCTTGGCTTTTTCTTTTCCTGCGTACACGCTGCTGGGTACGGGGAGGGGGCTGCCCAGACGTGTGCTGCCGCCGCCCTCGGGCTCTTTCTTGCGCACCACGCGGCCTCGGAGGAGGGGAAATGTGAACTCTCCGGGTGGCGCTCGAGAACTGGAATTCTGATTTAGGGCTGCGGGTTTGTTCCGGAGGCTGGCTGGGAGCGTCTTGTAGGGGCCGGAGGCTGTGAAGGGGAAGCCCCAGAGGTGACCCTGAGGCCTCAGAAGCAAACCTGGAGGCGCCCGTGTTCTTTGTCTTTCTCGGGGCTGGCAGCTTGGCACGCACAGTTCCGATAAGGATCTACTGAGAGCTAGAGCGCACTGCCAGCACATTTCAGTGATTAGGCAAACGCCGGTAGCCACTTAAGGCAAAGGCCATTTGCGTTGTGTTTGAAAAGGAAAAGGCAGCCTCACCTAATGAATTATGGGTGACCCTGGAGAGGCCAAGCAGGGGAGGCCGAGGCCTCCCTAGGCTCTTATTTGCCGCAACTCCTCCCCTTTTTGCCAGAGTCGCCATTTCAAAGGTAATGGGAAGCCTTTTGAAATTAGAAGTCTGACCGATTCTGTCTACAGAAGTGGTATTTGCATCTGTGCACCAGTAAAATGTGGCCCGCCAGCGGCCCAGGGACAAGGCCTGCCATACGCCAGCCCTGCACCAGTGTTAGACCAAAGTACATCCCAGAGGACATGGCTTTTGGCCAACTCCTCCGAGAACTGATTTAAAGAGGTGGCCTTCAGCCATCAAAAAAGGTGTCCTGGAAGAGTAGGCTGGAGGTCCTGGAAACCAGCGCTCTTCCCCAGGGCTGCAGGGAGAGAGTGGGTAATGGTGCCTGAGCCCTGACGGAACTTGCTATTAATCCAGTCTAAATGAGCACCATTAAAAAGGACTCTCCCTCCTATCCACCACCACACACACACAAGCCTTTATGGGACGGTCTAGTGGAGACCTAGACAGTTTGAGGGCATTTGGCCTTCACTTTTCAGTGGCCATACAATAGTGCCCTTTCCACCCTGCCAAGACCACTGGCTCCATGTAAACTTCCAGGAACTTTAACCCGGAACTTTGTACTCCCTACCCATCCAAAGGGAGTGCCAGATCATAGTAACAAACACACGTAGCATTGTACTGGAGGCAGCGTTCTAAGCACCTTATGTATGGAGGCATGTTATCCTCAGAACAACCCTACGAGGTAGATAATAGTATTGGTCTTATTTTACAGATGAGGACTCCGAGGTTTCGAACTGTTAAGCGGTTTGCCCAAAGCCGCACAGCTTGGGATAATAGGGCCTGGATTGACCAGAGGGAGAGATAGGGCCTGGATTGACCAGAGAGAGAAATAGGGCTGTGTTGCCTCTCTAGCGTTTTGTAATGAAAGTGATCTGTTTGGGGGTTGTTTCGAGAGGACTGCCTGGACCCCAACCTTCCAAAGGAAAATATGAAGAGACTAGAAGGCCCAACATTTGGCCTTTATTTTGCAAAAGAAAGTTCTGGAGAGTCGTACAGAGGCATCTTACTGTGGCTCCTCCGCGGCAAGGAAGGGGTCAGGGAAGGCAATGCAAAGGCCCCCCTGGCCCACCTAGCTGCATAGCATCCGGCGGTCACGTCCGCCGGAGGTGACTGGGGACTGGGGACAGCCGATTGCCGAGGAACTCCTTATCGCCCAGTGTCAGTGCTCCCGGGTGCCGGAGCTAAACGTCCGCCTGCGGGGGCGGCTAGTTCACACCAGTCCCCTGGCTCCCGACGCGCCCCCGGGCTTCTCCCGCGGAGCTGGCTAGATGCCCGGCGGCGGCTCCGAAGCTCCGGGCTCCCCGCCGCTTGTCCCGCCAGCCCGAGGCATGGAGCCCCACGGCCCAGGACTGGAGAGCCCAGTTCGTCAGTCCAGGTTGGGACTGCTGGTTCCGGGTTGCTCACGATCACTCTCCCCTCAACACCCGTCCGGCCAGGGCGCGCGCGCAGACACATAAACACACACGGCTTCCAAGCGCGCAGCCCGCCTCCCGGGCCTCCGCTTTTCCTTCCTCCTCCCCGCTCGGGCGCTTCGGAAGCCCGTGGCGGTTGTGTGCTGCGCCAGGGAAGAGTCCGGGTCGGGGAGACCGCGCTGCCCTCTTTCCCCCCAAGGTCTGCGCGCACGCTAGTATCCTTAGGAAGCACAGTCAGGCTTGTGGGTTCCCATCTTCCCGGGAAATGACGGCTGCTGGCGAGGACCTGTTCGCTCCGTGTTTCGCAATGGCCCGGGGATCAGAGGAGAGGACCGGGCGGTGGGGCCTGCGCGTGGATGAGGGTGGCGGTAAATCCCCTCTCCCGCGAAGGTGGCTGAGCCTCCGGCCACCGCTAGTAGTAGTCTACCCTGCTCGTCTTGCATTGGCCGCAGCTTGACTCCCCTGCGTGCCGCGGGTCGGTGTGGGTGTCCCCACTCCCTCAAGCCTTTACTTTCAGCTCGCGAAACCCCATGGATCCGCGGCTGGGCTGGGCAGCGCAGACGCCCAGCTGCCCTCGCCAACCCCAGGCCCAGAGGGGGCCAGGCTGGCCTGGGGGCTGGGCGGCCCGGCTGCACTTGCCGGCGTTGAGAGAGGCTCTGTGAGCCGGAGCCGGCCGCCGAGCCGAGGGAGAGAGCGCATCAGCCCGCGCGCCTTAAGGCAGAACACACGCCTTTCCCGGAACCTTGAAACCCAGGGGAGCCGCTGCCATCTTCGCGTGACGAGCAGCGAGACGCCGGTGATTAAGTGTTTCTTTCCGGCTCCCTCTCCGGGTTGCGGCTCTCCTCCTTTCCACAGGGCTGGAAGAATAAAAACCTGGGGAAAAACCACACACAACTGCGCTCTGGTCTCGCTCGCCATGTCCGCACTGGTTTCTTAGGGTGCGCCCACGCGGGGCACCCCCTGCTCCCCTACTCCACGCCTGGCCGGGGTCGAGGGCTGCGTGCCTCGGTTTCCATCCGCTCTAGCGCAAATCTCGGAGTTTAATGGGGAGGGGGCACACATTGCTGAAGCCACCCGACCCCCATTCTCCTTACGCCCCCCCCCCATGGGGATTAAACCTAAACACATGAATCCCCCACCCATACCCGGGACTAATCCAGCCGCGCCTCCTGGGATTAACTCGGCTCACAGGTCCATAAAACACTTCCGGCGCGGCCAGAGGGTCTGTCTGCAGAAACACTTTAAAATTGTCCTCCCGGGCCTGGAGTCGGAATTGACTGGGTGGAGGGAAGTGAGTAAACAGACAGTTGTAAGAGACAATCCGTGAGGTTTGCAGGCTGTGAAAAGAGCTGCTTAAAATATGGGCTGTCGGGGTTGCCTCCAGCAGGAGGGTGGCCCGGGTCCTAGCAGACAGATCCAAGAAAAGGATGCAATATATTCTAAATGACATTGACCTGGAGGAAGGAGGGTGTAGGCAGGAGCAGGCTGGCTTCACATGGCTTCTGGCTCCAGTTCAGTGAGGAAGACTAGCTTCCAGAAATTTGTGGGGGCGAGTGGCCAGTCTCTTCATGTGTAAAATCAGAACAGTAACACCTACTCTGTCCCCCTCGGATGGGTTTCTGAGGACCAAAATGTGAAGGCACTTTGTAAATGCGGCTCAACCCTTCTGCTTCACTGTGGTTAATGTTCAGTCTCTCTTAGGTAGAAAAACCAGTGACTTGCTGATTAGAAAACAAAGTAGAAATCAGCCCTTTCTCAAATCTACGCAACAATGTTCGAGATAAAGGGAACCCAAAAGCAACCTAATATTTTGAACCTCCTTTTACATCATTTCGAGATAAGTTTCTGAAGTAATGAGAGAATCTTTGGAATGTTCTAAGAAAATCTGTCAAAAACTGGAGGTTAATGGGGAAGAAAGGGAGGCTTTAAATTGGGTCAAATCACATTTTAAGAAGGCTGGGCGCGGTGGCTCACGCTTGTAATCCTAGCACTTTGGGAGGCGAGATGGGTGGATCACGTGAGGTCAGGAGTTCGAGACCAGCCTGGCCAACATGGCGAAACCCCGTCTCTAGTAAAAATACAAAAAATTAGCCGGGCAAGGTGGCGGGCGCCTGTAATCCCAGCTACTGGGGAGGCTGAGGCAGAATTGCTTGAACCCGGTAGGCAGAGGTTGCAGTGAGCCGAGATCGTGCCACTTCACTCCAGCCTGGGCAAAAGAGCGAAACTCCGTCTCAAAAAAAAAAAAACCAAAACCAAAACAAAACCGGAAGAAGAATATAAATTTATAGTAGCTTCCTGGCTATATCCCCTTCTGTTAGTCTGCAGAAGAGATGCCCGTTGGTAGCCATTCCCCCAGCCCCAGGACCGAAGGACGTCTTGACTCAGGCTTGGTCTGCTAGGTGCAAGGTGTTGTTGGCGTCTGGGGTGGGGACAGTGAAGAAAGGCGATCATTTTGCTTTAAATGAACATCAGAAGACCCAGGCCTGCTACTGCGTCTTGAAGGCCTGGAGTTGTTAAAACTCTGTGGGAGGGGGTGCCTCGTGACCTCCTTCCTCGCAGATGGGCTCAGGCAGCGTGACCGGCCCCAGGTGGTGCCCAGGCGCGCTGGGGATGGAGGCCCAGGCTGCGCGTTCACCCTGCCTCGCAGATAGCGAGTAGGGGCCTCCGGCTGGACCGCCCACCGGCCTTACTCTCCCTTCCCTGGCCTTGGGGCCTTGGACCAGGGTTAACCCTGGTCCCGTCTCCACCTCATTGCCCCCCGTGCAGCGCCGTCCCCGCCCTGGCTCCCGGCCCAGATCCCGAGGCCTCCCTCGCCCAGCAGTCTCGGTTCTTCCCCCTCGTGATTCATTTAGCAGCGGTGCAGAAAGCCTGTTTACCTCCGCAGCCCTGGGCGACTCGATCTGCGTAAAAAGCCCCAACGCCAGCTCCGACCAGTAGGGGGGGGATTGTCCTATAGATTATTTCTCCTCCTGGTTTTTGTTTTTGTTTTTTTTTAAACCAGAAGGCTTGGTTGAAGAGGGGGTGGGGTGGCGTGTTGCTGCTGTTTTTTAAAACACCGTATTTGAAAGAGAAACAAAAGCCACACAAAAGCCGTTTAGGAGGTACCAAGACTGTTTTTACATATAAAAAGTGCAGCGAATACCAAGGGGCCCCCAACAGTGATAAACTAAATGGTTGGCCGATTTCGACAATTAACAGTTAATCTGTTATCTGCGATCAGCAAACAAGTTTTGAGGCTCGAAGGACACCGAATTCCTGTTCCAGTCGATAGCGTTGTACTCGAATCTGTTGAGCACATCAGATGCTCCCTGTTTCTCCTAGAGCGAATCCAGCTTTAGCAAACATGGGTTTCCCAGGTTGAAGGACCGACTTGAGCCAGAGAAAATTCTCTTGTGCAGCTGAGGAGCCTCTGTCTGCATCGCCCCTCGAGCCCGAGCTCATCTGTTTGGTTTAGATTTCTCCAAATTGGTTTTCACCCCGATTTCGCGGACCTCCTAATTTTGCACGTAATAGGCCTCCGATAAATGTGTACTGAATGGCAGAAACTAAAGTGAGGCCCTCGGCCTGGAAGACGGCCTGACGCACGGCCTCGCCCTTGGAACCCCACTCGGGTTCCCAGAGCCCCCAGGCCGCTGCAGCCTGCGCGCAGCTTCGCCCTGCGCCGGCCAGGGCGGGCGGGCGGGGGAGGCCAGGAGGCACGAAGCGCCTGGAGCCTGCACGATGATAAATATTGCGCAGACAGCCCATAAATAATTTGCATTATGTTCAGCTGACAACGCGGGGCGATTAATTTTAATAGCTACATATTTGCCTGGGCTGCTGCTTTCGTAGGCCCCGTAATGAAAGGCGAGAGGCCGCCCTGGCTCCGTGCTCGCGGTCCAGGAAGGCAGCCGGGGGTGCGGGAAGGCCCGATGTGGCGTCTCCTCCAGGCAGCCCCCCGGGGAGCCCCAGCCCCTTGGCCCCCCTCTCGCCCTCCGTGCCTTGTGGAGGTGAGGTGTGCGCGCACCGCCGGAGCACCCCCGAGGCCTCGAGCAACAGGAGCCACCATAATGACACTGCACATTTGTCTGTGTGGGGAGAGCCACTTGTGGACTGGGAGACCCTCCACGTAGCTTTGTGCCCCACCCGGACCAAGTCCGGAGTTTCAGGTTCCACTTAGGCTAGGAGGGGGGTGTTTGCCGCCGCCAATTCGCCAGTGGGCCCCAGCTCGGCCGAGGCTTCTCCGCCCTCCCGGCAGAGGCAAGAGACAAAACAAAGCCCGGCTGTCCCCGCGTCCTCTCCGCGCGTGTAGGGTCCTGAGTTCTGCCTCCCAGGAGCTGTCCGGCGCTCCGCGGAAGGCCCCCCTAAAATGCTTCCTGAGCTCCTTGATGCAAAAGGACCGCACACATAAAGGACGGAAGAAAAGAAAGGGTCTGGAGGAGCTCTTTAAAAGAGGGGGCAGGGAAGGAAGCGCAGCGAGGAAGGACGCGGCTGCCGCGGTCCCGTGGTGGCCGGGTGCGCGCGTGTGCGTGTCTGTGTGTGCGTTCCGATGACAAAGCCCCGCCGCCGCCAGCAAGCTCCTGGCTGCCAGAGCTCTGGTGGGGGAGGGGAAAGGGAGGAGAGGAGCCAGCGCTAGCGTAGGTAGCGGGGAATCGAAGCTTCCCAGGAGAAAGAGTTCATTCATGAGCTGTAGGAGGCCTCGCGGCCCGGCCAGGTGGAGCCTCCTGAAGCCAACACCTGTGTATTTTCCTTTTTGGAAACAGGCGAGCCCATCGATCATTACCATATTTTAATTGCCTTTCGCAAAGGTCATCTCTAATTATGGGTTGCGAGGAGGGTTGGTCAGGAGTCCGTGGCCCTTTATTATCTGTGTGGGTGTGTGTGTGTCGCCGCAGAGACAATGCGCCCAGCTCTTATAGAAATGCCAATCCGAGGGTGTCCGTGCGCGCCTGCGAGGCGGTCACGACGTGCTGGATCCACGCAGACCAGGCTGCGTGCACAATAAAAGCCGAGCAGGCGGCTGAGGGCCGCGCAGACCCACGGGTTTTCTTTTTAGAAACAGTGGTGCGAAGAGACTTGACAATAATAACACGCAGCAGGATTAAATCAGGGCGGGAATAAGGAAATGTATTTTCGTTTCTAGAACCGCGGACTGTGTTTAACCCATCCGATCCTCCCCTCCCCAGAGCATTTTGTGCACACGTGGAGTTCCGCGCAGGGACAGGCGCCGGGCACAGAGTGGCTTGGGACTGCCCGATGACGTTCCAGGGCAGCCACGTTACGTTCATATTAATCTCTTCCCTTAATTCGGCATGGTTGTCAGTTACAGTGACGTGAAACAGCCTTAACGATGTCTGTTTTATGGGAAACAATACCTGGCTAGTTGAAAAAGAGAAAGCAAACGTTGAGGTTTTTTAACTTTTGAAAGTTTGCATTTCCTTAGTTTTTATCACTGTCAGAAACCCTTGTGGCAAAAGCCTATTTTAACTTCCTCCGAGGGAGAAGAGCAGTGGAGAAGGTAGATGGAGGGTCAGGGGTTCTTGGGAGGATATTTTGGAGATGGAGGGAGGTGGAGATCAGTGAAGAGCTGTGAGTCAGGGGTGGTCAGCAGCCACTCTGAACTTGATTTTCTCAAAGGAGCCTGGCACTTCTGAGCCCCGATGCTGTTTCTGGTAGTCCAGCCTGACAAAGTCAGAGGCTGGGGTCAGGAGCCTCAGAGAGTTGGAGAGTTTTGTACTGGTCCTGCTTCCTGCCTGCCCCCACACCTGGCCTCCTGGCCTCACCAGCAGCCAGCTCTGCCCTGAGGAAGGCAGAGCCAGATGACTGGTCCAACCCCCCAGAGACCGCCTGGCTTTCTCCTCCCCTGTAATCATAACCAGATGCACTTAAGCGCCTTTCATCAGAGGAAGCCCAAAGCCCTTTAACAGGCTTCAATAAAAGCCTTTTGAGGGCCTACCAGCCTGCTCAGCGTTGGGGCCCCTGTGCCCACTTTCCACCTGAGCCAGCCTGGGGCTGCAGTCAGGGTCTAGCCTCTCCCCTGGGGCCCCAGAAGCCAAGGAAGTTTACTCAACTAAGGCAACCTCTCCAAGCAGGTAGGGTGCCAAGATTCCTGCCAGGTGTGTGGGTTCAGACCTCATTAACAGGAGGAAAGAAAGGCATGGGAGGGAAGCCAGCAGCTAGTGTCTGTCTTAAGGAAGGACAAGAAGGAGCAGCCTATGAGAAGGAACCAGAGGGGCTAGGAAATAGAGCCGGGGTGAAGGGGCAGTGATGATGGAGATGTTCACAAAGACTCCCATGGTACTTCCACCAACCCGAATTCAGAGGTCAGAGCTGCTGTCCCACTGTGTTGCAGTCTGTCTCCCTTACTAAACTGTGAACTCCCTAAGGGGAGGGACTGTCTTATTCACCTTTGCAGGCCCGGCCCGGGACCTGGCACAAAATAAGTAATCAAGATGGGAGATCACAAGCTACGATGGAAAACTCTGGATCAAGATGCATACGGGCTTAAGATGGGAGCTCTGCCCCCAGTGGTTGTGTAGCCTATCTGAGCCTCAGTTTCCTTATCTACAAAATGGGTATGAGAATGCCTACATCAAAAAATTGGAGAAAGATCCGATGAAGTAGTTGCAGGTGAAGCACCAGGAAGATGATAATAAAGTTTTTAATAAATACTGTGCCCTAGCTGGGTGTGGTGGCTCAGGCCTGTAATCCTAGCTACTCGGGAGGCAGAGGTGGGAGGATCACTTGAGCCCAGGAGGTCAAGGCTGCAGTGAGCTGAGATTGTGCCACTAAGTGACAGAGTGAGACTCTCTCAAACAAAGCAAAACTAGATAGATAGATAGATAGATAGATAATCTCATGCCCTTGCTCTTGAAGGAGTGAAGAGAGGATTTGGACTGATATTGTTTGAATTGTAAGTAGGAAGGTTTGTGTTACACCCTAGCTAGGCACAGGTCTCTCTGGCCTGGGATTTGGATCAGAAGAAGGAATTGTTTCTAAACTGTGTGAATTGGAGCCACAGGACCCCACTGCACTGTCCAACAGGGCAAGCAGCTCCAAAGCTGTGAACTTGGGAAGCCAAGCCAGCCTTGGTCTCAGGCTCTGGGGAAGGGGCAGGTCCTAGACCCTTGGACTCTCCTGCACAGGGCTGGTTGTGGCTGGGGCCTAGTTGTGCACTGCGGACCAGGCTGCTGGAGATGAGTGGCTGGCAGATAATCCCAGTTGGTGCTGGCTTTCTGTGGTCAAGAGGAGAACTGCCCCTTCAGCTTTGACCTCTGCTCCAGTAATCATGGCTGTATTTTATTTTTGGCGGGTTCATCCTCTGGCATTTGGCAGGGCGGGGAGGGGAAGCGGGGTTGCCTGCGTCTCTTTGCTATTCCTTCTGGTCTGCTCAGTAGCTCCCCACCTCTCATCCCCCACCCCACCCCACACAATGTGGCCTGGTTTTCTCCCCATTGCAAGCTGCTTTATCATTTTTGCCTGTTCCCTGGCTGCTCTGCTTGTTTGAGAGTGGGGGTAAGACCTGGGCTCTCCCCATTCCCCTCCTCGGTCCATCACATTCCAGATGTCTTTCAGCCCCTCCTCCCATCTCCCTGAGCTTGGCACTTCCCCAGGAGGGCAGCCTGAGGGTCAGGGTCCATGGGCCGCCTGGGCATCAGGGGCCTGTGAGTGCCTGGCTCAGAGAAGGAGGAAATGGTGGGGGACAGAGGCCAGCTGCACTGCTGCACATTCCTAGCTTTGTGAATGGAAGCTCATGGCATTTGGTGTGTGACACAAGTCTGGTAGTCGGGGTCAGAATGAAAAGGTGTGGGATTTGTAGGGGAATTGGGAAGAAAATGAAGTAAGCTAACACTTCTTGCATAATTCATCCCTCCCTATCCCTGAGATGAGCACCCTCCAGGAGAGGCAAGAAAAACAAGAGAGAAGAGAAGAGAAGGGAGAGCAAAACCAGCCTGGTGGAAATGCTTTGCCCCTCTCCCTTCCTGCCTAGGGAACTGGCTCCCTTGTGCAGCCAATGTAGGTCAGGAGGGGACAATAGTTAGGGTCCTTTACCCAGATCCTCTAGGGAAAATGTGAGATCAGATTTGAGGAAGACACAGGTCACTGTCCTACAGGGATTTCAGAAAGAATAAGACACTGCGTTATCAAAGGTGGGGGATTTGGGTTATGATCAGAAATTTCCTTAAAAAAAATTTCCTGCCTGTCACACTTTTGTTTTTAACCCAGTTCACCTTCTTCCATGGATTTAGCAATAAGTTATGAAATTGATCTCTTCCCCTATAGCATGTCAGCTACAAGGGAGCTCAGAAGCAATTTAATTCTGCTCCTGGAATCTGTGGGTCCAGAATTTGGTGGACTCAACAGCTGGAGGCTGGAAGCATCCGGAGGGGTCTTTACTTTATGTCTGGCTGTTGGCTGGGACCTCAGCTGTGTCCCATAGCATGAGCACAGGGCTCTCTATGTGGCATGGGCTTCCTCACAGTATGGTGCCTTGAGGGTAATAGGACTTTAAGTTACAAATCGGCAGCTCAGGGCTCCAGAAAACCAGCATTGCAGTAAATAAGGCTGAAGCTGCATCACCTTTTTTTTTTTTTTTTCTGAGATGGAGTCTTGCTCTGTCGCCCAGGCTGGAGTGCAGTGGCACCATCTCGGCTCACCGCAACCTCCGCCTTCCAGGTTCAAGAGATTCTCCTGCCTCAACCTCCTGAGTAGCTGGAATTACAGGCATGCACCACCATGCTCGGCTAATTTTTGTATTCTTAGTAGAGACGGGGTTTTAGCATGTTGGTCAGGCTGTTCTCAAACTCCTGACCTCAGGTGATCTGCCTGCCTCGGCCTCCCAAAGTGCTGGGATTACAGGCGTGAGCCACCGTGCCTGGCCCGCTGCATCACCTTTTCTAATCCACCCTTGAAGTCTATATTCATTGGTTGCGATTGTGGTCACAAACCCATCCAGATTCAAGGGGAAGGGACAGAGATCCTACTTCCACTTGGGAGGAGTGTCAAAGAACTTGTGGCCATGGTGGGGTGGGGGTGGGGGTGGGAAGGTGGTAGGGGAAGCCATACCAGGCACCTTTGAGAGCTAAGCTTAATTAGCAGTAGCTCTAAACAGACTAGTCTACATTGTAATAGGGGTTTCTACCCTCAAGAGGCCTCATAAATTATATGGGGGCAGGGGGACTCAGAGAGCTAAAATTAGGCCAGGGTAAAAGAAATAGAGCCTATAAAGCAAATATGGATTTTAGGAAAAATAGAAAATATATCAAGACAGCTGTCTCTATGATCTTGTCCAATGTGGGAAGGACTGAGGGAGAACTGAGTGGTGGGATCAGATGGGTTTTAGGCTCTTCTGCATTGAAAGGGAAGCAGGTAAAAGATTAGCATTCTATCTGCCGCCATCCTTAGCCTACTGTCTTGGGGAAGATCTAGTAACCCTTCATCGCTCCCAACAACATTATTTTCACTATTGCCTTATAAGTCACCGCCCCCTCTACCACCAGTATACAGCTATCTTTATATGGTACAAAGCTAGGAATGTAGTCAATGCATTTCCTGTAGTGTGTATGGAAAAACAATTAATACTTACTATTTGTGCCCTCCCTGAGGTGTGGTTTTAAATATCCAGCATGGATAGTGTTGTGACTGAAAGGGCCTGGGTACATCTCTAGGGCCCCAGGTTCCCATTATCCTTGTCTCTAACCCCTGAATGGAGAGTTTGACTTCTAATTTCATGCTAGAGGTTTCACGGGCATAATTGTATTTGCCTCTGCCTTTGATCTGCTATTTGATCTGCTAGTTTATTGTGGGTTCGACTAGGAGACACAGATAGAAACGTGGTGGAAAACATGATTTTGTTTTGCTTGGGAATTGGCAGTTATTATTTTCTATGGCTCCCTTAACATGACACATCTTCCCTAAATCCAAAATCTAATCATTTTCCCATTTTTGAAAATCCAAAAGGCATGTGTACCCTCTGGCCTGCTTTCCTCTCCCCTCCTGAAGATTTCATTTTCAGTAAGACTTTGGAGGCATGACGTTCAGATTTTAGACCTCAGTGCAGATTGGAGCCCCGAATTAGTGTAATACACCTGGGTGAACTCTGCCACACCTGCC
This sequence comes from Homo sapiens, assembly GCF_000001405.40. Classification (NCBI taxonomy): domain Eukaryota; kingdom Metazoa; phylum Chordata; class Mammalia; order Primates; family Hominidae; genus Homo; species Homo sapiens. The sequence goes on along the minus strand of NC_000023.11, from coordinate 40,162,509 downwards.
CCTTTCCTGACCTCACCACGGCTTCCCAGGATGTATCTGGTTCACCCTAGCCTCCCTTGAGGTGATTTTGGGTCTGCAGGGCCAACTCCTATCCTGAGACCCAAACAAAGAAACCCAGATTCAGCAGGTGGGTCAGAACTAAGCGACATTCAGGGGATGGCCCTTGAAATAAGCTGGCTTCTCAGGCAGGGTCACTGTATTACATTGTACAGTTTGTGTACTGCACAAAGGTCCCCAGCCAAAACACAGAATAGGCTACTGGCAGCTCTGTTCTCAGGGCAAAGGAGAAAGAGATTATGTCTCTGATCCAGAAGAAAAGAGAAGGTGACACAGGACAGATAGAGGTCAAAAGGGTTTCTTGGGAGCACACTGGATCAGCCTAAGACTGGACCAAGCCAGTGTTGACCCAGCATGTTGGCGCGGTAGGCCTATATACACTCTCTTTGTTTTGTTACCTCTCATCTGCAGGCACTGGTTCGTAAGTTATTGGGTCCCTCCTAGGCCTTATTTGGAGTGTGGGTGGGAGAAGGACAGGAGTGTCACCCTACTTATGTGTCTTGTTTAGCCAGCAAGATGGGATTTGTTTCTTGGGCAGAGGGAGTTTCTTTGGTTTATGAATATGAAGATTTTAAGGCATATTGTTCACTGCAGACCGTTATGTACTTGATGTAGGTGTTTGAGTGCAAGACCCTAACAGGGCTAGGCGCGGTGGCTCATGCCTGTAATCCCAGCACTTTGGGAGGCCGAGGCGGGCGGATCACGAGGTCAGGAGATCCAGACCATCCAGGCTAACACGGTGAAACCCCATCTCTACTAAAAATACAAAAAATTAGCTGGGCGTGATGGCGGGCGCCTGTAGTCCCAGCTACCCGGGAGGCTGGGGCAGGAGAATGGCGTGAACCCAGGAGGCGGAGCTTGCAGTGAGCCCAGATTGCACCACTGCACTCTCCAGCCTGGGCTACAGAGCGAGACTCAGTCTCAAAAAAAAAAAAAAAAAAAAAAAGGGGAGAATCGGCCTGGTTTCTGGCTCACACCTGTAATCCCAGCACTTTGGGAGGCCGAGGCGGGCGGATCACGAGGTCAGGGGTTTGAGACTAGCCTGACCAACGTGGTGAAACCCCTTCTCTACTAAAAATACAAAAATTAGCCGGGCATGGTGGCGCTAATCCCAGCTACTCAGGAGGCTGAGGCAGGAGAATCGCTTGAACCTGGCAGGCGGAGGTTGCAGTGAGCCAAGATCGCGCCACTTCACTCCAGCCTGGGCGACAGAGTGAGACGACGTCTCAAAAAAACCCAAAAAACAAAAAAAAACCCCAAAAAACAAAAAAACAAAAATTAGCCGGGCATGGTGGCATGAACCTGTAGTCCCAGCTACTCTGGAGGCTGAGGTGGGAGAATCGCTCCAGCCCGAGAGCCAGAGGTCAAGGCTGCAGTGAGCCCAGATCGCACCACTGCACTTCGACCTGGGCAACAGAGACAGACCCTGTCTCAAAAAATATGTAAATAAATAAAAATTAAAAAAAAAAAATAAAAAAGGCCGAGTTCGGTGACTCACGCCTGTAATCCCAACACTTTAGGAGGCCGAGGTGGGCAGATTGCCTGAGCTCAGGAGTTCGCGACCAGCCTGGGCAACATGGTGAAACCCCGTCTCTACTAAAATACAAAAAAAAAAAAAAAAATTAGCCGGGCGTGGCGGAGTGTGCCTGTAGTCCCAGCTACTGAGGAGGCTGAGGCAGGAGAATTGTTTGAACCTGGGAGGTGGAGGTTGCAGTAAGCCGAGATTGTGCCACTGCACTCCAGCCTGGGCGAGAGAGCGAGACACCATCTAAAAAAAAAAAAAAAAAAAAAAAGTAGAGGATCATCTGAAGAAAGAAATTCCAATCAAAATTAAACAACTCCAAAAAGGAACTTTTCTAGTGTCAGTAATGGGCTGGTTGAGGAGGTCTTTGGGAGCCTTCTTTTTATTGATTGACTGATTTTTTTTTTTTTTTTTTGAGACAGGGTCTCGCTCTGTCGCGCCGCTGCACTCCAGCCCAGCCTGGGTGACAGAGTGAGACTACATCTCAAAGAAAAAAAAGAAAAAGTAATCCGGCCGGGCGTGGTGGCTCATGCCTGTAATCCCAGCACTCTGGGAGGCCGAGGCGGGTGGATCACGAGGTCAGGAGATGGAGACCATCCTGGCTAACACAGTGAAACCCTGTCTCTACTAAAAAAAAAATACACAAAATTAGCCGGGTGTAGTGGCGGGCGCCTGTAGTCCCAGCTACTCGAGAGGCTGAGGCAGGAGAATGGCGTGAATCCGGGAGGCGGAGCTTGCAGTGAGCCGAGATCGCGCCACTGCGCTCCAGCACTCCAGCCTGGGCGACAGAGCCAGACTCCGTCTCAAAAAAAAAAAAAAGTAATCCATGTCAACCATCTGATGGTGGAGGGGGATTTCAGATCTCTGTACCATACTTTCCCTTCTCCATTCTTACCATAGCACTAGAGCACAATGCCTTACTAAATTCATATCCAGTGTTTACTTTGTAACCACATATATATCATTCATTGCTGAGCCAAATGAGCTTCAGTGATTGCAGTTCCTTTCTTGTAAGATTTTTTTTTCCTGGAGTTAATAATTGCCTCATTTTTATATTTGCCTAATTTTCTTTGACCTATGACTACTTTTCCCATACTTTCCAACCTCTGTACAATTAATCTGAGGACAATTTTCTGCATGTCCAAATCTTGAAGACCATCTGCAAATGGGCTGATCTTTTTTTGCTTTGTGTTTCTTTTTTTAATCCCTATTTTCTTTAAATCTGAAAACTTTTTCAAAAAGTTTCCAATCTTCCATTTAGTTTTATTTTCTAAAACTTTTGGCCGGGCGCGGTGGCTCACGCCTGTAATCCCAGCAATTTGGGAGGCCGAGGCGGGTGGATCACGAGGTCAGGAGATCGAGACCATCCTGGCTAACACGGTGAAACCCCGTCTCTACTAAAAATACAAAAAAAAAATTAGCCGGGCGCGTTGGCAGGCGCCTGTAGTCCCAGCTACTCGGGAGGCCGAGGCAGGAAAATGGCGTGAACCTGGGAGCCAGAGCTTGCAGTGAGCGGAGATCGCGCCAGTGCACTCCAACCTGGACGACAGAGCGAGACTCTGTCTCAAAAAACAAAAAACAAACAAAAAAAACACTTTTATGAAATGCGGTGGGAGTTTTTACTGATTTCAAATGGGGTATTGTGTTTTGGTGGGAAATTGTGTCTGTCCCACCCAGCTAATGTCAAGAGCTGAGAAATTAATCCAGAGTTTCTGATATTTGATATTTTGCTTGGTTGAAATAAACTTTCATCATTTTTCCTAAACAACAACTTTTCAGAAGTAATGACTGTTAGCCCCGGGAACCGTGGAAATATTCAGTATTAGTAAATCTTTACCCTCCCCTCCCCCCCGAACTGATTCTACATTTTTAGAAATAAAGATTATTTTTAAAATAATTGGCCTTTACCCAGGCCATTTACTGCAAGATTCATGCCCTTTATTTACGTTCACCTCACGGTGCCTTTTATTTGTGTTCAGTCATTTACAAGTCTGCCTTTCCAACTAGATTGTAAATTACTTGAGGGGGCCAAAGGTGTCTTTTAAAAATTCACTTCTGTACTTTTGGATCCCCCTAGGTCCTAACACAGCGCCTCGCCCTTAGCAAGCGCTCCATAAATGCATGTTAAATTCAAAAAGTGGACAAATAAAGTTCCAGTGTTCTCCAATCAGGAGCCCTAAACCGTGGTAACTCTCAAATCCTCTCTGGCCTCAACAGCGCCCTGTGAACGGTGGGTAGGCCTCGCCCCCCACCCCCAGCTGCCTCGGCAGGTTGCCTCTGGGGACAGAGTTCTGGGGTGCGCGGGAGAAGCGATAACACGTTGACCATCGCGGGAGTCCGGGAACCAGAGGTCGTTTCTCAGGATTAAAATCCGCTCCAGCGTTTCGAGGAGGGGCGACACTACAGGCCACGCTTTCACCAGGGACGGCCGCCCCATCGTCCCCGACCTGGGTCAGCGTGGCCCGCAGCGGGGAGGGGGGCCTCGGGAGGGAGCGCCCCCCGGCAGCCCGGGAACGCCCGCGCGGCAGCCCCGGCCCAGCCTGCGGCTCCGCGGTCCTACCGCCGGGGGCAGCGCCGCCTGCGCAGCCGGGCCAAGATGGCGGCCGGTGCGCAGCCGCCCGCGTCCGGGGGAGAAGCGGCGACAGCCCCGTGTCAGCCGGGGCGCGCGCTGTCCCAGGGCGCGAAGCCGCTCCTCCTTTACCCACGGGGACCCCGAGGGCCAGTCCTGCCACTTCGTCCTGACAGGCCCCCTGCCCGGAGCCCTACCTGGACGGGCCCCGGCTGGGATCGGGACGGCCAGGAGGATGGCCGCCTGGCTAGACATGGTGGACAGGGGACCAGCGGGGACCACTGGGTGCCAGCCCCACACCCAAGCCATTTCTTCCAGCCCTGGGACACCTCTGGTGCGCAATTCGACATTAGTAACCGCAGGTAGGGCTTCATGCCCCGTAAAAACACAGGGCTCAAAGCACTTGAAATCAGGAATGTCTTGGAAAATCTGCTACTTCTGGTTGTGAAATCCACGGTATTCTCTAGTAAAGGCAGTAAAGGCTACAGAATATGTGCGGTTCCTCACATTTGCTGTGACATCGGTATGCGCGCAGTGTAGGCTGCCTGCCTCCTAGGACACTCCAAAACCTGAGGTCCAATTTACCAGAAATGGCATTGATGAATGCGGTGCATTCTGAGTGATCTCCCGCTGGGCTCAGGTTGGGAGGTCAGAAGGGCCCCCAAAGGGAGCAGCTAATGCAGGTAGAATCACAATGGTAGAAACAGAGAAGTACCCAGAAACGGTTCCCCATTACCCTTTGTAAACTGGGTTGACACCTCCCACTGGTTCAAGGTTCCAACCAAAGTTTGCATGTTGTTTATCAGCTCAGCTTGAGAGGCAGAATGTGAACTTTTTGGTTTTGTTTTGGTGAAATAGTCTTTCTGCATAACATTTGCACCGGCTTGTTATTCTTATGGAAAACACTTCCTCCACCTACCCTGGGCAGCAGCCACACCAGCCTTTACTTCCTTCTGCAGGCCCTCTTAATTACCTCTCTCTTGCTCCAGTTTAGGCAGCCCCCGGCACTTTGTTCAAGTACAGCAATAAACCCAAGACTGGGCCTAATCCTCTGTGGTCCTGACCTTCCCCACAGCGGGCCTGGAGTCTGGAGGGCCTGGAGTCTGGAGGGCCTTCCTGCTCCCCTGATTAGGGCCAAGGACGCAGCTTGATGTGTTTTGTGTTTTCTCCCCTCTGCACACTTGGTACTTTTCAGAGTGCTTCACTAAAAAATCAGATACAAGAAAAAGTTCACATCAGCCCTTTGGAGCCAGGCCTCCGTGAGCTGGGGTCACCCCACCACCAAGCCAACCATTCGACTTCTAAACTGTAGCCAGGGCCAATGGGTTACCGCTGACCTTTTGCACACCGAATTCCTCTCCTAGCGTTAGCTCGGGTGGCCAGGGAGCCTCAGCTGCACCCACCTCCTGCCCGGTCCAGTCCCGATGCCCCTCGCGGGAAGCGCGGTAACCTTAAACGGCACGACAGGCGGCTGGCCGAGCTGGTTCGGTGACGACTCCCTGGAGACAGCGGCTTCGAGCAGCAGGCCCCATCTGCAGCGCAGCTGAACGAGTTAAGCTGCCCCAGGCGTGAGCGTACCAGGCTGGGGCCTGGACAGGAGAGAACCGGCGGGGGGCCCCGGGGCGCCTAAGCCCTAGGATTTCCAAGTTGCAGGGGGAAAGGTGAACCTGACTCCCCTCCCGAAGGGCTGCGTGGGGGGCTCAGAAGACTCCTGTCAGGGGTTGGGGAGGCGCCTCGAAGCGGGGCCCAGAGTGAGGCTGCTGAAAGGGGGCCTGGGGGGTAGGCGGTGCGCCCTCGAGGCCACCTGGTCAGTAAAGGCGCTTCTGTGCTGTACAAGCAAGACAGCAGTTGTAGCACCCGACCCTCGGGCTCCAGTGGCCCACGGTGCAGGCGGGCAGGGGAAGAGTGGCTCTGCGCGCAGCCCCGGGTGCCCTAAGGTCACCTCCTCATCCCCTGCCGCTGCTGTGCCGCCCCAGCCCTACCCCCGCCCCGAAAAAACCCGGCCGCGCGGGCCAGAGCCTAAGCTGCACGGGCTCCTGACCCCGGCTCGCCAGGCTCAGCCCAGTCCGACCCCGCCTCGGCTTCACAAAGGCCACGTGCGGCCAGGGCCGACAAGGAACGACCACGACTCTCAGATCTTTAATTACGCTAGGAGTCCCTACCCTTCCCCCCAACCCATCGCCGGCTTCCAGCCCTTTAATCAATTTCACGATATTAAATATTAATTTCCTGCCAGCCACGGTTTCTCGGAGGAGGGGGAGGGGATGGGCAGGGCAGCTCCGAGGCTGGAATGGCTTTGCAGGGTGTGACCACGACAGCAGGGCGCGGAGGACGCGCGGATTCCTAAGTGAGCTGTGCCCAGAACTCGGAGCCACTGGGTTTTCGCTCTGTAGCTGGGGAACTTGGAGAGTTATGAGCGCCTGGGTGCAGGCCTCCAGGAGGGGCAGCGAGGTGCGCGGAGAGTCCGGGTGTGCTGGGCGACCGCCTCCTGCTCCGCGCGCCCCCCCTCCCCACCCCAGCCGCGAGTCAGCCTCACGCGGGCCCGCGGCGCGCTGCGATGATGGATCGCGCCTGGCGGGGGTGATTTGGTGTTGATCGCACATTATCACTGGCAGGTTGGACTGGTTGCTGATGGACGACTTCTAGCGGCGGCGGCAGCAGCGTCTTCAGACACCGCGCTGGGACTCGCTCGCTCGGCGAGGGTCTTTCCCCCCCCCACACCCCCTCCCTACTTCCAGGCGCCAGGAGGGCCTGAGAGTCCGAGTGGGGTCTCCTCGCGTCCAAGGCCGCCCGCTCCCGTCTGGGTCCGGGTGTGGGCTGTTGGCTGGGTGAGGAGAGGAGCCAGGACGCCTCTCCCACTTCCTCCCACTCCTCCTTCCCTTGCCGCCTGCTCCCCACCCCCTTCCTGCTTCCCCACCGAAACCCGGAGGCCCTGGGTCACTCCGCGGGTGATATCCACGCCGCCTGACCCTGGCCGCGGGGGTGCGGACTCCTCTGCTCCGCAGCCCCCGACCCTCTCCCCCGGTCGCAGCAGCCGCGGCACTGCGGTGCGCCCCTTCTCGCCTCTTTTTCTAAAGTGCCTGCAGATACAAAAGCGGTTTCGTAATGCCTTCCGTCTGCGAGAGCCGGAGGACCTTGGCTGACCTTTCGGAAACTGATTGCAACTGCCTGTTAACAGCCCGTACTGACCGCACTGAGCGGAGCGGAGGACAATCATTTAAGTGACAGACGGCGAGGTGGCCCCGGCTCAGTCGAGCGGCCTGGTTAAGCCCGCCCCGCCCCTCCCCCGACCCCCTCCCCTCCCGCAGCTACTCCCCCAGCCCCGGGCGCACTGCGGGCCGCGGCGGGCGCTCGGGCAGGCGGAGAGGACGCGCGCGCGCGTGCGTGTGTGTGTGTGCGCGCGTGTCCACGATTACCGGCCGACGGGTTAACCCTTTGCCGAGCAGCCGGTCCCTTTGAGGCCGGGTGCTGCCGGATTAATCTGCCATCTGCAAAAGAGGAATAACAGGGCCGTCTCCGCCGACTTTCCCTAATGGGTAAACTGTACCCTGTTAGCGTGACCCACGCTGCGTCCCTGCTGCTGCCAGGGAAAGATCCGGACCCTTGGCTCTTCTGCCGCGGCCCTGGGTCCCCTCCCTGCACTGCCCTTCCTCTGCACAGACACAGACACAAGGAACAGCACGAGGGGTCCAAAGGCTCCCAGGGGCTCGCGGTGCAGTGGACGTGGGTGTTCCCGGTGTTTTCTATTTTGGAAACTGGAGAAAGGTGGGGTGGGGGGGACGTAGAGAAAAGCCGAGGTGGGGGAGGGGAGGCTGGTGACAGGGCACCTCGGGCTTCGCTCGCTCCCTCTCTCGGGAGAGATCGCCAGCTGCTCTCCAACAGGCAGCGCCCTGAAATCTATTTAAAGAGAGGGAAAGGGGAGGAGAACAAAGGGGGAGGAGGGGGACGGCGAGCGGAGCCTGGGCGAGAGCGAGCGAGCAGGGAGGATCCGCCGCTCCGCGGGCACATCAAGCGCTCACATCTGTACACTCCGCGATCGATGGGGAGAATGGATAATATTTGTCAGCTGCAGACCTTTCTCTTCCCGGTTCCTGGGGAGGGGAGGGGGCGAGGAGGGGGAGGGGCGGGCAGGCCAGGCGAGAGAGGCCGCCTCAAGGACAGCGCGCTTCCCGCTGCAGCCACACGGAAACCCAGAGCCATGAAAGCCGGGGGATTTTTCTCTTATTATCATTATTAATTATTTTTTATTATTCCAGAGCAGCCAGCGAACGCTCGGTGGCGCCCCTCCCCCGCCGCCTCCCTTTGTTGATTCTCAGCTGCTAGAGCGGCGGGCCCGAGCCGCCACCGCCGCAGAGCACGATCTGCTCTTGCGCCCTCGGTCGCAGCTGCGGCCCAGGAAGCCGGGGCTGCGTCCCCGCCCCCTGCCCCCCACGGCGCGGCAGCCCTCGCACCCCCTCCTCGCCTCCCGCCACGAGGCCAGCCCTGCCTCTCCACTGCCTCTCGCTGCGGCTCCGAGTCCCCAACGCAGAGCAGAGGCACTGGCTGCTGCGGCCCCGAGCCTCCGGCCGCGCGGGGGCCTTTGCCACCCCCTAACCCCCGCGGCTGCACTCTGATGCCGCCGTCCTCACACATGGTCTTCATTTTGCACACTAGCGGCGTGCTTCCTCTCAGCTCCTCTCCTCGGGGCTTTTCGGAGCGAGGAGGGAGGTTTAGAGGAAGTTAGAAACCCAGCGAGCCCAGGGGAAAGGGGGAAAACCCTCGCTCTTAGTCTCAGCTTCCGAGGCAGAGGGAGCGCCCCGCGGGGGGTGGGGCAGAGTCTGGGTGCCCTCCCCTTCCTTGGATGCAGGAAAGGTTAAGTGAGGGGTGGCGGTCGGAGGAGCGACAGATTTGCTTTTGCTCATCCACATGCCTGCTCAGACCGGCCTGGGTATCACTGACCCGGCACTCTCGGAACGGCAGAACCCGGATGGGAGCAGATCCGCCAAGCGGTCATCAAACAAGACCAAAGACATTTCAGCTGTCCCCCACCCTCGGGCCTTGGGCGAGGGTGGGGGTGCCCCCTGGGTCTTTGCTTCCTCGCGCACCCCAAGGTTGGAAGGCCAAAGCCGACGCCTCACAGACCGGGGGTCCGGGCCCCCTCTCTAGGGCGGAGGTGTGCAGAAAGCTCTAGTGCGAGTTTACTTGCGGCCTGGCTACCCCCTCCCCCCGCCGCTGTCCTGCGATTCCGGGCCAGCCTGCGGCGGCGTCCCCGACTGCTCCGCGGTCCTGGGCAGGGCAGGAAGCTGGCACGGCCGACGGCTGGGCAGGCGCCACTTGGCCGGGCAGGCTGCTCGCTGGAACTCGCGCGGCACCTTCGCGCCGAATCGGGTTCCTGGGTCTCCAGCCCGGTCACCCTGAGCGGTTTCACCCCCCACTTTGACCATCGGCCTCCCGCGGAAGTCTCCCTGTCTCCTCCCGCCCTCTCGGCTTTTCCCTTCCTCATTCTGTCTCGGGAGCTCCTTAATGCAGTCAACCGCCTTTCCCGAGATTCAAAAAGAAGTTTTGTGTTTCCCCGGGGGCAGCCGCCTAATGCTTCCCTTGTTTTCCGGAACAAAGCAGACATTCAGTGAGGAGGGGGCAGGCGCTGACTCCCTCCCCTCCCCGCAGCACCCCGCACTCCTGCAGATTCAGAACGCTGGCTCCGGGGCCCGGGTGGCCTGGGGGTGGGGTGGGGACCCCCTTCCCCTAGGCTTGGCCACAAAAGCCTCGCCCGGTAGCCGGAGAGAAAGCGGCGTGGTGTTTGGGTGAGGTTCCCAGCCCGGGCGGGGAGGGCGTGCACGCGGCTGTTTACAGTGTGCCTGTGCTGCTGGAAGCTCACCCGCCGCCGCTTGACAGCGTGGGGCACCCGCTGGCTGCCAGCTCAGAGGAGATGCGCAGCGGCGAGCCCTCCAGCACTCCACCCGAGGCCTCCGCAGCGCCAGGGCCAGGGCGCGCTGGGAAGCTCCAGGTCTCCAACCCCGAGTTCCTTCGGCCCACATACCCCTCCCCGTAACAATGGCCTAGATCCGGTAGTATATCAAAGGGACGGGGTGGGGAGGGGTGAAGAGCGCACAAGGGGCGCTCAGGGCTGTCGAAGCGCCTGGGTTCTGAGCATATCCCCGCCGCCGCCTGTCCCCTTGCAGGACTAAATTCCCCGGCCCGAGTGAGCGAAAGACAAATACTCTAGTGACTTGGAGGTGTTTCTCTCTCCGGATACCCCCCTGCAACCCCACCAACCCCTACCCACCGTGCCCAGTGAACTTCTCTCCACCCCACCCCGTGGGGACCGCTGCACTAGCTGTGCCCACGAGCGCCAGGCCTTCTCGTCGGCGCAGCGCTGCCTTAGATCCCGCTCCACCTCTTCCCCTCTCCTGGGCCTGTGGCCGGCCCCTGGCGCCTCCAGCGCGGCCTGAAACTTGATCTCACGTCGAAAGGACAGTGTGTAAACACCAGGCGCGCTCCGAGAACCCACGGGAGGGGCCGAGCGAGGGCCGCCGGGGCAGCTCGAGGCCCCGCGCCCCCGCCTGCCTGCTCGCCCGGGACACGATCGGCGGGGCCGCCGTCTCGCTCTCTGCCTCCCCAGTTGGCTCAGCTAATTGGAGCCGCCGCCGCCGCCACCGCTGCGGCCTCTTGTTGAATTTTCTAGATCGCAACCGTTCAGTCGTGGCTGCCTGTCGCTCCCCTCCCCCTTCCACAGCTGTTACCTCTGCCGGCAACTTGGTGGTGGTGGGGACCCGTCCCCCCGCTGACCCTGGCCTCAGGCTCCGAGTTCACCCCAGCAGTTCCAGGGGGTGTTTTTCTTCGAGACGTGGGAAGGGAGGTAAAGCCTTATCGGAACTGTGAGGCTTCGTGCCAGAATCCAAGGCTCGGGTACTAGCCAGAGGATCCTCCCGGCAGAAGGCCATGGTCCTCCCTGTCTTACACCAGGAGGTAGTGACAGTCCCGGAGGGAGGGGCTCCAGGAACAACTCTGCTGGCGACTTCTGTTCATTCCAGGAAAACATTACAGAAGGGTGAGGTGATGGGAGGCAGAAAGATCCCCCCTCCCTCCTGCTTGCCCCAATCCCTGTCAGCACTTGGGCATTTGGGACTTGGTGTGTAGGTTCCTTCTGCAGCAGAGCTCACCTGCGCCTTGGGCCTAATCCACCCACATGCCACAAGGATGCTTTTCCTCTTGGTTTGGAGTACCTGGTGGGTCCAGGGGGGAAGTGCCACCCTTAGTGGGTTCTGGAGGTACAACTCCCCCATGCTGGGTCAGTTCTATGCTTGTACCAGGAGGCCCTCCTGGGCCTTGGTCCTTCCCAGCCATCCCCAGCCTTAGCCTCCTTTCCCCTTGGCCAGCTGTCTCATGCCTTAACCACACATCTGTGCTAGCTGCAAAAGGTCCCGCCTGTATGGATCTGTAAGAGGCCCAGAGCTCGGCCCCATGGTTGAGGTGGGAAGATGTGAAGCAGTTTGCTAGTGCAGGAATCATGAAGATATTGTTGATGATGGCAGAGCAGTTCCTGGTCTCCAGCATTGCCTTAGAATGGCTTTTCCTCGTGGTAGAACTTTCGCTAGTGGGTTTCACAGGCTCAGGGCCCAATCTTGTGAAAGTAGCTACACTCCCCAGCCCGGAAACACATAAATACACATAGGCAAACTCCCAGGAGGCTGGGTGTAGGAACCACCACCGGGGGGATCTGCAGCAGCCAGAGAATGTCTGCTTTTCCTGTGATGGTTCTGAGAAGGGCGCCTGTTCCCTCCCTTTGATGGTTCTCTGACAACTGTTAGGTAACAAAGAGTGGAGGCCACAGGCTCATTAACTGTCATTTTCCACCTCTTTCCTCCGCTTCTAACTTTTACCCAAATTACTACTTTGGAGTTTTCCTGAGGTGTTCTCTCCATCTATTTATAACTAGAGCAAGATTTCCAACTCAATCCTTATTGATTTAAACTATGATAAAAATGAATCCATAAAATTATTATTATAATTTGGTGTCTAAGATGACATTTCACTAGGTCAAGTTCACACAGTTTTTGGCATCTAAAATCCCCCAGGCCTTTCCAATCAGATAACCTAAGTGTGTTTCCCACTGTCAGTTTCTCTTCCCTTTCCGTAGTGGAAAAAAACTGAATCCTCTCAAAGATGTTTATTCTCCTTCACTCCTACCCCATCAGTCTGTGAGAACCTTGTTTCTGTTTAGGGTAAGGTATATTTCTATGTTTTGATAAAGAAGAGAGTAATACATGTTCCTCTTCAGGCCTGAAAAGATAATTATGCATCCTGGGAGCTTGCTCTTCTCCTGGCTGTTTAACGGACAATCTGGATTCTGGCTCTGGAGCAGGAATGCTTCGATGTCCCAGTCTCCTTCTCGTCCCCTTTCCTCTGTCACCACTCAGCCATCACCAGGCCTTTAGGCGGGTCACACGGCCTGAGGATTTCTGTTCTGAAGGCTCAGAGTGCCTCAGAAGATTGCAGCTCAGAGCCTGGTATCATGCATTCACATTTCTTTTACTGTGCAAAGCATATTCGGAGCCATTGGGATTCCTGTTCCATCTCTCTGAAAGCTTATGCCAAGAGCTCCCCATGGGGCCTATGGTGATGGATGTCATGAGGCCCAGGAAGGAGCCATCATGGTGGGAAGAGTTGAGAGCCTGCATGTAAGACTCAGACTCGAACCAAACCTAAGTGCAAATAACAAGGAAAAAAAGCAACTCCGCGCACCTGGCTGGTACCCTGCTTGGAAACAAACCGTACCTCCCCACCCTCCCATCTCAAAGCTAGTAGAGCCTAGGGGCACACCATTCCTTTGGCTTCCCTTTAGCTTGACCTGGGAATGGCGCAGTTAAGCATATCAGGAAGCTGAGATGCATCCACTACTCCTCACTTCCCCTGGCGCTGGGCTCAGCTTGGCTGAACTTGCCGTTCCTGTCTTTTTAGAAGAGCTGGTTGTGTTCCCGAAGCAGGATCGCACTGTGCCGCCTCCCCAGGGGTCCCCAGCTATTGATTTTTAATATCCGTATTCAATATTGTGTATTAAACATTGAATCCATGCACAAGAGGATGTGATGCAAATCACCAGCCGTGCCTGAGACTTTAATAGTTGTTTTATTGCCCGGAAACCACAGTTGGACGCAAGGCATCCTGCAGCCGAGGCTGGGGGTGGGGATGACAGGCTGAGAAGAGAGCTGAGCGGAGCGGAGCAGAGCAGAGGATACGAGATCTCTGAAATCCGCACTACTGAAGGCACAGCCAGGCACTAACAGCTCCCCCCAGGCAGGCTGGTGGGGGGCCGGCTCCAGGCTGTTGTGGAAAGAGCAGGGGCTGTTGTGTGAGACCCGGGCAGAGGAAGAGGTGTGGGGCTGTGTTCTTCCTTCCTGGACTTCCCTAACTGGACTGTGCATTCCTGTCCGGCAGTCCTTCCCCTCCATGCAGATGCTCACCCAGAAACACATACACAACGATGGAACAGGAAAGTTAACTTTGGGGCAGGAAACCCCAGGCCTCGGGCCTCTTCCACCACTCTTCGCGCTGTGACCTTAGCACAGACCTCTCTCAACCCGCTGGGCCCCATTTCCCTCCTTTGCCAATGGGGGTGATGCTATCTGTCCTACTTCCCTCACAGCGCTGGTGGTGAGGCTGCCGCGGCACATGAGATAATATTCGGGGAAAAGGCTTTTGTAAATTGTCAGGCCCCACGTAGGCAGGCTGAGGGATTAGTGCTGGCTTTCCCTTTATACTCCCTCTCTCCTGCAGGCTGTGTCTCCTGGCTGCCTTCTTTCTCAGACATGGGCCTCCTCCCCCATGAAGGGCCCTCTCTTCTGTTTCCTCGGCCACCTCTGCTTGATCTCTCAGGCTTCCTGCTCTGCCTGGACTCTGCATTCAGGCTAGGCAATCCGGTTTGGAGGAGGCCCAGCAGGGAGAAAGGAAGGGTGAGAACGACTGAGTGTGTGGTGGGGGTGAGTGCAGCAAGTGTGTTTAAAGCCAACAGCCTCGGGAGGGAGGAGAAGCACACTCGGTAGCTGCGGCCCTGGGTTGCGGAGCCCGCGGGGGTGGGGCCGTGGGTGGGGGGCGTTGATCCGCCCCGTGTGCGGACAAGCGGGAGAAGGGTTGAGGGAAACCTGAGTCTAGGAGTGTCTTCACGTTACACTGTTGCTGGTTATGGGAAGTCCAGCTTGAATCCCGATTGCTGGAAGGCTAGGGTGTGGGCAGTGCCTTCAGGGTATTGCAATTGCGAAGGCCAAATGGAAATGCGGTGGAAAGTGGCAGCCCTCCAGCGCCGCCAAGTCAGATAAAAAGTTGCCCGAGGCCCTGAGAGTGGAGGCACCAGCTCTCTGATGGCCTTGTAGACGCCCTGAGAACAGTCCGAGCTCCTCAAACCCGCTACCTTTGTCCTGGGCTCAAGGAGGGGGCGGAAACCAGAGGGGCCCGGATTCTTGAAGACCTCCCCTGGGGACCCCACTGTCTGCTGGGAAGGCCTCAGCCAACTGTAGGCCCAAGCCCTACAGAGACCAGCTCTGGCAGGAAGTCATGCCAAGAGTCTGTGTCCGCGTCCTTAGGCGTGAGAATGGGGCTATGCCAGGCTGGGCCTGGCTGCGCACGCCTCCGCTTCGGGACTCGGGCGGCTGCTGCTGCCTTCGTTTTCGGGTCTTCGACCGAGCCTCCCTGGCTCTCTACTCCCGCTTTGTCTTGCTGTCAGCTTCTCGCCTGTCCTCGCCAGTCTCCTAGGTCGGCGGGTCGCGCTCTGCCTCTCCGAGTGCGTCTTTGCGCACATGTGGCGGTCTTCCTGCAACCTGGGTCAGCTCGGCCTCTTCCCGCGGGGTACTTGGCTTTGCCTTTGGATCGCTGCGAGTGTCCACTTCTTGCGCTCTCCTTCTCCCCACCTCGCCTTAGGCAGACGCATCCCGGGCTTGGCGGTCCCCCAAACAGAAATATCCCCGGGTTTCTGGTTTAGCTCCACCAAAACAAACTCGAGGGATTGGGGTATCCTTCACTTGCGTTTCCCGCTTCTCTCAGCCCTAGGCCGAAACTGGAGGGTTTTTTTGTTTTGTTTTGTTTTAATGAGACCTACTTTGCAGAGTTGACGGGGAACATTTCTGCGGCAGACTTCGAGGTCTGTGGCGCTCTCCCAACTTTCAAGACTGTAAGCCGCCAAGAAAGAGAATTTGGGTACATGATTTTGCCGCTGATGTGGGCTGGGACGAGGGTATCCAGAGTGCACGTGCATGTGCGGATCGCAGGGACTCTCGGTGGATTAGCCGCCAAAAGCTGGGGAGCGCCGCGTATGGACGCTAGGGCTGGGGGCCAGCGGGGACCTACAAACACCCCAGGCGGCCGAGCAGGTGAAGGAAACGTTCCGAGCCCGCCCCCTCCTCCCGGGCCCGCACGCCGCCGGCCTTTGCGGCGGAAACACGGTCCAACTCCTTGAAAGTAAACTTGCCGCCAGGGGCTAGGGGCGCGAAGAAAGGAGGGGGCTGACAGCGGTGTCTGCGTCGGGGAGGCCAGGAAGGCTTGTGTCAAATTTCAGCCCCCAATGACACTCGGTGGCGAGGTGCCAAGGCCCTGGGAACGGCGGCGGGGGTTCTGGGTGAGAGTGATCGCGCCGCAGGGCCCAGCTTGCGAACCCCGAGGCGCCCGCAGGGCCTAGGGAGGCCACGGGGGCGGGCGCGGCGGGCGGGGAGGGGGCGCTCCTAGAGCCTCCTGAGCGGAGCGGACGCAGGCATCTTCCGCAATCCATTCATGCACTGAAGCGCGTGCAGAGCTGCTGATCGCTGCCATTGTTACTCGCGGGCGGTGTGGGAGCTGAGCCTCCACTCTGGCGAGAGATAAATGGCCTCTGACAGCCCCTCCTCGCCAAGAGAGCTCCTCGGATTTCACCGCGCGGCGGCTCTCAGGTCTGTGCCTCGCTCGCTTCCCGGTGAGAACCTTTAAATCAGCCTCTCGGCCCTCCCTCCTCCCGGACACTGTCCCCCGCCCGCTCAGGCCCCGGCAGGGCCCCGGGCGCGCTGTGTGCAGTCTCGGGGTCCTCTCCCCACCTGGGGGTTAAACAGAGTGGGGGCGCAGGGAGGACCTCAGGGCCGTGGGGGGAGGCACCGGGCTCCCCAGCCCCGGCTCCGCGCCTCCGCGGGAGCGGAGCCCCGCGCCCCGCCTCCGCGCCCACGAGATGGATCAGGCTACCGTGCGGAGAGCGGGCTGTAAATATTTAAAAAGTCTCTCGCGCGCCGGCAGTAATGGCTTTCGCAGTCGGAATGTGTGCTAGGGGAAGAGGAAGGGCGACGTGTACTGTGTTGCAGGGTGGGGAATTGTTCCTACGCTTCCCCTTAGGTCCGGGGTGGGCTGCATGTTCAGGCTTCCCGATTTCCCGCCCTCCGCCTCTCCGCCGCCGCGTCCCACGATAGCATCGAGAACGCCAGTCGACAGGGAACTTGAGCATAGCCGGGCAACAGAGGCCCGGTCGAGGTGACCCCGGAGCCACCCTCCCCACCGGGGTCTCCCAAGCTCGTGGGTTGCGAATGGTCCCAGACCCCTAATCCGGGTCCGCTTCTCGCTGCTGCACAGGGGAGGGCGGGAAACGCACAGATTGGAGCCCCCTGAGTTTGGGTGGTCGCAAAAGCCTGGGCCGGGGTTTCTGCAGAGGGGGCCTGGACCCTGTTTGTGCCTTTGCTACCCTCCCCAGCCGCTCTTAAACCTTGATCCGCTCTCCAGGAGACCCCCACCCCTATCTGAATCTGAAAGTAGCTTTGTGGCTGCTGGGACCGAAACCTGGGAGGAGGCAGCACGGAGAGTTTGGGGCGGGGAGGGGGTAGCCTCCAGGCTT
This sequence comes from Homo sapiens, assembly GCF_000001405.40. Lineage (NCBI taxonomy): Eukaryota > Metazoa > Chordata > Mammalia > Primates > Hominidae > Homo > Homo sapiens. The sequence continues at coordinate 40,145,544 of NC_000023.11, read as the reverse complement.
AGTGGAGGTCACACGTGGACCTGAACGGGGACTCTTTTGCCTTTCTGGTGAGTGTGGGCCTGGGATCTTTAAGGCCAAGCCCTGCCGGATGGTAGAGGTGGGGGAGGGGGATTCAGCCTTCTCGGCTTGGCTGGGAGAGACTTAATGGGCCCACCACAGGGTGTGTGTCGGGTGAGGTTGTCCCCTTTGCCAGCGGCCACTCCCTAGCGGGGCGGAGGGGCTGAGTTGCCCAGAGCTGGGGCGGGCCGGGCGCCGCGGGTTCGCGCGGAAGGTTCCAGGGGTGTGGGCCCAGTCCGGAGCTGTTCGCCTGCGCCCCGCCGGCTCTGGGACCTGCCAAAGTGTGGGTGCTGGCGGCGTGTCAGGACGCGCCAGGCTGCTCTCCGCGTTCGAGCGCTGGGAGCTCCCGACTCCTGGCAGCTCCGTGCAGTCCTCTTCCAGGGGCTTGTGTTGCGCCCTTCTCGCTTGTTTGTCTCGTGTGAGCCTCGTAAACCGCCTTGATTTATTACCCAGACTAAATGCTTAATTTGTGAATATGAAACAGATTAAAAGGGGCGGGGGGAGGGGGGTTGAGGTCGGCATATTTTAGCAATCAGACCAAAGCAGCTCGGCAGATGTTTCAAATTTGTCGACATTTTCAGGCTCATGTGGAAAGCCAGCCAGAGTGGTCAAGAGGTCCTTTCTCCTTCCTTCAACCTGAGAACTTGGCAGTGATCAAAAGGAGGTGATTAGTAGCTACAGAGAAAAAACACCAGCAGGCAAGGAGTTAACAGAGACTGAGCCGTTCACCTCCAGGATTGGGATTTGGCGGGGAGGGGGGGCGGTCACAAAGGCAAGAGGAATCCTGGCTAAACAGGCGCAAGTCGTGGAAGCCAACTCTGAAGAACAAAGTGGAGGGTCCGTTAAAAGTTAATTCAGTAAATAAACTTCATTGGTGATAAAACAAATAAGAAAGATGGAAACTCCAACTTAAAATAGCCAAAAGATAAGAAAAATAAATCGCTTTTATGTGGCCTGAACATGTGCATGTGTCTTTGGTCAGGTCCCCGCAATGATCCACCTAACAAAGGCCTCTCCTGAGTACCCTCTCCCTTTGAATACCCCACATGTATAGCCAGTGTTTTTTGGCGTTTGTCATTTTGGGGCAACTTCACACATCAAAGGCGAGCACCGTTTTCTTTTCAGCTCCCTGGTTCCAGCCACCCAGTGAAGCAGATACAATTTCTATAAATTGGCCTTCTTCTCCAGGTTTCGATTGATCATCACCATATGAGATTACTGAAAGTCTAATGTCTTATTTCACTTTCTCCAAGGAGTGAGGAGGGGAACAGTTTATTGAAAGTCAGGCCACGTGAAGACTCTGGTGTTGTGCAATAGTAATTTCCATTAGCCTGGATTTATCAGCCTCCTGATACTGCCACCTGATACTGCAGTCTCCTGCAGGTTCCTTGTACCACCTTCCCTCTTCCCCTCCAGGTCTCAGCATCTGTCCCCATGAACAGGTAGAGTTCAAACCGGAGCCTTCCTATTGGTAAGGAGAAAATGGCTGATGACCAAAAATTAGGAAACAAAAGATTTGTTGTTGTTTCTCAGGACGGAGTCTTGCTCTTTTGCCCAGGCTGGAGTGCAATGGCCCGATCTCGACTCACTGCAACCTCTGCCTCCTGGGTTCAAGCGATTCTCCTGTGTCAGCCTCCCGAGTAGCTGGGATTACCAGGCACGCGCCACCAGGCCCGGCTAATTTTTTGTATTTTTAGTAGAGACGGGGTTTCACCACATTGGCCAGGCTGGTCTCAAACTCCTGACCTCGTGATCCACCCGCCTCGGCCTCCCAAAGTGCTGGGATTACCGGCGTGAGCCACCACGCCTGGCCAAAAGATTTGTTTTTTAACATATTTGTTATAACTTAAGAATCCCCTCTTTGGCTTTTGTTTCCTACTCCAAAGTTTTTTGTTCCCCTTTGGCCTTGATACCATCTTTCGTTTTATTAAAGTTGATTATGGTTCCTCTGTCTTGTCCCTAGCCAGACAAAGGCTTAGGAGAAGTCAAAGGACGTGTTAATTATGTTTCTTGTAAACTGACTTTTCATTTCCCCCTAACACATTTAGTTGGCTTGGTGTTTAGTTTAACAATCAATTGCTACAAATATGCTGCTTAAAAATGCTGCTTTTATTAAAACAAATAAATGAATTCAAAGACCTTTCTAATTTCAACTCGTGTGGGCTAGAAACAGAAGAGAAAATCGAAAGCAAGAGAGAGGGAAAGGCGGCAGGGAGGGGAGAGAAAGGAGACCAGGAAACACACACAGACACACACACACACACACAGACACACAGCATTCCTGCTGCCATCCCTCCGGAAGCCATGTTAAACTGGTCCATACAATTGTCCCTGGCTGCCCCCTGCAGCTCGCCAGTCCTTCTGGATTTTCCATCACTTGGCGCCTAAGGCGATCATTAGCTGAGAATGGACAACCTCCTCTACCTGCCGGCAGCTCAGCTCGTCATTTACCAGCCAGGGGAGGCTGGCCCCATTTGCTCAACCCGAGAGGGGTCCTTGGTTTTTGCCCCTGGGTGCATTGGTGCCTAATTAAACTCTATCCAGGGCAACGTGCACTAAATATACGTAGGCTGAGAGGAAGCTGGGAGGAAAAAGCAGTCATTACCTAGGAAGAGAAAGTGAATCTTCCGAGAGAGAGGAGGAAGGACCCCTGCGATGGTGCTTTCTGTTTACCCTCAGCAGAGCCTTGGAGTGCATGTTCACTTGGGTGCTGAAATCAAGGAGAAATGGAAATCGGGAAAAAAATCCATAGCCCACACATACCTGAACAGGGCCTATGTCACCACAGAGCAGGAGGGAGGTCTGCTGTAGCTCCAGACAGTGTTGGCTGCAGAAAAATGACTCAGGTGCCCTTGTGGCATCGGAGTTATTGCTCATGTGCCACGGCCCCCTCACGCACAGGAGCTGGAGCTGTATAAATGGCCGTGGGGACAGAAAGGAACAGATGTGTCAAGAGTCCAAGGACTAGGTGTGTGTTGTAAAGCCAAACAGATGGTGGAGGAGCAGGGGAGAACCTTCAGCTGAAGGCTAAAGACCCTACTAGCACCTGGGCCCAGGCAGGATCGAAGTGACCCAACCTGAAGCTAAAATGACAGCCGGCAAACAAGAATGTATGCAGATGTCATACAAGAGCCACCAGGGCTTTAATTGAGCTCTGTTTAACCCAGTGGAGGAAATCAGTTGAGAGGGTGAAAACACTAGCTCAGGGTGACATGTTTGTGGCAAAAGAGACCAGAACCCAGAGCTCCCAGCTTCAGAAAACAGCCAGAGGAGGAAAGTGACTGCTGGTTAGAGAAAGATCCAGAGTGCTCTTGGTCACTGAAGAGGCCTGGTATTTTAGTCATTTGGCATTTATTAAGCACTTGCTGTGTGCAAAGCACTATGCTGGCATCAAAGGGGGCTACCAGCACTATGAGCCCTCAAAGGACTGAGCAGGGAAGACTCTCCCCTTTATATGTGCCTGGTGACAAAGGCCATGAAAGACAGTGGGTGAAGGGGCTGGGGAATGGGAGGAGGAAGCCAACCACTCTGGGTTCCACTCTTGAAGATAGCAGTTTACAGGTGGGCATCGAGGCCAGAGGGCAACCTGTAGCAATGGACCCCTCTATGGCCTCCCTGAGCCAAACCCTACCTGGCTAAGCACCTGCGCCTGTAAGATTGTCCTCCCAGTGGTGGGAGTGCGAGAGAGGCCATCTTCACTTCCCCTTCCTTGGAGGGCCTGACTTTGTTGCCCTAGGCAGGCCAGGAAACTTATTCTAATGCCAACGAAGGAGGCAACTTTTCTAGCTAGAAAAGCACACGCTACAGCTCTCTCTCTTGCCCTGAACAAGCAGAAGAGCACAGCTTATCCCCAAAAGCTCCTGGACAAATGTAGGCTCTCTGGGGGAGCTGGTAAGGGAATACTGCCTCCCTTAACAAAACAAACCTGAGAATCTCCAAGGTTTAGCACTGCACACGGAGTCTCCCAGCAGAGAAGGGGGCTAGCTTAAGTGCCCCATGCATTCCACCTGCCCCTTGGGGCGCTCTCAGTGTGATCACAGGTGCCCTTCCTCAAGCCATCTGGCCTGGGCCCAGCCTCTGCTCTTGGTTTCCCTAAGCAGAGGCGAAACACGCTGGAACCTTCAAAGCACATTCCTAAACACTAAGAGAGAGCTGTGGGGAAGTGAAAACAAAGAGGCCAAGGAGCGCTGGAGCAGTTCAGCTTCCAGAGTCTGTGGGCCAACAGGGCTGGCTCAAGTTCAGTCAGACTTACTGGCCCTGGGCCAACCAGAGCTGGCAGCGTGCCCTCTTCAGCCCACTGCTCAGGCCCCGTCGCCCCCCAAAAACCTGGGCACACCCCAGAGCAAGCCCAAGCCCCAGGAAGCCCTGCTGCCCCTTGGCAGCCCTCTCAGACCACCCCCTCCCCCTTCTAGTTGTGGGTTGCTAGTTCCAGAGCCAGGGAATGGCTTCCAAAATCCCTTCACCCAGAGCTTCCCAAGAGTGAGTGGGTTGCCAATGGGTCAAGACGGGGATCCCCCAGCCCCTCAGAGTGAACCAGGGGTGACCCAATTCCTTGGCTGGCAGCTTCAGGCCATGTTGGGCAATTGTGGACACTCGGTCACTGTTTAACTTTGTGCAACAGAAAAATATCACATTCTGTGCTGAGAATCACTGCTCACTTGTCATAAGTGTGGCATCCATGCTCCAAGAGTTACCCACACATACGAATAGGAAGGATATTGGACCACATGGTCCTTCGTGGATGGTGAACACAGCATAGTCAGTGATTCAACTAGCATTCGTTCAAGCCTCTCTTGTCTGTCCTGCACTGTGCTTGTGGCTGTTGGGGTGGCTCGGGGAAACCCCCGGTTAACAAGACCCAGGCCCCTCCTTAGAGAACATAAAGTCTCCCCAAGAGAGATAAGCCCCATGGAGCTGAAAACTTCATTGTGCTTACACTAAAACCAGGAGAAAGAGCAATCCCTGGTATTACTCCTCAGGCATAGTTTTTTGGTTTTTTTGTTTGTTTGTTTGTTTGTTTTAAATGGGGTCTCCATCTATCTCTTGCTGAGGCTGTAGTGCAGTGAGGTGATCACAGCTCACTGCATCCTCGACCTCCCAGGCTCAAGTGCTTCTCCTGCCTCAGCCTCCCGAGTAGGTGGGACTACAGGCATGTGCCACCACAGCTGGATCATTTTTCTTTTTTTTTTTTTTGTAGAGACTGGGTCTCACCATGTTGCCCAGGCTGGTCTCGAACTCCTGGGCTCAAGTGATCCTCCCGCCTCGGCCTCCCAAAGTGCTGGGATTACAGCCGTGAGCCACTGCACCCCGCTTAGGTATATATATATTTTTTAAGCCAAAGGTCTGATGGTGTGTTTCTGCCCACTTTACACATAAAGCTGGGAAACTAAAGACTCCCTCATACTCCCAGCAGCTGACCTGCTGAATGGGACTTGGGAGCTGGGAATTCCGTGCTTTCTCTCCAAAGGGTCCGCCCAGGTGACATCAAGTTCATGGCAGATGTTATGGGTAACACCTGCACTTGGCAGAAAATTCTAAGGCTATAAAAGGATGTTTGGTGCCTCTCCCACCCGCATTTCTCAGTCACTCAGTTTGCCTCTCTGAAGGCAACCAGTGCTCCCAGTTTATTGCTTACTCTTCCCAAGATAGTCTATTAAGGCTGATTTTTTTTTTTTTTTTGAGACAGTCTCGCTCTGTCACCCAGGCTGGAGCGCAGTGGCACGATCTTGGCTCACCGCAATCTCTGCCTACCTGGTTCAAGCGATTCTCCTGCCTCAGCCTTCCGAGTAGCTGGGATTACAGGCGTGTGCCACGACGCTGGGCTAATTTTTTGTATTTTTAGTAGAGACAGGGTTTCACCGTGTTAGCTAGGATGGTCTCTATCTCCTGACCTCGTGATCCACCCACCTTGGCCTCCCAAAGTGCTGGGATTATAGGCGTCAGCCACTGCGCCTGGCCTATTAAGGCTGATGCTTAAAAAAAAAAAAAAATATATATATATATATATATATATATATATATATATATATATGTATATATATTATATATATATATATATATATGTATATATATTATATATATATATATATATATGTATATATATTATATATATATATATATTTTAAATTTTATTTTGAAAAAAATCCCAAACCCACAGAAAACTTGAAAGAGCAGTACAATGAACACCCATATATGAAGGCAGGTTTTCAAAAGCATTATATTTATTCAACACGCCTACCCTTGGAAAGAATTCAAAACCCCTTCAAAGGTCTGAATTAGTTTAACTTTATCTTAAACTGTTACTTAGGAGTACTTTTCCCTCATAGACATGTTGCCTGCTTGTTCATCCCCCTCCTCCCAGCCCCCAGCACCTTATTAGTGTGCCTCGTGCATAGTGGGCATTTCCTAAAGCTTGCAGGATTAAATAGCGAAGACTATGTCGTAGTTAGTATGGGGGAGCCAGACTGTCTGGGTTCAAAACCTGGCTCTACAACTTGACCAGCTGTGTGACCTGAGGCAGTTACTCTCGCCACCTTACTTCCCCCATCTGTGAAATGGAGGGTAGTGATACAATATATTTAATGATGTTGGGAGGATTAGTTGATGGACATAAAGCATGTAAAATAGTGCCTGGGCCAGACACGGTGTCTCACGCCTGTAATCCTAGCACTTTGGGAGGCCAAGGCGAGCAGATCACCTGAGGTAAGGAGTTCAACAGCAGCCTGACCAACATGGCGAAACCCCGTCTCTACTAAAAATACAAAAATTAGGCAGGCGTGGTGGTGGGTGCCTGTAACCCCAGCTACTCGGGAGGCTGAGGCAGGAGAATCGCTTGAACCCGGGAGGCGGAGGTTGCAATGAGCCGAGATCGTGCCACTACACTCCTGCCTGGGTGACAGAGCAAGATTCCGTCTCAAAATAAATAAATAAATAAATAATAAAATAGTGCCTGGCATCTAGAAAGTGCTTAATAGGTGTTAGGGACACTTGAGACTTAAACACACTTGGTATTAACTTTGCTTTGGTGATTGCATGTAAGTCATTTGGCCGAGTTGATGGCCTCCGAGTTTTCCTTGGTAACCATGAGAGAGACCCAAGAAAACCGGGAATGTGGCTTCGTAGTCGTCCCTCGCCTGAGAGGATTGCCTACGCTCAGCACATAAGTAGCAGGGGCTTCTTGTGACCAGTTTCCACTCATGGAGAGTTTCTAGCTGTGCTTATTAAAAAGATATTTGAGGCCGGGAGTGGTGACTCACGCCTGTAATCCCAGCACTTTGGGAGGCCAAGGCGGGTGGATCACCTGAGGTCGGGAGTTCGAGACCAGCCTGACCAACATGGAGAAACCCCGTCTCTACTAAAAATACAAAATTAGCCGGGCATGATGGCGCATGCCTGTAATCCCAGCTACTCGGGAGGCTGAGGCAGGAGAATCACTTGAACCCGGAAGGCGGAGGTTGTGGTGAGCCAAGATAGCGCCATTGCACTCTAGCCTGGGCAATAAGAGTGAAACTCTGTCTTAAAAAAAAAAAAAGATATTTGGAGGGAAAGTCGCCCCCCGTCCACTTCCCTTTTATAGCCTGGCTAGTTGCTGCCCTGCTAATAGAACCATCTTTGAAGAAAGAGCTAGCATTTGTTTTACCCACAGACCGGTAAGATCTTCTCTCTCAGGGTGAAGCCTAGGCTCACAAAAGCCTGAGATCAGAAAGTCAAGGGTTAGAGAGAGCAAGTAGGTGCAACCCCAGAAACCTCCACTGTCTGGCAAGCCAGAGAGTCTTGGGGCCCCCCAACAGACAAAGTTGTCTGGAATTTTCTTCACATAGGAAGTGTAGAATGGTAGATGTCTTAAGAGCCAGAGGCAAGAGAGGACTGGGGAAAGATAAAGGAATTTGTTTATTTTATTTTATATTTTATTTTATTTTATTTTATTTTATTTTATTTTTGAGATGGAGTCTCACTCTATTATCTAGGCTGCAGTGCAATAGCTCCATATCGGCTCACTGCAACCTCCGCCTCCTGGGTTCAAGTGATTCTCCAGCCTCAGCCTCCCAAGTAGCTGGGATTACAGGTGTGTGCCACCACACGTGACAATTTTTGTATTTTTTTAGTAGAGACGGGGTTTCACCATGTTGGCCAGGCTGGTCTCGAACTCCCAACCTCAGGTGATCTACCTGCCTTGGCCTCCCAAAGTGCTGGGATTACAGGCGTGAGTCACCGTGCCCGGCCAGGAATTTGTTTAAAGGTATACTCTGTGCTATAAAATACTGCACCTAATGTTAGGCTTTGACGGCTATAATATCTGACTTTGACATTGAGGTGTATCTGCCATATAATTTAATTAACGTGTGATGCCGGCACAATGCCAGAGAGTCAAACATTCTGACAGCTCTTGGAAGCCACATAAGTCCCTTTGAAGTTCCCCCCAGTGAAGTGACACACAGAGAAACCTCCTATGGTTGAGGACAGCCCCTGATACGGTATCCAGAAATTTAGCTGCGTCTTGGTTATATTGGATGGCACTGGCAAAGCCACCTGCTGGTTTGCCACAGTTCTGGAGGTCTGCTGTGGTTTCTAAGGGCCCCAACCATGGAGACTGGCTCTTTGGGGAAGAAGAACTCATTCTTCATCAGGGACAAAATTGGGAGGTCTCCTGTTTGCATATTTTGTTCTACAAAATGTTTTTTTCTTCCTCAACTTTGCTTAGTGCAAAGTCATTGAGCTGCACACAGGAACGTAAATTAGGTAAGAGGCATATTAACCAAGGAGAAAAAAGACCATAGACATCTATTTTGCACATAATTATTTAACACCCACCATACGCCTACCAAAGCTTTGGACATTTATAGCAGGAACAAAAACAATATCTTGGACATCATAAAACTACATTTTACTGGGGAGAGAAAAAGTACATGAGCAATAAAAATATATAATATTGCAGGTTGTAATAAATACTCGGAAGAATTAAGAAGGGTGTGAGGCTACAGAGAGATGGAATGTTCTTTTATGTAGTTAGTTATTTCTATCTACAGCAGGTAGAACGAGTGTTCTTTTAGATGGTAGGTTGTGCAGTATGAGCCTTGGGTTGACCGAGTAACGTGCTCAGGCGATATATCAATAAGCTCTTGTCACAACACTGTTGTATCACAAACCACCTCAAAACATCAGTAAGCACTTATTTCCTACATACATGTCAGTGGGTCACCTGTGGTTCACTGGTCTAGAATGTGCTCAACAGGGCTTGACTCCAAGTGTGGATTGGATCTAAAGCTGCTCCACGTGTCCCTCATCTTCTACGGACAAGTGGGCTACCTGGGACATGTTCTTCTCATGACAATGGCAAAAGTGCAAGAGGGTAGAGTGCAAATGCAATGACTCTTAAGTCCGGGACTCAAAATTTGCACACTGTTACTTCTGCCTACATCTATTGGCCAGAAGAAGTCATGTGGCCTGACATCGGTGGGATGAAGAGGCATGCTCTACCTCTAAAAGGTGTGGACACAGGGGGAGGTGAAGCACTGGGAAGAGTAATGCAATCTGAAACAGGTGTTTCAAACCAAAACTATGTATCTCTAGCTGTGACATTTATATATACAAACACATATATCAAATGATAAAACGACCCTTGTTGAAACCTTCAGTTTTAGATTAAATTTAAATAAATCCATGCAATAATTACATTACCCTCCCCGAGATGGTTTATGATGTCACCAGAGGCTTCTGGGTCATTGCCGCCAATCTCAGGAAACCTGGGAAGATGGGCCACCGGCCATCCCAATGCTGAGAGACAAAAAGGCCATGAAGGGCCGGGCGCGGTGGCTCACACCTGTAATCCCAGTACTTTCGGAGGCCGAGGCAGGCAGATTACCTGAGGTCAGGAGTTCGAGACTGGCCTGGCCAACATGGTGAAACCCTGTCTCTACTAAAAATACAAAAGTTAGCCAGGTATGGTGGTACACGCCTGTAATCCCAGGTACTCGGGAGGCTGAGGTACGAGAATCACTTGAATCCGGGAGTGGAGGTTGCAGTGAGCCGAGTATTGTGTCACTACACTTCAGCCTGGGCGAAAGAATGAGACTCTTTTCTCAAAAAAAAAAAAAGAAAAGAAGGAAAAGAAAAAAGCCATGATGGAATGGAGACCTTTCTTCCTACAGGGGTTTCCCTTGCAGGAAAGGTACAGGTGGGAAAGCTCAGAGGAGACCCCAGACCGAGCAAGTTTCCTTGCTTACCTCTAAGCATGTCTTGGAGATGTGGCATAGGATCCAGGAGGTGTGACTAAAAGCTAGACTTTTAGCCAGTCTCGCAGGCTGTGCAGGACACACCTTCATCTGTTGTATGAAGGTATATGAGCTGGCCAAAGATTCGCGTTCTTCCTTGCAGCTCCTTTTCCCCCCAGTTCTGCCCACCTTTCTCTTGCTGTCCTTGAATAATGTGGGGGGGATTCCTAAGTGTCTCTGCAGAAAGTGATGATTTCTAATTTTGGGCCTCCTTTCAATGAATTCCTCCAGGGCTCTGCAGTCAGCCAAGTACTGGAACCTAGCCCTTCCCTTTAGGAAGGAAAGCTCTTGGTTCAATTGATTCCGATGGTTAATGGAATCTCATCACCGTTGCCCAGAGTGGTTCTAATCAAAGGAATCCACTGTCTAAAAATTCAAGGTAGCAGCATCAAGGTTTACATCTTGTAAGCAAAGAGACTGGGGCACTGGGGCAGATATGTTTTATGGTGGAGCCCCATGGGGATTCAGTCTCTTATTTGGGAGAATTCTGGCTCCTGGCTCCAAAGGTGTGTGAGTTGATCCATCTTCTGTAACTAATCCTAGCCTGGACTTGGAAGGGGGACTGCCTTTTTTATTTTTTGGTGTTTGGTTTTTGAGACAGGGTCTCATTCTGTCACCCAGGCTGGAATGCAGTGGTGTGATCATGGCTCACTGCAGCCTCAACCTCCTGGGCTCAAGTGATCCTCCCACCTCAGCCTCCCAAGAAGCTGGGACCACAGGTGTGCGCCACTACACCCAGCCAATTTTTTATTTTTAGTAGAGACAAGGTCTCATTATGTTGCTCAGGCTGGTCTTGAACTCCTGGGCTCAAGCCATCCTCCCGCCTCAGCCTCCCAAAGTACTGGGATTACAAGTGTGAGCCACCACGCCTGACCATGTCCTTGATCTGTAAATGACAGTAGCTTTTGGAAACTGAGAAAATAAAAATCTGGATCAGACTTCAAGTCCCCTGACCCCTCTCTGATCTGGTCCTCGTCTTCCCCTCTCCTCTGGTTCCACAGCTGCCACAGAGCACACCCCTGGGGCAGCCCAGTGAGTCCCTCTACCCATTCATGCCCTCCTGCTTGTTCTGCCCTGGGAGGGAGCCTCAGCCCCTGAGCCCCCTGCCTGGAGTGATCCCCCTGCTCACCCTGACTCCCAGCTCCAGGCCCCACCTCCTCTGCGGAGCCCCTCCCAAATTTCTAGGGGGTTACATTTCAGTCTAATTCTCCCAGATGCCTTTGTGCTTATTGTCACAGCCACAAAACTTATCATTTGGTTGCTCTGAAATGACTTTACGCCTTATCTCCTCGCTTCAGTTGTAAGTTCTTAGAGCACAGGGACCACAGAGCCTAGCAAGGTGTTAATACACATGAGTGTACTTACTGGTTGGATAGCCTCCCATCAATTTCTGTCTCTTAGTGGTGTGGGAGTAGAAAAGACTCCCCAGATGTTAGGGCCAAGAAGGTTGAAATTGAGGCCGGGCGCGGTGGCTCACGCCTGTAATCCCAGCACTTTGGGAGGCCGAGGCGGGCAGAGCACGAGGTCAGGAGATTGAGACCATCCTGGCTAGTACAGTGAAACCCCGTCTCTACTAAAAATACAAAAAAATTAGCCGGGCGTGGTGGCCGTCGCCTGTAGTCCCAGCTATGCGGCAGGCTGAGGCAAGAGAATGGCATGAACCCGGGAGGCGGAGCTTGCAGTGAGCCGAGGTAGCGCCACTGCACTCCAGCCTGGGCGACAGAGCGAGACTCCGTCTCCAAAAAGAAAAAAAAAAAAAAAAAGTTGAAATTGAAGTAGATGGCCGGGGGCGGTGGCTCACGCCTGTAATCCCAGCACTTCGGGAGGCCGAGGAGGGTGGATCACGAGGTCAGGAGTTCGAGACCAGCCTGACCAACATGGTGAAACCCTGTCTCTACTAAAAATACAAAAATGAGCCAGGTGTGGTGGCATGTGCCTGTAATCCCAGCCACTCAGGAGGCTGAGGCAGCAGAATCACTTGAACCCAGGTGGCGGAGGTTGCAGTGAGCTGAGATCATGCCACTGCACTCCAGTCTGGGCGACAGAGCGAGACTCCATCTCAAAAAAAAAAAAAAAAGAAAAAAAGAAAAAAAAGAAATTGAAGCAGATGAGCTCAGATCATGAGGGATTTTCTGAAACTGCTATATTTTGAAGAAAACCTTGCTGGTCCCCTCCAGTTTTCTGTAATAACCTGGCTGAGCAGTGGGTTTCACTGTCCGGTTCACGCACTAACTGCTTCAGGGTCACCTGGGGTGCCAGTTCAGAATTCAGAGTCCTGGCCCCACGCCTGAAAATACTGACTCACTAGGCCTGGGGTGGGGCCTGGAAATCTCTATCTTTAACACGCCACTGCTGACTCTGACGCACAGCCAGGTTTGGAAACTAGTCGAGTCTGAAAAGAATGTTCTCTTCTTGGAAGTGAGAAAATGTTAGGGGGGCACCGTGAGAAGGGGCTATGATTTGGATTCTGAGAGACCAGGTTTGAGTCTCAGTTCTGCCACTTACCAGGTGTGTGACCATGGGCAAGTTATTCAGCCCCTCTGCACCTCAGTTTCAAGTGGGAACACCACGGATCTGTTTTGTGACTAGTGCCATGCAACAAATTACCCCAGAACTTTGCCACTTAAAACAACTCTTTGGCCGGGTTTGGTGGCTCATGCCTGTAATCCCAGCACTTTGGGAGGCCGAAGCGGGTAGGTCAATTGAGCCTAGGAGTTGGAGACCAGCCTGGGCAACATGGGGAGACCCTGTCTCTACAAAAATACAAAAATTAGGGTGAGAGGATTCCTTGAGCTCTGGAGGTCGAGGCTGTGGTGAGCTGAGATCCCACCACTGCACTTCAGCCTGGGTGACAGAGTGATACTGTCTCAAAAACAAACAAAAAAAACCCCAACTCTTTGATTTTGTTCACAATTCTGTGGGTTAGGAATTCTGGAACGGACTCAGCTGGGTACTTCTCACTTGGGATATCTCATTCGGTTGCAGTCACACATCAACAGGGGCTGCAGCCATCGGAAGGATATCCGAGATGGCACACTCCTGTAGCAATCAGTTGATGCTGGCTATTGGCTGGGAGCTCTGCTGGGCTGTTGACTGTGGCACCTATGTTGTGAGTCTCTGCCATGGCAGTAGACTTCTTACTGACTTCTCTCAGAGCAAGTGCCCCAAAAAGAGCCAGGAGCAAGCTGCATGGCTTCTTCTGCCTTTGTCTTACAAGTCTCAGAGTGTCACTTCTGTTGTGTTGAAAGCAGTCACAAGCCCACCCAGACTTCTAGAAGTAGAGACAGAGACCACACCTCTTGGTGGGAAGAGTGTCGAATAACTAGCGGGCGTGTTTAAAACCACCACGGTATCTCATGGGGTTGTTATGAGGATTCAGTGAGATGATCTTGCTGAAGTGCTGGACAAGCATGAGTTCCCCTCCTCCTTCTAATTTGAGGCCTGGAGGCTAACAGGGTAAAGCCAGTGCCAGGTGCCAGGTCTCCAGTCGCTTGCAGTTGTTCATGTCTACTGGGCCATAGGGACCGTTTTTCTCAGTCTTGTCTCCTCTTCTCTTCTCTTCTCTTTTACTGACAGAGTTTCGCTCTTGTTGCCGAGGCTAGAGTGCAATGGCGCGATCTTGGCTCACTGCAACCTCTGCCTCCTGGGTTCAAGCGATTCTCCTGCCTCAGCCTCCTGAGTAGCTTCAATTACAGGCATGTGCCACCACGCCTGGCTAATTTTGTATTTTTAGTAGAGATGGGATTTCTCCATGCTGGTCTCGAACCCCCGACCTCAGGTGATCTGCCTGCCTCGGCCTTACAAAGTGCTGGGATTGCAGGCGTGAGCCACTGCGCCTGGCCTGTTTTTCTCAGTTTCTAGTCATTTCTAGTCCTTTTGGATAGTAAATGCAGGGTGCAGTGAGCACCTTCTCATTCTGACCAGCTCAGCTCTCTCAGGAGGTTGGGACTGCAAGATCTGTGGTTCACTGTCACCCCCATATCAGCCTTACCCATGTGCCTGATCTCAAGTGCAAGCTCACTGGGCTCCGAATGGGAACACCTGGCTGAGTACTGAGTGTTTTCAGGTCAGACAACCTGGTTTGGGGCCCAGGAGGGTCATCTGTTGCAATGGTGGCCTGAGGGGCAGCTGGAGAGAAAGAGAGCAGCTTTGGTTGGCGTGGGTCTTCTGTCTCACGGTCATGAGTGGGCCCCTTCTCTGACCTTGCTTTCTTCACCTCAGGTCTGGAGACAGTGGAGGAGCTGAGGAAAGGTCACATGGAGACCACTGGGGCCAGCAAGCCAGCTCCCCAGGGAAGGTGGGGGGTGGCTTGCATGACAGATGCCTCAGGATGAGGGGCATTAAGAGGGTGGCTGGGTTCCAGGGGCTGCCAGAGTGGGTAGGATTTGCCAAATAGGGTACCCTTGGAAGGCAGGACACAAGAGGGAGGAGCCATTATGTGCCTGCTGCAATTCACTGGCATTTGTGGAGGGGGTCGTTTGCCCCTCTGGCCCACACCCTTATTCCTGAAAAAGGCAGTTGGGCCTGTGTTTAGCACTCCGAGGAACCTGCTCTCTCTGGTCCTCTTCTTTTCCTTCTGGGGCTCCTGAACCTCCCCACCGACATGCTTCCCTCATTACCACCAAGCCTCACATGCAGCAGCTGCCTTGCTGAGAGCAGACAGGGGTAGGCTTGGAGCTGCACAGCGATGCGACACATGATGGGGCTCCTTCTATGTGCCCCACACCTAGCCAAGGGCTAAAAATGGTCACACGTCTCCATGATCTCATTGACGAACTCACACCATGGGCCTGAAGGAGTGATGTGTGAGTCAGCACCCCGGAATCCCTGGCAGAGCGGGTCTTGGAGGACCAGGAAGACCAGGGGAAACCTCCCAGATTGAGTCATTAGGATAGGTCATAGTGCAGGCTGCCCTCCCCTCAGTCTCCATGCCTCAGTTTCCTCACCTGTAAAAGGAGAGTAACTAAGTGCCCACCTCATAGTGTGACCACAAGGAGGGAATTGGGGTGCACCCTTAATCAGGCTGCTCTCCACCTGTTGAAGATTTAGATGAAGAGGGACAGGGAAGGAGGGCAGGTGCATAGGGAGTTGCTGGGGCAGGGGAGGCAGAGTCATGGAGGAGAAGGCCCGGAGGGTGGTAGAGGAGGTGCCTGCTGCACGGGTGAAGTCTGTTCTTCTTCTTTTTTTTCTTTTTGGATGGAGTCTCGCTCTGTTGCCCAGGCTGGAGTGCAGTGGCATGATCTTGGCTCACTGGTTCATACAATTCTCGTGCCTCAGCCTCCCAAGTAGCTAGGACTACAGGTGTGCGCCACCACGCCCAGCTAATTTTTGTATTTTTGGTAGAGACGGGGTTTCGTCATGTTGTCCAGGCTGGTCTCGAACTCCGGACCTCAAGCTATCCGCTTGCCTCAGCCTCCCACGCCTGCTGGGTTTACAGGCGTGAGCCACCGCACCCGGCAAGGAGTCTGTTCTTAGAGGCAGAGCCACCACTCCTGCTCCCAAGGAAAGGACAGTGAAACAGCTTTCGCCCATACCCCAACCCCCACCTCCCTAAGGCCCCGCAGCTCCTCCCTCCCTCCGTCTGGACTGTTTCCCCTTCTCCCTAAGACATTTCCTGGAAGCTCTGCCCACAGTTCTTCCTTCTACTTATATACCTGGCCTGGCCCCAGCCCTGCCACTGAGGCCTGGCCCCCCCATTATGTGACCAGCTTTTCCTCTTCTTCTTTTTTTTTTTTTGAGACGGAGTCTCACTGTCGCCAGGCTGGAGTGCAGTGACATGATCTTGGCTCACTGCAACCTCTGCCTCCTGAGTTCAAGTGATCCTCCTGCCTCAGCCTCCCGAGTAGCTGGGACTACAGGCACGTGCCAACATACCCAGCTAATTTTTGTATTTTTAGTAGAGACGGGGTTTCACCATTTTGGCCAGGATGGTCTCGATCTCTTGACCTCGTGATCTGCCCGCCTCAGCCTCCCAAAGTGCTAGGATTATAGGCGTGAGCCACCATGCCCGGCTAACTTTTCCTGTTTCTACTCACTTGGGCTGAGATCCCCGTTCTCCTATGTCACCTTCCTTAAACATCACACCTTGGCTAAGAGGAAAGACTGTCCATTTGGGAGTCTATGCCCACTAGCTCTGCGACCTCAGGAGAGCCGCTTAACCTCTCTGAGTCTCAGCTTCATCATGTGCAAAATAGGGTCATTTAGTTGTGACTAGTGCCTCATTTTGACCGTACTTCCATGAGGATTGAATAAGGGAATGCATTGAATATGCAACAAGTACATAGTAGGTACTTAATAAATGGCAGCTATTTCCATGGTGATTCTAGGCCTGTGTATCCAGAGAGTATTTGACTAATAGACATCTGCACGCCTGTAATCCCAGCTACTCCAGAGGCTGAGGCGGGAGGATTGCTTGAGGCTGGGAGTTTGACACCAGCCTGGGCAACATAGTTTTTTACAAAAAGCCATCTGAGGGTATGACTTGCATAGGGAGCCACTTATTATTGGAGGGCAGATAAAGAAAAGGAGGTATTCCTTTCTTTCCCCTGATGATTCAGGCAAGGTGGTCCCTGCTCCCTTTTATTTCCTGAGTTACATCTATGCTGTGCCCTAGAATTGGAATCAGTAAGCACAGATGCCATTGGAGTTTTTCCCCAATATTCTTTTTTTTGGAGACAGGGTCTCACTCTGTTGCCCAGGCTAGAGTGCGGTGGCGTGATCTGGGCTCACTGCAACCTCTGCTTTCCGGGTTCAAGCGATTCTCCAGCCTCAGCGTCCCAAGTCGCTGGGATCACAGGTGTGTGCCACCAAGCCGAGCTAATTTTTGTATTTTTTGTAGAGACGGGGTTTTGCCATGTTGGCCAGGCTGGTCTCAAACTCCTGAGCTCAAATGATCTGCCCGCCTCGGCCTCCCAAAGTGCTGGGATTACAGCTGTGAGCCGCTGCACCTGGCTTCTAACCCAATATACTTTTTTGTTTTTTTGTTTGTTTTTTAGAAGGAGTCTCACTCTGTTGCCCAGGCTGGAGTTCGGTGGTGTGATCTCAGCTCACTACAACTTCCTCCTTCCGGGTTCAAGAGATTCTCCTGCCTCAGGCACCCAAGTAGCTGGGACTACAGGTGCATGCCACCACTCCCGGCTAATATTTGTATTTTTAGTAGAGATGGGGTTTCACCATATTGGCCAGGCTGGTCTTGAACTCCTGATCTCGTGATCTGTCCGCCTCGGCCTCCCAAAGTGCTGGGATTACAGGCGTGAGCCACAGCGCTCGGCCTCTTCCCCAGTATTCTTGCTGCCTTTTTTTTTTAAATTTATTTATTTATTTATTTATTTATTTATTTATTTATTTATTTATTTTGAGACAAGGTTTTGCTCTGGAGCGCAGTGGCATGATCATAGCTCACTGCAGCATCAAATTCCTGGGCTTAAGTGATCCTCCCACCTCAGCCTCCTCAGTAGCTGGGACTGCAGGTGAGAGCCACCACTCCTGGCCAGATTTTAATTTTTTTTTTTTAAGACAGGGTCTCACTATGTTGCCCAGGCTGGTGTCGAACTCCTGGGCTCAAGTGATTATCCTGCCTCAGCCTCCCAAAGTTCTAGGATCACAGGTGTGAGCCACTGCCTAGTCAACAGACTTGCTTCTAAGACTTTTGGATGGAAACTCTTCTAGAGTATATTTCAATGAGATATATCAGTTTGCTATTGCTATGTAACAAAACACTCTAAACCATAGTAGCTTAAAGCAACAATTTCTTCTTCTATCACAATTGGGTAAGTTGGCTGGGCTGTTCCTCTGCTGGTTACATCTGGGTTTACTCATGCAGCTGCAGTCAGCTAGCCAACAGCTGTGGGGAGATCCAAGATGGCCTCATGAACAGTGTGGCAGTTGGTGCCAGCTGTCAGCTGCAGTGAACTGTCACTCTTCTCCCTGTGGCCTCACATCCTCAAGTATGTGAGACTGGCTTCCTTACGTGGCAGCCTCAGAACTGCCTGAGAGGGTGAAGCAGGAAGCTACAAAGTCTCTTAAGGCTTCTCCTCAGAAGTCACACAGTGTCACTTCTGGTGCATTCTATTGGTCAGAGCAAGTCATGATGCCAACTCAGATCCTCGAGGAAGAGATGGAGATTCCACCCTAGATTAGTCTGCTGGGGCTGCCATAACAAAGTAACATACACTGGGTGACTCAAACAACTGAAATATATTGTCTTACTGTTCTGGAGGCTGCAAGTCCAAGAACAAGTTGTCAGCAGGGTTGGTTCCTTCTGAGATCTCTCTCCTTGGCTTGAAGATGGCCACCTTCTTTGTTGTGTCTTCACATGTTCTTCCCAATGTGTGTGTGTGTGTGTGTCCTAACCTCCTCTTTTTTTTTTTTTTCTTTTTCTTTGAGACAGGCTGGAGTGCAGTGGTGCCATCTCAGCTCGCTGCAACCTCCACCTCTCAGGCTCAAGCAATCCTCCCATCTCAGCCTCCTGGGTAGCTGGGACCACAGGCGCACGCCACCATACCCGGCTAATTTTTGTATTTTCAGTAGAGACAGGGTTTCGCCATGTTGACCAGGCTGGTCTCAAACTCTTGGGCTCAAGCCATCTGCCCACCTTGGCCTCCCAAAGTGCGAGCCACTGTGCCCAGCCAGATGATTCTTTTTTGTTGTTGTTTTCGTGGTTTTTTTTCTTTTCTTTTCTTTTTTTTTTTTTTTGACGGAATTTTGCCTTGTTGCCCGAGCTGGAGTGCAATGGCACGATCTCGGCTCACTGCAACCTCTGCCTCCCAGGTTCAAACGATTCTCCTGCCTTAGGCACCCAAGTAGCTGGGATTACAGGCATGCACCACCATACCCAGCTAATTTTTTGTATTTTTAGTAGAAGTGGGGTTTCACTCTGTTAGCCAGGCTGGTCTCGATCTCCCGACCTCAGGTGATCCGCCCACCTTGGCCTCCCAAACTGCTGGGATTACAGGTGTGAGCCACCACCCAGCCCCAGATGATTCTTTTTTTTTTTTTTTTTTGAGACGGAGTCTCGCTCTGTCGCCAGGCTGGAGTGCAGTGGCACGATCTTGGCTCACTGCAACCTCCGCCTCCCAGGTTCAAGCGATTCTCCTGCCTCAGCCTCCCGAGTAGCTGGGACTACAGGCACGCACCACCACGCCCAGCTAATTTTTGTATTTTTTTTTTTAGTAGAGACGGGGTTTCACCATGTTGGCCAGGATGGTCTCAATCTCTCGACCTCGTGATCCGCCCGCCTCGGCCTCCCAAAGTGCTGGGATTACAGGCGTGAGCCACCGCGCCTGGCCGACTCCCAGATGATTCTTTAGTGACTTCTTCTGTCTGCCTGGAGGCTGTGAGACATGTGCCCTCTAGGCTTGCCATTAACTTCTGTGAACACACTCAGCTGTGACAGCTCTGAGGGAACTCACCCACCCCCATATTAGTTATCTAATGCTGCATAACAAGTTGCCCAAAAATGTAGTGGCATAAACCAACAATAACAATGTATTCTATCTCTTGATTTCTGTGGGTCAGGAATTCAGATAAAGTACAGCAGGGATGGATTGTCTCTGCTCACAATGTTTGGGGCTTCAGGTGGAGGAGTTGAAGCTGGGATGCTGGATGATACATTTCCATGGTGGCTCACTCACTTGGTTGGGCGTGAGGGAGGAAAAATGTAGTGATTAGAAGAGACTGAAGAGGTCCAGATGTGGTGGCTCATGCCTGTAATCACAGCACTTTGGGAGGTCGAGGCAGATGGATCACTTGAGGTCAAGAGTTCAAGACCAGCCTGGCCAACATGGTGAAACCCCGTCTCTAGTAAAAATACAAAAATTAGCCAGGCGTGGTGGTGTGCACCTGTAGTCCCAGCTACTAGGGAGGCTGAGGCGGGAGAATCACTTGAATCCAGGAGACAAAGGTTGACTTGAGCTGAGATCTCGCCACTGCACTCCAGCCTGGGTGACAGAGTGAGACTCCACAGTCAATTTCTCCCATAATCAACCACCTTCTCCAGGCAGCTGCTGGAGCTGCTGCCCCAATGCATCACTTCCTGGCACATAGCAGGCTGCAGGGACCACCTCATCTGCCTTTGCCACCTCTCTTCCCACTTGTTCAGCTGCCCTTGAGCAGACTGGATGGCCTTCCAGAACAGGACAAAGCAGGCTGGCCACGTGTGCTTTTATGCCCTCCTCCCCAACCCGCCCCCCCGACGCCACACACACCCCTCCATCCTCTGTCTGACCCAACACTCCCCACAAGATGCCTAGAATGTCTTTCCCAGGGCGGCCTCCCTTAAGGGTATGTCTTACTTATTTTCATAGCTCTGTACATATATGTAAGGGGTGTTTCAGAAGGGTTTGTGGGCCAGTCACAGTGGCCCTGTAATCCTAGCACTTTGGGAGGCTGAAGCAGGTGGATCACTTGAACCCAGGAATTTGAGAAAATACAAAAAATACCAAAAAATTAGCCAGGTGGTGGTGGTGTGTGCCTGTAGTCCCAGCGACTCGGGAGACTGAGGTGGGAGGATTGGTTGAGCCCGGGAGGTCAAGTCTGCAGTGGGCCATGATCTCGCCACTGAATTCCAGCCTGGGTGACAGAGTGAGACCCCCCTCTCAAAAAGAAGTGTTTGTGGAATAGAATTGATTTTAAAACCTTTTTAAAAAATTGTAAGGGCTAGGTGCCGTGGCTCACGTGTGTAATCCCAGCACTTTGGGAAGCCGATGTGGGCGGATCACTCGAGCCCAGGAGTTTCAGACAACATGACAAAATCCCGTCTCTACAAAAAATAAGAAAATTAGCCAGGCATGGTGATGCATGCCTGTAGTCTCAGCTACTTGGGAGGCTGAGGCGGGAGGATTGCTTGAGCCCAGGAGGTGAAGGTTGTAGTGAGCCAAGATCGTGCCACTGCACTCCAGCCTGGGTGACAGAGTGAGATGCTGTCTCAAAGAAAAAAAAAAATGTATATAGAGATGGGGTCTTGCTATGTTTCCCAGGCTGGTTGTGAACTCTTGACCTCAAGCGATCCTCCTGCTTCAGCCTCCCAAAGCACTGGGATTATAGGCATGAGCCACCCTGCCTGACCAATAGTTCAAAATCTTTATGGTCCGCTTAAGTCCGTAGTTCACCATATTCCCCTGAGTTCTCTCAATTCCCAAAGTTGCAAAGAGGCCAGTGGGGATTCTGAAGGTTTCTCCTATCAGCTTCTCTGGTGCTCATTCTCCCGCTCCCAAGGGCCCTGGCCTTTTCCCAGGATTCATTACATGGTGGCCCTTTCTCACCATGTGGCATCCTTAAAAGCATGGGGTTTGAACATTCAGCCTGAGTTTTGCTTGCTATGGATTGGTGGAATGGTAGTGCTGGGAGAGAGGAAACATTTCTGCTTCCTCTGAACCCTCTTATGCGTGCGCGCGTGCACACACACACACACACACACACACAACCAGGAAACCTTCTCTTCCCCTAGCCCACGTCTCCTCCCAGTCTGTGCTCTTGCACTTCCAGAGCCAGATAAATGGAGGAAAAACACAGCTGCAGATGTAGCCACCCCAAGAGAAATCAGAAAGTGTGGAAGAAAAAAAGAAGGCCGGGCGCGGTGGCTCACACCTGTAATCCCAGCACTTTGGGAGGCCGAGGCGGGCGGATCACAAGGTCAGGAGTTCCATATCAGCCTGGACAATATGGTGAAACCCCGTCTCTACTAAAAATACAAAAAACTTAGCCGGGCATGGTGATGCATGCCTGTAATCCCAGCTACTCGGGAGGCTGAGGCAGGAGAATCGCTTGAACCCGGGAGGCGGAGGTTGCAGTGAGCCGAGGCCGCACCATTGCACTCCAGTCTGGGTGACAAGAGTGAAACTGTCTCAAAAAAAAAAAGTGTGCTTAAGTGACTGCTGTACCCCTACTGACTATACACCACCCTCCCCTCCATATTGCTCTGTTGGAGGGTCCCTAAGACCCCTTCTCAATCCTTGTTCTCACTCCCTGCCACTGCACACAGAGCTTGATGGCAAGCCGAATATGGTATCTCCTTGAAAGTGAGAGAAACAGTTGCATTTAGAAGGGGAATTCACCTAGCAGGTTAAGGAAATGGCCCAAATGGAGATCTCTAATCCCCATGCCTGTTTTTAAGTTGCCATTTGACCCACAGTGGACATCTCTACAGGAAGGCCAGTAAGTGCCCGAGACTCCCAGGCCTCCGAGCTGCCCCAGGGCCCAGGAACGAGGTCAGATGTGATAACGGCTCTGATGTGGCCAAAAGCTTCCATCATGCTAAGCAGTTCCAAACAGTCCCGCTCGTCAGGCAGGCCCGGGGCAGTGGTGGGTAGCGACAGTGTGATGCTCGGCCTTGCCCCCAAAGCTTAAGCCTTTGATGGCAAAAGCACACTCGGCTCTGTACTGAGCTGACTGCCTGAAAATATTATAGAAAACATCTCTCCCTTGGCGGGGAGAGATCTAAGCCCCAGTGACCGGGGAGTTTAAATTTTCGGGATGGGTGACCGAAGGCTGCTAAGAATATCCAGTCACAGGCCTGACCACAAGCCAGTTAACGCCCCGAGTGGCGGCTTCCATGGTCCTTGGGGCATGGGAAGAAGGAGCCGACTGGGCAGCCAGTACTTGTGGAGTCCCTCAGCAGGAATTGTGCAGACACAAAGTAAGGAGTAAAATAACATTAAAGAAAACCAACCACCTGATCGTGCCCTCAAGGAATAATCTGAGAAGGGAAGACATTGACCTACCATGGGGTACTTACTGTGCGTTAACAGATCAAAACAAGGACAACCATGCAGAAGGGAACAGTCTCCGAGACACCAAGTGCCAACAAGGGACCCCAGGCTGGCTTCCCACAGCCAGATGGGGTAGTTCTTGTGGCCTGGCAGCTGGCAGCCTGACAGAAAGTCAGGTAGGCCCAGGGTACACATTCTACCCTCTAGCCCTCAGTTTCCTCATCTGCAGAGTGAGGGGTTTGGGAGTCCTGTTTCGTCAACATTTTGGGTGTCTGAGGCCCTCTGGGACTCTGATGCATGTACCCCTGGCAAAGTGGACATGTGCACGAGGGCCACCATTTTCACAGCATTTCCAGGGGTGTCCGGCCCCAAGTAGACCAGCCCCAGATCTCAAGTGAGGGCTCTGAGGTTTTTGTATAGAGGAGAGACTGTTCTTGGAGGGCTGGAAGTGGCTGGGAAGAGTTCATGGAGAAAGCAGGATCGAAGTTTGGGCAGAAATGAGATGGCTACACCTTCATTCAATGAATGCCATGAGCTTCAACGGTCAGCAAGCCCAAGGGATGGATGCGATGACAAAGAGACCAGAGAGGATCTGGAATCGTGTGCAGCACCGTTTCCAGCTGGAGAGAGAGAGCCCATTCTGCTCCAGCCATGTGGGCTGTCCTTCTCTTCCTCAGGTGGTCCAAGGTTGGTCCTCCTTCAGGGCCTGTGCACTTGTTGCTCGGCTACCTGAAACTCTCTTTCCCCCATACTCATGCAGCTGGTTCCTTCTCAGCTCAATTTTTCAAAGAGGCCTCCCAAGCCATCCTGGCTAACACTGCCTTCCCTCCCACTACTCTCAGCCACACTGCTCTGTTTCATCTTCTGTGTGGCACATGTCATCATCTAAAGTTACCTTATTTGCTCTGTTTATGGTCCATCTCCCATAGGATAAGGACCTTGTCAGTCCTGTTCTCCACGGTGCCCTGGCACCCAGGACAGTGCTTGGCACAGAGTAAACAACTGCCAAATTTGCAATGAACCAAATGAAGTAATTATAGCCTTAACGCTAGATGGCTGTGCACTGGGGAGGCCTGTGGCGTAGAGGAAGGGCAGGGTGGTTTGAGAGGGTGAGGCTGAGCCACTAAACTGGTCTGGATGACTGTTTGGGGAAGGTATCTTGGAGGAAGTGCTGTTTGAACAGAGTTGTGAATGACTAAGTGAAGCGGGTGGAGGGATCGCAAATCTAAGCCAGCTCCCGGTGGCAACGGCTGGATGTGGGAAGGGGCTGGAAACAGAAGCCCAGAGCCAAGGTCTGAGGGGCAGGGCCCAGTAGGGTGGCTGAGGGCTTCCATCTTTATCTCAATAGTGAAAGCCACTGGAGCACCCTCGCTCTGGCTGCAGGATCAACCCCCGCCCCCCTTTTACCTGTCTGATCATTCTTCCTCTTTTGCAATCTGGCCACCCTAGAATCCTGGTTGTTCCTTAAACACAGCAGGCAGTCTCCTACCACAGGGCCTTTGCACTGGCTTTGCCTCTGCCTGCAAAACTCTCACCTCAGAAATCTTGGCTTGCTCCCCCGGCTCCGTTGAGTCTTTGCTCACATCTCACTTTCCCAAGAGACCTCCCCTGAGCACCTTAATCCTGCAAATCCTTCTCCCCACACCCTGCCTTCCAGGTGCTTCTTTCCTGCTCCCACTTTTCTTTCCATGGCATACATCACTGTCCACCATCCATGGTAATTTTGTGACCTCTTACCTTTATTGCTTATCGCCCATCTCTCTCCTTCTGGAATACAAGTACCCCGAGGACAGGTATTTGTTTTGTTTCCTGGGGTGTGTCGGGAGCCTGGAGCAGCACCTGGCACCCAGCAGCAGTGGTTATTTGCGGGTGTGGTTGTGGCTGGTGGCTGCTGTGGGGGCCATGGACTGCAGAGGGGTAGGAGCCAGAGGAGGGGGCCCAGTGAGGAGGCCATTGCCATGGCGTAGGTGAGAAGCTGTGCTAGGCAGTGCAGGGCGCTGGATGTGGGGGAAATGGATGGACTCCTAAAACTGCGCAGAGAAAAGAAAACGGATTTGGTGAAGGGTCGGTTTGGGGAGTGAAGGGATTGGAGAGGTCAAGGGTGATTCTCAGGTTTCTGGAATGTATAACCAGGTGGTTGGTGGGGACCAGGGAGAAGAAGCAGTTTTAAGGGGAGGAAGAGAGAAGGGGCATTCCTGCAGGGAACATGCATGGGCCACAATGGGGAAAGGCTGTGTCTGCTCCGGGCATAGCGGAAAACCCAATTTAGGCTGGAGTGGAAGTTCCTGCAGAGAAGGTGAGGAAGACAGGGTGGGGGCCTAGGCAACCCGTTAATGCTGCCAACTCCACGCTTTCACTCTGGAAGCCTGGGCCATGCCTAGGGCTGCCATGATGAAGTGCTGCCAAGCCTCCAATACGGCACATCTGCCTGGCGCATCACTCTCACCCCGCTCCTCCCCCCGCCCCAACTGTGGAGCAGTAAGTTTGCTTCTATTCACGTGATTTTATTAACAAAATTTGCTTCCTTGCTGTCTCTAGAAGCAGCACACTGCCCTCCCCCAACCCCCCAACTTGGCTCAGAGCAACCCCACACTCCTGCTATCAGGTCATCTGCCCAGAGTGTGATTGCAGTTTTAAAACTGATTCCTCCCTGGTTTATTATTTTTTTTTAGTTTCTATTTTTTATTTTCTGGAAGTACAGCACACAGACAGAAAAGTGTACAAATCCTGAGAGTACAGCTTGATGAATTTTAACACACCCATGTAACCAGCTTCCAGATCAACCTGCAGTGTTCCCAGCCCCCAAGGAGTCCCACTGTGCTCCCCATCTCCAAGGATAACTCCATCTTGACTCCTCTTCTTTTTTTTAATGAGACAGAGTCTCACTCTGTCACCCAGGCTGGAGTGCAGTGCTGTGATCACAGCTCACTGCGGCCTCAGCCTCCTGAGTAGCTGAGACTACAGCACGCCCACCACACCCAGCTTATTTTTGTAGTTTGTGTAGAGATGGGGTTTCACCATGTTGCCCAGGCAGGGCTTGAACTCCTGGGCTCAAGCGATCCACCCACCTCTGCCTCCTAAAGTGCTGGGATTACAGGAGCAAGCCACTGCACCTGGCCCATCCTGACTTATAACAACTCAGATTAAAACCTTTGCCCACTTTAAAACTTGACATAGGCAAAGCGCCACTGCACTTTAGCCTAGGTGACAGAGTGAGACCCTGTCCACCCCCCACCGGCACCACCACCAAAAAAAAAAAAAAAAACAACACCCAAACTAGATGTAAATGGAATCCTATTGTGCATATTCTTTTGAGGCTGGCTTCTTTTCATTTGCAAGGTGTTGTGTGTGCTTGCATCTTAAAAAACAGAGTCTCAGGCCAAGGGTGATGGCTCATGCCTGTAATCCCAGCACTTCGGGAGGCCAAGGTGGGCAGATCACCTGAGCTGAGGAGTTTGAGACCAGCCTGGCCAACATGGCAAAACCCTGTCTCTACTAAAAATACAAAAATTAGCTGGGCGTGGTGGCGCATGCCTGTAATCCCAGCTACTCGGGAGGCTGAGGCAGGAGAATGGCTTCAACCCAGGAGGCAGAGATTGCAGTGAGCCAAGATCGCACTACTGCACTCTAGCCTGGGCAACAGAGCGAGCCTCCGTCTCAACAACAACAAAAACAGAGTCTCCCAAGCAGCCTCCCACCTGAGGCAAGGGATCAGGGCCCAGTCTCAGGAGGCCCCTGTAGCCTGTGGAATACTCAGTAGAGGAACTAGGGGGTCAGTGGAGACTTTGTGTGGGGCAGAGGACAGCATTGGTGTTTTAAGCAAATGACATGCTAAGCATTGTGTTAGATGCTGCCTGGATACAAAAGTGGAAGATGCGGTTAAGAGGGGGTGAAGGGAAGATAAGACTGGATCTAGAGTCGGCCAGGTTGTAAGAATGTCTTGGGCTGGGCACAGTGGCTCACACCTATAATTCCAGCACTTTGGGAGGCCGAGACGGGTGGATCACCTGAGGTCAGGAGTTCGAGACCAGCCTGGATAACATGGCAAAACCCCATCTCTACTAAAAATACAAAAAAAAATTAGCCAGGTGCGGCGGTGGGCGCCTGTAATCCCAGCTACTCAGGAGGCTGAGGCAGGAGAGTCACTTGAACCTGGGAGGCGGAGGTTGCAGTGAGCTGAGATCGCGCCACTGCACAACAGCCTGGGGGATAAGAGCAAAACTCTGTCTCAGAAAAAAATAAATAAAATAAATAAAAGAATGTCTTGAACTGCAAGAAGAGGAAAGAAAGTGAAAGCTCACACCTGAGGGGAGGACAGAAAGGTCAGAAGGGTTGTGACTCCCCGCCTCCCAAAAAGATCCCCTCAGTGCTACCCTTAAAGTCACTTTCCTGAAAGGGGGGGTCCTTGCCTTGGGGGAGGAGACAATTTCAGTTCTATTATCTCAGTCATCCAGAAAGACTTCTCTGTGCCTGTGGTGTGTTAGAGAGAAGACAGATAGGGAGGGAGGAAAAGGGGTGGGGGGGGTGGAGAGAGAGAGAGAGAGAGAGAAAGAGTGCGAGCATAGTATACTTCCTGGGAAACTATCTCTCGAATAGTAGTTCTAGGAAGCCTCATGCCAGAGGGCAGTAGTACTGGCCTCTGCCTTCTTGATGGTGCCCTTGGACGTCAGAAAGAGGAGGAAGCCTCAGGGATTGGCAGAGACATTTGAGAGTTTCAGAAGCTGAAGTCCAGAGAGGGTGAGCGACTTGCCCAAGGTCACACACCAAGAAAGCAAGCATTAGAAAGGGGATCGAGTGTCCCCTCCATGGTTTTTCCATGATCGTGTACCACCCTTTCACTTTACAAAGAGCCTAGTGTTGCCACCAAAATAGCTGAATTACCTCATTTTTGAAAGGCGTTATGAATTCACTTCTATTATGTGGAATGGGGCAGAGATGTTGTGAGCAGGCATGACATTATAATTCATATTCCACTTCTTCTATTTATCTTTGCTGGGTTTTGTGTATCTTTGGAAGCAGCCTTAAATCATTATTGGAACAAAGTAGGGAGAAAAATAATAATATGTAATTACAAATGAGGAATAGACCGTATGATCCTATTAATTGCCTTCCCTGCAATCTTTATTTTTGGTATTTTCAGAATAATTAACGGCTTAGGTCTCGATTGGTGGAGGTGGTGGGTTAGCACTGAACTCTAAACAGTAACATCACCTACTCCAGGAATGGCCCAGTGCGATCTGACACCTGGGACGCTTTCAGGGCAACACCAAGGGCAATGCTCCAGTCTGTATTTACTCTCTTCTGAGGAGAAACTCTGGCAGCAGCTGGAAAATAAAACCCAAAGCAAGGAAGAAGCCGAAAAGAAGAAATACTCAAATACGAGGCGCATTAATCATCGGTGTCAGATCTAGAGCAGAGGACAATGGCTGGTTTGAAGAAAGACTGAACCTAAATTATCTTGGAAACTGATCTTCTCTCCTCCGGGTTCCCTGTGCCTGCAAGCAGGGGTCCCGGTGCAGCCACTGGCATGGAACCGATGGGGGCATCCACTGGCTGACCAGCATGCTTTGTCACAGGACAGGTTAGAGATGACCACCTTCTGTCTGTGGATCATCCATAGCTTCTGCTTAGGAAGCTACAGAAGAGAAAAGGCCTCTCACAGGGACCTGCAGGACAAATTCATTGCCCATCGTGTCCTCAGGGGACATCATTTGCATGCCAGGATGCAGTAAGGCCACTGCCTTCAGATCCAAATAAAGCACCCAATTAGCATGAACTTGTGCAATTGGCAGAGTAATGAAGCTGACCACAGGTGCCTGGAAAGTCCGAAATTTAGTTGCTAGTGTTGCACCGTGATGGCAGGGGCTGTGACGGCATGAATAAGTCTGGGCTTTGGGAATGGGCAGTGAGCTTCCAGGCAAGCAGGCAAATTAATTATCCTCTAAGCCTCAGTTTCCCCATCTGAAATGGGAATAATAATAGTACCTTTATTATAGGACAGTTTTTTTTTTTTGAGACAGAGTCTTGCACCGTTGCCCAGGCTGGAGTGCAGTGGCGCTATCTCAGCTCACTGCAAGCTCTGCCTCCTGGTTTCACACCATTCTGCTGCCTCAGCCTCCCGAGTAGCTGGGACTACAGGCGCCCACCACCACACATGGCTAATTTTTTGTATTTTTAGTAGAGACGGGGTTTCACGGTGTTAGCCAGGATGGTCTCGATCTCCTGACCTCGTGATCCACCCGCCTCGGCCTCCCAAAGCACTGGGATTACAGGCGTGAGCCACCGCGCCCAGCCATATAGGACAGTTTTCTATATGACATGAGATTATTAATGTGTATAAAATGTTTAGAACTGTGCCTGGCAGATAGAAAGCCCTTAATAAATTCTAGCTATTGTTCTTCTAGGAGCTGAAGAACATTAGTGACTCTCTTTTCCTCAAATCCCAAGAGCTCTTCTGCTTCAGAAGAGCTGTGTGATGAGTTCTTCCCATGTTATCCCTTCGTGAACTACCTTTTCCCATGGTAAGGACAAGAGTAGTCTTTATGGAAGCTCAAAACGGGGAAAAGTGTTGCCCAGGAATATGAAAGGGCAAGGTAGCTTATAATCTCGCCAGACATTGAGCCATAATTTAGTATTGGTGGAGGTACAGGTATTTTTCAAACAGAATCTATTTGTTCTGGGGAGGAAGTCCTTCCCTTGAACATCTTGGCCCCACACTTTTTTTTTTTTTTTTGAGACACAGTCACACTCTGTCACCCAGGCTGGAGTGCAGTGGTGCGATCTCGGCTCACTAGAGTTTCCGCCTCCTGGGTTCAAGCGATTCTTGTGCTTCAGCCTCCTGAATAGCTGGGATCACAGGCGTGCACCACCACACCCAGCTAATTTTTTTATTTTTAGTAGAGGCGAGGTTTACGCCATGTTGGCTAGGCTGGTCTTGAACTCCTGACCTCAAGCGATCCGCCTACTTCCACCTCCCAAAGTGCTGGGATTACAGGCGTGAGCCACCGAGCCCAGGCCGGCCCCACACTTTTTCAAGGCTTACCTGGAAGGAAGGCAACTCTTCATTCAGATGATCAATTCTTAGGTTCCCATGGTGAACACAACAGATGAGCTGAGGCCTGCTGATCCCAGAAAGAAAGAAACTCCTTTTATGATACTTACTGCAGTTGGCGAGTTGCCAGGATGGGCCCAGAAGGATGCAATTGCAGAAGCTATGTAGGATCTGGTCCCAGAAATAGTTAAAGGTTTGGGGAAACAGTGCATATGCATGACAGACAAACAATATACCCTATGGGAAAGAGCCTAGGTTTGGAGTCAGGTAGAATCCCCGTAGCCACACTCTCCTAGATTAGCCATGTGTTTTGGCGCAGTGGCTCACGCCTGTAATCCCAGCACTTTGGGAGGCCGAGGTGGGCAGATCACAAGGTCAAGAGATTGAGACCATCCTGGCTAACACAATGAAACCCCGTCTCTACTAAAAATACAAAAAATTAGTCGGGCGTGGTGGCAGGTGACTGTAGTCCCAGCTACATGAGAGGCTGAGGCAGGAGAATGGCATGAACCCGGGAGGTGGAGCGTGCAGTGAGCCGAGATCTCACCACTGCACTCCAGCCTGGGCGACACAGTGAGACTCCAACTCAAAAAAAAAAAAAAAAAAAAAGTGAATGGTAATACCTAAGCCATAGGGTTATTTTGGGGTGTGAGTGAGATAACTTGGAAAAGTACCTGATAAAGTAACTGAAATGAACAAAGGTCCTTAATAAACAGTAGCTATTTTTATCACATAGGAATTATTCATTGTTAAAAGACTTGCTTTGCTATCAAAAACAGCGCAGGGACACAGTTACTGTTAGAGGTCAAATGGCATGGAATTCAGAGAACTCCAATTGCCCAGGGTCAGCTGTGAGAAGAACCTACACTTCTGGTTTCTTAGGGTCTCAAGGAGAAAGACAGTCTCAATCTTCTGCCACTAAGTTAAGGACCAAATGATTGGCAATAGGCAAAGTACTCTAAGAAGGCTCTGGTTTGGGTTTTGTCTTCCTTTTGGCTTTCTCATCTCCTGGGGATGATATTCTGCAGGACTTAGTTAAGGACAGGACTCCCAAGGCCTCCCCACCAGCATGCACACCAGGTCACTTGGCTCCTCCAGCCGACAGAGACCTGTACACAGGTGTCCCATACTCCCACGGGCCTCCCCAAAAGACAGTGTCTCCCCCAGCCTTATGCTTCACTTTCCTAATTTCTTCTGCCCCAATCCTCACCAGAACTACAGAGCCACTCCCCACCAGTCCAGGTACCCCCTTTCCTATAGCACCCTCTCCACAACTGTCTTGTTCTCTTGAACCTGGTTTCTTCTCTAGCCAGGATATAGAATACCGATTCAGTTAGCAAAAATGTATTAAGTGGCTGGCTACAGTGGCTCACGCACTTTGGGAGGCTGAGGTGGGCAGATCACCTGAGGTCAGGAGTTCGAGACCAGCCTGGCCAACATGGTGAAACCCTGTCTCTACTAAAAACACAAAAAGTAGCCAGGCTTGGTGGCACACACCTGTAATCCCAGCTACTCAGGAGACCAAGGCAGCAGAATCACTTGAACCCGGGTGGCAGAGATTGCAGTGAGCTGAGATCGTGCTGCTGCATTCCAGCCTGGGTAACAGAGTGAGACTCTATCTCAAAAAAAAAAGAAAGAAAGAAAGAAAAAAAAAGTATTAGGCATGCAATACTTCATTTATTGTTTATCAGATTTTTTTTTCATCAATATGTGGTGAGCACCATGCTAGGCACTGGGCACATACAGCCAGAAACAAAATTCTGAGAACATTATGGATATATGTACATCGCTGCACACTGATGCAAGCTTAGCACCTGGTGATGATACACTGTACCATTATGGACGATACGGTCTTGCTGAGGGAGGTGACCTCCCAGGGACCAACCCGCAGAGCCTATTCAGGAGCTGATAGCAGGCCTGTGTGGTTGGCCTTCAGAGGGTGAGCTAAACACTGGCAAGCAATGAAGTGGCCTTGTTAAGGCATTTAGATTTTGTTCTAAGTGCAGTGGGAACTAGTGGGGTAGTGACATTCAACACTTTTTTTTTTTTTTTGAGACATGGTCTCCCTCTGTCACCCAGGCTGGAGTGCAATGGTGCAATCATGGCTCACTGCAGTCTGGACCTTCCAGGGTTAAGCAATCCTCCCACCTCAGCCTCCTGAGTAGCTGGGACTACAGGCGTGCACCACCACACTTGACTACTCTTTTTTTTTAAGTGGAGATGAGGTCTTGATCCTGTCTCAAAATAAATAAATAAATAAATAAATAAATAAATAAATAAGATCTTTCTAGCTGCCACGTTGCGGGTGGACTGGAGGATAGCAAAAGTGGCAGCACAGAGATTGCTAGAATAATCATCCTGTATAATAATCCAGGCCCAAGATGGTGGCCTGGCCTCAGGTGGATGTAGGAAAATGGGAAGAAGTAGGCTTACTAGATAGACTATTTGGAAGTAGAATGGGTTAGCTTTGCCAGTGGACTGGAGGAAGGTGAGGGGGAGATGAATGAAAATGGGTCAAAAATGGCCCCCTAGGATTCTGCTTTAAGCACCTGAGTGGGTGAGCCATTTTCTGTGATGGGGAAGGGAGTTAAAGCAAAGAGCAGGTTCTAAAGGAAAAGCTCTTCTCTATCTAAGAGACATTTGTCCTGCTCACCACTGTTTCCCTAGCACCCGCTACAAGGCCTGGCATTTATTAAATGCCCCCAAATATTTGTAAATTAATTCCTCTTTTTAGAATTCAGTTGTGGCTGGGCGCGGTGCTACACTTGTAATCCCAGCACTTTAGGAGGCAGAGGCGGGTGGATTACTTGAGGTCAGGAGTTCGAGACACATGCCAACGAGGCAGTGTGGCAAAGTGATTAGGACCATGGACTCTGAAGATAGGACTGCCTGGATTTGAATCCTAGCACCACCATTTTCTAGGAATGTTCAGTAACTTCTCTGATAGTTTCCTCATCTGGAAAAAATGTACATAATAACTCTGCCTACCTTATAGGGCAGTTGTAAGGATTAATAGTTAATTTATAGAAAGCACTTTGAAGAGAGCTTCAACCTAACAGGCGTGATGTAAATGCTTGCTATTGTTATTAAGCTGAGCGTAGATGCAAAGTTGAGATACCAAGTTTGAAGTTTGATATGGGGATTTGGAACTAGAAAAAAAAAATGTAAGTCATCAATAAGTAGGTGGTATTTAAAGCCATAAACCTGGATGAGACTGGTGGGGAGGAAGGGGAGGATCCAGGCCCAAGGCAACTGGTAGAGCATAGAAAAGCCCACAAAGAAATTGAAAGCGGTTCTCAGCTAGGATGAAAACCCTGTGAGCAAGCAGCTCAAGGGAGCAGTGGTCATGGTGTGGTAAATGCTTCTGGGAGGCCAAGGAAGGCAAGGACTGAAAAACAACGCCGCCCCCCCACCCCGGCCCCCACTCCTGGCAACAAGGAAGTAACCAGTGATCTTGAGCACTTTCTGCAGAATGGCCAGGGAGGATGGAGGGGTTGAGGAGTGAGATAAATGACCATGTGTCTATACAGTGAAATTCCACCAGCCTGGAAATTGACAAGGCCTGTCTCCATGTGTTGCTAGAAAAGTAAGATATATTGATAAGTTTCATAGGTGAGGTACAGAACAGATTGTGCAGTGTGTTCCCATTTCTGAAAGTAGACCAGAGGACATGCATATCTACAGAGAAACTGGGGGGGAAGGGGGCACTCCCCTGCAGTGTTGGAAATCTTTAATGCACACACAAATATGTGTCTATATTCCCCCCTATTTTGTTTTTACACAAACTGTAGCAGATGGTACACACTGCTCTGTACCTTATTTTTTTTTCCTTAACTGTAGACCTTGGGGGTCTTTCCATATCAATACACAGAGCAGATCTTCTTTATTATTTTAACAGCTACAGAATATTCCATTGTATGCATGTGCCATCAATGTCACTGCTGACTCTTTAGGTTGTTTATAATCCTATGCTGTTATAAACAAAGCTGCACTTATTCCAGTGTCTTAAAATAACTTCATGACTAGCTGATTTTTAGAGTGAACATGAGGTAAGCCTGCAGAAATTCCACATGGATGGAGACACCTCTTTCAAGAAGTCCAGGTGTACAGGGAAACAGATAAATAGGGAACCAGCAAAGGAGATGCGAGGTTAAGAAGGGGCATTATAAAGATGGGTGATGCTTCAAGCAAAGAAGTATAACAAGGGGCCTTTCAAGAAAGGGTATGGGGGGTGAGGGTGGAGGCAGCAAGGAAAAGCCTCTAAGAAGGTGATATTTTAGCAGGTATGAAACGATGACTTAAAACAGTGTGAGATCCTATGTTGGGTGCTGCGGGAACATCAGGATGGATGGACAGACACTGGCCTTCTGGAAGGTTCAACTCCAGCAGGGAAGCTGTGCTGTTTCACAAATTGGCTGCAATATTGTTAGAAAGTGGTTGATTCTCGGCCGGGCGTGGTGGCTCACGCCTGTAATCCCAGCACTTTGGGAGGCCGTGGCTGGTGGATCACCTGAGGTCAGGAGTTTGAGACCAGCCTGACCAACATGGTGAAACCCCGTCTCTACTAGAAATACAAAAACATTAGCTGGGTGTAGTGGCGGGAGCCTGTAATTCCAGCTACTTGGGAGGCTGAGGCAGGAGAATCACTTGAACCCGGGAGGCGGAGGTTGCAGTGAGCCAAGATCATGCCATTGCACTCCAGCCTGGGCGACAAGAGTGAGACTCCGTCTCAAAAAAAAAAAAAAAAAAAAAAAAAAAAAAAAAAAAAAAAAAAAAAAAAAAAAAAAAAAAGAAAAAGGAAAAAAGAAAAAAAAGAAAAGAAAAGAAAATGGTTGATTGTCTTAGAGGTACAGGATCTACAAACTTCCCACTGTGGTCCCTGCTGGTGAAGTGTGCTCAGAGTTCCAGAAGTTCCCTGAGTTCCTGATAAGACAGGAAGCTAGGGGAGAGGAGAATATTTTGCCTGAAATGTTAAGATTTTTTTCCCCCATAGGGATTCAATGACACGCATGCCCTGGAAGGTTTCAAAAATTGGAAATAAATAAAAATTCCAAGAAGAATTTATATTCCTGATGGCTATGCTGATGGTCTTGTAAATTGTATATTTAATCAAAGACACTCAAATGTCTTTTTTTTAACTATTGAAGAGCTATTTAAATGTCAACATAAGTGATTCCCTCCCAAATAGTGCTGTTTATACATTACTTCCCCTAATAGACCATAATGATTCATAAGGAGGCATTTCTCGCCTCTAAATTGTAGGCCTATTGAAATATAAATTAAGATGATAAATAATTTGACCTTACCTGAGAGTACTAAGTATTTACATGTGTCAAATACGAAATTACCCTGAACATCATGGTCCCTAAAAAGGCAGCCTTCCTCTCCCGGGTGAATTCATTAAATGAAACGGGTTTATAAATTTCTCTTAGAGTGTGGAAGAGAGAGAGAACACACAAAAGAACGGGCCCGGGGACCCGGCCGTCCCCGCCCTCCAGCTTTCCCATGAGGCCCGGGGGGCCGCGGAACCCACTCCCCGGCGGGGAGAGGCGGGTGCAGACCGCCCCCGCGCGCTTCCCGCGCTCCCCTCTCCCCCTCCTTCTGCGACGCCGCAGGAGTTTCAAAACATGGAGTTTCCACAGGAACTTTGCCAGGCCGAGCTCGCAGCCCTCCCGGGCTCCCGCAGCGGGATTCGCCGAGTCGGCGGCGCCGCGCGGCCTCCCCGCCCCCCACGCCCTCCGGGGAGCCGCTGACCCGGCGGCCTCGGGCAGCTCCGCAAAACCGCTCGGTGGCTGTAGAACCTGGGGAGGCGCGGGGGCTCCGGGGCTCCGCACCCCCGCCGACCCCGTCCGGGCCCCGGAGGGTGGCAGCCTGGCGCCCTCCGCGGGGCCGGCGCCGAGTCCGTCCGCCGGCTCTGTTGGCTTGGCTCCGCCGCCCGGGGCCGGGGCCGAGGAGCGGAGGTCGCCGGCCATGGCGAGCGAGGCTGGGTACCTGGCCGCCCGCTCTGGAGTTTTGTTTTGAAGCCCGGCGTGGGGGAGGGGCAGCACCTCATCAAGGAGAAATTTCCTGTTCGCAAGCAAGACTCCGCTTGCAGAGTTTCTGTCCTGCCCTTGACCTGACAAGTGGATCTCGGCTGCGCGGGTCCCCGAGAGTCGAGCCAGCCGCGCCAGGAGCGCGCGGGGGTGGGGGTGGGGGCACCCGCGCCGAGGACCGGGGAGCCCGGCTGAGCGGGGCCGACGCCTGCCCTCCCGGTTCCCGGGCGCACCCGGGAGCGCAGAGCCGAGCGGTGACTAATCTGCGGCTCCGGGCCTCTTGGCGCGCAGCCCGGGTTCGCCTCCCGCCCCCTCGTCTCTCCTCCTCCCCGCCGCCCTCCCAGCCCAGCAGCGCAGCGCTCCGCCGAGCGAATCGTGCGGGCCAGGGCCGCCGCCGCCGCCGCGTTCCCGGGAGTGTGGGAAGCGGGTCGAGGCGGGTGGCTCGGGAGCCGTCTCCAGTCGGCCTCCTTCGACCCGGGACCGAATGTGCATGTGTTACCTTCCCCTTAAGCACTTTGATCAGCGTTTTCTCCTCGCAGCCGAGGAGCCAGAGCGAACCGGGGCTTTTAACCCCCTGCGTGCCGGCTCCACCGTGGGCTGAGGGAAGAGGGTGCCGCAGGGAGATTGGTCGATACAGGGTGCGATCAGTTTGGTTTAGCAAGCCTGAGCCAGGAGGAGCCCGGCCGGATCCGAGGAGCTTGCCCAAGCGCGGGACGCTCTCCTGTGGAGAGCAGGCCGCTGAGGCCCGAGGCGACTCGTTAATGTTCAAGCTCTCCCAGGGGCAGCGCTGTAACGCGACCTGCCTGGCCAGGCAAGGTGCGGGCTTGAAAGGCCCGGCGGGCGGAGGCTTCTGGAGGGGCCCGGGAGGCCATGGCGGGACCCGCCTTCACGCACCCGGTTCGTTGGCGCGTGGGTGGCTCCTAACCCCGGTGGAGGCTTTGCGCTCGCCTCGCGGACTCGGCTCTGGCCGCCGCTCCCTCCCCTGGTCCAGGCCTCGCTTGGGAGTTAATGATTGATTTACTGGCTCCGCGCGGCCGGCGCCCTCCCAGCTATTTGTCCAAGCTGAGGAGTTGCTGGCGAGCAGCGCAGTAGGCCAAGAGAGCGGGGGTCGCCGGGGAAGGGAAGCCACGCTGCCGACGGGAAGGAGAGGCCACTAGATTAGCTCCCACTTGGCGGCTCTAGCTGTGTCGGGGCAAACCCTCAGGAAGCCGGGCCCGGGCGAAGGGAGCATTGGGAAGCTCCACATGTAAATGGGTTGGCAGCTGGCGATTAGGCCGCCCGATTTTATGAGTCATAATGGGCCTCCCGCCTGGCCCTCAACCTGCTCGCTGTGGATCCGGCGCGCTTGGGGCCCAAGTGGTGGACCATTCCGGCCGCGCAGAGGGACATGCTTCTGGGGGCCCAGGCCGCCGAAGGAGTTGAGAAGGACTTTCTCTCCTTTCTTGTAGAAGGCAACACAAACACCCTAAATCAAACCGCTCCGACAATCGAAGGCTCCACACAGACACATCAATAAGGATTTCGCCTCCCGCGTATGAACGCACAGAAACACTTGTCCTATTTTTATGCAAATGACACCACACAAATAGATCTCGCAGGCCCGGGAGAGGGGCGGGAGGAGGAGGGGCGCCGCCACCCCAGCCAGGGGGCTGTGAGAGGGGAGGGGCGCCAAACCCGCACCCCAGGGCCCGCGCCGGCTCGGGCGCAGCGGGGCTGGCACTGGTCAGGAGGCCCGCCCCGCGGGCAGTGGCTCCCTGCCAGCGCCGCCAAGTCGGCCGCGTCCCCAGGCTGCCTGCAGAGGCGGATTAGGGAAGGAGCGAAGCGAGCCTGTGACTAATCGCGGGGCCTCGGACCGGAGCACCAAGGCCATGTGCGACTGACAGGACCGACACTAGCAGAGGACACGGCGACGCCTCGCTTAATTGCAGGCTTAAAAAATTGCCGCCTGAGCAGCTCTGGCGCGGAGAGCCACGGCTTGCGCGTCGAGCTAGGGAGCGCGCGCGCTTGGGTGGGGGCGGGGGTTCCTGCTCTCTCGCTCCAAGGTTGGAACGTTTGGCGTCTCCTGGACCGAGGGACCTGGCCCTTGCGTCCCCCACTCTGCTGGGTCGCCCCGCCCCGCGTGCCGACCAAGTGTGGCTGAGCCCGCCAGGAGAGTACGATCCAGCCTCCAGGGCTAGGTTTCTGACCCGACCCTTTCCCCCTAAATCCGACGTTTCCCCGCTTTCGCCCTAGATCCTATACGGGAGGGGGCTGTGCAGTTGGGGGTGACAGATTCCAACAAATCCTTAAAATAAAAACCACACGCACGAAAGAAACACTTTCTCTTCCCTCCCCTTCTTCACCGACTGATACAAAGCCCCGAATGACCAAAGGGAAAGAGGTAAGTCGGGGCTGCAGGGAGCAAGGTCATCGAGTGCCAAAACCTCGGGGCTCACAGACACGCACTCTGAGTTCTTCACCCCTGGTCACAGTCTCTGTGGCCCAGACCTTCCTGGAGCACTGGGGCCTCTCGGGGGCGAAGGGAGAAGCGTCGGGAGGCCGGCGGCTCTGTGTTGGGGAGGGGGAGTGGGAGGGAGCGGAGAACCCAGCGAGAGAAGTTTCCACCACGCTCTGGCCGGCTACTGCCAAAATCCCCGGACCCCTCCCCGCCTGCACCGCCTTCCGTTGCCACCACAAGTTTGGTTTAACGAGAGCTCGGGACAAAAGCAAACGTTTTCTATAGACCCCGAAAACAAAGGGGAAAGAGACGCGCGGGGCCGCGGAGAAGCGGCTGCTAGCGTAATGGTGCCAGGCCGAAAGCAGAGCATTAAAACTGCAAAAGCCGCGCGGGCGGGAGGAAGTGCGAGGCGGGAGGCGGGAGCGCGGGGAGGGCGGGAGGCGGGAGCGCGGGCGGGGGAGGGGCGCTGCGCCATGTTTCCGTGTCACCCGCCGAGTCGTCGGCGCTGGGCTCGGCCGCCGGCTCCCGCCTGCCTCCGTAACAGCAGAAAGCGTGCGATTAGCAGCCAGACAGGCGGGGACTCCGGGCCCGCGGGGCCGCCGCACACGCCGCCCGCGGCCCGAGCCCGCGCCCCCCGCCCGCCGGGTAATCATCCTCCTCGCTGCAGCGCTGTGTGCACTCTCATTAGAGTAGGGAGGCTTTTCTCTGTGCACTCGCTCGGCTCCCGCTGGCAAAACAACGCCTTCCCGGGCCGGGCCCTGGGCCAGGAGAGTCGGGGAGGGTGGGACGGAGGTGGGGGGTGGGTGAGGCAGGGCAAGCCTTGCAGGTCAGCTCCGCCGCCGGATCTCCTCCGGACACGGAGGAGACGGGGAGCGTCCATTGGCCCTTCCCTAGGTGGAGTGGCAAAGTCCGAGCCCCGCAGCCGACCCTACGTCCCTACGTGGAGGGGGGCGGGTGGAGTACCGGTGCCGCCATGACCTACTCCCGTCCCCCGCCGGAGGCTAGAGTAGGGCTGAGGGGGAGATGAGTGTGTCTGGTTTGGAGAGCGGGGGCGGACAC
Organism: Homo sapiens; assembly: GCF_000001405.40. NCBI lineage: Eukaryota > Metazoa > Chordata > Mammalia > Primates > Hominidae > Homo > Homo sapiens. Next base: position 40,105,930 of record NC_000023.11, on the reverse strand, counting down.
TGGGAAGGCTCCCAAAACAGGTTTTGCCCCATCTGTTTTATGAACGACCTCTTCAGGCCAGAAGCCGGATCCCAGGGGTGGCGGCCCTTCGACCTTCGAAAGGAGACCCGGGCCCCCAGCAGGCCCTCTGGCTTCGCGCTCTGTCGCCTGCAGTGGGTGGGAGATGGGGGTGGCCGAGGCTTGGCTGCTCCTGGCCCTGAGCTTCGGAGCCCTATTTTCTCCTCCGCGATCTCTGCACACAACAGTAGGCAGCCTCTCACAGCAGCACGCGCCCAGCTGCAGGGCCTGGGAGCAGGTGTTCCTGCCCGGCCGGAGTGGCGGCTCCGCGCCCCTCCGGTCCCAGCTGCGGAGCTGCGAGCGGTGCGGGGGGGCGTGCTTATGGTGGTAGCAGAGGGACAGGGACATCTCATCGGACCGCAGGAAGGGTCCTCTCGGCTTACACCGGGATACCGCAGGGCCCGGGTGGTCGCCTGGGGCGAGGAGGGATCAGGGGTGACGCGCGGCCAGCCCTCGTCTGGAACAGCCCTGGGGCCAGCGGAGGCCGCTCGGGGCGGCGCGAGGGCTTCCGGTCCCCGTGACTGCGGCGGCGGCGGCGGGGCGGCCGCGAGGAGCACCCTCCCCTGGCTGCTGCCGCCGCGCGGCTCTCGGAACGGCGCCCCAGGAGCCTCTCTGCGTCTGGCAGCGCCGCTTTCGGCTTGCGCTGGGATGGGGGCCGCAGGGTGGTCTCGGCCCAGCCCCCACGGGGAGGGGCGGGGAGGCGGGGTCCGGAGACCCCGCGGGAACGGCCGCGCGCCTCCCAGCACCCCCTCCTCGCCGCCGCCGCCGCTGCTGCTGATATGGCGGGCACGTGAAGCGCAGCTTGGCGCCCCGGCGCCAGCCAGGGAGCGGCCTGCCCCGCCGACTCAGCTTACCCGCGGGCCCAGGAACGCGGAACCGAGCCTGGCCGGGCTCCGCGGAGCCCGCACCTCCGCCCGCAGCTCGCTGCGGCCCCGCACCCTCTCCCCGCCTGAGCCCGGCCTTGGGGCCGCGCCAGGCGGCTCGCCCGAGGGGAACTCGGGCTGACTAATGGGACGCGTGTGGGCCTTACGTGAGGCCCGGCTGTCAGCGGATACCCGCTTGCTCGGAGCTTAGACCGCGGCCAAGCTTTTCGGGGAAGGGCGAGAGGAGGGGTTTCCCCGCTGGGCGGTTTCAGCTCCCCAGGGACAATCCGTCCGCGGCAGGCCCCAACCTTTGGATCTTGCAGCCTGGCTTGGAGACGGTAGACTTGGCATGTGCCGGACGCCACGGTGCCGACCCGGTCGGGGGCAGGGGGTGGGAGCCTCGGGGTTGTGAGCTGGGGGTGGGCAGAGGCTAGGTCAGCTTGGTCTGGGGCGCCCGCCTTGAGGTTTGCATTCTGGGGCTAGCCACTGGGCCGGGGGGAATTTGCAGGGCGCTCTGAGGTCGTGGAGTCTGATACCAAAACCTTCCTCGACAAAGTCTTCCGGAAACCCCTTCGCGAAATTCCTGTGCGGAAAGAAGGATTTCTAAAACTCCCCGAGGGTCCGGTTCGGCTGGGAGCTTTCGGGTTCTAGGGAGTGTGATTTCCTTTCTCTCCCTTTATAGGGGCCTATAAATATCAGAAGAGTTTCTTCTTATTTCGCATTAACAACCACTTCATGTTGACATAGTTATATGACCCTCCCAAGTATAACTACCTGTTTAGTTTGAAGGCACTGAGTGCGATGGCGAAACACAAACATCGACCAGTAACTAAGAGAAGGAAAACCCAGCCGCGAGCTTGGGTTGGATACAGGATAAATCCTCATCACGCATCCCTGGTTTTATTCAGCCTAATTGCACTAGTAATCCTGCCCCCCGCGAGAAAGCCTGAAATCCTGCAGTCGAGGTGCGACTTTTCCTGGGGAGCCCCGCCAATGGGGGGTGGGTTGTCAGTGGAGGGGAGGTGGGTTTTAAATGTCACTTCCAAATGAAAATCTTTCTTTCTTTTCTTTTTCTCTTTTTCTTTTTTGATCCAGTTTTCGAAAAGAGCATTTTTGCGAGATAAGAAGTGACCGATCAAAATCGCTAAGGGGAGGTTGTAAGCAGCCGCTTTGCCCCAGCTTAGCGTTATCTTATCTCTCACACTTGCATGGCGGAAAAAAAAATTGGCTTATCTTTATCCCCACCCCCTTCTCGCCTTAATTGCTAAAAAACACTAGTGTGTTAAACCGGGAGGAAGGAGGTCTCTGGAGTGTCAGTGGAAAAGGAAGATTCAAAAATGTGGGCTCCCGGGGGAAGCAAGGGTGGCAGAATTTATTCTTTCCCCCAGGCCTTTCTGGTACAACACAGGGTGTAGTCCAGGGTGGAAGGCTGGGTGGCTCTTTTTTTAAATTATTATTTTAAGAACAAAATCTGGGCTTGGCCTTGGGTCGTGTGGCTTCCCCAGGCCTCGCTTTCTGAACTTCTCCCCTCCTTCATCTCTCAAAAGCTGCTGGTGGGTCTGGGTTGAGGCCTCTCACTCTGCCTTCATCCTCCCTCCTCTAGACACATCCTCCTTTTGGGGAGGGGGGGATGCAAGGCTAGGACACATAGCCTGCTGGAAATCATTAAAATATATGCGAGTGTCTGCAAACACACACTTTTAAATCATGGCGTTTCCCCTCCACGCTGGTCTATTTAAACTCCAGAGCGAGCTGGATCTCCTCCCTCTCAGTCGTTTGTCTGTGTCACCGACAGGCCGCTAATGGCCGGGCTTCCAGGCGCTGTGCATTATGCATTAGCCTCCTCCCTCCGCCGCACACAGAAGGTTCTGTCAGGCCGCACCACACAAACCACCCTGAGCCCCCCCACCCCACCCCCCGCACTCAGGGCCGGGGGCTGCGCGGCTGCTAACGCGCTGGGAACGCAGGTATGGAGAGGAGGATGAGCACCGAGAGCAGAGTGGTTCGGAAGGTGGAATGGGAGCGGGTGAAATGTGCCGAAGATTACACCGTTTGGAATGCCCAGTCCGTTGTGAGCCCCAAAGCTTTGCTCCTGGCTGCGACCTTCTCGAGGCAACCATCCCGCGCCACTCACCTCTGTGACCGACTTTGTTGGGGGCGGGAGGGCAGAGGTATTTAGAGACAGATCAGCACCGCTTTCCCTTCTGCTGGTCCGTACCCACCTTCCTGCTGCAGGCGAGGGGCTGGCAGAGCCTTCTCTACCCCTCCAGTTCGGGAGTGGTACCGCGAAGGGGTTCGGGGTGGTGCGTCTTCGCAGGGACCCGGTGGGAGTGGAGGAGGGAAGCTGGATACAAAATGGCTGGGGCCGGAGGCCGGCACACTGGGTCCGAAGGCGAGTAGTTGGTGGTTCCCCGCCCCCTCTCCCGGCGGTTCCCACTCACTGCCCCCAGCCGGGTAAAATATGCGCAGAAGGCGCCTTGCTAAATAAGCAGCCGAGGCGGGACGTGGCGTCCGGGTTTATCTGCAGGAGCACCCGGCCCAGCGCGGCGGCGTCGAGGGCTCTTAAGCCCTTGCCGAGCGCAAGAGGCGGCCAGCCTCCCAGAAGCCTCCTGTATTATGCCCATTTGGTCGACACCCAACCACCCTGCGGGCCCCCGTAGTGTAGATGCCAGTTCACCCACACGTGCCTGTGTTCGGGGAGCTCAGGGCCTGACCCAAATCGAGCCCAGACCAGAAATTCCAAGATGGTTGCTAGGAACCACGGAGAGGCTGCCCTTAGGGCCTTCCTTCCCCAAACACCCAATAACCCTCCAAAGGCTAGGAAGAAGAAAGAACAGTCATGTTCAGCCTGGCGACCCTTAAGTCCAGCAGTCTTCTGCCCTGGGAGGCAGCTACCTTTAGATGTTTCCAGATGAGTGAAATCCTGGGAGGAGGATGCGCCTCCTGTTTGTTACCTCGTTTGAGTTTCAGAGGGGAAGCCAGCTGTGCCTTGTGCTTGGAGGATGGGGCAGCGGATGTTTTTTAAAGTGCCATTGGATAAGCCCAGAGTTCTTGTACAAAGTGACCAGAAGACTATAAGTGTGGGTGTGTTTTTAAAGAAAGGCTACCTCACATTATGTAAAAATACATTATCTGTACTCATCCGAGTCCCACCTGTTCCAGTACCAAGTGTCATCGCCCTGAGAACAGCCTCCGAGGAGGACCATCGGAAGCCTACACATACGTTATAAGCTTTATGATGTGGATCCTAGTATACGTTATAAATAAATCTTGCACACAAGGTTAGAAGGCCAGGGTCCCCCCAAACACAGGATGCCTGGCCTTTCCCCTAGGCCAGGGTGGAGCTGGAGGTGTGTGGGAGAGGCCCTAGCGGGTCTTGCAGAGTCAACCTGCCTTGAGAAGGGCAGCCAGGCTCAAGGCCTGCTCCTAGAAGGGCCAGCTCGATTGCCCAGTTGCAGGGCCTGGTTAGCCTGAGGTCGAGTGGTTTGTTATAATCAGGAGACACTTCCATGGGAAGGGAGATTGGTGGCGGAGGGGCAGCCCCCGCTGCTCCATCCGCAGCACCTCTCATTTCGGCACCTATTTCTTTATTTCTCCGTGGGCTGCACGGCCTCCCCTCCCATGCACTCCTTTGCTCACTCTCTCCTCCTCCTCTGTTTTCATTGAAATCCTCCCCTTGCTGAGTGCTGGGTATAGCAGCCTGACCCCCGGGTCAGCTCCCGAAGGGCTTGTGGGAGGGCAGGAGAGGAGGGGGCAGGAGAAGGGCCAAACCGCCGGCACCCATTGCAGGCCCCGCGGCATCCCCAGCTCCCTGAGCCCCTTCTTAAGTGAGGACACAAGATGGGATTGCCCTTCGACAGCTTTCTGCTTGTTTTCCCCAGAACAATTGGAACTAACCGGGCCAATAGGTGTAATCTCCCCTCCCCCCCTCTGCCTTATAGCGCCTCGGGAAAATCCCACATTTTAATTCCCAGTGAGTCACGAATCCCCCCCACCACTCATGCCTCTTAGGACTCCCTTAATAAGATATTTTTGAAATCCCACGGAGTTGAAAAATGTATCCCTAGGAGATGGAGGAGAAACCCTTTAATCCTACCAGCCTACCGTGGAGGCAAGATCCCTAGAAAAGGTGGGGGAGGATGTTGCAAATTACGTCAAAGGCGAATTTACTGGCCTGTTTGTCTCCAGCATCAAATTTCTCCCCCAGTCAGCCCTCCCCTCGGCCCCTTCGCATTTACAGCACCCCCACCACCCCTGTTCATTTTAACTCTAGGACTTTTTTTTTTCTTTTTCTTTTCTTTTTTTTTTTTTGAGACGGAGTTTCGCTCTTGTTGCCCAGGCTGGAGTGCAACGGCGCGATCTCGGCTCACCGCAACCTCCGCCTCCCGGGTTCAAGCGATTCTCCTGGCTCAGCCTCCCGAATTCTAGGACTTTTAAAGTTAGACAAACAGGCCTCTTTGTCAGCAGCCCCGGGAGGCCGTAAGACTCTGAGAGGCTGCAGGCCCCGAGCTCGGTTCCTGGATTTTCTAAAAGTTCTGGACGTTTACATGCGACTTCGAACTCCGAGAAAAGCCTGTGCCTGGGGGCAGAGTTGGGGAGACGAGGGGAGGGGATAGAAGGTGGCTGGGCGCCGGGCCAGGGCCTCTGCGGTTCGGCCTAACCGAGCCGGAAGAGCCTGGCACGGCTCCACACTGGCCCAGGCCAGTTCTCCCGTCCAGCCTGCAGCAGCAGAGCGGCCTCCTCGCCTGGAACCACGTTCAGAGTTTCCCCACAAATACCCAGCTTCAGCCTTCCCGGTTATTTTTGACTTGTTTTGAATAAAAGGAGTCGCTTCAAAAAGAAATGTTGCCACAACACACAACCAGAGGCCTTTTCTCCAGCTGTGTCTGTAACTCGCATGCGTTCAATCTAATAACTTTTAATGTCTGGTCCTAAAATGTCTTTATAAAAAATAGTTTTACAGCATAATAGTCCAGGTGTCTTTCTGCTTGTTACCGGAGATTAAAAAAATGTGTGGGTTGGCTTGCAGAGATATCCACCCCCAGAAAGACCAGGAAGAAAAAAGCGTGCATTCCATTCTGCAGGCGCTGGTCCTGGAAGCGTTCGCGGCCCAGCCTGGCTGGGCACTGCTCGCGGGGGCACTTGCTCGCCTGTCTTTTGCATCAGTTGTTATAAGCAGCTCTGGAGCATGAAGATTTAATTCTGCCGAAGTTTCGGGTTTCAAACGGTAGAGATGTTTCACTTCTGCTTTGAGAAGGGCTGTTTTTATAACTATGTGCTGAGAACTAAAACAGAATGAATAAAATCGCACCTAATACCAGTCCCACAGTCAGTAGTGAGTCTAATTTTTAAAAGGGAAAATATCTGCTAGCTAGAGCTGATTTTGGCCTTGACCTTGACTTAGTAATCAACTTGAGATGCTTTTGATTATTTTTGGCATGGGGACACTCCAGGATATTTTAAAAACTTTCCGTGTGGATTTACAAGCCACCTCCATTTCAGATTTATGTTTCATGGAGCCTGCACCATCTTGTCCTTAGGCAGAAAGAGACACCCCACCCCCTTCCCAGTATAAAAAGACCCTAGTGGGCAGCCGAATGGGGTCACCATTGGCCGCGAAGTCCGGGCCCGCAGTCTGGGCGCGGTTAGTCCGGAATACCCCCTCCCCCACTCCTACCCCTTCCCGCCAGCTTCACCAACTAGGGCTTCTCGGCTCGCCCTTGAGGCTTTGCGCTCCGGGGAGGCCGGAACCTCGCTTCTCCGCTTCCCCCTCCCTCCCGCCTGCCCCCGCCCTCCCCCCGCGCCCAGAGCCGCGCCGGGTGCGCTGGAGAAGCTCAATACGTGTCAATTGAATTGAACTGCTGCGGGCGCAGGCTGTACGCCGCCGCCAAGCACCGATCAGCACGACGTTACCGAGTGGAAATTTATGGGGCGAACGGTGTAAGCCAAAAGTTGCTCCCTGTCAAGGAAAATAAAACGCGGGAGATAATCTCCCAACGCCGGGGCGAGGGGCCTGGGCAGCCCCTCCAACCATCAGAGGTACAGACCGTGAAAATGCTCGAGAACCGGGAGAAATACAGGCGGATCTCCGCTCGCCGACCGCCCCCCACACGCCTCCCGGTGCCTCCACGGGCTGCTCCCCCCTTCCCCCACCTCCAAACAATTCCCACACAATTGAAACGTCCGGGGAACTCGGGCGCGGAGTTCAGGCGGAACGGCCACCGTTGCCTGGGGTGGTGTTTTCAGGTAGCTTTTAACACCGAAATGGGAAAGGGCTCCTCTGGGAGGAAGGGGCAAACTGGGGTGGGGGTGAGCACGGGAGCACACAGGCCACGCTCCGCTGGGTCTCGGAGGGGACGAGGCCGGGAGAGCGCAGCGCTGGTGGCAAGAGGCGGCGGCAGCGGCTGCTGCCGCTGGGGTTTGACAGCTTTGGCTGAGCGGAGTGCGAGGCGCTTTATGGTAATTGCGGTCCTCCACTGGCCTTCTGGGTAGCGAGGGGAGTCTCGGCGCGCGGCTGGGAGAGCCGCCCCCGCCGCCCCCATCCCTTCGGCTCTGGCTCTGCCGGCAGCCCTCGCCGCCGCCGCCGCCCAAGTCGGTCTCCGGCTCGCCCAGGACGTGCGCCCGGGTCGGGCGTGCGCAGCCAACTCGGCCCGAGCTGGGGAGGGGAGGCCGGGGGACGAGGAGGGGGGGCGCCACCCAAGTGGTCCGGGGTTCGGATCCAGAGAGGCCAAAACGTGCCGGGCCGTGCATCGATGACGGCCGGGGAAACTCGGGCAAACCTTTCCTGGGGAATCACCCCTCCCGAAACCCCGCCGCGGAGGCGCCGCAGCGGAGGGTGAGCGGAGACTGGCGGAGCTCAAACTTGCGAGAGCTGGAGGCGGCGGCGGGCGGGCGGCTGTCGCCCGAGCGCTGCGCCTGCGGGGGGAGGGGAGGCGGCTGTTGGGAGGGAGGGAGGTAGGGCGGGCGGGAGGGAGGACGGGCGGAGGGAGGGGGAGGAGGAAGAGGAGGGAACCAGGGAGGGGGGACGCGTTGGGATCGCGGCGTGCGGCGGCAGACGGAGCCTGGGCTCCCAGCGGCAAGGTGAGGCAGAGCTGCGCTCCTCGCTGAACGCGGGCCGAGCTCGGCGGCTGCGGGGGAGACGCGCAGGAGCCCAGACCGCGACCGAGAGCGGGAGCTAGGCGGGCGGCGGCGGCGGAGGGGGAGCCCGCGAGCCGCCGGGCGGAGAGCCCAAGCCGCGCTGTCGCCGCGCAGGGACGACTTGGCCAACACTCACACACACTCACACACACCCAGCCCGAGCGGGCGCTCGCGGCGAACCGTCAACATGGCGCTGGGGCTCCTGCCCGAGCGCGGGCGGCGGCGGCAGCGCGGGAGCTGCTGAGCTCGGCCAAGCCCAGTCCAGCTGCGGGAGCCCGGAGGATCGCACGGGGCTGTCGCCACCTGCCCGGAGGCCCCGAGCCCGCCCCGCCCCGCCCCCACCCGGCCCAGAGCCCACCCCTCGGCGGGGCCGACCCCGAGGGCAGCCGGCTGCCAGCAGACGGCGAGGGAGTCGAGTGAGCGCGGCGCCGCGAGCGGGCTGCGGGCAGCCGGGGACCGCAAACTTTGCTGCTCGCCGCGCTTCTCCGGCCCGGCTCCTTCTCCGCTCGTTAACGTCGCCAACCCCCCCCACCCCTCATATCTCTCTCCACCCACCCAACCGCCCCCCGCTCCTTCTCGCCGCCTCGAGTCCGCTTGGGGGAAAACTTCAAAGAGCCGGATCGCAGGCTCCCTGCCTACTCCCCCACCGGGGATTTCAGGTCAGTGCCCGGAACACCTTTCCCCCGGGAGACCGCGGACGGGTGGGCGGGCGGGCGCGCTGAGGGCTGCAGTCGGCCCCCTCTCCCGGGGCCCCCTCCCGCAGCGTACCCCGCGAAGCTTTTGCCTCGCGCTTCCCTTTGGCTGCTTGGCTCGCTTTCGTTTTTATTTCATAGCTATGTTATTTAAAATGCAGCCAACCTAAGCGGCCCCGCGTGGGCACCAGGGAGGGAGGGGGCGCGGCTGGGGGCCTGGCGCCTCCCGGTGGGCCAGGAGGAGAGCAGGGAGTTCGCAGAGTGGAAGTTTGCAGCCTGTGTGTGTCTGTGCGCGGGAGCGCGGTCGCCGCTGAGCGCCGCGAGTCGGGCGGAGGGGGGGGAGGTGGGCTGGAAGCTGGGAAGCTGGGTTCGGCGTTAGCTCGCGAGCAGGAAGGGGAGGGCAGCGGGTTGCCGTCTGCTTTCTTTTTCGACTCGGGAAAGAACTGTAAAAACCCCCAGCCGCCGCCACCGCCGCCTCGTCTCGCCTCTCCGGGGGCCGGTCGTTCCTCCAAGTGGAACGTCGGCGTGTGCGTGCGCGAGGGTGTGTGGCGAGTGCCTCGGGCCGAGCCGAGCTCGACCTGCCGCCGCTGCCGCGCAACTCGGGAGGGGAGTCCCGTTTTTTCTTGGCTTGCCCCAAAGCACGAATCACGTGGATTAAAAAAAAAAACTACTAAGAAATCGAGCAGAGCAAGGGGTTCCGACTTGGCCCGCCCGCCAGCCAGGTCAGACGCTTTGTTTTGTAAATGTTCTTTTAAGATTATAATCTGCGATCCCCCTCCCGCTTTCCCCCTCCTCTCCCTCCCCGATGTTCAGCGTAGGTTTTAAGTTATGAGCCCCCAGGGGTGGGTGTAGAATGTGCTTGTGCGGGGGCAGCGTCGTGGAGGGAGGGCGGGGGCGGGCGAGACCTGGGCCCTCCGCTGGGCAATGGGGAGTCTGGTGGGTAGCCCTGATGGGCGTGTGAAAGTCTGCGGCCGGAGGAAGTTGGTCCCACTCGGAGGGCGTGTGGCAAGGAGGCTGTAGGCGAAGAGGAACTTGCGCACCGGGGCAAGATCCTCGGCCAAGGCGGGGAGGGCGAGGCGCCGCGGGGCCCGCGCTCGGAGCCGGCGGGCGGCTGCGCCGCAGAGCCTCCGCCAACTCGGGGGCTCGCGGCGGCGGTGACGAGCGCCTGCTGTTTACGGAGAGAGCCTTGGGGCACCGTGTGTGGAGTAGGGCGGCCGAAGTCACGCGTGGTCCCGGCGGGCTTCCCGCCGCTCGCACGCTCGAGTGGGCCCTTCCCGGGGTCCCGGAGACGGACGAGTCTGGCAGCGTGTAGGCCGTGGCCGGGCGAGGCGTAATTTGCTGTTAATGAATCTTTTCCAGAAAGTCCGCGATCTCCAGCTAGAGGCTGTGAGTGCCCGCGCGCCAGGGCGCGCGCCGCCGGCGTCTGGAGGGTGGGGGTGGGGGGAATGGAAGAGCGAAGAAGGAAGGAGGAGGGTTATGTGTATTTAGAAACAAACCTTAAAAAGAAACCAACGCGCTTCAAATAGGTATTCGCACAGCCTCGCTGCGTCTAGACTAGACAGCTCGGGGTTTTAGCTGTGTTTTCCCCCCCTTTTTTCGTTTTGAGAAGACGCTAGAGGAGGGGTAGTGTGGTATTTGGTTCTAGGGGTAGTCTTTTGGAGAAAGATCCTTAAAATGGCCTGGGAGTAAAGACTAGGAGGAAATGGCCCACCCCAGAAGGTGGTGGGTGGTGAGTGCAGACAGACTTGGGTATTTCTGGCCATCTGACACTTCCTGTGGCACTGGAAACGGACACCGCGGGCCGAAATCAATCCTTACGAAGTGTTGGGTTCGGTTTTGCCAACAGAATTGCTTGCGTGGAAGGCATTTTAATTGTCAGCCTCAAAGATTCCTGTACGTGGACACTTAGGGAATACGCTCGTTCCTTGACCCTGCCCACTCCTCTCTCGACCTGTTATCTGGTGTGGGTTTTGCAGTGTTGGTTTTCGTGTTTATTTTGGGCAGGGTTTCAGCGCGTAGAGCGGAGTGGGGGGGGAAGGCGATGATTAATATGCCATCCAGGTTTAATCCGAGGCTGGCCTTCAGTGTGCGGGTATACACCGCCACGCACACCAATTGCCTTGGGGTGTTTAGGGGAGCGCGCGGGTTTTGGGCAGCAGGCGCCCGGCCGGCAAGTCGCGGCTGGGGCTCGGCTGGCCCCAGCGCTGTCCTTTGAGGCGCTGTCACCAGTAGGTGACTGAGAGTTAATTAGGAAGTGTTCTCCGGATCAATGGGCTGCACAGCTCATTAGCGATTCTCTCCAGCCCTTTGCAGGGCCGTCCTGGCCTCCGCCTCCCACACAGGCCGGGGCCTCGCTGTCCAGGCTGCGGGGAGCGCCGCTGGGAAGTGGGGAGGGGCCGGTAGCGAGGGACGGCGGGGAAGCGAGTGTAACTTCGCGGGGCGGCGCGTTGCGTGCGGCGCCTCGAGGCCCGCGCAGCCCGCTCTTTCTTCCTGCCCGCGGTCGCCTCCACTGTGTCTTTAACTCGCTCCCGCTCGCGTCGCTGCCTGGCTGCTCCTCCCCGCCTCCCGCGCCTATCTCTTGTTCTCTAAGCACGACGCCTGTGCTCCCCGCCCAGTTTAGGATTAGACAAGATAAAAATAGGACTGCCCAGCGCGCGGAGCTGTGACTGTGCCCCGGCAGCCGGGCTGGTGGGAGCGCGGGGGGCCGGAGCTGGAGAGGACCCGTGGTGCGCTCGGAGCGGCCAGTGCCTGTGGGCCCCCTACCCCCACCCCGCAGGCACCGTCACGCTCCCCGGGTTCTGTCCGCCGTGAACCGTGCGGGCCGGGGGACCTGGGCAGGGTCTCCGCGCTCTCGCGGGTGTTGTTGGTGTGCCGGTGATAGATCGGTCTAGACAGGCATGCAGGCTCCCTCCCGGCTGAAGGACTGGAGGGGGGGGAGGCGCGGAGATGGCAGCAGACTCTGTGAGCTGCGAGTGAGCGAGCTAGCCTCCGGGCCCAGCGAGCTGGGTGGAGGGAAGGCCGTGGGGGTTTCTCTTAACCCTTTAAAGGCCGTGGTGGGGTAGTGTAATAGGGAAAGGGGGGCAAAGAGCCTAGTGGAAATTCCTGGAGGCAGAGTAGCTCGCAGTGGGGAGGAGCTGTGAGTCTGGGCCTAGGGTTTTCCTTTCTCTTATGTGTGCACGGTCACATCTTGGTGCATCGGGCTCGATTCTTCCACAAACCAAACGCAGCTGCTAGATGATCTAGTTTGACCAGGTATTTCTCAGTCGGGGAGCTGTGAACACACACAATGAACACCCTCACTTTAAAAACTGAGTTTGGAAGACAGACGTAGACTCAATGTTCCCAAAGAGAATTCATGCGGGTGTTCAAGGACGGGAAGGTCTGCACATAGCTGTAGTCGGGTGGGGCCTCTGACTATGACTGCTGCAGACCAAGGACCTGAGCCTGAAATGCCCCGCCAGCATGTACAGGTATGCACTGAAGAGAGCAAAGCGGTCTTTGAGTTGTCTCTATATAAATAGACATACTTTTAACCAGGAACTTGTGAGGAGTTAGATATGTGCAAGGAGACAGCCTCCAAAGAGGAGCTGGACACTGATGTGTTGTGAGATCCATCGTTTGTGTGTGTATATATATGGCTAATATTAAATTGGTCTAAAATTTTAATACACCTCTGCAGACATTTATCTAGTTCTTTCTTCAGCTTGAAATGGGCGGATGGGTTACCCTATACATAAATAACTCATTACTAACATTCCAGTCTCCTCCTCCCTCCTCTTCCTTTCTTTAAGAGTTTGTGATCTTAAGGGATCCTCTGTTTACATTTAAACTGCAAACCCATATTGGTCTGGCCTGGGAAAGAGCCACATTATAGGCAAAGCAAAAAGAATGGAAGTAGTACGAATGCTCAGATTAAGATGTGCGCTTGAATGACATGTGCTGAGACAAATCAAGACACTTGGGCTCCGTTGCCCAAATGGAACAAGAGATACATAAGAGATAAAGAACTGGCCAAGGGGAATGTAAACATGGGTATGCAAATACAGAGATGTATAGCGATATTCTGAGAGAAAAATCCCAGACTTTGTTGAGCTGGAAACTGGGGCAGAATTTCTGTAAGTGCGTTCCAGAGACAATAGCCCATTTAAAGGTGTGAAGAGGGTCACTTGGAAACACAAAAAGCATTCATATGCATACATCCATGCTTAGATACACAGGCTGAATGACAAACACTCCTCAATGCCTGACGAAGACTTTCCTGCCGAGTGAGTGAGACCGACTTGGGTACAGAAGAGTGGGCCACACAACCACATTCACACACTTATTCACAGGGAAATAATGTGTCTTTGGCTTGAAGGAAACTGAGGGCCACGCTAGCAGCCTAAAGGATGGATGGTGTGCAGTGAACTAGGATTATCTCTGGTTATAGTTTCTTTCCCTTCTAGGGGTGAGGTGGAGTGGGCAGCGGGTTGGTGACGAGCAGGTAGGAGCCTTTCTGAAGAGATTTTGAGTTCCTGACCTTGAGTGGCTGGATCGTGTAGCCACAAGAGGGGTAGCTTTCCACTTTGTGGTCAGTAGGAATGGCTGTTGCACTGCTGGGGTCCAATTTGCTAAGGTGGAGCAGGGCCTCAGTGGGCTGGGAAGGAGAACAGGAAGAAGTGCGGCCTCTGGGAGGAATAAAAGGGAGGTATGCTTTCTTTCTTTTCTTTTTTTTTTTTCCTCTGGAGGAGACCGTGGCGGGGACAGCCTGTGTTGGGTGGATTAGCAGGCGCCTCGGTGACCCCAGACGCGCACGTAAACTCCGGCTAGGGTATGGCTTGCCCGCGGCGTCGATTTGCTGCGGTCCCTCTTTGTCTAAGCCCAGCCGGGAATTCCAGCTTTTATTGGGAAGACCGCACTTGGGTGGGGCCCGCGCCGGGCGGAGTGGGGCAGGGTCCGGTCGCGCTGGGCGGGAGGCTTGGAGCCCGCAGGACGTTCCCCGGAGCTGCGGGCAGCCCTGGCAATGCCACCCCGGTGGTTTCCTCGAGGACACCGGGCCCGGCGGACCCGGAGAGGCGCGGCGGGGCGGGGAACTTCCTGGGTCCATCTCGGCCGCCCCGCCCCACCCTTCTCCCTCCGGCCCGAGGCCGAAAGGAGCTCACAAGGCCCTTTGTTAGGCCCCGAGGTCACACTCGTGCCCCGGGGGCCGCCGATGGGTGGGAGAAAGCAGTGCTGCGGGTCAAGAGGAGCCTCCTTATTGCCTCGGTGCCCCAGCCCATCTTCTGGATCGGGCCCGGTGGGGGCCTCGCCCAAAGCTGGGTGGGGAGGCCTGGGCCGGCCCTGACCCGCCCCGGCTTCTTTGCCAGTGTTTATGGCCGACGGGATTCCGTCTGTTTGCAAAACCGGACGCGCTGCTGAGGCCTAGGTGGTAGAGCCAGGAGAAGCCGCCGGGGCGGGAGTAAATGGTCTCCCCCCAGCCGCCCTGGTGGTAGCCGAGCCGCGTTCGTCGCGCGCACTTGGCCGGGGGCGTCCACTGGTCTCCAGCCCTGCCCGACGGCTTTCTCTGGTTGCCCTCAACGTGTTCATCAGGAAGGGATATCTTACTTTTTGTTGGGTGGAGTTCATTAACGATGCCTTTCTGCGATATTTCTGTAGAAGGCTCCCTTTTGGGGCGCAAGCTCACCTCCATGTGTTTACAATCGAGGGTCTCAGAAACGGGGGTCCTCACTCCGTCATTGTTTTAGAGCTGTGTCTCCCACAGCCGGCACCCACGGGCTCGGCTCTCCATGATTAGAGAAGCGGGGAAGTCCACTCGGAGAAGATCCTGACAGCATAAAAAATAATTTGTGATCTAAAAGACAGTTTCCAGTATAATCTCATTATGCACCACAGACTCCCGATGTTATTTTGTGGAAGGCGGACAATGATCAATTTACATTGACCCGGGGCTGGGCGAGCTTTTAGATGGTAATTGCCATATTGATTTGCATGCAAAAAGGAGACCTGCTAAAATTAAAGACCGGAAGCTAAATTAAACTAAATTTATTGTCTAGGTGCAAACCAGGGGAACTGTTGGGGGATGGGATTGACTCAGGTCAGGGTGCCAGGGGCAGAGCAGGTGAGAAGCCCTGGAGCTTCGGAAGGTCACAACTTGGGAAGCGATCTTTGCCCTTGTGATTTCATGTGGGGAGGGGGAATGTGTTTAAGGAAAAAAGTTATAAAAAGACAATTTTGCATTGAAGTCACTAGGATCTTTCAATGCTAATAGGAACTTAGAGGGAGAGGAGAGGTTTATAGGGTTATAGGGGTCTTCCAGCACCATTTCCGGCGTCCCCCCTCCATTTCTATTGTTCTGCCTGGCCAGACGCTCGCAGTCGTGCTAGGGACACCAAAAACCTCTTGCATTTGAAGAGTTAAAAAATAAATAAAAGCAGCCCGTCCCCCCCTTCCCGCCTTGCTCTCTCTCCCCTCCCCCTTCCCGGAGCATTAGACTTTTCGGAGAGAGCGCACCGCGGGCAGGCCAGGACCGTTGGCGCTGTAGGGAGTTCCTCCCCGGACGCTGCGGTCCCAGGCTTGGCTGGACGGCGATCGCTTCGGGAAGCCGCCCTCTCCAGGTGGCCACAGTAGGCGGGGGTGGGGTGGGGTGGAGCAAGGCGTCTGCCCTGGCCGCCGTCTAGCGGTGCCCGGGACTTGGGGGGAATCGCCTCCCCGGAGGGGTTAGGAGGGCCAGCCCCGCCCCGCCCCGCCCCTCCCCGAACTGGGTGGGGGCCGGGGAGGACTGGAAACCCTGCCCGTTCGCCAAGGCCGGAAAGTTTAAAAAAGAGAAAGAACGCCACTTGCAGAGGGCTGGCCTGCAGCCAGGGGTGGCCGGCCTGCGGGGGCGTGCTCGGCTGGCTAGCGGGGTGAGCGCCCCGGCGCCGCCGTCTCCCCTCCGTCCCTCCCGCCGCCGAGGCCCCTGCACACTCGGTCGCACTGCGGAGCCATTTCGCACATCCGGAGCTTCAGCGTCTGGAGGAGTAACCAGTCCAGGGCCGGGAAGCCCGAGTGTCCGGTACCCCTGCCTGTACCCATCGAGCCGAGCCGGAGGTGGCTTTGGCAGGCTCTGCGGGTGTAGGTAGTTCCCGGAACATCTGAAAGCCTGGGGCAGACCCGGAAATTGGGGATAGGGTGGGGAGGGGATGTTGGGCCCTGAGGTTTGCTGCCGGCCGCTTCTGTAAAGAAACGTTGGGGAAAGGACAAGATAGCCTATCCCCCGGCTTGCGCTTTTGTGGGGGACTCTGGGTGGCCCAATAGAACATCTTGCTGGCGTCTTCCATCTTAATTCCCTCTCCCACACTACTTTGTTCCCTGGGGTTTTTCCTTTAAATCCTAGGAAAGGTAGATGGAGGAGCTCCCTCCAAAGGGCTTTTGCTCTATCTAGATAATTTGATTTATTGCTTTATGTGGCGAAACTGGGGTGGCAAGCCTAGCTCCTAGTACCAGTAGTCAGCACTTTTCCCAGAGACCTGAAAGGAGTCGACCCACCTTACCCCTGACTATTCTGGGGTACTGGAGGAAGGGAAAGGGGAGGCTTGTTGAGAGCATTGGCCTTACACCAGGGTATAACAGTGTAGGGAGATTTGTAGGATGTAGGGGGAAATGGTGAAAGACTTTGAGTGGACCAGGAGATGACTTAGATACAGGAGAAACTGGGTTCACGGCTCACTGTAGACCAAGTAACATAGGTGTTAAACACTCTTTGCCTCGTTCTTGGGTACATAAGGCCTAAGGAAGCTTTTCAGAGGAGACAGTATGTGAAAATCAGGATTTCAAATGGCACAATTAGACCAATAATTGGCTCCTCTCCGCAACTCCAGGACTGAGTTTGACCGTGGCCCATTTTTTACTAGCTGTGTGACCTTGGGGGCAAGTTATTTATGGCCTTTGAGCCCCAGTAAGTTTTTTCATTTGTAAGACTGGGAATAATTATCCACCTTTAGGATCTAAATAGAATGCTTGGCACATAGTAGGCCCCAAGGATGAATAATTGCTTTGAATGACTTGTCATGTTCCTATAGGTTGCTCCTCCATTCCCTGCTGCCCCTGAGACCCCCTGAGACTTGCTAGGCCTGTGTCCTGGGACCCAAGGATGCAGATTAAATCTCCCCTACGAGGGTATTCTAGGTCCACCTTCCTGGGTTCCCCTTTCCCTTTGTTACCGTAGTTTGCATTCTGCCTTTTAAAGGATTCCATATGAAAAGACTTGCTTCTCCCCTCCACCCCCAAGTGGGATCATTATATGGTTAGGAACTCATTTCAGAACCGTCATCTAGGTACCCTTCGGCAAGGCTTCCTGGCATTATTTCAGGGGGGAACCACGGTGCCTAGAGGGGCAAGACCTGGTTGGAAGAGGTGAGAGGGGGTGGCCTGGTGCAGAGGCCAGAGGTGCTGTGGTTTGTTTGATAGGGATTAAGTCCGGATGTTATGAGGGCTCAATGTGGTTTTCAATAAAGTCTGCCAGGGATTGCTTCTTTTATATCAATATGTATTTAAAAAAATTACTAGCATGAGAAGAAAACCAGACCTGTATGGATCCAGGCTGGTAGTAAGCTACTGTGATCAGGTTTCCTACTCGACTCCCAGAGGGGAAGTCAGTGTTTGATTGAAGCTACACTTGGTTCTTGACTCTCAGGGGATGCCTGCTCTGAAACAGGAGCCCTCCCTCCCTTTCTCTCCTCCTCTCCCCCTCCTCCTCCCTCTTTTTCCCTTCTTCCCCTAAAAGCCTTTGTGCTGAAAGAGCTTCAGTAGGCACGAATCCCTGGTCCCTCTCTAAAGAATGCCTTACAGCCTTTGCTGACATTGTTTTGTGAACAGTGGGTTTTACCAGGCCAGCAGTTTCCCCCCGATTTTAGCGCACGATTTTAAAGGTAGTGTATGGACAAGATGCGCCTTACTGCAGTGATTGCCTCAGTGTGTAGCCTGGGCTGGGGCTTGGAATCTAGAGACGCCTTAACCTTTGCCCTAGGGGCCCTCCTGGAGTGGGGGGTGAAGGTGGGGAGCTCGAGGACTGATTGTTTTCGAGGATCTGTTTGTTTTGTCCAGCCACCGAGGCTGAAGGTGGAGTTGGGCAAGTCTGAGTGTATGTTCCAGCTTTGGGTCTGATTTTAAACTTGGTTTAATTGGAGAAACTCCTAGGCATTTAACAGTTCTGTACAAATGCAAACTTGAAATAGCTCGAGGCCTACGTCATTTAGGAAAGAATAAATGAAGTACAGAAATGTCCAAACTATGTAAATCCTAGCGTTGTCTGCCCTCCCATAAACACATGACAAGTGCCAAGGCATTTCCAGTCAAAACACCCATGGAAGCAGCAGCCTCCATCCTTTGTATTTATTATTTTATTAACAGCATTTTACACAGCATTTAACAAGCACAGCGTGCCTGCTTTGCACCAGGACTCTAAGCAGGCGAAAGGGTGGAAAATGGATGGAGGTGGGGGAGGAGTGGTTGCTAGAGGACATCAACTAGAGAAATCTCATCAGATGGGTAGGGAAAGCAGCACCGGGGGTTTATTTCTACTGGCCACAAGGAAGACAGACATAGTGCTTTGGAGGAAGAAATCCTCTCTCCCATCCCAGGAGGAAAGTTGTACAGCTGTGATATGTCTGGTCTCAGCTTTGATTCCAGAGGGTAAAACAGGGTATGTTTCATGATACTCTGCCCATCGGTTATTGGTGATTTTCAAAGAATAAGTATTTGTCTGCTATCGTTATTCTATATCCTGGTGGAAAGTTTATAACGAAAAGTAATGCCTTTCTTAAGTCATAAAATGAGCCTTGTATGCTTATTTAATTAAAATCTATTTAAGGACCGATTAGGCGTGTAATTTGCACTAATAATGACGATTATGGAAATGTTCAACTTAACCAAAAATCATAAAGGAGACATTTTGATCAGTGGGGCGGCCAGTAAGTATTTAGTGAGTTGGGCAATTTCCGAAAGACAGGAGGCATTCCGCTGAGGGCTGCAGAAAGCACAGACCTGTCTGGCCTCTGTGACATGGCATGGAGAGGGGCAGACCTCCCTGTCCCGGCCCCGGCCCCAGCCCGGCCAGACCCCACTTTGCTGAGCATGGAAACCAACCCTGCGAGTCTCCACAACCTTTATTCTCGTGATGCTTCCTCGAGCTTCCAGAAGGAGTAAACTCTCGGAGAGGGCTGATGAGCCACACGGAAATCTCTGCGAAATGGCGGTGCTCTTTTGCTTTAACAAACAGCGCTGACAAACGCATGCTTCCTTGGCTAGCCTTGGCTGGATCCCGGAGGGGTAGGGGGAGAAGGGGTCCCTTGTTCCGGAGAAACCTGCCAGCTGCTGGGCTTGGTGTGAAGGCAGCAAAGGCAGACACAATGCTGCTGTTGTTGGTTTGATCTCTAACTGTGGATTGTTAGTCTGGCTTTAACTATGTGGTAAGGGGGGAATGTGAAGGCTGTTTACAGCGAGTGCAAATAATGTGACAGCTGTTGGCGCGCGAGCAGCGCTGCGCCTCCTCAGCACTTACACAAAGCGCGCACTATGCAGGCCCATGGACGAGCTGCAGAGGTGGCGGCCAGTTTCTGGCCAGCGCATCCCCAGATGAGAGAAAGCTCCACGGCACACCCGCCCTCCATCCCCAACACACATCTTTATGACTTCCCAGGATTGGGGTGGGGTGCAGGATGGTTTGTATGTTGTGGTTTAGGGAACTTGTGGTGAGGCAGAGGTGGCGGGAGAAGGCCCACGGGGCCGTGAGTGTCACCGTGTTGGTGGGGTTTGGCCAGGATCCGTTGAACTGGGTCCTCAGCTGTTTATGGCTGAGTTTTTAAGATTTGTGAAAATAACTTTCAGCCCTAAGTAAGCTTGTTGGAAAGAATGTGTTATTAACTGAAAGCTTTCTGGAAATTGCAGAGGCTCTGAAGGCCGTTGTTCCCCTCTGAAATGGCCCTGTTATTCAGACAAGTTAGAGACAGGCGGGTGCTGTGTTCTGTGCACTCGACACTGTTTCCAGCTTGGAAATGCAAGTGTGCAGGTTCAGTACCCTAAGGGGGGTGTATTTTGGGGGGAAGGGAGGACAGATTGGCTTTTGATTACCCACATCCCTTAACCTTTTCTTCCAAGCCTTCCCGTTTTCAAGAGCACATTTGCCTTCAACTGCAGCACGCAAAGGTGCCGTCCTGAAGCCTGCCCACAGCACCACCTACTCTGACTTCATCAACTAGATGCCCACAGCAACAGGCTTTCTTTGAGTTCCTGGTACCCCGCCAGGCCCTGCAGAGAGGCGCCAGGGTGGGAGGGAGAGCAGTTGGTGGTGGCAGTTACCCACTAGGCCAGTCCTGGAGGTTCATGGCTGGCCCAAGCAGGTGGACTTAGGATGGCCAAGAATGTGGACCTGCCTCTGGACCGTCCTGGGGCAAGCTGGGTGTAAAAATTCACTCCTCTCCCCCATGAGTCCCAAGGTTGAAGCCTTCCAAGCCCTGGCACCTGCCTGGTCCTCCTTGGGTTTTGGAAGATCATTTAGGGCTGACTTTGGTCTCTGGGTGTACAGCCTACAGGATATCTGCAAATCTACTTCATTCTCTCCTGTCCCCCCCACCCTCAGCACCTCCCCTCCCTAAGTCTACTCTCTAAGTTTTAACATGGACTTCTACATCTAGTTGGGTTTCCGATGGGGAGCTGGGAGATGCTTCTGGAGTGAGACATGAACTTCGGTGCCAGTTCTATAAATTGGTCTCTTTTTATGACGTGTGCCATTTTCTGTAGGAATGTTGCTTGCAAAACGAGTTTCGCCTTGGAGGAAAGGCGGAAAGATAAACAAGCCTGCAACGCCAAAACACTGGCAGTCTTTCCCTCCTTCCAGCTCTCTTAAAGCAGCCGGGCTGTATTTCCAGGATTAGACTTGTGCATGTGAGGAGGGACTCGCGTTGGCTTTTTTTCCCCCAAGCAAATGCAAATTAGAGAAAAATAATTTTCTTTCAACGATATGCAATGTATTAGTCACTTGTTATCGTGCTCCGAGGCAGGCCTCATTTGCGCGTCTGCCAGCTCGCTCACATCTGCTCAGCGCTGTTCGGGGCATTTTAACCTTGGCGGTGTCGTGTCTAGTCCCATGGATCAAGGAGGAGTAATTAAGCCCTGAACAGCTACAAAAATTCGTGGGCCCCCATCTATACCATAGTTGTTCCATGGCTTTGTTTTGGGTGCTCTGAGTTCCATGACTGAGTAGCAGACATGGGATTCCTATTGTTCCTTGTAAAGAAGGTGGGTGCCCCTCTCCTTCTCTGACCCTCATCCCAGCCTTTCTGGGACTCCCAGGCTCTGCACAATCAGTGAGAGACTCGCTTGCAGATTGCAGGACCCCTGCATTTTACACATCTTTTATGCATTAAAAGTTCCTTTGTGCTTCCTGTGTATACTAATGATAGCTGTTGTTATTAGCCTTACGGTATAGCTTGTTCCCTTCGGTGGTGGTGGTGGTGGGGGGGGGTGGCGGCGACGGCGTTTGTGTTTTACTCCTACAAAGCCCTGGTGGAAACAAAAGTGCATTGACACAGCCTTTGGAGGCATGGTGTGGAACATTTATTCTGGATTTGCCCCCAGGTTGTGTAGATTCCCAAGTGGGGACCCAGTTCTGCAGGGACTAGATCAAAGGGGGCAAGTGGTTTCTTTTTGCGTGGAGGGAAGATAGTAAGGAGGGATTCCTGGCTTTTGACTTGGGTTTCTGTTGCCGGGTGGCCTCCTGTGAAGGGACACCTGTTTCTAAATTTGCCCTCTCTTGAATACACACGTGGTTTCCTGACTCCCCGTGTGGCAAAACCATGAAGGAAAGTGAAAAGAACAAAAAGCCGGTGGGGTGGCCTGGACAGATTATCCGGGGAGACGGGCAAGTGTCCCCCGTTGGCCTGTGAGAGAGAGGTTGGGGGCACCTGACCCCGGGCCATGGGCTCTGCCTGGAGGAGGGGAGTGTAGCGGACAATCCAGGTTCGGCAGCGACCCTCAGGGTCAACCCCTGCAGATTCCACCCCGGACCCCAACGCCCGAGATTCGCACCCCTCCCACGTTACAGTAGGCGACGCTTGGCTCACATCTTTGTAAGGGGAAGCGTCCAGAGGAGCAGCGCTCTAGTATGATCGGAAGGGAACCCAGAACGATGGCGAGGAGGGGTCTGCCGTGCCCATTCCCCGGGTGGGCTCGGCGGCGTTTCCCGGGAGGTCTCGGATTCTCCCTGCGCCCACCCAAAGTTTCTTTTCGTCAGATTCGTTGATGGGGAGAGAAGGTGCGGCGGGGCCTCGGGAAGGGGCACCATGGAGAGCGTGCCAGGCCGCAGGGTCCGAGGGGTTACCTAGGGTCGGGAACTGGGAAGGTCGGGCCGCCTCCGGGGAGGCTGCTGGAGTTCCTGGAAGGCCTGGCGGGGGCGCGCCGCGAGGGCGTGAGTGTGTGCCGTGGTGCGGCCCCGCGCGCTGGGACCTCCGCCGAGGAGCGGGGAGGAGGAGCGGGCGAGCCCCGAGCAGCACGGGTGTGTGTGGTGGGAGAGAAAATCCCTTTGTTGCCGACCGATCGCGCTCCGGGCTGAAGCGCCTCAGCCCGGGGAGGGGGCGCCCCTCCCCCTTTCTTCTTCGCCGGGGCCAAGTTCACTCCCAGCCCAGGTGGCTCTCCGCTCAGACCCCGACGCCCCGGGAGGAGGCCGGGAAGGTTCTGGGTGCTGGAATGGTCTGGGCCGGCGAGTTTCCCCTTCCCCCTCCCCCTTACTAATGCAAAACTTGGAGGTGTGGGCGGGGACGCCCGTGCTGGCTACGGCTAAGGCTGTGGCTTGGAGTGTGCCAAGAGGCAGCACCTGGGCCGGCTGGATCACTTCCCTCACCCCCAACTCTCTCGGGGGAGGGGGTCGGGAGGGGTGGGACCGGGCCAGCCACCTCCCTCGACCACACCCCTGGAAGCCTGCGGTTTTGCCTCCCAGGGACCTGGGGGGCAGCCTTGGGGTATCTTACTCTCCAGCAGACCCGGAGGACCCATCCCACACTGCACATCCGGAAGAGCTTTTTCTTCTCATCTCCCACTCCCACACACCCCACCCCCACCCCTCACATCCTAAAATAGGAACTTCTTCACCCCTCCCTTCCTTGACACCCGGAGCACAGCGCTGCTGCTGTGACGCAGTCTCTGTTTGGAGCAACCCCAGGAAGGGCTGGCGGGTGGTGAGCTTTGGGCTTCTGTAAAATCTACACAGTTCTGCTGAAGTTCCCTCCCTGCTCTGATCCCCTCTCTGTTGCTGCCTCAGCCTCCCCCGCAGGATGAGGTGGTAGTGCCCCAAAGAAACTGTGTTGTGATTCTGGGGCTTATTACACAGTGTGTTTATTGGAGTCGGGTACTATTTAGCGGGGTTAAACGTGGCCAGCGCCAGCTATTGCCAGGCAAAACTCAAGTCCATAGTGCAGCTTAATCCTTTGGAAAACACAGTGCCAAATATTTACAGAGGGGACCAAGGTTGGAGAGGTTCAGCCACCTGCCCAGAGACACGCGGTGAGTGAGGGTGGGAGCCGGGAGGCTGTGGTGACCATGTTCTCCACAGAGAACCAGCCATGCAGTAGCGAGACCCCTCCCCTGAAGAGTCCTCTGCCAGAGGACCCCAGCACACTGGCTGGGAATGCCTGCCTGGCCACCTGAGCTGGAAGCCCTTGCGAACCTCTCCAGTTCTTCTGGCTGTTAACTGCTGGATAGCTGCCGGTGGGGGCAAGGGGAACCTAGTGAGAGAGATCCCAAGAAAAGACCCCGAGATGGGCCACCCTCAATGCCTGTGTGGACAGCAGGGAGGCGTGAGCAGAGTTAGTTTGGTGGCCATGCTTTCCAAATTGTCAGTGCCACTTGACAAGTGTAATGTGCAGACTTTTAACTGATCGGCGCCTCAAGGGTGGGGGCAGTGGAAAGTGGCCCTAGTGCAAGAGGGGGCCAGGGTTGGGGGTGGGGAAGGAAAGGGGCCAAGGCTTGGGACCTGTGGTCTGCCCTCACATCTTTTCACAGAGGGTGGGTGTGTCCCTACTCAGGGATGCCAAGGTTGGAGTGATGGCTTATGATCTTGGTCCCTCGACGCCCCCCTTCTGCCAATCAGGCCTTCTCCCCCGTGTCCGGGCCAAGCTCAGGTGCTCTCATCATAACCCTTGGCTGAAGAGCGAATGACTACTCAGAGTCTGTCCAGGGTGACCCAAGCTCTCCTATGTGTTCCACTTCCTTGGTGCTAAGAGCTGGAGACCATGCAGTATGCAGTGTGCACGCCTGCTTCTCACAAGCCAGGTCTCTCCACTTGGCCCTGGGTGTTCCTGCAGGCAGCTGGAACAGTTCCCAGTCTGTTCTTTAGAGACCCACACCCTCCCCATCTGACCTCTTCTCAGCTGTCTTTCCTCTCCATCCCTATCCAGCACCTTTACCCACTTCTCTCCACTACTAGAAAAAGGGGTTAAACCCCAGATCCAAGGTGCAGCTTCGCAGCTCACAGTGGAACAGGTTGGTGCTTGTAAAGTGCTTTTCATGAGTGACTTCACACATCTTGGCACTTCTGGAAGCATAGCCTGCATTTGGAAGAAGTGGGGGGTGGAGGTGGGCATTGAAAAATAAAAGCAAACGAGCTTCATCTATAGCTGCAAAGCACCCTGAGGCTCTGTTTGTCATTGAAATCAGGTCATTTGCCCTCTCCACAGTGTTCCGCTGCCAAGGGTCAGCAACATCAGTTTCGAAGCACTTGGCCTTAGAGGTAAAAAAGTCCCCAGCTATTTCAACAGCAGCTTCTAGAAGTTTGATGTCCCTATACTTTGCCTCCCAGTCTCTTTTTGTTTCTTACCCCAGTGTCCCCTTCGTTGTACATGACAGAGAAACCAGGGTGGGCTGTAGGTAATGGTGACCCCTGTTCTTCAGTAGAGGCTTGGTGTGAGCCGTATGGCCTTTGCAAAGGAGGTCCCTGCTTTTGTAGGTTTGGACTGCTCTTTGTCACCCAGGAGGAGGGCCTCCTGTGAGCCAGGGCCATTGCTCATTGGCCCTTTCCACTCCTCTCCATCTTTGGCCAGGAACCCGAAGAGTTAAAAGTCTTTAGCTTGTTGCAATGAAATTATGGCTGGCAGTGGCGCCGCTGTTTGTTCAACAGACCTCCACTTTTAAACAGTTCACAAAAAGTTCATGGGGCAGCTAAAGATTATAAGTGTGTGTGTGTGTGCGCGTGTGTGTGTGCGCGTGTGCGTGCGTGCACGTGTGTGCGTAAGTCCACAGCAGGATCCAACAATGTGTTCCCCCCTTTTGCTTTTATGTTCAGCCCCATCCTCCACCCCTTCCCTCCCAAAACACACACACACACACACACACACACACACACACACACACACACACACACGACAGTGAACCGCTCTGCTAGCCTCAACCCTCCATCTGACCCTGTGCATTTGAGAACACTTTGTTCTGGTGGCTGGTATCATTTATCTGTGCGCCATTAATATGGAAAGCCCCAAAGGAGGAGCCCTGGAGAAGGGGAGATGCTTTGAAAGCACCCAGTAGGCCCAGGTGCCTGTAAACCGCAGTCACCTTTCTGCTAAGTCCAGGTGGACTTTGCTGAAGAAAGGCTCTTTGAAGGGAAGCAGCTGCTGGCCTTTTCGGGGCTGGGCCTCAGTATAATGATTCTGTTTCCCAAGAAGGTGCCGGGAGGTCCTTTGCACAAGGTGTCTACTTAAGGGAGGTGGGTAAGAGGCAGGTTTTTTGTTTGTTTGTTTGTTTTTTGAGTTTTGCTCTTGTTGCCCAGGCTGGAGTGCAATGGTGCGATCTCGGCTCACCGCAACCTCCACCTCCCAGGTTCCAGCGATTCTCCTGCCTCAGCCTCCCGAGTAGCTGGGATTGCAGGCACGCACCACCACGCCCAGCTAATTTTGTATTTTTAGTAGAGACGGGGTTTCTCCTTGTTGGTCAGGCTGGTCTCAAACTCCCGACTTCAGGTGATCCACCCACCTCGGCCTCCCAAAGTTCTGGGATTACAGGCGTGAGCCATCATGCCCGGCCAGAGGCAGCTTTTTTAAAGGGGAGGCCAATTTTTAAGAATGGGGACACCAGAAGATTGAGGTTCATTAGGCACACGCTTCTTCCCTCATCCTTTTCTTGGGGGTTTGGTTGAGTGACCCTTTGGCTCATGATGTAATTTCTGTATTTCATCATGGCACAGTGAGGGGGTGGCATGGTGCAGTCCCACTGCTGCAGCCCGATGACCGGGACACACTGGCACCGGGGAATGATGTTCCACCTTCTCTATTATCCTACCCAGAATGTCTTCCTTTTGTTAGAAAGGGCAGCAGGGGCCGGAGAGGGGACACTGCCACTGCACAAGGGAATGTGCCTTGTGGTCTGCCCAGCCCTAGTGGTGGCCTTCCCCACTTGATTTGTGTATTTGCAAGATGGAAGAAAAGCCCACGAACCCTTATAGAACCTTCCCCAACAGCCGAGTCGGTCCTTTGGGGGCGCTGTGGCTAGTCAACTGGAAGAGCCGCTGTCTGGAGACACTTCCTAGGGAAATAGCTTTCCAGAACCCCATCATGCCTGATGCCTCTGCAGATTTCTGCCTTTTTCTTGGGCCCTTTACCTCTCTTCCAGCCTCATTGTTGAGCTCTAACTGTACGTGGTGTGTCGCTGCATGTGGATTTTGGTTAACAGACGTTGTTCTATGGGGATGGGGGCCCATGGGGGATGCTGGTGGACAAAAGACCTAGTTAGGACAAAGAAATGAGAAAGTACAGACCGGCTTTGGGATTCCATCCCCCAGGTGTCCCCTTAACTCCCACCCTCAGTCACTCTCACAGAAGAGTCCCCGGACCTGGTGCCTCCAACCCAACCGACCTGGCAGTCTGCTCCGTGTGCTAAAGTGTAAAAGCAAGCATTTGCATATTTTTTCCTGCTAACAAAGGAAATGTGTCGACTTAGGGAACATTTGGGCTTTCGGAAACTGTGTGGGTGGGTGTGTGAGGGAGGAGAAAAAAGTTCCCCTGATGATCTGCACACCAATTATTTCACACCCAGGTTTGGGTCCCGTGGAAAAATGCCATGGCCGGTCTGGACAAGGGACACTGAGATGTGTTTGTGAGCAGGGAATTGCCGAGGGCCATCGGTCCCAGGCATTAAAGGCTCCCCTACTTATTAACCCAGCATTTAACAGCAGGATATGGGCTGAAGCGCAGTCAAAAGAAACGGCTCAACCTCCAAAGAGCAATTAAAATCCTGCACGAGGATAAATCACGCGCCGTGATAATCCTGTTAATAAAATGCAGCTTGTCCTGACCCTTCACTCATGCAGCAAACTAGAATGTGATGTGGGTGGGGGCGGTGGGCAGAGGAGGTAAAGGGGGGTGGGTGGTGGTCTGAGCTCCTCTGCCTTGGCAACCTCCCGCTCCCGGAACGTGGAAAATGGGTGGCTTCTGCCGGCTCCCCATGTGCCAGCGGCTTGGAGCCCATCAGCCAGGGCTGCTAAGACTTCTGTGCTCGCTAATGATTTCTCGTCCCCAGTGAGCAGGCGTCATTGAATTACTCAGCCGCCTCTCTCTGCAGCTTCCAGGCAAAACCACCCGGGTTAGCTGCTTAATCTAATCCAGGGCTCTGGTGGGGCGGCTCACCAGCCCACCGACTCTTTTTCACACTTGATCTGTAAGTTGCACACACGACAGCCTTGGAAATTCAGCCCTAGAAACGCAGGTAGTTTGAGAGCTGGACCTGCCGCTCACCTCACTGTGGTGCCTTCCACCCTTCTTGCACCCTTTTGGCCCCAGGAAAGATCAGTTGTGTGCCTCCCAGTGATGCAGCATCCCTGAACCTATTGTCAGAGCCTCCCCTTGTTGAATCAAGTCTTCTTTACCTTCTTTAACAAGTGGCAAGAATGAATGACCACTGTACACTTTCAGAGGAAAGGGAGTGGGCGGGTGCTGTGGTGTGCCCTGAATGTGTTCTGTGCCTTGGATGAGGCTACCTGTTTCGAATTAAACTTCTTCCCCAGCCCCAGCACCTCCTACCAGGGAAGCTGCATGCCCCTCCGCTGTCCCTTCGAGTCAGGTGTCTGTCCTTGGCTCCCAGACCACTGTAGACAGCAGGCACAGCCTGCCTTCCCCATCTGCATCCTTTATGAATCACCTAGAAAGAGGCCTTCTCTAGCGCCCTGTTTGGCTCTCCTTTACTGAACCTCCTGGGATTTTTTTTCTTTCCTTTTAACAGACTAGACGCTTGAAGCAAAGCTGCCATCCCAGAAGACGACATGCTCTCAGCAACCCCCCTGTATGGGAACGTTCACAGCTGGATGAACAGCGAGAGGGTCCGCATGTGTGGGGCGAGCGAAGACAGGTGAATGCGCCCATCTGGGCCGGGCCTGAGTGGAGCCCACGCCCATGCTGAAGCCCCCCTCAACTTCTCACAGCCACCGTGGGCCCAAAAGGGGTGGGAGAGAAAGAGCTTCCCGCCTAGTAGGCCGCTCTTGATTTACAGTTTTAACAGGCAACCTGGCTCAGTGAAGCATTGCCGCCCTTTAAAAGATTAGCCCCTAAAGCGGCCTTTCAGTGCACTTTCGTCCTTAATTTATTATTTCATATTTATGAAGGAGAATTAATCCCAGTCTATATACTGCTTTAACTCTAAATGTCAGGAGTGTGGGCCCAGGTGGAGCAGCATTCTATGTGCTTTTAAAACAAATAGTTTGCTCAGTAATAAATGGGGAGAGAGCCACCGTTTTCCTTCATTGAAGCCCAGGATCTCTCATTGTCCTCTGCTGCCTGTTCCCAGAGGCCACTGGCGCCTGCTTTTGGTCGTCAGACAGCTCTGTTATGCTTCCTAATCAGTAATTTTGGAGTTGTGGGGTGGAGGCAGCTAAGCAGTAGATGATTGAAGCTGCTCTTCGGGGTAATGAGGAAACTTTTCCTCTGCCGCTTGTCAGCGATTTTTATCCTGGGGATTTGGAAGTTGGCACCAAGCACTTTCTTTATCGATGCTCTCTGATAACAAGTCCCAGGGCAGCCGCAGCAGCCTGGCACAGATGTGCAGCTTCCTTTTCAGCCTGGAACAGCTGACATTTGTATGATACTAGTGTGTATCCCCCTGTCATTTTGACAAAGGCAGTCAAATATGGCTTTTTTATCACCATGGAAACCAGTTTCGTAGGACATGGTCCCTAACTTTGTTTTGGAAAAAGTTTTGAAAGCCTACCCTCCTGGGTAACACGGAAGTGGTTGATGACACGACCAGCCTTCCAGCCCCCTTTGGTATTTGGCTGTGTTACCACTTCATGTCTACCCTCCAGGAGAGTTTATAAGGGTTGGCTGGGACAGCCGAGCTCCGATTGGCCTACTTGGCCTCTAGAGAAAAAAATCTCGAGGGAGAAGTAGTTGTGCTTAATTTCTGGCTTACCTACCTTGGGGACATCATATTTGTGATTCATGTCCTCACACATGAAAGCTTTGCGTTTCCTTTGTTTTTCCTGGTCAAGTTGAATCACCATTTGGGGGCGACTTTCAATATGGGCCATTGACAGCTGGTGGGGGCGGAGGGTTAAGGACAGTTTTAAAAATTGGGTTAGTAGAAACTGGTCTGTTCTGGGGAGATCTGTGAAAGATGGATTCAGTGAGGAATGCTTTCATGAAGTTGGTGTATCTTTTTAAATAGGAAAATCCTTGTAAATGATGGTGACGCTTCAAAAGCCAGACTGGAACTGAGGGAAGAGAATCCCTTGAACCACAACGTGGTAAGAGATTAATAGCTTCTGTTGATGCCATATCTGCATATCAGTGATCTGTAATCAATCGTATTAATTTGCATGCCCTTAAAGGGTGGGGAATGGGGGAGGGGTGGCAGTTCAGAGCAGGGCTGAGTTGGAGGCCTCTGCGAGAGGACAAGGCCCCCACCCAAGCTCTTCCAGTCTTGCCTTCCTGCCTCGCCACACATGTCCCTGTCCCCTAGTGACTGGTGGGATGTGTACTCTCTTTTCTTCCATAAGCTGGATGCCACATCAGCGCTCCCAGCTGGATAAATTTCCAGCCTCCAAGTAGCCCCTTAGGGTTTACCTTTCCAGTAAAATACGAAACACAGGACTGTCACTTCAGACACAAGGGAGAGGAAGTCAAAAGACACAACCACAGTTTGACCCATGGCCTCTATATTGATATAGAAATGAGGCTGCTAAAGTCCTCTGTTCCTGTTGTCCCATCGAAGATCGTTTCTTGTTCTGTTAAGTCATGCCTTCCTGCACCCAGGGGAAATGAAGCGAACACCCACCCCCAAGCCTGACAGGCCCAGGGAGGGTTAGTGTGAATTCTGTACCCCATGAGGGTGATGCTGAGAGTTTTGGAGTTGGTGTCCTAGTTGTAGCAAAGAATTTTTGCTGAGAAGGTAAAAATCTTCAGACTTTTTTATTTTTATTTTTTAATTTTAATTTTTTTAGAGACAGAGTCTCGCTGTGTCGCCCGGCCTGGAGTGCAGTGGCGCAGTCTTGGCTCACCGCAACCTCCACCTCCCGGGTTCAAGCAATTCTCTTGCCTCAGTCTCCCGAGTAGCTGGGACTACAGGTGCACACCGCCACACCTGGCTAATTTTTTTGTATTTTAGTAGAGATGGGGTTTCACCATGTTGCCCAGGCTGGTCTTGAACTCCTGAGCTCAGGCAATCTGCCCGCCTTGGCCTCCCAAAGTGGTAGGATTACAGGCGTGAGCCACCGCGCCTGGCCAAAATCTTCAGACTTAATAGATGACTGAATTAATATATGGGCCTCAAGTCCAAAGGGACCAATGTTTTCCCTGCTTCCAGGATACTAGTTGAGAGGTGAGAAGGCAGGCAGCAAAGGGGTTTGGATAAGGGGGTGGGGAAAC
Source organism: Homo sapiens (assembly GCF_000001405.40). NCBI lineage: Eukaryota > Metazoa > Chordata > Mammalia > Primates > Hominidae > Homo > Homo sapiens. Next base: position 40,075,333 of record NC_000023.11, on the reverse strand, counting down.
AGACCCCCCACCCCCGCCCCGCCGGAAGCCTGTCTTTAACCCTTTGTGCTTGGATGTTAAGGCTGATGGCATGTTGAACTAGTTGGCAGTGTCTTTGGGTGCTGCTGCCTTGAAGGAGTATCCCAGTAACACCCATGTTGTTCTTCTGCAAAGGTGGATGCGAGCACGGCCCATAGGATCGATGGCCTGGCAGCACTGAGCATGGACCGCACTGGCCTGATCCGGGAAGGGCTGCGGGTCCCGGGAAACATCGTCTATTCTAGCTTGTGTGGACTGGGCTCAGAGAAAGGTCGGGAGGCTGCCACAAGCACTCTAGGTGGCCTTGGGTTTTCTTCGGAAAGAAATCCAGAGATGCAGTTCAAACCGAATACACCCGAGACAGTGGAGGCTTCTGCCGTCTCTGGAAAACCCCCAAATGGCTTCAGTGCTATATACAAAACACCGCCTGGAATACAAAAAAGTGCTGTAGCCACAGCAGAAGCGCTGGGCTTGGACAGGCCTGCCAGCGACAAACAGAGCCCTCTCAACATCAATGGTGCTAGTTATCTGCGGCTGCCCTGGGTCAATCCTTACATGGAGGGTGCCACGCCAGCCATCTACCCTTTCCTCGACTCGCCAAATAAGTATTCACTGAACATGTACAAGGCCTTGCTACCTCAGCAGTCCTACAGCTTGGCCCAGCCGCTGTATTCTCCAGTCTGCACCAATGGGGAGCGCTTTCTCTACCTGCCGCCACCTCACTACGTCGGTCCCCACATCCCATCGTCCTTGGCATCACCCATGAGGCTCTCGACACCTTCGGCCTCCCCAGCCATCCCGCCTCTCGTCCATTGCGCAGACAAAAGCCTCCCGTGGAAGATGGGCGTCAGCCCTGGGAATCCTGTTGATTCCCACGCCTATCCTCACATCCAGAACAGTAAGCAGCCCAGGGTTCCCTCTGCCAAGGCGGTCACCAGTGGCCTGCCGGGGGACACAGCTCTCCTGTTGCCCCCCTCGCCTCGGCCGTCACCCCGAGTCCACCTTCCCACCCAGCCTGCTGCAGACACCTACTCGGAGTTCCACAAGCACTATGCCAGGATCTCCACCTCTCCTTCAGTTGCCCTGTCAAAGCCATACATGACAGTTAGCAGCGAGTTCCCCGCGGCCAGGCTCTCCAATGGCAAGTATCCCAAGGCTCCGGAAGGGGGCGAAGGTGCCCAGCCAGTGCCCGGGCATGCCCGGAAGACAGCGGTTCAAGACAGAAAAGATGGCAGCTCACCTCCTCTGTTGGAGAAGCAGACCGTTACCAAAGACGTCACAGATAAGCCACTAGACTTGTCTTCTAAAGTGGTGGATGTAGATGCTTCCAAAGCTGACCACATGAAAAAGATGGCTCCCACGGTCCTGGTTCACAGCAGGGCTGGAAGTGGCTTAGTGCTCTCCGGAAGTGAGATTCCGAAAGAAACACTATCTCCTCCAGGAAATGGTTGTGCTATCTATAGATCTGAAATCATCAGCACTGCTCCCTCATCCTGGGTGGTGCCCGGGCCAAGTCCTAACGAAGAGAACAATGGCAAAAGCATGTCGCTGAAAAACAAGGCATTGGACTGGGCGATACCACAGCAGCGGAGTTCATCATGCCCGCGCATGGGCGGCACCGATGCTGTCATCACTAACGTTTCAGGGTCAGTGTCGAGTGCAGGCCGCCCAGCCTCCGCATCACCCGCCCCCAATGCCAATGCAGATGGCACCAAAACCAGCAGGAGCTCTGTAGAAACCACACCATCCGTTATTCAGCACGTGGGCCAGCCCCCGGCCACTCCTGCCAAGCACAGTAGCAGCACCAGCAGCAAGGGCGCCAAAGCCAGCAACCCAGAACCGAGTTTCAAAGCAAACGAGAACGGCCTTCCACCAAGCTCTATATTTCTGTCTCCAAATGAGGCATTCAGGTCCCCACCAATTCCCTACCCCAGGAGTTACCTCCCTTACCCAGCCCCTGAGGGCATTGCTGTAAGTCCCCTCTCCTTACATGGCAAAGGACCTGTCTACCCTCACCCAGTTTTGTTACCCAATGGCAGTCTGTTTCCTGGGCACCTTGCCCCAAAGCCTGGGCTGCCCTATGGGCTTCCCACCGGCCGTCCAGAGTTTGTGACCTACCAAGATGCCCTGGGGTTGGGCATGGTGCATCCCATGTTGATACCACACACGCCCATAGAGATTACTAAAGAGGAGAAACCAGAGAGGAGATCCCGGTCCCATGAGAGAGCCCGTTACGAGGACCCAACCCTCCGGAATCGGTTTTCCGAGATTTTGGAAACTAGCAGCACCAAGTTACATCCAGATGTCCCCACCGACAAGAACCTAAAGCCGAACCCCAACTGGAATCAAGGGAAGACTGTTGTCAAAAGCGACAAGCTTGTCTACGTAGACCTTCTCCGAGAAGAACCAGATGCTAAAACTGACACAAACGTGTCCAAACCCAGCTTTGCAGCAGAGAGTGTTGGCCAGAGCGCTGAGCCCCCCAAGCCCTCAGTTGAGCCGGCCCTGCAGCAGCACCGTGATTTCATCGCCCTGAGAGAGGAGTTGGGGCGCATCAGTGACTTCCACGAAACTTATACTTTCAAACAGCCAGTCTTCACCGTAAGCAAGGACAGTGTTCTGGCAGGTACCAACAAAGAGAACCTAGGGTTGCCAGTCTCGACTCCATTCCTGGAGCCACCTCTGGGGAGCGATGGCCCTGCTGTAACTTTTGGTAAAACCCAAGAGGATCCCAAACCATTTTGTGTGGGCAGTGCCCCACCAAGTGTGGATGTGACCCCCACCTATACCAAAGATGGAGCTGATGAGGCTGAATCAAATGATGGCAAAGTTCTGAAACCGAAGCCATCTAAGCTGGCAAAGAGAATCGCCAACTCAGCGGGTTACGTGGGTGACCGATTCAAATGTGTCACTACCGAACTGTATGCAGATTCCAGTCAGCTCAGCCGGGAGCAACGGGCATTGCAGGTGAGCCCCCCCACCTGAATTTCAGTTACTTTACCAGTTGTCAGTTTTTTAATGTGTAAACAGGATTGGGGGAGTATGGTAGGGCAGGGCACCAGGCAGATTTGGTGAATGAAGCTTGTGGTAATTTGAATATATGCAATGTGGCCAGTAAGAGAACGTGAGTGGTAGCACTGAGGCGTGTCTGGATGCTTTAAGTTATTCTGTAGATTATAAGGGAACTCCACTCAATTGCTGATAACCGATGTTTTAATTATTGTGAAGGGTATCTAAAGACTGCATGACGTTTACCTATCAATTGCTTTGATTTCTCTGCCTGTAAGATAGCAAATATACCTAGAAGTGCTGCTTAGAATGCCTTACTTGATACCTGGTAGAGATGTGTAGCAGCCGCATGTCTGTGGGATTCATGCAAATTTTTCACCAAAAAGAAAGGAAAAAAAAAAGAAAAAAGGTTGCTTAAAGGGATAGAGTATGTATTTAACTTGCTAGTGAATTATGATAGATGTTGTATAGGAATTTCCTTAAGATATTTTACTTTTAATTAAAAGATGAATAAAGCCAAATTGTTTTGCAATGTTAAGAAAAAAATTGGTTTATGCTTATAAAAATGGATGAAGTTATCTAAATGATCCATTGAGTGCCCATTTTAATTACATAGATGGAAGGATTACAAGAGGACAGTATTTTATGTCTACCCGCTGCTTACTGTGAGGTCAGTTCTTCAAATTTTTATTACTAGAATCTTACATAAACCTTTTGAGTTAAATTTCATTTCCAAATATACAAAGGGAAGTTTGTGGGCCATGGTCGTCTTTATTCATTGTGTATTTTGTTTCTTTTCTGTTGTGTTTTTGTTTTGTTTTCTTTGCGTTGTGTTTTCGTTTTGTTTTATTTACCTTCAAAAGAGAATGTCTGTCTGTATGCAATAGTGTATGTGTGGATATACATACACATCGCATATATATCTATATACACATGACTTTATGAATAAAGAATGTGTGACTACTTATATATAGATACTCTTAAGTTTTATCTGTTAAACTTTAAAATATCTGAGTTACATCTCATAAGCTGTGGTTGGTTTTGGGCACTTTTCTTTGAAAATACTTTCCTTTAAGATAAGGCAAATGAAATAGCTTTTATGGTAAGGTGTTGTTTTTTTTTTTTTCCATCTCCGTTCTCTTTCTAGCGTGCAATGATGCGCTTCTCAGAGTTGGAGATGAAAGAAAGAGAAGGTGGCCACCCAGCAACCAAAGACTCCGAGATGTGCAAATTCAGCCCAGCCGACTGGGAAAGGTTGAAAGGAAATCAGGACAAAAAGCCAAAGTCGGTCACCCTGGAGGAGGCCATTGCAGAACAGAACGAAAGTGAGAGATGTAAGTAAACCTGAGCAGTTTGCTTGTGTTGGCCTCAGGTCCGGTTGGCATCTGCTTGGAGAAATGGGCTGCTTTTGCCATGCATGGAATGAAGGGCCGATTGTCCTTATGAATGGTGGCAACCAGGAACGAGGCGTCTGTGAAAGATAGTTTCCTGGGACACATCTTTTTTTCCAAAGAAGCACTGGTTCTAGAGTTGATAACAGTCTAATATAACGCAGTGTAGCAGAGGTATGGCAGTAGGAAATTAGGTGCAGGGACAGGTTATATTTTGTAGCAGTGGAATGACACTTCCCAGCCATCTCCTGCCCCACCCCTGTGGTGACAGTCTGATGTGGAATGAAGAGTCCTTATATTCTCCCTCCAAAGGCATAGATGTTGTTGAAGTAGGATGAACATGGTGAAGTCACCATAAAGATGAGCGTTACGATTTACCGTGGGGGGTGGGGGAGAATTGGCCACAGAATCCCAAGGCAGCCTGGCATGCATGAGGGGGCTCTTCCCACCGGACAGAGGGCAGCTTGCATTTTGGAGGGCAAGTGATGTGAAGAGAAGGCTAGTATCTTCCTCAGTACACTCCCTTTGGTCCTTACAGCAGGTCCCCCACCCCACCAACAGGGTTGACTTTGGGATTTGCTCACGAGTCTTCTAGGGTGCTAAGATGTGTTGGCAGCAAGTGGAGGTCTTCCTCTTTATTTCTTAAATATGCAAGCTTGAAGCTTTAGGTCTGCTTGCAACATGAGAAACCTCACTGGGCGAAGGGGAATTAGGGTGTCTGGGTGAACTAACTGGAGGAGTAGGTGCAAAGTCCTCCTGACACAGGACACTTGGAAGTGTTGGGTATGTTTGAGAGCTCCCCACCATGGGCCGTCGGAGGTTTGACATTCACAACACAGTTCATCGGTGCCTGACAGAGTTTGGGAAGAATGTGTGATCAGGGAGAGTGTGCTTCTTGATACTCGGAGCGCACACCCCTCCCTCCACTTCCAGCTCATCCCTGGGAGCAGACTAAGGCCACCTGCCAGGATCCTGGGTAAGCTAAACCAGGACTGATTTGTTGTAAGTCATTGCTGAAGAAAGTAGTTTCTGCTGCTAATAGGTGGTGGCCTTACTCAAGTGGCAGGGACTCAATGTACCTGAAGTTGCTCACTCTTCCTCAAAGAGTGGCTACAGGGCAGTGGGAGGTCCAAGCCACTCTTGGGTGAAGTGGCAAAGAAAGCCTTCCTCCTCCCTGATGATTGCTGCCAACTCGCAGCCCCCACTCTGAGTTGCCTCAACACCAGCTCTTGGGAAGGTTGTCAGAGGGACCTGGGAGAAGTGGGCAAGGCCGAGTTGATGGGGAAGGTGCTTCTAAAAGAGGGAGTGCCATACATAAGAATCCCTCTTTGTTCTGAGTAGATGGCTGGGGGCCTGGAGGAAGGGACAGGAACTTAGCCAGCTTCCAGCCTTCTTGCCCTTGCTGTGGTTTTTGAGTAACATGGCCAGACCCTCCGTTCACATCTGAGTAACTCGGTGTGGCCAATGGGGAGCAGGGCCCAAGCCCCACATGATGTAGAAAGGCCTCCCTTTCCCTTTCTGTAAGTCCCTCCAAGCTTCATACCAACAGGCTGTGTTCTTGGAGCACCCAGGACAGGGCCCTGCAAGCCATAAGTCACCACGTAGTGCTCCTCAGGTAATGAGCCATGGCAGGGAGAGCAGAAGAAGAGTTGGGGGAAGGTGAAGGCTGCTTTTTAAATACTAGGGCCAAGGAAGAGCTGGGGCACCATAGGTTTGTGGTTGATCAAGAGGAGGAACCTAGAGGAAATGTTGTCCTTGCTGCTGCCACTGCCATCTCATCCAGGGTACAGCATGCGCTGGATCCGTTTGGCTTCAAATTCACTGAGCTATCTCGGCCATCACGTCTCTTCATGGGTGTCACTGTGGCCCAGAGCCAAGCTGTGAGCATATGGAAACTGGGGTGGGGATTTGGGGCAGGCAGGGGTCACAAAGAGGGTACAGGATGCCTCCCCGAAGCCTCTCCCCTCCACTCCTACAGCACCAGTAGCTTCTGAGATGGCAGGTGCCGCCTGTGCGGCCTCAGCTGCCTGCGTGTGGGTGCATCTTGTTGGGAGGGCTTGTTTAAAAAAACTGAATTAACTGGACAACACCGTGGTTAGGATTTTCATTGACTCTTAGTGATAGTATGGGTTGCTGAGTTTTTCATTTAGAAATTGAACAAATGAGTTAGGAGTGTCCCCAAACTCCTAAGGAATGATAAGTGGCATTTTGAAGATGGGGTAGGGAACACGGAGGTGTTGGGCCCTTCCTTTTTGTTTTTAGTTTTATTATTTTTATTGATTGATTTACTTTTGTTGATACATATTAGATGTGCATATTAGCCCTTCCTTCTTGAATTTGGGTGTCTGTCTCCCTTGGTAGCCACTTGGCTTGTGTGGACCTAGGACTCACTCAGTGGCAATGCCTGAGCGGGAGCTGGAGAAAGCGTTGAGTGAAAGTGAAAGGGTTTCATGGGACTTCTTGGCTCAGGAAACTTCTCTTCCAGGACAGCAGCCCCTATGTACTTTGTAAACTACTTTGAGTTTGGGCAGACAGATGACTACCAATGCCTCTGCTGCTGGAGAGGGTAGAAGTTATAACATGGTTGGCCTCTGCTAGAGGTGATGTTGCCTGCAGAGGGAGTAGATGTCATGGGCAGTCCTCAAAAATCTCAGTCCTCTGCCATCCTGTTTAGGGCTTACTGGGCGTGGTTATAACAGTGGTGAGGTTGCTTTGTTGCCACGGTGACTTGTAAATGTTGCCATGGCGATGCTTCCAGGAGGTATTGCAATGGCATAGCCATGGTAAATTATGGGATGTATGTGCTGTGCCTTATAGGACCATGATGCAAGGAGAAAGTGGTAGACGGTGTAGGACTCAGCCATGTTCACATCTGCCTAGATCTCATGACCAAAGGCACATGGCATTCCACTCACAGAAGGGCTGTAAGTAGTTGCAATGGAAGAGGACCCTGATGGTTAGGACCCCTATCTATCCCTTCATCTCTGTCTATGCACCCATCTCCTTTGCCCTCAAGAGTAATTTCTGTGGGTACTGGTAAGAATAGCCCCATTTGAGGGAGGTCCAAGTGAAGTGTACAGGAAAGTGACCTGGAGCCTCTCCCTCATAGCTGTTTGCCATACGTATCTTCGGCAGTCAAGGTGGGTGTTCTTTGGGATTATTACTGGCCCATGGAGGGAAACCCTAGCATAAGGTTTGGGGGCCTTCACTGAGGGGAATTGGGATGTTTGCCTTGAGAGGCTCAGGGGTTGAAGGAAGGACAATAGGCCTCATTTGCGGAAAGATCTCGTTTGCGGAAAGATCTTCTTGAGAGCGGACAAGAAGCATCTACACTGCGTGTGGGCAGGCATGATTGCAGTGAACCCCAGATGCAGCAGTGGAGGGCTCCCGATAATAGTTCTGGACTATTCAGGAGGCAGAAGGGGGCCCTGTCCGGCTGAACGGGGAATGGTGGGGACTTGGAGGAGGCATGTGTGTTTCGCACCCCTTATCCTAGCCTGCTGGCTTCCCCATGAATGGGGAGCAGAAGGTGGTGTGTGCAGGGGAGCCCTCCCCACCCCCACTGGGCAGCTTTTCCTAGATGGGGAGCCCCAGAGAAGACAGATGGCAAGACCTCCCCATATCTAATGGGGGTGCTCCCTAGCAGAGAGACTAGGTCCCCAGTTAGTCACTGCCTGTTGATGCCAGTCTGTGAAATAAGTGATTACAAGTCTTCTAGGTGGTTTTCTGTGGACAAAATATACTGGCAGTTTGGGCATAAGGCCAGGTAGGTGAGATATAAACTCATTTCACTATTAGGAAGTTTGCAGTGAAGGTCAAAACTCCAATGGAAAACTTTCTCCCTGAGAAAGATGCCTTAGACTTGGTTGAGATTGTTACAAATACAGGTGGCTGTGTGAGACCTGGAGTTCAAATGGAAGCTGTGGAAGTCAAATCCAAAGCACTAGGGTTGAGAGATTCTTAATCTGATGGGGATTTGATGGGGGGGGGGGGGTGTCTCTGGGAAGGGTGCCAAGACAGGGCAGTTCGTTCTGGGTGGGGCCCCACACTGGCTAAGCTGCTGCCTCATTTTGACCCAGGAAGGCATTGTGACATTACCTAGTCACCTCTGCTTTCAAACCACTTGGCTCAAACCCTCTCTCCTACCTAAAGGGAGGGGAAATGAGTACACTTTAAAAGTATAAAAGTAACCTTGCATGTGGCGCTTCGTAACACAGTCTTTACATTTTTACATTGCACCCCCAGCCCCTCCCACAGGGCTTTCAGGGGCGGCTGATTGGCTCCAGAAAGTCAAATAGTATATAACTAGGACAATCAGTTCACATCTTAAACTTTCATAAATATCAGGGCTAAAAATCAAGCTGGTCTGGGGATCATAGCGTCCTTTTGTAAGTAATTTCTCCAGCCTTACCCTCTGCCCTGCTGCACCGTGTTTATGAAGCCCACCGGGGGAGGTGGCTTGCAGTAATAGTCCCACTTTACAACTCAAGGGGGCCAAACTGTAAAGTGGCGCTGTTACTGCCAGAGTGGTTAAGACACAGAGCAACTCGAGTCGCAGCCCACCCTCTTTGCGTCCCCAGGCCAAGCTGAGCACAGTGGTCACCACTTCTGCATAGTGTAAGTTTTGGGCAGCTTGTGTGTTTTCTCCTGTTGCTGCTGTGACATAACACCACCTTGGCCATGTTTTTGGACGCCCATCCGTTGCTGGTTGTACCTACAGAGACCTGGGGTGGTATTCCATGGTGGGGGCTTGGGTGCCGAATCCCAGTCCCAGCCATCCCTGTCCATACAGTGCACTGTCGTGAGTGAGGATGAGGAGGAACGGTTGGGGAGATTCTACCATTCCTTTGCAAGAATAGATGCAGCCCCATCTGTTCCCCCTTAGAACACCCTTGAAGAGAAGGTGAATGGGTCCTTGCACCATTGAGAGCACAGGCTAGCCAACACCCCTGTAAAGCTCACCCCCACAGCTGACTGCCGTGAACCGCTGGCAATGCCCCCGAGAGAAGCGGGTGAGCGGTGCTGGTCAGGAGTGGGAGTAATATTTGAAGTGGGTTGGGGAGAGGAAGAATGAGATCAGCGGATGAGGCGTGTGCTTATTTCATCTAGAAATTGACTTGTGTGCCTCAGCTCAGAGTTACCAAGACACCAGACTCATAACCCTGGTGATGAGAGGGATCATTTCAGCGGGCCAAGGGCTGACACCTTAACCTCGCAGTGGTCATTAAGTAGTTATCATTTATATTCATTGTGTATTAGAAAAATTGTGACCAGCAAAGCAGTTAATGAGCTATTTCTTGGGCTAGAGCAAAAATAGGAAGTGATGTTGGGCTGAGGTGATTCAAGGAAAAGCCCCAAGGCCCGTGATAGGCCGAGCACAGGGTTCCTGGAACGAGCGGTTTTGCAAGCGCTGGCCTGGCATGGGAAGGACACACCAACAATGAGGAGATGTCTGTCGATGCTTGCCTGTGACAGAGGGTGTGAAGAGGAGTGTCAGCTGGGGTGGCCAGCATCCCCAAGGGGGTCCCTTTGTGTTGGACAGGAAATGGGAACAGCCCAACCCATTGGTTTCACATCTGTGCATCCAGCAAATCGAGTTTTTTGAAGTTTTCTCTGAACTCGTGTATGTGTTAGGAAACCTTGCCTTTGGCTTTGCCACGCCCCTCTTCCCAGCAGCCTGGGTCTGCCTGGGTTCCCTGCCTCCCTCTGGCCTGGACTGTAGGCCCAGAGCCCCCCAGGAGTGAGGGTCACTTCTGCCCATCAAGGACCTAGGCTTTCTTTCAACACTCTTGTCTCCAGTCCATTTTCATCTCCCCGGTTGGCCTAGGTGAATATTGGTGTTATCCCTTCGATAGATGACATTTTGGGGATATTTGGTCACTTTATCCTATCAGCCTGCCATTTATTTCAAAATAATGACCTCAGCAAATGTTTCCATAAAGATTTTTAGGTCAGCCCCAGCTTGGTTGCATCTTCTGCTGAAAGGACTATAGTGCTTTAAAAAACGTAGCATTGACGCCCCATCTTTCTTGGTTCCCTCTTGCCCCCAACCATAAGAAGGGAGAAGGAGAAAGTCAGGAGTGTGACATGCACCTCACTCTGCTTTACTTGCCACTCGTCTTCAATGTACCCTCCCTCTGGAAAGTTCTGTTTCTGAGGGTTTTGTGCTAACCATGTGTGAGGACCCCAGTCTCCAAAGAAGCAGCTGTCAATAGCAGATTACCTTGGGCATGGTGGTCCCACGCACTCCCCAGATCCTGCCTTCTCATGGCGACCTTCGGGCTTCATTAATGCCCTCTTGTCTCCCCTCCCCCAGGCGAGTATAGTGTTGGAAACAAGCACCGTGATCCCTTTGAAGCCCCAGAGGACAAAGATCTTCCTGTGGAGAAGTACTTTGTGGAGAGGCAGCCTGTGAGCGAGCCTCCCGCAGACCAGGTGGCCTCGGACATGCCTCACAGCCCCACCCTCCGGGTGGACAGGAAACGCAAAGTCTCAGGTGACAGCAGCCACACTGAGACCACTGCGGAGGAGGTGCCAGAGGACCCTCTGCTGAAAGCCAAACGCCGACGAGTCTCTAAAGGTGAGCCCTGTCTGCTTCGCCCGCCTGCCGGGGGGTGGGCCTTTGCATGCGGCCACAGTGGATGGACAGGAGATGTGGATGTGCGGCGCGCTGCCCCCGTAGACAGAGTCGGTGAGGGGAAGCCGTGGGGGCGCAGCAGTGGAGCGGACCTCTCCATTCCCACACTGCCTCGTGAGGTTCCCACCCTGGAGCCCCCGGGGGGAGCCGCCCACACCTCCCCTCCCCCAAAGCCAGAACCCAGATGGCCAAAGATGATTAGGCCCCTTCCCAAAAGCAGAGACCAGTGACCACACCCCCCCTCCCCCACCCCATTAGTGATGCGTAAGACAGTTTGTTCCCCCCCGGGGGGCTTTTTGATTAATTTGTAGTTATTTCTCCATTAGATGACTGGCCTGAGAGGGAAATGACAAACAGTTCCTCTAACCACTTAGAAGACCCACATTATAGTGAGCTGACCAACCTGAAGGTGTGCATTGAATTAACAGGGCTCCATCCTAAAAAACAACGCCACTTGCTGCACCTTAGAGAACGATGGGAGCAGCAGGTGTCGGCAGCAGATGGCAAACCTGGCCGGCAAAGCAGGAAGGAAGTGACCCAGGCCACTCAGCCTGAGGCCATTCCTCAGGGGACTAACATCACTGAAGAGAAACCTGGCAGGAAAAGGGCAGAGGCCAAAGGCAACAGAAGCTGGTCGGAAGAGTCTCTTAAACCCAGTGACAATGAACAAGGTATGCGGGGGCCACCCCTTGAGTGTTCACCCCGCTCCTGGAGGGTGGGTCATCCACTCTCTGTAGGAAAGGGCTTTTGAGGAGATCTTAGAAGGCCATAGCAATTGACTTCAACGAAGATGTGGCAGGCAGGGAGTTCTCTCTTGATGTCCTTGCCCGTGGTTGCACAGGAAGGAAGTCTGAACACCTTCATTCCAGCCTCAGGCTGTCTCCAGTCTCTGGGTCCTGAGCAACCCAGACCCAGTGGGTAGGGGGCAGGAAAGCAGGAAGAGCCAGCTTCTGTCCTCTCTTCCGGGCCCTTTGAAGCAACTTGCCACTTGGCGTTTTGTGGGTTAACTTAGGTGCCGTTTGAATGTGGTATAATTAAAATATTAATGCTTTGAAAACATAATTGGTGTATCTTTAAAAACTGAAGCCGCTCCAGTGATCAGTGTTAACAATGGGCTTTTCTTCCTGCACTGGCTACAACTGTGTAACGCCCGCTTCTTCTCCCGTCTCCCATCCGCCCGCCACCCCGTCACCCCCTCCGTATTTAGGCTTGCCTGTGTTCTCCGGCTCTCCGCCCATGAAGAGTCTTTCATCCACCAGTGCAGGCGGCAAAAAGCAGGCTCAGCCAAGCTGCGCACCAGCCTCCAGGCCGCCTGCCAAACAGCAGAAAATTAAAGAAAACCAGAAGACAGATGTGCTGTGTGCAGACGAAGAAGAGGATTGCCAGGCTGCCTCCCTGCTGCAGAAATACACCGACAACAGCGAGAAGCCATCCGGGAAGAGACTGTGCAAAACCAAACACTTGATCCCTCAGGAGTCCAGGCGGGGATTGCCACTGACAGGGGAATACTACGTGGAGAATGCCGATGGCAAGGTACCTCTTGACCCCGGCTTCCCTCTGGGGCCTGTGCGAACACATCCCCGCCTGCCTGCTTCCCAGCTTGAGGGGACAAAGCTTTCCTTTTCCTGGACTCCTCCCCCACACCACACGTCACTCCCCTGTCCTAGAGGAGCATGTCTTCTGGGTGGCAGCGAAGTTTCAAACTAGTAAGAATGAAATCCCTTCCCCCAAACCCTCCTTTGACAGGCACCCCCCACCCCCAAAAAAAGATAAGGAATAAAGTGCCTCTCTCCACGCAGGTTTGTCACGTGGGGAGGAGGAGGGGAAGCAGCGGCTGTTAGAAGGACACGGGCTTAACCGTGTGCGCTGCTTGGTTTTATGATAGGTGACTGTCCGGAGATTCAGAAAGCGGCCGGAGCCCAGTTCGGACTATGATCTGTCACCAGCCAAGCAGGAGCCAAAGCCCTTCGACCGCTTGCAGCAACTGCTACCAGCCTCCCAGTCCACACAGCTGCCATGCTCAAGTTCCCCTCAGGAGACCACCCAGTCTCGCCCTATGCCGCCGGAAGCACGGAGACTTATTGTCAATAAGAACGCTGGCGAGACCCTTCTGCAGCGGGCAGCCAGGCTTGGCTATGAGGTGTGTCCCTGTGGGCGCTCCCTGGGGCTGCAGGCTGGGGGGCGGGGCCTGCGGACTGTGGTGGGCGAGGGGAGGGACATGGAGAGCAGAGCTCAGCCCCCTCCACATCGGGGCTGGGCCGGTGCTCCAACAGGATGTTTGTGTTAGCCCCACTCTCACTGCTGTCTCTTTGGTGGCTTGTTCAATCGCGGTGTGGAAAGAAAGGCCTCTCTGATGTTCAGTTCGTGTTCAGGCAGGTAGGCTGCTACGGCATCCTCCAGTCTCGCTAACTTATCTCTGATATAAAATCTGACACAACCCAGGGCTTGGCGACTAGGGGAATTTTAATGAGCCCTTTTGGATTCTGATTAGCAAGGGGGAGAGAAGTTATTAGCTCTATCTGGGGCTGCTTGTACTGTTTCGGGTGGAAGGGTGGCCGTGTAGGGGGAGTAGGCAGGAAGTAGCTGTGTAGGTCACAGAGGGAGGGGGGTGGGGCAGACCTAAGGTCTCTTTCTGAGTGGGGGGGTACAGTAGCCTTAGGGCTGAGGGCTCTGGAGGGAGGGACTGAGACTTTTCCCTCAACTCACTGCTTCTCCCCAGCCCCCCTGCTCATCCTCCTCCTAGCATGGGCCATGACAATGATAGCTTACGTTGACGGAGCCCCTAAGATCCAAAGTAACTCATTTCACCCTTTCATCATCTTTGTGCAGTAGTAACTAATATTATTCCCGCTTTCAGATGAGGAAACTGAGTCCCAGAGGCGTTACATGATTTGAACAGATAATAATCCAGCAGCCTGGCTCCAAAGCCCAGTCTCCCCCCATCCCCCCAAACTCGGCTCCTCTCCAGGACTGGCTCCCATTGGAATCACGCTTTTCACAGTTCAAAACCTACGTCTGCCCCTGTGCGTCTCCCCACCACACACTTGTCAGTTGAGATAGTGATGTAATAGCCCACAGTGCAAAGACATTTTTTTTTATGCTGGCATCAGCTCTCTAGGAGTCGTGGTGAAAATAAAATGCGGTTCAGCAGGCTGAGTGTGAAGTGTGGAGAAGCACCCGGGCGACAGGATCCATGCCAGGCCATGCTCAGCTGTGGGCTCCCGGAATTCAGCCAGAGCCCAGGCTCATGCACCTTAACCATGCTGCAGTCAGCAGTCTGCTGTGCCTTGAGCCTTTCCTGATGGGGTGACCCAGCTGCCAGTCTCCCTTTGACCCAGAGCCCACCCTGGGGCATGATTGTGTGGGTGGGAACTGGGATGCTGGCTCACACCTGTGGGATGGTCCTTTGAAGCACTAGCTAGGTATTTTTGGTTGTATGTGACTTTGTCTATTCATACCAGCTTGTTTCTTATCGATATCTCTGGATTATCTTTGAGGGAACTCTCTAGAAGGATTTGAAAATTAGCTCAGTTACTTGCAGATTAAACCCAAGTGGCAGCCAGTTGGTTTCCCATAAGCTGAGAGCAGCGGCGCCTATGAGGACAGGGTAGATGCAGCGTGCCAGGCAGGGCCACTCATTCCTACGCATGATTGGGAAAATGGACTTGTGCTTCCAGCAAACACCAGAGGTAAGGGAGGGCTCCAGGGCAGCAAACTTGCCGGCCATAGCGGGGTAGGGCTCCTGGCCTGGTCTTTGATCCTGGCTTCATTTCTGCCAGTCTCACCTTTCTGAGCCCAGAGCTTCAAGAGACCCTTGTGGGTGCTCTAAGGAACAGTTTCCATTCTGGTGGTTTTCCTATAGCAGGCCTGGACTAAGGAACACTGATCCATGCTTTCTTAGGCTACCAGGCCTTTGGTGCAAGAAGCCTTGAGAATGTTTATGGAAGGACAACTTTTCCCCTTCAAATGTAAATGTCATTATAGAACTTTCCCAGGTCATCAGTTTTGATGCTGAATGTTTTAATTACTAGATGAAAGCTTTCAACTTTGAATCCAACTTTCTGGGATTTCTTTAGTCAGAAATTAAAATGTTAGGATGATAGTCCATTCAGATGTGGCAGTGTAAACCCTTTAAAATAAAAGAACAGTTTGCTTAACAGGATAAGGTACGGTATGAATGCACAGCTTTGGGAGAGGTTTCCCAAAACCCCTCTTTATCATTGTCTTCTGCTTAGCTAAAAAGATACCACATGCAATAAAAAGGCTGCTCAAGCTTTGTTTTCTGTTAATCTGGTTCTTGAGGTTTAGAAACACCCTCTGTCTTCAGATCTGTAATAGACCACCTGAAAGGCCAGTTACAGTTGAACCTGTCTGTTCTTAGGCTAAGATGCCAATGTGGAACCGCATGTGTGTGCATTTAGTAGTGATGGTTAAGTTTTCTATGAATCGAATAAATCATGTTTTTAAAAAAGTTAATGAGGCATTTAATTAATTAACAATGTCGGGTTTATGGCCTTTATGGTTACATTTTGCGGTTAATGTCATTCAGCTTATAGCTGCTTAACAGAGAATTGTCCAACAAAAACAGTTTGATTTTGTTTGGGAATGGGCGGGCTGCCCTTCAAACACTCCCATTTCCAGCGTGGAGAATAAACCAAGTAATGTAATGGGTAGACAGACTTGTCTGGCTTCTTCATTCTCTCTGTTGGTGACAGCGGTTGCCACCCATTTAAGATCCCATCACCCTCCCATCTAGGAGAGTGTCATTAGCCTGCTTGACCCCAACAGAAAAGGTGCAAGGGATGCCGGTCATGGCTGGATTGCAGCCCTCTAGCCAGGGCCCTTGATTGGGCCTTTGGAAACTTCCCAGCAGACCCGTTGCCAAAAGACCTGAGTTATGGGTCTGATACTTTGTGTTAATTGAATATGGGGCTTAACCTCTCTGGGCCTCAACTTCCTTGAGTGTTGAATGAGACTCATACCACTTTTCCTTCCTGAGATCTCACAGGTCACTGTGGGATATGACATACACATTTGGGAACATCAGAAGTGTTACGGTGGCCAATGGCAAAACGTCTGACCTGGTTGTTGGGTTACTGTTGTCTTGCCTGCCATCCTCCAGGATAACAGAGTTGACTTACCCTTCAGCCTCGACATCTTTCATTTCTATGTTCCCTCAGATCAGCCCTAGTAGTGATGAAGGTTTCCAGGTGAAGGCCATAATTGTCAGAGCAAATAAACCCTGGGTTGATAGGACACCAGGCCGGCTGCCGGGATCCGGGTAGATTGATCTGTGCACAGCAGTCGGTGGCGCTTAGAGCTGATCCCTGAGTCACGTGACAGGGCCTCTCCCTGGCTGGGTACACAGCTCATTAGCTTGCAGCCGTCCACTCGAGTCTGGCTAGTGAGGGCCTGCTAAAAGAGCAGCAGCTTCATGCGGTATCCTGGATACCAGTGCTCGGGGCAGGTGGCCTGGGAGCTCAGAGGATTGTGGGCTTTCTGGCAGGTGAGGGCCTGAAGGAAGAGACGCATCTGTGGGCATGCCTTCTCTCTTCCTCCCCTTGATTTGGAAGGGAGCTGCCGCAGTGTCCTGAAGCAACAGGGTTACCGGCCAGGGTTACCAGCGTGCAGCCTTAGGTTCACAGGGGGAGCATCTAGAACATTCTAGTTAGTGTTCAAGTGAGTGATCACCTTTGACTGATGTGTCTTAGAAAGGGCATAAAAGAATTTTCAGAACTCACCTCACGTTTATGGGTGGCTCAAATGCTGCCTATTTTAGGTTATAGATGAGTTATTTAAGAGTTGTCACAAAGGAGAGCCTGCTGTGACCCATCAAGCTCCCCCCTTGCCAAGTGGAACATGTGTTGGGCTACCCCACATGTTCTGGCTTTCCCCCCAGTCTTCAGAACCTGACAGCTCTCTGCTGGCCATGACTGCTAGGAAAACAGTGTAACCTGTTGTCTGGTGGCAGATACTGTTCCATGTGTTTGAAAACTTTCTTAATCAAGGTAATAAAACATGGACTAAATTACTGCTCTGCTTACTGGGAGCGGTTCATTTTAATGTTTTAACACGCCAAAGAAGTGAGATTAATAACAGTGATTCTCATGCAAACTGTTGATGCGGAACACATTCTGCAAAGGGGGAAGGGAAGGATTGTCTTACTTAGTTCTTGAAATGCGTAGGTTGTGGTATGTGGTGTATTAGATTCCTGTCATTAACTTAAGTAAATATGAAAATATATTGATTCAGCCCCAAGTGGGGCGGAGAGTGAAGCAAAAAGAAGGTAGGGTTATTGGAAGCGTTGATGTCATTTGTTGATGAGTATGATACCAACAGAGGCACTGCCGCCCAGGCTCCAACTCCGGGTCTTTCCAAGGGGCGTGAGGACCAGCCTAAACTCCTGGGCATCCTCCTCTCTGTGAAGTTGAGAAACGTTCTCCAGCTCATTTAATTGTTCATTATGCCTTGATTGGCCTTGCTTTTATCTAAACTTGTGTCGTCATCCACTACTACCTATTGGATGAATCGATTGAGTGAGGAGGATGTCCTTGTACTTATTCATGCGTTGTTTGAAACATTAGCAACCAAATCCCTCTGTACTCACTGTGCCAGGCACTGAGCTAAGGGCTTGTGTGGGTCTCTAATTACAGTTTCTTAGCAGCCTCTGGTAGGCGCTGTTACTCTCCTCCAGAGGTAGGAAAGGAAGCTTTGGAGAATTAGGAGCATAACTCGCCCAGGGCCAGGCAGCTGGGCAGCAGACCCCTAAATGATGCTGTCCCTGTCATCAGGCGCTTCGCACATGTGTTTCCCCCTCACCAAGACATCCACAGCCCGCCCGAGAGGTTCTCAGGTTCTCAGGCCTGAGGGTGTATGTCTTTGAAAGCTACAGAGAGGTCCACCTTACAAGGTCATTGTGCAGTGATCTGATGGCATTCTTCCCTCCCCTCCCCACAGGAAGTGGTCCTGTACTGCTTAGAGAACAAGATTTGTGATGTAAATCATCGGGACAACGCAGGTTACTGCGCCCTGCATGAAGCTTGTGCTAGGGGCTGGCTCAACATTGTGCGACACCTCCTTGAATATGGCGCTGATGTCAACTGTAGTGCCCAGGATGGAACCAGGTCAGTGATGTGTCTTGTTCTCAGCCTGGCTCTGCTGAGACCAAGCTTCCCTATCTGTGCGGTGGTGGTTCTCAGTGTATACGGGAAATTCCAGGAGGAAAGACAGAGGGTGACTGTAAGCACACTGACCACTGGGTTCTCTGGAATTGAATCCAGCAGACCTTTCTGGCAAATGTAGATGTAAAGCTCCCAATTTTGATCAGTCCTATAATGTTCCTGTGAACCAAAGCTTCTGAAAATGTTGAGGCCTGCATGAATAATTGGGGGTGTTGCCTTTTAAGACCCTGGACTCTTCATCACCATCTATGAAGTCACTGTATTTAAAATATATTTGAGCTGAAAGTCCCAGGAGTACACACAGAGTGCCAGCTGCCCCTCCGCTGGTTCAGCAGGACCTGCCATTGCCACCCACATCCCCAGCCGTGGCCCTCACCCTGTCCTTGACCCTGGTTTATTGGTCAGAGACCCAGGTCTGAGTCAGCCTGAACATCTTCCTGGTTGTGTGAGTGGGATGCTGCCATGAGGCTGGGCACTGGGGGTTTCCTGACAGTGACAGAAATAGCCAAACGGAAATGTATTTGGTGTTTCACACTTTGCAAATAGCATTCCCTCAGATTGGGCAGAGACCCATCTTCTCCCTGCCAACCCCAACCCCCAGCTCCATGGACACAGGTAGGAGGCCTCTGTATCCTGCTGAGAACACACCCCACCAGGCCTGTTTCTTCTCCCCACCGTTCCCTTGGCTTCTGGGCCAGAGGTTAATCACTGATCTGTGTGAGGTCCTGGGATCAGGCTTTCAGGAGAGTCTCTGCTAATCTCTTTGCATCTAGTTTCTTTTAAAAACAGAGGTGGCTTTTTTTTTTTTTTTTTTTTAATGTGTGACAGTTGCTTGTTGTATTGGCTTCCATGATGATGGGACCTCTTTTATCCCCTGTAAGTTACCTTCATATGGTCCATGACTACTTAAATTTGTTGAAAATGTTTTCATTTTGGGCTTGACTTCCTTCTTAGGCCTTGGATTAAGATAGGGTTTGCAGCTGGGCAGTGGCTCTCTTGCCTGTAATCCCAGCACTTTTGGAGGCCGAGGCAGGAGGATCACTTGAGCCTAGGAGTTCAAGATCAGCCTGGAAAACATAGTAAGACCCCGTCCCTACAAAAAGAAAAAATTAGCCAGGTGTGGTGGCATGCGCCTATAGTCCCAGCTATGAGGAGGCTGAGGCAGAAGGATCACTTGAGCCCAGGAGATCGAGGCTGCAGTGAGCCATGATCCGCCCCACTGCACTCCAGCCTGGACAGTGGAGTGAGACCCTGTCCACCCCCACCCCCACCCCCGCAAAAAAAGGATAGATTTGGGTTTGAGATTTAGGCCTGAAATAGTCTCTTCATCTGCCCTGTAAAGGGTTAGTCATCAAAATAACAGTGATTCATTGCTTGACGTTGAGCCACTCACTGTAGCTCAGTTTCCCTATCTGTGCAGTGGCGGTGACTGTGCACACCTCCTGGATGAAATACTGTGCTTAGGAGGCTCAGTACCCAAGGTGCACATGTGCCCAGCTTTGCCTGTTGCTTTTAAAGGAGACAACTGCTTTATAAGCAAGTGTGGCTTGCATGAGCATAATTCTATTGCGCCTCTCTTCCTAGGCCTCTGCACGATGCTGTTGAGAACGATCACTTGGAAATTGTCCGACTACTTCTCTCTTATGGTGCTGACCCCACCTTGGCTACGTACTCAGGTAGAACCATCATGAAAATGACCCACAGTGAACTTATGGAAAAGTTCTTAACAGGTATGACAAAGTTCAAGAAATGGTCTTATTCAAAAATTAGATGATAACTCGATACAATAGATGATTGGAATTTGACTAGGCAGAAATCACAAAGGCTGAAACTGTAAAGCTTTTAGGAGAGCAGCCGAGTGTTTGAACTTTTGTGTGGTTTGACTTTGTTCTAGTGAAGCTAAGTCATCTATTCACCCTAATGTTTTAAAAGATTTCCTAAAGTTATTCCCATTTTCCACACATGCATTCTTAACTTAGGTATGGCTCATAGGTTTACATCTTGAGTCTGGGAAAAATGACTCAAACCTTCCATACATGAAATTATTTGGACAGGTTTATGGTGTTAGGTCATCAGATAACCCATTACTTAAGCCCTGGGCATTACAAAGTGCCTAAAGCAGAAGCACAAGGTTTTCATGAGTGTCAGGCACCTGCAGTTAAAGTCCTTATCAGGCACTTCCTGCCAAAGAATGCCACTAACTCACTGGTGACCTGCCCTTGTTTACCTTAAATTACACTCACTTGTTGGAAGAAGCAGCTTAGTTAGGCTATCAAAGAAGAGATACATAAGTAGGCCGGACACAGTTGGCTCACGCCTGTAATCCCAGCACTTTGGGAGGCCGAGGCAGGTGGATCACCAAAGGTCAGGAGTTCAAGACCAACCTGGCCAACATGGTAAAACCCTGTGTCTACTAAAAATACAAAAATTAGCTGGGCATGGTGGTGGGCGCCTCTAGTCCCAGCTTGGGAGGCTGAGGCAGGAGAATCCCTTGAACCCGGGAGGTGGAGGGGTGGAGGCTGCAGTGAGCCGAGATTGTGCCACTGCACTCCAGCCTGGGCAACAGAGCAAGACTCTGTCAAAAAAAAAAAAAAAAAAGAGATACATAAGTGTAATGCTACTTTATTTTGCTGAGAAAGAGGAAGACAGGAAATGACCTTCCAGCCTGTCATGAATGTATAGGAAAAAATGCCACGTGGCTCTGCCATCATTTTGTTCTCAGCAGTAGATTTTATCTTGTTTTTTTATTTTTCTCTCCCTCCAGATTATTTAAATGACCTCCAGGGTCGCAATGATGATGACGCCAGTGGCACTTGGGACTTCTATGGCAGCTCTGTTTGTGGTAAGCTGCATTGTTTGCTCTAGTTCCGTAGGAGGTGAACAAGTTCAAGTCCATTTCTGTCTGGTATGGGTGAGGGAAAGTGGATGGTGGGCACTGGAAGCAGGACTCACTTGGGAAAGAATCTTGTTATTTAAACTCCTTGTTGTTGTTGACAACTGTGGACATCTTGCTGTAGTTTACTGATTCCTTCCTCTCTTATTTGCCCTCCATTAGAACCAGATGATGAAAGTGGCTATGATGTTTTAGCCAACCCCCCAGGACCAGAAGACCAGGATGATGATGACGATGCCTATAGCGATGTGTTTGAATTTGAATTTTCAGAGACCCCCCTCTTACCGTGTTATAACATCCAAGTATCTGTGGCTCAGGGGTGAGCATGGCTGTCATGTGATTGAAAACTAGCTGAGCTGCTCTTGAGGTGACAGGAGTTAGAAATGCGCTTTGAGCAGATGAGGGTGGGTGGGTGAGTGACCTCCTTAACTGTCCACGAACCTCACACAATGCAGTAGATATTTTCCAGAAAGGGTACACATCAGCTTCCTTACACCCAGTGTGGTGGGGGGTGGGGCACAGCATGGTATAAACCTGCCCTCATCACTAACACCAAGGCTTAAGTCACTCCCCAGAGAAGTGGGTGACTGGAACTTTATGGAAGGGTCAGCACCTTGGATACTTAAATCCTTAAACACTTTGAGAAGGTGTCCTCCCTAGGACTGCCTGCAACAGACCACTGTAGGATGTTTTGAGATGTACGGACTACACTGATAAACCACCTTGTGTAAGGTTAGGACAATCATTGTACATGACACTTAGGATATTGGTGTGTCATCAGATTTAGTTAATCCCCTCTGCCCCCTATGGTTGAGCCCCTATTCGCCAGTGACCAATCATCTTGGGTGTACTTGTCAAGAGACTGCTCTGCTGTGTGTTGACAGAGCTGCTTGATGAGTAACATCCTCCTCAGCCCTGAAGCTATAAACATATATGCCATTACAAACAGTGATGGAAATCATAAAGTATGGTAGGTTGTATGCAAGGAATGTAACACCTTCCTTCTCAAAAGTGTCACTCCCAAAAGAATGGAAGGATGGGAGTGGACATGCCTGAATGGAGAGACAGCCTTGTGTGTTTATAATGCTGTTAGTGAGGGTCTGAGGAGAGAAGAGATCAAAGAAATGGGGATACAGACTTACTCTCCCAGTGACTGTTGATAGCAGGGCACTTGGATAGGCTTGACCCTAGTTGTGGTCACAGCTGAATGAGCAGGACTTTACCCCCAGAAAGGGGAGAAATGGGGCTTATTCAGATGGTCCTCCCTAGATGGACAGATGAGTCCAGAGTTCCTACTGCTAGAAGTAGTTACTCTGCCTCACCTTAGAAAGGAATGGCGATGGCCGGGCACGGTGGCTCACATCCGTAATCCCAGCACTTTGGGAGGCCAAGGCGGGCGGATCACGAGGTCAGGAGATTGAGACCATCCTGGTTAACATGGTGAAACCCCATCTCTACTAAAAATACTAAAAAGTAGCCGGGCATGGTGGCGGGCCCCTGTAGTCCCAGCTACTCGGGAGGCTGAGGCGGGAGAATGGCGTGAACCTGGGAGGTGGAACTTGCAGTGAGCTGAGATCGCGCCACTGCACTCCAGCCTGGGCGACAGAGCGAGATTCCGTCTCCAAAAAAAAAAAAAAAAAAAAAAAAAATGGTGATCAGAGAGTAGGTATGGTGAGAAATGAGGGGTGGGAGCAGAATGAAAGGACATAGAGGCTGGTCCACTTGGGTTGGTAGTTAATATTAATAGTTGGGCGCACTTTTCATTTTACTGGAAACTCAAAGCATTTTCCTTTCTGTTTTGTAGGCCACGAAACTGGCTACTGCTTTCGGATGTCCTTAAGAAATTGAAAATGTCCTCCCGCATATTTCGCTGCAATTTTCCAAACGTGGAAATTGTCACCATTGCAGAGGCAGAATTTTATCGGCAGGTTTCTGCAAGTCTCTTGTTCTCTTGCTCCAAAGACCTGGAAGCCTTCAACCCTGAAAGTAAGGAGCTGTTAGATCTGGTGGAATTCACGAACGAAATTCAGACTCTGCTGGGCTCCTCTGTAGAGTGGCTCCACCCCAGTGATCTGGCCTCAGACAACTACTGGTGAGCAAGCTGGACCCACCATGTACAGTGTGTTATAGTGTTAATCCTTGTGCATATGTGTCATAATACAACTATTTCTGTAAAGAAAGGACACTATTACATATGAAAATATCTCTTCTTTATATAAGAGAAATTACTCCAGTCAGAAGGACTTAGAAACATGTTTTTTTCCTTTTAAACTTTTAAGTCAGTTTTTATGAAGTTGTTATAATGTTTCTTTACTTTTCAATGCACACATGCTTTGGGATACGTTTGTTTTTACTTGGAACATTTGTTTCTTTTCTTTTTTAAGGAGAAAAAAAAATGAGTAAAAGGAGCTCCACACTTTGACTTAATTTCATACAAAGCTCTGATGACAGGCCATGACTGTAGAGTGGTCAGAACTGTGTGGTTGGTTTGAGGGAGCGAATTCGGGGAAGGCACTTGGTGATATAACTTTGTTTTGTTTACAGAGTACCTGCTCGGGCCAGGTAAATGCTATTGGATGTAATCCAGTAGTGTGTAATATAAATTCAAACCATATCCACACACAACAACTAATTGTATGAAACTTTTATATCCTAATTTAAAAGCTGTGAAATTAGTTTTCACGCATCAAACCGGATTGTTTATATGTTTAAACATTTTATGCTCTTATTTAAAGAAGACTTTGAGCTATTTTTTTCTGTACCCTGTAAAATATTGAAAACTAACATAATATGTTGAGGTTGCTTGGAAATGTACATAAAACTAAAATTTTCTGAATCGTGTGTTTATGTTTGAAATCTGTGTTTTAACTTTGTAAGTAAATTCTCTGCCTTTGTATTTATATTTTACAAAAATTTTCTTAAAAGGCAATAAAACTGTTGAGGAAAGGAGAAAATTGAAGTACCTTGTGTCCCATGTATTCCTAAAGCATTATTGTTGTCCCTGATTCTTCTTAAATGGTGCTGGTGATGTATTCCCTATAGATAACTTTAGAGCAATTTATAGTCTCTGGAAACCAAAGCAGACTGGAGGATTTTGGAGGAGTTATACTCAGAATATAATTTGGAGTCCTATTCTGAAAGCCCAATTCTTGGACATATTTCCTGTCTCTTAGAACCTTCTCTTTCCTGTCTCCTTTGATGCTTATGGAGGCTTTTGCACTGCCTTTGGCCTTGACCTATTTCAGTCCCACGTCATGGCCAACTCTCTAGGAGTGTTTTTTCTGAAGCTAGGCATTTGTTATGTCACTTCTGCAGCCCTTCTGTTGCATGGCCTGAGAGTCAAGGCCTGTAGAGCCAGCCTTTCCTCTGTTCTTGACTTTTCCCAGCAGTATCTGCACTGGGCACTATCAGTTGGCCCTTGATTTCCATCTCACTTGCTTTTGTGCCTGTCCTTCACTATAGAGGCTAGAAAGCTGAAAACTACTTGACTCCCTTGCAGCTAGCTTTCTGAGTGCATATTCTGTTTGGAGGGCAGCATGAGGTAGGGGCACCTTCCTACTATAGTGGCTGCGGATAGGAAAATTTGAAGAGAATGCCAGCCAGTTGGAATGACTGACCAGCATTCCAGTGTCTGGTTTTCAGCTTGGTGGGTGATGAGATACAGTAGTGGTTGTGGCAGTGGCAGCTTTCTAATTCTTGGATGACAGCCTCAGCAGATTGTTCGTGAACCCTGTGGATCCAGAGTTGTCCCTGACTCCTGTTCCCCCAGCCCTTCCAAAGACCTTATTCATCTGGGTCCTTGTGTCAAATCCATTTGTGCACCGAATGCCCTCAGTGCTTTCTGATCCTGCATGGAACACTAGGACTGCGAAAGCAGAGGAAAGAGGCTGTGGGGACACTGTATTTGTCAGGCCAGCAAACACTGTGGAAGAAAAAAAAGGAAAAGTGAGGCATTGTTGGGAATGAAGAAATTCCATGTGAGGAATGCAAGAGCCCTTTTTGGGGGAAGGTTGGCTACGAATGAAGTTTGGAGTGTATCTTGAAGACAAAAGGCAGCCTACCATCTTATTTACTAATTTTTCTGATATTAGAAAATGTATACCTTATTTAAAAAACCCAATCATGTCAGAAATAGACACGTTTCCTATTATCCCCTCCCCTCCCCCACCCATGTTAACCACTATTAACAGTTTACTTAGTTTTTGTTTTACAGGAAGTCCCCTCAAATAGCTAGGGGGAGTGTTGAAGGGAAAAAAACAGACGACAAGACCAGTAAAACAGACCTGTAGAAATGATTTAAGCAGAAGAGGACTGGTGAAGCTGAACTACCATCAAAGCTACGAGAGATCCTACACACCCAGATTTAAAAAATAATAAAAACTTAAGGGCATCCGGCTCTTTGTATTGGGGTTGGAGGCAAAGGGGGAGCCCAAGGCCAACTGAGATTTTTATCTTGGATGAAGGTCATTCTGTTAATTAAGCTAGGAAAACAGGTGAGAGCCACAAGGTTAGGGTGTGCAGAAGAAGCAGCTTGGTGCAGGAGACATTTAAGGCTGTGGTTCATGCAGTTGGAGGAGCTAGTAGTCAGAACAGTTAGTGCAAGAACTGTCAGGGTGGTTGGAAACATGGACGTAGAACTGACTGGGGGTATAGATGAGATCCCCATGGCTGAGAAAGGTTTGGATGTAGAGCAATGCCCCACCCCTGCTCAGGAACTCCCCATGGGTAATAGAGCTCACCATGAACATAGAGTGGGCCACAGGTATGGGCCAGATCACACTCCACAGGGAGAGGGACGCGTCACCAGAAGGTAGGGGAGCTTATTGTGTGTTGAGAGGAACTCAGCATGGGTGTTCAAGTGCTCACCACAGGTTTGGAGCAATCATGATCTAAGGTCACCTCGGGCGTTGAAGAGCTCTCCACAGGCAAAGATGTTAACACAGGTGTAAGTGAGATCCCACTGCAGGTAGAGTGCCCATTCCAGTAGAACTCCTCCTGGGGGGAAGGGAGTGGGTGTAGAAGACACCACAGGCATAGATGAGATCGTATTGGCCGTATAGAAACACCATGGGTTTAGAAGAGCTCACCAGAGGTACAGAGCAGACCTTTATAGGCCCTCATTTGGGTGTCCAGGAACCCACCAGCAACATAGAAGAGTTTCCATGAAGGTCAACATGAGTGCAGTGGAGCTCACCACGGGTAGACAGCAGAAGTGGTTCATTCCAATTCTGAAGGTGTCCCTTAGGATCAGGACATGCTTTCCTTTGCCCTGTCCTCCCTCTTCCTGGCTAGAATGTGGCTGCTCTAGCTATAGCTGTCACAACCACCTTGGACCATGAAGTATCGAAGTCGAGCACTGCTGGACAAGTTTGAAGGAGCATGGGTCTTTGAGAATCTCCTGGAACCAAGCCACCATACCAGCCCTACCCTACCTGCCATTTACGTTAATTGATGTAATAGCAAAACACCCAAATCTCCATCAGTTGGGCACTGGTCGAGTTAACAATGGTACACCCACACAGTGGAATACTATGCAACTGGAAAAAGAATTGAGGAATAGTTCCCTAACTTGCTTTAGAGTGGTCTTCCAATTATTATTATTTTATTTTATTATTTATTATTATTATTTTTTGAGACAGTCTTGCTCTGTTGCCCAGACTTGGAGTGCAGTGGTACAACCTCTGCTCACTGCAACCTCTGCCCACTGCAACCTCTGCCTCCTGGGTTCAGGCAATTCTCCTGCCTCAGCCTCCCAAGTAGCTGGAATTATAGGCACCCGCCACCATGCCCAGCTAATTTTTATGTTTTTAGTAGAGACAGGGTTTTACCATGTTGGCCAGGCTAGTCCTGAACTCCTGGTCTCAGGTGATCCACCCAGCCTCAGCCTCCCAAAGTGCCAGGATTACAGGCGTGAGCTACCATGCCTGGCCTATTTATTTTTTTGAGACAGGGTCTCGTCTCGCTCTTGCCCAAGCTGGAGTGCAGTGGTACAATCATGGCTCACCACCGCCTCAACTCCCCAGGCTCAAGCAATCCTCCTGCCTCACCCTCCTGAATAGCTGGGACTACAGACAAGCACCACCATTCTGGGGTAATTATTTTGTTTTTTTGGAGAGATGGGAGACTTGCTGTGTTGGCCAGGCTGTTCTCCTGAGCTGAAGCGATCCACCCACCTTGGCCTCCCAAAGTGCTGGGATTACAGGAGTGAGCCACCACACCTGGCCTGAAAACATTTTTATAGTTGTTTTCAGTAATCTTATCTTTGGTAGTGTCAGTATTGTTATTCTGAGTCTGTCCTGTTTGTGTCGTGAGATAAAACAAAAGGAAATGTTGGTATTGAGAACTGGGACTTCAACATGAGAGAAAGGAGATGAAAATATAGAATTGGCAAGGTTAGATAAATTATCCAGCCCTGAACATGAATTGTAAGTATCACTATGAACTCATGATGTATTAATATTTTATCTTAGGAAAGTTTGTTTCCTAGCTCTGTCCTCTCAAAAAGCCTGGAAACAATGACTGATAGAAATGAGCACCATAGCTCCCAGCCTATGGTTTCTAAATACCTTTCCTCATTAAAAACAACTGAGCTTTATTTGAGAAATGGTTGATTCCAGTTTGGGGCAGGGAAGAATTGGAAGGGAGTATAGATATATACAAGAAGCCAGTGGGGTTGTGTCAAAAAAATTAAGCCTTCCAAAGTGCTGGGATTATAGGCCATGAGCCACAGTGCCCGGCCAAAAGTAAGTTTTATAACATATGTTGTTTAACTCCGTATATCCGAAGTATTACCATTTTGACATGCAATCAATACAGAAATCATTAACGAGACACTTTTGTTTTTTATACCAAGACTTTAGAAACTCCAATGTGTATTTTACATTTGCAGCACTTTTCAGCTTGAACTGGCCACATTGCCAAGTGCTCAGTAGCCACATGTGGCTACTGGCTACCACACTGGACAATGTAGGTCTAAGTCTACTTACCAGTTTACAAGAAATACAAGGGGCAGAGAAACACGTTAGGACACTATGGGTATGCATTCAGCAAAAGCCAAACTGTGAGACTCTATAAGACACATGGGGCTGGGCACGGTGGCTCAGGCCTGTAATCCCAGCACTTTGGGAGGCTGAGGTGGGTGGATCACCTGAGGTCAGGAGTTCAAGACCAGCCTGATCAACATGGTGAAACCCCGTCTCTATTAAAAATACAAAAAAATAAAAATAAAATTAGCCAGGCATGGTGGCGGGCGCCTGTAATCTCAGCTACTCGGGAGGCTGAGGCAGGAGAATTGCTTGAACCAGGGAAGTGGAGGTTGCAGTGAGCCGAGATCACACCACTGTACTCCAGCCTGGGCAACAAGAGCAAAAACCCATCTCAAAAAAAAAAAGACACATGGCTCAGTTTATTTAACAAATAACTTGCAAGGGGAAAAAAAACAGAGGAGGAAACCTCTAGACTAAAAGAGACAAGAGAAATACCAGCAAATGTAAAGCATGGATCTGTGAGTCTGATTTGAACAAACTATAAAAAAGAAAAAAAAATTGCAAAATTTGTAAAAACCAGGGAAATAGGAATGCTGAACATATATATATATATATATACATATATATATATATATATATATACATATATATATATATATATATATATACATATATATATATATATTTATATATATAATTTTAAAATGTGGTGTTGCTCTGTCACGGAGACTGGAGTGCAGTTGTGCAATCACAGCTCACTGCAGCCTCTACTGCCTGGTTTCCAGCAATTCCCCCACCTAAGCCTCCCAAGTAGCTGGGACCACAGGCGTGCACCACCACAACCAACTAATTTTTTTTATTTGTAGAGATAGGGTCTCTTTGTGTTGGCCAGGCTCATCTTGAACTCCTGGGCTCAAGCAATCCTCCCGCCTTGGCCTGGGATTACAGACGTGAGCCACTAAGCCTGGCCCAGAACTTTTTTTTTTTTTATTCCAAATCTTTTGGCAATGTGTGCTGAAATCTTTATGTATATGATATCTGGGATTTGCCTCAAAATCATCCCAGTGGGAGGAGAAGATGGAGATGTAGATGAAACAAGCCCCATGAGTAGGTAATTATTTTTATTTATTTTTTTTTTTTTTGAGACGGAGTCTCTCTGTCACCCAGGCTGGAGTGCAGTGGCGCAATCTTGGCTCACTGCAAGCTCCGCCTCCTGGGTTCACGCCATTCTCCTGCCTCAGCCTCCCAAGTAGCTGGGACTACAGGTGCCTGCCACCACACTCGGCTAATTTTTTGTATTTATAGTAGAGGTGGGGTTTCACCGCATTAGCCAGGATGGTCCCGATCTCCTGACCTTGTGATCTGCCTGCCTTGGCCTCCCAAAGTGCTGGGATTACAGACGTGAGCCACCGCACCTGGCCGGGCCATCAGTAGGTAATTTTTGAAGCAGGAAATGGGTACATGGAGGTCTCTGAATTGTGCACTTCTCTCTATTTTTGTGTGTGTTTGAAATTTTCTACAATAAGTTATTTTTTGAAAGAGAGCATCTCAGCCTGGGCAACCTGGGGAGACCCCATCTCTATAAAAACTTTAAAGGTTGGCCGGGCAGGGTGGCTCACGCCTGTAATCCCAGCACTTTGGGAGGCTGTGGCTGGCGGATCACTTGAGGTCAGGAGTTCGAGACCAGCCTGCCCAACATTGTGAAACCCCATCTCTACATACAAAAATTAGCCTGGCGTGGTGGTGGGTGCCTGTAATCCCAGCTATTCAGGAGGCTGAGGTGGGAGAATCACTTGAACCCAGGAGGCGAAGGTTGCAGTGAGCTGAGATCATGCCATTGCACTCCACCCTGGGTGATAAGAGCGAAACTGTGTCTCAAAACAAAACAAAACAAAAAACAAAAAACTTTTAAAAGTTATCCAGGCATGGTGGCACACACCTGTAGTCCTAGCTACTTGGGAGGCTGAGGCAGGAGGATTACTTAAGCCTCGAAGGTTGAGGCTACCGTGAGCCATGATTGCACCACTAGACTCCAGCCTGGGTGACAGAGTGAGACCCTGTCTCAAAAAAATTCAACCCAAAACAATACGTATCTTTCAGGGTTGTGAGGATTAAATGAGACCATATATGTTGAGCACCTGGCACAATGCCCAACAGGTAGTAAACACTAGATAAATATTTAGATTCTCCTTTTAAAAAAGGTCTGTACTTAAAAAGGGGGGAGTGGATTCTGAAAGGAGCTTGCCTCTGCTTGCACACAGTTTGCATATTTCTCCAAACTAGATGTGTATCCTTTCTCATCTCTACCATCTAGTGATGACTTGTTTGTTCACCAGGAAAACTGGAAAGAGGGAGAAACCTCAGTGGCAAAGGCGAGATGGGTCAGGGACGGCACAAGAATTCTCTGTGTGTTCCTATTGATATAGTTGTTTTCATTTGAACCATGTAAATGTTTAAATATTCAAGAAACCAAATTCAATAAAAATAGATGAATAAAGGCAAATATTGAAGTTGAGTGTAAACAGGAACAAATGAAACCATATCGCGTTGATAACATTACCACACAGAAAAAGAATTTGCCAAAGTAAGTTTTGAACATCCTTAGTGAAATATATTCCAAGGACAAAAATAATTGCAAAGATATCTTGGAACTTTACTCAGCAGATCTCTTGTAGTAATTCTGTATTGTATTTGTAATTGTAATTAGTAATTGTATTGTAATTCTGAAAGCCTTTTACATGCATTGTGAGATAGATGAGATGATAAATATGGTAATGGGAACCACTCTGTGAGAAGGGATATACAAACATGAAATGTGGAGAAGGGAGAAAGAAGCTTGTGATGTTGGCTACGAATTGCCAATTCAAGAGTTCAGCAAATACAATGTGGATTCCCAAGCTCTGTCTACTAAAAGGGCCTAACAAACGTTGACACCCTAGTAGCAATGAGCACATCTAGCACTAAGTTCTTGGTTTCTAAATGCCATTTCCTGCTGTCAAGAACCAGGGGCTGCCTGCAGAAAAGCTTGACCCAGAGTCTATAGCAGAGAACATACAAGGTGAGTGAGCCTAGCCAGTACTGTGACAGACTAGCTCCATATGGCACTGATAAGAAGGACCCAGCATTACCTCTACAGTGTTCTTATCAAAAATGTGCCAGTCTGGGCAACATGGCGATATCTCATCTCTACTAAAAATAGAAAAAATTAGCCGGGCATGGTGACACATGCCCATAGTATCAGCTACTGGGGAGGCTGAGCTGGGAGGATCTTTTGTGCCCAGGAGATCAAGGCTGCAGTGAACCATGATCAAATTACTGCACTCCAGCCTGGGCCACAGAGTGAGACCCTGTCTCAAAAAAAGAGAGAAAAAAAAAAAATAACTTGAATCCAATAATGAGGAAACAGACATTCTGGAAGACAAGACAACTGGCTTGGCTTTTTTTTTTTTTTTCCCCGAGACAAAGTCTCTCTCTCTTACTCAGGCTGGAGTGCAGTGGCACAATCTCGGCTCATTGCAACCTCTGCCTCCTGGGTTCAAGCAAGCACACCTGGCTAATTTTTGTATTTTTAGTAGAGAAGGGGTTTCATCATGTCGGTCAGGCTGGTCTCAAACTCCTGACCTCAAGCAATACGCCCACCTCCGCCTTTTTTTTTTTCAATCCATGTCATGAAAACAAGCAAGAGGGAATGTTCTAGATTAGGGAAGATTGAGGAGAACAAGACGATCAAATGCAATGCATGAACCTTGATAGAATCCTAGATCGGGGTAAAAATTCCTTATCAGACACTTTAGGGACTACTGGTAAAATTGGTAAAAATCAATCTTATTAAGATATAATTTATATCAAACCAAAGACACCCAGTTCTGAGTTTCGGCAATTTTACATCCATGTAACTACCACTCCCAATCAAGCATCTAACATTTGTCACCCCAGAAAGTTCCCCTGTGCCGTTTACTTTCAACACCTCCCTGACCCCAAGCAACCACAGATGTGGTTTCTGTCACTATAGAGCCAATGGGGAAATTGAAATAAAGAATATAAATTAAAGGATATTATTGAATAAATGTTCATTTTCTTAGGAACGATAATGGCATTGTGGTCATGTAGGAGAATGTCCATACTCTTGAGATATGTATGCTAGGGTGTTCAAGGATGAATTAGGATGTCTGTCATTGACTTCCAAAAGGTTCAGAAAAGAAAAGCACAGAAAAATATTAATATGTTTATTATTACACAGATAACAGCATAGAAAAATATTAATAATTGGGGAATCCAGGTAAAGGGTATATTAAATCGTTCTTTCACTGTTTTTTTTTGAGTCTCACTGTGTTGCCCAGACTGAAGTGCAGTGGCATGATCTCAGCTCACTGCAGCCTCAACCTCTTGGGCTCAAGCAATCCTCCCACCTCAGCCTCCAAAGTAGCTGGGACTGCAGGCACGTGCTACCATGCCCAGCTAACTTTTGTATTTTTAGTAGAGATGGGGTTTCACCATGTTGCCCGGGCTGGTCTGAAACTCCTGAGTTCAAGCAATCCACCCGCCTCAGCATCTCAAAGTGCTGGGATTGCAGGCTTGAGCCACTGCGACCGGCCATTCTTTCACCTTTTATATAGGTTTGGGATTTTTCGAAATAATGTTGAGGGAAAAAAAATCATAATTTCCATCTCACACTTTTTTCAATACCTCTCATTACTGTTTCCTCAGAGAAGGGTGAAACAAAGACAGGTTAAAACATTTATTACCTTGTCACTCTTCTCCTTTTTCTAAAAGGTAATAACATTCTGTCAAAAACACAGGGCCCAAGAGGTTTGGCAGCCTCTCCTCTGCAAAACTTGGGTTCAGAGTTCAGGGTTTGGATCTGGGTCTGTTTCGGGTGGATTGGTGTGTGTGTGTGGGGGGTTCTCTTCTCCTCACTTTGAAGTCATCGTCTTTCCCAAAGCCCTTTGGTTTAGATAAGTGGAAGGACTTCTGAGGGTGGATTCATCAGCCAGGTCTCAACCTCGTTAAGCACCTGTGGCCAGACAGCAGGAAGGAAGCTGCTGGCTAGAGTGGCAGGGCTGGCTGTGAGAATGCCCTGCTGTCCTTGCTCTGCCACCACCGCACTCGCAAAGAGGCCTCACTTCCTGTGGCTCCTCCCCACCATGCAGTGGGCATCACGGGGGCCCTGAGGTGGGCTCATTCGGGCAGGATGTGCATCTTTGGCTTGAGGACTCACCATCAGCCTGGCCACTTTTCTTGGAGCTACATTGCAGGCTTTGAATCTTCCTATACACCCCTCCTTCCTTCTCCTCTCCTTCCACAGGAGTCAGACCTGCATCTCGGTGTGAAGGCCCTCCTCACCTTTTCCTGCTTTCTCCCCCAATGTATCTCTTACCTGTCTAAGCCCATCTTGGCATCTGCTTCTTGTCCCACCTAAAGGCACACACTTTTTCTCTGCCACATGTCCAATAAAAGAGGGCTAGGGCCAGAGTTAGTAGGGGCTAGATGTGCTACTGGAAGCTGGTGTTTTCCCTCAGTGTGTCTGTCTGTCTGTCTGTCTTTCTTTCTTTCTTTCTTTTTTTTTTTTTTTTGAGACAGGGTCTCACTCTGTCACCCAGGCTGGAGTACAGTGGCACAATCTCAGCTCACTGCAACCTCCACCTCCCAGGCTCAGGTGATCCTCCCACCTCAGCCTCCTGAGTAGCTGGAACAACAGGCATGCACCATCACACCCGGCTAATTTTTGTATTTTTTGTAGAGACGGGGTTTTGCCATGTTGCTCAGGCTGGTCTCGAACTCCTGGGCTAAAGCAATCAGCCCTCCTTGGGCTCCCCAAGTGCTGGGATTACAGGTGTGAGAAATGGTACTCAGCCCTCAGTGTGTGTTTCTATTAAAAGGAAGAAGAGGAATAGGAAAAGGAAGAAGAAGAGGAAAAGGACAGTAAAAGGTCTACTTTGGATGAATGGTCAGGTCAGGGAAGGCTGCTCTGGGGAGGTGGCCTTTGAGCAGGACAAGTGGATAAATTGCCTTGTAGTCAAACAATAAGATGCCATACCCCAGCTACTCCAGTCAAGACACATAAATGTCACAAACATAACATTGACCAAAATAGAAGGCAAATTGCAGAAGAATGCATGTAATGTGACACATTTATATAAAATATTAAAATAGGCAAAAATACCATTATACTGTTAATGGGTTTCTGACTAATTAGTCAAGATATAAAACCAAGAAGAGGAGTGATCTCTACCAAATCCAGGACAGTAGATACATTTGGGTGAGTGGGCAGTGGAGGGCAGGAAGTGGTTAAAAGAAGGAGAAGGAGGAGGGGCCAGGCTGCGTAAAGAGGAGGGGAGAGGAAGGAAGGAAGGGAGAGGGAGGGAGTGAGAGAGAAAGAGAGGGGACAAGGAAAGGCAGAAAATGCCAAGATATGAACTTTGGTACCGGAAGTTTCTTTTCACTGCAGCCTGAGTGGTACTTAAAATAACAGAAGTAAACAGCGTTTCTGGTCTCCAGAAACATCCTATGTCTGCAGTCCTAGAAGGAATATTGTAAGAGTTTGCAATTATTCCTTAACTGGCTGGCCTTCTTTTACAGATTAATATTGCCAGGGAGTGGGATCCTCACCCTGAACACACTTAGGAGACAACTGAGAGACTGGCTGATTGACCCAAAACTTATTTCTGCTTCCACCACCCCAACCCCAACTCTGCTAAATTTGCAAGGTCCATACAAGTCCTGACAATGTCCCCAACTAAAGGCTTCAGACTAAAAGTGTGGGAGTGAGAAGGACAAGTCCCAAACATTTGGAAGTCGGTCTAGTTGTTCTGTTCCACCACTTGATTTCAGCTGTCCAAAAGTGAGCAGTCCTCGTGGTCTAGCCCCTGGGGTGATGGTTGCTTATGCTTGTGCAAGGTTGGCACTTTTAGAGTATTCAAATTTAAGCAAATAGGCTGAATGCGGTGGCTCACACCAGTAATCCCGACATTGTGGGAGGCCGAGGCAGGAGGATCACCTGCATTCAGGAGTTTGAGACCAGCTGGGCCAGCATGGCGAAACCCCGTCTCTACTAAAAATGCAAGAATTAGCCAGGCGTGGTGGCACGCATCTGTGATTCCAGCTACTCAGGAGGCTGAGGCAGGAAAATTGCTTGAACTTGGGAGGTGGAGGTTGCAGTGAGCCGAGATCATGCCATTGCACAATCAGCCTGGGCAAGAAGAGCAAAACCCCATCTCAACAACAACAAAAAAACCCCAAAAAAACAAAAAACAAATGTAGGCAAATAATAGGTAGGTTCCTGTCTCTCCTTTCATTCACCTTTCTCCTTCCCCATCTCTTACTTAATCCCTGACGCCTCCCTATTCCAGTTACAATGGCTGCATAAGAGTTATTTCAAAACTTCATGGCTTTTACTGGCATAAGGACAGACATATAGGCCAATGGAATAGAATAGACTAGAATAAAATAGACAGCTCAGAAATAAGCCTTCACACATACTGTATAATCAACTAATTATACAGCACTGATTATTGACAATACTGTCAAAAATCAACTGACTTTTGACAAGGGTACAAAAATTATTTAATGGAGAAAGAACAGTCTTTTCCACAAACGATGCTGGGAGAACTGGATCCACACACAGAGAACAAAGTTGGGCCTCTACCTCACACCGTCTACAAAAATTAACTAAAAATGGGCCAGGTGTGGTGGCTCATGCCTGTAATCCCAGCACTTTGAGAGGCTTAGGCGGGTGGATCACAAGGCCAGGAGTTTAAGACCAGCCTGGGCAACATGGTGAAACCCCGTCTCTACTAAAAATACAAAAATTAGCTGGGCATGGTGGTGCGTGCCTGTAATCCCAGCTACTCAGAAGGCTGAGGCAGGAGAATCGCTTGAACCCGGGAGGCAGAGGTTTCAGTGGGCTGAGATCGTGCCATTGCACTCTAGCCTGGGCAATAGAGTGAGACTCTGTCTAAAAAAAAAAAAAAGGAATTTGAAACTAGCCTGGCCAACAGGGTGAAACCTCATCTCTACTAAAAATCCAAAAATTAGCCAGGTGTAGTGGTGAGCACTTGTAATCCCAGCTACTTGGGAGGCTGAGGCAGGAAAATCACTTGAACCCAGGAGACAGAGGTTGCAGTGAGCCGAGATTGTGCCACTGCACTCCAGCCTGGGCAACAAAGCAAGACTTCATATCAAAAAAAAAAAAAAATTAACTCAAAATGGATCAATGACCTAAGTGTAAGAACTAAAACTATAAAGTTCTGAGAAAAAAAAAAAACGGGAGTAAATCTTCCATTAGGCAATGGCTTTTTAGATATGACATCATAACACCAAAAGCACAAGCAACCAAAGGAAAAATAAACTGGACTTTCTTAAAGTTAACAACTTTTATGCTTTAAATGATATCATCGAGAAAGTCAGTCAGACACAGTGGTATGTACCTATAGTTCTAGCTAGTCAAGAGGCTGAGGTGGGAGGACCACTTGAACCCAGTCCAGCCTGGGCAACATGGTGAGATTTCATTTCTCTTCTTTTCTTTTCTTTTCTTTTTTTTTGAGACGGAGTCTCTCTCTGTCGCCCAGGCTGGAGTGCACTGGCGTGATCTTGGCTCACTGCAACCTCCACCTCCCGGGTTCAAGCAATTCTCCTGCCTCAGGCTCTTGAGTAGCTGGGATTACAGGCATGTGCCACCACGCCTGGCTAATTCTTGTATTTTTAGTAGAGACAGGGTTTCACCATGTTGGCCAGGTTGGTCTCAAACTCCTAACCTCAGGTGATCCGCCTGCCTCAACCTCCCAAAGTGCTGGGATTACAGGTATGAGCCACCGCTCCCGGTCCCTCATTTCTTAAAAAACAAAGAAAGAAAAACAAAGACAACCCACAGAATGGGAGAAAAATATTTGTAAATCATGTGCTCGGTAAGGAACTTGTATCCAAAATATATAAATAACTCTAGGCCGGGCGCGGTGGCTCACGCCTGTAATCCCAGCACTTTGAGAAGCTGAGGTGGGCGGATCCCCTGAGATTGGGTGTTCGAGATCAGCCTGACTAACATGGTGAAGCCCTGTCTCTACTAAAAATACAAAATTAGCTGGGCGTGATGGCGGGCACCTGTAATCCCAGCTACTAGAGAGGCTGAGGTAGGAGGATCACTTGAACCTGGGAGGCAGGCGTTGCAGTGAGCCAAGATTGCGCCATTGCACTCCAGCCTGGCTGACAAGAGTAAGACTTCATCTCAAAACAAAAACAAAAACAAAACAAAACAAAACAAACTCTAGGTTAGGTGCGGTGGCTCATGCCTGTAATCCCGGTACTTTGGGAGGCCGAGATGTGAGAATTGCTTGAGCCCAGAAGTTTGAGACCAGCCTGGGCAACACAGAGAGACCCCATTTGTAAATATATGTGTATGTGTGTGTGTGCATAACTCTTACAACCCAATAATAAGACAAATTAAGTCAACCAATTAAAAACTTGGTAAATGATTTAAATAAACATTTTTCCAAAGAAGATAGATAAATGGCCAATAAGCACAAGAAAATATGTTCAACATCATTAGCCATTAGGGAAGTGTAAATCAAAACCACAATGAAGCAGCACTTCACACCCATTAGGACAGCTCTAATAAATAAAAAAGACACATAATAACAAGTGTTGGTGAGAACATGGAGAAATTGGATACCTCATACATTGCTGGTGGTGGGAATCCAAAATGAAGCAGCCACTTTGGAAAACAGTTTGGCAGTACATTCAACATATTAAATACAGACTTTCCATATTACCCAGCAATTCCACTCCTAGGTATACACTCAAGAGATATGAAAACATATGTCTACACCAAAACTTGTACATGAATGTTCAAAGCAGCATTAGTCATAAGAGCCAAAAGTAGATACAAATCAAATGTTCATCAACTGATGAATAAATAAGAAAAATGTGGCCAGTCATGTTGGCTCAAGCTTTTAGTCCCAGCTACTCAGGAGGCTGAAGTTGAAGGATCACTTGAGCCCAGGAGGTCGAGGCTGCAGTGAGCTGTGATCACGTCACTGCACTCTAGCCTGGATGATGGAGTGAAACCCTGCCTCAAAAAATAAACTAAGAATAAAATAACATGGCCAGACATGGTGGCTCACGCCTGTAATCCCAGCACTTTGGGAGGCTGAGGCGAGCAGATCACCTGAGGTCAGGAGTTCAAGACCAGCCTGGCTAACATATAGTGAAACCCCGTCTCTACTAAAAAATACAAAAATTAGCTGGGTGTGGTGGCACACGCCTGTAGTCCCAGCTACTTGGGAAGCTGAGGCAGGAGAATGGCTTGGCTTGAACCCAGGAGGTGGAGGCTGCAGTGAGCCGAGATCGTGCCACTGTACTCTGGATGACAGAGCAAGACTCCATCTCAAAAAAAAAAAAAAAAAAGAATAAAATAACATAATAGATTTTTTTTTCTTTTTCTTTTTCTTGTTTTTGAGACCGAGTTTTCACTCTTGTTGCCCAGGCTGGAGTGCAATGGTGCGATCTCGGCTCACCGCAATCTCTGCCTCCCGAGTTCAAGCAATTCTCCTGCCTCAGCCTTCCAGAGTAGCTGGGATTACAGGTATGTGCCACCACGCACAGCTAATTTTGTATTTTTAGTAGACATGGAGTTTCTCCATGTTGGTCAGGCTGGTCTCGAACTCCCAGCCTCAGGTGATCAGCCCGCCTCAGCCTCCCAAAGTGCTGGGATTACAAGCGTGAGCCACTGTGCCTGGCAATAAAAAAAAGCTTAAAAAGAAAATGCAGTGTAAACATACAAAGAATATTATTTGGCACTAAAAGGAATGAAGTTCTGATCTGTGCTACGACATGGGTGAACCTTAAAAGCATCATGCTGAGTGAAAGAAGCCAGTGAGAAAGGACCACATATCACGTGATTCCATTTATATGAAATCTCCAAAATGGGCAAATCCATGGAAACAGAAAGTAGATTAATGGTTCCCAGGGGCAGGGGAGAGGGTGGAGGGAAGGAGGATTCTGGACCCTTTTTGGGAAGTCATGAAAATGTTCTCCAGTTGATTGTGGTGATGGCTGCACAACTCCGAATATACTAAAACCATTTAATTGTACATTTTAAATAAGTGAATTTTATGGTATGTGAATTATATCTCAATAAAGATTTTTAAAAGGAACTTCGTGTCTCAAAGCAAGAGCATTTAGTTTGCTCGTGAATCTGCAGTTTGAACAGGCCTCCCTTGGGAGAGCTCACCTATGCTCCACTTGGCGTCAGCTGAGGTGGTTCAAGGTCTGGAGCTGGAATCCTTTGGGGGCTGGTACATTCGTTCACTCATGTCTGGTGACTGAAGCTGGGTATGGGCTGGGACTCCAGCTGGGGCTGTCAGCTGGAACACTTTCACTTTGCGTGTGGCCTAGGACTCTTCCCTACCTGGTGGCTGGGTTCCAGGAAGGATAAGCATCCATAGAAGAGACAGGGGGCCACTTGGAAGCTGCATTTCCTTGATTTATTTTTTATTTTTGGAGATGAGGTCTCGCTCTGTTGCCTAGGCTGCAGTGCAGTGCTTCAATCATGACTTACCACAGCCTCAAACTCCTTTCCTCAAGTGATCCTCCTTCCATAGCCGAGTAGCTGGGAACACAGGCCCACGCCACCATGCCTAGCTAATTTTTTAATTTTCAGAAGAGATGGGGGTCTCAGTATCTTGCCCAGGCTGGTGTCAAACTCCTGGCCTCAAGTGATCCTCCTGCCTTCGCCTCCTGAGTAGCTAGGATTACAGGCATGAGTCACCACACGCAGCTGTACTTCCTTTTATGACCTACTTTTGATGGTCACACATTGTCCCCTGTTTGTTAGAGGGCAATAACTGAGGGCAGCCCATAATCAAGAGAGATGAGGCCGGATGCGGTGGCTCACACCTGTAATCCCAGCACTTTGGGAGGCTGAGGTGGGTGGATCACCTGAGGTCGGGAGTTCGACACCAGCCTGACCCACATGGTCAAACCCCATCTCTACTAAAAATACAAAATTAGCCGGGCGTGGTGGCACATGCCTGTAATCCCAGCTACTCGGGAGGCTGAGGCAGGAGAATCGCTTGAACCAGGGAGGCAGAGGTTGCGGTAAGCTGAGATCGTGCCATTGCACTCCAGCCTGGGCAACAAGAGCAAAACCCCGTCTCAAAAAAAAAAAAAAAAAAAAAGAAGAGATGAATTAGACCCCACCTTTTGTGGGAAGAATATCAGAGAATTTGCATTCGTGTTTTAAAAACATTACACTTGCTTTTCCCCATATACATCACAAATATTTACAGAGGGGAACCCAGGCAGTGCATAGAAACCAGGGTACCCCACTGAAACCCCTGCAGAGACCACAGGGCCATGTAAATAGGCAACTTGAGCGAACAGATCCCCTGCATCTGTCTCACGGTTATCCCCGAGGATGGCGGAGACAGACTGCTGAACTGAACAGCACGTGCCCTGTTTATAGGAACCGGGCACTGCTTTGCCCCAGCCCATTGCTGCAATGGCACTCTGGGCTGCCAGGTCTTTGGACTTTTCAGAAGAGAAGCCAGTAATGTCAACTTTGATGTGAACCCTCACAATTATTCATAACGCTTATCAAACACTGAGAAAGCCAAACAAAACCATCTCCAAAGTGGGTTAGGCCTGGGGCCCACCAGACTCTAAATGTTCGTGTCAATCTGTGGAGAGTTTTTCACTCATGAAAATATGGAATAAAAGTTTACAGAAATGTGCTCTTCCTTGGTCCAGATTATTCACACCTGTGTAGGGGAAAGGAGACCATTTCAAGAGCCTCCTGTCTAAAATGCTCCCTAGAGAAACAGTACAGTGAGTTCATTGAGCGTCAGGTCTTGGTTAATTACCTGGTAAATTAATAAGTGAATCCAGTGTTGAACATGAACTTAATTTTTTTTTTTTGAGACAGAATTTCACTCTTGTTGCCCAGGCTGGAGTGCAATGGCACGATCTCAGCTTACCGCAACCTCTGCCTCCCAGGTTCAAGCAATTATCCTGCCTCAGCCTCCTGAGTAGCTGGGATTACAGGCATGTGCCACCACGCCCGGCTAATTTTGTATTTTTAGTAGAGACTGGGTTTCTCCATGTTGGTCAGGCTGGTCTTGAACTCCCGACCTCAGGTGATCCGTCCACCTCCGCCTCCTAAAGTGCTGGGATTACAGGTGTGAGCCACCGCACCCAGCCAAAATGTTTTTAATTTAAATTTTTTTCATTCTTTTTTACACAAATAAACTACCAACTTGTGAAAGAGAGGAGTCCTGGATCCTTTTCCCACACTCACCCCACTACCACCACCCTGACACTTTCTATGGCTCATCAGGGTCATTTCCCACACCTAACATGTAGACTAAAGATCAGACACAGCCGCAACCAGGAACAAAGAACAAGGACACATGGTTAGACCTGAAAGCTCATGAGTGCCCTAAAGTCCCCACTTTCTGGACTAAAATGTGGTCTAGCCTTAGGTCCTTTAGTCCTTGACAGATCTGTCACCTGGGTCTTCTAGAAACTTCTGCCTTCCCTCAGATTCCTTCCTTTCTCTGCCTTTCCCCTCTCCTCTGTCCCTGCCCTGTACAAAACCCCTGTTCTCCACCAAAATCTCCAACCACTAGCCCTGCCCTCTTGCCTTTGCTTCTAGACTTCCATTGGGCCTGTTTTTTGTTTGTTTGTTTTGAGACGGAGTCTCGCTCTTGTCACCCAGGCTGGTGTGCAATGGCTCACTGCAACCTGATTCACTGCAAGTGATTCTCCTGCCTCAGCCTCCCGAGTAGCTGGGATTACAGGCACCAACCACCATGCCCAGCTAATTTTTGTATTTTAGTAGAGAAGGGGTTTCGCCATGTTGGCCAGGCTGGTCTCGAACTTTTGATCTCAGGTGATCCACCCACCTCGGCCTCCCAAAGTGCTGGGATTACAGGTGTGAGCTACCGTACCAGGCCCATTGGACCTATTTTTACTGGTTAGGCCTGGCTCTGTCTGTTTCACCGTGTATCCCCTGTCTAATGTCAGACTGCAAGGTAGGCTGAAGGGGTGGTTGGGAGGGAGGTGTGTATAAGCCTGGCCTTGGTGGGGGTGTCTGGGTACGGTGGGGAGAGTTATCGTGTTCTGAGAGGAACTCTCTGGAGACCGGA
The DNA here is from genome assembly GCF_000001405.40 of Homo sapiens. NCBI lineage: Eukaryota > Metazoa > Chordata > Mammalia > Primates > Hominidae > Homo > Homo sapiens. Next base: position 40,033,080 of record NC_000023.11, on the reverse strand, counting down.
AGAGCGCCATTTTCCACACACTAGGCCTAGTCTTCTCCTACTCCCCTTTATCCAACTCCAACCTCTCCCTGCCTATGGCCCATGTGACACTCTGCAGTTCCCAGGCTCAAGACTCCCTGTTTCCTGAAATCCGCAGTCAGACGTCCGTACACCCCTTTACACGTCCCCCAATCCCAGCTGTCAGCTCCCCTCATAGCGTATTCATGTCTGAAGCGCTCCACGTCATCCTCCAAACCAACCCGGGTTTGGCAGACGCCTGCCTGAGAACTGCCCTCCTCTTCCTCCCCCAGGTCCAAGCCCCCAGAAGAGCCAAAACCCAGGCCATTCTTGGCCGGGCAGCAAGGCTGTGTGGTCTCAAATACAAACTCCGACAGCCCTTTTCCCCTTCAAATTCCTCCGCGGCACCGCCACCACCATCTCTTCTGCGCAAAACTTTCCAAATCTCACCTTCTCCCTCAAACCGGCCTCTTAGCCCTTTTGGAAACCCTTCCCAACCCTGCAGTTCTAAAAATAAATAAAACAAAATCAAGTGAAATTTAAGCCACCATGCTTAAAATGAAGTTTCTGGAAACGGGGGCGGGGGTGGGATGTCTTGGCTGATTTCTTTTCAGGTCCGGGAGCAGTACAGGTGCACTACATTTCTGCCCTGGTGTGTTCTAAGTTCCCCGAGGACAGCCACCAAGGCCTCCTCAGCCCTCTGCACACAATGGCTCCTCCTTCAAAGATGTGGGCAGACTTGGCCCGGGTTCCTTAATTACCGGTTTAAAGAAGGGAGACAATCCCATCTCTCAGCCCTCCACCACTCTCTGTATATGCTCTATACACTGGCCACTTTGTATCCCAGGCAACCTACCTGGAGGAATTTGTATTGTCTGTCACTAAATTGCAAGATCTTTCAGGCTGAAGAGAGTTTTCTTTGTATTCCCTCAGCCCTAGTACCAGGCCTGACTCAGGGACGGCCCTGGTTAAAAGTGCAGAAATGGCTGGGTGTGATGGCTCACTCCTGTAATCCAAGGCCGATGCGGGTGGATCGCCTGAGGTCAGGAGTGATTCAAGACCAGCCTGGACAACATGGCAAGGCCCCCATCTCTACCAAAAAATGCAAACATTAGCTGGGCGTGGTGCCTGTATTCCCAGCTACTCAGGAGGCTGAAGTGGGAGGATTGCTTGAGCAGGGAAGGTGGGGGGTTGCAGTGAGCTGAGATCGCACCACTGCACTCCAGCCTGGGCGACAGAGCAAGCAAGACCCTGTCTCAAAAATAGTAATAATAAATAAATAAATAAAGTAAGTGCAGAATTGTACCCTTCCCCTCTCAGCAAAAAGAAATCACGGAGAGTCACTGGTCCCTCCGAGAAGCATAAAGCAGGAATGCCGTCATTTTTATTTATGTTTGTTTGTTTACTAACTAGTTAATTAAACTATCCAGCATCTTTCTGGAAAGAAGAGGCTCAGCCATTTCAGAATTGAGGTCCCCACCCCAAGGCAGCAGTGCCTTTGACCTTGGGAACTGTATGCTATATTCGCCAGCTCACCAATACCGAGAATGTTTCCGTTCTCTTCTCCAGCTGGATTTTGGGCTGCTCTTTTCACACCTACATCCGTCCTTTCCAGTCCTCTTGCATCATTTCCCCAAGTTTACTTATTCTCCTCTTTTTTTTTTTTTTTTTTTTTTGAAGACAGGGTCTCACTCTTTCGCCCAAGCTGCTGCTCAATGGTGCGATCATAGCTCACTGCAACCTTGATCTTCCAGGCTCATGCAATCCTCCCACCTCAGCCTCCCCAGTAGCTGGGACTACAGGCATGTGCTACCATGCCCGCCTAATTTTTTAAATTATTATTATTTTTTTGTAAAGATAGGATCTCACTATGTTGCCGAGGCTCCTGTCATTTTAATCGGGAAATCCACAAAGCAGACAAACCTTTCTTGAAAGCTGTACTATCACCCCACCCCCACCCACCCCACAAGAAAAGAAAAAAAAAGATTTCTTCGGATTGTATTGCTTGGTTTTAAAACAGTTAAAAAGGCACTACTTCTTTTGCATTGGAGGCTGTTGATTTTATTATTTATTTATTATTTTATTTTATTTTATTTTATTTTTTGAGATGGAGTCTTGCTCTGTCTCCCGGGCTGGAGTGCAGTTACTCAATCTCAGTTTACTGCAACCTCTGCCTCCTGGGTTCAAGCGATTTTCCTGCCTCAGCTTCCCAAGTAGCTGGGATTACAGGCACGCAGCACCATGCCCAGCTAATTTTTGTATTTTTAGCAGAGACGGGGATTACATGTGTGAGCCACCGTGCCCGACCTATTTTTAATTTTTTTTATTTATTTTATTTTTTTTGAGATAGGGTCTTGCTCTGTCACCCAGTCTAGACTGTAGTGGTGTGATTATGGCTCACTGCAGCCTTGACCTCCTGGCCTCAAGCAATCCTCCCTCCTCAGCCTACAGAGTAGCTGGGATTGCAGGCGTGAGCCACTGTGCCCTGCCTGATTTTATTTTTTAATTAAAAGAAAGAAAAATATGGTTAAGTCACACTACCACCTCAAACACAGCCTAAGTCCTGGGGCTCTGCACAATTGTGTGACTCTGCCAAATTCACAAATATCTGTGAATTGCAGGGTATCAGGCAAAGATGGCTACACGCTGGAGGACCCACAATGCCCATTCCTCAGGAACTTACATAGAGGACTAAGTCAAACAGGCCCCTGTCCAAAGCTAATTTCGCCACCTGCTTGTAAAGAAAGGGCCCAGGGGAATGGAGAGCCCAGCACTCTCAATGGCTTGGTGTGTGATTTTATATTAGTTTCCTAGGGCTGCTGTAACAAAGTGCCATATTTATGATACTTTGTTATTGTCTCAGTTATTGTCTCTCCGTTCTGGAGTCTGGAAGTCTAAGATCAAGGTGATGCTAGGGTTAGTTTCTTCTGGGGGTTGTGAGGGAAAATCTGTTCGTGCCTCTCACCCCGTTGCTGGTGGCTTGCTGACAGTCTTTGGGGTTCTTTGACTTGTGGAAACATCAAGCTGATCTCTGCTCTCATCTTCTTCTTTTTTTTTTTTTTTGAGACAGAGTCTCACTCTGTTGCCCAGGCTGGAGTGCAGTGGCGCCATCTCTGCCTCACTACAACCTCCGCCTCCCGGGTTCAAGCGATTCTTCTGCTTCGGCCTCCCAAAGTGCTGGGATTACAGGTGTAAGATACCGCGTCCGGCCCTGCCCTCATCTTCATATGGTCTTCTCTCTGTGTGCATATGTCTCCAAATTCCCCCTCTTTATAAGGACACCATTCATATTGGATTAGGGGCCACCTTACTCTGGCATGACCTCCTCTTAACTCATTGCATCTGCAACCTGCTATTTCCAAATTTGGTCACATTCTGATGTACTGGGGGTGAGGACTTCAACATGTGAATACTGGGGAGACACAATTCAACTCACAGCAGATGTATTCTAGAGAGGTGACAAAATATATGGGTCTTGAAGGACAGTGGCATTTCAAAAGCAAAGCCTAGGAGAAGGGCCCTTGTAAGCAGACGCAGGAGGCAAGAGACAGAGGCAGTCAATAGAATACAAATCACAGAGCTGCTTGCACCCTGATATTCACTTTATTTCAGAACTACTTATTGAACACTTACTAGGGGTCAGGCAACATATTGGGACCTGGGGTACAATGTCAAACACAGTTCCCAACTTCCTGGAGCTTACCGTCTAGTGGGAGAGTGAGTGGAAAAAACAGACTCTTTTTCTTCTGCTCTCACACCGTAACAATCAACACAGAAGAATTCTGTGACCAGATGTGTGGGGCTTTGTCCCCACCAGCAAGCAAGCAATCAGCCCTGCAGTGGACACCAGCTGGGTGTCCTCCAATTCAGTTCCAACCCTACCTATCCAGAGACAGCATCAGATCCCACCGGTCGAGGACTCAGTCCGCAAGACTGCTCTCTGCCCCCACTGCCATGTCAGATGCCAATTGCAAGCTCCAGGTTGTTTTACCTACTGGCTGTACATTGCGATTTCCATGACCCCCTCCTTGGGTACAATTAATTTATTTGCTAGAGTGGCTCCCAGAACTCAGAGAAACACGTTTACCAGTTTATTATAGAGAATATTACAAATAATACAGATGAAGAGACACATAGGGTGAGGCATGGGGTTAGGTGCACCACCCTCCAGGAACCTCCACGTGTGCAGCTATCTGGAAGCTCCCTAAACCCTGTCCTTTGGCCTTTTTATGGAGGCTTTGTTATGTAGGCGTGATTGATTAAATCATTGGCCATTGGTGGTCAACTCAATCTTCAACCCCTCTCCCCTCCCCAGAGGTTGGGGGCTGAAAGTCCCAACCCTCTAATCCTGTCTTTGTCTTTCTGGTGACCAGCCCCTATCCCAAAGCTACATAGGGGTTGCCAGACAGCAGTCATCTCATTAGCATACAAAAAGATACCAACGCTTTGGAGATTCCAAGTATTTTAGGAGTTGTACGCCAAGAGATGGGAGAACACCAAATATATATTTCACGATAGCACAGGGAGAAGATCCCAGAAAACACTGGGTTTGAGGGCAAGTGGCAAGAAGCAGAAATGAAACAGTAACACCTTTTTTCTCCATCCTACAGATGGGAATGTGAGCACGATGGCTGGAGCTCAGGCAGCCACATCATGCCTAGGATGCTGGAGCAATACAAGACCAGGTCCCTGACATGGAGTGCCATATCAGCCCTATACATCTTTCAGTGAAAGAAATCAGCATCACTCTTGTCAAGCAATTATTATTATAGGACTTTTATGTCACATAACCAACCCTAGTACTAATTGATATAGCAGACATATGCACACAAGGAGAAGATCACAAGTTAACTTGAGAATGAGTAGTAGGAAAAAATAAATAAAAGTAAAGAGAATAATTATCAGATCTACCCTTCAACTGGGATCTGGGTTCAAATCAGTTTCTTCCTCTGTAAACCAGAATAAGAATAATGCCTGCCCCATAGGATTGCTGTGAGGTTTAAATGAGATCATATGGGCTGGGCACAGTGGCTCACACTTATAATCCCAACATTTTGGGAGGTCGAGACTGGAGTATCGCTTGAAGCCAAGAGTTCAAGACCTGCCGGGGCACCATGGAAAGACACCGTCTCTACGAATAGTTTTTTTAAAAAATTAGCCAGGCATGGTGGCCTGCAACTATGGTCACAGTTACTCAGGAGCCTGAGGCAGGAGGATCACTTGAGCTCGAGAGGTGGAGGCTGTAGTGAGCAGTGATCACACCGCTGCACTCCAGCCTGGGAGACAGAGCAAGGCTCTGTCTCAAAAAAAAAAAAAAAAAAAGCATAGAATAAAAGAATAGGGTTACAAAAAAAGCCAATTATATTGAAATACAGTTATCGAAATACTAAAAAAAACAGCTGGGCACAGTGGCTTATGCCTGTAATCCCAGCACTTTGGGAGGCCAAGGCAGGTGGATCACCTGAGGTCAGGAGTTCGAGACCAGTCTGGCCAACATGGCGAAACCCCGTCTCTACTAAAAATACAAAAATTAGCCAGGTGTGGTGGCGCACACCTGTAATCCCAGCTATTCGGGAGGCTGAGGCAGGAGAATCACTTGTACCCGGGAGGCGGAGGTTGCAGTGACCCGAGATCATACCACTGCACTCCAGCCTGGGTGACAGGGCGAGACTCCATCTCAAAAAAAAAAAAAAAAAAAAAAGAAACAAAACCAAAAACAAAACAAAACAAAAAAAAAACCCTGAAAAACCACATATTTGTGATGCAATCATTGTGGCCACAAATTCTTTGACACTTCTCCCATAGAGAGGTTGGTGAGAGGGGAGGTGTCCCCTCCCCTTGTATCTAGGCTGACCTTAGTAAAAGATTTACTTGACCAATAGAAAATGGCAGAAGTGACATTCTGGAACTTCAAAGCTAGGTCAGAAGACGCCTTGCAGCTTCTTCCTTGTTTGCCAGAGCACTCTTTCGGGGACTGTAAGATATCATGTAAGAAGTCTGTCTACCCAGAGGCTACCATGCCAGAGAGCTCATTTGAAGGGACAACAGAGAGAGGCCAGGAGACTGCCTAGAGGGACAGATTGGTGGAGATGCCCAAGGAGCCTCCAGTCATTTGGGTCATCCCATCTGAGGCTTCTGACTGCCTGTAGCAGATAGGAAACATCCTGCCAAGCCCTGTCCAGACTGCTGGTTCAGGAGCTAAAGAAATGATTGTTGCTGTTTTCAGCCACTAAGTTTTGGGGGTAATTTGTTACATGGCGTAGATACCCACAACACTAATAGATGTGCAAAGATCAATTGTGAATTAAATAATAAGATCTAATGGCAGGCCTGATAAATATGATTTTGAATTAGTGGTGAGTGCAATCTGTATGTTGAGATATCAGCATCACCTGTAATAGAATATGAAAATTCTGTGCTTTCGAATGGTGACAGTTATAGGTGCTGCTAAAACAACTGTATTTGTGGCTTACATGCATGACCAAGGGAAATGCAGAATTGCAGTTCAAGGTTAATGAAAAGAAAAATACCAATATTTCCCACCCAAATTCACAAGTCCCCAAAATTCTATCTACAGATCGCAAGTTAAGAAGCCCTATTTTAGAGAGAAATCAGAGCATCCCTTTGATGACTGATTCTGTCCTTAAGAATTCAGTGAAGCTGCCTTTATGGATAGCTGAACTGACCGTATTTTTTATGTGTAACTAGAAGCTTTAAAAATACCCCACCTTTCATGCTCCTCCTTGCTCCCTGACATTCTTTGGAAACTTCTAAATCTCCTCTTTGAGTTCCTTCGTGTTCTCTGCTCCTCTCCAGCTCCACCACCCAGCAGGCCACGCCCCCCTGCTTCTGGCCTGGACCTCACTTTGGGAGGTTCTCTAAGCCTTCAGTCCTGCCCAGTGCTACCCGCCACCCACCCCACTGCTTGGGCTTGGCTTTTTTTTTTTTTTTTTTTTTGAGACGGAGTGTTGCTCTGTCGCCCAGGCTGGAGTGCAGTGGTGCATTCTAGGCTCACCACAACCTCTGCCTCCCAGATTCAAGCAATTCTCCTGCCTCAGCCTTCTGAGTAGCTGGGATTACAGGTGCATGCCACCATGCCTGGCCAATTTTTATATATTTAGTAGAGATGGGGTTTTACCATGTTGGCCAGGCTGGTCTCAATCTCCTGACCTCAAGTGATCCGCCTGGCTCAGATTCCCAAAGTGCTGGGATTATAGGCATGAGCCACCACGACAGGCCATTGAGGGAGCTTTTGAGAGTACAAATGTCACTCTGTCCCCTCCAGCTCTGACTCTCTAGCGGACACTGGTGAGCATGTGGAAGGAGCAGCTTCTCTGACAGTGCTTGCCAAAGGCTGGCCCCTCTGTCCTGGCCACTGTTAGTTTGCAACTCTTCCCTTACAGTTCCCTGGGGCTCAGACTGTTCTGGCCTCTCTGGTTTTGCTTTTGGGCTTCCCCTCTCTCTGAACACCTTCCCTCATCCACCTCCAAGGCTAACGTGGACTTATCTGTGAAGACAAAGCTTGCCTCACTGCCTCCAGGAAGCTTTTCCCCGCTCTCCACCTTAACCACTCCTTCCTCATTGGCCCACCCACTCTATTGAAGGGTGGACTTTTCTTTTTTTTTTTTTTTTTTACACATTTTATTGAAGTACTGCAAACGTACATAAAACTGCAAGTATTCTAAGTATATGGCTCAGGCTGGGCTTGGTGGCTCACACCGGTAATCCCAGTAATTTGGGAGGCCGAGGCAGGTGGATTGCTTGAGTTCAGGGGTTCAAGGTCAGCCTGGGCAACATAGTGAGACCTGGTCTCTCTTAACAACAACAACAACAACAAAAATTAAGGAAAAGGTGAAAAAGGTGTATGGCTCAACAGACTTTCATAAAGAGACTTGCAATTGTACATAAACCACCCCCAAATGAAGGAACAGAACATTCCCAGTCTCCCAGAGGTGCTCCTTGGGCTGTCTCCCATCACTACACCCCTCCCCACAAAGGGTAATTATTTTCCTGACTTCTAACTACATAGGTTAGTCTGGCCTGGTTTCACACTTTATCTGCATGGAATCATGCAGTCTGTGCCCTTTTGTATTTTATTTATTTATTTTTGAGAAAAGGTCTCACTCTGTCGTCCAGGCTGGAGTTCAGTGTTGCGATCTCGGCTCACTGCAACCTCTGCCTCCTGGCTTCAAGCGATTCTTGTGCCTCAGCCTCCCGAGTAGCTGGAACTACAGGTGCCTGCCATGACGCCCAGCTAATTTTTTTGTATTTTTAGTAGACATGGAGTTTTGCCATGTTGGCCAAGCTGGTCTTGAACTCCTGACCTCAGGTGATCTGCCCGCCTTGGCCTCCAAAAGTGCTGAGATTACAGGCGTGAGCCACAGTCCCCCGCCACTGTGCGTTTTTCTATCTGGCTTCTTCCACTCAATATTATGTTTATGAGATCCCTCTGGGTTGTTATGTGTAGCTGTAGATTGTTTATTCTCATTGCTGCTGTGTAATATCTCATTGTGTGGACACCGCAGTTTCTTCTCGCGTTCTGCTATGGGTGGGCACTGGGATAAAAGCCAGCTTGAGGCCATTACCCATAGTGCAGCTTTTTGGTGAACATGTTTGTTGATGAACATGTTGTCGTGCGTGCTGGACACCTGTTGACTCCAATAGGGATGGCTCCATGCCCTAGAGGCTGAAGAAGAGACTCAGCTAACAAACGAGACATAGGGCTTATTGATAAGGACTTACATAGAGGAGTGGTCCAGTGACGGCGGGCTGGACAGGACAACTGCTTCAATTTGTAACAAGCATGCCGTTTATATGGCATTTTCACTTAGCACCCGCCACCTAGCACCCTCCACCTAGCAACCTCCATCCAACCCCAAACAAAGGGCCTCGATCTGCTGTACAGCCTGCATTCCAAGGGATAGACTGGGGGTTCAGATGTCCTTCACGGATAAGGAATAAATCTCAGGGATGACCACTCCCAGATTCCTTAGTTTGGAGCTCCAAACACACATTCTTCTTAGACCATGACCCTTCAGTCTAAGAGTGCTTAAGCTATGCTTAAGTTAATTGCTGTCAGGTGTGATGCTATACAGGTATATACAATTCTGGTGGCACATATACCGACTAACCTACAAAGACTTACTTATTTATTTATTTAACTTAAGACAGGGTCTCACTCTCTTGCCCAGGCTGAAGAGCAGTGGCACAATCACGGCTCACTGCAGCCTTGACCTCCTGGGCTCAAGCAATCCTTCTGCCTCAGCCTCCTGAGTAGCCGGGACTACAGGCATGCACTACCACGCCTGGCTAACTTTTGTATTTTTGTGTGGAGATGGGGTTTCACCAGGTTGTCCAGGCTAGAGTGCAGTGGTATGATCATAGCTCACTGCAGCCTCGACCTCCCTGGCTCAAGTGATCCTCCCACCTCAGTCTCCCAAGTAGCTGGGACTACAGGCATGCACCACCATACCTGGCTAATCTGTATGTATTTTTTGCAGGGATGGGGTTTTCACCATGTTGGCCAGGCTGGTCTCAAACTCCTGAGCTCAAGCCATCTACCAGCCTCAGCCTCCTAAAGTGCTGAGATTACAGGTATGAGCCACTGCGCCCAGCAAGCATCTTTAACAATGGGCTGTGCCTTGTATGTTTTTTGTTATTTTTGGTTTCTAGTTTGTAGTAGCTGCTTAATAGTGTTCAAATAAATGAAGGCCAGGGGTGGTGGCTCACGCCTATAATCCCAGCACTTTGGGAGGCTGAGGCGGGTGGATCGCCTGAGGTCAGGAGTTCGAGACCAGCCTGGCCAACACAGTGAAACCCTGTCTCTACTAAAAATAAAAAAATTAGCTAGGCGCAGTGGCGGGCGCCTGTAATCCCAGCTACTCTGGAGGCTGAGGCAGGAGAATCGCTTGAACTGGGGAGGCGGAGGTTGCAGTGAGCCGAGATTGTGCCATTGCACTCCAGCCTGAGCAACAAGAGCAAGACTCCGTCTTAAAAAAAAAAAAAAAAAATCAAATAAAAATGAATACTGAATGCTGACAAATCGCTAGGAAAAAAGTATTCCTCTTCTGGCCTTCGTATTGTCTCATCCTTCTACTCCTGGTTAAATTCACCCTGATTCTGGATTTTTACTATGTATACTTTTCTATCCATTTATTACATTTTTGTTATATATTTACTCAAATCCTTTGTGGAAGTAACTCACACACACACACACACACACACACACACACACACGATTTCCCTTTTTCCATCTGAGCTCACAGAAAGAGTGGGACTAAGTAATTTGAATATGGGATGGTCTACCTACTCCTTTAGCTAGAATACAATGTCTTAGCTAGAATGCAATGTCCCTGCTCTTGGGACAGGAAGGAACCTGAGTCATTTAGGTCACACTCTAAATGTTTTATCATTTCAGTTGTCGAAAAATACCAATGCAGATAGAAAGGAAGTTATTTTATCTTTAAGTAACTCTTCAGGGCATGCCTATGGGAGATTTACTCCTGCAGAACTTAATCATCCTAGTTTTGCTCTTCACACCTTTGGCGGCTTCTTATAAGGTATGAATGTGTGTTTGGTTTCGTTTTGACTCTACCCACAAGGATGGTTCCTTTCTTTAAGTTAAAATGCTAATGAATTCTTACAAAGCTCTGACTTTCAACTGCAAAGTGATCAAAAGAACTATTTAAAACTGTTTTACTCTTTCTGCAAGTTTACCATCACTGTTATTGCCGGAAACTTTATTTTGCTGTATATGTTCATGCTTTTCTCTTGCTCCTAGCAATGTAATTTAGGTTATTCCTAATGGCTTTTAGAAAATGGTTCTCAAGGTTGAGAAAAATAGGTGAATGTCTTGCTTTGGAGGTGGGAAAAGGGATAGCCAATCCCCTGAGCAAAACAGAACTGTGTTTAGTGTTATTTGGTTTAGAGCTATGCCCAAATGCAAGATTGACTTCTGTATTATTATCATTTTTTATTGCTGTGTAACAAGTCACCCCAAAATTCAGTGGCTTGAAACAGCAAATATTCATTATCTCAGAGTTCTTGTTGGTCAGGAATTCAGGAGCTAGTACTAAATGGTACTAGCTCAGACTTTCATGAGGTTGTAGTTGAGATGTTGGCTAGGGCTACAGTCATCTGAAGGTTCGACTGAGGCTGCAGGATCTGCTTCCAAGATGGTTCACTCACATAGCTGTTGCCAGAAGGCCTTAATTCTTTGACACATTACTCACTCCATAGGGCTACTTAAATGTCTCTATGACACAGCAGCTGGCTTCCCTCAGATAGCAAGGAGGAAGCCACAATGCCTTTTATATTCTAATAATGGATGTCACGTACAATCACTTGTGTCACATTCTATTCATTAGAAGTAAGTCACTAAGTACAGCCCACAACTCAGGGGAGGAAAATTAGGCTCCACCTTTTGAAGGGAGGAGTATCAAATAACTTGTGGACATATTTAAAAACCACTACAGGTGGTAAATAGGTTACTAGAATCCAATCAAGAGTTGCGACAGCTAGGCTAGGTGTGGTGGCTCATGCCTGCAATCCCAGCACTTTGGGAGTCCGAGGTGGGAAGATTGCTTGAGCCCAGGAGTTCAAGACCAGCCTAGGCAATATAGTGAGACCCCATCTCTACAAAAAATTTAAAAAAAATTTAGCTAGATGTGGTGGCACTCGTCTGTAGTTCCACCTACTCAGGAGCTGAGGCATGAGAATCGCTTGAGCCGAGGAGATTGAGGATGCAGTGAGCTGTGATCACACCACTGCACTCCAGCCTGGGTAAGAGACCAAGACCTTGTCTCTAAAAAAAAAGTGTTGCAACAATATGGGTAGTAGCTACATATTTTCTTTCCACCCATTAGATGACAGAGCTGAGAGAGAGAAGAGGTTAGAATGAATCAGGTAAAAATTTACCTTGGGCCAGGCTTGGTGGCTCATGCCTATAATCCCACACTTTAGGAGGCCAAGGCGGGTGGATTGCTTGAGCCTAGGAGTTTGATACCAGCTTAGGCAACATGGTGAAACCTCGTGTCTACAAAAATACAAAAAATCAGCCAGGCGTGGTGGTGCATGTCTGTGGTCCCAGCTACTTGGGAGGCTGAGGTGGGAGGATAACCTGAGTCCAGGAAGTTGAGGCTGCAGTGAGCTGTGATTGTGGCACTGCACTCCAGCCTGGGTGTTGAAGTGAGATCTTGTTTCCAAAAAAAGAAAAAACAAAGAACTACCTTGAACTGGGCACCTGAGCTTGAGCAAAATGTTCCACCTGAAGGATATGGCCTTGGATCTTCAATTGTCATAGCAACTATAAACAGGATAAAAAGGGCTCTGTTGATCTGTCTGGGGTATAGGAATAGCCTCCTTGAATATTTACAGGTCCCATATCCTGCATCTTGGCTTGTAATTTATAGCTGGCTATAAATATTATCTATATGGAATGATAACCTATTGACCAATTTTTTTTTTTTTTTTTTTTTTTGGGACGGAGTCTTGCTCTTTTGCCCAGGCTGGAGTGCAGTGGCACGATCTCAACCTGCAACCTCTGCCTCCTGGGTTCAAGAGATTCTGCTGCCTCAGCCTCATGAGTAGCTGCTGGCTGGGATTACAGGTGCCCGCCACCATGCCTGGCTAATTGTTGTATTTTTAATAGAGACTGGGTTTCACCATGTTGGCCAGGCTGGTCTTGAACTCCTGACCTCAGGTGATCCACCTGCCTCGGCCTCCCAAAGTGCTGGGATTACAGGCATGAGACACCGCCTCCTGCCTGACCAATGTTAAAGGATAATTTTCTTTTTTTTCTTTTCTTTTTTTTTTTTTTCAGACAGAGTCTCATGTTGTCACCCAGGCTGGAGTATAGTGGTGTGATCACTGCACCTTTTGCCTCCCAGGCTCAAGCAATCCTCTCACCTCAGCCTCCAGAGTATCTGGAACTACAGGCATGAGCCACTGTTCCCGGCTGATAATTTTCACCAAAAAGGCAAAAGCATGACTTTCATACAAATATAAATGAGCACATGTCAAAGATTTTGTTTAATTCATTAACTAAATGAGGGAATGGGTAAGATAGTACAACTAATTCAAAGATGAATTCAAAGAAGACATATTTATACATCAAGAATATTGAAATAAATTTGCATATGGATGCAAAACTGGCTTTTGGGGTGGGGGTGGGGATTCTCCGCTCCCTAGATAGAAGTTATTTGCTTGTCTAGAGGCAAGAAGTATTCACATTGCTATTAGTTATCTACACTTCCAGAGTCGTAAAATAGCCTAGTCAAAGACAAAGACTTATATCCCTGTAGGCTCAGACAATCTACCCCTCTACCCCCACGAAGCATTCCATTGAAAAAATAGCCGGTAATCTCTTTTGCTTATTCCAAAGCCTTAAATTTTTCCTTACATCAAGTAACCTCAACTCCCTTGAGATGGCAAAACACATTCTTCAGAGGGTGTCCTTTTAACCTTGGGAAGGTTGAGAATTGAATATGGAGAAGATGAAATGAATCAAATATACTGTAGTGATATTTTGGTGTTAAGTTCAGGAACAAGCTATGTCTGTGATTTAATTTCCAGTGTTTACGACAATTTGGGTGTATTAAACACTTTGAGGGCTGGGCGAGGTGGCTCACGCCTGTAATCCCAGCACTTTGGGAGGCCGAGGCGGGTGGATCACGAGGTCAGGAGATCAAGACCGTCCTGGCTAACAGGATGAAACCCCGTCTCTACTGAAAATATAAAAAATTAGCCGGGCGTGGTGGCGGGCGCCTGTAGTCCCAGCTACTCGGGAGGCTGAGGCAGGAGAATGGTGTGAACACGGGAGGTGGAGCTTGCAGTGAGCCGAGAGTGTGCCACTGCACTCCAGCCTGGGCAACAGAGTGAGACTCCATCTCAAAAAAAAAAAAAAAAAGACTTTGATACATTATCCTTATGGTTCCAGCATAAAATTGTATAAAATTTGTGATTTTAAGGTAAAATGAATTGCAATTTGACTTGGATAGCAGAGTTGCATTATTTAAGACAACTAGATATTCAGAATATTTAAGTATTTAATTTACTTGATTTGTAAATGTTACTGCTTGATCCCAAGAGTTCGAGGCTGCAGTGAACTATGACTGTGCCAATGCACTCCAGCCTGGGTGACAGAGCAAGGCCCTGTCTCCAAAAACAAAAAGAAAGCCATCCTGAAAAATGACTGCTCTAATTTTATGTAAAAATAACAAAGTTAATAAATTGAATTTGGCCAGGCCTGGTGGCTCATGTCTATAACCCCAACACTTTGGGAGTTCGAGGCGAGTGGATTGCTTGACCCCAGGCATTCCAGACCAGCCTGGGCAACATGGCTCTGTCTCTAAAAAACCCTGTCTCTACAAAAAGTACAAAAATTCGCCGGACATGGTGGTGCAAGCCTGTAGTCCCACCTACCTGTGAGGCTGAGGGGGGAGGATCACCTAAGCCTGGGTGGTGGAGGCTGCAGTGAGCTGTGATTGTACCACTGCACTCTGGTCTGGGCAGCAGAGTGCAACTCCTATCTCAAATAAATAAATACATAAATAATAATAAAATAAACTAAATTTTAAGGCTTGTAAAAGTCTAGATTTTAAAATTTGGAACTTTGATAAATTAATAACAACTTAAAACTCAAATGTAAATGGTCTTTTTCTATACACACCCACATGAATTTAGTGGGATAGCAACCCATTGATGACTGGGAGAAAAGAGATGTGGAAGAAAGTCAAAGTGGGCTGGGACATGAAGCAACAAATGAAGTCACATATTCTTTTTTGTTTGTTTGTTTTGAGGCAGGCTCTTTCTCTGTCGTCCAGGTGCTGGAATGCAGTGGTGCCATCATGGCTCACTGCCTTAACCTCTTGGGCTCAAAGGATCCTCCCACCTCAGCTCCTGAGAAGCTGGGAGTATATGCAGGCACCACCATGCCCGGCTAATTTTTTGTTTGTTTTTTTTTGTAGAGATGGGTTTTCGAGATGTGGCCCGGGCTGGTCTCTAACTCCTGGTCTCAAGGGATCCGCCTGCCTCAACCTCCCAAAATGCTGAGATTACAGGTGTGAGCACCATGCCCGGCTGATGTCACATATTCTATTTTCTTTTAAAATGAGATATATAGTAGTTTTAAAAACAATAGCCCCCCCCCCCAAATCTCTGATACACTTTATATTGAGAAGCGGGAGGGAGGGTTCTATGTCCTCTCCTCCTTGAGTTTGGGCTCTGTGACTACTTGTGCAATAGAATATGGCAGATGTAGGCTGGGTACAGTGGCTCATGCCTGATCCCAGCACTTTGGGAGACCAAAGCAGGAGGATCACTTGAGGCCAGGAGTTCAAGACCAGCCTGGGCAACATACTGAGACTCTATCGCTACAAAAAAAATTTTAAAAAATAGCTGGGCGCAGTCACACACGCCTATAGTCCTAGCTACGCAGGAGCCTGAGGTGGGAGGATTGCTTGAGCCTGGGAGGTTGAGGCTGTAAGTGAGCCACCATTTTGCCACTGCACTCCAGCCTGAGTGACAGAGTGAGATTGGCAAAAAAAAACAAAACACAAAAAAACAAAAAACCAAACAAAAAAACCAAGCAAGGCGGCTTACGCCTGTAATCTGAGCACTTTGGGAGCTGAGGCAGGCGGATCACCTGAGGTCGGGAGTTTGAGACCAGCCTGGCCAATGTGGTGAAACCCCATCTCTACTAAAAATATAAAAATTAGCCAGGCATGGTGACGTGCACCTATAATCCCAGTTATGCAGGAGGCTGAGACAGGAGAATCATTTGAACCTGGGAAGTAGAGGTTGCAGTGAGCCCGGATTGCGCCACTGCACTCCAGCCTGGGCAACAAAGCGAGACTCTGCCTCAAAAAAAAAAAAAAAAAAAGAAAGGAAGAAAAGAAGAACTTGGCAGATATGGTACTGCCATAGGGTGCATAGGGTGCATAGGGTGTTGTCTTAGTGCATGTGATCAGGCATGTTAGGACTAATTCCGGATTTATAGTCCAAAACCCTGTCCAAAGCAACAGAGGCCAAAAAAACTTTGGGGAATACCTAAGCTGGGTGGGGGAAATCCCCCCAAAAATCTGCTTCCAGGCTCAGGCCTTAAGTAACTGACAGCTTTCATTTCCTCTCTCTTGGGATGCTTGGTACACAGCCACCATGCTGTAAGGAAGCCCAAGCCACCCTGTGGAGAGGCCCACGTGGAGAACCACAGCCAGCAACAACAATGTGTGTGAGCTATCTTGAAAGTGGAGTTCCAGTTGAGCTGCCCCAGCTGACAGCATGGAGCACAGGTGAGTTGTCCTGCCAAGCCCTGCCCAGATTGCAGATTTTTGAGCAAAATAAATTATTGTTGTTTTAGACCACTAAGCTTTGGGGTGGCTTTACATAGTCATAGATTAGACATAGTGAAGTGCACAGATCTTAAATGCTCAGCCTGATGAATTTTTACATATGTATAAAACCATGTAACCATTAACCAGGTTAGATATCGAATACGTGCATCTTTCCAGAAGGTTCCCTAGTCAAACAGCTTCTTTGAAATGCTATCCAGGCACCTGAACTATTCGTTCACAGTTCTGGACAGCTCAACATTTATTTTTTCTCAGCGATGTTTCCAAACTTAACTGAATTAGAAACACTCTCTTCAGCATCATCGATGAAATAAAAATAGGCTCTGGTGTGTAGGCCAGAAAAGAATGAAGGCTCAAATGGAAGACAACCAGACTTCAGTCTGTAACCTCTGGGAAGTAGGTCGGCAGGAAAATGAGCTGATCTGCTCTTAAATCTCCCATCAGCAAAGTCACCTCGTAAAATTCAAGTGCATAGGGTGCTGTCTTAATACCTGTGATCAGGCCTGTGAGGGCTAATTCGCTATTTACGTCCTCAACCCTGTCCAAAGCAACAGAGGTCAAAAAGGCTTTGGGGAATCTTTAAGCTCGGGGGAGGAGACCCCCCAAAATCTGCTTGGCCAACTGCTTTACTTCAAACTGTGGGTTGATTTCCATTAATCACACTTGGCCCTAATTACCCTGGAGCAGCCTTTCTTCCTCTGGTCTGGAGCAGGAATTTTAAGGGGTTCCTGACAAAGCAGGTCCCTGAAACCAAACAATAGTGGAGGCTCCAGGAAAACACTACGTGAGGAGGTACGTGTCCATCCCCAGTCCTCTCCTGCCTGGAGACTCAAGTTCCAGGCTTGCTTGTGATCTCCCCAGGTAGGAACCTGAGTTCCTCCACTAAATAGATTTTCCTTTTGTTGTCACATTAATTTGCAACTCATTAATAGTGACAGAAGTGAGGTACTGCACCGATGCCATTTGCATATTCATGAGTGACTTATTATTAAACAAATAAGATTTTCCTATCTTCGAGAGCACCCAAAGTAAGGCTGAACAGTACATTACACCGGCCCCGATGCTTTATTCTCTCTTTAATATGTTAATACATGCAGTTGATTTCTTTAAGTAAATACGCATCTATAAAACAACACGTACTTTATGAAAAAGAAATCATTTAAATAATAATCCATTAGCAAAGTTGGCAACAATTTAAGAGGAACAACCCATTAATACCAACGCGTGGGAATCAATTTGCGAATTTTAATTCGGTTGGGTGGTGGGTTACCGACGACCAAGGAGGAGGACCTGCGAGTGTGTGCGCGCTTAGGAAAATATTTTAATGAGTCTCCGGACATCAGGACTCGAATCCTTTGCTTCAGGTGCTGGCTCCCAGTAGGTCGAAAACTGCGAGTCCTCACGTGGATCAGCGTTTTGCCGATATCCTCTGGAGATTGCAGCTGTGGGCCAAAAGCAGGCCCGACCGCCACGTCGACCCCGCGGCTTTTACGGTGCCCATAGGTTCCCCCATCGGCAACGGGTTAAGTGGGGTGGGGGCGGGGCAGGGCCTGGTCTCCTGGCGAGGCTGCCCCACCGAGCTGGGACTGGTGCCCTGCCCTCCCGCCCCCCTCTCCCGGCACGGGTTTAGTCACAGCCGGTTCCTTCCAGCCGGGGTCAGGGTGGGCTCCCCCCGCGGCGACGAGGAGCGCGGGGCCAACCGCGCACCCTTATCTCGGCCGAGTCAGACACTCGCCGCGCGGAATCTGTTGACATTTACTATTGTTCGCAGGAGTCCGGAGCGCGGGGCGGGGGCGGGGGCGGGGGCGGAGGCGGGCCGAGGAGAGGCTAGGCGAGAGAGGGCGGTGAGTGTGGGGCCTGCGGGCGGCGTGTGTGTGTGTGTGTGTGTGTGTGTGCGCGCGCGCGCTCGTGGAGCGGGGGAGGGGCCGTCTTCACGGAAAATAAAAGTGGCCGGCGGGCCCGGAAGCTTCCACGCCAGCTCACCGGCCCACGCCGGGAATTGAGGTGGTGGTGGGGGGTGCTCAGGAAGGAAGATGGGGCAGCCGGCGGTGGGTTCCGCGGGGGTCGGGGTGGGGGCGGCTCCAGCCGCACGGCCCCCAGTGACCCGCAGGACACAAGTGCATTTGTGCCGAGTCGTGGCGGAGATTAAAGTGCCATACGGCCCGAGCAAGGGGGGCGAGGCGGGTGGAAAACAACTCCCCGCGCGCACAAAGCGCGCATTGTTCCAGCCACCTCCATTATGCCGCGCTGCAGCCAAGAGCCCGTTTCGCAACTGCCCTCCCGGCACTCGAGCGCGCGCGCGCGCGCGCACACACACACACACACACACACACACACACACACACACACGAATTCGCCCCGGCCGAGGCCGGGGGTGGGTGCGCTCAGCCGGGACAAGGAGGGGCCGTCTGGGCGCAGTAGGCGAGGGGCGGCGGGGTGGGGGTTCGCAGGCGTCTTTTTCAGCTCGGCTGCCTGTCTTTCAGGGCTGGGCTTTTTAATGTCTTCTCTTCCTAATCGCCTCCCCGGCACTTTTCCGTTTCTCTGGCTCTTGGGGCCTGCCCCGAGCGCACCCTGGAGACTGGAGCTCCCCAGGAGAGGCGGCGACGGCGGGGGTGGGGGTGGAGAGGGCGCGCTCTCAGTCGCTGTCACCCGAGGATCGCAGCCCCAGGCGCGCAGCGCTTGCCTGCTCTGCTGAGGACACGTGCGCGGGAGGAACGGGGAAAGCATCCCGCCTTTCAAGGAGAGGCTCCCGGAGCGCCCCCTCCCCGGGCTCTCTGGCACTCCAGGATTTCCCCCGGTCCGGAGCGGGAGCTGTGGAATCTCGCGCCGCGTCGCCTGGCCTGCCTGCCCTTCCGTGCCAAGTGGGCCAGCTCGGCCACCCCCACCCTAACCACTCCGGTGCCCGGGCCCTGTCCTCCGCCCCCTCCGGCTTTCATGGCACTGGATAGGCGTCCCGAGAGGAATGTAAGGCTTGCCAGCCTCTTAGGACCCTGTTCTCCCCTGGCAGCGGAGCGGGAGCGGGGGAGGGGGGGCACAGAACCAAACCCCACCTCCCTCCACCCGTCGCGCCCTCCTGGTGGGCAGGTGGGGAGCGAAGCAGCCGGAGCGCGGCGAGGTAGCGCGGTCTGGTTTCCTTTACGTTTACAAGCTATAAATAAACTTCCCCTTGGGCGGATGCGCGCTGTGTCCAAGGGCGGCTTTCCGCCGATTCCGGCGGGTGGTTTACGATCTGGGCCGGGAGCTGGTCCTAGCGCGGCCTGAGCCTAGGGTGGGGCGCTGGCTCCCGGAGAGCTCAGAGGTCGGCCAGGAGTGGCTGGGTGAACCTCCTCTTCCTCGTGGGGCTAGGGCGCCTCTGCACTGAGGCCCGAGGGTGGGGCTGGATGATTTATGAGCCGTCACCCCACCCCGCCTCTCCCGTTTCACTCGTTTTCCTCGTCTTCTCCAGCTCAAACCCGGTTCCCAAAGTCTATCCCCAACCCTGCCCAGCGACCATTTGGCAATTTCGGGCTGTTGGAGCGCGGCTCCGGCTCCCGCCCCGGCGGGGCGCGTGTGCACAGAGCGTGGGTGAGGCCCCGAGTGCTTTCACCAACCGCACTCCTGCCCGGGGCGAGGAGCCGACTAGCCGAGCCCGACCAGGCTGGGCGGCCGAGAGCGGCCTTGGCCGGAGAAGCTGGGAGGAAGGGCTGGCTGCGCGACTCCGGAAACCCCCTTAAGGTCACCGGGCGCGGGGAAACCGCCAGCCCACACCAGAGCAGAGGCCACTGCACCAGTCGGGACCAAGCCGCAGGTCTCCACATGGCCTCTGCTCTGGGGTATGCAGTTCTGCAAAGGAAACCCAGAGGTTGCGATAGAAGACGTAGCGCGGAGGCCACCACTGGTCCCAACACTGTGTCTTCCACCAAAGGGGTGCCGTTTCGCTCGGCCTTGGTACTCACTCTGTGAGCGATGGAGGCAGGGCATCCTCGAGTCTCCCGCACACGTGTGCGTGTTGTGTGTGTGTGTTGGGGGGGTGGCTAGTGTACGTGTATAGGCTTATGGGGACAATAAAAGGAGTGGGGTGCTTTTGGCAGCCGCTACGTTTCTTTCCGCTGAGACTTGAGAGGCCAGGGAGCAGAGGCGGCCAGCCGAGTGGGCGAGAGCCCGGCCTGACGTGGGGAGGAGACGTCTTCTCGTCGGGAGGCTAGGTAGCGTGCGCCCTCTTCCCTCCCGTCCTCTCCCCGCGCCGCGCCGCGCCGGCCGCAGCCGGCAGGCTCGCTCCTCTGCCCGGTGTCTGTTTAACCCTCAACCCCTCCGCGGCAGCTGCGGGCAGAGGGATTCCTGGCCGCGCTAATCCTGGGGCTGGACCCCAACCCTGGTCGCCTGGAGCGCCCTTAGCCCTCCCGAACCTCGGGCCCGAAGGTCCCAGGGTGCCGGCACTCCCGCCACCCAAACGGGCCTGGGGGCCGTCAGGGGTCGACAGAAGGGGACCCTTGGCAAGGTCCCCATTGTTCCCCCGGGGCTGGGAAGCTGACTCACGCTCTGAGCACAGAGCGATGCGGAGTGTTTTCTCGGTAGCCTTTACCCGAGTGCTTTATTTAGACAGGCTTTATTTACAGTACACATGTTTTCGGCTCGTTATTCTGGAGGCGGGAATGGAAACTGGGCAGAGCAGGAGTTCTCCCCGTCAGCCTCACGTTTGGAAGGAGTTGAGAGTCAGCCGAGTCGAAGGATCCCGCTCCTGCTTGCTGTGTTCTCTAGGGAGATAATGTCGAAGAAAACAGTGAAGGGGTGGGAGTGGAGGGCGCTGGGGAACACAGAGCGTCAGCCTCTCCCATAGTGCCCACGCTTCAAAATGCATAACACCCAGAGGAAGGTGAGACATCCTCATGCCCATTTTAGAGGGTTCAGAGAGGGCAAGGGCCGCAGAAGGTCACACAGACAACAATCGGTTGTGCGAAAAGGGTCTTTAACTCCATTTCTTGGGCTTCCTCACGGGTTTAGACCTCCAGGATTACCCAGGTCTTGGTCTCTCGGGATTCCGGGAAGGGTCTTTCCTGGCGCCTCGAGTGGAGGTCAAGGCCAGCCAGGCGACTGGAAGGCCTCTGGTTGCCAGTCTGCAGTCAAGCATCCTTTTTGGCAGCGGCTCAGTAAGTGGGGTGGTCTGGTTAGGGACTGCAGGAAATTGTCTGAGCTAGATTAAATATTTTACAAAACCTTCGGGGGGCCTACGGTTGACTTGAAGCTGGCAATGTTAAACCAAACAAAAGTTAACGAGTTCTCTCCTGACTTTTTAGGTACAGTTCAGAGAAAACGGTGGGTAGCGCTCTTTAGAGGAAGCAAGTTTAATAGCGTTTCCTCTCATTTTTCTCCGTATCATTCTCTCTGCTGCTTGTAGAGCCTCATAGCCTCTCTGGGGCTGGGGTGGCAGAAAGGCCTCTTCGGGGTCCCTCTTTGAAAGGGCTGCAGCCGACTTGAGCTCCTGCGGCCACTGAATTCCATGCTTCTGACTCCTGCTTGGAGTAAAGTGCAGCCTCACCGGAAGTGCATGGCCCTAGGAACTGCACAGGACACAGTGCAGACACCTGAGGCCTCTTCTGGCCTTCCCCTAGGGCAACCCACGGGGTGGGAGGAGAAAGGCCTACACTTCAGGACTCACGACCTAGTAACAGCCTTTTCCTCGTTTTCTCTCCCTCTTTTGAGTCTTTAGCTGCAAATCCTGCACTGCTTTCTGAGGGTTGTCCTCAGTGTTTCCCTCCCTGAATCGCACACCCTTTTGTCCCTGCCTCCTGGCTTGAGTGTGACTGCTCCCTTGCACGATGCCCACCCCATTCCCATATTCAAGTTGCAGTGTAGAAGCTCTGCAGGCCAGAACTGAACTGCGGCCCTGCGAGAGAAGGAGGCAGCTTGACCTTTGCAGGAAGGGAAGAGAAGGCAGATTCACAGCTCGCAGCGCTGCAGGGAGACACAGAGATGCAGGCGTTGTCACAGCACCAGCAGCTCTAAGGGGAGCCTGTAAGAGGAAACCAGCTCCAGGAGGCGAGGGAGCTTCTGTGCGGAGTGTGTGCCCCAGCGAGATGCACAGGCCGCGCAGTGAGAGAGGAACTGCCTGGGGGAGCTGTGGCTGCTGCCAGCTCAGCGCAGTGTGGGGGTGGGATGGGGGCTCAGAGAGGCTGGGGGGCTAAGATTAGGGCTGCCGTGGAGGATGGGGCCTCTGGAGAAGACAATAACTAAAGGAAGCTGCTCTGAAGAGGCCAGACCACCTGCGTATGGCTCATCAGATGGGGGGCAAGGTCCCAGCAGCTTAGGAAAGTATGCCCTAGGAAAGATAGATTTGCCAAAGGACACAGAGACTGGAGCTTGGTTGGGTTTTTACACATTAATTTTTGGGGGTGGCATCTTTGAGACAGGACCTTCCTAGGGAAAAATAGAGAGCCCTATACTTCTAAATCCCAGGGGATCCCAGGCGCAATGAGCTACTCAGCGGGCAGCCCAGGCCCACCTAGGGTTTGTGTCCGGGCAAGGGGCTCCAGAGCGTGCAGCCCACATAGGTCCCTAACCAGGCTTTGGGGGAGGGGGTGGGTAGTGAAGGGGTGTGCCCGCTGTATATAGAGGCAGCTGCCATTTGAGGGTGGAGGTGGGGAAGGTGATGCCTCAGCTTCGGCGCTGGAAACCATTGTTTGAGTCTGCACCCAGCGCTTCTCCAGCAGGGCTAATTCTCCACGTGTCCAATTTTCGTGTCTGAAAAAAAACAGCAGCACAGAAACAAAACCATATGACAGGACTGGGCTGCAAACCTTGAAGAATCGAGAGGGTGGCGGAGGTTGCGGCTGGGAAGGGGGAGGGTAAATGTGTGTGTGTGTGTGTGTGTGTGTGTGTGTGTGCCTGTGTGTGTGTGTTGGGGGCGGTGGGGTGGCGCACAACTCAAAGTTTCGGCTATTTCCTACCCGATCTCACCTCCCGGCGTGCTCATCTGATGCAGTTCCAACTCCCTCAAACGATTCCGCAGCCCCAGCGCTTGCGGGAGTGTGGAATTACAGTCTGGAAGAAGCGAGGCGCTGCCGCGAGAGGCGACGCACCGAACCCGGGAGTGCGGAAGCGCAGGCCGGCAGCAGCGCGACCCCTGGGCAGCCTCTGGGCCGCGGTCAGCCCCTGCGGCTCCGTCCTCCTGCCGGTCCCGAGCGGAGAGATGGGTCAACGCAAACCCTCAGCAGGATGGGGGGAGGGGAAAGAAGGGAGACAAGGCTTTTCCCAGAAAGCGGAGGGGAACTCGCTTCCCATCTCCGAGGCGCGATGATGCCCCCATCCCCCGCGCCCCGACCTCCCTGAGATTCGTTTCCTTAAAAAATAGCCAAAGGCCAAACATTTAGCTACGGGTTGAGTCTTCTTCCCACCCCCACCCGGTGCCCTCTCTGAGTTCTCTAAACCCACGAGGCGCTTTAGGCCTGGCGTCCCCCGCCCTCCCCCGCTTCCGCCTGTGCACGAGCCAGTGGCGGTCACTTCTGCGACTCTTTGGAGGCCGACGGCCAGGAGCTTTGTTCTCCTGGGGCTTCCTGCCCCTCCCCCCTCCAAGTCATCCCGGTTTCCACACTTTATCTGCGCCCCCCCTTTGACGTCCGCGCACACAAACAACCCGGGCCTATAATCTCATTAGCATAGGTCTCGGTCTGGGTGACCGCGAGGCTCCCTGCGCGCCCGCGCGCAGCGCTCTGTTTCGCTGCAAGCCGGAGTTTCCACCATGCATGCACCCGGGGCGGGGGGCGGGGACGTTCCGGGTGACAGTGTTGGCTTTGGGGCAGGCCGGGAAGAGGAGGCCGCCCGGGGCAGCGGGAGCCGCGGGAGGAAGGCCCCTCCCAGCGCCCAGTTGCCTTGGTCCCCGGAGCAGATGGCAACTTTGTCTCCTGGTGTGCGCGCAGCGACTTTCAACACATTGAAAAAGCAGTGCTCAGGCTGTCGGGGAAGCCTCGCTGACATTCAGAACCGATTAAAGACCCGAGACGGTGCCAGGCGCAGTGGAGAGTTATGAATTAATCATGGGGGTTACCGATATCTGAGGCTCCCCAGGGCAGTCCTTCTATTATAAGCAGCCCCCACTGCCCACTCCTGACCCGCTCCCCCCTCCCCCGCCGCCGCAAAGGGGTAGTCGCGGCGTCTTTTGCACTGCCCCAATTAACAGCCACGCGGTAATGTGAAAAGTGTTTGCCCTGCCACCCTCAGTGCGGTCTCAGGCCGGGGCGCTGGGCCTGCCAGACGCTCGCGGAGCAGCTCAGTCTTTGGGATAGGCCCGGAATGAGCTCTGTGCTCTGACCCGGGTATGGGGTGGAGTGATGCTCGTTCTCTGCCTCTGTGGCCCAGGTTCAGCTCCCTTCACCACCGTAGAAGGAGGCCCTAGATAGTGGGCGACGTCGGGGACCACCTACAACCTGGGTGCTTGTTTTGGGTCCCCAGAGCAGCTACAGGCTCGTGGTTTCGCGTTGTGGCTCTGGCGATGTTCCAGATATGGAAAAACGAGGTTCGTGTGTGCCGTGGAACTCCGCAAAGTCCCTGGGCCTCCTAGGAGGAACCCCCATGTCTGGAGTCACCCTAAATGACCCGCACCCCTGGGAATCGAGGCACACATCTCGACCACCGAACTTGCCGTTCTGCGTATTGTTAAATCACGCACACCGTTCTAATCTCCCCTATT
Source organism: Homo sapiens (assembly GCF_000001405.40). Classification (NCBI taxonomy): domain Eukaryota; kingdom Metazoa; phylum Chordata; class Mammalia; order Primates; family Hominidae; genus Homo; species Homo sapiens. The sequence goes on along the minus strand of NC_000023.11, from coordinate 40,008,072 downwards.
TATTTCCCAGGCCTGCCTGGCCACAGATTTCTGCAAGACGGAGCAGGCTTCGGGTTCCTCCTGCTTCCAGAGGGGCCATAAAAAACAGATGGTCTCATTAGGAACAATTTATGCATATATATTTCGAAGAGTTCAGCAGAGCCGGCGTAGGTTTGCAGCCCCTGCGTCAGGCAAGAGCAAAATATCACCACTTGCAAATGTTTCCAGTTTGCAAAATAATGGCCTATCCAAAGTAGCTAAGCAACGAATTACTCAAACACTAGAAGGTTAGATGCCAATATTATCACATTCGTCCTGTTCCTTAAACCGTCCTCCTCCGCGGTCTTTGGATTTCGGATGGAGGCTCCTGGGCCTCACACCCCTACGCCCGCGGCTTCCTTTCATGACTATTTCCAATCTCCAAGTCAAATCACTTATTAATTATAGAGGCAACTCGAGCAAACCCAATTACCCGTAGGCAGCCCTTCCCAGATGGGAAGTCTGTCTCGCACGGCTCCCACGGTGGCCCAGTTTCTTCTGGGGAGGTTTCTTTTGCGTCCGATTTCTTTTTGTCAGTGGTCCGCCAGCGGCCCTGAATGTTTCCTCTGCCTGATTCTTCTTCCTAGAGGCAACTCCATTTTCTTACCCTGTTCCCTTTCCTTCTTCCAAGGAGACATCCCCGCCCCTTAGGAGCCGCTGCCTTCGGGCTAAATTTACCGCCGCGCCAAGTTTAAGCCTTAGGCGTTGCAGATCTGGCGTAGGAATGGCGGAAGCTGTAGACAGAGCCCTATTCATTTGCAAAGGCGGAAGGCAGAGTGATTCGCTCAGTTGGCTGCCCCTCGTCTCGTCTGTCCTCCCTTCAGACGTAGCCGGTGGCTTAGGTTCACCTCGGTTTGTGGGATGTGTCCTAGGACTCCGCGAGGCTTACCCCTGGTGGGAAAAAGCCTACTTCACTTTTAATGTCCTCACAGTTCTGGCCATATGGTAATAATAATGCTAACCACCAGGACTTTGTGCTAAGCATTTGACATATAACTATATCTTCTTTAAACCTCGTAGCCACACTTATACGAATATCCCTCCCATTTTGTAGATAAAGAAACTGAGGTTAAGAAACTGGCCTCAAATCACACAGTTAGTTGAAAATGAAGCCCTTAATCCAAAGCCTGAGTTTGCATTCACAGCGCCAAAGACACCTTCCAGAAGAGTACAAACCATAGGGGGCGGTTGGGGGCCTGTTTGCTTGCAGCAAAGGACGCCTGGGAGCGCAAAGGCCTCGGAGGTTGCAGTCAGGAGGTCTAGGCGTCGAGCTGCGAATAGCAAAGCACGCCGGCGGGACTCCAGGGAAACAGGCACACCTGGGATTTGGGGCGCTAGGGGAGCTGTGCTGGCTAGGGGCAGAGTTTTGGGGTGAAGCGCGGCTGCTAGAGTCTTGCAGCGCGTGGAGCTGGGTACTGCCACCCTTTCGCTACCGCAAAAGTCGCTTCCTCGGCTGTGGTGCCCTTGGGACGCGCTGTGGGGTGCGGTGGGCTCGCCTTGGCGATCTTGAGGGTGTGCAGGGTGCGGGGAGCCTCGGGAGGGTCCCCAGGGGTAGTTGGCCTCGGTCGCGCTGCCAGGGCACCCTCGCTAATATGGAGCCAGCAGTTCCGCGGAGGAGGGGAGGGGAGGAGAGGAGAGGGGAGGAGAGGGGAGCCGAGAGAGGGATGCGCGGGCGAGCTGGTAACCGTCTGCAGCGAGGAGTGTAATTGCCCCTGTGACCGCGGGCGACGAAGGCGGGGCGCTCGCCTGGCCGCCTCCCTCCCACTCCGCCAGCGGCGCGGAGCTGGCTTTTGGCCGAGAAGGCGCGGAGCACCTCCAGGGCCTGGCCGGCTCAGCGCTAGGCGAGGCCACTCCTAGCCCTCGCCGCTTGGACAGCTGTCCCCGGCGCTCCAGCCTGGGGCCTTCCACAGCGCGGGGCCCACTTCCCTCTGCCCCCAGGCCAGTTCAGGCAGCAGCCTCCCTCTTCTTTAGGGTGCGCCCTGGCCGGGGCCTGGGGCTGTCAGCTGCGCCCTGGTGACCCCGCCGCCTCCTTCCCTGGAGAGCGGCGTTGAGGGGGCGAGGCGGCCACCCTCGGATGCCAGGTGGCTTATGTGACCCTCCACCCCACGCCCTGGCCAGGGCGCACCCTGAAGCCGGTGCGCTTCGGGTCGCCCTGGGCCACCACAGATCAGCAAGGCCGACCTCGGCTGCGCGGCACTTGGCCGTGGGTCCCAGGGTCAGAAGGTAGAAGGGCCGTCGGGGCAGTCTCTGCGCCCCCGGATCTCCCCGCGCTTTCGGCGTGTGAGCTTTGTCCTTTGGTGGGGCTCCTGGCCACGGGCCGAACGGAGGGGGCCGGGCCGGAGGTGGGGAGGGAGGCCGAGGCCGGCCAGGGATTCCGGAGTTTGTAACCCGTGTAGTTTCTGGCTTTCACGGCTCGTTTGAAATCCTCCCACAGGAAGATGTCTGCCAAGGAGGCCTGCGCGGCTCGGAGCCCCGCGCGGCCACCCGGGTGTGTGAGTGTGCGGTGTGTGTGTGTGTGTGGATGTGTGTGGATGTGCGTGCCTGCGCCCGCTATTCCCGGGAGGGGAGGGAGAGCCAGCGCCGGCACTTTCCCGGCGGCAGCGCTGCGAGAGTGGCGTGCGGCGCAGGGCCTGGCACCCAGGGCTCGCCCGCGCCCCGGGCTCGGCCCCGCCGGCACCCCGCGCCCCTCTAGCGCCTTTCTCCCTGCCCCCGCGGCAGGAACTGTTAACCCAGGCAGGTGACGGCGCCCCGGCGCCCGTCGTGCGTTGGTCTTTATACCTCGTGAGTTCAACACTAATGAGTTATGGGTTGGCCCACGAAAACATAATGTGTAAATTAGGAATTTAATGATGTGTAAGATTAAAAGCTGCGCAGGGTTGCATTTATTTAAGGCTGCCATCTTGTGTTCGCAGAGAAATTACTTGAACGACATTGACCCCCCTCGCCCAGAGGACTGGAAATGGCGCGGGGGCGGGGGTGGCTTGTGGGGTTCCAGGCAGTGGGACTTGAGGCCCCTCGGGGCTGTTGTAGGGTAGGAGGGAGCCCTGCGCGCGGGCTGGGACTGACTTTGGGTGGTTGCCTATGCAGGAAGCCTGTAGAGCGGCAGATTAAGACCCCTCCCGCCCCATCCTCTTTCCTGGGTCCAGGATTGGCAAGACTCGGGGTGGGGGGGTCGTCAATTCTTGGAAAAGTTATTGCTCCAACCTGTCTTGATGCCCTTCGTACTTTGTAGGGGTTGTTTCCAGAATTCAAAAGCACCTCTTTTTATACAGTTATTATATTATTGTCTTTTACCCATTTCTCTTTAGTTGCCCAAACCCAAGCTGCAGGGGTTGGGTCTGCCCTCATTAAGATAAAACCTGTCCCGTGAGCTAACCTGGGTTCCCCCAGATACAGACAGGCCAGGACTCTGGATCCTGAATCCTTGGGTTTACACAAATTTGCGTCACTTTTTGTGGGATATTTTCTTCCTTTTTTGCAAACTCGATGGGAATTTGAAAGCAGAGATTCCCTGCTCTTATGCTCTGACATTGGGGCTCCCTGCCCTATCTATGCCTGCGTGCCTGGGCACAAGCCAGCAACCACCTCCACCTTTGTCATGTTGATCCGGGATGATATCTCTGGAACTAGGGAGATTTGTCTCCTGCAGTTTTCTTTCTGCAGCAAAGGCTCCTGTCGCTGTATGTGCCTTGAGGCTTTCTCACAGGTGCTTCTCAGACCCAGGGGAGGCCTGTGATGCCATCTTGGGAGGCCAGACCAGAATTGCCACCAGGCCAGGCCTTCCATCTGGTTCCGCTACTAGGGTGACTTGCAGATGGGATTCCTCTCATGGCCACGAGATCTGAGACTTCTTGGACAGTCTCTGGCCAGCCCTGCAGCAGCTGCCTTCCTCCCTCAGGGACTGCTTTCTGCTTGGAAGAATGAGATGGCTTGGGATGGATGGAGTTGTAGCGCTTTGGGGGATCGGGCAGGCATAAAAACAGATGAAGAAAGGATCGGTTCATGAACTTTTATTTAAGGAATGAAGGCTTGTCTTGGTAAATTATAGAGTACCAGTGCCCCGAGGGACTTTCAAAGGCTTCCAGTGTGTGTTTTCTAGGCCTTGAAAGAGTTAATTGGAGAAATGCTGCTCCTGGTTTGTCTGTTTGCTCAGGCCCCACACTTATCTAACCAATCGCTGAAGGGATATAACTTTAGAAGTTTCATTCTCTTTCCCACTTGGCTGGGAGTTTCAGAAAACCCCTGCTTAAGTAATCATGATAATCCTTTCAAATTCCTTAGGGTCTGAGGCCATTTGGTGTTCCCACTGGAGTCTTGTTAAAAAAAGGCAAGGAGAGAAAAAGCATGTAATAAAGAACATTGCAACACATCTCCGTGAAAACATCCCCCCTGACATGGATCTGGTGCTCAGATAAACTTGTCCCCAGGTTTCTGAGAAATGCTACTGCCAGGCCTGGATGTTGGCCAGGAAGGGAAAGATCAAAGGGAAGCCAGGTGAGAGACCATCTTTTCCCTCTTGGTGAAAACATGAAGGGGACGTGTGGCCTCCCTGGGGGCAGGTGGGAAGCAGATGTCATTGCAGGGAGCAGGTCAGAGTGGTAGGCCTTTGAGGTACTACTGATCAGATACCAGGACTGCTGTTCTCAGGAAGAAGGTGTGTGGTTTTCTGAGCTGCTTCAGCCAGCTCTTTCTCATTGGTGTATGTTTTATGATGTCCATGAGGGGGTCTTTCAGCTCTGGACCTCCTCCACCCAGATCAGCCTGTCGTAGAAAAATGCTAGGTCCCTAGCCACACTGTTCCTGATCCAGGCCGGAAGGGCCCCGGACATCCCAGCCTTTTGTGCAGCCCCGGCCTCCTTCAGTCCAAGAGGATTTTGTTTTCCCCAAAGAAATTCTTCACTGAGCTATCACAGTAGGCTGGCCAGAACCTGTTCCCATTTCTGGTGACATTCTCTGGGGTTTTGTTTAGTCCTTTATGCACCATTCCCTAGGAGGCTGCAGGAGGAAGTTAAAGAACGCTTGGCTGCAATTTTGTAGGTCTGTTCTTGTCCTGTTCTGCAGCTGAGCTATTCCTGCACACTTAGGCAGGCCTCCTCCCCTCTCTGCACCCTGGTGAGCTGAGGGGTGCGGAGGGCGATGATTTGCAAGGGTCTTTTCAGCTTAGACATTCTGGTATTCTCTTTGATAAGGCCAGATGTAGCTAGGGTTCTAATCCCCAAAACTGGATGTAGCTGGGTAGAGGCGAATGGCAGCTTTTGATGGACTGGGGAGGTTTTGGTACTTATGGCTTTTTTGGCAACTCCTCTGTGGTAGACAGCCTTGGCTTTGCTTGTTTAACATTTGGCCCCCCTTCTAGATTCAGAACCCACACTTTGGGGGAGCCACTGCTCTGTGACTCTCAGTCCCTGTGCTTTGTGGGGAGGGGACCAACTCCATCTCCTGGCTGTAGAAGAGGGATGAATAGAGCATTTGAACCTGCTCCCTCACCCCACCCTGGGCCACAACAGTTGGTTCAGAGGTGGGTGTGGACCCCAAGTGGGTCCCAGAGAGACAATTTCAGAACTTGCTATTTCTTTCTTTCTTTCTTTCTTTCTTTCTTTCTTTCTTTCTTTCTTTCTTTCTTTCTTTCTTTCTTTCTTTTCTTTTCTTTTCTTTTCTTTTCTTTTTTTTTTTTTGAGATGGACTTTCACTCTTGTTGCCCAGGCTGGAGTGCAATGGCGTGATCTTGGCTCATTGCAACCTCTGCCTCCCTGGTTCAAGTGATTCTCCTGCCTCAGCCTCCTGAGTAGCTGGGATTACAGGCGCCTACCACCACGCCCGGCTAATTTTTTGTATTTTTAGTAGAGACGGGGTTTCACCATGTTGGCCAGGCTGGTCTCGAACTCCTGACCTCAAGTAATCCACCTGCCTCGGCCTCCCAAAGTGCTGGGATTACAGGCATGAGCCACCGCGCCTGGCCAGAACTTGCTGTTTCTAGTGGAAAAAAGAGTTGCACTTTCTATTGGGGTTACCAAAAAGATAGGCTATAAGCCTGGGATGACTGGCGGCCTGAGAATGGAGCCAGCAAAGACAGAGTAGAGCCCGGCAACAGATTCTTCATTGTTTGAGCCCCTGGATCCAGTTGAACCTGAAGCTAGCCCTGTCCCAGGATATTTCAGTTACTTGTGCCAATAAATTCCCTTTCTTTACTTACATCACTTTGACTTAAGTTTTCTATCGCTTGCAGCTGACAGAGTCTTGATTTACCTGCCATCTCGGAGAAATGTAGAGATTTGGAGAAATTAGATCTAAGAGGCATGGAACCTGGATGGAAACCCAGACCTCTCCCTCTACCACAGGGCATAGCTCAAGAAGCTTTGTCATTATTTTAGTTGTTTTTCTGGTCTTTTTACATCTTTCTGAAGGACCCACCCAGAAGTGAGCCTGGTGTGCTGGGGCATCTTTTATCCTAGTTGGTGCCAAGGAGAATGTTTGCTTTTATTTCTGGTGGAGCCTGTTCAGGATTTCATGCTTTGCTTTCAAACCCTTTCCTAAGCTGTTCTCCTAGGATTAAGTTCTCTTCTTTTGGTTTTCTGTTTTGTTTTCTTGCCCTCTTTCCAAGGACATTTTCTTGACTTCTATCCATTATCTTAATTTGATCTTTTTTTTTTTTTTTTTTTTTGAGGCGGAGTCTCGCTCTGTTGCCAGGCTGGAGTGCAGTGGCGCCATCTCAGCTCACTGCAGCCTCTGCCTCCTGGGTTCAAGCGATTCTCTTGCCTCAACCTCCCGAGTAGCTGGGATTACAGGCGTCTGCCATCACGCCAGACTAATTTTTGCATTTTTAGTAGAGATGGAGTTTCTCCATGTTGGCCAGGCTGGTCTCGAACTCCTGACCTCAAGCAATCCGCTCGCCTTGGCCTCCCAAAGTGCTGGGATTACACGCATGAGCCACCATGCCCGGCCATTTCTCTTAATTTGATCTTCTATATTTTACCCAGATCTGGGTCTGAATACAATGCTTACCACATAGTAGTAAATGCCTGGTAATCGTTAGTTTGTTGTGGGGTAAATTACATTGCTTCTTTCTCCTTGTCCACCATACATTAGCAGCTTGTCTCCCTTCTTTTGAGCAGTTCCTAATGTCCCCAGAGAGGTGTTATCAACATCTGGGAAAAAGGTGGCCATCTTCCCTGGCTCTGGTCTAGATAAACGTGTGTGGTCCCCCTCTCCTTCTTACCCCACTGCAGCCAGCCCTGTCACGATGTAAAATACGACAAGTCTTGGACCAGGAGATAAGAGAGCTGGCATCAGGCAAATACTCTAGTTAGTCTTACACCCATTCCAGCTCCCTTCTGCCTTCTCATCCTCTACCACAGAGGCTACATAAGTGAAATTCTCAAGTCCCCAGGCTCCTTTAGAGCTAGTGGTAGCCATGTGATTCAGTGCTGGTCAATTAGAGGTAAGCAGAGATTTTTGGGAAGGGGTTCCCTTCCCAAATAAGGCAAAACCTTCAATGGAGAAGACTTTTTTTTTTTTTTTTTTGAGACGGAGTCTTGCTCCGTTGCCCAGGCTGGAGTGCAGTGGTGCCATCTTGGCCCACTGCAGTCTCTGCATCCCAGGTTCAAGTGATTCTCCTGCCTCAGCCTCTTGAGTAACTGGGATTACAGGTACCCACGACCACGCCCGGCTAATTTTTGTATTCTTTAGTAGAGATGGGGTTTCACCATGTTGGCCAGGCTGGTCTTGCACTCTTGAACTCAAGTGATCTGCCTGCCAATGCCTCTCAAAGTGCTGGGATTACAGGTGTGAGCCGCTGCACCTGGCCAGAAGATTTTTTTTGAGATAGGGTCTCACTCTGTTGCCCAGGCCAGAGTGCAGTGGCTGCCTCTCGGCTCACTGCAACCTCCACTTCCAGGGTTCAAGAGATTCTCCAGCCTCAGCCTCCTGAGTAGCTGGGATTACAGGCGCCTGTCACCACGCCCAGCTAATTTTTGTATTTTTTTTGTAGAGATGGGGTTTTGCCATGTTGCCCAGCTGGTCTCGAACTCCTGAGCTCAAGTGATCTGCCCGCCTCGGCCTCCCAAAGTGCTGGGATTACAGGCATGAGTTACTGTGCCCAGGCCCTAGCATTCTTAACTGATATTCCTGGACTCTGTTCCCAGTTCAGCTTTAACTCATTATGTGGTCTTGGGAAAGTGACTTCACCTCTATGGGCCTCTGTTTCTTCATTTGTAAAATGAATATTTGTGAGTACTTGTTTTAGAAGATTTTTTGACTCTAATATATGCTGATCTTTTTTTTTTTTTAAGACAGTGTCTCACTCTGTTGCCCAGGCTGGAGTGCAGTGATGCAATCAGAGTTCACTGTAACCTCGAGTTCCTGAGCTGAAGTGATCTTCCCACCTCAGCCTCCTGAGTTGTTGGGACTACAGGTGCATACCACCATGCCTGGTTAATTTTAAATTGTTTGTAGAGACGAAGTCTCCCTATGTTGCCCAGGCTGATCTCAAACTCCTGGGCTCAAGCGATCCTCCCACCTTAACCTTTCAAAGTGTTGGGATTACAGGTGTGAGCCACCATGCCTGGCCTATTCTGATTTTATAAGCATAGCTTTCTCCATTGTCTCTACTTTGTGTTTAGGCCTTATTGTCTGAGGCTGCCATCTGGTCTCCTGATGTCCAGGTCTGCTCTACCTTCCACATTTTACACGTTACCACCAGATTAAACCAAAGTATAAGAGGACTGCTTTGTCATGCTCGAAAATTGCTAATAGTTCTTCTTGCCCACAGAACAGAGTTGTGAGTCTTTTGACATTGAAAACCTCTGTGAATTGGCTCAGTTTACCATTTCCTTAACTGGTCTGTTCCATGAATCACCCCTTAAATCTTACATGAGCACACCTGGACTCATTGCCTGGAATGTTGGCCCTGAGCCTACATCTGAGACCAACTCTTTCTTTAAGGGTTATCTCAATTTCTTCCTTTTCTGTGAAAACTTTCTTGGTGCCCACCACTCTCCCTAATCCTAAAAGTGATTTTTTTCCCCTGTTGAATTCTCAGCATTCTGTATCATTCACTTGGGCCTTAAAATATTCTCCTTTTTATGAACTCGAGTTCCCAACTGTAGCTGTGAGTTCTTGATTATAGGGTCCAGGTACATGACACATAGTGTTTGGTATACAGTAGGTACTTAACAAATGATTCATTGTCAGAGATAAAGCATAAACCAAACACCATTGCTAATTCAGGCAAGCATATATGTGTGTAATTGCTGTAGCCAAAGGCATGCATACATCCTTGAAGTACTGGTATATTTGGAAGTTGATTTGCAAGGTCTCCAACACCATGTTGGTGAGTGGCCAAGTCTTCTGCAGAAACAAGTTGGTAAAGCCTCTATATTTAAACATAACCTAGGCCGGGCGCGGTGGCTCAAGCCTGTAATCCCAGCACTTTGGGAGGCTGAGGCGAGCGGATCACGAGGTCAGGAGATCGAGACCATCCTGACTAACATGGTGAAACCCCGTCTCTACTAAAAAATACAAAAAAAATTTAGCTGGGCGTGGTGGCGGGCGCCTGTAGTCCCAGCTACTCGGGAGGCTGAGGCAGGAGAATGGTGTGAACCTGGGAGGCGGAGCTTGCAGTGAGCCGAGATCATGCCACTGCACTCCAGCCTGTGGGACAGAGCGAGACTCCGTCTCAAAAAAAAGAAAAAAAAAAAGAAAAAAAAAGAAACATAACCTGGAGTGGATGTAATAACTATCACTGCAAACCAGCTGCATAACAAATGACCTCAAATCCCCGTGGCTTACCACAGACACTCATTTCTCACTCACGGATGGCTGTGGCTTCTCTCCTTCAGGCTTTGGGTTGGATTTAGGTTAGCACCATCCATCTCTCATTCCAGGGTCGGTCCCAGGTTCAAGTAGCAGCAGTACCTCGGGGGAATGTTCTTCTCATGGCAGACCGTGAGAGTGTAGGAGGCCAGGCCCAACAAAACAAGCACATCAAAAACCTCTAATTGGATCACATTTACTGTTTTTTTTTTTTCCCCAGACAGGGTCTACTTCTGTCGCCCAGGCTGGAGTGCAGTGGCACAATCTTGGCTCACTGCAACCTCCGCCCCCCCAGGCTCAAGTGATTCTCCCACTTCAGTCTCCCAAGTAGCTGAGACTATAGGTGTGAACCACCATGCCCGGCTAATTTTTGTATTGTTTGTAGAGACGGGGTTTTGCCACGTTGGCCAGGCTGGTCTCAAACTTCTGAGCTCAAGCCATCCTCCCACTTCAGCCTCCCAAAGTGCTGGGATTACAGACATGAGCCACTGTGCACAGCCGGATCACATTTACTTGTATTCCATTGGCCAAATTAAGTCATAGAACTGAATCTAACATCTATGGGGCTGGGAAGTATACTTCTTCCACGGAGGGGTTGGAGTGGGGATAGGGAAGTAAAGTTTGCTGAGCAACCATACAGTCTGCCAGAGTGCATGAGCAAAAACCAAGGTTCCAGTTATGAGGGCTGGAAGCCAGAGGGGTGGTCCCAACCTGCTTGGGACCACATAAGGAATTGCAAAAGGAAGAGGGGCCCGGTAAAGATTATCAGCAGTTCCGCAATGAAGAGGAGCTGGAGGCTGGCATTGGAACCCGCCACATATCCTTTATGGCTTGGATGCAAATCGCTCGTAGTGAAGCTGCACACTGCTCTAAAAACATCCAGGCTTTGGCAGAAGTGCTGGGTTTATCCAGGTGCTGTTAAAGCCGCCGAATCTGCTGTGGATATTGCAAATCAATTTTTCCACCTCAGTGACTTCTCCGTCTCTCATTCCACTGTTCCTTCTTAGTGGGGAAGAATTTTGATTCCCATTTTCTTATTATGAAATATTGCACTGTGGGAATGCATAGGCTTTTAAAGGAAATCACAATTCACTTTCTGGAGTGTGGAGTCTTCTCTCCCAGGTGTTTACCATTTGGGTCCTTCGAGAGCAAGAAGAGAGAAGCCAGGAATCTTGTCTAAACTGGGGGGAGTAGCTGAGGTTCTGCTGGAGTGATCGCAGGTTTTCCTTTCTCTTTCTCATGGGAACAGATTCCAGGGGGGAGCAAGGCAGCCCCTGAGATGACCGTACTGCATCTCAGAGTCCCAGGGAAAGAGAGACCTGGCCCTCTGACCACCGACGAGCACGCTCCCTCACTCCCCTTTGCTTTCGTGCTGCATCTGGGAAATGCCAGGCTTGTTTCTGAAGCTCTCAAGTGGGAGCTGGCACTTGCCAGACGATGAGAGCTGATGACACATGTCTCTTCCCAACCCCTGCAGTCAGTGATGTGATGTTGGTAGCTTGGAATTGGCCCTGGTGGGAGTATTTACACCACAGAAATCAGCAAATGCTACAATCGGGGTTTTCCCCCCCACCCCCGGGAGATTCGGTTGTTTAATATTTACCAGCACATTACTGCTGCTGAGGGAAAAGTCCATGGCCTTGAAACCTTAGAAGAGTCTTTCTTAAGGTTTCTCAGAAGTCTGCTGTCCTCCTTGCAAAGGCAAAGTGAAAGTTTGTGAGATGGAGGTGGATGGGGTGAAGAGATGGATATGGGAGAACCAAGGTTGTGTGTGTGTGTGTGTGTGTGTGTGTGTGTGTGTGTGTGAATGAAGAAGTCCCACTATCCCAGGTTTGTCCAGCTCTTGATACAAAAAGGAAGCCTTCAAACACTTTTTATTTATTTATTTAGAGATAGGGTCTTGCTCTGTCACCCAGGCTGGAGTGCAGTGGGGCAGATCACAGCTCACTGCAGCCTGGATCTCTTGGGCTCAAGTGATCCTCCTGCCTCAGCCTTCTGAGTAGCTAGGACCACAGGCACGCATCACCATGTCTGGCTCATTTTTCATTTTTTTCTAGAGATGGAGTCTTGCTATGTTACTCAGGCTGGTCTCGAACTCCTGGGCTCAAGTGATTCTCCATCCTCAGCTTCCCAAAGTGTTGGGATTATAGGCATGAGTCCTTGTGCCCAGCAACAGTTTATTTTTAAATTTAGCCAAGTCCCATTTGAGGCTGATTGGCTGCCCTGGACAGAGGTAGACTTGTCTGGGGAAGAATAGGAAGAAGTGGCCAGATCTGTAGGGGCCACCCATAGCCATCCTTTTCTATTGAGCACATGTTCGTCATCCATCACCTGAAAAGGCTATAAATCTACCCAGCATTGGAAGGCCCCAGAATGAATTGGGTGGAATTAAACATTGGCCATGTGAGAGGGCTCTGTTGGCTCACACCCCTTTATCTCGAGTCAGGATTGTTTAGGGTTTTGCCGACACACAGTAAGAGCCCGAGAAATGTTTACTGAATGAATAAGTGAATGAATGAATGAGTGAGCAAGTGAGGGTGGAAGGAGCCTCGGATGACTCCGTTCCTTTTCTTTTGTGTTTTCATTCAGTAAATATTTTTGGGTCTGTGCCAGGTACCATGCCTCCATGGATCCCTGGGCCCCAGCTTGCGCAGCCTTGCCTGGCTGTGGCTTGCGGCCTCACCTACGTGATCTAAGGGTAGGGCCTGGGTTTTCTACCTCCCGGTCCCCTGCCTGGCCCACACAAAGGCCTTCAGCAGTTCCTGCTGGTGCTGCTGCCACCCCTGTCGATCCTTTGGCATGGTGTTGGCAATCTCCTAAGGAGAAAGGAATAATGTTGTCTTCTGTCACGTAGCAAAATAAAAGCTTTTGGCAAGCATGAAGACTGGGAGGCCTTTGCTGCCATACGTATAATTAGAACTTTGGGCTAAACTCATCCCTGAGGAGCGAAACATTACATTTTAAGGCACATGCGTATTTATGTATTTATTTAAGTAAAGCAGTTCCCTTCATTCCCTCTGATGACATCATGGCCGAAAACAGCACCCAGTTCTTCACAACTTTAAAGGGGTAACATTTTGCATGCCTTATTTTACTTCAAACCTTCTGAGCCATGACGAGAGTATTCCAGACCTACGCTCGGGGCCCCTGGATGGGCATTTTTCTTCAGGTGCAAGGATCATTACAAGGAATGCATTCTTAAACCAGGCCAGCTCCCAGCACACCATTTCCACATATGGATATTAATTTATGTGATCACTTGAATACAAACGCTCAGCTGTCTCCATAAGTTATAGAAGCAATCATCCCAGGGAGCATCGGAGACACCGAGAGTCAATTCTTGTGTAATAATTTCATATTCGAGCCAGGGATGCCAAATCACAGCCCCTTTGGATAAAATGTGGGCCTGTGGAAACACTCCCCTCCCCCTTTTTATTATTGTGCATTTTATTTCTCCATAAAATACATTTATGCCCTGGAAAAACAAACCAACCCGGGGGGCCAGGCTGATGATGTGATGCAGGTTGTACCTTGTTGGTGTGGCTGAAGCTTCCAACCTGGCTGCTAGCAGGCACCATGGCAGGGAAGGTATGGGGTGCTGCTGAGAAAGCTCTCCAGGAGTCTGGAACCCGAAGGAGGGAGAGACATGAGAGATCCATCCAGGAGCCTTGGAATGGAAAGACGTCACATTTGCCCCCACCTCCATCTTGGTAGGAAGCTCCTATTCCCCCCGCCCTTTGTTTTTTAAACTCGGCATTACACACATGTAATATCAGCACTTTGGGAGGCTGAGGCAGGAGGATCACCTGAGGTTGGAGTTCGAGACCAGCCTGGCCAAAATGGTGAAACCTTGTCTCCACTAAAAATAAAAAAATTAGCTTGGTGTGGTGGCATGTGCCTGTAGTCCCAGCTACTTGGGAGACTGAGGTGGGAGGATTGCTTGAGCCCAGGAGGTGAAGGTTGAAGGTTGCAGTGAGCTGAGATGGCACCCCTGCACTCCAGCCTGGGAGACAACCCTGTCAAAAAACAAACAAACCCAAAACAGTTTTACTGAGATATAATTCACATACCATATAATTCATCCTTTAAAGTGTACAATTCAGTGGTTTTCTTTAGTACATTCAGAATTTTGCAACCATCACCATTTTTTTTTTTTTGAGATGGGGTCTCATTGTGTTGCCCAGGCTAGAGTGCAGAGGCACAGTCATGGCTCACTGTAGCCTCAACTCAAGTGATCTTCCCACCTCAGCTTCCCGAGCAGCTGGGACCATGTCCAACTAATATTTTATTTTTCTTTTTGTAGAGACAGGGTCTTGCTATGTTACCCAGGCAGGTCTTGAACCCCTAGGCTCAAGTGATTCTCCCACACAGCTGGGACTACAGGCACTTGCCACTGCACCCATCACCACATTTTATCACCCCAAAAGATACAAATTAACAGTCACTCTTAATTTGCCCCCAAACCCCCAGCCCTAGGCAACCTTTATTCTACTTTCTATCTGTATGGATTGATCTATTTTGGACATTTCATATAAATGGAATCATGCAATTATGGCATTTTTTATCTGGCTTCTTTAGCTCAGCAGTGTTTCCAAGGTCCATCCATGCTGTAGTGTGCATCAGTACTTCATTCCTTTTTATGGCTGAATCATATTCCATTGTATGGATGCACCACATTTTGTTTACCCATTGATCTATTAGTGGATATTTGGGTTGTTTTCACTTTTTGGCTATTGTGGATAATGCTGCTATGAGCATTTGTATAAACGTTTTGTGTGAATGTATATCGCCTGGGCTGGAGTGTAGTGGCACGATCTCATCTCACTGCAACCTCCGCCTCCCCGTTTCAAGCAATTCTTCTGCCTCAGCCTCCCCAGTAGCTGGGATTACAGGTGCCTGCCACCGTGCTTGGCTAAGTTTTGTATTTTTAGTAGAGACGGGGTTTTGCTATGTTGGCCAGGGTGATCTTGAACTCCTGACCTCAGGTGATCCCCCTGCCTCAGCCACCCAAAGTGCTGGGATTACAGGCGTGAGCCACTGTGCCCAGCCAGGATGTATGTTTTCATTTCTCTTGTGTCTATACCTAGGAGTGCAATTGTTGGGTCATATGGCAACTCTATGTTTAACTCACTGAGAAACTGCCAGACTGTTTTCCACAGTGGTTGTACTATTTTTCATCCCCACCAGCAGTGTATGTGAGCTCCAATTCCTTTCTTTTCTTTTTTTTTTTTTTCGAGATGGAGTCTTGCTCTGGCGCCCTGGCTGGAGTGCAGTGGCACGATCTCGGCTCAGTGCAACCTCTGCCTCCTGGGTTCAAATGATTCTCCTGCCTCAGCCTCCCGAGTAGCTGGGATTACAGGTGCCCGCCATTGTGCCCAGCTAATTTTTTGTGTTTTTAGTAGAGATGGGGTTTCACCATGTTGTCCAGGCTGGTCTCGAATTCCTGACCTCGTGATTCACCCACCTTGGCCTCCCAAAATGCTGGGATTATAGTGTGAGCCCGGCCTCTTTTTGTTTTTTATTTTGAAAATTGGGGTAAAATATACATAACACAAAACTGACGGTCTTAACCGTCTTTGGGTGTACATTTCAGTGACATTACGTCTGTTGACAATGCTGTGTAGCTATCACCACTATTTCCAGAACTTTTCCTTATCTCAAACAGAAACTCTATACCTATTAAACAAAAACTCCTCGTTCTCCCTTGCCCCAGTCCCTGGTAACCTCTATTCTACTTTCTGTCTGTGAATTTGTTTATTTTAGGGTTCCAAGTCCTTTTACAGTTTTCCTGACGGATGTTTGTATGAGTTCTGCCTAAATACCTTCAGTGACAGAGGGCTCAGTCCTTCGGCAGACATCCCATTCCAGTATCAAAAACGTGGTTAAAAAGGTTTTTTTAAAATAATTTCTGCTCCAATCAATTCCTATTAGGTCCATCTACTGACCTTAGTGCCCTCTGGATAGAAGATGTGTAGAAGAAGTTGGCTTCCCTACCCACAAGATAGCTTGTAAGGGAAAACCCAGGCTTTCCTTTTTTAGACAAAACCTAGGGCCTCTAGGACCTAGCTTGGGAAAGATAATCTCTCAGCAGGATGAGAAGTGAACAGTTCTGACCTTGTGCCCCCCCAGAGTCCCCTTCCCCTAGGGGACCCTCATTTTCAGGTCCTCTGATACCACAACGCTGGGTCCCCTGCATGGACGCACTATTCCCTCATTGGCTCCTCCTCGCTCAGCTGAGACCACTAAATAGGGAAGGAGGGAGAGGACAAAAGGGAAACCGACACAGAATACAAAAAAACATAAAAGCACCCTGGCTTACAAAGCACAGGGGTCACACCCAGCCCCACAGAGCCTGCCCAGTACCGTCTGCAGGCTCTTTCCCTCTGCCATCTATATTCTTTCTTTCAGAAAATCCTATTATTAGTCACATGTTGGACCTCCCAGAATGATTCTCTATGTCTCTTATCTTTTCTCTTACATTTTCTGTCTCTTTCTTTATGCTCTATGCTCTTGAAGGGTCTCTTGGTTTTTTTTTTTTTTCTGTCAGGCCTTCAATCGATATCATTCACTCTGTCTCCATGTTTTTAATTTCCAAGGGCTCTTGCTTTCTTTCTAATTGTTAGCACCGTCTTCTTGTTTTATGGATGCAGTAGCCTCACAAATCTCTCTGAGGGTACTATGTAAAGCTTTCTTCTTTTTTAAACAGTTCTCCTCTGTGCTTTAAATTATCTCTGTTTCTTCCAGGATCAATTTTTCTGTTGTTCACCTTTGTCTTTCTCTTTTATGTTGCAGGCTTTCTTTAGATGAGCAACCATGGTGGCTGCTACTTCCTGTGGAGCAAGAGGAACGTGGACTGTAAGGGTCATGTGCACGGGGTGGGAAGCGCTGGTGGGTGAGCTGGGGTCCCCCCAATGATGGATTGTTGGGGAGCTTTCTTTCAAGGCACTAATAAACACACAAGCGGCTCCAGTTCTTGAAAAATGTGTTCCAGTTCTTCAGAAAAGGGTCTTTCCCATTTTTCTTGTTGCGGTTGTCAGGAAGTGTAAGCATAGACTCCAGTGGTTGACTAAGAAAGCAAGAAGTGGCCGGGCACGGTGGCTCACGCCTGTAATCCCAGCACTTTGGGAGGCCGAGGCAGGCGGATCACTTGAGGTCAGGAGTTTGAGACCAGCCTGGGCAACATGGTGAAACCCTGTCTCTGCTAAAAATACACACACACACACACACACACACACACACACACACAAAATCAGCCAGGGTGTAGTGGCGCACGCCTGTAATCTCAGCTACTTGGGAGGCTGAGGCAGGAAAATCACTTGAACCCGGGAGGTGGAGGTTGCAGTGAGCCGAGATTGAGCAACTGCACTCCAGCCTGGGCGACAGAGTGAGACACCATCACAAAACCAAACCAAACCAAACCAAACCAAAACAAGAAACCAAGAAGCTTGCTCCTGGTTCTTCTCTCTGTCCCCCTCTTCCAGGCAGATGGAGACAGTGGTAGGGTAACCAGCCAATTCAGCTGAAGGCCCCTGGTCAGTCCAGTTTCCAGCCACACTGCACACTCCTGCCCTCAGGGACCCCCCAGATCTTAGCCGGGAGCCTCTTCCTCATATCTCCCTGCCTGGGAAGGTTCCAGCTGTGGCTCTCCCTGCTCTGTGTCACCTGTCACCACCCTTCCTTCTGCTCTCTGTCTTCCAGAAACACGTTGAAATCTCTCATCTGCTGACACCTCCCCTTCCTTATTGTGGCTTTATACTTTTTTTGTTCCTACACCATCCTATTATAGGGATCTTGGGAGGGAGAAGGGAGATAAATGCATGTGCCCCAAGTATGTAAAACAGATAACATGCACAGTGCATTTTGCACAGTATCTGCTCCACAAATGTCGGCTCCTCTTGAAATGATGACCTGCTATTGTCATGTTCAAGGGTGTGTGGAGGCAGGTGTGGGATTCAGTGGGTCTGTGGGGTCTCAGTCAGTGCAAGAGGATAGGGAATGGAGGATGCAGAGTGTGGTCTCTTTCAGTGGCTTCTGTCCTCCAGCTGTAGTTTCTCCTCTTACAACATTTATTATTTAAAATTGATTTCTAATTGCATTAATAATAAATGAATACATGCCAGCATAAAAAAATGTAAAACATTGAAGCAATCTCATGCCAACTCCAATCTCTTGCACCCTTCTATCTTAGCTTAGGTCCAGGAAGGAGTCTCTGACATAAGAATGTGAGTGCAAGTCATTTATTTGGGTGGTGGCCTCAAGATGCACCAATGGGGGGGACAAAGAAATGACCAGGGAAAAGGAAGGGAAAGAAAAGGAAGTAAACCCATAAAGGAGGGTGTATTAGTCTGTTCTCACGCTGCTATAAAGAACTGCCCGAGACTGGGTAATTTATAAAGGAAAGAGGTTTAATTGACTCACAGTTCCACAGGGCTGGGGAGGCCTCAGCAGACTTACAATTACGGTGGAAGGGGAAGCAAACATGTCCTTCTTAACATGGTGGCAGGAAGGAGAAGAATGAGAGGGAAGGGTGGGAAAAGCCCCTTATGAAACCATCAGATCTTGTGAGAACTCACTCACTATCATGAGAACAGCATGAGGGTAACTGCCCTCATGATTTAATTACCTCCCGCTGGGTCCCTCCCATGACACGTGTAGATTATGGGAACTACAATTCAAGATGAGATTTGGGTGAGGACATAGCCAAACCATATCAGAGGGTTATCAGGCAAGTTATTACTGTTGCCAAGTGGAGCCCAGTCTAGCTGGGACTTGTGGAAGTCAGCAGAAAGCTGACCCACCCAAGGAGCATAGAGCTGGGGCATTTAGCCACCATGCTTGCTTCCCTGTTGGGCTCAATGATGGGGATCTTTGCCATGGCTCCTGAGCCCACAGCTTGTATGGTTCAATTCACACATTCCTCTTAGAGGTGAGAGGGTGCCAGTGGAGATCACTGACTGGAAAAAAACACGTTACTTATTGTATCTGTAATACATATATGTACTTATAAATATATTTGCACAGAGAAAGATCTGGAAAGATATTGTAGAAGGCGGAATTCCAAAAAATGGCCCCTAAAGATTCCACACCCTAATCCCCAGAACCTGTGAATGTGATGAGATTTCACTCCTGTGACTGCGTTATGTTCAGTGGCATGATTATACAGATGGGCCTGATCTAATCACAGGGGCCCTTTAAAAGCAGAGAATATTCTCTGGCTGGTAGCAGAACAGGAAGATTGGTTGGGAACAGTGGCTCAGGCTTGGAATCCTGGAGCTTTTGTGGGGGCCAAGGTGAGAGGATCACTTGAGCCTGGGAGTTGAGACCAGCCTGGGCAACATAGTGAGACCCCGTCTTAAAAAACAAAAACAAAAACAAAACAAAACAAACAAACAAACAAAAAACCAGAAAGACAGAAGGAGAAGTCAGAGAGATTTGGAGCATTAGGATTAGAAGTGCTGGTTCTGGCTTGAAGATGTGCAAGAACCTGAAAGTGGCCTCTAAAAGCAGAGAGCAGTACTTGGTCAGCAGCCAGCAGGGAAATGAGGACTCCCATCCTGCAGCCATGAGGAGCTGAATTCTGGCAATAGCCTGAATGAGCTTGGCAGTGGGGTTTCCCCAGGCCTCTCCAGATGAAAGCCCAGCTTGGCTGACACCTTGACTTTGGCCTTCTGAGACCCATTGCAGAAAACCACCCAGACTTCTGACCTACAGGACTGGTAATAAATAGGTGGTGTTTTAAGCACTAAGTTTGTAGTAATTTGTTATACAGCAGTAGACAAGAAAGATAGCTGTACACTAAAGTGTTGATGGTGGGGATACCTGGGAGGTGACAGTGTGATATTTTTATTTTAACATTTTTGATGGTCTATATTTGCTAATGTTCTAGAACAGTGTGCTTGTTCTTCCATTATATTAAAAGGATCTTTTTTTTTTTTTTTTTTTGAGACAGAGTCTTACTCTATCCCCCAGGCTGGAGTGCAGTGGTGCCATCTTGGCTCAATGCAACCTCCGCATCCTGGGTTCAAGTGATGCTCATGCCTCAGCCTCCCGAGTAACTGGGATTACAGGCCCCCGCCACCATGCCTGGCTAATTTTTGTATTTTTAGTAGAGACGGGGATTCACTATGTTGTCCAGGCTGATCTCGAACTCCTGACCTCAGGTTATCCCCGGGCCTTGGCTTCCCAAAGTTCTGGGATTACAGGAGTAAGCCACCATGCCAGGCCTCTTTTTTTTTTTTTTTCCAGACGGGGTCCCACTCTGTCACCCAGGCTGGAATGCAGTGACATGATCACGGCTCAC
The DNA here is from genome assembly GCF_000001405.40 of Homo sapiens. Lineage (NCBI taxonomy): Eukaryota > Metazoa > Chordata > Mammalia > Primates > Hominidae > Homo > Homo sapiens. The sequence goes on along the minus strand of NC_000023.11, from coordinate 39,987,944 downwards.
TGTAGCCTCGAACGCCCAGGCCCAAACGATTCTCCCACCTCAGCCTCCTGAGTAGCTGGGAACACAGGCGTGTGTATTACACCTGGCTAATTTTTAAATTTTTTGTAGAGATGAAGGTCTTGTTATGTTGCTTAGGCTGGTCTCGAATTCCTGGGTTCAAGTGATCCTCCTGTCTCAGCCTCTCAAAGTGCTGGGATTACAGGCGTGAGCCACTGTGCCTGGCCTGAAAACGAGATTTTTTTTTTTTGAGACGGAGTCTTGCACTGTTGCCCAGGCTGGAGTGCAGTGGTGCAATCTTGGCTCACTGCAAGCTCTGCCTCCCAGGTTCACGCCATTCTCCTGCCTCAGCCTCCCAAGTAGCTGGGACTACAGGCGCCCGCCACCACACCCGGCTAATTTTTTTTTTTGTATTTTTAGTAGAGATGGGGTTTCACCGTGTTAGCCAGGATGGTCTTGATCTCCTGACCTCGTGATCTGCCCACCTCCCAAAGTACTGGGATTACAGGCATGAGCCAGGGCGCCCAGCCTAAAAAGGAGATTTTTAAAAATCCTTTCAGAAAACTAGGTGGAAAGCCCTCCCCTTCATCTCCTCCCTTTCTCCTGAGACAACCTACCATGGGTTCTTCTTTACCTCCTCCATGATATTTGCTGTATCTGTATCACATATGTTATTATTAACATAATACTTTTTATAATCGTCTTTTTCTCTTAAAAAGGAAGAACCCTAAATACTTTAGCCTCTTCCTGAGCAGTAATATTCGTGAAGTTATGGGTTAGCTGTGCCATTTGTTCCTCCTAGCACATCAAAATACATAACTATAATTATTAAAAAATACGAGTCCGCCAGGAGTGGTGGCTCACGCCTATAATCCCAGCACTTTGGGAGGCCACGGCAGGTGGATCACGTGAGGTCAAGAGTTCGAGACCAGCCTGACCAACATGGTGAAAACCTTTCTCTACTAAAAATACAAAAATTAGCTGGGCATGGTGGTGCATACCTGTGATCCCAGCTACTCGGGAGGCTGAGGCACGAGAATTGCTTGAACCCGGGAGGCGGAGATTGCAGTGAGCGGAGATTGCACCACTGCACTCCAGCCTGGGTGACAGAGCCAGACTCCATCTCAAAAAAAAAAAAAAAAAAAAAAAAAAGGTCTATCCCCAGCAAGGTCGCCCGCCACACAAACATATATATATATATATATATATATATATATATACACAAACACATAGACACACATGGGTCCGTGTACCTCCATCGGTATACAAAACAGGCTCTGGGAATGGCTGATCTCATATAATCCTTTTGATGCTTTGGTTTCAGTTGAAAACAAAAGCCTGGGAGGGAGGGTTGGCTCCTGAGTGCCTGAGAACATCAGATGCGGCCCTGCCCATAAAGCCCAAAGGCAGGGGAACACGGAGGCTTGGCTACTGCCTAGGGCCATGGAGGGGAAAGGACCCTACAACAGGAGGAGGTAAAGCCCAGATTTGTGTTTCTGTAAACTGCCCTGCCCATGGGTGGGTGGCAGAGCTGGGGTTCAGCCCAGCCCATCTGATTCCTCAGCTTGGGTTCATGCCACTTTGCCTCCCAAGGAAAAGACCAGAAGGAATTGGGCATGAACTCAAAGACCAGGGGATGAAACAAGTGTGTGTGTGTGTGTGTGTGTGTGTGTGTGTGTTTATGTGTGTGTGTGTGTTTTACCTGAAGGAAGGAGGAAGCAACAAGAAAAAAAAAGTCAGAAATTTGGGTTTTCATATTCCTTGGCCTCATGGGAAATTCATACTAGAGCTTTCCTGGTCAAAGTACCCACCAACTGGCCTGTTACTTTATCTTTGAAATGAGAATAATGAAGGTAGGTTTTGTAGAATGCTAGTAGTGAAGTTAAAAACACTTCTTGCTAAAATCATATTTATGACTACATTCGTGGTTCTGAGAATCTGGATATGGAGAATGACTGGTCACTGAGGTCCTCCCTTTTGTCCTCACCCCTTACAGTCTGTTCTGGAAACAACAGCCAGAGGTATCCCCTGAAACCCGAGTCAGATCCTGTCCCTTTTGGCACACAATTCTCCAGAGCCTTCCTGTGTTATATGAGTGAAAGTCAAGGGTGTTAGGAAGGCCCTGGCTGGTCTGGTTCCTGCCCCCTCCCTTCTCTGAGCTCAAGGCCACTCACCTCCCCTCCCTTCCTCCCTTTCAGCCACATGGGCTGCTTTGCCGTTCCTGGAATACACTGAGCTCACTCCTCCCTCAGGGCCTTTGCACTGGCTATTCCCTCTGCTGTTATGCGGTTCCCTGGCCTGCTCTTTCTGTATTGTCTGCAGGGCTCCTTCCTGCACTGCTCAAGGTCTTTGTTGAAGTGTCAACTTCTCAGCAAGTAAGTCCCTGGTCACGCTTTTGAAAACTGCATCCTTTCCCCAAACCCCAGCTCCTATATTCCCTGTCTCCTTTTCTCCTTCCCACTCACTACCATAAAACTACATGTTTGGCTTATTTGTTTGCTACCTTTCTTTCCCACAAAAATGTAAGCTCTTGACTGCAGGGATTTTTTTTTTTTTAAATCTGTTTTGTTCACCACAGTTTCCCAGGGCCCACAACAGCGAGTGACATACAGCAAGTGCTGGGTGATTATTCGTTGCATAACGAATGACTGAGCCAGCGAATGACGGGTTGGAAGGATTAAATGAGACCATGCGTGCGAGGCACAGAGTGGGGGCACAGTGGCCTGATTTTCTGAGGGTATGGCCTCGGGCTCATGCCTGCCTTGGCCCAAGGATCCCCTTTCTCTCCCAGGACCCCTTGTGGTTTGAACGCCAGTGGCCATGCTGTCAGAGCAGCCCTCAGTTGGCCAGGCTTTTGCTGGATTTTCAATAAGTGATTTCCCTCCATGGACAGAGCAAGAATCACTTAAAATCATTCATGAGAAACTCATGGCTGTGATTTCTGCAGGCGGCTTTGCAGGCCATGAGAGCCTGCGAGGGTTTGTGGGGTGAGCAAGGGGAGGTGACAAACAGAGAGCGAAAAACATTCAGCCTGCTTCTCTGTGGCCTCCCGCCTCCTCTTTTTTCCTGAGACTTGGGTCAGAATAACTGTTTTGGGCAGGAAAAGCTGCTAGGGTGAACGCCGAGGCCCAGCCATGCTCCAGTCTTGGACTTTAGCCCCCACAGTAGGGGATGTGGTTGTGGCAGACCCAGCTCCCCACTGCCCCGCTCTGTCTTCCCAGGCTGGGAAGCTGCTCCCTTAAGCCTCATCCTGGAGCTTGGTTGCCTTGGTTCCCTAGCTACATGGTTGTGGGGTGGCCCCTAGGGTTCATTTCTGTAGCCCCATGTACCCTGCAACCCTCGCTAGTGGTTCAACCTGTGGGATTGGAATTTTGCCAGGGGACATCTCTGCTCCTCCTGGTGGCTTGTCTTGACCTGCTCTTTGTAGCAGACACTTTTGGTGCCCCACCCGCCTGCCTGTAGCCTCAAACACCCATGCCTCGGCCTGAGGGAGTTTTGCTGGCTGTGCACTCTTTCAGCACGCAGGGCAGGCCAGAAATGCAGCCGTGACGGGGGGATCAGCAGATAAATACTCCAGCTGCCTCATCCTTCTGTTGGGGAAACTTTGAGGCGTGTTCTACGCCGTCTCCCAGAGATCCCTGGTAGGATTGAGCCCCAGTTGCCCACAGTAACAGCTGCCTTGATTACATAAGCTTTCTTGGCTTCCTTCCCTTCTCTGCTGGCTTCCTTGCTTCCTTTCCTGGGATCATTCTGATTGGGGTGGAATAGCGATGGTTGCAAATTCTTTGTCATCCCCCCTACTAAGAGATAGGGTGTTGTTATGGATTGAATTGTGTCCCACAAAAAGATATGTTGAGGTCTCAATCCCCAGTACCTGTAAATATGACTTCGTTTGGAAACAGGCTGTTTGCAGATGTAATCAAGTTAAGATGAGGTCATACTGGATTAGGGCGAGCAGCCCTGAATCTAATGACGAATGTACTTGTTAGAAGAGGAAATGTGGGCACAGAGACACACAAACACAAAGAGAGAAGAAGGCCATGCAAAGAGGCAGAGACAGATGCACAGACATACCACGTGACTGCAGAGGTGGAGATGAGGTGATGCTGCTGAAACCGAGGAATGCCAAGGATTGCTGGCAACCACAGAAGCCAGGAAAGAAGCCTGGGACAGATTCTTCCTCAGAACCCCCATGGAGGAACCAACCCTGTTGACCTCTTGGATTCAGACTTCTGGCCTTCAGAACTGTGAAAGAATGAATTTCTATTGTTTAAAGTCACTCAGTATTAGCCAGGCGTGGTGGCTTATGCCTGTAATCCCAACACTTTGGGAGGCTAAGGTGGGTGGATCACTTGAGGTCAGGAGTTCGAGACCAGCCTGGCCAACATGGTGAAACCCCGTCTCTACTAAAAATACAAAAATTAGCCGGGCATGATGGCGGGCGCCTGTAATCCCAGCTACTCGGGAGGCTGAGGCGGAGAATCGTTTGAGCCCAGGAGTCGGAGGTTGCAGTGAGCCGAGATCACACCACTACACTCCAGCCTGTACGACAGAGCAAGACACTGTCAAAAAAAAAAAAAAAATAAGCCACTCAGTCTGTGTGGCACTTTACTAAGGCAGCCCTAGCAAACTAACAAAGTGTCTTTCTCCATTCCTTTGAATCTGGGCTGGGCCTGGGATGGTTTTGAGCAATAGCACGTGGCAACATGATGCTGTGCTGGTTCTAGGCCTAGACCTTTAGAGGCATGGTGGCTTCCACTTCATCTGCCTTGGAACCCAGTCACTGTGCTGTTGGGGGAGTCCAGGCAACCGCATGGAGAGGCCTGCATAGCCGCTGTCAAGCTGCCAGGCAACAGCCTGCACCAACTTGCTAGCTCTTTAGAAAACAATTCTTCCAGCCCCACTTGAGCTGCCCTAGCTGATGCTCAAGTTGTAAAATTGTGAGCAAATAATGGTTGTTTGTTTTAAGCCACCAAGTGTTGGGGTGGTTCATTGCCCAGCAATAGATAACTGAAACATGTATGCACTATTTGCACTGGAATCCTTGTCTTAACGTATTCCTCTGGGGGAACACTCCAAAAAACTTATTCTGCTATGGTTTGAATATTTTTGTCCCCTCCAAAAGTCATGTTGAAACGTAATGGCCAATGCAATAGTGTTGGGATGTGGGTCCTAATGAGACGTGTGTAAGTCATGAGGGCTCCATTCTCACGAATGGATTATGTTGTTATAAAAAGGGCTTGCAGGAGTAGGTTCCTCTCTTTTCTGCTCTTCCACTCTGTGAAGACACAGAAAGAAAGCCCTCGTCAGATGCCGGTGCCTTGATTTTGGACTTTCCAGCCTCCAGAACTGTGAGAAGTAAATTTCTGTTCATTATAAATTACTCAGTGTCAGGTATTCTGTTATAGCAACAGAAAGCTAAGACATCTTCCATGTTCCTTCTTGAGATTGAGCCCCCCTTCAAACTTAACCTAGTTCTTCCCACCCTACTTTTCCAGGCCTGATCCCTCTGGACAGCTCTCTGCTCTCAATTGCCCACAAACTGACACTTGGCTCTCTTGCCTCAACTGGATGTTCTCTGCAGGTAGGACTGGGACTGTGTGCCAACATGCACACTGTCCCAGGCTGCCCTACAAGAGCCAGCCTCCATGTATCGGTCAGGGTGGCCCTGGGGGAAGTTGATCTCTGCCCATTCGTGGTTCACAGCCCTGCTCAATGTTGGTGGATACCCAGCATGCCTTCCGCACCCACAGTCCAGCATTATCTCAGAGCAGCCATTGTGGATCCCTGTCTGTTGCCACATTTAACCCTGTCAGTCACATCTGCTGAAAACCCCATGAGTTGCATTTCTTGGAGGTCATCTATAATGAGAGCATGCCCTTGTGGGCTTGTGGAGGGCATGGTGACTGACTCTTTGACACCTATCACTCCTCTGCATGCTCAGTCTATTTCTTTTGCTGGGGACTGGGTTGGAAATGTACTTGTGGCTCAGACCTGACCAATGAGGTGGGGGATCTACTGGGTGGAGGCTTTTGGGAAATATTGATTCACTCTGAAGGGAGATACTCAGAGTCTAGTCTACCTTTTTTTTTTTCTTTTCTTTTCTTTTCTTCTTTTGAGACAGGGTCTTGCTCTGTCACCCAGGCTGGAGTACAGTGGCATGATCTTGGCTCACTGCAACCTCCTGGGCTCAAGCAATCCTCCCACCTCAGCCTCCTGAGTAGCTGGGACTACAGGTACGTGCCACCATGCCCAGTTAATTTTTTTTTTTTTATGTAGAGATGGGGGTCTCACTATGTTGCCCAGACTGGCCTCAAACTCCTAAGCTCAATCGATCCACCCACCTCGGCCTCCCAATGTGCTGAGATTACAGGCGTGAGCCACCGTGCCTGGCCAGCCTACCCTTTTCTTCCTCTGGACTTGTGTCTGCCTAGATGTGTCCTCTGGGATGGCTGTGAGCACCTCACAACCATACTAAGAGAAACCAGTCTTAGCGTGAGGCTGACAGGAAGCCAGCTGAGTGGGCAAATGGGGACAACCAGGTCCTCGTTGACATCATTGAGCTGCTCAATGCCCTCTACCTGGAGCCAGCCCACCTCTGCACTCCATGTTACTGACATCAATTTCCTTAGTATTTAAGCCAATACTTTTCCAATTGTGGATCAGAACTGATTAGTGGGCTGTGAAATCAATTAAATGGCTCACAATCACCAATGGAAAAATTGAGCTAGAATAGGGAAGAACAGAATGGAAAATATCAGAGTGTGTCACATGTAGTAGTGCTTTGTGAAACTTTTGTCTAGTGCGTTCAGAGCCAAAGTGGAAACTGTATTCCTTACTGTGGGTCATGGCAAAAGAGTTCTAAAGCCACTGGTTTAAGCCAGTTTGAGTGGAGGTTTTCTGTAACTTGTAGTCAAAAATATCTATGACATCCTCTTTTCCCATCCCCCAGCCAATGACACAAATTCTTTTCCACCCTAGCCCTTTTCTTCCTGGCAGTAGCCCTCATTTCTGCCTTAAGTCTTTGTTCACATTCTTCCTCCCACCTGCAGAGCCCTTTGCTTCTCTCTCCTCCCCAACCCATCCTATCCAATCCTTCCAGTCCCAGCTGAGGCTGGCTGGGCCTCTACCTTGTTATTTGTTACAGTTTAGAGTGTGTGGCTTTGGAGCCACACTCTCTGGGTTCGAATTTCAACTCTGCCACCTCCTAGCTCTGCAATCTTGGACAAGTTCATGAACCTCTTTGAGCCTCAGCTGCTGCATCTGTAAAATGGGAATAATAACGGTATCTGTCTCAAAAAGTTATGAGGATTTTTTCTTTTTCTTTCTTTTCTTTTTTTTTTGGAGATAGAGTCTCGCTTTGTTGCCCAGGCTGAAGTGCAGTGGTGAAATCTTGGCTCACTGCAACCTCTGTCTCCTGGATTCAAGCGATTCTCGTGCCTCAGCCTCCCGAGTAGCTGGGATCACAGGCGTGCGCCACCACGCCTGGTTAATTTTTGTATTTTTAGTAGAGATGGGGTTTCACCATGTTGCCCAGGCTGGTCTCAAACTCCTGATCTCAAGTGATCTGCCTGCCTCGGCCTCCCAAAGTGCTAGGATTACAGGTGTGAGCCACTGCGCCTGGCCGAGTTATGAGGATTTGTAAGCACTAAAACAGTGCCTGGCACAGCCAAAGTGCTTTATAAATGTCTATGCAATAAATTACCGAACTGAAAGTTATCATAGGGGAGGGCATCTCCTATTGCACGTGTCTGTGCCTGAGTCAAAGCCCACTCCAGGGCTCATGCCTCTCCCCAGGATTGTCCTTGGGTGTTGCTGCTCAGCCACTCTTGCTCTTTTGTGGTCTTATTTTCTTTAATTTTTTTTTTTTAAGAGGCAGGATTTTGTTCTGTTGCCCAGGCTGGAGTGCAGTGGCATGATCATAGCTTACTGCAGCCCCGACCTCCTGCGCTCAAGCAATCTCCCCACCTCAGCCTCCTGAATAGTTGGGACTATAGGCATGAGCCACCAAGGCTGGCTAAATTAAAAAAAATTCTTTGCAGAGACTGAGGGGCTCACTATGTTGTCCAGGCTGGTCTTGAACTCCTGGCCTCAACTGAGCCTTCTGCCTCGGACTGCTGGGTAGCTGGGCTCACGGCAAGTTCACGGATCCTGAACTTCTCTCTAGGTTCCTGGGTGGCCTTGTCTTCAGCCTTTTCTCCTCCCTTTCCATCCCTCTTCCATTTAGCCACTCTCCCACTGGACGGCCATACCCACCCCTAGCTGCCCGCTGCTCAGAGCCACCTCTTCCACCACAGCCTCAGCCCAGGAGTCTTTCTTGCCAACCTGGGTGGGGACCCTGGAGATGGCCTTCTCAAGCTGATTTGCTGTAGGCCCCATCTTTTAAGCCTCAAGGGTTTCTCAAGGGGGATGCAAGAGCACTTGACTATCAGTTCATTGCTAGGAAGGTGACATGCGGGATCCTTTTTGCTGCCTAAGGTTTAAGATGTACGGCAATAATACCGGTGATAGTCAGAAAATACTAATGGCACCTCTGAGCAGCCAGCGAGCCCGGCGTGGTGCTGACCCGCTAGCCCTGGCTGCAGGCTGTATATAGAACCATCTCACTAGAGCCGCACAACATCCTGGCAAAGTGGGTACCATTATTGCTCCTTTACAGATGAGGCAACTGAGGCACAGAGACGCGGGGAGGGGTCACTTTTGAAAGGCCACACAGCCAGGGAGAGGCTGGGGATGGGGAGGAAGTTGGGGAGCCTAGGAGACAGCTAAGGTTTGACTTTTCTCAGAGTCCACTGTTGCTCTGCTTCCTCCTCCAGTGACCTTCCTTGTACACTGGTCTAGATCCTCCTGAAAGTGGGGAGCCCACTGTGGCATGCCAGCACCTCCTCACCTGCTCTAAGCCCGGCCTGGGCTGTCCCTCCTCAGGCTAGCTGGGTGTTGCTCCAGGGATTCTGAATACAGTTGGTCCCTTCAGAGAGAGTCTGTGTTAAGGAATTGAAGGCTTCAAGCAAGGAGAATGTTCAGATTGTTCATGGGAATCTTTGCCACTCAGGCTTATTTCATAGGCCCCATGCTTGGGCAGCTGTGGAAATATTAGACTACACAGCAAAACTTGCAGGGTTGTCAATTCAGAAATGGAGAGGTAGAGATGAGAATAAAAACACAGCCCCATCTCCAGTGAATGTCAGAAATCTGATGGGCAACCAGGCACTTGGAATCCTTACAATGCGAATTCAGAATGAAAAAAAAAATTACTATATATCTGTGAGAACAGGAGTGTCTTGGTCCCACTTTTAATTGCACCTGGAAAGGGGCTTAATATCTCAGCCAATTTCTCCATCATCTTTTGCAAATCTTGGGCTGCTCAGGTCCCGGGGGGTTTGTGTAATAAAACGAGATGGTTAAAGGGCATGTTTCTGCATTAACGAATCTTTCTTCACTGGCTGGGCCTAAGCATTATGTAAATGTTTACTGTAATTAAGAGATGAAGTTGTCACAGTGCAGTATTTCGGTTGCTGGTTTGGAGTTCCTGCCATGAATAGTCACCCAAAAGGAGAGGAACAGGAAGAGGCAGAGAGAAGAAAAGGTGGAAACGTATGCATTATTTGTGCTTAACTCTGGGAATAATTGCTTGGTTTTAACGTGTTCTTAGCCTGTGATGTAAGTGAGAGCCGGGGCCACATCACAGGAAGGCAGGTCTGGGCTCAGCTGTGTAGACTTGCCTTCCTGTCACTGCTGCAGTGTGGTGGCCACAGTTATATCACTGCCTTGGGCTTAAAGTAGGATTTTTATCCCAAAGATGGGATGATAAGAGGAATTTTGGAAACTGTATTTGTTGTATGTGTTTGGATTTTGTTTTTTTTGAGGAGGTTGGTGAAGGATTCCAGCACCTCAAAAATGGAGGTGTACTTTTTATACAGTAGAACACATATCTCTTTTTAAAAAATAGCCTTATTGGCCGGGAGCGGTGGCTCACGGCTGTGATCCCAGGACTTTGGGAGGCCAAGGCGGGCAGATCACTTGAGGTCAGGAGTTCGAGACCAGCCAGGCCAACATGGCGAAACCTTGTCTCTACTGAAAATACAAAATTAGCTGGATGTGGTGGCGGGCGCCTGTAGTCCTAGCTACTTGGGAGACTGAGGCAGGAGAATCGCTTGAACCCGGGAGGTGGAGGTTTCAGTGAGCCGAGATTGTGCCACTGCACTCCAGCCTGGGCGACAGAGTGAGACTCTGTCTCAAAAAACAAACCAACAAACAAAAAAACTCCAGCCTTATCCAGGTATACTGGATATAAAATAAACTGCACATATTTAAAGTATACAATTGGAGCCGGGCACAGTGGCTCACATCTCTAATCCCAGCACTTTGGGAGGCTGAGGTGGGCGGATAACCTGAGATCAGGAGTTCGAGACCAGCCTGGCCAACATGGTGAAACCCTCTCTCTACTAAAAATACAAAAAAATTAGCCGGGCCTGTGGCGCAGATCTGTATTCCCAGCTACTCGGGTGGCTGAGGCACCAGAGTCACTTGAACCTGGGAAGAGGAGGTTGCAGTGAGCCGAGATCGCGCCAGTGCACTCCAGCCTGGGTGACAAGAGCGAGACTCCATCTCAAAAAAAAAAAAAAAAAAAAGAAAAAGAAAAGTATACAATTGGATACGTTTTAACATATGCATACAACTGTGAAACCATCACCATCATCAAAATAATGAACATACCCATCATTCCCAAAGTTTCCTTGTACCCCCTTCTGATCCTTGCTGCCTCTCCCTGTCCCCCATTCCCAAGCAGCCACTGATCATTTTCTGTCGTTTGCATTTTCTAGAATTCTATGTAAATGGAATCATGCAGCATGTACTCTGGCTTCTTTTATTGAGCCTGATGACTTTGAGATTCATCCAGGTTGCATGCATTTTGTTTGTCCCCTCTTGTTGCTGAGAAGCATTGCACTGTACGGATACACTACAATTGATTTATCCCTTCATCTTTTGCTGGATATCTGGGTCGTTTCCAATTTTTGGCTATTACAAATAAAGCTGCTATGAACATTTGGGCACCACGTTTATATACATATATTTTCTTTTCTCTTGGGCAAATACCTAGGAGTGGAATGGCTAGGTCATAGGATAGGTGTATGTTTAAGTTGATAAGAAACCTCCAGACTATTTTCCAAAGTGCACTCCTATCAGAAATGTATGGGCGTTCCAGTTGCTCTGCCTGCCTGCTGACTTTTGGTGTTGTCATTCTTTTTGATTTTAGTGATTCCAGCTGGTCTCTGTGTGTATTTTAATTAACATTTCTTTTTAGGTCCTTTAAAACTTTATAAGGCAAGTGAGTGTATACATATGTAAAAATTATCAAGTTGCACATTTGAGATTTCTGCATTTTACTGTGTGTAAATTATTTCTCAATAAAATACTATAAAAAATTTTACAGGGAGAAGATTCCCTTGAAATTAAATTACCATCTATTTATAGCTCTCTAAATGGCCTTCCCAACAAAGTCAGGGACAAGCTCTGATAACAGGCTCTTTAAAAAATGCTTGCTAGGATCACCTGAGGTCAGGAGTTCGAGACCAGCCTGGCCAACATGGTGAAACCCCGTCTCTACTAAAAATACAAAAATTAGCCGGGCATGGCGGCATGCACCTGTAGTCCCAGCTACTTGGGAGGCTGAGGCAGGAGAATCGCTTGAACCTGGGAGGCAGAGGTTGTAGTGAGCTGAGATCGTGCCACTGCACTCCAGCCTGGGTGACAGAGCGAGACTCCATCTCAAAACAAAAAGCTTGCTAGCTGGGTGCAGTGGCTCACGCCTGTAGTCTCAGCTACTCAGGAGGCCAAGGAAGGAGGATTGCTTGAGCCCAGGAGTTCAAGACCAGCCTGGGCAGCATAATGGAACCCTGTTTCTACAAACAAAACAAAACAAAAATATAGCTGGGTTTGTAGTGCCAGTTACTAAGGAGGCTGAGGCCAGAGAATCACTTGAGCACAGGAGGCTGAAGTTGCAAAGAGCCATGATTGCACCACTGGACTCCAGCCTGGGTGACAGAGCAAGACCGTCTCAAAAAAAAAAAAAAAAAAAAAGTGCCTGCCACGAGCTGGTGGCCAGGTGAGGCCTGGTAGGTGCGGTTCGAGTCTGGAGAGGCAAGCCAGGCCCCTAGGCTGGTGCCAGCACAGGTGAGTCATTCAGTTTCCTGGATCCTGGAAAATTATGCCTTGGGCATTTTTTTGAGGCTGTTCTTTGAAGTCATAAAGATGAAAGCTTTGCAAGCCATGGCCACTCCCCACCACAAATGAAGGTGGCAGCCTGCTCTCAGCAGACAGGGGAGGAGGCCACTGCCCTGGAGTGGGGGTGGGGTACCACTTCAGTTCACCTTGTGGAGCCAAGCCCCAGACCCTGCTGCCTTTCCCAGGGCCTCAGCGCGAGGATGGTCCAGACCTTCTGGTCTTCCCTTGTGCTTTGATCATTTCTCAGTTTGCCTTTCTACCTCTGTGCCTGCCAAAAAATTCACCCCAGCAGCCTAGTGCACCTGGATCTGGGGTTCCCACTCTCAGGCTGCACTGGCACCACTCAGGGGCATTTGGAAATGAATGGGTCCTTGTGTTTTTGGTATCACAATGTCAGAGGGCCATTTTGGGATTAGTCATCACAGACTGTGTGTGGGGCAGTCCTGTGCCATGAAGAACATTCCTCCCCAAATGCTAATGGTGCCCCAGGTTGAGAAACAAGTTAGTTAATAGGTAAGAATTAGTTGATTGCTTAAATGGTAGATATTCCTGTTCTTTGAATATCTCGAATTCATCTTGGGATGTCTGTCAGTTCCTGATCCTTTGGATTTTGTTAGTTGCATCTATACTGTACTGCTGCTGCTGATTAAGAAATATGACTGGAATATCAACAACAGACAAAATACTCAGAGGAATGAAAACCTTCCTGTATTAAGGGTTGCACTTACGCCTTACTCCATTTCTAAATTTTCTGGTACGTGAACACAGAGTATTAGAGATGTTTAAAGAATAGAGTTGATTTCAAAAGTAAGAAAATAACTTCCTAGTCTTATTTCATATGAATTTTCTTTGTTTAGAATTCATTTTGCTCCTACACTTTCAAGTAAGCCTAAACTGCTTTGCTGGTCTTGGCACGGGGCTACAGGGGGTGCTGAGTTGGGAGAATTCTGGTTGGTGTGACCGGGCAGGTCTGATGACGGTTCAGGGAAGGGAGCTGCAGTTTTCTGACATTAAATATTAACACTGGGTATTAATAATGAAGGCTGACAGTTCCTTTCGCGGTGTTTCAGAGCATGTCTCTCCCCAGCCTGCAAGCCCAGCAGGCCCCCAGCCCTTCCCCTGCCTGAGCAATGTGGCAGGAGCCCCCTTTGCTTTGAGGTCAGGGAAGGTAAGGAAAACAACCCTCTGTTGTCACCCAGAGAGGCAGGATTGCCTGCCCAGGCCACTGCGCACACAGCTCCTAGCTCATTGTCCTCCCTGTCGACAGGAAAGCAGCTGCTGGGGGGCGGGGGTAGGTGGAGGGAAAAGCAGGAGGTGGATGCTGAAGGTGGAATGGACCATGGGGCTGGGAAGGAAACCACCTCAGCCTCAGAGGTCCAAGGCAAGGCTTCTTGCCTAAAGAGAAGGGGGCTGGGAGTCCTCCAGGGGGTCGTCACTCCCCAGGAGTGCTTAGATACAGCCCAACACTTCCCCAGTGTGGCCCCCATTCCCACTGCGTTATAGCTTTGTAGTTCTAGCTACAAAGCTTTGTAGAGCCTGCAAAGCATCTCTCTCTTCTGGGTCAGGAGGCCTCAGACTGGTTAAGGCGGGTGGCAATGGCCGTGACACACAGACTGTCCATGCAGACCTTGGCCAGACAGAATCTGGCTATGCAAGCCCGGGCCACATAGCCCCTGGCAGTGCAAGCCCTGGCCTCACACTCTCTGACCTTGCTGACCCTCACCTTGCACCCCCAGCCTCCCTGCGTGCTCCGGTGTCAGCCCTGCTAGCCGCCAGGCCTGCTTAGCTCTTGTGGCCTGTGGACAAAGGAAGGCCAAGGCAAACTTGAACTTCCATCCAGGGAGTTGTGCTGGCGGAAGCCTGTGCTTGGAGCTGAAAAATTAAACAACAAAAGATCTTTTACGCAATAAAATGAACAAGGAATCACATGTGACATAGCCTTGTTTTCCACACTCCATTTATGGATGGTTGTGCATTCACTTTGCTTTAATAAAACTGTGTTCTCCTGTATGGACATTTTTTCCTTTTCCTCCCCTTTCCCCAGGGGGTGATGTTGGAGCGTGGGAAAGAAATATAGAAGATAAGAGCAGAGAAATAGATGTGTGTTGGAATCTGCATTTGACTCTGGTGAATTTAAACATAGTCCTTGGAGTTGGTTGGACTTTGCAGACATCCAAGAGAGATCTAGTCCACATTTTTTTTTGAGACAGAGTCTCACTCTGTCACCCAGGCTGGAGTGCAGTGGCGTGATCTTTGCCCATTGCAACCTCTGCCTCCCGGGCTCAAGCCATTCTCCCACCTCAGCCTCCCTAGTAGCTGGGACTATAGGCATGTGCCATCACACCCAGCAATTTTTTGAGTTCTTTGTAGAGATAGGGTTTTTCCATGTTGCCCAGGCTGGTCTTGAACTCCTGGGCTCAAGCAATCCTCCCACCTCGCCCTCTCAAAGTGCTGGGATTACACGCATGAGCCACCATGTCTGGCCTCTAGTTCACTTTAAAGGAGGGGCCAGAATTTTAGGTACATGTCTCCACTCAGCGCTAGTGCCTTGCTCTGAGGAAAAAGGCTTACATGTGAAAGAAGAAACTCATTCTCTGAGGAATATAGTCATTTTCTCTGAGGAAAGAAGGTCAAATTCAGAAAACCTCCAGGACTCAAGAGCTAGCGGCCCCTTGCCAGGTGGAGCTGAGGCTCTGGCCAGGCTCTCTCGGCTGGCTTTTCTTTCCACTCAGTAGCCTCCTCAGCTCCTGCCCGACTTTGCCCTATGACAGCGCAAGCTGGGTGAAATGAAAGAGGAGGTGGGGCTAGAAGCTTCCATCAATAGTGGTAATTAATTGGGCTTGTGGTCACCTCACACCTCTCATTTGAGGCCGTATAGGTAACCCACAGACATTAATTAATTAGGCTTTCCCTGCCTCCTGTGGGGTTTGGACAGATGTCTGATTCCAGGGGTGCTGCCTTCTTGATACCAGGGCAGAGTGAGGGTGGTTTGGTTGGACAGTGATGAAGGCGTCATTCCATCTGACCCATCACTGCCAGGAAGGCCTGGGCAGATGGGGATTCACTCATTAGGAATGCTCATGGGAGTTCTCTGGAAAAACAACTGTTCAGTATTCCCAAGCCAAAGCTTTAGTCCCAGAGTCCTCCTCTGTGGAGCGCATCCGGGAACTGCCTGTCAGGTTTGGGCTCTGAATAGAGATTACCGCCTTCCAGCCTGAACTCTCCCATGCAGCATGACCATGGAGGGGTGAGTCCTTCCTTGGGGTGGAGAGCCACGAACGGGGAAGGAAAAGGTTATTTTCACAAGCTCAACAGTTAATGAGTAATGGTTTTTGGAATTTCTCCTCCGAGGATATACCCTACACCCTAGTCAGCTCTGGGCTTCTGGCTTCTGAATAATTGTTCTCAGTAATAGTATAGAACAGCTTTGTAATAATACAGCCTTCTGTGTGTTCAAGAAAGCAGCAATTTATTCCATGCAAGACCAAAAAAAAAAAAGTTTGTCTTTATTCCTCCTGATAATTGCCCACCCCAGAGATCAAGTAGTGAGGAGGCCAGTTAATAAGCTCAGGCTTTCTGGAGGCCTTTAATGAGTGCCTATGGCATGCCCAGAAGTTGGGAGAGGCATCATGAGGGAGACAGGAAAAAGAAACCCTAAGGAGTGAGAATATTTCTATGAAGATAAGCCCTAAATTCCTTAGAATGTGCTTTTGAGAAAGATACAACAGCTTGATGTTAGGCATCCATTTCAACCTCTTGTAGATGGCTGAATCACACATTTCCCAGACTCCCTTGCAGCTAGGGTTCCAGGTATAAGGAGGTTCAGCTGATCAGATGTTTTGTGTGAAACTGGAGTTTGGACCCCAGTTAAAGAGAGAGAGAGGATCACACTTTGCTACTATGGGTCATCACGGAGCCCACATGGTTCTCAAGCTGGCGGGGGTGGCTTCCAATTGTGTCAGGGCTCCCTGGTGCTGGCAGCTCAGTTCTGTGGGTGTGGCTGTGGGGGACTTTCAGCATCATGTGGGCCTCTTTAGCTCTCCAAATAATCCTGTTATCCCCTTAATACCCCACAAGGAATCCCTGTCTATTTCAACTAGCTGGAGTGGATTTTATTCTCTGCAACTGACCCCTGATCCCTAACAGCTCTGCTCACTTAAGCTTTTACTCCCAATGCCTCCAGCATCTTCCCCCATGGCTCCACCTTACCCTGTCTCCTCCTATCCCATCCTTCTCATGTAGGTGACTCCTACTCATTCTTCACGACGCAGTTCAGATGTTGCCTCCTCCATGAAGCTTTCTCTGATATGCGTAACCTCCCCATCCTTTGTGCCCCACACCATCCAAAGCTTCCCATCACAGCGCTTCTCATGTTAGATTGTCACCATCTTTTTCTTTGCCTTCCTCTGCCACTAGACTGTGAGCTGCTGGAGGGTAAGTATGATGTTTTCTCCTGGTGTCCCTGGTGCCCAGCACAGTTCCTTGCATAGCACAGTAGGTACTCAATAAAAAGTTCTTGTTGAATTAGAAGATACCATATGGCAAATAGTCAAATGCAAAGTTGTGTGGTTCAAAACTCAATACAGTAAACGGAGATAGCCATGTTGCTTAGAGCAAATGGCAACATCACCAAGGAAAAGAAATTGTGGCCCAGAAGCCACCACAGCTCCCTTTCTGGGTCTTGTATCCTCACTTATAAAATGAAGGGTGGGTCTTCATTAGTGTTCCCTGCTGCGCATTCATCTGAACACTAACTACTTCTTTAAGGCATTACTAGGGAAAAGAGGGTTCCGAGAGCAAATCGGTTTGGGAAATGCTGGGTTGAGCAGAGTTGAACAGGTTTCTCTACTACAGGTCTTCTCAGGACCTTTAATATGCTCATGTGGATTGTGACTCTCCTCAAGGAAGATAATGGTATGCAGTGTTGTCTCAGTTGTCTTTTGCTTCAACAATGCTGCAAAACAACCACAAATGGCAGGACCTTCAACAATGCATAATTAGTGCTCCTGTGTCTGGAGTCACCTGGGGTTTGTGTGGGCAGCTCTACAGCTCTTGGCGAGGTATGCTCATGTGGCCGGAGGTCCATCTCAGTTGGTTCTGGTTGGGATGACTAGGGCAGGTCTGCTCTGTTCCACCTGTCTATCAGCCTCCAGCAGGCCACCTTGGCGTGCAGTCCTGTTGATGGCAGACGCTCAAGAGAACCAGTCCTAGAGTCCCAGCTCACTGCAAGCCTCTGCTTCCCTCATGCTTGTTTGCATCCTGTTGGTCAAATCACAAGGCAGTGTCAAGGGGTGGAGCAGGTCACCCCGCCCACGACAGGAGTGCATTGCAAAGTTCTGTGGCAAAGGGCGTGGATTCCGGGAGGGGTAAAGAATTGGGGACATCAAGGTGCTCTACCACGAAGTGTTTCCCAAAGTTTCCTGACCAAGGAATGCCTTTGTTCATACGACTGGATCTCACAATACACGCTTCAGGAAACACCAGCCTAGCCATGCTTAAAGTCATTTGCAGTTCTGATTCTCTGATTTCTGCGCTCTGAGTAGTTTCAGGAAGGCGCCGATAGCAAACCTGGATCATTCTGATTGGATGGAATTAGACCAGAGGCGGTGGTAGAACTTGAGTCCGACGGTCCATTGTGGGAAGTTCCCTTCAGAAGGGGTCCCTGCCAGCTCGCCCTGTGATGCCCATCTTCACTTCAGCCTACAAGACTTGCCTGGCCCTTGGTGGGTGTGAGCAGAGCCCTCCCGGAAGCATTACTTCCGGAGAGGCGTAGTTCTAGGAACTGTCGGGCTGGACCGGGAAATTCATTTTTCCTGTGTTTTGTTACTCCAGGAAGACTTTTTCTGGAGGCTTGACTTTGGGACAGCCTTTCTTGGTATTGGCATGGTGCCATTGGCCTTTCCCCTTCTCTCTAGGCTGGGAGCCAGGTACCTGCCATTGAAGACTCAGTCAGGGCTTTGGGGGTTGGGGTTACCCTCACTCCCAACATATCTGGATGCCCACAATGCCTAGCTATCCCCACACCCCAGGGATGGATAGGGGCTGTCAGCCTGCCCTGTTCTTTGCCTGCTAACTGAGCTGAACATCATAACGGCCCTGACGTCACCTAACTGCCGAGTCCATCTAAATGACAGCTGGAACCCCCTGCAGGGCGAGAGCTCTGTGACTGAGGTGGCCTCAAGCACCTACCCAGCCCCTCTTTATTTTTCAGACTTGAATCCATCCAGCAGCCCCGCCTGCCTTCCCGCTAGGCGCGGTGGAAATGCTTCCTGTTTATGACTGTGTCTTGTGAACCCAGAACTCAGAGAGGTGGGGCTTCCGACCTGACACCAGGGGCTGCTTCAGTTTCATCAAAACCCACCCGACCCCCTTGTAAATGCCCTGTGGCTTTGGGAGCGGCGGTGGGTGGGCTCCGGGCTGGGGGAGGCTGGCGGCTTGGGTTCCCTGTGGGACTCATAAATTTGGTCTTGTTAAGAAAACCTGCAGGGATGGTTAGGGTTGAAGGTGATCAGGTTACAAAAGCACTCCAGGCCTTGATGGCTTCACGGGAGGCCTGGGACACACAAAAGGCCCTGGGGCCAGAGGCGAGTGAAGGTGGAGGCTGAGGCAGAGCAAGCCACTCCCACCAGGGCCCTAAAGTGGCCCACTCACCCCAGAGGACATCCTTCACATTAAGCAGCTTGGAGAAGAAACACCTTTTTCCCTTTCTGGGCGAGGATCACCTGGAAATTTACTGTTGTGATTTTATCAGAAATAAATGCAGCAAAATTTGTGCACAGAAAAAAGTACTAAAAGGAAACACAGGGCTACTTTACCCGTAGAAAATCCTTAGCGTTCAATTATAGGTAATTTATGTTTCTTTTTTATGCCTTTTTTTTTGGTATTTCCAAATTTTCTACAGTGGCCACGTGCTATTGTTAAATCTTAAAAAAAAAAGTGACAGAAAAAAGAATAGAGGGAATGGTACACTCGTGTTTTTGGGAAATAATTGTTCTATAATGCTCTGTACTACATATTCAATAGAATCTCAGTTTTATAAAACAAAAAGTATGTAGAGAAAGGATGAAAGGAGACACATAAAATTGTTATCAGTGTTCATCTCTAGACATGTGGTTGATTTTCTTTTCTTTTTCCTTTTCTTTTCTCTTTTCTTTTCTCTTCTCTTCTCTTCTCTTCTCTTCTCTTCTCTTCTCTTCTCTTCTCTTCTCTTTTCTTTTCTTGAGACGGAGTCTTGCTCTATCGCCCCTGCTGGACTGCAGCAGTGTGATCTCGGCTCACTGCAACCTCTGCCTCCCGGGTTCAAGCGGTTCTCCTGCATCAGCTTCCTGAGTAGCTAGGATTACGGGCATGTGCCACCCTGCCCAGCTAATTTTTTTGTATTTTTAGTAGAGACGGGGTTTCACCATGTTGTCCAGGCTGGTCTCGAACTCCTGAACGCAAGTGATCCACCCACCTCAGCCTCCCAAAGTGCTGGGATTACAGTTGTGAGCCACTGCCCCCGGCCAGGAACACATTACTTTCTGAAATTAGGAAAAAGCAATTGAAAACGAACATATTGGGTCTGGGAGCAGTGGCTTACGTCTGTAATCCCAGCACTTTGAGAGGCCGAGACAGGAGGATCGTTTGAGTCCAGAGTCCGAGACCAGCCCAGGGAACATGGCGAAACCCCATCTCTACAAAAAATACAAAAGTTAGCCATGAGTGGTGATGCACTCCTGTAGCCCCAGGTGGCTGAGGTGGGAGGATCAATTGAGCCCTGGGAGGCAGAGGTTGCAGTGAGCTGATATTGCACCACTGCACTCCACCCTGGGTGATGGAGTGAGACCCTGTCTAAGACAACAACAACAACAAAAAAAGAAAATGAATGTCTTTTTCTTTCTACTTTTATCCCTTCAATAAATATGTATTGAGTGCCAACCATATAGGAGGCATTCATTGACACTGGGGTTATAGAGCCCGTGCCTGGCCTCGCAGAGCTGACAGCCTCAGGAAGACAGTCATTAGGCGACCTAGGAGTGTAGAAATTTGCCATCTGCCATGAGGCCATGACACGGGAGGTTGGGTGGGGGAGGGATAGCTAAGACGGTGTAAAGGCCCTGACTCAGTCTGAGGTGTTGGTCTGAGGCATCTGCTTAAGAAGTCTGTCCTGCAGAAGCCATATTTGCATTGAAATTGGAAGGGTAAGAAGGGGTTAACTAGATGAGCACTATGGGAAGGGCTTTCCAGGCTAGGGTTTTAAGCCAGGAGTGAGGTGATGAGTTGTACATTTCAAATAACTGCAGGAGAACAGTGTGCGGAAGGACAAGGAAGACTAGAAGCAGAAAGACCTGTTAGGCCTGGATCAGGGTTGAGGACAGGAGGTGAAGGGAGGCTCTTGTGTCTGGAGACCCAGCTGCATTTAAACATGCAAGGTGGGCTGGGCACGGTGGCTCACGCCTGTAATCCCAGCACTTTGGAAGGCTGAGGCGGGTGGATCACCTGAGGTCAAGAGTTCAAGACCAGCCTGGCCAACATGGCAAAAACCCGTCTCTACTAAAAATACAAAAATTAGCCGGGCATGGTGGTGTGTGCCTGTAATCCCAGGTTCTCAGGAGGCCGAGGCAGGAGAATCACTTGAACCTTGGAGGCGGAGATTGCAGTGAGCTGAGATCCCGCCATTGCACTCCAGCCTGGGTGACAGAGCGGGACTGTGTCTCAAAAAAAAAAAGAAAACAAAAAAAATGCAAGGTTGCTTCTCGGTGGCTAGTGGGTGTGTACCTGGGTGTTTTTTTTATTTTTTATTTTTTATTTTTTTGCCACCTCATAGTTACCTGGTTCTTCCTTGCCAACTTGGCCCCAGCTGATTTGAGTAGAAGGGGAAGAAGCCCCCTGTAGCAGGGAAGCTTGCCTGAGCTGTAAGCCTGGGAAATGACTCAACTCAGAGAGGAGGGACACAAAGGCAATCCTGGCCTCCACAGCATAGACAGCAGAGGTGGCGGCCGCAGGCATGCTGTCTTTCCCAGAGTCATCTCCTCAAACTACAGTTTGGAAGAGTTGACTTTCCCCAGGATACCCCACCAATCCGGAAAGGTAAAAGGCACGGGGGTGAGCACAGAACATTTTTGAGAAGGTAGCGTTCATTAATCAAGGAGCTACAATATGCAGTGTGCCACAGTCTCATTATTTGGTCTCTGACCTTTATTGACATATTAAGTGCAATCTCACACCTCTCCCGAGCGGGCTTTTGGAGGACATTTTCTCCAACACGAGGGCTCACTGCAGCCTCCAGCCTCCCAACACACATTGGCTTCTCTCTGAGAGCAAGCTGAGTTCGTCTTATGAGCTGCCTTCTTCCTCCCACGCCTCCTGGGACTCCCTGGCAGCTGACTTCTGTTACGCGATGCCTAGGCTGTCTGCTTAGAGCAAGGGGTGTTCAAATCCATATCTGTGCTAGGCACTCTGTATGTATGTAGGCTGAATAAATATTATGTCCTGGATGTAGAAATACGACCATTTTCTAAATGTCTATAGTGCTGCTGTGATGAGTAAAATATGTCATTACCAGGTCGTCCAGCATTCTGAGTTGCTTTATGTCACCATGTACTGTTCTTAGCATATACTAAAAGTGCAGCAAGGAGGGGAATTTTTGGACCTTATAAAAAGTGGGCTTTGGGTATGAGAAGGTTGGGAAGCCCTGTTCTGAGAGCCAACCCCTTCTGGTTGGGGTCTGTGCCCTTTCTGTGGGTCTGAGTGTCAGGTCAGCCAACAGCTGTGGTCTGGAAGGGTGTTCAGAGATGCCAGCTGGTTTTCTGTGGCTGGGGTCCCTTCTACGACAGCCCAGCACCTTCAAATGTCCCCGGCTCTTGGCTGGCAATTGTAGATTTTGGATGCTGTCTCTAGACTCTGGGACAGGGTTTTGCAATGCCTTTTGTAGCACCCAGAACCTCTGCTGGTAATCCCAGGCTTGAAGGAGAGGAGGAGTTAGAATCAGATTCAAGGATGTTCACACTTGTCTCTGCAACTCTCTAATCTAACTGGTGATGGGGAAATTTTGGTATAGGGTTTGGAGCTATTACAGTGAATTTGGTATAGGGTTGGGAGGTATTACAGTGAATAAGGGGGTGTGGATCACATGGCATCCCATACTTCATCCAGATGTTTTATTCCACAAAATAAGCTTCAGCAAACATTTATTTAAAAACCTGTATGTATTGGTGCTATGCTTGCATTTTTGGCCTATCTGACATGGCAGACACTGTGGACTAGCTGTACACACTGGCTTCTCCCTTGTGCTCTTCTATTTTAGAGGCTGGAAAGCACAAACATGCAATCTCCCAGACTCCCTTGCAGCTTGTGGTGCCCACGTGACCCAGATCCAGCCAATTGGTTATAAGCAAAAGCTGCAGGACAGGCTTTTTGAGGAACCTTTGACAAAGGGCCATCTCAGCTGGCATGCCCCTTTAGCTCCTTATTCTTTCCCCTCCCCCTATCATCCTGTCTGGAATGCAGACTTGATGCCAGGAGGTGCAGCAGCTATATTGTATTCATGAGGACAAAAGCCATATGTTGAGGATGCTAGAGAAGGAAGAGAGAAGAAATCTGGTCTTTAGAGATATTGTTGGGCTGCCATACTAGTCTTAGATCACCCTCCTCTTCATTTCTTTTTGTATGAAGGAAACAAATCCTTTACTTGTTTAAGCGAAGGTCTGTTGTGTTTTCTGTCACTGACCAAATGTTCATCTAAAGGACACACGCAATTTTTTCCTTAGGACAATTCAATGGGATAGAATTAGCAAGTCTATTTCATAGATAAGGAAACCGGGGCTCAGAAGGTTCCAATAATCAAGGTCAGACAGCTAGTTAGTTGTAGAGTTGGGTTTTGAGTGCAGGACTGTTTGACTGTAAACCCTTTCTATACTGCCTTCTTCCATGCAGTGGAGAACCCACTACATCAACCCAGTGGTGGACACTAGTATATGGAGCAGGACACCAATGCTTGGCATGAGACCCAGAGGTAGCAGAGAGAATTTTCCTTATTATCGGGGTTGGTGTCCTTGCCGTGATCATAAACATGCTCACTGACATGGGCTGAATTGTGTCTCTCCAAAATTCATATGTTGGAGTCCTAACCCCTAATACCTCAGAATGTGACCTTATTTGGAAACAGGGTCTGTACAGAGGTGATCAAGTGAAAATGAGGTTGTTAGTGTGGGCCCTAATCCAATATAGCTGGTGTCCTTATAAGAAGGGAAAATTTGGATACAGACATGCATAGAGAGAAGATGATGTTAAGAGACATAGGGAGAAGATAGCCACCTAAAGCCAAGGAGAGAGGTGTGGAACAGATCCTTCCCTCACAGCCCTCAGAAGGAACCAACCCTACTGACACCTTGATCTTGGACTTCTAGCTGCCAGAACTATGAGAAAATACATGTCCATTGCTTACCACCCCACAATTTCTATTGTGTACCACTCTGCTTGTGGTACTTGGTTTTGCAGCCCTACCAAGAAAATCCACTCTCCTAGGCGAATTTCCCCTGGTCATATTGATCCTTCCTCTTTCCTTATGTATCAGTCAGCTATTGTTGTCATCATCCTGTGTAACAAACCACCTCCAGAATCTGTGGCATATGACCCCAAGCATTTAATTATACTTGTGCATCTGCTGGTCAGCTAGCTTTGGCTCCAGGTTGTGAGTTGGATTCAGGTCTGTTCCTTGTGTCTCTCATTCTTACAAGACCATTGGACCACCTAGGGCACTTTCTTTATGCTGATGACAGAAACATCAGAGGCCAAGCCCAGCTGCACCAGCACATTTAAGCCTTTGCTAACCTTAGAGTCTTCTGACATCTCATTGGACAAACTATGCCACATTGTCTGGCACAACATCAATGGGGAAGGACAGTATACCCTGCCCCACAAAGGGAGGGAGAGGAGGTGACTATTTACTAAACTGTAATTGAAATGACCACCCTTTCTAGAGGTGCTCTGGCCTTGGAACAAACCCTTATAGCCTCTTTCCTATTTACCTTGACCCAAGACTTCTAATTTTTTTCTCATCCTATATATGCTTTTCTTATACTTCCTTGAGGCTCTTTCCTTCCCACACTCTGTACCAACTAGAATGATTTCAACTGCAAGTGACAGAAAATCCAGCTCAGCCTGGCTTAAACAATAAAATAAAGGGGATGTAAAAGTTCAAGTAACTAAAAAACCCAGCAGTAGGGTGAGCTTCAGGTGTGGTGTGATCAGGGCTCCAACTCCATTTATCTGCCAATCTCTTGGCTGTTTTGTTTTTTGTTCATGTCACCTTGCACCTTGTCTTTGTTTTTGATGCTACAATGGAATACTACAGACCGGGTAATTTATGAATAACAGGAGTTTATTGGCTTACAGTTCTGGAGACTGGGAAGTCCAAGATCAAGGCACCATCAAGTTTGATGTCTGGTAAGGGCCCAGTCTCCACTTCCAAGATGGCATTTTGAATGCTGCATCCTCCGGAGGGGAGGAACACTATTCTTCACAAGGCAGAAGAGTGGAAGGGAGGGGGCAAACCCATTCCCAAAGCCCTTTTTATCTTGGCATTAATCCATTAATGAGGATGAAGCCCTTATGATCTGATCTTGTCTTAAAGGTCCTTCCTCTTAATACTGTTACAATTGCAGTTAAATTTCAGCATGAGTTTTGGAGGGGACAAACATTCAAATCATAGCCCTCCTTGAGACAGCTTCCTTCAGTGTCCATATATGATTATAGCACTACTTGCGACACAAACAAAAAACATGAAAACTACACAGCTTGCTATCAGTAACAGATTGAATCAATGAATCATGTGGCATATTAACACAATAGAATAATAATGACAATGAAAATGAGCAAACTTTGCCCCTCAGGACAACATGGAAACTTTCAGAAACATCATGTTGAGCAAAAGAAGCCAGAGACAAAGGAGCACTCCTATGGGCTGAATGTTTGTGTCACCCTCATTAATTCATATGTTGAAGCTTAATCCCAAATATGATGGTATTAGGAGGTGGGACCCTTGGGAGGTGATTAGGTCATGAGGGCTCTGCCTTAATGAATGGGATTGGTGCCCTTTTAAAAGAGGCCCCTGAGAATTCCCTCACTCCTTCTGCCATGTGAAGATGCAGGGAGAAGGCATCATCTATGAAGCTGAGAATGAGCCCTCACCAGACACAGAATCTGCCTTGTTCTTGGACTTCCTAGCCCCCAGAACTGTGAGCAATACACTTTTGTTGTTTATAAATTACTCAATGTATGTCATTTTTTAATAACAGCTGGAATAGACTAAGACAAGCATATACTGTATGCTGTATGATTCCATTGATACAAAGTTCAAAACCAGGCAAAACTAATTTATGATATTGGAAGGTTGAATAATGGCTATCCTTGGCTATACAGGAGTCTCCAGAAGGGGCCCCAGCGGATTTCTGGAGTGCTGGTCTGGCTCCCTTGCTTCTTTTTTTTCTTCTTCTTTTAGAGACAGTGTGTCACTCTTGTTGCCCAGGCTGGGGTGCAGTGACAGAGTCATAGTTCAATGCAGACTCCAACTTCTGGACTCAAACCTCAGCCTCCTTTGCTTCTTGATTTGAATGCTGGTTACACGGGTTTAAATTCACTTTGTGAAATGTCATCAAGCTGTACACTTGTGACATGTATACTTTTCTTTATGTACATTTTGCTTCAATTAGAAGTTTCTTGGCCAGGAGCAGTGGCTTATACCTGTAATCCTAGCACTTTGGGAGGCCGAGGTGGGTGGATTGGTTAAGCTCAGGAGTTTGAGACCAGCCTGGGCAATGTGGAGAAACCTAGCTCTACAAAAAATACGAAAATTAGTTGGGCATGGTAGCGTGTGCCTGTAGTTCCAGCTACTGGGGAGGCTGAGGTGGGAAGATCTTTTGAGCCTGGGAGGTGGAGGTTGCAGTGAGCTAAGATTGCACCATTGCACTTCAGCCTGGGTGACAGAGCCAGGCTCTGTCTCAAACAAAAAAAAAAAGTTTCTTTGTAAAAATCTCTTAGGCAACTGTATGGAGAATGGTTGTGTGGGAAGGGTAGAGGAAGGCAGACTTGTGGGGAGGCTGACGTCATAGCTCAGGTGAGCAATGAGGCAGTAAGATGAAGGCAGAAAGCAGTTGCTCACCTGGGCTACAGGTGAGAAAAGAGGAAAGGGAGAGGGAGTGAAGAAGGTGAGAAGGTAAGGGAAATGCAGACTGCTTAGCGCCACTGATGGGCTGGCCTAGGTGTGCAGACGATCAGAGGTAGAGGTCCCGGGAGGCTAACACTAACAGTCAGTGTCTCCTGGGGACCTCATGAGAGAAGCAACACTTGACTATTTATTTATTTATTTATTTATTTTCTGAGACGGAGTCTCGCTCTGTCGCCCAGGCTGGAGTGCAGTGGTGCGATCTTGGCTCACTGCAACCTCCACCTCCCGGGTTCAAGCGATACTCCTGCCTCAGCCTCCCTAGTAGCTGGGAGTACTGGTATGCACCACCATGTCCGGCTACTTTTTGTATTTTTAGTAAAGACAGGTTTTCACCATGTTGGCCAGGCTGGTCGCGAACTCTTGACCTCAGGAGATCTGCCCACCTTTGCCTCCCAAAGTGCTGGGATTACAGGCATGAGCCACCGTGCACGGCCAACACTGGACTATTTACCTGACCTCGAATGGCATTTCCTTCTTGGAGAGTTTCCACCTCCATCAGCAGTGTAGGAAAGTTATAGTTACTCCATATCCTGTTGACACTTGGTATGGTTATTATTTTTTCCTTTTTAGATGTGGAGTGGGGAGGTGTCTCACTATGTTGCCCAGGCTGGTCCTAAACTCCTGGCCTCAAGCGATCCTCCTGCCTCAGCCTCCTGAGTCCCCTGGGTTACAGGTGTGAGCCACCACCCCAGCTTATCTTATTTGTTGTATGAGTATCTTATTTTCTGTCTTCACAACTGGAGTAGAAGTTCCTTGAGGGAACACAGTTATTTACAGTTTTTCCTGACACTGTTACATCACTAGTGGCTAGAATAGTACCTGAAACATAGTAGCTGCTCAGTAAATATTTGTTGGAAAAAAAGGTTCAGTGACAAGCAATATTGGGTGCTCTGTGAGCACAGAGAGTGGGCCTGGTTCTTTTTTTGGGAGCCCAGTAAAGGATTCCTGGAGGAGGTGACTGGAGCTGAGCTTTGTTGGACCAGGAGGTATACAGTTAGTGGGAAGGGATTTGTGTATTCTGGATGGGGAGTTCAGCAAATGTGAATGTCCTGGAACCTGGCCCATGGGACCCAGCCAAGGCGCCTCCACTAGGTGCCCAGAGCGACCTGTTCAATGTGTGTTGGAGTGGGAGGCACGGAGGGGAGGGATGAAGGTGGAAGGGTGGTGTGGGGGACTGACTGTCAGAGCTGGAGCACACCAGGCCTCTCTGGCCTTGCTCTTGAGGGGCGTGGAAAGTCCCATAAATAATATTAAGCTGATATTAAATGAAGGGGTCAGATGAGCTTTTTTCAAAAGGTCATTTCTTGCAGATGGAGTGTTTTTCCCACAGGCAGCAGGGATGGAGGGCGGCCCTGGCAGCAAGGCCTTGCATGCAGTCTCCCTCCCAGTTCCCCTCTCGGACCCTCATTAAGCTGCAGACACGTCTTCTGTTCCAGCCGCTGCAGCAAAGGTTCAGGCAGCACGAAGGTCTAGGAAGCAACGTCCCAGGCTTCCCGGGGATCGGCCAGGATGAAGTTCATCTCTGTTTCACCCAAGTACAGAGAGAAGCCTAGGAACAAGGATCTTACCCCTCAACAATAATCCTCTACGTTATTAAGCCAAATGGGTGCCGTCTGGGTGAAGTCTGTGCTGTTGGGGGCTGACTTCACAGCCTCCTGGGACGTGGGGTGAGGGTAGGGCCAGATTGACCCCAGGTTGCAGGTTGTTGAAGCTGGTGATGAGGTCATAGTGTTCCTTATACGATTCCCTGGACTTCTGAATGTGTCTGAAATTCCCCGTAATGAAAAATTTAAAAAGACATCACCCCCGCCCCCCAATAAAATCAAAACTCCCCCTCCTCCATCTTTCCCTGCTGTATATTTTCAAAAAAAACCCCATCATGTTGGGCACACTGCATCCCAATAACTTTAAAAGCAATATCTTTTGACCATAATGTCAGGATAACAGCAAGATTATTAGCAACTCACACAAGATGTGAAAGCAGTAATCTTGTTTTTCAACTTATTGTAGTGACTTAATGGTCATATATTTTATCCTGAAGCGTGGAAAATGAATATTGAAAGTGTATACTCCAACACAAAAGCTATTATTTTTAACATTCAACTTTATGTAGAGTACAAAAGTGTCGACTTTCATAAGGGAAGCAGGGAGACTAAACTTTATTGTTGTGGAGGATTTAGGAACAGACTCTAAAGCCAAAGGCAGTGCCTTTTGCACCCAGCTGAATATACCTAGACTCCCTGAGACCGAGTTTGGGGTTGTGAGGAGATACAGTGGCAGCAGCGTTTCTGCAAAGAGCTCCATGTCCTCCGTGATGACATCTCAATGCCTGCTTTTGGATGGACCCTTTGTGAAAGGGCCACCAGTTAGTTCTAACAT
This sequence comes from Homo sapiens, assembly GCF_000001405.40. Lineage (NCBI taxonomy): Eukaryota > Metazoa > Chordata > Mammalia > Primates > Hominidae > Homo > Homo sapiens. The sequence continues at coordinate 39,959,137 of NC_000023.11, read as the reverse complement.
GGCCACCAGTTCCAACAAGGCTGCCAATGAGGGCTGTTGAGTGCCTGCCAGGGACTACTGTCATTCTCAGAGTTCTGAGGGTAAATTGCTGATTCAGGCTGTGAGGAGCCACTCTCCTAAAAAAGAGGTCCAGTAGGCGTGTGCTCACAGGTGCAGAGATATATACTCTTGTGGCTGCTCCAAGAGACTGAAGGGAAGACGCTAGGCTGAGGCTCTAGAATGAAACACAGCCAGGCAAGGCCTGGCCCTGTGGGTTCCGCTGCTGGTTGAAGGTTTGTAGAAGCCACAGTCACGGCTTTCCTAGAAATGGGCCATCTTAGGAGTGAGGAGTGCTATAGGAGTGTTGAGGTCCACAAACGCTGGTGGGTTTGGGGGAGAAGAGGGCTCTTGGGGCAGAGGCAGGCTGTGGGTGGTGCATCTAGGTTGCCCCTGTCTGCAGGCTGCCTCTTGGATAGGCCAGTGAGCAGCCTGGAGAGCCCTAGGGTGGGCATGAGGGCAGGCTTCAGTGCAGGGGCTTCTGGGAACAAAGTTCAGAGGGTTCATAGTTCCTGCTCCCTCAGGTGGACACCAGCGGTGGGGAGTAAAGCCCTGTTCAGGGCTTTGAGGGAAGAGAGAAGTCTTCGGGAGGCTCATAAATACTTTGTACCATGGAATTGTGGGTGTGGAACCCAGGGACTATTAATAGCATGGGAGGCTCCTACTGTGAGCTGGCAAATCCCAGTGCACTCACATATCTGGGCCTCAGACATGACAAAGGCCTGAGGTACTCCTTGGCCCTGTCCCCACTCTGCCTGCTCTCAGGAAGCCATGCCTCTCCCAATATGTGTGCCCCAGTTGGGCCTCTGGGACAATGGTTCCCACAGGAAGGCAGCTCACTGCTGTAGCTTCCCGGTCCTCAGATTACTCACCTCCCTAACTCAGTCACTGCTCTCAGTCAGATCACATCACTCTCCTGCTCCAAGCCCTCCCGTGGCTCCCCATTTCCCTCAGATTAAAGCCCAAGTCCCTACTCTGACAAGGCCTTCCCTGATCTGACTCCTCTACCTCTCTGACCTCGTATCCTGTCACCCTGCACCCCGGGCCCCATCTGGCTCCACTTGATCTCATTGTCATTCCCAGAACACACCAGGCACATTCCTGCCTCAGGGCCCTTGCACTGGCTGTTCCCCCGTCTGACATGCCCTTCCTGCAGAAATCCTCATGGCTTGCTTGCTTAAGTCTCCTTCCCATTAGGCCTCCCCCAAACCACCTATTTAAATTGCAACCCCCCAACCCCATTCTTGTTTCCCCATAGCCATTACCATCACCTGCAATATGACATATTTGATGTGTTCTTGTTTATTGTCTATTTCTCCTTATTGAAATAGAAGCTCTAGGCAGTCAGGGGCTTTTCATCTCTTTCATTCACTGCTCCATTCCCAGAGCTCAAAACAGTACTTGGCACATGGAGGCACTCAGTAAATGCTTGTTGAGTGAATGAATGAATGAATGAATACATGAATGAATGAACACACTCATCCTTGGGCTTTTGGGCTGTTACTTTTCATTGGGCTCCTTTCTGTAGTCTCAGATGTACCTCATCCCTGGGCAAGTCTTTTCCTGCCTTTCTTCTCTGCAAGGCTTTTTTTTCTGGTTTTTTTTTTTCAGACAGAGTCTTGCTCTGTTGCCCAGGCTGGAGTGCAGTGGTGTGATATCGGCTTACTGCAACCTCCGCCTCCTGGGTTCAAGCAATTCTTGTGCCTCAGTCTCCTGAGTAGCTGGGACTACAGACGTGTGCCACCACACCCAGTTAATTTTTGGTATTTTTGGTATAGACAGAGTTTCACCTTGTTGCCCAGGCTGGTCTCGAATGCCTGAGCTCAGGAGATCCTCCTGCCTGGGCCTCCCAAAGTGCTGGGATTACAGGTATGGACCGTAACACCCGGCCTCTGGAAGGCTTCTTGTCTGAGACCTGTCTGTGCTCACTGCCCCGGGTCTGACTCCTTCCTCCATTGATCTCCTGATTCTGCTCTGGGCAGGCCCCTGACAGCTGATGTGCCCAGTATCACTCCCCTCCCTTCATCCCCTTGGCCCCTGCTCAGTGCTGGGCTCTCGACCTCTTGCATAATAGCCCTTCTCCAGGTTCCTGTGTGCCCAATCCCCACATTTCTTTCATGGCTTTGCCTATGGCTCAGCCCCTCCTACTGGCCTGAAGCTGTCTTCTTCTGCTGCTCCTGTCTCCTGGTGCTCTCTCCCTTTAGAGATCTCTTCCTTCAATCTCCTCAATCCAAAATCAGTGAGAAAAAGCCCAATAGTTGGGTGCATGGATTAGTTAACGAAGAAGAAAAAAAGCAATAAAAAAGGAGAAAAAGAATAAAGTCCAAGCCAGACGTGGCGGCTCATGCCTGTAATCCCAGTACTTTGCAAGGCCGAGGGGGGTGGATCACTTGAGGTCAGTTCGAGACCAGCTTGGCCAACATGGAGAAAACCCGTCTCTACTAAAAATACAAAAATTAGCCAGGCATGGTGGTGTGCACCTGTAATCCCATCTACTTGGGAGGCTGAGGCAGGAGAATCGTTTGAACCTGGGAGGTGGAGGTTGCAGTGAGCCGAGATCGTGCCACTGCACTCCAGCCTGGATGACAAAGCGAGATTTTGTCCGGTGCAGTTTCTCCCCTGTGGTGTCACCTCTGTTGATGGCCGAGTCATTCTCCTGGGCATTCAAGCTGAAAATCACCATCATCATTGGTGTCCCCATCCCTGAGTGGTAATGTTGGATCACCTCTTTGGTGGCTCTGTGACTGTCTTCTTTTGGCTATTCTCGTGCCAGTGTGCTGCTTCAGGCATTGCTCACCCTTCCCCTGGGAGACCCCAAAAACTGTCAGATGGGGCCCTCTGCAGCCAGCATGAGCCTGCTGGAACCAAATTGTATCCAATTACCCTGGATTAGTGGGAGTCTAGCCAAGAGAAGAGAAACCACTCCAGGTATTAAAATATAAGGAATAGAATCCTGGAAACTGGCTTCACAGATGCTTGAGAAGCTGAAAAGCCAAATAGGGGACAGCGAGGTCCCCTATAACCCAGAGGTTAGCTATGGCAGCTAGCATCCCTTAGGGCTGGAAGGACAAAGGGGAAAGGAAGCACTAAGGGGACGTGGGAGCTGGAGTCAACTGACGGGAGCTGGAACCACACAGAAGATGCAGGAGAAGCAAATGATGCTAGAGATGCTGCCCAAGGCAAAGGGAATGGGGAGAAATACCCTGATTTCTCCCTCTTCCTGCCCTCTGGCTCCCACCAGTGTACCCCATTGGCTGAACCATAATAGAGGCCACTTGCAAAGGAACCTGGGAAATGTAGTTTCCTGTTGCACCAAGCAGAGCAAGAGAAGGGAAGGAAATGGATCTCAGAAGAGACAAACGACAGATACTCCCTGGCCAAGAAGCCTTCTGTAGTTCCCCTCTATCCACCAAATAAACTCCAGACTCCTCAGCCTGACTTTCTGCTTGCTCTGGGAACTATTTCTGTTCGCTTTGCTAGGCTTGTCTGCCATTGCCTCTGCGTGTTCTCACTAAAGGTGGATGATGCTGGGACCCTGCTTCTGGCATCTGCCCACCTCTGGACCTTTCCTCACTCAGCATCCTGTACCCAGAGTGCTTTTCCTTCCAGTCAGGCTTGTTGCAATCTTGCCCAGACTTGTACTGCCCAGGTGAAACGCCACCACCTTCATGAAGCCTTCCTGACCAGCACTTCCAGCCCCACCTCCACACAAACAAACGTTCTTTTTATTCTTTCCCAGCACTTCCTGGGTTGATGCCTCGCCTCGTTTCTTCCTGTATCACAGTTATTAATGGGCTTGTCTCGGCTTCCCATTAGACCGCAGGCTTCCTAAAAGGCTTGTTCAAAATGAAGCCTCCACAGCGCCTTGCACCTAGAAAGGGCTCACTGCATTTTAGTTTAATGAATGAACAAATAAGTCGCAAGCAACACATCAGCAGGTTGCAATGCCCAGTCAATGTAGGGGAATTAATTTTGACTTTGGCAATCCATGCCTTGGGGGGTGTGACAAGGCCCCAGGAAATGCGAGGTGGGGAGTCGCTCAGGGCGGGGAGCAGATGTCCACATTCTGCTTTGTTATTACTTCAGCTTATTGGTCCAGGTTTTTTCTTTTAGACAGAAAAGAATCCGCCCATGTTTTCATGTTGTTCTCATTGAAATACACCCACAGGCGTTGAAACGAACCCACTGGTGAAGTGCAAGGAGAGAGAGGGCAGCCCGTTTGTTTCTTCACTAAGGTTTGGGGCTGCAGCTTATGGGCCGGAATTCCCAGGGGCTCCAGCGCAGGAAGCTGAGGGCAGAATGAGGGAGTCGGAGAAACTGGTGGTGAGCTTCTCCTTAGGTAAATGGTCGAAGCAGTGGGGGGTTGGGGAGATGCTTTGGCGCTGGAGCTTTTAAAATGTGACTGTGAATTCACGTTTGTAGGAAGCCTTTTTCAAATGCTTTCCTTTTCCCTTCAGGGAGTTGCAGAGGGTGTGAAGGGTGCGGTGCGGAGCTGGGTGGAAGGCAGAGGTGGCTTGGGCTGGGAACCCCTATTTCAGGCTGTTCATTTGTTCGGTGGTTCAGTTCCTTCCTTCCTTCATTTGTTCATTCATACATTGAATAAATGTGAATTGATGATCCACCAGAACGATAAGACTTTTGGAGCCAGTAGTCTAAGCTCTGTATTTGGAAAAGGAAGGCTCAGAAAGGTGTGCTCCAAGTGACCTGCTCCACGTCACACAACCAGTTACGAGCTGTGGTAAGATTTGAACCTTCATCTCGTGCTTCCCAGTCCAGCGCTCCCAGGGCTTTGTGGGGGCTGCTAAGGGGACCCCAATGGGCCCTTTCCTGGCACACTTTGTTTTAAGCTGAGTTCTTCCAGTGGGTGAAGAAATGTGGCTCCCTCTGAACTCACAACTGAACCTGTCCTCAGTGCCCTGCCCCGGTGCAGTGCAGGTCTCTGATGGGGCTGCTGCACAGACCGCACTCTGTGCTCAGTGTTTATAAAGCCGCGTCAGCCTTGGGTGTGGACAGGAGTGACCTGTGCTGTCTAAACAAACCGCGAGCTTCTGGCGGCCTGCCTGCCTGCCTGCCAGGGTGCATGTGACGTTCTCTGGCCAAGCGAGGTTGGTTCGATTGGAACTCCTGGCTTTGCTCCTTTTGAGTGCAGCAGTGTGTAAATGTAGGTCTGAGCCCTTTAGTGCCCCAGAGGGAGCAGAGGCTGGCTATCATCTAAGATGCAAAGGTGCGTGGTTTCCCATCATGTTACTGCCAGCTCCTTCCACCTCCCCCGAGCTATTCCTTCTTTCTTTCCTGTTTCTCTTAATCACCAAGGGACAAAGAAGAGACCTGTCGTCCAAAAAATCCAAGCAGATGTCACCTACGAGAAACCACAGGAACAGGCAGATTTTAGTAAAATGAAGGCCTAGCAGCTGCTTTCAAAGACTCTGCCCCTAAATAATGCAACTTCGGTTTGTCATTCCAGATGTATGTTTGAAAAATCAGGCTTAAGTCTGTCATTTTAAATGGCTTTTTAAATGACACAGAAATTTTACTATTTTTAGGTCAAATACCTTGCAGAAGTTGACATTTTAAGGTTTGGCTATGTGTGAAAACATCCAAAGGGAAACGTGTGCTTTCTTTTTTCTAGAAACAATAAACAGGATGAGTGGCCTTAGTTTATTTGTGCACGTTCTTACCTCTCTTGTATTTGCATCTCCAGTGTTTATTGGTGTGATTCTTCAGGCATACACTCAACATGGCAGATGTCACCTGAAGGCCGCCCTTTAGAGATGAGGTCCCCACAAATAAGAGCAGGTCATTAGACTAGAACCGCCTTTGTTCCCTTAACTACAGTGTTTTCTGTCTCCACACAGAGCACACTATATATAAAGCCATAACCATTCAGAGTCACACATGGACTATATAAAGGCACTGCTGAGAGATGAAAGATGTTTTTAACCCCTTCCTCTCAGGCGTCTGTGGCAGCTGCAACCACTCAGTTTTAGAATGTGCCAAGTTCTGTTCTGGGCTGCAGTGGGGTTGTGGGGGTGGGGGTGGTGGAAGAGGAGGAGGGAGCTGTGAATGAAGCAGCAAGGTGAGAGGAGTGGTTCTCCCACCCCAACCCTCACTCCCTCTTTCTTGCCTCAGTTTAGAGCTGCTGGGAATCCCCCAGGGATAAGGGTGACAACAGAGAAGGAAGCGTAACAGCAATGGACAGGACTGTAGGGGCAGCCTTCTGTGATTTTAGACTGGGTCCCTGTACTCTGCAGTCTCTTCAGGGATGTTAGGGCACTTGAAACTACAGGGTAAAGGTGGCAGCGCTTCCTGGAGGATCAATTGTATTGGATTTGAAGTGATTGTCAATGTCGCTCTTCTATTCAAACAAGCACAGGGCCCTCTGATGGAATAGAATGTAGATGGACATGAACAGCGATGCCAAACATGGTACATCAAGACGTGCCCAGCCTGCTGAGGTGCCACTTTGGACTCTACCTTGACACCCTTAGAAGGCTGTTAACGCCTTTTGGTGACAAAGATTAAGAAACCCTGCCCCAGGCTGGTTGCTGTTGCTCACACCTGTAATCCCAGCACTTTGGGAGGCCGAGGCAGGCGAATCACAAGGTCAGGAGTTCGAGACCAGCCTGGCCAATATGGTGAAACCCTGTCTCTACTAAAAATACAAAAATTAGCTGGGCACGGTGGCAGGTGCCCCTAGTCCCAGCTGTTCAGGAGGCTGAGGCAGGAGAATCGCTTGAACCTGGGAGGTGGAGGTTGCAGTGAGCCGAGATTGCACCATTGCACTCCAGCCTGGGCCATAGAGCGAGACTCCATCTCAAAAAAAAAGAAAGAAAGAAAGAAAGAAAGAAACCAACCTTGCCCTAAATAATATGCTAAATGCAGTATAACATAGAAGTGCTTTAGTGCAAGGAACACGGCTGGGGTTGAAGGCCTGGCTCTGCTGCTTACTAACTGTGTGACTTGGGGTGAGTTACTCCACCTTTGTGAGCCTCAGTTTCTTCCTCTGTAAAATGGGGCTGGTACCAGCTCCTTTCTTAGAGAGTGTTTGTGAGGATTAAAATAAGAAGATGCACTGGAGTGTCTGGCCCCTGGCCCCTAGAAAAGGCTCCATGAGAGCTAGTAATTATTTTGGTTCAATTGTAGGATATGTGGAAATACTTGATCTGTCAGCTTTTGCTCAGATGGGCATATGCTGTGGCCGAAGTGGGAATTGGCCAAGTCTGATTGACTGGAGGCTGACATTCTCATGGCCATCTCTTTTCCAGAAGTGCAGGAAGAGAGAATGGTGTGGGCCTACTGGCCCAGTATTCTGCCCAGGTGCCTACCCTTGAGAACCCCCAGAACCGTGCTCTCCCATTTTGAGCTGACATCCCTGTGGGAACTTCCTTTGGCAATGGAAACCGTTCAGTTTGAGCCCAGCCCCTGGCAGGGCCCACCATAGCCACTGGGCTTGTGTAACAGCCTCACTCCTGTGAGGGCACCACTGTGGGAGTACAGAGGATGCCCAGATGGGCAGTGCAGAAAATGCTGTCACAACACGCCCTGGGCCCTTAGAGGCATAGTAGTAATAACAGCTCAGGCTCCCTCATCCCTGAACTCTGCCCACATCCCAAGGCTACTCTGCTCTGCCCATTTCTTCTGCATGACCTATATGGTTGCTTTTGAGAAAAGCCACGTTCTGCTTCTGAAACTTGCTGTCCTTGATAATATGTCCCATGCAAGGGGAGAGAAGGGTGGGGGAGCCCAGCTGGACAGGTGTGAGGAAAGGGGGAAACAGCTGGTGGACAACTCTGCCCTGCACTAGACACTGTGGTGCTTTGAAAGATACATCCATATGTTTTTTGATACTCTTCCTCTCAGGAGGGAAGCCAGCGGCCATGTGGTGAGGGTACTCAAGCGGCCTATGGGGAACCCCACATGGTGAAGACTGAGGCCTCCTGACAACAGCCACATGAGGGAGCCATCTTGGAAGCAGATTATGCAGCCCCAATTGAGCCTTCAGATGACTGCAGCCCTAGCCCACACCTTGGCTGAAACCTCATGAGAGATCTTAGGTCAGAACAACTGAGCCTAGCTACTCCCAGATTCCTGACCCACAGAATCTGTGAGATAATAGCGTGCGTGATTTTAAGCTGCATAAATTTGAGCTAATTTATTATGAAGTAATAGATAACCTTCTCCTTGTCCTTTAAGATGTCATTTGAAAGTTTCCAGGGCTAGGTGTGGTGGCTCATGCCTGTAATCACAGCACTGTGGGAGGCCGAGAACGGTGGATCACTTGAGGCCAGGAGTTTGAGACTAGTCTGGCTAATATGGCAAAACCCTGTCTGTACCAAAAAAAAAAAGAAAAAGAAAAAAAAATGTTTCAAGGACTTCACTGATGTCTTTCCTTTATTCCTGGCTTATGATGATGTTGGAAGCTTGAAAAAGAAGATGAGAAGATGTGTGGTTTTGGAGTACGGCAGCAATGCCGTGGGCATACACACCAAGCATTTTCTACTGGTTATGTCATGTAAGCATCTCAACCACCCTGTGGGAAGGTATTAATAGTCCCATTTTATAGATGAGAACACTGAGGCTCGGAAAGGTTAAGACCTTTGCTCAAGAATACCCAGCTAGATTTGCAGCCTGGTTGTTGAGGCAGCAAGCCTGTGTTTCTTGATTGATAACAGGCTGTCTCTGGGAATAAAGCAGCTAGGTCAAGGTTTGGGTTTTGCTTCTGAATAACCCCATGGCTTTTAGCAAGTCACTAATCTGTGGGGCCCTTTTTCTTCTTGAAAGGACCTCTTTCCCATTCCTTGTAGCCAGAGGGGGTGTCATAGTGCCTCATCCTCCTGTAGCCACAGGAATGCAGCATGTGTCTCTGGCCTGGCCAATCAAATTGTCCTATTTCCCTGATAGCAGTGATTGGTTAAGGGATGAGCATGTGATTCTAGACAGGCCAGTCAAAATCTTCCTCAGAGTATCTCTGCCACAGTCAATAGGGAGGGAGGCTCTTTTTTTGTGCTGGGACTGCTAAGCTGGGAGGATGTGAATCTGGTGCTACCTGGGTTGGCAGGTCTGCCTGTCTACAGAGTCAGATAGAGCCAAGCCATGGAGGAAGGCAGAGCTCTGGATCCACTTGAGCCTCTGAATCCAGCTATACCTGAAGCCATTCCTCTCCCTTGACTCCTTGGTTACAAGAGTCAGTAAAATCCTATCCCACTTCTTTTTGTCCTTTTTTTCCCGCTTTGGTCTCAGCTAATTTGACTTGGCTTTGTGTTTCTTGCAATACAGTGGGCAAACTTGGGAGTTGCCTTTAGCATCTTGGAGCAGCAGAGCGTAGCTCCTGTATATGGTGACCAAGCGTGGCAGGAACTGATGGTGCCCTGCTGGCCCATGCTGGGGGTCATGGCAGGCTGTTCGCTTACAGGCCAGTGGCTTCCTGCATTGCTCTGCCTGAGGCGTTCTCTGGCTCCGGGACCATGCTTAGCCTGCATATGGTGGGGCTGGGGTGGGCTGAGCTAGGCAATTCTAAAATGCCAGGGAATTAATGTCTCAGGAACGACCCTCTTCTAATGAAGAATGGAGGTGAATGGATACCTACCCTGGCTCCATTGCCTCCGGGGACAATCTAGTGGCATGCTCTACACAGTCTCTCTGAAAGTCCCCAGAAGGACTGAGTCAGCCTGTACTCAAATCCTTATATCAGGGTCTGCTTTGGAGGGAGCCCTTCTAGGATGTCAATATCGAATTTTGATTTTTCTGGAGCTGACTGATCTGGAGATATCTATATTAATTGGAAAGACTGAAATGGCACGATTCGGCCTCAGCAATTTAGTGAGTTCAATATCTCCCATATTGGACATGGGTTTAAGACAAGCAGGAATATCAGGGGTCTGAGGCTCCACGAAAATGCAGCAGCCATTTTTGCAGTGGATGTTGGTGGGACAAATGGGGTTGGAGCATTTGGGCAATTTGGGGTTGCTTCAGTTTGGTGCTTGGTGGGGTACCTGCATCCTCCCATGCGCCCAGGCTCCAGAAGCATCTTTGTACAGACAGGAGACAGGAGCACTTCAGATTACAGCCGGAGACATGCCTGGTTTCCAGCCGTTGGTCTTGTTTGCCTTTCCCTCTGCCTTTGTTACTGCTCCTTCCTTTCGCTACTCCCGTTTAGTTATGTTTAAACACTTCCTGTGTCGCCACCTCAGCAGAGAGGCTGGAGAGCCTGTGACAGTGTGGCTTCCACTTCGTCTCCCCCTGCAAGGCCTTGAGCTCCTAGGCTCAGTGACGGTTCTCCCTGGGCCCCAGCAAAGAGTTGCATCTGTGGGTGGGGGAATAGTTGGCTGGCACAGCTCAGCCTCGCGTCTGCTTTCTCTCTTCCCCGGCAGCTCCCGGAGACTCCCAGTGGGTCCTCCCTGATCCCCCTCCCCTTCTTCCTGGTCACTTCCGCAGTGGCATCTGGGCCACAGACATTGTTTTCTCCTAATTGCATTTCACCCAAGGAGAGCTACGCTAATAGAGGGACTGCAGGAGAGGGGCCTGGCAGAGCTTGGCAGAGTGTCTGTAGCTTCTGCACAGGACTTTGAGAAAAAAGAAAAGGTTTATCAGGGGTACCACTGCCCCCTTCCCACTCTAAGGGCGTGTGCCACTGTAAGGGGAAGGGGGCAGTGGTACCCCTGATAAACCTTTTGTGGTACCCCTAATGAGCCTTTTTTCTGTATTTTTTCTTTTTCCTTGAGATATAAAGATCAGCTTCCAGTGCACTAAATGTGCAGCTTGATAAAAATATTTTTTGTTTGTTTGAGACGGAGTCTCACTTGGTCGCCCAGGCTGGAGTGCAGTGGTGCGATCTGGGCTCACTGCAACCTCCGTCTCCCGGGTTCCAGCGATACTCCTGCCTCAGCCTCCCTAGTAGTTGGGATTACAGGTGCCCGCCACCATGCCTGGCTAATTTTTGTATTTTTAGTAGAGATGGGGTTTGACCGTGTTGGCCAGGCTGGTCTCGAACTTCTGACCTCAGATGATCCGCCCGCCTTGGCTTCCCAAAGTGTTGGGATTACAGGCATGAACCACTGCGCCCGGCCAATAAATTTTTATGTATGTCTATACCTCTGATAAAAATCATATCAGAGAACTTCCCCATCATTCCAGAAGGTTCCCTGGTGCCCTTTCCTGTTAGTACTCCCACCCACAGAGGCAACCACTATTCCTCTATCACCATAGACCTGTATCACCATAGATTGAGTGCCAGCTTTTTCACTGTAAAATGGAATCATCCAGCACTGTTTGCTTCTGTGTCTGGCTTCTTTTTTTTTTTTTCAGAGACAGGGTCTTGCTCTGTTACCCAGGCTGGAGTGCAGTGGTACAATCACGGCTCACCACAGCCTTTACTTCCTGAGCTCAAGTGATCCTCCCACCTCTGCCTCCTGTGTAACTGAAACTATGGGCATATGCCACCATGCCCAGCTAATTTGAAAATTTTTTTGTAGAGAGGATCTTGCTTTATTGTCCAGGCTGGTCTGAAACTCCTGGCCTCAAGCTCTCCTCCCATCTTGGCTCTCTAAAGTGCTGGGATTACAGGCGTGAGCCACTGCCCCTGTCCTTGGGTCTAGCTCCTTTCACCCCACGTCATCTCTGTGAGTGTGAGTTGTGCTGTGTGTCACAATAGTCTTCCTCCAGTTTTTTGTTGAGATTTTGTTTCATTCCGTTCCTCACCATCAATGGGCTGAAAATTAAGGCCCTGCAGGGGATACAAAGCCAGTGACATGCAGATCCAGTTTTGCCCCTATCCATAACCCAGGAGGCAGGCACCTTCACTCCCAACACCGGGAGGCCCATCTGCCAATTCTGCCAAACCCCGGCTCAGGAGGTTGATGCAGCCATGGCATCGGATTCCTTGTCTATTCCAAGCTGCCGGGGCCAGCCACCTTGGGTTGGAAGCTTTGCTGACTTCTTAAGATGCAGGAGGAGCCTAGAGCAGTCCCAGATATGGGGTGGGGCTTGGAAATAATAAGTTATGATTACAAACATGCCTATGGTGGCAGAAGAGAAAAGTCACTGAGGTCTGGTGACTCTTCCACCACAGAGAAGCCTTTCCTTTCCTTCCTGGATTCCTGTGGTGGCCCCTGACAGCTGCCCCATGCAGGGTTTCCTTTCCTCTGATTCACCAGCTCGCTGCCGTCAGCCCGGATCCCAGGGTCTGCTCTTGTTCTGTCACTCCTCTGCTGACAAACCTTCAGTGGCTCCCTACTCCCTGCTCAAGCCTGCACTCCTCCTGACATTGAATTAAGAATCTCCAGAGACTGAACCGAGTGGCTCTCCCTTTCTGTTCTGCCATTACTCTTGGGTGGAAGCTACCTCCCTTTTTGAGCAGCTGAGACTCTGAGCTGGGATTGTGTTGATGAGCGTGATCTAGTTCTCTCTCTGCTTTTGACCTGCTGATCTTAGGAGCTCCTCTTCTCTTTTCCACTTCTCCAAGAGTTGTCTGGCTAGCCCAGCCTGCCGTGTGTAGCCTTGGTTCCCAGTATCACTTCATGGACCAAGAGGCCTGCTGCAGATCCAGCCATCATGACTTCACTCCAGGCCATGAGAAGGAGGAAAGGGAAGGAGGAGGTGCTGCCTCCTTTCAGGGTTAGTAATAATAATAATAATAATAATAATAATAATAATGATAGCAGCAAATCCCTATGCATCATTTACTGTGTGCCAATTGCTGTTTCAAGTACACTTGGGCTAAGTGCGGTGGCTGTAATCCCAGCACTTTGGGAAGCTGAGGCCGGAGGATCACTTGAGGCCAGGAGTTCATGACCAGTCTGGGCAACATAGTGAGACCCCATTTCTACACAAAATTTAAACAAATTCACTAGGTGTGGTGGTATGTGCCTATAGTCTCAGCTACTCAGGAGGTTGAGGTGGGAGGATTGCTTGATCCCAGGAGTTGGAGGCTGCAGTGAACTATGATTGTGCCACTGCACTGCAGCCTGGGTGACAGAGTGAAATCCTGTCTCAAAAGCAAAACAAAACAACCCCTCCCTGCAAAAAAAAAAAAAAAAAAAAACCCAAAAAACAAAAACAAACCAAACAACCCCCCTGCAAAAACCCCCCCAAAACCAAAGAAAAACCAAGTGCACTTAATTCTCATGTAACTCTATGAAGTAGCTACTATTATTAGCCCCATTTTACAAATGAGGAAAGGAAGGCACAGAGAGGTTAAGTAACTTGGGCAGATCACACAGCTAGGAAGTGTTTGAGCCAAGATTTGAATTCAGACAGTCTCATGCCAGTGTCTGAGCTCATAAGCCCTCTGTTGTGCTCCTCACTTCCCAGGAGTGATAGTACACTCCTGGGATAGTACACTCCTTTTACAACCCAGTGACCAGAATTTGGACCATACCTAACTGCAAAGGAGCCTGGCAAATGTAGTCTTTGTTCAAGGTGGCTATATACGCAGGTAAAATTTGGGAGTAATCCAACTGAGGAAGAAGGCAGAACAGATCAATCCCTGACCCAGGTGGCTATTGTCATTTACTGCATGGCCTTGTTTATTCAGTTAGACCACAAGCTTCTTGAAGTTGGGCTCCTAGTCCTCAAGAAGGTGTCTCATGGGGGCCCTGAGTGGGAAATGGCCTCCTTTACTTGCTGTTGAATTTTTTTTTTTTTTGAGATGGAGTCTTGCTCTGTTGCCCAGGCTGGAGTGCAATGGCGCCATCTTGGTTCACTGCAACCTCTGCCTCCCAGGTTCAAGTGATTCTCCTGCCTCAGCCTCCTGAGTAGCTGGGATCACAGGCATGCACCACCAAGCCTGGCTAATTTTTGTATTTTCAGTAGAGAAGGGGTTTTACCATGTTGGCAACGCTGGTCTCGACCTCCTGACCTCAGGTGATCTGCCCATCTCGGCCTCCCAAGGTGCTGGGATTACAGGTGTGAGCCACTGTGCCCGGCCGTTGACTTTGAATCCAGAGCAGCTCCTTCTGTGACCCAGAATAACCCCACGGCAAGGATGACTTCATAATCAGTGAACTGACGGATAGTCTGCGTTTCTTTTCTTTTCTTTTTTTTTGAGATGGAGTCTTGCTCTGTCACCCAGGCTGTGCAGTGGCATGATCTGGGCTCACTGCAACCTCCGCCTCCCGGGTTCAAGTGATTGTCCTGCCCCAGCCTTCCAAGTAGCTGGGACTACGTGTGCCATCATGCCCGGCTAATTTTTGTATTTTTAATAGAGACGGGGTTTCACTATGTTGGCCAGGCTGGTCTCGAACTCCTGATCTCAGGTGATCCGCCTGCCTCGGCCTCCCAAAGTGGTGGCATAAGAGGCATGAGCCACCGCGCCTGGCTGATAATCTGCGTTTCTATGTGAAAGGTCCCATGTACGGAATGTCAGTAGAGTGCCTATGACGACTCTTTTCATTTTGAAACTGTCTCTTGGCTTGGCTTCCAGGACACCACTGTGTCTGGGTTTCCCTCAGGGGCCTTGGAGGCTCCCTCTTTGTCTCTCTTCCTTGACTTCCTCCTTGGCTGACCACTATGAGTTGGTCCATTGTAGGTCTCAGTCTTTGGGCCCTTGTGTTCCTATCTTGGCCTCTCTCTCCCTGTGATCTCATTTCCCCTCATGACTATTTATTTGTTTATTTTTGAGGCAGGGTCCTGGCTCTGTTGCCCAGGCTGGAGTACAGTGGTGCAATCACAGCTCACTGCAGCCTCGACCTCTTGAGCTCCTGTGATCCTCCCCCCTCAGCCTCCTGAGTAGCTGGGACCACAGGCATGTGCCACCACACCTAACTAATTTTTTGATTTTTCTGTAGTGATGGAGTCTCCCTATGTTGCCCAGGCTTTGTCATGGCTTTTAAAATGCTGCCCATTTACTAATAACTGGAGACCAGACCTCTTCCCAGAATTCCAAATACCACAGCCTATCTGCCTATTGACATCCCATGTGGTGGTTTCACTGGTGTCACAAACCCCACGTGTCCAAAGTGGAACACCTGATCTCCACACCCCCAGCCCTAACCTACTTCTCTAGTGTTTCCCACCATAGTCAATGGCTTCTCCAGCCCTCCAGTGTCTCCTTCTAGAAACCTGGGGGCCATCCTTGATACCTCATTCAACTCAGCTCTAATCCCTGACCATCTTACCTGCAGCAAGTCTCTCAAGTCCATCCACTTATCACCATGGCCATTGTCCCTTCCTCATCCAGTCGCCTGCCTCTCTCTCCAGGACCACTGTATCAGCCAGTCACTGGGTCGCCCACATTCACTCCTCCAATCCATTCTCCACAGTGCAGCATGAGAGACCTCAAAAAACTGATAAGCAAAGGCAAATCTGATCATCCACTCTCCTGCCCACTGCCCTTCAGTGACTCCCGAGTGCATGTGCACAGTATGCCCACGTGGCCCATAAAATCTAGGTGCTCTAAGTCCTCCCTGTCTCTTCAATTACATCGTCAGCCTTCTTCCAGTTACAGCTGCTGTAGAGCAAAGCACCCCAAACTTAGCAGCATAAAACCACCACCATTTTCTTATGCTCACAGATTTTATGGGCCAGGGATTTGCACAGGGCATCATGGGAACAGCTTATCCCTGCTCCCTGATGTCCAGGGCCTCAGCTGGAAGCCTCGAAGGCTGGGGGCTGGGGCCATCCAAAGGCTTGTGCACTCACACGGCAGGAACCTGGCATGGGATGACTTGAAGACTAGGACTGCTGATTAGAGCACCTACGCTGACCTCTCCGTGTGTGTTGGGCTTCCTCACAGCATGGCAGCTTCAGAGCAGTTATACTTCTTTAGTGGTGGCCCAGGGACCCAAGCACCTATGTTCCAGCAAAAAAGGTCCAAGCTGATTTTCCTTTCTGACCTAGCTTTGAAAGTCGGCCAGGTACAATGGCTCACACCTGTAATCCCAGCACTTTGAGAGGCTGAGGTGGCCAGATCACCTGAGGTCAGGAGTTCGAGACCAGCTTGGCCAACATGTTGAAACCCCGTCTCTACTAAAAATACAAAAATTAGCCAGGCATGGTGGCACATGCCTATAATCCCAGCTACTCGGGGAGGCTGAGGCAGGAGAATCTCTTGAACCTGGGATGCGGAAGTTGCAGTGAGCCAAGATTGTGCCACTGCACTCCAGCCTGGGTGACAGAGCAAGACTCTGTCTCAAAAAAAAAAAAAAAAAAAAAAGAGTCACATGGTGTCTCTTCCACCTGGATTCAAGGGAAGGGGACATAGACCCCAACTCTTCATTGGAGGAAGAATGCCAAAGTCACATTGTGGAACAGCGTGCTTTAGAAGACACCCCTTGCCACATGTCCCTTCCTCCTTGCTCTCTTGCCCCTGCTACTCTGGCTTTTTGGTCTCCTCAAAGCTCCAAACTTTTCCCTTCCTCTGCCACTCTGCATCTGCTATTCTCCCTTTTCTCCCCCTGGCTAGCTGTAGCTCCTGGCTGAAATGTCGCTATAGCCTGCCATCTGAAGCAGGTCCCCGTTCTATTCCTCCATTGTTTTCATGACTATTCCCCTTCATACTTTCCATAGCTTCTAATTGTAGGTGCTTTTGCATGTTTAGTTGTTGAGTTTCTGTCTCCAACGCCATAATGTAAGCTCCACCAGCGTGGGGGCCAAGCCTGTTCCGTTCACTGCGGTGTCACCAGAGCAGAACATGGGGACTGGCATGCAGAGGAGAAACCTTTAGAGTCTTCAGGCAGGTTTTGGGGAAGAACTGTCCACAGGCTATGACCTGTTATGCAGGGCACTCTACACCGGGCCTATCTCAGGGGACGGAGTGGTTTTTTGGGGGTGGAATGGGGAGGATGAGCTGAAAAGGAGATGATCACAAGAGAGGCAGTGTCTGTCTCAGTTCTGGTCCCTCCCTCTGAGGCTGGTGATGCCAACAGACCCAGGGAGCCTGCACTGTGCCTGCTCCCCTCCCCAGCCCCTCTGCACCTTTTCACTGGGCTCATTCACTTTGGCCTCCCTGATCCACCATTGCTTTGTACCCATTGTATCTCCTGCTAGGCACACCTTTCTTACTCCCCCACTAGTAAACTCTAGAACTTTCCTGGCCCTCCCAAGGCTGCATTAGGCTGCCCTTCACCTTCCTTCCCTAACTATTCATGCATATGATCACTGGCTTGGAGGCTTTTTGAAGACAAGGTCAGGGCCCATGGCAAGCCCCATAAATGGTGGGTGATAAATGGGCCACACTGTCTGGGTGGTGCTCAGGCTGTCCACAGCCCCTCAGCTCTGCTGTGGGTGGGACTTTTGTTTTGGAGATCAGTCCTGGGCCCCCTGTAGGCTTTGGGTGGGCTAGGTGGGGGAGGAAGATCTGGAAGCCAAGTTAGTCTTCCAGTGGGGGGCCTGGCCTTATTAGAATGCCTTCGTCTTGACTCAGACCGGAAGTCGCTTGTTCCTGCATAATTATGTTAAGCTTTTATGATGGGGATCTGGGCGGCCTGCAGCAGCATTTTGCAGGAGCAGACTGCATTCCTGGTGTCTGGGTTTACCTTCCCTCTCAGTCTGTGGCCTGGAATGCTGGGTCTGTGGACAGGTCCCCTGCCAAGCCCAAGTCTAGCTGTGGGGTCCCCCTGCCTGGCAGTGTGAGTTGCCAGGGGTACGTTCATGATTGACTGACTCCTGCCTGCTGCGCAAGGAGGTGGAAGCCTGGGCCAGAAAGATGGTCAGATTCCCCCTTTTCCAGCTGACACCTGGTTTGAGGGCACTGACCCAGCCTGCAGGAACCTCCTGGCACAGCACTGACTAGGGGGCCCCAGGCCTCTTGACCTGGGCATCACACCCAGGTTCACCCTGTGCTTTTCCCCCCAGGTACTAAGATGGCTGTTTGCTTCACACATGCAGCTGGTGTGTGTGTGTGTGTCTATGTAGAGGGTCTTTCTTTCTTTTTATCTTTCTTTTTTGCAGAAACCTGTTTCTTGCTATGTTGCCCAGGCTGGTCTTCAATTCCTGGCCTCAAGCAATCCTCCCGCCTCGGCCTCCCAAAGTGCTGAGATTACAGGCATGAGCCACCACATCCAGCTCCTTTCTTTTCTTTTCTTTTTTTTTTTTTTTTTAAGACGGAGTCTCGCTGTGTCACCCAGGCTAGAGTGCAGTGGTGTGATCTCGGCTCACTGCAACCTCCGCCTCCTGGGTTTAAGAGATTCTGCTGTCTCAGCTTCCCAAGTAGTTGGGATTACAGGCGCCTGCCACCATGCTGGGCTAATTTTTGTATTTTTAGTAGAAGTGGTTTTCATCATGTCAGCCAGGCTGGTCTCGAACTCCTGACTTCAATCTGCCCTCCTTGGCCTCCCAAAGTGCTGAGATTACAGGCGTCAGCCACTGCGTCCAGCTCCTTTCTTTCTTTTTAAATAGCTTCTTTAAAAAAATTGTAATCAGTGCTAGCATAAAATTAGAACATAATCTCACAGTCTACAGAAAAATAAATACCAGGTAGATTAAAAATCTAAACATTATAAAAAACTATAAAAACCTGGGATGAAATCTTATGGTGGATTATGTAATAATCATGGGGGTAGGAAGGCCTCCCAAACACAAATAACCCACAGCATGTGAGAAGATGCTCACCCTCACTTTTAGGCAGAGAAATGCACATCCGAGCAGCAACAGGATGCTGTTTTTTACCCATCACGTTGGCAAAAAGAAAAGAATGGTATTGGAGATGGTAGAAAGAAAGAGGCACTCTCAGCCAGGTGCGGTAGCTCACGCCTGTAATTGTAGCACTTTGGGAGGTTGAGGTTGGCAGATGACTTGAGTCCAGGAGTTTGAGACTAGCCTGGCCAACATGGTGGAACCTTGTCTCTACTAAAAATACAAAAATTAGCCTGGTGTGGTGGTGTGCGCCTGTAGTCCCAGTTACTTGGGAGGTTGAGGCAGGAGAATTGTTTGAGCCTGGGAAGCAGAGGTTACAGTGAGCTGAGATTGCGCCACTGCACTCCAGCCTGGGCGACAGAGCCAGACTCTGTCTCAAAAAAAAAAAGAAAAAAAAAAGAAAAAAAAAAAAGAAAGAGGCACGCTCATGCTGCCTGTGAGGATTTAAGTTGGGGCAGCCTCTTTGGAGAACAATTCTACCATATTTGTGCATTTAAATGTGGTCATAGCCTTTGGCCCAGAATTTCTACTTTTAGGTCTCATTCCTTCAAACCAACATGAGCAGACAGGCATATATCCAGGAACGTTTACAGCATCATTGTTTTATGACAAAAATTGCGAAGCAACCTATATGTCCAGTAGAAGGGGATGGTTACATAAATAAGCAATATCCATGTCATGAAATACTATATAACAGTTAAAAAGTATAATATGGACTGAGATAGAATGTCCTTCCAGAAATGAAGTGAATAAAAGCCAATTGCAAATCCATATGTATAGCCTGAGTTCATTTGTACATAACAATCCCTGTGTGTGCTTATTAACACAGAGAGAAAGGCCATGAGCCCTACGGCCAGGCTGCAGGCATGGTCCCTCTAGGGAGAAAAGCTGTATCAGGAAGCAGAGTGATGGGAGAGTTTCACCTTTTTTTTCTGGGAATTGTTTGCTTTTTAAAATAAGCACACATTACTTGTTTTATTATTATTATTATTTTTTATGACGGAGTTTCACTCTATTGCCCAGGCTGTAGTACAGTGGCGCCATCTTGGCTCAATGCAATCTCCGCCTCCCGGGTTCAAGGAATTCTCCTGCCTCAGCCTCCTGAGTAGCTGGGATTACAGGCGTGCGCCACCACGCCCGGCTAATTTTTGTATTTTTAGTAAAGATGGGGTTTCACCATGTTGGTCAGGCTGGTCTCGAACTCCTAACCTCGTGATCCACCCGTTTCGGCTTCCCAAAGTGCTGAGATTAAAGGCGTGAGCCCCCGTGCCAGCTACTTTTTGAATTAAAACAATACAACGCTTAAAAAAATTTACAAAGCAATGCATACCCTTTGCAAAAGGCTAAGGAGACAGGGAGAAATAATTATAGTTGTTGTATTTGTTGATTCTGTTACAAGTTGCATATTCCTTATCCTAAATCCTGGGACCAGAAGTGTTTTGGATTTTGGATTTTTTTTTATTTTGGAATATATGCATATGCATGATGACATATCTTGGGGTTGGGGCCCAAGTCTAAACACAAAATTTATTAATGTTTCATATACATCTTACATGTGTAGCCTGAAGGTAATTTTATACAATATTATTAATAATTTTGTTCACAAAACAAAGTTTTGATGGTCTTTTGACTGCGACCCATCACATGGGGTCAGGTGTAGAATTTCCTACTTGTGGTGTCATGTTGGCATTCAAAAAGTTTTGGACTTTGGAGCATTTCAGATTTTTGGTTTTCAGATTAAGAATGCTCAACCTCTACTACGTGTGCCTGGCACTGTTCTGAGATCTTGATATGTATAATCTCATTTAATCTTCACAATATAGTACACTGAGAAGAATGATGGCCCCATTTTACAGGTGAAGAAACTGAGTAACTGAGAGGCTAGCTAACCTGCTCTAAATCACACAGCTAGTAAGAGGAGAGCTAGGATAGAGGCGAATCAAAGTCACCCATAATCCCATCTTTCCTAGAGAAGGCCACTGTTAAGATCTTAATATTTGTTAACCGTGTTATGCGTATACGTGCGTGTGTTTGTGTATGCACATATAAGAGGACCTTTAATTACAGATATGTGACAAAATCTTATCCCATGACAGTTTCCTCCTTCCTCTTTTTCCTCTTCCTTGCTTTGGCTTTGACTGGGACCTTTCCCCCTACTTTTGGGGGATTTTCCAGGACACATCTGGAGAGTCTCTTTTGTGCAGATCAGGAAGCCAGGCTCTTGAGTAAAAAATAAGGCCTTTGCTGAAGCAGAGGAAATCAGAAAGACCACCTGATGGCAACGTTCTTGGAGGGAAGGGACCCCCAGAGGTGACATGCAGGTGGGAAGCACAAAAGTTGCCAGGCCGTGGGGGTCAGTGGGTGACTTGGCCAAAGATGCTACCCCTGGCTTCTTCGATGCTGCAGGGACCAGGCCTGTGTCCAGTTAGGCTGAGTTGAACCCTGTGACCATTTTGAAAAAAGGGCTGTGGACAGAGTAATAGAGAATGTGTTCTGGATACAGAAGCCAGGAAGTCATCTCAGCTTTGAGGAGGGCTGGCCAGGGGCCAGAGTTCAGGGGAGCGCTGGCCCTGGGCTTGCCGAGCATCCAAGCTCTCTAGGCCTGCCCTCGACCCCCCAAGCCCTTGTTCTCACCCCACCCCAATCCACCCGTGGCCCCTCACCTTCCATAGCTGCACACTCCTTATTGTTCAGGAACAAAGGCAGTTCAGATTTTTGAAAAAGAAGGAGAACAAATAAACTCCGCGGAACTCATCCTGCTTGTAAGTGAGCGGGTGGCTCTGGCCCCCGACTTGGGGAGTCATGCAGGCCCTGGTGGTGGTGTCGGGAGGTGGTGGGGGGGCGGGCCCTGGGACAGCTTAGCTGGAAGGGAGCGGGGGCAGGGAGGTGCAGCAAGATAGGAACCGTTGGTGATTTATGGCGCCAATAAGCACAATGGCTCAGTCTTGTGGTTTCCCCTTAAGATGTGTCTGAGCGCAGCCCCCTTGGAGCATCACCTATGTGTGCTGAGGTCAGGAGCCCAGCGTCTCTGCTCTCTGCCAATGGGTGCCCGCCCCACCCCCCGCTGGGGGCTCAGGGAGCGCCCCTACCTGGGTCTGAAGGGCGAGGGGAAGATGTACAGGCATGACGTGGAATGTGGCTTCAATCAGGAAGGTGCAGGGGGACGAGTTGGTGAGCAGAAAGGTCTGGCTTCCTCTTAGGGACAGAGCCCAGGATGCATAGACTGGGAGGGTATTTTGGAGAATCAGCCAGTGAGTAGATTACATTTTGGCGGCCGTCTTGCTGCTTTGAGCTTCAGCCAGCCTGCCCTGGATTGTCCCAGGCTAGAATTCTGGGGTGCTGGAGGTACCAACATTTGTTGAGTGTCTACTGTGTGCTGGGTGCTGGGCTAAACCCTGAACACTTCACTTCTGTTCTTTAAACTTTACAATGCCACCCTGCATAAGTATTACTATTAGTTTCATTTTTCAGATAAGGAAAGTGAAACCCAGAGAGCTCAAATAGCTTACCCAAAGTCCACGGCTAGTAGGAGGCAGAACTGGGATTCAAACCTAAATTTGTCCAAATCTAGAACCTTTGCTTTTAAATGCCACACCTGAGGGATCTCAAGTTACCTTAAGAACCAAGGAGCCCTAGTATGCTTCAATGCTTAAGGGTTGAGTTTGCTAAGGGGCAGGCCTGGCAGAGGTGGTGGGGTGGGGTGGGGGACAAAGAGGACACGGAAGCAGGTCTCCAGAAGCCCTCCAAAGTGAACCTAGACTACTCTCTAAACAGCAGACTGTTTCCAAAGCCTGTGCAGTCTGGGGTCCACTATGACCAACTGATCTGCTGGTAGGCAACTGGCACACTCACCTTGAAGACTAAGACATTTTTCTTTCTGAAAGTTTGACTTCAGGACTAACTCCATCTGGCCTGTTGGCTTCCAGTGCTGTTCCTGACTGCAGAGAGAGAGAGAGAGAGAGAGAGAGAGAGAGAGAGAGAGAGAATGCAACGTTGACTTGTAAGCTAGTGGATGTCAAAGTTCTGGCTTCCCACCGTGGACTTCAGCCTTGGCCGCTTTCAGTTGTCGGGGTCACTCAGAAGCTCATCTTTGTTTGGCCATTTGTTGGGCTAAGAGTGACCAGGCAGATGGTTCTCCTGGGCACAGGTGGCTGTCCTGCCCCTTTCCCCTCCCTCACCCTCCAGCAGGCTCCTGTGTGTCTTACCCCTCCCTCTGCAGCCAGGCACTGAGCAGGGATGTTTCCCTCTCCTCTAGGAGCTCAGATGCTGGAAACAGCATTACCTTCGCTTGAGGGAAACGCGGAACCAGCCCGAACGGAAATGTTGTCAAGAATCCCAGTGCCCATTACTTCCCTTCTGCTAGTGCCACTTTAACAGCTTGAGCCTTCCCCTGTGGGCTTGCTGGGGCAGGTCAGGAGAGTCTCCTGCCAGTGCTGGGCCACCGGCTTCTGGCAGGCTGGAGAGACCTGGCCCCTCAGGCAGGCTGCACGGCCGCCCAAGAAGGCTGTTCCTTGGCTGCCTGGGCCCCTCCAGGCAGTACCAGCACACTCTCCGGTGGCCCGAGCGAGGTCCTCTGTGTGTGGGGAGGTACAGGCAGGCCCTGCTGACTGCAGGCCCCTTTTTTGCCATTCACCGGCTGCTTTCTGCACCCCAGGTCGACGACGCCGGGCAAAACCTTGGCAAGATGGCACTGGGGGGTGGAGGGTTGTACAGCCACAGGTTCTTCCTGGGAGGGCCTGGCTGGAGGTGAGTCACTGAACCCCCTGCAGTTGAGTCCATTCCTCTCGGAGAGCTTAGTGATGTCCTCACAGTCAGTGGCCTCCAGGCTTCTGGGAGGGAAAGAGCCGTGGAAGAGGCTGCCTGCCTCCTGGTGATGGCTCAGAGAAGGGGCGCTCCCCAGGGCCTGGCCGCTACCAGCCGCACGAGCCCCGAATGGACATACGCAGATTTGTTTTTCATCTGTGACTGAGAGGTTTTCAGGCCCCTTTGGCACGAAGATTTCCCTGGCTCTCAGTAAACCAACACTCTGGGGCGTGACAGACCTAAGCGACTGGCATGTACAAGGCCCGGGCTACACAGAGCCACCAGGAGGCCCACCAGCAGGCAGGCTGGCAAGGCTGGGTGACAGCATGAGTTTTGGAGTCAGATGGAACTGGGTTCAAATTTTGGCTTCATAATCTTGTGAGTTATTTTCCTTCCTGGCTCCCCAGTCTCCTGGTCTGGAAAATGAGGACAATAAAAGATTCTTTCCAGGGTTACTGGGAGACTTCAACTGGATAGCACTTGTAAGAGCTGAGGCCGGGCCCCTGTAATCCCAGGACTTTGAGAGGCCAAGGCAGGAGGATTGCTTGAGCCCGGGAGTTTGAGACCAGTCTGGGCAACATAGCAAGACACCATCTCATATTTTGTTTTTTTTTAAATTATTTTTTTTTTGAAAGGGAATCTCACACTCTCTCCCAGGCTGGAGTGCAGTGGTGCAATCTTGGCTCACTGCAACCTCCATCTCCTGGGTTCAAGCAATTCTCCCACCTCAGCCTCCCAAGTAGCTGAGATTACAGGTGTCTGCTACCATACCCAGCTAATTTTTGTATTTTAGTAGAAACGGGATCTCACCATGTTGAACAGGTTGGTCTCAAACTCCTGACCTCAAATGATCCAACTGCCTTGGCCTCCCAAAGTGCCGGGATTACAGGCGTGAGCCACCATGCCTGGCTGTCATTTTTTTTTTTTAATAGAGCTGGGCTCAATGCCAGCCACATGACAAGTGCTCAGGGATGTAGCTGCTGTGACTCTTCCTGGGTGCTTTGTCTCCCATCCTTGGCAAGTACTTCCTCCTTGCTCTTCCTTGTTTGCCCACCGTCTTTCTTCAGGTGCAAGGTGGTCTCAGGCAGCCACAGGGGCTGGGAGGAGAACTTATCTGATAAACTTATTCTTAACCGGCAACAGGATCTGAAAGTGTTAGTGTCGGGAGTATTTGCTTTTTTTTTGAGACAGGGTCTCACTCTGTTACCCAGGCTGGAGTGCAGTGGCCCGATCTTGGCTCACTACAACCTCCACCTCCTGGGTTCAAGGGATCCTCCCACCTCAGCCTCCCAAGTAGCTGGGCCTACAGGCATGCACCACCACATTCAGCTAATTTTTTGTGTTTTTAGTAGAGACAGCGTTTTGCCATGTTGCCCAGGCTGGTCTCGAACCCCTGACCTCAAGTGATCCTCCCGCCTCGGCCTCCTAAAGTGCTGGGATTACAGGTGGGGGCCACTGTGCCAGGCCAGGTATTTGCATTTTAACCCACCTCAACCTCATGGGAGGAATTTATTCGTTCAATAAACATTTACTGAGATATTATCTTAGACTAAGCTATTATCATCACTAAGCCCCCGCCATGTGCCGGGCAGACTTGTTATATGATGTCATCTTTATAACCAGCATTAGGAAGAAGATTTAGTACCCTTCACATTTTACAGATGAAGAAAGTGAGGTTCTGAGTCCTGAAGTCTCATAGCTGTGCCCAGATCTAACTGATGCTAGTACCTACTTCTAAGCCACAGGCTCTGAGCTGGGTCCTGGGGCTGCAAACTGGAATAAACCCATCCCTGACTGCAACAAACATCCTGTCCATGGATGGAGACAGGCAAAGAAACCCGATTCCTAACATGCAGCAATAGCAATAGACATGGGGTTTTGTGGGCACAGAATAGGACATACCAGGGGGCCTTTGGGAACATATGGCTGGGAACATTAACCCATGTTCTCTATGTGGATCCAAAGGCATGCAGAATAGAATTTATTCTCCCACCTTCTGAGGGATCAGCCCACCCATCTAAAATCATCCCCAGAACAGCCTTTCTCTCTCTCTCTCTCTTTTTTTTTTTTTTTTTTTTTTGAGACAGGGTCTCACTCTGTTGCTCAGGCTGGAGTGCAGTGGTGCGGCTCAAGTGATCCTCCCACTTTAGCCTACCGAGTAGCTGGGACCACAGACACAAGCCACTACGCCTGGCTGATTTTTTTTTTATTTGTAGAGATGAGGTCTCGCTATGTTGCCCAGGCTGATCTTGAACTCCTGGCCTCAAGCAATCTTCCTGCTTCAGCCTCCTAAAGTGCTGAGATTACAGGCATGGGCCATTGCACCCGGCTGAACAGCCTCTTTCAAATGTCAAATTACTTCAAGGGCATACCTTGGAATCAAGAGATGTTTCTCTATGTTGTTGCCTCCAACTTCCTTTTTTTTTTTTTTTGAGACAGAGTCTTGCTCTGTTGCCCAGCCTGGAGTGCAGCGGCATGATCACTGCTCACTGCAACCTCCGCCTCCCAAGTTCAAGCGATTTTCCTGCCTCACCCTCCCGAGTAGCTGGGATTACAGGCACCTGCCACCACGCCTGGCTAATTTTTGTAATTTTAGTAGAGACAGGGTTTCCCCATGTTGCCCAGACTGGTCTCGAACTCCTGACCTCAAGTGATCTGCCTGCCCTGGCCTCTGAAAGTGTTGGGATTACAGGCATGAGCTACCGTGCCCAGCCCCGCCTCCCCCAACTTCTTTTTGTTGTTGTTGAGACAGAGTCTTGCTCTGTCGCCTAGGTTGGAGTGCAGTGGCACGATCTCAGCTCACTGCAACCTCTGCCTCCCAGGTTCAAGCGATTCTCCTGCCTCAGCCTCCTGAGTAGCTGGGATCACAGGCGTGCACCACCATGTCTGGCTAATTTTTGTATTTTCAGTAGAGGCAGGGTTTCACCATGTTGGCCAGGCTGGTCTCGAACTCCTGACCTCAGGTGATCCGCCTGCCTTGGCCTCCCAAAGTGCTGGGGTTACAGGTGTCAGCCTCCTCGCCTGGCCTCCCAACTTCTTATATATGCCTCCCAAGATAATTGAGGCATATATACAAGGCTATATGTATATGATTATATATAAATGTGTTATTTTAAAGAAAGGCAAGTGATAGCACTGTGAGTGGACAGTACAACAGGAGAACAGTGTGTATAGTAAAAAGCAAGTCCCCCTCCTGGCTCTACTTTCCTTCTTGAAGGCTATCCCAGCTGCCAACTTCTAACACAAGGTTATGCACATATGTCCTTTTTAAAAAGACACATGATGGCGTATCATAAACATACCATAAAATTCCCTATTTCCTGTTTTTTCACTTAACAGTATAATCTCACCCAACATTCTGCACCAATATCTATAGTTCTATTGCATTCTCTTTAATGGCAGCATAACATCTTTTATGGGTATAACAGACTTTGTCTAACCAGTCTCCTATCAATGGATTTTAACTCAGGTTGTTTCTGGTCATTTTTAGTTACAAATCATCCTGTCATGAAGATCCCTTTACATAGATTTTTACTCACATATGGTATACCTGTATACCTTTGTTGGAGAAAAGGGTATGCATTTTAACATGGAAAACCATTAATGTATACCTGACTATGTCAAATTCATGCCTAAAATCCCATCCAAAGAAATGAATCACTAAGGGTGAAATCCTGACCATCAGCAAGGGACACCATTTCCTCAAGTATAGCCTGCCTGCCCACCTTGAGAGTGGCCTCCCCTTCTCTCCAGTTCCCAAGCCTGAGTACCAGTGAGCAGAGGAAGCTGGGGTACTCTGGCTCCTGAACCCCTCTGGGGAGGGCCCAACTGTGTTCTCTGTGGGTAGAAGTTCCCTCTCTAATCAGTTTTCCCACTGCATTTCATTGGCGGCCAAGAGAGGCTTTCATAACTCTTGCTATCTTTACAATATGTCGTTCAAATTTAAAACATGCTAAAAGGGAGAAAATATTTATAGAATTTTTCTCTGGAAGAAAAAAAAAACCCTACTTTTAAGCCCAGCCAATGACATTTCTGGAAACCACAGAGGGAAAACAGCAACAACTCGCAGAAGATAAAATGGACTAATTACACAACAGATCTCTAATTTAAGAAACTAGCTGCATTCTTCTGTGTTTTTTTTTTTTTAGATGACAGAGAATAAAAATACTGGTTTACCAGCTTATTAAAAAAATCATCCAACAGCTCCTAACCTTCTCTTCTGCAAGATGACATGTATCTGTTCTCGAGTACACATGGTGTACTGGCCTCAGTGAGGGCTGTAGAGAAGGGTCCCTATGGTGGGGTTTCTTGGCCTGTGAAATAGTTTCCCATGGGAAGAACAGGGATCCTGCTGCCTGAGTTATTTAAATCTTGGAGTCTTCCTTCCTTTTCCAAAGCTCTGGGAGCATCTCCATGGCCACAGCTGTTGTGGACACCCAGCCTAGTGGCCTGGCTTTGGGGTGGCCGAGGTAGGTCTATGTTAACTAGTACCTTGCCCTCTCCACATATTCCAGCCCTCTGAGCTGCCACCGGGACCCTAACTGGCCCTTTTCAACAAATACCCCAGGTTTCTAGAATAATTCCTTAGCTATAGGGTGGTTAGCAAAGAAACCAGGTACCCCCTCACTTCTCCCTTGTTTCTGTGAATCCCAGCCTGAGTGCTTCCAAACGGGCCACAAAGGGAAGCTTTTCCTAGCTGGAATTTCCAGAAGCCAAAACACGACTGCAGCCAAAACCTCCCCGTGAACTTCGTTTCTGTTTGGATTTTTATGGAATCGGTTTCTCTCAGACACACATCCTGTGGGACCACGCTCCTTCCCCTTCCCTTATTTTTATGTATGAATGGATTATGTTGGCTGTTTAATGGGTTTGCAGCAAACGCAGGCCACCGAGCCGTTTTAATGAGGTCTCTCGCTGGCCAGCCCGTGGCTTTCAGAGGCCTTGAGAGACCCGGAGAGAGGGTTCCCTGGTGCCTGGATGGGATTTGCTCTCTGCTCTCTGCTTGGGAATCTTGGCTACACCGGCGCTACTCTGATTTGCGGGGGGATTTGGGGAAAGTTCTTTAATCTCCTAGGCTTGCAGTGTAGACCTGAGCTAACACCAGCACTGGGGCCTTAGCAGAACCAGCGCGAGGAATCCTTGTGGAAAACAAAGAATAACAGTGAGAAAGGAGCGAGGGGCTCTGAGGGGGCCGTGCTCGTGGGGAGAGGGATGGCTTCTCTGCGGGCCGGAGCCTAGACCTCAATTCTCAGCATGGAGTTCAGCTGCAGTTGGCTAGGCCTCAGTTTCCCTGGTTTGCCTTTTCTTAGTCGGCTTTGATGTGTTGATTTGTGAACTTATTATCCATCTGTCCAGCACACACAGAGCCAGCAGGCAGGGTAGGGTGACGGAGGGTGGGTGCAGGGAATGCACATCCAAGGGCTCTAGACAGCCCTGGACCTTCCCTTTGAGCTGTAGGGGCCTGAAGAACAGGCCTTCTCTTTTTGGGGGGATCAAAACTTTCATCTGGAATCGGGGTGCCTCTCTCTTCCCAGTGACCCACTCTTGCTGGGAATGAATACGCCTTGGTTCCTGTGATTGTTTTCTGGGCTGGCAAGGGCGGAATGGAGAATCGTGGCCCCTCCTGCCTCACCTCTCAGCCTCCTGCTCTGCCTGGAGACGCCTTGTCATCTGCATTCCCAAGGGGCCCTGCTGTCATTGGCTTCCAGGAAGACTGACAGATGAGGCTTCCCTAGCAGTGGGTCCCCACCCTTCTCCCCTAGGGACCCCTTTTATGAAATCTCTCCCAGGACTCCCAGGTTGACAGTGGCTATGTGGGGAAGGCCAGAGATTCCTGGCCTATTGGATTCCACCGGGGCTGGGGGGTGGGGGAAGTCATTGACGCAGTGGGAGCATCTCCCTAGCCCATCTCCACTCCCAGGCCTCTCGACTGCCTGCCCCATGCTATTCAAATTTGCTCTCCGCAGAACAGCCTGAATGGTCTCTTTAAAATGCACATTGGACTCTGTTATTCCCTCCTGAAAACCGTTTGTGGGGTTTCCAGTGTCTGGAGATGAAGGCCAAGTTCCTTGCGGTGGTTTATAATCCCCTCTCTGAGCTACCTCTCCAGGCTCAATGCTCCTCGCCCTCTGCTGCAGAAACACCAAGCTACCGGTGCGCCCAGCGCACCCCACATGGCTGCCCCCAATGACTTTCTTTTTTTCTAGAATAATAATGTTCTCCAGCCCCTCCTGACTCGCTCGCAGCCTACTGTCAGGAGGCAGCTTGAGTGTCACCTCCCGAGTCTGTCTATAAATTGTTTAGTCATGAATTCATTCATTTGATTGTTTTTCAGTCAATCAGAGAAATATATAACTGGCAATTACAGCTCTGAATCAGCCTGGAATAGCTTGCCTTAGCCCTCAGGCCTTGCTTGAACCCAGCTAATCGAGAACTGGAGAGGGGTCCTTTGCGTCAGGGGCCCCGCCCATGCCTCTGCACCCTGCTCTTTGTTTGCCTGGCACACCCACAGATTCCATACCCCACCCCCCACCCCCAGTGTCCCGGGCATAAGGTGTCCTGGTTGCCAAGAGTGAGGGCTGTGCCTCATTTCCTAGCAGTGCAGGCACTTCCCTGCAAGCAGAGGCGTCTGACCTGTTGTTTTCTCCTTTAGGCTTGGTCTCCTAGATCTTGGGGTCCATCCACTCTTGGGGTCCATGGGCTCAAATGCATAGCTCTATCCTGGGCCTCTCCCCTGAACCACAGCTGCCTCTTCAGCCTCATTGCTCCTTCGGGAATGTTCAGCATGTAGAGCTATGAGGTGGGGCGAGGCCACCAAGGGGCCAGATAAACAGAAGAGAAGAGATCCAACAGCCTGAGGAAGGCCTGCTGTGAGCCACACTTAAAAAGGTGGCCTTAGATGTCCAGTAGACAGCAGAAACTCAGCATGGCCTGAACCTGCCCCCACACCTGCTCCTCCTTACAGCCTCCTGCAGCCCCAGCGGTCCACTGAGCAGTCCAAAACCCATAGCATCATCATCTTTTTTTTTTTTGAGACGGAGTATCCCTCTGTTGCCTAGGCTGGAGTGCAGTGGTGCAACCTCGGCTCACTGCAACCTCTACTCCCAGGTTCAAGCAATTCTCCTGACTCAACCCCCTGAGTAGGTGTGATTGCAGGTGCGCACCATCACCCCTGGCTAATTTTTGTATTTTTAGTAGAGACAGGGTTTCAACATGTTGGCCAGGCTGGTCTCGAACTCCTGACCTCAGGTGATCTGCTGCCTCAGCCTCCTAAAGTGCTGGGATTACAGGCGTGAGCCACGGCTCCTGGCTGCATATGTACCCTTTTTATGGATCTTGTTTATTGTCTATTCCTCCTCCCATTGGAATGGAAGCCTCCGTGAAAGCAAATATTTCATTTGTTTTGTTCACTATTGTGTCCTTAGTGCCTAGAACAATGCCTGGCACAGAGCAGGCACTTACGAAATATTCACTGGATGAAAGCAAGAATGGATAGATGGATGGATGGAGTGGCTGGTAGGCAGATGCTCCACTGGCCTCTGTCTTTCAGGCTTCATCTGAAGACGCATAATGCTGGTTGGCCCCTGGTGAGAGATTTGCTCACCATGCCTAGGTCCTCTCGGCATGAGCAGACTCCAAAAGTTCAGTTCAGTGGTCATCAGTTCTGGAATTTGATTTTTTCCTCCTCAGTGGACTTAAGATGCTCCCTATGTGGACAGTAGAGTGACTGTCCACCATCTTCCTTTCCTCAGGCTGCAAGCCAGCATTCACAGCTTTCTCCTTGCTCTGCTGTGGCTCATAACCAGCAGCAGTTCTGCATGACTTACTGCTGGAGCTGCTGCTCTTGGAACGTTCTAGAAACCTCATGGGCCCTGGTGAGAGATGGAAAAGCTTTAACTGAAATGTTGGTGCCAGCAGCCCTTGGCACCCTGTAGAGATGAAAGCAGGAGGGCCTTGATTTTTGACCAGCCTTTGCAGGCTGCCTTAGTGGAGACTTTTGCCTCAACCGAGTAAGCATTCCAATTTCAAGATGAAGTGCTCAATTTACCTGAAGGCATGGTCCTAAGTGACATTCACTGAGCCAGAGTGTGCAGTTTGCATGTCCATAAAATGGGGCCAGTGATATTGACCTTACAAGGTCGTTGTGAGGAATAAATGAGCAACATAAATTGCAAAATCTATAAAAGTGTCTTGTTTTATTATTATTGATGGTTCTGACTCCCAAGGGAGAGCCTACTTCTCTGTAGGATGGGGCACTTAGAAGACTTCGGCGCCTTCTGGCAAGGTCCTGCAGCTTCTGGAAGCCTCCTCTGCTCACATGTGGGACTTGGGCATGGCTTAACATCCAGCCTTCTATGACTGGAGGGTGGCTTCTCTTTTCTGACTGGCTCTTGGGGTCTCTAGCTGGCTCCTGATGTGGAAACGGTGTGTGGGAAGGGAATGACCATTGACCTTTTTTAGATTTTTCATTGTTTTCATTTGTATCTTCTGATGTGCTGAGAGTTTATTAACCAGCGAAGGGACTATCAAATCCAAGCCTGCTCTTGCTCACTGAGAAAAAAAAAAAGGAACACGAGGAAGCAGCCTGTAGGGGTGGAGACGGCACTGGTCTGGAAGTCTGGACATTCGGGTCTAGGTCTCATTTCTCTCCTTCCCTTTGTCAACTTTAGGCATGGCAGGTCACCTTGCTAAGCCACAACTGCCTGTAAAGAAGGGAGCTTGGGGTAGACGATCCTGTTCTGAGCCAGTGTAGTCTTATAACTATCACTTTTAAATAATAATCATATCACAGCTGGAAATAAAATTCAGCTGTTGTTCTCTCTTTTCAAAGTGGTTGCCCTTCCTTTGGAATTTCTGGGGCATCTCACCTGCAGTCCTTCCAGTATATTCCCAAGGCTTCCTTTCTCTCTGCCTGAGGGTATTTTCTAGTCACGGGCATGCCCTCAGCCTGGAAAGCAACAGGGTAGGAACTGCCTCTAGCATGAACTCTCTCTCTTTTTTTTTGGAGAGAGGCAGGGTCTTTCTCTGTTGCCCAGGCTGGAGTGCAGTGGCACAATCAGCTCACTGCAGCCTTGACCTCCCAGGTTCAGGTGATTCTCCCACCTCAGCCTCCCGAGTAGCTGGGACTACAGGTGCACGTCACCTTGCCCGGCTAATTTTTGTATTTTTGTAGAGATGGGGTCTCCTTATGTTGCCCAGGCTGGTCTCGAACTCCTGGGTTCAAGCAATCCTCCCGCCTCAGCCTCTCCGAGTGCTGGAATTACAGGTGTGGGCCACCACACCTGGCCTTAGTAGTGAATACTTGATCAATGGGGGATCCATGGGTGCATCAGCATCCCATCTTCCTTGCCCTTTGGTGGGATAATTCTGTAGTGCACTCTCCCAGCGAGGCCCCCTGAGAGCCTGAGCCCCAGTTGCCCACAGAAAACCCCCGCTCCTCAACGCATCTTCTATCGGTGTTCTCCTTACCCATGATCACCTCCTTCTATGGGCTGAAGTGTGTCCTGCCAAATTCATATGCTGAAGCCCGAACGCCAGGACCTTAGAATGTGACTGTGTTTGGAGTTAGGGCCTTTAAAGACATGATTAAGTTAAAATAAGGCAATTAAGGTGGAGCCCTAATGGAAATATGCCTGGTGTCCTTACGAGAAGAGGAAATTTGGACACAAAAAGAGACACCAGGAGAGTGTGCACAGAGGGACAATTGTGTGAAGGGACAGTGAGAAGGCAGCTATCTGCAAGCTAAGGAGAGAGGCCTCAGAGGAATCTGACTCTATTGGCACCTTGATGTTGTGCTTCCAGCCTCCAGCACTATGAGAAAACTAGTATCTGTTGCTTAACCCACCCAGCCTGTAATATTTTGTTATGGCAGCCTGAACAAACTCATATACCTCCCAAATAAGCTGCCCAGTCCCAAATCGTTGACCCAGAGTCTGCTTTTGGGGAGAAAGAAAATTAGGACATCATCAATCAAGGACAAAAGGTTAGTGCTATGCTAAGGTCTGCAGGGCCTTCTTTGGGGCGTTAAAGATCCAGTCCCCAGGGTGGGGTCTGAGAGCAGTTTGTAGAGAAACCAGCTCATCCTCAGTTGGCAGAAAAGGAGACAAATACTCAGAGACGTGAAAAAGTCAAAAACATCGTCATATTCACCTTCTCATTCGGATCTGAAGCTGGTTCATTGAGAGGAGGTGGAATCACGTGGAGAAATGTACACCAGGAGTCGGGGCTGGGATAATGTGTGTTACGCGGTACAGGAATACAAATGCCTTTATTCACGTGAAATTGCTTCAGAATGAAGGGCTGCTCGAAAACTGACCCCCAAATGGAGCATTTTGTATTACAAAATAAAATTGCATCCCTTTAGCTCTGAGAAAAATGCACATTGCCCTCATCTGAAATGTGGTGATAATTATATGCCACATTATTCATCCTGTGTCATTTCTGGTCACATTCAGCATTTGGCTTAGAGGCAATTTAGGATGTGCTCAAAACAAAGGCAGTCACGCAAAAGGCACGGGGATGTATTCCAGGCAGTCAAGGTAAGTGGTACAGTGCACGGAACCTCAAGGTTCGCTTTCTCCCAGGATGACATAACTGCAATTTCAAATGTTTTCTGTGTAGGAGGACCAACTTTCACATGCTTTTTAGGGAAAAAGAAACCAAGTTAAATAATGCAAATGCACCAATATCAAAGCAGCAGGTGTGTGTGTGTGTGTGTGTGTGTGTGTGTGTGTGTGTGTATGTGTATGGGTGTGCTTGTGTGTAAGGCCAAGAAAGTCAGGGTTACATGCTCTGGCCTGAGAAGACTTGGAGGTGAAGGGAATACTAGTTATTAGTGTAGTAGTGTTAGGAGATTAGTTATAAGCTATGTTAATTGTCTGTTGCTATGTAACATATTACCCCCAAAACTTAGCAGCTTAAAACAACAAACATTTATTATTCCTCCCACTGTCTGAGAGTCATGACTCTGGAGTGGCTTAATTGGGTGGTTCTGGTTCACAATCTCTCCTGAAATGCAATCAAAATGTCAGCCAGGGTTGCAGTCATCTGAAGGCTTGACCAGGGCTGGGGGATCCACTTCCAAGGTGGTTCACTCACACAGCGACTGTAGGAGACCTAGAAGATCCTTCTCCAAGCTCATTCATGTGGTTCCTCGTCACATGGGTCTCTCCATAGGCTGCTGGTGCCCTCATGACATGTCAGCTTGTGACCCGAGAGACAGCCAGAGAGAGCCCAAGATAAAAGTCACAGTCTTTTTAACCTAATCTCAGAAATGCTATCCTATCACTTCTGTACTATTTTTTTTTTTTTTTTGAGACAGAGTCTTGCTCTGTCACTGACGCTGGAGTGCAGTGGCACAATCTCAGCTCATTGCAACCTCTGCTTCCTGGGTTCAAGTTATTCTCCTGCCTTAGCCTCCCGAGTAGCTGAGATTACAGGTGCCTGCCATCACGCCCTGCTAACTTTTGTATTTTTGTAGAGATGGGGTCTCCCTATGTTGCCCAGGCTGGTCTCAAACTCTTGGCCTCAAGTAATCCACCCGCCTCAGCCTCCCAAAGTGCTGGGATTACAGGTGTGAGCCACCACACCAGGCCTTATTCTATTTGTTAGAAGCCAGTTCCTCACTCCAGCCCACACTCAGAGTGAGGGGATCTCACAAGGGTGTGAATACCAGGAGGTAGAGATCATTTGGGGACCATCTTAGAGGCTGCCTGCCACAGGGAGCAGGCCCTTTGTGAACCTCACTGTCCTAGAAGGTTCTTGGGCCTGAGAAGGTTCCCTATCACTACAAGTGAACGTGGAGGAAAAAACATCACGTGTGGGACTTGGGAGATCTTGTTTCTTGCCCCGACGTTGCCATTTCTGGCCTGTGTCTGAGAGCAACCTCTCGAAGACTCAGTTTCCCCATCTGTAATATAGGGACAATAGTGCTGACCTCATTTGTGAGGCAGGGCTAGTTGGATGACATGAGCTGCATAATGCTACAAGGTAGAAGGAATGACAGTTGGTGGCCTCCAGAACATTCCCTTCTGTACCTAACCTGCTGTGCCTATGGGATTGGAAAACCTGGGACAGAGGGCCCAGGGTCTTTCTGTTTATGTGGGTGACAGTTTCCACCGTGGTGCACTTCCCTGGTCACTCCAGCCTCTAGGGGCTTAAGGGCCAGAGTGGCAAAAGCCTGAACAGTCATTAAATAACTGACCATTAACTGGTGTCACTCTGAGGCCCTCAGCCCAACAGTGACCATCTAACAGTGATCCACAAACCACATCCCTCGAAAGCCAATGCCTGGTCCTTCCCATGTCCTCAGTCTCCGTGGGTCCCCCAACTCTGTCCTGTCACCTCTTCAATGGCCAGAATGTGCAAGAAAATCCTTTAATAGTTTGGTACTGTCCAAATGCTCTTTTCATTTCTGGGTCTAAGTATTTTATATTTCCTCTGCTGAGTAATAAATACATGAAATTTCCTTTTCATGCGAGGTCTTGTGGGCCAGAGGTCTTCAGGAAAGGTAGGGAAGGCCTGGCAGCCCCTGTGCAGGACGGGACTGCGAGCCCTGAGTTTGTCTCCTCACTGAGCTGCCGGATTGCACTGGGCAGGCTTGAGCCCCTTTGGAGGGAGGGCTTTTGGTCTTGGGGGCAGTTGCCAGTGACCTTGCTGCAGCTCCCATCGTGCTCTGGGGTGTGCTGTCCAGGGCAACGCTGAAGAAAGCTGGGAGTGACTTGGGAGGCAGAAGAATCTCGGTTCATCCCCAGTTCTGTCGCTTATTAGCTCTGGGGCCAGATGGCAGCTCCCTCTGGACAGGGCTCTGTCTACCCTGTTCCCTACTGTATCTCCAATGCTTGTGATTCTTTTTAAATTTAATTTTTAATTAAAGCACAATTTACATACATTGAAGTGCACAGAAGGTGTGCAGTTTGATGAGTTTTGGCAAATATACGTGTCTGTGTGACTACCACCACAATCAAGATCTGGAACATTTCCATCATTTGAAAACATTTCCTTGTTCTCTTCCCAGCCTGTCCTCCCTGGTCAGCATAGGCAGCTCCTGTTCTGATTTCCCCAGAGGTTAGTTTGATCTCTCCTTGGAGTTCATATAAATGGATCATACAGCATGTGCTCTCTTGTGTTTGGTTCCTTTTGCATGACATAATGTCTTAGGAGATTCATTCACATCGTTGTGAGTATCAGTAGCATATTCCCTTATATTGTTGAGTAGAATTCCATTATATGGCTATACCACAATTTGTTTATCCATTCATCAGTGGATGGATATTGGAGTCTACTCCAATTTGGAGCAATTACAAATATAGTTTCTTTTTTAAAACATTATTTTAATTATTTCTGTTTTTAATAGAGACAAGGTCTTGCTATGTTATCCAGGCTGGTCTTGAACTCTTGGCCTTAAGCCATGACCATGCCTCAGCCTCCCAAAGTGCTGGGAGTACAGGTGTGAACCACTGCGCCTGGCCAACAAATGTAGTTTCTATGAACACTCCGGTGCAAGTGTTTTTATGGACTTATGCTCTTATTTCCCTTGGGCAAATACCCAAAAGTAAAATTATTAGGTTGTAGGGTAATCATATGTTAAACCTTGTGAGAGACTTCCAGACTGTTGTTCAAAGTGACCGTGCCATTTTACACTCCTGCCTGGCACTGGAATCTTAAGTGGAAGAATGGAGACACCAGAATGCCAAGAGCTGGTCATGTGTCCCTGGGTCTGCCCTGGCCCCTGCCAAGGCCAAGCTTTCTTCTCCAGGCTTCTGAACTATTGTGCCAACCTCCCATCATCTTCCAGTCAATTTCCTTTTGCCCAAATTAGTCAGAACCTGTTTCTGTTATTTGCAATCAAAGAACTCTATGTAACTGATACAGTGCCTACCACAGAGTAAGTCCTCAACAAACTGCAGCTGCTCTTGTTTTTGTTTACTTGTGTGTGTTTCTTTAAGATGGAGTGTCACTCTGTCACCCAGGCTGGAGTGCGGTGGCGTGATCTCAGCTCACTGCAGCCTCCATCTCCTGGGTTCAAGCGATTCTCCTGCCTCAGCCCCCCCGAGTAGCTGGGATTACAGGTGTGTGCCACCAAGCCTGGCTAATTTTTGTATTTTTAGTAGAGGCGGGGTTTCACCATGTTGGCCAGGCTGGTTTTGAACTCCTGACCTCAAGTGATCTGCCCGCCTCAGCCTCCCAAAGTGCTGGGATTACAGGTGTGAGCCACTGCACCTAGCTGAGGCACCACGCCCGGCTGCTCTTGTATTAGTAGTAGTATAAAGTGTCCTGAGGGGCAGGGAGAGGGGCAGGGCTAGGCTTTGAGATTCTGTTTGTGTATAGAGGAGGAAGAGGGGTGCAGTTGCAAAAGGGGAGGAACGATGGGGGCGGTGTTCTAAGATACTTGGATATGCAAATGGCATTTGGTCACTCGAGTCTGGGGCAAAGGCGCTTCCCATTTGGTACTTTGGTCTCTTTTAATGCAAATTGGAGAGCTTCAAGAGATGGATGCTCTTTGGGAAGGAGAGAGAGTTTCTGAGGCTCCCTGGGTACCTGTTTGGCCATCTTCTTGTCCCTCAGCAGGCAGGGGGGGCACGACGGCTCAGGAAGTCCCCACTCCCTAATGCAGCCAGTTTCAGACTTGCCTTAATGGTGCCTGCTGGGATGTGTGGAAGCACCTGCTGCTTTTGATTTGTGGAATGAGGAAAAACCCCCACAACTTTTGGACTTCTTTTATTTATTTATTTAGTTTTTGAGACAGAGTCTCGCTCTGTTGCCCAGGCTGGAGTTCAGTGGCACGATCTCAGCTCACTGCAACCTCCGCCACCTGGGTCCAAGTCATTCTCCTGCCTCAGCCTCCCAAGTAGCTGGGACAACAGGCACGCACCACCACACCTGGCTAATTTTTGTATTTTTTTGGTAGAGAAAGGGCTTTACTGTGTTGTCCAGACTGGTCTCGAGCTCCTGGTTTCAAGTGATCCACCCACCTCAGCCTCCCAAAGTGCGGGGATTACAAGCTTGAGCCACTGTACCTGGCCGGACTTCTTTTTACTTTTGTATCAATGTGGCCAACATGGACTCTAATCCACTAGAGGGAAAGCCCACTTGCACCAAAACCTTTTTTTTTTTTTGCATATATTTTTTTTTAAAAATGAAGAAAAACAGGGTTTCTTGAGGTTCATTTCAGTCCTTTTGGAAAAGTCGGAAGGAAAGTACTGGGCAATATGGACATGTGAGCACTGGAGCGGGAGTCCAGGGATGGGGTGCTATTCTGGGCTCTGCCACTCAGTCCCTGTGTGACAGATGGAGAGGCCCTCCCCTGTCTGGGTCTCAGTTTTCTCCTCTATGAAATGGGGAGCTGACCAACAGGATCTCTGGGAACTGACATTCTCTGTGTCTACGTTTGCTGCATTGTGGTCACATTGGCTGTCTTTGTGCAGGCTGAATGGTATGGAAAGGGCCTGCTAGGGTGGTGGATGCTAGCCTGAGCCCCTTGTGCATTTGAGGGGAACTAGTTGTTCTGAACACAGGGACTACATTCAGCAGAATTTGGGCAGGGCCAGAGCTCAGTCAGTTCTGCTATTAGTATCATTACTACCTGCATGTTGACCCACCGAGGCTGTCTGTGGTATAACCCCCTTCCCTGGAAGACCTCGATATCTCTCAGCTTGAGTTGCTACGGTTGACCCAGCACTGAGTCTTGCTCTGCACAGTGGTCAAGCAGTTGGCTGGGGTTTGGTCTGTGGGGTACTGACTCCTGCATTTCAGTCAGATCTTTTTTTTCTTTTTCTAAGTTTAGGTGTAACTTACATACAGTGAAATATACCAATCTTAGGTGCTATGGTTTGAGGGGTTTTCTTGTGTAACACATCCTCCTATCAAGATATAGCTCATTTCCACCATTCCAGAACATTCTTTCATGCTCCTTCTCTTTTCTGATTTCTATTATCATAGCTTAATCTTGCTTGTTCTTGAATTTCATATAAATGCAAGCACATGGCATGCAGTCTTTTGTGCTCAGCTTTTTTCACACGGCATATTGCATTTAAGATCATCCAAGTTGTGTCTATCAGTAGTTTGCTCCTTTTTACGGCAGAGTAGTTCTCCATTGTATAGATGTACCCTAGTTCGTATATTCATTAACCTATAGATGGTTGTTTGCATTGTTTCCAGTTTTTGGCTGCTGTGAATAATGCTGCTATGAACATTCATGTTCAAATCTTTTTTTTTTTTTTTTTGAGACGGAGTTTCACTCTTGTCACCCAGGCTGGAGTGCAGTGGCGCAATCTCGGCTTACTGCAACTTCTGCTTCCCTGGTTCAAGCGATTCTTGTGCCTCCACCTCCCGAGTAGCTGGGATCACAGGTGTGCGCCACCACGCCCAGCTAATTTTGTATTTTCATTATTTTTATTTATTTTTTATTTTTTATTTTTTTGGAGATGGAGTCTCGCTTTGTTGCCCAGGCTGGAGTGCAGTGGGGTGATCTCGGCTCACTGCAAGCTCCGCCTCCTGGGTTCCCGCCATTCTCCTGCCTCAGCCTCCCGAGTAGCTGGGACTACAGGAGCCAGCCACCATGCCCGGCTAATTTTTTGTATTTTTTAGTAGAGACAGGGTTTCACCATGTTAGCCAGGATGGTCTCGATCTCCTGACATCGTGATCTGCCCGTCTCGGCCTCCCAAAGTACTGGGTTTGCAGGAGTGAGCCACCGCGCCCGGCCTATATTTTTAGTAGAGACAGGATTTCACCAGGCCAGGCTGGTCTCGAACTCCTGACCTCAGGTGATCTGCCCGCCTCAGCCTCCCAAAGTGCTGGTACAGGTGTGAGCCACCACGCCCGGTCTCATGTTCAAATCTTTTTGTGAACAAATGCTTTCCTCTCTCTTGCAGGAGTGGGATAGGTGGGTCTTATGGTAAGTGCATGCATAACTTTGAAAGAAACTGTCAAACTGTCCTCCAAAGTGGCTGGACTATTTTACATACCTCCAGCAACAGACGACAGTTCCTCTTGCTTGTCACTCCCGTTAATACTTGGCATTGTTGTTCTTTTTTATTTTAGCCGTTCTAGTCAATGTAAAGTGGTATCTCATTGTGGTTTTAACCTTGGACCTATCTTTAGCCCTAGGAAAAGTATGGTTAATTTGAACAGTGTTGAGAATGGCTCCATGCCTGTGTACTTGTAACCTGGCATTTGAAATGTCAGCAGAGAAAAGCTGATCTGGAATTCCAATGAACACTATTGGCTGATTCTTGAAAACACAAATGGGGGGTCCCGCAGCATAACCCGTGACACCAACCCCTTTCAGTTTCTTCCTTATCAGCCCTTGTTTTGCATGAAGTCGCTGAAGGAAAGTGAGGTCCACAATCTGCCAGACACCAGGACGACTCTTCCCGGGGTGACACAGCCTACCAGGTAGGTATTAGATGAAGTGGTTCATGCCCCATTGAGGAAATGTGCTGGGCGTGTCCTTTGCCCTCTCAGAGGGACCTCGTCCAAAGGGTCTAAGTGAACACTGTTCATACACAGGAACAGGCTGAGGTCCTGGCCAGAGGTGTAGAGGTTCTTTGTGTGACATCCATAAACTGACTTCACAGGCATCTGTAAACCCTCTGAAGTTGCATGCACACTTTTGCATGTACATGATTTCTTTTTTTTTTTTTTTTTCTGTGAAAGAGTTCATTGCCTTTATTGGGTTATCAAAAACAGAGATTGCTAGTTATCCCCAAACCTCCATTTTCCCCCCTTTCTTCTCAGTAATAGAACCTCTGAATTCTTTCTGGACACATAACCCATGTGAAATAAAGACTAAAATTTTTAGCCTCCTTTGCAGGCTGGAAGTAACCTTGTGATGAATTACCGGCCAAGGGAATATAAATAGACATGGTATGTGCAAGTTCTGGGAAGTGTTTGTAAAAAGAAAGAGATCTTTTTTCTTCCTACTGGCTGGAGTGCAGATGTGATGGCTGGAGCTTGAGTAGCCACCTTAGACCATGAAGTGGCAAAGAGATGAGGGAGGAAGTCTGGATCTCACATGAAGATGGAACCATCATATCAACTTTGGACTGTTTCCATAGACTATATCTGCGTTAGAGGAAAATACATTTTTCTCTTGTTTAAGCTGCTAATATCTTGAGTTGTTTGGTAGGCAGCCTCTAAGATAGTCCTCAATGATTCTCCCTCCCGGTATTTATACCCTTGTATAGGCCCCTCCCACATTGTACCAGGGTTGGCTTGTATGACCAGTAACAACCATATGGCAGAAGTGATGGCGTGTCACTTCTGTGGTTAGGTTATACAAAGACTGCTGCTTCTGTCTTGGGTTTGCTTTCTCTCTCTCATGGGTCACTGGTTCCAGGGAAGTTATGTCATGAGCAGCAATACAAAGAGGCGCATGTAGCAAGGAACTGACGCCTCCTGCCAACAGCCACATTAGTGAGCTTGGAAGTGGATCCTTTAGCCCCGGTGGGGTCTTCGGAGACCGAAGCCCCAGACAACGCCTTGATTGCAGCCTTGTGTGAATAACTTGGAGCCAGAACCACCAGCTAAGCTGATCCCACATTCCTGCCCCTCAGAAACTGTGTGAGATGATCAAAATAGGCTGTGTAAGTTGTGGAGTTTTGGAGCAATTTTCTACCTAGAAATGCAGAATGAATACAGGCTTCCTGTTACCACACGGGCAAAGCCCGTCCTGCTGATACAACCTATGAAGGGTAAGAAGTACCAAGTTAGGTAAGATCTAGGCGGCTCTATTCCTGGGTTCCAGCCCCAAACCTCCAGACATGTGCTCCTTGGCGCTGGTCAGACCACATCACCAACCTGAACCTCAGTGTCCTCATCTGTAAAGTGAGACAGTTGCTCTCCCTGCTGCTGGGCCTTTTCCAGCTTATAGAGTCTCAAATTATGGAGATACGGACGGCAGCAGAGAGGTAGGAGGGGCAGACACCTAGAGTGCTTTTCTGTGGCAGGTGTAAAACTATTTTGATACTTTGATGAGCTTTGTTGGGTTTTCTCCGGTTTGGGAAGGTTCATGAGGCTTAGTGAGGATTGAATTGCTCTGCCTAATTAGAAAGAGTTTTCCAGGGGGTGGCCTGCAAGTGGGGAAAGAAAGGGGCAGGGAGAGAAGGGGGACCAAAGGAGAAAACCCCATGGACATGGTCGTGAACTGGGGTCAGTGAGAAATTCCCCGACACGACGATCTGCTGAGGAATTTTTAAAATAATGAAGTGTCATGTCAATTTTTAATTATCATGTGCTGTAATCAATTTTTTTTTTGAAACAGTCTTGCTCTGTCACCCACGTCGGAGTGCAGTGGCACAATCTCGGCTCACTGCAACCTCCACCTCCTGAGTTCAAGCAATTCTGGTGCCTCAGCCTCCCTAGTAGCTGGGATTACAGGCATGTGCTACCACGCCCAGCTGATCTTTTTGTAGTTTTAGTAGAGACAGGGTTTCACCATGCTGGCCAGACTGGTCTCGAACTCCTGACCTCAAGTGATCTGCCTGTCTCAGCCTCCCAAAGTCCAGGGATTGCAGGCGTGAGCCACCGCACCCGCCGTGTAATCGATTTCCATTACTCTAAACTCACGCACACATGCACATACACATGTGCATGCACACTACCATGCCTCGTTATCCTGGAGGCATAGCATAGGGTAGAATTTTTTTTTTTTTTGAGACGGAGTCTCGCTCTGTTGCCCAGGCTGGAGTGCAGTGGTGCGAGCTCGGCTCACTGCAACCTCTGCCTCCCGGGTTCAAAGGATTCTCCTGCCTCAGCCTCCCAGGTAGTTGGGATTATAGGCACTTGCCACCACACCCAGGTAATTTTTGTATTTTTAGTAGAAATGAGGTTTTGCCATGTTGGCCACGTCTTGAACTCCTACCCTCAATCGGCCGTCCTCGGCTTCCCAAAGTGCTGGGATTACAGGCACGAGCCACCGCGCCTGGCCAACATAGGGTAGATTTTAACGGCAGAGAAATTGCATCCGACAGGCCTGGCTTTGAATCTAGGCCCTGCCTCTTGCCAGCTGGGTGATGTTGAATCTATCGCCTCCCCTCTCTAAGCCTCAGTTTGACCTTATACAATGAAGCTAAAATAAAGTAGCCTCTGTTGAAGTTGCCGCGGGGAGGAAATCAGATTCTGCTGTCATGGTCCTCCGCCAGATTGAGCTCCTTGTCGGAGCTCAGGGGCTGCAGGCCTCTGTTTGAAAGTGCTCGTGGTTTGCGTTCCTTTGTTTCTTCTCACTGCAGGCCAATTGCGCTTCTGAAAAGGGTGAAAAAAACCTCCTCTTCTGCCGAGTGTCCACCTGCCCATCTCTCCCCCAGCCATAAGGAAAGATTGCACTGTGTAACACCATCCCTGAGGGCCTGGGAGCCCAGGCCACCCTGGGAGGTTGGCTTCTAGTGAAAACACAAGGCCCAGGCTGGCGGCTTGAGGGCTGAGGCCTGTCCCTCAGTGGCAGAGCTCTCAGCAAGGCTGCCACCTTCTTGATGCTCTGTTTGTTTTACCAGGTGCAGAAAACCTCAACCAAGCCACCCAACCCCAGTGAGTAACAGAGACCAGGACTTGGCCTGGGCAGGGGTGGGGCAGGTCCGCTGGGCTTGGAGTGACCACAGCTGCCTCACTCTGGAGAGGCACCACTACCTGGAAGGACAACAATAATGCTCTTCACTACCCTGCTGGTCATCCCTGCCTCCTGGCACTCAAGCTGTCTGTGGGCATTACCTCTTGGAGGCCATCACTTTCCCTTGGGATCAAGCAGCACCATCCCAGGTGGAGTGAGGAGAAACAGAGGCAACCAACGCAACAGAAGTTGCCAAGAAGGGAGGACCCAGAGAGGAGCTGCCGTGGCCTGTGTGCCAAACATCTGTCACCTCAGCCGATGCCTAGATGCTGTGAATGCCAAACCTAGGATCTTGCTTCTTTGATCTGCTCCTTCAGTGTCTCTCCAAAAGGGTCCTAGGATCTTGACCTCGGCCCAGCTGAGGCTGACTCCTCCTCCCTGGACCCTGGGATGGTGGTGTGTTGAGGGCAGGCAGGCACTGGCTTGCTGTCCACTCTGGGCTGCCACACACCTTGCTGGCACCTGCCTGGCGCCCCAAGGGGCCTGGCCCAAGCCTCATCTTTGCAGGACAGGACCTTGATTCCCTGTTCCACCCCCACTCCCATTCTGTGAACTTTTATCACATTAATCAAACTCTCAAAGCAGCTAAGTAATAGACTTCACCACATTCACTTGAGAATAATAGAGACCAAAATGCCAATGTATTAATTACCTGCAGGAGCTCTGTATTAGTCTGCTTGGGCTGCAATAAGAAAATACCACTTACTGAGGGGCTTAAGCGACAGAAATTTTATTTTCTCACAGTTCTGGAGACTAGAAGTCCAAGATCAAGGTCTCTGCAGGGTTGGTTTCTTCGGAGGCCTCTTTCCTTGGCTTGTAGATGATTGCCTTCCCACTGTGTCCTGACACAATCTTTCCTTTGTGCACACACACCCTGGT
The DNA here is from genome assembly GCF_000001405.40 of Homo sapiens. Taxonomy (NCBI): domain Eukaryota; kingdom Metazoa; phylum Chordata; class Mammalia; order Primates; family Hominidae; genus Homo; species Homo sapiens. The sequence continues at coordinate 39,914,246 of NC_000023.11, read as the reverse complement.
GTCTCTCTGTGTGTCTAAATTCCCTCTTCTTATGAGGACAACAGTCAGATTGGATTAAGCCCACCCTAATAGCTTTATTTTAACTCGATTATCTTTGTAAAGGCCCTATCTCCAAATAAGGTCACGTTCTGAGGTCCTGAGACTTCAACATATGAATTTGAGGGGAACAATTCAGCCCATAAGTTCAGTCTGGAGTGAGTAATGGGATTGACCTTGGGCACAGAACTTCCTGATGGGCAGACAGACCTACCCAGGAGCCTGGGCCCTGGGTCCAAAGATTGCTTGGCCATTTAAAGAGGACCACAGAAACTTTGAGGCTTCTCCTATGGAGAAGTGGGGTCAGTTACCCCTTCCCTGAGTCTGGGCTGGGCCCAAGCTGCTTTGACTAATGGAGGATGGCAGAAGTGATGCCATGCCAGTGTCAGGCTTAGACTTTTCAAAGGCTCCTGCCTTGGTTCCTTGGAGCTCCAAGTCACCATGTGAGAAGCTGGACCACACTGCTGGAGAGACCCCGTGGAATGGTCACAATGCTACATGGAAAGGGAGAGAAGCCCTGCTGAGCCAGCCCTCCAGCCTCCCTTGCCAAGGCACCAGGCACAGGAGTGGGGCCATCTTGGATCCTCCAGACTAGAGCAGTTACTAGATGAATATCATCAAGTGACCCCATTCAATGCCATGTGTTGCTGAAGAATCACCCAACTGAGCCCTGCCCTAATTCCTGACCCCCATCATCATGAAAGATAATAAAATGGCTGTTGTTTTAAGCCACTAGGTTTTAGGGTCCTCTGTGATGCAGCAAGGGTTCACTGGAGGGTTTAGTAACTATGGAAGTGATATAACAGGAGTTGGATGATGTTGAGGGATATTCTTGCCAGGCTGGTGAAGAAGGACTGGTGAGTCACTGTCCCCTCCACAGTGAGAGCATGGCTGAGCAGGCTGGGCTGTCTGCTACCTTCCCATCTGGGGTTAAGAGAGCAGGCAATCTCTTTCTTCCCAAGCTCCATCTTCAGGAATCTGAGAAAGCCCTGGACTGGGCACTGTTGCCATTCTGGAGGCTGTGAAGGGTCAGGAAAAGGCAGAGAAGAGGAACTGCCATTTCTTAGCACCTCCAATGAGCTTCTGAGTTCCTCATGGGTGAGATTCCCTTTAATTTGCCCCGCTCTCCTGCCAGGAGGCCCAGTTCCAGCCAAGATCCCAAACAACAGATAGTGAGAACCTCTGCACATGAGAGGGGGCCTTTGGGTGCTCCCACCCCAGACTCCCAGCTGCCCCAGCTGACACCGAGTGGAGGAGAAAGAAGCTGTCTCCATCATGCCCCATTGAAATTGCAGGTTGGTGAGCAAAATAAATGTCATAGTTTTAAGCCATTAGGTTTTGGGTGATTTTTTAAAGTGCAGCAATAGGTAACTGGAACTGGGAGACAGGTGAAAGAAAAAAAATGTAACAACACCATGTGGTACTTTTTCAATAAAGGTACCCACACATGGGCGTAAGGAGAGGAGAGTAAATGTTAACCTTTGTGTGTGTGTGTGTGTGTGTGTGTGTGTGTGCGTGCGTGCGCACATGCATGTATGTGAGATGGGGTGGGTGGGGTATTCATCAGACAAAGTGCCATGGGAGAGATGGGGCTGAAAGCTGATATTTCCAGGCAGGCAAAATGGGGTATGCAAGGGTGCTCACTAAAGGAAGAGCCAGTGCAGTCACAGAGCTGCAGAGTCACGGAGCCACAAGGTCACAGAGCTGCAAGGTCACAGAGGTGGGTAGAAGCCCAGGGCTGAAGCCCAAAAGGGAGCTGGCTTTTGCCCGCCCATTGCAGTGCAGGTTCCAGCTCTCATTTACACATTATTTTCTTCCAGTTGCATCTGAGGCTGGTGGATGCTAGCCAGAGAGGGCCCTAGGTTGCATCAGGGAACCGTCTGCAAATCTGTGCAGAGGGCGATGGCGTGGGGGTGGCTTTCTTGTGGGGAGTGAATCCCAGGCAGGCTCTGTAGCTCCTCAACAGGATGGGGTGGGGACAGAGGCTTCTCCGCTCCCCAACTCCAGGGCCTATCCTCCCTCACTCTCTGGGTCCTTCATCTGGATATCAGCTGACTTGAGGCCGTTGGTTCCTGAACGCTGGGGGCTGCTGAGCCTTGGACTATCCCTGATGCAGGGGGTGGTGATCAATGCCCTTGTGTGATGGCTCGGAAGTCTGGGAGTGAGATCAAGCCAGGATTCGGGAATAGGGAGAGATCTCTGGGGACCTGGCTATTCTAGTGAGACAAGCACCGCCCCTCCTCAGAAGCCATTCCCAAAGCCTTCATCTCTCCAGCTGCTTCTCTGTCCAGTCTACTGAATGAGTGTGGAAGGGTCTTGCAGCTCTCAAAGGCCCGTGTAAATGGAGCAACGTCTGCGTGCATCTGTTCTGCGCAGGCCCTGTGCTAAGATCTCCACACGTCTCTGCTCATTTACTTCTCCTGGCAGCCCTGGGAGGAAGGTGCTATACTGTTGCTCTCCGCATTTTATTGGAGAGGAAACTGAAGCTTAGAAAGGGCACAGGAGTTGCGCAAGGCCACATGACGACCACTGTGGGTCTGCCCGACCCAGGGCGCCGTGCTCTCCAGCACTCACCAGTGCTGCTGCAAAGACCAAAGAGATGCCATTATTCCTTTAGTCTGGCCTGGTGGTTAAAGGCACAGACTCTGGAGCCAGGCCACTAGGGACAAATCTTGGTTCCACCTGTGTGACCTTGGGAAAGTTACTCAACGTCTCTGTGCCTCAGTTTCCTAATCTGTCAAATGGGGCTAGCACTAGCACCTGCCTCAGAGCTGTGATGAGGAGGAAATGAGTGAATGCATGTCAACCACTTAGTACAGTACCTGGGGTGAGGTTGTTGCTGGATGCGTTAGCTACTGTGATGAATTTCCCCCAACTCTCATGTTACTAAGTATAGACGCCACTTAGCCTTTATATCTGATTGCATCATGGGCGGTTGCAACTATATCTATCTCCCTGATTAGACTGTGAGCTCCCGGAGGGCAGGAGCAAGAATAACTTAGAGGTGCATCATAGAGACCCCCATTTCCTCCTCGCTCTGCTCCCATCCTCCCCATCCTCCCCATTTAGTAGGAGGTGTCTCTGCCTTTGTGGATTGACAGAAGAAAGAATTAATGATCCTTTAAAGCCAGGGAAGAGGGAGTCAGGCAGAAAGGACAGTGGATGGGGGCGCTGAGGGCTGGGGGGCTGGTCTCGGACTCCCAGTGCCCCTCCCTGGGAGCTGGAGCTCCTTGCGCAGCCCGGGCCTGCCCTGGGCCCTGCGGCCTCTGCAGGTTCCCAGAACCCCGACAAGCATCTCCTTGTCTTCCCGGGACTCTTGGTTCTGGGCGCCTTGTCCTGCCCTGTTCCCTGCAGCTCTGCACACAGCGCTTGGCAAGAGTGGCCCGGGCACTGGAGAAAGGCTTGCGGAATCGTGCTGCATTCTAATGACGAAGTGTCTCCTCGCAGTGCCGCCTCCCTACTTTGGGCCTCAGCTCGTTTTACTGTCAGCTCTCCCAGCTTGTCAACAGACTTGCAGCGAGGCTGGGCCAAGAGGCTGCAAGAAAAATTCAGGGTGGTCACAAGCCGGGCCTCCCTCTAGGTGGGAAGGGGCTGGAGTCAGCGTTCGAGCCCTGCCTGGGCCTCTCAGGGCACTGTGGGTGGACAGAGCATCCCTCGCCCCTGCCGGCCCCATGTATGTCCAAGCCGGGGAGGGGAGAGGAATGCAGAGCCAAGCTGTGGCAGGGCTGGAGGGGCCCCAAATGCCCATATCCCTCGGAGGAATACAGAGGTCCAGTGCCTACCTGGTTCTGCCCCAGGGCCTGAGGCGGCTTCTCTCCCATCCATCATTGCCCTGATGTCTAATCTGTGCTGGTTTGTCCTCCTGCCCTGTCTGCCAGCCTTGGGGAACATTTGGGACCCTCAGGGCCTAGCCACATGATAGGCCCAAGTAGGACTGGCTCTGCGTCAGGGCTGGAAGTGTGTGCTGAGCTCAGCCCACAGGGAGGCCTGCTGCCTGCTGTTGACGCTGGTGGCCATCTCTCCCCATCGTCAATGTTCAGGAGATTTGGCTGGTCACCCCTGGCCTGGGTTTCTTCTCCATGCCACCGCCCCACCTCGGTAATTCCCCTGGAGACTTCTAGAGCTTCCAAGTTGAAAGGGACCTGAGAGCTCACTTTGTCTAAATCTCTGCCTCCAGCTGCCTCTCTCAAAGCCTTCTACTCTGCTGCCAGGGTTACCTTTCAGGACCAACCCTAGATCCCTCTACAATCTTCCATGCCTCACCATTGCCCTCAGGAGTAAGTTTGATCCCCTTAGCTGAGCCCCCCGAGGCCTGCGATGATGGATTCCTGCAACTTTTCCAGGCCTCATCTAGTGCCCCCGACCCTGTTATCCCATATTCCAGCCACATATAGCAGTTGGCAGCCCCCTGGTGGGTGAGACTATGGCCTTGTGTTTTTTTTCTTTCCTGTTTCCCTTTCATCTCCCTTCCCTCCCCTATTTCCTTATTAACCTGGGCCACCTCCTCTATGCAGCCTTCCCCGATTATCCCTCCACACACTCAACACATCACCTAATCCCTGGTGCTTTGTGGTGGGCTGAGTAGACCTCAATTGCAGCACCTGGGACAGGGGGTATTGCCCTGTATTCTCCTTCAGGATGCTTCTCCTCCCAGGCCAGAAGCTCTTGGAAGGCAGGGCAGGCACATCTTTCCTGATTTTCCTTCTCTAGAACCTACCAGGGTATCTTAGGTAAGAATTCTCCAGGGCAAGGTGCGGTAGCTCATGACTGTGATCCCAGCACTTTGGGAGGCCAAGGTGGGTGGATCACTTGAGGTCAGGAGTTGGAGACCAGCCTGGCCAACATGGTGAAACCCCGCTCTACTAAAAACACAAAAATTAGCTGGGCGTGGTGGCACACACCTGTAATCCCAGTTATTGGGAGGCTGAGGCAGGAGAATCGCTTGAACCCGGGAGGCGTAGGTTGCAGCAGTGAGCCAAGATCGTGCCACTGCACTCCAGCCTGGGCAACAAGAGTGAAACTCCGACTCAAAAAAAAAAAAAAGAAAGAATTCTCTAGAAGCAGAGCCTGAGGGGGAAGTCCCGTGTGAGTGCTTTATGGAGCAAGTCCTTGCAGGAGAAGCCAGCGAGAGAGCGAGGGCAGCAGCGCGGCAGGGAAGAGGTGAAGCAAGGAGGGAAGCTCAGCGGAAGCCTGGCCTCAGCCTGATCCCAGGGCGGGGGTGGGGGCCATGGAGGGTCCAGGGCAGCAGAGAGCACGGAAGAGTCAGAGAGTGAGAGGGCAAGAGAGGAAAGTAAGGCAGCAAGAGGGCAAGCAGGAGAGAGTAAGCCGAGACAGCAAGAGAGTGGCGGGGTGATGGACAGGGGGCATGAAAGAGGGCACAGAGCGGGGAACAGAGCACCAGGGAGAAGAAGAGAGTAAGTGAAAGCCAGCAAGCAAGGAGGACGGGAGGAGGAGGACAGAGAATGCAGGGAAATGAGGGGATGGGAAACATATTTCTGGAGTGTGGGCACAAGAGAGGGAAAGCATGAGAAAATAAAGGAAAAGCATGAGAGAGAGAGAGAGACAGAGAGGATGAGTGAGCGCAGTGCGAGCCTGTCCCAGGCTCTCAGGGCAGTTCAGGAGTCATGGCTGGGCTGCGGGCTTTCCCTGGGGCCCACGTGGGTGAGAGATTGAGCAACGCCTCCCTGGCGTGCTCTCTGTGTGGTGCCCCTGGCAAATTTCCCTGAGGCCCTCCTGTTCCAGGGGACTCTCGGGGCCACCGCTTGGGCCAGAGGAGAGCGGAACTGGGTAATCGACTCACCGTGGGCATTTCTGTGCAGGCTCATTCTCTAATTCCACAGCTCCTCAAGGAGGGGGCGGCCCTGTTATTATTTCCATGTCACCACAGAGGAATCTGAGGCCCGGGGAGACCTGACAGGGCTCAGAGGTGAGTCACTGAGAGAGAATTCATGTCCCTGGATTCCCTTTCCTCTAGGAGAAGAGACGTAACTCCAGATGGAGCATCCAGTGCCCCCGTGATGCCTCTGCCACAGCACATGTCCAAATGCAAACACCCAGGGCCAGGCAGGGGGCTAGAGAAGGGTCCCCTTGTCTTCCAGGCCCTTGAGAGGCCTTGCTAAGCTCCCACTGGAGGCCAAGCCCTCCTTTCCACTTGCTTAGACTTGGTCAGAGGAGGGAGGGTGGGCACAGGGCATGGCGGGTGGTGGAAAGGGACCAGCACCAGGCTCTGGGTCACCTCTGTTCCAGTCCCAGCTCTGCCACCAAACAACATGTGACCTCGAACAAGACACTTAATTTCTCAGAGCCTCCATTTCCTAATCAGTAAAACACTGACAAGGCTTGCCTTGCCCACTACCTTAAAAGCTCGTTGTCAGGGCCCATTAAGATAATACAAGTCAATATCTAGTACCATTTCACAGAGGTCTCCCGGAGGCCCTTTGTAAATTCTGTCTTAGCTTCCTATGGCTGCCTATAACAAATGACCACAATTTGGTGGCTTAAAACAGTAGGAATATATTCTCTTATGGTTCTGGAAGCTAGAAGCCTGAAGTCAGTTTCACTGGGCCATACTTTCTCATGAGAATCCAGTGAAAAATCTGTTCCTTGCCTCTTCTGGCTTCTGGTGGCTGCTGGCCTTCCTTGGCTTGTGGCTGCCTCACTAATCACTACAAACGTCAAGGCCAGCATCTTTGCATCTCACTCTGCTCCACGTTCACGTGGTCTTCTCCTCTTCCATTTGATTGATGCAGGCACCAGGCTCAGGGAAGTTACCCCACGGATCAAGGTCATCGCCAGTGAGAGAGCTGGAATTCGAACTGAGGCCTCGGAAATTTAAACCTCCGTTCTCTGTTCCAGCTCGGCCAGAGCCTGCCTCCTGGGGCCTCTGTGGCCTCTTTTGGGGAGCCCTCTGGAGCCAGCCTGTGGCTGTCCCTGGCTCATGTCCAGCCAATGAATCGAGGACTTGAGGCTCAGGCTGGACTGTGGTGTCTAAATAAAGGGTGCCCTTGAGATTAGAGCAGAGGTCAGGAGAGGACACCGGCTGCAGATGACCAGCCCAACGGGGTGGCCTCAGTGGCCCATCAGAAGGCTGGGGGTGGGCTGGCCTCACTTGCAGCGAGCTCTACCCTCCAGTGCTCTGCCAGCTGGGCAATCTAGGATCTCAGGACTGAGGTCAATGCTGACATAAAAACCAGTTGACTCAAGCAAGACCACCTACATATTTAAACAGATCTTTGAGAACGAAGGGGTTGTGTCATCACTTGGGGATGGAGAGACAGAATGGGTCTCAGACTGGGGACTAGAACTTTCTTTGCTTCAAGAAATTTGTCCTTTTAAGAGGCTGATGCCTGAGAGGGCCCTTTCTACCTTCTCCTTGTCCTGTTGAAAGAAATGGCAAAGTCTGTCCAGTTTAGTTCTGGAGAAAAGGTAAAACAAGGCTGTGTGCGTGCACATGTGCGTGTGCAGAAGTGTTGAGGGCAAAGAGATAGAGCCATTTAATTTTTTTTTAAAAAGCCAGATGAACCGGCAGAACTCGACACTGCTTACTCTATTCCACATTTTATCCGCAGAATAAGAGCCAGAACAAGAGATCCAGGAACATGGGAAATACGGCTGTGGCTGAAGTCTTATCTGGGTTAAAAACCCCAGGAGTGCTCCTCTTTAATTTTTTGGCAGAGCAGGATCAAGGAATCGATTCACTCTGGTTATGCTTCCTACCATTGTTTCTGTGGGCCGTGTTTGATCTGTGTTTCACGTGCAGATCTGCTATCCACGCTCTGAAAGAAATAATATATTCTGCATTGCACCAGGTCAGCCTCAACCATGAAAAACCTTTTTTGGATGATTTCAAAGCCACACATAAGCTCGCGCGTGAACACACACACACACACACACACACACAGACACACCAGCGTGCGCATGTTCACACACACACTGTTTGTGTAAAGGATTAAAAAAGAATGAAAGGCCCAGTTGCAGAACATGACCAGGGTTCCAGACGTGGAGTGGCCAAGGCTGTGGCCCTCACCCGCTGACCTGGGCCAGCCATGTCCCCTCTGAGTCATGTGTGTGCCCCACCCCTGCGGGCAGGGGGCATCCGGACCATTCGATGGTGTGCCTGGTGAGGTTATTATTAGTAACAATGGTTTCCAGTGAAAGAGTAATTTTCACAGTGGAGAAGGCTTCCCCTTCCTTCAGGTCAAAAGCTGAACGGAGACGAAAATGACATTAACCAGTGCAGGATCCTGAAAAGATGAAATGCTCAACACCTCCCAGCTCTAAATTGGACTGGGCGTTTACTAGCGTTTTAAGGGCCAGAGGGAAGTTGAAGCAACTGCCGGGGTAACACACACGTGAAAAATGTGAGGCCAGACAGTCCGGGCAAATAAATAACCCTGTGCTGGCAATAAGAGACGTGCCTGGAGTTTTAGCGCGGGGCTGTAAAAGTTGACAGGAGCCATTTGGACTGAAAACGGCCGTGTGGATAACGCTGCCAGGTTTTGCCAAGCGCCCGGCTGTTGAATACTACAAAACTGAATAGATGAAAAAGAAAACAACAGCCACAAAAGAGAAAAAAAAATTGCAACACGAAACCACCCACGCAGTGTCCACCTACCCCTTCCCCTCACGCTTGGTGCCCTCTCCCTTTGTTTAGATAAGGTGTCCACTGCTGCTGCTGCTGTTGGCCACCAGCCAGCTTTCTGTCTCCAAACTTGGGGCTTCAGCGCCACACAGGAGACACAGCTCTCTGATGCTGCCGGCCCGGGTGTCAGCAGCACCCCGAGGGTCCCTGCGGCTTTGTGTTCCCAGAACGATGATTTGTTTGACAACGGGCTTTCCTTCCAGACTGTTCTTCCAGTCTGGCACAGTGTGTGAGTCTCCAGAGACAGGACAGGGCTGTGGAGTGCCAGAGCAGGCACCTCCGGCCACGGGGTCGGGCCACTGTCTAATTATGATGGCCACATAAAAGAAACCCAGACACAGTCAAAGGCCAAGGAGTGCTTTTGGTTTCATGGACTAACTGAAGCATTTAAGCTCATCAGGCCTGAAAAAGTTAAGTGCAGGGGGAGCAGGACGGACAAGACTGGACTTATTCTATGGCGCACAAAAGATTCTTAATAAGCTCAGAGAAGGGTCCCCCACCGCCGCCACTCACGTCTTTCTCTCCCTGCTTCATTCCAAAGCTTCTGTGTTAGGCAAAGAGACGGCTCCGACAAGCTGCCCGGGAGGTCGGTGAGGAGGCTGTGGGTGAGCTGCTCCCACGAGGTTGAGCAGGGCTGTCCTGGTGAATGACAGATCAGGGCAGTGCACGGTGGTCTCCAGGCAGCCTTGAGCAGCCAGGCCAATGTGGTGCTCAGGAGAGGCAGGATGCAACACCCATTCTGGTCTCTGTTCAGGCTTTCTCTGAGAATTCAGAACTTTTGAATCAGTTTGATGATTAGCCTTCACCCTCCTGAAAGCAGAAGGGAAAGGCCAGAGGGACTGATTTTCTAAGTGGCACTGGAATCAGTTTAGAGGGGCTTTCCATAAGGAACTGTAGAGCTGCAGCGCTTAGGAAAATGAGAACCTTGTCTGTTGGTGAGTCCATCCTCCTTGATCTCCCAAACACTTTCTCCTCCCTTCTCAGCTACGGGGGCACCTGGGGAGAGCTGGGATAGCCTGGTTCACCCAGGACGTCAGAGGTACAGTCTCAGGATGTGAAGAAAGGCTCTGCCCTGGCCTGTCATATCGTGACCAGTTTGATAGATTGTGTTAAAGGCAGGAGTGGTCACCAGGGAGTCAAGAGGCCTAAAGTGGACATTGGCACGGCTTGATCCACCCGGGGCAGAGATGTTGGTTGTGACTTCTGCTTCTTCTTTCTATGACACACGTACAACACTCCCATCACAGACTCAGTTTCCCAGGAACCTCAAAGAGGACGGTGCAGAGGTGGTCACAAGCTTTCCTGCCCTGGGAAAGGAATGCACCCCATTGCCAATAGCTGTGTTGGGCATCTGATTTATCCACCAATCTTCTGAGTTTGGTGACTATGAGTCAGGTTTGGCAGGCAGGTCTGTGCCAAGTATGCTGACCAAATTCTGTTTCTGAGTCAGCTCCTGACTGTGGTGGTTTGCCAGCCTACCTTCCCCTAGCTACTGTCTCAGAGATGGACTCCCCTCTGTCACTTTAGCGAGTCTTGGTTGCAAGGCCACTTTTATTCCTGGTCAGCCCTACCCGCTGCCGTGGTTTTTAACTGGTGCCTCAGGCATGGGGGCAGCATGGGTGGGATGGGGTGGGGTACACTCACATTGGAGGAAAAGCAAAGGAGAAGAGGGGAAGGAGGAGGTGTAAGCCTCATGCACGTTGGTCGGGTCTGGCAGTTGCTCTTTCCGACTTGGAGTCCTGGGGGATCTCCTCTGGAGGATTATGTAATAGGGGAATTGAGATGGGAGAGAGGTCAAAAGCTCCCGTAGAGCCCCTGAATTATAGCCTGTTTCTTGAATTATACAAAATTGATGCTTTAAACCCAAAGGAAACAAAGAAAAAACTATGAGCTATGACAGCTTGCTTATCCAGAAATTACTTGATTTAGCAATCCCAAGTATCTGGAACAACCAAGAAGAACCAAAATATGTGAGGAATTCCCTGTTCTAAGTAGTCATCGTTGTACAAATGCTCGATCCTTTTTCATCAGAACCTCTTTACTCTTATTTCACACACGATTCTAACCAACTAGATGACTCTAAAATTCCTTCAACACCCCCTTTCATTTTTGCTTTTGTTTTGACTCCCATGACTAAAATCAGGAATACAAGAGAAAGAGGAACAAGTTGGAAGGATAATTAAATGAGTTCAGGTTTGGACACAGACTAAGAGGACTCTGGGATACTAAAAGCGGGAGGGAGGGGTTATTATTTTGTTTTTGTTTTCTTTTCTTTTTGTAGAGACAGGCTCTCACTCTGTTGCCCAGGCTGGAGTGCGGTAGCTCACTACAGCCTTGAACTCTCGGGCTCAAGTGATCCTTCTGCCTTGGCCAGGAAGGGATTATGGTCAACAGTAGAGCAAAAGAAGAGATGGGAACAAACTATTTAATAGAAACCAGAACTCAAAGAGGATAGCCGGGTGGGGCCATCCAATGAAGGACCAAAGATACAGAAGGCCTCTTTGTCTTTCAGCAAGACACAGTTGTCGATGTTCTGAGTGAGTGGGCCACCAAGACACACACCAAGTGTGTCAGCGCCATCTAAGGAAATGGGGACATGTGAAATGCAGTTTAGACTTGGTTTATTTAAAAATAGTTATGCTTTTTAAGTTTTGGAGTTTACAGAGGGTTAGCTTTACTTATCCTGCAACTTCATTTCTTTAAAACAACCCATTCTTCCCTGATGCTGGTTAGGTGAGGGGTTAGTGTTTTTCTACTTGTTATGGCTTAAAGATAAAAAAAAATTCTGCTGGTTGCCCAAGAAAATTTACCCTGTCTCACTTGACATGAGAAGGCTGGCATTCTTTTGAATAAGCACGCTTCTTGCATATTGCATTCAAAGCAATGCCAGGCTTCCCATGTCAAGAGAGCTTTCTTTAGTTGGAAAACAATTGATTTGCAGCACTGTTCCCTGGCTTCTAGAAGGGAGGAAGGGTTCTACAATAGGGAGCAGGACATTCCCATTCTCCCTTTGTTCCAGACAATGGGAAGGGGACTCCTTTGGCCTGGCTGCACCCTCACTAGCAGCTTGATGGGTACAGTCGGACTTGCCTGAGTGCTCTCCCTCCCCTTGGTTATGGGTGGCTCTGTAGGTGGCCCTGTAGGTTGGTGTGCACCTTTCTCCTCTCAGAAAGATGGAAGCCACTTTAGGGGTAACATTTTCCAGGCTGGAATGGTCAGCACCAAATTCTACCCTTTCTGGAGTCTCTCTGTCTCTCTCTCTCTCTCTCTCTTTTTTTCAGAGACAGGTTCTTGCTCTGTCACCCAGGCTGGAGTACAGTGGTGCCATCAAGGCTCACTGCAGTCTTGAACTCCTGGGCTCAAGCCATCCTCCCACCTCAGCCTCCTGAGTAGCTGGGACCACAGGCCCTTTCTGCTGGAGTTTGTAGCAGAGCTGGAGGATTGCTTCTCAGGGAACCTTCAGCTCCCTAGACCACACCACTATTTCTGCCTTCTGGCCAGTGTCGCGAGTCCATTTCTGTCAGGATCACTTCTTGTCACTCTGAGTGACAGTCTGTGAGGGTCCTTCCCCTCCCACACACCCCTGAGATCTACTGCTCTGGAGAGAAGGAAGCTACTTTATGGAACATTTATGAGCCTGGCATTTAATAGGCACTGAATGCATATTTGTTGGAAGGAAGGGAGGAAAGCTGGAAGGAGAGAAAGAAAGATGACTCCAGTGGTACAGAGCACTGGTTCTCAATCTTAACTTCATGTTGGAGTCAGCTGGGGGGCTGTAAGATGTACCGATGCCTCTGTCCCAGCCCCAAAATTCAGACTTCTTGGGTCTCAGGTGTGGCCTGGGCGTGGGGTGTTTTAAAAGCTCCCTATAGGTTTCCATGTGCAGCCCAGGTCAGGGACCACCGACATAAAGAGTATGGCTTCAGAGTCAGAAAGAATAGAGTGGCTTTGAGTAGGTTGCTGAAGTTGAGCCTCAGTTTCCTCATCTGTTTTGCAGGCGGTGATAATACCCACCTCATGGTGTCCTTGGGAGAGCAAAGTGAGACCGTAAATACGAAGCAGGGAGCATGAAGCAAATACTCTGGAATGCTGGATGGTAACGCATGGTAATGCATGGTTACTGGCATTCCCACACCAGAAAACATTGAACTGAAATATCTAAAATCACCTTCCCATCCTCCAGGTCTTGAGGCTGCCTATTTTCTATCCTCTTTTGCCTCTTAGCTCCAACTCAAAGACTTGCAAGTGGCTGAGGCTTATTAAATATTCGCAGGCTGACCCAGAAGGGGAAGGAGAGCCCAGCAGAGTTCAGCAGACCCCAGGAGTTTGGTTTTCCCTTTAAATCTTCGGGAGGAAAGGTGGTGTTAGAACCCTAGACGGGAGGTTTTATGATGCCCTTATTGATTGCTGTGAAAACAGCCTGGCGGTGGCTCCTGCGGCCCCCCTGGGCAATCTTGGGGCATACACAGTGACCCGGCACCCCAGCATGCCCAGAGCTAGCGCTCTGACTCCAGCCCCCACTCTCTGCCTTTGATGAGAGACACCGAGTGATCCTCAGCCCTGGGGACTTGTTCAGCTGTTCGGCATTTAGCAAAATCTGGCGTGTACTCTGCACCGCGCTCCACCCCTGTCCTCCCAGCTTCTCTTTAGCATTTCAGAGGAAGCATCAACTGCCTCGAACTGCAACCTTCAGAACAGGGGAGTGGGCACTCCGGCTCTGACCTGCTGTGCCCAGCTTTTGGTGACCTTTACCCACCTTCTGGTCTAAAGATGGGAACAAACTCTGCCCTGGTTGAGGGAACTGGAGCTGGCAGGCACACCAGGGGGCTCTCCGGATCGGGGGTGCCATGCCTGGGCTGAGATGTTCCGGTGATAATGACTACTGTGCGATGTCTGTAATTATGCAGTCTCTAAGCCCCCGGGGCTGGGATGGTGTATTTGCCTGTGCTGTTTGGGGGTTGATCCTGCTGTCAGCGCTTAGCAAGAATTAACAGTGACGCTCTGCGCACCACAGTCATAACACTAAATCTGATCTGCATGTTTATGATTCATTAAAAAAAAAACCCACCGTCGCTGAAACCCCTCCAAGCCCATCATTGAAAGAAATTATGCTCAGTTGAAAGAGCGATTTGACGTCACGGAGGATCTACGTGCCTTTTCATGAGCGGCTGGAATTAGAAGGCTGCGCTTCGGCAAGTGTAAACGGCATCCAGACTTGGAAAGCTCTGTGCAGCCAGCAACCTGTTTTCCAGGTGTAGATTGCTCACTTTCCGGAGTCTCTGAAGCTGGGTATTTTGAAGATCCCTGACAGGCCACCGCCAGCACCCTTATCACGCCCTTCTGGGCCACACCAAGCTCCTTCCCGGCAGTGTAGGTTCTGGAAAAGCCCATCTATTTTTTTTTTCTTTTTCTTTTGCATTTTAGCAGAAGCCCAGACATAAGTGGGAAGGACAGCGTGCTTCAACAACAAAACCCCAGCATTCCACAGTCAAGAAGTTAATTGGGGATGCTGGGCTGTTTGTGGTTTTCTGTGGCACCCTTCCACTTTATTGCTTGGATAATTAGGAGTTTTCTATTAACTCTTTTACATGGGATCAGAACCCATGGAGACAACCTCTCCCTTTATGGACTTGGCAGCCCTGTCCTGTGGGGAAAGCAGGGGACTGGGCAGCAGGACTTCTGGGTTCAAGTCTTCCCTTGTTCCAGGGACACTTGAACACGTTGTGGCCCCATATCTACAAAGTTGGGTCAGGAGATATCCCACCTCACTCTGTCTCTTAGAGTCCAATTGGAACAAGGAAACAAAACAAGAGATAAGGGCGTTTGATCTCTGACAGACAGATACAGGAACTTTTTTTTTTTGTGGGGGATGGGGGGACAGAGTCTCACTTTGCCACCCAGGCTGGAGTGCAGTGGCATGACCTCAGCTCACTGCAACCTCCGCCACCCGGGTTCAAGCAATTCTCGTGCCTCAGCCTCCCGAGTAGCTCGGATTACAGGCACCCGCCATCACGCCTGGCTAATTTTTGTATTTTTAGTAGAGACGGGGTTTCACCATGTTGGCCAGGCTTGTCTTGAACTCCTGACCTCAAGTGATCCATCTGCCTCGGCCTCCCAAAATGCTAGGATTATAGGCGTGAGCCACCGCGCCCAGCCAGATACAGGAACTTAATAAGTGAATAGTTTTTGTTCCAGTTATTACTGCTGTGTAACAAACCACCCAAATTTAGAGGCACAAAACCACACCCATTTCATTGTGCACAATTTGGGCGGGGTTCAGCTGGGCCCTTCTTTCACTCCTCATGGTATCTACTGAGACTACCCAGTGGCAGGTGAGCTGGGTCTGGAGGTTTCCAACATGGCTCCACTCATGTCCGGTGCCTTGGTGGGGAGGAGTTGTCACCCGGAGCCTCTGTGCGCGGCCTCCTCAGTACAGCAGTCTCAGGAAGGCTGGATTTCTTATGTGGCGACTGGCTTCCCCCATAGCAACTGTGCTACGAGAACTAGGTGAAAGTTGCATGCACCTTTCTGACACAGCTTTGGAAGCCACACAGTGTCATTCATGCTATACTGTATGGGTTGAAGCAGTCATGAGCCCACTCAGATTCAAGGAGAGGGGACATAGACCCCAGTTCTTGATGGGAGGAGTGTTAAAGACTTTGGGGACCATGTTTTAAAATGGCCTCAGTTTCTAGTCTTATACAATTCTTCATGTAGTGCTTTATATTTTACAGTGTTGGTCATCTCTAATATTTATTTTGACCCTCACAACAGCCTTCTGAAAGGGGTAATGTTACTGTGCCCATTATGCCAATAAGGAAGCTGAGGCTCAGAGAGGTGACTTGATTTGCTCAAGCTTCTGTGGCAACAAAACAGAACGAAACAATGAAACACTCCTTAAACCCACGTTCCCAGGTAACAGATTTTGAAGGTGTGTGTCACGAAGATGAGAAGTACAGAAAGTTGTTGTTCTTTGTGAGCAATTATCTTTCATACCTTCCAAAACAATGTTTTAAAATATCTGATGGATTGTTTGGGAGACCTGTCACTTACACTAAGACAAAAGACTAAACTGAACATACTCTTCATGGAGAATCTCTTGGGCTGCTACCTCTGGTCTTCCTTATCTCACTGTCGAATCTGCCAACAATAAAATGCTAATTCATCTAATACAAATGTGGAGAATTGTGGAAGTCAAGCTCAGCCAGACTGGCAGCTCACAGGGTAAATATTTGATCAGTGAGTAAAAATTCAAATTTGCACTATTTGCTGAAGGTGAAAAGTATATTAGGGAATGAATGTAATGGGGGTTAAGTAGGCCTGTAGGAGGTCTCCTCTAGGATTCCACCCCTGGAAGCCCACAGCTTCTTGCTGACCCAAGTTATAAGCAAGAGTGGGCTGGGCGGTTCCAACCAAGACCACCCTCCTGATGTGGCTCGCATTGGCTGGTGTCGTTTATGTGCACAGCCACAGTGAGTACCACACTGTCCCCCAACTTCTCCCCAGATCGTTTTAGAGAAGTGCTCTAGGCATTCCTTTTCTACTACCAGGTAAGCCGGAAGCCACTCCTGGCTTCCCTGCTCAGCACCCAACACTTCGTTCTGGGCCATAACTTGTGCCAGGGGAAGTAGCTTCAAGGGGTTTGCAGCAGGGAGTTTAGGCCAGCTGTCAGGAGGGGAAGTGAGGGCTGGGGTTAGCCCCGAATGTTTACTCAGTCCCCACGTTTCCCCAGACCTGTCCTGCTCCTCTTCAAGACCCTTAATATTAATCCAGAGAGAGAAGTCGGGCTGCTGAACAGCCTAGGCAAGTTGGGAAGCTGGCAGGTATGTGAAGAATGTGCTGGTTATTTCAACCACCAGGCTGGAGAGTGGAGCCGGAGCCCTGGATTCTTTGCTGGTGAAGCTACATGGCTGGGGAACAAGTAACAGCTGGTCACTGGCAACTCTTGGGAGGAAGGGGGGCTGAGCTGGCGGCTGGAGAGGAACACGTTCGCCACAGCCGATGGGCCAAGCTATGGATATTTTGTGGTGCTGATTGGGTTGTCTTATTTAACTGTGGTTGGGCTTGTCCGAGGGTCGTCCTGGGCTGCCTAGTGCCCTGGTGGGTGGCACAATGAAGCCTAATGATCAGCCCTGCAGAAGCAACCCTTAAACAAGCCGGAAGCATGAGGCCCCCTGCAGTCGCAAGCTGTGATGGCCGTTGGTTCCCGGGACTCAGTGCCTGAGTGTAGGAGGAAAGCACAATGGAGAAATCAGACTAGCGTTCTCCTCCGTGGGCCTGGGCCAACTAAAACGCAAGGCTGGGCTAGGGTCAGACCAGGTTCCAGACAGGCATCAGCCTCCGGAGGAACAGTGAGGGGGCGACCAGGCCCCGAGGTAAAGAAAGAGATTGATCTGTCCAGATGTGCTAGAAGCCTAGACATTGAGGGAGGGGAGAGGGAGTGGCTGACATGGAGGGGCACCGCCCAGATCTCTCTTTGTGGAAGGCCTGGCTGCCCAGCTGCAGGCTGTGTAGTCTCCAGACAGCCTCCAGCTGTCAAGCCTTGGGCGTTTAAGAATGCCTCGGCCAAGGCCACACTCTCCTGGGGTGGCCCATATCTGGTGCTGAAGTGGGGTGGGGGGCCTGTTATAAAGGGCTTGCCTTTGCTGGGCACGGTGGCTCACGCTGTAATCCCAGCGCTTTGGGGGGCCGAGGCGGGCGGATCACAAAGTCAGGAGATGGAGACCATCCTGGCTAACACTGTGAAACCCCGTCTCTACTGAAAATACAAAAAATTAGCTGGATGTGGTGCCGGGCGCCTGTAGTCCCAGCTACTCTGGAGGCTGAGGCAGGAGAATGGCATGAACCCGGGAGGCGGAGCTTGCAGTGAGCCGAGATCACGCCACTGCACTCCAGCCTGGGCGACAGAGTGAGACTCCATCTCAAAGTAAATAAATAAATAAATAAATAAATAAATAAATAAATAAATAAAGGGCTTGCCATTTTGGCCGGGAACTCTCCAGAACTCCAGAACTCTCTCCTCCAGGTTAGTCAAGACTCTGTTGGACCTGTATCCCAGCTTGACTACCCGCTCTGCCAAGTCCTGCTTGCCCCCCACTTCCTTTCACAGGATCTGATCCCTCACAAATTCCTCTTAACCCCCAATATCCATCTCAGCGTCTGCTTCCAGAGACCCCAGCCTGTGGTAGAGAGTCCTTGGGAACCAGCAGGACTCCAGATGCCATTTTATTACAGTCTGGGGGGTTTTGTCCAGTTTCCCTTAAATTGTTCCAGAGGTTTCCTCCACTGATTGTACTTTATTTCCCCTTGCTTTGAGAGATTATTCCAAACATAATAGACTCCTTCAGTAGGGCAACCCCTGCCCCCAACCACACATGAAATTTCTTCAACTCCATTGCATCCTCCCCAGACACCCTTCCTGCAGCCTGAGGCCAGTCCTGCCCCTCTAAAGGAGACCTTTCCCCCCTTATATCTGTTCTCCTCTCTTGTTCCTGATGACTGTGGCTCTCTGCCAGGGTCAGTCGTAAGGTGTCCCTCTGCACACAAAATCCCCATCTCCTGCCAGACACTGGGCCTTTATTGTTGGCATGGGGACAAGCCAAATTGCTTGGCAAACCGCACACTGGCCCTTAGTCACTGTCTCATCACTGTGGCCATCGCCGCTGCCTTGATCTTCCCTCTCCAGCTCTCAGTCCTCACCGTATTCTCTGCCTTCTTCCCCTGGCACAGACAGGGCCAGCCTAGGAACCCCAGATGTCACCTCCTGAGGGCCCCAGGGAGGCCTAGCTCATAGCTTAGATCCTTGGCTCATCAGTTAGGAACTTCTCTGACCTGCTTGGCAGCCACCTCCCCTCACACCAGATGCCTAATTAGTAGCTCAGAATGTCCTTTTCCTCCTTCTCTTTGGGCTCCACCTTCACCTTGATGGGTGGCCCCAGAGTCAGAGCAGAGAGGAATGGCCATTGGAGGCAGGGGCATATTTCAGGCATTGCATGGCAAGGGCGGGGAGGAGATATTCCCGACTGTGTCCGTGGTTACAGCTGGTTCAATTCTATTCAATGTCTATTTATTGTACGCTGTGCAGTGGCAGTGGGTGGCTGTCACCTGCTGACGTAGGGCCTGCCAGGGTGCTGTTGGCCGTCCAGCAGGAAGCGCTGGCCGTGTTGCTGTGGGGAGACCATGTGGCTTCTACCATCCGCTGAGGGGTCAGCGATGGGGAGGGCATTGCCAAGGGTTACAGTGACCTGTTTTAAAGGCTCGCTCTTCGCCTGGCTGCACATGAACCTGCTCTTCCAGACCTGAGCCTCAGCGAGGGAGAAGGCTGGCCCCAACCAGCTAACAGACCTCCAGGGGGACCTGAGGGAATTGCTCCCCTTGCCCAGGCCTGAGACAGGCTCCCGAAGGCTTCATTTACACAAACAATCAAAAAGCCAACCCAGCCCAGATGTAACGCTCACATTTTATTGCTTGCAGTGTTTTAGTTCTAATTTGGCTTCATTTGGAATAGAGGTTTTACTAAGTGGCATAAATTGAGCCTAACAAGTTTTAAAACTCAAACACCAACACCCTAAATGCTTAAAACTGTAATTGGAGAGATATAAAAAGTGAGTCGTCAGGGAGGGGCTTTGAGGGAGGCAGAAGAAGGAGGAGGGGAAGAAATGTAATTTCCGTCCTACTTGGCAGGAGATTTAGTTCCTGCTTCCCCTCCCCCCAGGCTCCAGCCCTGTCCCCTCCCCTGGTGGAGAATGTACCCGGAAGCCTCCTGAATCCCTGCCAGTGCCCTCCAGGATGTTTTGTACATAGTGGGTGCTTAGGAAAGATTAGGTGAACTAATTATTTTCTTAGATGTGGCTGTGGACAGAAGGGCCAAAGTGGATTCCTTCGAGGGGACGCGTTTGTCCCTGCAGGGGAGATCTGAGCTGTCTCCGCTGCCCCCTCAACCCCGCCCCCATTGTGGAATTCTACATGCTGGAGAACTCTCAGGATCTTACTTTGTAGGGAAATTGGAGGCCACTTGAGACCTCTGGGCTCTTCTGCGGATTGCAGAGGGTACCGATGGGAGGGGCCGGTGCCTGGCCACTTTGCTCAGGGGCCCATTTCCCTACTTCTTGTGTGAAATATGGTGGAGGATGATGCGTAGGTGGGGAGAGCAATCCATGTGTGAACTTCATGGCCCCGTGAGTCCTTGAAGAGGTGGCCAGGCCGCTGTAGGGGCCACATGAGCAGCTCTGCAGGCCAAGCCTGACACTTTGAGGGACCAGTACTCTGATTTTCCTTCAGTGCACCAGCCCTATTCCTCTGAGGAAGAGTGCCATACAAATAAATAAGCAAGAGTGACCATGGGAAGCATCTCTGAGTGTATGGGGGAATGGGTGGAAGCCAGAGAGGTCATTCAGGGCCCGGCCGGCTTCCCGGGCCAGCCTCCCTGGCTACACTTGCCAGTATTGATCACCCTCTCTCTCAGGAACCGGTCAGCACTTACAGCCATAGCCCCATGATTTAGCACGTGCTTATATAATGCTTTGGGTTGCATACAGCAAGGTGGGATGGAGGGAAAGCCCACTTGGCAGCAGATGCCTCCAGCTGGTGGCTGAGGTCTGCCTTTTGTGGTCAGGGTGATCTTGGCCAAGCCCCCAGGTTTTCCAGTTTCACTTCCTCTAGCTATAAAATGAGGGGTGATGGTACCCACAAAACTCTTGAAGGCAAAAATATATCATACAAGATGAAAATGTTTTATTATCTTTTTCAGTTGATATGAAAATACCTTGTCCTAGGACACTCTTGATACCGAGGATCAGAATACTATTTAAATTAGCTCAAAGACACGGGAGGTTTAGTAACAGGAGACAAGGGTCCCTTGTATAACCCAAAACTACCACGGATCACGGGGCCAGGGACTGAGACTTAGAGATCTAGAAATGAGGCTGGGCTCTGTCCCTCTCCCTCAGCCTGGGGCCCACAGTCACTCCTCCCCGTGGTTCTCTGGGTGACTGATGTGTTCTGTCTCTACTCGCTGACTCTTCCTTGACTCCTTTGCCTGATTATGTCTAACTCAGTTTGGCTGCCCCAAATGGCGGCTCTAACTCTGTGAAATGGCCTGACAAGCTCCAGGGCCCATAAATCCTCTCTGACTGATTTTCTGTCTCTGAGTTAAAAAATCTCAGAAGAGAATCTCATTGATTCAGTCGGGGTTAGGGATTGGTTCCGCCCTAGATCAGGTATATTGGCCTGGCCAGTCAGCAGTGGTCAGGGAGGTTTGGTCATGAGGAATATTGGAGTTCCCTAGCCTACCCCTTAAGCAGGGACTATGGATAGATATATGGGGGAATTTAGCAACAGTCATCTCCAGAACATTTCTTGAGTACTGTGTCATATTTTTTCTGAATATGCTGGAATACAACCCAGAGCCCTGAACTAAGAAACAGCTCAATATATGGTTGCTAATTGTTTGAGGAAAAGTAACTTTCTGTCCAAACTCTGTTGTCTGTGTTTCCTCCCCACTGCTTGCTTCTCATCTGGGAGTGGAAGGTTTCAAGGAAGGGTAATTATAGCCAAAAAGCTAACTTCTCCAATATATAAAAAGTTCCTAGAAATTAAAAAAATCAGTGATCTGATAGGAAAAATATGCAAAAGATATGGACACATAGTTTATTGAAAAGGACCTACAAATGGCTTTTAAACATGTGAAGTGTTGCTTGCTCTCACTTATAATAAGAAAACACAAAATAAAACTATACTGAGATATTATTTTTTTACCTAGAAGGTTGGCAAAAGAAAAACTGATAACACGCTATGATGGTGAGGCTGTCTACAGATGTGCTCTCTTACATTGCTTGTAGGAGTATAAATTAGTCCAACTCTTATGCAGGGAAATTAGCAATATCTATCAAAATTTCAAATGCACATGCCTTTTTTTTTTTTTTTTGAGATGGAGTCTCACTCTGTCACCCAAGCTGGAGTGCAGTGGTGCCATCTTGGCTCACTGCAACCTCTGCCTCCCAGGCTCAAGTGATTCTCCTTCCTCAGCCTCCCGAGTAGCTGAGACTACAGGTGTGCACCACCACACCCAGCTAATTTTTGTGTTTTTAGTAGAGACAGGGTTTCAACATGTTGACAAGGCTGGTCTTGAACTCCTGACCTCAGATGATCTGCCTGCCTTGGCCTCCCTAAGTGCTGGGATTACAGGCTTGAGCCACCATGCCCTGCTGCACATACCCTTTGATCCAGCAATTCCATTTCCAGGAATTTACCCTACCTGTGTATGTATTGTATGTTGTATCAATCAATTGGCTATTGCCACATAACCAAGCATTCCAAATTTTAGTGCCTTAAAACCACAACCATTTATTATTTCTCACTATTTGTTTGGTTGGGCGGTTCTGCTGATTTGAGTTAGACTAGGTTAATCTTGGCTAAATTCACTAGTGTGTCTGTGGTCTGCTGGTGGATTGGCTAAGAACTGGCTTATCTAGGACAGCCTCAGCTGGGCAGTATGACTCTGTCCATACCTGCTCTCATCTTCCAGCAGGCTAACTTGTTCTCAGGCTGGCCCGGGCATGTTTCATGCCAATTACAGGCAAACAAAAGAGGAAACGGAAACTTCAAGTGCTTTCTTAAGCTTTTGCTTTCTTTGAGTCTGCTAAGCAAGTAACATGGCAAAGGGGAACGGAAATGCACTCTGCTCCTGTAGTGAAAGAAGTAGCAAAGTCAAGGGTCAAAGGGCAATGATACAGGGAGAGGTAAAGACTTGGGGCCATCTATACCATCAGTCCTCCACATGTGTCAAATCCTCCACATTTATACATGGTTACTTACTGCAGCATTGACGTTGATAGAAACAATCAAAACAGCCATCAGTAGGAGACTAGCTGAAATCAACTATGATGTCTACTCTGGAATAATCTGCAACTGAAAAAAGATGAGTAATTCCTCTGTGTATGACTGGAGAAATCCTGAAGGTAGATTGTTAAGAGGAAAAAGCCAGGTGCAGGACACTGTGCATATATTATGCTACCTTTTATGTAAAAAAGGGGAGAGCAATAAGAATATGTGCATTTGTATTTCCTTGTATTTGCATGAATTAACTTTGGAAAGAGAAACAAGGAACTGCTAGTGGTAGATGTATGGGGGTGGGGGAGCACTGGGTAGACCGGGGAACAGAGATGGAGGGGGTACTTTTCACTGTATAAATAAAAATAAATCCTATGCTGATATAATAACACACATTCAAAACATTAACATCAAATATCCTCAAACGTGCAATAATACAATTTTAAAAAGGAGAGGAAAATAAAGGGAGAGTAAAAGGACTGCGTGGCTTCCAGAGGTCTCTGTAGATACAAAAAAAAAAAAAAAAAAAAAAAGTAGGGCCTGTGACTATGACACTGAGTAAATTATGCTTAGTTTAAACCTTGCTACGCAACCTGCTTTGCCCTTTGTGGATCCGTTTTGGGAAACACCCATTCTCCAGTGGAAAAAGAGCTGGTGTTTCCACTCCTGGGCTGTGCTGTCCCTGTGGAGTGACAGAACACTCCCCCGCCCTCTGCTCATGACCATGGGCTGACATTTCTAAAGGCTGCCACGTGCATTTTCCAGACACATTTGTGGGTTGACATGAGCTGGGATGTAGTCCTTGGCTCTTCAAATGTCAGTATGCTGGTCTGCCCGAATAGAATCCCCTTTCTCTGGAAATGCCCGGAGCCATGTGAGAATGGGTTTCCATGACGTTCATCCTCATCAGGCTCTAGACACGAAGGAGCCCCTGAATAACAACCGACCCACTCCTGGGCCTGTGGTGGGGGTCAGCAAGACCCTGCAGAAGCATAACTCAACAGTGACCCAGCACCAGGCCCACACCTACTTAGGCATGTCACTAAAGCCATATGATGACTGCTTTGGGCTCCTAAAGCATCCAACAGAACAGAGTCCCAGAGTCAGTGTCCCATCCTCCCCTCTGCTGGCTCCTGGGACACAAGAAGGGACACAGGAGCTGTCGGATCTGGCAGCCTCTGGAGACAGTAAATGACCAGTCTTTGCCTGTGCCTGTTCTGCAGCAATGAGCAGCCACCACACCCGCTGCTGCCACCACTGCCATTATGTATGTGTGCACTGAGCACTTACCACATGCCAAACTCTCCAGAGCCTTGATTCCACAGCGAAGAAGACATCACTGGCAGAGAAGATGGCCAACTAAACAAGCGCTTATGGTAAAGTCTGATATAACGCTTGCTTACTGGTAATTCTCTTTTTCTTTGAGACAGGGTCTCACTCTCATTGAAGCTGGACTGCAGTGGTATGATCATAGCTCACAGCAGCCTCCCTGTCTTGAGCTCAAGCAATCCTCCCACCTCAGCCTCCCCAGTAGCTGGGATACAGACATGCACCACCATTCCTGCCTAATTTTTTTTTAAAAAAACTTTTGTAGAGACAAAGTCTCACTATGTTGTCCAGGCTGGTCCTGAACTCCTGAGCTCAAGGGATTCTCCTACCTCAGCCTCCCAAACTGCTGGGATTACAGGCGTGAGCCACCACCCCTGGCCAGTAATCCTCTCTTGTGGCAAGGCACAACACTCAACTCAGACTAGCTTAAAGGAAAATGGGGTTAGAGTTTCTCCATTGTTTATAGAGAAATACACAACTCATAAAACTCAAGGCAAATACACATCTCATAAAACTCAAGGCAGCAATGTGGTTAGGCATCAGACACTGGGAACCCAGGAATCTCTTCTCATGTCTCCTCTCTGCTTGTTAGTGCCTCTCTTCTCTCTCATACAGACTAGTTTTCTCCATGTAACAGAGAATATAATGGCTGATGCTCCCAAGCATTATACCTCACAGCTGCAGCCACCCAATCAGAGATTCAGTCACCTTTCTCTATTTCAGGTCCAAAAATTCCAGGAGAAGGCCCAGAGCAGTGGCTCACGCCTATAATCTCAGCACTTTGGGAGGCTGAGGTGGGCAGATCACCTGAGGTCAGGAGTTCGAGATGAGCCTGGCCAACATGGTGGAACCCTCTCTCTACTAAAAATACAAAAATTAGCTGGGTATGGTGGCAGGTGCCTGTAATCCTAGCTACTCAGGAGGCTGAGGCAGGAGAGTAGCTTGAAGCCAGGAGGTGGAGGTTGCAGTGAGCTGAGATTGCGCCACTGCACTCCAACCTGGGCAACAGAGTGAGACTCCATCTCAAAAGAAAAAAACAAAAATTCTGGGGAAGGGGTCTCACTGGACTCTGTATAGTCCGGTGTCCAGTTTTGGACCAAACAACTTCAGTGAAAGGGTGGCGTTATGCATTACTAATAGGGGGCTGCCCATGGAAATCATGTGGCTCGGGGAGGGGCTGCTTGTGGAAAAGGGGCAGATAACACCCAAAGCATTCATTGCAGAGTGGCAGTGGAGGGCATGTGACAGGGCCATAGCCTGATTTGGAGAGAGAGAGAGAGAGAGAGAGAGAGAGAGAGAGAGATCAGGAAATGTTCCCAGTTTCCCAGGTCCAGGGGCATTTGAGCAGAGAGCCAAAGGATGGTGAGCTCAGGGCTGGATGCAGTGGCAGGGGGACATGACTGTCATAGGCAGAGGGAAGAGCTGCAGATGGAAAATTCAGTGAGTCACCTCTTCTTCCATCCACCTGTGGCTGAGTTTTTCTCTTTTTCTGCTGTACTCTGGGGCTGTAACTTCATCTGTTTCCCTAGCTTATCAATTTGTTCTCCAACTGTACCCATCCTAGTACTTATCCCAACAAGTGTGCTCTCTATTTCATCTCTTCTTCTTTCCCTTCTCATATTTCCACTTGATATTTTTTCCTGTCATTCCGTGCTCTTGTTTCTTGTTGCTGCTATCTTCTATTTTCTCTTTGACTATATTTCTCTTGCTCATTGCAAATGCTGGGTCCTCTTGTTCCCATCATTTCCATCTGCTTCCACTGATTCTGATGTCCAGTTTATGGTCTTTTTCTTGTGATAGACAACCTCAGGGGCCTCATTGTTTGGCCTTAAGAGGATCACATGTAATGGAACAGGGCTGGCAGCCACCTGCCTGGTCCTGTAAATTGGGGAAGGGCTCAAGTCCAGGTCTCAGTAGTTCTCAGTCCCAGGGAGTTTAAGGAGAGGCTGGCCAACCACAGTGGCTCATGTGAGTAATCCCGGCACTTTGGGAGGCCAAGGCAGGAGGATCGCTTGAGTCCAGGAGTTTAAGACTAGCCTGGGCGACATGGCAAAACCCGGTCTCTACATAAAATAAAAAAATTAGCCAGGCATGGTGATGCGTGCCTGTGGTTCCAGCTCTTCAGGAGGCTGAGGTGGGAGAATCACCTGAGCCCAGGGAGGTTGAGGCTGCAGTGAGCCGTGACTGCACAACTGCACTCCAACCTGGGCAACAAAGTGAGACCCTGTCTCAAAAAAAAAAGGAGAGTCCTTAGTTTCCTGGGCACTGACAACGTGGGCTGTTGCCACCGATTTCTGCCATGAAAGGGCCGGGAAAATGACAGCCCAGGGCCTCAGGCAGATGGGGGATGCAAGAGCCAATTTTAAAAGCTTCTCTCTTACCTATCCTTTCATTTCTGCTTCCAGCCACCCACCATCCCTACAGATGCCACTTCAAAGGCAGCCTTCAGTCTCGCCTGGGTCTTCTCACAAGTCTTTGGTTGGCTTATGGATATATGTTACCCTCTCACCTCTTTGGTGTTTTCAGGGTTGGGAGAGGGAACTAGTAGCACAGATGAGCTTGCCTCTTGCCTGGCCAGCTTTGACCTCACACTTGCCCTAGAACCTGGTCTATCCCAGGCATCCTGCTCAGGTCTGGCTCCAGCTGGATCCAGCCTCTCCCCATCCTGGCTCCTAGTCCAGGCTTTGGCCTCCTATTCCCTCCCTGGGCATCTGATCCCCATCCATCCCAGGTGAGTGGCTTTACCTCCCCTCTCAGTGTGGACAGCTCCCAGCACCCACCCCCAATCTGTGGCTGGCACAGGACCTGCACATCTCCCGGGGGCAGCCATCATGGGACATTGATGCCTGGGGGAGGGACAAGCTGATGGAGTCACTGTTCTGCAGCTGGGGGAAGAGAAGGGTGAGTTGCCTTAGCTAGGTGAGATTTACATGCAGGCACTGATCATTCAGAGCAGTCTCTGAGATCTGGGCTCCAGAGGTCCCTTGTGATCTGGATTGGAGGGGGGTCTGGAGGTACCAGGGGAATGGCCAAGGGTGGCCAGTGTGGCAGGTGGGGACACTCAGGGGGCCTGGGGCAGTAGCTATTTACTCTATGGTGATAGAAGCATTTCAATATTTTAACAACCAGTACAGCTGTCGTAGCAGTGCATTTCGACTGAATGTCAGCCCAGGTTGTAGGTGGCAGTGAGCAGCTGGGCTGTCACAGTGACGTTAAGAGCATATGGAGTGGTTATAAAGTGCGACAGGAGAAATTTAGGCTTGTCATTGGGAAACCTATATCACCACCTTTTACCAAGGAGAGCTGGTGGAAATTCTCCCTGAAACTTGGGGGGTTCTGAGAAACAGGTCTCCAAAATGGACTAGCCGCAGCTTTCTTAGGCTGGCCTGGCATCTGGGGATTGACACAAATGACTTCTTTGGATTCCCTTTCTCTGGAGCAAAGATCCCCAAATGATATTCAGTAGTAGTTAATCAGAAACATTTTTTGATCCTTTGCTGTGTGCCAGATGTGTTGCTGGGTAATGAGGCTACAAAGGTGAAAAAGGCTGGGTCCCCGCTCTCCTGGAGCTCACGATGGGCCAGGCGAGGGGCAGGGGGAGATAGCACACCTACCCCAAAGACGACCACAGAACCAGGCAGTGGGTGGGATGTGCTGAATGAGTTCACAAGGAGAAATGATGCAGAAACTCTTTTGGGGTGGGAGTGGGGGACTCGTGTTGCTGAGGGGAGGCCACCCTGGCAGAACAGGGATGGAACTGACCTCTAAAAGCTTTTCCTTTGCCTCTAGAAATAGCAAGGCAGTGCTACTTGGTTCTGATTTTCGCCTCCAGATATCAGGACACATTTTGTCCTTGAAAGCACTCAAATCGGCTTGGCTGGCCAATGTGAGGTCACTGCTTATTAGCTATGCACAGCTGAGATCAGAACCTGTCCTCCTGCCAGCCAGCCAGCCAACACAGAGGCTGGGTGTCTCACAAGCAGCCCTGAAGGGCCACTCTGGGCACCTTTCTTCTAAGATTTCTCCAGACTGAGGAGACTGAGGGCAATGTGGGCCTCCTTCCTCCCTTCCACAAAGTGGTGCTTAGGAAGACTGGGGACGGCCCTATGTCAAAGTCCTGCCCCTAGAGAAAGGGCTGGTATCTGTGGGTGAATCTCAATCTCAGAGACTGCCCTTGGTGGGTATCCAGGCCGGTCGTCCCCTCCCTGGGGACTGTATCTGGGAAGACAAGCTTTGGCTGCAGTCCAGAGCTGGAATGACTGCTCTGCTCCATGAAATCCTCAGGGATCCAGGATCCTCCAAGTTCACTGCTCCACCTTTCAAAGGATGGAAACTTTAGCCCCCTGGTCCAAGATGGCAGCCATGATACCCATGTTTAAGGCAGCAGGCAGCAGGATAGAGAAAGCAACTAAAAAGAAAGGGATGATGAGGCACAGACTAGCTGTCTTTACCCCTTCCTCAATATTTTTTTATTGTGGTAAAATACATATGATGTAAAATTTACCATCTGAGACATTTTTAAATGTACTCATAATGGCGTGCAGCTGAGGTGGGAGAATAGGGTCTGGAGGCAGGGAACTTAAGGCCAATTCGCACTGACTTCCTAGAACTAAATCAAAAGGAAAACCCCAAATTTCCACACCTGAGTAACAAAAGGACGGGAGGTGGCCAGGCGTGGTGGCTCATGCCTGTAATCCCAGCACTTTGGGAGACCGAGGTGGGCAGATCACCTGAGTTCAGGAGTTCGAGACCAGCCTGGCTAAAATGGTGAAACCCCATTTCTACTAAAAATACAAAAAATAAGCCAGGCATGGTGGCACGTGCCTGTAATCCCAGCTACTCGGGAGGCTGAGGCAGGAGAATTGCTTGAATCTGGGAGGCGGAGGTTGCACTGAGCTGAGATCGCACCATTGCACTCCAGCTTGGGCAACAAGAGTGAAACTCCATAACAACAATAACAACAACAACAACAACAACAACAACAAACACAAAAGGACGGGAGGCTACTCCCTTTGCAACCCCCATCCCCTTTTTCTGTGTTGCAGATGGAAAGTTGAAAGTATCTCTGATTGGTTGCTTTCTGCAACCAATAGGAGTGTAACTTTGTAACTTCACTTTAGCCTCTGATCAGTTGCTTTCCACAACCAATCAGATGGACTCCAAGTGAAGTCTTCTTTTGCATAGAAGTGTAACTTTGTAACTTCACTTTAGCCTCTGATTGGTTGCTTTCCACAACCAATCAGATGCTTGCATAGGGTGTAACCTGTATAACTTCACTTCAGCTTGTGATTACAGGCCACTACTTCATTTACATAGGGTGCACAACAAGTAACCAATGAGAAACCTCTAGAGGGTATTTAAATCCCAGAAAATTCTGTAAAGGGGCTCTTGAGCCCCTGTGGTCGGCCTGCTCCCACTTTGTGGGGTGTTCTTTCGTTTTCAATAAATCTCTGCTTTTGTTGCTTCATTCTATCCTTGCTTTGTTTGTGTGTTTTGTCCAATTCTTTGTTCAAAACACCAAGAACGTGGACACCCTCCACCAGTAACACAGCCATCACCACCATTCATCTCCAGAACTCTTTTCATCTTGTAAAACTGAAACTGTGTGCCTGTTAAACACTAACTCCCGATTCCCCCATCCCCTGCCCCCATTCCCTGGCAACTGCCAGTCTACTTTCTGCCTCTATGATTTTGACTCCTCTTAGTACTTTATAGAGACAGGCTGTCTTTTAAGGAAGATTTTTGGAAACTGACACGCCATGCTTCCATATGTCCCATTGGCCAGAACTTAGTCACATGACAACAGGTAGCTGGGAAATTAGTCTTTTTCCTGGTGGCCACTAGGGAAGATATTCAGGGACAGGTAGCAAAGACAAATAGCTCAGTCTTACCCAACTATGGGGGTTCTTCAATGTAAATGCTCTGTAAAGAGCTCTTAGGCAAAGAAAAGAACTAAAAATTAAAGAGCCTTATTTTTAATTTTAGCTATTGATTTTTTTTTTTTTGCCTATGGCTGATTCTTTCAACTCTGAATGCAAAGCATTTGTACATATTTCCCCTCTCTTTCTCTCCATTGCCTTCTTTTGTTACATCTTTGATTGAATATATATATATATATACTCTGTTACTTGCAGCCAAAGGCATTTCTCACTGATACAGGTTCTTTGATCTTCCATCCTTCCACTACCAAACTCCTTCTGAGAGAGGGCCACACAAGCTGGGCCCTGCTTTTCAGATGTCTAGTCCCTCTTAATCCCTTGCCACCAACCTACTCCTTCACCAGGTCATAGTCACTTTATTTTTTTAAAACCCAATGGCTGTTGTTCATATCTTCCTTGTCCACTTTGAGTTTAGAGTTTTTTACTGAAACTCGTTTTCCCTTTGGTTTCTAGGACCTTGGATTGTATAGCTGACTTTCTGTCTTCTGACTACTACTTCTACATTTTGTATACGGGGAGCCTCTTCATTTTGCCTCCTCATTGTAGGTACTTTCCCTGCCCAAAGCCTTAACCTCAGTCCTTTTATGATTCACCATCACTACTACCACCCACATCATCTCCGCCACCATCTCTACTACCAGCACTACTACTACCACTACCACCACCACCACCACCACCACCACCACCACCACCACCACCTCCACCATCATCACCACTTCCACTGTCAATTTACAAACATAATCTCTAGTCTTTCAATACTCATAATAGCTGTACAAGGTAAATATTATTATTATCCTCAGTTTGTAGATAAGAACACTGAGGCTTAGAGAGATGATATATTTTGCCTAAGAGCAAGAAGCCGGTAGGTGTCAGAGGTGGAATTTGAATCTCAGTCTATCTGATGTCAAAGACTGGGCTCTCGATACACCATACCCCTCCCCACTCTTTTAAATGCTACAGGATTTACTCCTTATTGCTCTTCCTCTGATAACACCAGGTGACATCCTAACTATCAGCACAGGCCTGGGTTAATATAACAGCCTCACAACAAATCTCCTTGCCTATAAGCATAGGGTCACCACTTCACTTCCATTTACCCCCACCATGCCTGTTTGCCCAACACTAGACTGCTAGTCCAGTGATACTTTAACTCAACCTTCCTCAAGTCCCTGCCCTGCTCATATACTTACAGTGGCTCCCTGACATTGCATGGGTCATATTCTGGTTCTCAAAAGCCTTCCTCACCTGTGCCCATGCTCTCCATATCCCTGGCTGAGCATCACTTGCCAGTATTCTGAAGCCAGCTGTGGTGGACATTATTAGTGCTCACAAATAGCCAGTTCTCTCCTTCCTGGACAGTGGGGAGATCCTACTTCACAGCCCCTTTGCAATTAGGCAGCGCCATGTGACTAGCTCTGGTCAATGAAATATATGTGGAAGTGACGTGTGAGAATTTTACATTGAGACAATGAAAAGGCTCTGCAGGACCCTCCGACTTCTCTTAACCCTTGCTGGGGTGATCAGTTGCAGTGTTCCAGATGGTAAAGCCTCCATTGCCTGAGTTCCTGAGTGACTATATGGAGCAGAACACTTTTCCCTCTTCATCCATTGACTTGCAGTGAACTTTGTATGGACATGAAATTTCTTAAGCCACTGAGATCTTGCAGTTGTGTTACGGCAGCATAAGCCTAGCATATCAGGACAGGCTAGGTTATGTTGTCAGAACAATTCCAAAATCTCAGTGACTTACAACACAACAAAAAAAATTTCTTCCTTGCTCGTGCTACACGTTTTCATAGGTCAGCAGGGGGAGGCTTTTCTCATGGTAGTTACTCAGGTATCCAGGTGGATGGAGAGTCCATTTTTGTGGTCTGTGAGTTCCCTCCAAAGTGGGGAGAGAACATAGTGAATCACATCTTGATTCAGTGCTTCCAATTCGACAGGACACAAGTAACTTCTGGTGACATTTCCTTGACCAAATCAAGTCACATGGCCACACCTGACTTCAAAGAGGGGCAAGAAAATATAATTCTACCATATGCTGGGAAAGAAGAGGGCTGGAGATATTTGGTGAACATTGCCATTGCCATCTTGACTCATATGCCAGATGAGTTGGTCCCCTCCCCACTCTGCTTCATCCTGCCTTTAGGACTTATTTCATGCTATTTCTTCACCTTTTAATTACAGCTCTAGGCCCGTCCTTTCCATAAAGCTTCCCTTGATATTTCTAGCACATTCTCTTCCTGCTTCTGAACTCCAAGGGCCTTTAGGGTGGCCAAAATTCAATTGGTTATTCATTGGTTCATGTATAAATCATGAGACTAGTTTTGCTTTTACCAAACATACTCAAATGCATTTGCATATACATATATTTATATATACACCAATCTAATTTATCTTCTTAAAACTATCACCTGGATGGCTGTTTGTTTATTCCAATGATGGGTTCACTGCTCCAAAATGTTTGTGGAATTGTCTTGGAGTTTGTAGCACATCCATTTCCTTATCTGTCAAAAGAATATAATAATGGTGCCTATTTTATACATATGTGTGAGAACTAAATGGGTTAGTGCATATAAAGTGATTAGAACAGCAGCTGGCACACAATAAACGCTCAATAAACTTCAGCTATTATTATTATTTCTCTAAAGATCTCTGCTGATAGCAATCTTTATCATCCAAACATGGATTTAATTTCTCGCTGACAATTCAAAAGTCATTCAGATCTATAGCAGGTGCTGTTGGTGCCCATGTGCCCTCTGCCCGCCCCAGAGGTCCCCTGCAGACAGTTCTTGTACCTGCAGATGGTTTTCTGAGCATCTCTGCCAGGTGTGGCTTGCAGGCGAGATGATGGCATTGAAACAGCTGGGGAATAAATGCCCTCAGGTCTGACTCTCAACCAGTGAGGCAGTGGAGATGATGGATCAATATCTCCTTTTCATTACGACTCAGCGGGAGAAGTCTGAGGTGTGTCCTGGAGTGACCACACCATCTCCCGGAGGGGCCCAAATGGAACTGGGCCTCCATTGTCTATGGAGGTAACCTGTTCACTAACACACTCTTTTTGTCTTTTTCCCCTTTCTTGTCTCACTTTCTCCACTCTCTGAACCCTATTTCCCAGGATCGCCCTCCAAACAGATTATCCATACCCAGAGAATAATACTTTAGGCAACGAGGGCAAACATGAGACTAAGCTTTATCCAGTGAAACTCCTTTTTTCAATGTCGTCTGTCAGCTGCCTCTGGCAGTGGTTCTAAAAGTGGAATTGCATGCGGTTTTGAGCCATGACTGCATTATTGAAATAAGTTTCTGGCCTCTTAAGGTGTCAGCAGTGAGGGAGACATCTTTGGATGTATGTGTTCTGGGTATCATTTAGGGGGCTGGCCAGCCTCCTCACCCTATAGCTTTGCCTTGTTAGGGGGTTCTCTTGTGAAGGCTCTGAGAAGCTCAGTGTGGACAGAACACCGTCCCCTGGTTTGGTGGTGGGTTTTGTGAGCTCTGGGTAGCCCAGCACTGGGATGTTCAGCAAACACTTTGTTTGATTGCCGTTACACCCCCTGTAGTGGGCAGTGGACATGGGCTCCTCAAGAGTCAGCAACAGTTGACTGGGCGCAGTGGCTCACGCCTGTAATCCCAGCATTTTGGGAGGCCAAGGCGGGCAGATCACTTGAGGTCAGGAGTTTGAGGCCAGCCTGGCCAACATGGTGAAACTCCGTCTCTGTTAAAAATATAAAACATTAAAACATTAGCCAGGCATGGTAGTGGACGCCTATAATCCCAACTACTCAGGAGGTTGAGGCAGGAGAATCGCTTGAACCCAGGAGGCAGAGGTTGTAGTGAGCTGAGATCCTGCCACTGCACTCCAGCCTGGGCAACAGAGCAAGACACCATCTCAAAAAAAAAAAAAAAAAGAGTCAGCAACAGTCTCCTCCCCATTTTGTGAAAACCTACAGGACAATGAACACGAGATTATACTGAGGATAGTTAGGCTGCTGCTAATTCTTTGCAACCAAGAAGGAAGATATTAATCAACTCGTGCATGTGTGCATTAGTGTCAGAAAGAAATTTCCAATCAGGGACAGATTAGCCAAAAAAGGAAAATCAAAAATGGATTCCCCGAACAGTGAGGAGGTGGGTGCAGATAGCTGTGAGGAGGCCTTGGAAGTCTGCTCTTTGCCTGAGTTCACCCACCCTTCCCATCAGATAATGGCATTCAGGAAGACAGTGCTGTTTTAAGATTTACTTAGGATTGCAAGTGTTTTAAAAACAGAGGCCCAGAGAAGGGAAGATTTGCAATTGCAGAAAAAAAATATGAACACACAGGAGAGTTTTCCAGATTTCTGGAATGTCAAATGGCGATTGTAATATCTGCATCACTTGTGAGGATTAAATGAGGTGATGCATACAAAAACACCTAGCACGGCTCTTGTTCACAGCAGGTACTCAAAATTTGACAGCACTCTAATAAATGTAGTCCTGTATAATACACTGGCTAACTTTCTATGATGATATTCTGATTTTTTTTTCTTGAGACAGAGTCTCCCCCACTTTGTCGCCCAGGCTAGAGTTCAATGGCACGATCTCAGCTCACTGCAACCTCCGCCTCCCCGGGCTCAAGCAATTGCAATTCTCCTGCTTCAGCCTCCCAAGTAGCTGGGATTACAGGCATGTGCCACCACATCCAGCTAATTTTTGTATTTTTAGTAGAGACAGGGGTTTTACCATGTTGGTCAGGTTGGTCTCTAACTCCTGACCTTCAGTGATCCACCTGCCTTGGCCTCCCAAAATGCTGGGATTACAGGCATGAGCCACAGCGCTCCGCTGATATTTTGATTTTTTTTTGGCCTAATAGAAATTTTATTCCAACCTTGGCTACCTTCAAAGCCACCTTGAGTTCAACATTGCCCTTTAAAATGAACTGTGCCCTTTTCTCTGGGCTCTGTGGCACACGGTGGGCAGCGTGCACTCTGTTCTCTCTGTGCTCTTATAGAGGTTTAGGGCATGGCTGGCGACCCTTCTGCACAAGCCTGCCATGAAGAAACAAGCCACGAAGGGAGCCATCATTCCCAGAATCCAGGCAGCCAGACAGCACACCCCACTGGGCTCCGAGACCTGGGGACTACACACAGGAATGAACAGAACCCACATTTAGCCAGTTCTTATTATCAGCGAGGAAACCAGCTGAGAATGCAGAACAGTGAACTAGAGATGGCAACCGGGCCTCCGATCCAGCCAGTCAGCTCGAAAAGACTGCTTGACCTTGCAACACATTCCAGGATGGTTATATTCTGGGGTCGAAAAATCCATTCAAACTCTTTTTCCCTAGTTGCACGTGAGCTTCAGGGAGCAACAATTATGCTTCTGCAGGAGCCAGCAGAAAAGCCAGACCCTCCAAACCGCAAAAGCAGCTGTCTCAAACCTCCACGTTATTAGACTGATTGAAATAATCAGAAAACAGCTCCAGAATGCTGGCTTTGAGAAAGGCAGGCAATTTTTGTTTGGCAGAGAGTGCTGTCAGCCTCCTCAGCAGGGGAAATCGAATGTTGTCTTTCTCACTCTCTTTTTTCTTTTCCCTTCTAAAAACTTCCCTGCATCATTTGATTTCACATCAATTTGGTGAGAAGGGCTGTTGGTACATCTCATCTTCTGTGTCATGGGCTATCTGGAGTCCCAGGTCACCAGGTCACAGGAGAGATGCATAATGATGCCCCGGAATCATGGTGGCTTTGGATTGTAGGAAACTGCTTTGTCCCTGGGGCCTGGCTGTTTCCCTGTCTCTCCCTCCTGGTCTCTCCCTTATTCAAATGGTCATCAAATGGAGTAAGGAAAGGCCAAAAAGCCTGAAAATCCAACCTCATGAAGAAGAACCAACAGTCCCCATAGGAGGAGACAGACATAGCAGAAGCAAAGGACTGGAGAAAAATCTTTCCTGTCTCCCTGTGATGAAATTGAATTAGCGTTGGCTGCATTAATGCCCATTTAGAATGTGGAAGAGACTGTGACCCAGTCAAGGTTGAGAGGGGCGTCGTGAAGAGGTGAGGCCATAGCAGCATCCCTGCGCCCCCCCCCCCCACCCGCCACTGCGGCCCCTAGCCTGTAGTATTTCTTAGCCTCAGCCTGGGCCCGGTGTTCTTCCATTCAATGCACTGTCTAGCCTCCGATTTGCAGTAGGCAACCTTCCCTCTGGGACCTCCACGTGTGCCGCCTCCTGGCCGACTCAACTCCACAGAAATCTAGGGGGGCGATGGGTAAGGGTCGGGGCACGCCCTGGATAGGCTGCTTAGCAGGACTCAGGCACTTGAAGCTTCGGCTGTGCGACGCTGGGAGAGGTGGGGGGGACGGGAGAGGGGGAGGGGGAGGGGAGAGGGCTCTTCCTGTGTGGTATTTGCACGTTGCTGGGGAACGTGCTGCTTCCACGTTTCCAGC
The DNA here is from genome assembly GCF_000001405.40 of Homo sapiens. Classification (NCBI taxonomy): domain Eukaryota; kingdom Metazoa; phylum Chordata; class Mammalia; order Primates; family Hominidae; genus Homo; species Homo sapiens. The sequence goes on along the minus strand of NC_000023.11, from coordinate 39,878,045 downwards.
AATAACAAGGCACATTTGCTGCTGCAGGTTCATTAACGAGGCCTGCGGGAATGAGGATTGGCTTGTCCACCGTGTTCACTGGACGGTAGGAAAAAAGAAAAGTCAGAAAAGGGAGAGCGATGTTCAAGTTCATGCTCAACTGTGGCTACTTCTCTGAACCCAAGAGGCCACCAGCCCCTAGCTGCCTTGGCCATTGCTGGGGTGGGGTGAGTGGGGTGAAAGAGTGGGAAAGGGAGGGGTGGGGGTACTGTTGATTCTATGGATTCCCTTTGCTCCTTTTTTTTTTTTCCTCTTTAACTGATACTGGCCCATTTGCTGTGCTGCTGGGTCAGTCTTGAACATTTTTCCCCAGGCGATGAACCCAGGACATTCTTTTTAAGCAGGACAGGCAGTTTGCCCAGGATTCTGCTAGCTCATGCATGAGACCTAAGGTATATGCCCTGCCTGCCTGCTCAGACAGGGAACATTTAAGAATTCCCGACTGCATGTCTGTAATCCCAGTACTTTGGGAAGGAGGCCAAGGTGGGAGGATCGCTTAAGCCCGGGAGTTCGAGACCAGCCTGGGCAACAAAGTGAGACCCTGTCTGTACAAAAAATAAAAAAATTAGCCAAGTGTGATTGTGTACACCTGTAGTCCCAGCTACCAGGAGGCTGAGGCGGGAGGATCGCTTGAGCCCAGGAGTTCGAGGCTGCGGTAAGCCATGATTGTGCCACTGTACTCCAGCCTAGGCAATAGAGCGAGATCCTGTCTCTAAAAAAAAAGAAAAATAATTCCTGACTGCCTGAGTATGTAAAAGTCAGGAAACAGGAATGGGGAGCCCCCAGACTTGGCCATCTTTCGTCCATCTTAGCGCTCACTCTCGGTTCTAACTTGTCTTGGTTCTGTCCTCTGCCTCTAGGCAGCCATCCTGACTTAGGTGTGGACAGAGAGACCCTTGGGTCTGTGGGACATGTGGTGGCCCACAGCAGCCCCCTGCACAGTGTGCCTTCAGCATCCCTTGCCCTGGAACCTATTGTCCTTTCTTCCTGTCCTCCAAGGTGGCTTGAATTCTCAGCCAGCATTCCTGTTTGTTGGGCAAACAGACAGTGAAAACAGTCCAGTGCCAGGAGGCTTGGAGCCTGGCACCTGGCCAGGGACCCTGGCAGCCACATCCCAGGGACAGGAGGAAAGAATATCCAGTTGGGAATTATTTAGGGTCCACCTGCTTCTCTCTGCATCAACAGAAGGCGGGCACGGGCAAGGGCAAGGGCAAGGAAAGAGGGAGAATTGGGGATCATTCTGATCCGCAACTTGTCAGGAGATCAGGAGTCCTGGCAAGAGGTTACTTGGGGAAGCTTGATGATGTTATCGACCAAATTGGGGTTTGGGGATTATCTGTGGATTTCATTTATCTGTTTTCCCTGGTCTCTCTTGTTGTAGGTAATTAAGAGCTGATTGCTAGTAATTAAGAGTTGTTGAGAGAGGCAGCAGGATCCAAAAAGGAGAGTCACACGTTTTGTCTTCCTTTGGACAGACTCCTGACCTCCTCCCCTTCTCCCTCTCCTTGCCCCCTCCCATGCGTGTGCCTTCTGCAGGGACACTGGCCCCTGGAGAGCAAGTCGCAGCTTGTCAACTGGATTATTTATGTGTCAGCTCCGCTCTGGCTTAATTTCCTCCTGTTATTCCCAAGCCTTGAGTAAAGCCTTGCGTAGCAGGTTTAAGTTCCACTCTCCTGACACTCAGGTGTGCTAAGATGTAGCTTTTCTTTATTTCTCCCCAACTGCAGCATTAACTGGGATCTTGAGCCCCCGTTTCTGCTGATGGTCGACAACTTAAACTTGCCAAGTCAAGGTAACAGTCACTTCTGGTTTAAATCATGGTCACTTTTAGGCAAATGCTGTCTCTTCAGGATTCTCCCTCACTCATTCTTCCCAGGCATGAGCTGCAGCCCTGGGAGTGGGAGGCTGGGGGTGGGGGTAGGGGGCGGTGTGGGGCGTGGAGGAGAGGCTGGTCCTACACTGTCCTGGTATTGCGCAAGGGACATGTGTCCGCATGCTGCTATCTGCATCCTGGCCCTACCCACTGGGCCGAGTGGACTTGGACAAAGTGTGCCTGTCCCTCTTGGACTTGAACATGAAACCTGATGTTGTGGCTGGCTACAGCCTCTAGTCCAGAGGCCTTGCATGGTACTCCGCTACATGCCCCAGGCGGGCGCCCTTTGGTGCCATGGTGGCTTGGGTGCCCTTGGCTGCTCTCTCTACTGTGCTGGGGTGTGAGGACCTGGGCCACCCTTGCAATCGCTGCTGAGACACTGCATTTAGCCACAGCCACTTTACCGCCGCAGTGCCAGATGAAAAGTGGACCTCCTCTGTGCGATGTGCAGGCTTCCCTTGCTGCTGGCTGCCATGGCGTGAGGCTCCATCCCCTCTCCTCCCTGTTCCTGTGAACCTCTCTGGGGTTTTCATGCGTCTCCCGTCCCTGTGCGGGAAGAGTCCCAGGCCGGTTACAGGGCTCCCATGGGCACGTAGACCCTTCTACCAGCCAGCCATCCTCTTGAACTGGTGGAACCGTGATTCCCTCTCCCTGTGGCAGAAAAACTGCTCTCATTATCCCACCCCCATTCTTTATATTATGGTGTAAAATCAACGTTCCAAGTCCAAGGCATCTAAAAAATTAAGTTCAGAATTCCAAAGCACCTTCTTTGTTCACATTTGGAAGTCTATGGCTCCCGAGAGCAGCCAGTCTGTGATACATACAGAAGTCTTCCTGGGACCTTAACAACCTTTCTTTTTTCCTTTCTTTTATTTCTTTCTTCTTTTTTTTTGAGACGGAGTCTCATTCTGTCACCCAGGCTGGAGTGCAGTGGCGCGATCTCGGCTCACTGCAACCTCTGCCTCCCATGTTCAAGCAATTCTCCTGCCTCAGCCTCCCAAGTAGCTGGGATTACAGGCACCTGCCGCCACACCCGGCTAATTTTTGTATTTTTAGTAGAGATGGGGTTTCACCATGTTGGCCAGGCTGGTCTCGAACTCCTGACTTCAGGTGATCTGCCTGCCTTGGCCTCCCAAAGTGCTGGGATCACAGGTGTGAGCCACTGAAACTGGCCCCTTTCTCTTAGTAGACTAATATGTATTGAGCACTTCCAATGTGTCTGGCACTTTGCATGGGTTATCATGTTCAATCCTCACAAGTGCCCTGTTAGGATTTCCATTTTTCATATGATGAAACTGAGGCAAAGGGGGTTAAAGAAATTGCTGGATCATTTGCCTCTGGTGCCTTGGCTCACTTCCTTGAGGCCTCACCTCTGCTGCTTCCAGCTGTGGCCTTGGTGGACCATTCCGTGAGGGCTTTGACTCAACTCACACTGACAGCGTCTCACCCAAAGTGAGTACCAGTCATCTCTGCCTTTCATTTTCTGCCCCAGGGCTTCTCTGCTACTGCAGACACGGGAAGGGGGGTTTCCTTGTCAGGCAACACTCACATCCTGGAAAGGAGGCTTGTTCACTCATAGGTCTGCCAGTTGATGCTGGCTGTCCTTAAAGCCCTCAGCTGGGGCTGTTGGTCACATATTTACACACGACCTCTCTGTGTAGTTTGGGCTTTCTCACAGCATGGCGACTAGGTTCCAAAGGTCAGTGTCCCAAAAGAGAGCTCCTGGGCACCAAGCAGAAGCTGTTTGCATGTTGTGACTTAGCATCACAAACCACATGGCATCAGTTCCACCATATTCTATGGGTTGGAAGAGTCACCCACCCAGGTTCAAGGGGAGAGGAAAAAGACACCACCTCTTGAGGGAGTAAGGAGATCCTGGAAGAACATATGGGACCAGAAATATCACTGTGGCCATAATTGAGAAATACAGTGTATCACAACAGAGGTGTCTGGAGACAGAGTGGAAAAGATGTGGCTTAAACATGTTAAATACTTGAATTTGAGGCCAGGTGTGGTGGCTTATGCTTGTAATCCCAGCATTTCAGAAGGCCTAGGAGGGTAGATGGCTTGAGACCAGGAGTTTGAGACCAGTCCGGGCAATGTGGCAAAACCCCATCTCTATGAAAAATACAAAAAATTAGCTGGGCATGGTGTCAAGTACCTGTGGTCTCAGGTACTCAGGAGGCTGAGGTGGGAGGATCACTTGGGCCGTGGAGGTCGAAGCTGCAGTGAGCTGTGATCATGCCACTGCACTCCAGCCTGGGTGAAAGAGTGAGACCCTATCTCAAGAAGAAAAAAAATAATTGAAATAAATAAATAAAACTTGAATTCGGCTGGGTGCAGTGGCTCATGTCTGTAATCCCAGCACTTTGGGGGGCCGAGGCGGGAGGATCACTTGAGCTCAGGATTTTGAGACCAGCCTGGGCAACAAAGTGAGTCTCCATCTCTACAAAAAATTAAAAAATTAGTCAGGCGTGGTTGTGCACACCTGTAGTCCCAGCTACTCAGGAGGCTGAGATGGGAGGATAGCTTGAGTCAAGGAAGTGAAGGCTGCAGTGAGCCATGATCATGCCGCTGCACTCCAGCCCAGGTGACAGACTGAGACCCTTTCTCAAAAAAAGAAAAAAGAAAAGAAAAGCCCTCGAATTCCAGGGAACCAGCCCAAGGAACATCCAGTGCTTCTTTGGGTCCAGACACAATATAGGGGCTGCCCAGCCACCTTGATATAAGAGACACCAAGAGGACACTTACCCCATGTCCTGCAACCCAGGAAATGCTACTTTAGGGTTAGTCTTTGCCATAATTCAGGGATGACTAAGCTGGTAGAGTCACTCTCGCAGGTTTTCTGGAGGGCAGGCTCTTGGAGGTTCTGCAATGGGAATGCACCTTCCCTGCAACTCCACGGCTCTTGGTGGAGACCAAGGCAGACTGTTCCACTCCAGTGGGCTGCGTGTTCTGACACAGGTGAGCAGGGGCTTCTGGAAGCACACGGGAGAGGCACCTACCCCAATAGGGCCTGCTGTGTCGGCTTGGGTTGACGCCTTTTCTAGAGGAGGTGACATCTGAGCAGGATGGTGAATGACGAGTAGGAGTTGACCAGAATAGGAGGGGGTGGTGAAGAGGCTGGAGCATGAGGGAAGTGGTGAGGGGAAGGGAGAGAAGGATGGACGGAGTGCTGGGACCACATTTGCCAGGCCTGTCAGGGAACTGGGATTGATGGTTTGATTGGTTTTCCCTTCCCTTTGTCCAGGACATCAGGAAATGCCTAGATTTTGGTGTGTGGCGGTGGGCGGGTACGGGGCTAAGAATATATACCAGGTGGCTGTGGAAAGAGAGAGGTGGGTGGGGGAAGGAGAAGAGGGAGAAGGAGGACAAAGAAGGGAAAAGAGGAGGGAGAGAGGAAGGGGGGAAGAGAAAGGAGGAGAAAGAGAAGAAGAAGGGGGAAGACGAAAAAGAGGAAGGCCGGGCGCGGTGGCTCATACCTGTAATCCCAGCACTTTGGAAGGCCGAGGCAGGTGGATCACCTGAGGTCAGGAGTTTGAGACCAGCCTGGCTGACACGGTGAAACCTCGTCTCTACTAAAAATATAGAAAATTAGCCAGGTGTAGTGGGGTGTGCCTGTAATCCCAGCTACTTGGGAGGCTGAGGTGGGAGAATCACTTGGACCCGGGAGGCAGAGGCTGCAGTGAGCCAAGATCGTGCCACAGCACTCCAGCCTGGGCAACAGAGTGAGATCCTGTCTCAAAAAAAAAAAAAAAAAAAAAAAAAAAGAACAGAAGGAGAAAGAGGGAAAGAGGAGGGGGAAAAGCAAGAGAAGAATGAGAAAGTGGAGTAGGAAGAGAGAGGTAAAAGAAGAGGCTTCTAGGACAAAGGACTTTTTCATAATGTGGCCTTGAGCCAGCCTGGGCACCTTGACTAATCTGAAAGCCTTTGCTTTGGGGACCTTCCCTTGCCTGTTTATGTCCTGTAATTGCTCATTTATTCATCCATTCCATCCACAGGTACTTACTGTTTGGCCTCTACTTCCTTATATGTTAACTTAAGGTTTTCTTTGCATGTTTTTTCACTTTAACAAATAGATATTGGGATACAGCGTAACAAATACAAGTGAATCTACTGGCCAATGGAACAGCGTATTTGAGATCTGTAGTCCAGTGTGTTCACTGCTGCATTTTCCTTCCCTCCCTCCTTCCATCAGCCCACCCACTCTCACTTAGCAAGTTTTGGCTTGAGAGCTTGCTCCGTGCCGGGAATAGGACGTGGCAGTTCATGTGCTCAGTATCAGCTAGGATTAGCTTTGGCTGAGAGTAACCAAAAAACCCCACATGACATTGGTATGTCCAAGATAGCATTCACTTTATCCCTCGTGTTCAGAAGGTCCAGATTTAGGCAGTGCCAGGAAGCGCTGGCATTGTACAGGGTTAGGGACACCGGCTCCTTGTTGTCTGCCAGGTATGGCTTCTAACATGGTTGAAAACCATGTCTCAGCTACGTGCAGTGGCTCATACCTGTAATCCCAGCAGTTTGGGAGGCCAAGGTGGGAGGATCCTTTGAGCCCAGGGGTTCAAGACCAGCCTGGGCAACATTAGCGAGAGACTCCATCTCTAAAAAAAAATAAGCCAGGTGCGATGGCACATGCCTGTGGTCCAAGCTACTAGGGAGGCTGAGGTAGGAGGATCTTTTGAGCCCAGGAGGTCGAGGATACAGTGAACCATGGTCACACCACTGCATTCCGGCCTGGATGACAGAGCAGGATCCTGTCTCAAACAACAACAAATAAAATACCATATCTAGACTTTCTTTGACAGTCCTCCCAACCAGGTGGAGCCTAATTCTCCTCTGAATATGGACCAGACATTTCCAATGAATTGAATGAACCAGAGGTGATGCTGTGAGGCCAGGTTGGAAAAGGTGATATGGCTTTCACCTCTCTCTCTCTCTCACTCCTTCTCCCCCTCGCCCTCTCTCCCTCTCTCCCTCTCTCCCTCCCTCCCACATGTCTTTGAAGCACTGAGCTGCCATTTAAGAATTTGGCTACCCTGAAGCTGCCATGTTGGAGAGAGATGCCCAAGGTATCCCAGATATTCTATTCTGCACAATCCACTCCCCACCCCTGCCAGTCTTCACAGCCCAGCTGCCAGACACGTGACTCTGCCCCGACACACATTTCTGCCCCTTCTGGAGCCTGCTAAGCCCACCACCCCACTTGGAGACAGCCTTCTTTTTTTTTTTTTTTTTTTTTTTTGAGACGGAGTTTCATTCTCGCTCTGTTGCCCAGGCTGGAGTGCAGTGGCACGATCTCAGCTCACTGCAAGCTCCGCCTCCCAGGTTCACACCATTCTCCTGCCTCAGCCTCCCGACTAGCTGGGACTACAGGCGCCCGCCACCATGCCCGGCTAATTTTTTGTATTTTTAGTAGGGACGGGGTATCACCATGTTAGCCAGGATAGTCTCGATCTCCTGACCTCGTGATCCGCCCACCTTGGCCTCCCAAAGTGCTGGGATTACAGGCATGAGCCACCGCGCCCCTTCGGAGATAGCCTTCTTGAGGGTAGAGGTCTCCCTAGAGCCTGCAATGGGGCCCTCTGGGGTCCTGAGGACACCGACATGCCTGCTGCCTGGGTTGGCAGCTGCTCACCATCTTTGCACTATCTTCTTACTGACAGCCCCCAGGTGACTCAGAACGTGTGGTTGACGTGGAGCCACTCAATTTCCTGCCTCGCCTCTCCTCTGGCCTCCTGGCTTGCAACCAAGTCTTCCTATCTGGGGGGTTGAGGGTGCTGTGGCTTCACACTGGCTTTCTCAGCTCCTCCCTCTCCTGCAGGGACTAGGTTGGCGGATCAAGGGAGGAGGAACAGTGGCCCTCATCCCTTCCAGTGCAGTGGGAATGGCACTAGATTGGAGATCTAGGCTGTCATCCAGGCTCTGCCACTAACTGGCTCCTGAGACTTGGTAAATCCCTTTACCCCTGGTCACAGTTTTCTTATCTACAAAGCCTTCATAGATTGAGGCTTTGTAATGCTCTAGTACAGTCATGTGTCACTTAATGAAGGGGATATGTTCTGAAAAATGTTTGGTTAGGGGATTTCGTCATTGTATGAACATCATAGCATATATTTCTACGAGCCTATGTGGTATAGCTTACTACACACTTAGGCTACATGGTATAGCCTGTTGTTCCTAGGCTACAAACCTGTACAGCATGTACTGTACTGAATACTGCAGGTAATTGTTATACAGTGGTATTTGTGTATCTAAACATCTCTACACATAGAAAAGTTACAGTAAAAATACAGTATTATAATATTACGGGACCACTGTCGTATATACAATATGTTGTTGACTGGTACGTCATTATGTGGTGCATACTTGTATTTATTGAGTGTCCACACTATCCTGGGGTTAGGCTCTTTGGAGGATCCCAAAGAAATTATATCATTTAGTGATTTTTCCATTGTGAACCCAACCCAATTCAATATTAGCAAAAGGGGAAATTGATTGGTTTATGTTACTGAATGGTCCAGAGGTAACCTACTTCAGGTATGGCTTCATCTAGGGCTTAAATGATGCCACCAGCACCCATTATCTGCTCTGTTTCCTCTGGATGGGTTTCATGGTTACACACAGTAGTGGTTCCCTGCCCCCACCCCCCAACCCCATCCAGATTCCTGGAACTTCCAGCCCCCATTCCTGCCACCTGCCCACCCAATTGTAGCTGCTCTACTCTAGAACTCACATGCTGTACAACCAAACCCAGCCCAGAAGAGAGACCCTGTGTTCCAGCATTCCCATCAAGAATCCTGATATTCACTCTGATTGGACCAATTTGGTCATGTGTATCTTCCCTTTTGAATTAAGCCAATCTGGTTGATCCCTAGAGCTGGATGTGCAGCCAACTCCAACTCCCTAAACTGCCTGGCTGGGAGAGGGAGGAAATAGATACTGGCCACTTGTGTGTGTGTGTGTGTGTGTGTGTGCGTGTGTGTGTGTTAGGATGGGGGTGGCTTATTCTTAAAGATCTTACTCAGAAAGGAGGCTGAGGCAGGAGGATCACTTGAGCCCAGGAGGTCAAGGCTGCCATGAGGTGTGAATGTGTCATTATACTCCAGCCTGGTCAACAGAGAAAGACACTGTCTCGAAAAAAAAAAAAAAAAGCGAATTTATGATTTACACTCAGGATGCAGAAAGCATGACTTGAACGATCCTTCCTTGTGAAATTTGACAAAGGGAAAACTCCATGTGAGTTCAGGGGACAGGGAGGGCTTCTTGCAGAGGCAAGACTTGGATGCTGAGGAGAATTTAGGCAGAAAGAAGCCTGGGGTTGGGGTAGACGAGGACCTTTTTATGTGTGATCTGCAACCCTGCAGCTTCTCCCAGTCCCAGCACTATATCGATTGCAGTTTGAATAGGTTGTAATTGTGGAAGCAAAAACTTCAACAAAGGAATTTTCAGGGTATGCAATTCAGAACATATGTTGAAGTCCTAACCCCTCAGTGCCCCAGAATGTGACAGTATTTGGAAATGGGGTCTTTAAAGCGGTAATTAAGTTAAAATGAGGTCATATGGGTAAGCCCTAATCCAATATGGCTGGTGTCTTTATAAGAAGAGGAAATTAGGACACAGACACATACAGAGGGAAGACTGTGAAGATATACAGCCAGAAGACAGCCATCTACAAGCCAAAGAGAGAGGCCTCAGAAGGAACCAACCCTGCTGGCACCTTGATCTCAGACTTCCAGCCTCCAGAACTGTGAGAAGATAAAATTCCATTGTTTAAGCCCCCCAGTGCATGATACTTTGTTACAGGCAAAGCCCTGGGAAGCTGGTTTTCAAAAGTGACCATGAACCCCACCTTTCTTTGCCCTTTCCTGGGAGGCTGACTCTGCTCCTCACACAGACCGGCTATGCTCCCAGCAGGATGCCATGGTGAGGGGGTCTCTCCTACCCCCACCCCCGGTTATCCCATAGCTGACACCTTAACTGCAGGGGCTTCACCAGCAAAGCCCTCTTAGATACTGAAAAGTCATCTTCATCCTGAAGTTCCTTTTGGTCACTTGCTTCTCACTGTCTCTAAGAATTAAACCCTTGCCATCTCCTCACAGTGTATACTTTGGCAGAAGATGAAGCCAGATTCAGTTATTTTTCTTGAAATAGGAGATGGAATTTTCCCCAATGTAAAAAGAATGGTGCCCGATTCTTGTGGGAGGTGGACGGGGCTGGCGCTGGCACTGCAGGTCTTCCTTTCCCTCAGAAATAGCCCCACAATGGCCTCATTTTCTAAAACTTGCAACTCAGCAAGTACTTCAGCCTTTAGCAAGAAGAATCCACTCTGCTCAAGTTGAAAAGTGAGAGATCCATTTGTCAATGTAGGCAAGCAAGCACTCAAGTAGTGGAAATTGAAGAGTTCCCCCAGTGCCCGTCCACCGGCCTTGGGGTTCAGGCATATCACCTCGATGGATTCATGGTCAGAGACAGAGATGTACACGTGGGCTTTAGCTTCTCCTACACCTGATGGGGACGTTGAATAAAAAAGTGGGATATGGGGGTGCGGAAGGTAGATGGTGTTGGCAAGTAGCAAGTTTGGAGGGGGAGGGGAGGAGCCCTGGGAAGCCAGGGACAGTTGAAGGGACTGGGGACAGGCAGGAAAAGGCCTGGAGGGAAGGGAAGCATTTTTCTCATTGGCCACGGACAAGGTGATCCGAAGACCCTGGATGTGAGCAGGTTTTTTTTTTTTTTGAGATGGAGTTTTGCTCTGTCGCCCAGGCTGGAGTGCAGTGGGCATGATCACGGCTCACTGCAACCTCCACCTCCCGGGTTCAAGCAATTCTCCTGCCTCAGCCTCCCGAGTAGCTGGGACTACAGACACGTGCAACCACATCCGGCTAGTTTTTGTATTTTTAGTAGAGACGGTTTCACCACGTTGGCCAGGCTGGTCTCGAACTCCTGACCTCAGGTGATCCACCTGCCTTGGTCTCCTAAAGTGCTGGGATTACAGGCGAGAGCCACCGCGCCTGGCCAGCAGGTCTTATTATTGACTTGACCCTCATATAACAAGCCCTGCCGCCCTCCCCACAAGATCTCAGAGCAGACTTCAAGCCGACATATCTTGCCTTAAAATAACAGAGGAGGCCCAGGCTGTCTTTTGCCCTCATCCTGGGAGAAGGACCTGTAAGAACTAATTTTTTAACAGAGTGATAAAAGGTAAACAAATCAGCCTGTTTGGGGGGTGGGGGTGGGGGAGGAAAAGGGCAGTGAGAGCTTATGGGTAGTGGGGTGATTGTGAGTTGCTCTCTTTACAATGGGAACCGGAAAGATAATCTTTCTGGAGCATTGAGGGCTCCAGTTAGAATCTTCCTTCCCTGACAAGGGGTTTCCTTCCATTGTTGTGTGGTCTTGAGGCCCCCTTCCTTAGCTCTTGGGGGCAGGCAGTAACAGTGGAGGATATGTACCAAGGGTTGAAGAGTTGGAGGGGCTGAGCTGGAGATCTGGAGGAGGAGCCCTGGGCTTCACAGCCATCACGGGGGCCGGGGAAGCTGCAGGGCCTCTGAGAGGCATCTTTGAGATTTGGGGGCTCCTACCCTTCCTAACCCCTGCCCACTCTCACTCCCCAGCGTCTCTGCACATTTCCAAAGACCTCATTCAGACCCCGCTGCTCCTCCCTCCCTTCTTTCTTCCCCCTTCCTCTCTCCCTCCACCTCCTCTCCTCCCACCTCCTGCCTCTCCTGGTCCTGCCACTTCCTTGTTTATCCTACAGTCTGATGAGGGGAGAGAGCTGCCTGCCTCAGGAATAAGTTTCCTGGTAAATTAGCTGCCAGGATTGAAATCCATTTTGATTCTGCCCATTATTAAGTATTGTTATTTCTGCTGTTCATTACCAGCTTGTTTCCTTGATCAACTCTTGGGAACAAAGGCTCTTCAAAGCATTTCCCACAGGGGAACCTGTGTGGCCATCACCACTGTGCCCCAGTCTAAAGTAACCCGCACTGACTACCGTGCCACGTGGAGCTCTTCAGGGCCCAAGCAAGGAGCAAGGTCTTTTCCTTGCTGGCTTGGGAGAAGGCACAGGGCAGGCCAGATGATGCCAGGCTGAGGGCCTCCCACTCTCCACCTTGACACCCTCCCAAGGCTGCCACCCTGTCTAGAGAAGCCACACTAGGAAACCCATTCTTACTGTTTTTTTTTAGGTGGGGGAGGGGCTGAGAAAATAACTTTATTTCATTGTGGGGAGCGGGCAGACATCCAGCCTCAGAACTTCTGGAACTGCTTCTTGGTGCCCGGTGGTCTTGGTGACCTTGAGCACGTTGAAGCGTACCATCTTGCTCAGGGGCCAGCACTCGCCCACTGTGATGATGTCGCTGATCTGGATGTCCCTGAAGCAGGGGGACAGGTTTACGGACATGTTCTTGTGGTGCTTCTCAAGGTGGTTGTACTTGCAGGTGTAGTGGAGATAGTCTCGGCAGATGACAGTCCTCTGCATCTTCATCTTGGTCACCATGCCAAAGAGGATCCGCCCTCGAATGGAGGCATTACCAGTGAAGGGGCATTTCTTGTCAATGTAGGTGCCCTCAATCGCCTCTTCAGGTGTCTTGAAGCCCAGATTGATGTTCTGTAGTACTGCAGGAGCTTCTTGCCAGTTTCTCCCAGCAGGAGCTTCTTCTTGTTTTGAAAGATGGTCGGCTGCTTTTGGTAGGCTCACTCCGTCTGTAATTCATACTCAGATCTAAGCCGGGGGTTATTTCAATTTATATGCTCTAGAAGGCCTCCCAGGGCCTGCAGAATTCATCCTCTAAACCAGAATCACCCCTCTCACACCCCAGACACCTTTCAGCGAGGATCATTCTCCAAGACCCAAGGTCACCCACCCAGGATTCACTCCTTATGTAACTCATAAGGATTCAGAATTAAATACCAAAACCGCAGGCTCCTTGGATTTGCCCTTAGGAGTCAGTTTCCACAGGATTAACCCTTAAGACTGGAGAACTCCAAAAATACCTTCTTAAATGTGGATTTTAAGATGGTAACTCCTAAAATGCTGGAGCCTCCACTAAAGTGCGGAGCCCCCAGGATTTAGGAAGCACTCATCTAGATACACCCAAAAGCATGCACCCTCCGCCCCAGTTAATCCCTAGGAAATCACCAACGCCTGGAATTAACTCCCGAAATTGGGCGCTGGGCCCTGCCCTCCCAGACGTGCCCCTGAGGCCCGAGGTGGACCCCGCAGCCTGGGCTCCAGCCCCAAGCCTGCACCTGAATTCCATTCTTACTTTTAATGTTGTACTTGAAAAACAGTTAAGCTATAAGCACAGTAAAGTCCACCAATCTTAAGTGTACAAGTCTATGACTCTTTACATATGTGCAGACCCACAGTCACCCAGGTTGACATAGAGACTATTTCTAGCACCTGTCCCAGAAGCTCCCTTGTGTCCCCTCCCACTTTCTATCCCCCCAAAGGTAACCATTATTTTGACTTGTAACAACATAGACTTGATTTGTCTGTTTTTTTGGAGACAGGGTCACCTGGGCTGGAGTGCAGTGGTGTGGTGGTGCAATCGCAGCTCACTGCAGCCTCGACTTTCTGGGCTCAAGCCATCCTCCTGCCTGACTCTCCTGAGTAGCTGGGACTACAGACTCGTGCCACCATGCCTGGCTAATTTTTTTTTTTTTTTTTTTTTAATAGAGACACAGTCTCACTATGTTGCCCAAGCTGGTCTCAAACTCCTGGGCTCAAGTGATCCTTCCATCTTGGCCTCCCAAAGTGCTGGGATTATAGGTGTGAACCATCACGCCCAGCTGATTTATCTGTTTTTGAACCTCAAATAAATAGAATCATACAACACATATTCTCGTGAATTTGGTTTCTTTTGCTCAATATCATCTGGGATATTCATCCATGTTGTTATATGTAGCAGTAATTTGTTCTTTTTCAATGCTGTATAGTGTGTTATTGTATGAGTATACCATGATTAGTTTATCTGCTCTCCCGTTGACAGGCATTTAGGTTGTTTCCAGTTTCAGGCTGTTGTGAATAAAGCTGCTACGTGCATTTGCATGCAGGGCTTTTGGTGCGCACAAGCACTTGTTTCTCTCGGCTGTATATCTTGAAATACAATTGCTGGGTCATAGGATATTCAATAAAGCCATGCCTGATTTCTCAAAGCGCAAGCAAAAAGAGGGCAATGGTCTGAAAGATAAATGATGATATTTCGGTCATTATGTGGGAGGGGAGATGCTTTAACTCGTGTGTGTGGTAGGTGGTTACAAATATGGCCCCCAAATGAGTTATACGTCCTGATATCCACATCCATGGGTAGTCCCTTCTCATGTTGAGTTTAGCCTCATGACTTTCTTTGGCCAATGGAACATCAGCAATGGCATGTAAAAGAAGAACATCACAAAAGCGCGATGCAGCATGATTTGACAAGCACTTGAGTGTTGAGGCTTGCCTACTGCTATAGTCTGAACATTGGTGCCCCTCCAAAATTCATATGTTGAAACTGAATCCCCAGTGTGATGGTATTAAGAGGTGGGGTATTTGGGAGGTGATTAGGTCACAAAGGTTCCACTCCCATAAATGGGATGAGTGCTTTTATAAAAGAGGCTTGAGGGAGCCTGTTTGTCCCTTCTGCCACGTGAGGACTCAGGGTAAAGGCACTATCTCTGAAGCAGAGAACCCTCACCAGACATGGAATCTGCTGATGCCTTGATCTTGGACTTCCCAGCCTCTAGAACTGTGACCACTAAATTTCTGTTGTTTGTAAATTACCCAGTCTAAGGGATTTTGTTATAGAAACCAGAACAGACTAAGTCAGTACTACCGTTACCAACCAACGTGTCCTTTCAGGCATCACTTCCACTCTTTGAGCCCTCTTCCTTTGTTGCAACCCATACATGGGGGCAATTATAGTGGTCCTGACTTCACAGAGCAGTTGTGAGACTGCTGAATAATGCTGGTGAAAGCTGTTTGAGCCGGGTAAAGCATTGTGCAAGTGCAAGGCAATGTGGTGCTGTTATCTACAGGAACTGCCATCGACAGGAATTGTTTTACTTTGGGGTAACGGGTTTTGAGTTTTTCCAGGTTGCTTTGCTTTCTGGTCTCTCTCCTTAGCAGTCCACATAAATTTGGAGTGTTCAGGAGTGACAGTGGTCTCTGGAAGCTTTTTCTCACCATCTCCATCTACAGGGGCTATTGTCTTTACACGAGGCTAGTGGCTTGTTTCAGGAAGAACAGTTTGAGAGTTGGTCGCCTTCCCACATGAAACTGAATCATATTTGTATGTACCACCAAAGCTGCTTTTACATTCAATTTCCTCATGTGTGGAACCAGCGGTGGGTTCTTAATTGACTGCCTGAGGGCAGGCTTTAGGAGGCTTTGTGATTATGTGTAAAGTTCTGTGGAAGTGAGTGCACGCATGTGGACATACCCTATGTGTCCACACATGTGTCTGTCTTGTTCTGTGAAGAGAGGCCTTAGGGTCCATCAGATCATCACAAGTGGACTCTGGGAGATTTAAAAACCTTCAGGATTAGGTCTTCAATGTGAGACGGGGATTTTATGACACCAGCAAGAAGCTCTTGGTGTTAAGAACTATTGTTTTAAAAAGGAAAACGACCCAATGTAGCTACTACAGCTAGACTCACAGCGATGCAGAAGTGTCAGCAGGTGTGTGCAAGGCTATGTCCCTGTCAGAATGGATGTTCCTCCCTCCTGGCGGATCCAGATGTGGGGACTTCACGCCAAGCTGGAGACGTGTTTTGGTAAAAAGGTAGTTGCACTCCCATGTTATGTTAAAAAGTATAGACACTACAGAGGGAGGATTATTTTATTCCCTTTTTTCTTTCTTTCAAAGACTCAATTTCCCCTCCCTTTTTAAGGTACAAACACCAACCTCACATTAGGGGCAGAAGCGTTGAGCATTCAAAGTTAAACTGGGAATTTTGACTCAATGGACCTTGACAAACAAACAGCTCCAATGGAACTCTTCCAACAATGGCTGCTCTTTTACTTTTATTTTTATTTTTTAAAGTAATGCCAGTGATGGAAGGGGGCGTGTGAAATTAAACAAATGATTTCTCAGTAAACGCTTTGCTGAGAATTATCTGTCAGGGGCAACCCACACACAATCTATAATAAAGAGGATAGATTTAGGGACCGAGTTCCTCAGCGTACTTTGGAGTCCCTGCTCACAGTATGAGCCTGTGAATGCAGAAACAGAATAGACTTGTGCAGCGGCGTTGACTCTGGGTTGCATAACATGAGGGAGATTGGGCTGATCAAGCGCGCATAACTGATCCTGCAGGGAGATGCTGCTTGGTGATTGTTGTGGCGGAGAAAGAATTTTATCCTGAGATGAATGGTGCTTCCCTATTCAGGGACTGTTCCACCTGGGGGTGGGGGCATTTGGAAATAGGGGTGCATTTTTGGCTGTCACAATGACTAGAGGGTGCTACTGGAGTTTAGCAGGCAGGGGGCCAAGGACAATTAACATCCAACAATGGGGGAGGGACTGTCCCACACAATGGGGATTTGTCCAGGCCCAAATATGAATAGTGCTCCCATTGACAAACATGGCTCATCGCTGCAAAGAAAGTTCCAGGTGTCTTTTCTAAAGAACCAATTGGTTCATTAGAGACTAAGAATGGTTTTTCAAGGTGACCCAAGGGATTGGGGCAGGGATTACTTAGCGTAAGAGAGCTGGAGAACTTATCGAAATCCTGTGCATCCTGCAGCCCAACAAGGCTGGAGAGGAGATGCCCGGGCACCTGCTTTAGGTCTGGCAGAGGCCACCTGGAGGGAGATGTGAGGGTCAAAGGGGAGGGGAGGGTTGTGTTGCTGGGTAAGGCAGCCAGTTACCACAAATGGAGAGTGAGAAACAGGGCCCACGGGTGGCAATAGCCCCCCCAAAAGTGACACAGCTGGAAAGTCAGAGGAGCGTGAATGCCCATGACAGGGGATTTAGTATGGGGCACAATCAAGGGGTTGCCCCAGAGGAAAAGGCAGAGGAGACCTTTCTGGAGGCCAGGCGGGCCTTGACTAGACAGAAAAGGGGTCTTCTGCTGACTTTATTCTCTTCCACCCCCTGCTTCCTCATGGGAAGAACCTGGCCTCTGGCTCCGCTGGTACCCTGGGGGAGCCCAGGGCAGTGAGGAGGACTTGGCAAAGCCGCAAGCACCTTGTCATGATCCTGTCCCCTCCTGGCTGTGGGAGTTGCCTCTGGAAAGTGGGTCCTCCATGCGTAGGAGGCACCAGGGCATCCCAAAAGCTGCACCATTTAGCCATCCCACAAAAGGAGAGGCAAGAGGATGTTGCAAGCCCAGCCAACTGTTATTGTCTGCTTCCTGCTCATCCTGTGTCCCACAGCTCTGTGGCTGGGCCAGGCCAAGGGACTTTAAAAGCAGGTATTGAGGTCAGCCCTTAGCCAGCGTTTTGTCTTCTGCTAATCTGTGGTTTGCAAGGCAAAGGCGGGAGATGACAGTGGCAGGGACAGATCTGAAGCGCCTGCAGAGGGAGAGGGAGCTGACTTTCCACAGGGGCTGGGGGAGGGGACCTGGCCCAGCTGCTGACATTTTTACAAAACAAATAAGTGTGAGGCTGTGCTGGTGACCTCAGTGTGATGGAAAAAGATGGTCAGCGGCGTGTCTGCCGGAAATGGCGTGTTTCTCAGCCCACCTGTTAGGAAGCAGAAAGGCAGATGTTGAGTCATATCATTCCAGCAAACAGTTATCAAGTGCCGACTGCATGCCTGGCATGGCCCCATGCATTTGATGTGGGTTAGCATATTTAATCCTCCCAGCCATCCCAGATGGAGGGCTCCAGTATGGTTTCCAGTTCAGAGATGAGGAAACTGAGGCAGAGGTGTTGGTTTCCCCATCCAAGGCTGGACAGCTAAGAAGTGGTGGGAAAGGGGTGTGAATCCTGGCAGGCTGGCCCCAGAGTCTGTGGCGTGAGCACCAGCACCTAGGCTGGCTGCCAGGAGCCTCAAAACAGGTCCTGTGAAGGAGGATTTTTGTGTACCTTGTGTGTGTGCGTGTGCCCACGCAATTGTGTTTTGGCCTGTGTTCCAGTTATCTATTGCTGCATAATGAATCACTCCAAAACGTAGTGACAAAAAACACGACTACCATGTTATTATTATCTCTCACTCTTCTGGGGGTTGACTGCTCTTAGCTAGTTTTTTTTTCTCTCTGTCTCTGTTTTTGTCTGTCTGTATCTTTGTCTCTCTCTCTCTCTCTCTTTCTCTGTCTCATGCAGTTGCCTCCAGACTATACCTGGGGCTGAAGTCATATATTTTTTAAACTTTTATTTTTATTTTTTAATTTTTTTTTGAGAAAGAGTCTCGCTCTGTCACCCAGGTTGGAGTGCAATGGTGTGATCCCGGCTCACTGCAACCTCCACCTCCTGGGTTCAAGCGATTCACCTGCCTCAGCCTCTCTAGTAGCTGGGATTACAGGCACCCACCACCACACCCAGCCAATTTTTGTATTTTTAGTAGAGATGGAGTTTCGCCGTGCTGGCCAGGCTGGTCTTGAACTCCTGGCCTCAAGTGATCCACCTGCCTTGGCCTCCTTAAGTGCTGGGATTACAGGTGTAAGCAACTGCACCTGGCTTCTTTCTTTCTTTCTTTCTTTCTTTCTTTCTTTCTTTCTTTCTTTCTTTCTTTCTTTCTTTCTTTCTTTTTCTCTCTCTCTCTTTCCTTCCTTCCTTCCTTCTTTTTTATTTTATTTTCTTTTTTTTTTTTTGAGACAGAGTCTCCCTCTGTCGCCCAGGCTAGAGTGCAGTGGCGTGATCTTGGCTCATTGCAGCTCCCACCTCCTGGGTTCAAGCGATTCTCCTGCCTCAGCCTCTCGAGTAGCTGGGACTACAGGCACCTGCCACCATGCCCAGCTAATTTTTGTATTTTTAGTAGAGACGGGGTTTCACCATGTTGGCCAGGCTGGTCGTCTCAAACTCCTGACCTCAAGTGATCCGCCCGCCTCTGCCTCCCAAAGTGCTAGAATTACAGGCATGAACCACTGCACCCGGCCTTTTTCTTTTATTATTTTTAAATCTGCGAGGGCCTCAACTCTCTGTGAATGAAGTCCAAATTTATTCTGGAGTCACTTCCATTGACAATAAGACTCTAAATGAGTAAGGACACAGAGCCTTGCCTAATGGCCTCTGTTCTGCCCCCATCAGAGTTTCCCTGCTGGGCCAGGCATTGAACTGGGACTTGGGGCTACACAACTCCTGCTCCTGGGCAAGACAGCAACTACCAGCCATGGGAACAACATTCTCCCAAACCCCTGTCCTGCAGAAATGTTGCCTCTGGTTTCTATAAGCTTTACTGGGAGGAGGCCCTAAGCACAGGCAGGGAGACAGTGGGATTATCAGACGTTGAGAGGGTCATGGCCCTGAACTGTTCTCCCCATCCTGGTGTGAACCTGGCCTTGTCTTTCTTGGTACTTCATTGCTATGGGTTGAACTGTGCCCCACACCCCATTCATCTATGGAAGCCCTAACTCCCAGGACCTCAGAATGTGGCTATATTTAGAGTTAGGGC
Source organism: Homo sapiens (assembly GCF_000001405.40). Classification (NCBI taxonomy): domain Eukaryota; kingdom Metazoa; phylum Chordata; class Mammalia; order Primates; family Hominidae; genus Homo; species Homo sapiens. The sequence goes on along the minus strand of NC_000023.11, from coordinate 39,858,596 downwards.
CTTTAAAGAGGTGATTAAGTTAAAATGAGGCCATTAGGGTGGGCTTAATCCAATACAACTGGTGTCCCTAGAAGAAAATGTGGACCCACGAGAGACACTGGCAGGGTATACGCATAGAGGAAAGACCGTGTGAAGACACAGCAATAAGGTGGCCGTGTGCAAGCCAAGGAGAGAGGCCTCAGGGGAAACCAAACCTTGATCTTGGACTTCCAGCCATCAGAACTGTGAGAACATAAATATCCGTTGTTTAAGCCACTCAGCTTGTGGTCTTCTGTTGCAGCAGCCTGAGGAGACTGATACATTCGTCCTGCATCCCTGTGACAGAATCTTCCTTTAGGTGAGGTGACCAAGGTGGGCCCAGGCCTCCAGAAGTCACTTCCTAATTACCTAGGAAGGGGAGGGAGAACCTCTCCCCATCCTGTCCTGGCAGCACAGAAGGCTGCTTTGATTTGATTAACTGATGGTCACCCACGGGACCCTGGACTTGCCAGTGAAGGGTCAGCTCAGGATAGGCAGGAGGCTGGCACAAAGTGTCAGCCTCTCTGGGAGCAGGCGAACACCAGGCAGCCCTCAGCCTGGCCCCAGAGGGGTTGTGGTCTGTGGGTGTCCCCAGGCCTTGTCTGACTCACACAGCTCCCTAAATGTCCCAGGTCTGCCCCTGGGGGTGTGCAGTTTGGCTCCAGCTCTGTCAACACTCTGGACTTGATGTAGGTACTGAGTGACTGGAAAAGCAGCCCTGACTGCAGCCACCCAAAGCCCAGCCCACTCCTGGGTGCAGGGCGGGCAGCCCTTCCTCCTCCCTGGACTCTGTTTCCACCACACATGAATCCTGGGCCTGCCTGGCCCCGACGCATTTTTTATTTTGCTATCTATATTCTTTCCATTGTCCTGATGTAAATAATTTAAACTGACATAGAAAGAAAGGGCAGGCCTTGCTACAAAATGGAGGCTGTCAACTCCCCGAACCTCCATTTCTTTTCGCCTCCTGTGCTCATCTCTTCCCTGTTCTGTTCGATTTGCCTCGTTCTAGAACCTTTCTCTAGTGCTCTCTTGTTTTTTTGTTTTTTTTTTTTTTTTTTTTGAGAAAGAGTCTCACTGTGTCGCCCAGGCTGGAGTGCAGTGGCGTGACCTCGGTTCACCGCAACCTCTGCCTCACGGGTTCAAGCGATTCTCCTGCCTTAGCCTCCCGAGTAGCTGGGATTACAGGCACACGCCACTATACCTGGCTAATTTTCATATTTTTAGTAGAGACAGGGTTTCACCATGCTGGGCAGGCTGGTCTCAAACTCCTGACCTCAGGTGATCCGCCCACCTCGGCCTCCCAAAGTGCTGGGATTACAGGCATGAGCCACCGTGCCCGGCCTCTAGTGCTCTCTAGCTCCACACACATGCATGCATGCACATGAACACGCCACACACGTGCACACACACACCCTTCTCCCCCTCCCCCCAGGTGTCAGTGAGCAGAGTGTGTGTGACATTGTGTGTCTGTCTCTGGGATACAGTTTCTCTCTCTTGGTGTGAATTGCCTGTCTCGTCTGCATTTCTCATTCTGTTTCTCATCTCCCTACTTTCCTTTGCCTCTCTCTGCTGTTTGCATATGTGAGGGAAAGAGCTGCTTCATTTGTGAAGTGGCCTTATTCCATGGCCTCATTATGCAATCACACAGCATGGAGCTCTCTTGGGGGTTAAGTGGGGAAGGCAGAAGACAGGGCCAGGGAGAATTCATCATCTTTCCCCCGGAAAGCTGTGCATTTTCAGAAGATATAAGGGACAAGTTTGGGGTTCACAGACCCTCAGGGGCTTTTGTGCGTCACCTGGACCTTCTGTGATCGGTACATGGAGCTGCAGCTGGCCACTGGCATTGTCTGGAGAGCAGCCCTGGCCTCTCTCAGCCTTGAACCAGGAAGCAGGCTTTATTTGTCAGGAGAGGGCATAGCCAGGATTTCCTGAAGGTTCTGGCCTCCAGCCTGCAACCCGGCACTGTCCAATAGAAATATAATGCAAGCCACAAATGTGAGCCACATATGTATTAATAATTTTAATGTTCGAGAAGCCACATTAAAAAGGTAAAAAGGAACAGGTGAAATTGACTTAATCATATATTTTGATCAACCCGATGTATCTAAAATATTATCATTTCAATATGAAACCAGGAAAAAATTATTGACAAGGTATTTGACATTCTTTTCTTGAAACTAAATCTTCAAAGTCTGGTGTGCATTCTATGCTGACAGAGGATCTCAATTTGGCCGGGCCACATTTCAAGTGTTCAGTAGAAACATGTGGCTAGTGGCCCCTGTCCTGGACAGCACAGGCCCAGCCTACCAAGCCTGAGGTCTGGAAGTTCTGTTTCGGCTGTCTAAATGGCAGCAATACAAGCGCGTCCTCAGTGTGTATGTCTGATGGGAAGACGACGAGGTGATGTGCGGGAAGTTCACTGAGCCATTATTCTCCCATTACCATCATTAGCAGTAATCATCATGAATGCACTGGCATGGCCCACGTCCGGCCCTGTTGCTGCTTGCTTCCAGTTCACGCGGCATTCTGTGCCGGGGAATTGCTGACCCAGATTCTGTTTTGCTGGGGGGGCAGAGGGAGCTGAGGGTGCAGTTTCCAGGTGCTCTAGGCCTGCCTCCCAGCTGAGACCCCACCTACTAGGTGTGTGCTCCTCCCCTTTCTTTAGGTACCAGGCACCCCTCCAGCTTCTATATATAGCACTCTGTGGCGACAGCTGGCTATCTGATGACTCATCAGTCACCGTGGGCGTCTCCGGATGGAACCCTGAACATTTATTCAGAGGGTGCTTTTGCCAGTTTCTGAACGACTCCTAGTAAGTCCTGCCTTTTGGGGATTGTTTTAACCCCATGGAGATTGGGGGTTTGAAGACTCAGTGGGTTCCTGTCTGAAGGCCTCTGGGGGCTTAAAAAGTCCAGTGGGGCTTTGGGGAACTGGCTCCAGGTAAGCCTGTGAACGCAGAGGAATGCATTCTCAAACTGAGGGCTTGAGTGGTCTCTCCTTGGTCATCTGTCCATCTAAGTACCTGGCTGGCCCCAGATTGCCCCTGGAAGTGGGGCTTGGGAGATGTTAGCTCCTTTCAGGAGCTGCAGGGCTCCTCCCATGTATTTTCTGTGGGGCATCAAAGACCCAGGGCTGGCTTTGGAGCTGGGTTTAATGTAGGCTGCTCTGCTCACCAACTCCACCATCCTGGGCAAGTCCCTTCTGCTCTCTGGGTTTCCGTTTCCTCCTCTGTGCAATGCAGTCAATACCATTGTGGCCGTCTGGTTCTGAGGGTTGGAGGAGGTGCCGTCTGTAACAACTGTTATTACTGTGCAGCCCAGGGGCCCCATCACTTCGGTTTTCTCAGAAGCAGCTTCTGAGACGCGGATTCGTGTGGAAGCAATTTATTAAGGAAGTGCTCCCAAGAAACACGGAAGGGTATGGAAGGGCAGGACCAAGAAGGGGAGGAAGCCAGTTTCAGACAAAGTCCCTCTGCAGAAGGGTCTTAGTCCATCCAGGCTGCTGTAACACGGTACCACACGCGGGGGGGCTGATAAACCACAGACACGTACTTCTCATGGTTCTGGAGGCTGAGAGGCCGAGATCAGGGTACCAGCACGGTCGGGTTTGGGGGAGGGCCCTCTTCTGGGCTGTAGATTGCCAACTTTTCCTTGTGCCCTCACATGGCAGAGACAGGGAGAGAGAGCTCTCTGGGGTCGCTTTTTATAAGGGCACTGACCCCCTTCATGAGGGCTCCATCCTCATGACCTCATGACCTCCCAAAGGAGGAGCTCTGGAGGGCAAGTGTCAACTCAGAGCCTGTCCTGACTCCAGGCAAGAGCACTGTACCTGCATGCTCCCTTGCACCAGCTAGGAGCTACCGTGAGTGTGGGGATTGAAACTCCTGGGTACTTCTGGCTCTGAGGGGGATGTGCCCCGGGCGGGCCTGCAAAGAGTCCCAGGCACAGGCTGTGGGAATTAGGAGAGGGGAAGCTATATGGGGTGGGGGAAGGAGCCCGAGGGGATGTGGGTGAAGCATCTAGAGTGTCCCCACCACCCCTTTGCTTATCTGTCCTCCCACCAGAGGGGGCCAGGCCAGCACCCCTGTATGGATGGGACTGGGGCCGGGGAAGGAGGCTGGAGTCAGGAGGAGAGGCACCACCCAGGCCTTACTCTTCATATGGGTGGAACCATCCCATGAACAAGTGGGATGAGGAAGCCTGAGGAGCTTTTGGCCAAGCTTAGCCTCTGGGGGTGCCCAACACTGGGCACGGATAGGGCTGGGGCACAGACCCAATATTCCAGTACCTCCAAGTCTTTTGTCCGGCACCCAGGCTAGGGGCCCTGAAGATGCTTCACTGTCCAGCGGGATGGGGTTGGGGAAATATTTTTGTTCTCTTCAGCTCAGTAGCCTTCTTCCTTCCTTTCATCACCTTGTCTAAGACTGGCCGGGTCTTTTCTCAAGGTCACCCCAGGAACCAGGGTTCCTTGGGTTCTGTCGCCAGCTCTGGGCACCTCTCCACCATGGGCCACCTGGCTCTTTCATTTTCTTACTTCCAACTTCCACCTTCTCTTCTGCAGCATTGAGCTGCTTTTCTCAGCCTCTCTGGACTTAAAGCAACTTGGCCCAAAGGCTGCCAGTTGCCCTTTCTCAACCCTCCAATGCTTCTGTGCCCTCTACCAGGGATGGGGCTGTGGAATCCAGAGCACACCCGGTTGCCTTCCCTAAATTTCCATTCACCAGCAAAGATGAGTTTATTTTCCACTGTCAGGAATTCAGAGTTTGAATGATTTTACCACTGCTCTGTTCTTGGTGCAGCTGGGATTCTATTTATCACTGGGTTAGGAATTTCACTTCCTGCCTTTTCCATCCCAGAAGAATTCTCTCCCCTCCCCTCCCTTCCTCTTCTCTCTTTCCCCCTTCTCTCCTTTCCTCTTTTCCCTTCTCCTCTGCCTGCTTTTCCATCCCTCTCCCCTTCTCCTCTCCTTCCCCACCCTCCTCTTCCCCCCTTTCCATTTTGTTCCCCTTCTCCATTCTCTCCCTTTTTTCTTCCCCCCTCTCCCCTGCCCTTTTCTGTCTCCTCTCCTTTCTCCCCTTCCCTTTTTCTCTCTTCCCCCTCCTCTCCCTCTCCCGCCCCTCCCCCACATACTGTTTTGCTGTCCTCAGGGTGACGGTGACTTAGGCCAGCCCTGGGGATGGGTGGGAGAGCAGCTGAGAATCCAAAGGCAGGAGAGTGCACAAAAAAGAGATATGTCGACAAGTGGCTAGGGACCATGTTCCTGCTTTAGCTACGCACTGTGTCAAGCGCTGAAAGTCACTACACAGGCAGTCATTATTATGATTTTTACCTTACAAAAAATGCTTCACCCAGGGCATGGCATCTACTTGGTATTCAGTAGCAGTCAAATTGGAAAAAGGAGGCTTTCAAAGAGTCATTAAGACAAACACTGTTTGAAAATTATACAGAAATTCTATTTAGCTATTTGAAAATGAAAGAGTATTATACTGTCTTTGTAAAAATGCTTTTTTTCCAGTTGCTCACTGATTTTTTTCCCCCCAGTTGCGGTGGCTGATTAGTGTTTTCGTAGCGTCTCTTCCAGTTCACCGCAGACCTGCTGTTCCGTGGAGTCTGGTGTTGCAAAGCTTGTTGCAAAGCTTGTGCTGAGGAACTGCGAGGGGTCTCTGGGAATCTCTCTCAGGTTGCCGGGACCAGAGAGCCATGTGTCTGGCTAATGTGACCATCCCTCAACAAGGGTACTGCTCACTGGATTTCTCTACACAGACTCCCCTCCTGAGGAACTGACTAGGCATGAAAGATCTCCCCCAAGAATTGTTTAGTGACAGCTTAAGCTAGGCTAGCCTCTCTGCCTCACTAAGCTCAGCTGAGGTCAGAGTGGTGGGGTGTGACGCCCGCAACTCCGGGCAGTTAACTCACACAAAGGGAAAACTCTCTCCCCACCTTGCCTACCTGCCTCCCTGCCTGTGGGCAATTTTGCCAATGTTTTCCATTAGTCACAAAGGAGAGGGGCAGGTGGGGGCAGGGTGGTCAGTGGGGACAATCATTACACAGGAAGAAAACCAAAACCATATTACTATCTAAGGCACTGTGCTAAGTGCTGGCATTAGGGTTGCATTTGGTGAAAATCCACATATAACACAGAAAAATCTATGAACCATCTAGAAATCCTAACTTCTTGACCCTTGAACTCCTTCTTTAAGAAGATCACTTGTTCATGGAGGGCTTCCCTGACCCCTGGGCAGGCTCCTTCCCCATTCTCTTGGCTGCTTCTGCCAGCACTTGGTGTCCTTTGCCTGAGGCTCTCTTTGGCTGCGTGAGTGGGCAGCCCTCCCTAACACCCTCAACTCTGACTGTTAGGATTCCGTAAGTAAATGCTCCAGCCTCCTCATCCTTCAGGAGGGATGATCTGAGGTGTGTTCCACACTGTCAACCAGGGGTATCCTGCAGGACCCAGCCCCATTTGCCCCAACAAATGCGGACAAATGGGTGGGAGCCTACTTATCAATACGGCCTCTGACTGCCCCCCTGGCTCTCTCTCCATGTCCTCATTGCCCTACTGATGCTTCCTGGAATCACCTCCCAAAGAAACTGCTTGCACACAAAACCTTGTATGCAAGACATTTGCAATCTAAATTAAGTCTCCCTGTTCTTTCTCAGGGCACTCCCCACCCCCAGCTTAATAGCACTCATCATGATATGTAATTATGCATTTGTTTGTGTATCTATTTGTTTAATGAGGGCAGAGACAATGTCTATTTTGTTCACCACTAAATCCCTGCACATCACTCAACCCAGAGCTTAACATGTGGTAGATGCTCAACGTAAATTCTGTTGAAGGAATGAATGTAACATCATTAGAGCTTTCTAATCTTTCACCCTTTGGGGTGGTTCAAAAACATGACCCCAAAGTTTCCTGACACTCCTTCCAATGAGAAGCGGGGTCCTTCTCTCCTTGAATCTGGATACGCTGGTGACAGCTTCAACTAAGAGAATGAAAGGGCTAGGTCATAAAAGGCCACACAGCTTCTGCCCTGAAGCCCTGAATAGCTGTCATGTAAGAACTCTGACTACCCTCAGCCGGCCATGCTGAGAGGAGGCCCAATTAATATGAAGGGACAACACATAGGTGCAGAGATCCATAGTCCCAACTGAGCCCAGTCTCCAAGTCATTTCAGCCTAAGTACCAGATGTGTGAATGAAGAAGCTTCTGGATGATTCCAGCCCCCAGCTCTTTTCAAGTCTTCTCAACTGAGACCCCAGACATTGTGGAGCAGAGAGATCCACAATGCTTTGGCCCGTCCAAATTCCTGACTTATGGAAACTTCGAGCATAATAAAACCGTTGTTAAGCTGCTAAATTTTGGAGTAATTTGTTATGCAGAAATAATTGGAAGACCTTGATTGTGAGTTTATTAATTCTGCATTTATTTGAAAGTCATTTATCAAGTTCCTACTATGTGCCAGGTGATGGTTACACAGTAGCAAACAAGGGAAAGATCCCTACCTTCCGGGAACTTACAATCTAGGGGCTGCTGTTGTAACTGTATCTTGCAAAAGCCTACATGTTGCTTTTTAACAATAATGAGTAGGTTTTTCTGAAACCACTTCCAGATGGTGTGGGGGGAGGGGTGCTTCCGGAGTGAGTTGCTAAGGGAAGCTCCAGGGGTAGGTGGATTAGATAACACAGACCCAGGGAGCTCTATTATTTGCTGGCTGTCAACCACCACTGTCCTGCAAATCATCCACAGACTAGCTGCACCCCCACACTAAGGGGGAGAGATTAGGGAAGCTGGGAGGTGCCATCCTTGAGGCAGAAGGAGAGGGGAACTGCTCCCCGCAGGCCCTGGAAAAGAGATGGTGCCTGCCTCTTGGAGGAAGATGGCATTGGCTTGTCCAAAGCTGGAGTAGGAGGACTTAAGAAAGCTGAGGCCACTGGCTGGCACTTCAGCTCCCTTATCTGACTCCGGGAGGCAGGTCTGGAATCAAAGTTGCCCCTGTGTGTCCAGACGTGCCTCACTCATGAACATGATTTTATGCCCCTTATGTTTCTGCTCCTCCTTCATTCTTTAACAAAGCAAGACATTTTTATCTGCCTGTCTCGACTCTGCTAAGGTGAAACAAAGAAAAGGACTCTGTCCTTTGAAGGACTAGTCATGAAGGGTGTTTTCTCCTAGGGGTGACCTTTGGTATCAAGGTACAAACTGCAAGAGGAAGGGGAATTCCAGGAGGAAAGTTTGGGTGTTTAGCGTCTCATGTCTGCCTGGAGCTTTTCCATCCTGGAAACCTGCTTTTGTTTAACCCTGGAAGGTTCTGGGGCCTATACAAGGAAGGGCGGCCATGTTAGGGACACTGTTCAGTAAAACAGGACCCACCTCTCCCAGCGGCTGGTGATAGAAGTGGAGTCAATGCAGACAGGCTGTGAATTGGGCTGTTTTTGTGTCAGTATAAAGAAATACCTGAGATTGGGGAATTTATAAAGAAAAGAGGTTTCATTGGCTCTTGATTCTGCAGGTTGTACAGGAAGCATGGTGCTGGCATCTGCTTCCGATGAGGGCCTCAGGGAGCTTACAATCATGGTGGAAGACGAAGGGGAGCCAATGTTTCACATGTTGAGAGTGAGAGCAAGAGAGAGGGAGGGGAGGCAGCCACACACTTTTAAACAACCAGATTTTTTTTTTTTTTTAGATGGAGTCCTGCTCTGTTGCCCAGGCTGGAGTGCAGCAGCGTGATCTCGGCTCACTGCAACCTCCACCTCCCAGGTTCAAGCGATTCTCCTGCCTCAGGCTCCTGAGTAGCTGCGATTACAGGCGCGTGCCACCATGCCCGGCTAATTTTTGTATTTTTAGTAGAGGCAGGGTTTCACCATGTTGGTCAGGCTAGTCTCGAACTCCTGACATCGTGATCCACCCGCCTCGGCCTCCTAAAGTGCTGGGATTACAGGCGTGAGCCACCCTGCCTGGCCTAAGCAACCACATCTTGCATGAACTAACTGAGCGAGAACTCACTTATCACTGAAGGGATGGCGCTACACCATTCACGAGGGGCTATTCCCATGATCCAATCACCTCCCACCAGGCCCCACCTCCAACAGTGGGGATCACATTTCAACATGAGATTTGGAGAGGACAAACATCCAAACGATATCAGGCTGAAAACACGGCTGGCACTTGAAACTTTAGAGAAGTCACCTTTTCCCTGGGCTCCTCGCTCTGGTCTCCCTGAGACTGTCACAGCGGCTTCATAGGTGCTTCGAGTTTCTTTGCCACCCCCTGATCAGGCCTTCTGTGTTTTGTAGTAGTCGCCTTCCCAGATTTATTGAGTAGCTCAGCTGAACCAAGGTCTGAGCATTCAATTAGGTCTTGTTATTCATCCGTTCACCAAATATTTAGTGAGCCATGTGCCAGGCACATTTCTAGCTGCTGATACAGCTGTGAACAAGACAGATGAAGCCCTTGCCCTTCGTGGAGCTCACATTTTAATAAATAGTTTGGAGGCGGACAAAGAGAAAATAAACAGAGAAACACGAACCTGGAGCATTTGGCTCACAACTTAGAGTTGACTCATCTTCAGTTTGACGTCCCTCCTGCTACGAGTTCCTGGCTAACTGACATCTCTTCTCCTCAAGCAGATGCTAACTTTGAGCCCTACCACTGGTGAGTGCCCCTAAAGGCTCACACCTGTGATCCCAGCACTTTGGGAGGCCGAGGTGGGCAGATCACTTGAGGTCAGGAGTTCGAGACCAGCCTGGCCAACATGGTAAAACCCCATCTCTAGTAAAAAAAAAAAAAAAAGACACAAAAATTAGTTGGGAGTAGTGGCTCATGCCTGTAATCCCAGCTACTGGGGAGGCTGAGGCAGGAGAATCGCTTGAACCTGGGAGGAGGAAGTTGCAGTGAGCCAAGATCACGCCACTGCACTCCAGCCTGGGCAACAGAGCAAGACTCTGTCTAAAAATATATATATATATATATATATATTCCAGCTTCAAGATGTCCTGGCACAAGAGATCTAGATCCATGTTCTCTCTCAGTTGGCTAAGGTCCACTTTCTGAACACCAGTAGGGCCACTTTCCACTTCCAGACGTTTTCTTCCCAAGTGATTGATGGAACAGGTGACGTCATCCTCAGAGCACACCCTGTTCGTTACCACTAACCCTGACCTCTACGGGATAACATTGGCAGGGACCTTCCTACACTTACTTTAGTAACAGAGATAGATTGCTTTATCACTGGGAGTTTCCTTATTATTTTAAAAATAAGTTAGTGTTTTGGAGGAGGAAATAACATTTCCCCGAGATTTAGGGGAACACTGCAGCTAACAAGGCCCTCTGAAACGGCACCAAACAGAAGAACATGTTAAGACACTATCCTTATTAGGATGGTGGGGCGCTTCCTCTGTCTCGTGGTTAATTCCGGGCGCTTCTCTCCTTCAGATTCCTGACTTCCTCTGGTAAGCCCCTCTGGATTAACCTGTCACACTCTGTCAGTCCTGACACAGGCAGCTCTCTGTGTCCAGGTCCTGGTGGCATTATATTATCTCCAACTTCGGAGTTGCACTATTTATTTTCCATCGAAAATTAGACCAGGAGCTTCACCGAGGTAGGGGTCGGGATTTATTTCCTTGACAGATTTCCCATCTTCTAGTGTCTAATTTACAACATGTGCAGGGCATGCCCTCCAAAACTTGGTAAGTCCTTAGCCAAACCATTTTGAACTCCCCATGTGACAGCTGAGTAACCCTTCTTATCCCTCTCTCCTTCTTCATCATCACCCCACCTTTTGCAAAGGAATTGCTGTCCCATGTCTCTCATGGAGGGGAGTGTGTGTGTGTGTGTGTGTCTGTGTGTGCATATGCATGCATGTCTGTGTGTGTGGGAAGGGGTTGAGGGTCTCCTATAAAATACATTTTTTCCTGTCATTCTCATTCATGATGCAAACTCTGTCTCCCTGTCTGTGTTTTCTTTTTCCCTGTGGGATGGTCATGTTGAGGCCTCTTCCCTCCAACAAGCTGTGGAGCAGAAAGAACATTGCTGGGAAGCAACCTACCTCCCCTACTGCCCACTGTGAGTGGCTCCAAGGCATACTTGGCTCCCTGGTTTCAGAGCTCATGAAGGCCAAAGGCTGGGGGTCTCCAAGTTCCCTTCCACTGCTTACACTTTTTCCTTTCTTCCCTCCCCTCCCCTCCCCTCCCCTCTCCTCTCCTCTCCTTTCCTTTCTCCTTTCCATTCCTTTCCTTTCCTTGATCTTGCTCTGTCGCCTAAGCTAGAGTGCAGTGGCATGATCACAGCTCACTGTAACCTCAAACTCCTGGGCTCAGGCAATCCTCCTGTCTCAGCCTCCCGAGATTACAGTTACATGCCCCCACACCTGGCTACTTTTTATATTTTTTGTAGAGACAGGGTCTCACTACGTTGCTCAGGTTGGTCACAAACTCCTGGTCTCAATTGATCCTCTCACCTTGGCCTCTCAAAGTACTGGGATTATAGGTGTAAACTATCGCACCTGGCCACACTTTTGTTATTACAGCTGCACTTTTACTCTGGCTCCTGTGGATGGCTTTGTGGGCTTTGTTAGGTTGCCCTAGAATCCATTAGAATGGCTAAAATTAAAAAGACAGAGGCAAGGGTGCTCGGGAACAGGAACTCTCATGCATTGCCAGTAGGAGTGGAAAATGGCCACTCTGGAGAAGAGTTTCTGATAAACCTAAATACCTATGTACCTGTGACCAAGCAATTCCACTCTTGGGCATTGAAATAAAAACCTACACCCACACAAAGATCTGTACATGAATGTTCACAGTGACTTTATGCATAACAGCCCCAAATTGGAAACAACCCAAATGTTTATCAACAGACCAATGAATAAACAAACTGCAGTATATCTAGGCAATGGAATAGTACTCAGCAATGAAAAGGAATCAGCTTCAGATACTCGAAACAACATGGAGGAAGCTCAGACATTATGTTGGGCAAAAGGAGCTGGACACAAATTACATAATGTATGATTCCATTAATAGGACGTTTAAGAACAGGAAAAACTAATTTAGGGTAGGGGTTCTCGATCAAGGGTGAATCCACAACTCCCATCCCCCATTGCGGGACATTTGGCAATGTCTGGAGACAGTTTTGGTTATTATAACTGGGGTGTGTGTGTGTGCACGCGTGCTACTGGCATCTGGTGGGTAGAGGCCAGGGATGCTGTTAAACATCCTACAATGCACAGGACAGTCCTCTACGACAAAGACTCATCCCACCCCAAAGGTCAACAGTGCCCAAGTGGAGAACCTCTGGCCTATGGTGATAGAAGTCAGAAAAGTGGTTACTTCTTGGGGAGTGACTGGAGGGGGCAGAAGGGAACTTTCTGGAATGATGACTTTCTGGAATGATGAAATCTTCTATATTTATGTTTAATATGGTAGCCGCTAGGCACACGTGATTATGAAATTAAAATGAAGTACAATTAAAAATTCAGTTGCTTAGACGCATTAGCCACATTTCAAATGCTCAAAAGCCACATGTGACAGATAGAGAATATTTCCTACTTTGCAGAAAGTTCTATTGGACAGCGCTGCTCCATTTCTTGAGCTGCGTTGTGTAAAAAGTCATCGAGGCATACACTTGAAATTTGCACATTTTATTGCATGCAAATTATATACTTCAATACCTATACCCCAGTGGGATGAGAAAAAGAGTCCTTCCTGCAGGTGAGAAATGGGGACACTGGCAAAGTCATAGCCCCCAAGAGCGTGACTTCTGTCCCCTGCCATGGGCCAGGCCTGGTTGTGCACCCAGAAACTGGCTGGACTGGGAAGGGGAAGGGCTGCTGAGATTCGCAGAGGGGCCTCCCCAGGAGCAGAAAACGCCAAGGCCATATACCCTACAGGGAATTCAAGGGTTGCCCTGGCTCCCGGTAGATTTCTTAGCCGGTCAAGTGGACCTGAGCAAAGAAAAGACTCTACTTCCTCCCACTTTTGCCAGGGAGCCTCCCCCACCTGGGTCTGCAGGCTCTCCTGGCAGAAATTGCTCCATTCCCCCATCTCTGCTGCGTCTCGCTCTTCTGGTGTGAAGGTTTTACAATAACAGCATTGTAACCACTTTGAGAAAACCAATAAAAAGGCGGTGACAAAAGAATAGCGAGCTGGCTGGAAATTGCACGCAGCAGCGCGGGCCTGGGCCTTTTGCTGCTGTGTGTTTAATAGAGCTCCCAGGCTGCAAGCTGCAAAGACACACGTGTTTATTTGGAGGATGCACTGTCGCTTAAATAATGAATCTCACATAAGCATTCAGATGAATGCAGGGAGTCCTGACTCCCACTGCCACTCAAGCCTTCTCACCCAACTAGGGCCAGTAAATGGAGGCACAAACCTCCCTTTAAAGCTCTGGTCGGACCAGTGGAGCATACTGCCCCATGGCGTGTGATGCGGAGGGAGGATCACATTCATTTATTCATTCATTCACTCAGCTACAAAACAGACCCACCAGCTACTAAGTGTTGAGCCCCATGATAGGCACCGAGCCATAAAGAACACTTACTCAGCCTACATCAGTGTGCATATTGCGGAAAACTCCAGGGCAACTTTTGGCTGAGATCGGCATCAGGGCAGGGCCCTGTCCTGTCTCCTCTCCGCTGGGTCATGGCCATTCTGTCTACTGACCCTTGTGGGTCATCACACTCACCAAGTCTGACTCTAGCCCATTCCCCAGCTCCTTTTTACCTTGCTGCTCCAAAGAGAAATCCAAAGTCCTTTATATACTTATTAACCCCTGGCTTAAAAAAAAATTCAGACTCACAAAAAAGTTGCAAAAACAGTATAAAGAATTCTGATATACTCTTCACCCAGATTCTCCAAAGGTTAGTATTTTACCAATCGCCTTTATTCCTCTCTCCCCCAACCCTGAAATGTCTATTTCTGAATTATTTGAGAGTATGTTGCAGACACGGTGACCCTTTACCTCTGATACTTTAATATAAATTTCTTAAGAAACAAGGACATTCTCTTACATAACCATGGTGCAATTATCAAGATCAGGAAATTAACATTGCGATAATGCTATTATCTAATGCACAGACATTCGCATTTCTTCAGTTGTCTCACTACTATCCTTTTATATCAAAGAAAAAAAAAGATTTCTGCCCAAGATCCAATTCGTTGTCATGTCTTTTTAGTTTCCTTTTATCTGGAACAGTTCTTCAGTTGTTGTTGTTGTTGTTGTTTTTGAGACAGAGTTTCGCTCTTGTTGCCCAGGCTGGAGTGCAATAGCCTGATCTCGGCTCACCACAACCTCTACCTCCCGGGTTCAAGCCATTCTCCTGCCACAGCCTCCCGAGTAGCTGGGATTACAGGCATGCACCATCACGCCTGGCTAATTTTTTTGTATTTTTGGTAGAGACGGGGTTTCTCCATGTTGGTCAGATCGATCTCAAACTCCCGACCTCAGGTGATCCGTCCACCTTGGCCTCCCAAAGTGTTGGTATTACAGGCCTGAGCCACCGCGCCCGACTAGTTCTTCAGTCTTTACTTGAGTCTTGACCTTGACGTTTTCAAAGCATACAGGCTAGTTATTTTGCAAAATGTCTCTCAATTTGAGTTTGCCTGATTTTTCCTTATGATTCAACTCAGATTATGAATGTTTGGCAAGAATACCATAAAAGGATGCCAGTTTGTTACCTTCATCATTGGGTTAAGATGATGTCTGCCAGCTTTCTCCAATGTAAAGTGATGAGTTTTCCCTCTGTAATTAATTGCTATCAGGTGGGCAAAGCCCTGTACTATTTTGAAAGTTTTGCTCACTAGAAGGAATGGTTGGCACGGTGCCTGCTGAATGGCCCCTCATCTGCATTCCAACTCCCTCCTGGTGAAATTGACTAGAAGCTTTTCTGGGGCTTCACCATTTTATTAGTGAGAACAAGGCTTCTAGAACCTCTCACCAGGATTTCTTCTCCACATTCCCACTCCCAACAGCCTCTCTGCCTAACACAGGAGTCAGAACATGAATCTCGGCACAACAGCACAGGTTTCAGGTCCTCCACGTGACATCCTTCCCATGGGAACTGAACTGTTAGTTACCCCACCCAGAAATAATCCCCTTGAAGCATTTCCTTTAAATCCAATTTCCTTTTCTCCCCAGTGGGGCGGTAGATCAGATGTTAATACTACCATGTTGCCGGTGAGGAAGAGCCAGGAGACCCAAAGAGGTGAAACTACAGTAGACAGATCCTCACCAGGGTTTTCTGAATTTGTTTTTGATCCCCAGCCTACTCCAGAATGAGTATTTGCCTTTCTTTGAAGCCAGAGAATGATGTGCTGCAGCACCGGAAACATCATTTACTTTCCAAAATGGGCCGCATTGTAACCTGAGTGTGTGCCATTGTTGCTGATGTGAGAAGGAGCGCCTTGACATTTTTGGCTGTGATTTCAAGTGTCCTCATGCAAGAGTACTAGCTCTCCTACACCAGAGCATATAGACTTTCAGAAAAGGATGGAGAATAAAAAGAAGGAGGCCCGTATGAAGACAGCCAACTTAGAAAACAGCAGGGCCCAGTTCGAGTGAGAGCAAGGCCAATATTGTGTGTGTGTGTGTGTGTGTGTGTGTGTGTGTGTTTTATGGCCAAACTGTATCTAGGGATGCTAAATAAAAGATACCAATTTTATAATATATGTTGTAAACGAAGCCCTCAAACTGTTTAAAATGAGTATTTCGGTAGCCATATGCTCTGCATGGTCACATATATGTATATGTGATATGGGTGTGTGTGCGCACACACGTGCCGGTATGTGCATATATACCTCTGCATGTTCAGAGGTGAAGAGACATTCATACACTCTGTGCTATGCAAAGCTATATGAGTCATATGGGAATTTATTTAAAATATTGATATTCCCAGTTAAAACAACACTGGGCAATATTGTCATTGCATACACGAGCTGTTTTGAAGCTGGAGAGGGGAAACAGAGACCCTTTCTCCTCCTGAAGAGCTGCCTGGAATACCAGAATGGGCAACTCGCTGCAATAAGCCGAAATGCACAGAAATTACACTTGAACTAATGCCTAAAACCTGACGGAGACATACTTCATAGTTAATCTGGTTACTCGGGGTTTATTTCACAGTCAGAAGTTCTTATGATGGAAGGGGCTCCTGCTGGCTTCTCCCAGACACATGACTGAATTAATGAATGAATGAATTCAACTTACCAGAGCAGATTTAAACTGCTTACTGAAACAAAATCTGGTCATTTTTCTTCCTTCTGTTTTCTTTTAAAAGATAAATACAAGCCTCATATGGATGCTCTAAGAGTCATTAATCCTGGATAACCGACTTGTTTTATCTTTTGATTAAAAAAAGGCAGGCTGACCGACAGCAAGCCTACAACAGCAGACTCATTAACAAGCCGGGTTCAGATGTGGCCTGGCGAATAAACACCCAGTGTTCCTTTAACCAGGCAGCACCCCGACAGGAAGGCCTCGTGCTCCCGGGCTTAAAATGCAAGGAACAGGTAAACCAGCCTTCTCTTGCTGAAGCAGCAGAAAGCTCTCACGTTTTTTTCAGAATGAGCGCTTTCTGCGATACTACTTGGTTGTCAAATTTTAATGGGTGCTTGTTAACAGGGACTTTGAAATATTGTGATGTATTTGACCATCAGCAGCTTTCTGGCCTGCTGTTGGGGCTGAGCTTGGTGTATTTTAATAGGCACCTTAACTACCCGGGGATGAGGTCTGTAATACTCTCAGGCACTGGATGGGAAGGCCCAGCCAGTGGCGGGTGGGGGGCGGGGTGTGGAATGCGGGATCCCAGAGATGGAGAGAGGACTGCTGGGTTCCCTTGGCCACTGAAAGCTCTGAGAGTGTCTGGGGATGCAGGGTTTCCTTAACGTGCCTGGCTAAACCTGGGAGAGGCTAGGGGCTAGCTCTGCTGGTCCTCACAGCTGCCTGTGAGGATTTAAAACACACCTCTTGTAAAGGCGGGTGAGAGTTGGGGGTGGCTCTTTCTTGCCCTTCCTCCCCTCTTCTTCCTCTCCTTCCTCCCCTTTTCCTCTTCATCCTCCCCACTCTGTTCTCCCCCACTTCTCCTTCCTTTCTTTTTCTTCTCCCCTCCTCCCTTCCTGGTCCTCCTTCTTCCACTCTCCCTCTCTCTCCTCCCCCTCTCCCTTTCTTCCCTAATGCTCAGTCCAAGATGTAAGAGTATCTAAATATCTCATGTTGAGTGCTGCTAGTAAAATGCCACTTCTCTGAATGACATTCTCAGTCCGACTCCAGCTTGCTTGCCTGCTCCTCCGTCAGCCTTTCCCCAACCCACCACCACCACACACTTCCACCCCAAACACACACGAAGGCCTAGCTTGCCTGTCCGATTGTCAAGGAAAGACAGAAGATTGCTTCTTGGCACCTTAATCTGTGTCTGAGTAACAGAATTGGGACTTTCAGGGCTTCAGGGAAGGAGGGACTAACTACAAGGGGAGGGGGCAGCCCAGCCACGGAGAGGGCAGCCAACAGCTGGGCCAGGGCCTGATGCCCGCCCAACAGCCCCAGCTCCAACCACAGCACCCGACTCCGGGCCATTCCATGTGGGATCGTGACCTGGTAAGCAAGAGTAACTGTTTGCAAAGATCTCTACATCAAGTTCTTGGAGGGAGGCTGACTTTGCCTGGACCTGGCAGAGGGGATGTGTGTGTGTGTGAGTGCATGTGTGTGCACGCCAAGCTCTCTTGTGTCCCTGGGGAGAGGGAATGAATGCGTTGGTGGGGGAGGCAGGCGACGATCTGCCTAGAGCCGCCGGGCACCACCGCGCGTTCCGAAGAGGCAAGAGTGTTTTGCCAGTGGAAAGCTTATTTTGCCCAGCAGGACCAAAAATCCAATTAAAGAAAGAATGAGGGAAATGTGAAGTCTGGACTGAGCGCTGGCACCTCCCTGGCCGACTTCCTTGGCAGGGATCTCTGTCGAGGGGAAGGCTCAATGATGGCTCTGGGGATGGCCGAACAGAGAGGCTCCCACGCGCCATAGCCAAACACAGGGGCAGCTGCCAGTGACTGGGCCCTGCCTGTCCCTGCCGCCTGCTGCCATGGCCTCCTGCAAGGACCCGCTGGTGGTCCTTGGTGGGGTGGAGAGCTAGGCCGCCTGGCAGCAGGGAGAGCACCACCCCAGTCCCAGCTCTCGGGCCATTTGAACCACCCACCCGCCCGCGCCTATTGACATCGGTGAGAATTGCACAGGCAGATTAAAGACAGCATATGGCCCCCCAACTGGAAGCCAGCGGAGCTGAACCAACACTGGCAAATTGTGTTCAAACCGCATTGAGAATCCTGGCAGCTGCACCTGGCATGGGGAGCAGCCGGCGACCTGCATACAAAGGGAGTTTTATACACAGGGGGCTGCAGCAGCAGCGGTAGCAGCACCGCCACCCCCCACACCCCCAGCCTGCTCTCCCCTCCCCCTCCATCCAGATTTGGTCATTGACCCTGGGAAGTGGGGAGCTATTTGTCCAGGTTTCTGAACCTGGAGGAAGGAGCCCATGAAGGCAAGCTCCTATTTGGAGCTTTAAAGCCAGGACAGATTTATCAGGGTCCTTTACTGCCCCCTCACCCCAGCCCTGTGTCCATGTACCTCTCTCCCCAGTTTACCAATGGCCATATTTCCCTAGCCAGGGGGAGGCCGGGAGCCCACCCAGAACCTCAGAGGGCCTGCAGCCTTCTCAGCTTGACTGGTAAAGGTGGCAGTTCATCTCTTCCATCCTCTGGGGCAGAACCCAAGCGAGGGAATCTCTAAGTGTTCCTCAGGGCCAGGGTGACATGCAGACTTCTGGGTCACCCCTTGTTTTCCTCCCTCCAGCCCTGTCTAAGAAAAAATAAAAAGGCAGAGACATTTTTGTTACCTCATGAACGAAAGAGAAAACATTATGTAACTGGTACATAGCAATAAATAACCAAGGGTGATGGAGTTGGGGAGTGGGAAGGGATGAGACCAATTAACTTGCAATAAACCAGCTGAACCAGGTAGGGGCAGTGTTCCGAGAGAGTCAACACGCAAAACCTGCCCCGGGGTGAGGGTGGGGGGGTCTGGCACCTGCTTAATCAGGTGTGTGCTGCGGGTCTGCTTGGGACACTGGAGGATGCTGGGTGGTAAAATCTGGCAAACTCAAGGGGATGTAAAATCAGAGGGGGACGATTTGGGGGTTCTGCTTCATGGAATAGGGTTGAAAGAATCAGTCATTGGTTTCCTAAGGATGCTTCATCCTGGAGGACTGCTGCTTTTAGACCACAAGAAGTCTTTAAAATGCTCTCTTGTTTCTATTTCCCCCGCAGATGGCATTTGAGGGGGAGAGGATAAGCCAAGGGAAGAGGAAAATCAAAATGCTTTCAGCAGCACGGCTTCCGCATGCTGGAGAGGTGGTGTATGGGGTTGCGGCTTGGCCTGTTTTCTGAAACCTGCAAGGTAGCACCCTGAAGGTAGCTTGTAACCCTCCACTCTCACACCAAGGTAATACCTCCTTCCTGTCTGGCCACCTGTCACAGCCAGTGGAAGTAGGGTTTGGAGGGATGGTTGGGACATCCTTACACAATGTTAGGTGGAGACTTAGTGATGGCTTCGGGGGAAGGCAGAGGGAGTCTCTCTTGCGTCAGGGGGGTGGAAGCACCGCTGCCATGATCAAGCCCTTTGGATGAAAGGAGGGCTGTGAGATTTGCTGCCCAGATGTGGGTTTGCAAATGACCTTGTTGGTCTGTTACCCTGGCCTAGCTCATAGAAGCTTTCTTCTCCTGTGGCTTGGGAGAGAGCCACCGTAAAAGACAAGCTGTGGCTAGTAAGCATCTTCTATGTGCTCTGGACTGTCTCATGCAAGAGCTAGGGCATAGGATCCTCATGATGGCCCTTCAAGAGGGGTTAATCTTGTCGTTGTTGCACTTCTATGAGGAAACAGACCATGTGAGGCTAAGTAACTTGCTCAAGGTCACACAGGGGTGATTGATGGGGTCACCCAGACTGTCTGACTCTTGTGTGGGTATGGCTGCCCTCCTTGTCAGCCGGCGGGGTATAGAGGCTGGCCCTCCATTCTTGATTTGCTCAGTAATGGGGGCAGGACAACTCCACCTCCTTCTTCCCAAAGGAAAGTTGAGCTCATTTTGGAAAGAAAGCAAACAGCCGTTCTCCTCTGGGGCTCTATCCGGGGACAGGGCAGAAAGGAAATCCAGTACACTGCGGAAGGAGTCATTTTTTGGCCTGGTTCTCACCACCCATCTCTAGTTCAAACCCTGCTTTTAGCATATCTGTGTTGATGGGGCAGGGCCTGGGAATCACGATTTGCCTTTAAGAAGTGGATGCACTTGGAGAGGCTGGCGCTTCCACCAACCAGGAAGAGCTGGGGGCACCCTGCTTGCTCTCCGAAACTTCACAGAAAGCCCCAAGAGCTGGGGATGTGGGTTCTGTTCTGGATCTCCAAGAGACGACGTCATGCTAGAATGTTCCCTTCATTTTTGAAAACTGCACTCCTGCCTGGGGCCATCTCGTGTCTTCAATGGCTAAAGTAGATGCTGATTTGGGCAACCAGCTTTCTTTTCTGTTTTGAAAATTAATGCACCTGTGTAGTCACCCAGGCTTGATAGTTGCAACAATAACTCATGGACAAGTTGTGTGACTGGTGGTAGTGACTCCATTTGCTCACACCTCCTTGGATTCAGTCCCTGGTGTAGTTCCCTCCCACACTGACTGTGGGTTTGGCCAGGTGACTTGCTTTGGCCAATGGGACACCATCAACCATGATTAGCAGAGGTTTGAAAAGTGCTTGTGCATTGAGATTTGCCCTCTCACGCTGTTCTTGGGACCCTTACAACTGCCAACATGTGAATGTGCCTGGGTTAGGCAGGTGGAGGTATGTGGCCCAGTCACCACTGCCACCCAGCTGACAACCAGCACCAACCACCAGACACACTGCATGAGGCCATCCTAGACCATTCGGTTCCCAGGTGACCTGCCAGCTGGTCACAGGTGAGTCCAGCAGAAGAACTGCCCAACCCAGCCCAGCCCAAATTGCAGATCTGCAGAATCATGGGCTGATAAATGATTGCTCTTTTAAGCCACTAAGTTTTGGGGTGTTTTTTTATTGTGATAAAATATGCATAACATAGCATTTACCATTTTAACCATTTTTAAACGTACAGTTGAGTGGCATTCAGTACATTCACATTGTGCTACCATCACCACCAGCCATCTGCAGAAGTTTTTCATCATTTGCCGGGGTTCTTTATATATCTAAGCTCACTCACTGATTCACAAGCTGCGGGGGCTGCCTGCACCTCCCTGACTGTCTTGCAGCTGATGAGCTTGTCTCTGAGTGGAGGCTCAGGCTCAGGCACCGAGCTCTGGAGTGAGGCCCAGTTCCAAACTGAAAGAGAACAATGTCCACGGGTCTCGGCTGTAGCCACAGTTTAACACAACCCTGGCTTCCCTCAGGCATGCTCACAAACGATCCTGTTCCTGTGGGTGCAGGGAAGACAGACAAGCAGGGTCTCCACAAGGGAGGCTGCAGACCACAGGCAGACCCGGTGACAGGGGACATGCTGGGACTTGCTGTTTAAAGAGCCACCACCAGGAACTTGGCACCTGACCTTGTGCTCAGGGGTGAGCTGTGACAGCTGCCACACCAGCCCTGCTGTCCTTGCCACTTCTAGCTGTGTGACTTGGGGTGAGTCACTTAAGCTTTCTGAGTCTGTTTTTTTCCCCCATCTGCTAACTGAATGTAATCGTAGTGCCATGTTTTAGGGCAAGGATTAGAGGAGCCAGTGTTGGACACACTAACAGTTGCTTCATTAATTAATATATGGGGCTGGCCAGGATCCCTATTCCCCCTGGCCCCAGACCCCTACCATCTTTCCTCATCCTTACTGGGAAGGGGCCTTTAGAAAGAAAAGAGACAAGGTCGGGCACGGTGGCTCATGCCTGTAATCCCAGCACTTTGGGAGATCACCTGAGGTCAGCAGTTGGAGACCAACCTGGCCAACATGGTGAAACCCTGTCTCTACTAAAAATACAAAAATTAGCTGGTCATGGTGGCACTCGCCTGTAATCCCAGCTACTGGGGAGGCTGAGGCAGGAGAATTGCTTGAACCCAGGAGGTGGAGGTTGCAGTGAGCCAAGATTGTGCCACTGCATTCCAGCCTAGGGGACAGAGCAAGACTCTGTAAAAAAAAAAAAAAAAAAAAAAGAAAAGAAAAGAGAAAGACTTTGTTAGCATCAGAAATTATGCTTTGAGAGGGATCTTCAGTATTAGCTGGAGAAACACTCATTTGTCTTTTAGATACTCACTTCTTGATATTCATGTTAGGACCCTGGGCTAGGCTGACAGTGTATATAAATAAATACGGGGGCTCTGGGAGAGGAGGGAGAGAGCAAGGGCATTTGGGGATGCTGTGGCAGACTGTTGTGTTTATTTTCTTCATCTTCTTATGTAATAGAACCCCTGATTTTTAGTTGGGCATACACTCATCTGGAATAAAGACAATGTTTCCCAGCTTCTCTTATTGCTAGGTATGGCTACATGACTAAATACTAGCCAATTTTATTTCATGTCCTGAGGCATCCTCCAGGAACTTCCTTAAGAGAGAGCTGTGTCACACACTTTGCCCTTTTCCTTCATCCCTCCCAATATCCTACCATCTGGAATGCAGATGTAATGGCTGAAGCTCCAGACACCATTTTGGATAATGAGGACAAGGTCACTCCTAGCTGTGGCAGAACAATGAGCTGGATGGAACCAGAATTTCTGTCCCAGTTACTTTCGGTGTGTAACAAACTACTGCAGAGTTGGTGGCTTAAAACAACCATTTTAGGGCTGGGCGTGATAGCTCACGCCTGTAATCCCAGCACTTTGGGAAGCTAAGGTGGGCAGATCACTTAAGGCCAGTTTGAGACCAGCTTGGTTAACATGGTGAAACCCCATCTGTACCAAAAATACAAAAATTAGCCAGGCATGGTGGCGCACACCTGTAGTCTCAGCTACTCGGGAGGCTGAGGCACAAGAATCACTTCAACATGGGAGGCGGAGGTTGCAGTGAGCCGAGATCATGCTACTGCAATCCAGCCTGGGGGAACAGAGTGAGCCTCTGTCTCAAAAATCCCAAACAACCATTTTATTGTGCTCATAGATTCTGTGGGAAAGGACTCTGGGCAGGGCTTGGCTGGGCAATGCTTTTGTTCCTAGTGGTGTTGACTGGCGTCACTCAGTGGTACTCAGCTGACTGAATGGCTGGTCTGGAAGATCCAACACAGCTTCACTTACACATCTGGAGCCTGGAATAAGGATGGCTCAAAGATTAGGACTGTCAACCAGGGCACCTATACATGGCCTCTCCATGTGGCTTGATGTCATCACAGCATAGTAACCTCAGGGTAGTTGGATCTCTTACATGGTGGCTCTGAGCCCCAAGCAAGAATATTCCAGTGAACAAGGTGGAGAACATATGACCTTTTATGATCCACCCAAAAATCTTGCAGTATCACTCTACCAAATTCTATTGGCCGAAACAGTCACAAGCTGGCTTAGATTCAACCTAGGAGGGGAATCAGACGCCCCTTCTCCACTGGTGGGCTATCAAGCTCATGATACAGAAGAGCGTGAGGGACAGGAGATACTGTTGTAGCCAGTTCTGGAAAATTCTACCTGCCATAGTCCCTGAGGGTTCATGGAGCACAGCCACAGCTGCCACACCAGCCCCAGACCACCTAGCTTGGGTATTTGGGTGAGAAATACACTTTTGACTCATTTAAGCCACTTTCATTTCTGGTCTTTGTTACTCAGAGTTAAACCCTGTGCTAACTCACAGAGATCTGCTTTGTATAGACTTTAAAGGACTTGATGAGAAAGGTGAAGGACTATTTCACCAGCCTCTGGACTTAGTGTGAGTTAGTGTTTGCCTAAAATAACTCTCCTATTCTAATGATAATGGACAGTACTAATAAGTCCCCACACCCACGGCCCTGCCGAGCCCTTCAAGACCTTGAGGCCAAAATTAAGATGACACCTGTGTATACATTATCTGTATCAATGTATGTGTGTCAGAAAACTATAGGGACATTTCAGGGGTGATAGACAAGAGGGACCTCACTTTCCTTTTTTCTTTTTTTGAGACAGGGTCTTGCTCTGTCACCTAGGCTGGCACGATCATGGCTCTCTGCAACCTCGACTTCCTGGGCTGAATTGATCCTCCCACCTCAGCCTCCTAAGTAGCTGGGACTACAGGCATGTACCACCTCACCTAGTTAATTTTTGTATTTTTTTGTAGAGATGGGGTTTCGCCATGTTGCCCAGGCTAGTCTTGAACTACTGGGCTCAAGCGATCTGCCTGCTTCTGCCTCCCAAAGTGCTGGGATTACAGGTGTGAGCCACTGCACCTGGCCAGAGGACCTTGCCTTCTAATTTAAGCTCAGGACATCATGTTTGCAGCTCTTGGCTGAGAAAGCTTTGCTCTGAGACTCTTGTGATGAACCTAGGGGTTTGCAGATAAGGGCCCAGGGCTTGCCAATGGTGGCTGTAATTGAGGGAGCTCATGGCACTGGCAGGAGATTGAAAAAATGTTCAGCTTATTATTTGCCTGAGGGCTCAAATTCCAGTGTGAGAGAGAGTGGGGCCCCCCAGGTGGTCAATCCTAGGTACCTGCCGAAGGTGTCATGGGGGCCTCTGAGGCAGGTTAGTGTGGTGGCAGCTGTGGTAGTGAACAGGAATGTTCCAGAGTCTTTGCCGGCTAGGGATTAAGATAAGACACGACTACCAGGTTGCCACAAGTAAGGAATGTTCCCCTTGGCCTGGACTTGGCTCGGGAGCCCAGACCCTACTGGTAGATGAGGTTCCCAGGGATCAGGAGAAATCAAAGGAGGCTCACCTTGAAGGTTCTGGAGCCGACCGCTGAGTTCAAATCCTCACTTGGCTTTTCCTGGCTGTGTGACCTTGGTCAAGTGATTTTACTGTGTTCTAGTTTTCTCATCTGTCAAGTGGGCCCTGCCTCCTAGAGCTGTTGAGTGAATTGAATGAAACCATTGATGTTTGAATACTTAGCCTGGTGCCTTTGCTGTAGCAGCCAGAGAGCCAGGCAGAGGTGGGGGCAAGTCCATGGGGAGAAGCCTGAGTCGGCCCCTTGGACCTGCTGTCGAGCTGAGCCCTGTTCTCATGACACAGCAGAAGCATAAGAGGTTGGGCTAGGCCAACCTCACAAGCACGTTGCAAACCTCTGCTTGCCACCCATCTACTAACACCTCATTGATCAAAGCAAGTTACAGGTCCAGGCCCAAAGTTAAGGGGTGGAGAAATGTATAAGAAACTGCAAGATCAATGCCAAGGAGTATGGTGAATAATTCAAATACAGGAGGGGACAGGAATCAGGGAACAATGGTCCACATACCACTCTGTCCAACAGACTGTAAACCGTTCATGAAAACCACCAAGATCTACAAGAACCAATCTCTAAGTCCCTAAGTTCCAAAGTGTGTGTATGTGGTGGTTGGGCGAAGGGCAGGGTGAGTGGGGAAAATGAGGGCCCACTGTCCCTCCCCAACCCCCACAAGCCTCTATCCCAACTCAAGTACCTTATAATTTGCTGCCTTGGCCTCAATAAATATTTGTTGACCAACTGATAAATACAGACTGACATTCACAGGGACAAAGTGAATCCCATTGGGGCTTGGACTGAATGTCTGTGAGTCTGTGGATAATCTCCTAATGTAAAGGCCCCATCTCCAGGTTCTATTGCTAGAATTGAGTTTCTGGCACTACTTTTTGCTTCAACAGCCTCTAACGGGCCCATCTGGTGGCTAGCATCTGAGGCGTACTGTATTCCCTCCATTCCTTTCCACCCAGGTAGGATGTCTGGGTCTGGCACAAGGCTCCCTCCCACCATAAGCTCCTGAGCTGCCTGCACTGTTTCTGGGCTTCCATGTGTCGAGCAGCCAATGGGTAGGTGTGTTTTCAGAGGCTGTTATCTGTGTCAAGACACCAGGTGCCATGGGTGACGTGGGTGACGGCAAGATGTGTGTAAGTCACGGTCCGTGCCAAGAGCAGTGGATGATTTAGTTAGGGATAAGACAACGTATCCACCAGATGCTGGAGCAGTGAAACCAGGGCGGTACATGGTTGGGAGGGAGGGAAGGATGGCTCTGTATTTGGGAAACAGCCGCCTCCCAGCCGTCATTTCGGACCTTCGAAGTCTGGTCAAATACTGATGAAAAGCTGCCAAGGATGAATCAGGGGACTTACCCCTCTGCTTTCCCAGGAGGAGAGCCAGGAAGCAGACCAGCAGGAGTGAGAACAAGGCCGGTCTGAGGATCAAAGGGAAGGCTTCAAACCTTAAATCCAGTATGTGAAGTTTTGCTGGCCAGGGGTCCCATTTGCTTTTATTCTTGTTTTGATTTTGTTTTTATTTATTTATTTACTTTTTTTTGAGACAGGATTTTGCTCTCTCCCCCAGGAGGTGGAGCGTTGTGGCATGATCATGGCTCACTGCAGCCTCGACCTCCCAGACTCAAGCGATTCTCCTGCCTCAGCCTCCTGAGTAGCTGAAACTACCGGAGCGCACCATCACGCCCAGCTAATTTTTGTATTTTTAGTAGAGACGGGGTTTCACCATGTTACCCAGGCTGGTCTCAAACTCCTGACCTCAGGTGATCCACCCTCCTTGGCCTCCCAAAGTGCTAGGATTACAGGTGTGAACCATTGTGCCCTGCCTGTAGTAGGTATTATAAGTAATCTAGAGATGATTTAAAGTGTACAGGAGAATGTGCATAGGTTATATGCAAATACTATACTATTTTATATGAGAGACTTGAGCATCCCAGATTTTGTTATCCAAGGGGTGGGGGCGGGTGGGGGGGTCCTGGAACCAATCCTTCCATGGGTACCGAGGGATGACTGTACGTAGCTTATGGGGATTTTGTGCTGACTGAATGAGATGATTCCTGCTAGTGACAGCACATAGTAAGTGCTCAATAAATACTAGCTCTTGGCCAAGCACGGTGGCTCATGCCTGTAATCCCAGCACTTTGGGAGGCCAAGGTGGGCAGATCACTTGAGGTCAGGAGTTTGAGACAAGTCTGGCCAACATGATGAAACCCTATCTCTACTAAAAATACAAAAAGTAGCTGGGCATGGTGGCTCATGTCTGTAGTCCCAGCACTTTGGGAGGCCGAGGTGGGTGGATAACTTGAGGTCAGGAGTTGAAGACCAGCCTGGCCAACATGGTGAAACCCTGTCTCTACTAAAAACACAAAAAATCAGCCGGGCGTGGTAGCATGTGCCTATAGTCCCAGCTACTCAGTAGGCTGAGGCAAGAGAATCGCTTGAGCCTGGGGGACGGAGGTTGCAGTGAGCTGAGATAGTGCCACAGCACTCCAGCCTGGACAACAGAGCGATACTCCGTCCCAAGAAGAAAAAAGAAAAAAAAAGAAAGAAAGAAATACTAGCTCTTATTTTCATATTACCATATATCACAATTTAGACCAAACCCTTTAAAAATTTGGAAGCTGGCTTGTTTTCTCACTAATGTTCTACCATGAGCATTTTCCTGTATCATTAAATGCTCTTATAGAGCCTCGCTTTAAATGGCTTCAGAATTTTGCACCCCATAGATTCATCATAATTTATTTAGCAATGTTCTTATTGCTGGACATTGATTCTGTCCTCAAATTTCTGTTAATATAAATAATATTCCAATGAACATCTTTGTCAGGGATTCCCCTAACCTTTTTCTCTTGTTATGAAAGTATAAGGTAGTCATTATAGAAAAAAAATGGAAAAATACAGAAGAATATAAAGAAGAACATTAAAATGATCAGAAAGAGAGAGAGGAGAGACTCTCTCACCAGGAAGAGGGTGTTCTAGGCTGGTCTGCAGTCTGTCTTAGAGGCTCTACTCTGCCTGGCAGCGTAAACACAGCTAGAGTTAAATAACAACCCGGGACAATATGAGGGACATCACAGAGCTCCAAGTGATTAATTGCCAACTAAGCACTACAAGTTCCCTAACCAGCAGTGTTTGCTCCAAGTGACCAGCTGGGACATGGAGAGTCTTTAGGGTTTTTAAAGAACACTTTGTTCTGCTGTGTGACAGGTTTTCTGGAGTCTTTACCAGCCAGAAAGCTTTCTTTCCTAGGGGCTTTTTGGACAAGGGGGAGCTCTAAACATCCTCTATCAGGAGGCCTCTCTCCCTCACCCCCGCTCCTCTGGCCCTAGTCAATTTGGGGGCTGCCTTAAAGGTTAGAGCTTGCTCTGGCCTCAGCCCATATCCCCAAGTCTCCTCTGAAAGTCCTCAATATTCCGTACTGCTCAAATGATTCCCCTCACTATACTGAAGGAGGCTCTACAGCAAGCCTAAGAGAGGTGTACCCAAACCAGCATGGGTTCAGTGGGAAGGGATGGCTTGGAAGAAAGGACTTTGGACCTGTTGGAAGCTCCTGGCAGACTGTCTGCAAAACTGGTTGCCAGCAATTTCTCCCATCCCTGTGTATGCATGCCACTCTCCTCATCAAAAAGAAGCAAGAATCTGTTTCCCCTCCCCTTGAGCCCAGGCTGGCCTTGTGACTTGGTCTGGCCAAGAGAATGCAATGGAAGTGTTCCCATGTGACTTCTGAGTCTAGGACTTAAGAGACCTGGCAGCATCTGTCTTTGCTTTCTCGAATAGAACTGCCATGTAAAAAGCCTGGGCTACGCTACTGAAGAGAGAGGCCGAGGGGAAGAGAACACGAGCAACTCAGTCAATAGGTAACACCAACTGCCAAAAATGTGAATGAGGCCATCTGGGATGCCCCATACTCTGTCAAACTCCTAGCTGACTGCAGTTGCATGGCTCCAGCTGCCACGTGGAACAGAAGAACCATCCAGCTGAGCCAAACTGACCCTGTAGAATTGTGAGAAAAAGAATCAATTGTTAAGCTGAGTGTGGTGGCTCATGCCTGTAGTCCCATCTACTTGGGAGGCTGAGGTGGGAGGACCACTTGAGCACAGGAATTGGAGGCTGCAGTGAGCTATAATCACACTGTTGTTTTAAACCATTAAGTTTTGGTGGTACTTCTTAGGCAGGAGTAGAAAAGCAAAACACAGTTATTTCAAATATTTGAAGGGTCATTGGTGGAAGAGAAATGAGCCTTGTTTTTGCAGGCCCCAGGGTGAATAGCAAGAGAGCTGCACCTTTTGGCTCAGTACAGGTAGGAACTCTAAGACATTCAGATCCATCTAAGAAGGGGACCATGTATGACTTTGTAACACTCCCTGCAGAGCATGAAGAAAAAGATGGTGGCTGCTTGTTGGTGTCTGGAGGGGAACCCAGGGGACCAAATACTTGACATACAGTCCTGCCTTGAGCTTCTTTGGTTCTTTGTCATCTTCCACATTCATTACATCCACTTCCCCCAAAGGGAACTCTTCACTTTAACCACAAGACCCTGCTGGAAGACATTCCTCCTCTTGTTCCATCTCTGTGGGCTTTTGTCAGCCTAGGCATTTTTCAAAATCACATGCCACATCCTTCAGAAAGCTTTTGGGGGTGGGAATATCAGAGGAGGGCTAGGAAAAAAAAATTTTTCTTGTGACCTTGGCTTCTTTGGAACATATGACCCTTACATAGTCTGCAGTACCTAGATTGCAAGCACTCTGAAGAGAGAGACTATTTTATTCATTTCTGTATGGCCCAGTGCCCAGCACAGGGCTGATGGTCCAGGCATGATCTGGGTTTGGGCTGAGTCAGGCGAATCACACACCTGCAGGCTGGATCTTACCTCCCTTGCTGTACCAGGCAGGGCTCAGCAGCTCCCAAGGGGATCAATCCATCCCTGTATGTGCTTGGAACAGGGAGGTGAGGATAGGGCAACTCCATGAGGGACCTCCTGAACTCAGCAGGCTGTGGCTGGCTTGTCATGCCTGTTCTTTCCTTCTTTCTTTTCTTTTTTTTTCTTTTCTTTCTTTTTTTTTGAGATGGAGTTTCGCTCTATCACCCAGGCCAGAGTGCAGTTGCGCAATCTCGGATCACTGCAACCTCTGCCTCCCTGGTTCAAGTGATTCTTGTGTCTCAGCCTCCCAAGTAGCTGGGATTACAGGCACCCACCACCACGCCCAGCTAATTTTTGTATTTTTAGTAGAGACCAGGTTTCACCATGTTGGCCAGGCTGGTCTCGAACTCCTGACCTCAAGTGATCTGCTTGCCTCGGCCTCCCAAAGTGCTGGGATTACAGGCGTGAGCCACCGCACCCGGCCTGCCGTGCCTGTTCTTGATGTCCGTGGACCCCAGGAGTGTTCGGGGGGCCTCTGTCAAGCTTGCTGTGGAGCTCAGAGAATCTTCTTTGGAGAAGCAAGATGTGTGTGCATACACACACACACACACCACACACTCAGCACTCAAGCGCGGAGACTGCCTCAGGGGAGACAGTGTCTGCAGGAACCAGACTCCACAGCCTCCCCAGGGACTCGTCATCGCGTCTCTCATCAGGCGTGTCACTTGTCAGGCGCGGCTCTAGCTCAGCGCAACTCACCCCCTCACTCACGCTGCAGGAAGGGCCTCTGAGGGGAGTGGGCTCTGCGGAATTTCCAGGCAGGCGTTGCTTGTCTTGTCTTTGGCAATTTCTTGGCCTGGCCCCAGAAACCCTAATGAGCCATGGGTATGAAAAACGGCCACCAAGGTGGTTATCGGAGGTGCCCATGAAGGGATTTGGGTGTCATTCAGTGTAAGTTTCGGCAATTCCTGGAGAGTAGCACGTTTGAGCCGGACTTGCTCTTCCCTTTTTGTACAAAGGAAAGGAAGAAAAAAGAAAAAGGATCTAGGGTCAGTCAGGCAGAGGTGGGGAGGGGGCAGGTGTGGGGAAGGTTGCCTGGGGGCAAGCAGCCAGGCAATGGCCTTTAGCTTCCAGGGGCCTCAGTCCTGCTCCAAGGAGTCTCTATAGAAGGGGAGCCCCTATAACCACTTCTGGTTTGTGAACCTCTCATCCTAACTCAATAGGAACCTTGTCTTTCTTCCCCGAGCGATTCTACTCCTCCAGCTCCCACGCTGCAATCCCTGCCACAGCTCAGAGCTGCCGAGGCTGTGGCCCAGTCTTTACAGTCAGTCTCTCTGGGTATCTCTGTCTCTATTGTCTCTGGGGGAAAGGCCTGGATCTAAGCACGCACACACTTCTCAATTAGAAATGTAGTGAGCATCTGCCAGATGTAAGCACTGAGTTCTAGAATGTCTCTAGAAAGAGACAGAGCAAATGCATGAACACACGCTGGGCCAGACTGTGCAGCAACACGCTGAGCTGTGATGTGGCATCTGGCGTGACATGTTCTTCCCAGGCCCCCAACCCAGCCAGTCGAAGCCCCTAACCCCTGCCCCATCCTTTTGATTCCTCTGCTCCCTGGCCTGGCCCTGTGTACTCAGGAGTCTCTGGCCATGCATGAGGAGCCATTCCTCAGTCAGCCACAGGGTTAGACCCAGTGAGGGGTGTTTTGGGGCCGGCTCCAGCGCACAAGAGCCCAGCCAACTGTGCACAGCTCTTCCTACCTCTGTGTTCAGTGATGACAAGTCTGAAGCTTGGAATTGGCTAGAGTAGGAGGGTTTGCTCTATGGAAATTGGCAAAAACTAGAAATTAGGACTTTCCCCCAGAGAGCCAGTTAAACATTTACCAGCATTATCACTGGTTAGATCCCACAGCGCGCAGCTGAGGGGGCACTGCCAATGACCGCATCCTCTCCCCAAGGGGGCTGAGACTGCACCTTCGTCGTGAACAGGTGCAGGTACAGGCACAGGTCAAGCAGACCTCGAGTGGGCCCCTCTGCTCACCACCAAAAACCTTCTCCAGAGGCAGTCTGGTAGGACTGTTTACCTAAGCAGTCCTCAGGTATTCCAACCCCCTGGCTGCAAACATTAGTTTTCAGGCTTTTGAGCTGAGACCACAAATCACTTTGCAAGCAGAGAAAAAGTCTACTTTTTGCCTTGGGCATCTTGGACAGGAAGTCAGGCTGTGGCAAAGAAGAGCATCAAACATCAGGGGCACCAGATCATCACGGGAATCAGATGATCACCATAGCTGTGGAAATGAAGTTTCCTGGTGAATCCACGTCATTTGCCTAAGATCACTCAGGTGCTGACCAAAGCCCCCATTTTGGAATCCTAATCTGTTTACCCTCAATCCAATGCTTGCCTGGTCACAGTGTGGCAGGCAGGTTCCTCGGCACAGGTAAATCCTGGCACCTGTGTGTGCCTACATGTCCCAAAGCCACAGAGATGGAAAAAGTAAGGCCTGGAGGACTCTTGAGATGACGTGCTCCAGTCCACCTCATTTGCTTGGCCACTGTCTCCAGGACAACTTTGTTCCAACCAGTCCCTAAAGGGTCACAGTGCAGGAGTTGAGCAGCTGAGTTTTGGAGTCAGGCATGCCTAGGCCTGATTTTGAATTCCATCAAGCCCTGATGGTATGACCTTGTGCAAGTAATTTGTCCTCTCTGAGCCCCTGTTCTCATCTGTCAAGTGAAGATAATAATGGTGCCTACCTTATGGGACTGCTGGGAGGGTTAGTGAGACAATGTATGGCAAGTATTTAACAGGGGACTCAGTAAAGGGAAAGTGTGTGTGTCAGTAATTCTGTACTGTGTCAGTTGGGTCCTCCAGGAAGCAAATGCTAAGATGGAATTAGACATGCAAGAGGTTTACTGGGGGAAATGCTTATGGAAGATGAAGTGAGGAGGGAGCAGGAGGAGGTGGGGAGGGCCTTCAGGCCAGGAAGCAGGTCTGACTCCTATGAAGGGAGAGGGGAAGGAAGGAGGGGCTGGTAGGGAAAGCCTCACCCCTCAGTGCAGCTCAGAGAGTCTCAGCCAGGTCCATGGGGAAGTTCTAGCGTAAAGATCACCTAGAGAAGTGATCTAGCCTGGATTGGCCATACTCAGTCACTGGAAGTGCATGGCCTTGCCCTAAAAGGCAGAGCCTGAAGGCACCCACGGCTGGAGGTTGTCAACTAATTGCACTTGTAGAAAGTTCTGTGTGCAAGAGAGATCTGAGCAATGGATCTCCAAGATGACCGTGGTCCCTTCCAAGCTTCCTTGCAGAGTTCCCTTCTCATGCAAATGGGTAAACAAAAAGCCTCAAAGCTGAACAGGTTCAACTTCAACAGGTTGAAGATAAAATGCACGGCCCCCAAGGCAAGCCCCTTTCCTCTGGGCCTCACTCTGCCCCCAGCCTGGTTCCTCGCAGCCCTCCTTCTCTCACCCCTTCCGCCCAGTCTGCATTTCTTCCTGCTCATTGCCACTGCATGTCTGGGTTTTTGCTCATGATATCTTTCTCCCCGGAATAATCTCCTGACTTGCTCACCTGGCAAACTCATTTTGTCTTTTCAGATCCCCTGCAGATGTCACCTTCTTTGTGAGGCCTTTACCAACCTCGAACTCCCCTGTGTGCTCCCACCCACCCACTGGGTCCTCCACTGAAGCATCTGTCACTTACTTGTTTAGCTACAGTTTCCCCCTTAGGGCATTTCTTCAACAAATATTTACTGACCACCCATCATGTGCCTGGCACAAGCACAGGGATGTGATGATGGGCATGGGAGCTTGGCTTCTACCCTCACGGGACAACCAGTCTGCAGGGAAGCCTGGTAATTAAATAGGCAATGGCAAGAAACTGACATGTACAGTCCCAGAGATTGTTTAGGGCACCACAGGGACACATGGCAAAGACAACCAATCTCTTCTGGGATGGGGGTGTCCGGTAGGGCTTCCTGGAAAAAGTAACTTTTTACCTTGAAGCTTCTAAGGTGATTTCATTACGTGGGGAGTTCATTTCGTGGGGAGGGGCTGGGAAGGTGGGGAAGAAAACGACATTCGGAAAGACCTAGGGTGTGGACAAGGTGCGGGTATGGGAGAAGAGGCAGTGGCGACAAATCCATGAAGAAGTTTGGCTGTGAAGGACCAGAGAAAAATGCAGTGGGGGTGGGTGGGGGTGGAGTGGGAGGTAGCAGGAGATGAGAGAGAAGGACTTGTAAATGGCTGATGGGGAGGGTGAAGCCGAGGACCTGGGAGAGGGCAGGACTAATCTCTGGAGTTGCACTATACAATACAGTAGCCACTAGCAGCGTTCAGCTACCTAAATGAACTAAGATAAAATAATTTATCCCCTTGGTGGTACTGACCACATTTTAAGTGCTCAGTAGTCACAGGTGGCTAGTGGCTATTCTATTGGACAGCACAGAGATGGAACAGTTCCATCACTGCAACTGTTGTGCAGCGCTGCCCTAGAGTTGGAGCAGCTAGCATCCAGAGCCCAAGAGTGGGATTGGCCTTTAGATGGGTGGAAAGACACCTGGAACCAGAGGGTAGGCAGACAGGATGCTGTGGACAGACGTGTGATGGCAACATGCTGGGGTGGGGGAGGTCATGGTCTCTGTGAAGTGGAGTGTGGGGCTGAAGTCAGCTGAGTGGAGAATGAGGGAAGTAACTGTGTGTCGAGAGCTGAGCAGGAAGATGCAGGATTCACAGGGCTGGTGGTGGTGCTACTGCTTAGCAAGGCTGAGTGATTTCCTCCTGCTGGGCTGGGCCTCCTGGGAGCAAGCCTAGAGGAGGGCAGGAGGGCCTGTTGGATTTATAGTGGGCTGATGTTTATCCAGGCTGTGCTACTGGGACAGGGGAGCTGAGGATCCTCAAACAGGTGGCTGCAGGGATGGAGCACAGAGCTTAGGGCCTCAGAAGAGAGTTCACTCTGTGTACTGTGACAAGGAGGTTTGTGGTGTGCCTAGGTAATAGAGGACTGGAGAGAAGTCAGTGGAATGGGGGATTCAGCTATCTATTGGGTAGCAAACTACCCCAAAACTTAGTGACTTATATCAACATTTAGTTTGTTCATGAATCTGCTACTTGGCTGTACTCAGCAGGGATAATTTGTGCTTCACTCAGTGTCAGCTGGGTAGCTTGAATGGTGATGCAACTTGGCATCAAGTGGGGTGGCTCAAAGGCCGGGATTGGAATCATTTGAAGGCTTGCTCTTTCACCTATCTGGTGGCTGGTGCTAGGTGGTGGCTAGGACATTAGCTAGGGCTATTGGCTGGAACACCTACACTTGACCTCTTCATGTGGTCTGGGCTCCCTTACAACATGGTGGATGGGTTGCAAGGGTGACAGTCCCAAGAGAAAAAGAGAGAAGGAAGCCATGTAATCATTTATGACTTAGACTAGGATGTATGTGGCTACATTCTATTCGTGGAGACAGTCACAAAGACCCACCCAGGTTCAAGTGGAGGGGAAAGAGACTTCTCTTGAAGGGGGTAGAGGCACGGTGCTGGAATAGCATGTGGGACCAGAAACATTGCTGTGGCCATTATTTGGAAAACACAATATGCCACAGAGTCCAAGAAGTGAAAAGCCAAAGTCTTATCCTTTCTCAGGACAGGAGAGGAAGAGGTTTCACCAGGTTCAAATTGTTTCAATTTGTTCATGCAGCTAATATTTACTGAATACCTATTATGTTCCAAGCTCTGTTTTAGGTGCTGAGGATACAAAATGGATAAAAATCCCAGTCCTTGTGGAGATGACATAGTAGTGGGGGAAGAATCACAATAAACAAACAAGCAAGTGTTGGCTGGGTGCGGTGGCTCACGCCTGTAATCTCAGCACTTTGGGAGGCCAAGGTGGGTGGATCACCTGAGGTCAGGAGTTTGAGACCAGCCTGGACAACATGGAGAAACCCTATCTCTACTACAAATACAAAAATTAGCCTGGCGTGGTGGTGGTGGGGCGGTGGGGGGGCGCTCCTGTAATCCCAGCCAAGGCAGGAGAATTGCTTGAATCTGGGAGAAGGAGGTTGCAGTGAGCTGAAATCGCGCCATTGCACTGCAGCCTGAGCGACAAGAGCAAAACTCCGTCTCAAAAAACAAACAAAAAAACCAAGCAAGTGTTTATTATGTTAGGTGATGCTAAATGTTATGCAGGAATCACAGCCAGCAACAGAAAGTAAGCAGATGAAGGAAGGAGGGTAGGTGGAGCAGCTTGGGCCTCCCAGGAGCCGCTCTCCGCAGGGTGGAAGGAGGAAAGTCTCTAAACTGCAGGAAGGAGTGGGAAGGTTTGACCATTCCTTTTAATGTTGTATCCCAGCCGCCTAGCTTGTAGAGCTGGATAAACTTCTGTAAGGTGTAAGAAAAAGAGTCCCTCAGGCACTGAGTCGTTGCCCAAGGTCACCAGCTAGTTAGAAGCAGTGCACGAAGGGCCTGCAAAACAGAGGGCACATTTGACCCCTGACCTAGGAGGACTTGTGCATGCTGTCCGGTTTCTGAGCTAAACATTCCAGAGGGCTTCTTGGAAACTGGTGCCCCCAGGGAGTGTGTCTGTGCTCGCAAGTTTCTGTACCTTCAGAAAGCCGGAGGGTCCCAGTTGGAGCCAGTCCGAGATGGAGTGGGCTCAAGA
Organism: Homo sapiens; assembly: GCF_000001405.40. Lineage (NCBI taxonomy): Eukaryota > Metazoa > Chordata > Mammalia > Primates > Hominidae > Homo > Homo sapiens. The sequence goes on along the minus strand of NC_000023.11, from coordinate 39,822,196 downwards.
AGGAAAGAACGTGGGGATTTAATTGGACTCAGCGAACCCTTCCCGGACCAGCCGGCGTAAACTCTCGGAGGCTGTCGCCTGTGCCCGGCTCTCCTCCCGGCCTGGGGCGCTTGGCAGAAACGCGGTCACGGAAAAGGGGTGAGGGTGGCAATCCCGGGTCTGCCCTCCCGTACACCTCCCTGCTAACCCACCCTGTCTGAGAGGCCACGGGGACCAGGCTACTGGGCATAGTGTGAGGACAAGAAGGGATGGAGGGCTCGGGACGGCGGGGACACGCGGGGGCAGTGTTGGGGGAGCTGGAGTAAGAGTGTTCCGAGAGGGGAACTCGGGCGCGGGGGTGCGGGAAGGAGCCTGGGGTTGGAGTGTCCGGGGTGGGGGTAGGCCGGAGGAGGGGTGGTGTCTCGGAGTGGCGGGGCTGGGAACTCCCCGGGCGAGGCTGAGGCAGCATGGGGGGCCGGTGGTGGTGGCGGGGATTGGGGCCCCCGAGGCATCTCTGACCACAAAGGGCCGGGGAGCGCGGCCCGGCGGTCTCAGCGAGCCGTATTGATCGAAGGGCGGGCGCAGCGAACGCGCCGAGAGCGGCTCCATCCATTAGGGCCGCTGTTCGCCTCCAATTAGAAAAAAAATCATTACTCAGCAGCCAGCAGCGGCCTGCGCGCCGCCTGGGACCGCCAGCGAACAAGCGAGCCAGCGAGGGAATGGCGGGCCTCCCCCACCCCCGCGCTCCCACCCTCAGCCCCCGGCGCCCCGCCTCCCCCGGCCCTAATGACAACTATTAGAACTGCCTCCCCGCACCCACCGCCCGGCGAGCACAAAAGCGCGAGATTCATTTGGTAATCGGGGTAATTACAGCGGGGCGCGGGGGCGCACGCGGCGATGGCGGGCGCGCCGGCGGAATGCTAAGGGGCCGGGCGCGCCGCCCGCTCCCACCGCCCCGCCCTCCCCGCCCGGCCCCTAGCCCGAGCGGCGCCCGGGGCCGCGTCTCTCCTCGCCTAAACCCTCCCCGCTGCCGCCGCTGTAAGCGGGCTGCCCCGGGGCTCCCGAGGACTGGAGGAGAAGCCCCCCGCCCCCCGCCACGGGTCCTCTCGTCCTAGCCCTTGGCAGCGCGGCCAGCGGCGCTCCGGACAAGATTTGCCACGTCCGGGAGCCGGAGAACCCCTCGGAGGTCCGGCCGCATAATAAATACCGCGTGCAATGTATTCACTCTGCGGCCCCCGGTTAATTTATACGCCCGCTCCAAGCCGTGCGCCCGCCTCGGCGCGCGCCCCGGCCTGTCGTTCCTATTTACAGGCGCGAGGCGCAGTCCCTCGAGAGGGCTTTTTTCTTTTTCTTTCTTTTTTTTCTTTTCTTCTTCTTTTTTTTTTTTTTTGAGAGATTTAGGATGGATGCAACGTGTCATTAAACCTGAAAGGAACTGTTATTTATCAGTAATGATGTTTTCCACAGGCCTTTTTCCTCACCTGCGCGGGCACAGGTACCACCTGGGTGGTGGATGCGGGGCGGGGGTGCCAGGAGGCCTGGGTGGGGGTAAACTGTGTGCGGGCCTAGCCGGAGGCGGCCGGGGCACCGCTGGAGGCCACCTCTCCAGACTCCGGGAACCCGAGGGCCTCTCCTTCACTTGGAGGCACGGTGCTGCACCCCCGTTGGGGGGTTCCCCTTGCAGAGCTGCCTAGAACAGCAATGTGTTAGGAGACGCCTCCGAAGAGCCTCCTCCTCCTCAGCTGGCAAGAAACGCAGACTCTCGGCAGTGCCATTCTTGCAGCAGAAAGGCCCTGTGTGACTCCAGCACTCGGAGCAGCCGCCTTATCTGGGGTGATTTCCCATCTGCCTCCCTGGGCCCAGGATTTCCTTCCTGCACAGAACTTATCTTGTCGGGAAGCAGAGCTGTGCGCTAGAGGCAGGCCCAGCAAATGGAATGCTCGTTCGGTCTTGTGTTCTTAATGACCCATAACAGAGTCCTCAGAGGTGAAAAACAAAACCCTCCACCCCCTTAACCATTTCTGTGCCCATCCTGGTCTGGGAGATTTCTTAATCCTGCTGCGCCGTCACACGGACTCCTCTCTGGATTTTATCCTGCGGCCGCCGGGTCCAACTCAGCCGCACCGGGACTGGGGTGGGGAGGCGGAGCCCTGCAAGGGCTTGAAGTAGGGACTGCAAACCCCTGAAAGAGTGGGCAAAATTCTGGGTAGATGCATTTTTCCGAGGGGAGAGTTCTTAAAGGGATCTGAGACAGTCCCAAAGGTTAAGAACCACCTGCCATCCCTTTGACCTTGTTGAAGTTTGATCTCGGAGCCTAGCTTCATTATCAGAAAGAACGAGAATACCCCAAAGCAGTCGTTGTGATTAAAATAGTGAGATAATGCTTTAATATTTGTAAACTGTACAGGCTTCTTCAAAGATAAATTATTAATGATGCCAAAGATGGCTGTGTGGTTGTGCGTGTGTGCACGTGTGAATGCACGTATTTGTGAGGTGATAGTGCAGGGGAAGTGTCGGGGGAGTCACTGGGATTATATTATTTGTCCTGAGACCTCCCCCACCCTCCGCCCCTGACCATTTCTCTCTTCCTCAGGACCAAGTGGGGTTGATCTGGAATATTGCCCCTCGGTTTTGAGAATCACCAAGGCTGGGTGGGAGAGATGGGCAGCAAGGTCTTCCTGCTGAAGCCCGTCTGGTCCTCAGGAGACCCATGGCCCCCTTGGGCACACAGTAGCCATCTGCACGGAGTAGGTGGCTACCACATCTTTGTGGAATAATGGAATCAATGACTGGATAGCTCAGTGGTCTTGGGCCAGGCCCACATCCCTTCTGTACTTGCAAGTGGAAAAGGACTCTGGACCCTTTCCAACTGCAATGTGTCTGTCTCTGGTGGTGGAGGCCCTTCGGTATCTTTTTTGATTCCATGTCTACCTTCTAGGAGCTCAAAGACTGAAATAACCAGAATCCAGGGTGTCAAGCATCCCCATAGAGATGGGGACTGATGTGGTATAGTTCATTCCCCTCATCCACACACTAAGAAGCTACAACAGAGAAAAGCTTGACTGAGGTCATGAGACCAGGGTTCAGAGTTCCCCTCACTGATACCCCCTTACCCCCACACAAAAGGACAGTGGCAGCCATGCAAGGGCACTGCCCAGACCTCCCTTCAGCGGAAAAGTTTCTGGAAGAAGTGTCATGGTTTGCTAGCCTCTGGCTGTGGCACCTTCGGGATCTGCTGCAGCATTCTTGCTGAGGCCACCCTCCCCAGGCTGTTCCCGCCCGATGACAGAGCATAGCAGGGGGACTAGAGCTGGGTCATTACTGCCTGACACAGGAAGTTTCTGATGGGCAGTCTGTGCTCTGGGGCTCCCCATCGGCCTGGCTGAGGCTTTCTCAGAGCTGCGCTGCCGGCTGAGGCTCTCCCTACCCACCCCTCCTTCCTTCCCCTCTCCTTCTGCAGGGGTCAGAGCTGCCTCCCGGTCTGAAGTCCCCCCCCCCCCTTTATCCTTCTTAAAAATCTCCCCCAATACATCTCTCACACTTACTCTCTCTTGGTGTCCTCTACCTGGAGGACTCAAATTGCCACAGGGACTAACACGTAGACTCCCATGCCCTCCGGTATTTTAGGCGGGACCCTTGTGTGTTCAGGAGCATGTAAAGAGCCAAGGGTGGAGCTAGGAGCCCTCAGCTACTCCTTTACCCCATTCCAGAAGGTTCCAGGCTCTACACACTCCCCTGTACCCATCTAGGGCTAGGTGGCCAGCTGTCACACTCTGGCAGTAATGCTGCTCATGACTTGTATTTATTCTTCAAGTTGCTCCTGGGTATATTAGGGCCCATCTCTGCCCAGGTCCCTTGCCAGCAAAAAGGCTGGTTCTTACTCACCAGCTTGCCCTGTTGCTCTGGGAAGTCAGTCCCACGGCCAGACCGCCCTCTTTTCACACGGCCACTCTGAGCACCAATGTGAGAGGCAAATGCCAGCCCTGCAAATCTGTACATGGAATCAGAGGCTCTCCAGACTCACGTCCAAAGGTGCATGGGCGGGGCGAGCCAGGAGACGGGGGAGCCCTGCTCAGTCACAGACACAGATGACATGAAATCAGATGGAGGATAAAAAGCATCACTGGAAAACAAAGGAACTGCTAGAGTCCGTGCCTGCTCGAGAAAAAGCAGTCATCAGCCCAAAGATGGATGAAGTGGAGGGCTGTTATTTTTAAGGTGGGGGCAGAGGTCATTAGCTTGAAGAATGTGTCATATTTGGCATCGGGAGGGTGGTTATGTGAGGCTGGAAAGCAAAGCCTGGTCCGCTCGCTCTCTGGCCAGGGAGATACTATTCCCTGGGGAAAAAGGACAGGCCCTCAACTAGCAGAGAGTGGCATGGAGGAATGTGTCCCCCAACCTTTCTAGAAGACAATAAATCTGTGAATTCTTCTCATTGGCAGGGCTGAAGGTTCATGGGACTGAGGCCAGCACCCAGTGGTGGCCTGGGCTGTAGAACTTCAGAAACAGCTAGTGCTACCCCTGTAGGCTAATTGTTTTTTCCAGAACCAAACTTTACTTGGCAGCACTAGGCTATAGCTCCATGGGCAGGGGTTTTGGGAACGGTGCCTTTGGTCATAGGGTATCAGGGTTATCTACAAACCCTCCTGTTTCTGGGAAACCAGCCTGAAGTCCTCATGCCCTCTGCAGCCAGAGGCCACTGGGCGCTGTGGTTCTGCCAGCTTTGGGGTGAGCAGAGGCAGAGACAATGGGGGAGAAACTCTATGAGGACAATGCCTGCCCAGCCTGAAACATCGCTAACAGATGGAAGGATGCAAACAGCAGCATGCCAAGCCTTCAGAGAGCTGGGAGCTCTGCCTGTGATTCAGGGAAGCTCTGATTCAGAGCTCTGAGCGCGTTGTCGCCCGGTGTCCTCAGGATGAAAGGCCTGCTTGGGGGGCTCCTCTAGTCCATCCCTCCCGGCTCCACCACCTCAAACTCTGCCTTCCAGCAGCAATTTCTTCCAGTTCTCCGGGCTTTGCGAGGCTTTTGCTGGGGCTGTACCCTCAAGCCTAAAACCCTCTGACTCCTAAAACTATCTGACTCCTACAACTATCTGACTCCTACTCATCCTTTCGCTTTCAGCTTAAGCTCCAGGAAGTATGGGCAACCCCCACAGTAAACAAAGCCAAACGTTTTCTTTATCTGGAGCCTTTACTATGCTAATGTACATTGTGAATCTTCCGGAGGTTGGTGGGTGGGGGGCAGTGGAGAGGCCGCCAATCTTTCCAGAAGTATTTGGCCCCAAGAGGCCTCCTACCCCCACGTCTATTAACCCTCTCCCAGAACGAGGTGAGGAGGAGGAGCTTGGGAAATGCTCCTCCAAGAGAAGCAGAGCGGAGGCAAAACCCCTCTTGTGGGGAGGTACAGTCCCTTCTGCCCTCCTGTACCCTGCGGATAAACTTACCCCCTGGAAGGAGAAACCAGAATAGCAGCCCAATCTCTTCTTAATGCAGCTGCAGGGTCAGATCCAAGTTTGGGGGCCTAAAAGTTACGTGAATTTTGGGGCCTTCTTGAAGAAAAACAGTGCAGAGGTACAAATGATAACTGCTAGGACCCTACCAGGGCCTTGGAAGGGGACTGTGCGAGTCAAGGCCCTGAACTTTAAGCTTTATTAGCCTCGAGGTAAAATCCACACCTGTGCAGAGGCTTAATTCTGGACATAGGTGTAGCTAAGACACATCCCTCTCCACATCACGTTTAGGTCAACTGGACGGTCTTGGATGGCCCTCCTTTGACTCTGGTATATCTCTGCCAGGCTCCGGCTGGCCTGCCTGCCTCTAGGCCCACAGCCAGCCTGTGGTTTGTTCTACTGGGCCAGCCATGCAGGTGAGTGGTCTCTGGCACATCCTCTTCAAGCCAGCAGACTGGTAGGGGCAGCACCATATTGGCCGGGCAGATCTATTTGCCCTCCCCTCACCCCATCCACTTTCTGTGCCCAGGAGGCTGATCCTTGATCCTTGGGGACTGGATCCCTTGGGCTGCCTTGACCACTGGCTTCTGGTTGGCTTGGCCAATGGGAGGCAGGTAGGAGGAGTCAGAGGTTGGGTATTTATTTCCACAGCTGGGCTGCCCTTTTGGTGGTGGCTGCGTTCCTCGTCCCATAGCAGCCCTCACCTACAGCTCTTTCCAGGTTCTGCTAACAGCCCCCACTCCTGGCTCCCTCAGTCCAGGGAGTGGTGGCAGCTTCCCATTGTTGCTAGTCCCAGGGTACTTCCCTATCCCTTGTGGTTTCTGTAATCTGCCCACAACTCTGTAAATAGTCCCTTTACAAACTCTTGTCAGTTAACCCTCTTGCTGAGTCTGCCATCCATTGCTACTGGGGCCCTGACTCACAGCACAAGTGGTACCCATGGGCAGTCCCTAAGTCATCCCACCAATCACAGACAAGATATCCTGAGTTCCCCACTGGTCAATTTGAATATGCAAATGTTAGGCATCTGTCCCTGGGGGTAAGCTTTCCACAGCAGTCTAGACCCTGGCGGTGGACTCCCTGATTCACCTATCTGCACTGTGGCACTTAGCACTAAACTGTGTGGGCTCCTCCTTCCTCAGTGTTCAGATTAGGTTATGGGAAGAACATAACCCCTTCCTCCCCCAACTTTCTGTGTTGTTTTGGGTGAGAGCGGACATTATAATTTTGGGGAATGTGATAGAACTGCCCAGAGTACATGAAATCAGCCACATAAATTATTGAACTTAAATGATGATTCTGGTGATGTGCTAGTAAATGTTTAACAACTGGCTCCCTGCCCCCCAAGCCCTGACTTGTAGTATCTGCTGATTTCCATGATGCAAATACTCCCACCACAGCCAGTCTCAAGCTGCCCACGTGATGGTGCTGACCATGGAGTTGAAAAGACACGGACACAGCATTACATAGTATTTCTTTCTTTTTTCTTTTTTTTTTTGACACAGAGTCTCACCCTCTCACCCAGGCTGGAGTGCAATGGTGTGGTCTCAGCTCACTACAACCTCCGCCTCCCGGGTTCAAGCGATTCGCCTGCCTCAGCCTCCAGAGTAGCTGGGACTACAGGTGCCCGCCACCACACCTGGCTAATTTTTGTATTTTTAGTAGAGAGGGGGTTTCATTATGTTGGCCAGGCTGGTCTCGAACTCCTGACCTCGTGATCCACCTGCCTCAGCTTTCCAAAGTGCTGTGATTACAGGTGTGAGCCACCATGCCCTGCCTTTTACATAGTATTTCTACCACACAGTCATGAAAGGGTAAATAACCTCATGAGAGTAAATAATAGTAAACTGTAGCAAAGCAGTCAGGAAGGTGTGAGTTTTCAGTATTTATTACCTTTGTTTTTAATATGACTTACTCCATTTTAAATTTTAATTATTTTAATTATAATTCTATTTTTTATTTTACTTCTTTTAATTTTTATTAATGGCTATGCTTAGTAACCAATTGGCAAAAATTCCTGAAAATTTGATGATCTGATCTCACAAACCAGTACCCTTTGGCTCCAGCACACCATGGAAGGGTTCTACTGGCTCTGTGGCAATGGAAAGAAAAATTAGTTTTCAAGAGAGAAAACAAAAACAAAGAAAAGCTACGAGTATTTCAATTGCGCCATCTTGTGGCGCCACCTAACAGTACTATGCCCCCATGACCTGAACTCCCCCCCATTTTGGTCATGCTGTGTCTCTATCTGGGGTGCCCAAACATCCTGGTTTGCCTGGAACACCTCCTTATTTATGCCTACTACCCTGGTTTAACGATAAAAACACCCCTTTTACTTTCTCAAAAGTGTCCTAGTTTGAACAATAAATGATATGGTTACCTAACCTATACCCCAGTAGACTATAACTAGCTTGAGGGTAGGGACTGTCTTGTTTACCATTGCATCCCTCAGACCACGGAGGCATTCAACTGATATTTGTGAAAAGAGCAGTGAAAGTTAAGGCTATAGAAACAGTTTCCCTGCCTTGTTGGTTACACTGATAACCACTGGGATTTGGAAATCTTTACGCTGTGCAGAGATTTTTAGTGTAATGTGATTGGCCCTGTAATCCCTGACCCCGGCGTCCCTGTGCACAAAAAGCCAGGCTGATAGACGTCAGAGCCTCGTCTCCCAGGGAGCGTGCGGCAGCCAGAGGGTGTTGGTCTGGCCATCTGGTGCAGGAACAGTCGAGCCGTGTGGGAGCCCAGCTGGCACGGGAATCCTTGGCTGTCCCCGGCAAACAGCATGGGGAGGAGAGCTGTGGGATCAATAGTAATTTCCTTCAGAAGAACGGCGATGTAGTGCAGTTGGCAATGGCATTGGGCTTTCCCTGGCACGGAGGCTTCTAAATGTGCTTGGCCCTCTTAGCTAGGAAGTGGACTTACAGCAGAACACTGGACAGGGAAGGGAACAAGGACAGGACTTTCTTGGCCTGAGCCCAAGAGAGGTTGCCAGGTTGGCTGTGGGAGCAAGCTTTCTCTGTGCTTGTATGTCATCGGCAGAAACAACGTAGACACTTTGAGTCACTGATAGAGAGGAAATTGTGGAAGCTGGAACATTCCCGTGGGCCTGCTGGCACCTCCCATGCAACATCCATCTACTCAGCACCTAGGGGAGGCTTCTTTGTGCCAGGAACAGGTGGTAAAGGTGATCTCCATTTCTCACTGTCTAGAGATGGAGGGTAAGGAGTTATCTGACATTTCTGAAGCAGGGCCATCATTGCGGATGGAAATAGTGGCGAGTCTAGGGGCTCAGGGAGTGGCTAGGAGTTCAGAAAGAATGGGTCAAGCTTGAGCTGCCAACTGAAGGATGAGCAGGAGTTTTGTTGGATGGGATGGTGGATTCAGGAGCACACCATATAACTACCCCCTTCAAAGGTTTGGGTGGGGACCGCTGCCCACTTGGAATTGTCCTTAGCTGATAGGAGCTGGCTGAGCTGCCTTGTCCAAGGGAGCGCCCTGCCACCTTCCGGGAGGGCAACTCATTCAATGACTGGTTTATAGGCGGGGGAGACTATGCAAGGACTTACCCCTTTGCCTCAATTTAGGACATCTCTGAAGGGCCATCCCAGCCCCAGAACTTGCCTTGGAGTTGACTGAGGCCTCTGTTGCAACTGCACTGTAGTTCAGCTTCTCCCTCTGCCCCATCCTGCAGCCCTTTCTCCCTCACAGGCATTGTTCCTGACAGCAGCCTCCAATCAGGATCCTATACACCAGTCACCATCTCAGGGTCCATCTCGCACAAAGCCCAGCATAAGCCAGGGAGGGAGGGGTAGCTCTTCTCGGGGAGACAAACAGTGTGCAAACTGTGGCCTGGAGGGTGGGCAAGCTGGCCAGGAGGGAGTGTCCATTCCTGTGGACCAAGCACAGGATTAAAAAAAAAAATCCTAAGAAGCAGATTCTTAATTCCTAAATTTTGGTGGTCAGGGAAGATTCATGGCATAAAGGTCTTGCGTTCCTGTGATTGTGACTGAGGTGTGACCTGTGGCATTTCTTAATATAATTTATATGTTCCTGCATCAGGTCAAGTTTTCCCCCAGCCTACTTTCTTAAGTTGCTCCTGTGTCCCAGTTTGGGCTGGAAAAGTGAGGAAGGGCAAGCGCTTTGGAAGCAGGTAGGCATGTGTTCGTGTCCCTCACTTACTGGTGGTAGAACTATGGGCAGATTCCTTTACCCTTCCGAGCCTGTTTCCTCCCCACCTCACCTCATGTGAGATGGGGATAATGAGATAATGCCTATAAACACATAGCACGGGGCCAGGCATGTAGTAAGCACTCAACAAATACCTTTATTTTCATTCCTGCCATTTTTGCTTCCTTTGCTCAAATTTGCACTCCTTTATCAGAGATGCTTGGTGAGGCCGGGTGCAGTGGCTCACACCTGTAATCCCAGGACTTTGGGGGGCTGAGGCAGGTGGATCACTTGAGCTTAGGAGTTGGAGACCAACCTGGCCAACATGGCAAAACCCCATCTCTATGAAAAATACAAAAATTAGCTGGGTGTGGTGGCACGCACCTGTAATCCCAGCTAGGATTACAAGGCAGGAGAATAGCTTGAACCCGGGAGGCGGAGGTTGCAGTGAGATCACGCTGCTGCACTCCAGCCTGGGCAACAGAGCAAGAGTCCGTCTCAAAAAAAAAAAAAAAAAAAAAAAGGAATGCTTGGTGAGTATCCATTTGGTGTGTGGGTAGGGGGAGGTGGGGGAAAGTGGCCGTGCAGTGGGGAGTGTTGATGGTTTTGATAGTTTTGATAGGAGCAGGATATATAAACAGACCTTCACTTGAGTCCTTTAGAGATTCAGTCTAAAGCTATCCCACATATGGGGCGGCTTAACAGAAGACACAAACTTGCCTTCATCTCCTCCATTTATCAGAGGGGGAAACTGAGGTCTGGAGGGGAACTGATGCCTACAGTTACCAAGTGACATCTGGAGACCCTGAACCCCGGTCTTCCAGTGCCCCAGCCCTTGGCTCACCTGGTCTCCCCAGAAGGGAGAGAAGAAGGCAACCGCTTTGGGGTGAGAGCAGAGCTGCCTCCTGGAGCCTCAAGCGCCAGCCTCTGCTCCTGTTTGTTCCCAAGCTCACCAGAAGGGCACCTCCCTCCTCCCCACTGATGTCAGCCGATGACGTCTGGGCTGCATTCAGGCCATGCTGTCATTTGTCCCATGCTCATTCAGCTGATTAAAAGTCATCAATTGTTTTTTAAGCCACCAGCAGGCGAGCCACCAGGCGCCATTTGTTATTGCTCGGCCATGCTGTGAGATGCTGTTTAAACTCACTGAGCAAAGCTTTCGGAAACCAGAGGCCAAAAGCATTTTTGGAGGAAAGAAAATAGGAGAGAAATGAGTGGGCCCACATCTTTGCCAGAAGGAACAATCAGGCCATGCAGGCGAGGAGCTGGTCCCCCTTTTAGCAGCTCCCACGCAATTCTTTTCAGGGGCCTTTCTCTTGGGGCCAGAGCTGCAGGGAGCCCCCTTCATTTCTCTCCCTTCCGAAATAATCTCCACTGTGGCTAACATTCATTTGGGGAATTTTTTTTTTTAACCTAGTCTCCCTACCTCCAAGTTATCCTCTTGCTTTTTGGCTAGATTAGTGTTCCTACAACACTTCTCCATGCCACTCCTGCTCAACCACCTTCAATGGCTCCTCATTGCCTGTGGAATGAAGATTAAAGCTGTTGCCTGGCATTCGAGTTCTCCACAGTGTGGCTCAGGTCCCTACCTCTGACCTTCCTTGTCACTATACTTTAGCCAAATCACACTTTTCAGCTCCCAGACATGATCCTTGCTCAGCTGTCTTTGTTCACAATGTTCCTTTTATTTGAAATGATGTACTACTTCCCCAGCCCCGGCTCTCAGCATTTTGAACCCCAAGGATCTTCCGATGAGTGTTTTGGAAACTTTGTCCTGGTGTCTTTATGGAGGCCACAGGTCCATATCCTCTTTGTCCCCTTTCAGTCACATGTGCAGTAGACACTATTGATGCCTCACCCATGTCACCTTGTGCTTACCATTTCTGTGCACACAGCTGCCAGCACCTGTATCCCTGTGCCTGGAGCCTGTTTCTGACCACTTGAGCCTTCTCTGTCAAGCAGAAGGTGCCAGGGGGTTAATGCTCCCTGGGAGCAGCCCTCAACCAATGACTGATGGGAGCTGGTGGATAAATACCCCAGCTCCCTCACTCCATGGATGGAATATTCCCAAGTAATTGTTCTGTGCCAGCTCTCAGATCCCCAGTGGGACTGTGCCCCAGTTGCCCACAGCAGTAACCTGCTCATTGGCTACCTTCCCTTCCCTGCCTCCTTCCAGATATACTACTTGTACTTAGACCCTTATCTCAGGGTCGGCTACTGAGGAACCCAAACGCAGACATGTCACTTTGTTTGTTCTGGTCCTTCGTCCTGCTGGACTAGCCCCAGATCCCCTGTAGGTCCCAAAATGGTGCCTGGCCCATAGCAGGTACCTCATAGTAGGTACCAGTAAATGTTGAATGACTTGAATCTGTATTAGAAAATCCTCTAAATGAAATATAAGCAAAACCTGTTTTTCTGTGGATTGTTCTCTCTGCCTGCATATGCCAGGGCCATTCCCACTTCTGTGCTTTAGCCCTGCCACCCCCTGCCTGGTCCTTTCCTATGGAAATCTGTAAGACTTAGCTTTAGCCAGGCACGGTGGCTCATGGCTGTAATCCCAGGGACTTGGGAGGCTAAGGCGGGAAGATTGCTTGAGGCCAGGAGACCAGCCTGGGTAGATAACATGGTGAGACCCAGTCTCTACAAGAAATTTTAAAAATTAGCTGGGCATGGTACTATGTGCCTGTAGTCCCAGCTACTAGGGAGGCTGTGGCAGAAGGATTTCTTGAGCCCAGGAGTTTGAGGCTGCAGTGAGCTATGATCGTGCCACTGCAGTCCAGCCTGGGTGATATTAATAGAATGAGACCCTGACTCTTAAAAAAAAAAAAGACTTACCTTTAGCCTCAGCACTTCCCCACCTTGCACCACCCCCAAGAACACCCTGTCTGCCGCAAGTCAGCCTGCCCTGGTAGTTCCCTTCCCTGAATTGCTACTGAGCTTCAATAGCACTGCCCAGCCTTGCACTTGCCGCTGATTTTGTTACATGTGTTCATTTTTTTCTCCACTGTGCTCTTCCATTCTCAAGGGTAAGTCTCACAATCCCAAGGGCTTCCTGTTAGTCACTTCTCCTTCTGTCCCCAGGAGGAATTCGAAGGTCTGACTCCATTATGAATCAGGGAAGATCAGTGTCATTGGCAAAAACAGCTTTTTTTTTTTTTTTTTTCAGCCATGTCTCAAGAAACTTGCAAGTAAATGCAAGGCTTAGTTGTATGTGGATGGGTGCAGGAGTGGTGGGGCGCACAGAGATGGGGGAGGGGGATCTGGTAGAGAGACCCTGTGGCCATGACCTGCCTTAGCCCCACAAGCTTTTGAGCCCTGTTCTTGAACTCGATATGTCTTGAGTTTCACAGGGGGAATCTCTCACCCAGCTCAATGTGGTTCGCCTTCAGGGGTCCCTGCCAGAGCCTGTCTGGATTAGGCAATCAGGAAAGCCGACGAACACTGGGGAGAAAGACTTACATGGACAGGGCATCCCAGATATCCCCTGCGGGCCTCCTTCCTCATTTCCAAGTTTCCTTATTAGATGGCGGAAATGTGTCTTATTCAGTCAAGAAGGACCCAGGCCAAGGTGAAAGGGGCACGGTTAAGCTCTCTGGGCCTGGAGTCACTCAAGCACCTGGAGGGAGCGTTCTCTCCCTTAGAGACAGTTTTCATTTCCACCTTGCTCAAAACAAAAGCCAGGCGGCTGGAAAAACAAATGCCTGTGCAGGAGTTCTTCTCACATCTATGCTGACTTTTCCAGACCACAGATTGGGACGTGCTGACGGACAGGCATGGGTAGATTTATGGCAGGAGATCAACATGAGATATCGGGGGCAGGAAGTGTGGCCTTCCAGTGCGCAGGGGCTGGCTGTGTGTCCTTGGGGTGGGTGCTGGGCTGGTTGCATAAGGGCCACAGGAAGTGTCCCTCAGGCTCAGGGCATGGGTTTCTCTGTAGTGGCCTGAACTCTGAGAGGAGCATAGGAAGGGAAATGCCTTTCTTCCTTAGTGTGGAGTTGCTGTTACCCTGGAAACGGCCCTTCTGGCCTACAGGGCCTAATAACATTCCTCAAAGTTTTCAGGAGTTGTGAGTTTTGGAATGATGACATGAATGTGGCTTTGTAGGGGCAGAACTCTGCCTCCGGAGTTAGGCGCATGAAGGAAAACACAGCAAAACAAAATGGAAAATGCAGCCTGTGGTTTAGAAAGACTATGGGGTTGTAGAATCGTAGCTGTCGAATGGGAAACTTCTGTGCATCTTTTTCCTTCTTTGATGGTAATTCCTGCGGTGTCCTAGCAAAGTCGGAAGTAGGATTCAAGTTTGGGGATTTTAGAATGCCCCTGGCTATGTACAGGGTTCCTTATTCCTCAAACGGTAGCTCTGTGGATCTCTGCAGTTGTATGGTTGGCTAGGAAAGCAGAAATTGTCATATTACAGAAATATTCAGTAATGAATTTTGCATGAAATTTGCCCCCACGCAGACATCCTTCACTCCTTCCTTATCAGCTACCTATGTCCTGCCCTTTGGTTGCCAGGAAGCAGACCACAGCCCAATACCGTGTGGTGCAACTGTGAAGTCCAGAACTGCTGGATTTTCTGAAATCAAATGAGGACGATGCCGGAGAATTACTTCCATCTCATGAGGAGTCACTAATTGGGATCTTGAGTGAGTTAGCTCGGTTCTCAGCCAAAGAGATGATCCATAGGCAGGAGGCATGATGGGAGTTTCCAAAAGTGGACCTTTTGAAGAACAAAGAATCAAGAGAGACCCTTGGGATAGCTGATGAAGGCCTTGAACCTTTTTGCCAAAATGACCCTGTTTATGATGGTGTGTGAAAGTCAAGGGTGAATTGGAGGCTGTTGTGTCTCTAGATGATTTGGTCGGGGAAAAGAAAAGCTTTGAACTCCCAACCAAACTTGTCAGCACTTTGTTACTGCTAAGAGTGGTGCACAGTTGCACTTAGAAACTCCATTTTCTTAAATATGAAATGACTTATTTTTTCCCCAGCTTCATTGAAGTATGGTTCAACAGAAAAATTGTATATATTTGAGCTATACAATGTTTGATGTATGTATACATTGTGAAATAATTAGGACAATCAAGCTAATTGACATATCCATCACCTCACATAGTTACCATTTTGTGTGTGGTAAGAACACTTGATATTTATTCTCTTAGCAAATGTATACAATACAGTATTATTAACTACAGTCATCATTCTGTATATTAGATCTCCAGAACTTATTCATCCTTCATAACTGAAACTGTACCCTTTGACCAACATCCCATTTACTCCGTGTCCCAGCCCTTGGCAGCCACCATTCTACTCTGTTTCTTTTTGAGATGGAGTCTTGCTCTGTTGCTGAGGCTGGAGTGCAGTGGTGCCATCTTGGCTCACTGCAACCTCTGCCTCCTGGGTTCAAGCAATTCTCTTGCCTCAGCCTCCCAAGTAGCTAGGATTACAGGCACCCACCACCAGGCCCAGCTAATTTTTTTTTTTTTTTTTTTTTTCTTTTTTTTAGTAGAGATGGGAGAGATGGGGTTTCACCATGTTGCCCAGGCAGGTCTCGAACTTTTGACCTCAGGTGATCTGCCCATCCTGGCCACCCAGAGTGCTGGGATTATAGGCGTGAGCCATTGTGTCTGGCCCACTCTGTTTCTATGAGTTCGACTTTTTTAGATTCCATATATAAATGAAACCAAAAATAACTTATTTTTATGATTCAAGTGTCATTTTTGAGATTAAGTCCCAGTTCAATTTTTTCCCCTGTATTTACTTGGAAACCTTGGTCTCTATTTCAATTGGTTCACTGTAAGTGGGCTTTCCCCATGTGGGTTGACCTCAGGTGACAAAGGTCTCCAGCATTTCCAGGAGCTGGCAAGCTTGGTGACTTTGTTTCTCTTTGGTGGAGGGAGAGGATAAAGGCTCCAGAGGATGGAGTGGCATGGGCCGGCTGTTGCCCCACGCAGGATAGGGGGGTAGCATTTAGGGTTGGAGGCTCAGAAACAGTACATGTAAAACTGCCCAACTACCTGTTCAACTTCCTTCACATCTCCCATACCAAATGCTGGAGAAGTTCCTCAAATGTTTCCCACCGTCTCCCTCCTTGTAGCACCTCTCCAATCCATAGCCCCCTCTCCATCTCAGCATGCAGCTACTTCTTCCTCCTGATTTGAAGGCCCAAACCCTTGCCCTCAAAATCCCCCATCACTCTCTCCTCTTTCTTTTTCTTTTCTTCTTCTTTTTTTTGAGACAGGGTCTTGCACTGTCACCCAGGCTGGAGTGCAGTGGCACTTTCATGGATCACTGCAGTCTCAACCTCCTGGGCTCAAGTGATCCTCCCTCCTCAGCCCCCCAAGTAGCTGGGACTACAGGAGTGCGCCACCACGCCCAGCTAAATTTTGTATTTTTTGGTGGAGACAGAGTGTATTAGTCCGTTCTCACACTGCTCTGAAGAAATACCTGAGACTGGGTAATTGACAAAGGAAAGAGGTTTAATTGACTCACAGTTCTGTGTGGCTGGGGAGGCCTCAGGAAACTTACAATCATGGCGGAAAGCACCTCTTCACAGAGTCGCAGGGGAGAGAATAAGTGCCCAGCGAAGGGGGAAGCCCTTTATAAAACCATCAGATCTTGTGAGAACTAACTCTCTATCAGGAGAACAGCATGGAGGTAACTGCCCCCACGATTCAGTGATCTCTACCTGGTCCCTCCCACAACATGTGGGGATTATAGGAACTACAGCTCAAGATGAGATTTAGGTGGGGACACAGCCAAACCATATCCTGAGGTTTCACCATGTTGCCCAGGCTGGTATTGAACTCCTGAGATCAAGCGATCTGCCCACCTCGGCCTCCCAAAATGCTGGGATTACAGGCATGAACCACTGCGCCTGGCCTCTCCCCTCTTTCATAATCGACATCTAGTTGTTAGTAATGCCTGTTGGTCTTACCGTCAAAACACTCCTAGGCCGGGGTTGTTGGCTCACGCCTGTAATCCTAGCACTTTGGGAGGCTGAGACAAGAGGATCCCTCGAGCCCAGGAGTTTCAGACCAGACTCGGCAACATAGTGAGACCCTGTCACTATTTTTGTACAAAACGAAACAAAGCAAAACCAAAAATCCCACTCCCAGGCTTTTTTCATGGGTACCTGCCACCAGCTTTCTCTGCTAATGACTTCTCTCTGGCCTCTCTGCTTCACTTCTGCCCCCTGAATTTGAGTTTCAGTGAAGCCACTGTGCCCCTGTCATGTCATCATTCCTCAGCTCAAAACCCTTGAAATTTCCCAGCTCATTCAGAGTAAAAGCAGCACTGACTGAAACACAGTGTCCTGTAAGGCCTACACGACCTAGTTCCCATCGCCTGTCTGACTTCACCCTCTATTCCCTCCTCCTTGCTCCCTCCCCTCCAGCCACACTGCCTGGAACATGGCAGGCCTGCCTCTGCCTGCTCCTGCCTCAGGGCCTTTGCACTTGTTCCTCCTCTGCCTGGAATGCTCCTCCCTCTGCCTGGAAAGCTCCTCCCCCCAGGTAATGCCTTCAGTTCCTCCCTTCAGGTCTTTATGCAGATGTCAGCTTCTGGGGAGGACTTCCTTTACTCTGCCTTTCCCCAACTATATACTCCCTATCCTCCACTCCTGTTTACTTGTACACCTTGGCACTCGTTAACATCTGACATGCTATATAGTTTACTTGGTTATCTTGCTTCTGGCTTTTTGTCTCCCACCAGAATGGCAGCTGCCATGAGGGCAGGGATTTTTAAATCTATTTTGTTTGTTTGTTTCTTTCTTTTCTTCTTCTTTTTTTTTTTTTTTGATTTGCCCTTTCACCCAGGCTGGAGTGCCGTGGCGTGATCTCGGCTCACTGCAACCTCCCATCTCCTGGGTTCAAGTGATTCTCCTGCCTCAGCCTCCTGAGTAGCTGGGACTACAGGCGCATGCCACCACGCCCAGCTAATTTTTGTATTTTTAGTAGAGACTGGGTCTCACCATGTTGGCCAGGCTGGTCTAGAACTCCTGACCTCAAGTGATCCGCCTGCCTCAGCCTCCCAAAGTGCTGGTATTACAGGCATGAACCACTGTGCCCTGCCAAAAGTCATTTTGTTTCTTGTCATGCTTTTAGTTCAGTGCCCGGCACTCAGTGGAACCTCAATATTTGTTGAAAACGTGAATGCGTGGGGCTTGGGGCAAATGCTGGAATCGCAACTTGATAATAAAG
Source organism: Homo sapiens (assembly GCF_000001405.40). NCBI lineage: Eukaryota > Metazoa > Chordata > Mammalia > Primates > Hominidae > Homo > Homo sapiens. Next base: position 39,804,397 of record NC_000023.11, on the reverse strand, counting down.
TGGAGACAGAGCAGGAAAAGCAATGATTCTCCTCACATGCCCCAGCCCTGAAACTCACGCTGTCTCTGACCAAGGCCTTGCCACCCTGAAGGCTCTGGGTACTCCATAAACAGAGGTCTCAGGAGGCCTCCCCCAATCACCAGTGCGTGGCTGGAGGGCTCAAGGTTGGGCACCTGGGGGGCCTCTCTGGGATTTCAAGTATGGGAACCTTTGACCAGCGGCGCAACCGAGGGGTGGAGTAATGCCTTTGTGGCATTTTGCTCCTGCATACTGGCAGGTGAGGCTAGACTATGCAGACCCTTTTATATCTGCCACAGCCCTGGGACCAGACGCTCTGGCCCTCGCAGATGTTTTATATATGTTTTTGTGGAGTGAAAGGGAAAAAGACGCAGCAGCAGGTGTCTACACTGGCCAACGCCAGCGAGGGCGGGGAAGGGCATTCTTACTTCAGAGAGTCCACAGATCCAGCTTCTCATCTCCCATAGCCCTCCCCCTTTTGACCCCAGGGCTCCCCTGCAGGTTTCTGCCTTTGAGAGCCACCTTGCCCAGGGAGTGCCCTGCCCACAGCCTGCAGGGTGGAAAAGAAAAGTTGTTTTCCCGGCTGGCTGCTTTGGGGACTTTACCGCCTGCAGTGGTCTGTAGTCCTAGCTCAGCTTTAGAATCCTCTGGGAGCTTTTAAAAAATCCTTCATACCTGGGCTCCCACTCACTTAAATTGAATCCAAATCTCTGAGGATGGAACCCAGGCATTGCTAGCTTCAAAAACCACAACAACAGGACAGGCATGGTGGCTCACGCCTTAAATCCCAGCACTTTGGGAGGCTGAGGCGGGTGGATGACTTGAGGTCAGGAGTTCGAGACCATCCTGGCCAATATGGTGAAACCCGTCTCTACTAAAAATACAAAAATTAGCTAGGTTTGGTGGCGGGCGCCTGTAATCCCAGCTACTCAGGAGGCTGAGGCGAGAGAATCACTTGAACCCGGGAGGTGGAGGTTGCAGTGAGCCCAGATCGAGCCACTGCACTCCAGCCTGGGCGACAGAGTGAAACTCTGTTTGAAAACAACAACAACAACAGCAACAACAACAACCACCTGGTGATTCCGTTGTGCAGCCAGGTCTGAGGCCTGCGGTGGTGCTGGTTGAGAGATGTGCCCTGGAACCTGATCTACTGACCTTTGCCATCTGGTACCCTCCCCTTGGCCAGTTCATGCCTTGCCGGCTTTCAGAGCTTGTCACCAGCGCTTTCATTTGCAAAAAGTCTTCTGGACACGGGGCCTGACTCCTCGGATCTCTCCCTCTTGCCGCAGCCCGCTTGTTTTTGGAACCGGCTGTTTGGTAATTAATCACTCCTTCCAGGGCCCATTCTCTGCCCCTTGCATTGTTATTTATCTTCTCCAGTGTTTACTGCCTTGACTCAACTTGGATTATATACTCCCTCCTCTTACTTAACCCGGGTTCCATTGGGTACAGAATCAATGAAAAAGAATTTCAAAGTGCAAATGCCCTGGCTCCAGAATGAAGGGAGTTGAGAGATAGAAGATATTCCTAGTAGTTTCTCTTGGGGTTTTTGCTGGCCTTCACATTCGGGAAGGGAGGCCCCTCTGCATTTGGGAAGCACAGGGATTCCCGTCAGGGGGTTCCAGGTTCCCCGCACAGGGTGAACCACATGAAACATTTGTTGATTGGCTGAAGACAGCCCTGGAGCCGGTAGAGAAACTTCTGGGGACAAGTGCACAGCCGGGTACTGTGAAGAGTGCTTAATTCGGACCTCCTTTTACAGAGGAGGAGACCAAAGCCAGAGAGAGGAAGTGAGCTCTGGAAGGCCACCCAGTGAGCTCCTGCTAGAGCCAGCCCCAAAAAGCAGCCGAACTCAGCCCAGCTGCCCCGTCTCCTTCCACGACCTCTGGCTGCTTCCTGGAAGGCAGGATTACTAAATTGATAGACGGCAGGAGGTCCGTGAACTTGGATGGGAAGAAAAATTACATCTTCATTTTCGCTAACCTCTCACTGAAATCCTTTAATAGACGTAGGAAACAAACCACAGTGATATTGGCAGGAGCTGTGACTTTGTCGCCAACAGAAATCACAGATATTTCCATATTATGTTACAGTTACTGCAGGTATCTCAAATACCAATTACACTCATCATTGTTTTGAAATTACAGCAGTTATTTTACCTAGTTATTTAATTCATTAAATAAGTACGTATATGACTACATCACCAAATATTTTCATGCTTATTTCAATATAATTGGTTTGCTTTGCAATTCCATGGTATTTTATTGTATGCACTTAAAGTATTATTCTGAGAAGGCTCCAAAGGGGCCACAGGGCAAAAACAATTACGACCCTATTGGGCTCGGAACACAATACCCCAAAGTATGGCACTTTGGCATGCTGAGTGCTTTAAACCAAAGGAGATTGGAGGGCCTCAGACGCAAAGTCTCTCTGAACCTCTCCTACTCTCCTGTCTCTGACTTCTTTTTCCCCTACAAAGGAAGTCATAGAAACCAAAATTCCTCTTCCCAAAGGCGAATCATGGAAACTAGAAGCCTTCTCTCCCAAAGCAAGCCATACAATCTAGAAAGGTCACTCTCTCCCTTTTCCCTTCTGTCTTGAAGACCCTCATTTCAGAGGGGTCCTGCCTCATACCTGAAAGGAAGGAATGCTATACAGACGGGCCAAGAATCTGGACAGGGCTTGCTGGGATTCCTCCTCAGTCTATTACCATGAGATCATACCCTTTTGTCCAGTCACATTTCTACAAGGCTGCCCATTCTTCATGGAATGTAAGCATAAAAATAGACAGTTTTGGCTGGGCGGGGTGGCTCAGGCCTGTAATCCCAGCACTTTGGGTGGCTGAGGCAGGAGGATCACCTGAGGTCAGGAGTTTGAGACCAGCCTGGCTAACATGGTGAAAACCCATCTTTACTAAAAATACAAAAATTAGCCAAGCGTGGTGGTACACACCTGTAATTCCAGCTACTTGGGAGGCTGAGGCAGGAGAATCACTTGTACCCGGAAGGCGGAGGTTGCAGTGAGCCGAGATCACACCACTGCATTCCAGCCTGGGCGACAGAGCGAGACTCCATCTGAAACAAACAAACAAACGAACAAACAAACAAACAAACTTCGATTAAATAGATTTGTTATGCTTTTCTCTTGCTAACCTGTCTTTTGTCATAGGAGTGTTGGCTGTGACACTTATGATGACTGAGAAAAGGTATCACACATTCCGCCCCTACAACCCCTTCTTAAGGACTGGTTTCCATAAAACACGCAGGACATCTTCTGCTACAGTCTCAGCATGATGGATGGTTAGAGCTCAGCCTGGGTGACACCAGGGCTGAGTTCCCTTCTCAATTGTTACTCAATCTCTCCGAACTCAGCTTCCTTGTTCATAAAATAGGGATAATAATAGTCCCTACATTTCAGAGTTGCGAGGATGAGAATGCACATACAAGGTTTGTTCCAGGGCTTGGCCAAGGGTACAAGTTCAATCCATACCAATGGTAGCGGTCACATGCCAATTTCTTGGGGTACTAGTTGGCAAGAACCATTTATTTGTCCAATTCAAAAAGAAGAAAAAAAAATCTTTGCTAACTTGTCAAACGTTTTCAAACCTCAGTTCCCAGGTATCAAAAACGATTGTCTGAGACCAGATGGCCTAAAATGATGTTTTCAATTATATTAAAATATTTTTTTAAAATTGAAGTGTAGCTTATATATCATAAAGTGCACTAGTCTTAAGTGTACAACTCAATAAAATTTTACATATGTCTAGATTCATGCAATCAGCCCCAGATCAAAACATAGAACATTTCCAGCCATCTAGAAGGTTCCCTCTTGCCCCTTCTCAGTCAATACTACCCCCTGCCTCCTTAACCACGATCCTGAGTTCTGTCGTCATTGATTGGTTCTGTCTGCTCTAGAAGTTCATGTAAATTCAATCAGAACATACGTACTCATATGTGCCTGGCCTTTTTTTCAGTCAGTATATCTGTGAAGTACCTCTACATTGTTGCGTGTATCAGTAGTTCTTTTTTTTTTTTTCTCATTGCTAGGTAGTATTCCATTGTATAAATACACCACAATTTACTTATCCATTCTACCTTTGATGGAAATTTGTGTTGTTTCCTTTTTTTTTTTTTTGTCTCTTATGAATAAAGTTGCTGCAAATGTTTATGTACATGTCTCCATGTGGCCATATGAACTCATTTCTCTTGGGTATTCCTGGGAGAGGAATTCCTGGGTTAGAACATCTGTATATGATTAATTTTAGTTTCAATTACATTGAAAAAGATTTATTCAGGGCTGGGCCCAGTGGTTCACACCTGTAATCCCAGCACTTTGGGAGGCCACGGCGGGCAGATCACTTGAGATCAGGAGTTTGAGACCAGCCTGGCCAAAGTGGTGAAACCCCGTCTCTACTAAAAATATAAAAATTGGCTGGGTAAGGTGGTGCTCACCTGTAATCCCAGCTACTTGGGAGGCTGAGGCATGAGAATCTTTTGAGCCTCGGAGGCAGAGGCTGCATGAGCTGAGGTCATTGCCACTGTACTCCAGCCTGGGTGGCAGAGAGAGACTCTGTACCAAAAAAAAAAAAAAAAAAAAAAAAGATTTATTCTGTAAAGAATGAGGCCTTAGATAGAGCGGTATGTGAAACAGTTGCTCCATGAACAAGAGTTCCCCCAAACTTGCCTTCCAAGGCAGCAGGAATCCCAACACTGAATAATTTTTTTTTTTGAGAAGGGTGTCTCACTATATTGCCCAGGCTGGCCTCAAACTCCTGGGCTCAAGCGATTTTCCTGCCTTAGCCTCCCAAGTAGCTGGTATTACAGGTGCATGCCACTGCACCCAACTAAACACCAAGGTGGTTGGTTTTTTTTTAAATATTATTATTATTAACTAGATTTTGTTTGCCAATCATGGCTTCTATTTTGGTCAGAGAAAGAGGCTTCAATGCAGAAGTGGATGAGGGTGAATTAGAAGAAAAATGAACACAGGAAAGACCCTCCTAAGAGGGTTCAGAGGCCAGGCATGGGCTGCTGAGATGCTTTAGGACAGGATTAGACCAAGCCCAAGAAGCTGGCAGTCCTTGGAGAGGGAGACAGACTGGCTCCCCTTTCTCTGCTCCCTTCTCAGACTGCCCTGCCCAGCAGCAAGTCCCTGAAGGTGACCACCTAGGGCTGATCAACCTGGCCTCCCTCTCCCTGTATGCATTTTTAATTAAGCAGTAGCACTCACAGCTCACTTGCCTTTTAATGTAAACCCCAACCCTAGGGCCTCCAATTAAGTAAAAGCTTTATACCTGGCACCTTCTTAATCAGGACAGTTGGTGCCAGGCAGGTTTTTCTGGAGCTGTGGCTCTCCAAGTGCAGTGCCTGGAAGAGCAGCATCAGCATCACCTGGGAACTGGTCAGAAATGCCCATTCCTGGGCCCCACCCCAGGCCTCAGAATCAGAAGTTGTGGGGTGGGGCCTAGCAATGGGTGTTTTAACAAGCCTCCCCCCACTCCTGGAGTATTCTGATGCACATCAAAGTTAGACAACCACCAAGCCACCCTGGTTTACAACCTGCCTTTGCATTGGAATCATTTGGGGATTAAAAAAAGAAAAAAACAACTTCTGCCTGGTCTACCCTAGAGGTGCTGATGTAATTGGTCTGGGTATGTAGATTTTTATTTTTTTTATTTATTTATTTACTTATTTATTTATTTATTTATTTATTTATTTTTTGAGACAGAATCTCACTCTGTTATCCAGGCTGGAGTGCAGTGGTATGATCATATAGCTTACTGCAGTCTTGACCTCCCGGGCTCAAGTGATCCTCCCACCTCAGCCTCCTGAGTAGCTGGGACTACAGGCGGGCACCACCATGCCTGGCTAATTTGTGTATTTTTTTCAGAGACGGGGTTTCACCATGTTGGCCAGGCTGGTCTCGAACTCGTGAGTTCAGGCAATCCTCCTGCCTTGGCCTCCCAAAGTGCTAGAATTACAGGTATGAGCCACTGCACCTGGCTGGTATGTGGGTTTTTAAAGCTCCCAAGGTGATACCAATGTGGAATCAAGGTTTGCCAAGATGGAAAGCCTTCCATCTAGGAGAAGATCTTTTTGCTTTATTATCTCTCTGCCAAAGTCTCCTAACCTCTGAGGTTCCCCCTCTGTTCCTATGGTCCTGGTTTAATGCTTTGAAGATTTGGAGCCCATGTTTCATGTTGGAACCAGCTCCTACCTGCACACCAGAGCAGATGGTGTGCATCTCAGCACTGTGGTATTAGTGGCTTGAAGTCAGCTATGGTGGGAATCTTTACACCACAGAAATGGGCAAATGCTACCAGTCAGAGCTATTAGACCCTGGAGAACGTTTTGTCAGTTGTTCACCAGCTCACCACAGGGCAGGTAACCTGCTTGGGTTGCTCAGCCTAAGTCAGGGCTTAGGCTGGGCAACACTTACTCCCCAGGCCAGGGGGCCTAATACAAATGAGAGATGTGTAAGTGATGCAAATGATGAGTTCAGGTGAGTCCTCAGAAGCAAAATATGAGTAAAATATGGTGACAGGGCTAGCTATATAATTTGGGGGACCCAGTACAAAATGAAAATTCAGGGACCCCTGCTCAAAATGTAGGGGGAAAAACGTGCCATTAAAGGTACTAAAATATAAAACATTTTCCTTTCTTCTGTGGTCTCTTTCTCTCAACCAGTACTTGCTACCTAATGTCATATTCCTTTGGGTATGGGATACTCTTGGTGCAAGCGAGGACCCTCAAAACTGCCTGGGGGTCCTGCCTCAAGATTCTGCACTCACCCTGCCACCTGCTGGGTCCCTCCTTTCTCCAGCCAGACCTGCAGGCCTTGATGTCATGGCTCAGGGCAGGAAAGTCAATTTTCCCTTCCCAGAGGAAAGCTGCCCCCACCCATAAGGGAGGGGTGACCCCTAAGGGATGGCAACCTCATGGCTAGGATAGGAGCAGGTGAAGGGCTTGCTCCAGGCCAAGTGGCCTGCTGGATGCCAATTCTGGGGGTGCCACCCTGACCCTCCCCCAGGGGAAGAGAGCCCCAGTGGTTGCTAGGTGGGTAGGCAGGGAGGGAGAGGCTGGGCAGGGTCGGGACACCAGAGGATGGGCAGGGTCGGGACACCAGAGGATGGGGAGCAGGCTGCCAAAAACCTATCCTAAGGAGGCTGGGAAGTGCGAGAGGTGGGACCCTGTATGAGCTGAGGCTCCAAGCTCCCAGATCATGTTCCACTGCCCCATTGGACTTCACTTACAAAAGAGAGAATGATTCACCACAGGGCATGAAACCCCAAGTACCAGACCTTTCTGAGCGTGGGAGCCCTGTGACTGCACTATTGGCTTGCCCACAGAGCTGGTCCTGCATGGTCATATGGCTAATGCTCAAAAGGTTTAGTTTTGCAAGACTTGCTCCTGGCTGGGAACAAGTCTCTCTCCTCTGCCTATTTCTCCTCAGTATTTGTCCTCCAGCTTGGAGTGCCAACCCTCCTAGCTGAACACCCATCATGGGCAGCGGGGGTCCAAGGGAATAGATTCAACTCACGCCTGCACAAAAGTAGGACACGATGTAGCCATTATTGATTTTCCTATAAGGAGTGAACTTTCTATTAAAAACAATCACATAAATTATTTAACTAAACCCCACATAGCCATCTATGGTTGTATATAACCAAGAGAGACAAGCTCAAGTAAGCCTTTGAAAAGGGACTAGAGAGCCCATACCTTGTGCCACATGACTTGAGAGCTTTAGGGTCACAACTTAACTTAATAAATTTTTTCTTTTTTTTTCTCTCTCTCTCTCTCCCTAGAGCTTTGGGATTATACATGCTCTTATCCCTTCTGTCTCTGCAACTGCTTTCCTGGCAGCTTGGACATCGGAAGCCACTCTATTTGAAATTAGGGCATCTTAATTCCATCCTAGTGATCCACTCACACCTTTGTCACCCTTTTTTTTTTACAAAGAGCAATAGCTGCCCCCAGCGCCTATGGGCTTTCTCAGGTACAGGCTGTCCCCACTGTATTTTTTTCTGCCTTGGTCAGAAAGGAACGGGGCTGGATTGGAGTGGGGGCCAAATAGCAAAATACTACTCATTTCCAAGGTGTTGCATAAACTCGAGACAGCAGTTCCTCGGAAACTATGCTCTAAACTTCATTCAGTAACTCATTCCCCCACTGTTTCCTGGCCTGGGTAGAAAAGTGATTTTTGCCTTGAATGGCTAATTATTATTGGGTAAATAGCCAATGCTCCTAGCAGCTTAAAGCTTGCTTCAGGTCTTTCAGATTTTTAAAAGGATTTTTACCACTTGTTCTCTAAACATTTAAAATTACAGTACATTTGAAAGAAAGAGAATGGGTTTTTATAAAACAATAAGTTATACAGCAGTTCTTTTGAGTGTGTGCTTTCTTTTTTGGAGACCCTGGTATGAAAAGAAAAGCCGTTTCCTTCTGCCCAGGAAGAGGGTGAAAGCCTGACTCTATTGACCCCAGAGAGCCTGTTAGCATCTCTGCCTTTTGTCTCTGGCTGTCTTGGGTGGAGGGCGACTGTGCATGGGGTTAATTGCCCAGTCGTAACTCCAGTCGTTAAAATTCAAGAGGTGTGCTCTTGTAAGACACTTGAGGTAGATGAACTGTCCTGTAACTTTTATATATGGCACCCCCACCCCCCACCCCTTCGTGTTCCCACACTACTGTTGGCCTAAGCCAATTAGAACTTTCTAAGGAGGCCAGGCCATATCTCTTAGCTCGAGCTCCGCTGGGAGGCCCCAGCCATGTCCCATCTGGTCCTGAGTTAACTCTTGCTCCAGCCACCAAGTGTTTGTTTTTTTTTTTTAGTTAAAAAATAAAGCCACCTCCTTCTTTCCCTGTATGCACAGAACCAATTTAAATTGAGATCCTTATTTTTTTTGTTATCATTTTTTTTCTCTTTCCCAGTGTCTTTCACGCTCCTTTTTGAAGGGGGCTGGCTCCTTTTGAAGTTTATCTTTGGTTCAATAATTCACAGTGGTTGAGCTTGAGGATTTTTCTCTAACTAAATATAAACAAAAGCTCCCCTCCGCTGCAAAAAAAGGAAGGGCCCGAAAGATTCTCTCCTTCACACTGATCAGCAAGTGGCCTCCTTATTGGCTCTTGTCACTTAGTGTCCTCCACTTCCCTGGTGTTGCCATCTTGCAAACATTTGGGGGAAAATGGAGAATGACGAAACTTAATCTGCCAGCACCTTGGGAGTGCAGCGTTGGAGTCAGTCTCCCATCTGTGGGGAAGCTCTAATTTCACTGGCTGTGTTCCTCCCATCAGTCAGGGCTGCAACCTACACAGATCAGTTTCTTTTTCTTTTCTTTGTTTTTTTTTTTTTTTTTTGGAGACAGAGTCTCGCTCTGTCACCCAGGCTGGAGTGCAGTGGCGCGATCTTGGCTCACTGCAGCCTCTGCCTCCCAGGTTCAAGCAATTCTCCTGCCCCAGCCTCCCGAATAGCTGGGACTACAGGTGCGTGCCACCACGCCCAGGCTAATTTTTTGTATTTTTGGTAAAGACGGGATTTCACCGTGTTAGCCAGGATGGTCTCAATCTCCCGACATTGCGATCCACCCGCCTTGGCCTCCCAAAGTGCTGGGATTACAGGCGTGAGCCACTGCGCCAGGTCTCACACAGATCAGTTTCTTAGCACTGAGAAAGAAGCCAGCATAACCCACAGAGTAAGGTGGTAAGGCAGCCGTCAACGGGGCAATGTGGAACAAGAGTGGGAAATTCGACTTTACTTAATTTGGAACAAACAAAGCATCCTAAATCCTTCTCTCATTCCATCTCCTCTCCCCATTGCCTCAGACATAAACTGGATATGATCTGTTAGCGGTGGTGTGCTGGAGCCGGTTTGTACTGAATTGTGAAAGCCAATTTTACATACCTCTTTCCAACTCTCAGTTCAGTGACATCACATTGGTAGCTTAAAATTAGCCATCATGAGAGTATTTACACCATTGAAATTGGCAACTGCTACACATCGGGTTTTTTTTCTTTTCGAGGGGTGGGGGCGGTTCACCAGCTCACTATCGACTGTCAGGGCTTGGCTCCCACCTCCATCTGTGTGCCTTCCTGAAGAGCAGAAGCTAAAACACCACTTTCCCCAGACTCCCTCGCAACTAGGGTTCAGGATGCAGAATAGTTTCTACCAAGCAGAGGTGTGTGCTGTGACTGACAGAGATTTGGGAGATGGAAGTGAGGTGGAGGTCATATTTCTGTACCTTTGGCTGGCCTTTTGAATGCAAGCAAGGTTGTAGAGATGTGGAATTTTCTGTGGTAGTAGTCCAATGTCCAGTTTGTAGGTGGTGAGACGCAGTGGCAGCAGCCAGGCTTTGCACTCCAGTTTCCTGAACTGGGTACCAGCAGCTTTTTGATCCTTAGATTATGGCTCTGGCTATGTTCTCGAACTCCTTAGTCCCACTGGCAACTTCTGATTCCCAGTTTTCTGATTGTGGCTGAGGGAGTGGCTCCCCTGGAGGGTCAGTCCTGGGGGTCATTTCTGGAGGGCCAGCCTAAGTGTCTTCTCCACAGCTCTTTCAATGATGTGGTTAACATTCAATTCTCTGTATTAAATTGCTTTCTGTTGAAATACTGAAAGTGGGGTCGGTTCGGTTCCCCGCAATGAACTCTGCCATTGCTCTGTTTCTGGATTCTGCTCCTGCCACACCCCCTGCTAGAATGTTCTTTTTGGGCACGCACAAAAAAAATCATCTGTCTCGATAGATTATAAATCTCTTGAGAGCAAAGTTCAGTGGTATGAGCCTTTCTCACAGCATAACACACAAGGGGTGCTCAATAAATAACTAGATGCACAAATGAGTGAATTGATAAATGGGTGAGTGAATGACACCAGAGTATTATCAGATTTCTGACTCCAAGTTTCTGCCCAGTTCTGCTCTGAGCCTCTCTCCTCGCATCTACAAGCCCTAGGCTCAAACTCTAACTCTGTACTCATTTTGTGACATTGAAAAAGCTACTCTGTAAGCAGTTTCCTCATCTGTAAAATGGGGCCAATGTTAATGATACCTAGTTTTTCAGGATTATTGGAAGGATTAAAACCACACAATTGGCCAGGCATGGTGGCTCACACCTGTGATCCCACCACTTTGGGAGGCTGAGGCAGGCAGATCACCTGAGGTCAGGGGTTCAAGACTAGCCTGGCCAACATGGTGAAACCCCGTCTCCACTAAAAATGCAAAAATGAGCTGGATGTGGTGGCACATGTCTGTAATCCCAGCTACTCAGGAGGTTGAGGCAGGAGAATCTCTTGAACCCAGGAGACGGAGGTTGCAGTGAGCCTAGATTGTGCCACTGCACTCCAGCCTGGACAACAGAACGAGACTCCCCCCCACAAAAAAACAAAACAAAACAAAACAAAACAAAACAAAACAAAACAAAACACAATTTGAGGTTCTTGCCCCAGTCAGTTTTCATTCGCCCAGCTCAGGGCCAGGTACTGGAGCGTACTGCCTGAAGTTAGGTGGCCACCTGTGTGAATCCTGCCTCTTTTCCCCACTTGCTTTGGGTCCTGAGGCAAGTTAAGTTACCTATCTGAATCTCAATTTTCTCATCTTTAAAAGGAGTGAAAACATACCCCTTCCTCACTCAGATGCTGTAGGATTCAAAATGTGCATGTGTATATAGTATTTTTTAATTTTTACTCTTGGTAAAGAGGGAGTCTTGCTGTGTTGCCCAGGCTGGTCTCTATCTCCTGGGCTCAAGTGATCCTCCTGCCTTGGCCTCCCAAAGTGCTAGGATTATAGGTGAGAGCCACCACACCCGGCCTTATGTGTATATAGTATTTTGTGTGTTTGTGTTATCACTATCATGTAGTCTCTGACACCTACTAGCTGCTCAATGAAAGTGAATTCCACTGACCAAAGTCCTTCCTATCTTGGGGAGATAGAGAACCTAGTTATTTAGAGATGAGGTTTCAGGACTCCAAGAGTCCCTGCTGTTTTATGTTGTTTAAAGACACCCCTCTCCCCCAGAGCTGTCAATGCCCATAGGTACTGGCAGAGCTGTAACACCAGGCTAAAGTTCCACAGGAACTTTTTTCCTGACAAAGTCCTGGAAAAGTGAATGGGCAGGTAATTGAAAGACATGAGAAAGTTCCAGAAAGGGCAGGTGACAATGAGTTAGGCCAAGCACATTGCTTTTTCTCTTGTTAACCTTTGAGTCAGCCTGGCTGCTCACCTGAAGAGGTTAGAAAAATTAGGGGGTCAGTCTTCACAAAACTATTGGAGACCTGATGCTCTCTGGGAGTTATTTGGGAGAAATTTTCCTGCTGTTGGATTACCAGTAACCTAGCACAGGTTCACACCTGCATTTTTGTAACTGAGAGACTCATCTGGCACTTGTTTGATATCGTCTACCAAGTTTGAAATTGTCTACCAAGAGCCAGAAATGCTGCACACAGGTTAGTGACATCACTCTTGTATCAGTTAAGAATGTTTCGGGTGGTTTCCGGTGCAGGAACTGAGAGACCCTTTGGTGTTCTACCTGGAGGCATGGCTGGCGGATGAGATCTTTGGCCCAGATGGAGCCATAACTCTAGAAATGGAGTGGATGATCCAGGCCCTGCTGACAGTGGGCATAGTGGACTCTGGGAACCTAGTGGAAATCACCATTTTTGGTCGGCCCTGTGTACCCAATCGGGTGAAGAGGATGCTCCTGTGCCTGGCATGGTTTCACCGAGAACATTGTGCCTGAACTGAGAAGATGAAACACTTTGAGAACTTGAAGGCCTGTGCATCAGGCCTCCATACTCTCCAACATCCTATTGCTTAGGACAACATAATTATTGTCAGGAGCATCTTGAGAACGTTCCTACTTTTGCTGCTGAAGTTGAAGAGAAGCAAGTATAGCATTCCTAAATCCCTGCATTCCTTTTTCCTGTGTCTTGATGGATGGTGGTTGCAAGAGTGAGTTTGAGGAACTATTCTCATAAAGAAATGGCTATTTTGCCCAATGCGTAAAGATCTTTGCACACTTATAATAAAACAAATATATATATGAATGTTTCAGTTGCAGATGTGCAGATGATAGGAAAAACCTACTAAAGCTTCTTAGGCATGAAGGGGATTGTACAACACCCTTTCCACCCTCATTCTGTCCCCCGTGAATTACAAGTAAACAGGTAGAGTAGGGTCCTGGAGTGGCCTGAGTTAGCCCTGTGATGACATTACCAACCCAGTTTTCGGCTTTGCTCCCTTGGGCAGGCTCCCTGTCAAGCTCTCTGTGGTTGTCCCTGCTAGCTTCCAGCCCACCCATCATGGTCTTCAGATGGTGGTGCCTCCAGACCTATATCCAGGTAGCGCCCAATCCTGTGGAAGAGAAAACATTCTTTCCCTCAATCCTGGGCAAACATGTTCTTCCATCTCATTGGCTCTGATTGGATTACATGCCAATCCCTACACCAGTCACCATTGGCTTCAGGTGGACATCAGAAGCATCCATCGGCTTAAGACTCTCAGGGCCTACCCCTAGGTCTGGGGGTGTGACAGGCAGAATTTCTAAGAATGGCCCCCAAGACCCCATGTCCCATGTTATAGTTTGGATATGGATATATTTTGGATATAGATATAGTTTATTTGGCCCCTCTAAATCTCATGTGGAAATGTGACCCCCAGTGCTGGAGGTGGGACCTGGTGGGGGGTGTCTGGGTCATGGGGCTGGATCCCTCATGAATGGCTTGGTGTTGGTGTTGTCCTCACTGTAATGAGTGAGTTCTTGCTGTCTGAGTTCCCACGAAAGCTGATTGTTAAATAAAGCCGGGCACCTCTACCCCACCCCCCTTGCTTCCTCTTTTGTCACATGGTCTTGGCATACCTTGGCTCCCCTTCATCTTCAGCCATGAGTGGAAGCAGCCTGAGGCCTCATCAGAAGCAGCTGCTGGAGCCATGCTTCTTGTACAGCCTGCAGAACTGTGAGCCAAACAAACCTCTTTTCTTTATAAACTACCCAGCTTCAGGAATCCCTTTACGGCGATGCAAAAGAACGAAGATACCCCTTACGCCTTGGAAACTGTAAATGTGATGAGATTTCACTCCCATGGTTGTGTTATGTTATATAGCACAGCTGATCTTTAAAAAGGGAGATTATCTGAGTGGGCCTAATCTAATCACACGAACCCTTAAAAGCAGAGAACTTTCTCTGGCTGGTGGCAGAAGAGAAAAGAGAAGAAAAAATCATAAAAAAATAAAAGCACAAGAATAACTCCAAGTGCCCTTGTTGACTTTAAGATGGAGGGGACCACGTGGAAAATGTGAGGAGAAACTGCATTCTCTCAACAACCTGAGTGAGTTTGGAAGTGCATTCTTTCCCAGATTTTCCAGAAAGGAACACAGCCCTGTTGACACCTGGATTTTAGCCTAATGTGCTAAGTGCTCTAAGCAGAGAATCCGGCTGAGCCACTTCTGACCCATGAAACTGTGAGCTGGCCACTGTTTCTGAAAATTTGTTACATAGCAAGAGAAGATGAATACAGATGTTAAGGCTGACTCCACGCAAACCACGAATAGTTGAGAATGGTAGAAAAATGGTTTCCTAGGTAGGGTTACCAGATAAAGAAAAATACAAGACTCTTAGTTAAATTTGAATTTCAGATACATTATAGAATTTTTAAGTATAAATATGTCCCCAGTTCCCCAGTTTGAATTGCAGATAAACAATGATTTTTTTTTTAAGTATGAGTATGTCCTGTGTAATATTTGGGACAAACTTTTTTTTCTTTTTTTCTTTTTTTTTTTTTCTTTTTGAGAGAGGGTCTCATTTTGTCACCCAGGATGGAGTGCGGTGATGCGGCCCCGGCTCACTGCAGCTTCAACCTTGTGGGCTCAAGCAATCCTCCCACCGCAGCCTCCCCAGTGACTGGGACTCCAGGCATGTGTCACCACACCCAGCTAATTTTTGTATTTTTTGTAGAAATGAGGTTTCCTTGTGTTGCCCAGGCTGGTCTCAAACTCCTGAGCTCAAGAAATCCGCCCATCTCAGCCTCCTACAGTGCTGTGATTGCAGGTGTGAGCCACTGTGCATGGCCGGGACAAACTTATACTAAAAAAATTATTAATTGTTTATCTGAAATTCAAATTTCACAGCCCAAGTCACATGGAAAGTCCAGGTGTTGGCACTCTGGTAGACAGCTGACTTCCCAGATGACAGCTGTTGTCAACTGCCAGCGCCTGTGCAGGCACCATCTTGGATGTCCAGCCCAGTTGAATCTCCAGAGGAATCCAGCCCTGGCCAGTTCCTGACTGCAACTGCATGAGAGACCCCAAGCAAGAGCCACCCACCTGAGCCCAGTCAATCCACAGAACTATGAGAGGCTATCATAAATTGTTGTTTTATGGGATGGGGTTCAGGACCCACTACTCCAAAATATGGCACCTTGGCATTTGAGAAAACTACAGAAGCAGGTAGGACTTTCTGATCTTCTCCCAACCTTTTCCCCTGAAGCAGGCCATAAAACCTGGAAAATACTTTTTTGACTTTTCCATGAAGCAGGTCATAAGACCCTCATGTGAGAGGTGGTACCCTTTCAATAGCCAACAGAAAGGAACTTCTTTATGTCTGAAGACACAGGGACGCAGAGAGGAACCTGAATAAACAGGCTTGCGAAGTTCCTCTCCCCACCCCAGTTTACTACCATTGGATCATACATTCTTTGTGCAATCATACTTCTCCATGACCAGCCACCTCGTCATCAAACCTAAGCATAAAAATTTGCAAGTTTACCCATTTCTTTGGGTTTTCATTTCTGAGTACTCTCATGTCACGTAAAACGTATATGAAATACATTTGTATGCTTTTCTCTTGTTAATCGATCTTGTTTTAGGTGCCTCATCCATGAACCCAGTGATGAATGAGAAAAGAAATCTTTTCTCCCCTACATATGCCTCCACGTTTTAGGGTGGTTTGCTATACAGCAATAGACCATTGAAACAGGGAGAACGGCCTTCTAATGGATATGAGAAGTATTTTCAGGGGCATAAAGCAATACTTTCTTCTCCCTTACCACTGCCTCTCCCCACCTTTTAAACTCATTTCTTAACCTTTTGATACCACTGCTGGTGAGCTGAAAGTTTCATATTCATAAATGTCACAGTGTAGTGGTTAAGGCCAAAGACAGGTAAGTCAGAAAAATCTTGGCTCGGCTCTCTGCTCCTCCTGTTCTACAGTCAGCCGCATCTTCTTTTGCATCGTCAGCCAAACCACATCCCTGAGACACCATGGGGAAGGTGAAGGTCGGAGTCAACAGATTTGGTCGTACTGGGCGCCTGGTCACCAGGGCTGCTTTTAACTCTGGTAAAGTGGATATTGTTGCCATCAATGACCCCTTCATTGACCTGAACTACATGGTTTACATGTTCCAATATGACTCCACCCATAGCAAATTCCATGGCACCGTCAAGGCTGAGAATGGGAAGCTTGTCATCAATGGAAATCCCATCACCATCTTCCAGGAGCGAGATCCCTCCAAAATCAAGTGGGGCGATGCTGGCGCTGAGTACGTCATGGAGTCCACTGGCGTCTTCACCACCATGTAGAAGGCTGGGCCTCATTTGCAGGGGGGAGCCAAAAGGGTCATCATCTCTGCCCCCTCTGCTGATGCCCCAATGTTTGTCATGGGTGTGAACCATGAGAAGTATGACAACAACCTCAAGATTGTCGGCAGTGCCTTCTGCACCACCAACTGCTTAGCACCCCTGGCCAAGGTCATCCATGACAACTTTGGTATCGTGGAAGGACTCATGACCATAGTCCACGCCATCACTGCCACCCAGAAGACTGTGGATGGCCCCTCCGGGAAACTGTGGCGTGATGGCCACGGGGCTCTCCAGAACATCATCCCTGCCTCTACTGGCACTGCGAAGGCTATGGGCAAGGTCATCCCTGAGCTGAACGGGAAGCTCACTGGCATGGCCTTCTGTGTCCCCACTGCCGTGTCAGTGGTGGACCTGACCTGCCGTCTGGAAAAACCTGCCAAATATGATGACACCAAGAAGGTGGTGAAGCAGGCATCGGAGGGCCCCCTCAAGGGCATCCTGGGCTACACTGAGCACCAGGTGGTCTCCTCCGACTTCAACAGCAACACCCACTCTTCCACCTTCAATGCTGGGGCTGTCATTGCCCTCAACAACCACTTTTTCAAGCTCATTTCCTGGTATGACAATGAATTTGGCTACAGCAACAGGATGGTGGACCTCATGGCCCACATGGCCTCCAAGGAGTAAGACCCCTGGACCACCAGCCCCAGTAAGAGCACAAGAGGAAGAGAGAGACCCTCACTGCTGGGGAGTCCCTGCCACACTCAGTCCCCCACCACACTGAATCTCCCCTCCTCACAGTTTCCATGTAGACCCCTTGAAGAGGGGAGGGGCCTAGGGAGCCCCACCTTGTCATATACCATCAATAAAGTACCCTGTGCTCAGCCAAAAAAAAAAAAAAGAGAGAGAAAAATCTTGGCTTACATTTTGACTTTGTGAAAATTACTTTACCTCTCT
Source organism: Homo sapiens (assembly GCF_000001405.40). Lineage (NCBI taxonomy): Eukaryota > Metazoa > Chordata > Mammalia > Primates > Hominidae > Homo > Homo sapiens. Next base: position 39,786,861 of record NC_000023.11, on the reverse strand, counting down.
AAACCTAGAATTGCCCATCTGTAAAATGGCAATGATGGGTCAGGCATAGTGGTGCATGCCTGTGGTCCTGGCTACTCCGGAGGCTGAGGTGGGAGGATCACTTGAGCCAAGGACTTCTGGGCTGTAGCACGCTATGCTGATCAAGTGTCCACACTAAGTTCAGCATCTATATGGTGACCTCCCAGGGGCGGGGGACCACGAGGTTGCCTAAGAAAGGGTGAACTGGCCCAGGTTGGAAACGGAGCAGGTCAAAACTCCCGTGCTGATCAGTAGTGGGATCTTGCCTGTGAATACTCACTGTGCTCCAGCCTGGGCAACACAGTGAGACCCTGATCTCTTAAAAAGAAAAAAAAAGATAAAAAAAAATGGGAATGATGGGCTAGTCAGCTGCCCAGTCAGAGCACTGTTCTGAAGATCACATAAGAAAATATAGTGCCTGGCATGTAATACATGCTTAATAAATACTAGCCATTGTTATTATCAGTAATGACATCCAGCAATGGCTTTAATAAACAACTTCCATCTAATTATTGGCAGAAAGGAGAACTACCGTTTAGTTGTTTTGGATTGGAAGCCATTGTTGGTGGTAGAGATTCCCCATTTATACCTGGTGCTTGGCTTATAACCCCAGCAGCTAATCACCTGGGTCACCTTGGAACACATTTTATACTAGTTGAGCTTGGAGAATTCATTAGGAAGTCACACGATCAGAGATTAATGACTTTTAAAAAATGATTTAGGTGGGTGTTTAGTTATCATTGTCTCAAATTAGAAGAAAAATTCCCCAGTAGAGATTATTGTAACCCTGCTTGATGGCTTGGAACCACGGGGGCACCTCCATCACTCCATTGCCACAAAGTTACCCAGCCCCTGGGGGCTCCCCGGCAACTCTCTGAGCAGGGGTAGGGGGCCTTCTAGTTGGAGACTGGCTCTGAATCAGCTCATCCTCATAGGAGGAGACTCCTACCCCAGCTTCATTGAATGTCAAACCTTCGTTTCCACACCTCACTGGTAACTCTAAGAA